>NC_000013.11:58408106-60908106 GCF_000001405.40 Homo sapiens
GTCATATTATTATCACTTTTAGGAAACAGCTTTCCATCTGCAGCTATCTGAAATGTTTTTTTGTTGTTGTTGGTGGTGGTGGTGGTGGTGTTCTAAATAAGATATCCTGTTCCTTCCTCAAAAATGCTGTCTCAACCTACACTATTTTATGTGGAGTGGACTGTGCTGACTTACCAGTCATATATAAGGCTAATATAGCCTTAAACTCAGTATAATAACTGTAACCACATGATTTTCTGGTAAATATTTTTCATTGAAAGCAAGGTTACTTGAACTAAACTTAGTTTAATTGATTTATTCAATGGAGACACTAAGAATAGTACTTGAAAGGTTCAAATTAGTATAAAACTAGTAAAGGAGCTAAGGGATGGAATAATGCCTCAATCAAGGCCTGCCTGTCAAAGCATTCCCACTGAAGAATTCTTTCAAATAAACTATTTCTGGTTCCCGGGACTACAGAACCTCTAAATGACAATTTCTCATTGCATCACAAGTGCCAAGATATTTATGTTGTATTCTGTAGGCACCATAATATTAAAGAGAATAACCAATAATATTCATGGAATGAACAATAAAATTAATGATTTTGGCAATTATAAAAAGAACACTGAGTTATTAAAATTAGTCTGATCTTTAAGAAATTTCAGCCCAGCAGTACTAATGTTATTAAAAATAGCAAGATCATAACAAGTAGTCATTTGAATTTGCATATGTGAATAAGAATGTTCTTAATTACAAATTACATTCTTTAAATTATTTAGAAGCTGTAAATCAGTACAACAAAGAAAAACATGTTTAAAGAGTAAAGTGTTTAGGGGATTTTCAAATGCAGATAATGGCAGCAACAATAGTAAAACAAGGGTTTTGCTCTTTTTCAAATAAAATATTTTATTTAAATAGAATATTATGAAAGAAATTATAAAAATTTCTAAAATTCAGTAACACCTCCCTTAATCTAGAGTGCTGTTTTCTGGAAGATATGATTATCTACAACATCATCCTAAAACAAAAGTAAGTGAAACTGATTCCAGGCATCCCAAAAAGGTAGACATAAAGTTCTGCTACTAAGTCATTTATTTAACAATGATTTATCAAATATTTATTACTTAGTAGCCACTACGTAAAACGTCAGGAAATACGGATTAACAGATCTTAAGCAATGTCCTCTTTCGGGAAGATGAAGTAGACATACTTTTTATCTATTTTTTTCACTAAGTGCAACAACAAAAAAATCCTACATTATATACAAAACAACTGTAAGATTGCCCTGAACAGTAAAGAGTATAAGTCAGACCAGCTAAGAACTCAGGACCAGAGGAACAAAGGTGGTCAGTTCCCTGAGTTTTATTTTTGCCTCATATATCCTAGACTAGGTACTATAGAAGCTGGCAACCTGGAAATGACAAGTGTAGGTCAAGAAAAGTCAGCTCTTTGTGAACAACAGATAAGGAAGGAGGTAGCCTAGCAAGACCTGAAAACTTTTTACTTACTAACCCTCTATCCAGTAAACTACCAGAGACAAATTTTCAGCCCCAACTCAGCAAAAGCAAGTGATGAGGCTAGACTTCCACTCTTTTCAGGCTATACCAAGGTGACCAACTCACCCAAAAATATGGTGTCAGAGAAACTGAATGTAGACAGCCTTGCACCCTCAGTGTCAGTGAAGTCCTGTGGAGACTAATGACAAGGTGCCCCTCTCCCTGCCATTTAGGGTACTATCAGCAAATGGCTAACAAGTACCCTAAATTCCCATTTCAGCCAAGAAGTAAAAAATAGCCCTAGTTCCTGGGAGTCAAAAGAGACCAAATGGAGAACCTGGACTTCCAGCCAACCTGGCAGTAACAAGGGAGCATTCCTGCCTCCAGAGCAGGGCCAGAGGAAGTCAACTAAATTTCAAGACTCAAATGAGATCCAGAGTATGAAAACATAATTCCAAAAATGTCCAGGTGCTATGATCTAATGTTTATATCCCCCAAAATTTATATGCTAGAACTTAATTCCCAGTATGATAGTGTTAGAAGATGGGGCTTTTAGGAGGTGATTTGATCACGATGTTAGTTCTCTTATAAAATAGACTCCAGAGAGCCAGCTAGCCCCTTCCACTCTGTGAAGATACTGCTAGAAGATACCACCTATGAAGAGGGCCTTCACCAGACACCAATCTGCTGATGACTTGAACATGAACTTCCCAGCTTCCAGAACTATAAGAAATAAATTTTTGTCGTTTTTAAGTTACCCAGTCTAAGATATTTTTTGTTAAGGCAGCCCAAAGGGACTAAGACACCAAGCTTCAATTTAATATCACCCATTATAGTATGAACCAGGAAGATCTCAAACTGAATTTAAAAACACAACAGAAACTAACACTGAGCTGATACAGATAATAGAATTTACATGACAAAAATTAAAACACTCATAAAAAATGCATCAGTTGGTATTAAGAACCTGATTGAAACAAATGAAAGAAAAAAACAGAAGGCCTTAATAAATAGGGATATAGGGATGAATCAAATGGCCATTTTAGAACTGAAAGCTACAGTAGCTAAATATATATATATAATGTTTATATTATATATACAAACACATGTGTACACATACGTGTGTGCTTGTGTGTGTGTGTGTGTAAACCTTAATGGATGGGTTCAACAGCAGGATGGAGAGGACAAGAGTACATAGGAAAGCATCAGTCAAACTTGAGTGGCACAATAGGAATTACCTAATCTGAACAACAAAGAAATAATAAACTGAGAGAAAAATGAACAGAGCCTCAGGGACATGTTGTAGTATAAGAAAAGATTTAGCATTTGTGTCATCAGAGTCCTAGAGAAGAGAAGGAGAGAAGGGGAGAAAAAGGTGAAAAGTATTCAAGTAAATAATAGCTGAAAATGTCCCAAATTTGGGCAAAACCATAATTCTAAACAACTTGCTGGTTCCCTGAAAGATTACATATCTTACTGTAAAATAGGGATCTAAGGGTATGAAGGAGGAAATAGACATTCATAAATTCTGTATAATGTTATAGGTTTTTTTAAAGACTTGAAAAAGTGAATAGAGAGGATATTAATTCAGGAAGAGAGGAAAAAATGTTACAGGGATGAAGCAATGTGAATCTGATCTTAAAGAACAAGACAACTAGAAATCAACTATATCCAAACTCTAGTAGTTAATCAAATCCATAGAAGAAATTGAAACTTGTTTCTTTAATAGAAAGTACTGAACTTCAGTAAAACAGCAGGGTCCATGACATTTACCTTCAGGTAAAACATTAAACAAAATCTAATAATTCATTGTCTATCCACTAAATTCTATCTGATACCAAAACAAGACAAAGACATTACAATAAAGGAAAATTATAGACCACTATCTTATGAGTATAGATAGAAAAATCCTCAACAAAATACTAACAAATAAAATCCAATAATATGTAAAAAGGATTATAAAATGTGACTAAGTGAGAATACTCCAGAAATGCAAAAATTGTTCCATGGTGGTACATGGTAGTATGCCATATTAATAGAATAAAACATGAAAACCACATAATCATTTTAATGTAAGCAGACAAAAATGTTTGACAAAAATCTAATACTTTTTTATTTTTAAAACCCTTGGCAAACTGGAAAGAAAAAAATATCCTCTACCTGATAAAGTATATCTACAAAACCCCACAGCTAAATTATTTAATGGAGAAAGAATGGATATTTTCCTCCTAAGATCAAGAACAAGAATGCCTGCTGTAGCCACTTCTATAACAGAGTACTTGAGGTTCTAGCCACAATTAGACAACAACAACAAAAAAGTTATCCAGATTGGAAAAAAAGAAATAAAAGTATTTCTATTTGTGAATAACATAACCTTTTATGTAGAAAATCCAAATGATCTACTCAAATATTTTTAGAACTAATACATGTGTTCGGCCATGAGGAAAACACATGATCATAAACAATTCACTGTATTTCTATATATTATAATGAATAATCCAAAAATAAATTTAAGAAACAATCCTATTTACAGTAACAAAGAAATAAAATAAGATACACCTAACAAAATAAGTGTAAGATTTCCACACCTAAAACTATAAAACAATGTTGAATGAAATTAAAGAATATGTAAATAAATGCAAATATGTCCCATTTTAATGGATTTAATGACATCACATTGTTAAGATGGCAGTACTCTTCAAATTGATACACAGATTGAACACAACTAAATTTTTAGGGATTTTAATTCACTATTAAAATTCCAGCTATATTTTTTGCAGAAATCCACATGCTGTTTCTAAAATTAATGTGGAATTGGAGTAACTCAGAAAAGCTAAAACACTCGAGAATAAGAGCAATGTTGGAAGACTCATACTTTCTGATTTCAAAACCTACTACAAATTTAATTAGTCAAGACTGTGTGATATTTGCATAAGGATTGACGTGCAAATCAACAAACTAGAATTAAAGATTCAGAAATAAATCCTCATATTTGTGGCCAACTAATATTTTGACAAGGTATCTGTACAATTCAACTGGAGAAAAACAGTCTTTCTACAAATGGCTCTAGAACAACTGGATATCCACATGTAAAATAATGAAATTAAACCCATAATTCACACTATAAAAATTAACATGTTTAGTTGACATAATGTTACAATAAATGTAAGCACTAAACCCATTAAATTCCTGAAAGAATACATAAAAGTAAATATTTGTGGACTGGAGTTTGTTTTCTTAGTTACAATAAAAAATAGCGTAAACTGCCAAACAAAAATTAATACGTTGGATTTAATCAAAGTTAAAAACATTTGTCTGTCAAAAGACACCATGAAGTTCAAGAACAAACCTACAGAATAGAAGAAAATCTTTACAAATATAAGTTTCAATTTGTAATCTTTACAAACTCAAGTTTCTGATGAGAAACTTGAATGCAGTATATTATATAAAGAACTTCTACAAGGCAACAACAAAAAGACAACCCAATGAGAGAATGGGCAAAAATTTTAAGAAGCCAATTCTCTAAAGGAAAACAAATGGTCAACAAATACACGGAAAGATGTTCATCATCATTAGTCAGTAGGAAAATGAAAATTAAAATCACCAATGAGATACCACTTCACAACTACTAGGATGACAAATGTTATAAAGATAAAAATATTGTGTTGATGTGAATGTGAATAAATTGGAAGTCTCATACAATGTTGGTGGAGATGTAAAATGGCACAGTCATTTTTTAAAGCAGTGTGGCACTGCCTCAACATTTTAAACATAGAATTACCATATAAGCCACCAATTCTAATCCTAGGTATATTTCTAAAAGAATTGAAAACAAATGTTCACACAAAAATTTGGGCACGCACAAATTTTCATAGCAGTATTATTCATAATAGCCAAAGTATGAAACAATCTAAATGTTCTTCAACTGGTGAATAAATATATGCAGTAGGGCCGTACAATAATATGGAATATTATCTAGCAATAATATATTGCTATAACCTTCAGCAAGAAAGAAGTACTGATAATAATTACTAGAACATGAATAAACCTTGGAAATACTATGCTAACTAAAAGAAGCCAGCCAAAAAATTCTACATGTTGTATGATTTCATGAAACATGCATAATAGCAACCCCATAGGGGCATTCTGGTTAATAATAACACATAAAAGGTATTATTGTATTAATAACACATCTACTTCATGGGGATACTGCACTATGAAATATAATCTCAATGCAAGCTGTTTATGGAAAAGAAGAATGGCAATGATTTATAAAAATTCAATGCCAATTAACTGAGTAACTAGAAAATTACTTCGGAGACCTATTTTGTCAATTATGCAATTTTCCATAGCCTAAATATATAATAGAGGTTCAGTAGAGATAGCCTGAGATATAGGAAATAAATACTCTGGATTAACACATATAATTAGAATGTAAGAGAAAATGTAAAAATATATATATAAATTTAAAAATACTGCATGCTATTTTAGTCTGTTTTGTATATGTACTTCCTCTCATTGTCCAGAGAAGCATTTCACACTGTGTTGCTTAAGGTTGACAACGGTATTTGTCAATGTTGTTTGCCATACCTGTTCTAATAGCTATTCAGTTTTCAAGTAGGAAGGCAGTGAGAAGGCTAAATTGATTACTCTAGTTCAATGTTTTGATATAATCAAATCTATAATTTTTAATGGTGATAATAGGATTTCCTAATTTTAATAGCTACAAAGTTATAAAGTCCAAATTAATGGGAAAATAGTATAGAAATGGCCACCTGGTCACAGAAAGGCAGAGACTGCTTGCTAAACTTGATGTTATGTTACTTGAAGTACATTGACAGAGACAGTGCTCTTTCTCCATACAAGATCTATTATTGTGACACTATCACTTGTCCCCAAATATACACTCTCAAATTAGTTTTCAAATTGTTTCCCTCAAAGTTTTGGCTGAAAATGACAAGTTCTTTGTCTTTTCTTTTTTAACATCCCTTCCGGTACCTTTATGTGTTAAAATCCTAATCTGTACAAATAAAATATTTACATTTGTAACTTATTTCCCCCTATATTAATTCAAAGTAATGGAAGTAGAATATTTGTTTCAGTTGTAACTTCAATTATTTTCCATTTACCAGAGGGAATTATGGGATCATTTGGGTACTTTATTGTTGGTTTGGTCAAATTTGATGCTGTCCTTTTTACTATGAAATAACTAGATGAAAAATTTATTTAGCCAGGTTTTCCCTTATTTCTGGGCCCAGAAGTATCACTCACACTCAGTCTGCTCTGATTTAAAATTGTGCTTTAAAGTTTTGCTTCTTCATTCACTGGACTCTTACGCTCTTTTATATTACCATATTTATCCTTCATCACTCATTTTATGACACAATTTATTCTTCTTTCTTGGTTTTATTCTTTCTCATCTCCAATGATGTTATAACAATATCTTACTTGGGATTCAAAATATCCCAAGTATTTTGACATCCCTTGCATGTCAAAGCATTCCTTTAATTTCACTTCCTTCATCAAGCTTTGTAAATTGACCAGCTTGGTTCCAAGTAAAAGCTTTCAGGGAAGAAGATTCTGGCTCTATGTCTATCTTGAACATCTTGAAAGAAATCAGCAATTACAAAACAAAACCAGAATGGTTTTGATGATTATGATAGTTGTCCTTATTTTCATTTAAAATGTATTATTTTTAAAGATGTCTAGATACATCTAATTGGCATAATACTATAACATGCATTCCTTAGACACTTTGACAAGTGTGTTATATGAGAGAAGTACAGAAAAAAGAAGAGAGAATAATTTTCTCCAAAGAGAAGTGTGATATGATACTGTAGGTTATCTGTGCACTAAAGAGCAATTTTTAGAATTTTCATTGAAAGGAAATGTCATAACCTATAGCCCATTCTTATCTGCTCTAATAAAAAAGGCAATGAATGGCACATCTCTTTGATATCTCTTATAAATTTTAAACATAGCAAAATCACATACTATTATTGCTATAAAAATTCCATGAGGTAAGAAAGCCAGAAATATCAGTTCAGGCAACCATATACTCAGTATATTTTTGGGACTTTAAAATTTTATTTTACACGATTTTTCAAAAATAATGTTTAATTGTGGACATCTCTTCTGGGCTTACTTATTCTCCAATTTTATTTGTTTTGGCAAATACCTCATAAGTAGCTTGGTTGGCATGGCGCTATACAAATAAAAAGTAGCATTACCATTATCATTGTGATGATTACTATTATTTTTGATTGGCATTTATACGTTTCAAGCTCAGAAAACATGCATCTATCTATAAGTGTTTGTTAATGCTTTTGACGTGGTATCTAGACATTTGAGCAAGATACCATTTTAATAAAACATTATACAAGAAGGAAGAATAGCCTTCTAAATCTCAGCATGAGATGATGTTAAAGGTTATCTATGAGCTCAGGAATGAGTTTTAGAGGTTTCCTTGAATAGGGATGTCATAACCTATAGATCAAATAGAAGAAAGTGAGGGCTAAGAAGTGTAAATAGAATGTAAATTAGTATTAAAAATTGCATTGTGCTTTGTAAAGGTTTAGTGCCAAGTTTCAACATAAAATTCAATTAGCATTTTGAATTAAATATCCAATTGAATGTGATTTATTTAAAACTAAGCACTAGGCTGCTTCAATCTGTACAGAATTACAATGCAAATAATAAATAAATGAAATGGTTATATCTTTTAGTTCAGTGCAGACATCTTACTATATGCAATGGATATATTGCAGAAAATTATATATTACACTCAGCAAACCAAGTTTTACTTTTGAAAACAGCAGATTAAAAACTTTAAAGCTTTAAAAAAAAGGCTTTGGTAAATATTTTACTAAAATTATTTATTTTGCAAATACAAATATTTTCATTTTTATTTTTATATGTTTGCTATCTTAAATAGTTCACAAAACTTTAACATTATGAAAGATAATTATTACTATAAAGCTAGGCAATAAAAAATGTTCATTTATTTAGCCTTTCAACAAATATTCATGGCTCAGTGACAATCTGTGTCTTGGTTAGTATGCAGTGTTCTCAGACAAAATAATGAAGGATGACTAAAACTCTCCTTAGGAACTTGGAAGTTCAGAAAAAAAGGGAAATAACCGTATCACGTGTATTTGGACCACATCGTACTATTAATTGCTTTTCATGATTTTCACTGGTAAGAAAAAGCAAGAGAGTCATGATATTTTAAACTTTCTGTTTTATATTGAAAGTACCCTAAGCCTGACTCAAATTGCTTCAAGTTGGCAAAATGAAATCTTCCTACTTGCTTTAGCAACCTCAACTAAACCTGGTCTCAGGGATTTCATTTTGATTTGACATTTGGAATTAATATGTCAGATTTTGTGGTTGTCACTTGGGTGACAACTCAAGAATAGATGTTAAGAAGATTAAGTTTAGGGCTCATAGTGGTAGAATGAAGGTTGAGATTGGCTTAAGAATCTGATCACTGTATATTGATCCTATCTTGTCTATGAAGTTTATTTTACATGACCAACACATATCACAGACCTATCTTTTCTCCAATTTCCTGTAGTCTGTAACTATTCTTTTCACCTGTTTTTGTCTGTTTTCTTTCTTATCAGTTAGTTCATGAGTGTCTTAAAGGCAAAATCATTTCCTCTGTGTCTCTTATATTTACCATAACATCAGGTAGCCCTGTATCTTATGTAAAAACTCATGGATTCATGATTTTGTGTCTTAATGGAAATTGCATTAAGTGAAAAGTAATTGAAAATTCTTCAGAGTTTTGCATACTTTTGGAATTATGATAGGTGCGACCTGTTGATGGAGAGACACATAGAAGAGATGCCTATTTAGCCATTTTTTTTGCCTCTCAGAGAGCACACTCAATGCCTTGTACATAGTAATATATGTTAAATTCCTTATTCTGATAAGAAAAAACATATATATATATATAAAATCTGACGTTATGGAACAATCTATCTCTGCCATATACGCGAGTGTATAGGAACTCACCATACATAGAATTTTGCTTAATTTACAAGGCGGAACATGGGGAGAGAAAGAGGGTTGGTGGGAAGAAATTGTGCTAAGCTTCTTTTAGTCTCCAGACATCAAAGGTTTTCACATTCCCTCCAAGGTCATTTTACTTCAGTGAATTGTGGCTTGCACATTATTCTTCCTATCTTCTTCCCAGGGTGTTGTAAGAATTAATGAGATACTCAGCCCAAATCACATATTTCTCCACACCTCTGTGGATCTCCTCCACACCCCAAGGAGTACTTCATAGGCATCCTTTACTGGAATTTCAGTATGCTCAATTAAGGAAAATTTAATTAAAAATTTATTTCAAAAATAACATCAAACTCCCCAATGCTCTCAAACTTACAAGCGTTCCTCTCTGTAAAACACATATTAATTAGGAATCCCAGCTACATTTGGTGGTCTTTGGATGTCTTGAACTATTTAACCAAGCACTTCCCCCTCTAATTTAAAAAAACATAAAACACAAATGTAACTAGGGGAAATGCTCTACAAAATTAATATGCATCTTGCACCCTACTCATTGCTTCTGTACATGGAGTTCTCGTTGCAATTAGTTGGAACTCTGAACACTGATGAAACGAGGCGGTGCAGAGGGGAATGCCAATCTGGCCCTTCACCTCTACTTTTCTGATTAATTTAAACTTAAATCATCAGGATTCAACTTTTAAGGATCAGTTGACTGTTTCAAGATAGCTCTTTCTGTGTTTTATAGCTATTCAAAGTCCCACCCCCGCCAATAGATTATCGAACACTTAAAAAAAGGAAAATATATATATTTAAAAAGAAGGAAATAAGAGAGACAGGGGAGGGAGAGCAAGAAGTAAAAGCGAAGCAACCAAGTTTTAATTTGTACCCTAAAGTGTTGAATTAATTTGCCAACTCCTGAATCAAATGGTTTGTGTGTTGTAGTAGAGATTGTACTGTCTCTGTGGTTAAAAAAAAAAAAAATCTTTGTTCTACTCTCAACAATTGGCTCCATTACAATCATACTACGTGGCTTTGGGCAAATCACTTCTGTGCTCCTCAGATTTCTCATCTTTATAGAGAGGAACTAGATAATCCCTGGGGCCTCTTCAAGCACTAATTTCTACGTGCCTGTGTTACATACCCATTGTCCACACCACGAACTGGCCCTATGTCACAGAAATCATATTTTATACCTTCACATTTTCTGTTAAATAAGTCTGGATGGCAGGGGTTGGGATGCTCTCTTTTTATATCCACAGTTCCTGACACAAGGCTTAGGCCTTGAATATGTCTGCTAAACTATCACAGTTGAAACAGTAAAAATAAATAAATAACATTAAACTGAAGATATTATATAAATGTCATTTTTTTTACTCAAAGCAAACATTTATATAGCTGGTATTTTTTAGCTTTATAAATTTTACATTTTAAGGAAGGCAAAAAAATTTTAAAAACCGGGAAACACAAGGCATACTAGTGAATCAGACAAGTTTTATTAAAAGTTCAAATCAAGAGAAATAAAATAAACTGTATTGCAAAGTCTGTGAGAAGAGAGGGAAATTTTATAAAAGAAAACTGGTCCACAATGGCTTCTGTCCCCAACTGCAGACTACATATATAGTTTGTGTTTAATGGTCCACGAGTGGCAAATTATCATTTTTCATTTGTTTTTATTTCTTCTTAGTAATTGGAAAGATAATATAACTGCATCAGAAATAACATTTATGACTTCTAACAATAAGGATCTAACAGAAAGCAACTATTTTGAGACTTAATATCCATGTGTGGTTCTAAAAATGAGTTAATTACTAAATAAAGCTTCGTGATGAAATATCAAATTTAGTTGTTTTGGAGAGATATTATCTCCTGCCATGTCAGGCGCATTAATTTTGGCTGCCACATTATTCTGCCCTTCCAGCTTCTTTCTGTTAATTTTATACATGGCAATTAGTGCAAAGTAACTTACCTAACACATAGATCTGTTTCACATTATTTTCTTAACTCTCCAATACCTACATGGTTTTCCAATCCTTTATTCTCTGGTTACTCTATTTCTTATATTCAAAAAAGCTTCATTTATTTTCCTGTTTCTATCTTATTTATGTTCACCTTCTTCCTCCAACTAAATCAATTTATTCTCTATCTTACTGTTTCTATCTGGCATCCAATAGTCACAGATTTGATCTTAACAAAAAATAGAGAATCAGCTTTGCAAGTCTGGTTAAAGAGTCATTCTCAATCTGCTATTGGCTCCTATTACATGCCATTTGGAGAGAAGTTATATCTTAAAAAGATCATTTAAAGTACAGGCTAAATCCTATTACTATATGAAGCCAGGTAACCACATTTATATACTGGATCATATCACATCAATTTAGCCTCTCACAAATCGCTTTTTCTGAATTGAGTTCCAATGTCTGTCTTTTTACTTTCATTTAAGGATGTTAGAAGAAAAGGATGTTGACAGCTGCAGCAGTTAAAACCCTCTAAATACATTTCCTTCTGGGAGACAGAAAAAAAAAGGGGAAAATAATTGCTTACCCTCAGGAATTGGTATTTTCTTTTTTTTTTTTTCTTTGTTCTTTTTTTTCTTTGACGGCTAAGAAACTCAACATTAAATTGTATATTTAAGTTCTAACAACTGGTATCAAAACAAGATAAGTGATGTAAGTCTAAAAGCAGCCTGCAGTTTCAAATGTTTCCGATTTCTATTATTGACCTTTATTATTGTGACTTCTAGATTCACACATGTGTGTCAGTGTGCTGCATTCAAAGTCTGAGGAAATATACAATATAGTTGTTTTACAGGGATGTCTCCTGCTTTGTGAGAAAGAGATTCTTCTCAAACAAAATAATTAACCAGTACTGACTAGATATAAAACATATATGCATTAACATGCATGACATGTGATCCCACTGTACATTATAAAATTGACTCTATTTTGAAGATATGCAAGCTGTTATTTTACATGAAACTCATAAATTTAGAATTATATCCCATCATAATAAAATATTCAATTGAGTTTTTAATGGTGAATTAATAGGTTTTATTTAAATCACAGAAAAACCCAATATGTAGAATTTCTCAATTGAATTTCAAAATTATGTTATTATTGTGAATAAATTTAACTGTATTAAATTGCAGTGGAAATGTATTCCAATAAGGAGCTTTATGAGGACGTTATACAAGAGCTTGAGATTCCCTTTGACAAATATCTTTATCAGCATTCCAGATTATGATTGCAATGAGATTAATGTGGACTTTAGTTTTCTACTTTTATGGAGTCAATATGCTTGCATTTTAGGCAACTTTCTTTCAAATAGCTCAAGTCATGTTGATCTAATGCCTTCAACGTTAGTGAAAAAATAGCTTTCAGAAGAGAAAACTGTAGATATTCTTTATTTATAATTTTAAATCTCTATGAGTAATGTAAGAGAAAATCATTGACCTTGGGAACTGTTATTATTTTACTGTTAAGTGTTATTAATATTACCGCAACCAGGAACATCACGGATTATACACAGCTTCTTTCTTTAACAGCATTAGATTTTATTGCCAGAAAATGAATGGCCAGGGGACTCTCAGTTTTCTCTGTTACAATGATTCATACATCAATCTCATCTTGATTTCTTTAACCTTATTTCGTAAATCTTGATAAAAGTGCAGGCAGAAGGTGAACAGCCAATTACCAGCCTGTTTGTTTCACAAATAAAGAGCAGCCTTGTGGGAAACGTAAATGAGGATGAGAAGTTAATATGATAGTTCTGGCCATTACATTGGCTTAACAGTTTATATAGTGAGTCCACTTCCTGTTATGGCCAATGTCAGAAGATTGGCATAGTTCTCATTTATATTCAAGCCAAGTGCTGCAAAACACTAAATGTTCAAAAAGAAGTTCATTGGGAATATTCTGGAATGTCATAAAATAATATATAGAAAAATATTTAAAAGGCCATGGAAACTGAATTTCTCTGTTTCCTCCAGCTCAGGAGCTAGAGTATCTAACAACAAAGGAGTATTAGAGACAATCATAAATTTGCAGTCATTTTATTTAAATTAAGCATCTTCACACTTCAGTTGTTTATTATTTGTAATATAGTCCCTGTGGTAACATCTCACAAAAATTCGTGACACAGTGAGACTGCTGCTCTGGAGGCAATTTAGAGTGAATGACTACTATTCTCTTGAAGGGCTTTCTCAACTTTCAACCGTGCAAATAGTTTATTAAGCATCTCTTACCCTGTATCTTTCCCAGCAAAATATCTGTTACTCCCCAAGACCCCTAGGTGCAAGAAAGCAGTCTATTAGGATATGTATATTTGGCTGGTCGTTCCCCCTCGAATGCTCTCTCTTATTCAGGGATCAAGCATAGTATGAAATAAAAAGTATAATCATTTTTTAAATATTGTAGTGGGGAATATAAACAGGAAATGATCCAATTTACTATATCTGTATCCATCATTTGTAATTTTAGCATAGTTTTTTCAGAATACAGTGAGTAATTTCTAGTTACCTCTCAATCAGATTCTGGTCTCAGAATTATACAGTATGACTCCTGGCAATATACTGATTTTTCTTATGCTTTGAGTTAAGTGGCAAATACACAGATATGAATTTAACCCAAGCCAGGCTATAGAAATAGAATGCTAACTCTTATTAACTGGTACAAATTTGAAAAAAAAAAAAAACAACAGCTCTATGCTTCGTAAAGTCAATCTGTTGAATTCACTATCATGGCAGGTCACTGAGCCCAATACCATGGCTGTATAGTTTTATGGCTCTTAATATTTGTTGTATGCAAACCATAGACAATGACATAGGAAACCAAACTTATGCTTCAATGCATATATGCGTATTCTTTGTTGTTCATGAAGAATAAAAGAATACATTGAAAGCCACAACTGGCTGCCAAAAGAAGGAATTAAAAAATAATTTTCATGGATCTAATTTTAGTTGATTTTCTAAGAAAAATAATGTATCATAATTTTTCTGTATTATAATGCCTCTCTTTATTTTTAAAAATAAATGTTAATATATGCTAGTTAAGGAATGGATTGATCTGTGAAAAAAAATTATACAAAAAGAGAAGTTTCATTTTGATATCTTTAGCCATTTTTTGCCTTTTCTGTCTTTACCTAGGAAGGTTCTCTGCAGGGTGGAAAACATCTTATCAACTAAAGTTTTAAAAGAAAATCATGTTAGATATAATTACTTGATGCACTTAAACTTTTTATTATGGGAGAAACCTAATATATAATAAAATCAAGATTAAAAATATCTTTAGGAATTTTTGAGACTTTGTAGGGAATGGTTATTTAAATAGGGACTGTGTAAAGACCTTTTAGTATGTCTTGGGGACCACTCGATTTGGAATACATTTTCATTAGATAGATAATAGTTTACTAAACACTTCTGAGATGGAATAAAATTTAATCAAAACATTATTTTGCATGAATAATTAAAAGTCTCTTCCTTTATGTCGGAACTAGTAAGTGATAAAGCTAATTCTAGGAATCAGCTCATAAGATGGTTAAGAAGAAAGTTTGAAAAACAAAATTTCTCTTCAAAATAAAATATTATTTTCCTTATCTGTGTGTCATAGCTAGGATGAACTGTGAATTTATTGTCTACATTCTTTATAAGCTTAGACAAATGTAGATTAAAGAAAAAGCAAACCTAGATTAGAAAACCCATTGACATAGACACATCGTTCATCCTCTTGACACTTAAGGTTGGAAATTATAAGAAGTTTTAAAAAAATAGTCTGTGGGGTGTACTCATTTATAACAGAAAGAATATTTTAATGCTGTAAAAATTGATGAGGATTTTTGATTTGTCAAATTGAGCTTATTAATTGCCTTCTTGATATTATTAAAGCATTTGGTACTCAAAATAATTGGAATCATTGAAAAATAAAGATGTAAACCTGACAATTCAATCTGACTGCTAAAATTCATTTCAATAAGTAAAATTATTCACTTAAAGTCTATAATGATACTTTCTAGTTACATAATATGTTTCCTATTTAAATAAATGAGCTACATTATTAAATATTAGTCCTTTGGATTTGGCTTAGTAATAACAAAGACTGGCAATGTCCTCCCTTGATTAAAAGTTTAAGGAATGAGTTAACTACAGAAGCTAAGAAAAAATATATTGTTTTATGGCCATCTGTAGGTATGTGTAGCTTTGGTGGTCATGTAGGGAGAACAAAAATGGACTTAATGTACACAAAAAATAATGGTTATATTTCTTTTCAGAATTATCCCTGGATGCTATTATCCCTGGATGCTATTAATATCATACAATCATTTCTCAAAACATTTTCTTTAAAATACCATGTGCTAGGTATCTGCAATATTACTTAAAGAAAAAAATGAGAAATTTAAGTGCCAAATATTGGTGCAAGTCTAAGTGTACTGGACTTATGAACATTTATGAAATACACATTTTTAATTGTGTGTATTTAATATATTTTTAAAAAGAATGTTTTATATGTAATACCTGATGCCAGATAATATTAGCCATGTATATCTTGTTTTACTTTATATTAGAATTAATTGAGGGCTTCTGGTTAAACCAATCACTTCATTTTCTGAAATAACCTGCAGTTTGCTTCATTGAAAGTCACCGTTAAATTTATTCTCAGGCCATTTTGTAACCAGTTGTATAGATTAACCAACAGATTCCGTTTTTGAAATCAAGATAAAGTGATACTGTTTGTGGAGGTGGTGTTCTGATGACAAAACAAAACAAGGCAAAATTGTTGTTTTAAATTCTAGGCTCTTCAGACCTGGTTTTAAGCATCAGCTACATATGTTGTCAACTTTATGACATGACCAAGTCAATTAACATCTCTTATTTTTCTCCTATAGAAACTAAGGAAAATTATATCTGCCTACCTGTGTTACATCTTGTGGAGATCAGGCTACATTAATACCCATAAAAGAGCTTTAAGAATTGCGAATAGAAATTTTATTTGTTATTTTTCAATTGCAGGAGAAAGACATGCATGAATTTAAATATGAGACCAGAGGAACATGTGTATAATAAATGCCTCTTTATACAGTAGAAGCTACAAAATGAAAAACAGAAAACTGTATAGCGCAGATACTGAAAAAGAGTGCCTCTATAACTGCATTTATTTTTTAATGTTTTCCACGTATTCCTTTATCTCCTGTTATTCAAGTTCTGTATAGAAAGGTGCTTTGAATCATTTCCCTGTGATTTTTCAAAGGCAGTATGGAGAAAGTTCCTTTGCATCCCCTTTTTTTTTTCCGCTGGTTTTCAAAGACAATCCTTGGCTAAAAATAAATATATATGCTTCTCAGAATGGGGATTGAAATATTAAAATGAATAAAGTAAATATATAAATAAGTAAAGTACTTTGATCCTCCCTCTCTAGTTTCTTCATTTTCTATTCCTTTCTTTGACTTGCTTGTTTTCCCCCTAGATCTCTATCATGAAATGATCTGAAGCAAGATAAGTAAACGGTGCTTGGATCCCCAAAGACACATGTTCTCAGTTTCTGACCAAGCTTACTACCTAGAATGTGTATACAGAATTTTGCCATTCAAAAAGAAAGATTCAGCCAAAGAAAGTTTAAATTTGGCACTTCATTTATAGTGCATGTATGCTTTATCTAATATGATCATGTGCTCTCATTTCTTTTGACCTTGATCTAAGAGAATAAGTTATGGATTCAGTTTTTTAATTGTGTGGGATTTATTTTAATAAGACTATTTTTGTTTTAATACATTATTTTTACTACAGATGGTTTATTTTGTAATTTACTTTAAAATACATGAAAGCAAAGTGAAATATTTTAGTACGTTATAATTATTTACTATTTCAATTTCATGTCCTCTGAGAATTTATTTTATTTATTTATTTATTTATTTTTGTTGTTGTTGTTTTTTGTTTTTTGAGACAGAGTCTCGCACTGTTGCCCAGGTTTGAGTGCAGTGGGCGTGATCTCGGCTTACTGCAAGCTCCGCCTCCCGGGTTCATGCCATTCTCCTGCCTCAGCCTCCTGAGTAGCTGGGACTACAGGCACCCGCCACCACCACCACACTCAGCTAATTTTTTTTGTATTTTTGGTAGAGACGGGGTTTCGCTGTATTAACCAGGATGGTCTCGATCTCCTGACCTCGTGATCGGCCTGCCTCGCCCCCCTCAAAGTGCTGGGATTACAGACATAAGCCATCGCGCCCGTCTGTCCTCTGGGAATTTGGAACCCAGTGTGTTAGCATGATTGATTTCTTAACCTTCTTTTTTAGTGTTCTTGGGCAAATCAGGTAACTATTTCATAAACTACATTTCATAGGTAAAGATTAATTATGTTTATATCTCTCAGCTCCAAATAAATGACACTAACTAAATTTTTGGTTTATCTCTTTTTAATAGCTTTCTTAAAGTATAGTTTCCATACCATAAAATTTGCTCATTTTAGGTATACGATGTAATGATTTTTATATATTTACAGAGTTGTGCAATCTCCAATATAATACAATTTTAGAACATTTCCATGACCTTAAAAAAGTCCTTCATGCCCATTTGCAGTTACCCAGAGCTCTCACCTCTAGCACTAGGTAACCACAGGTGTACTTTTGTGTTTATACATTTGCCTTTTGTGGACATTTAAAATAAATGGAAACATATAATATATTGTTTCTTACACCTGGCTTCTTTCACGTGGCCAAATATTTTTATCGATGTTATGTGTGTATCAATATTTCATACTTTTTATTGCTGAATAATATACTACTTTATGCATATACTTCATCTTTTTATCTGTTGATGAAAATATGGGTTGTTTATACTTTTGTCTATGTGTTGTAAATAATGCTGTGATAAATATTTATATATTCTTTGTGTGTGGACAAATGTATTCATTTCTGCTAGGTAGATACCTAGAAATGGAATTTTTGGATTTCCTAACTGTATTTAACTTTAAAAAAGTTGTCAGCATGATGCATCCAGCTTTACAGCATGGTACTGGTACCAAAACAGATATATACACCAATGGAACAGAACAGTGGCCTCAGAAATAATGCCAAACATCTACAACCATCTGATTTTTGACAAACCTGACAAAAGCAATGGGGAAAGGATCCCCTACTTAATAAATGGTGTTGGAAAAACTGGCTAGCCATATGCAGAAAACTGAAACTGGACCCCTTCCTTACACCTTATACAAAAATTAAGATGGATTAAAGACTTAAATGTAAGACCTAAAACCACAAAAACTCTAGAAGAAAACCTAGGCAACACCATTCAGGACGTAGGCATGGGCAAAGACTTAATGACTAAAACACCGAAAGCAATAGCAACAAAACAAAAACTGACAAATGGGATCTAATTAAACTAAAGACCTTCTGCACAGCAAAAGAAGCTACCATCAGAGTGAACAGGCAACCTACAGAATGGGAGAAAATTTTTGCAACCTGTCCCTCTAACAAAGGGCTAATATCCAGAATCCATAAAGAACTCAAATTTACAAGAAAAAAACAACCCCATCAAAAAGTGGGTGAAGGATATGAACAGACATTTCTCAAAAGAAGACATTATGCGGCCAACGAACACATGAAAAAAAGCTCATCATCACTGATCATTAGAGAAATGCAAATCAAAACCACAATGAGATACTACCTGATGCTAGTTAGAATGGCGATCATTAAAAATCAGGAAACAACAGATGCTGAAGAGGATGTGGAGAAGTAGAAACGCTTTTACACTGTTGGTGGGAGTGTAAATTAGTTCAACCATTGTGGAAGACAGTGTGCTGATTCCTCAAGGATCTAGAACCAGAAATACCATTTGACCCAGCAATCCCATTACTGGTTATATACCCAAAGGATTATAAATCATTCTACTATAAAGACAAATACACACGTATGTTTATTGAAGCACTATTCACAATAGCAAAGACTTGGAACCAACCCAAATGCCCATTAATGATAGACTGAATAAAGAAAATGTGGCACATATACACAATGGAATACTATGCAGCCATAAGAAAGGATGAGTTTATGTCCTTTACAGGGACATCGATGAAGCTGGAAACCATCATTCTCAGCAAACTAACACAGAAACGGAAAACCAAACAGTGCATGTTCTCACTCATAAGTGGGATTTGAACAATGAGAACACGTGGACACAGGGAGGGGAACATCACACACCGGGGCCTGTCTGGGGGGTGGGTCTAGGGGAGGGACAGCATTAGGAGAAATACCTAATGTAGATGACGGGTTGATGGGTGCAGCAAACCACAATGGCATGTGTATACCTATGTAACAAACCTGCATGTTCTGCACATGTATCCCAGAACTTAAAGTATAATTTAAAAAAAAGTTGTCATATTTTTTCTAGTAATTGCATCATTTTGAGTTTCCAACTTATCTATATTATCACCAACACTTGTTATTGCCTATTTTTTTATTATAGCTATTCTTGTAGGTGTGAAGTGGTAGCTCATTGTGCTTTAAATTTGAATTTCTCTCAAGTCTAATAGTGTCAACAATCATACCATGAGTTTATTGGCAATTCATATATCTTCTTTGTTGAATTTTTTTGGTGAAATGGGTTGTCTTCTTATTATCAAGTAATAAGATATATTTTTATATTCTAGATACAAAATTTATTTTTATTTCCTTGTATCACATATTATTTATATAAATTATCTCCTAATCTGTGACTTGTGTTTTCATTTTAATGGTGTCCTTTGAAGTACAAAAGGTTTTAATATCTGTCATTTTATTATTTGTTTTGATATATTTAACATAATAAAGAAATTTATATAACAAAGTGAGGAATATTTAGCATATATTCATCAAATATAAAAAGTTGACTAAGTTTTCACATAGTTAAATTAAAAAGAAAATAAATAGGCCAATCAAATGATGACTACAATGCATGCACTAACAATTAGAATAAATCACATTGCAAATGGTGAGTCAACATAAAAATATATATTAAAAAATTAATATTCAAATAAATTTAAATTTTAAAGTAATATTTTACTTTGCTTCTTAAATCAGCAAAATTGAAAAA
Organism: Homo sapiens; assembly: GCF_000001405.40. Classification (NCBI taxonomy): domain Eukaryota; kingdom Metazoa; phylum Chordata; class Mammalia; order Primates; family Hominidae; genus Homo; species Homo sapiens. Next base: position 58,428,654 of record NC_000013.11, read on the forward strand.
AATAATAAGAATGACCCTTGAAGTAGTGAAGAAAGGGTCTGTTGATAGGACCTGTTTTCTCTGTTCTGGACCAACTTGACACAATTTGTAAGGCCACATATAGAGAACATTTATTAATGATTAAAAATTGGCTTGTTTACATACCTTATTGTGAGAACCAAAATGAGTTTTCTCATTCCATGTTCAACCACATTCCTAGGATAGCCCATGGGAAGCTAGATTTGAGTTTGTAGAACCCCAACATATCAGCTCTCATTGGCCCAGGTAGAGAGGAGGAAATATAAACCAGGCAGCATTTAATTGGGTAGGAGAACCACATGAGACCAGGTAAGACATTATTTATCTTTATTTTTACACATTACACAACCATGAGAATTGCTGAGGAAATGAATATTTAAGAGAGAGAGTTGGAAAAATCAATGATGTCACCAACCTGTCAATCTGATATTTAGCCAACAATGTGGGACCATTAGGGGATGCTGGTGAAAAACATTTATGGGGAGCTATTTCTTCTGTAGTTCTGCAGCTAAGTGTGTATTGAAGGAGTGGTGACTCTTGATCAGCAGGGCCAACAGTTTGGACAATGAGTTGGACACAAAGTGAAGGAAAGTAAGATCTGGGTGGACCTGGCCTGCAACTCTGTGATTTCTTTCATTGCCTCTATTTACATGATCTTCAAAAAGTAATGATTTCTGATTCAACTTTTCACATCTCACACAATTCTAACTTGCAATCCCATAGTCAACAAGATTTGAGGGACTATAATTCTCGTCTAACCAATTGACAGTGTAAGTTTTCAAATGAGAATGAATTTCCCAAATTAGTCTTTCCCTCTCCACAAAAATGGATCAATGACTGTTAGCACCAAACTATTAACTTGCTCTTCTGTGGAATGAAGTAAGGTATTGGGCTAGAAGACCAGAATATTTATAGAAAAAAAAATTAATAGACATCAGGAATGGGCAAAAGAGGCTTCCCCAAGAGATGCTTGGCTATTTCTAATGTTGATGATATTTCATAGAGGGCATTCACATATAACATTGGGGAAAGGAAATATTAATACATTTTTGGAAGGGAGGTCAAAAAGATGTAATAAAGTGTTAAGATATGAATGCTCTTTAATACACCATTACCGTTTGTAACCATGTATCCTACAGAAGTAACTAGGAAAGTGTGAAAGATATTATCTGTGGCCTTGTTTATAATAGGAAAACCTTAACAGCAACTTCAAGGTCCTTCAATATGGGATTGCTTTAAAAAATTATGGTACAAATGTGTTTGTTATTAAAAGTTATTAAGTCTAAAATATGTAATTATGTCTATACTAGAAGAATATAGTATTGTGATTGTTACTGAAACACCCACGGTTCTGTCTAGGTCCTGTTGGTTGTCCCACAGAAAGCCAATTATTGAGAGAATGAGTATTGCCAGAGAAGAAGGCTTTATTCGGGTGCTCCAGTTGAGAAGATGGGAGGTAAGTCTCAAATCAGATCCCAACTGACTAAAATTAGGGGTTTATATATCTGGGAAGAAATGTAACTACATGTGGGAAAGCAGGAATTAGGGAGGGGTAAGGAAGAGAAATTGGTCAAAGGTGGTCAGTTAGGCAATCATGTTGAGTGAGGGGCATGGTGTCTCATTGTCCAGGGGTGATGATCTGGAAAGTTTGAGCTCCTTGATGCTACCTGGGAGGACTGAGAAGACAAATGTAACATTTTTCAAGTTTTAAGACTGAGAGCGTCAATTTCCATGTGTATTAAAAAAAAAAACTGTAAACATTAGTTCTATGAGATAACTGGGCCAGTTTCATGATGACAATGTATAGTATATGAACATGTTAGGGTTATGTATGGGTGAAAGAAATTCAGCTAATATTTATTTTTCTATACTTTAAATGCTATCTGAATTTTTATGATGGATATTCATTACACTTAAAAATAGAGTGTTTTTTAATATTTTGGGGGTAAACAATTATGTGAAAATTGACTATGCAAGTAAACATTCTGAACAGGTACAAACCCTATCAATAAAAAATTCTGAATATAAAGTTGAAAAATATAAACACATTTAAACCTACTGAAGTTTTAATAGAATAGTATCATACCTTTAATGGTTTTAACATAATCCTCCTAAGACAGTTTACTGTGCTTAATGGGAGCATCAGAAGCATTTTCACGTTCTTTTCATGCAAGATGATAAGAAGATGAGCTTATTGTTGCTATTCGATTTTTCATTCTTTCCTTGGCTTTGATTCTTAGGACAGAGCACGCTTTTCATCTTGCTACAAATATGACTCTGCATAAATCTCTTAGGATAGGTCTCTATGCAGGAAATAATATGGTGAAAAAAATTCTCCCTCTTTTCTGTATAATTTTTCTTCTGTGAGCCTATGGTCAGACTCAGGGTTTTATGATGAATCCCAGTTGTCAACCAACTTTCTTTTGTAAGTTATAATCCTTGGCTTCTTGTTTTGATAGAGGCATAGATATTTAAACTATAAGGGCTTACCCATATAAGATCCCTGCAATACACCCTTGTCTTCTTTTTCAGCTATTTTTAGGTGCATAAAAGTACTTTTACAATGAAGCTAAAAGTCAGAATTGTGGACAAACATTTCCTTTGAATTGACTGAAGTTAAGACTATCTTATTTACATTTTTTAAAAACCATAAAAATACAAGGACATTACCTAGTAAGAGAGAAGGATGCAAGTATGGAATTAAAATTTCTATAAACCTTCACATAAGTGAGTGAACACAGCACATTCTGTAGTGATCCACAAAGTGATGCCCATTCTAAAAACAGCAGTATTGCTTAACGTTACAAGCAGATTCTGAAACCAGGTTTCCTTAGCAGCAACACTCATGTCTGTTGTAAATCCTTAGGTAAGCTTGAGAACCTCTCTGTCCCTTGATTTTTCATTTATAAAACAGGAATAGTAATAATGGCTACCACATAGAATAGCTATGAGAATTCAGTGAGTTATTATACGTGAAATACTTGGAAAACTACTTGTTACTGCTACTAAATGGTATGTACTATTTGTAATTTTAATATCTTTTTATCACTATTTTCTTACTGACATAATAATTGCACAACTTTAATACCTTTGTAAAGGAAAAATAAGAATCATTAGAGAAGGTTAATGCCATTCTTCTAATGTTAAAGGGCTTAATGATTTGATGTTCTGTGTATATAAAACTCAATTTCATAATAACATAATACCTCAAAGCAAGCGTAAGGGCTTACTAGGAGACAGGCTTTGTACTCAAACATTTTATATGCATTGTCTCATTTTCTCACATAAAATTTTTGAGGCAGATTAAATTTATATATGAGGAAACTGAGGCTGAGAAAGACTGCCTGAGATCACGTAATGAATGGCAAAGCCGGTCTGCTTGATGCGAAAAGTCTTTGCTGTCAAACAATATACTGTGACCTTCCAGGACTAAAGTTGAAGGCAAGAGACAACATTCCCTTTTATGTGATTTCTCTAAACCTTTGCTTATATATTGCTCTTAAACTTTTTTAAAAAAAATCCAATTATCAATATCTCCTCTTATCAAATACATTATATATGAGCTATTTATAACCCACTGGTTTATTTTATAAATACATTTCCTGTATTTACTCCAGGTAGCCATTATATTTCAGTGAGTTAAAATAAATCAAAGATTTTTAAGTTGTGTATAGGGTTCATTTTGTATAAACTTTGGTGATAACAGGTAAGAAGTAAGAACTAAAATATCCAGACTTTGCATGGCAAGGAGATGAGCAAAGTTTTATTCCCCAACATTATTGTGAGGTCATATATTATCACTTTCCCAAAAGGCTCTAGACATTAGTTTCTCTCTTAACGATTTGCAATTTTAAATAAGTACATGTTTCTTTATTTTGTAGTCCAGAGTTAATGATGTTGTCTTAAATCTTTATATATTTTTCTTTTTGAATCTCTGTGAATTAGAGCAATCCACATTTTATGTTATACATACATATTTATGAAACAAATTTTGTTATACATTTTATTTTAAAAAACATAGTACAAATAGGATTTGGTATCAACTGGGGATCTTAGAACATATCCCCTGCTAATAAGGAGGAACTAACATTAAGGGCACATTCTAAGATATTGGGTGTTAGAAATTCAGCATATCTTTTTGAGGAACACAATTCAATTGATGAGAGTAGGAAAAAGCCACTGTGATATAGAGCCTGACCTAGAGCTGGCATTTGTAGCAGTATGACATTGGATAAAGCACATACCCTTTCTAGGTGTCCATTCTCTTCTCCATAAAATGACCATTTGGCTGGAATATTTTAAGGTTATTTCTATCTCTGACCTATTTGCTGCTTGTTCATTATATAATGCTTCAGTTCATTATATGTCTCTCCATCCCACCCTGCCTCAATTTAAAAGGCTTTCTAGGATTGAAATATAGTTTGACAATTATGTTTGAACTTTCTTTGTTTTTCATTTGTTTTGTCCTTTTGAGATACTGTAACGGAACACTGTAGAAGAAGTGGTTTATAAAAAACAAATATTTATTTCTCACAGTGCTGAAAGCTGGAAAGTCTGAGATCAAAGACCTGGCAGATTTGATGTCTGCTGAGGTCCCCTTTCTGGTTCATAGTGTTACCAAAACACCAGGGATTCTGTCTAGGTCCTCCCCACATTGAAAGCCAATGACTGAGATGATGAGTATTACTAAAGAAGAAGACTGTAATCGGATGCTGCAGCCGAGAAGACAGAAGCTCAGTCTCAAATCCATCTCCCTGACCAACTAAAACTAAGGATTTATATAGCAGGGAAGAAATGTAACTGTGTAAGAAAACAGGAACTAGTGAAGGGCAAGGAAGCAATCATGATAAATGAGGGGCCCGGCATCTCATTTTCTGGATGTGGTGATCTGATGAGTTTCAGTTCTTTGATACTTTTCTTTGAAAAACCTGAGGTTGTTTCCTGATGAAGGAACTCACATAAAACAAATATAAATTTCAAGCTTTAATACCAGAATTTCTATGTTTATCAAAAGAAAAATATCTATGGAACAATTGGGTTGGTTTCAAGAGATGCCCTTCTAGTTGTGCCCTCACATGGCAGAAGGAGGAAGGGAATTCCCTAAGGTTCCTTTTATAAGAACATAAGAACTTCATCTTCATGACTTAATAAGCTCCCAAACATCTCACATCTTAATCCCCTTACATTTGGGATTAGGTTTCAAAATATGAACTCTGAGAGACACAAACATTAAGTCTACAGCATTATTATTTTCTATATTGTTGTTTTTTAATGTCAAAATTATGCTAAATTAAAAGTACATAAATGAAACAATTTTATTGATATTATAAATTCAGATCTGGGCCACATTTCAACAAATTAACTGATTATTTTGGCCAGCCTCTGTGTTTATATATATGTTGTCCTTATTCTCATTTTAGATTAGGTTACTAAACAATTAATTCAATTAATTTTATTCAGTTACATAGCTGTGAATGTGTTATGGCCTGAATATTTGTGTCTTCCTCAAATTTATATACTGAAATTCAAATCCCCAAGGCAATAGTACCAGGAGGTAAAACCTTTGGGTGGTGAAGTTATGAGGGTGGAACCCTAGTTAATGAAATTAGTTCCCTTATAAAGACCCCACCCTCTCCAGAAGACTCCTGTGATCCTCCTACCATGTGAGAACAAAGTAAGAAGGTGCCATCTATGAACAGAAAATATGCCCTCACCAGATACCAAATCTCTCCACTGCTTATCTTAGACTCCTCAGCCTCCAGAACTGCGAGAGATAAATTTCAGTGGTTTTCAAGTCACTCAGTCTATGGTATCTTGTTATAGCACCTCAAACAGACTAGTATTGTATTAAAGATTCTGTGCCAATTTAATAAAAGTCACCAAGAACATTTTATTGGCTTTAATATCTTTAGATAAATTTTATGATCAATTTCTTATATATTTGAAATTAACAAAAAGTCAATAGGACAATGAAATTTTATTCCAGATAAACACCTAAAGATGCACAGTGAAAATGAAGATCTCTCTGTGGAGTCTGGGGATCGTGTTAGTCTGTCATTTTTTTAATACACCTACTTATTAGTAATACTTGGTGCTGTCTCTATGCTCAATCACATTTTGTGTCTGAAATTTAAGCTAACATTCTGGGTTTTAGTTTCAGTTATATTCACTGTTTCAGGAAGTTCCTTGCTAGATATTTCTTACTTGTTTGATGTAGCTTGATCCTTCTGTCTGACCTTGTTTTAGAAGTAGTTGCTTAAAAGCAGTGAGTTCTTACTCCATTTATCACTAAAAAGTTTTTCTTTGACAAAACTGAGCTAAATTCTCCCCTCTGGGAATGCATTCTTTGTGTTAAGTAAGGCAAGCCCCCAAGCAAAGTTGTGTTCATTCTCCAGCGTGGACTACTGGGGAAACACACTGTCCTTTTTACAGAGTGGCGGAGAGTCACTTCTAGGCCCTGGCCAGCTCCCTGCACACTCCTTTCAGCCTTGCCCCAGGCCACAGGGTTGCATCTGCCTTCTCTCCTTTTTTAAAGCCCCTCTATAAAGCTCTCCTCTATAAGCCTACTGTGCCTGAGAGCGTTGAGCTCAACATCTGGTTAAAGCCTAGGATACTGTCTCGCTATGTTGACATATCTTTCTGGCTCCCAATACAAATATTTGGATCATTTTTAGTGTAATTGTTTTTCTTGTTAACCTAATGTGGCACTGGCAAAGTTTTAAAAAATTACACACACACACACACACACACACACACACACACACACGTACAGAAAAGTTAAAAGACAAATTGCTACCATATTCATTGGTTGGAAACATCTGATCTACTTACTGCTAAATTCTGCACTGTGGGGTAGAATTTTCCTTTTATATGATTCTTCCCCTATATGACAACATTCTGGGAAAAAAAAGTTTGAGATTTCAATTAAGGTAGAAGTGATGGATAAGTTTTAATGGGCTCTCATATTGACATAGTTACTTACTAACATACGAGAAAACCAATTCAAACACATTGAGGATACAGAGATAAACAAGCAGAGAGTGGGATTATTTTTCACATAAAGGGCTATCATTTCTGCATTAAAAAAATGATCGATCTATTAAGTATTTTAGTACTTGCTGTTTGAAACAGCATCCCCACATCCTAACCTTCCCCTTCTCTCCAGAATTCAACATTTTTGTTGAAGGAATGAAAATACATTGAGACATACTTTTCATATTCAAATAACCGGTAAGCTATACGGCACGCATCGTCAAGTTGATACACCAAGTATGAAAGGCAAAGTAAATCAGTGTTTTCTTTCCTTCCTTCCTCCCTCCCTCCCTTCCTTCTTCCCTCCCTCCCTTCCTTCCTTTCTTCCTTCCTCCTTCCTTCTTTGTGCTTTTATTATATATATATTTCAAGTTGTGTAATATCAATTCCAAAGTATTTACATAATTTTACACAAGTTATCTGGGGAATCTGGGAAAGATCATTTAAAATTTTTAGTCAGTTTCCTTATTTATAAAAATAAAGCTAGAGAAAAATAGAATGGATAATATCAAATGAATCTTACAGCTATTAAATAGTATTTGTTATATTTAGAATACTTGAGAATGAAGCGTTTTAGTTATTAGTTTTTACTTGCAGAAAACTTCCTTCCTTGTAAAATTGAGCCAAGCAGAAGCCAAGCTACAGATGTTTCATGTTTTAGAGTAACTATCCCAACACTTTTGTCTTTCTCACCCAGGATCAGCTACTGCACTTAATCCTTGTACCTAAATTACTCACTCAGAATTTTGTCTATTTCCAAACCCTACCCACCATGCCAGATCTTCTTGATTTTGAAAACAGGTTTTGTTCTACCACTCATTGACTGTGGAACTTTGTACAAGCTACTAAGCCTTTTTGAACCCCAGCTTCCATGACAAGGTGGAAATTATAGATGGGATATAGAGGGATGCAGGAATGGAAAAAAGAAGAGATATAAATAAAAATTTAAAATAATATGAATTAGGAAGTGTACAAAAATGTATAATGTGGTATACTAATAGTTCTCTTTTTTGTGCCTAAAAATTCAAATTAAAAAATTAGTTATGATTTTGGTGAAATAAATTACCCTTTCAAAGAAATAGTCTGCGATTCTTAAGTAACGGTAAAGTAGCAATAGCTTTAAACTTGCAATAATGTGAAATATTTGCTTTTTAATAATAACTAAATTAAAAATAATATTTTGTGTAATCCCACTAATATATATGTATATATATAGACAGATATATAGACATGGATACATAGATTTGTGTACAAAATACTCTAAATGAATATACTAAAAAAACTTAATGCCAATTATATATGGTGCTATATCCACTTATTTTAATTCCTTTAACATTTTATGTATTTCTAAACAAACTATACTAATCTCATAATAAAAAGAAATTCACATGTAGAACACAAAACAATGCTTGAGAAACCAAATGTAACAAAATATACTCTTCAAAATGACTATCAAAGAACAGTTCTAAGGAATTAATCCAATAAAAAATAAAGCCAACCTAGAACGCCAAAATATTTTAAAGAGAATTTTTAAATTATTATTTACATATTTGATAATCACTCCCTTTCCTTTTAGCTTTACAGCTGAGGAAAGGGAAAAAATGATTCAGTTACAGGTGATTCATATTTCATAGAAATTCATTTTTAGGGAATCGAGCCTTAGCAGTTATTAATTATTAGAAGATTTATAGTACATTTAAGAATGATGCATAGCCGTGGCTGCTGGAAAAGAATGGAGCCGATCCAAATAGCATGGAAATAAGTGTTGCATTTATACATAAGGAAAGAGGATTTAATTTCATCATTATTACTGCCATTTTAACAGCAATACAGCGCTGCAGCAGCCATCATAATTATTGTCATAGGCTGGGAGGTTGTGGGAGGGCAAGAACATTTTTATGGATTAATAATCCCTTGAGGTCGTGGAGTACCAAATGTGTTTCTTCTCTGTTGGGGAGAGTGGGAGGAGAGGGAGCTGCCTCTGATTAAATCTGAGGAGCCTGGGTTTCTGTATGAAGATCTTAACAAGGAAATGAGATTGAGCCGCTTTAAACTCATCCAGTTCAACTACAGTAAATATTGCTTGGCGGCAGTGAAATCTTAATTAGTATTTCCCTCCTGTTAAACAATTCTAGTGGTTAAGAGACACTGAAATCGTGATATTTGCTTCCCCTGAAATGTTCTGTTTTAACTCTTTTATCTCATATTTTCAGAGAAAGAAGTCTATCTACTGCCTATTTTAAAAATATGTTATTTGCCATTACCTTATATTCAGCTGCTTATTTTTTCACTTCCTATTTAAAGTCTCTATTGTTAAATACAGTACAAAAAGGTATTTCTCTCAAGTCAGGTCAATCACTTCAATTTTTATTGCAATAAAGGTGTTTCCACAAAAACGCTAAACTGAAAAGTGAATTATGTCAGCACTGAGTCTATTTTTAGAGACATAAATAATTTCAGATGTGGCTTTTGAAGATGTATCTAGAATAATGTCATGACCTTTATACTTAATTACGATGCAACGTAATTTAAAATCATGGACATACAAGTACCAGGTCTTCTGAAACAGACTTATTCTTTCTAGGTTTATTCCTAAATTTCTAACAGAATTTGGATTCACTCTAAAGTCATCTTCATGAGTATGTTTAATATTTATTTAGAAAATAATAATATTTTGAGAGATGTACTAAAGACATTTTGATGTGAATTTTATTCTCAGGGGACATATAAACTATTTGAATGAGATACATTATGCATAGGAGAAGCAAATAAATATCTGCGGCCAGGCGCGGTGGCTCAGCCTGTAATCCCAGCACTTTGGGAGGCCGAGGTGGGGGGATCATGAGGTCAGGAGATCGAGACCATCCTGGATAACACGATGAAAACCCGTCTCTACTAAAACTACAAAAAAAAATTAGCCGGGCTTGGTGGCAGACGCCTGTGGTCCCAGCTATTCAGGAGGCTGAGGCAGGAGAATGGCATGAACCCGGGAGGCGGAGCTTGCAGTGAGCCGAGATCACGCCACCACACTCCAGCCTGGGCAATAGAGCGAGACTCCGTCTCAAAAAATAAATAAATAAATAAATTAATTAATTAATTAAATAAATATCTGCCTTTCAAAAGATCAACTGATATAGATTGTGAAACTAAAAGAGCCCCGACAAGACAAAGTTCAAAAAACTCATTAAACTAATTTTGGATCCATAAATTTTTGCCAGTGGCTTAATGTTTTATTTTGTTTTTCTCCTTTCTGTTAATAGATCAGGGCCACATTCTCTTTGAGCACCTTGATCCCAATCAGTATCTTTTCGTGGGTGAAAATGGGCGGTAAGGGATATGAAGAAAACTGCTCTAAACCAAGGCTGTCTCCAATACAACAGGACATATAGTTACCTTACTTATGCTGGAATATCAGAACACAGTAGTCATTATCACTTTTTTAGTTTATTTTTCAGTAGATAATATTAATAACTCTCTTCTCTTTTCTGCCTACCATTATTTCTACAGACATTGACATTCTTCATTCCTTAAATATAATCTTCGCAGGCAAGAGAACTGAGCCAGGGCTGTGTGGTTAAGATAGTTGGACAGTCTTTGCATTATAAATCATGAAATGATTGGAGTATAGACCCCAATGGTAAGTTTAGATCAGAGTGGTTTCTTCTCCTGCAAGCCTAACGTCTCAGCTCTCTTGTCATTCTTCCAGGAAGCTCAATGGAAGTTGTGGAAATAGCTAAGCAAATACAACCAAAACAGTTGCTTTCATCTTTTGTTAATGTCAGCTCCATCTTCTTCAGTTGGGAGCCTGAAGACAATAATCCCAAAATATGTAGTTTGATACAGTTTCAGTCACTGTTCATATGTTGTTTCTCCTCTAATACCAGTTTTGTCCTGTGGAACTGCTTGGCCACTCTTCATTGAGAAAGAGGGTCTCTAAATTCCCACCCAGAGTGTACTCCTATTTTGTAAGTCATATAGCTGCAGGAAATATATATTCTTAGCTTATGAAATCATTTAACAGCAAAAATTAATAGTTGCAAAACAACAAAATTTGCAGAGTATGTAATACTTTTGAAGTTTCTCCTAGTATATTATCAGTTTTGATTCTAAATAACTCAAAAAGTAAACCAGGCTGTCTTTTTGTGTATGAGGAATATCATTAAAAGAAGGTCATTGACTTTACCAAAGACATAGATTCATAGACTCTTAGATTTACGCAGTCTCTTTTAGGTACAGTGACCACATTTTCATTGTATCTTATAGAAAAGGGCCCTGTTAATAATTTTTCTAAAGCAACAGGCAAAACTAGAAATTTCTTTGAAAATCAAAATACATAGTCATCTTTTAAAAATCATCTAGTCAGTGATATTTTTCCAGACTCATCCACGATAATTATTTAGTTTTGTTTAGATAATTCTAATGATGGGAGAAAGCATATTTTGCACAAGTTAATCCTTTAATGGATTTTTTTGCTTCTTAAATATTTTTATTTATATTTATCCAGAATTTTCACCCTTTTATCTTTCACCCCCGATCTTAATTTTAGCCTCTGAAACAAATTCCCACATGAGAATCCTTTAAATATATAAATAGAATACTCACACCTCTCCCAACCTTATTATTTGTAGTTCTCATTTCCATCACCTCCACATTTTTCCCATTGTCCTTTATGAAGCATAAATTTCAGACACCTTAACAGTATTGAGACCCTCCCTTAAATGTACTTCAGTGTTGTTGGTTTTCTTCCCCCCATGGATCTTTTAAAAATGTATCATTTAGGAAGACTACAATAAAACCAACCAGTGGAACCATAATCAATTATATTTGAGTATTGGTAGTTTTAGGACTGTTTACAGTTTAACGTTAGCTGATAATGGTTGGCATCCTACTCTCATGACAAAGGCTGGTTATTTTGTGGGAGTCATTGTGGATTGCAGACATCCGCCCTTGGTGATAACCACACTGCCTGTTTCTCTGACAGGAATAGTGCTCTCCTCCTGCCTCTTGCCTTCCACCCTCCTCTTGATCCTGTGACAAAGACTCTTAATTCTACAATCATCTCTCCTGTTTAGTCAAAAGCAAAGTCTCCTTAGAATGAGCTACTCAGCTTCTGTAGTCTCACTAGAGCTGAGGCATCTTTGCCTTGGCAACTGGGGAAATTTCTAGGATCTCCCTTAGAGGATTCCTTTTTTGGTTGCTCCAGCCAGAAGCCTCCCTTCAGACTTCTGGCAGGGGAAAGAAAGCAGACATCAGTCTGTATGTTCATATGTGCATCAACCTCTATTAAGCCCACATCATTCTGTTCTAAGGTTGTCTAGTGCAAAACCTCACAGCTGCTGCAGTGCCACAGCTTAGTAAATATCCTGATAAGCAGAGAGATGTTAGGCTCACCCTCTTGCAGGAAATCACCATTTCTACTGCAAAAATTCACTTGAAAGACTCTCTTCTTTTACTTTTCTAGTCTTATACAACCTGTAAAGTAGGGTGCTTGACCAGTGTTGCTACCCTTTAGTAGATGCTGCATGGCTTTATTCTAACACCATTCTTTGGAATAGGTAGGTATTTAATACCTATTCTCTGCAGCTTTTGACTTTCACTGCAAATTAAAAAAAAATACATTTACATTTTTATATACTACCTTCTACTTAATAGCACATGGAAAAAGACTAAAAACCATTAACCTTAATCTATGTACAAATCATGGGAAAAATAGAGTTGTAGTAAGAGATGCTGAAACAGTCCTTTGTACCTCAGTTCCCCACTGTTATGGAAAATATTTAACAGCATGAAAACAACTTAATAGTCATAGACTCACTGGTCCCATCATTTCAACTCCTGAGTGCATCCATCCTAAATGTGTTTATATAATCCTTATTTCTATAGGATTTTCAGTATGAAAGAAAAATCAAAATGCATGACTAGCACAATGCTGTCAATATGACACCATGTAAATCTAATCCACGTTGTTGGGGAAAAAATCAACTTCTTTATAGTCGAATAGCTCTTAAATAATAAAGTTTACTTTGGATAATTAATCATAAGAATCCTGCTTACACATCTCAACCCTAATCTTATAAATCATATCACATCTTCTTTTCATTTAGTAAGAATCTAGATGATTTGTATAACTTTTGTTGATTTATGGTTTTAAAGTAGAGCTCTCGAAGGGCTCAGTTAACATGGAAATCAATAATTGCTGAAGCTAAAAGGGCACTGTATAGGTGAATTTCCTTCTCTCCCTACAATGCTCTGCAGTACACAATTTCCTGTGTTTCTCCAGATATGTTGCTTGAGCATTACCATGGAATTAGCAACCAAGAGTTCCTCATCTTAAAATCTAATTGGGCTTTAATTCTTATGATTAGTACTGTTAATCTGATTATTAACAAATATTTATTTCCCAAAACCTAGCCTTAAGAAATTAAAAAAAAAACTTCAGAATTGTCAGGGGAAATTAAAATTTATGGATTCTCTTGATCTATATTAATACTACTCAGTTCCCAAGTGCCCTAGATGAGTTACTATACTTCAGATGATGCTCATTTAAACAAAATGTTTACAGTGTGTTAACTCATATTCTCCACTGTTCCATTAAATATTTGAGATGGTTTACAAAACATATGTAACTCAGCAACATAGCATTCATAGTTGAGTAAGTAAAAGACAAAACAATGAGTAAATTTAGCTGAGGTAATTAATTAATGGAGAGAGGATTAAGATTATAAAGTATCTTTTTACAAAGAATCTACAGTGTTACAGTAGGTCTAAACCTACCTTTTTTGGAAGAATTTTATCCATACCAGAAGGAGAAAATGTATTTATGTCACAAATATTCTTCAATAGGAAAATGTTATTATTATACTTTTCAAAATAAGTCACTTAAGTTTCCAAATAAGTCACTAAGTGTTTAAAACATTTAACACGTTTTAAAATTTTTACTGTAAGCAAATTTTTTAAAAGGCATAATATGAGATAATTGCAATACACAACATATCTGTGCTTTCCTTTTTATTTTCCTTGATAAAAATAGACAATAACTGTGATTATAGTCCATAAGATAACCCTTATAAACTTTCAAAGTTTGTAATCACCTCTTCCTTGACACTTCAAAAGATATCTTTCTGTTCTTTGAATTTTGTATATATTCCATTTTAATGTAATTGGAGATTTTGAGCTTCTTCACAATTCCTTCTAAGTTTTCAGTAAGCATACTAAATTGTGGATCCAAGATCTGACTCCTGGAATACTTCTTAGGAGCTGATAGCTGATAGGCTTATCACTGAATTTTTCCCAGGGATATTGAATCATTCCTGATTTTTGATCTTTCCCTAAAGAATCTTCTTCCAGGGTGAATAAACAGCCAATCTGTGCTTAATTCCACTATTTAGAGACTCATAGCCAAGATTTTTCTTAAATTGCCCATACGTGCCTTCATGTGTAAAGATGCCTTTCTAATGTGAAAGAAGTGTGAAAAGAGGGACAAAAGACATGCGGATCCCTCTATTTTGCACAGACATTGAGAGATTTCTTTGAAAGAAGCCACTCATTTAAGATCTGGAACGTCTCACAATTCTATTTCCTTGCCCTAAAGAGCTACTCAGCATCTTGCATCTGGGTTACCTTATTTTTAATATTGCTGAACAAAAATTTTATTTGCCTTAGGTGATAGCTATAAAGTTTGCATTAATATGTAACAATAATTATGAACACCTATAAGCTTCACCCACTGCATTGGAAACACTAGAAGGCCATGGACTGTACATGATCTTTTCACTGTTACATGCCAGCACATAGCATTCATTCATTCACTTAACACAAATTTATTAAATACTTACTGTGTGCCAGGCTCTGTTATAGGGGTAGCAGAGAACAAAATAATGAGTGCTCTCAAAGAACTTACATTCCATTGGCTGGCTCATGGAACTACTCAATGAGCTTTAGATTGCTTTATTAAATGAGTGAATAAATAAAAGAATTGGTGTCCCTAGAAATAATCTGTATGTTTATAAAATGATTCAAAAATAGGCCGGGCACGGTGGCTCATGCTTGTAATCCCAGCACTTTGTGAGGCCAAGGCGGGCAGATCACCTGAGGTCAGGAATTTGAGACCAGCCTGGCCAACATGGTGAAACCCAATCTCTATTAAAAATACAAAAAAACTAGCCAGGTGAGGTGGCGGGTGCCTGTAATTCCAGCTACTCACGAGGCTGAGGCAGAAGAATCCTTTGAACTCAGGAGGCAGAGGTCGCAATGAGCCAAGATCGTGCCTTTGCACTCCAGCCTGGGTGACAGAGCTAGACTCTTACAAAGATAATAAAATAAAATTAAATTAAATTTAAAAATAATTCAAAAAATAGCTATGTAGCTTTTATCTTCTGGAGACAAATCACTAATTAGTGGTATAAGTGAGCATTTTATGTAATGCATTTTTTATCTTTTTTTATTCAGTGTGTTTTCTTTCTTTACTCAGTTTTCTCTCTTTATGCACCCATTAGGAGATGTCATTATTTATGATGATTTATTATTTTTGCTGGAGGATGGCTATACTGAAAGGTAATCATTATCATCCCCAAATATAAAAAGTGACACAATAAAAATATAAAGACTTCATGCTCATATTACTGCTATAGAAAATACACTGATAATATCAATAATGTTTTAATTACATATATCTTAAATATATAGAGAGATTAAAGGCTTATAAAGGGAAATAATTTGTCAATATAGAGATAAATTTAATGTATACCATTTCATATTTTGATCTCATTTAAGGAAATAAATGGAACTGCTAATCCCTCCCTCCAAAAAACAACTGCAGTTTAAATTTTCCCAACTTTTATTTGCTCCATAAATTCCAATCACATGCAACAAAGTGCTCATGTAATTATATTTCACTAAACTGACATTGGTTTGGGTTTGGTTTTATATTTACTTTCATCCATTCATTTGTTCTTCTGTTTTTCACTACATACTTATCTGCTTCCAACTGCTCTATTTCACACTAATCTCTATCCTCACGTTGTTTACAAACATGAATGAGAAGTCCTTGTAAATCATGATTTCTATTTATATATCCATTAAGGTAATAATTATTGCTATAATTGGATCAGATGCAATTTTCATTGTAATGAACATTTTAAACTCAATATAAATTATTCACTTTTAGGATTTATTTAGTATTTGCTTATATTTTAGTATTTAGTATTCAATTTTAGTGTTTAAGATTTATGTTTATATTATTTTAATGGAAAAAGCCACTATTACTTTTACACCAAGCTAATATTACAAATTATTTACTATTCATGTAAAATATTTATATTTAACATATAGTATTATCAGTAGGATTATAAATGAAAGAATAATTTAGAGCTGGGAGGATTAATAAAGGCCATCACTGAGCCTAGGTCTTTTTTTCTTTCAGATGATATCCCCATTCATTTTTTTCTTCTTTTTTTTTTTTTTTTTTTTTTTTTTTTAGAGACAAGACCTCACTCTGTCACCCAGACTGTAGTGCAGTTACAGGATCATTAGCTCAGTGTATCCTAGAACTCCTGAGCTCAAGTGATCCTCCCACCTCAGATTCTCAAGTGCTAGGACTACAGGTGTGCATCACCATACCTAGCTATTTGTTTTTTTAAATTTTCTTGTAGAGATGCGCTCTTGCTTCGTTGCTCAGGCAGGTCTTAAATTCCCGGCCTAAAGTTATCCTTCTGACTTAGCCTTTCAAAGCACTGGGATTATGGATGTGGCTCATTGCACCTGGCCTATCCCTCTTATTAATATAAATATGTATTCTCTTGCTTTTGTGTTACACAAGATTTGGTAACCTAATGGGTATATTTTGGTGTCATTTCTATACAGCTATTTACTAGTGTGCAAATTAGGATTTTTCAAATATTATGAATATTGCTAATTTTCTTATCATTTTCCCTTAACGATTTAAATTCCAGATTATCCATGTGCTCTATAGGGTTTCAGTGATCCCATGCCACAAATCTAATCACTTGAGTTATATTTCAATAGATCTAATGTGTTGGTCAGAGTTATTTATAGCCTATGCTATGTACAGCGTGACAGGTAATTTAAGATAGAATTACAGGCCTTTATTGAAGAACAGACTTTTGGAATAATAGAAAAGTTAGCATGCCATCATCCAGTGTATATGTTCTCATGAGTGCTCTCATATTCAACATATGAACTGTCAGAGAAATCATTTACCATGGATGTCTCTGATGGATGAGTTACTCATTCTGCCTAATGAACCTCTCAGCATTTCAACTCAACAGTAACTAAGCATATTCTTTACAGTTTTCAGTGTTCAAATACCTAGTATATTGCTAAGTCCTTAGGGGAACTCAACAGTTGTTTGATTACTATTTGCTTATGATCCAAATAGATTAGGGAAGCAAGAAATAGACAGAAACATTATCAACGATAAAATTTGACATATTTAGGCACACCAGTATTAACTTTAAAGGGGGCTGGCACATTTACCTATTAAACCCGTGACTACAATAAAAAAACTGTTGTTCAAAATTGATCAATTAATTAATATATTTATATAGCACATATGCTACATGGATAGATCTCTTTCATAAAAGCATTCTTCAAGGTGTTTATATGTACTCCAAGATATATTTTACATCTATTTATTTATTTATCTATTTACATTGATATATATATCTGTATATAGAGAAACATATAGATATATATAGCCATATAACTTTATATTTATAGACATATCTGATACATTTTATATATTAATCTCAATACTATTATTATAATTACAGCAGTATATTGAGTCTTTACAATGTTTAATATATATTATATATTGGAACATTTTTCATTAAAGATACTCCTTACTTTCAAATTAAAAAAAAAAAGATTAAACTTAGCAAAATAGATGATATAAAATGGTCTTGTTTCTATGAAAATTGTTAAACCATGTTTTATTTGACATTTGGAATGATTTTGCAATCCATGTGTTTATTTAGCATCAATTATCATAACTTCCTAAGAAATTCAACAATTCTTTTATGCCAAATATAAATCATAAAGGGAAAAGGGCAAATATCTCTTCATTTCTTTCTTTGCAACTGATATTTGATGATAGATTAGTGGCCACACCTACTCACAACCTATTTTTAAGTGGTGTAGAACTGATTATGCTGTTGAATATATGAGTAGTATGTCATTTTTATTATTAAATGTCATATTTAAGTGGGAAAAAATATGAAATTTTAAAGATGTGAAGATTTCTTTAAATTCTCCATATTTGCTGAGCCTTTTTTTTCCCTGTATATTCACAGTAACACACAGAACTCTAGCTCATTCAACTCTACGGATTAGCTTTATACATTTTGCACACGTGAATCTGGACTTAATTTTTCTGGAATCAGAACTAATCTATGGTGAAATATGGATATTGAAATGCAAACAAAATCAACACTGCCAAGAAGCCTCCCCAACAATCTGCTATTTACATAAGTTAACCCATATTGTGGACTATTGACTCTTGGCAGTAGACAAGTTGGCTACCTAATTTGTGCAGTCACTGAATTTTTTAATATCTGGAAAGTTTCTATTCCTTAAAATATTATGTACTTTTACATATAATTTTTTTCTGGGTAGTGACTAAATGTATATGCTGGAATGAGACAAATGTATATTTTACATACAAATAACTAAAGTGTGTCTATTTGAAGCAAATTATAAGTGATGTAAGAAAATAAGAGTTTGATATTAATTTCTAGTTTTTCTACACCAGTCTAAGAAATTTATGGAAGCCCTTAGTTGGTGCAGGAAAGTGTTTCCACTCTGGATTATGTTTTTTCCTACATATTCCCATGTTCTTTTCCATCTACACTCTAAGAGTCTTTGTTTCTTACGAAGTCCTATTGCTACACAAAAATTTTTCCTCATTTTAACTGATGAAGTAATTGAAGTGTGCTTCATGTACTATACTGGTATAGCTTACCCCCTGCATGACGCCTTCCTGTGCCAACATCCTGGGTTACTTGGTATGTTGTTTTTCTATGGTTTCCCTAACCAAAGATCACAAACTGGGAGGCTTGGAAACAGAAATTTATTATCTCACAGTTCTGCAGGACAGAAGCCAACCATTAAGGTGTGAGCAGGCATGTGCTTCCTCTGCCTATGGATAGAATCCTTACTTGTTTCCTTGTAGCTTCTGGTGACGGTCATCAGTTTTTTGTGTTCCTTGGCTATATCACTCTTATTTCTACCTCTGTTATCACATTGGCTATCTTCTCTCTCTATGTCTGTGTCTCTTCTCTTTTTCTTTTATTTTTTATTTTTGTAGAGAAGGGAGTCTTGTTATGTTGCCTAGGCTTGTCTTTAACTCCTGGCCTCAGGTGATCCTCCTGCATAGCCCTCCCAAAGCACTGGGATTATAGACATGAGCCACTGTGCCTGGCCTCTTCTCTTTTTCTTAAAGAGATACCCGATAGTATTGAATTAGGGCCCACCCTAACTGATTATAATCTCATCTTAACTTGATTACATCTGTGAAGACTCTATTTTCAAATAACCTGATATTTACAGGTCCTGGGGGTTAGGACTTTGACGTATCTTTTAGGGGGACACAGTTCAGTTTCTAACACTCAGTAATCAGAGGAATGGCTCCTCTTGTGTTAGGTCTTACTGTTCTGACTCTACAGAGTGCTCTGTGTCTTCTTTTGCCTTCCATTTCTTTGAGTTATTTCCTGATTTGAGAGCAATCTGAAGATGCTGCCTCCCATCCTTGCTATACTATTATGCTTCCTGGGAGATTAAGAGTCTGCCAAATTTAGGGATGCCATTCCTTGCTGGGTCAGATAATAGTTTGATTTTTCCTTTTTTAAATTTACATTAAAGTAGAAGATCTGCAGACTTGAAGGCAGAATATAGTCAAAGGAATTTGCCTTTTTTTCTCCCATTAAAGGAAAAATCTAAGCAATAGGCACCATTACCACTTGCTCTGTTATCAGGTTTTTGTCTTAATGTCAGAAATTTCAGTGACTCAAAAGACCTTGGGGATAGGAGCTGATATTGTAAAGAAACTGGGAATGTTTGGGGAAGAAAAAAAAAGTCATCAACCAAGTCCCAATAAGGAATCTCCAGTTACCATTCTAGCAAGAAGGAATTTGTGTTTTGACCCTTTACTATATTCTTAGGGCAGGATTGTCAGCCTTTTTATTTTTTTCCCTGAGGCAGGATGGTAGGTCCCTGGTGAAATTTAATTATAAACCCTACCTTATCTTTATGAAAACCAATCACAACCTTGCCCTTGTTGAAATGAGTTACTCTCTAATGGATTTAGGAAGAAATATATATATTATAAAAAAAAAACTACCTAAAGTGCCTCAAGCAGGGAATGTTCATGTTATTCACTCTCCTTTATGCCGATCTATGCTGATATATAGATCAGCATGCTCATATATATAGGTTAACATGCATACATTACTTAGGAAAAGTGATGGTAAATGCTTTTTTTGTTTTTTGGCTGGCATTTCTACATGACTGAGAGTGTGTTTTCTAGCATATTTTCACTGATATTTTTTCCAAACACTATGCAACATATCACTACCTGTAGGAGTAGGGGCTCTTTTCTTTTCCTTTCTTTCTCTTTCTCTTTCTTCTTTTTTTGAGATGAAGTTTCACTCCTGTCACCCAGGCTGGAGTGCAATGGCGTGATCTTGGCTCACTGCAGCCTCTGCCTCCTGGGTTCAAGCAATTCTCCTGCCTCAGCCTCCCGAGTAGCTGGGATTCCAGGCACCCGCCACCATGCCCAGCTAATTTTTGTAATTTTAGTAGAGACGGGGTTTCGCCATGTTGGCCAGGCTGGTCTCAAACTGCTGACCTCAGGTGATCCACCTGCCTCAGCCTCCCAAAGTGCTGGGATTACAGGCGTGAGCCACCACACGCAGCCTGAGTAGGGGCTATTTCTTCTATATGTTTTAATACAGACAAATAAGATCTACCACCTATAATAGAATGAAACACACTATTATAACAGCCTGTAGATGAAGATTTTCATATTTGGAGCTGACGAATTCCATAATGAAAATTAAATTGGTTTTGATGTAACACAGTGAGAGTTATATGGCTTCACAGTGGGACAGACTGGGTTACAATTCTGGTTTTATTCCTTACTAGCACAGAGATTTGGGGAAGGTCAATTGAAAAAAACACAAAAAAGCATCTATCATATACATGGTACTCATTTAGGTTGTCCAGTTATAAACCTTGAAGCCAACTGCTATCAAATGAATGTGTGACCCTCCACCACCCCCACCAAATTTATAGGTCGAAAGCTAAATCCTATTGTGTTAGTATCTGGAGATGCGGCCTTTCAGAGGTGGTTAGATAATGATAGTAGAGACCTTATTAGCTAATCTTTGATGGGATTAGTGCCCTTATACAAGAGATCCCAGAAAACTCCCTTGTCCCTTGTGCCAAGTGAGCACCAAAAAGGTGCCCTCTGTGAACCAAGAAACAGGCCCTCACCAGACACCAAATCTGCTAGCACCTTAATCTTGGACTTCTTTGCTTCCAGATCTATGAGAAATAAGTGTTTTTTAAGAATCACAGTCTATGGTATTTCTGTTATAGCAGTCAAAAGGGACTAAGACACACATCTTTTGACAGTTGAATTTAACATCCTACATAAACATGTAATTTCTGCTGTGAATTAGTATTCTTAAGAGAAGAATGTGCAAAAAAACAGTTTTAGCAAAACTCTAAAGATGGAGTAAAAATAGAGCCTAGAATTTGTATTCTGAAAAGCTGCTTGCCATTCTGACTACTTCTCTGCCTCTAGAAAACAGTGGATAAATCCTTAATCTTCTCCACAACCTATAAGTTGAAGATCAAATTGGTATAAACTAGCTACAAATTAATTTTAAAAATATTTCAAGGGAAGCATTTCATTTTTGAAATATAAAAGTTTTAATATTTTATATTTTATGTGCTAAAACCTTTTAAAGATCAGAAAATTGGAAGTTTCATCTTTCTTTCAATAAAAATGAGGTAAAATAATATGAACTTAACATTTTATTAAACTATTTTTACATAAAATGTAAGATTTTGATATCCCAAATTATACCAACTTTGAATAAACTGTTTTGAAAAATGAAGTGTAATTAACATATATGAAGTACAGAAATTATATGTGCTGTATAAATTTTTGCAAAATAAACACAACAGTACAAACAGGCATTAAATAGACGATTAGAAACATCTTTGTGTACATTACCAGTAACTATTCCTCTTTTAAAAGTTAATCCCTATTCTGACTTCTTTCACCATAGATTAAGTTTGCCAATTTATCAAAGGCATATATAGAATTGTATTATATAATACGTATCATTTTGCTTCCATCTTCTTTTGATCGACATTATGTTTTTGAGATACAACCACATAATTCTCTATAGTAGTAGCCCATTTACTTCATTGCTAGTTTTCCATGATATGACTACACCAGTATTTATCTAATGTATTTTTTAGGGATATTTAGGTTATTTCCAATTGGGAACAATTATAAATAAATAATTTGCCAATGATTGTTTTATTTATGTATTTTTTAGCATATTTATTGGCATTTTGTTGAATATATGGAGGTATTACTGTTTATGATTTTAGACATTAGCACTATTTTGGAAATTAAAACAATCCCACGATGACCATTTGTGAATGTATATTTATATATGCTTATGTGGAGAATATACCTAGCATTATGAACAATTTCTATGTTTTTATAATTTAATTTAATTTTTTAAAGATGGAATCTCACTCTGTTGCCAAGTCTGGAGTGCAGTGGAGGGATCTCGGCTCACTGCACCCTCCACCTCCCGGGTTCAAGCAATTCTCCTGCTTCAGTCACCCAAATAGCTGGGATTACAGGTGCACGCCACCACACTAGGCTAATTTTTTTTTTTTAAGTAGAGATGGGGGTTCACCGTGTTGTCCAGGCTGGTCTCAAACTCCTGACCTCAGGTGATCCGCCTGCCTCCGCCTCCCAAAGTGCTGGAATTACAAGCGTAAGCCACTATGTCCAGCCATCTATATTTAACTTTATTAGGCACTGCCAAATAACTTTCCAAAATGGTCATTCTAATTCACATCTGACAACAGTTTTTGAGAGTTTCAGTTTTTCCACAACCTCACCATTGTACTTAGTATCATCAGTCTTTCATTTTAGTCATGTTGGTGGCTATACAGTGATCTCTAGTTGCAGTTTTAAGTTGTATCTCCCTATGGTTAATGGGGTTGAGAACATTTTCATGTGTTTCTTTGCCATTTGGACATCCCCTCTTATTGATAGATGTCTTTAGGTAGATTTTTGAAACTTTTAATATTTGTATTTGCCATATTATTCTGAAAGTAAATATAAATTTTCTGGACAAGACCACATTATTATTATGTACAGGAATAACTGCATTACTACTCCATGTTGTGTTCTTTCCCCCATGTGGGGCAATGCATGAGAGCCAGATAAGTAGACCTGCTTGGGCAACAAAAGAAGTTTTCTAATGTTACGTGGAGGAACACTGAAATTAGGAACCTAGGAGTTTTTATGTATGCTGTCCAGATGCCACCAACCCCCAACACCACTCCGAGAAATGAGAGGAATCTAATCTTTCTGATGTGAACAAAGTCTCTTTCAGTAAAGAAGAGGACTGTAGGAGGGATTTTATCTTTTGGAATGTAAGTAAATGTTTATATGGGGTGGGAGGAGAGATAAGGCAAGTATTGTTTCCATGGCTCCAGGTTTTCTCTTACCTTAAAATGTAAATACATGCCTCCAGGCAGTTAAATCTCTCTAGTGTTCTCATTCATTCTGTCATCTTCTGACTTTCAAGCTCTGCTCGTTAGAGTAAGTTGCTGTTTTCTTTGCTCAGAAAGTCCTTACTTTCTAAAACATGAAAATAGGTATATTGCTTCTCAGCTGCTTTTTGTCCAATTTTCTATTAAATTCTCTCTTATTTATATAGGGTTGTAGAAATTCTTTATATATTTGGGTTGTATGTTTTGTAGCTTTTTGTTCTATGCTGGATTTCTGTATTTTTTACTCATTTTATTTCCATGGTTTAATATCAGTATTTTATGCTATCTTCCAGTTTAATAAACCTCTCAACTGCTGCATCTAATCTGTTATTAAACCCATTTGCTGTAATCTTTTTTATTTTTTGAAATGAGTTTTTGCTATATTGCCCAGGCTGGTCTTGAACTTCTGGGCTCAAGTAATCCTCCCACCTCAACCTCCCAAGTAGCTGGGACTATAGGCCCATGTCACCATGCCAAGCTTACTGCAATCTTAGTTACAATTTTTATATTATTTAGAATTTCCGTTCTATTGTATTTCTGTATGCCTGATCTGTGGTAAATTTCTGTATTTTGTCACCTTTTAAAAAAACATACTAATCACAGTAAATTCAGAGACAGTGTCTGATACATCTGATAGATGAATCACCTGTGTGCCTGTTTCCTCTTGCTCTTATTTCCTGATAATTTTTAATTGAATGCTATAAATTCTAAATGGAAACTGTAGATATTCTATATGATGCTAAATTTTCCATAGAGGATTTAATTTTGCTTTTGATGAAGAATTTGATTAAGGGCAAATCACCTTACACCCTAATCCACTCTCAGATGAAGGGGACTGGATTTTGGAATTTTGTCTGGTTCTTTTAAATCTTACTCTTAGGGTTTAGTATTTCAGTGTTTTCTTCTGAAATCCTGCATATAAGAATCCATCCTTCCTGGAGAGCCCTGATATCCAGTTTTTGTTTTCCTAGAATTTTTGGCTTCAGAAAACTTTGTTTGGGTTCTCAATCTGTAGGTATTATGCCATTTATAAATCAGCAAATAATTTACAGAGGGAAGTGACACTAAATGTCAGCTTTACCTTAGTGCATTTACTCATTTCTTCAAGATCATGGTGCCCTAAATTCTGGCTGCCTTAGTAGTTCCCTGATACTTAAAAAAAAATTGTTTTTGTTTTGTTTCTTTTGGCTGTATTTTGCAGATTTTGTTTCGGTATTTTGTTTTTCCAGTTATTATTCACAAAAGGGCTTATTTTCTAAGTTGATCCATTACAGCCAGAAATTGAAGTCTTACTAAAGCTACAATAATTCCTAAGTTTCTACATATCAGTTAGCCTTGATCAAAAATTTTACTTTATTCATAGAATATTTTCGATGTATCATATTGTCATTTTTTATTATTTCATGTTCTTTGAACTCACACACTCGTACTAGTTTGTAATTAAATTGTTTTCTGATTAATTCAGTTTACATCTCTATCATCACTAGACTGTAAACTCAAAGAAAGGAAGGGTTGTGCCAATTTGCTTACCATGCTATCTCTGATGCCTATCATACAGCCGACACTCAATGAATACCTTAAAATTCTGTCTAAACAAATAAGTACCTGGGAAATATTTAAGAAAAAAACATATAAAATTCAGCTAGCTCTCAATTAAGTGTTATATTGGTCTAAATTGAATAAATTCATATAGGTTAGTCAAACAAATTTTATAGGAAAAGTTTCTCTAGAAATTAAAATTAAAATATAACAAATTTTACATGAGCTATTTTCTTTATAGCATCATTATTAAAAATTCAAGCACATACTGTAGATGCAGTACTTTTAAAAAGAGTTTTAAATAAAAAACATTGTCAACTATTTTATA
Source organism: Homo sapiens (assembly GCF_000001405.40). Lineage (NCBI taxonomy): Eukaryota > Metazoa > Chordata > Mammalia > Primates > Hominidae > Homo > Homo sapiens. Next base: position 58,454,398 of record NC_000013.11, read on the forward strand.
AAAATACTTGAAAGCTCTGGTGTGGAAAACAAACTTAAAAGTAGATAATAAGCATGATTGTATGTAAATGCTTATATCAGAGACAAATGGGAAAAAGTTTATTAAAATCTTAAAAATACAGTTAAATAAAATTTGTTTTAAAAAGGCATGTTTAATCGCAGGAAATTTTATGGATAGTCTATTAATAAATGAACATAATATAAAAGTTGTTATCCTAAATTCTCAGTTCCATAAACAATATAAATTCTCTGGTAAAATTCTCATCTTTGACATATGGCCTAAAAATTTCAGCAGATTACTTTACCACATAAACTTTTTGTTGTTGTTGTTTCTAACAAGTGTTCTTTTGAGCGTTAATTTTGAACAATCAGTCCCTGAAACCCGCTATCCCAGCATGTTGTCTACTATTATAAAACTATGTTATTCAAGGGAGGAAAAATATCTATCAACATACCTACTTAAATTTTCTACTTATGGAAATTTTTGTAAGGAAATTTCAAGTCAGAAGTAAATAAATGACAGATCAGTGCCAGAGTCACATAGTTCCTATTGGTAACAAGATAGAAATCTAACATTTCTATTTCAAATGACATATTCTAAAATACAGAGGTACATTTTGGAGTCAGGATTTAGTAGTTATTAGAATAACATCCCCATATGGCCAAGAACAAATACAATTTTATCATCAATAAGATACTAGATAAAGGCAACTAGAAATAATGCCTGATTACCTACAAAGGTAACCCCATCAGGCTAACAGTGGACTTCTCAGCAGAAACCATAAAAGCCAGAAGAGACTGGGGGCCTAGTTTCAGCATTCTTAAAGAAAAGAAATTCTAATCAAGAATTTCACACCCTGCCAAACTAAGCTTCATAAGTGAAGGAGAAATAAAGTCTTTCTCAGACAAGCAATCACTAAGGGAATTCATTGCCACTAGACCAGCCTTACAAGTGTTCTTTAAGGGAGTTCTAAACATGGAGATGAGCAATATCTGCTCCCATAAAACTATACCTAAGTACCTAGCCCACAGACACTTTAAAGCATCTACACAATAGAAACTACAAAACACAATCTGACAACTTTATGATAGAATCAGAACCTCCCATATCAATATTAATCTTGAATTTAAATGGTTTTAATGACCTACTTAAAGGGGAAGAGGGGCAAGTTGGATTTAAAAAAAAAACTCATCTATCTACTATTTCAAAAGACCCACCTCACAGTAAGAACACCATAGACTCAAGGCAAGGGATTGGAGAAACATCTATCACACAAACTAAAAACAAAAAAGAGTAAGGGTCTTTATTTATATATCAGATAAAATAGACTTTAAACCAACAACAGTAAAAAAAGGACAAAGAAGGGCACTAAAAAAATAATACAGGGTTCAATCCAACATATGACTTAACTATCTTATATACACACCCAGCATTGGAACACACAGATTCATAAAACAGGTACTTCTAGACCTACAAAAAGTCTTAAACAGCAACATAATAGCAGTAGGGTACTTCCACATGCCACTGACAGTGTTAGAGAGACCAAGGCAGAAAACCAACAAAGAAATTCTGGGCTTACATTTGACTTTTGTCCAATTGAACCTAATAGACATTTACAGAACACTCCACCCATCAACCATAGAATATCAATTCTTCTCAACTGCACACAGATCATAATCTAAGACTGACTACATGCTCAGTCATAAAACATGTCTCAATAAATTCAGAAAAGTCAAAACCATACAAACCATACTTTTGGACCATAGTGGAATAAGAATACAAATCAATACCAAGAACATCATCTAAAACCACAACATTACATGAAAATTAAACAACTTGCTCCTGAAAGACATTTGGGTAAACAACAAAATAAAGGCAGGATTTAAAAATTATCTTAAATAAATGAAAACAGAGACACACATATCAAAATTTCTGGGCTACAGCTAACACAGTGTTTATAGTGCTAAGCACCTATACCAAAAAGTTAAACAATCTCAAATTAACAATCTAACATTACACCTATAGGAACTAAAAGCACAAGATCAAACTAACCCCAAAGCTAGCAGGAGAAAAGAAATAAATAAAATCAGAGAAGAATTGAATGAAATTGAGATCCAAAAATCCATACAAAGGATCAACAAAATGAAAAGCTGGTTCTTTGAAAAAAATCAACAAGATTGATAGATCACTAGCTAGATTAACAAAAAAAGAGAAAAGATCCAAATAAGTGCAGTTAGAAATGACAAAGGTGACATTAGAACTGATCTCACATAAATACAAAAGATCCTCAGAGACAATTATGAACATCTCTCTGCACACAAACTAGAAAATCTAGAGGAAATAGATAAATTCCTGGAAACACACAAGCTCCCAAGACTAAGTCCAGGAAGAAATCAAAACCCTGAACAGATGAATACTGAACTCTGAAACTGAATCAGTAGTAAAAAACTTACTAACCAAAAAGAGCTTTGGAGCAGATGGATTCACAGCCGGATTCTATGAGATGTACAAAGAAAAGCTGGTATAAATCCTACTAAACCTATTCCAAAAATAGGGGAGGAGTGACTCCTCCCTACATAATTCTACAAAGCCAGCATCATTCTGATACCAAAACCTGGCAAAGACACAACAACAACAACAAAACTGCTGGTCAATTCCCCTGATGAAAAAAAATGCAAAAATCTTTAACAAAATGCTAGCAAACCAAATCCAGTAGCATATCAAAAGTTAATTCACCATGATAAAGGAAACTCATCATGATCTAGTAGGCATTATTCTTGTGATGCAGGACTGGTTCAACATACAGAAATCAATAAATGTGATTTGTCACATAAACAGAATTAAAAATAAAAACCATATGATCATTTCATTAGATGCAGAAAAAGCTTTTGATAAAATCCAGCATCCTTTTGTGATTAAAAACCCTGAGCAAACTAGACACCAAAGCAACATACCTCAAAATAATAAGAGATATCTATGACAAACCCACAGCCAACATTAGAACATACAAAAGCTGGAAGCATTCCCATTAAGAATGTGAACAAGACAAGGATGTCCACTCTCACCACTCCTATTCAGCATAGTACTGGAAGTCCTAGCCAGCGCAATTAGGCAAGAGAAAGCAATAAAATGTATCCAAATAGTAATCGAAGAAGCCAAATTATCTCCCTTCATTGATGTTATGATTCTATACCTAAAAACCCTGAAGACTCCAACAAAAGGCTGCTAGGGTGACAAATGACTTTAGTAAAGTTTCAGGATATAAAATCAATGCACAAAAATCAGTAGCATTTCTATGCACCAATAACATTCAAACTGAGAGATAAATCAAGGATGTAATCCCATTTACAATAGTCACAAAAATTGTAAAATGCCTTGTAATATAGCTAACAAAGAGGTAAAATTTCCTCTACAAGGAGAACCACAAAACACTGCTGAAAGAAATCATAGATGATACAAACAAATGGAAAAACATCACATGCTTATTGTCTAGAAGAATCGGTATCATTAAAGTGGCCATAATGCCCAAAGCAGTCTACAATCTACAAAGATTCAACGCAATTGCTACGTAATTATCAACTTCATTTTTCACAGAATTAGAAAAAAACTATTCTAAAATTCATATGTAACCAAAAAAGTGCTCAAATAGCCAAATAAATTTTTAGCAAAAAAGAACAAAGCTGGAGGCATCACACTACCAGACTTCAGAATATACTATAAGGCTACAGTAACCAAAAAAGCATGGTACTGGTACAAAAACAGTTACATAGACCAGTGCAACAGAATATAGAGAACCAAGAAATAAAGCTGCACATCTACAACCTTCTGATCTTCAACAAAGTCAACAATAGCAAGCAATGGGGAAAGGAATTCTTATTCAATAAATGATGTTGGGATAAATGGCTAGCCATATGCAGAAGAATAAAACAGGACCTATATACAAAAATTAACTGAAGATGGTTTAAAGACTTAAAGGTATGACCTAAAACTATCATAATCCTAGAAGAAAACCTAGGAAACACCATTCTGGATATTGGCCTTTGCAAATAATTTACGACTAAGTCCTCAAAAGCAATTGCAACAAAACAAAAATTCACAAGCGAGATCTGATTAAACTAAAGAGCTTTTGCACAGCAAAAGAAAGTATCAACAGAGTAAACAGAAAACCTGCAAAATGGGAGAAGATATTTGCAAACTATGCCTTCAACCAAGGTCTAATATTCAGACTCTATGAGAAACTGAAACAATTGAACGAGCACAAAAATAATAATAGCCTCATTAAAAATGGGCAAAAGCCACGTACAGACACTTCTCAAATGAAGACATATCTATGGCCCACAAATATGTAAAAAATACTCAATATCACCAGTCATTAGAGAAATGCAAATTAAAACCACAATGAGAAGCCATCTCACAGCAGTCAGAATTTCTGTTATTAAAAATGACAAAAAATAACAGATGCTGTTGAGGCTATGGAGAAAACACTCATACATGGTTGGTGGGAAAGTAATTTAGTTCAGCCACTGTGGAAAGCAGTTCTAAGAACTTAAAATAGGACTGCCACTTGACCCAGCAATCCCATTACTGGGTATATACTCTAATAATAATAATAATAATAAATTGTTCTACAAAAAAGACACATGCACTCATATACTCATTGTAGCACTATTCACAATAACAAAGACATGGAATCACCCTAGCTGCAAATTGACAGTTGACTGGATAAGGAAAATATGATACATATATACCATGAAATACTATTCAGCCATAGAAAAGAACAAAAGTATGTCCTTTGCAGCAACATGGATTCAGCTGGAGGCCATTATCCCAAGCAAATTAATGCAGGAACAGAAAACCAAATACTGCATGTTCTCACTTATAAGGGGTAGCTAAACATTGAATACACATAGACATAAAGATTGGAACAACAGATAATGGGAACTCCTAAAGGGGGGTGATGGTGAGGGCGGCAGGGTGAAAAATTACCTGTCAGATACTATGCTCACTACCTTGGTGATGGGATCATTTGTACACCAAAACTCAGCAACACATAATTTACCTGTAACAAACCTGCACATGTGTCACCTGAATCTAACATAAAAGTTGAAAAAATAAGGTATTAGAAGTAATATCAAGCTTTGTTTTATAAAGGGATGTGATTATTTAATCTGTTTACTGAGTTTAGTGTAAGATATATTACTGCTCATATTTAAACTTAATAAGTGAATTATATTGATGTAAAGATCAATGTATTTAAAGCAAGACAATTCTAAGTTTGAATTCTAGCTTTACAATCTATCATTTGCTTCACCTTACAGTTTTGTTTCCATATCTGTAATATGGTGCTGAGATTACTTAGCATTCATTCAGACATAAAATGACTAAGGTAAAACATACACAAAGTGCCTAGCAGAATTCCTGGCTCATATTAAACATCTCTGATATGCCAAGACTTTTTCTTTTCCCCTTGTGTAAATGTTGTTAAATTATTTTATATCTATTGTATAATTTTTATTCATTTAAATATTCATCTTGTAATCACCATATTTTGTTTATAAGTTGAAATGTTTTCTACAGATTTTGGCATAAATTATTTTCCATTTTCAGAACAACTCTTTAAAAAGATAATTGTATTAAAAAGTTGGAATGTGAATAAAATATTTCATTGAGAAAAAGTTATAATAACCTTTTGACCATGGGCTAAATTGTAACCATGTGCTATTACCAGGACTAAGAGGTCTGAACCTCTTGAAGTCACAGGGGACAATGATGAAGATGGAGCTTAGCCTGATTTTCAGAGTTTCAGGGAGGTCTACAATCAGATAATTTACACTGTCTTAAACACAAAAGAACATAAAATATAATTCATCAAATGCATCTCCAAAATTTTATAATGCCAATTCCAGAATCTATTCCTTTGATGACAACCAATTGTTACTAATGTTAGCCTGTCAAGAACTGAATGGAATCTACAAAATGAAGGTTTAAGTTTAATATTTCCAGGTCAAATAACATATTCTAAAGTACAGAGATCCATTTTGGAGTCAAAATTCAGAAGTAGCTATTTTTACTCAACTCACCTTCCCAGGGCACTCAAAATGGTGCAAGAGATTGGTTTTCCACTGTCAGGCTACCCAGGTGAAGATCCTCTTGTTGATGGCAGAAAGCCCCCGACTGACACTCATGTTCCTACATCTTAGATTGGCCTTCCTCAAGCTTGTTTTCTCAGGTTCTGGGTAGGGACAGGTAGCACTATTATGAGGGCTGAAGTTAGAGAATGGGAGGAATGAGAAAGTGCTGCCCTGGCATTAGATACGCACTCGGTAGAAAACATACTTCACGTGTTCATATAGCCATTTTGTTTTTTCACTTTCACTACAGTATTTAACAAGTGAGATATTCAACACTTTATTATAAAATGGGATTTGTGCTGGATAATTTTGCCCAATGGTAGGCTAACGTAAGTGTTCCGAGCATGTTTAACATAGGCTAGGCTGCTATGATGTTTGATAGGTTAGAAGTGTTAAATGCATTTTCAACATCATATTTTCAAATTACGATGGGTTTACTGAGACATAACCCCATCGTAAATAGAGAGGCATCTGTATATTTTGGAAATTAAGCCCTTATCTGATACATAGTTTGCAAATATTTTTCCCATTCCACAGGCTCCCTTTCCACTCTCTTGTTGCTTTCTGTGCTGTGCAGAAAAAAAAAAAAGAAAGAAAAGAAAGAGAAGAAATCAAAGACTCTGAATGTGTAACTGATTTGCCCAAGACCACAGAATTAGAAAAAGGCAGAATCAGAACTTGAACTTTATTATTCTAAATCATCCACACTTGTTGGTGCAAAATAAATCCTAAGACATTGTTAAAACTTTTCTAGAAACGCCATATGAAATGTTAACTACTTTAAAGAACTTTGAAATATAGGCAAAAGATACCAGTAGAAAATCCTGGTAATGAAGCCAAGAAGGAAACAGCAATATGTGACAGGCCCTGCGGGCAACATCTGTTTTTGTTTTATACAGTACATTTTCTATGGGAAATTACTCTGAAAGAGGCTACTGGCATCTTTTATTCAAGCCAATGACACACACAATATATTGTTTATGTCTACTATCTAAGAGGAAAAGGACCACCAAACAATAATATGTTCACTGAACCTGTCTCTTAACTAGCAGGGCCAATTTATAGGTTGATCCAAGAATTTCAGTTGTCATAGTGACCTGCAGACTCATAGATATTTGATGTAATCATTTATCTTAACAGATTGGATTAATAATGTCCAGTGCTTTTTTCATTCCTTACCACCACTGTTAGAATGTTTATGTCTCCTTACAATTCATATGTTGAAACCTAATCCCCAGCCCAATAGTATAAGAGGTAGGGCCTTTTTCCTTCCCTCCCTCCCTTCCTCCCTTCCCTTCCTTCCTTTCCTTCCCTTCCTTCCTTCCTTCCCTTCCTTCCTTCCTTCCTTCCTATTTTTTTTTTTTTTTGACAGAGTCTTGCTCTGTCGCCCAGGCTGGAGTGCAGTGGCATGATCTCAGCTCACCACAACCTTTCCGCCTTCTGGGTTCAAGCAGTTCTCTGCCTCAGCCTCCCAAGTAGCTGGGATTACAGGCATCTGCCACAACGCCTGGCTAATTTTTATATTTTTTAGTAGAGACGGGGTTTCACCATGTTGGCTAGGCTGGTCTCAAACACCTGACTTCAGGTGATCCACCCACGTTGGCCTCCCAAAGTGCGGGGATTACAGGCATCAGCCACCACGCTCGGCCAAGGTAGGGCCTTTAGGAGGGGATTAGATCATGAGGTCTCTGACCTCATTACTGCTACTATGCCCTTGTAAAGAGTCTAAGGCAGGGCATGGTGGCTCATGCCTGTAATCCCCGCAATTTGGGAGGCCAAGGCGGGTGGATCACCTGAGGTCGAGAGTTCAAGACCAGCCTGACCAACATGGAGAAACCCCATCTCTACTAAAAATACAAAATTAGCTGGGCCTGGTGGTGCATGCCTGTAATCCCAGCTACTCCAGAGGATGAGGCAGGAGAATCACTTGAACTTGGGAGACGGAGTTTGCGGTGAGCCTCCAGCCTGGGCAACAAGAGCGAAACTCCGTCTCAAAAAAAAAAAAAAAAAGAGTCCAGAGGTAGTGTCTTTTCCCCTTCTGCCACATGAGGAGATGGTGAGACGGTGCCATCTATGAAACAGGAAACAGACCTCACTAGAACTGAATCCTGCTGACACTCTGATCTTAAATTTCCAGCCTCTGGAACTGTGAGAGGTAAATTTCTGATATTTAAAAGCTAATCAATTTGGTGTATTTTGTTATAGCAGCCCAAATGTACTAAACCACTAACATACAGGATTCAGCTCCATTGTTTGGTAATTGAGTTAAAAAAAATCAAGTGTTTATAGAACAGTTCTGGTGACAGCATCGTGTGGTTCATCAGAATGGTGGGGGAATAAGCGAGTTCCATTTTCTTACTTCATTCAAAGTAAGAGATACAAAACAATAAGAAAATAGAGAAAAGGTTAATTAATATGGTTATTCATCAGATATATTGGAATTTTTACTGTATTAATAAGAATAAACATACTCTCATATTTGAAGTGACCAATGATATATCCTTATTGGTGCAATTATGAGGGTGTGTTCCATTCTGCATTCTGATTTTATAACACTAGGAAGCTCTTACTTGAATCAATCCCAGTAGCTATTTGGAATGACAACAATCCTTTTAAAAACAACCTGTTATCCTTCTCAAAGATAACATGATTATGTAATTTCGTTGTGCAGAACTAGTTCTTTTCTGTCTTAGAAAACGTGAATGTTCTAATTACCCACTCATCTTGGTTCAAAGACTATGATAATTCCTTAAATTGGATCCTCTGCTGCAGAATACAGAGGTTGGGAAATTATTTTCTGATTGAAAAATGTGAAAAGTCAATTTACTGACTTTATACTCTTTCTTTGATGTCTAAATATTTATAGTAATGTTGAATTATTCTACAAAAAGTACTTAATATTAACAGTGCTTAATGGTTATACAGAAGTGTAGTCATCATAAATTGTTTAGAAATTGCAGGTATTTTTTACAGCATCATTCTTAGATAAGTCAGTATTCAGGCCACATTTTTATGCACGCTAGAAAAACAAACCAAATGAAGGAAACCTGTCAGAGTAGCTTACCATGGTCTATCTTCAAAATAGGTATGAATTGCTGCTGCTATATCAATAATATGCAATCTATCCAGATCTTTAAAACTGCTGCAGTTAGCAATACTGGCTGATTTTGGAGTGTGGTGATTTTTTTCCTCCATTATGAATATAACATAGATAAGCTTTCCAAGATGATATTCTGGAGGTCAGGAGACACCTAAAATATGTCATCATTCTCTGGTGTCTTGCACAAAATCTTATCCAAGGTGAAGCCCTAGCAAATGTAAGTTTAATGAATGAATAAATGTTATTAATGCCAGTTTTACATGGAGTAGCCAAATAAAATCAGTTCCAAAAGCTCTAATTTAATGGGACAAGTCCATTCTGTCTATACAAATCTGATCTAAGGGGAATCAGATCTTTTAAGCTTGACTGACATCATTGGCTCCTCTGTAAGTTAGTAAATATTTGTGCTGATATGGCACTTTTACACTGAAAGAACTGAACAGATTTATAGGAGAGGTATCTTTTCTAATTTAATGCCAGTAGCATTTAACAATGTGCAGCAACAGCTAACACCAAGGGGCCAATGGGTCAGGAACTTTCCCAAATACTTTTTGCCTATGATTATAATTACATGGACATAGGCTGCAGTAACCATTTAAAAGGCAAAATAAAAAAAAAAGAAAACTGAATATAATTAGATGAAATGGAAAGGATGAAAGAAAGAAAGAAAAAGAAAAATCTATAAAGAAAAGGATAAACTTAATAAGATTATTATATTCTTAGAAGCTTTTTTGTGGCATCCTGTCCACAGGTTAATTAGGATACTTCTCAGATGTGTTCTTCAAAGCCCCAGAATTCAGAGAAGAAACATTGGAAGGAAGAGTATCAGATGGGTGGATTTATGCCTCCTTCTCCCTTTATTTATAGTTTCATGATATTTCTACAAAATATTTCATGTGAAGAAGGAGTTCCACTTTTTAAAAGTGTGTTATTGTTACTTGTTTAAATAATCACCTTGTCTAAGAGAAGAAATAATAGGTAGGGTGTAAGAAGGTAAAGGTTTAGGCAATTATCTTCATTCTACATTTGACGTGTCTATGTTTCAGTCTGCAATACACCCCCCATTAGCTATAGAAAACAGATCTTCAGACATGGATCTTTTATGGCTCCCATTTATCTGCACAGTCCTTTCCTACTATGTCCTATTTAACTTGGACTCTTCCTAAAGTAGAAACTCCATTTTTCTTCTGACACGGCCTATACTTCCTGCCTTCCATTACCTTGCTCATCTGGTCTCTCTCCCACTTAAAATACTCTGACTGAGATTTTTAACTTCTCTTCATATCCTTCTTTGAAATTCTTCCTTGAATGGAAATATATTTCAATGCCCTTCTTCCAACTCCCATATGGATGGGAACTTTTCTTTCTCTGTATTACATGTTACAAACGTGTAACATTTATTATATATTTGCTTTTAGCTTTTGTGCAGATAAATTAGAAAATCAGCAGCACAGTACATTGGTGAAGACAAAATGCTCTGGGATCAGAACGCTTCTGCTCAAATCTTAGTTTTCCCATTTAATATATCCATATGAACCCTAGCTAATTACTCAAGCATTTGACGCCTCAGTTTTCTTATATGCAAAATGAGAAAAATAAATTGTTCCTTGATCATAGGCATTTTGTGAAATTTAAATTATAAAAGCAAAAGGCTTATAATAGTACTTTGTATATAGTAAGTGTTCCATGAAACTACTTATTGATACCAGTATTATTTGACACTTTCAGTATTACTTGGTAGTTATATGAATATGCATTATTATCCCCAAAAGACTGCAAGTCCTTTTCACAGGATGCATGTTTTCTTCTATTCTTTATATAATATAGAATATATCAAGGTGATTAGTATGCAACAGGTAAACATTAATTTTTAACTGAATTGAAATAAATTAAATTAATGTCTGCTGTACTGTAGAGTTCCTCAATACCATAATCTTGCATCTTTTTTCTCTCTCTTTTCTGAGTTTCCTGATATAGTTCCAACTTCGGTGATTACATTTGGTTCATAACATGCCTGGTGTGCTTTAATTGGAAATGCTGTTTTCTTCTCTCCCATAAGGGTAGAAAAAATAAGAGGCATACCATGATTCCATCCATAAGTGGCTGCATTCCAGTGTGATAGAGAGGAGACTAGCTCTACCCCTGCCTACCAGCGTTCTGGGGAGGCAATCTACACATCCCGTAAATGAAAACTCTTTGTGAGATGCCTTCGTATCCTCTCTTGATGAAATAGGCACAATGGTTAATATCCGTTGGAAGCTTACTATGCTAATAACTCTGTGATAAATTTCTCTGATATATTTTGTATTTATCCCTTCAACAGTGTTAAGAGAAGTTTAGTATGATTATTCCTCCCCAGCCCTTTTTTTTGCAGATAAGCCAATGAGCTCAGAGAGTTTATACGATGTGCTCAAAGTTACACAGCTAATAAAATGGCAGCATATGAATTTGAAGGCTATTTTATCTGAGTTAGGAGACAGTACCTCTTTGCTAGACAGCTTCTTTATATACCAATATCAAAAGTCTTTCTTTAACCCATTTATGCCTGAAGTTGCAATTTTTTGAATTTTTGCAATCATACGTTGGCGATGACCTTGAGCAGTAGGATATAAATAACTCCCACATGCTTAGCGTTCAAAAAATGGAATGGTAGGCATAAATACGTAAACCATCAGTATCCATCTTTATTAATAAGATTATTTTCAGTGGCTTATATCTCATACCCTTTACAGAGAACAAATTTTAGCCAGAAGAAGAGCACTAAGGCATTTAAACCCTATCGTGAGTGGATGGACAAGTCCATAAAGTATTATGTCTGATAAAAATAGACTATCAACTGACAGTTGTGTTCTCTAGGATTTTGTTTCTCTTCTTTGCCCTTCCTCCTACCCACCCAAAGCTTCTATGTTACAGGAATCTGACTTTTAGTTTCAAAAATGTAAGCCCTGGGCCAGGCGCCGTGGCTCACACCTGTAATCCAAGCACTTTGGGAGGCCCAGGCGGGCGGATCATGAGGTCAGGAGATCGAGACCATCCTGGCTAACACGCTGAAACCCCGTCTCTACTAAAAATACAAAAAATTAGCCGGGCGTGGTGGCGGGCGGGAGTCTGAGGCAGGAGAATTGCTTGAACCCGGGAGGCGGAGCTTGCAGTGAGCCGAGATTGCGCCACTGCACTCCAGCGTCGGCGACAGAGCGAGACTGTCTTAAAAAAAAAGAAAAGAAAAAAAATGTAAGACCTGAAAGAGCACGTAAAATTTGTGTTATAAATAAAATATTTTCAAAAACATATGAAATATCACATTACTACAATCGAGGCAAGATAGAGTTCTCTTGACTGGGCAAAGAATAAGGACTAGAATAAGGAAGACGAAAGGGAGGACCTGTAAATGGCTGAGTCTGCGTAAAGAGTTCTTGTGCCTTGTTTATGCCTTGTCAAGATAGAGTTTTAATATGGTGGGTACTAGAAAGTTCAGACGGTTTGGCAAACACGTATCAGAGAGGACCCGCATAACCTAGCCTCAGAGGAGCACAGTGGAAGCTGAAAATCCCTCATCGTTTTTACACAGTCAGGACAATAAAATTTGGAAGAAATGTTTGCCTACTATGTCTGGATAAAAGCCTTTAAACAGTCGTCTAAAGGCTTCATGTGCTTCAGAGTGTCATAGGGCACAACAGAGTATGTTGCCTGTTTCTGAAAGAATACACATGTGTTATAGATAACTGTAAGACAAGAGGAGGACTTTTATCCACAGCACAGTTACTTAGCATACACCTCCGGGGAATGAAATCCAAAGTCCAGTGAGGAACAAGAAAGATAGAAAAGTACAAAGACCAACTGCTTTCAATTCCTCGAAATTGACACAGTATAATTTACTAAGGAACCCTGACATAACCCAGCATAGGGGGTAGAAGAAGAGCCTGAACTTTAAGTGTTCTAGTTTTCCCATCCTGAGGAAAGGGGGCTCATAACAGAAATTTAATTTCAGATGCAGAAAATAAAGTTATATTCTGTGCACAATTCTTATGATCTGAGATCCATAGCCATTTATAATTATTTCACATTTTAACTTTACTATTTCAATTTAAACCAATATTTTTAGATCTTAGATTTTAATTTATTCCATTTGAATAAATTAATTTTAAAAAACACTATAAAATGTGCGCATAATCAGCATTAAATGCTGATTCTAAACTCTGTCTATCTTTTTTATAGTGCTCTTAGCAATGGTATATCACCATGGATATTTCCATTGGGAATAACATACCTCTCTTTATTGCCTACTCTTGGCATGAAATTATTATATGATTAACATGTACAATATTTTATACACACATCAATATAAATGAAAACATTTAACCCTTTTTTGCATCTTCTTTAGAAAATTTTCCAAAGGGTCATGTATCACTAATGTTCAGAAAACTTGTTTTAAAATATTCTTTTCCCTTTCACTCTTTCAATTCTCTTACCAGTTTTGTTAACGTTTCAAGGTCTCTTCTTCTTCCAAACCAATCTGCTAAAAAGTGACTCCCCGTGTTGTTCAGGCTAGCTTCTGACTCCTGCTCCCCTACCCACTTCAACTTCAGAATATACCTTTTGGGCTTTCAGCTCATGATGCTCTTTCTTTGTTTTGCTTATCTATTATTACATAATACCCACTCCAAAATTTAGTATCTTAAAACAACAAACATTTATCTGCATCCAGTTCTCTAATTTGAGCAGCATTTGGAAGAGATAGTTTTTCTGTGCTGCATGTGATGTCATCAATAGAAGCTCAAATGGAGCTGTAAGACCCACTTCTAAAATAACCCCACTCAGGTGTTTGGTGAATTGTGCTGGCTGATGGATAGGAGCTCTGCTAGGGCTGTACTGTCAGAAGCCCTAGTTTTTCTCTACCTAACCTCTCCATGGGGCTAGATTAAATTCACATAATGGTAGTCTCAGGACAATTAGATTTCTTATATGGAGAATGGCTTCCCAAAAAGGAAAAAAGTTGCTAGGCTTTCTTACATCTTAGGCTCAAAGCTTGAGAGCATTACTTCCAACACAACTTATTGATTATAAATTAGAAGGGAGTGGCTTCACAAGACCATGTACAGCAGATGCTATGGTTCCTTAGGGGACATCAGTGAAATAGTTTCTCATGCTGTTTTATCATGTCAGTCTCCAGCTGTCATGTATATTAAAAATGTATCCATTGTTTCGAATTTTTCACAATGAAGACCAAGAATGGAGAATGATAGACATTAATCAAATAATAAAACAGCAATTGTAAAATTAGGAGAAGAGGGCAAGGAAATAGTGTTCCAAGAAAAGAAAATAGCTTAAGTAAAGTTTCTTTGGTTACATGGAGACATGCTGTATTAGTCCATTCTCCCATTGCTATAAAGAGCTACCTGAGACTGGGTAATTTATAAAGAAAATAGGTTTTCGTTGACTTATAGTTCTGCAGTCTGTACAGGAAGCGTGGCAGGAAAGGCTTCAGGAAACGGCAGAAGGTGAAGCGAAAATTTACAATCATGGCTGGAGAAGGAGGAAGAGGGTGAAGGGGGAGGTGCCACACACTTTTAAACAACCAGATCTCATGAGAACTCATTCACTATCATGAGAACAGCCAGAAGGAAATCTGCCCCATGATCCAGTCACCTCCAAGCAGACCCCTTCTCCAACACTGGGGATCATATTTCGAATTGAGATTTGGGTGAGGAAACAAATCTAAACCATATCACATGCTGAATATGAAGAAGGCCAGTGTGGCTGAAGTACAGAGAGTGAAGCCATTAGATAGACAATGCTAGAGAGAGAAGTAGGTCTTATAGAGCCTTTGGGCAACATTAAGAGAGTTTTTCTTTTATTTCAAGAGCAATAAAAACTTATTTAAAAGTTCTAAGACAGAAAGATAACATGGTAATTTGCATTAAAAAATTACATTGGCTGATGTGCAGAGACCAGCTGGAGTGGAGGTGGAGATAGTGTCTATCAGTAGAACAGTTCAGAGTTGGATAGTATAACTGATAAAAATGATGCTGGGTTATACTAGATGGATATGAGGGATCAAATGAAGAAATACATAGAAGTATAACAGGGAAGAGATGGCGGATTGCATATATTAAGGGTGAGGTGTGAGAATAGTGTGTTGAGAATGACTAGACAAGTGGGTGGTGCCATTTCCTGCAATAGGGAACTCTGGAAGAGATGGTTTGAGTTCTCTTTGAGATTTGTAATAGGAGATATCAAGATAGTAGTTGGATGCATAGGACTGAAGCTGATAGAAAATATGAGCCATCTGTGTGTAGGGATGATAGAAATCATGGCATGAGTACAGTTTCTTGAAGGAAATGCTTAAGCACAATAAGAAGAGTTTCTCCATCTATAAAATTGGGACAATAATATCACTTACTTCATAATGTTTATTTAGCATTTAACCTAGCGCCCCACACATATTAAACAATAAATGTTAGTTCTTCTTATTACTTCTATTGTTCCTATTACTGTGGTTTGTTGTTTCTAAGGGCTTAGACCAATATTTATATTAACAAAACATAATAAAAGTTAAGCCAGAAAGTCAAATGGTGAGGATATTGTTTGCTGGAGATGCAGGAATGGGAGAGAGGGGTTCTGAAGTCAGCCACAACCATTACAAAAAAACTCGGCAGAAGAATCAAATGCTTCCTTTTAAATAATATGCACACTCAAGCACAGGGAATGCTTGAAATATGAGTAAAGTGGAACAATATTGTGCTTCAGAGAGCCTGTCAAAGTAGACCTTTGTGGTGAAGCTCTATTTAGACAGGAGACATATAAGAATGTTACAGTGGACTTGGGGGATTCAGGGGAAAGGGTGGAAGATGAGTGAGGGATAAAAGACTACACATTTGGTACAGTGTACACTGCTTGTCTGGTGGATGCACCAAAATATCAGAAGTCACCACTAAAGAACTTATTCATGTAACCAAATACCACCTGTTTTCCCAAACTTATTGAAATAAAAAATGAAATTTAAAAAAAAGATGCGGCCGGGCGCGGTGGCTCACGCCTGTAGTCCCAGCACTTTGGGAGGCCGAGGCGGGTGGATCATGAGGTCAGGAGATCGAGACCATCCTGGCTAACACGGTGAAACCCCGTCTCTACTAAAAATACAAAAAATTAGCCGGGCGCGGTGGCGGGCGCCTGTAGTCCCAGCTACTGGGGAGGCTGAGGCAGGAGAATGGCGTGAACCCGGGAAGCGGAGCTTGCAGTGAGCCGAGATTGCGCCACTGCAGTCCGCAGTCCGGTCTGGGCGACAGAGCGAGACTCCGTCTCAAAAAAAAAAAAAAAAAAAAAAGATGCATAGTGAAAACTGGCTAATGCATGCCCACACAGTACAAATCCAATCTTTCAGTCACATGGCCTGGTACCGGATGACCTTTCAGCATCTTCAATGAGTAGTGAGAACACTGTTTCACCTACAACGTCAGCAGCCCATGTATGCCTGGCTCTCCCTTCATAAGGTTTGCTGGTATTTTTGGTCATTTGCCTTAGTCATAATTACATGGTTTACCTTTCTGGTCTTCTCCAGTGACACTAAGTGACAGCATGAAGGAACAGCAACAGCAGAGGGGTGGATTTTTATCATGTGCTGTATACCTGACATTTATTTATAAATTCAATATATATTCATTCATCAAACATTTATCAAGAGGCTGCTGTGCTTGACATTTTTCCAGATTCTAGCAATCCAGAAAACTGGCTCTCAGAAGCTTGTGTTCTAATGATAAGAGGCAGAAGTAATGAGGATTTTAAAAGGTAAGAGAATAAATGAGAGGAAAAATTAATTTTCCTTAATTATTAGTGCCAACAGATACTACAATTAGTAGATATAGTGAAAAAATTACTGGGATGACGGAAATGAAAGTTAGATACCTTGTATTGAATGATGTAAAGGAGCCACACTTGACATCTGAGGCCTAGCATTTCAGGAAGAATAAACATTAAATTCAAAAGCTATAAAGGCATAATTAATAGTGGGGCATTAGAAGAACAGAAGAGTGGTCAGTGTTGTTGATTCATGGGGTATCAGCAGAGAGTGGTAAGGGAGTAAGTGAAAGAGGCAGGCAAGGGTCATAGTGTATAGTCTTGTGCCCATGCTAAGGGCTTTGAATTTTCTTATATGTGTAATGGAAAGTCATGGAATAGTTTTTAGCAGGGGAAATACATGATCTGATTTATGTTTGTAACTATTACGCCAGGTGTGTTGTATTGAGCAGACAAGAGGGACCTAAGGGAGGCAATTTAGGATGCTGCTTGAGGAGAAAAATAAGGTTGTTTAGACCACAGAGGTAAAACTGAAGAGAGAGACAACTGAACATTAGATGCAAGACATACCTCTGTTACAATGAGTAAGGCCACTGAATTGTGGACAATTTTGGAGTGGAAGACTTGCAAAACGTGAAGTTTATGATAACTAGCCATGTCAGTGCACAGGGATTGGCTGGAAACAAGAAGTATGAGATAGCATATGTACCCTTAGCATTTAAAGAATCTTATATAGTTTTAGAATGTTTAAAAATGGTTATGATGGAGTTCCCAAGAATAAAGATTTTTAGGCATTTCTTCTATGTGACTGTAGAATTTGGTAGTCTAATTGTAGGCCTGCCTTTACTAAAAGTCAGAGTTTTTTTTTTTTTTTAAATCTTAAATCTGTTTTGATGTAGAAGAGGGATGCATGTAAAAAAAAAAAAAGGCCTACATGTCACTCCTGCTAGAAGTGGTAATCTTCATTGGCCAAAAATATAGAAATATTGAAATATTTTTCATCTTGGAATATTTGATACAGTAAAAGGGCCAATATGGATTACCTGAGGGACAATTCCTGCTTTTGTGCTTCTTATTTTCCTTGATGGAAATGATTTAATGAAAAGAAATCCAGACTGAAAGTCAATTCACATGTTTTAGTTGGGCTGAGAATATGGCATGGGAGAAATTTTTCATTAATGAGCTATGTGATAAGCTGCCCTGAGTATGTCTCATTTCCCGATTTATAGAGAGTCATGACGTTCCTTCCTCCTCCATGATTCAAAGATAATCATGCATATCATGTATAAGCCATTTAAGGGAAAAGCACATTTGAAATACAGTCCCTAATATTCTGATCTTTAAATGTGAAATTGAACCACTAAGTGATTTAGAGACTTGCCCTAAGTATCATACGTGCTTAGTAGAATAAACTGATTTTATATATTGAATTCTTAGCTGAAAATCCCTCATTCATGCCAGCAGTCAAACTGCTTTTTCAAAATGCATGTTTTAATAACCAAATCTTAACACTCTATCTTTAAATATCAATGAGTGGAGGTTCAGGTACATTTCATATCTAAGAATGAATGTGATCATTCTTAAAGACTGGAACATTTGGGAAATATAAAGTAGTTAATAAAAATTAGACTATAATGTGTATGGTTTTCAAAAGATTCATCTTTTCAGATCCTTTAAGTATGTATAAAATTGATTGTGAATAATTTTTCATTACTAGATTTACAAACTTTTGTTTAATTTCCAAATAGCCTGCAGATAAAATGTCACAAAACAGTAAAATGGTTAAGAATACATAAGAATTGCTTAAGTGCAATGACTGATCTTTCTTATTAGTGCATAAGTCATTAAAATGGCATGCAACCATCATACACATACACACGAGTTCAAACCTCTAGGACTGGTATTTGGTATAATTCGATTCTCATATTATTATGAGGGGTATATTAAATGACCAGTTTTAATACATGGTGCACTTTGAATTGGTTGTCATGCTTCCCCATAGTGATGTATTTGGTTATACTGCGGTGGTTGTTTACATGAATGTTATTGATGTTTAAAGCAACTTGGCTCACAGGCTCTTTTAATAACTCCTGCTGAAGAAGAGGTAATAATACTGGACAATACTGTCATCTGTCATGCAATACTTCAGAATGTTCCCATTAAGAGACAACCACTCAGCAGTTTTTCCAAGTGTTACCTATCAGCTACAAATACCTCCTTATTTTCAGTTTTGCTCTGTGTCAACATAAATTAACAGTGGTTTTACAAGTTAATTTCTTTTACTATCTGATGCTTTCTCTGAGAGCGTGTAATGAATTCATGAACAGGAGTGACATATCTCTCATATCTATAACAGCACTTTTACTTAACATATTTGTTTTGTCAGTTAGCAAGACATAAAATGATCTAACAAAAACCCAAGTAAAATCATATAGGATACCTGCCCCCATGCATCAGTACCATGTAGAATATTGAGTTACAAGGACATGTAAATTGATGTAGTAGATAGAGGGCAATGCTGAGGAGAGAGTCCTTTACCATATAAAGATCCTCGTAAATATCATGTCTAACTCCTGTTAGCAGTAGGACCATGAACACACAATGAAAACTCTTCAATTCTCAATCTTCATCTTTAAACTGGGGATGATAGAGGTAACTATTTCAGAAGATATACTACAGATAATATCCTTAATATATGCCTGGCAAATATTAAGCACCTGATACATTTTAGATACTGTTATTAAGGTTAATATTGTAATTTTTAATATTAGAAATAATAGAAAATTAATAACATTTATATTTCTGGTAAGGTTTTTTGGTGGGGAAAACAGGCTGGAGTGCAGTGGTAGGATCACGGCTCACAGTAGCTCTGATGTCTCCGGCTTAGATGATCCTCCCACTTCAGCCTCCTGAGTAGCTAGGACTACAGGCTTGTGCCACCATGCCCTGCTAATTTTTGTATTTTTTTGTAAATATGGGGTTCCACCATGTTGCTCCCACTTGTGCTGAACTCCTAGCTCCAGTGATGGGCTGATCTTGGTGGATTGCCTGGGATTACAGGCGCCTGGCCTATTTGTGGTAGTTTTAAGCATATCAGCTAATTTTTTGACACTTCCCCTATCAAAAGGTAGAATTTAATCCTCCTCTCATTCAATATGGGCTACCTTAATAACTTTCTTTCTAACAAATAAAATGTTGCAGCTGTCAACATTTTAGCTGTTGATGTGTCAATGTGCCTGCATTGCCCATAGAATTCCCTTCTGGCTTTCTCTCTAGTGGAACACACACATTTGGCACTCTGCACAGCCATGTAGCTACTTTGCTGTGGAAACTACACAGAGCCAGAGAGATGATCAAGAAGTACAGCTGTTCCATCTTCCAGCTGTTTGATGATTGCAGTATATAGCAGTACCCACTGCCAGCTACATGATACCAGCCTCAGTAATGTCTGACTGTCACTGTATGAGAGCTCCTGAGCACAATGCTATTGTTTCCATCCACTATTTGGGAACAGCTTTTAAGGCAGCAGTTGATTATCAGAACACTATTACTAGTTTATCTCATTCTGTTTTTCTGCCTTTGACATCTCTTCCTCTCAACATCTCAGTAGTTAATTTTTCTTTTCATGAACAGAATAAGAATATTTATATTTAAACCATGGTATTGAATTACTTAGAGGTCTGTATTTAAGACATATGGAGAGTAAAAGATGGAAGACTATTGTCCAGGCCACAGGTGTCCATAAAGTTAAGTTGTCTTTTATGCAAGAGAACACAGTTTAGTCTCTGTGGGCACATATAGAGGCATTAGTCAGCCGCACTATGCCATGTTTCTTAGACTGCAGAGCCAGTAAAAGGGGATGGATTTAGGAACTTTGGCAACACAGTTGCCATCTTCACAGACATCACATAGCAGTTATGAAGCACCACTCTCCTCAAAGTGCTCCACAAATGCGCATGTGGATATCCCAGATGTCACAAGGTTCATGCATAATGGAAAGAACCATCCAGCAATTATCCACTCTGAGAGACTGGGTTAAATCATCTACGTCACATAATCTTAGAATATTAGACTTGACATGGACACTTTAGACTCCATTACAAAATTTCCCCAAGGAAACATTGGGACAAAAATAACCCAGACAAGCAAGCCCAGTCACCCCTCAAACCATTATCAATTTATTCTGAATTTCATTGCTAGTATTTAGTTAATTTATTAATTAAATGATGTAGCACATTGATGAATTTGTTCTATTTGTTTCACAGAACAATTATTAAACATTTCACTGAGACCACATTAAAAGGTGATACTTATTTTGCAGTTTTGCTTCAGGAAATTTCATGTGAAAGAACTTTTCATGGCTTTTCTCACTTCATAATTTAAATTAAACACTTCTCTGTCTCCAAATTGAGTCCAATTACAGAGTCATTATAGGCTTGCAAAATTGTTAGTTTGTGGCAGAAATTTAAGCTTGCTATAGATCCATTCTCAAGGTCCTGCACTCTTCCCCAATAAGACTGCAATTTTATGTATACAGAAAAGGTGAGACCCTCTCAAACTCAGGAGAAAGGTCAGTCTCCCATGGGAAACTTGGAGTTAATCTGCATTAAAGAGACGTTAGTTTGTAAGAGTAAACCTTTATATTGAACTTTTTTTTTTTTTTACCTAATTTCTCAGTATCACTACAACTTTCATCAACCAGTCATCAACATTGAAACCGTAAGCATTGCCCTCCGTTCCTGTTTCGTCAATCTGTTTCCCTGGTATGACTCTAATGTATGAGACCTCCAAGGTTCAACTGTTTGTGGATGGGAAGAGAAAAAGCAGATTTTTGTCTGCTCCCAGTGTTCTCTGAAATATGTGACAAGCCCTGCAGGAGATAACATTTTGGATGCCAAACTCTCATTACCACATTAATTGCCTCTGTCATGACAGTTTGGGCCGGAGCAAATGGCTGGGAACCTGCTGTGCTCCTCAAGAGAGCAACACAGGCCAAGGGAAAGTGGGTCTGAAGTTTCCCAAGCAGTCGGCTGAAAGGTGCTGTTATCAGAGCATAGTCTGGATTTGTCTTTACGTCTTGAGTCACTGTTAAATTGGTGGGGGAGTGGCTCTCAAAAATCTTTGTTCCTAAAACTTATGAAAGATATTCATGTAAACAAGTAAAAATCGGGTTAAATTCTGTTTTATCAGCAGGACATTTTCACCATAAGTGATTGTCCAATTGACTGTCAAAGCAACAAAAGGTGAAGGAGGTGAGTGTATAGTCTAAAGATAAAAGCTCCAAATGGGCTTTCAGTGTCCCTTCATCTCCAAGCTGAATGAACAGGATGTAATCACAGCAGCGCATGAGAGGGCAATTTGAACAGAGTGGATACTAAGTAACATTTGAAGTCAAAGCAAAATCAAAAGAAAATTCTCTTAATACTCCCTCCTCCCAATATAATTAACGTTAAAGTATTCTTTTTAATTAACATAATTAGAGGCTTAATTATTGAAAGTCGGGTTAAAGATGAAAAGTATCATATAATTAAAATAATTATTTTTCTTTAACCTCCAAAGGAAAACAAAGCAGTTTTTCTCTCATAGTCATTTAAACTTCAGTAATATTTCTTATATAAAAGTAGTTATAAGATTTAATACAGACATTGGTAAAGGAGTGGGGTGAATAGAGTTTGTGAAGACTCTTACTGTACACAACGAGAAGATGTTTTTAATCTCTCTTTGGTCACAAAGGAGTTCAATAATTTAGGTTTTAATGATAGTACTATTGTCATGCACAGAACATGTCAAAATAAATTGGTACAATCTTTTCATAAAGAGATTTAAAAATAAAGGTTCTAAAAAATTCAAAATACAGAATAAAAACTATGAACATACATGCATCACAGCCTTACTCGTAATATAGAAATTCTGGTAAAAAATATTGCACATTATTGGAATAAAGACTATGCTACTGTAATAACAATGCCCTAAATACAGCTTGGATAAGAGAGAAGTTTATTCATGTCTTACACAAGAGTCTGGTTAATAACTTAGACAATTTTGTTCATAAGAACAGAAAGTACTGTTCTTAATAGACAGTTATGTTCTATAAGATTCAGAAACTTAGGTTGTTTTAATTTTCCTCCTCTGCTGCCTCCATGTGTAATTTCTCTCTCTAGATAGTCAAAGCTGGGTCACTACCACCTCTGGCATTCAGCCTGAGGAAAGAGGAAGGAGCATGAGCAAAGATTGCTTTTAAGATGCAGGTTTGGGCTGGTCGCAGTGGCTCACACCTGTAATCCCAGCACTTTGGGAGGCCAAGGTGGGTGGATCACCTGAGGTCAGGAGTTCGAGACCAGCCTGGCCAACATGGTGAAACCCCATCTCTACTAAAAATACAAAAATTAGCCGGGCGTGGTGGCACATGCCTGTAATTACAGCTACTCGGGAGGCTGAGGCATGAGACTTGCTTGAACCCAGGAGGCGGAGCTTGCAGTGAGTCGAGAACGTGCCACTGCACTTCAGCATGAGTGACAGAGCGAGACTGTCTCAAAAAAAGAAGAAAAAAAAAAAGATGCAGATTTGAAGGTGCATACATCATTGTGTCCTTGGCAAAATTTAGTCCCCTAGATATTGGCAGCTATAAGGGAATCTGGGAAATGTAGTCTTTTGAGTGAGTAGCCATGTCCTCATGTAAAACCTGGTTGTGCCTTCACTCCTATACTAAAAGCAAGAAAGGGTAAATATACCGACGATAGGTGTCAATGTCATCGAGTCTAACAATAGAGAGGTATAGAGGCATGTCGATATATTTTGAAGTATCTTTTTTGATGGAATAGTGTAACATCAGTGATATGGTTTGGCTGTTTTCTCACCCAAATCTCACATCAAATTGTAATCCTCACAATCCCCACATGTCAAGGGCATGACCAGGTAGAGGTAATCGGATCATGGGGGCAGTTTCCCTTATGCAGTTCTCTCATGATAGTGATTGAGTTCTCATGAAATCTGATGGTTTTCTAAGTGTGTGGTAGTTCCTCCTGCATTCACTCCTCCTTCCTGCCGCCTTGTGAAGAAGGTGCCTTGCTTCCCCTTTGCCTTCTACCAAGACTGTAACTTTCCTGAGGCCTCCCCAGCCATGCTTAACTATGAGTCAATTAAACCCCTTTCCTTTATAAATTACCCAGTCTTGGGCAGTTCTTTATAGCAGTATGGACTAATACAATCAGTGATCAATTTTACCAAAAATTTGCAACACAAAAAACATGTCATTCTTCTAATACACACACACACACACACACACACACACACATCTATATGACCATGCACATATATCTATATGAACACACGTGCATATGCATATCTCTCTGTGATGATTAATCTTATGTGTCAACTTGGCTAGGCCATTGTACCAAGATAGTTTGGCAAATACTACTCTGATATTGCTGTGAAAGTTTTCTTTTTAGAAATTAAAATTTAAATCATTAGACTGACTAAAGATAATTATCCTCCATAAAATGGGTGGGTCTCATTCAATCTCTTAAAAGAAAAGAAACTAATGTCTTCCAACCTAGAGGGAATTCTGCCTCAGACTGTTCTCTGACTCAAGCTACTATACCTGTCTTTTCCTGGTTTTCCAACCTGCCTGCCTACCCTGCAGACTTTGGACTTGCCAGCCTCAAAAACTGTATGAGCCAATTTCTTAAAATAAATTCGACCTCTATCTCTGTCTCTTTCTAGTGTGTGTGTGTGTGTGTGTGTGTGTATACACATATTCTACTAGTTCTGTTTCTCTGGAAAACCCTAATACACTATACACACATATAAATTATATATTAAATATTATAATATAGCCTAAGAAATTTTAAAGAAAGCACAGTCCTAATTTTAGAATATTGAAGTTGATATATATTAATCAGATATCTTTGTAGATTATGTTGTTAACATTTTATGTATTTGGGCTTAACAGGTCTCAATTTATTCTGAATTTAGAGATTTACTAAAGCCTCATTAAAAATTTTTTTTCCTCTATCTCCTGCATTTTTTGTGTAACCAAATTACAGCTAGGCTATGTGATACATAGATTTTTTCATAATTGTTATCTTCATTGTATATTATAAATTACAGTTATTTGTCTGTTTTATTGTTTTTAGCTGAAAGCATGTACTTGGAATAACTTTACTCAATCTTTTGTTTTTAAAATTTAAATGACATTGTTTTGAATGAATCATTTTAATTCTTTTATAGGTTTAGATTTTGCTTTGTAATAAAATCTGAAAATCAATATAATTCCTCTGTTGTCTGTTTTCTCCATTTGCCATTTTTTCTAATATTTACAAAATTTCAATTATTGTTCTAGAGATTATATAATGACTTCATAAAATACTTTTAGTTCTTTGTTTGTGTATAGAGTATGAGTTTTCTACTATGAAAAAATAACAAAATTATTTCCTTTTCCTCCCATATCCCATACCTGTCTTCTACTGACAGAATTAGTCTATGGTATAGTTTTCTTACTGTTTAATCTTGTGCAGTTAAATATACTTATACTTCTATCAATTCATTTGTCAGTTTTATGTTATAATGTTTAATTCCGTGGGGCAGTATGTAAGTTCTCAACTTTTCCTCTCATCCCTTTCTAGCATTTTTTGGTTCTTTAATTATGTTCAGACCTCATTTTGCCACTCTGGTCTACATTTTTCTTTAGAACTTAGTTTTACAGTTGATTGTATTTGATGCTTGTTATTGTGGCTTTGGCTAAATTTTCAACCACCAACTCTTGGCAGGCTGTATTCATTTTCTATTAGATTCCTCAAGAGATTCTTGGGAAAAACTATTTGTCTGTAGCTTTTATAACTGAAAGATCTTGGCTGGATATAAAATCTTTGGCTCGACCTTTATCTTCTTAAGAACATTTTAAGCCCAGTGTCTTCTGGAGTTGAATAATGGAGTAGAGTAGCCTAAGGAAATGTTCATTTTATTTTATGCTTTTCCTTACAAATAACTTGGATTTTTGCTTTGCTGCCAAACTATTTATTTTTTATTTTTAAATTTCAATAACTTTACTAGGTTATATCCCAATATTGAGCATTTTATTTCATTTTTCCTGGCACACAACACAACTTTCAACATGTAGATTCAAGGCTGCTTGTTATAGTTTAAAATATTTATTCTGTCCCATTGCTGTGAAACATTCTCCTTTGGATATCTTCTAAATCTATCATTTTCTTCCTACCACTTTCTCCACTCCTTGATTATCTCTGTGTGTGTGGTGGTGGGGTATTTTCATATAATTCTTCATTTATATCCTTCATATTTCTTACTGTTTCCACATGGTATCTTTTCTTGTGCTTCACTCAATTTCATCTTAAATTCTAAAACTGTTTTTCTTCATTTTTTTCATGAATTTTGCTAATTCACGATTTTGCCAGTTCACATATTCTTCTCTTATTCTCAACCCTATTCCCTGAATTCTTATATTTTTGTCTGTGTTATTTACATGCAAAGTTTGTTAAAATATTGTTTTAATCTTCAACAACTTTATGACCCTTCACCACAATGTTGTTAATAGTATTGTTGTGCCGGATCCCTTTTAATGACTTATCATTCAGAGTTGGGCTTTTCAGAACCAGTTGCACTATTGGTCTATTTTTATTTTTATTTTAGGGTGGTGGCATATGATGGCATCCAAGATTGCCCTCCAGGCTTCCTAACTCAAAGACTATCTCTTCTCTTGCCTAGATGACCAAATATTTTATTAAAATTTAGTGCCTTTATGGGTTTTCCTTTTGTCTTTCTGAAGACAATTAGGTTCAGGATGGCTTCTGTTCCTAATACCTTGTGCCACCATGATTACTAACACCATTGACTACTATAGCCAATCTTTGTTTGGCTCCAAGGTAAGTAAATTATGTGTGCTTAAGACATGTAATTTTGCTACAACCCCTGAGATTTGCTACCTAGGTCCCACCCTCACCCAACTTCCTTCACTGGGACCCTACCAAAAACATAATTTACATGTCTTCACGCTCAGTCGTTCCTGGGTGAGGGCTTTGCCTAATCTACTCTGTTACAATTCAGTTCTCCAGCATGTGCAATTCGGAATGGATAATTGATCTTTGAGAAGACATTCTTGTAGGCTCTTTCTGGGATCTGCTGCTCGTTGGTCCCTCAGTGAGCTACTGTAAAAATGCCTACCATTTCCTGTGTGATGTGCTCTGCACCAAAGCTACCTGTATGACATTGATCATTAACACGTTGCTTGTCTTATGTTGGCCCTGATGAACTTTTTGTGTCTTATTGCTTCAATAAAAGGGTAGTTTGCTTTTTTCTCCCTTTATGCAGAAGGCTTCTCAGGTGGTGAACAACAGAGAATCATATCTAAGATGCTATCACGTTTATATTTGCACCATTTCAATTTCAATAAGAAAATAAAATTCACAGTGAGTAAATTACATGCTAGTATTCCCCTGCCAAGTACGAACAGAGGAGGTACTAGAATTCAGGTTCTTCAATTGCAGTCTAACCCTCCTTTGCCACACATGCTTCCTTTATCCCCTCTGGTACCTATACACAACTAGGGATCATTTATGTTTTGCTATTTATACTTAATCTGATGGTAATACAATTTTTATTGACATTACACAAATATTAATTTTTTACAATTATGGTTGTTTAAAAATTACTTAAATTTAATTGTTTCTTTGTTATGTCTTGTGCTGGTGGTCAGAGCTAGTACACATGAGGGAAGCCATACTGTTTATTGTTTGTACATTGTGCTTGCTCTGCTGTAGCAATTATTAACTATTTGAATATTGTGTCTGGTTTACTTTACACCAATGGACAATTAATGCAATTTGAGTGCAGTTAGGGGTTAGCAATACAAATGCTTTGTATCAGGTCTGGATTATATGTATATTTTTATATATAATTGGTATATATGCTTATGTCTTATCTATTTGAACTGCTTTAAAGGAATACCTGAGACTGGGTAATTTACAAAGAAAAGAGGTTTATTTGGTCTCATGGCTCTGCACTAAGTATAAGAAGCATAGAACCAGCATCTGCTTCTGGTCAGAGCTTCAGGGAGTTTCCACTCGTGGTTGAAGGCAATGGGAACAGGCATTACATGGTGAGAGGAAGGAAGGAAGAGAGAGGGGGTAAGGAGTGCTATGTTCTTTTGAACAGTCAGCTCTCTTGTGAACTAATAGACTGAGAACTCATTACTACAGAGAAGGCAGCAAGCCATTCATGAGGGATCCACCCACATGACCTGAACATGTTCCATTAGACCTCTCCTCCAACATTGGGTATCAAATTTCAACTTGAGATTTGAAGGGGGATATGTATCCAAACTATAGCAGCATATTTCTATAATTTTATATAACTAATATCATTTAAATTTACTTCTTCAGTTGAGAAAGAAGAAAAGAAAGAGATCAGTGAGATGGAACCACTGAGGTGGCCAGCAAATTAGGGAAGCCCTTAAGTCACATAAATTATTATTTTTATTTCCTACTTTCAAACCAACTCAGAGTTATGGGAAATAAAGGAAAACAAAAAGTTATAGCATACAGGCAAATTCCCCATCAGATGATATTATCTGGTACTACAAGGAGCTTTTACAGATGAAGAAAATGCCACAATCATTTTATAATCAGCATTCTAAACACACATTTGCCCTAAATATTGTAGAAGACACCTCACAGCCATTTTTAACTTCAGAGGTTCGTCTTGTTCAGAGAAATAATTTCCAAACCTCTAAGACCATAAAGTGAAAGAGATACAAATGATCATGTGGTCGAATTCACTTACCCTGTGGTTTTTCTGCAACAGTTTAGCCTACTAGATTTTTCATTGTTTAAGCCAGTTCAGTCTGAGACTGCAGCAATTCCCATTCACCACCCAATGTCTATCAGTGAGTAGAAATCTACGTGCTCAGCTTCAAAAAAATCTAGTGCTCTAATGACTGTGTGGCAGAAGGTACATGATAAGATTACTGAGGAGTTCACCCCTTGGTCTGTTTTTCTCCTGGGTTTTTCTTTCCCAATAATGAGGTCTGAACAAGCTGTGTGCCACCTGTGACGGACAATTTGTCTTATGTTGTGCTCACTTCTTTAATTGGTTTAATTGGAGAGTACATTTTTGTTGTTGTTGTTGTTTTGAGACAGGATCTCTTTCTGTCACCCAGACTGGTGTGCAATGGTGCAATCTCGGCTCACTGCAACCTCCACCTCCCAGGCTCAAGTGATTCTCTTGCCTCAGCCTCCCAAGTAGCTGGGATTACAGGCGCATGCCACTACCGCCAGGCTAATTGTTTTTGTATTTTTAGTAGAGACGGGGTTTCACTTTGTTGGCCAGGCTGGTCTCAAACTCCTGACCTCAAATGATCCACCTGCCTCGGCCTCAGAAAGTGCTGGGATAACAGGCGTGAGCCACCACACCTGGCCGAGAACGTGGTTTCTAAGTGAGCAAGATAATATAGAAAACATTCAGAGAGGACCACATATAAAGCCTCCATTAGCTATTTCTTATTGCCAGCCCACTTTATGCAAATATAGCTTACAACCAACAACTTAACATTCAGAGGAATACTACTCTTTCCTTAATAAAGAATCCCTTTGGGTAATATCCAATTAATAGGACATGCTATTTTGAATGCAAGCAGTTGCTTCTGCCAACTAAACCCTTGAAGGAACAACGCAAACTGTCCCTCCAGAGGCTTGCTGAAAGATCACCAAGGTCACACCTGTCATGACCTGAGTCAAGCCATCCATTCACCTGAGCTGAAGAAGACCATGCTTTGTATCCTCTAGCAGTTTGCTGAGCTGCTATATCTCTGGAATTGGATACAAAGAAATTAAATCCTCATTTAAAGAATGGCACAGACTTAAAGAATTGAAGTTAACCCAGAGAAGAGGCAAGAGACAGACTAATCTTCACAAAATAGAGTCAGAAAATTTGAACCTGTATTTTCTTACTGGGACGTATTTTCCCCTCTCAGGAAAAGTCACCCCTCCAGTCATCCAGTCATTCATTAGCAATAATGGCAACAACAACAACAACAACAAAAATGCCTGTTAGTGTAGAACACACAAGGTATGCAAATAAAAAACAAATTATTCCTTTTTCCTCTTTGGCAATTCAAATTGGCAAACATTTGGAGATTGAAGAATAAACACTTCAGGAAAGTACAGATGCTGTCTTTCCTTGCTAGATAGAGTCTGGACATATTGGGAGTACTATGTATTCTAATTTTACAAACCTCAGAGGCAGCTGATATATTATTATAAAAAGTATAAAGAAGCTGTCCTT
Organism: Homo sapiens; assembly: GCF_000001405.40. Classification (NCBI taxonomy): domain Eukaryota; kingdom Metazoa; phylum Chordata; class Mammalia; order Primates; family Hominidae; genus Homo; species Homo sapiens. The sequence continues at coordinate 58,484,719 of NC_000013.11, forward strand.
TTTTTCACATAAGTATTCAGAGTTAACTCATGAGACAAACTATTTCCCAGAACAAGGACTTGGTAAAATAATACTTGATTAATCTTAATAAGGCTCAAATGAAAACAGCAATGTATGTTCCTAAACTATTAAATACAAATATTTTCAGAAATTTCATTTTTTAAGATAAAACAGAATGTAACTGTCTCATAAAGCTTAAAGTGAATTCTGACTCTACTCATTACTAACCTCTAATCTCAATCAAATTATGTAACATAATAATTCTATTTACTTACCTTCAGAGTTCTATTCATTTATTCAGGAGAATAATCATGACCCCGTATTGCTTTCCAGAGTTGGTTTTTTTATTTTTTATTTTTTTGAGACAGAGTCTCTCTTTGTCACCAAACTGGAGTGCAGTGGCACGATCTTGGCTCACTGCAACCTCCACCTCCTGGGTTCAAGCAATTATCCTGCCTCAGCCTCCCGAGTAGCTAGGATTACAGGCGTGCACCACCACACCCAGCTAACTTTTGTATTTTTAGTAGAGACGGGGTTTCACAGTGTTGGTAAGGATGGTCTCGATCTCCTGACCTTGTGGTCTGCCTGCCTCGGCCTCCCAAAGTGCTGGGATTACAGGCGTGAGCCACCGCGCCCGGCCCAGAGTTCTTTTGATTAGCCATAATCAAGTGAAAACACTTCTCAAGTTATAAACTTTCATACAAAGTTTTTTCGTTTTTATTTTGGTTGTTGCATCAACTGCTTTTGACGACTTAATAGGGTAGGAGAAAGGAAAAAAATAAGAATCGTCTGCTACTGATTAGTTTATATATTTTGCAACTGAAGGATATTTTGCCAGCGTGTAGTGTTGTCATTTGCTTTTTAAGCAGATCTGAGGGGGTAGATATTGAAATAAATCAGCAAATTCTTTCCTTCAACTCAAATGTAAAGACATACAAAATCTGGTTCACCAAAATATATCACTTATAAAATATCAATGTAAATTCAATTTTCTTTTCCACCTCGTTTAAGTCAAGTTAATGTATATCATCACTTTTAGTGGCCATAGTATCTATATGTGTCATCAGCTTTGAGAAAGGTACTTGAAACACTCTGTTATCTATTAGAAATGCGTGATATGTGAACTTGATTCATTTGTAATGATCCCCAATTCTATTTCCAGACTTCTCTGGAAGTAGAAGTCTCTGCCATGTGTCATATTGATTTTTTGAATTCGGACGTATTTCTTTTCAGGAAACAATGTTAGAAGTGATATCTCTTGTTCTTAATTCTAAACAGATCAACTTAAAATATGAATACATTTCCCTTGAACCCAGAATTATTTTCATAACAGTGGTTAAAATAATATGTTCTCCCTAAAACAGGAAGAGGTTTCACACTTCTATGTAATGACAGCAGGGCAAATTTAATTCAGAATTTCCAACAACCTCATGCTCTTTCCAGACAACTTTCTTCTCCAGAGACACAGAATGCATAAGGAAGAAGATATAGAGCTTCTCCCAAAAGTCAGCTCTCCCTATTGTCTTCTAAACCTTCTTGTAAGTCATCTATATGCTTAAATCATTGGAAGATAATTTTGTATTGTTTATATACTTTAAATTGACTTTCAATTTTATATTATTTAAATTGACTCAGGATAAAGGAAACACAGTCAGAAAAAAGTAATACCTATAAATAATAACAATCTTATATTTCCGAAAGGCAGGACTAGTCCAAGTAAATTTGTAGACTATACACTCCCTGTATATCCACCCAATTAGCAGTAACAGAATATCCTTTGCATATAAAAAGTGCAAAAAATGCTTGTTGCTTAGTTGGCTGGGTGGTGAATTATCCTTCAAAATAGAAAAAAGAAAACAATAAAAAAATCAAGATGTCAAATACTGTTACATATCTATGAATATAAATCAGTGCAAATCATAAGCAAAAAAGGAGATATATAATGTTTAAAATATTTTTAAAGGTATGCAACCGAAGAGCTTAAAATTTAAGTTGAAGATTATGACAGCAGCAGGCTATTTATGTCAAACTTAAGGCAAATGTCTAAAATCCAAAATATTTTAGAAAATTATTGGGCCAGGCGCAGTGGCACACACCTGTAATCCTAGCACTTTGGGAGGCTGAGGCGGGCGGATCACGAGGTCAGGAGATAGAGACCATCCCGGGTAACACGGTGAAACCCTGTCTCTACTAAAAATACAAAAACAAAATTAGTCGGGCGTAGTGGCAGGCGCCTGTAGTCCCAGCTACTTGGGAGGCTAAGGCAGGAGAATGGCGTGAACCCGGGAGGCAGAGCTTGCTGTGAGCCGAGATCACACCACTGCACTCCAGCCTGGGTGACAGCGAGACTCCGTCTCAAAAAAAAAAAAAAAAAAAAAAGAATTAGGTCATGTTTCTTCACCTCCCTCTTTTCTAAAGGCATTCTGTTCTGTCTTTCAAATCAGTATCATGATCTTGGTCTCACTAATTAAAATTAAAAACAAAACAAATATGAATGTTTTTATTTTTCACCACTGAAGAATTTTAGAAATAGGAAGCTACCCCAGAGTTAGTAATGAGGAGACACTGACCTGGAAAGAGGCTTAAACAACTTTGTGGCAGAGCAGGGATTTGAAATGAGAACTCACAGCAAGTACAGCTCTTTTTCTCATATGCCAGACTGCTCCAGGGAAGCCCCACCAGGCAGTCAGTCTCGGCGGAGCTAGAGACAGAACACAAAGAGGTCTCTTTCTGCCCCTGGGCTTTTGCTTGTGCCATTCCTCCTGGAATGGCTGTGGTTCTCTGTCTATACCTGGTGTACTTTGAACCATTCTTAAATGCCAATTTCAATTCAACTTCTTTTCACCTGTGATGTTTTTTGCAGCTGATCTCCTCCCAAATACTTGTGATAATGTTTTTGTACCTTTCATGCTGACATCTATCTCCCTCTTCATGCTTTTAAATGTACATTCTTAGTTCTTTACTAAGATAAAAACTTCCCAAACACAAGGACTGTATCATCATTTATTAGTCTATATCCCAGCACAATGCTTTGAATTAGAGTTACTAAATAATGAATAGACACATAGATACAGAAAGACAGACAGACAGACATGATGAATGAAATAAATGTATACTTAGAAATTGGGAAACATTGACATTCACAGGGAAATTGACATTCAGATCAATGTTTCTCAAAATGTGGTTTGAGAGCAATCTGAATCCAGATTAGGAAAAAAACAAACGAATAAAGAACAATATCAAAAACAAAAATGTGATGTCCTGAATGTAAAACTTTGGGTATGTGGTCTAGAAATTTGAATTTGTACCAAGCTCCTCAGTAATATCTGAATCAATTAAAATGTACCAAATACTATGGGTGTGGAGAGAATGAAGATGAGAGATTTCCATCATGTGTACTTGCCTCACTAATCATTCTACTCCTATCCTCCCTATTTTCTGTATTTTTCATAAACATTTGGCTAGTTCCTTGATTTCAGATGGTATTACTTAGAAACTCCAGAGATGAGAGAATCTGTATTACAAGAGATTTGTGTTAGTTTTCTATTACTGCTATAAGTAATTACCGCATGTTTAGCCACTTAAAATCACACATATTGAGTATTTCACAGTATCCCTGGGTCAGAAGTCTGGGCACAGTATGGCTCTTTGGGTTGCTACTTAGGGTCTCACAGGGTTGAAATGAAGGTGTCAGCCATCTACATTCTTCTGTGGAGGCCTAGAAGCTTTTTCCTAGGTCATTCAGGGTGTCGGTGAGAGCGGCAGGAGGTAACCAAATGCTTAGGCAGATAGGGACAAGTCCCTGGTGAAACCCCACCTATAAGCCAAAGACAGTTTAAAGCCTGAAAGCCAAGCTACAAGTTATATCCTAGGACCGAATTAAGAACTTGTCTTGCAATTCGGTGCACTTTTCTCTGATTGATCCCCACCCTTCACCTATTTTACATATACCTACCCTTTCCTAATTGGTTTTCTGCACTGTTGTGCCCACCTTTGAGTGGTGTCTTTGCTTTAACCTTTTTTGCATACTCACAAACCAATCAGCACACCCTCCTATTCTAAGTCCATAGAAGGCTCTGGATCCAGCCACATGAGGGACTTGCCCACATTCAGTTAGGGAGACTACCCCCACTTCCCCTCTCCACTGAAAACTGATTAATTGCTCAATTAAAATTCTTTGCCACCCTCCTCACCCTTCAATGTCCAGTGTATCCTCATTCTTCTTGGACATGGTGCAAGAGCTTGGGAACCACTTAACACAGGTACAAGCTATAACTCAGGCGGGCTAGGGCACGCCAGTGTGGCTGAGGCTGAGTGGGACCCAGGCTAGGCGGGACCCAGGCTGGGCACTGCCAGCCGGAGGTCCCCGGCTTGCAAAGTGACTGAGAAGAAAAATCCTGCATCATTGGTAGAGCCCAGCTCTTTGCAGTTGTAGGAGTAAGGTATCTATTTTGTTGCTGTCAGATAGAGGCTTCACTTAGTCCCTGGAAGCCTCTCTTTGCTATTTTCACAGAGACCTGTGCATCTTTGAGCCTTCTTAGGCCTGCCATCTCTCTAATTTGCCTGTCTGTTGCTTCTCTCTTGCCTCTTATTTGAAGCATCTCTCTTTTACTCCAGGCAGAGGAAATTCTCTATTTTTAAGGTGCGATGCTATTAGATTGAACTCACCCAGATAATCCAGTATAATTCCCTCATTTTAAAGTTATAGCTGCAAAGTCTTTTTTGTCATGTAACATAACATTCACAAATTTCAGGAATTAGGATGTGGGTGGTTTTGGAGGCCACTGTTTGGCCCACTATAGGATATAAATAAAGGTCTTTAGTGCAAACATCCCTTAGCTTACTAAGATATTCTCTGAAACATTTTTCTAAATTTATATCCAGTCTGTTTTATACTTTAGGGAGTACTCAATACTCAGCATCAATCATGGTTTTAGTTCAGCTCCTAGCATCTCTATGGGTCCTGCTAAAATATCTCCCAATGCTACCTGTAGGATAGCAGCATTTCACGCATCTATATAAAAATGTACAGTCATATGGAACTTTTTGACATTTAAAATTCCTAAGACCTCTTTGCACATGCAGCTGCTAATCCTCAATCCTACCTGTATAGATGCAACTATTGGTAGTTGGAGTTTTGTTTCAAAAGATAAGCATGGCTCTTTTTTTACTGTCCAATTCTGCCATGCTGTGTGTTTGCAACTTTTCCAATATCATGCCTTTCTCTTAAAATTAAGCCGTATTTCTTGAGTGGTCAGTTTCTAAAATAGTAGAAGAGAAGCATCAATAGGTAATGGGTTAATTTAGGCATTTTTAGCAAAGTAAAATAAAACAAGTTACTGTTCAAAACGATAAATGGCTAAAGAAGAGAGTCTTTTATAAGAAAAAAATCTTTTCACTTTTGGTTTTAAAAATTAAGAAGTCATACTCACAAACATTGGCCTACTCAAGCATATTTGTTGGTTGGTTGGTTTTGTTTCCCTCTTCTTCTCTTTCCAATTTCCATGAAAGGAAGCAATTAGGATTACACTAACTGACCAATGATTTAGGGAAACTGAATTCAGTCTTTTTTGGGTTGATTGACCTCAGGAACAAGACTATATTATTTGTGCTATTAACGCCACAGTGAAGAAAGTTAAAAAAAAAAAAGGCGGAGGGGGTTTGGGGGGGGAACTGCAAAGCAAAGAGATTTTAATGTGAATCAAAGACTCCTGATACCCAAGAACCATGGAAATTCTTTTAGGATTTCACAGGCTACTAGAACTTTACAAAATTCAACTCATTTTATTTCATGTATACATTTTTCTGTACAATTTCAGATAGCCAAGAAGGATGCAGTGAGAATGGGAATATTTTTTTTCTGAGTTCATATAAATTCTACAAAACTGTGGTTTGTACACTGAGTGTGGTTCTTCAAAGTCTACAATCTCTTTGCTCTAAAATGTTATATTTCCATAGACGAGTAAAAGTTTTAAAACTATTCTTTAAAGTTACAGAGAAAGGTTTAATATTTACAGCTAAAAAGGACAATGAGATTGGTTCCTTAAATTGCAATGTGTTTTTCATTCTTTAATTTCTGCTCAAAATTGTTCATTATTCTTCTTTACTTATTACATTTCTTTATTGAAATGGTAATGAAGTACCTGGTAAAATGGTTTAATAAATGATAAGACATATCAAACAGTACAAAATGGAATACTGTGTAAGGTCAATATCCTTCCCACCACCACCCACTAGCACTGTAAGTTTCATTTTTAGAGGCAACCAGTATATTTGATACATTTGTTATGTATTCTCTTGGACACATGTAATGCTTATACAAGCAATCTAAGTATGTGTGTATGTTAGTTTGTACACAGACTCTGTGTATATTTTTATAAATATAGCATATATAGAGATACATTCCTTTTCTCCAGCTGGCTAACCTACTGTCTTATCTAAAAATATGTCTTGAAGATCATTTTTCTGTGTATATATCAACCTATTGTCTCTACGGTTTTTTTGTTTTGTTTTTTGTTTTTTGTTTTTTGTTTTTTGAGACGGATTCTCACTCTGTCGCCCAGGCTGGAGTGCGGTGGCGCCATCTCGGCTCACTGCAAGCTCCGCCTCCCGGGTTCAGCCATTCTCCTGCCTCAGCCTCCTCAGTAGCTGGGACTACAAGTGCCCACCACCACGCCTGGCTAATTTTTTGTATTTGGTTAAGTAGAGACGAGGTTTCACCGTGTTAGCCAGGATGGTCTCTATCTCCTGACCTCGTGATCCGCCCGCATCGGCCTCCTAAAGCGCTGGGATTACAGGCGTAAGCCACCACGCCCAGCCTGCGTCTACTTTTTTAAATAACTGCATATTATTTTCGTATAGGCCCCTCAGTATTAAGCCAATCTTCTTTTAATGAATATTCATTTTTTTCAGTCTTTATCAAAGAAAATAAAGTAGTTTACAGATGCTTACATGCATTTTATATACACATGTCTGTAAGTGACATTTTTAGAAATGTAATTTCCTGGCCCATAAGTATGTGTGTCTAAATTTTTGTAGTTCTGCATTGCTTTCCAAAAACTTTCACCAATTTTCACTTTTATAAACAGTGTATGAAATGCCTTGTTTTTTCATACCTTTACGTACACCATATTATTACACATCTTTGATCTGTGCCAATGTGGAAAGTGAAAAATGGCATGTCATTATACTTGCATTTAATTATGCACATGATTGAGTATGTTTTCATATGTTTAAAAGCCATTTATCTTTGCTTTGTTTATTACAGTGCACAGCCTCTTCAGGCCCTGCCTGTTTTTCTCTTATGGTTTGGTCACTTTTGTCACTTTCTTCTTAATTTATAAATACACTTTTATAATAAAGAAATTAACTTTTTCCCCATCATTTATGCATAGTTTTTTCTGTTTATCTTTACATTTGGCTTATAAATTATTTGTCCTGCAGAAAATTTTAAATGATGAGTCAAATTTACCTGCAATCTTTTACTGTATTGCTCCTAGCTATTGTCTTATTTTAGAAGTTTTGGTTCAATTCCAAGTTTATTTTTAAAACTATGCTAATGGTTACTTTTGAGGAAATATATTTTCTTCCCTATTATAATTTTTGTTTCACATAGAATTTATTTTAGCATAATTAAGAATCCAATTTTATTTTATTTTTATTTACGTAGCTAATCAATTATAACAACATGACTTTTATTTGAAACACTATAATTATGATATGTTAAATTTTACAGATAGGTAGATGCACAGATTCCTGTGTTTCCATTTTGTACTATTAAAATCTCTCTCTCCTTAATAGCTGGAAGGCAGAGTAGTACTTCCTCAACACAAAGACATTACTGATCAGTTTTCTTTCAAAATGTTCTTGAATATTCTTGCAAGTTAAATTTTTGTACAGAACATAGATACAGCTGGTCTATATTTATAAAAAAGAAAGTTGCTTGTAATTTGAGATTAAATTGAAAACTAAGAATATTAAACTATTGAGTTATTCTTTAAAGAATAGTCTATTTTTATCATGTATTCAGATTTTTTTTCTTTCATAGTTCTTAGGAGAGTTTCATATTTCTTTCACACAAATCCTAAATATGGCTTATTAACTTTATTCTTAGGTATTTTGATATCAGTTTCCATCTCAGTCAGTTCCGGTTGATATAGCAAATTACTATAAACTCAATGACTTAAGGAACAGTCATTTATTTCTTATAATTCTGGAGGGTGGGAAGTCCAAGATCAAGGTGCTGAAAGATCCAGTGTGTGGTGAGGATTTTCTCATGTGTAGGCACATATCACCAGAAAATAATTTTACACATTTAAAAAAGTTTTCTCTCATTTTTATAATTTTACCAAATTTCATTGACTTATTCTTACAGAGAAATGTTAAGCAATACTAGCAATATTGCTCATCATTTTGTGTTGCTGACTTAATAGACATAGGAATCTATTATCTTTAGTTATACATTGATTTTTTTTGAAATGCCTTTTTAGTCATTTATATCAGCATTACATAAGCTATTTGCTATATATATGATTTTCTCCTTCCAATTATTTAAATAAACTTTATGACATTAAACTATCATGGAATTCCTGGGATAAGTCTTTTATTTGATTTCTTTTGATTTTTGGCTGAGTTCTATTTGCTTTTTTTTTTTTTTTTTAGAATTTCTTCATAAGTACTTATAAATCAAATTGTTTTGTGAATATTCTTATTGTATGTTGGAGTATATATTTGGCATGTTTTAGGGCATGTGCATAGATAGTGCTATACTTGCTTTATATAAAAGTTTTAAAGGTGTTTCTCATTTTATATGTTCTGAAACTTTAAGTATAATTAGATTTGTCTGTGTCTTGAATGTTTGATATAAATTCATTCTGAAGATACCTATTATTGGTAATTTTTTTTATTTTATGAGATTAGGAACTTTTGGTGAGGAAGTAGACAAGAAAGGAGTTTTATCAAATTTCTTAGCCTTAGCTATCAGAATAATTGCACCACAAAAATTCCTGTGCCTTCTAAGTTCAGAAATTTTAAGATGTTTTGTATATAGTCGATTAGGGCATTCTCTCATCCTCTTCCAATTCATTTATTTTCCTTTGTATCTGTAGTCATTTGTCAGTTTAATTTCCAAACTTGTATTTTTATTTGTTTATTTACATTGTCACCCCTGATTAGATGGCTGGTGATACATTTCATTGTTATAATTTTTTCAGAGAGTTCCCTCTTGAATTATCTTAAGTTCTATCTTGACTGTTTTCTAATTTATTAATTTCTGCTATTTGTTCTACCAGTGCTTTCCTTTGTCCTTAAGCTAATATTTATTTTATTTTTCTAACTTCTTGAGTGAATTCTTAAATAATTAATTTTTGTTAATATAAGTGTAAATTTTATTATGTTTTATTCTGGTTGTATTCCATATTATGTTGCAAAATATTTCCATTTTGGCAATATCTAGATATTTATTTTATTTTATTTTCGAGTTTTTAAAAGATAATTTTTCATTAATACATAAAAGACATGAGTTTTAACTGCACATATGTGTGTAATTTAGACTTTATTTTCTGTAAATTAACTATTTTACTTTGAGATTATTTGCTTTGACAGTGTGAAAAAACTGTGTACAGCAGAAATTAACCCTTTCTCTATCATTTGTCTTGCAGTTTTCCTCAGTTCTCATTATACACAATTTTATTATGAGTTTTTTTTTTTGTTTTTTTTTTTTTTAAGACGGAGTCTCGCTCCTCGCTCTGTCGCCCAGGCTGGAGTGCAGTGGCGCGATCTCGGCTCACTGCAAGCTCTGCCTCCCGAGTTCATGCCATTCTCCTGCCTCAGCCTCCCAAGTAGCCGGGACTACAGGCGCCCGCCACCAAGCACAGCTAATTTTTTTGTTGTTGTTGTTTTTAGTAGAGACGGAGTTTCACTGTGTTAGCCAGAATGGTCTCCATCTGCTGACCTAGTGATTCACCCAACTCGGCCTCCCAAAGTGCTGGGATTACAGGCATGAGCCACCATACCCTGTTATGAGTTATTTTGCCATACAAAATGATTACATTTTTGTTTAAGTACATGCTTTATCTATATTTTTGTTTGTAACTTCTGAGTTTTCATTATTTTTAAGACAAACCTCTAGAATCTAGCACATACATATAAACTCCTAAATATTACTGCATTTTTTTCTTGCTTTAAGTTTTGCGTTTAATTTTTTGACCAATTTTATATAATTTGTTGATCTTTGTTCCATATTTCTCTTGTGAGTTATTCTTATAATGTTAATTTTATGAAAGTTGTAACTTTTGCTAGTCAAAGTTAACGAAATACAACAATGTGGTAATTTTAATTAAACTTTCAAAGATTAACTGCACTTCATTATTGTTTAGTTTTTTAAAAGGTGAACAATGGTATAATAGTATATACTTCAAATCTAGGACAAGTTGATATTTCTTCATCTGCAATTAATTGAAAACTTTTGATGGCTTATACTTCTGGAGAAAAATAGATGATCAAACATACGTCTCATTTTGCACATTAACATATACAATCTGGCAATAGGGAAATTGAGAAGCTGATTCAATTGAAGAGTCCATAAAACACTTAAGACCGTGCAACACTTACAGAGGAGAATTAAACAGAATTAAAGGTAATATCTTCAGAGTCCCTAACTTGCATGAACTCTTTTACTTGTGGTATCTTTCAGCATTTGCCAATTATTTAAAATTCGTAATTTTTTGTTGTTGCTATTCTAAATACATATTTTCCTTTATACCTAATTTTACTTTCATTTTCTTGTGTAGAGCTTTGAAACTCTGTAAACATTAGACCCATAAAACGTGGATTCTTTTTTTAATACCAAGTATATTTGATATGTGGAATAAAGGATGAGCTAAAATAAGGAAAACGGTAATTAAGCTGTTTAGGAATCACAACTTGTATAAAACCTGTGGTCACTCTCCAAAAATAAAAAGTTTGGTACAAATTATACTAGAATATTTCACAAAATATGTTTATAAAATTTTCTCCTATATATTTATAGAATATATAAATAGAATATAAATATAATAATTTACAATATTTGAGTAATATTGTGAACTACATAGAGTCAAAGGATGTTATAAACAAGAACATGACCAGCAGATAGTGAGTCATAGCAGGAAAAAAAAAAAAGCTTTAGTAAAAGGTTTCATTTACAGCTCCAGCAATTATTTCGTTAGGTAACAAGTAATTGAACATCTGACCATAGAAGATTATTGTGAGAATTAAAGAAAAATAAAATGTAAAGGCAACAAATACCTTTTGTCGAATTTAGTAAATGTTTATAAATGTACCTTGTCTTCCTTTATTATAATTTTTTAAAAACACATAACGATCTAAATACATGCTTTACTGTAAAATAATTTTCTAAATTAACACTCATTCTGAGAGAAAATTTTGATTTGTTGATGGTTATGAGTAGAAAGACCATTTCGGCAATTGCCTATGAAAATAGGACTATCAAATATATAATATTTATAATATGAAAAGCCTTGGTGTGAATAAAGTAGAAAAAAGAACGTTATTAAACAAAGCAAGACCTAAAGGAAACAATTTTCTCAAAGTGAATAAAACCTGGTAATAAAAAAATTAAGAACAATTCAAGAAATGACAAAAGCACAAAAGCTAAAATATGAGCCATGTCTAATGGAGATGATTAATTTTAGGGAAAATTCACCTCAAACTTGAGTTAAAATAACTTTTTACTATTTAATGGGAGCTTCAAATGTTCTTTTTTCACTGTAAAGCTAGTATTCTATTTCAATTGCTTCACAATACAGAGATGTTTCTTTTAAATTTAGGTCATTTCAAGCCTTGGTATTGCAAAGCCTAATGCATGTGACTTTTTGAGAATGTTTAATATTTGAATTTGTATGTAGAGGGAGAACAACAACAAAGAAATACCAGAGCCACTCTCCTGGTCCCAAATTATTTTGCAAATGTCTTTCATATATTGTAATATATGTTGATTGAAAATGTTAAATATTAGAAAAAATAAAACTAACATTTGTCATAGAATGCAGTAAATGTTTACAGATGTGCTTTGCCTTCCTGTGTTAAACTTTTTGAAAGACAATCTGAATACATGCTTCATAGTCAAAGCATTTTCAAAACGAAAATTTTGAGAGAAATTTCGAGTTTGTTGATGGCTATGAATAGAAAAACCAATTGGATTAAAAATATTAAACATTTTCAATAAATACTAAAAATTCACAGATGTTTTTTCTTGATCTGAACATGAAGGTTGACCAAGAAGTTTCTCTCAACTTGACTAAACTTTACATAGGTTTTTACCTGACACTAGGCCCCTGACCTCTCTTTCCTTAGAGCATTTACGTTAGAAAACATGTAATTATAAATTCTTTGCCTGCCTCTTTAAGATTCAATTCTTTAAAAAAGCCTCTTGCCAGTTGTGCAGCTCAGGAATGTCATTCTAAAGGAACTAAGCCATTTCATTGAACCATAAGCATCAAAGGAGATAGCATCCCTATCTCCCAGTTTCTGTGGGAGAGTAAGGGCCTAACAAGGTACACTCCCACAGAGGGTACATTGCTCAAAGTTGTAAAACGATTTATTTGCATGAATATATGAGAAAGTTTAATTTTAATCCGGAGAAGGCTAGTTAGCAAACACATATGTTCAATATCTCATCCTGACCCCTGCACTTAATAATTTTCCTGCCCTTTGTTTCAGTGGAGTTGAATTCATACCGGGACTTGGCTTCATCACCTTACTGCAATAGTCTTTTTTTTTTTTAATGGCAGTAGTCTTGAATAACATTTTCCTTGACTGTATCACTTTGTCCAGTGTAATTTTTGCTTTGACAAGTTGCTCAAAACAAAAAATAAAGCAATATAGGGAGACAGAGAAAAGGTGTACTGCTTACACATAGAGTGGTAAAGTATGTCCTCTCTGAGGAAAAGAGAGCTATGAATTCATGGATTATATAGAAATTTGATGAACATTTCTGACATAATAAAAAGTAAGTAAAATCTTTGATGTAGTAGTTTGCTTCAGAAGTCTCATGAAGATCAAAGAGAATTTTTTTCACCATTTTGCATGAAGTCAATTTCCTTCCTGTTCAGATGAGGAAACTGAGACCCAAAGTGGCTTGATAATTTATGTAGACAAACAAAGTAGAATTTTGTATTATGGAAGCAATTCAATAGCTGATGTCATTTTTGCTTTTGCTAAGAAATTATCAATTGAAAACAAACCAATGGGTTTGCATCAGAAAATTTAACCATTTATAAGAAATGGCAACATTTATGAAAATTCTTCAATGGTAAATTATAACCCAAAAAATCCTTTAATAATGAAAAACTAAAAACAAGCAAACTTATGATGTTAATTTTATAAATTTTGAAAATGAAGTTTCAATTATTAACCAAAGTACCTTTGCAGAAAATATGGCTCATAAAGCATCTTTTTGAAACTTTCATATTAATATTAGTTATAAAATAGAGGTAAAGTAGGGGTGGGATCTAAACAGTAATGAAAGACTACTGACAGTGATTGTTGCAATGGAATGTTCTGTAGAATTCTGGCTCTGCCACTTGTCACGTAAGAAAATTTGGGCAAATTACTTAACCTCTTTAAGTTCTAATTTCATCATTTGTAAAATAAGGATATTTATACATACTTCACAGGGTTGTTATAAAGATTACACGACATAGCATATGCAAACTACTTAGTATAGCACATGCTCAATGTTCAAAAATGTCTTCAGCTGTCATCATTAGTATTTTTATATTTTTACTAAATTGCAAAACTACTGGATTTAATTGACTTTTTTCTTTGTAACTTTTTACTATGAAAACTTTAGGCAACATTTAAAATTGAATAATACACTGGAATAAATGACCTTGAAGTTCTTTATCAAACCATGTAACTTTTCTCTCTTCAGCAATGGATTCTTATAAAACAGTTTTAGTCATCCTATCATTCAATCCATAAACTGTTTAGAATATCTCTCAAAGATCCTTTTAGAAATAATGTATTCCCAATATCATTCTCACAGCTAATACATTAACAATAATTACAATATCACAAATGTCCAGTCAATGCTCAAATCTCCCTGGTTGTCTCATATTTTTTAAAAAAATTGTTTGCTTTGAAATCAAGATCCAAATAATATTTGTACATTGCAATTGGTTAATATAATGTTTTAATCTGTTTTAGTGTACAGTCTATGTTTCTGTCTCTCTTTGTCTTGTTTAAGAATTGGGGTCTTTTTAAAATTTAAATTCAAAACTAAATAATGTTAACAGTCTGTCCTATCATCCATGTTATAACTATGAAGTAGGTTGTCTCTTGGTAATAGAGGTAAGTAATAAGTTACTAGTTTTTGACTGAGATGGGAGAGGTGGTAAATGGTTTCCAGTTCAATAGATGAGAAGCCTTAAGAAAGGGGGCGTGGTCCCTATGAGGCACTTTGGAGCCAGGGTGAAGCAGTCAGTCAGACTTAGCAGGAAAATCAATAAAGGCAAATTGTTTGCAGCTGTTCACAGAGCACTTCTTGATAAACAAGATTTTGCCATTAAAGATTACAGAATAAGAGGTTGCTACAAAATAGTCTATGGCTCTCACCAGATAATCCCAAATGAGGTAATCACTTCACTTGCACCCTCTGATCCTATCGTGTTAAACCTTTAGAAAAAATTTCCTGGTATGCAGCAATGATTGAAGTCAATTTCCAAAACTTCTCACATATATTGTACCATATTCTCTGCCTTTTCTTTTTGAGGTAGTAAAGCAATAGAAGTAAAGTGAACATAGAAGGAACAATGATGTTCATGTACAGATGTTAATTGGAAACTATAAAAAGTAAATATTTCAATCTGTGGGAAAGTAATTGTACAAACACATCCTTTCCAGAAAATCATATTGAATGTCCTGGAGAACTTAGCCGATTAAGGGGGATGTAATTAAATTTAGCTAGAATACTAATAGAACAAGGAACAAGGCAGAAACCTGCAGACTCTGTAAATTGAAGGAGAATTTTTTTTTTTTTTTTGAGACAGAGTCTTGCTCTGTCACCCAGGCTGGAGTGCAATGGCACTATCTCTGCATCTCTGCTCACTGCAACCTCCGCCCCCTGGGTTCCAGCGATTCTTCTGCCTCCGCCTCCTGAGTAGCTGGGACTATAGCACGCACCACCACGCCCAGCTAGTTTTTGTATTTTTAGTAGAGACAGGGTTTCACCATATTGGCCAGGCGGGTCTCAAACTCCTGCCCTCATGATCCGCCTGCCTCGGCCTCCCAAGGAGAATTTTTAACAAGTTAACATGTATGAGTAAACTTGAGCTCCTTAACACCAAATGAACTAATGTTCCTAAAGTATAAGCTTGTAAAGGAACTAAAAGCATTTCAAAAATCTGAAGGTTTATCAATAGAAAGAATAATATATGAAAGCCAGAAGGACAAACACTCACCTATGGAGGGCATAACACTATGCCAGGGACTAAATATGCCATAAAAGTTTAGGTACCTGGATCTGGCAATTGCTATTGCATGCCCTTTGGTTTTTCTGAGCCTCCATTTCTTCTTTGGTGAAATGGAGATAAAAATGTCTAACTAGAAGAGGTATTGCTGTAGACTAAATAATGAAATGTATATAAATTACCCATTAGAATGCTTGTCACTTAATGGTATTTATAAAATTATAACAAGTTTTCTTCACCAAAGTGAACACATTAAAATTAGACTTCCAAGTTTGTAAGGTTCTTAAAGTTCAACTGCTCTAATTACAATACTTAAAATTTGAAAATGGAAACTTTTATTATTACTAACATTGCTATTATTATTATATCTCTGTTACTTCTTTATAAAGGGTTTATTCAATTGATAATTATATGCTTCTAATGATGGAAGTCCATTTCCTCTTGAGTTTCACCAAAGTGTTTTCAAATACACATAATCACTGCTTGTGAAATGGGAATTTTGCTACTGTTTCAATCTGAGCTAGGGACTGCTTTTTCTTTCCTGCTAGACATCCTAAATTAGGATGCAATTCATTGTTGTTTGCGAGGCTGCACCACGCATTTTTGTTGAGCTAGGTGGAGACAAGTGAATTTTAAAACCATAATTAACACAGCGTCCAATGTATAATATGTCTTCCTTAAATGTTTATTATTGGTGATAATGATAATAACAAACCTATTTCTGTTCTTTTTGCTTACAGCTATCATTGTAAACTGTTTCAAAGTTTTATGTAAAATTCTCCTCCTGTTGTGTCTTCAAAATATACAGCTGGCCGCCATTATCTCAGGCATGCCTCTGTGGCAAGTGTGTTTTGTATTATTGCTCATTTGTTTCTTTCTCTGCCTACTCATCTGTTTTCCTGGCTGTGACTTTTAGCCTCTCATTTATCTCAGTAAGTATTGTCCTTGGCTACTTTCCTTCCCTCATTTCTATTGTTTCTTGCTTTCTGGTCACTTTGTTTGATGGCATCTGTTCAACACTTCACATTCATTAATATCCTCCATGAGTTGCTTAATAATAGAGAACCCTGTTGTGTTTCTGCACAGTTAAGAAAAAAAAAAAAACCTGTCCAGCTTTTGATAAAAGCCTGTACAACAGATTATTCTTGACTTGGGAAATTTTTAGAAGTTAATGACAGGGAAATAAAGGCAGATGCAACTGCTTAAGAATTTCTTTGAAATGTGTGTGTGTATGTGTGAGAGAGAGACAGAAAGAGAGAGAGATATTTAATTTGCTCACTGAAGAAAAAGCATGTGCATTGTTAAAGTATAGTTATGGGAAATGAACGATCTACCTATATCTAATCTTTAAAAGTATTTAGTTTAAAAATGCTCAAGATGATTAATATTTGAGAAAACTTTTAAGTAAGCTTAATTATGTAAACAAAGCCTAGTCTGTTTGTTGTATACATTCATATATTTCAAGTCAAATATCTCTTCTGTTATTTTACAAGACATGTATTTTGACCATCTAAATGGTAAGAATGTTCTAAAATAGACATTTATTCATTTTCCAATGCTTAATTCTCAGGAGAGTATAAAAATGGTAATTAAATATGCCATTGCTCAAGATGACCAACTTATCTAATCACTCTTTGACCTCCAAGTCCACTTTATCCTCTGATGCAGGCTAGATATTCCCTCTGTATGTCTAAAGCTGCTGTTGGCTTTTAAAAATCTAGACTTTTCTGTGGGAACGGCTATTTAAAATCAAGAGCTCATATTCTATGGAGTTGCTGCATTAGTTATAACCTGTGGTGTAAAAAGCTATAAAAGATCATTTACAGTTCAATCAAGGTTTCTGCTAATGCAGTGGCTGTTAGGTACATGAAGAACATGTCAGCTAATATTAAGAATGACATAAAGACTGTGTTCACCCAAAACTTGAAGTCAGAGCACAAAGGATAATATAAAATTCTTTCATATGGAAATTAAACTTCATATTGGGAATCCTGGTAGGAGGTCGGGAACTTTACTTCACCCACCAGTTCCCTGGGGTTAACGGGAGTTTGAAAAGAGGTTTGGGTTCACTCTGGGTTTCCTTATTCTAAAATGGTAGCTATTTTCTAAGACTTGAAATATCTCTCTTGTTCAGATGCTGTTTCTTAAATTTCCTATTTTTAAAGTGTGCCTGGTTACTTTGAAATTTCTAATTAGTTCTTCCTATTTCTATTTCTCCCCCCTTTTTTTTTTAACTTTGTTTTTTCTCAGTTGTTTTAAGTAATAGTAGAGCAGACTGTTCAGGTACTTCAAAGGATGAGAGTATTTATAAAGCAGTTCATTATTGGAAAAATGAAAGTGGTTATGACATATCTTGATTATTCTCAAACACATGCACATACACCATAGACTCCAGGGGTACCAATATCTGGACAAGTTTACTTAACCCCAGGAATACATTACAGTTGGGACTGGTTGCCTAGAAACCGGCTCTCTATCCTAGATTCTAGGAGTGTTTGTCCCACTAAGAATGATTGAGGCTTATTAGCTCCATTAATTCTCATCTCTAAAGTTTGTAACCAGGAAGAGGAGAAAACTGTCTTTCTAATCCTTGGTCTGTCTTTGGCAGAAATCATGTGAAGCATGTGCTGGATGCTTATTCCCTAGATTCTGTTTTAAATCAGCTAATCTGCTCAGTACAATGTTTACTCGGGATATTTGTCTTCATTTGCCATGGATTTTGTTATTTTCACCACCCTAATTGAGTATGGGGAAAAATAGACAACATTAAAAATACACGCTGTTGGCCGGGTGTGGTGGCTCATACCTGTAATCCCAGCACTTTGGAAGGCCAAGGTGGGCAGATCACGAGGTCAGGAGATCGAGACCAGCCTGGCTAACATGGTGAAACCCCATCTCTACTAAAAATACAAAAAATTAGCTGGTGTGGTGGCGGGTGCCTGTAGTCCCAGCTACTCGGGAGGCTGAGGCAAGAGAATGGCGTGAACCTGGGAGGGGGAGCTTGCAGTAAGCTGAGATTACGCCACTCCACTCCAGCCCAGATGATAGTGTGAGACTTCATCTCAAAGAAAAAGAAAAAAAAAAATACACGCTGTTGGCCAGGTGCAGTGGCTCATGTCTGTAATTCCAGTGTCCAGAATTGGTGGATTCTTGGTCTCACTGACTTCAAGAATGAAGCCACGGACCCTCGTGGTGAGTGTTACAGTTCTTAAAGGTGGTGTTGTGTCCGGAATTGGTGGGTTCTTGGTCTCACTGACTTCAAGAATGAAGCCGCGGACCCTCGCAGTGAGTGTTACAGTTCTTAAAGGCGGCGTGTCAGGAGTTTGTTCCTTCTGTTGTTAGGATGTGTTCGGAGTTTCTTCCTTCCGGTGGGTTCATGGTCTCACTGGATCAGGACTGAAGGTGCAGACCTTTGCAGTGAGTGTTACAGCTCTTAAGGTGGCGCGTCTGGAGTTGTTCATTCCTCCTGGTGGGTTTGTGGTCTCCCTGGCTTCAGCAGTGAGGATGCAGACCTTCACGGTGAGTGTTACAGCTCATAAGAGCAGTGTGGACCCAAAGAGTGAGCAGTAGCAAGATTTATTACAAAGAGCAAAAGAACAAAGCTTCCACAGTGTGGAAGGGGACCTGAGAGGGTTGCCATTGCTGGCTCGGGCAGCCTGCTTTTATTCTCTTATCCGGCCCCACCCACATCCCACTAATTGGTAGAGCTGAGTGGTCTGTTTTGACAGGGCGCTGATTGGTGCATTTGCAATCCCTGAGCTAGATGCAAAGGTTCACCTCCCCACCAGATTAGCTAGATACAGAGTGTCGACACAAAGGTTCTCCACGTCCCCACCAGAGTAGCTAGATACAGAGTGTCGATTGGTGCATTCACAAACCCTGAGCTAGACACAGGGTGCTGATTGGTGTGTTTACAAACCTTGAGCTAGATACAGAGTGCCGATTGGTGTATTTATAATCCCTGAGCTAGACATAAAGTTCTCCACATCCCCACCAGACTCAGGAGCCCAGCTGGTTTCACCTAGTGGATCCCGCACCAGGGCTGCAGGTGGAGCTACCTGCCAGTCCCGCGCCGTGCACCCGCACTCCTCAGCCCTTGGGTGGTCGATGGGACTGGGCACCGTGGAGCAGGAGGCAGTGCTCGTCGGGGAGGCTTGGGCTGCACAGGAGCCCACTGTGAGGGGGAAGCTCAGGCATGGCAGGCTGCAGGTCCCGAGCCCTGCCCCGCGGGAAGGCAGCAAAGGCCCGGTGAGAAATAGAGCACAGCAGCCGCTGGCCCAGGTGCTAAGCCCCTCACTGCCCCAGACTGGCAGGGCCAGCTGGCTGCTCCGAATGCGGGGCCCACCAAGCCCATGCCCACCCAGAACTCCAGCTGGCCCGCAAGCACTCTGCGCAGCCCCGGTTGCTGCTCACGCCTCTCCCTCCATACCTCCCTGCAAGCTGAGGGAGCTGGCTCCGGCCTTGGCCAGCCCAGAAAGGGGCTCCCACAGTGCAGTGGCAGGCTGAAGGGCTCTTCAAGTGCCGCCAAAGTGGGAGCCCAGGCAGAAGAGGCACAGAGAGCGAGCGAGGGCTGTGAGGACTGCCAGCACGCTGTCACCTCTCAGTGTGTCCGGAGTTTGTTCCTTTCAATGTTCGGACGTGTTCGGAGTTTCTTCCTTCTGGTGGGTTCGTGGTCTCACTGGCCTCAGGAGTGAAGCTGCAGACCTTCGCAGTGAGTGTTACAGCTTATAAAGGCAGTGCCGACCCAAAGAGTGAGCAGCAGCAAGATTTATTGCAAAGAGCAAAGGAACAAAGCTTCCAGTGTGGAAGCGGACCCAAGCAGGTTGCCACTGCTGCCTCTGGCAGCCTGCTTTTATTCCCTTATCTGGCCCCACCCACGTCCTGCTGATTGGTCCATTTTACAGAGAGCTGATTGGTCTGTTTTGACAGGGTGCTGATTGGTGCATTTACAATCCCTGAGCTAGACACAAAAGTTCTCCAAGTCCCCACTAGATTGGCTAGACACAGAGCACTAATTGGTGCATTTACTAACCTTGAGCTAGACACAGGGTGCTAATTGGTGTGTTTACAAACCTTGAGCTAGACACAGAGTGCTGATTGGTGTGTATACAATCCTCCAGCTAGACATAAAAGTTCTCCAAGTCCCCACTAGACTCAGGAGCCCAGCTGGCTTCACCTAGTGGATCACGCACAGGGGGCCACAGGCAGAGCTACCCACCAGTCCCACACTGTGCACCCACACTTCTCAGCCCTTGGGCGGTCAACAGGACTGGGCTCTGCAGAGCAGGGGGTGGCACTCGTTGGGGAGGCTTGGGCTGTGCAGGAGCCCACTGGGGGCGGGGTGGGGGGCTTGGGCATGGCAGGCTGCAGGTCCTGAGCCCTGCTCCGCGGGGAGGCAGCTGAGAATTCAAACACAGCATGGGCGGGCTGGCAGTGCTGGGGGACCCGGCGCACCCTCCACAGGTGCTGGCCTGGGTGCTCAGCCCCTCACTGCTCAGGGCTGGCGACTCCGGCTGGCTGCCCCAAGTGTGGGGCCCACTGAGCCCGCACCCACCCGGAACTCACGCTGGCCTGTGAGCACCATGCGCAGACCCGGTTCCTGCCCATGCCTCTCCCTCCACACCTCCCCACAAGCAGAGGGAGCCGGCTCTGGCCTCAGCCAGCCCAGAGAGGGGCTCCCACAGTGCAGCGGCGGGCCGAAGGGCTCCTCAAGCGTGGCCAGCATGGGCGCCGAGGCCAAGGAGGTGCCAAGAGTGAGTGAGGGCTGCCAGCATGCTGTCACCTCTCACCAGCACTTTGAGAGGCCAGGGTAGGCAGATCACTTGAGGTCAGGAGTTTTGAGACCAGCCTGGCCAACATGGCAAAACCCCATCTCTACTAAAAAAAAAATTACAAAAAAATTAGCCTGGCATGGTGGTGCATACTTGTAATCTCAGCTACTCAGAAGGTTGAACCATGAGAATCCTTTGAACCTGGGAAGTGAGGGTTGCAGTGAGCCAAGATGGTGCCACTGCACTCCATCCTGGGAGACAGAGTGAGACTCTGTCTCAAAAAATAAATAAATAAGCTACTTATACACCTTCCAAAGTCAATCAACTCATGTAGGCAAGTTGTCTTATGCCAACTTTTAGGAAAAAGACAATGGACTCAAAAGAATATTTTGCCTGTTGGTAATTTTCTGCAAACATATTCTTTCCCCTCTGCCTTTCACACCTCTGAATTACAACATTAAGTCAAAACAGGTAGGTCAGAGTTTTGGCCAGTGAGTGGTCCTGTTTAGGTTTATTTGACCCTGAATCCTGTATATGAAAAATATCCTTCATTGAGCAAGGAATGGATCCCAGTTTTATAGACAAAACACACCAACACACAACCTTATATGAGGTTTTCAGCAGCCTAATAATTGTGAAGCTATACAAGTTACAGTGTTCCTACAAGTTTTCAAAAGTTTCTGGGAGTCAGTAAGGAGGCAGTTTCAATCTGCTGTATATTATCTTTGCTTTATTTATTTAGCTGCTCCAATGTTGAGTGCATATATATTTACAATCGTTACATTCTTTTGATCAATTAATCCCCTTATCATTATAGAATGACCTTCTTTGTCTAATTTTACAGTTTTTGACATAGTTTATTTTGTATAATGATTACATAAAATATCTTACAGTTGTAAGTCTATTTTAAGCTGATAAATTAATTTTCATAACATAAAAAATCTTCTAGACTTTTACTCCACCACCCCCACATTTAAATTTAAATTCCCTTCCCTTCCCTTCCCTTCCCCTCCCCTCCCCTCCCCTTCCCTTCCTTTTTCTTTACTTCTATAGACATGGGGTTTTGCCATGATGCCCAGGCTGGTCTTGAAATCCTGAGCTCAAGCGTTCTGCCTGTCTCTGCTTCCCATAGTGCTGGAATTACAGGCATATGCCACCGTGCTGGGCCTACAATCTCTACAACCTGTGCTGACCGAGGTTCAAGGAAGAGTAACATCAGTAATGTAAAACTGCCCTTTCTATGCATTTTCTTTTATTATTGTGCTACAACCAATTATGTGATCTTTCACACAGTGTTTTAGTGTGCTGATTGTTGTCTAAATTGATGTTTCTGTAGGGGAAGGACGGGCAATGGAAAGTTCTATTATGCCATCTTGCTGACATCTGTCGCTGCTGTATATCAGATAAATCCCGTAGCTTTGTGAAATCAGACATGTTGGGAATGTTGATTTTTATATAACACTTTGCTTTGATATTGTTTAAGAGGAACTTAGAGGAGAAAAAGAGCTGTTCATGAGGACACTTGTATCAGTAGTTCTCCAAGTGGGGGTCAACGGATTGTATAAAAAATTCATGTACCCTTACCTCCTAAATTATTTGCAGAATTGTATGGCAGTGTGCATTTTTCTTCCAAGATTTATTTTTTCCAAATATACTTTTACTATTCCCTAAAAATAAATTTTATTTTAAAATGCCACAAACCAGCATTTGCACTGGCACATATGGAAACTAATGCTTGTGATTGAAAGCTATATGTGTACTATGGGACATGAAAAAATATAGATTTTTTGGTACTTATATATTGTATGAGATAGATGTGCATGTTTCCATTTTGTTTAGCATTGTAAATGCTTTGAGATGAGTTTATAATGGTTAAAAAATGTATTTGGCAGTAACATATAGTTAACCGTCATAACCTCATCTTTATCATTTCTAAAATGAAATAAATAAAAATTTCTATGGACATAAAGAAATACTGACTTAAAAACGCCTATGGCTGTGAGACAAACACACGGTATATTTACTTAGAAGATTAGTAATATTGACAAAAGAGATTCTTGATATTTCATAAAATGTGAATTTAATAATGTAGTATAGTTACAGTGCTTTCTTCATCAGAAAGAAAATTTTAAATGTTAGTGTGAACATTAATTTCTAGAGTGTGAGGCTTTTCACTGAACTCTCTGTAACTAATCTGCATAAATCATATGCATGCATTGTTTTTGACTTCCTGTTGCACATTCCTGAAATGAAATGCAAGAGAAATAGCCTTAGTGATAATGAGCATTGACAGCCAATCATGAGGCAGGATTTTCATCTCTGCCATCAAATATTGAGGCCAGAGAACATGCATTAATCATAAAACGATTTCATGTGCCTTTATTGTATGTTTGTCCTAAAAGGTTATGGAAACAAAAATATTTGCAGAAATAATGTCTTTCCAATAAGCCACCTGAGAGAGCTATGTTTAGAAAGTGAAATGACAAAGAATATTAGGTTTAAATAGAAACTTAGCTTCACAACTGAAGAGTAAAGCTATTGTACCAGTTCTCAATGATCAAGATCTAAAGAGGTAGAAGTAGTTAAAATAAATCTAGAAATATAACTGTTGTAACCACTTTGAGAAGGTAGGCAAATAGTTAAATAATTTGTGAGTCAATGCTACATAAATATAAGGTGATAGGTATTCATTTGCATAAATCTAGAAAAACATGCTTTTATGTTTTAATACATTTTTAGATAAATTAATTATTAAATATGTGTTGACCAAAGGAGCCAGGAGTCCATGGAGAATGGCTAATTCTTGCTGGGACAGGGAGAAGATAAGATGAGTATGGAGCAACCAAAAAGTTTAAAAAAAATTGTTTGAAAATAAAGCAATGATGACATGTACAAGATACACAGGAGCTATTCAGAAAGAACTTCCAATTGCCAAACTTGGAATAATTTAATCAATTGCCTAGTATTGCTTTATAACTCAAAGTATAAAATAAATATCCACAACTTCATACCAATGTAAAAAATAAATGAACAGACAAATACAGAAAATCTTCTTTATTACAGAAAAATTCCAAAAAATATGTAGACATTCTCGCCTCTAGGAAGTGAATAGAGACACTACCTGCCCCCTCCTTGACTGTTGGCCAGACTTAGATACTCGCTCCCAAACAATAGAATAGGGAAAAGTAGTATCTTCACAATGAAGAAGTTTGGCAGATACTCATTTATCAAGTGGTCAAAGTTGTATCATTAATGATCTCATGTGGATGTCATGATATTATGTGATGAGAAAGGGAGTTCATCTCTATGGTATTGTTCATAAAAACTGGCAAACTTAGTAGCATGAAAGAACATTAGACAAACCAAATATGAAAGCTATTCTGCAAAATATTTGACCAGTACTCTTCAAAACTCTAAAGGACATTTAAATAACAAGGAAAGAGTGAGAAACTCTCAGACCAGAGGAGTCTAAAGAGACATGATGATTAAATGCAACATGGTATCCTGGATTGGATGTTGGAAAAGAGAGAGGACATTATTGGAAACACTGATGAGATATGAGCTACCATTCCATTCATCATGCTATTTGTTGCCTGTACACCTTGTTTTTCGTTTTTCATTTTTGCTTTTTAAATTGTATTTTTGTTTTATAGGTCTTGTGAAATCTATGCTTTAACAAGGTTCTGTTTTGATGTGTTTTCAGAATTAGTTTCAAGATTTAGAGCTCCTTTCAGCAGTTCTTGTAGTGGTGGCTTGGGAGTGGCAAATTTTCTCAGCATTTGATTGTCTGAAAAAGACTATCTTTCCTTCATATATTATGCTTAGTTTTGCTGGGTACTAAATTCTTAGCTGATAATTGTTTTGTTTGAGGAGGCTGAAAGTAGGGCCCCAATCCCTTCTAGCTTGTAGGGTTTCTGCTGAGAAATCTGCTGTTAATCTGTAAGGCTTTCCTTTACAGGTTACCTGGTGCTTTTGTCTCACAGCTATTAAGATTATTTCCTTTGTCTTAACTTTAGATAACCTGATGACAGTGTGCCTAGGTAATGATATTTTTGCAATGAGTTTCCCAGGTGTTCTTTGTGTTGCTTGTATTTAGATGTCTAGGTCTCTAGCAAGGCTGGGGAAATTTTCCTCAATTATTCCCCCATATATGTTTCCCAAACTTTTAGATTCCTCTTCTCCCTCAGGAATGCTGGTTATTCTTCGGTTTGGTAGTTTAACACAATACCAGACTTCTTGGAGGCTTTGTTAATATTTTCTTATTCTTTCTTCTTTGTCATTGTTGGATGGAATTAATTCAAAGACCAATAGTAACACTGAATGTAAATGGCCTAAATGCTCCAATTAAAAGATACAGAACCACAGAAAGGATAAGAATTCACTAACTGACTATTTGCTGTCTTCAAGAGACTCACCTAATACATAAGGACTCACATAAACTTAAAGTAAAGGGGTAGAAACAGGCATTTCATGCAAATGGACACCAAAAGCGAGCTGGAGTAGCTATTCTAATATCAGACAAAACAAACTTTAAAGCAACAGCAGTAAGAAAGACAAAGAAGGACATTATATAATGGTAAAAGGCCTTTTCCAACAGGAAAATATCACAGTCCTAAACATATATACACCTAACACTGGAGCTCCCAAATTTATAAAACATTTACTAATAGACCAAGAAATAAGACAGACATCAACACAATGATAGTGGGGAACTTCAATACTCCACTGTCAGCACTAGACAGGTCATCAAGACAGAAAGTCAGCAAAGAAACAACGTACTTAAACTATATCTTGGAACAAATGGACTTAACAGATATATACAGAACATTCCATCCAACAACCACAGAATACACATTCTGTTCAACAGTGCATGGAACTTTTTCCAAGATAGACCATATAATAGGCCACAAAACAAGCCTCAATAAATTTAAGAAAATCGAAATTATATCAAGCAGTCTCTCAGACCACAGTGAAATAAAACTGGAAATCAACTCCAAAAGGAACCTTCAAAACCATGAAAATACATGGAAACTAAATAAACTGCTCCTGAATGATCACTGAGTCAAAAACAAAATCAAAATGGAAATTAAAAAATTCTTTGAACTGAACAACAATAATGACACAACCTATCAAAACCTGTGGGATACAGCAAAGGCTGTGCTAAGAGGAAAGTTCAAATGCCTACATCAAAAATACTGAAAGAACACAAACAAACAATCTAAGGTCATACCTCAATGAACTAGAGAAACAAGAACAAACCAAACCTAAACACAGCAGAAGAAGGGAAGTAACCAAGATCAGAGTAGAACTAAATGAAATTGAAACAAAAAAATACAAAAGATAAATGAAACGAAAAGCTGGTTCTCTGAAAAGATAAATAAAATTGATAGACCATTAGTGAGACTAATCAAGAAAAGAAGAGAGGAAATCCAAATAATCTCAATAAGAAACAAAATGGGAGACATTACAACCAACACCACAGAAATACAAAAGATCATTCAAGGATACTATGAACACTAGAAAACCTAGAAGTGATGGATACATTCCTGGAAAAATACAACCCTCCTAGATTAAATCAGAAAGAATTAGATACCCCGAACAAACCAATAACAAGTAGCAATATTGAAATGGTAATTTAAAAATTGCCAACAACAGAAAGTCCAGGACCAGACGGATTCACAGCAGAATTCTACCAGACATTCGAAGAAGAATTGGTACCAATCCTATTCACACTATTCCACAAGATAGAGAAAGAAGGAACCCTCTCTTCATTCTACGAAGCCAGCATCACCCTAATACCAAAACCAGGACAGGACATAACCAAAAAAGAAAACTACAGACCAATATCCCTGATGAACATAGATGCTAAAATCCTTAACAAAATACTAGCTAACCAAATCCAACAACATATCAAAAAGATAATTCACCATGATCAAGTGGGTTTCATACCAGGGATGCAGGGGTGGTTTAACATATGCAAGTCAATAAATGTGATACACCACATAAAGAGATTTAAAAACAAAAATCACATGATGATCTCAATAGATGCAGAAAAAGCATTCAACAGAATCCAGCATCCTTTATGATTAAAACTCTCAGCAAAATCGGCATACAAGGGACATACCTCAATGTCATAAAAGCCATCTATAACAAACCCACAGCCAACATAATACTGAATGGGGAAAAGTTGAAAGCATTCCCTCTGAGAATTGGAACAAGACAAGGTTGTCCACTCTCACCACTTCTATTCAACATAGTACTGGAAGTCCTATCCAGAGCAATCACACAAGAGAAAGAAAAAAAGGGCATCCAAATCAGTAAGGAGAAAATCAAACTGTCACTGTTTGCCGATGATATGATTTTTTATCTCAAAAACCCAGTCTATCATTGTTGGACATTTGGGTTGGTTCCAAGTCTTTGCTATTGTGAATAGTGCCACAATAAACATACGTGTGCATGTGTCTTTATAGCAGCATGATTTATACTCATTTGGGTATATACCCAGTAATGGGATGGCTGGGTCAAATGGTATTTCTAGTTCTAGATCCCTGAGGAATCGCCACACTGACTTCCACAATGGTTGAACTAGTTTACAGTCCCACCAACAGTGTAAAAGTGTTCCTATTTCTCCGCATCCTCTCCAGCACCTGTTGTTTCCTGACTTTTTAATGATTGCCATTCTAACTGGTGTGAGATGATATCTCATAGTGGTTTTGATTTGCATTTCTCTGATGGCCAGTGATGATGAGCATTTCTTCATGTGTTTTTTGGCTGCATAAATGTCTTCTTTTGAGAAGTGTCTGTTCATGTCCTTCGCCCACTTTTTGATGGGGTTGTTTGTTTTTTTCTTGTAAATTTGTTTGAGTTCATTGTAGATTCTGGATATTAGCCCTTTGTCAGATGAGTAGGTTGCAAAAATTTTCTCCCATGTTGTAGGTTGCCTGTTCACTCTGATGGTAGTTTCTTTTGCTGTGCAGAAGCTCTTTAGTTTAATTAGATCCCATTTGTCAATTTTGTCTTTTGTTGCCATTGCTTTTGGTGTTTTGGACATGAAGTCCTTGCCCACGCCTATGTCCTGAATGGTAATGCCTAGGTTTTCTTCTAGGGTTTTTATGGTTTTAGGTTTAACGTTTAAATCTTTAATCCATCTTGAATTGATTTTTGTATAAGGTGTAAGGAAGGGATCCAGTTTCAGCTGTCTACATATGGCTAGCCAGTTTTCCCAGCACCATTTATTAAATAGGGAATCCTTTCCCCATTGCTTGTTTTTCTCAGGTTTGTCAAAGATCAGATAGTTGTAGATATGCGGCATTATTTCTGAGGGCTCTGTTCTGTTCCATTGATCTATATCTCTGTTTTGGTACCAGTACCATGCTGTTTTGGTTACTGTAGCCTTGTAGTATAGTTTGAAGTCAGGTAGTGTGATGCCTCCAGCTTTGTTCTTTTGGCTTAGGATTGACTTGGCAATGCGGGCTCTTTTTTGGTTCCATATGAACTTTAAAGGAGTTTTTTCCAATTCTGTGAAGAAAGTCATTGGTAGCTTGATGGGGATGGCATTGAATCTGTAAATTACCTTGGGCAGTATGGCCATTTTCACGATATTGATTCTTCCTACCCATGAGCATGGAATGTTCTTCCATTTGTTTGTCTCCTCTTTTATTTCCTTGAGCAGTGGTTTGTAGTTCTCCTTGAAGAGGTCCTTCACATCCCTTGTAAGTTGGATTCCTAGGTATTTTATTCTCTTTGAAGCAATTGTGAATGGGAGTTCACCCATGATCTGGCTCTCTGTTTGTCTGTTGTTGGTGTATAAGAATGCTTGTGATTTTTGTACATTGATTTTGTATCCTGAGACTTTGCTGAAGTTGCTTATCAGCTTAAGGAGATTTTGGGCTGAGACGATGGGGTTTTCTAGAAAATGTGGCACATATACACCATGGAATACTATGCAGCCATAAAAAATGATGAGTTCATATCCTTTGTAGGGACATGGATGAAATTGGAAACCATCATTCTCAGTAAACTATCGCAAGAACAAAAAACCAAACACCGCATATTCTCACTCATAGGTGGGAATTGAACAATGAGATCACATGGACACAGGAAGGGGAATATCACACTCTGGGGACTGTGGTGGGGTCGGGGGAGGGGGGAGGGATAGCATTGGGAGATATACCTAATGCTAGATGACACATTAGTGGGTGCAGCGCACCAGCATGGCACATGTATACATATGTAACTAACCTGCACAATGTGCACATGTACCCTAAAACTTAGAGTATAATTAAAAAAAAAAAAAAAAAAACCCTAAAGACTCCTCCAGAAAGCTCCTAGAACTGATCAAAGAATTCAGCAAAGTTTCTGGATACAAGATTAATGTATGCAAATCAGTAGCTCTTCTATACACCAACAGTGACCAAGTAGAGAACCAAATCAAGAACTCAACCTTTTTCGCAATAGCTGCAAAAATAAATTAAATACTTAGGAATATACCTAACCAAGGAGGCAAAAGATCTCTACAAAGAAAACTATGAAGCACTGCTGAAAGAAATCATAGACAACACAAACAAATGGAAACACATCCCATGCTCATGGATGGGTAGAATCAATATTGTGAAAATGACCATACTCCCAAAAGCAATCTACAAATTCAAGGCTATCTCCATCAAAATACCACCATCATTCTTCAAATAATTAGAAAAAACAATTATAAAATTCATATGGAACCAAAAAAGTGTCTGTATAGCCAAAGCAAGATTAAGCGAAAAGAACAAATCTGGAGGCATCACACTACCTGATTTCAAACTATACTATAAGGAAATAGTCATCAAAACAGCATGTTACTGGTATAAAAATAGGCACATAGACCAATGAACAGAATAGAAAGCCCAGAAATAAACCCAAATAAGTATAGCCAACTGATCTTCAACAAAGCAAACAAAAATATAAAGTGGGGAAGGTACACCCTTTTCATTATCTTTTTTTTGAGACAGAGTCTTGCTCTGTTGCCCAGGCTGGAGTGCAGTGGTATGATCTTGGCTTACTGCAAGCTCCACCTCCTGGGTTCACACCATTCTCCTGCCTCAGCCTCCCGAGTAGCTGGGACTACAGGTGCCCGCCACCATGTCCAGCTAATTTTTTTTTTTTGTATTTTTAGTGGAGATGGGGTTTCACAGTGTTAGCCAGGATGGTCTCAATCTCCTGACCTTGTGATCAGCCCACCTTGGCCTCCCAAAGTGCTGGGATTACAGGTGTGAGTCACCACGCCCAGCCTGGGACACCCTTGTCAACAAATGGTGCTGGGATAATTGGCTAGCCATATGTAGGAGAAAGAAACTGGATCCTCATCTCTTACCTCATACAAAAATCAACTCAAGATGTATTAAGGACTTAAATCTAAGACCTGAAACTATAAAAATTCTGGAAGATAACATTGGAAAAGCCCTTCTAGACACTGGCATAGGCAAAGATTTCATGACCAGGAGCCCAAAAACTAATGCAATAAAAACAAAGATAAACAGCTGGGACTTACTTAATTAAACTAAAGAACTTCTGCACAGCAAAAGGAACAGTCAGCAGAGTAAACAGACAACCTACAGAGCAGGAGAAAATGTTCACAATCTCTACATCTGACAAAGAACTAATATCCAGAATCTACAATGAGCTCAAACAAATCAGAAAGAAAAAAAAAATCCTATCAAAAAGTGAGCTAAGGACATTAATAGACAATTCACAAAAGAAAATATACAAATGGCCAACAAACATATGAAAAAATGCTCAACATCACTAATGATCAGGGAAATGCAAATCAAAACCACAATGTGATACCACCTTACTCTTGCAAGAATGGCCATAATAAAAAAAATCAACAAAACAGTAGATGTTGACCTGAATGTGGTTATCAGGGAACACTTCTACACTGCTGGTGGGAATGTAAACTAGTACAACCACTATGGAAAACAGTGTGGAGATTCCTTAAACAACTAACAGTGGATCTACCATTTGATCCAGCAATCCCACTACTGGGTATCCACCCAGAGGAAGAAAAGTCATTATACAAGAAAGATACTTTCACACGCATGTTTATAGTGGCACAATTCACAATTGCAAAATCGTGGAACCAACCCAAATGCCCATCGATCAATGACGGGATAAAAAAAAAACTGTGAGAGATATATATATGATGGGATACTACTCAGCCATAAAAAGGAATAAATTAATGGCTTTTCAGTGACCTGGATGAGACTGGAGACTATTATTCTAAGTGAAGTAATTCAGGAATTGAAAGCCAAACATCTTATGTTCTCACTGACAGGTGGAGGCTAAGGTATGAGGACACAAAGGCATAAGAATGATATAATGGACTTTGGGGACTTGGAGGGGAGGGTGGGAGAGGTCACAAGGGATAAAAGGCTACAAATAGGGTGCAGTGTTTACTGCTCAGGTGATGAGGGCACCAAAATGTCACCAATCACCACTAAAGAACTTACTCATGTAACCAAACACCACCTGTTCCCCAATAACCTATGGAAAAAAAAAAGAAAGAAAGAAAACACTCTTAAGGCCAGGCATGGTGGCTCACGCCTCTAATCCCAGCACTTTGGGAGGCCAGCATGAGTGAGTCACTTGAGTCCAGGAGTTTCAGACCAGCCTGGCCAATATGGCGAAATCCCATTTCTATTAAAAATACAAAATTTAGCTGGGTGTGATGGTGCAGGCCTATAATCCCAGCTACTCCAAAGGCTAAGGTGGGAGGGTTGCTTGAACCCAGAGTTTGCAGTGAGCTGAGATCACACCACTGCACTGCAGGTTGGGTAACAGAGGGAGACTCTGCCAAAAAAAAAAAAAAAAAAAAAGGCACTGGTGAAATTTGAATTAATTCTAGAGATTAGTAGATAGTGATGCACAGCACAGGTACACCTCCATTCATTGTGTTTTGCTTTATTGCCCTTTGTGCATACTGCATTTTTTGCAGATTGAAGGTTTGTTGAAACCCTGTGTTGAACAAGTCTATTTTTCCAGCATGTCCTCATTTCATGTTTCTGTGTCACATTTTGGTAATTCTGGCAATATTTTAAATATTTCATTATTATTATGTCTGCTATGGTAATCTATGATCAGTGATCTTTGAATTTACTATTGCAATGACACTCTTATAAAACAGCAAACTTAATAAAAGTGTGTTTTCTGACCGGCTATACCCCCTATATTCCCTCTACTCAGACCTCCATATTCCCTGAGAAATGCAATATTGAAATTAGAACGATGAATAACTTTACAATGGTCTCTAAGTGTTCAAATAAAAGGAAGAGTTACATGTTTTTACTTTAAATGAAAACCTAAAAATGACTAAGTTCAGTGAGGAAGGCATGTCAAAAGACCATATAGGCCAAAGGCAAGGCTTCTTGGGCCAAACAGTAACCCAAGTTGTAAATGCAAAGAAACAGGTCTTAAGGAAGTTAAAAGTGAACACGGGAATGCTAAGAAAGTGAAATCAAGTTATTATAGCTTATATGGAGGAAATCTAAGGGGTCTGGATGGAAGATCAAACAGGCTACAGTATTCCCTTAAGTCCAAAGCCTAATCTAGAATAAGGCCCTACCTCTCTTTAATTCGATATTGGCTGAGCAAAGTGAGGAAGCTGCAGAAGAAAAGTTTGAAGCTAGCAGAGATTGGTTCATGAGGTTTAAGAAGGCATCTCCATCACATTAAAGTACAAGATGAAGCATCAAGTGCTCATGTAGCAGCTGCAGCAAGTTATTCAGAAGATCTAGTTAAGGTCATTGATGAAGGTGGGTACACTAAACAACAGATTTTCATTGTAGATGAAACAGACTTATATTGGAAGAAGATACCATTTAGGATTTTCATCGCTGGAGCAAAGAAGACAATGCCTGGCTTCGCAGCTTCGAAAGGCAGCTGACTGTCTTTTGTTAGGGGCTAATGCAGCAATGCGCATTTACCACTTTGAAAATTTAAGGCCCTTAAGAATTATGCTGAATCTACTCTGCCTGTGCTCTATACATAGAAAAACAAAGCCTGGATGACCACACATCTGTTTTCATCATGGTTTACTGAATATTTTAAGCCCACTGTTAAGACTTATGGCTCAGTTAAAAAAATTCTTTGCAAATTTTGCAAATATTACTGCTCATTGACAATGCACCTAGTCACCCAGGAGCTCTGATGGAGATTAACATTGTTTTCATGCCTGCTAACAAAACATTCATTCTGCAGCCCATGGATCAAGGATTCATTTTGAATTTTAAGTCTTATTGTTTAAGAAATACACTTCATAAGGCTATAGCTGCAAAAGATAGTGATTCCTCACTGGATCTGAGCAAATTAAATTGAAAACCTTCTGGGAAGAACTCACCATTCTAGACGCCATTAAGAACATTTGTAATTTATGAGGTGAGGTCAAAATATTAACATTTACAGGAGTTTGGAAGAAGTTAATGCCAACTCTCATGGATGAATTTGAGGATTTCAAGACTTCAGCAGAGGAAGAAGCTGCACATGTGGTGGTAATAGCAAGATAACTAGAATTAGAAATGAGCCTGTAGATGTAGCTGAATTACCGCAATCTCATGCTAAATCTTTAATGGATGAGGAGTTGCTTCTTAGCGATAAGCCAAGAAAGTGGTTTGCTGAGATGGATTGTAGTACTGGTAAAGATGCTGTGAACATTGTAGAAATGACAACAAATAATTTAAAGTATTACATAATTTTACTTAATAAAGCAGTGGCAGGGTTTGAGTATACTATCAAACAGCATCTCATGCTACAGAGAAATCTTTTAGTGAAAGGAAGAGTCAATGTGGCAAACTTCGCTGTTGTCCTTTCTTTTTTAAATTGCCATAGCCATCTCAGCCATCAGGAACCAACATCACTCTGATCAGCTAGTAGCCATCAACAGTCAGGCAAGACCTTCCACCAGCAAAGAGATTATAACTAGCTGACAGTTCAGAGGATTGTTAGCTTTTTTTAGCAATGAATTATTTTTACATTAAGATATACACATTGGTTTTAGACACAATGCTATTGCATACTTAATAGATTACAGTACAGTGTAAGCATATTTATATGCAGTGGGAAGACAAACTATTTGTGTGACTTGCTTTATTAGGATATTACCTTTGTTGGAGTTGTTTGGGACTGAACCCGCAATATTTTTGAGGTGTACCTGCACTAATATTGTGTTCTTAGTTTTGACAAATGAACTTCAATAGTGGAAGATAACAACATTAAATAAAACTGAAATTGGGTGAAAGTTATACAGAAAATATCTGTACAATCTTTGCAATGTTCCTGTGAATATATTTTTTGAACATAAAAAGCTTATTAAAACATATACTTGTCATCAATCCTCTTGAAATTAACATTATGAATGCCAAAAAATAATGTATTTTTCTAATTATTACTTATGAGAAATCCAGCATGCTTTATTGTTTTCCTCCATGGTTTCTCCCAGCTGTGGTATTTTTTTTCTTAATGTTAGATACTATTCTCAATATTACATAGTCCATGAAATATGGTCAATATGTATTATTATCCCAGTTTTATTTATTCAGTGCTTAGGAAAAATCATATTGCCTACTACTTTAATTGCATGTTAGCAAATATAACACAAGTTGGGCAAAGCCTTATTTTAGTTAGATTTAGTTAATGACATACCACATAGTAAGTAATAGAGGATAGGATTCAGATATACATCATAATATTAAAACTTGATATTGTTGATGAAATCAACATATGGTTGAAGCAGTTTTATCTATCAATTCCACCTTGAATTAGCATAGGAGGTGAGAAGAGAAGGCTAAGGGATAACAAGTAAACATAAAAAAATTCAGTTCCTGAACCTGTTCCACAGGTACACAGTGCTGAATGTTGTTTCTCCTTAAGTATCAAGGAAATTATGTTGTGAATTTGGATCAGCGATATGATTTTTGTTGTGTAGCCAATGAACAATTTTCTCCAGTTGGGATACGTGTGAAAATTGCCCAGAAGAAATGCTTGAAATGATGAGATTTTCAGATAGCTTGTTTTGGGCCAAACCCTTTTGGTCTAGTTCCATTATATTCCCTAATTCATAGCACTGTTATGAACACACAGTTACAATTCCATCTAAATAGATATGGTAGATGCATAAGAACTGAATAAGTGCATTCAATGCACAATTGCCACACTCTTGCTCTGAAAAAATAGGAAAATGACGTGAAAATGGATTCCAAGTGTTCATGTAAGGGAAGAATAATTTCCCATTCCATTTTCCCAAATCATAGTCAAAATTCTCTTCCTAGACTCTCTGATTTCTTTTTAGAGATGGGGGAGGGGGAAATAAAGTAATAAAGCTCTTTATCAAGATTATCACACTTATTTTCCTTTTTGTCACGTGTCCTGCAAGCTTTTCTCATTTTCCAAATTGTTCTTGTTAAAGGATAAAAACAATGAAGAACATGGTGTGCAACCCATTTCGTTTTTGAACCCGTGGTTATAACATAGTTGAGTTTTCTTCGCATATGAAATTTTAAGGTATATGGCTCAATGAGGAAGTAGAACATATTTGAAAGACAATTTACAATAAATTCTGCTTGTTTTCTATCCAAAATTTTGTGTATTAGAGCTCTTTATAGTCCTTTGTGGATAAGCAGTCAAGAAAATTCTGTAAAAGTGCCTAGTTCTTTTTTTTTTTCTTTTTTTTATTATTATTATACTTTAAGTTTTAGGGTACATGTGCACAATGTGCAGGTTAGTTACATATGTATACATGTACCATGCTGGTGTGCTGCACCCATTAACTCGTCATTTAGCATTAGGTATATCTCCTAATGCTATCCCTCTCCCCTCCCCCAACTCCACAACAGTCCCCAGAGTGTGATGTTCCCCTTCCTGTGTCCATGTGTTCTCATTCTTCAATTCCTATCTATGAGTGAGAACATGTGGTGTTTGGTTTTTTGTCCTTGCGATAGTTTACTGAGAATGATGATTTCCAATTTCATCCATGTCCCTACAAAGGACATGAACTCATCATTTTTTATGGCTGCATAGTATTCCATGGTGTATATGTGCCACATTTTCTTAATCCAGTCTATCATTGTTGAACATTTGGGTTGGTTCCAAGTCTTTGCTATTGTGAATAGTGCCGCAATAAACATACGTGTGCATGTGTCTTTATAGCAGTATGATTTGTAATCCTTCGGGTATATACCCAGTAATGGGATGGCTGGGTCAAATGGTATTTCTAGTTCTAGATCCCTGAGGAATCACCACACTGACTTCCACAATGGTTGAACTAGTTTACAGTCCCACCAACAGTGTAAAAGTGTTCTTATTTCTCCACATCCTCCCCAGCACCTTTTGTTTCCTGACTTTTTAATGATTGCCATTCTAACTGGTGTGAGATGGTATCTCATTGTGGTTTTGATTTGCATTTCTCTGATGGCCAGTGATGATGAGCATTTTTTCATGTGTCTTTTGGCTGCATAAATGTCTTCTTTTGAGAAGTGTCTGTTCATATCCTTGGCCCACTTTTTGATGGGGTTGTTTGTTTTTTTCTTGTACATTTGTTTGAGTTCATTGTGGATTCTGGATATTAGCCCTTTGTCAGATGAGTAGGTTGCAAAAATTTTCTCCCATTTTGTAGGTTGCCTGTTCACTCTGATGGTAGTTTCTTTTGCTGTGCAGAAGCTCTTTAGTTTAATTAGATCCCATTTGTCAATTTTGGCTTTTGTTGCCATTGCTTTTGGTGTGTTAGACATGAAGTCCTTGCCCATGCCTATGTCCTGAATGGTAATGCCTAGGTTTTCTTCTAGGGTTTTTATGGTTTTAGGTCTAACGTTTAAGTCTTTAATCCATGAAAAGTGCCTAGTTCTATGATATTATACTCTCTCCTAGTATTCCTTCTATTCTGATAATTCTATCTATGAGCCTTACAGTTTGAAGGTGTAAGGGAATACCAATGAAATCTGACAGAGTACTGAAGTAGAACTCCTTCACAAAAGTTTTTACTTCCATACTACATTACCCTTGCCAGAAAAGAATTTCTCAAATTTTTGCCTTTCAAGCATAGCATTGTTTTCTTTTAAGGCAGAACTATAATCTCTCTGTTAAGTTCAAAACAATTCTCTCTCTTCTCACTGTGTATGTATACAGCTATATTTAATGCATATTACATAGCTATAAGAACATGCCTATGTTTTTCTCTCCATTAGAAAGTGGGTTGGTTGACTCCATGAATCCATGTTATTAATCTAATTTTTCTACTGGAGCTTACAAAATGCTGTAGACATAGTCACTGGACATAAATGACACTTCTGACAAAATACAGACATTCCTTCTTACTGGTTTATGCATGCAAATAAAAACAAGTCACTTCTGGCAATTACATATGCCCAATTATGTTGTTACTTTCCACCTGAAGCATTCATTAGGGATATGTTGCCTTCCAGAAAGTTTTTAGTTGCACAATTGCCACAGTTAAAATTCTAGGTTCAAGTACCAATACCTTGACATTTGGCTGAGTATGGCAACTACAGACAGAAAATATTTGTGTGACATGATGAATGTGTTTTTACTTGGAACATTTTTTCCACCAACGACATATAAATATACTTTGTCACTTCCAAGTATAGATGCTTAGTAAATAGTTTCATATCATGGTGACCCCATCCCTTTACCCCACAACATTTAGAATGTCAATGAGTAACTTAGAATTAAAATCTGTAGCTGTTCAAGACAGATGAATAAAAAAAAGACACATTTATGCCTCTGAGTGCACCAGAAGGTGCAAAGTTTATTGTTCTACCACATGCTGCAGACTTTATTATTTCTACAGTGAAATCTACAAACATAATGAAATTGAATTGAATATCTAAAGGTGGATATGTACCTTGAGGGCACTTCACAAATTCTCACACTGAGAGAAGAAAGAGCAAGCACATAAAGAAAAGACAGAAAAAATATATATAACCTAAACTGGAAACTACTGAGAAGAATAAGAAATAATAAGATTGGAGAATTGATAGAATAATGAACTGGAAATTCCTTTTTTAATCCAGACTCTGAGCAAAAGATTTGATATGCATATTTCCTGGTTGAACAAAGTAACTGGAGTTTTATTATAACATTATAAGTATTATACAGTTATCAATTTTATAACTAATGTATATATAGAAAATATATCTTGATCGATGTTGAATTAATTAGTATCAATCTTAAAAATACAATTGAATATTGAGCTTTATTTTCTTAACTATATTTTTGCCTGAATTATGTAGATAGCTTTTGAATCCTCTATTCTATTTAAATACAAGTGAAACTTTTGATGAAGCAGAAAATAACATGAAATTTATGTTCAGGAAATGTGAGCAACATGCTTTCAGATGAGTATATAGGTGAGCAGGAACTAATGTTTGGATGGTTATTAACAAAAGGTCATTTAGCTCAGTTTTTTATATAAACTAGTTATTACTTGAGGAAGGATTTATCTATCAGGTCTGCTTATATATAATTTTCAATCTAGATGTTTTCTAGAAATTCCTTTATTACTTTTAATCCCGATAGCCATTTATCACCTATGTGTTCCTATAAAAATTTTGAATGTCCTATGGTTCCCATTGACTATATATTAACATCCAACAGATGGAAGCACAGCAGAGATGTGTATAATGAGACAGTAGGACAATGTCATGATGGAGTTCTTTATTCCACAGTTAAAAAAAAAAGTCTATTGATATGATAGTCTTAAAAACCTGAAAAACATGCCTGACGATTTTTCTACTGACATTGGAAATGTTGGTTTTTATTAGGTGTGATAAAGTTTCTAACAATGACTATCACTTTACCTGTTATTATTCATATAATATATAAAACGACATTCTCACATTTTCAATGAGTGGTTCACTACATGACATTTTCTATGCATAGGAGAATGGCCAGAAAACAAATTAAGAAAGGGAGAGTTGATAAATAATCAACGCTAAGTATGTGTTAACTTGGTGTCAGAATTATCCGTGAAGATGTGTTATGTGTCAAAATGTAAGAAATTAGTAATTAAATATATAAACAGGATAAAGGATGATATAAACTTCCGTTGATGGAAAAGTAAACAATAGTAGCACAATAGAATTGTGGTTTCAAATAATTCCATTTTCTTTCCAGCAAAGTTAAAACATCAACAGTGACAGATTTAACTAAATAGCATCAAAAACAGTAGTCAGATTATAAAAAATAACTTATTTACACTCAAGTACATAAAATTGACTCCAGGTACATTTGTACATTAGAATCTTTTCCTCAACTTTCTATAATTTTACAGTAATTCAAATACTTTTTATCCTTTCACGGTACCTATTGTCAATACTAAAATGTCTGATAAAAACAAATCTCATTAGGTAGACATATAATGGATTACCTCATTATTTAGATTACATGTTATCTAAAGAATCTACCTGAAGAGGGCAATACTAAACCCAAAGTAATGAATCTCTAATGATAGACTGGCAGGTATTATGAAAACTGAGTAAAAAGGCTATTTTACACCAAAAGCAATGGCAACAAAAGCCAAAATTGACAAATTGGATCTAATTAAACTAAAGAGCTTCTGCACAGCAAAAGAAACTACCATCAGAGTGAATAGGCAACCTACAGAATGGGAGGAAATTTTTGCAATCTACTCATCGGACAAAGGGCTAATATCCAGAATCCACAATGAACTCAAACAAATGTACAAGAAAAAAACAAACAACCCCATCAAAAAGTGGGCCAAGGATATGAACAGACACTTCTCAAAAGAAGACATTTATGCAGCCAAAAGACACATGAAAAAATGCTCATCATCACTGGTCATCAGAGAAATGCAAATCAAAACCACAATGAGATACCATCTCACACCAGTTAGAATGGCAATCATTAAAAAGTCAGGAAACAACAGGTGCTGGAGAGGATGTGGAGAAATAGGAACACTTTGACACTGTTGGTGGGACTGTAAACTAGTTCAACCATTGTGGAAGTCAGTGTGGTGATTCCTCAGGGATCTAGAACTAGAATTACCATTTGACCCAGCCATCCCATTACTGGGTATATACCCAAAGGATTACAAATCATACTGCTATAAAGACACATGCACACGTATGTTTATTGCGGCACTATTCACAATAGCAAAGACTTGGAACCAACCCAAATGTCCAACAATGATAGACTGGATTAAGAAAATGTGGCACATATACACCATGGAATACTATGCAGCCATAAAAAATGATGAGTTCATGTCCTTTGTAGGGACATGGATGAAGCTGGAAACCATCATTCTCAGCAAACTATCGCAAGGACAAAAAACCAAACACCGCATGTTCTCACTCATAGGTGGGAATTGAAGAATGAGAATACTTGGACACAGGAAGGGGAACATCACATTCTGGGGCCTGTTGTGGGGTGGGCGGAGGGGGGAGGGATAGCATTAGGAGATGTACCTAATGTTAAATGTGGAGTTAATGGGTGCAGCACACCAACATGGCACATGTGGCACATGTATACATATGTAACTAACCTGCACATTGTGCACATGTACCCTAAAACTTAAAGTATAATTTAAAGAAAAAAAAGGAGATAAGAGATTTTTGAGTAAAACTACAGAAAAAGAGAGGGTTCTCTCCCTCCTAGTTGGCCTGATGCTGTCTTTATTAGGGCTTATTGTTTGGGAAGCTGAGTCTCCTCACTATCAAAGGGTAAGCTGTTTTGTATTACCATTTTTGCTAAATGAATGGCTATTTTATAGTGACTTGTAATCCTGTTTTGTGATGTCAAGTGTCTTAAAACTTTGATCTCTAACAAACTTTCCAATGGCAAAATTTCAAGTTCTAAATTCAGTCTTTTTGACCTCAAACTAACTTTTTTGGGTATAAGGTTCCCTGAATCCAAGAGAGACATATTAGGTTTATTCGGCTTATTTGTTATGTTAGAATTATGCAGGAAGCATTGTCAATCTCAGGTGGTGTTCAGCTTCCTTTGGGTTTTATTTATTTATTTATCTATTATTTATTTTTTAGATGGGTCTTGCTCTGTTGCCCAGGTTGGAGTGCAGTGGCACAATCTTAGCTCACTGCAGCCTCTGCCTCCCAGATTCAAGAGATTTTTGTGCCTCAGGCTCCCAAGTAGCTGGGATTACAGGCATGAATCACCACGCCCAACTAATTTTTGTATTTTTAGTGGAGATAAGGTTTCACCATGTTGGCCAGGCTGGTCTTGAACTCCTGACCTCAGGTGATCCACTCGCCTTGGCCTCCGGAAGTTCCAGGATGATATGACAGTTATAAAATGAATACATGTCTTAATATATGTTGTCACAGTAATTATTATTATTATGTTAAGTTGTATGCCACAGGAATAACAAAATACTCTTGTTAACTGTGCCTTTAACTATGGCTGTCTTAAAACTTTTGTCATCCACAATTGTAGTTTTGCTTTGATCCTTCTCAAAAAGTGACTTATAATCAGCTACAGTCCAGGGCTTTCTTCTTTGGGGAAGTTTATGAAAAATTCAACCTCTCGAATGCAGTTTTCTGATAACTTTGTAGACTGTGCCATTGGATTAGAGAGAAAACTTCCAGGGCACTAATTGAAATGCTGATATGTTCATAAAGATTGCTAACTCAATATGAAGGATACCAGAAGTTGATTGCATGGACTGAATTAATGGAGACTGAAATAATTTGTTATGGTTTTTTCGTTTGAAATATTGCTGATTCTTTTTGTTTTGTTTTTCAGAGTCTGGAGAATTTTTTTCTTTGGAGCTTTTTATTGCCTCTGAGTATACTTTAAGTATATTGAATACAGTATGCTTTCCTCAAACAGAATTTGAGGCATAGTTCTCTCTATGCCTAACTTATCCAGAATTTGTAAATTATTTGTGAATATTCTTAATTCATGGCAATGTGTTTGTTTGCATAAGTTCAATAAGAATCTATTTTATTTTACACTGTGACACAGGTGGATGAACTGGCTATTTTCCCAGGTCTTTGACTGAAATGGCCTTGTGAGAGGTTCCAGCAAGGCCAATTTAGGAGAGCCTATGTGGACAGCAATTCTTGCTGCACTTTGTGGGATAATCAGGCCACGTTTATGGGACTCCAGCTTATTTTGCGGGTAGATTTGTCTCGCTGAGATTTGTCTTTGGTGGAAGTAGGGGACTGGAAAAAGAAAGATTGTTTCAGAAGAAAAGGATAGTATTAGATTAACCTTTGATTCCTGGGGGGCCACATAGCCACCCATGGTATGAGGCTGCCCAGGATGCCCCTCCTCAATATGAAGCATCCAGAATGATCAACAAGATTCCCCATGAATGAGGAATTGATATTTATGTACCTGGTATATGATTCTTTTTTTAAGATGGGGTCTCTGTCTATCGCCCAGACTGGAATGCAGTGGTGCTATCTTGGCTCACTGCAACCTCTGCCTCCTGGTCCAAGTGATTCTCCTGCCTCAGCCTCCTGAGTAGCTGGGATTACAGGTGTGTGCCACCATGCCTGACTAATTTTGTGTTTTTAATAGAGATGTGGTTTCAGTATATTGGCCAGGCTGGTCTTGAAATCCTGACCTCAAGTGATCTGGCTGCCTCAGCCTCCCAAAGTGCTGGGATTACATTCGTGAGTTACTGCACCCAGCCTATTTAAAAAAAAAAAAAAACAAGCCCAAAAACCTATAAACCATTTAAATTTAGCAGTGGAGGGTTTTATACCAACTTTAGTGACACTAAATGTTAATAAGTTCTGATAACCCACTATCATTGGACCAACCTGTACTATAATTTTTGTCATTATTTTAGAGCGTATGGTTAGAAGTTAACCGTAAAACAGCCTCAGGCAGGTCCCTCAGGAGGTATCCAAAAGTGGGCATTGTTATCATAGGAGGCGACAGCTCCATGCCTGTTATTGCCCCTGAAGACCTTCCAGTGGGACAAGATGTGGGGATGGAAGACAGTGATATTGATAATCCTGACCCTGTGTAGGCTGAGGCTAACGTGTGTGTCTATGTCTTGGTTTTTTTAACAAAAAACTATTAAAAAGTAAAAAAAAAAGAAAAATTTAATTAAAAAAGCTTATAAAATGAGGATATAAAGAAGACATTTTTGTACAGCTGTACAATATGTTTGTGTTGTAAGTGAAGTGTTATTACAAAAAAGTAAAAAAGTTAAAAAAAGTTTAAACATTTATAAAGTTTAAAAGTTACAGTAAGCTAAGGTTAATTTATTATTGGAGAAAACAATTTTAATTAATTAGTGTAGCTTAAGTGTGCAGCGCTTGTGAAGTCTGCAGTAGTGTATAGTAGTGCCCTAGGCCTTCACATTCACTCACCACTTACTAACTCACCCACAGCAATTTCCAATCTTGCAAGCTCCATTTATTTATGGTAAGTACTCTATACAAGCATATCTTTAAAAAAAATTTTATACTATATTTTTACTGTACCTTTTCTATGGGCCTGTGAGGTCTGTGCGTTCCCGCGTCCCCCAGCTCCCCCCGCAGCCGGCTCCTCAGTGGTCCGCTCTGGTTGCCAGGTGCAGATTCTGTTCCTAACTGAAAGCTGAGTGTTCTCCGCAGCTTATTGTGGCCCCGACAAGCCTGGGTAACTGCGGCCATCGCCAGAGCAGCCTTGGCGCTATGGAGGCGCCCAGGGCTACCCCTCAGCCTTACTGGGGGCTGGTCCTGGAGGAGCCACGCAGGGTTATGGCAGCACTG
This sequence comes from Homo sapiens, assembly GCF_000001405.40. Taxonomy (NCBI): domain Eukaryota; kingdom Metazoa; phylum Chordata; class Mammalia; order Primates; family Hominidae; genus Homo; species Homo sapiens. The sequence continues at coordinate 58,528,693 of NC_000013.11, forward strand.
ACTGAAGGCAGGAGACCAGATTCGAATCCTTATGGATTACCATGGGAATTGGTGATATGTGCCGCTGTCGTTGGATTTTTTGCTGTTCCCTTTTTCTTGTGGAGAAGTTTTAGATCGGTTAGGAGTCGGCTTTATGTGGGAAGAGAGAAAAAGCTTGCTGTAGCACTTTCTGGACTAATTGAAGAAAAATGTAGACTACTTGAAAAATTTAGCCTTGTTCAAAAAGAGTATGAAAGCTATGAAATAGAGTCATCTTTAGACGATTCCAGCTTTGAGAAGGAGGCAACAGAAGCACAGAGTTTGGAGGCAACCTGTGAAAAGCTGAGCAGGTCCAATTCTGAACTGGAGCATGAAATACCCTGTCTAGAAAAGGAGTTAAAAGAAGAGAAATCTAAACATTCTGAACAAGATGAGGTGATGGCGGATATTTCCAAAAGGATACAGTCTCTAGAAGATGAGTCAAAATCCCTCAAATCCCATGTAGCTGAAGCCAAAATGACCTTCAAGAGATTTCAAATGAATGAAGAAAGAATGAAGATAGGAATACAATATGCTTTAAATGAAAATTCTCAACTTCAGGAAAGCCAGAAACAGCTTTTGCAAGAAGCTGAAGCATGGAAAGAACAAGTGAGTGAACTTAATAAACAACAGAAAATAACATTTGAAGACTCCAAAGTACACGCAGAACAAGTTCTAAATGATAAAGAAAATCACATCAAGACTCTGACTGAACGCTTGCTAAAGATCACAAAGATCAGGCTGCTGTGCTGGAAGAAGACATAACAGATGATGGTAACTTGGAATTAGAAATGAACAGTGAATCAGAAGATGGTGCTTACGTAGATAATCCTCCAAAAGGAGCTTTGAAGAAACTGCTTCATGCTGCTAAGTTAAATGCTTCTTTAACAACCTTAGAAGGAGAAAGAAACCAAATTTATATTCAGTTATCTGAAGTTGATAAAACCAAGGAAGAGCTTAGAGGGCATATTAAAAATCTTCAGACGGAACAAGTATCTTTGCAGTTGGAAAACACACATTTTGAAAGTGAGAATCAGAAGCTTCAACAGAAACTTAAGGTAATGACAGAATTATATCAAGAAAATGAAATGAAACTCTACAGGAAATTAATAGTAGAGGAAAATAACCGGCTAGAGAAAGAGAAACTTTCTAAAGTAGATGAAATGATCAGCCATGCTGCTGAAGAGCTGGAGACCTGCAGAAAGCAAGCAAACGATCTTGAAGAAGAATTTCAGAGAAGTATTCATGTTTATCAAGGGAAGATTATATACCATTAGAAAGAAGCACACGATAATTGTTTGGCAGCATGGACTGCTGAAAGAAACCTTGACGATTTAAGGAAAGAAAATGCTCACAACAGACAAAAATGAGCTGAAACAGAGTTTACAATTAAACTTTTAGAAAAAGATCCTTATGCACTTGATGTTCCAAATACAGCATTTGGCAGAGAGCATTCCTCATATGGTCCCTCACCATTGGGTCGGCCTTCATCTGAAATGAGAGCTTTTCTCTATCTTCCATCTTTGTTGGAGGGTCCACTGAGACTCTCACCTTTGCTTCCAGGGGGAGGAGGAAGAGGCCCAAGAGGCCCAGGGAATCCTCTGGACCACCAGATTACCAAGGAAAGAGGAGAATCAAGCTGTGATAGGTTTACCGATCCTCACAGGGCTCCTTCTGACACTGGGTTCCTGTCACCTCCATGGGAACAGGACTGTAGGATGATGTCTCCTCCACCAGGACAATCATATCCTGATTCAGCTCTTCCTCCACAAAGGCAAGACAGATTTTATTCTAATTATGCTAGACGCTCTGGACCAGCAGAACTCAGAAGTTTTAATAAGCCTCCTTTGGATAAAATGGATGGGTCAATGCCTTCAGAAATGGAATCCAGTAGAAATGATACCAAAGATAATCTTGGTAATTTAAATGTGGCTGATTCATCTCTCCCTGCTGGAAATGAAGTGACTGGCCCTGGCTTTGTTCCTCCACCTCTTGCTCCAATCAGAGGTCCATTGTTTCCAGTGGATATGAGGGGCCCGTTCATGAGAAGAGGACCTCCTTTTCCTCCACCTCCTCCAGGAACCATGTTTGGAGCTTCTCCAGATTATTTTCCACCAAGGGATGTCCCAGGTCCACCACGTGCTTCCATTTGCAATGAGAAATGTCTATCCACCGAGGGGTTTTCCTCCTTACCTTCCCCTAAGACCTGGATTTCCCCCCACCACCCCCACATTCTGAAGATAGAGTGAGTTCCCTTCAGGGTTGAGTCTGCCTTCAAATGAGCCTGCTGCTGAAGATCCAGAACCACAGCAAGAAACCTGACAATATTTTTGCTCTCTTCAAAAGTCATTTTGACTGTTCTCATTTTCAGTGATTACACTTTTGCTCAAATTGAAACTTAATAGAATTATAATTCTCGGGATAGTATTTTGTAAATAAGGATGATTTAAATATGAATCTTATGTGTAAATTATTTCCATTTTATTTTATTCTAGATAGTATAACTATTTTAATTTGGTTAACTAATCCACTATTATATAAACAATAGTGGGAGTTTTATATATGTAATCTTGCAGGTGGGGAGGCTTTACATTTTAAAGGCCATGGCATTTAAAGAACTGTATTTACTGTGATTGTAGACAAATGTGAAATTAACTTTATGCTTAATTAAATAAATTTTAGTTGATTTAAAAAAAATATATAGGTTGCATTATTCTTCAGGTATGGAGAGACCAACAGAACAAGAGTCAATTGCCACTGAAAAGATAGTTTGTTACTCACAGATCCCAAGAGAAAGGAAAGTACTATTCCATGCAGGACCAAATAGGGAGACAGTATGGTCAGCGAGAAGGCAGGAGTGATGGAAAAAGATGGGCAAGAGCCTTTACGGTGGTTTCCATGGGAAGGAATAAGTGAGGCAAGATGAGCAGGGTTAAGGTTAGCTATTTTAGTTTGAGTAATTTCAGCAAGCTCTGGTTATAGGGGCTGTCCCTAGTTGTCTGGTACCTGGCTCTGGAGTGCTCAGGGCAGAGGAGTAGTGGCCTAGAGTGTGTGAGTCCTGTGGAAGCCTGATGAAATAGGTAATTGGGGGCATGAGCTCTGGACTGGTTAGTTTGTTTGTGAAAAGCACTCTCATGCGCAAGTTATTTACTGTCTCTAGGAATTGGCTAACCCTGGGAGGGACAGGCCTGCCAAGGTCAGCAAGGCCCTAGATGTCGAAACGTCAGAATACATAAAAAGACATGGTTAATATGGTATCAGAGCCTCTGTCTTCACGTGGCCTCTCATGAAGGGCTCTAGAGTGAGTTCCCTTAGGGGATGTCAAAGGTCGTTCAAGACAGCAGAAGCCACAAGGCAATGTAAAGCCTTAGTAATATCTAAAAGAAGATATTCCTCCTGATATCATGGTGGGTGTACACCCTGTGATATTATTTGTAATATCTAAAAGAAGATATTAGGAGTAATATCTCCCTTAGATATTATAAATCATATTTTCAAAGGATGTACACCTCTGTGATATTGGAGAAATACCTCCCTTAGAAATTACAAATCATATCATCACAGGGTGTACCCCCACTGTGATATTAGGAGTAATGTGTCTGGAATTGCTGGATTCTTGGTCTCACTGACTTCAAGAATGAAGCTGTGGACCCACGCGGTGAGTGTTACAGTTCCTTTTTTTTGTTGTTGTTCTTTTTTATTTTATTTTATTATTATTATACTTTAAGTTTTAGGGTACATGTGCACAACGTGCAGGTTAGTTACATATGTATACATGTGCCATGCTGGTGTGCTGCACCCATTAACTTGTCATTTAGCATTAGGTATATCTCCTAATGCTATCCCTCCCCCCTCCCCCCACCCCACAACAGTCCCCAGAGTGTGATGTTCCCCTTCCTGTGTCCATGTGTTCTCATTGTTCAATTCCCACCTATGAGTGAGAACATGCGGTGTTTGGTTTTTTGTCCTTGCGATAGTTTACTGAGAATGATGGTTTCCAATTTCATCCATGTCCCTACAAAGGACATGAACTAACCATTTTTTATGGCTGCATAGTATTCCATGATGTATATGTGCCACATTTTCTTAATCTAGTCTATCATTGTTGGACATTTGGGTTGGTTCCAAGTCTTTGCTATTGTGAATAGTGCCACAATAAACATACGTGTGCATGTGTCTTTATAGCAGCATGATTTATATTCCTTTGGGTATATACCCAGTAATGAGATGGCTGGGTCAAATGGTAATTCTAGTTCTAGATCCCTGAGGAATCACCACACTGACTTCCACAATGGTTGAACTAGTTTACAGTCCCACCAACAGTGTAAAAGTGTTCCTATTTCTCCACATCCTCTCCAGCACCTGTTGTTTCCTGACTTTTTAATGATTGCCATTCTAACTGGTGTGAGATGGTATCTCATTGTGGTTTTGATTTGCATTTCTCTGATGGCCAGTGATGGTGAGCATTTTCCCATGTGTTTTTTGGCTACATAAATGTCTTCTTTTTGAGAAGTGTCTGTTCATGTCCTTCACCCACTTTTTGATGGGGTTGTTTGTTGTTTTCTTGTAAATTTGTTTGAGTTCATTGTAGATTCTGGATATTAGCCCTTTGTCAGATGAGTAGGTTGCGAAAATTTCCTCCCATTTTGTAGGTTGCCCGTTCACTCTGATTGTAGTGTTACAGTTCTTAAAGGCGGCGTGTCTGGAGTTTGTCCCTTCTGATGTTCAGATGTGTTCAGAGTTTCTTCCTTCTGGTGGGTTCGTGGTCTCACTGGCTTCAGGAGTGAAGCTGCGGACCTTCGCGGTGAGTGTTATGGCTCATAAAGGCAGTGTGGACCCAAAGAGTGAGCAGCAGCAAGATTTATTGCAAAGAGTGAAAGAACAAAGCTTCTTTGTATACATATGTAACTAACCTGCAGGTTGTGCACATGTACCCTAAAACTTAAAGTATATTAAAAAAAAAAAGGCTATTTTAGGGAAGTAACTTTTGGATAAATTTCAAGTTCTATACATTTATTTCACTTGAGCATCTTTGAATTCTTAGGTACTGTTAGGTAATAAGTATAGAAACATAAATAAAAAAATGCTCTTTGGATAATGATTTTTTCTGCATATTTGAATTACCAACAGACACATACATGTACAAACACACACACACACACACACACACACTCTCTCTCATGTATACAGCAACAAATGATCCTCAGTCAAGAGCTGTAGTTTAATCATGAACCACTTTGGGATATAATTTTAATGCATAATCTTCTAGTAGATGCAAAAACATTGCCTAAGTATAATACAAGATTTTGATTAGTAGTTTGATTTTTAATGTAATGATTTAATTTTTTTTATCTTCTCTGTTACCTTTTGTCATTGCTTGATTAATATGTGGCTTCTAATGCCAAGCTAAGATTCTACTTTCCAAGATAATTGAATTAGAAACTTAGTTTCTTCAACACTGCTGAAATAGAAGAATTTGGTTGTTCAGTTATATTCAGAGTACAAGGCATAAAACACCAACATTAAAAAAAAAAAAGGGCCAGGCGCGGTGGCTCATGCCTCTAATCTCAGCACTTTGGGAGGCGGAGGTGGAGGCGGAGGCAGGCGGATCATGAGGTCAGGAGATCGAGACCATCCTGGCTAACACGGTGAAACCCTGTCTCTACTAAAAATACAAAAAAATTAGCTGGGCGTGGTGGCAGGTGCCTGTAGTCCCGGCTACTCGAGAGGCTGAGGCAGGAGAATGGCATGAACCTGGCAGGCGGAGCTTGCAGTGAGCTGAGATCGCACCACTGCACTTCAGCCTGGGTGACAGAGCGAGACTCCGTATCAAAAAAAAAAAAAAAAAAAAAATTAGCCGGGAGTGGTGGTGGGCACCTGTAGTCCCAGCTATTTGGGAGGCTGAGGCAGGACAATCACTTGAACCTGGGAGGCAGAAGTTTCAGTGAGCTGAATCACACCATTGCTCTCCAGCCTAGGTGACAGAGTGAGATTCTGTCTCAAAAAAAAAAAAAAAATTATATAAAGGTAAAGCCATAGGGTAGAGATAGGCTTGTGCAATTTAATATTAATCTATAAAATGTATTTAAGAAACTAAATATTATTACACATACAGCTTATCCTTTCTTTAAAATTTGTATATATGTATGTATAGAAGAAAATATGTGTTCATTTTAACTCATCGGAGAATTGAAAACAAGTATGCATGTATATGTAAATATGCATATATATTATATTTATGCATGATTTATATAATTATGTAGACTTTTCCAAATCAGAGATAACCTTGAATAATATATTCATAACTATATACACATACGTACACACATGCACACATTCATTCACCACCACACATTATGGTCTACATAATGACCTCTATATGGCGAGAAAAAGAGATTGAATATGTTATTAAGATGGTTCATGTTTTTCTTCTGGATGATTTTCAGCTGTATATGTTTCATTGCCTTGAGTTTTTATTTTGAAAAGGCCAGTCACTAGGGAGGGATTGAGACCCTATTTCATAAGGGAAAATTTTTATCATTATTGACCTGCTCATGGAGAAAGAGCAGCCAGAGGGGAGAAAAACATACACACACACACACACACACACACACACACACACACACACACTGTGTTGCATGACACACTTTTACTTTACAGGAACTTCTTTCTCAGTGATCAATTTTTTTGTATCTTGTAGAATTATGATTTGCATGTTGCCTCTTCAATATGTGTCAAGCAATCAATGTAGCACTGCTATTTCTTCCACACCCTTCAGTTGTTTAGTGTCACCATGACCATGCACTCTTTAATTTTCAAATTGAATCTGGATTTCTTCCAGAGACCCCTTAAGGAAACTGATTTCTGAATGTAAGTGGCTTACGCTGTGCATGATTTTTGCAACTGATGCTGTGGCAACCTCATATGGTTGGAGTAAAAACCTGATGGCATCTTTGCCAGATGCTAAGTTTCAGGATAGACATGTTTTCATTAACTCTTTAATGAATATTATAATTTCTCATTTGAATGTTCTAATTTTCACCCCACTAATTTTAATAAATTAAGAGTTGATTGTGGATTTTGGTTAGAACAAGTAATCTTCAATTTTCTGCCAATGTTGTAATTTATACTTTTAAATATGACTGTTTATTTGTATAATTAGATTTTGGTCATGTATTTCATAAAAACAGGCACTCAGTAGCTAAAGAAACTTTAAAATTATAAACAATTACTCTTGCAAAAATAAATCATTCACCCAGAATGATAGATTCTTTCTGCTTAAGAAGATGGTTTACTTAATAGACAATTTCTTCCTTTGATATTTTCTAATAATAAAGTAAAACAAAAATGTATTTTTTAGTCAGTAACTGAAAAAATGTATAGCACTTTGGAACTGAATGTGTGGTACCTTGGGTCATCAAAGCATTATTAATCATCTTTTAGCAATTTCTAAACAGGTTTAATGCAATGAATATTGTTTTGAATTTCACCTAAATTGAAGATACTATTTTTTCTTTTTAAAATAATTTCAACTTTTGCTTTAGATTGTACAGTGATTGTACAGTGAATGCATGTACAAGTTTGTTAAAGGGGTATATAGGATGAGGTTTTCGGTAAAAATGATTCCATCACCTAGTAGTGAGTATAGTACCCAAAAGGTAATTTTTCAGCTTTTGCCCTATTCCTTCTCTCCCTTCTCTAGTAATCTCCAGTGTCTATTGTTGCCATCTTTATATCCATACATACCCAATGTTTAACTCCCACTTATAAATGAGAACATATGGTATTTGGTTTTCTGAGCATGCATTAATTCACTTAGGATGTTGGCCTCCAGCTGTATCCATGTCACTGCAAAGGACAAGATTTTGTTCGTTTTTTATGGCTGTGTAGTATTCTATGGTGTATATATACCACATTTTCTTTATCCAATTCACAATAGATGGGCACCTAGGTTGATTCCATGCCATTGCCACTGTGAATAGTGCTATAATGACTATAAGAGTGCATGTGTCTTTTTTGTATAATGATTTATTTTCCTTTGGGGATATACCCAGTAGTGGAATTACCAAGTTGAATGATAATTCTATTTTAATTTCTTTGAGAAATTGCCAAGCTGCTTTCCACATTAGCCAAACTAATTTACGTTGCCACCAACATTGTATAAACATTCTCTTCTCTCCACAGCCTTGCCAGCATCTTACAGCCTTTGATTTTTTTTTTTAATAGTAGCTATTTTGACTGGTATGAGATGGTATCTCATTGTAGTTTTGATTTGCATTTCCTTGCTGCTTTATAATGTTGAAAATTTTTTCATGTTTGTTGGCTGCTTGTATGTCTTCTTGTTGAAGTGCCTTTCCATGTCCTTTGCCCATTTTTTAATGGAGTTATTTTTTGCTTGCTGATTGGTTTAAGTTTAGTATAAATTTTGGATATTAGATCTTTATCAGGTGCATAATTTTCAAGTATTTTTCTCCCATTCTGTGGGTTGTCTGTTTACTCTGTTGATAGTTTCTTTTGCTGGGCAAAAGCTCTTTAATTAGGCCCTACTTGTTAACTTTGTTTTGTTGCAATTGTTTTTGAGGACTTAGTTAGTCATAAATTCTCTGCCAAGGCCAAGAACGGTATCGTTCAGAATGGTATTTCCTAGGTTATCTTCTAGGATTTGTATAGTTTGAGATTTTACATTTAGATCTTTAATCTATCTTCAATTAAATTTTGTATATAGTAAAAGGTAGTGGTCCAGTTGTATTTTTCTGCATATGGCTAGCCAGTTATCCCAGCACCATTTATTAAATAAGAACTCCTTTCTTCAGTGCTTAATTTTGTTGACTTTGTTGAAGATCAGATGGTCATAAGTGCATGGCTTTATTCCTGGTTTCTCTATTCTGTTCAATTGGTCTATGTGTCCGTTTTGTACCAGGCTGTTTTGGTTACTATAGCCTTATAATATAGTTTGAAGTCAGGTAATGTGATTCCTCTGGCTTTGTGTTTTTGGTTACAGTTGCCTTGGCTATCCAGGCTCTTTTTTTGGTTTCATATTAATTTTAGAGTAGTTTTTTCCTAATTCTATGAAAAATGACACTGGTATTTTGATAGAAACAACATTGAATCTGTAGATTGCTTTTGGCCGTATGAGAATTTTAACTATTTTTTTAAATAATTTGTTTTCTTTTTCTATTTTTTTTCAAAATGCACATTATATATGTAAACCAAAAAGTATCTGAGAAGTTTCAGTCAATTTGGAAACTTATTTTGCCAAGGTTACAGACAGGCCTAGGACACAGATCTATGACTTTCTCGAAAGAAGAGTTTGAGGACTTCAATATTTAAAGGGGAAAAGTAGGCTGGAGGAGAAAGAGGCAGGGTAGGATGGGGGTAAGGTCACACTACTGAATTCACATGTTGCTAGATAAAAAGGAGTAGGGAGAGGAATAGTCACTTATGTATTCATCTCACAGGCAGTAAATCAGCATTTTACATAAGGTAAATGTAGAGCAGCTACCTGTGGAAATATTTAACCTTTTATCTGTGGCTACCTATCTATTTAGGAACAAAGCTAAAGGCAGTTTCTTGTATGACTCAGCTTTCAGCTTAATTTTTTTACTTTTGGCGTGGCAAATTGGAGTCCCAAGTTTTTATTTTCTCTTTAAAATATTTTAAAAATTGTTTTATTTTATTTTTAAAATCTTTCAGAGAAAGCATTTTAGAAGAAAATGAGTCTCTGTTCTTGGGTTTTGTCTGGTTTCTCATGGCTAGGACAATTTATTCTTAGATGAATAGGTCCCACGTTGTTAGGAAAGCTCATTTTTAGCAGGTTGTGAAGTTCCCGTCCTGCAAAGAAAAAATTGAGGGAGGAAGAGAGAAAGAAAACAGAGGAAAAAGAGGAGTAAATAACAAAAAAAAAAAAAAGAGAGAGAGAGAGAACAATCCTGGAAAATTGATATAGGCCATGTAACTCTGAGATGAACTACTAGGAACTTAAACAAATTTACAAGAAAAAAACAACCCCATCAAAAAATGGGCAAAGTATATGAACAGACACTTCTTATAAAGAAGACATTTATGCAGCCAACAAATATATGAAAAAAAAGCTCAGCATCACTGATCATTAGAGAAATGCAAATCAAAACCACAATGAGATACTATCTCACACCAGTCAGAAGGGCAATTATGAAAAAATCAAGAAACAATAGATGCTGGTGAGGCTATGAAGAAATAGGAACCCTTTTACACTGTTGATGGGAACATAAATTATTTCAACCATTATGGAAGACAGTGTGGCAATTCCTCAAGGATCTAGAACCAGAAATACCATTTGACTCAGCAATCTCATTACTGGATATATACCCAAAGGAATATAAATCATTCTACTATAAAGACACATGCAGACATATGTTTATTGCAGCACTATTTACAATACCAAAGACATTTGGAACCAACCAAAATGTCCATCAATAATTGACTGGATAAAGAAAATGCAGTGCATATACACCATGGAATACTATGCAGCCATAAAAAGGAATGAGATCATGTGCTTTGCAGAGACATGGATGAAGCTGGAAGCCATTATCCTCAGCAAACTAACACAGGAATAGAAAACTAAACACCACATGTTCTCACTGGTAAGTGGGAGTTGAACAATGAGAACACATGGACACAGGGAAGGAAACAACACACACAGGGACCTGTCAGTGGGCGGGAGTGAGGGGAGGGAGAGCATTACAACAAATAGCTAATGCATGCAGGGCTTAAGACCTACGTGATGGGTTGATAGGTTCAGCAAACCACCATAGCACACGTATACCTATGTAACAAACCTACACATTCTGCACTTGTATCTCAAAACTTAAAGTTTAAACAACAACAACAACAACAACAAAAAACCACAAAGAAAAAAAGAAATGTCCTAATTAATTAAAAAACGCTTCAAAAATATATTTAAACTAAATAAAGTTAAACCATGTTCTCATACATTTCTGTTAAAAATGTAAATTGGCACACACAAATTTTGGGAAAGTGTATTAGCAATATGAAAGTGAAACCGTAAAAATGTTCATTGTCTTGAACATTATTTTTGATTCTGTAAATTACCCTAATAAAAAATCCAACAATTAGTAAAATGCTGTATGACATAGGTATTTGTAAAAGTGAGATCAATGAAAAATAAAAATTGAAAGCAACCTAAATGTTTGAACCAAAGGACTAAATTAAGGAAACTTTTAAATAAACTTAGAACATGAGACAGATCATGAGAATAAAGGCTCTGAAGATGTACAGATGTTTATCAATACATTTAGTTTAAAATCAAGACATACCCATATATATACACACATATATATGTGTATATATATGTATTATGTTCACAATCATAAAATTACAGTAGGAGAAATTTTTTAAAATAGTGGAAATATATCTGAATATTTAATATTGGGTTACATTAGATGGCTAATTGGGTTAATTATCCAAGTATATCTTTTTTTTTGTTAATACAGTTTTTATTTTCTAATTTGGTAAATTTAGTTCAATATTAATATCTCATTACCTTTTTATATAAAAGATATAAATAATAAATGCCAACCTAGCTTTAAATGGACATAAAAATATACTAAATATGTTATATCAAGGCTTCTATGTGCTGGTCTGTCTTTTTCTTTCTTTCTTTCTCTCTCTCTCTCTCTCTTTCTTTCCTTTCTTTCTTTTGGATTCTTGCTCTGTCGCCCAGGCTGGAGTGCAGTGATGCCATCTCGGCTCACTGCAACCTCGACCTCCCAGGTTCAAGCGATCTCCTGCCTCAGCCTCCCGAGTAGCTGGAATTACAGGCATGCACCACCATGCCCAGCTAATTTTTACATTTTTAGTAGAGACAGGGTTTCACCGTGTTGGCCAGGCTGGTCTTGAACTACTGACCTCAGGTGATCCGCCCACGTTGGCCTCCCAAAGTGCTGGGATTACAGGCATGAGCCACCATGACCGGACGCTCATTTATCTTTCAATTCATGTTATTTTATATGTTTTGCTATTCATTGATTGACACTAACAATTGCAATGAAGAAAAACATATTCCCCCATGTCTAAGCCTCTTGTTGATAGCTAATTATACATAAATATGTGTGATATAAGTGAGGGAGAAGGTATGGTAGAGAGAAGAAAAATAGAAAGTTTTCCATCCCCCTGACCCCAAAAGTGCATATACAATTATACAATTCCTTGGAAGTGACTAGGCGATTATAGGTAATGGATACCAATGTGTCCTAGTCCTAGTTTTATCAATGCATCCTTTTTCTTTTTTTTTTTTTTTAGATTTTGCAAATTACACTTGAAGTCTATAATGTTAAAATTCTTATCTTTTGATATTTCTTTTTTACTAATTGGCAAGAAATAGGTTTTCTTCAATTTTTATTTATAAGCTTCATGTTTAATTAGTTACTTAACCTATCATGAAAAGGAACAAGTCAATCAGCTAACATTTTGCATTTCTTTACCAACCAAATTTGAAAAGAAAATGGAAATACTGAGCAGAAATTTAATCAGTTTAAAATAGCCTTTGTAATAGTTTATATCTTGAAAAAGTATTATTTCTTAACTTTTAATAAGAGAAATAACGAGGCTAACTCTTCATGATCTTTAGATTATTATAAAGATTATTTTAAAATAATTTCTAGATTATTTTTTAAAGACCAATTATTCAGTCTTAAAAAAATAATTTTATAATTATTTTCAGCTAAAAATTATTATAAGTTGACCTCTTTAGATGCCTAGCACTCCTCTCAGTCAACTTTCTTCTTATTACTAAGTATCTACGTCTGTTAACAAAGTTATGGTATCTAAACCTTACAGAAGAGAGAAATTAGGAAAAATTATTAAGAATTTTAATAAGGCAAGGTTTGTGAGAATTGTGTAAATCACAGGGAAACAAGTCTCAGGTTTTGATACACCAGTTAACTCTCTAATGATGTTCAAAGACCATTAGCTCCTAATACTAATGGTGCCTTTTTAATGACCTTTTAATTAACCCCCTTTGATAACATAACGAAATTTTCCCACTCAGTGCTACCCACTGAGCAGTCATCAACGACCAGAAGGCAACGGGTCTTTATTCCTTGTGTAAATTCTTAAGATATTGGTATTCATTGTTCTCTGTCTCTTCTATAGTTATAATAAAAGTATACTTGCACTGCAAGGAAATAATAGAAGCAATACAATATGAATTATTCCATATTTAAAATATCCATGTCTTAATTTATATATTTATTAATTCATTCATCAAGTACTTACAGAATGTACACTGTATGCAGGGATTAGGGATTGGCTATGTCTTAGAAATCAAGCTTAAAAAAGACAAAATTCCTGTTCAAGGAAAGCTTTTATGTCTAAGGGAGAAGACAACCAAGAAAACAAATGCAAAACTAAATAACTACACATAATATAGTCAGGGTAAATATGGTAGAAATATAAACAAAGCCTGCCTACTTCTCCATTAATAGAAATTAATTGAGAGGCCATACTAGGCGAGTATCTTTATAGAATGATCTTGTTTTTTAATATAATCCTATAAGAGCTGGGTAATATTATCTACAGAGATAAATAGAGTCAGAAAAAGTAAATTTACTTAGACAATGCAGCTAGTGAATATTAAATCTCAGAATCAAACCAATGTCAATCTAATTCTAGAGTCTCTATTCTTACGTTAAATTCCAATGATTAATGGAAGTCTAGAAAGATGAGTAAGCCTTTTACAGGTAAACAGGGTAAGGGCGAAAAGCTTGTTCTAATCCACTGAAATTTGTTCAAATAATATTTTGTAACCCCATAAAGCAAAAGTGTCCATTTCTCCTGCAAGGTTGATGATAGTAATACAGCAAATCCATATGTAGCCCTAATATAAGTGCTTTATATACATAGTCATTTATTTATTTTAACAATCTTATGAGGATCTACTGTTAGCTCTGTTTTACCCTGGAGGAAACAGAGTGGTTAAGTACTTTGTCTAGAGAAACATGCCTGGTAACTGTTGAAGCCAGGATGTGCAACCAGGCAGTAAACCATGAAGTGACAGGCAATCCTGCTTCCCTCTGAATGCTACAGGCTGTGCCAGAGACTTGAGGTGTATGCAATGGGTAAACCATTAGTGCATTCAATTCAATCTAGAAGTTTTTCCCTTCATGAATGGAAATAAGGATTATAGAGAAGGGACATGTTTGGGTAACCATCTCTTGTACTCTGAAAGCATCCTCTGTATTTATCGAAAATGACACATCACAATACTAGATGATTACATGTTTACTTTACTGTGTCTTCTTTACTTTCTCCACCACATTCACCACTTCCCTGGCTGCATCTCCTTGATGGTAGGGACTCTGCCTTTTTTGCTGTTGGATCCACAGCTCCTGGTGGGTGGAGTGATTGCTACCTCCAGGCATGATCTTTGTCACCTGCAAGACCAGAAAAGAGTTCAGAAAAAAACAGTACAGGCAGGAGATGATGAGGCTTAAACCACAGTCCTAGCAAAGGGGAAGAGAACTAGGGAATATATTGCTGAAATATTTAAAATGTAATGATTGTTTAGATATTGGTTGAAAGAGAGGAAAAAATATAGGATGATTTACAAGTTTCTGGTGGGGGGTGGGGAATATGTGGGTGACAGAATGATTCATTAGGAGAGGGATTTTAGGAGTTAAGTGTGAAATATATTATAAGTCTGATTTGCCTGTTGTTAAATAGAAATGAGATGTTCAGGAGGCAGTTGGACACGAAAGCTGTGAATACAAATTCAGAGTTATCATTTATTACTGCCATTAAAAACATAAAACTTCAGCAATTCCTATTTTTAAAAAAAGTCCCACATCAACTATTGGCTACATTGCAAACCATATTTACTTTTAATCAGTGTAGTTTTTAACCTTTTAATTAGAAATTTTAAAATAAATGCTTCTATTCTTCTGGATATTTTTTATTTTGTATATTTTAAATGTATTTTCGATTTTGGCATTTTTCGATGAAAATCTATGTTTTGAGCATTTGCATCTTGTACTTTCTTTCTTAATACTTTAAATTTTAATTTCTACTTGCTATATCTTCTGATGGCATGTTGCTAAAAACCACTTATATATGACTACAGAGAACAAGGAAGGCATTTCATAATAGAGTTTTTCAAGTTTTGCAAAAGCAGAATGAGAATAAAATATGGCTTGCACACCTTACAGGTTTATTTTAAGTATGAACAGAAGTAACATATGGAAAAATTTTCGCATATGTTCTTTATATTTTATTTTAGAAATATAAAGTGCAATGGAGAGACAATATTTAGTATCTTCTTTCAGAGATTCAGAAATCAGAAATCTCTTCTTCTCCTTCTTCTTCTCCTTCTTCTTGACTTTCTAATTACACCAAAATAATTTTTTACTTAAGAAGAGGAAAAAATAGATTGTAATTCCAAGGTTGAATACTCTTTTCTCAATTTTAGACTATTCAAGTAATCTCTCATTAACTTCCTAAATTTGTTCCTAAGAAATACAATCTCAGTGAGTCTGAGTAACTAAAAAATATGGTGCAAAAATAATCTTATATCAAATTCTAAGTGTTGAGAAAGGCAGTCTCATTACATGGTAATCTTCTAACTCTCATTCTACACCATGGGAATGGGCCTTGGGCCTGGAACACTTCTTTACCACGGAATAAAGGCCCACACAGTCTGTAGAGAGCTCACTGCCTTGTGTAATAGTCCCTGTTTCAGACACAATGTGTCCTCCTTTGTTCTGCTTCAGTGAGTAACCCTGAGGCCCCCGACTTGCAATGTTTTCAGACTTCCTGGGGGAAGAGAAGGGGGTTTCTACTGCACAAGCGGGGTGCAATTCCCCTGTATTGGCTTAATGGGGGAGAATTAGGGGGAGACCCACTAGCCACGGAGGACTGATGCATAATATTGGAGCTGATCTTCCTCTGTCTCTTCTCCGTGTGATAAAAAGCCTTGTACCAGTGCTTGAACATACCATGTTTTCCTTGGCGATTCCAATACTGTAGCGGACACAAGCGTTTTGGACTTCTATTTCTAGTGATTGCCATAGTGAGGATTTTTGCTATCCCTCAAGCAGTTAGAGTCCACCCCTGGCATTAGTAACTGGTGCACAGTGTCCTGCTCCACACTAATGTGCTGCTTTGTATTATCATTGCTCCCTTCATTCCTATGTTCAAACAAGAGCTAGGAATAATTAGTCTACAGTCTCATAAGTCTACACCTCTTCCATTTGTTCAACTTATGTACCTACTTATCATATATGAAAATAAAAATGTAATATTACATCTCATGCACCTCATAAATATATACGCCTACTATGTACACACAAAAATTAAAAATAAAAAATTGAACATGTAATGTTATCTTCACAAGGTGATGATTTTTTATAATCTATAATCAAATTTGTAATATGTATATTCCCAAGCATATATCTAGTATATAATTGTTTCCATTTAATAAGTAGAATGATTCAATAAACACTTATTGACTATATCCTATGTGCTAGGGACATTGCTAGGCTATGTTTATACTATGATAAATAAACTAGACAAGGTCCCTACTCTTGTGGGAATTTTGTCTCATTTTGCTAGACAGAGTGTGGGCGATTATAGTATGGCAGCATATTTTTTGTATAATATCGTGGGATATTTCTCTATTGCATCATCCCCTACCTCATCTCCCATGACTTAAACATATAGTTCCTACC
Organism: Homo sapiens; assembly: GCF_000001405.40. NCBI lineage: Eukaryota > Metazoa > Chordata > Mammalia > Primates > Hominidae > Homo > Homo sapiens. The sequence goes on from NC_000013.11 coordinate 58,545,432, forward strand.
TCCACTGTATCCCCATTTTATTTTTCCATGCTTAGAAAAACTACATTTTCAAGTTCTATTAAAACTGTTTTATGTTATGTTTTTTTCCATTGAAGAGGAAATAAGTTTCATCAACACTGTGTATGCAGCTACTAGCATTAGGTGTCCATTCTATGTTGAACAAAGTAATAAGATGAGTGTGGTTCTAAGGAAGAACAAGATGCTCAATTAATTGCTGTTGAATGCAAATGCCAGTGTACATTGAGTGTATTTACAGGCCGAAGAGGTCTCACTCTTCTGAAAAATACAGCAGAAATTTTGAGGATGTCTAGTGATAATTTAATAATCATGTTTGTATTTATTTTTATGTTTATCCTTTTGTTGCATTTTTCTTTTTGTCATTTTGAATCCTTTTAATAGAAACTCAAGCTGTGCTGTGTCACATGACAAAATGAAAGCCGGTTTCTTTCCTCATGTGAGAACTTCATATAAATTAAGTTTGCTTATCTAATTATAACCAGAAAAAACAAATATACAAAATGGTTGTCAAAGGTAAGTTTCTACCTCCAGGATTGTTCTATTATATTTTCCTTCCCAAGCTAAACAAAAGAATTAAGTTCTCTATTATACAATCAAACAAGGGACCAAGCAATTTTTATCTTTGGTTATAGATATGACTAAAAATAATGTTTAAATAGGCCAGGTGCAGTGGCTCATGCCTGTAATCCCAGGACTTTGGGAGGCCAAGGCGGGTGGATCACCTGAGGTTAGGAGTTCGAGACCAACCTTACCAACAGGGAGAAACCCCGTCTCTACTAAAAATACAAAATTAGCCGGGTATGGTGACGCATGCCTGTAATCCCAGCTACTCAGGTGGCTGAGGCAGGAGAATCGCTTGAATGGTGGTGATGGGGGTGGGTGGAGTTTGCAGTGAACCAGGATCATGCCATTGCTCTCCAGCCTGGGCAACAAGAGAGAAACTCCATCTCAAAATAAATAAATAAATAAAAATAATAATAATGTTTAAATAAAGTGTTAAAAAAAGTTATAGAAGTTCACCAATGTTCCAAGTCATATGTTGCTACTGAAGACTATCTTGAAAGATTTTACAGCTGAGTTCAAGTAGCATCTTTGACAAAAGCTTCTTGATTAATTTTTGTGGCCATGAAGTAGCACCAGAAGAAAAGTGTACTGTGTATACCTTATAGCTAAGTCCTTAAGCCGTATCCTTGGTTATGTTATATACTTGCCATTTTAAGTACAGATCTTTTTGCCATTGTAGCAGAAATTCTTATCCAAAAATGTTCTTGCCTTCTCCTCACCTAATAAGTTCTAATTACTTTTTAAATTAAGTGTACTTACACTGTAATGGAGTTTGAAATTCTGTAGGCTCCTGAAGCAGGCACAAGTAAATTTTTAATATTGATTTAGGGTTTTTCCATTTGTTTGTTTTTCAGGATTTGATGGCACACAAAAACAGCCACTAACATCTCTCACATGTTTGGAAAGAATGGAATTATTACATTTAAAAAATGGCAAATATTTGTGATAAATGCAATTCGTGGATATCACCAAAAAAATGAACAATTTAGTCAAATCATTCCTGCAAAGTATTTTCACAAATATGTAAAGTCAGTAGTTCAATTTTCACTCTTTTGTTAGCAAATACGTGTTGCGCTGCTTGATTTTAAAACTTAGCTGATAAGAATCCAGTCTGATTCAACTGGAATTTTTTTCTTTCACTCCTGCTCCTGACTGAAATCCTGAAAAAATTCAGTCTGTAGCTGAGAGTCAGCCACTCCATTACCTGTCCTTTTCTTTGAGCTAGTTTAGCCCTTCTTTCACTGTTTTTTTTTTTTCAGCTTTCAAGACTACATTTTCAGATGAAAGTGAGTGCCTTCACTTTATGCATTTGTGTGTGTGCAACCCTCAAGGAAAGTCACCCAAATCCCAAGATGGGTGTGTCTTCCCCTTACTGACAGAATTCAGCCAAAAACATTCCCTTCTGATCCTGTCCTACCATTTCCACTGAGCAAGAGTGACTGACTCTTCCTGTTATCCATCCTCATTCTTGCTTTTTCAACCTAGGAAGTGGAGTTGAACCAGCACTTCTAGGGAAGGTTTTTTGTTTGTAGCAATTACTTCAGCCCCTTAGAATGACTTTCCTAGATGGCAGTCTTGACTTTTCTGGTCACTCGAATTGAAATTTTCAATTCCTCTTCCTGAAACCTCAAATCAGTCATCACTGCTGCATTTTCATTTAGTAGACTTTATCACTTTCTGGCATGCTACAGATTTTATGTATGTATGTACCCCTATTTCCCTCCCTGGAATGAAAGAAAGCCCCACAAAGGGAGGTTTGTTGCTGCTGTGTTGTTTTGTTTCTGTTTTTCTTGCTGTGTCCCTAACATCCAGAATCCTTCTGGGAGCATAGAAAGATTTCAATATGTATATATTATTTCCATGATTGGAGATGCTCTGAGAATTTTTCTGCTTCTGTTAAGGAAAATTATACCAAAAGAGTATAACACATTTCTTCTCCTGGCTATCCTTCTAAAAAGTGGATCAAAGAAAAGCCCCTTCTAGACTCCCTTGCTCTAGACACATTGCCACTGGACATTCAACAGCCATTCTCCATGCGCAGATATCACTTTGTCTCTGTTACATTACAGTTACTTAACTTGCAATAACTCTTTGTTGATTGAGATAATTTACCTAATTAAATGCAGTTTTCAGAGGACTTCTCAGACAAGTTACGGAAAAAATCTACTGTAGCTTATTCAGATAAAAAAATGTGAATACTTCTCTCTTCCTACCAGTTTAAGCACTCTGGGTGATCTGCTTTCTTCTGTAATTTCAGGTTTCCTATAAGGAAAGCACAGAGCTCCCACAGGAAACCTTTTATATCTCTGGAGTTCTGTGACATCTTTGGCTTTTCTTGGTAAAGTAATATTTTAATGTTTACAAACATGGTATCCAATGGTACAAGCATTGTTGAGAATGCCTCTACATTTATCCTGTATTTTTTTAATTGTTGATGGATAAAACTACTCCTTTCTGAGGAGTGGAGAAGGAAAGCACCCCACAGTATTTAAAAGATTTTTTCTGATATTGGCATTTAGCAGTAGCACTAACAGCTTGATCCTTTAGAAAAAATTCAAGAAAACTGCGTCCTTGACGAGGGATATCTATTGCTTGCTGGAGTGAGAGCAGCTACTGCATCTTCTGATCTCATCATTAGCAATGAAACTGGTAACCCACTTCGGCAAATTGGCAGATTGAGTAGGGAGTATGAGGAGCAAAGTGATAGCCTTTCCTTTATCTGTGCTCCAGAGTTAAGAGCATTTTCAGCTTTTCTTTGCAGTATTGCTGCAGTGCAGCAGTGAGAAATCATAATAGGAAGAAAAAGAAACGGATAGCTAATGATGAAAAAGTCTCTCTGAAGTTGCAGCAGAGATGAGTCTATAGCACAGGGCTTACCTGGGGATTGTTGGAGTGGCTCTGAAAACACACACATACAGACACGCGTGCACACACACACATGCACACAAATCCTTTTATTCCTTTTGGTCATCATCTACTATCATCTTCCAAGTGTGATTCTTCTTAAAAATAACAATCCATGTATTATTATCTGACCCTAATATTTTAAATCCCCTAAGGTTATATATCAATGAAGTTTATTTTTTTGTAAAACATTTTTTCCTCCTTTTAGTGTTTAGTTCAACTGTTATAGCATTTTAAGGGGGAAAATTATATATATTATATATGTGTGTGTGTGTCTGTGTGTGTTTGTGTGTGTATGAACATAAGAGACAGCTTTTTTTAAAAGCACAGAAATTCAATCCAGTTAACTTTTCACTTGTTTCTTTTATAATGATGTCTGATTTATAGTGAACGTATGCTATAACGTTTACTCATATTTTGGTGGCAATGAAAAGTAAGATATATTTTATTGCAAACTTCAGAACACATATAAGAGGACTTGTCAGCCAAGCACATAATTTTCAGCACATAAATGAGGCAGCAGTTTCCCAGTACTTTATATCGTATTAGGAGTAGACTTCTCACATCCATGCAGACCACCCTTCTGAGAGCTTTGCTTTAGACCACCATGTTCCTGCTACTACAGTCATCAATTTCCAGCACTCAGAACAACCCCCATCCCTGCTTACCACTAAGAATTTAGGATCAGAATGTCTTTTCCACATATAAGCAACACATAGAACCTAAATAACTGCTCTGATTGGTTTATAGGCCTCAACAAAAGTGCTTTACAGGAGCAAGTGTAGTTGTCCCTTTTAAACTAACAGAAGGTGGAGTTGAACTGACATCTTGTTAGGAATCACATTTACTTCTACTTATTCCACATTGCTGTGGCCTCTCTCTCTCCCCACCTTCATCATTCATCCCTCAGCCCTTCCTGTACCCAGCCTCAGAACTATTCTCTGTCACTACCTTAAGTGTGGCAAGTCCATCTTTGTCTCAGGTTCATTGCATTTGCTTTTTCCTTGCTTTTAACTCTTCCACCAGATCTTTGCATGGCTGTTCCCACCTTTCAGGTAAGAGGTAAGAGTTTACATTTCCTGAGTGCACCAGCTAAACTAGCCTCTTGTTGTGGACATTATTCTGTTGTATTTTCTTAAATGGTTCGTATCCTACAATATATATTTATTTGTATTCTTTATTGTTCCTCTTCACTAGAGTGAAAAATGCATTCTAGTTTTAAACCAGTGTACAACAGTGTAGGTATATCAATACATAATTTTAAATTAATTCATTAATTTAAATACAGAAGAGCTGAGTAAAAAGCCAAAGTTGGATTTTACTATCAATAATCCTCCAGTGATAAATCATAATTATTTGAATTAAATGATTTTAGATTGAAAATCATAAGTGGCTGAAAAGCATCAATAAAAGTTATAATCTTACAAAAGCAATCTGAAGACCACTTCAGTAGGATTGCGTTTCAGGCTCCAGTGCTGAGTCTCTGAATTTGCTAGTTGAATTTTTTTTAAAAGGCATCATCCTAGTATATATTTGGAGGAACCAGAATTTCTTTATATGTTACTTGGTAAATAAAACATTATTATATATTTCCTCTAGATTTCTTTATCTGGATTGGGAAGATTAATGAACATAGCCTGGTTCTGTTTTCTTTACATCTTAGAGATAATTTGCATATTATTAGTTAAGTGTTACAATATTTTGGAATCTATAACTGAATATTTTTCTTAATAGAAATATAAATTTTAGAGTGTAGTTTTAAAATATTTTGAATGATATATCACTGCAACCTACTTGAAAAAAATAGAAGACATGAATCCAGAGACAAAAATATGACTTTCTATATTCACAAAATGAGTCATTTAGGGCTGATGGGTACACACAATCCGAGAATCCCTTTGCCAAGTATAGTGCACATCCCACCAGACCACACTGCTATGTAATAATGATATTGGAAAAAGCACAAATGAGAGCAGAAATGATGGCAGTTTCTAATTCAGCTTTGGCCGATGAGCTAAATGAACTGGCTGGCAGTACTTACAGGAGAGGGACTAGGAGGAGTAGCAATAGCCAATTTTCTGTGCAGGCTAATACAACATTTTCTTTAGCAGAGGAAATTGGTTGAAAGTTTCTCCCTCCATTTTCAAATGCCCTTTTTTCAGTGATTCTTAAGAGCAGTTTCCCATAGTATATTTCTGTTTTTGGAAAAGTTTTAATAGTGGAAACCCTAGCAAAGTTGTAATAGTTTCCTCTGCACTAAAGTCAGGTTTGATGAGCACTGGCAGGTTTTGATCCCTTGTACCAATGGTTCAAACATATCCAAAGGTTTCTGAGAGAAGGCCTAGCAGGTCAGGCTGTGTACCTAGGCTAATCAATTTTAACTCTGATTCTGCAAGGTACCTGCAGTGCCGGGGGGGTGGAATTGGAAATGAGAGTAAGGTAGTGAGGACTGAGAATTTGATCCCATTTAACCTTCCAGTTAATCTACCGTGAATCAGTGCTAGACAAAAGCAAATGCAAGATTCTTTTGAATTTCCTCTCCACCAGCTACAAGTAGGCATATATTTGGGCAACTGTTTTTAATGGTTTATATTTATTATTGTTTCTTTTCATGAAAAAATCATCATCACATTTTATTATTCTTTTAAAAAAGACTTACCACTCTGACAAGTTTCTAACTAATTATATAATTACTTCATTAGGTAGCATAATTAGAAATTACTTGAAGTATAGAGAGTGCCTGGTAAAGAAATGCTTAATTTACTAAATAATTTTGACTCAAATGATTATTAAGTTAAAATCAGAAGTTGCCGAAAACCTCAAGTAATGCTTTCTACCAGTGCAACATGATAGAGTAATTGCTCAATTAGCAATTAGTTACAAACAGCAGTGCCCTTTATTTTTACTTAAAATGAGAAAGCCGACGTCTACTCCTCAAAAATGAATATTAATTAGATGGGAAGTTTTTTCTTTAAAAAAAAACCTTATGAGTAGGACTTAGTCATACAGAAGCCCTGTATGATGTTAAAAATTTAAGTCCAGAAATAAAGAAAATTTTCCCTTAAATCCTTTAGAAGCAAGTAGGAGAAGGAGAAATTCTGACTTAAGCTTAATTTTTCTGACTAACTTTATTAAAGTGAACTGAGTTTTTAAATTATTATTTAGAACAAAGAATGGTACAGTCCATGTCTTTCAGCTTTTAAACTGTTAATCTTTGTAAATAAAGATGATTATATATTTCTCAAAAACACACCTTACCTTTTAATATAATCATGCTTGCCCTTTTAAATTGAGGCATTAATAACAATTCAACTTCTCTTTCTCCTTTCTCTTAGCATTAGTTTACATCATGAGTGGGATGGTTAGGACATAGTCCACACTGCAGCTCGAAAATGTTATTTTTCTTTTTGAAACTCACCTATCATGTGTTTTAATTAGCATATATACAGCTGCTTTATAGGTTTTGTGTCTGTTTGTGTTTTTTGAAAGGTAGTAAATGTTGTGAAAGGAACAAAGATTTGCAGGCAGGTAGATATATACTTAATTGGTTCATATCATGACTCGTCCCCTTATTAGCTGTGAGACATGGAGCAATTAATGTAAATTACCTCAGACTGTTTCCTCATCCCAGAAATAAGGCTCAATGTGGCTCTTTCCTAGGGAAATGTGAGGATTAAATGAACTAATGTAGGACCTGCTGTCACATGTAGAACACTCAATAGCTCTGTTCCAAACATAGCTCAATAGCTCATGTTCCAAACTTTCCAAACTGGAAAGATTCAGGCAGACATGGGATAATCGTAAAACTGGAATGTTGAAGAAGGATTTTTGGGGAGAGACTTGCTTTAATATTATATAACATCTTCTCTATTTCTATACTTCAGTGTTTTGAAACCAAATTATTGCTAAATATAATATTGGCAGGTTGATACCAAGGCAAGTAAATATATTTGCCTAATGGGAGAAAATATAAGATAAAGCAAATGTATAAAACTAAACACATTTCCATCTTAGTTCATTTGGGTTATTACAAAATGCCTTACACTGAATAATTTATGAACAACAGAAATTTATTGTTCACAGTTGAATAATTTGTAAACAACAGAAATTTAGCATTCACAGTTCTGGAGGCTGAGAAGTCCAAGATAAAGGTGCCAGGGGATTCAATGTCTAGTGAGAGCCGATTCCTCATAGATGGTATCTTCTATGCGTCCTCACATGGTAGAAGAGCAAAAAGGGGCTAAGAAGCTCCCTCAAGCCTCTTGTATAAAGGCACTAATACTTTTCATGAGGGATCTGCCCTCATGACATAATCATCTGTCAAAGATAGAATCTTTTACATTTGGAGTGTACATTTAAGTTGAGAAACGGTTTTGATACATCATCTTCTAAAGAGGCCAGCACAGTAAATGTTGCTCTACCGTCTCCAAGCCTATCTGAAACTTTGAATTATTATTACGAAAGAAATATAGTATTGGTGTTCATATTTAATTAATACCTCAAATTTTCCATTAAAATTAAATGCATTCTTTATGGGAATTCACTTCTAAAATGAAACAAATATCATTATAGATTACATATATGTAAAAATATTTGTACATTGGGATTGCTACAGGGATTCCCAACTCAGTTTGTATTACTTTCTGCTACTACCAACTGGTTTAACTGCTCAGAACCGTAAGAATAAAGTGTATTGACGTCTGTTAGTTATATATTTATATAAATTTTTTCAGCCTTGAAACTTGGTTTGTTTTTAAAAAGAAACAATATGATGTCTACTCTTCCTGTTTGAAGCTAAAATGTATCTACCTGATTTTCTAGACTTCTACAAATGGTAGATAAATATAAACATGCACACACACACGTGCACATGCACGTGTGTATATATATACATATAAGTGTGTGTATATATACACACAGATGTATACACATTATAAATATACACACACATTATAAATATATGCACATACATTATAAATAGTGAAATGTATGTACACATAGAGATGTGTATATATGATATACACACAAATGAATACACAGATGTGTATACATGATATATATCATATATACACACAGATGTGTGTATGTATGTATATATATATTTCACTATCTATAATGTCTTCCATATGCTTAACTATTCTCATAAAATAAAAAAGAATAGCAAATATTTTTATAAACATTCAGCTTGATTTCCACTACAAAAAAAACTTTAGTTTTTAATTTATTCTAACTTATTTTAATTACTTTTGACTTCCTCAGGTAAGTTAGTTTTTGCATTTATTTGAGAGGATTTGGGGTTCCAACGGGTAGAACAGAGGCACGAGTTAGACACACATAGTATGGAGGGTGGCCCAAAAATTTCACATGGAGTTCATCTCAGCGAATGAAGTATGCAGGTAAGTTACATTAGATATTACAGAGTAAATTTGATCTTCAGGGCAACAATGGAGATTGAGACTGTAATTGATAGTGAGAAAGAGACCCCAACACAGAAACAAATGGAACAAATCGAAAAGATGATTAACAACATACCTAAAAGACAAGATCGAGTGAGTCTGGTAAGTATTTCGTGGGTTTCCTTGAATTTTGTTTAATCAGTATATAAACAGTCTTAAGATTAGCCCTTCATATTCTCAAATATATCACATGCTGATTACAAAATTGATGGCACCATTTTAATAATATAGAGTTTTTCTCTTATTTATTTAGTTAGACTTAATCCATTGCCCTCTAGTTTCACTGTATTCTACAAGATTTCCATTATTTAAAAATAATAGCAGCAATAACTGAAGATAGTGCTTGGTCTTTTATAAGCTTCATAAAAATCCTCATTTAAACCCTGCAAAGAAGTTAAATAGTTTTCTGTTTATAAACAAAGAAACTGGCATTTTGTAGGTTCTTGAAGTGGGTAAGATTTTTTTTTTTTTTTTTTTTTGAGACGGAGTCTTGCTCTGTCGCTCAGGCTGCAGTGCAATGGCGTGATCTCTGCTCACTTCAACCTCCGCCTCCCAGGTTCAAGTGATTCACCTGCCTCAGCCTCCCAAGTAGCTGGGATTACAGATGCCTGCTACCATGCCCGGCTAATTTTTGTATGTTTAGCAGAGACAGGATTTCACTATGTTGGCAAAGCTGGTCTCGAATTCCTGACCTCAGATGATCTGCCTGCCTCGGCCTCCCAAAGTGCTGGGATTGTAGGCGTGAGCCACCGTGCCCAGCAGAACTGGGTAAGATTTTTAATTGCCAGTTAATTATGCTCCACTTGGTTGGTGATTCAAGTAATCTAAATTCAGTTCTATAAAGTTCACGATGAACATCTATTATTGTGCAAAGATTGGACTGGGCATGTGAGGGGGAATAAATGATTACAGAACTGCACATCTTTTTCAAGTGCAGGTTATAGCAGAATTATTAGTTACCTAAAATGTACCTGAGAATGCTAAATTACTTTAGTACAAGGCATTTTAATGGAAATTATAACCCTGAATATCAACACTTTCAAATGTCTCAACTATTCCTCTTTCATTCACTTTTCACAATCTTATACTTTCATCATCCTTATTTTACATCCATTTTTCCAGGGATACTGTCATAGATACTTTGCTTTTCACATGTTTGTGTAAATTAAGTCTCTTTAAATACATGAAAGAGCAGGGCAGTAACTATAAGGGGCATATTTAAATAGGCTATTAAACACCAATGTGATTTTTAAAAGCAGGCAACCCCTATGGATAAACACACTCCTTAAGTACATAATTTATTTATAATTTTAAATATATTTTCTGAAAAGTGAAAGAGATGTGTACTAGAAATAGTAAAGTGTAAGAATAGACTAGTCTTTCAAGAAAATTCTTCATTCCTTTGTGTTAAACATGAATGCTTTTTTTTTACTACATGCGTACACACTCTCTAGTTTATACTGAAGAAAGGGAAAATACATCTAATATTTACTAAATGCCTACTATGTAGCAGGAACTGTCACATGTGGCTTCTAATTCTAACAATGCTTCAAATTATTATTATCCTCATTTTCTGTATTAAAAAAATGAGACATTGAGAGGTTAAGTGATTTGCCCAAAATTACACAGCTGGTTATCATGGAGGAAATGACTCCATGCTATCTTCCCACAGTGTGCTGGAGTTGGATTTAAAAAGAGAACAACACAAATGTAATTGTGATAACGTTTTTTAGACACATAGATTCAGTTTTAAATTTCTAAAACCTGTGTATTACTTTTTTAAACGACCCTTTTACATGTTAGTATGTTACATTGTTATATTTATATATTAATTTTTTATTATCTAGGCAGTGTTTTCTAGCAAATATCTAGTGTTTTCTTATTTATATACTAGGTCATAATTTGCTTTTGTTTTGGTAATTGAATTAAACCTGATATTTTTCATTTTTATTTGTGCAATCTGTGCCTCCGAGAAGAATTAAATGAATTAAGCAATATCCATGGTGTCATAGCCCCATGTATAGTCATCTCTCAGAATCATTGTTCGACACTCATGGATCCCCCTTCTCTGGGAATGGTCTGCAAGAGTCATGTTGGGGTGGCCTTCCAGCAACCATATTGCTACTAAATGGCCTTTCTTTCATGACCATGACTGACGGATCCAGAGGAGGTCATGGACCAACCTAGGTCAATCAGAAATTTTACCATTTTGATAAGAGAGACATAGAGACTCAGAGTAATTAGAGCCGAGATCATGTTCACTTGAATACTTGTGTTAATTCATAAATCTTTTGTGCAGAGCTCTCCAGAGCAGTCCTGACCCTGTTTTTTCAGTTGTTTGATTTTAAAGCTTGTTTTTGACTTCCATGAGATTTGCATGATTTTTTTTTCTAATTCATTTAATTTTAGATCTAATGAACTAGAGTTTCCTATTGCCTGCCACTAAAAGTATGATCACTCATATATGGCCATAATCTTACAAAAAGGAAAAGAGAAACCTCTCCAAATGAAGGGCGTTCATAATGAGAAGGATGGCCCATGGAAGGATGGCGCACTGGTAGATTCAGTATTCACAATCCATGAAAATGCCTCATTGCACACTATATGTACACTTTCAACTGCTGCTATAAGTTACCAGAAATTTAGTGGCTTACAATAACATAAATTTATTTTTCTACATTTCTGAAGTCAGAAAATCAAAGGATTAGCAGGGCTATTTTTTCTTCTGGAGGCTATAGGGGAGAAATCCAGTTTCTTCTGTCTGCATTCTTTGGGATTGGCCACTTTATCACCAAAGTGCATCATTCCAACCACTGGTTTCATCTTTACATCTATTTTTTGTGACTTTGATCTTTATGCCTCTCTCTTATAAAGACTTTTGTGATTACATTGCTCTCAGTGGTGAATTTGGGATTATCTCCACATTTGCTTAATCACATATGCAATGCCCTTTTGGCCCTGTGAGGTAAGGTTCACAGTTTCTGGGGATTAGGATGTGCATATCATTTGAGACCACGTAGATTATTTAGGGGTCATTATTCAGTTTGCCACACTCTAGTACACAGATTATTATGATGTTGATAAAAGGACTGCTAGGGGTTTCCTGATATCTTGAAAGTTGGCAATGCAAAATTGCCGGCTTTGAAGATATCAGCAAATCTCGTTAGATCAGTAAGGCTTCCTAAGATTCCACAAACCAGAGAAAGTTCTAACTTCTATGCATTATGGTGAAATCTAATAGGGAGCCAACAAACAATAATAAAAGATCCATTTTCTTTCTGTTACTCCACACATAACAAAACACCTTTTTTGACCTCTTTTGCAGAAAGGTTTGTTTTTAATTTTTTATTTTCAGTTATCACGGATGCATAGCAGTTGTACATATTTATTTGGTACATGTTGTACTTTGATACAAGCATACAATGTGTAATGAACAAATCAGGGTAATTGGGATATACATCACCTCAAGCATTGATCATTTCTTTATGTTAGAAACATTTCAATTCCACTCTTTCAGTTACTTTGAAATACCCAATAAATTATTGTTAACTCTTGTCATCCTATTGTGCTACCAACACTAGGTACTCCTTTTATTTAACTTTATTTTTGTACCCATTAACTACACCTATTTATCCCCCTCTTCCCAATATTCTTCCCAGCCTATATTAATCTTCATTTTACTCTCTGTATCTATGAATTCAATTTGTTTTTAACTCCCATATGTGAGTGAGAACATGCAGTATCTGTCTTTCTGTGCCTGGCTTATTTTACTTAACATAATGTCCTCCAGTTCCATCCATATTGCTGAAATGACAGGAGTTCATTCTTTTTAATGGCTGAATAGTGTTCCATTGTGTACATGTGCCATATTTTCTTCACCCATTCATCCATTGATGGACACTTAGGTTTATTGCATATCTTAGTTATTGTGAATAGTACTGCAGTAACTATGGGAGTTCAGGTATTTCTCCAAAATAATGATTTCCTTTCTTTTGGATATATTTCCAGAAAACTATGGAAAGACTAAGGAGAGTGAGAACTCTAGTGACCAGTATATTTAAGTTAATTAACCCACCCAAGATTACTTATAAGTTAGTGTTTATTTGTTATTGCTGTTCACAATACAGTAACAACTAGTATTTTAAAAGAAAGGATGAATTTGGAGGTAGTAAATTAATTAAAAATCAGGTTATAATCAGGTTATAAATCAGTCCAGGAAGTTTTACATACTGGTTGATTGTGTACTCTCTTATGAATACAAACATTTGACCTCATTTAAATAATATTTTTAGTATCTTCCAAATAATAGATTTATCCAAGACAAATCCAATATCACTTATATCATAAAAAGGTTCTATAATGAAGAAACAATATTAACTCTATTAATTGAAACAAGAGAGAAAATATAACATGCCTTGATTTTAATAAACATAGCTTATAATTAAAAGTTGATTTTTAAAGCAAGGCATATTTTGCATCTTTGTTTGAATGAAAATGAGTATCAATGTCACTTGAAGTTTAGTGAACCCAAGTAATTAAGGCCCAGATGCTCTGATTGACCCTCTGTCTGCACACTGTCAAATGGCCCAGATTGTCAACACTTGTTTACAGAAACCCTGATCATAGAGGTGCATAACCCCAGGTTCTTAATACCTACAATTGTCAATCACTACAAACAGAAACTCAACAGCAGTGACCCCTGTGAAGCAGAATTAGTTCTGACAGATTTGATAATAGTGAAATGTCTCAGGGTCTGCAACAGTGACTATCATGAGCATTTACTTCTTAACCCCCAAGAAACTGCTAAAAGAAGCAGCAGCAACTCTCTGTGATTTTTCCTTCCCTAGTAGAATAAAAAGGGACTTTGGAGGCCATACTGTAATTAAGAGACAGTACTCACTTTTAACCATTCAAATACTAATCAAATAATAAATTTCCTTCAGTGGACACCTCACTGTAAGGCAATGAAAAAGAATATCAAATAACAAGATAAAATAAATTCCACTTTTTTCTCATCTTTTTTCAATCAAGTTCCATACAGGTCACTTAGCTTTCTGAGTTTCAGTTGCCACATAATCATTGTAAAAATAATACTTCATTGTTGATATTTCTTGACCACTTCCTCAAAACACATCTAGTTTTAGATTAACTGATTAATCTTCAAAATTATGTTGTGAGGTAGATACTATTATTATCAGCATTTATCAGTGAGGAAACTGAGGCTTAGAGAAGTTAAATAAATTGTCCAGGGTCTTACAATAGAAAGATAATGATACTCACTTTTAAAAATTTAGAGTCATCTGAGATTCAAGATAATAACTTTAAAATGAACTTTTAAACTCAAAAGTAGATTTTAAGATTTCAATAAGTATAGCACGTGGCAGAGCACACTTAATGTACACATAGATGCCCTGTGTTTTAATCCTTGCTGTGCATATATATATGTTTTACATATAAAATATTATGCAATTTTCTGTGTAAATTAAACGAGTCAATGCATGCCAACACTGAGTAAGGTGCATGACACAGAGAAGGAGAAAATAATTATTATTTCCATTTACTTAGTGTCCTATATTTTTTTCCTGGTAGTAAAGTAATATGGTAGAATGTAAATGCCAAAGATTAGGAAAGCAAATAGACATTATTCCAAATTTTTTCTCCACCCTTTGATAATTTAGTAATGAATTTACTTAAATTACATAACCCTGTGTTGCCATTGCTATATGGGAAATCATGATATGGTTTGTAGAAAACATTAAATTAAGCAAAATTTATAAGACACTAGCCCAGTGGTTGGGATGGATTATGAATTTAACAAATTATGTTCTCTCTAATTCAAAGTACCTCCTACAAACTGCCATGCAATGAACTGTTTAGTTGAGGGGCTGACAAGGGATCTGCAGATACAAAAGTGAGATTAAAACCAAAACACTCCTTAATTTGACAAACAGGTATTGAGTACCTGTTTTGTGCAATCATACTGCTCTGAAATGACATTCCATGATGAACAAGACAGAGTAAGATCACCAAACTATATCCATAGCAAAGAAAAAAAGCAATGAATATATAAATGAATAGTATATTAAGTGCTAAAACTAAAAAAAAAAAAAAATAGAAAATTGGGATGTGATGCCATTTTCAAAAGGGTGTTTGGAGGGAAGAGAGCCAGCCACGCAAAGAAGGCCCTTCACCTCCCATGATCTCTTCCCCTCACTGTAACCTCTCTTGATAACTGATTATGTTTTCCTCTGCATTTTCTTGCTATTCCTTCCATCAAAAGTAAATAAGCACAAATGTATTAGTTTGTTTTCATGCGACTAATAAAGACATACCCAAGCCTGGGCAATTTACAAAAGAAAGGGATTTAATGGACTTAAAGTTCCACATGGCTGGGGAGGCCTTACAATCATGGCAGAAGGCAAGGAGGAACAAGTCACATCTTACATGGATGACAGCAGGCAAAGAGAGTTTGTTCAGGGGAACGCCTCTTTACCATCAGATCTCATGAGACTTATTCACTATCACAAGAACAGTGCAGGAAAGACCCACCCCCATAATTCAATCACCTGCCTCCAGGTTCTTCCCACCACATGTAGAAATTGTGGGAGTTAAAATTCAAGATGAGATTTGGGTGGGGACACAGCCAAACCATATTTACAAATACACATTTTTCAAGGTTTTGCTACCAGTAAATTCTGAAATCACACAAGCAAACAGAAGCACAAAAGCACACATATATTTTTAAGCTTGCTTAAAGTTACCAGAGAAAGCTTACACTTACTTGATTGTAGAGTCATAAGTTTTCATTATTTTATTAATAGTTATTAGTAAGCTTATCCTAAAACAGCGGCAACAGCTTACATTTCCACCAGTAACAAATAAACATGCTCTCTCACTTGCATCACTGGTAACAATAGGAATAGGCCCTTTCAACTTTTAAATTTTTGTCTATTTCATAAGTAAATATAATACCTTTAGGTTATTTTGACATTACTTTCTTGATGACCACTAAGTCTGAGCATCTTTTCGCATTTGTTAGTTATTTGGATTTGCCCTTCTGTGAAATACCTATTAATATCTTTGTCTTCATTTTTCTTCCATGTTGTTTGTTTATTCCTTTTTTATCTGTCTTTAAGTGTTTCTTTATATTTTCTATTCCTTCTATTTCCCATATTTTTCCCAGATTTTCTGCTTTATTATTGACATAGTTGTTGTGACCTTCTCTATGCAAATTTAATTTTTATATTATGAATATGGGTTTTGGGGATTCCCCAGACTAATTTTATACTTAATCAAGTAGATTTTCCTTTTGTGTTATCATTATTTTTACACTTATAGTACTACTTTTTTACATTTGTAGTATTATAGTTATGATTATTTCATGTAAGTATGTAATTCATCTGGAATTTACATTGTATTTGTAATATAGGATAAAGCCTAAATTTTGCTTTTCTCCACATTGCCATCAGTTTTTATCAGAATCATTTACTGAATAATAAATAGAGTAACTGGAAACATCATTATATATTAAATCTTCATATATACAAGGATCCATTTCTAGGTTGTTTCTGAAGTATATTTAAGGAGACTGAGTAATCCTATTTGTCAATATCATAGTGAGAAGGAAGATAGTAGCATTAAGGAAGCTGGATAAAAAGATAAAGCCAGATCATATAGCGTTTGCAGGCTCTTTTAAAATAAATTAGAAGTAAGGATATTAATTTGGTTTAAAAAATCATGTTGTGTTTGGTACAGATAGAAGATACGGGGTAAGATAGTAGAAGAAAAGGCCAATTCAGGAATCCAAGCAAAAGAGATTATAGCAGAATAGATGAAGTAGAACTAATTGAAAATATTTGGAGTCTTTGGCTAGTCTTTATTGTCTAGGTTACTCTAGATAACCCAAATATTAATATTTTGGGGGCTATACTACAGTGAGCTGAACCACAAGGAAGTGTATACAGGAAATTTCACTTTTCTAGGATGCTTAGAGAATAGTTTCCAATAAATCAGAAATGCTAGTTACCTGATACTTAATCAGAAAACTTCTGTATTTGAGCATTGCTTGTTGATGATATTTCTTATTTGTATTCATCACCTTTCCTAAGATAGTTAAGTTCAGTTTATTGAAGGTAATTGAATCTTTCATGATTCAGAATCCAGCAATGCCTCAGGGACATCATTCCAAACATCAATCCTCATTTTATGGGCATAGATCAGACTGAAACTCTAGTGAATGTAAGTAAAACTCTGGAAATTGCATTTTTACCAAGCCCTGATATCAACCTAGTTTATTATTTCTTTTTGGGGTCATTTGACTTTTTTCCTTAAAAAGCTGACAGTCTAACAATTTTGGTTAAGTGAAGGTTCAGGTTTATTGAATTTCTATTACAAATATTTAACTGTAACATTTATAGTGCATCAGAGGATTCAATCTTTTTCTTAAGAGAATTTTTTAAATTGGTTCCAATATAACAGGTATCACAGTGTGGACACTTTAGTGAAAGTATGGGGAAGGAAAGGAAGGAGGCTATGGAATTTGTGTCAGATATTAACAAAGTAGCACTATGTTGGATTTTGACCAAATCCAGAATAACCTGAGTCTTGTCTTGTACCAATCAGTAACTCTTCCCTTGTAGTTCACAAAATAAATATATTACTGTTAGGTGGAAGCTCCAAATTCAAATATAGAGTGAAGTTTAATGAGCTTCACTAGGAGAAATGGAAGTATCTTTTTGCTTAATTGCAAAGCGGCCTTGAGTCCAGAACAGCCTTTTATACCCACAGCTCAGACATTTCTCTTCCAGCAACAAGGATAGGCAACGCTGTATCATATCCATCCTTAAAAAGTGGAAGAGAGTTGAGTAAAGAGCTTTCCCTATTGTTTAGAGAAAAGCTATCTAGCCCTCAAACTTAAAGAGTTTTAAGGGTAGGACAATGAGCTTGGCAGTTACCTTCTGGATAATCTATCCTCATTGATTTCTCATGGCAGAGAAAGAGACATACAGGAAAACAAAAAAGATATAGAGACAGATGCTGAGAATAAGATGAAAGAGAGAAGTATTGGGAAATGAGAGGGAGAATCCCAGGCCACTTTATCACTCTGCATTTATTAAAAAATTCCAGAGAGAAAAAGCCACCTATTTCCCAATATAGACTACCTCTCCAGCTAATGATACACCACAACAAAAAGTGGTCTAATTAGCGTCCTTTGATCAATCCAATTAGCACTTTTCTTTGGTAGTGGTACAGTGTGGTGGTGATGGTGTTGTGATAACTGAAATATGGGGATGAAGAGCTAGAAACTTTAAACTCTTTTTCCTTTAAAACCAACGGTATATGTCTTACTAAAGTATGATTTTTCTCTGTCTCAGAAGGCAATGCCTTTGGCAAAAAATCTCAATGAACATTCATGGTGCATAAAGGGGCACCACTTAGTTAATGTGGTGAACTATAGCAATTCTGAGATCACTGGAAGATTAGATGCCCCAGAAAGATCAACCACGCCCTTTATTAAAATTAATAAAAGTATAACTTATTAGTTAGAGATCTGAGTTTGAATATCTTAAGACATTTGCTATGCATTAGTGCTTCTCTAGAATGTCTTTTAGAAAAGAAGAGGGGGGATTTCACCTATTTGTGGATCGAAACAAGTTAAACTCAGAAGCAGAGAGTAGAATTGTGGATACAGGAAGCTGGAAGTGAGGAAGAACTGGGGAAATGCTGATCAAAGGATATACAATTTCAGTTAGATAAGAGGAATACATCTGAGAGAACTATTACACAGCATAGTGACTACAGTTAATAATATATCATATTCTTTGAAATTGCTGAGAGTAGATTTTAAGTGTTATTACAATAAAAAATAACTATGTGACATAATGTGTATGTTAATTAGCTCAATTTAGCCATCCCACAATGCATACATATTTCAAAACATCCCATTGTACACCATAATATACACATTTTTTTAATTTGTCAATCAAAAAGAATTTTAAAATAAAGTTAACAAAACTTCAAATACAATAAAGGAAGAGAGAAGAATGTGGATATGGGGAGGGAGAAAAATGGAAACTTTGA
This sequence comes from Homo sapiens, assembly GCF_000001405.40. Classification (NCBI taxonomy): domain Eukaryota; kingdom Metazoa; phylum Chordata; class Mammalia; order Primates; family Hominidae; genus Homo; species Homo sapiens. Next base: position 58,564,454 of record NC_000013.11, read on the forward strand.
AAAGAGCAAGAATATACTAGGAAAGAAGACAAGATGAAAAATATTATAATAGAAGAGATAGCACATAGAGAAAAGAAAAAAAGCCAAAAATGATACGGAAATGGAAATGGCCTGAGCATTACTTTTTCCTGACAAGAGATTGTTATCACAGATGGTCAATTTGTTATAAAAGTGAGTTTGGCTCCCTCTTGTTCTCTCGTTCTTACTCTCATGTATAATGCCTTCTGCCACATTTTGATGCAGCAAGAAAACCCTCACCAGATGCCACTCCTTGATCTTGGACTTTCTAGCCTCCAGAACTGTAGGTCAAATTAATTTTTTTCATTGTAATTATCCAGTCTGTGGGACTTGGTTATAGCAGCATAAAATAGACTAAGACAATATCTTTTACAGGTAAGAAACTTTGTACCAAAACTTGAGAAGTATCTTTATAACTGTGCTTTAATAATCTCAATAATACGAGCTTGTCACTTGATGAAATAGTTCTTACCTTTAGATCTTTATGAATTTTATAATTTTTAAAAATCTACCTCGCTTATGTTAACCTAAACTATATTTCCTATCTAGGCTAAGTATATCATGTAGACAGCAACTTTCTTCTTTCTTCTATTATAGAAAATATAATTCTTTCAGGATATTTCTGATGCTTCCCTTAAATCTTATATTTAAATCTTCATCAACGAATCCAACCCTCTCAATTTCTTCCTATAAGACTCTCATCATACTCTGCACTATCCAAGCTAGTATTATTTAGAATAATTCTAATTTTAATGCCCTTCTTAAAATATATCACTATAATTGGGCAATGATATTTAAGTGTATTCTAATCATCTTCCATGTCTAAAAAGTTAATAAATTTCAATTTGTCTTGAATTATTCTTAGAATGGTCATGTTATTTTCTAGTGCTCACGGCTTTAGTTTCTAAGTAGTCATGAAACAGTTAAGAATTATCTCTACATTTTTCCCATGAATATACTTAACACCTGCGTTCATATGTTCATATGTGACTTGCTTTGTTCAATCTTATTGAAGAAGGACTACATGTATTTCCCACTCCATTCTTTCGTGGTTTTTTTGGTTGTTGTTTGTTTTTTACAATAGAGCATAAAAATAAACACCTGCTTTTGGTGATAATGTTCTATACATTCAGGGAGAGGATAAAACATGCAATAACCACAAACAGATTGTATAATACAAGAGATTAGGAAAATGGCTTTTATCCAGTATTTTATCCATTACCTTTAGTGTGCTATCAGTTGCCATATTTAACCTATGAGATTAAATGTTCTAATTTGAAAAATTAACATAATATCTCTTTTTGAAGCAAAATACGTGGTTAAGGTGATGTTCATACAATATAAGATGTGTAAGGTTTTCAAAGATAAAAAATACTGCATAGACATGTAAAACAGTGTACTAAATTCTTTGGCCTCTTCCACAAAATGGTCTTCACACTCTCACAACAAATCTAGCAGCACACATAAAATATGACTTTAACACAAGTGATATTTATTTCTTCACTTTTTTGACAGTCATAGAAACAATTTTCCAAATTAATAGATTATAATTTTTAAAAATATTGAAAATTGTTCAGAGTAGATTTTAAATATTTTTTCAACAAAAATGATAAGTATGTGAGATAATGCATGTTTGCTTAGCATGCAATAACCAAAACCACACTGTCTAGTGTAAAATGGCAATGGATCAGGCTTATGTTTAAGTCCTGTGAATGCTACTCAGAGTCAAAAATCCTGACAAAGTTATTTGAGTTTTTAATTTTCAAACAATTATAGATTCACAGGAAGTTGTTTTAAAATATAGAAAGCAGTCCCATGTGCCTTTCATGCAATTTCCCTCACTGCTAGTAACTTGCATAACTGTAGTACAATATCAAAACCAGGAAATGACACTGACACAATTTACAGAGCTTATTCAGATTTCACCAGTGCCAAGCTATTTCCCATATGTGTCTGTATCCGTGTTTGTTTATAGTACTAAACAATTTTTTCAAGTTTCCAGATTCACATAACCTTTATTGCAATAAAGATACAGAACTGTTCCATCACCGTGTAGCACCCTTGTGCTACCCTTCCATAGCCGCACCTACCTTGTTTCCATGCCTAACACCTGGATACCACTAATCTGTTCTACATTTCTATAATTTTATTTCAACAATGTTATATGAATACAATCATTCATTATGCAACACTGGGACTTTGGATTTTTAAATTCAGCATAATATACTTGAGAAACATTCGGGTTATGGCTTGTATCAATAGTCTGTCCCATTTTATTGCCACACAATAGTTTATGGTATGAGTAAAACACTGTTTAGCTATTCAACCTTGAAGGACATTTTTGTTAGTCTACAATTTGGGAGTATTTTATGAATAAAGCTGTTCCAAACATTTCAATACAGTTTTTGCCTAAACATAAGTTTTCACTTATCTGAGATAAATGCCCCAAAGTCCAATTGCTGGATCATATGGTAATCATGTATTTAATTTTATAAAAATTTGCAAAGCTCTTTTCCAGACTTATTGTACCATTTTACATTCCCACCAGCAATGTATGAGTGATTCAATCTCTCTACGTCCTCACTAGCATTTAGTGTTTTCACAATTACTTTTTAATCATTCTGAGACATCAGTAGTACTATCTCATTGCAAATTTAGTTTGCATTCCCTAAATGACTAATGGTATTAAAGCGTCTTTTCATGTGCTTATTTTCTATCTGTATAACCTTTTCACTGAGATGTCTCTTCAGTTTTTTTTGCCCATTTTCTAGTTGGATGGTTTATTTACTGTTGAGTATTATGACTTCTCTGTATATTTCAAACACAATTCTTTTGATGGATATGTCATTTGCAAATATTTTTTTTCCCAGCTTGTAATTTGTTCTTTATCCTCTTAGGCTTTTTCACTGAGCAAAAGTTTTAGTTTTATGAGGTCCATTTTGTCACTTTTTTTCTTTAATAAATCATATTTTGATGTCAAGTGAATGAACTTTTTGCCTAGCAATAGGCCCTAACAATTTTTTCAGAAAAATTTTGTCAGAAAAATACTCATTTTACATTTAAGCCTATAATCCATGTGGAGTTAAATTGTATATGATGTATGAAGTTTAGGTGGAAGTTTTATTTATTATTTGTGGCCTTTGATTATCTAATTCTTCCTGAACCATTTATTGAAAAAGCTATTCTTCCTCCATCAAAAATGTTTTCACCTTTATTAAAAATCTGTTGAGCATATTTGTGGGGTCTGTTTCTGGGTTCTCTATTCTGTTACATTGACCTATGTGTCTATCCTCCTGGCTGTATCACATTCTCTTTAATATTAGAACTGTATAGTCTTGCCTATTACAGGCAAGTTCTAATGTACAGTTCTAATAGTCAAGAGAATGTATATGCATGTATGTGTGTATACATTCTCTTGACTATTAGAACTGTATAGTTTGTATACATTCACTTGAATATTAGAACGATATATACAGATATATACACATATGTATGTGTGTATATATAAAACTCATACATGTATAATTAATATATGTATTAAATCTGTAATTTATTATTTTATTAACAGAAGTACACACTTTAAAAAAATTATCTTAGTTTTTACTTAATGTTCTGTTTCTGTTCCAAGATCCTATCCAGGATAATTCATTAGACTAGAGATATTCATGTCTCACTAGGCTCCTCTTGGAAGTAATAGTTAATCAGATTTCTTATTTTAATGACTTATGCAGTTTTGAGAAGTACTAGATAGGTGTTTTGTAGAATATCACTCAGCTGTGATTTTCCCAGTTTTTCCTCATTATCAGACTAGAGATATAGCTTTTGGGAGGGTGACTACAGATTTCAACTGCCATTCTCATCATATCCCATCAAGGATATGTATTGTCAATTTAACATAAAACTGTTGATCTTATCTTTGGTTACCTGGCTGAGGTAGTGTTTGTCAAGTGTCTCCCCTATAAAGTTACTGTCACTTCCCACGCCTTTCCATATTGCATTCAGTGGGAGGAAATCACAAATGAGATACAAATGGATAGACTGGAAAGAAACAAATATTTATTTGCAAATGCCATAGTTTTCTACTTAGAAAATACCCGCCCCCATAACAAAAAAAGCAAAAAACAAACAAAAATCTTTGAAGCCTCCTATAAGGTAGGATATGAGGTTAATACAAAAACATCAATTTCTTTTCTATATACCAATAATGAACACTTGGAATTTCAAATTTAAAAAATTACAATTATACTAATAAAAGATGAAGTTCTTTGGTATACATTTAAAAGTGCAGAGAAAATGTAAAATTTTGATGAACTAAATCAAAGATCTAAATAATTGAAGAGAGATATTTTGTGTTCATGAATTGGAAGACTAAATATTGTTAAAATGTTAATTCTTACCAACTTGCTGTATTAGAAATTCAGCACAATCCCAATCAAAATATCAGTTTTCAGATGTTGGCAACAAATTCTAAAATATATGTGAAAAGGCACAAAGACTTAGACTAGAAAAAAATAGATAGTCCTGAAAAAGAAGAAAAAAGTTAGAAGACTGCTCGATTAAAAGATTTTCTATAAAGCTATAGTAACTAATATATTGTGGTACTGGCAAAATAATAGACATGTAGTTCAAAGAACAGATAGAACTCAAAAATAGACCCATACAAATGTAGTCAGCTAATATTTGTCAGAGGAACAAAGGCAATGAAATGGAGAGAAAAAAACTGGGTTTTAACATCTTTTATAAAAATTAACTCAGAATGAACCATAACCTTCAAATAAAATGAATGAATATATATCTTCTATAATAAAAAACGTGGTAAAATGTGGGTGACCTTGGATTTTGTGATGAGTTTTATATACAAAATCATAAATACAATTAATAAAATAACAAATTGATAATGTAGTTTTCTGCATACAGATCCTGTCATCTTGTGATATTATTGTCATCTTGTGATATTATTGTGTTTTAAATTTCAAATTTCAATTATTTATTGTTTTTATGTAAGAAAATAATTAACTTTTAAAAACTTCTGTTTTGTAATCTTACTATACTCACTTGTCCCAGGAATAATGACAGTCATGTCATCTACAAACAAAAAGTTTTTTTCTTCTTCCCAATAAACATTATTGTTCTTTTCTAGTGTTATTACACTAGCTAAGACTTCCTATCTGATGCCAAACAGGTGGGTTGAGAAAGGATATTCTTGCCTTCTTCCCAGTCTTACGAATAAAACATCTGGTTTCTCACCATTCAGTGTCGTGCTAGCTATAGATTTTTTGAAGATACTCTTTATCAAGTTGAGAAAGTTTCCCTCTGTTCATAGTTTGCTGAAATGTTTTATCACAATGAGAGTTGGATTTTATCATTTTCTTTCTCTATTGATTGATGTCATACAATGTTTCTTTTCTTTCGCCTGTTGATAATGTTGGTTGCGCTGACTGACTTTCAATTGTAGAAGCATACTTATATACCTGGAATAAATCTCAATTTCTCATGGTGCATAAAACATGGATTTTATTTGCTTTTTTTGACAAGTTTTGCATGTATGTTCATGAGAGATTTTGATCTTTTATTTTCTTGCAATGCAATGTCTTTATCTATTATTGGAATTGGGATAATGTTGGCCCTATAGAATAAGCTAAGAAATGTTTCTCAGCTTCTTTTTTTTTTCTGAAAGAGATTCTACAGAATTGATAGCATTTCTTCCAAAAATATTTGGTAGACTTCACCAGTGAATCCCTCTTGACCTGGTGATGTTCTAAGGACATTAACTACATTAACTATTAATTGAATTGTTTTCATAGATGTACTTATATTGAGATCATCTGTTTCTCCTTGTGTGAGTTTTAGTAGTTTGTGTCATTCAAGGAATTGGTCCATTTTCTCTATGTTATGAAAATTGTGGGCATAGAGTTGTTCATGATATTTCTTTATTATCTTTTTAATATCCATGAAGTCAGTAGTTATGACTCTCACTTCATTTCTGATATTCATAATTTATCTCTTCTCTCATATTTTCTTGGTTAACGTGGCTAGAGGTTAGTCAATTTCATTGATTTTTTTTTTCAGAGAACCAGCTGTTAATTTTGTTGATTTTCTCTATTCTTTTCCTGTTTTCAGTTTCATTGATTTCTGCTCTAATTTTTATTATTTATTTTCTTCTCCTTCTTTAGACTTAAATTCTCCTTTCTCCTCTAGTTTCCTAAAGTGAAAGTTTAGTTTATTGATTTCAGATTTTTCTGCCTTTCTAATGTTTGCATTTAATGCTGTAAATTTCCTGCTATGCACCACTTTTGCAGCACAAGTGCTACAATTTCTAAGTTGTGTTTTCATTTTTGTTCAGTTTTACGTATTTCCAAATTTCTCTTGAGATTTTTTCTTTTGTACATATGTTTTTAGAAGTGTGTTGCTTGATCTCCAAATACTTGAGGATTTCCAATTACCTTTCTGCTACTGAGTTCTAGTTTAATTCCACTGTGATCTGAGATAATATTTCATATAATTTTCATTCTTTTAAAAATTTTAAGTTGTGTTTTATGATGGAGAATGTGGTCTGTCTTGGTGATTTCTCCATGTAAACTAAAGAAGAATGTGTTTTCTGATGTTGTTATATGAAGTATTCTATAAATGTCAATTAGATACATGTGACCAATACTGTTATTGATGTCATTTTTATCCTTACTGATTTTTCTGCCTGCTTGATTTATCAAGTACTGGAAAAGGAGTGTTACAGCCTGAAACTATAATAGTGGAGTATCTATTTACTCCTTTCTGTTCTATGTGTTTTGCTTTACATATTTTGATGCTCTGTTGTTATGTGCATATACTTTCAGAATTATATCTTCCCTGAGAATTGACCCCTTTATCATTAGGTAATGCCTCTCTTTATCCTTCATAATTTGCCTTCTTCTGAAGTCTTCTTTGTCTGAAATTAATAAAGCTATTCTAGTTTTCTTTTGATTAGCTGTAGTGTAATATATTTTTCTCTATCTCTTTACTTTTAGCCTACCCATGTCTTTAACATTGAATTGTTGTAGACAACATATAGTTGAATCTTGTTTTTTTTTTTCTTTTCATCCACTCTCACAGGCTCTGTCTTTTAATTGGTGCATATGGTCCATTTACATGTAAAGTGATTATTTACAAAATTGAATAAATATTGATTGTATGTGTAACCCTTTTTATATCAATTTCATTTTTTCTTTTGTCGCTTTTTTCTTTTTAATCTGATTTCTAGCATTTTAGTTGAGTGTTTTATGTGGTTCCTTGCTTTCTCCTTCTTTACATAACGATTCTACTTCTTATTTCTGAAATTTAATGGTGTCTTAGAGTTTCTTATATACTCTTTCAACAAATCTCAGTCCATTATTAAATAGGACAATACCCCTTCACATGTATAACAGTATTTCAAATTCCTCCTTCTCATCCTTTATGACATTGTTGAAAGTTTAATCTAATTGCTGCCTAGAAATTGATGACAATAAGATAGCTATTATAGAAATAACTACAAGAATAAGAAAATTCACCCATGTTCCAGTTCAAACTTAGAAAAAGAAGTCTCCAGATTCTCTCTTTAGAAGCTAGTTTTCATTTTCCAGAAAGTTCAAGACCTTAATAGAAGTAGCTCTAGCCATACTAAGAATTTATTTAATACTCCCTTGCTTCTTACCTCTCCTTGTTGGAAGCATTCAATCAACTATAGAGGCAATAGTAGCTAGGCAAACTACCACTCAGCTATTAGGTATATGAGAAGTCATGAAAACAGGGCCCACATAGTGGTATAAGTGCCCTTACAGAGGAAGAAACACCAGACCTCTCCCTCTCTACCATATGAGGACACAACAAGAAGGCAGGCATCTGCAGCCCAAAGAGAGAGCCCTCACTAGACACTGAACTTGCTTGCAACTTGATCTTGGACTTCTTATCTCCAGAACTGTGAAAAATACATTCCTATGGTTTAAGTCACCCAGTCTATGGTATTTTGTTATAGCAGCTCAAACTTACATAAGATAGAAGTTTTGGTAATGATAAACTTCCTTGGTTTTTGTTTGTGAGAGAATGTATTTCTCTGTCACTTTTGAAATATAATTTCAATTAGTAAATAATTTTAGGTTGATGGAGTTTTTTGGTTTTTCTTTTCTTCAGACTTTTAATATTTTATTCCATTCTTTCCTTACCTGCATTGTTTTTGAGAATTCTACTATGATTGTTATCTTGTTTCTCTAGGTTATAGGTTTTACTCCCATTTTCTTTTAATATTTCCGTTTTGTCTTTTATTTTCTGCAGTTCAAATATTATATAACTAAATGTTGTTGGTATCTTGTTTTTTATTTTACTTTTGTAATTTGATTTGTGTCTTCTGGATGTGTGCTTTGATGTTTGTCATTTTGAAAGGTTTTCAGCCATTATTACTTCAAATATTTCTTCTGTTCTGTTCGTTCTTCTCCTTATAGTATTATAAATACATATATGTTATACTTCTGAAATTATGTCATGGTTTTTGGATGTCTCCTTCTGTTTTTATTTGTTTGCTTTTTTTTCTCTTTTTATTTCATTTTGAGAAATTTCTATTAATCTATCGTCAAGCTCATTGATTCTTTTCTTTGTTAGGTCCACTCTACTGATCCCATCAGAAGCATTCTTTATTTTTGTTAGATTGGTTTTTCTTTCTAGCATATTCTTCTAATTCTTTTGTGATATTTCTGTCCTTCTGCTTACACTATCCATCTGTTCTCACATGTTGTTTACTGTTTCTATTCTCCTTATATATTAATCATAGTTATTGTTCAAAAAATTGTCAGATAACTCCAAAATTAGTGTCAAATCTGAGTCTGTTTCTGTTGTTCACTTTGTCTCTTCAGATTATGTTTTTTCCTGCGTTTTTGCCATGCTTTGTAATTTTTTGTTGGAAGATTGACATGGCAGGTAGGGTATTAGGGACTGAGGTCAATAGGCCTTTAGTTTGAGGATTCACATTAATCTGTCTCAGAATTTGTCTGTGGTTAATGTTTGTTACAGCTTTACATTCCAGAAGCTTCAAATTCATCCAGCATCCTTTTATTTGTCTCTCTTTTTGACTTTGGGCTTTCCTGAGTACTAAACCTCAGAGAGTGCATGTCTTCTTGTAGCTTTATTATCTGTAATCCTGTTACTTTAGTGGAGTCCAGTTGCTGTAGCTGTCATGTGTGAAGGAGGGTATTCTATAATATTAATCTCAGTCTTTTGGTGGCCTGTGTCTCTGGTCTGTGCCCTTCATAAATGTTTCTCCATTGTTACAGCTTTTATTCAGCCACTTTTGGTGTGAGAATGGAACTCTGGTAGGGACTTGTATTAGTCTGTTTTCACACTGATATAAAGAACTACCTAAGACTGGGTGGTTTACGAAGGAACAGGTTTAGTTGACTCATAGTTTTGCAGGTTTAACAGGAAGCATGACTGGGGGCTCAGGAAACTTACAATCATGGTGGAAGGTGAAGGGGAAGTAAGCACTGCTTACCATGGTGGCAGGAGAGAGAGAGAAAAAGGGGAAGTACCACACATTTTAAATCATCAGATCTCATGAGAACTCACTCACTACCCAGAGAACGGCAAGGGGAAAATTTGCTCCCATTATCCTATCACCTCCCACCAGGTTCCTCTTCCAATTTGAAATGAGATTTGGGTGGAGACACATATCCAAACCATATCATTCCATTCCTGGCTCCTCCCAAATCTCATGTCCTTCTCACACTGCAAAATGCAATTATCCCTTAACAATAGTCCCTCAAGCTTAACTCATTTCAGCATTAACCCAAAAGTCAACAGTCCAAAGTCTCATCTGAGACAAGATAAGTCCCATCCACCTAGGGAAATGTAAAATAAAAAAACAAGTTAGTTATTTCCAAGATACAATGGAAGAATAGGCATTAGGTAAATACTTCTGTTCCAAGTGAGAGAAATTGGCCCAAACAAAAGGGCTATGGGCACTGTGCAAATCCAAAACCCAGAAGGTCAGTCATTAAATCTTAAAGCTCCAGAATAATCTTCTTTGACTTCATGTCTCACATCCAGGGCATGCTAATGTAAGAGGTGGGCTCCCAACATCTTGGGCAGGTCTGCTTCTGTGTCTCTGCAGGGTACAGCCCCTTTGGTTGCTTTCATGAGCTGGCATTGTGTGCCTGTGGCTTTTCCACCTTCCCAGTGCAAACTGTCAATGAATCTACAATTCTGGGGTCTTGGAGGAGGGTGGCCCTCTTTTCACCGCTGCCCTAGACAGTGTCCCAATGGGGACTATGTGTGGGGACTCTAAACCCACATTTCCCCTGCTTAATGCCCTATTAGAGGTTCTCCATAAGGGCTTTGCCTCTGCAACAGATTTCTGCCTGGACATCCAGGCATTACATTCTCTGAAATCTAGGCAAAGATTCCCAAACCTCAACTTTTGCCTTCTGCACACCCACAGGCCCAACACCAAGTGGAAGCTGCCAAGGCTTGGGGCTTGCACCCTCTGAAGCAATTCCCTGAGCTGTACCTTGGCCCCTTTTAGCTGGAACTAGAGCAGCTGGGATGCAGGGCACCATGTCCCAAGGCTGCACACAGCAGTGGGGCCCTGGGACTGGCATGCAAAACCAATTTTTCCTCCTAGGCCTCAGGGCCTATGATGGGAGAGGCTGCTACAGAGGTCTCTGTCATGCCCTAGAGACATTTTCCCCATTGTCTTGGCTATTAACATTTAGCTTCTCTTTGCTTACATAAATTTCTACAGCCAGGTTGAATTTTTCCCCAGAAAATGGGTTCTTCTTTACTACCACATGGTCAGGCTGCAAATTTTCCAAATTTTTATGCTCTGCTTCCCTTTGAAACATAAGTTCCAATTTCAGACTATCTCTTTGCAAATGCACATGACTGTGTGCTATTAAGAGCAGCCAGGCCACATCTTGAATGCTTTGCTGCTTAGAAGTTTCTTCTGTCAGATACCCTAAATCATCTCTCTCCAGCTCAAAGTTCCACAGATCTATAGGGTAGGGGCAAAATGCCACCATTCTCTTTGCTAAAGCACAGCAAGAGTGACCTTTTCTCCAGTTTCCAACATTTCCTCATCCCCATCTGAGACCACGTTAGCCTGGACTTCATTGTCCATATCACTCTTAGCATTTTGGTTACAACCATTCAACAAGTCTCTAGATACTTCCACACTTCTCCACATCTTCCTGTCTTCTTTTGAGCCCTCCAAACTGTTCCAGCCTCTGCCAGTTACCCAGTTCGTTCCAAAGTTGCTTCCACATTTTCAGGTATCTTTATAGCAGTGACCCACTTTCCCAGTACCAATTTTCTGTATTAGTCTGTTTTCACACTGCTGTGAAGAACTACCTGAGATTGGGTAATTTATGAAGAATAGAGTTTAATTGACTCGCATTTCACAGGCTTAACAGGAAGCATGAGGAAGAGGCCTAAAATATCTTATGATTATGGTGGAAGGTGAAGGGGAAACAAGCACTTCTTACCATGGTGGCAAGAGAGACAGAGAAGGGGGAAGGACTACACATTTAAACCATCAGATCTTGTGAGAACTCACTCAGTATCATGAGAACAACCAGCAGAAAACCTGCCCTCATGACCCAATCACCTCTCACCAGACCCCTCCTCCAATTCAACGTGAGATTTGGGTGGGGACACAAATGCAAACCATATCAGGACTGGTTTGAAAGGAAGAGCCTTCCTCCAGGTGAGATCAGACTCTTCAAAGATCTTTTCCACTGAAGAGAGGCTTTTATTTTGGAGAACACTCTGGACATATTTCACAATGCTTACTTTCCTCTTCTCATTTCTGGTACTGACAAAGATCTTCTGGGATTTTTACTCTGGGACCTGGCAAAGTTCCTGGAGGTAATACCTACAAAAGTGTGGGATTTCTCTAAAACTGCTGCCCTCAAGGGATTCTTATTCTCATACAAGTTTACATTCATCCTCTGTCACATTTTCAAATTATCACTTTAGTGTTCCTGCAATTATGATGCTCTAGCAGCTTCTGCTCCAAGTAAGCAGATCTTGTCTGTGACTCTCCATAGTCAACATTCTCTAATTTTCATATGGAGATGTGCAGTGCAACTTTCTCTGTTGGGTACAAGAAAAGTTGTTGGTTTTCATTTTGTTCAGGTTTTTTTTCTTGTTATTAGGATGGGAGTGACAATTGCCAAGATCTTTGCATGTCAGATTTGAAAACCAAACACTTGTGCAGACCAATTTTTAATACTATTTCTGACTCATACTATTTTCATCTATTCAGAATGTTAGTAAACATCTATCACTAATATCCTAATCATGAGAATACAAATGTCATGTACATGTATTGATTTGCAGGCAGAAGTAACCTCAGGTGAGATTTGCAAATCAACCTCTTAAAATTCATCTTATTATTGTTTGGAAGAGAAAAGTTTGATTTTAAATTTTATTTTATTGAGTTAGTGATTTTTTGTTTTAAAGTCTTATTTTAGACTTGTAATAAGTCTGCATGTTCTTACTTGAAACTGTTTATTATGCACCTATATTATATTAGTTTTGGGGCCTTAGGCTGTTTAGCTTGGTTGGTTGTGACAAAATGTTAATGAAGCCAGGGTCACAGGGTTAATCCCACATGAGTCAATTATTTTTCTAAGTTCCACTGCCCCAGATTGCCCTCCTTCCACAATCTGCAACCAGGAATTCTGCAAATAGGTATTATTGCTCTTTCAGAGGATAGAATTAAAGAACACTATTGAATTGCTTTTAGGGAAAATAATTCAATATGCTTGTTGACTAGTTAGAAGATCAACAGTTTCTTTTTATAATAACAAGATTTCTAAAATTTATTTTTATAGACCTGAAATTAGTTTCAGTCTATCTCTTCCAAACACTAGATGACCAGAATATGAAATGACATTACACATTCCGAGATGTATTTTTATGTATAAACTTAGGTAGGTAAGTGTTCATATTGTGGGGAGACAAAGTCACATCCTACATGCAAAGAAATGAATTTTAGAGGTCTACTCCCAAAAAATTTCCATTTATAACTTTTGTATTATAGTTTGTGCAAATGCAGCACAGATATTGTATAGCAATTGGTGTGCTTCAACTAGAATATTTTTTGTATTTTTCATTTTAGAAAAAAAGATTCAAAATCTTAAATTTACTTTCCATCTGGGTGTTTTTCATAAGAAATGGAATTAACAAAGACCAACAAAATATCAACATAATCTATTGCTTTATTGTTAAGTACTCTATTTATAATCTCTAATGCTACCAAGCATTAGTAAATACTAATTTACTTGACCTTTCCTCTCAACAAACTTCTTGTATTACTCTGTAAACATTTGGAAGTTGTCAGTTATTTTACACCATCACAACATACTACCTCTGTTTTTATATCCTTATCTAATTACATTATTCAATTCTCACGAAAACACTCCACTACAATATGCTACAGACAGTGTGTCTATTGTCCTTTGTGGCCATCTATTACTATAAGATGACCATAACTTTATTCTGTATTCCTTTATTACATTGATTCTACTCTTTTTTTTTTTTTTAAGAGTTAGTGTCTTACTATGTTGCGCAGGCTGGCCCCAAACTCCTGGGCTCAAGTGATCCTCCCACCTCAGCCTCCAGAGCAGCTGGGAACACAAGTGCCTGCTACCACACTCAGCCTGATGCTGCTTTTATAAAAAGTAACAGTAACATAACAATTACCAAATCCAGAGGACCCTTTAATCCTTCTCTTACTTTACTACTAGGAGTCATTTGATTGCGTTGGCTACTTTCTAAAGCCTTTTCTTCTGCTGGCTTTAATAGCGACACTGTTTCCAAGACTCTAAGACTCATTCTATTCTTTTTTTTTTTTTTTTTTGAGACAGGGTCTCACTCTGTCACCCAGGCTGGAGTGGAATGGTGTGATCATGGCTCACTGCAGCCTCACCTCCTGGGCTCAAGCGACCCATCTCAGCCTCCCAAATAGTTGAGACTCCAGGTCTTTGCTGACTCCAATTTCTCTGCCTTTTCCTTACATATTTGTTATTCTCTCCAGGATTTTTATCTTCGGCCTTATTCTTTCTCTAGTCCATAAACTCTCTAAGTAACCTCAACCATTTTCATATCTTCCATTCCTGCATTTACATTAGATGTTTGGTTTCCAATTTTGCATGTTAAGTCCAATCCCATGTTAAAGCTCATAAACTAGGGAGTGAGAAAGTGATTAACTTTTCAGTTGTGTCTACCATTCCAGCCACCATAACACAAACAAATCAGTTCTCAGTTTCGCTCAATTTTACCTCCTTCACATTTCTTGTATCTGGTCTCTCCTGTCTAATTGCCACTCCTATTACTCTAGTGAAAACCCTAGCCACAGTCTGATTTTTAATAATAAGCTCCTAAATAGTTTTTTTCCCCTCCAGTTTTGCACAATCCATCTGGCTTTTCCTGCCAGATTGATTTTTCTAAAATGCAAATCTAATCACGTTTACTCCTGTCTAAAACGCTTTAATGGCTCCCTGTTTACCACAGGATAAATAAAGACTCCTTAGCATGATACATGAGGCTCTCCTTGACCTGGTCTCTTCCCTTTAACTCCACATTCCTCTTTCCTCATTGTATTTTCTTTGCCCATTCCAGATCCCTTGCAGATCCCCTATTGTGAAAAGATGGTTCACATATGTGAAAAAAACTCTGTGCCTTTGTTTTGTCTTCTTAGCTACTTTCTCAGTTCTTCACACCCAGCCCCAACATTCACAAATACACACACAAATATCTCCAAATTGCCTAGGGAATGGTCACTAAGCATTTAAAACTTACCTTAAATGTTACCTTTTCTCTCCAACTTTTCTGACATCTCTTTGATTATAAATGTATTTTTGCCCTCACCAAGCACACATTTTAAATTGATATTTCTATGCCCAACTGTCTTAGGGGATTTTAAATTCCTCAACAGATTTCTTACCCATCGTAGTATTCCCCAAATATAGCGCCATTCTTGGAAAATAAGTAGATCTGTAAAATAGTTAAGTGAAGTTTTATTACTTGGCAACATGAAGCACTACAAAGCAAATACTTGCCTCTAACTGCAAGTTAGAAAGGATCCCTGTATTCAAATAACTATATGAAAATTGAGGAACATTAGAACTATTACCAAGCAAAATTAGATACTTTGTGAGCCTCATGGAAACTGAAATGAAGCTGGGTAGAATGAGGAAGAGGCCTTCAAACACCCAGAATATGTCCTGCTTCTCAGAACATGCTGTAACTGAATTCTCTTGAATTCAGATATTGTATTCATAAATCAGAACACGGGAAAGTAAGGGGGAGAAGTATTATATTTTAATTGCAACTTGTAGCAAACTACTTCCATGTCTTTCATTCTATTCAACGTGTGCTAAATAACTTAGAATCATGCCACTGAAAAAATGCAAGAGAAAGAATAGCTAAGTCCGTTTATTTTGAACACTTTTCTTCAGTTCAATGTAAATGTATAAGTTAAACTTGACCTAACTGAGAATAAGCCAAAAAAAAAAACCCTTGTGTATGCTCAAACATCTGTGGCACTCCTGAATTGTCATGGCTATTCTTACTTACTACAGGTGAAATTATGTAAGACTCAGGCTAGATTTTAATTCTGAAAAATAAAATGAATGAATGAAATAAAATAAATATAACATAAATAAAATAAATGTAACAAATAAATAATAAATAAAATATAACATGAACACACACACATATGTGTGTATATATGTATATATGTGTATATATACAATGTAAGTGCAAACTTGAGATTACAAGATATGTGTGTGTTATATACAGACATATATATATGTATAGACGTGTTATATACAGACATATATGTGTATAGATGTGTTATATACACACACATATATGTGTATATATGTGTTACATACACACACATTATATATGTGTTATATACACACACATATATATATGTGTGTGTTATGACCTAGATAATTATCAACTGTTTATTCTTATTTGTTTTTACCCAGTCTTCTAACTTTTGTCTGGATGTGCATCTTCAGATCTAGACAGATACTCAGACTGACCCTAGAATGGAAAATTAACTATCATTTACTCTGATAAATTAAACACTTTGCCATGTACTGTCAATAGGTAGGAATGCCTTCAGAAAGCAGTCTGCTTTGTCAGCAAGTAGTGGTTTATTGCTATTCCCTTCTAATTTCTCTGTGGGCAAGTGCAAACTTGAGATTACAAGACAAACCGTCAGGTGTCAGATTGTTCATCTTCCTCTTCAGCTATCTCCTTTGTCCTCATTAACTCGCTCACCTGTCTATGGGAGAAACATTGCCTTGTCTCCTCGAAGTGCAGCATGTGAGTAATTTTTTAAAGATATATTACCCATGGACATACTTAGAGAAAGTCCTCTTTATTACTTTATATTATATTTTATCAACATTACCCATTAGAAAAAAATGCAAAAAGGATGACTGCCTTTTAGGAAGTAGTATAGCTAAAGAGGTGCATTTCACTTTCCCTTGATATTTTTTATTTCCATATGATGAAAGTAAATAACTTGGAGTGAAAAGAAAAAGGATGTAGATTTGTATGAGGTCAGAGATGAAGAGGGTCCTCCTGTGGCATATATGAAGATGGGCCAGGAAATATTTGCAGACAAGGAATGTAGACATCATAATTAGAGAATGCAATGTTTATTCTTATCAGTTCAAAAAATTGGCTCAGGTCTCCATCTGACAACTACCCAAAGCTTGTGACACAAGAATTGTGTTTGTTTTATATGCCCGGGTAACATAGATATTCCATTCTGTATTGCATTCAGTTTTCTGAATCCTACGTTTTCTAATATTACATCAATCAATCAATTCAATGAATGTATTGAAGACTTAATTGGATGGGACAGATGATAGAAACAGCACATATACCTTTCTTACAGAGCAGAATTCAGGATTCTGATAATAGGGCAAGGAAGACCCAAAGGGATAATTCAGATGCAAAATAATTCAATGGCAATGCAAGAAGTCGTATTGTAATTTCTATCTATATTTAATTTTATCTAAAACTAATTTTTAAATATTAAGCCAACTTAAATTTAAGTTTTTAACAACTTCCCTAAAGATCTATTGGAAATAAATGACAGCAGATATTTTAAATAGAAAATCGCTTCAACGTTCAAGAACACACATGAATTTTAAATATTTTCTATATATATTACATAAATGTGTTTTACGTATTTACATACACAAACAATAGAATTGTTTGACATAGTGGTTTAGCTGGCATAAAATGATAATACATTACTCAGGAGCGTAGTCTTTGGAGTCAGGATGATCTGAGTTTGAATCCTGGCTGTTATTTACAAACTATCACCTTGGGCAAGTAATTTAATCTTGTTTTGTTTTAGTTCCCTTCTTCCATTATTTTTTAAAATTGTAGTAGTAATATCTATATCACAGGCATGTTTTGAGAATTAACTTAGAAAACCCATAAAGAAATAGCTACCGTAATGCCTAGCACACAAAAAGTAGTTATTTTGATCCTGCCATGCAAAACATTATGAAAACTGATTAAATTAATCAAGAATTGGAATGCAGGAAAATTACTCTGCTGCTTCTAAGATGCTGACCATTGAAAATCATGGCAGTGAATTCCTATACACTTCTATGACAGAGGCCACATATTTGTTCCTCAACTCTTTGGCAGCCACAGTTACCCAAGGAAAACTAGAATAATCTTTCTCTAACCCCAGTCAGACCCCTGGTTTAAAAAGAAAAATTATATCAAATTATATCACAGCCTCGAAGGATGTATGTGAGCATGGTAATACTGGATTTTGATGGTGAGATAACATATGCCAAATAGATTATCTAGAAAATTCAGATCATATGGTTACTTCATTAGACAAAGGCTGCTTTATTTGGCTTCAGAAGCCGGTTGAATAAGTGATTAAAAATAATGGTTAAATATTTGAGAAACAGACACAGTTTCTTTCCTTAAAATTTATGTTTCTCTTTTATAAAAGATATTATAAAATGACTATAAAGTAACTATACTTACCTATTTTAGAGAGAACTTTCCTTCCTGCCTTCCTTCCTTCCTTCCTTCCTTCCTTCGTTCCTTCCTTCTTTCCTCCCTCCCTCCCTTTCTCTCTCCCTCCCTCTCTCTCTCTCTCCTACCTAATCCTCTTTTTATATAGAAAAGTGAGGGGCCACTCTTCACATAATACTGTCTGTTATCATTGCCTAGACTAACAAAGTAAATGCTCAATTGTTTCTTTTTTTTTCACTCTTATCACTGGGAGTTCTTTATCAGAGAGTCAGGCAACATAATATTTTAGAAATATGCATTATACTATAACACCCTGGTTACCATGGCACCAGAATAAAATCCAAACTCTTCATCATAGCTTACGTGGTTCTACACAACTGAACTTTGCCCATCACTGACACTCCTGGGTACCTGTCTCCCATTTTCTTGCTACTGTCCCATAGAGAGTTAGGTCCTCTAAATCTCAAAGTGTATTTCTAACTCTGGGCCTTTGTCCTTGCTATGTTCTCTTCCTGCAGTTTTCCTCTAAGGGTCTCTGTGTGACTGGTTCTATCTCCCCTTGCAGATATGCTCACATTCAGTTCCTCAGAGAAGCTTCCCTACCTAGAAACATAATCTAAAGGAGTTCCCCATGTACACACAACCTTGTGTTATTTCCTTCACAACATTTATGATAATCTCATTAACTTTTAAATGTATATATTAGTTAATCCAAAACTCAAAATCTTCTGTCTTGTATACTTGTATATTGATGCTCTGAGAGAAAGTTATTAGATTTATCTCTCTTTAAATATTCTGAAATTATGCATGTGGAAACACTTGGTATTGTTACCTGCTATTAATCTCAAATGATACTAATACAAATACATGCACACAGCACATACACCACACACTGACACACCCACCCACACACACACCTCACGTATAGCCAATCTATAAGATCTTTTTCTTCCTAAGAGTCACTTAAATTTAAATTACATTATATTTTTAAAATAAATAAATGTAAGTATTTATTGTATTCCTGATCATGGACTCAACATTAAGTGCATTTCAGTAGTTACTAAGAGTATAACATGGAAACAAAATTAAACTATAAATTCTGGCATTGCATAAATCACTGGATACATAGTTATTTTGGCTCTGAAGTCTATACCCTCATGCACACAAACAAAAGTCATTAGATGATACCTGTTGTTAATAGGCTATTTTATTTTATTAGATTATGCTTCTTGAATCCCTAGTAATTCAACTAATTGTGTGTTACAATAAAGTTTGCCCTAGAATGGGATGCATATTCCACACCTACCTTTTTCCTATGACTTTTATGTTTCACTCCTCTGATTTTGGATCAATCTTATGCCAAAGTCTTATTCCAAGACTTAATGCCAAACTTATGCCAAAGACAAAGTTTTCTTAACCATCCTTCTCTTCTTATCCTGTTGAATCAACATTTGGACTATGTCTGCATCTTTTTGAATATCACCTACACAGTTCCCTCTTGTGCTAAATAAAGAAACTCTGGATCTTGTAGTGAAATCAATTCAGCATCAGTATAAGGAAAGGAGGTATGTTTAATTACATACCAGGGCTTATCCACAATATTACAGAAGCCTGATGAAACATACAATCAAACTTTCAAGTTTGTCTTGGCTGAGTCACCAGCCCCAAAGAGGTATTTTCCTTGTTTTTCTATGAAACTTCACAATTGACTGACTAATATTTTGAGGACAGGGAAACACAGCCTTATTCATTTGTTAAAATTCCAAACAATTTCTCCATCATGGCGCAGCACTAGGCACTCACTAATGCTCAACCAATGATTTATAATTAATATACAATGAGACACCACACTATTGTAAAATTTTTATATATAAATGTGGTGTCAGTACATTTATGACAAACCTGGACATTTCTTTCTCCATAACACAGAAACAAACAGAATGTCTGTCCTAACCCATGCAATACCTGCAGTGTAGGTCATATTATAATGAAATGAGTTTTTATCACTTCCCAACTGAGCTCATTACTCCATTTAGGTAGATCAAATTGCTTATCTTGACAGAGATTTGATTACCAATTAACTGTAGAATAAGCCAACAAAAATGAAGGGATGGAAAATGCATTGAAGTTTACTGAGACATCTTTATTAAATATGGAGGTCTGCAGCATAAATACTCCCCAAAAAATTGTTTTTCAAAAATGTTATAGATGCCACATGAGGTGGTAATGGTATTTTTGACAAAATAGGAAATCTTAGTAGCTCTGTAGTGAAACTTAAGGTGACCTTGTAAATAGCTGACATAAGCCATTTAATAAAACTCAGATTTTCTGACATTGTTTACTTTTGCCACAATTTGACACTGAGTTGCATCAAGTCAAATGAAACTTTGTGAACAGCCATCCTTCAAACATTAAATTCCATCCTTTTTCCCTGCCTCCCAGGGCGTGGAATAGCTGCTTACCCTCTCCTGTTTGTAGGTTTCTTTGTCGGGTTGCAAACTGGGATGGATACCTTCTGACTTTCACAGCTCTCCAGACTTTATTATATCAGTGGTAGCCCTCAGAAAACAAATATTTCCCTATTAGGTCTAATAAAGTTAGCAAAGAGTGTTAGGATTAAACGTTTCCAAGACTTAATTTGTTGTAAGTTTTCCCACATGTGGCTTAGGAGACAGCTTCTGAAATGGCAGCTCCAGGGCTGATTCTCCAAATCCCAGGAGGAAGTTAGTGCAGCATCTGCAGTCTAAATTATTTTGGCTCCACCAGCTGCATGCCCTTTACGAAGTGATTGTCTGATGTGTGGCTACTTGGTTTTATCAAACAAGTACTGCTTTCTGGAAACTTTCAAAATGGCAATGAGTCTCCAGGACCTAAAACAACTTAATAAATTGAAATTCTACATTTGTTCCAGCTTCTAAAAAGCCCATGATTTTATGTTTTTAAGTCTTGAAAATATTAGAGCAAAACTACAAAATATCTACATCCCAGGTAACTCTGAAGAGCTGAATGTGTATGAAATAAGTATTGGAAAGTAGTCCCCTAAGAAGAGTTACTGATAAAGCTTCAGAAAAGACTTTTCTTCTTGTACTTGCCTGATGGATGCAAATCAAATTCCTTGACCTTAGGAGAGTGATCATAAAATGTAATCAAAGTTTCCAGATCGAAAGGTGCTCTAAATGGTTCAGTAAGCAGCTGCATCAATGCTATAAAGCATCATGACTGCTAACATAGGTCATGTTTCAGGAAAACAAGATGAAAACCTTTTGCTTTTAAAAGAAATTTGGTCAAGTCCCAGGAAAAGAATGACAGCTATATTTATACGGCCTCCAACCTCAAGGAACTTCCAGCAATTTGCAGGTTTTTAATGTCATTAACCTCCAGGGTATTTCTGTTTCATGTGTTTAAAAGCTGGTTGCAAGTACTATCATAACACTTTCCAAATAAGAAGTCTGCAGTGTTACATATCTACCAACTTATCTCAAAGTTAGAAATCAAATACTGATATAGGTTTTCAAGTATGATCTTATTTTTTCCTTGCAGGAAATTCAGCATATTTTGAACACTGGGAAGAAAGAGTCCTTAAACTTACTGTTGAACAAAAAGAGCAATCCGCAACATGAAAACCAATCAGTAGCACACTTGAGTACATAAACTTAAAATTACCAATTCTTTAAAAGATTACAAGAATGTAACTGTCTACTCTTTTGGTGCTTCAAATCTGTATTCATTTGAATCTAATATCTTTAATTTTAAATTCCTGTCTGAATGTGTCTGAGTCTATCCACGTTGAAGTGTGTGTGTGTGTGTGTGTGTATGTGCGTGTATGTGTATGTACGTGTGTGTGTGTGTGTGTGTGTGTGTGTGTTAAAGAGAGAGAGATCTAAAGAGAGGGGTTTTATTAAACAAATTTCCTATATAGAGTTTGCAACTACATTCCCTCTACCTTCCCACAAAATGTGAGGGATTATGCCAGAAAGAGGCTAAATTACAGGTTGTATTTTAGAATATTTTTCAAACTCTAGTAGAAGACAGTGTGTGACTTATTATAGGGGGAATATTATAATTCATCAAGTTTATTGGACGAAGTATTGAAGGAACCCCATAACAGGGCAGAGTGGTCAAATGTGGCAGTGAGGATATTACTGGTTCTTTCTCAAGGAGACAAAGGTAAAATAACTCATTTTGCTAGCCTCTTACATATTATCAATTAAAGTTGAAAAACCATTATATTCTTACTGAGCACCAAAACAAACCAAGAAATATACTATAAATTAAAGTTATAGGCCGAGCACGGTGGCTCACGCCTGTAATCCCAGTACTTTGGGAGGCCAAGGCAGGCGGATCATGAGGTCAGGAGATTGAGTCCATCCTGGCCAACATGGTGAAACTCCGTCTCTACTAAAAATATAAAAATTAGCCGGGCATGGTGGTGCATGCCTGTAATCCCAGCTACTCGGGAGGCTGAGGCAGGAGAATCATTTGAACCAGGGAGTCGCAGGGATTTCAGATTGCACCACCAGCCACAGAGGGAGACTTTGTCTCCAAAAAAAAAAAAAAAAAAAGATATAAAGAGAATTAAATAAGGGGAGTACCCTCAAGGAACACAAAGAGAAAATCATGTAATCAATTACAATGTTATCTTAAGTACTATCATAAGAAAAGAAATAGAGAATTGTGGTATGGGCTGAATTGTGTCCCCCATTCTCAAAAAAAAAAGAAAAAAAGTGTGATGAACTCCTAACCCCACTGTGACTTTGAGATAGAGCCTTAAAGAAAGTAGTTAAGGTTAAATGAGGTCACAAGGATGAAGCCCTAATACAATAGGACTAATGTCCTTATGAAAAGAGGAAGTGATACCGAGTATGTACACACAGAAAAAAAAAAAAAGGCCACTTGAAAACACAGAAAGATGGTGGCTGTTTGCAAGCCAAGAAGGAAGGGCTCACCAGAAACCAATGCTATTGCTGCCCTGATCCTACACTTTTAGCCTCCAAAACTGAGAGATGGTAAATTTCTGTCTTTTAAGACACCCTCACCCTATCTGCGGTATTCTGTATGGCAACTCAAGCTGACTAAGATAGATGATAGATAGATAGATGGATAGATAGATAGAGAGATAGATAGATAGATAGATACAGATAATTGATTAATATATATTTACAAAAACAGAGTAAATAATAAGAAATTCTTTCTATAGATATGACAGAAAGTTGCAGAGAAGAGCAAACACTTGAATTATGTCTTAAAAGATAAATTAGAAAGTGTGACAAGTATAGTACTTTCACAATTTTGTGTTTATGTTTTCCTGAAAATAAGTAATTACCACAATTTTAAAGAAAGGACCTTGCTTTTCCATTCTTATAAATTTTACTCTGTTTTTACTGCACACCTTGCTCCATACTCCATATATTGTGTCAATTTCTTTCAAACAAAAACTCTTCATTTGGATCCAAACCTCCCTGTTTGTTATTGTTGAGTTTTCAAATACTGCTCTTCCCCTTACCTATATTTGCAGTGGAAACCTGCAACTTGGGTCTTCTTTCTATTCCAGAAAAATAATTATTTCAGTCCTGTTGGCACTACCAGTACAATAACTACTACTAAATTTATATGTCTATCAGTACAGTAGTTCCATGCATGTAATTGTGTTAATTACCTAAAACAATGCAATCATGCAAATGTCTTTACTCAGATTTCAAATTGAAAAAAAATTAAGGTTCAGAGAGGTTGAATCATTTGCCAAAGTTCCTCAGTCACTATTAGGTTTGGTAACTAAGACACTAAATAATAGCTTCTGATTTTAAAGCCAGATTTCTTCTAATGGGTACTTACCATTTGGGAGCTAATGGCCAGCATGCATTTACTCTATTTTTTCTTTAGAGCCCATGATCTCAGTTTAGCAACACCTGTCTCCAGTTCTCAGTTTGTGTCTTTGAATGGAAGCCAATCTAGGCTTAGGTCATTCTGTGTGTTCTTTTTATCTAGTTTCAGAGATTCATTTAAAAATGGCCACATGAGGCTCATTTATTGTTAAACGTGGGGACTTTACTGGAATATCTTGAAGTGATGTTTGTTCTGTTCCTCTAAACTAGAGCCAAGAGAGAATAAAATGGAAACTGCAGCATCTATCTCATCACTATGTATAGCATGAAAAGGAAACCAACACAGGACACAGGGAGGAAAGTCAAGCCTAACAAAGTGGCAGTGAAATTGAGCCCTGAAGGCATCATTTGATCAATTAATCTGTTTGGATCTGATGCCACTAAATCACATGAATTCATATGAATCAAAAACATTCCCTTTTTTGGTTAAGCCAGTTTGAGTTGGCATTTATACTAATCACAACCTAGAATGCTAACTGAAAAAGTTTTACTCTAAACCAACTCTCTAGAGGCAACTTGTAGACTGACATCTATGCAGTCATACTTCATTTTATTGCACTGTGTAAATACTGCATCTTTTTCCAAATTGACTATGTGACAATCCTGCATAGAGCAAGTCTATTGGTACAATTTTTCCAACATCTTGTATTCACTTTGTGTCTCTGTGTCACATTGTGGCAATTCTCATATTTCATAATTTTTCTTTACTATTATATCTGTTGTGGTGACCTATGGTCACTGATCTTTGATGTCACTATTGTAATTGTTTTGGGGGCTCCATAAACCATACCCATTTAAGATGGCAAATTTAATTGATTTATGTGTTCTGACTGCTCCACCCACCAGCAGTTTGCTCATCTGTCTTTCTTCCTTGGGCCATCCTATTTCCTGAGACACAAAAGTATTTAAATGAGGACAATTAATAACTCTACAATGACCTATAAGTGTTCAAGTGAGAGAAAGAATAGAATGTCTTTCACTTTAAATCAAAAGCTAGAAATGATTAATCTTAGTGAAGAAGGTTTGTGGAAAGGCAAGATAAACAGAAAGCTAGGCCTTTTGTGTCAAGCAACTAAGTTGTGAATGAAAGGAAAAGTTATTGAAGGAAATTAAAAGTGCTACTCCAGTGAACACAAGAATGATAAGAAAGGGGAAGAGACTTACTGCTGACATGAAGAAAGTTTGAGTGGTTTGAATAGAAGATCAAAGCAGCCATGACACTCCTTAAGCTAAAGCCTAATGAAGACTGAAAGAGGAGAGGAAACAGCAAAAGAAAAGTTGGAAGCTAGTAGAGGCTGGCTCACTAGGTTTAAGGAAAGTAGCCATCTCCATAACATAAAAGTGCCAGGTGAAGCAGCAAGTGTAGAAGGTGCTCATGTAGAAGCTACAGCAAATTAGCCAGAAGATCTAGCTAAGATCATTGAAGGTGGCTGCACTAAACAGCAGATTTTCAGTGTAGCTGAAAGAGACTTGCATTGGAAGAAGATGCTGTCTAGGACTTTCATAGCTAGGGAAGAAAAGTCAATGCCTAGATTCATATCTTCAAAAGACAGGCTGACTCTCTTGTTAGAGGCTAATGCAGACGGTGACTTTAAGTTGAAGCTAATATTCATTTACCATTTGGAAAATCCTAGGGCCCTTGAAAATTATGCTGAAACTACTTTGCCTGTGTTCTATAAATGAAACAACAAAGTCTGGATGACAACACATTAGTTTACTGCATTTTTTTTTTTTTTTGAGATGAAATCTCACTCTGTTGCCCAAGCTGGAGTGCAGTGGTGCAATCTTGGCTCACTGCAACCTCCACCTCCCGGGTTCAAGTGATTTTCCTGCCTCAGTCTCCTGAGTAGCTGGGACTACAGGCACATGCCACCATGCCCAACTAACTTTTGTATTTTTAGTAGAGACGGGGTTTCCCTATGTTGGCCAGGCTGGTCTCGAACTCCTGACCTTGTGATCCACCCGCCTCTGCCTCCCAAAGTGCTGAGATTACAGGCATGAGCCACCATGCCTGGCCTGTTTACTGCATATTTTAAGCCCACTGTTGAGATATATGGCTCAGGAAAAAAGAACAAAAACAAAAACAAAACAAAATTAAAAAACCTCTTTGCAAATTTGCAAATATTACTGTTCATTGTCAATGTACTTGGTCACCCAAGACCTCTGATGGAGATGTACAAAAAGATTAACATTGTTTTCATGCCTGTTAACACAACATGCATTCTGCAGCCCATGGATCAAATTTTTTATTTCGGATTTTAACTCTTGTTCTTTAAGAAATACATTTTATAAGGCTATAGCTGCCATAGACTTTGATTCTTCTGATGAGTATGGGCAAAGTAAATTGAAAACCTTCTGGGAATAATTCACCTTTCTAGATGCCATTAACATTTGTGGTTTATAAGAGGAGGTCAAAATATCAACACTAACAGGAGTTTGGAAGAAGCTGATACCAACCCTCATGGATGACTTTGAGGATTTCAAGACTTTAGTGGAGGAAGGAAATGCACATGTGGTGGAAATAGCAAGATAACTGCAATTAGAATTGGAGCCTTGGAGATGTGACTGAATTACCGCAATCTCACAATACAACTTGAATAGATGAGGAGTTGCTTGCTAGAGATGAGCAAAGAAAGTGGTTTCTTGAGAAGAAATCTAGTCCTAGTGAAAATGCTGTGAACATTGTGGAAGTGATAACAAAAAAATTGGAATGTTACATAACCTTACTTGATAAAGCAGTGGCAGGGTTTGATAGGATTAACTCCAATGTTGAAAGAAGTTCTACTGTGGGTAACGTGCTATCAAACAGCATCTCATGTTACTGAGAAAGGAAAGGAAGAGTCAACCAACATGGCAAACTTCACTATTGCCTTATTTTAAGAAATTGTCCCAGCCACCCCAAACTTCAACAACACTGTGCTGATCAGTCAGCAGCCGTCAATGTTGAGACAAGTCCCTCCACAAGCAATAAGATTACAACTGGCTGAAGGTTCAGATGATTGTTAGCATTTTTTAGCAATAAAGTATTTTTTAATTAAGGTATGTACATTGTTTCTTACACATAACACTGTTGTACACTTAATAAACTACAGAATAGTATAACTTTTATATGCACTGGGAAACCCTAACAATTAATGTGACTCACTGTTGCCATATTCGCTTTATTGCAGTTGCCTGCAACAGAACCCATACTATCCTAAGGTATGCGTGTATTACTCCATGAATGTGTATTTGAGTTATGAGCTTCCTTATGAAGAACAGTAACTCATAACCATGATTACAGGGTTAGCATCTCAAAGTTGTGTTGGAAAACCTGCTTATTTGGGAGATAGACATTAAGTAAAATGTTGCCACATAAAAGAGAAGTGTACAATTAAAAGCAAGACAGTATGGTCTAGGATGAAATGAGAAATTACATTAGGAATAGACTTCCTTACAAAGACAAAAGAGAAGAAAACTGGCTAAAAACTCAAAATGAATAAACTGAGAGAAGGATGCTCAAGAAAAGAAAAATTCTGATTGTCAAAAATTTACAGTGTGAAAGTCCAAAAGAAACTGTCCTATTTGCTGTCATAAGTGGCTACTGGAAGGGCAGTTGCAACCTCACAGTAGAACTGGTGAAACTGTTGTCTACTTTTGATGGGAAACAGGGAGCAAACTATATATACTATGGCAGGGACTATGGAGCACACTGCTGAGAGCTATCTGTGTCCCACACCTCAGATTAAAGCAGCAACAGAGGAGTCCTGAAGGCTAACAATGATACAACCCAAGTCTCCAAGGAAAGACCTCACTGGGAATAAATTGGCCATTCATCTTTGTTTTTCAGTGCCTAGGATAATGCCAGACACAATACTGACTCAGCAATTTTATTCAACCAAATAAAAAAATGTGGAATGAATGGAGGACTCCATTTATTTAAAGCTTTTAAAGGGCTTAAAAGAAAAAAAAATCAAGCATGTAATCAGGACCAAAAGCAGGAAACTTGTTACCTAGACTTATTACCTAAAAAAGGAATGCTCATAGAAAGAAATTAATAAATGGTAAGAGGCATGGCAAGAATGGCCACCTTTAAGGATTCATGTAGTGTCTTAAACCTACACTCAGGTAAGTTTTTAAGATAATACCCTACATGCATGCAAATTTTATTATGAACTGCCTCACACTGTAGAATGAATTAGTTCTTAATTTAAAATGATTAACTATCCCAGTCTATTTTGAACTACGTGGAGGAATTCAAGGTACCAATGAGGCAAGAAAGGCCAACATCTCAGAGAAATGCTGGGATTCTGAGGCCATGGTTTCTAACCATTACTTCAAGCGATAGAAAGTTAAAGTGCAGAAGTAGATAAAAGAATCCTGTTGAAAAAGCACAATGACCATAAACTGCCTGGTTTTGTTTATTTGTTTGGGTTTTTTTCATATAATAAATTAAAAAGAATATCTAACCTGCCTAAGAAAACAAACTGTTTTCAAGAATTTTATTTGGGCTATTTCCATACACATATAATAATATGCTAATTTTAAATGAGTCTCAGCTTTTCACTTAAACATGCCAGCAGGAAGTCTACTTGGCAATACTTTCTTGGATGTTTTGCCAATTACTGTATGTACTTGAAAACAACAAAACTGCTTTCTATAAAAAGCATCATATAATTCAAACTTTTCAATGATCCAGAAGAGTTTCCATCTCAATTACTGTGAGTGTGTAAAATTTTACTATATTCTTTCTACAGCAATTTGGAGCCCTACTGTCGTCTCAGGAAAGAATTCTAGAAACCTTAAATGGGGGATGCTGGATTTTGCGAAAACCTTTTCCCTTGCCTCCAAAGACAATGATTGGCAAATCCAAATGGTTTCCCCTGCATGTGCTGTTCTGACCCATTCCTCTGTGGGGACGCCTTGACATTTTTGAAATGAGTTAGTGCTGCCATCTTCTAGCCCCAATACTTTCCATTTATTAAACACTAACAACATATTACAAACATAAGGATACTATCTTATTTAAAAGTTCTTTTGCACTTATCCTCAAGTATGGAAGAAGACGTTGATAAGCAGATGGGTTGAATAACACACTTAGTCACACAATTGGTCAATGAGAGAGTTATAATTCAATCCCAGGCCAATGTGGCTCTAAATTTGTTATTTAGAGCAGAGCGCTGTAAATATATTGCCCCACTTGCTTTTATAAATAAAGTTTTATTGGAATTCATCCATGGCTACGTGTTTATGTATTGCCTGTGGCTGCTTTTGTACTACGAGAGCAGAGTTGAGTAGCTGCAACAGAGACCATAGGATGCACAAAACCAAAAAGATTTAATAACTGGTCCTTTACAGAAAACAACAATAACAAAAAACTTGCCAACTCTGCTCCAGAGCCTATGCCATTAAGCTAGGACTCGATTCATCTCTAGGACTCGATTCTTTTACCAAAATAATTTTTCACCTTGTAGGCAAGTCTCAATGGAATTCCAGCATCATCAAGCAACCATTTGTAAAATGTCTGTCATTTTTGAAATACAGAAACAGAGCTTTGGGAAAATCTCCATATGCTTGTTGAAAGTTCATACTTCTGAAGAAATAAGTCTACCTTTGAATAATCCACATGATTTAATTTGCCCTTCTCCGGTATGATTTTTCCACGTTTGATTATACTTTACATTGAGGAAATCAGTTTACACTTAACTTGTTTAGCATGTGCTAAATAGTAAATCATAACTGTAGAAGACACTGTCTGGTATATTTCCCATGAATGAATAATATACACCAAAATATTGTTGGATTCTCATATGAAAAATTTCAAAAGGCAGTTTGACAACAGATAAAATATCCAGTATTCCAAGCATTCTTTTCCAAATGCTAAATGAAAGCAGAATGATTTGAGGGTAGTAGTAGCCAGAATAGGACTCAAGGAAGCAGCAGAAGATTGAGATGGGTGATTTACAAATCTCAAATATATGTAGCAAAAATTGAGGCTTTAAACCTTCAATAAAAAAACAGTCATTCTGCGAAGTTTAAATAAGAACTTCAGTAAAAGATTGTTGTTCCCAAAACACACTTAAGGTGAGAAATGGATCTTCTCATGTCCTATAGAGTAAATGAGTTTTGTGTTTTACCAATAGTCATTCCATTTGATCTTTTAGTGGCAACCTTTGTTCCATTTTCAATAAGTTCTTAATCTTTTACGATTTTTTTCTTTTTGAATTTTTCTGGGTTCATTTTATTCATGAATTTATTTAAAAATCTATTAGAGAATTATAAGCTTCACTATTGATCTGTTAAAGACAAAAAAATAAAAAAGCCATTGATGCAATACAAGCAACTGTTTTCTCAAGCCAAAATTGATTGAGAGCGTCCCCTGTATAAAAATGAAATGCGTTTCTGTGGATGCACTGACGCTTCACCATCTGTCCAACATCTTAGATTTACTCTCCCAGATAACTGCATATTTCACCCAGCAGTCCCTAAAGAAACATCACTTTAAACAGGGCCACATGGAAAAATGCACTTCAATAACATTTGAAGGTCTTGCATTTAGCTGCAAGGGCCTCGAACCTAAATGACTGATGTGCCTAGAGAGAAGCTCCATTTGAAGTTATGGAAATGGGGAGGAGCAAATGCAAGGGATGGAATGTATAAAAAACGAAATGATGGCAGTAAAAGACATAGGGATTTACAGATAAAGCCAAAAGATGCTGGCAGCCATCTATCTGTCTGCCTTGATGAAATAGGTATTGGAAATTAACTCAGGAACCCTATGAATTACATTCAATCCATGCTGTGGGCTAAGCACTTGTCAATTTCAGCTGCTATTGCAACCTATTACTTACAGACTACATGGCTGGCAAGTTAATAGCACTGGATAGTGTTAAAGAAAATAGGAGAATAAACTGAATGTAGCAAGGCTTGTCACTGACAGAGCATGCCTTTCTGAAGTCCAGGGTGAATACTCAGGGCCCTGACCTTCACTTGCTCCTAGGTGAGCACTTAACCTTACACATCATCATTTTGTCTATGAAGAAGAGTCTTCCTAAAGGATTAGTCAGCACACAGCCAGATACGTGGGGGCTTTTACTAGTGTTTTCAAGGCTTGTGAAACATTCTTGTAATTTAAGTATTTTTGAGTTGTCAACTCTTTCAGTAGTCACATTCTGTCTAAAGTCAGGGAGATACCAGCACTGACCATTTAGTTTTACTTGCAAATATGACCAGTCTGTTGCTTCATATTATTTTTATTTTAGTCATAAGTTGACTCCCTGTTTACCAAGGCAACATGGAATTCTTACTCTTAAGAGATAAAATTAAGGGAGAGGATTTAGTTTACGTTACAAAACATGTATCTTTACTTCCCACAGACTCTAAATCTATGAGTGAATATCTTCAATCTTATCTCATAAAAACTAAGAAAGATGCATCAGTACAACAAAACATTCCTTTAAGATGAGCTTCACCAGTGCTCCAGAACTGTATTGTATTTTTCAACTTATAAGCTTGTCTAACATTGAAATATTTTAATAAGCAAGCGCATTCAGAGTAAATGTCAGCCAGAGTGATCTTCTGACTAACAGATGCTAGTGGGTATAGAGGGGGGAGAGGGACGTAAAAGCACTGAAAAATCAAGCAAGGCCAAATTAGAACAAATGTTTGTCAAGTAAAAAGGGCAACTCTTCATCTGATGGAAGGGATTTAATTAGAAAAGTCACAGAGAGAAGCTGTCTCAAAAGTACCGGTCCCATTCTCTTTAGATAAGCTAATGAACCTCATTGAACTTTGCAGAGAAATGCTGAACCAATAATACAAAGAAGAAATAATTCACAAAGTGTGCTGCTGTGCCTCTTACATTCAAGAGGGTCAATTGCTTATGCTACTCCAGGTCATAATAGAGAAGTGCTGTGGCAATTTACCTTCTGATTCTGTCTCTGAGTGGCCAAATGGGTAAATGGATCCAAGGGAAATTGAATTTAAATATATCTCCCTTTTGTAACAATGAAATGAATTTTATTGTTAAGCAATAAATTATAAAATATGAATCACATGTTCCATGTACAAAATCACCTACAAAATATATAAT
Source organism: Homo sapiens (assembly GCF_000001405.40). Taxonomy (NCBI): domain Eukaryota; kingdom Metazoa; phylum Chordata; class Mammalia; order Primates; family Hominidae; genus Homo; species Homo sapiens. The sequence goes on from NC_000013.11 coordinate 58,596,461, forward strand.
CTATGCAGATTGTAGCCTAATTCCATCTCAGTTAATATTCTTTCCCCCTACAGTAGCCATAGCAAAAATGAATTAAAGGGCATTTTTTTTTGCATTAGTCAAGGGCATTTTGAATGCATAAAAGAATATTATAAGCAGAATTTTGTAAGTTACTGTGTAAGGAAGACACAAACCCCCTGGGAAATTGGATATGAAAAAATCTGAAATCATTTACAAAAATCACACTAAAAGAAAGAAGATTCTAAACTCTTCTGATTGTTTAATGCTTCAGTGCCTTTGTTTGTCAGTTTAATTTTCCTTACTGGTTAGCCTTTTGCAGATAATTCATGTCTAGTATTGAACTCCTTGAGAGAGTAATAAAGCACATATGGAAAAGAGTAGCATGTGGAGTTAAATTGCAAAGTGCTTATCATGTAGTATTTCGGATACAGGGTATTTACAAACTACCCTTAACAAAGTTTATCTTGTTATTCGACAGAAGCAAATGCAGTTGCAATAAGTTAAATATATTAATCAAATCCTATTAAATTAAATATATTAATCTAATCCACTTGACACCTCATGATAGAAACCTAGCAGAAACAAATAAACAAAATAACTTAGTGGTAATGTTAAAAATAAAAATCTTGAAATTAACAGGCACCATTCTCATTTTCAAAGGTATATAAAATCCACATAGACACAGATATTCACACCTACATACAAGCAGAAAGCCATGCACATGTCAAAAAATCCTGGTCAGAAAAAAAATTGAATATGTTAACTTTCACATTTTTCCATTGTTATGGAGAAGAAATCTTTATATTATTAAATTGTAACAGATTTGCTAACTTAAAGTCAGGGTGTATATAATATTTAAACACATTCCTATCCTTATTTTGCCTTTGGTGGGGAGGAGGGTGTCAGAAGTAAGACTTATTATCAGATTCTATGATATCTACTTATCATTTAATCTTTGATTCCATAGGTCTGATACATTCTGTTATAAAAGGTAATCACCCTTCAGGGAGAGCACCTAGAGCAGCAGTCCCCAACCTTTTTAGCACCTGGGACTTCTTTCATGGAACATAATTTTTCCATTGACTATGGTAGGGCAGGGACGGTTTTGGGATGAAATTGTTCCACCTCAGATCATCAGGAATTAGTTAGATTCTCATAAGAAGCGCACAACCTAGATCCCTCATATGCTCAGTTCACAACAGGGTTCTTGCTCCTATGAGAATCTAATGTAGTTGCTGATCTGACAGAAGGCAGAGCTCAGGTGCTAATGCTGGGTCTCCCACTGTTCACCTCCTGCTGTGTAGCCCAGTTCTCAACAGGCCACAAAGAGGTACTTGTTCACTGCCCTGGGGTTGGGGACCCCTGTCCTAGAGTGAAAACTTGAGACACATTTTGTATCTATCTCCCAGACCCTGCTTAATTAAGCCTCTTATGGCTTTAATATCAGAAAACTACCCTAGTCTCAGGGAATTTCCTCCATCACTCTAACCCAGTAGTTCCCAATTTACTTATTTTGCCCCCTAGGGAATTTTACAGAGAGAGACTTTTTGTTGTCATAACTAGGAGTAAAGTACTACTCATATCTAGTGTGTAGAGGCTGGGCATGCTGTTAAATATGTTACAGTGCATAGGATAGTCCATAAAAATGAATTATCTAGCCCAAATTGTCAATAGTGCTGAGTTTGAGAAACCATGTACGATCTAACCCATGAATATGAGATGTTTTTCTGAACTTGGATTTTCCAGGACACCTCTGTAATCACACATGCAATTGTTTCTGTGGCAGCCAAATAGTTTTCTTCCAACTCATTTGCATGTGCTGCCTCTTTCTATCCTTATAGTTTTCTTCCAACTCATTTGCATGTGCTACCTCTTTCTATTCTTACCAACAAGGCACATTTGAGCCTAGAGGTGTACTAGAACTCAGGAATCCACATGTACATTCCTTTGTGATAGCATGACACCTTTTATTTAGAAATGCCAGTGTTATGAGGCATGGAAGAGGGGTGTGTCTGGGGAGTGGGGATTGGAGGCTGTGGGAACAAAGGCTGCCTATTTATGTTCCTCCTCCTGGGATTCTTACAGAATTGTAGTGTGTCTCAAGGAAGTCCAATCAATAGCTATGCTGAGCCTCTCTTGCAGTATTATCCGCTCTCTTGATAAGAGAGAAAATAAACGAAGATACTGAAAGCTGGAAAGCAAATTGGCTACCCCCTACTTCTGACTTAATGCAACATTTTTAGTAGATTTATCATTTGTGAAATAACTTACTTAGGTAACCACTTACTAAGAAGCCATTCTGTATAAAGAAAAGGCTATTCTAATAATTATTATATCTACAAACCAATCAGGTCAGCAAAGGAAAAAAATTGGACCTTAATTTAAACCCGAGAACAGATTTGCTCTTTGATAGAGGCTGTTCTTGCACTTTTATATATAATCTTTTTTTCAATTCATAACTAAATATAATCATGAAATAGTTCACTGGATCTTCATGTTAGAAGGTGACTTAAAGACCACCTAATCAAACCTTCTAAGTAGTGAATAGTGAGTAATTTTTTTAAAAAATGATTTCTGATATATGTACAGCAAGTCTTACCAGAAATTTCCAAGGATAGGTGTACACTCAAGATTAAATGAATCTTGGCAAGAGAAAAAACTTGAGTTGGTAATTTGTCTAACCACTATCGAATTTTTAAAATCTCTCTGCAGTATCTTCGACATTATCTTTCAGCCATTCCTTAATTCAAAAAATATTATTTCAATGTGATTGTATTAATTTATTTGCGACGCCTTTGATTGTACTTTTAAGACATAGTATATAAGTGTTATCCTGTTTCAAACATTCAAGTGTTAGATTCTGGTAATGCAATAGTAGAATAAAGTTAGAATAATTCTTTCCCTCATGGAATATTATACTTAAATGGGAGAGATACACTTTATAAATATGAAACAATAGCTGGGTTGTTGTATCATGAAGGAAAAGTACAAGTAACTGATATTTTAAGGAAGACTTTCTTGAGGAAGTGATTATTGAGATCCAATAAAAGGAAACTTATACCTGACTACCCATATTTACCTGTAGCAATTGTCTAATATTAAGCTGGTACCTCTTTTTTGACTGTGACTTTATAGTTCAATAGAAAAAAAAGCTTAAACTTGTTAAAAATCGTTTCTACACTTTATTCATCCCTTAAATGCCAGTCACCAAGCTAATAACTTTATATACAATTATCTAATTCTATCTTCCCAACAACTTTAGAGATATTTATTGTTTTCCTCTTGTAAAAACACAGACACTTAAATTCAGATAAGCTAAATCCCTCTTCAAGTTCACATTGCTTATAAATCAGTAAGCGAGGAGTGAAACTGCATCCTCTAAGGCCACACACTGGATTACAGTTTTTGAAAGCAGCTGTAATATCTACTTGTCACCTTTCTCTGTCCAAACTAAACTCCCCTGGTTCCATTTTACTATTCTTCATCTCACTGGTTTTTATAACCTTACCATCCTCATGTTTCTTCTCTTTTCTCATTTAAACAATATTTCAAGTTGATTGCAAACTCTAGATATAGTTCAACAATCATAGTATAAATTGAATGAATGTTGCTCTTTTTCTAGATATTATATTGCTTATAAGTCATAATTCCGATCATTTTTAGATTATTCAAATTTTGAATCAGATTAAATTTCATGCCCATTGAAATTTTTGTCCTGTTTTGAATACACTATGATACTAAACTGTGTCTCTCCCTTATACATTTGTATTACTTCACAAGACAGCTATTTGATAATAGAACACTTAAAATTTATATAAAGATTTTTCCTATATTGGGAAAAGTATATGTACTCATACCACCCATTGATTCTACTTCTCTTTAGAGTAGAATAAAAAATACCTGTCCATGTGGCCACTTGTCGCTGAGGATAATAGGAGCTAGCATGTTTAAAGCACTGTAATAGGTACTTTCTTTGAATTACCTCATTTTATCTTTCACTAGGTGTTAGGAACTATGTAGTATTTCCATGAAATAACTGAAACTTCAGGAGACTGTGTAACTATGTAAGGTCCCACAAATAGTAAATGTTAGAGTGAGATGGGATTAAAAATGCCGCCTATAACTCACTAAAAACCCTATAAATAGAACTACTATGCCTATCCTTATTCTCCATTCTTTCATCTGTTCATTAAGCATTTAGTGAATATAAGAAGGAAAAATAAGCCACAATATATACTCTCCATATCTTGTATTGAAGTAATCAAACTGCAGAGCAGAAATAGAATATGAAATATTGTATTTCATATTATATTGTCATGCAAGGTATTAGTGGTAGTATTCAACACTGGGGTAGAATCAAGATACTTGCCTCCCTGCATAAGGTATCTTCTGAATTGGATTTTGAAAGATGAATGAAAGCCACCTCCGAAATAGAGGGTTGGGATACATGCACAGTCTAGAGTAGATGTATCCTTTTTGTAAATGGTCTTTGTTCAATATTGGAAAGTCATTGAATAAAAAGAAGTGCAATTGAAGAAGTAAACAGATGCCAAGGTCATAAAATACCATATATGCCATGCTAAGGAGTTTGACTTTATCATGAAAGCTATGGGAGTCATTATAAGACTTCCAAGCAGGGAAAATACATGATTAGATTTGCGTTTTCAAAAGCTCACTCTGGCAGCGTGTAAATAATGGATTAAAGGAAAGTAAAACTAGAAGGAAGGAATCCAGCTAGGAGGCTGTTATACAAATCCAAACGTGAGAAGGTGAGGGTCTAAACTAAGGTAGCAACAGTGAGAATATTAAAACTAGGTGGATTCATAATGCAAGTGATAGTTTGTAGACAGAATCAACATGATTTGTTGGCTAGATAAAGGAAGTAAGGAACTAGGGAAATTCAACCTGTTTCCTGGATTGTGTACTGTTATCAACTGAAAATAGCCAGAGGCAAAAAGAAACAGATTTAGAGCAGGGAAATGAGGTTGTTTTTGAACAGTTTGCTACATTGCCTGTGAGACATTGTATTAGTCCATTCTCACGCTGCTAATAAAGACATACCCGACTGGATAATTTATAAAGGAAAGAGGTTTAATTGACTCACAGTTCTGTAGGGCTGGGGAGGCCTCAGGCAACTTACAATCATGGTGGAAGGGGAAGCAAACAAGTCTTCCTTCACATGGTGTCAGCCAGGAGAAGTGCCAAGCAAAAGGGGGAAAAGCCCTTTACAAAACCATCAAATCTCATGAGAACTCACTCACTATCATGAGAACAGCAGCATGGGGGTAACCACCACCATGACTCAATTACCTCCCACTGACTGCCACCCATGACATGGGGGGATTATGAGAACTACAATTCAAGATGAGATGAGATTTGGGTGGGGACACCGCCAAACCATATCAGATATCTAAGTGAATCTGCTGGGAGGCAAAGGGTGCTGGCCTATAGCTCAAATTGACCTTGCGAGTGATCAACTTACAGGTGGTGAATAAAGTCATTACTGTGGATAAGAATGCTTACCCTAAGTATATCAAGTGATAAGAGACTGCTAAGTACACATGTAAGGGGAACACTACATATAAAGGACATGGGATTCCAGAAAAGTAGGAAGAAAAGCTGTAATGTATTCAGTCACCAAAATCAAAAATGCAAAGCAACTCAAGACAAAAAGAAAAAGGAAAAAGAATAGAAAAGAAAACAAACTCAATTGATGCCGAAGACAATGGAGATGTTAAGATAAAGTCCAAAAAGTCTTCTTGACTGGAATTTTCTAATAGGAACAAAGAGGGTACTTTCGAAGAACCATGGGGTAAATGAGAAGTAAATGTAGCAAATAAATTTAGCAAATTATTTCCAAACACTTATCTGTAGAAACATGTTAGCTGGCCAGGGGGAAATTGTACAGCAAAATTGGTTAGCTGACGCTTCTTTGCTTTTCTTGTTTTGTTTTGCTTTGGAATCATAATAGGTAAGAAGGAATTTAGATGGATGAAAGTAAGAAAGCACTTATGGTGTTGTTTGAGGCGTTAAAGAGTTCTACACTTACGTCTATTTTTTCCTGTGAAGACATTGGAGGTATCTGCCTCTTGAGAGTGAGGGTTTTTGGTTATCAGGGAGAGAAATGCCAAATATTTGAAACAGCCTCTGGAGGAAAAAGGTTCCCTGGGATTGTTGCAAAGACTTTCTGGTTGAGATTAGAGACCAGGAGTTGATACTGACCCAAATTCACACTTTTAGGAAGGATTTCAAATAATCCTTAGCAATATCCATCAGAGAAAAGTTACCATGGAGGCAGAAGTTTAGGTTGATTGAAAAATGGGCTCCTGGAAGTGGAGGCGGGGTGGAGTAGGAGTTGATGGGGTGGATGAAAGATGGGGGATGCTAAGAAGAAAAATGGCTGAAGGGACTATTTAATTCATTCAACAAATATGGATTGAAAACTACATGTATGCTTTATATATATATGAAAGGCTAGGCATTGCAGATATAATTCTGAACAAGGTAGATACAGTCTCTGCTCTTATAGGAGATTTTAGTTACTGGACCTTGAAGTCTAGTATACAGAGAGAAGACCATATACTTAATCCTCTAATGCTAGGCTGCATTTATCACCCAACCAGTATGAACAATATCACATATTTAAACTTTAATGTATCTTCATTATTGAACTTCTCAGTTTTGAAAAATATATTTTAATTCATAACCACAAAAATAAAGATTATCAACTTATAATATTTTTCATCTCAACTCCATTCTTTAATGTTAGTAATTTATATTATAATTTCTGCATTTTCCCTGATTATCATGTTTATATTATCTTCAGAATCATCATTTCTATAAATGTGGGAGGCTTTCTCAGGTTTCTAACATATTCACAAGAGGTTATTGTCTCTCCATAGAGTAATCTACTTCCTTTGGGTGGCTCTGTGACATGAGAATTCTGTATAAGATCAGTGGCTACAAGACAGAAAGAGAAAGTGAGGGAAGTTCTTCACTGTAAGATAAGAGTGTCCCTCACATTTTCTGTTTTGATTTTTAGATAGCCCAAGAAAGGATACAAGGCAAATGTTTCTTTAATTTTCTATCTTTAAAATTCAAGATTCCTTAATCCGAATGCCATTTAAAACCCTTTGAGAAAAAAAAAGCTGGGATCTAAGTTAATAAATCAAAGTAGTAGATAGAAGGTGTTCCACAGTGAGCAGGTCTATGCAAACCTACCTGCAAAAGGCTGAGGGAGCTGAGAGGCCAAAGAAAGAGGCTAACAAATCCCATTTCTCAGAAGGAAACATAAAATAGGGGCTTTAAAATAGAAGCTATGTCTCAGGTAGCCACCAGATGGTGAAACCTGGCACCTGCCCTCCAGAAAGTATTCTTTATATAGCAAGTTTTTAAGGTAAAACATGTGCAGCTGGTGAGGTATTCAGGCTTTCATGCCAAGATTTGTGACCATTTGGGAGGTTAAGTAAGCATCTTTATGAGGGTTTATCTATGCTACAGGCATTGTTTAAAGACCTTACTGCAGAACACATTGGTGTGTGGGGGTCAAAACACAGTCATCACGGCAGTTTTGCTTCAAGATGGTGCCACTCTTGCCAGGCAACAGGCTATTTTTCTATAGAAGGTAATATATGAAGCTTCAACCCAATGCTTAAAAATATCAGTTCAGAGGCAAACTTTTGTTTGACTATAACAATGTTATTAAATTACTGGGTTTTCTCCGGATTTTTCCATTAACAATTTACAGGAAAATTTTCATTTTACAAATACTTGTAAAATCACCAGGCAAGTAAAAATTGTGTTATCTCTAACTCTCTAACTGGGGTAGCAATTTTTGACTGAAAATGAAAAAAAATACAGATGTTGTTTTACACAAAGGGAGAAATGATTAATCTAGAAATTCAGAGTATTTCAATAATTTTATTGTTTAGTTTTTTTTTTTAACCTGGTTTACTCAGTATTTTTTATTGAATTTTTGGTCTAGGACCTCAGTTTCCTCAATTGAAAAAGAAAACAATTATCACTGCAACTTGTAACAGCCAACTTTCTTATCTTATAATTTAGTAAGGCATTTACATTAAGAGTGCAGTAATAAGGGCATGAAAAAAGTGCTTTGGCAATAGAGGAAGGAAGCAGAAATTCTGATTAGAAGAACATGAACACCGTCTAAAAATCTAACCTCAAAGCTCAGTGAGAAAAGATGGTTAGGGATCCCATAGCCTCCAGGAGCCTAGAATTGTTAGGGGAAGTATTAGGGTCTACTGAAGAGATTTGTGTTTTGGTTCAGAAAACACTGTCACATAACATATTATCACAACAGACATGACTTGCTGGTATCTCTGCCCTTTTACATACAGAAGCTGATTTCTGTACACTTTTATTCTTTATCCTTTTCTGTTACTTAATAGTGAAGCTCTGGCCAAAATAAACATGCAAAAAATTTAATTTCTGTCTTATTTTCATGCTGTTTTATGTAATCATATATTTGCACTTTGCACATATATTTATATACTTTTATAAGATTTTGTACATTTGCGAGGACATTTTAGAGACCAAGAAGATGTTGTCATTATGCACACTTCTGTCATTATCGTCATTCCTCAATATGTCCAATTGGTATTAGCTAATTATTCTTGAAGTGTGCATGTAATGCTCATTCTCTCCTTCTCTCTCTTTCTCCCACCCCCCATACCATGTATTTCATACCACATATGTCACAGACCCAAACCCATCAACAAACAAGTTGAATAAATTGTTTACACAGGTAGAATTTGTTGTTTATTCTTTTGTTCTTATCACAGGTTTCAGTGTTCATATTTCCTATTTATTGGTACTCTCAGAAAAATATTCCATATTTAAGACATTAATAACATGTTGAAAAGATGGAACAGTCTTACTAATAAAGATCTCCAGCCAAGTCAATCACAAATGGAATAAGAATAATTGTACATTCCATCTGCTAGATTACAGTCACTTATCTTCTTGAGCATTACATTATTAATTGCTCTTGGAAATCTTTCATTAAAGGTATTACAGAAAGACATCTATTTATTATCTAGGTTTAGGTGGAGAATCCATTTGTAATTCAGCTGTTGATATGTAGCACGTGTTCTGAGGAACTAAAATGGCTATTATATAGAAATGGAGTGTTATTTCATATCAAAGACATCAAAAGAAACATCACTGGAAGTAGTATTCATACATAGGCATGAGAATGGCCAATTATGACGACTAGAAAAGAAATCTTTCAGCCAGTATGCCAGGAACACCTGGCTGTGCCATATCTTCAGGGAGAAAGTCAATACCAATGATAATGTCTTTTAATTTTTCAATACATTACAATTTATAATAGATCTGTTAGTATTTTAGTAGATTACTCAGGGCAGTATTTATAAAGTAAGTTAGTTTGAGCTACAAAGATAAAATACTAAATAAAATAGTCAACCATTAGTAGGATAAAAAATATTTCTTATAGTGAAACTAGGTAATTGGTATTTAGATAATTTGAAACTTTGCATTAAAATTCACAAAAAAAGTTTAACAAAGTACACATTAAAAATCAGTCTTGTTAAAATCTTGAATCAGAAGACTCCAGACCTGTTTTAAAGAACTTCATATGGGCTATTAAGGGTTTTGTTTTTAAAAACAATGTGGTCACTGCTAGTTTTACCAGACACAACACAATTTAAATTAGTTGAGGTAGGCCAATTACGTTCTATAGTAATATCTCAGTAAATGCTAATGATATTAATTATCATCTTCATTATCTTCATTTCCTAGCCATAGCATACATATCAGTTGTCTATTACATTGTTATTTATTGTTAAGCTCTTAGTTATACCTCATCACACCTGAACAGAGCTTTTCTTGACTTCATTTATCATATGAGTTATTGGCGAAGTCATATAAACTATCTTTTCTTCACAGAAAATGAGAGGGAAGAGCATTTTCTCTGCTTTGCCACTAATTGTTTTACATAGAAACTTTACTTACATATATAAAAGTAATAAACAATGGAAAATAAATGTGATGTCACTAACATAATTATTTTACCTTTAATGGCTAATAATTTGAAAGAGCTAGAAAAAAAATTTATGTTTGACCATGTGGATTCATTTGTGTATTAAAAATCAGTTACTGTTATTAAGCATGCAAACACACGAACACACACACACACACACACCAAATATAACTATCACATTATTTTTTTTCAGATTTTGTAAGGTTGCTGTATAAAACTGCACCTTTTTTGAGTAACAGAAAAAGAGCTTTTTTTCTAGTGTTATTATTTGATTCTCCTTTTCCTCAATGTAAAAAAAAATGAAACTAATGATGCTTTATTACTTACATTGAAGAAATACTGAGGATGAATTAGATGTGCATGAAGTTGTCTGAGCTCTTTGAAAAGACGGCAATAATAAGTAATATTAAAATGAGTAAAACAAAATCATATATAATATGCATATATTAAATATATGCATATAGATTCTGTTTCTGTTTACATGTGTATCTATATTAAATTCATAATTATATAAAGACATATATTAATTTTGCCACATACACATACTTACACACACACACACACACACACATATAGTTTTGCCTTTTTTGTTTGTTTGTTTGGTGTTTATTAAAGTGAAAGTACTTCAGGGAAATCCTTTGCGGATTTTATGGCTCTTCAAGGAAATACCCTTTTAAAACGTCTGGAATGTGTGTTAAGAAAAATAAATGATTTCACATTTTCTTGAGAGAAGAAAAGTAATTTCACAGTGCACGAAATTGCTTAGAGTAATATGGATTTTTTTTTCACTGCATTGTTAATTAAGAAAGATTGACACCTGTGAAGGTTTCAAGCCAAATAAAAATCCCAGATTTTAATTAGCTTTTCTAATGGTTATGTTTTCCTGCTAGAAGACATTTGCAAATCTACCAGTTTCTCAGGGAGAGTAGCAGAAGATAAATAATAATAATTATGTTTATTACTTTCATATGTGTCATGGTATGGAGTCGTGCAGGGATAGCACTAGATTAAATAATTAAATATGCTACTGTAACTCTCGGTGTGCTCTCTTCCACCTTTTTAACCTACTCTCTAGCTGTCTTCACGGCACACTCAATTGCCACCACCATCCCTGACCCATTGTCCCATTGTACATGCCTCTGGGTACTCTCACCCTCTTCCTGTCATGCCCCATCCACATCAATTTTCCACAGATAGTGACCCAGTCCTGTGAGTTTCTAGCCTCTCTCCTGCAAAATACTGGTTTCCATCGCTACTTGCTATAAACTGAGAATATTGATAAATAACCTGAGCTAAATTGAGATATTATACAGAAATACAAGATAGATACTTTTTACAGAATTTTATTAACCGCTGAATAATGCATAACATGTTTCTCTTCCACAAGGGGTATTCTTATTTTAATACGGGAAAAGCATTAACTTGAATAATGAATCACTGATAGTGGAATGTTAAGTAGTGTTTTTCAGCCAGGGACAGGTGAGATGCTATTCAAACCTCATCTGATAGGTGACAATCCATTTCATACTACTGCATAACATTTCTGAAAAATAGCTGAGGGACTAAATATTAATCATTTATCATATCATGAGTCACTGAGAGAACATATTACTAATCGTAGAGTGAAATCTTGAGATAAATCAATACAGAATCATGTGTATTTTAATACAAGTCTTTATATAATTGTATCTATACAGGCTATACACATGTACATACATACATGTGCATGCATACACACATACACAAACACACATCTGTATTTATTTTGGCCTTAGCTTGTCTGTTCATTATATTCTACAGCAAGGCAATCAATTGTATTGACTATAGAGAGTGATTTAATTAAGTCATTGTGTTAGCTAAAAACAACCAAGGCCAGTTTTCTCACATTGTCTAAAAATAGCTATTATTTTTATGGGATTATTAAACTTCTTGGATATATAAAAGGGTCATCTGTATATAAATTGTACAAATTGCTTGAGATCATTTGACAAATACATTATCATTAGAAAGCTTACTTAAAAAGGAATTTCAGACATTCACTTGAAAGAGCAAGATATTAATAAAACAAAATTAATTAAAGAAACACGATTAAATTAAATGTGTTACAAACTCAGAACAGTTGACTCTTCAGTGAATGAGTTGTCATTGGAGACATTCTAATAAATAACACATAAGTGTTTGGTTAATAAGTGCAAGTAATTTCTAATATTCAAATGTTGAAAGGAGTTTAAAACTATAGAAACAATCTGTAGAACACACTGCATATCTGAGGTGGAGTAATTTTTACATAGTAGAGCTTTTTGTTCCATTTTTTCAGTAGGCTCAGTGGACTTTCAGAGGCATATGCCAGCATCTTTGGGCATCAGTACAGTCAATAGGAATTGAGCTAATAGATATGTTAAATAATTTGCAATTAAATTTATGAAAATTCAGTTCTACACCTTGATGAGCACAGTGTCAAAGTTAAAATATTATAATTATTTTCCTCCAATGTGACAGTATATGTCTTCTAGAGAACAAAAGAGTGAGACACCTCGTCTAACCTTCAGGCCTGGAACTGAAGCTAAATTTACAAAGCAGTGTAGTTTTTGGTGTAACACTAGTCTATTCCTCTTCTTCTCAAACTTGTTTCCTCACTGTCTAAAAATCACTGTTAAATATCTGCTTTACATACAGTAAGCAACAACAAAAATACATACTTATATAAGAAGTGATGTTCATCTCCTCAACAAGGAATGCAGAGGTAAAAAAAAATCTCATTTTCATACATCTTACTTTATATTATGGGAGGTGAAAGTGGCACTAAAAAGACAAAAAGAAAACGTATTCTACATTAGAAAAGGCAATTTAAAAAGAGAAAAAACAACGGGAACTGGGATAAGAGCTGTCAACTGAGGAACATTTTGACATTTTATACAAGTTTTTCAGGGAAGACCTCACTGAAAGAAGGTGATAATTGGAGCAAAGACTTAAAGGAGGTGATCAAGTGAGCCATGTGACTATCCAGGAGAATAAATTTCCAAGTAGGAAAAGCAGCAAGAAAAAGCCCTTGAGGAAGGAGTAGGTCTGACAAGGGGCAGGGGGAGAGTGGAGCCGAATAGGCAGCAGGAAATGTAGTGGCAGAAGGGATCAGAGTGGTAATCAGAGGGCCGGGCTCTTGGAAGCTACAGTAAAGACTGGCTTAAACTCCAGCTGAACTGAGGAACCATTGCAGCCTTTAAAAAACAAAGTGAAATCTAACCTATATTTCAATACAATTACTCCAATTACCATGTTGAAAATACAAAATAAGGAAGACAGGGAAAATAGCATAGGGTTCAGGAAAGAGTCTTGGCAATAACCCAGATAAGAACCTCTAGTGCCTGGATTAGCATGGTTGCATTGGAAATTAGAAAAGAGTCAAGAATAACTCCATAGGTTTTGACCAGAGCAAGTGGACCAGAGCAAGTCGCTATCAACTTAGATGGAGAATGCTAGTTTTACAGCAGGAGGGATATCAAACTTTGGTTTGAGATACGATCATTAGATTTCTTGTTAGCTATTCAAATGGGGGATGTGAGTAGGCAAATTTGTTTCAAATTGCAGGGCAAGGTTCAGAGTGGAAATATATGCTTGTGAATTATCAATATATAGATGCTATTTAAGACTAAGACTGAAAGAAATAAAGAAGGGGTGTCAATACAGAAAAAGAAAGATCACAATCAGAGCCTTGAGACATTCCAACATTAAATGGTTTGTTCTAAACAGAAATTTACAAAAGAGATTAGGAGGAGGAGGAGCCAGGGGATCAGACAATTAGAAGGAAAATATGAAAATGATGTGAATAAAAAGTTTCAAAAGGTGGAAATTATCAACTTTGCTACTGAGAGGTCAAGAAGGACTGGATTTAGTACGTGAAGATAATTACTTACCTTGATAAAATCAATATCTATGGAGACATGTTGGGAAAATCCTTTAATTGGGTTTATAAAAGATTGTGAGAATGTGATGAGAAGAATTGGAGATAGCTAACTTTTTGAGATGTTTTACTGTAGTGAGTGTAAGGCATTGACTTCCAAAGTAATGCCATCAATGCAAGGTTCTTATATTATTATTTTTATCATTTAATACAGATGAAAAAATATTCATAGGGGAGTGCTGGGAAGTGAAGAACATGGTCCCTTTAAATGATACAGAAAGGGGGACAGGAAGTACTGGGTAGAGGAGGGCGTGGTCTCTGGTTAGGATCCACCCCCACAGACCTAGGTGAGGACTGGCACTCCTGCCTTCATGCCCAAATGTTGCATTACCCAAGACCACCCTGGCCTGCCAGGTCCCCATCCTGTGCCTATATAAAACCCCGAGACCTGCCAGGCCCAGTGGATCATGCCTGTAATCCCAGCACTTTGGGAGGCCGAGGTCAGGAGATCGAGACCATCCTGGCCAACACGGTGAAACCCCCTCTCTACTAAAAATACAAAAATTAGCCGGGCGTGGTGGCGCGCACGTATAGTCCCAGCTACTCAGGAGGCTGAGGCAGGAGAATTGCTTGAACCCCGGAGGCAGAGGTTGCAGTGAACCGAGATCCCGCCACTGCACTCCATCCTGGTGACAGAGCGAAACTCCATCTAAAAACAAAAACAAAAACAAAAACAAAAACAAAACAAAAGAAATAAACAAAAAAACCTGAAACCCTAGCAAGGCACACACGGACAGCTGGATGTCAAGAGGAGGAGATCGACGGAAGAAGACGCAAGGAGCTGGATGTTGAGAGGACATGGGGGGAGCACGCTGGCTGAAGAGCACACAGACAGACACCAGCATGCCTGCAGACCATAAGGCCATCAGGCCATCGACTGGTGGAACGAGTTGGAGTTTGGCCAGGGCAGTCAGAGGAGAGCCCGGGCCGCAAAGCCACCCAACTCCAGGGGAAAACTATGTCTTTTCTGGCTCCCCCATCTGCTAAGAGTTACTTCTACTCAATAAAACCTTGCATTCCGCAAGCCCACGTATGATCTGATTCCTCCAGTACACCAAGGCAAGAAACCCCAAGATACAGAAATCCCTCTGTCCTTGTGATAAGGAAGCTGGTCTAATTGAGCTAACACAAGCCGCCTATACATGGCTAAACTAAAAGAGTGCCCTCTAACATAGGCCCACTGCGGCTTCAGGAGCTGTAAACATTCACCCCTAGAGGCTGCAGTGGGGTTGGAACCCCACAGCCTTCCTGTCTGCATGCACCCGGAGAGGTTTGAGCAGCAAGGCACGGAAAGGTGAGCCACACCCCCATCGCACGCCCTGCAAGAGGGACAATGGAACTTTTCCAGTCTCAGTATCCTGTTTTGTGTTCAGTGGAATTATCTCGGAAACAGAGTTAACACTGATGTAGGAGAGAAGACTGAAGAAATTATGTTCTTAAGTATGTGACAAGAGATAGGATCTAGTACAATGTACTCATCTATAGAAACTGCAGAGAAGACAGAGTACACAGTGAAAATGGTTGCAGATGATTGTTTTGGGAAGGAGGGAAGTCTGTGAAAGTTTCTAATTTCTGTATTGTCTCAATGAAATAAATGAGCTGCTTGGCTGAGCATAAGAAAGGTGGTGGGGAAGTAGAGATTGAAAAAGAGAGGACAAGGTGGGAAGTAGTCTTCTGGGATAGTGAGAGACTATGTAGAGGTAGGGGGTGTACTGTTTTTGTCTGGCAAGGCTAAAGGCTCACTGAACATTAATCATCCAACATTTAAAGCTGAAATAGTAAACATGATAGTGTATTTTTTCTTCAGCCACATTCAGCTGCATGGTACAAGGTTAGGGTGAAAAGAGTTTTGGATTTAACTCAGGTTGAAATTTGATGTGGCAAAGCAAGAGAAGACAAAGATTGCAGAAGGTTGAGGACAAGAGAAAGTGAGCTGGAAAAAAAGGCTGGAAATCTTGGAATAAAATGAATAAAATTAAGATCAAGAAAGGGTTACAGTAATTAGTAATGATTAATGATCCAGTCTAGGTACAGCCATGGAAATGAAAAGAATAACTGGGTGGAGCACAGTCATTGGGAGATAGCTATTCAGCTACTTGAGAATCTCTTACAGAGGAAGAGTGGGATTGTTTACATAAACATTGAAATTATAAATAATTAAATATGGAGCAGTGAGGAAGAGAGAGAGCCAAAAACTGAAATACTTGAGAGATGAGCATGACTAAACTTGAGGTTTGTTAGGTTATTGGCAATATAGTGCAAAGACCTGGGATTCAAAGTTTAGGAACTTTAGAGAAGAGAGGGAGAGAGGGCCTGGAATAAATACTGAGAAGTAATGGAGACATCTACTCCATTGCTAGGTCTAGTAGTATGAATTATGGAGAGTGAACTTCCAGTAATTAAGAAGGAAAAGGAGGAAATAGAGTTTTTGGAGAACAACCAGGTTTTAATTAAAGCGAGAAGGCAAGAGGAAATTGAAGAGGTTGAGAATGTGGGCACAAAGAGGAGATGGAATGAACTCTGCACTCCGGAGTGGTGGAAAAGTTTAAGGTGGTAAAGAAGGACGGCAGACAGGGACAGAATAGGAGAACTGGATGGGAGGGACTGAGAATTTAGGGCTTCTCATGGTGATCAATTTAAAAATCCTGGAAAATAGACTTAATGAGTTTCATGGCAAATGATGGTGGTGAGGTTAGACAGTGAGAAAGACGGGGTCCAATGACCTCATGTCATACTTTCCAGCGAACAACTGGAGCTGGAAAAGGATGATCTTACTCCAAGCATTCTTTTATTTATTTATTTATTTATTTTGAGACGGAGTCTCGCTCTGTCGTCCAGACTGGAGTGCTCACTACAAGCTCTGCCTCAGCTTCCCAAGTAGCTGGGACTACACGGCGCCCGCCACCACGCCCTGCTAATTTTTTGTATTTTTAGTAGAGACCGGATTTCACCGTGTTAGCCAGGATGGTCTCCATCTCCTGACCTCGTGATCCGCCAGCCTCGGCCTCCCAAAGTGCTGGGATTACAGGCATGAGTCACTGCGCCCGGCCACTCCAAGCATTCTTGGCTCCCTTTTAAGACCTTCTTGATGAAGGATATCCTTATGAAAGGTCAAGATTAAGAACATGTTTATAGCAAAACTGACAAATGGGATCTAAATAAACTTAAGAGCTTCTGAACAGCAAAATAAACTATCAGGAGAGTAAACAGACAACCTACAGAATGGGAGAAAAGATTTGCAAACTATGCATCTGACAAGGGTCTAATATTCAGCATCCATAAGGAACTTAAACAAATTTACAAGAAAAAACAACTCCATCAAAAAGTGGACAAAGAACGTGAACAGACACTTTTCAAGAGAAGACATACAAGCATATGAACCAGTATATGAACAAGATTATAGAGGCACCAAGAAGCACGTGAAAAAAAGTTCAATATCACTGATCATTAGAGAAATGCAAATCAAAACCACAATGAAATAGCATCTCACACTAGTCAGAATGGCTATAATTAACAAGTCCAAAAATAACAGATGCTTGTGAGGTTGCAGAGAAAAGGGAATGTTTATACACTGATGGTGGAAATGTAAATTAGTTTCATTATTGTGGAAAGCAGTGTGGCAATTCCTGAAAAAGCTAAAAACAGAACTACCATATGACCCAGCAATCTTATTGCTGGTATATACCCAGAGGAATATGAATTATTCTACCATAAAGACACATCCATGCGAATGTTCATTGCAGCACTATTCACAATAGCAAAGACATGGAATCAACCTGAATGCCCATCAATGACAGATTGGATAAAGAAAATGTGGTATGTATACATCATGGAATACTATGCAGCCATAAAAAATGCAAGATCATGTCATTTGTGGTGACATAAATGAGGCTGGAGGCCGTTATCCTTAGCAAACTAATGCAGGAACCGAAAACTAAATACTGCATGTTCTCACTTGTAAGTAAGAGCTAAATGATGAGAAGACATGAACACATAGAGGGGAATAAGAGACACTGGGGCTTCCTTGAGGGTGGAGTCCGGGTGGGAAGAAGGAGAGGAACAGAAAAAATAACTTTCGGGTACCAGGCTTAGTACCTGGGTAACAAAATATCATTTACAATGAACCACCATGCCAGGAGTTTACCTGTATAACAAACCTGCACATGTATGTCTGAACCCAAGATAAAAGTGGGGGAAAAAAAAAAAAAAGAACTTTCAAAAAAATGGCTTGGCCCTTGTGGAGATAAAGAAGTCTTCAGTGACAAACTTGATAAGTAAATATTGCTGAGTGTATATAGAAAAACGAAGCATTTTGGTTTCTACCCATTGCATATTAAAAAGCCAAAAGATCATCTTATCAATCCTTTAAAATTTGGCAGATAAGTGAAATAAGTCACCTATTTGTGAGATCATGCAGTATTTCTCTTTCTGTACCTGAATTATTTCACTTATCAAAATGTCCTTCAGTTCATCCATGTTGCCACACATGACAGAGTTTCTTATCTCATAGATGTACACAGTTGAATAGTGGTTATCAGAGCCTGGGGAGGGAATAAGAGAGGGAATGATGGAAAGAAATTGGTCAAGGGATACAAAATTATAGCTAGATAGAAGGAATAAGTTGCAGTGTTCTATAGCACAATAGGGTGACTGTTGTAAGCCACATTATAGTGTATATTTTGAATAACTTGAAGATAATATTCTGGATGTTTTCATAAAAAATGATAAACGTTGGAGGTGATAGATATGTGAAATACCATCATTTGATCATTATAGGACAAAAGTATTGTATAGTATGTACAAAGAAAGGCAGTGAGGATATTTATATCATTATCAAGGAAAATCTTGAAGTAGAATATATTTTCTTGTTTTATTAGCTAGTGTGAATTTTTATTATGAAAATATACACATTAAGGCTAAGAAGTTCAATAACTATAAATTGGCATATTGAGAAAAGTAAGTCATTTGTGTAAACCTATTTCTTGGACTCCTTTTTTTTTTTTTTTTGTCCCCAGTGTTGTCAACCATGTTGACTGCATCGTGGTTCTCCTCAAAAACATCCAATATGTGTACAAACACATAAGCACATAAATCAGTGAACTGAAATTACACCCTTCCATAAGTTCTGCATTTTGCCTTACTTTTTTTCACTTAATAATATATATTAGAAATCTTGCAATGCTTTCCTAAACTAATTTTATGTTACTTTTATTTTACCTCTAAATTGTTGAACCACATGACTTTTTATAAACCCATGCAAAGTAAGGTTAGAAAACTACTTACTTGCTTTTCTAAATGACTAACTGGTCATCTCTACATCATTGATTGAGTTACCAATGTTTCAATTATCATAGCTTTATAGTACTTTGAAAAATATTAAGTGATGTTATTTTTTCTTCATTACCCTTATAGGATTTTTCTGCTGATTCCTACAAGCTTATTCTTCTAAATGGTCATTTTTATTACTTCATCAAGAAAGAGGTTATTTCAAGCGGATTTGAATTATTAGAGTTAAAACATATATCAGGTTGTTTTGGAACACAAGAGAATGCCATTTGCAGAGAACAAGAAAATAATATGAAGGTGATGCTAAGTTCATGTTCCCCAAATTAGTGGAAGCATAAAATAGTAAATCAGAAAGAAACAGGATGTTCTGATGAAAATCTTATGAAGTTATTTCAATATGCTAGAATTTATTGAGGTTCTGGCTATAAGATTTAAAATGTCAGACAAGTAGAGAAGATAACTTTTCATGGGATTCATCCCCTTATAGGAAAGATCTGCAAAAGTAGATAATATGAAAGGAATTAATTAAATATTATAAAGAAAGACTATAATAATATATAATGATGCTATGCCACTTCTATAGTTTTAGTATAAAAATTACACTTTTGCTGGTTACTACTTATTTCAACCCAGCTCCCCTTTTTCTCTGCAATTTTATATGCAGGATCAGTACCAGAGATGAGTTTGCAATAGTTTTTCAAGTTGCCTTGAAAGATATCTACAATTTATTTCTGCTTTTATAAAGAATGGAAGTCAAACTAGAAGAATATATGGTGTGTGATAAATTGATATATTTTTCATTATTTGAGAACGTGGACTATTTTCTCTCCTATATATTTAGCTGTTTTGGCTTTGAACCTTTGCACTTCAATCAAAGTGTAATTTTGAAGGAAGACTGTGTCTTAAGTTTTATTGAAGACTCAGCTATGTTTTCTGTTTCACTGACTTCACCAGAACTAAATAACTCAGCAGCAAAAGCTCACTGCTTGGTACCATTTGAAATACCCACTGCCCATAGGCATAATTGTCCATCAACCCTATAGAAATCTGTAAATTTATTTAGAAAGCCTGCAAATGAGATTGATCCAATAATACATACCCCTAAGAAAGAAGCTAGAGAAAACACTGGAAACAAATATTCTTCTATTATCACCTCAGCTTCCACTGTAGTTAGCTCCATGATGAAAACAAAATGAAAGAACATTTCATGACAAGTTGCAAAATTCCTGACTGAATGATTGTAGACTTCTTAGCTGTATACTTAAGATGAAATAGATAAATGTGTGTGACATATGTATAATTACTCAATTACCATTGTGTGTGTATGTGTAATCTTGAGTAGCTCATATCCTAATACCTTAGGTTTTAAAGCTTTAAATGATGTCAGCAAGTCTCTATGTGATGCACACCTACAGAGCCAGCAAACTCATGTGATAAACATTGCTATGATCTCTCATAACCAGCTATATGTTGGGTAAATGCATTTAGGTTTAGAAATAGCAAATTATTGGGCCATTTGCTATATTTCTAATGTGAAAGGCTCGGGGGTATCTATAAATAGTCTAAACTCATACTTGCCATGGAAAAATTTTGCTTGTCGCTGAATTATTACTTGGCCTCTGAAAATCATTATCATCATTTGGCTCCCTTGGAGAGATAATTTACCTCATATGGACAAGCACTTTTCTCCCAAGAGGGAGTGAGTTTTACTAGCCTGTGCCTCATAGGATCAGAAATACTTTTAATTGTTTCTTTAGCGCTGATAGCTTCTTTCAACTGGTGAGAGGACTAATCATCTTATGCAAATACCAAGCCAATGAAATAATATGATGTTTGTATTCAAAACAATTAGATTGCCACTTCAATTTCTGTTCTGTATTCATAGATTGCAATAAGAAACCCTGACACATCAATTGTGATCTTTTTCACTTGACCTCTAATTAGTAGAACACATTTAGAATATGTTTGAAGATTTTAAAGATTATATATATAATCTTTATATATATATGTGTATATATATATATACATATATATATATATCTGACAAGTTATATAGATTAATATTGTAGTGTCTTGATAGCTTAATTTGGGAAAATGAACTTAAACATTCAGAATTTTAAAATATGATTTAAAAAATTGTTTTCTAAGAACATGGTAGATTTTCTAAGAACACAATAGATAATAAAAATAAAATGATCAACCATATTTATCTCTTAAGCATTTTCTTTTTTTCCCTAGACTTGTAGCTAAATAGCTCAGTGAAAGGCTGCTAGATTATTGATTACACACACAGTCCCCATACACAGACCTAAACACACACCCACATGTACATGCACATACACTCACAGATTCTGTGGTATTTTATTCTATTTTTAGTCTTCCCAATGGTCAAGTTATCATTTCTGTATGAAATATACTCTCTAAATCACTCTGGACCTCTACCTTGGGCAGCTTTATGCATCCTAAATAAAGACAGCAGGGCTGTGGCCTCCCCTAAGAAAAAGGTTCTTATTTCAGGAGTCAGACAGCAAGCAAGAGGAGTCCCAAAGCAGCATCTGACTCAAGCTTGTCAAGCTTCACAGGCTGTTGTTTTCCTTGCCTCCTCATTGTCCTGGGGATTGCCTGATTGTCCTCTTGAAGCTTTCACCATTGATTCCCATTTTCTTACTGTGATGCTCTTCCTGAAAGATATAGGGGCTTGTACAGATTGTTCTAATGAGAGTAACGCAGAGAGCTAACTACAAAGGAGATGTGTGGGGAGCAGGAAGGAAGCACCAGGGATGCCCAAATGATTCCTTTAATCTGTCTTTTCTATTAATCTGCATGTTGTGCACCCCATTCCTTTGAGAGGTTTGCCGTGATATGTTGATGTTTGAGGCGGCCAGATTTTGTATTTATATAGCTCTGGACTGGGGAGGAGAAGCACTCTGCCCTTTCATTATTTTTTCCTTGAGACTTCAAGACAGAAGGAAGAAAAGGGTCTGTTGTATGTATGATGTTTTACAGCTAGAAAAGTGATGCTGGTTGACAGAGAACTTGCTAACAATATCCCATTCTGGGTGGCCCAGTCTACATCACATAGACTCTGTAGTATCACTCAGAATCATTTTATTGTTTTTCCTCTGAATTTTGTGAAAAGAGCAATATATTAGAGAGAGAAAGAGAAACTGAGAGGGAGAGACTAAAAATGAAAAAGAGAGGGACAGTTTCTTGAACAGTAAAGACTTTTTTAACAGGAGTTACAGTGCAAGTGAAAAAACACTGCAGCAATTGAGATGCAGATTCAAGTTCTGTTTTATTTACTTTAAAGCATTACAGATGCACTCAAAAGACAAGCCATCAGTCAGCAATGACAGGGAACATGAAAATGTATAAGAATAAATTGAGCTTTAATTTTTCTTGACTAAGTATAGACATTTATCATAACTAACGCACTTATAATAGCATAGTACACTCTTGTTTTTTCCTTCTATTTAGTAATCCCATCTATTTTGTTTTGTGTCTTAAACGTAATTAGACAACAACAGTCCAGGATTCTGCAAAATGGCAATATTTCTTTTAACCAATATTGGTGAAATCAGCTGCAATTAAAGTTATGGCAAGAGTTTAAGCAAAAATAGTGTGATGTTTTTGCTAAATAGTGTGTGAAGTCCTCCTACTTGTGACACCTAATTACTGGTGTCATGCTTGCAACAGCAGCATCTGTGCACACTCAACACTCTAATGGGCAGCTCCTACAGGACTAATGTATTTTAATTGATGGTATTTAGCGTGGCTTTTGGTTTCTCTTTCATATGAGAAGCTATGCCCTTCTGCTCTCCTGTCCCCAGATGAGCTGGCTGTCTGCTGGGGAACACACAGTACAGATGGTCAACAAAAGGTGAAGATTGCCAGGATTCCAACTATCAGTCTCCTTTCATTCAAGATAAAATCTGAATTACTAATCAGCTTCCTTCTGCCCCCACACTCAGTCTTACTCTAGCCCAAGCTGTTTACATTTGGACTTAATGCTAATCTCTCTTTGTCAAATGGCTTTATCAAGTCCCATTTGATTTGAAACATACCTTCCTAACTAGCAAATCAGGGCCGGACCATTTTAGTTCCTCATCACTCATAGTTCATTTCAAATACAAATTGTTCTTTCCCTGGGGAAAGAGCTAAAGCCTGGTTAAATTTCATCTCTGGTATCATCTGAAATGGGAAGAAAAAGTACTTGAACACAATAGAACTAAATGACGAATCACGTGTGCTTCACATGAATCTGGATAGTGTATCCTCCATAGAATTGTTATCAATGTTATTATGTTTAGCTCTTCACAAATAGCACATTTACAGTTTTGAGTTTTCTGAGCTGCGTGTCCTTAGTTCTTTGATAAGAAGTCAGGTATAAAAAAAAGAATAAATAGAATTATGTACACCTTTCACTGCATCGACCTTAGCAATGCTTACATCATTTTCTTTGTTACTAGAGAAACTTTAAAAAACACATAGGATACAGTTGTAAAGAAAGATTCTACAAAATTGTGTATAATTCACTAGAATACTGTGCTCGAAACATCTGAGAAGGAGCAGCCTGGAGAATATGACAGAGTCGATCCCTGGTTTAGAAGGAAGCAGGAAATTGGCTACCCCTTGCTGGCCAATTAACAAGAGTCTGCATCCTTAGTTTTAAAGACAGTAAGCAGTGGGCCTGCCTGTGTGGCCACCCAAAGGGAAATGTTGCAAAGTTCTAATGAGATGCTGTTAATTTTGAGTGATATTCAGTCTAGTCCTCTTTTTGCATTAGGGGAAAAAAGGGACATAAAATTACACTCCTTAAATCATGATCCTGGTACTGGTTTCTAGGCAACCACGAGTGAATGGAACAAAAAAAAAAAAAAAAAAAAAAAGAAAGAAAAAAAGAAATAAGGAAAAGAGAGACTTTGGAAGCTTTTTTTTTTTTTCTGAATAAAATACATGTTTTTGCCAGTCAATCAGGTCTTTTTTTTTTTTTTCATATTCTGTAATGGAATAGTTTCTAAATCTGAGCTTTAAATTAAAGAAGAAATCACTCAAGATAAATGCTATGTGCTTCTGTTTATGCTTTAAAAAGACATCCTTCTTAAAAGCAACTTAATGAGATTAAGATGTTAAATTCTGTATATATTAGGAAGTAGACATTCTTACAGATATATGCAGGCTCGTCCTTTCTTGGTAGCAAAGATTAAAAAACAAAACAACAAAAGCAGTGTTGCAACACTAAGCAAAGAAATAAAACCAAAGCAATTAAACAGCTACTTCAACATAAACACTTAGTAATATTGAAGGCTACCATGGAGGTGCACACAGAGTCTGCCGGATAATAGTGCTTTATGCTTACATCATTTTCACTTTGCAATTTAATTTATATTAACTGGTTTAGTTCTCACAACAACGTTTTGAGATAGGACTTATTATCTCATATTACAGGTGGGGAAATTATCCCATTTCTACTATTTTTAAGGATAATTTTAAGGTTTTTATTTGGGTCCTCTAATTTCTGAATCAGAGATTAGTTTCGTTAACTTCAGAATGAACAAAATAGCCCTCTGTTTATGTTATCCCTACACACACACACACACACACACACACACACACACACACACACACAAAAGAGAGAGAGAGAAAAAATAAAGAATTAAAAAATGAAATCTCCAGTTCTAGCATAACAGGTCATTCAAAGCAAACAGACAGAACTTCAGATGTCATCATGGGAATTAATATTATTTTTACTTTAATGTATAATAGATGTTCAATTTCAAAATTCATAACTTGGCCAACAACATGCTAAACTTGATTTACCTTTTTATGCATATGTCCTAAAACTTTATATTATGTATAATGTAGAAATATTACCTGCTTTTTGTCATATATACAAATAATGTAGACTTAAAGTAAAAATCAAAAGTACAAATTTTTAGTTTCAAACTTCAATTAATTAGTCTCTGGCATTGATAGTCACTAAATAAAGGTTTTTTAATAAATGAATTAATAAACTATTCTACCACACAATTTTACACTTTATGAGAAAGGGCAATTTATGCCAGACACAATTTAACAGTTTAGATCAACACTAGAGATGCAAAGACAAGTAAGACACTCCTTGGCAAAGTTCATTTAGGGGCAATAGGCACAAAGACAAATATTATTATAATTTACATACAATATTCTGCAGTTTACGGAAATGCATAGAGTATCATGGGAATGAAAGGAATGCCACCTGGGCCAACCTGAAGAAGATAGAGGTAAATGGGTCAAGCACACTTTCGGTGAAATGCCAAAAGTCAGCCCTAATTTCTGGATCTTTTCCAATCACAAATACAATGTGGATCAAAAGCAACCTTGAACCATGCAAAATACATTGCACATCAAACATACATACTCTGAATGCAACTGTGTTCCTACAATATTAAAATAAGAATCATTCTCTGCCGGGCGCAGTGGCTCACGCCTGTAATCCCAACACTTTGGGAGGCCGAGGCAGGTGGATCACCTGAAGTCAGGAGATTGAGACCAGCCTGGCCAACATGGTAAAACCCTTTCTCTCCTAAAATACAGAATTATCTGGGCGTGGTGGCACATGCCTGTAATCCTAGCTACTCAGGAAGCTGAGGCAGGAGAATCGCTTGAACCCGGAAAGTGGAGGTTGCATTGAGCCAAGATCGTGCCACTGCACTCCAGCCTGGGCAAAAAGAGTGAAACTACGTCTAAAAATGTATATATATTCTCTCAGATATTTGTAGAATAAGAAATATTCTGAGACAGGCAGAGCAATATCTCTCTATTTCCGTGTGCATATAATAGAGAGAAATACATATATTTACATTATAAAAAAGAAGTGAGAACTTATGAATATTCCAGGAAACTAATGACTTTTCCATCTTTCGCAAGCACATTCTTAATTTTAACACTAAAAGTTCTGAATAGTTATGTTTGCTATTTCTGTTTCTTGAAATGTCTTCTACTTCCCTCATGCCAAATATGCTTAGTTTTTTTAAATAATCCTAATTATTATATGATCTTTCCTGATGCTCTCTAATCAGCTGTAACCTGACTATTAATTCCATAATATTTATGTAGAACCATAGGAAACTCAATGAACATATATTTTGATTATTATTATTATGCATTATCATTTGCCCAAATTGGTTCCAGACAGATGCATGTCCCTTTACAACTTACTTGTTAAATATGTTTGAATTTTACAAACATATATAAACTAAGTTTGGTATTTTCATAATTATGGTAAGACCTGCAATTACAGAAGTGATCATACCAAGAGAAGAACCGGAAACTGTATTAGCAACGTGTATTAGTTCATTCTCACACTGCTGTGAAGAAATACCCAAGACTGGGTAATTGACTCACAGTTCCACATTGCTAGGGAGACCTCAGGAAACTTACAATCCTAGTCGAAGGCAAATGAGAAGCAGGCACCTTCTCCAAAAGGCAGCAGGGTGGAGTGAGTGCCAACCAAAAAGGAAAGCCTCTTATAAAACTATGTGATCTCATGAGAACTCACTCACTATCATGAGAACAGCATGGGGGAGACTGCCTCCATGATTCAGTTATTTCACCTGTTCTGCCCTCCACAGGTGGGGATTACCGGGATTACAATTCCAGATGAGATTTGGGTGGGGATACAGAGTCTAACCATATCACGATTAAATGGCTGGTTTATTAGAGATAATATAGATACAATGGGGAGTCTATTGCCGAGACTCACTTTAAAAAGTCATTTTGGCTGAAAATTTCTGATACCAAAATCTTGCCCAGAACAATTCAATAAAAACAGAGAGATCTCTGTCCAAAAATATCAACTGTTTGTTTATTTGTTAGATCCTGATGATGGCAATGTGGAACTGTAAAATAATAAATAATTCAAACTATTTGCCTTTTAATCCAAGGCATTATTTTGAAATTAGCCAGTAAAATCACAAAAATTTTTCAGTATAGAAAATAATAATAATTTAAACGTTAGCAAGTGCACACTGCAAGAGTATATGCATTTATTAGAAACAAAATGAGAAAAGATTACTTAGGCATTCATCTCTGTCTTCAGAGAAGAGAATAAAATAATTTCATAGTAGTGTTTGGAAGGTCTGTTGTCACTATACAGGTAGCCTACACCAGGGAATCAACTAGAAAGTAGAAACTACTTTTTTTCTTATGTTAACTAACATACTGCAAATTTCTCAGCAATGATCTAAATCACTATTGCTAGCTTGTAATTATAACAAAGTACCATTACCATTACCTCGGTAATGGTACTTTGTGTGCTTGTCCCATTTACCTCCATCTTCTTCAGGTTGGCCCAGGTGGTATTCCTTTCATTCCCATGATACACTATTTAACATTCCAGCCAGAATAATTAAATATAAATATATTAAGGACTATTTTTTCAAAGTTTACATGGAATATTCTAAACTTACATACAGATAAAGAAAACCTCAATATAATAATCACCAGTATACTCATCATCTATATTCATCAAACAAACAAATAAACACACAAAAGATCATCAACTATAGCCACTAAGGGAAAATAAGTAGATAGGTATGTCACAATATATTATTTTAAATATCCAGTTCTTAAGAGAAACTTATCAGATGCAAAGAAACAGGAAAGGGTGATCCATACTTAGGGAAAAAATGGAGACGTCATCAAGATAGCTGACTAGATGTGCCCGGACTATCCTCCTCCTCAAATATGGAACGAAATAACGAACAGATAACCACACTTGGTTCAAGTGTGGTTGAATAACAAGAAGATAACTTGCTAACTCAAAGTAGCAAGTAGATAACCACACTTAGCTGTCAAATACAGTATTTAAGAGTGAACATTACTTTGGGAGGCCGAGGCGGGCGGATCACGAGGTCAGGAGATCGAGACCATCCCGGCTAAAACGGTGAAACCCCGTCTCTACTAAAAATACAAAAAATTAGCCGGGCGTAGTGGCGGGCGCCTGTAGTCCCAGCTACTTGGGAGGCTGAGGCAGGAGAATGGCGTGAACCCGGGAGGCGGAGCTTGCAGTGAGCCGAGATCCCGCCACTGCACTCCAGCCTGGGCGACAGAGCGAGACTCCGTCTCAAAAAAAAAAAAAAAAAAAAAAAAAGAGTGAACATTGGAATTATGCAGGGAAGTGACAGGGACCTTCTGTGGTATTGAAAGGAGAAACAGGTGAAGAAGCTGGCCAGGTGGGACTGGCTGAGGAGCCAGGAGGGACTACCCATTACAGGGAAAATGTGAGTGAGAGAT
Organism: Homo sapiens; assembly: GCF_000001405.40. NCBI lineage: Eukaryota > Metazoa > Chordata > Mammalia > Primates > Hominidae > Homo > Homo sapiens. The sequence continues at coordinate 58,625,002 of NC_000013.11, forward strand.
ACCCACCATTCCACATTCCCACCATGGACACCTGCAACCCTAGCCACAGGAGAGCCTGTTGGCCCTCACAGCCCTGAGCCTAGCTAGTATAGAAAGCTGTCAGAATTCTACACCATGACATTGTTTTACAGATGGAATTCATGCTGGGGCCCACTCATCCCCTGAGCTGTGGCAGCATAACATCGTTTTGAGAGCCAAGTCCCCACCAGACTATATTCTGTCATTGATTCCAATATTCCCTGCATATCCACATCCCTACAAACCCATTGACATTTCCCCACATTCACCCAGAGGACTGCAGCGTCATGACACCACTGGCTGCAACATTGTGGCTGGGACCGCAGCACTCTAGCCCACACAGTGTCCTACACTTTGGGGAAGAGGCAGAGCAGCTCACCAGGGAGGCCACACCCAAGACAAAGGGAACCAAATTGTGCACTGCCCAGAAGCTGGGACCCACCTTCCTAGGGCTGCTACCATTGACAGCAACCCCACCCATGGTGGTGGCAGGGCCACCATGTACTTGCAATGCCTTAATGGGGCCTGAGGAGCAGCTTGTCACGCGTACTGTCTGGAAGCCTGAAGACAGATTTACACCACCCATTGGCAACAATGCCAATGCCCAGACACGCCATGCAGGGGCCTGAAAATTGGTCCTCCCAGCTCACCATCATTTGTACCCACATACTCCAAATGGGGACCTCTCCTGCCTGCCTGCTGCTGCTGCTGCCACTGCCACCTGTGTGCAGTCTGGGGGTCTAAGGATCAGCCCTTCTGCCCTGCTGCTGACAGGACCCTTGTGCACTCTCCTGGGGCTTGAGGACAGGCCCATCCCCCTCATCACCAGTGATGATAGTGTCCATGAGCCCTTTCTGGGGGCCCAGTGACCAGCCTGCCCAGGCCATTGCCACCACTGCCAGTGCCTGGACACACCTACTAGGGGACCAAGGATCAGCCCCCACCCACTGCTACTGTCACCAGTTCCCACCCAAGTGTGCCACCTGAAGGCCTTGGGATGGACTCACCCAGCTGACTACCACCACTGCCAGCAACCAGCACATATCACCCAGGGGATCTAGGGCTGACCTGCTGCCACTATTGCCATTGCTGGCACCACTCGTACCTATCAGAGCAACAAGGAACAGCCCATGTGGTGTGCTGCTGCCACCATTGTGCCTTTGCATGCCACCTGGAGGCCTGAGGACTAGCCCACCCCAACGACCCAACCACTGCTGGTGCCCAAGTATGCAGCTTAGGGGTGCTATGACTAGCACACCTAGTGCACCACTACCAACCCTGGTGTCTGCATATGCCACCCAGGAGCTAGAAGACCAATGTACCTGGAATACTTGTCCCTGGCAAAGCCTCGCCACAACCTCTATTAAAAACTGCATCATAAGCAACTGAGGAACTCACAGACACCACTGATGTTGATTGCAGCTGAAGCAATTATACAGAGACTACCCTATTGTTATGACTCAGAATCAAATCCAAAGTACCCTACACAATCAGCACTATAGATATGTCTACAAAAAAGTATTTTCAGTAAAAACCAACCCATAAATTTGAAGAAATAATTTTACACCAGATATGCAGATATCAACACAGCAACATAAAAATCATGAAAAAGCAAGCAAACATGACACCTCCAAAGAAACAGAATGATTCCCCAATAACAAATCCCAAAAAGGAAGTATTTGAAATGCCTGAAAATGAATCCAAAATTATGAAATTAAGGAAACTTTGTTAGATACAAGAGAACAAAAGTCAACAGATAGATATATATTATACAAAAGAGCAAAGCAGAAATTCTGGAACTAAAAAATTCAATGAATTGAATTTAAAAAATACATTGAGATCTTCAACAATAGACAAGATCAGGCAGAGAAAAGAATTTCTGAACTTGAAGACAGGTCTTTTGAAGTAACCCAGTCAGATAAGAAATAAGTAAGAATGGAAAACAATAAAAAGTCTATTTGATCTATGGAACAGCATAAAGCAAAATAATTTGAATTTCTGTGAGTTCCAGAAAGAGAAGAGATGGGCAAAAGCATAGAAAACCAGTTTAATGAAATGATAGCTGAAACTTCCAAAGTCTTGTGAGAAAGATTGACATCCATATACAAAAAGCCCAAAGATTCCCCTATGTATTCAATCCAAAAAGGTCTTCGCTGAGACATATTATAGTCAAAATGTCAAAAGTCAAAAACTAAGAGAGAATCCTAAAAACAGCAAGAAAAAAGCATCAAGTCACAAATAAGGAAATTTCCATCAGGCTAATATATTGGTCAGGGGACACCTTACAGGCTAAGAGAAAATGAGATAATAGATTCAAAGTGCTGAAAGAAAGAAAGAAAAAAAAATTAAAAACCTGCCAGTCAAAAATATACCCAATGAAGCTATCTATCAGAAATAAAAGAAATAATGTTTTTTCCAGGAAAAGAAAAACTGAGGGAATTCGACACCATCAGACTGGCCCTACAAGAAATGCGTAAGGAAGTCCTACATCTGGAAGAACAAGAACAATATCTATCATCATGAATACATGTGAAAGTATAAAACTCACTGACATGGTTTGGCGGCGTCCCCACCCAAATCTCATCTTGAATTTTAGTTCCCCTAGTCCTCATGTGTTGTGGAAGGGAAATGGCAGAAGGTAATTGAATCATGAGGAGGTTACCCCCATGCTGCTGCCCTCATAATAGTGAGTGTGTTCTCACAGAAGCTGATTGTTTTGTAAGGGGCTTTCCCCACTTTGCTTGGCACTTCTCTATCCTGCCACCATGTGAAGAAGGACGTGTTGCTTCCCCTTCCACTATGATTCTGCATTTCTTGAGACCTCCCGAGCCATGCAGAACTGTGAGTCAATTAAACCTCTCTCCTTTATAAATTACCCAGTGTTGGATATTTCTTCACAGCAGCATGAAAATGGACTAATACACTCACTGGTAGAGCAGATACAAAAATGAAAAAGAGAAATGAATCAAATGTTACAAGTACAGAAAACCACCAAATCTTAAAGATAATCAATAAAGAGGAATAAAGGAAAAATGGATGTACAAAACAATCAGAATATTATTAGCAAAATGACAGGAGTAAGTCCTTACCTATAAATAACAATTTTGAATAGAAACTGTGTAAATTCCTTGATTAAAAAATATAGACTGGCTGATTGGATTAAAAGCAAGACCCAACTGTATGCTGCCCATAAGAAACACATTTCACCTATAAAGACACATGTAGACTGAAAGTGAAGGGGTGGAAAAAAATATTCCATGAAAGTGGAAACCAAAAATGTACAGGAGTACAAAATCTATTATGAAATAGATTGTAAGTGAAAAAAAATCATAAAAACAGACAAGGTCATTACATAATGACAAAGGGATCAATTCAGCAAGGGAATATAACAATTGTAAATATGTGTGCACTCAACACTGGAGCACTCAGATATATAAAGAAAATATTATTAAAACTAAAGAGAGAAACAAACTCCAATACAATAAGAGTTGGGGACTTCAGCACCCCACTTTCAGGAATGACAAATTGTCTAGACAGGAAATCAACAACGAATCATCAGACTTAATCTGTATTATAGACCAAATGGACCTAATAGACGTTTACAGAACACTTCATAATCAGGGGAAAAAAAGAAGTCATAGACTGTCTCTGCGAGTCCCAAATCCTGGACTTTGCAGAAAATAATCTCAAAAAAGCCATTATAAATATTTTCAAAGAACCACAACAAACCATGTTTAAAAATTAAAAGAAAGTATTAATGATGTACCACAAAAAAGCAAATATTAATAAAGAGATAGATGTTATAAAAATAAAGAAATGAAAATCCTGTCACTGAAAAGTACAACTGAAATTAAAACTTCAACAGAAAATGTGAACTGATGAAAGAACGAATCAGTAAACTTGGTAATACCTCAATATCTATTACACAATCTGATGAACAGAAAGAAAAACAAAATGAAAAAAACTGAAAAGAGCCACAGAGACCCCTAAGACACCATAAAATATACCAACAGGCTCACATGGGAGTATCAGGAATATGAAAGCTTATTAAGGTTCACTATAGTTATCTCATTTTCCAGATCTCCCTACTAAGTTTCTGGCTAGTTTTTCAGTCTTCTGCTTGACCTAACCAAGAGAGAGAGAAAAGATCAAAAACATCTTTGAATATATAATGACTTAAAACTTTCAAATCTGATAAAATAACATTAATATACACATCCAATATGTTCAGTGAATTTAAAGTAGGATACACTAAAATATATACACATCTTTAAATATTATAATCAAATTGTTTAAAGACAAAGACAAAAAAATTTCTTGAAGACAGAGAAAAATGAAACATTACATATAGCCAAACACCACTATAATTAACAGCTAATTTTATATTTGAAACAACAGAGGCCAAAAGGAAGTGGAATTATGTATTTACAGTGGTGGAAAAAAAATAGACAACCACCTGTCAACCAATAATTCCATATCTATAAAAGCCATTCTTCAAAAATAAAACAAAATAGAGTTATTATAAAAAAATTTAAAACAAAAGATTTGTCATTAGCATATCTGTCTTAAAAGAAATGCTAAAAGAAATTCGCATCCTTTGGGCTCAAAAGAAATGACACTAGACAGTAATCTGAATCTACACCAAGAAATGCAGTGCACTAGAGAAAAAAGAGTAAGGAACTTCTAAGTAGCCAAATTATTCAAAATAAGCCAATATCTATCCAGCTAGTGAATTTAAAAAAATAAATAAACATTATTTTAAAAATGAAGTGCCTGCACTCATAAAACTTTTCTCTCTTCCTCTTATGTCTTCCAATGTTCCAACATCCAAGCCAGAAACCTGGGAACATCCTTTACTCTTAATTTTCCCTTAGTTTTTATTCCCCAACCAATAAATGATCTTTGATCTTTTTTTATTCTACTAAGTAACTATTTCTCAAAGATATATAATCTTTATTTCATCTAGTATCCCTGTTTCCTTACCTCACAATCATCTTAAAACTGCAGCAGGCTCTGACAGGTTTTGCTTCTTTGTCTTGTTGCGGTCTAACTAATTTTATGCATAAAGGTCAATGGGAGATTTCTAAGATGACCTTCAAGTTTCCCTAGTAAATAGGCTCTGTGTAATACCTTTTCCTTGAGTGTGAAGAGTTTTTGTAAGCATGATAGAATCAGGGTTCTCTTGATTGTGTTACATCATATGGGAAAAGTAGTGGGATAGTCCCAGTTGGGATTTTTCTGTGTTATCAGCAGATGGGAAAGAGTTTTCTGCTGGCTTTGAAGAAGTAAGTTCCCAAGCCGTGAGAGTATTACATGTCTAGGAGCTGAAAATGGCCTGTAGGAGCTGAAAGCATCCCCAGATTACATTTAACAAGAAAATTGGGAAATCAGTATTACAAGTTTGGGGAACTGAATTCTGTCAACAACCCAAATGACCTTGAAAGAACCTTAAATGATAGCCTAGCCCTGGCTTACACCTTGATTTTAGCCTAGAGAAACCTTGGCTAGATGATCTTTGCCTGGACTGACCTATGGAAACTGTGATATCATAAATGAGTGTGATTTTAAACCACTCATTTTGCAGTAATTTGTTATGCACAAATAGAAAACTAAGAATGCTATAACTCTTGTTTCTTCTTTAGCTTCTCTTTATAAAATATATTGCTCATACTCCAATCTATACTTTGACCAAATGGCACTTCCTCAGTTTATAAGGTATACTGCACTCTTTTGGGGGACCTTGTGGGGTATTCTGTTCTATTTGATAAGAAACCTTTCACAGCTTCTTTATATCTGTCTAAATCTATTTATTCATCAGGTCTTCACTAAAAGTTTCTTAGTATCTTTGGAGTAGATTTTTGCCTTAGAGTCATCTTGTACTAGGCAGATTGTGAACATTCAGCAAATGATAGATAATAGTTTTTAAGTGATGATAGCTAATTTAGTCATGAAGATGACTAAAGTGAGTGGGCTGTTTTCGCCATATCTTTTGAGTGATCAAATTAGGTTGACCACTTGTTGACATAATCACTTATTTGGCATGTCATCCCCTGAAAAACCATTATATAGAACTGGCCTTTTCACATCTTACTAATGGTAAATGATTATATACCTATTACTGCATAAATACCCCTAAGAAGTTTTATATCCTTATTGGAAAAATTTTCCACAAACATTGCCTGTTTACTAATAATATATTTTTTTCATTCTCTCTTAGAATGACAGGTAGGCAGCTCTCTCTGATTTTGAAGAGCAGAAAATAAATAAAATACTGACCTTTAGAATGCATTATTCATGAATATAAATATGTACATTATACTATTTAAGCAACTCTTTTAAAGGAAACTTTACGTATATATTCAAGCCGAACATTTAAATCTACATAATGCATTGGTTATCCTATACATAGCTTGCTATTTATTTTGAAAATATTCTCAATTTAAAAATCCAGCAAACTAATACATATAATAAAACATATATTCTAATTTATTCATTAAATAATTCATATTATTCAGAAAAATATTGGTCAAGTGATTTCATTTATGACACTTTAATTCCATGAGTAACAGATTAACATATACATCCAGGTAAAACTTGAATGTCTCTAAAATCATAATGTTTAACTCTAGGGAAATCAAATCTAGCAGTAAAAGACATTCTCAGTGGTCCAAATTACAAAAGGAAAAGGAAGACATATCAATCCTGATTTTGGTTTAGGTGTGACATTTAAATCTTGATTTTTTTTCCAATCTAGTAATCCACTTTCCTCTTTGAATAGTTAACTACAAAGTGTTATCCTAGATATTCTTCTAATCATATTAGCATATAACCTATAAACTACCCTGCAGTTAGCTTAAATACTAACTAGAGACTGTCTTTTTGTTGGCCCTATATTCCGTTGGTTTTCATATCTGTTCTACCTTAGTTTCTATCTACATTTTACATGCATGTTCCCTTTTGCCCCAGAGTTTGAGGAATCTGGATTCTCTTCTTCTTCTGTGTCATGGCTTTTAATACCCCATCATCAAGTACTTTATGTACAACTAGCCTTTGAGACACTCAATATTTTTTTTAAAAAAATTTCATTTCTAAAAATAGGAAACTTGAAAATAAACTGGCCTTTTCTCATTTGATTTCATATGCACACAGGAAGAGTTTGTTACCTATGAATTTGTAACATATTTTCCCATAATACTATCAAAGTCCAACAGGATAATTCAATGAGTTTCTTATAAATATAAGCCCATATTTAAAATCACATGTCTTTTCCAAGTATACCATGATGCACAAGTTTCATTTCCTAATAATATTCCATACATATTATGAGTGCTTGGATATCTGTATATTCTAATTTATTTTATAAACCAGAGCAACATGTAATAAATATTTGATTTAACTTAGTTTATGCTTTATGGTGCCACCAGTAAATATTTCTTTCTTCATTTTCTTTTTTTTCTTTTTTTTTTTTGACAAGGTCTGGCTCTGTTGCCCATACTGGAGTGCAGTGGTGCAATCTCTGCTCACTGCAACCTCTGCCTCCCAGGCTCAATATATCCTCCCACCCTAGCCCTCTGAGCAGCTGGGACTACAGGCATGTACCACCACAGCTGGCTAAATTTTTGTATTTTTTGTAGAGACAGGGTTTTGCCATGTTGCCCAGGTTGGTCTCGAATTCCCGGGCTCAAGCAATCTACCTGCATTGGCCTCCCAAAGTGCTACGATTGCAGGCGTGAGCCACCACACCGGCCACAATATTTCAACCAAGATATCCACTAGTGTAATTTTTATAGACATAGTATTTGTTTCCTAGACCATTCACTTCTTATAAAATTGCACAATTTTAATTGTTAAAATAATCCACATAAGCAACATTAGTTAAGAAGATATCTGAGTTTGATTCTCAATGCTACTTTCCTTTATAATTTCTATATATTTGGATAATTTTATTCAACTTTTAGAATTCTATTTATTTTTGTAACATGGAGATAATAATAATACAACATAGTTACAGAAACTTTAAGAATAATTTATGTGAAAGAAGTTTTAAAATGTTAATCTTATACAAATGCTGGCTAAAAATAATATACCATAGTATTTATAAAAAGAGATGAGATGGGATAAGAATGACAGCATCATTAAGCACTTGTCCCAGGAATTTATTCCACATCTCAGTAGTTTCTATCTGATTTCAAGGATCCATAGGAATTATAACTGATTCCCCCATTTCTTTATGTTTCTAACAGACTGGAAACATCAAATTAGAATTCAGTCTTTTTTCTCCCCATGGCTTTTAGTATCAAGTTTCCATTTGAACAACCAATGCATTTGTCTAAACCACCAGGGTGCCTAACTCTAAAAGAAGGTGGAGGCGTATACACACTAACTTTTATGTCATCTTGTCATGCTGTGGTATCTCAAGGTGCTTTGCAATGACATTAAACTTAAAAACGTTATCTCTCCTGCTGAGTTAATTAGTTAAAATCAGGTAAGTGACAATGACAACAAACACATCTTAAGTTCAAACTTAAACCTGAAGCCAATATCAATAGACGTAGAGGAGTTCCTTGAAGCAGGTGTATTGTAGCTCAAAGGGAGACCACATGCAGAGACATATTTCAGCAAGGAAGATGTTAAGAGCCCTGTTTTAGTTGACTTCAAATTATGAGTGGTGAAAAGAAATCTAGTCCAAGAAGGTAAGTTTTTATTTTTGACAAGCATTGTGAACCGGAGTTAGCTTAGTGGTATAACATGGCCTTCAACAAGTGCCACTGGAACAAGCTTTTCGTCCAGTGGTATAAATTCTGAATAATTGGCAGCAACTATGTTTTGAATCAATCACAGTCCATTAAATAAATAAGTTAGGCTGTCAGTGAAGGAAAAGGCAGATGTTTTACACCTTGTAAAAAAATGACCAAGACACCCACTGAAACCATCCAAAGAAGAGGTGATGTTCTGTATTTCCTTCCAGCTAAGAGCAGATATATTCAGAGATTGAGATCAATAAGCACAAATTCAAATTGTTTAACCACAGTAATATTCCATGGAATCACTCTCTGTCAAGGAAAAGAACCTTAGGAGGAGCATTTAGTACAGGTACAATCCCACAAATTTTCTGCAAGTTGTTACTCTTAGAAAGGTCTTGGGCAATTATATATTTTCATTTTTTTCTTTGTAATTTTATTTTATTAATATTATTTATTTATTTATTTTGAGACAGGGTCTCTTTCTGCCTCCCAAGCTGGAATGCCATGATGCGATCTTGACTCACTTCAGCCTCAGCCACCCGGGCTCAGGGCTCAGGTGATCCTCCTACCTCAGACTCCTGAGCAGCTGGAACTACAGGTGCATGCCACCATGCCTGGCTAATTTTTGTATTTTTTGTAGATATGGGGTCTCATCATGTTGCTCAGCTGGTCTTGAGCTCCTGAGCTCAAATGATCTTTCTGCTTCTGTCTCCCAAAGTGCTGGGATTACAGGCATGGGCCACTGCATCTGGCCATGTCATTTATTTTAAATTCCTCTGTGATTAGTCGTATTATTTTTTCAAATTATTCCCTTCTCTTCATTTTGCTTATAGGAATTGACTTGCTTTGGCCAAGAAATGTGAGCAGAAGTGATGAGAACCACTTTCAACCAAAGTTTTAAGAGTCATCATATGGTATCACCATGGCTTCCTTTCCCTTTTCCTTGAGCTTTAGGACATTCCCCATGGAGGACATGCCTAGGTCCCAACATGAAAAAACACAGACAGCCCACAAAAGACATCAACTATAATTGAAGAAGTTGTAGTTGTAGGTTTTTGAGTTTTGAGACTGGCTCATTACTATAGCATAACTTAACCAAAACTAATTGATACAGTTTTCATGCTAAAACAAAGAAGCAAGTAAGTCAGCAAAACAAACAAGTAGGCAAACATTTGGAAAACAAAATATAAATCATTAACAAAGAGAATAGCATTGCAAATATCTAGAAAAGGCTACGCACAACAAGGCATTTTAAAGCAGAATCGTCTCAAAATATTACACAGATTAACAGTGTTTCCTACATTATAAGCTTCACTGAAACTGGCACGTTTAACTTGAAATATCTTAAATATCTTAAAAATAGATATCTTACAAAAGAGAAAGGAGGAGAGAGAAAAACAGGAAAACTTGTTTTTCTAAGGATGAGCTTATTGGAGGTGAAAACTCTTCAAAAAACTTCAGAAATTATTCTCCACCACTAAGGTAAAAATTATATACAGAATGATAAGAACTCCACCTTTGTAATTTAGGCCCATAATTGGTGTTGGAAAGCATACAGTGATTATATGAAGGTAAATTTAATTTTCAGTTTGTCTGATTTCATACTTCTTACACGCTACAAGAAGAAAGACAAAACCAGGGAAGGCCGTTCCACCCATGTTACTCTCTTCTCACTAACAGTCTCCTATATTCCCACAGTCTATACAGCACTATTTCTGAAAGTCATTTGATTTCTAATTATAGCACCAACATTAACTCCTAACACTGGAAATATAAAAGAAATGACATATGTGTACTATGCTATTATATAGAATAAAGAAATTATTAAGTAAATGTATACAGGGAAATAGGAGAAATATTTTTTGTAGAACCACATATTGAAAATGACATAATGAAAAGACTTTTTTCTATGTGAAAAGTGTGTGTATAACCTTGATCATGAAAGGAACCACCACCAAAGCATCTGTTCACTTTGGCACTGACAAGGTACAATTTTAGAAAATCAAATTAGGATATCTCCTGTAACATATAAGTTGCTGGGTAAGTCATCACTGATTAATGGTGTGGCAGACAAAAAGCATTTTCAAATAATTTTAAAGACAGAAGCTCTTTGAAGAAAAATACTGCAAAAATTGACCAGTAAGTGGGATTTGTTTTAGAAGTTTCCTATATGCATATACTTTTCCAAGGAAAACATTAGTCAAAAAGATGGAAAAGATCCAAGTGAATATTTATCCCTCTACTCTGCCTGAGCATCTAGAGACTGATAGCGTGCATATAAGAAACACTATGGGTTAAAAGGTTAAGGTAAACATTGCTAATCTGCCTTTTTTATTCCTTTGAGTGTACAAGCAGCGTGGCTGTGGTTAATGTACAAATTGAGTATGATAAACATAAAAGTTTTTCTGTATATCTAACTCAAAGTTATCAAACATAAACAATAGAAAAAGTATGTACTACAATTTTAAATAATGCACCAGATCACCCACAAAGATGACCACTTTTTGGTTAATTTACTTCTCTAAAAATTAAGATTATTTTTCCCCACCAAATATAATTTCTCTTTATTAAACCCAATGCATTTCATCTTCCCCAAATTTGGAATAAACCAGAATTGTTAACTTTAATTTTACAACATCCACCCATGTATTCTAGCACACCTTATGTGGAGAAAAACATTACTTCATATGAAGATAAACACTAGAAAAATATTATTGTTTTGTGTAAAAATTAATATGTTAATTGTTCACTTTCCTGAATTTTTCTAAGTTGGTGCTAGCAGGAAGATATTTGAAAATGTTTAGTACATGTAATCACAGTGAAGAGTTGATACACTTTGATCTAGAAGAATTTAGTTAAGTAAGGGTAATAATTAAGGGGTTATAATCATAAAGCCTGAGACAAATTTGAAAACACTGACCAGAAAAAAAAATATATAACAAATAAAAAGTGGAGTGGGATTCTCAAGTAATCTTCATAATGGAATGTATACACTTGACACTTGAAAAAGAGATGCCAAAGTACTGTTCTGTAATCCATTGTAAGAAAGTTGACCAAGACAAAAAATAATTAAGGCATAGGCACATTGGAAATTGTACCTTTTATATTTGAAATATAATCATCTGCTTTTCAGTACTCTCACTGATATCTTTGACTTGCTGTATTCTCAGTTCCCCAGTGATTTTCCACCATTGGTTAGTACAAGTCAGTGCCATATTTGCCAGTCATCTAAACCTTGTTCACTGCTACCTTTCCAATCCCTAGTGCATATTAAGTAGTCAATACATAGTTAAAGAAACAATTATTCTTTCACTATGTGAATGTTTGGCTTATTCATCTTCCTAATCCATTTTCCCATAGATTATCAGAACTACAGATTAGCCGTATTCTACATTGTTTCCATTATATATATATATATATATATATATATAATATATATAATTAAAATTAATATGTTAATTGTTGACTTTCCTGAATTTTTCTAAGTTGGTGCTAGCAGGAGGATATTTGAAAATGTTTAGTACATGTAATCACACAGTGAAGAGTTGATACACTTTGATCTAGAAGAATTATTTAAGTAAGGGTAATAATTAAGTTATATATATATAAATATAAAAAACTCTCATGAAAAGAGAAGCTTTCTTTATACAAATTATTACATCCAAGACAGAAAAATTTATTAGAAATAATTCAACCCATTTTCACCACAGGGAATAGTTACTGTTATAGCCCTACAACAAATTATGTAAGAGTTGAGTAGCTTTTAAGAACCAACATATTTTAATTAAGGTTATACGTTAGATATTAAATAAAAGGTGGTAGGATATTTATATTAATCAGTTTTTAAAGTCCTATAATTCACTTAACAGATACAGTGACTGTGAAAGAAACTGAAATAGATAGAAGATAAAAAATTAAGAAGCCAGAAAGTGGAAAACCTAAGTAGAAACTAAAAATAGAAATAAATGACCAGTCGAATGCTTCCTTTATTTATACACCTCTTAGCACATTTCTTTTTTACAAAGTATGAATATATTTAATCCATTTTTACTAAAGCAACTTTATTTAGCTGGCTGTTTACCTTTCTGTTAAGCCTCATTACCCATAAAAACAAAGAATGAAGTTGATTAATGTGCTCTAAGTGTGATGTTCAAATTATAATTTTCATATACGTAAATGGATGCTTCTGCAGAATTTTGTTTGATAATTTACAGAGTTAGCACTGTCCAAACCACTAATCAGTTTCTTTTTATGATGACAACTGCAGTAGATTCTTTTGGAATGTTAATTTTCATTAGTGTCTTCCCTTCCTGTGGACTGTATTCCTGGCTTCAGGAGTGATTTCATCATTGCAAACTAAAATTTGTGAGGAAAGACATTTGGATCATTCATTACTTTTCTAAGAGTACACAAAGATAGAAATAATTGGAAACAAAAATTCAAATGGGTGGATTTCAAACGTGAAGTTAATATAAATAATATATATGATAGCTAAAGATGCACTACTTTCATTTAAAAATTTGATTAAGTTGTTGCTGACTACGTTTGTTAAGACTGATATATCAAACAAAAGAAAGAAAGAAAAATGCTTAAACACAGCAAAATGACAATGTCTTTGAATTTTGGAGAAAAAGAAAAATATTAACTTTAGTAATTAAATGATAATATTTTAATTAATATGATAGATAATTTTCTACCTAAACAACTATTTTGTGTAGTTGTATAGATTACCATTAATCATTTTTGACTTTTCAATTAAATCATTTGGTTTTAAAGAAAGCAATAAAACTTGTTCACCTTCACTGTCTGCCTCTCATATTCCAAGTGTGTCATCTCTAGAACAGCAGCAAAATTAGTATCGCATTTAAAGGTGAGGAAACTGAGGCACAGCATTTTTGGGAAGTTTGCCCAATGTTACTTGGCAGAGTGAGATTTGAAGCTAAGCAGTTTGGATTCAGAGCCTGGAATCCTCATTGGGTATACATATTAAATTCATGGAAAGAAAGCATAATTCAAAGCAGAGATGGCAAATGGATTAACGCCTTGTCCTATCATATATTAAGAATAAACCTTAAATCTATATTTTTAATATCCTGTTAAACCATGTGTTATAGAATTGCTTCTGTTTCTCATACTAACTCCCAATTTGCCTGAATAGCAGCATTGGTTCCTGTTAATTTGGAATTTTCATGCTTGGATGATAGTATTAATGTTTTATGCCAGTGTAAATGTTAAGTCTCCAATCAAAGGGCCTGAATATATTAACATTATGCCTCTGTGCATAGGTATGAGAAGATAAGATGAATTATGCTGTCTGAAAAATTGTTTTTGTTCAAACTAGATATATTTGTTTAAAAAACTGCTAGTATAGAGAAAATTTTTGATGTTTTCATTGCACTTTTGAAGACTGAATAAAATATTTTTCCACAAGGTCAAAATAATTGTCAATCTTAGATTTTTCAATCTTGATATTTCCAAATATTATATGTACGTATATACATACAAACATAAAATTAAGAGATAAATGTAATCTATAATATCGTTCATTGTAGATCTTCTTTCCTTTTTTTCCTTAAATATTATTGCAATTTTTAACATCTCTAGAGAATGCTAAGCTATAAAAATTGAGTAGTTTTCAGCAAAAAAATTACATGAAACTGCTACTTGGCAAGCAATTGTCTGCTTTATTTTCATCCTTCTATTTTCAGATTTTTCTCTGATAATTAGTAAGCGCTAACACCACTTTCACTTCTTTATCATCTATTCTCTTCTTAACTGTCTGTAACATGATTGTCCTTTTTGTCAGTCTATTCAAATGGCCCTCAGGAATACTGTGAGGTCCTCATTTCCCTTCATGAATATACCACTATATTATCATCTTTCTGTATTTGTAAATCCCCTATTGGCTGAAACACAAATTGATTTTAAAACCTATAGTTACAGTGATAATGGATTATAGAGTATGTAACACTATGTTGGTCATGAGGGTGAGTATGAGGATATCCTTTACGCAACCCAGGAAAGGCGCATATTATAAAAGGTGCTCCTCATACAAATGAAATAAAGGTATATGCACAGAAAAGTAGTGTTCTAGGATTGACAAAATTACATATACATTTTTAAGTAAGTAGACAGTTGAAATTCCAGTAGGCCTATTTTATGCTTTGAAAAATGAAGTATTGATTTCTGAAAAGTCCTTAAGTAAACTTGATGGGGGTAATATTGTTATTGTTGTCTCTCTTCATTCATGCAGCATACACCCTATTACATAAATAAACTTTGGTGACATAATTTATAAAAACTATGAAGAAAAAGAAATTAATGCATTTAAGTTTTATGATGGCACCCTAAAGACACCATTCAAAACATAAATGTTTTCTTACGGATTTATCAGGAATATTTCAGTGTCGATGGTTGTTAACATTTGTTTTTCCTTGAGAATTGCTTTTCCATGGGTTCTAAGGTGTGTAGAAGTTTTTTTGTCTTAATGATTGGGGGATATTATTGTCATTTCGAAGGTGAGGATGGTTTGGGTGAGACAGCCTTATACAATAAAGATTTTCCTACATCCCATACAACATTTTAATGTCACATGGAGTATTTATTTAGCTTGAAACCCTGTTTCTACAAGAAAGACACTAAGTAATTGAAATATAGAGTTCTAAAAGGTAATATAGAGTTCTAAAACGTGAGTGTGTCTCAGTTGAAAATGAGATAAATTTTACAAAGTCAAATGTATGATTGTTAGTAATTGTTGAGCCTTAAGAATTTTGAGTAAAGTTTTTCATGTCTTTCTAATCTTTGCCTCTCTCAAATGTGGAAATAATGATATTTGTTTTGTGTTAGGATTATAAAGATTAAAGGATAATATGTAAGTGTTTAATATCTTGCCTGACACATAGAAGACACTAGATGAAAAAAATTTTTTGAGGGAGTGTGTCTTGCTCTGTTGCCCAGGCTGGAATACAGAGGCACATCATAGCTCACTGTCGCCTGGACCTCCTAGGTTCAAGAGATTCTCCTACCTCAGCCTCTTGAGTAGCTGGGACCACAGGCATGAGCCATCATGCCTGGATAATTATTAATATTTATTTTTTGTAGAGATTAGTTCTCACTATGTTGTCCAGGTTGGTCTTGGACTCCTAGCTTCCAGAAATCCTCCCTCATTGCCCTCTGAAAGTGTTGAAATGACAGGTGTGAGCCACCACTCCCAGCCAAAATAAAAATCAGTACTGTCAATAAATACTATCATTACTGCTAATATAATTATTACTATTAATAATAGGATACTATTTTATACTATCTTATTATATATACTACATTATAGTGTTACATAGTAGTAATTATTATTATAAGTCATAATAGTAGTAGTAATAGCAGTACACTTATAGTTATGCTGTCTCAAATTTGGAATATTGTAATAAAGAGTCGGGCTCCATGTCAGGTGTGTAAACCACAGGTTTTTCTAAAAGCCTCACCCTTCCTTTCTTCTTTAGAACCACAATTTAACAGGCTGATAAGAATACACTTGCATGTGTGTGTCTCCCTATTTGGCAATGACAGGAAATTTATGTATTTATTTATTCATTAGAGATAGGGTCTCTCTCTATCACCCAGGCCAGTGGCATGATCATAGCTCACTGTAACCTCAAATTCCTGGGCTCAAGTGATCCTCCTGCCTCAGCCTCCTAAGCAGCTGGGATTACAGGCACACACCGCTATGCCTGGCCAGCTGACAGGAATTTAAGCCTCGCCTGCATCGACACTTGTCTCAGTCCAACCTGTTTGTTGCTGTAAAGGCCCAACTTACTCTCCTCTAGTTTATGCAAACCAGCCCAAACCTGCCTATATCAGACCAGCTCTCACTAGGACTCAGCCCTTTGTATGAGCAGTAAGCTTTCTTTCAAGTGCAAAACAAAACAAAACCCATGCTACTTAAAATTATCTGAAACTAGAATCTAATTCCATTTTACATAAAAACACAAAGTATTTGTTTTATAAATTTTATATACACTGAATTTTCTGAGAACCCCAAAACTGTATATCCAGAAAGAACTCTACATATATTATATGACATTTTTTCAAAGCTGTTCATTATTTCAGAAAATCACATCCCCAGTGGCAATGCCTCTTATGGTATTTAAGCCATTAATAAGTCACCTGTATCGATCTATATTTGTAGCTGTCAGAAATAGGTTGCAGAGAACTGATTTTTATTTATTTATTTATTTATTTATTTATTTTGAGACGGAGTCTAGCTCTGTCGCCCAGGCTGGAGTGCAGTGGCGCTATCTCAGGTCACTGCAAGCTCCGCCTCCTGGGTTCACGCCATTCTCCTGCCTCAGCCTTCCGAGTAGCTGGGACTACAGGCGCCCACCACTACGCCCGGCTAATTTTTTGTATTTTTAGTAGAGACGAGGTTTCACCATGTTAGCCAGGATGGTCTCGATCTCCTGACCTCGTGATCCGCCCGCCTCAGCCTCCCAAAGTGTTGGGATTACAGGCGTGAGCCACCGCGCCCGGCCAGAACTGACTTTTATAATATCTTCTCTGGAAGTCATATCTGTGTAATTACATACTGACATATGTATTATTAAGTTATACTTTATTTTCTTTCATTCTCTTTCATACATTTAGATCATTGTATTGATTTATAAAATTATATGTATAGGTAGATTTTATTGCCTGTTACTTTATTTTATTTTATTTTATTTTATTTTGTGACAGAGTCTTGCTCTGTCGCCCAGGCTGGAGTGCAGTGGCGTGATCTAGGCTCACTGCAAGCTCCGCCTGCCGGGTTCATGCCATTCTCCTGCCTCAGCCTCTCGAGTAGCTGGGACTACAGGCACCCGCCACCACGCCTGGCTAAATTTTTTTTTTTTTTTTTTTTTTTTGTATTTTTAGTAGAGACAGGGTTTCACCGTGTTAGCCAGGATGGTCTTGATCTCCTGACCTCGTGATCCGCCCGCCCTGGCTTCCCAATTATCTGTTATTTTTATTGTGTAGATTTTCTTAGTTCACTTTATATATAATAAGGCTGACAATCAAACATGTAGAAGAACATTCTGAAATGTTCCTCTATGTCTTTAATTAATTAAATATCCAAACTTTTCTTATTCACAATTTTTAAAATGGCAGAGTAGAGTAATTGATACTTGTTTGATATCGTTTTTTGATGTCATGAAAAGGAGAACAATGTTGTGTAGTGTCTTAGTATTCCTGCCTTCATTTTATATTCCTCTGTAATACACTGCAGTGATCTTATTACAGAATGAAACTTAAAAAAAAACAAGGAGTGACATGGGTTAGATGGTATCCAAGGTCATAAAATAGCACCATTACAGAAGTGGAACAGAGACTATTCCTACTAATAATGGAATTGAAGAATAAAAGCAAAAACAAGAAAGAGGTGCAAAATTCATGGCTTAAAGAAACAAACAAACAAATGACAAATTTCCCAAAGAAAGAGAAAAGGATGAAGTATATTGGTTATACTTATAAAAATAGAAGAAAATTAATAAAAGAATACGATTGATATATTCCTCAGAATTCGCATATTTATTTAAATCGCTCTCTTTTTTTCTTGTAGAAGATACTTGAGGCCTCCTTAAATTAGTTGCAGTAACACATGGAACAAGAGATCCACATTCTCCAACAATATAGAAACCAGAATTCAGCAGCTCTGCAAGAAATCTAGTCAACACATTTATTATGATGATTTATTATTCACTGAGCACCAACTCAGTGCTTCTTATAACAGGAAAAATAAACTTCTTTTCTATTTCAGATATTTTAAAATATAAACAAAAATAAATGGAAGAAAGAAATAGTCCCAAGTCTATTACTATACCACTTACCTCTTTTTTTCTAGAAACTTATAACAGAAAAAAGTAGGTTCAAGCCCCTAAGGAATAAGTGATTAAAACCAAGGAGTAAGGAAAATAACATTAAAAATGGAAAAGAAAGAATCATGGAAAAAAAAACAAACACATAAATTCCAAGTTTCCAATCCAATTTGAACAGTAATTTGGGTACAGGGGCACAAGTATCCAGTAAGTTAAGTTCTTTTCTCTATCCTTCACCATTTTATTCCACAAATTAACATTCTAATCCTATCTGAACATTCATGTGTGTCTTCTTAAATGCTTTAAGATTCAAATTAATCATTTTTCTTAGTAATTATATTTTTCCTATGTAATGTTTGCATATTCATCCTCAAATTATCAATAATTTATATTACATATTCATGGAAGCCCAAGAGCTCACATACTATATAAACAGACCATTGAATTTTAGACACCTAGTAGCTGAGAATTATTAGCCTGTATCTTCACAAAAATATATATTATAACAAGTTAATTGATCAGGATATAAATAATTTCTATTTTTTTAAAAAAATTCGACTTCTGTTTTACAACAATAAGTACAAATAATGTAATGAAAGCTTGCTAAGTGAAAAGTATAGTGATAAATCCTTTCCAGACCTTTTATTTCATTGAATCCTTGCAGCAATGCTAGTGATATTTGTTTTTGCCACTTAATGGTTGTGGAGGCTGAGGTGTGATGGATTAAGAAGGTTCTCATAGTCACAGAGAAAGTAAGTATACACCAGGATTCAAAATCATAATTCAAACTATGTTCTTAACCTTTCTTCTCTCTCTACTTGCCTCCAATAAATTAAGTTTATTTTTAACAAATTTTTTAAAACACAGAAAAGCACAAAATTTTAATGTAATCAAAACTCATTCATATCAGCACACTCAAATATGAATTACTACTATGTTTATTTGTGTTCTGTTTTACTCTAAGGAAATAATATATTAGCAAGTAAGTTAATGGTCTCCTTAACCATCACCTTACATCTCCTTCAATCCTTCTCATAGATAATCACTGCTATGTAATACTTCTCATCAACTTAATTATTTCATGTATATGATATAAATATGTAACTTCATTCTGAAGGCCTCATTGAGTTAGACACTGAACCCATTACTAATTGTTCACGTGGCTACTCTATTGCCTCAGCATTTGAAGGGAGTATCTTTTACAGAAACCGAAGAACTCTTTCTAGGAGTGACACCAGAAGCAAGAAGGTATCATCTTAGGTGATATTACACTTGCAGCATTTTTCAGAGTAATGGTTAGTTCAGTGGAGACAATGGGAAGACAACTAATTATTCATTTAAAGTAGGTAAATTATATGTATTTAGTTCATACTCTCCATTCCAAAAGTATCAATGTAGTGTTCATCTCATAGAAGTATATGAATGTATAGAACATCAAAGTCATGCCAAATTTCATTTTATAATCCATCACAATACATAATTGCAAATGTACAAATCAAGGTTTTATGAAATTGTTTATCTCAACTATTTGCTAAAGAATGGCAAAAATGAAACTCCACATAAAAATCTAGTAAGGCCTAATATTTTATATTACTTCACCATGATGTAAAATGAGGTTTCACTAGAACATTTAGCTTCATACATGAGGACTGTATGATTATTCGAAATCAAATGGCATGGCAGTTCAAAATGAGCTTGTTCCTGTTCAGTATGTTTCCCATTTAATCTCATTGTGTCCTTATTTTTTCAGTGCTTTGCTAAGTCGGACTACATAAGCAAGCCTTCCATAGCTAAGACTCTGTGTCTTCCTTGTTTCTGGATAGCTGAAGTAATGTCTTCTCACAACGGTCTATAAATGATAGTACTACTACTTACAGAACCACTTAAATGATGGTTCCATACCCACTTGCAATATTGATATTTTAAAGGAGGGCTGAGTAGTGCCCAGAACTAAAAGATTTGATCGGTGAAGATGGGTCTATCTCCTGGGAGATTTTTTTTTTTTTTTTTTTTTTTTTTGAGACAGAGTCTCGCATGGTCGCCCAGGCTGGAGCGGAGTGGGGCGATCTCGGCTCACGGCAAGCTCTGCCTCCCAGGTTCAAGCGATTCCCCTGCCTCAGACTCCTAAGTAGCTGGGACTACAGGCGTGCGCCACCACGCCCAGCTAATTTTTGTATTTTTAGTAGAGACGGGGTTTCACCGTGTTGGTCAGGATGTTCTCGATGTCTTGACCTCGTGATCCGCCCGCCTCGGCATCCCAAAGTGCTGGGATTAAAGGCGTGAGCCGCCGTGCCAGGCCTCTTCTGGGAGATTTTAACGTAGCTATTTCTACAAATGGGAAAAGCTCTGTACTCAGAAAAATGCAAAATATGAGTCTTAGAAATGGCTTTTGGGATACAGTGGTTATTGATATATAAAAAGGTATAAAATACAAAGTAAAAGGATATAAATTCAATTTGAAGGCAGCTCAAAAGTAATTTTACACGCACAGGGTAATTATAACACATGGAGAATAATTATAAAGGTATTTTTGATGGGCTCTTGTGCAGTGATATCATACCATGGACCAGGCTGTGATAGAAACACATATCTCAACCTATGTACTGAAATTTTGCAACAATTTCAGGCCTCATTTTTCTTGTAATACAAATGGGGCTAATACAACTTGTCATCTACTTCATAAGGAATATTATGAGGATTCATGAGATCATTAAATGAAAATTCTCCAAGTGCTTAATTTACTCACTGGCAAGAACTCAAAATTCCATTCACCTTTTCAGGGCATTAGAGCATACATGGTCCACAACGAGTTAATATATGTGCTTAATTTTCTTCCATCTATCTAGACAATCCTAGACCTGTGTGTGATACATAAATATGATTATTTATAATGTGTTATGAAATCCTATGGTAAGATGCAGAATTGCTGTTTAAGTAAATGAAAATAAATCTATTTTAACAGCAGCTTTAAAAGTCATCAGAATGGTCTGATACTACTTTGTCTCATGCTATGTATGGGGAACTAAAGTTTAAAGGGTCATAAGTATAAAAGTGCAGACCATCAGAAGTAACATTAAAAGGACTACGTTATACATTAGCAGTTTTTTGTGCCTTTTCTTGTGATAGAAACCATTCGATTACTCTTTTTAACTAAACATGATCTGTAATGGAGATTAATTATAAAGGTATTTTTGATGCAGCATTTACAACCTATTGTCAAATTCCAAGCTAGGGGATAAGAAAGGCTGTATCACTGAATGTCCTATTTATGATCTTTTAAAATAAATTCTCGTTCTTTTGTGTAGTAAACATCTTGACAACATAAAAGCTTATAGCAATGTTCTAAGATATTCAGATGTGAAGATTATGAATGTTTGACACAGCCCCTTATTGGGCTCTTGTCTGAGAATCAGGATAGAAACCTTCACACAGGGAAATGGCTCTGTGGCAATCAGGCAAGATGACTGCTCCCAGGACATTGCATGTCAGAACACAAGACCAGTAACCCTCAGAGGCAAGGGGTGTGCCAACTTACAGGACCCCAAAACTCATGCTTTTATGACAATGCCACACTGCTTTTCCCAAAAAGCTAAAATAAACAATATTTAAATCTGGTTTTCAGAAGGATATGAGTTGTTCATAAACCTGATACAGACTGGCAACTAACTCATTTGCTCAAGAAAAAGAAAAATTTTTTGTATTTGGTTTTGATAATAGAAGTACACTTTTAAAAAGAAAATAGATTAGCTCTGTCAAAAGACTTAAAGCACAGAGCCAAAATGAATACTAGAAGGGAAAAACACTATTGATATTCACAGAAATGAAAATATTTTATAGGAAAATGTCATAACTGTGACATTAATTATGTAATTCAACATGTGACAGTCATCTTCCAATTAAACAAATATTTCATAAAATCAATTCACCTATACTGCTGGGGACTCTGTGGAATATTTGGAACAGATACTATTAGGAGAAAATGTAGCTGAAAAAGAATTATCTCTTTCATCACAAGCTGTACTATTCCTGAAATTGACTCAATTGCTACTTGCTAGGCTTAGATATAAAACCATATTTCATACATGAAAATAAACTTAATCAAAATCTTTTGAAGCAGATTTGGAGGTATCAATAGTTTCTAAATTACTAATAATTGTAAAACTCTTTCAAAAACACCTAGTTTTTCTGCTCACTTACCTTCAAACATAAACAAACACATCTTAAAAATCTCAACTCAAGTATATTGAAAGAAATAAAATGTATTCCTATTTTTTATAACTCCAACTTTAGGATGGTATGCATTAATAGGAAATATAATAAAGTTTTTAGGACCCCTGGATTCTAGTTGCTTTTAGAACCCTCCCTTATGAACAAGGGAAATAGGCTAAATAATTTTAGTTTTTAAAAATCTCAGTTTGCCATATATACAAACATGTTCAATTATTCTTAAATTTGTACTCTTTCAGATTTCATTTTAAATATTTTCCAACGATGCACCTGACTTACATTGCATTTTTTATTTACTATATTCAATAATTTTGCCTCCTTAGCTTAACATTTTTACACAGTTGGTCAACACATAGATTGGTCAACTACTAATGAAACAAAATATAAGTGCCTTGTATTTTTACCTCTACAATAATGGGTTTATATTGTGAACAGAAGTGTGCTAATACCCTGCTCTTAGACTAATAGCTATGGTATATCAAATAGAGTCTTTCTTCTTATAGCTTTATGTAGCTGCTTCTAATAATTCATAGTTATACATATTTTAACACTATGGCATAAACAAAGTTAAATGGGGCAAAAGGAAAATTAGGATCTTGCCCTGAAAAGGTAAATGGAATATTCAAAAATATTAAAATGCCCAATAATTATATCACAGATAATTTCCTGACACTTTCCCACCCCAAGTTAAAATCTAGCCCCCACTATGGACTATCATGGCATCTATTCCAAGACCTCAGTCCATTTTATAATTATATCGCTTATGATTATTTGATCAATGCCTGTCTTCCTTGCTGGACTAGGAGTGAAGGTCTGTTTTGTCTTTTTGTTCTACTTCCAGTGTCTACCTGAGTGACTAGTGAACTGCAGGCATTGAATATTTATTGAATTAATGAACAAGTAAATAGTCGCTAGTCATTTCCTCATTTTCCTAATTTTTTCACCAAAATTTACTAGTCACTCTATTTAGAGGAAAAAATGAAATATTTTGAAGTAAAATAGCTATATACAGAGAAATGTGACTTAATAGTATTGTGCACCTTATTATAAAGTCTATTCTATCTCAAAAGAGAAGTAGTATATAGGTACACTGCTTTTTTTTTTTTTTGGCAGAGTCTTGCTCTGTCACCCCAGCTGGAATACAGTGTTCTCGATCTCGGCTCACTGCCAACCTCTGCTTCCAGGGTTCAAGCGATTCTTTTGCCTCAGTCTCCTGAGTAGCTGGGATTACGGGCATGTACCACCACACCCAGCTAATTTTTGTATTTTTAGTAGAGTTGGGGTTTCACCATGGCCAAGCTGGTCTCAAACTCCTGACCTCAGGTGATCCGCCCACCTTGGCCTCCCAAAGTGCTGGCATTACAGGCGTGAACCACCGTGCCTGGCCTTACCTTTCCTTTTTTGATAAAAATTAATAAAAAGAAAACCATATTTGTTGATGCAACAGTTTATTATTGTTTCTGGACATTAGTTTGGGACATTCTGGACATTCTGGACATTAGTTTCTGGACATTCTGGACATTAGTTTTCTCCAAATACCTTTCTGTCTAAATCAAGTTCTTAACCCACTATAAATAAGTACTTGACTATGTCCGATTATTTTTGTAGGCAAAGAATTGAGATTATAAAGAATGCTCAATGCCTATTCCAGTATTTAAGGTGAATATTCTAAATATATTAATAAGATCAACCCTATATAAAATGAGATCCAACCACTTATACAGATTTAATTTTCTGTACTCAAAATCAGAAAATAACAAAATTAGCATGATGGCTCAAGAAAATATTTATAATATTCATGGACTTATTTTGGAGATTGTACATCAGTCAGGATATACTTTCTCTATACCTCATCTCTCATTTCTTTGTACGGTCTTCATTTCTAGGAATCACAAACGTGTCCAGTGACAGCTCTAGGTTTGCACAGCCTGTAAAGAGGGAATCCTGAAGTGAAGATTAGCTCCAGCTAACACCATAGAAATGATTCCTTTTGGCTGCATCTCTGATCTACTTTAGCGTGGTCAAGTTACATCAGATTTTCAGCTCTATGTGAGAAAATAAGGCCCATGGGATTGGGAAGCAGCTGCCCCCAAATGGTAAAACAAATTCTCCAAAAGGATTAAAAAAAAAAAAGAAAGAAAGAATATCCTCCACCAAGGGCTCTACTTTTCTCAGAAAATTATATTATTAATTAAATATTTGCACTTGCATATGCACTTCCACAAGAGGACTAAGCCATTATAAGCATATTCAAGGACATAATCTCTTTCTTATATAATTTTACTTTTTAACTTTTAAAATAATTAAGATATTCTGGGAAGGAATTAGGAAAAGCCAACTCTGTAACAAAAACTTGCCTTCATTTTTCTGGTGCAATACATTTGCCTTAAAAACAAATGACAGTTCTGCACAATAATCTCCATTTGATGAGAGGAACCTTTGTTGAAATGATCATTGTTGAAGGAAAGTAGAAGGATTCAGTATACCTCAAATCCTTTTTTTCACACAGAGTGTGTATAGCTGATATTGGGCACTGTTGTTTGCACATAATCTGATGCATGTGGGAAATCTAATTTAATGGAATTTATTACACAGTCTCTAGAGGGGACAAGGATGCAATACCAATGGATGTGAATTTCATGGTGCTCTTTTCACCAAACAACAGTCTTTCTACTTAAAGTTTAGACTCCTGACTCCCCAAAATAGTTAAGATTGCCATTCAAAATAGAAAATTAGCCATGTATGTATAAGCACCTTTAAAGCTACTCTTCTATGAAATCAATTTATAAATATATACATATACATACACATATACACACACACGTGTATGTGTGTATGTGTGTGTGTATATATTTATATGTGTGTATATATTTATATCTTTATGTGTGTATGTATGTGTGTGTATTTATATATTGACTTCACAGAAGAAGGTGCTAAAGGTGCTGATAAACATCTAATATTATCTTCTCACTCTAGGATAGACCATGTTCTTCACATTTTACAGGCAATATATTCGGTCTATTCATTATCTCCAGTGAAAATGATAAAAAATTAATTGAAAATTTATATTGTAAAAATATATATTTCACTGTATTTCTTTCATATTGTATCATGAAATATATCAGTATTAAAAATGTTCCTAGTAAGCCTGAGAGTACTTATATGAACATTTGTCACATACAATATTTAACAGATGTCTCATTTCAGTGTTTCTATTACTAGAGAGTGTCAGCAATGATCTGGTGGATAGTGCATTACACCAGGAGCCAGAAAACCTGGATTCTTAAGTTCTTGGCTCTGCTGTTGCTATTAAATAACATCAAACAATTCCTGGATCATCTGTACCTCATTTTATCCATCTTCCAAACAAAGGGGAATATTTTTTCCTCCTGTAAAGTGTTATCAGGGAATGGTGAACATGGTTAAACAACTCAGATTTCAAATTTCAGGTCTAAAGTCAAGATGATGGTCAAAAATTTGATATCTTATTTATGTAGATACTAGAAATTAAGGAGCAAGGCATTCTTGGAAGACTATCAATACCAACCCAAAGTCTTAAATTCTTGGCTCTGATGCTGACTATTAAATAACACCAAACATTTCTGAATCATCTGCTCTTCATTTTATTCACCTTAAAAACAGAAGGGATATTTTTCCTGCTATAAAGTGTTACCAGGAAATAGTAAACATAGTTAAATATCTCATATTTAAAATTTCAGGTCTGAAATCAGGATGGTGATAAGGAATTCAAATTCTCATTTATGTAGGTATCAGAAATTAAGGAGAAAAGCATTCCTGGAAGACTATCACGACTAAAATTATAGGAATTGAACTGGCAGAAGAAACCATGGTCTGGCAATTCTTCCTGAGTGAAGAAGTAACCACTTGTCTGTACAGAAGAGCTGGCAGGTGTGCAAGTGATCATGTGATGATGTAACAATGCACCCAGCTACTTGCACTCTTTGCATAGAATGTGATCTCTTGAAACCGTAGTCCTAAAGCAGGGGCTTTGAGATCTGTGGTTCAGCGGTGGTTCATGTGTCCTTTACAGTCTTAAACCTCACAGTCTCCACTGAAAATTCAAATTCTTTGTCACATGCCATTGCTGTAAGAGAATAGTAAGAGGAAGATGAAAATGTGTAGTATTTTCAATAGCTGTAACAGACCAGAGAATTAGAGTAACAATTCTAAGAGCAAGTAACCTAAAAGTATAGTTGGTGTTGGAATAATGCAACATTAAAGACTCTTGAGATTATCTTATTTCATGCTCAGGGTCCTCAAGAATACACTAGTTGCAGTGATTTTCAACACTTGCCTCACATAAAAAGCATTTGGGAATATGTGGTTAAAAAACTCTTGTGTACATGCCACACTCCAGGCCAACTAAATAAGAGTTTTCAGAAATGATTTCTGGATCTTGGTGTTTCAAAAGTTGTACAGGTGATTCTAACTTGCATCCAAGTTTGAAAGCCACTGATCCAGTGCGGTGTACAGCTCCTAACGATAAAAACTGCTTCTTGACTGCTGAAAAGAAAAATCACAAAATATCTCTCTTCTTTCTCTTAAAAGAGCTGAATGCTATATATATATATGTGTGTGTGTGTGTGTGTGTGTGTGTGTACATATGTGTAAACCGCTCCTAAAACTCTTAAAGATTAACAACTAAGCCAATGTTTATTGACCTCTGGCAGAGTAGGGTACAATCCAAAGATTCAGTTTTTCACTCATCTGAGTCTATATTATCCTTTGAAATGCATGCATATAAACTCTGGTACTTCCACTCTGGGACTGTCTGCACAGGCTAAATATTACTTTTAAAGCCATTGCCTTAAAGTCCTCAAAGGAAGCTTTCTTCTCTAATTATTGATTTTTTTGTCATCAAAAGAGTTATTCTTTTTGATTAGGGACCTAAGTGGTAACATGAATACTCTGACCTACATTCATGGCCCATATCCATCATTTATTTATTCAACACAGTATAGTATCATCTTAGAAATGTCACCAAATTTGCTTATTCCTGTAAAACACTGATAGAGAGTGTCACATGCAGGCTTTCTTTCTAGGTAGATATATATTAAACTAATTTTTCAATTATCTACTTCAAACATCACTTTGATTCTTTAAATAGTTCTAAAAAGTAATTTATTTGCTTACTTAAGATTTTTCTTTGGGTTTTCTCACTTGCTAAAGCAGATTCTAGAAAGAATTGTCACATAACTTGCAACAGAGTCTAATTGCTGATCAGGTTGTACAAGTTTGAGTGGTCGGCTGCTTGATACCTAGCTAAAAGTCTTGTTGAAGAATCTTTAAAGAGAAACCATCTGGATTAAGGTAGTTAGATTTCCTTTGCTCCCCAAAGGGTTCATATGGCTTATGCTTCCAGCCCAATGTCACCATTTTAAACAGTGGAACATCCTAAGAAAATATAAATTGCAATAATACATTTAGTGTATCGATATTATTACCTTTTTATGCATACATTACAGAGAAAGCATGAAAGACATATTTTGTTGATTTTTCTCTTGAACAACTAAGTTATTTTATTTTATTTTATATATTGGCTTATTACCTTTCAACCCAAGCTTAACTTTCTGTATTCTGTTTTGTGACACTGAGACTGATAGTCTGCACACTGTTTCCCAGACTCATTGCTACCTCACTGTCTGGTAGTGTCTGAGCCTGGAGGGAGTTTAGAAAGCAGGACAAGGAAGAAACAGATTTCTTTTTGGTCTCCAGTTTCTGCTGCTTCCTTCCTGTAACAGGGGCCAGGTACCACTCCAGGCCCCAGCTCATTGCAGCATTCCTGTTATCACCTGCCATGCATCCCTCAGAGGTACCAGCTGGTCAGATTACCAGCTATAACACTCTTCCATGTCAGAGGTACCAGCACCAGCACCAGTGGCACTACACCACTTTCCATGCTGTTCTAGTGATTACAATCTTGTTCTTTGTTGTTTGAGCCCTAAGGGTGGGTAACTGATTCCTGTAGTTACTAATATCTGTGTCACTTTAGCATTTTCTTTTTTGTTGTTGTTTAAGCCTTCCAACACTTATGTGACCATTTTTCGGGGGGAGGTATCAAATCCTCTCTATTAGAAAAATACCTACAGTGGCTTCAGTTTTCCCAGCCAAACCCTGACTCTGATATAGGATGAATTATGTAACTTTTATTTCCATCTTCAAAGAGATTTATTGATTTGAAAAACAACAGGGAACTATTTAATTGACATTAATTTGGGGAGCAATGCAGTGATGCTGTACACAGGAAGCTTACAGTAAGTGAAGGTATCCAATGCTACCTAGTGGATGAGGAAAATGATGTCCCAGACAAGATGATGATCTGATTTTCCAGGAAGGGTTTCACAAGAACCCTAATGGTGCAAAACACATGACAAATTATACATGAAATGATATGTATCAGGACCAGATATGTCATTTGCAGGGCTGAGTGCAAAATGAAAATGCTGGATCTGCTATTTTAAAAACATATAAAAATTACAGCACGGCAGCAGCAGAACTTTAACTTTGCCCTTTACAGAAGACTTTGCCCAATCTCTGGACAAGTGTCATGGACTAGATACTAGACATAGAAAATTTATTAAATGCCTTATTAACTCTGGTGCTCTTTATTTTACCAGGTAACTGGAATAATTACCTTTCCCAATCACTTTTATCTCAAAATATGTGAAAATTAGGCCAAAGGTTTCCAAGTTTTAGATCAGAAAATCATAATCATTAGCTGTTTCCATGCAAATAAGGAAACCCTTGGAAAGTTATCAAAATTCCAGATAAGCAGTTCAGCATTGTGTGTAAAAAAGTAAGCATTTCAATATAAATACAATGTAAATAAGATACTCTTTAACAATCCACGGTAGTCCAAGCACAGTGGCTCACGCCTGTAATCCCAGCACTTTGGGAGGCCGAGGTGGGCAGATCTCTTGAACCTAGGAGTTGGAGACCAGCCTGGGCAACATGGCAAAACCCTTCTCTACAAAAAATACAAAAAATTAGCCAGACATGGAGGCATACAGCTGTACTAGAGAGGCTGAGGTGGGAGGATCACTTGAGCCTTGGAGACAGAGGTTGCAGTGAGCCATGATTGTACCACTGTACTCCAACATGGGTGACAAAGCAAGACCTTATCTCAATAAATAAATAAATAAATATCTGCATTATCTGAAAGTTTTGTGGCTGAAAAGCCACTACTTTTCTCTTACAGCATTTACAGATCCCACGCCAATGAGCATGTCTGTGTACCACTTCTATAAATGGCACATTAGTCTGGCTAGCAGAGGCCAACATTTATTGTTAGTTTTTGGAAAATTCATCTAAAATAACTGGACAATTATATAAAAGCTTATCCATAAAACAAAGTAAATCTTATTATCAGCACCATGCTCAGAAATTACCAACTTTCATTTTAATGACCTCCAGATGCATTGCACAATAGCAGTTCCTCATTTCAGGAAAATAGAAGTAGAATAACTATGCACGGGGGAGTTAACTAGAGAAGTATTCAATTCTTCAAAAATGCAATTTTACTTCAAGCATAGGCAGTCAGGGATGAGTTGTGAGTTTAGAACTCACCTAATGTTTTTTATTTGAATGGAGGGAAAGTTCAAATGAAGAAAATTCGACGTATTCTTTTCTCTGCCAAGAGTTGGGATTTTAACACACATATTATGTTGCTCGTTTAGAAAACATACACAATGGTATTCAGTTTAGTTTTAAACTGTGAATCAGAAATAAAAAATAACAACAGATGGAGAAAATAAAATTGAATTCCTAGTATATTGCAAACAAGCTTAAATACTGTGTTCAGCTCCCATGTGGTGTGCTATTTGGTCTGAAGGGCTGAATGTGACAAATGTTACCAGTGACTCACAGTCCATGTCTACCTGTAGCCACAAAATCCAATGTTTTGTGATCAGCTTTTTTGCTTTTTTAAAAAATGTTAATTGCTATCTACATATTCTAACAAACTTTGAGGTTGTTTCAAATCATAATAAGAATGTATTGAACAAAATGTAGCCATCACCTGAGTTGTTTTATTTTGTGTTGTTCAAAGACAGCCCATTCTATTGATCACCAAATGTGGTGGAGGGTCATTTTTGTAAGGCCTGAGATATCTATCAGTGTATGACATTTCAAATGTTTTCTACACCAGAGAATACACACATGCACACACACACAGACACAATTCTACATCTTTTGCCATTTCTATGCCTGTTGTATCCTGAAGTGATATTTTCATGAAAGATTCTACTGAGACCTGTGTCATGGCACTTTCATTATTGCTTTCAAGCATGCTCCCTACACAGACTTTCATTAACCTATACTCTGTTGCAAAATTTTTTATCATAGTGATTCAGGATTTTTCTTATTCCCTTCGTCAAACTTATGACAGGGGTAACCCATTTACTCAACCCGCTGCACTCAACCCCTTTCAGGAGGGAGAACGTGAATGAGCAAGTGCTGGATTCGCCAGACGTTCCAAGCACGGACACAGGAGCAAGCTTCTTGAGGTGCCTGTGGCGACACCCAGGTGGGGTTGCCTATGACAACCCCAGAGGAGGTGCTACAGCGATCTCTTAGTTCCACCGTCTGTAGATGGTGGTGTGTTAGCAGCTCAGTTGGCACCTTGTGGTGGCACCTGGGTGAGGATGCCTGTGACCCCATGCCCCAGAAAGGGCCCTTTAGTTATGTTGTCCATAGTCTGATGTCGGTGGCATGTTAGACACTCAGTTGGCCCCTTCCCTTGTTTCCTGGCCTGGCTGCCCTCTGCCTGCAAGGTCAAGGGCCAATATGACAGCCTTTTCTGGGTACCCGCCCTCAGTGAGTCCCGAGCTCTTGTCTGGTGTCCAAGAAGAGAACCTCATGACCATGAGGTCACATGGATGCTTAAAGAGTGGTGAAAGAGGAGAATTTTGTGAAAGGATGAAAACAGCTCTCAGCAGAGAGGGAAGCTGGAGAGGGGATGGGAAGGACAGATTATCTTCCTTTAAGTCTGAGGTCTTATAGGCACAGGATGGGTAATAGGCACAGAATGGGGCATGCATGCTGATTGGTTTGTAAGTATGCAAAAAAGGTTAAAGCAAAGACACCTACTCAAAGGTGGGTATGACAGTGTAGAAAACCAATTAGGAAAAGGTAGGCATATGTAAAACAGGTGAAGGGTGGGGATCAATTAGAGGAACGTGCACCAAACAGGAAGACAAGTTCCCAATCCAGTCAGAGCATTTCATGTGTAGTTTTGCTTTCAGGCTTTAAACTGTCTTTGGTTTGTAGGTGGGGTTTCACTGGGTACCCACTCCTATCTGCCTAGGTATTTGGCTGCCTCCAACTGCTCTCAATAGTATAAGATGCATACAGAACAGTACACAAATCAAAATCTGAAGCTCAACAAACTTCACAAGTAGAAGATATTCCTTTGACCAGTAT
Source organism: Homo sapiens (assembly GCF_000001405.40). Taxonomy (NCBI): domain Eukaryota; kingdom Metazoa; phylum Chordata; class Mammalia; order Primates; family Hominidae; genus Homo; species Homo sapiens. Next base: position 58,657,277 of record NC_000013.11, read on the forward strand.
GTATATAAAGGAGAATATGCAGCCCAATGGATGCCCTGTACTCCTTCCTTTTAGTCACAACCAAAGTGCCAATGTCATGAATCCTAACCTCAAATATTACTTTTGAAATTTTAAAATTTTATTTAAATAAAATTATACATATGTGTCCTCTGGTATATCTGGTTTATTACGTTCATTCCTCTGCTTTTGGAATTTATTCACATTGTAGCATAAGTTTCCGTTTTGATTTTTATTTTCTAGAGTGTTACCATCATATTATGGATCAAGATCCTTGTTCTCCTCTTCAAATTCCTTCAATATATCATCCTGTATTAGTTATCTTTTATTATCTTCAATTTTAACCAATTTTTTACATTTACTTTGTGTGATTTACCATTCTTGGCATTGTGAGAATAAAATTTTTGCTAAAAATATGTCTATGTCTTAAGGAATTTAACATTTAATGGAGGGTACCATTTATAACAAACTCAAATGTCATACACAATTACAGAAGCTCTAAATAGAGGTAAAAGAAATATATTACAAATGTGATTTAGTAAGACAGTCTTATTTTGCCTAAGAAGATCACAGAAAAGTTCATTCAAAAATTTACCTTCACTTTTGAGAAGGATTTAGGTAGCTAATGAAACAGTATAGGGCACTGCTGGCTGAGGGCAGCACATGAACAATGTCTTGTAATACAAAACTGAAAAGGATTTGTCAGAAATGATTATGATGAGCTGCACTAGCTGATTCTGCTGGCAAGATAACTTGAGACATATTTCTGAGGGACTTGTTCCTCATGCTAGGAGTGGTTCAGTTCCTCTCCCCATTTCCTTCTCTCCTTTTGCAAACTTTAGCCTGTCCTGTTTGTCCCGTAATTATTCACTGTTGAATTTACATCTTGGCTGTCCTTGGATTTTTCCCTATTCTTTTGCTTCCAGTATTTCCATTATTGAAATGAGACCTGATCACACTATCAAAACAAATCAAAACAGATCTAAATGTAAAACAATATGAATATTTTTCTAAATTATTCAGACTTCTCGTTCTCTTGACAATCTCTTCACTTAATCCCAAATTTACTACATAAAATGTCCTATAACAAATTTTATATCTCTATTATATATTTATTTTTGCATGTGATATGGTTTGGCTGTGTCTCCACCAAAATCTCAACTTGAATTGTATCTCCCAGAATTCCCATGTGTTGTGGGAGGGACCCGGTGGGGGGGTAATTGAATCATGGGAGTTGGTCTTTCTTGTGCTATTCTCATGATAGTGGATAAGTCTCATGAGATCTGATAGGTTTATCAGGGGTTTCTGCCTTTGCTTCTTCCTAATTTTTCTTTTGCTGCTGCCATGTAAGAAGTGCCTTTCCCCTCCTGCCATGAATCTGAGGCCTCCCCAGCCATGTAGAACTCTAAGTCCAATTAAACCTCTTTTTCTTCCCAGTCTCTCATATGTCTTTATCAGCAGCATGAAAACGGACTAATACAGTATGTTTTGAATCATATGTCACTAGATGCTCAGTACATGTTTGGAAAATGTTGATAATAAGATTGCAATTAAAAGCCTAAATTATTAGCTAGTATCTCATCTCATACATTTTGCAATATTCCACATCTATGATCTATCCCATTAATTTTTACTGTTATGGCTTAAAAGTCCATCATTACTAGTATTGAGTGTTTTTTAACATAGAAACTAATTTTTAATTATAGCAATTGTTGCCTCCTGCTAAGCATGCAATTATTAACAGCACATACATTGGATCCCATGGTCAGCATGATGACAGAGCTGCTCAAAATAAGTGAAAGTTCTATATGGTTGCAGTAATTTCCTCAATACTGACATTAGTACTAATATTTTTGAAGTTACCCTCCTGGTGTGTCTTGGAAACGTTTTTGTCTTTCTGTGTGTCTGGTTCATGGTTTGCTGTCTTTAGATTTCCATAAGGTAATTGTTGAGCCGTCTTAGTCCCATCCATTCTCATCACCTAATCAGTCCAGTGCAGCAAAGCAACAAAGCACAAGGCTTGAACCTGTAAAAGAAAAGAAGGAATGATGGAAAACTTGTTAAAATCAAGTCAGATGGCAAATTTTGGTGGAAAAAAATGGATCGAATTAATTCTTCATGGATATTAGAAATGCCTGATATAAGGGCTACCAAATCTGAAAAGAATTTCTTGTAGGGAAAGAAAATATATATTCTGCCTGAAATTAATTAAAATATCAATTATAATACTAATAGTAAAATACTTTATAAATGCATATGATTTTTTACTTGAAATGACAAATAGATGCCTGTAAAAAGTTTTGGATATTTGTGTATGCATGAGTTAGTAGGACAAATATTTGATCAAATTAAAATACTAATCTAGTGAAACTCAACTGACTCTTTTCCCTAAATTGATTGACAAAAATAATGGATTGGTGATTTATTCAACAACACACATTTATTTAGCATCTGTTATATATTAAAAACTAAGCTGTTAACAAATGATACAGTTTGGAATGAGATGCTGCTCCTGCCCTTCATTGGATTATACTCCGTTGAAGGGCAGGAGTAAAAACAAGATGAACTTCTCAGACTTCTTTTCCTATAAAATTAGGAAATAATGCACAGCAGGAGCAGAGTGAAAATATTGGTTAAAATAAAAACCATACTACACATTCCTTTGTTTTCTTGTAATGACCCTAGAATGCTCTGTGGGGACCCTTGTAATTCCTAGGAAAATAAGAAGTTTTATCAGTACCACTGTAAGCTTGTGGATGCAAAGCAAACAATTATAATCAATTTGGATGAGTTATTCTCATAACCATATTAAGCTATCACTTGATCTGGAACTGTACCAACTTTGCCCAGAAAATTTCTGAATCATTAAAACAATAGATCTAACTCAACCAATGTTATATAGACAGACTGTTTTTGGGCTAGTTTTTAAAGATTTTTATTGGTTGGAAGAAGGCCTAAAGTCACAAATTAAAAAGGTTGATGTAAATCTATTTTTGTTTTTTTTCTCATGATTTTTTTTTTCTGGTGTGCTAGAGCTGTATTTTTATCTTAATATTATTTACAAGGTTTTGTATCTCTGATTCTCATTCGGGAGAAAATTAGCACCCCATAGCACTAATCCATTTATAAATTATAATCTAAATGACAAAGAAATGATTTCTACATCAGCTATTCCCTAACTGTGTTTCACATGAGAAACCCTAAGTCCTCTTAAGTGAAAATAAATCTTGGTTCTGAGATGTTTTCTAAATGTCTCTAAGGGGACTTTGAAATATTTATATTTTTGAAGCGCCAAATACTGTGTAATGAGTTTAATATTTCTATAGGTTTTCAGATTCAGTTTACAGAGTAAAATGTAATTTAAAACAAGATTATTTTGGATGTCAAGTTACACTGTGCTGATCAAAAGTTGTTGTATATACTATGATTTTTAAAAAATATTTGTATTTGAAACTCCTGTGAATGATTGAATGATACTTTCAAAATCCCTAGAGGGCTTATGTTAATGATCGGGTCTGGACTGATAACAGTAATAATGAATAAGAATCTGTGGGAAAATTCTAATCAACAGGAGCTTTTAAACTTATTGCAAAAATTTCTCTTCTTTGGGGAGTAGGAAATCTGTCCAAGAAAATCAAAAGAGGGATCCAAGTCAAAATCTAATGACAGCTCTTTAAAACTGGGTTAGTTCTTTACAATAATAATAATGAAAAGGATAAGAGAGATAAAGAGACACTTCACAAAAGAAGATGCATAAATAATAAATAAAGTTGTAATGAGGGAACCAGAAATATAACTTATTGTGATTCTCTTTTATTCATTTCCTCCTTTGAGACTTTCCTTTTCCTAGTGAGTCAGAGACAGATTGTTTCCAAGATTATTACACTGGAAATGGAAAGAGCAAAAAAGTCAATGTTGTTCATTAGTATTTTTTTGTTTTTACATCCAAAATGGATCTGAGGCTAGCAGGGTACAAAGTTACTGCTATCTATTAAACTGGAAAGAGAATAATGAAAGACAAAATACCCAACTCCAAAAAATAAGAGTCACAGGTGCTGGGGGGCAGAGGAATGTGAGCATAGTTTTCGAGAGGGTCTGATAGTGGGAAGAAAATAGGAGAAGATGACCTAACCAAGTAAAGGCAGATTTTAAAAAGGTATGCTTTTATCCATCAAGAAGGCAAATGTTTGTTAGCTAAAACTCAGTGTATCCAAAGGCACAATAAACAGACATTTTATTAAGCAGCAACTAGGAGCATATGTCACGTCAAATTCTTTGGAGGTCATTTGACAATTTGTATCAAGGACTATGCAAATGGCCATATCTTTAACAAAGGTTAAGAATTTATTCTGAGGAACTTAGTAGGGGATGTGCATTAAAGCATGAGAGGACTCAAACTTCATAGAAAAATGGAATTAAAAGATAAAGAAAAAATTACACTTTATTTTTCAACATAAACTCCGGGGAGTTCAAGGCACTTTAATAAGTGAGAATACCAGCCATTTTGTCCATCCTTAAAAAACTGAGGGTCCTGGGAATTTAACCATCTTAATGTTGTCTTTTTGACATTAAAGATGGGTGCTGAAGAAAAATGGGTGCTCTTTATTTTTTAAGATTAGGAAATAAAAAGAAGTCAGACAGAGCCAAATCGGGGCTGTAAAATGGATGCCTAATGATTTCCCACTGAAACTCTTGAAAAATTATGATTTTTTGATGAGATGAATGAACGTTGCTGTGGTGGGAAGGACTCTCTGGTGAAGCTTTCCTGGGCATTTTTCTGCTAAGGCTTTGGTTAACTTTCTCAAAATATTCTTATAATAAGCAGATGTTATCATTCTTTGGCCTTCCAGAAAGTCAACAAGCAAAATAGCTTGAACATCCCCAAAAATCTGTTATCATGAACTTTGCTCTTGACTGATTCCTTTTTGCTTTGACTGGGCCACTTTCACCTCTTGACAGCCATTGCATTTGTTTTTGTCTTCAGGACTTTACTGGTAAAGCCGTGTTTCATCTCCTGTTTTCTTCAAATAAATGCTTTAGGATTTTGATCCCACTTGTTTAAAATCTCCATTGAAAGCTCTGCTCTTGGCCAGGCACAGTGGCTCACGCCTGTAATCCCAGCACTTTAGGAGGCCAAGGCAGGTGGATCAGGATCACCTGAGGTCAGGAGTTCAAGACAAGCCTGGCCAAGATGGTGAAACCCTGTATCTACTAAAAATACAAAAATTAGCCGGGTGTGGTGGCAGGTGCCTGTAATCCCAGCTACTCGGGAGGCTGAGGCAGAGAATTGCTTGAACCCAGGAGGTGGAAGTTGCAGTGAGCCAAGATCGCACCACTGCACTCCAGCCTGGACAACAGAGTGAAACGCCATCAAAAAAAAAAAAAAGAAAGAAAGAAAGAAAGAGAGAGAGAGAGAAAGGAAGGAAGGAAGGAAGGAAGGAAGGAAGGAAGGAAGGAAGGAAGGAAGGAAGGAAGGAAAGAAAAGAAAGAAAGAGAAGGAAGGAAGGAAGAAAGAAGGAAAGAAGGAAAGAAGGAAAGAAAGAAAAGAAAGAAAGAGAAAGAAAGCAAGCAAGAAAGACAGGAAGGAAGGAGAGAAGGAAAGAAAGAAAAAGAAAGAGAGAGAGAGAAAGCTCTGCTTCTGTTTTCAGTTAATCTGGGCACAATGGTTTTGGCACTCATCCAGTGGAAACATTTCTCAACTTTAATTTTTCAGCCAGAATTGTCCAAGCTGAACCAGTTGAGATATCTATGGTGTTGGAATATTGTTTCTGCTGTGAATCCGCTGGTTCTTTCCAATTAGCACACAAATAAGATTAGTTTTTTCCTCACAAATTAATGTGGATGGTCTGTCGCTTCCAGCTTTATTTTCAATGTCTTGTCCCTTCTTAAAATGAGTTATTCATGTGTAAACTGCTGATTTCTTTGGGGCATTGTCCCTATAAACTTTTGGTAAACCATTAATGATTTTACCATTCTTCCACCCTAGATTATTCATAAATTTGATGTTTGTTCTTGTTTCAATTTTAGCAGAAAAATAATGTTGCTCTGATAGGGCCTTTTTCAAACTGATATCTTATCCTTCTTAGTGCCTCAACCTAGATTCTATTCAGAGGTTACAAAAAGCTACTACTATGAGTTTATTTTGGTGTAAAATATTTTTGAAATTTATACATAGTTTTTTCATAATATTCATTTTTCATGAATTTTTGAAGACCTTTTTTATTACCAACCTACCATTAAGGCATTATTTATAATATTACAGAATTTAAAACTGCCTAAATGTAAACAATAGGATATTTTAAAATAGTGTTATATCCATAGAACAGAAAAATTTGCAAGTAAATTATATTATATTCGTAAGAATATGTTCATATTTCATATGTATTCATATATGTTGAAATATATATTTCATGTATTCATATATAAGATATATAATATATATGAAATATATATCTTTGAAATATATATGAATATACAAAAACATATATATGAAATATATATATTTGAAATATGTGTGAATATATAAAAACATATGAAATATATATTTCATATATGGAATATATTCATATTTTAAAATATATTCATGTTTTTAGTAAATTTTGTTCTATGTTGCATAATAGACTAGAATTGTGTCTTCTTTAAGGGGGAGTATGTTTTAGGCTACCATGAGCATCATTATGCTTCTGTGGATCAGTTGATTGCTGGCTGAGGTTTCAGAGAATTTTGCAACATTACACACACAGGTCAACTGTGATGTGTCTTCACATAGCCTGCTCAGAACGTTCCTATGATAACTCTATAGCATTTCTCCAATTCCAGCACATATTCCTGGTTTCCCAGTGCTTGATCCAACTACTCAATAATCATCTCCTCTGATATTTCAATTTTATTTCTTTATTGGCCAAATTATGAAATAGAATGGTTGTCTTTTAGAATACACCTTGAGTTAAGGTAATATCAAGTGCAACAGAATCTCCCTTTGGGGAAATTTCATAACATCTAAGAACAGAGTTAAAAGAAAAGAATGAGATGACTGACTCAGTGGAGTTGACATCTGTTTTTTTTTTTCATATACAGGTTTTCAGACACTAAAAACAGTACACTTCTACCTGTGTTATGCTGCCTACATCTAAATATTCAGTTATATCCTCAAATAACCTTTTTTATCCCAATGCTTACTCTACTGAGAAAAGTATCTAAAGCATTAGAAAATGATTACTACGACACTATCAGATGAAAGAAGATCTAATCTAGAAATGATAGACTCACTATAAATTTTTCAGAACTAATTGTTAGAGCATAGAGTTTAGAACTTACATGTCAGGCAAATACAATGATTTCACCTCCTCTTCAAACAAAAATGCCAACATTTTTTTGACTAGTAGACGACACCAATTAAAGGTAAAAAAAACAATTTAGTGAAAATGCATTGCATAATGATTAGAGTTTATTGATAAAATATTCATTTAAGAAAGATATAGTGAAATCAAAACGTCTGTGAAAATTTCTTTTTTGAGAAGTACCACTTCTTCAGTGATAACTTTCTTAAAAGACGAAAACTTAAATGCACCAGCTTTCCTCTTATTATTTTAGTAAGCAAGGTAAAAACAAACAGATGTGAATAATAATGGCAGCTGGTTGATTCATTATGATGTAATTAAGGGCTTATTAAGAGATGGTAGAAGCTGCTGCTCTGCCAAGATTCAGGACATTGTTTTGTCTTTAAGAGAAGTCAATTAAATGTTGTTGCTGTATCAATTAGGGTACTTTTAGTTAAAATGTTAAAAAAATACACAATGTATTTTAAACAATAAAGAAAATTGTTGTATCATATAACTGAAAAGTTCTTCTACACAACATGTTTCTAAATTAAAATTCTACGCAAAAGATAAAAGCATCTATTTCAACAATAGCTCGAGTTAGAAATTGAATTGCAGTAGCCCTGATATCTCTGACTTAGGCTCCCCAGTAATAGATTTTGGAACACATTGATTGGCTCATGTTATTTTGGGATTGCTCTAGGAGGAGGAGTGGGGTCTTTCCCAATGAGTCCAAGAAATTAAGGATCCATCCAATTCAAGAAGAGTCGACAAATCTAGTGGTTACTCCATTTGCCACTCAAAGTCATTTTGGATTTTCAAAATGGACCAGCATTTCTGATTGCCTATTTCTTAAAACTTTCTCCATACCAAAAGGTAAAATTTTAAATCCAGATTAAGCTTCACTATGAAAATTTTTCCCATACTTTTTGGTAGGATTGTGTGTGTTTTAAAGAGAACCTTGAAAGTCAGAGAGTGGCCGTAATCTAAGCCTTAGACCCTACGGGGTATCAGGTAAGGTCATGACAGAAGCTGAAGTGATGTCTCAGGGTCAACTTTAGCTCTATAGAGCATCTGACTTAAGTTCTACAGGATAAGATATTTGAAAAATTACAATATTCATAGTCAAAACACCTGATTTCTAGTCAAAGTTATAAAATCCTATAGGTTATGTGACATTCTCTCTGTGATGCAGAAACTTTATCTATCAAGTAAGTAGTTCCAAGATATTTCCGTCAACATCAAGTGCAACTATTTTATAATGTGCTTTATAAACTGTCAGGTTGGGCCGGGCGTGGTGGCTCACCTCTGTAATCCCAGCACTTTGGGAGGCTGAGGCAGGTGAATCACAATGTTTGAGACCAGCCTGGCCAACGTAGTGAAACCCCGCCTCTAATAAAAATATGAAAAATTAGCTGGGTGTAGTGGCACATGTAATCCCATCTACTTGGGAGGCTGAGGCAGGAGAGTGGCTTGAACCTGGGAGGCGGAGGTTGTAGTGAGCTGAGATCACGCCACTGCACTTTAGCCTGGGTGGCAGAGTGAGACTCCATCTCAAAAACAAAAACAAAAACAAAAACTGTGAAGTCCTCTACATATAAAAATAATGACATTACTATGTACAAAGATTAAGAATTATTGGCATTATTATATCCTATCAGCTAACAAAATCACTTTATAAGATGAAAATTGCATAAAGTTGTTTAATCATTACTTTGAGATTTTAAGGTGTGTTTAGGCCCTGTTTCTGAACAGATCTTGACAAATATGTCAATAAAAAAAAAGAAGCAGCCAGTGAAAGTGGTGCTGATTCCAATCAAGCACTTAAAAAACTGTTCTCTTAACTTTATTACTTTTTCCTACTTCCTTTCTCATGCTCCATCTGCGAGTTACTAATCCAAGAACTGTCTCCCTTGAGTATATTTTTTCCCACAAAGATAGTTGCTGGAACTGAAAGGATGTTAAAAGAAAGATTAGTGCCTAGTAGAGGATCTCCTCCTGAAACAAAAAGTGGACCCAATGGAACAATCAAAAGAAAGAAAGAATAACTTGGAGATTTGAAACAAAGCAGGTTTCAGGCAGTATGCTCAGGAAGAGAGGACTCAGAAAACTCCAACAACCTCATAAGAATTTTCATTTAGCAAACACAAGCTTATTTCTGAAAGCCTCTGTCCTTTCCATGACATTTCAGGTTGGTTTCTAATTGCGTGAAGTTTCCTAGAATAACCATTCTTTTGAAAGAAGAACATCCTGGCCAACACAAACTTTGATCCATTTGTTAGACAGAATTGTTATTATAAAATATTTAATTGACTATATGATGAATAGCAGAAGCTGGATTAACCAGTTAATGATTATAAATTTGGTGTCATGGACCTGTTTTTTCAGAGCTTGTAGGCTAAAATTTTTGTGATAAGCCCATACAGTTATTAACAAGTTTGATATACAGAAAGGCTAAAAACAGTCTCAGCTTTGTCTTTCTTGACACAATGCTTTTGCTGATGCTGTCCCAGTATTACCTTCTTAATAGACTTCTCCATGATTATTTTCAAATGATGACCCATTGTTTTTTAAAAAAGTGATATAATATTTTAGAACGTGCTGAATTATGTACTATTTCTACTGGTTTTTGTTCCTAAGTGTCTACATTTGCTAACCAGATTCTCTGTTTCTGGTTTCTGTGAAGATAGCTACCGGCACAAAGCCAACATGCAGCAAAGGTTTTTCATGTATTTATTAAACATCTGTTATGTGCTAGGCTCAGCACTAGGTGCTGATACATGGTTTTGAGTATGATATATTAATTATGTGTAATTGATATAAACATTTATACACAGAAATACACATATTCTATTACTTCTAGAATGCATTTAAAATGAAAGATAATTGGAGAGGAAAGTAAAGATTTCAGAGGTTATTCTATGCTAAATTAATTTTTTTCTTTTTCAGTTAATAACCATCTTTTCTCTAGAGTCTATTTTTAAACATTTTTAGGTCCAACAATTTGCTGTATAATTTAAACTGCATACGCACATTGTGAAGATCTTGTTTCATCTGTCTTTTAGATAGTGCCTGCAATTTTAGTTCTCAATAAATATTATTGTAGCAATAAAGTGTGAAGCGATTATAAAAATTGGCAATGTCTAAGACTTCTCTTCATTTCTAAAGCTTAGCAGCATCTCTGATAAAGTGCAATTTTTCATTGTAAAAATTTCACTATTTTCATTACATTCCAATAAACTAGAACATATTATGCTAGGTCACATTAAAAATCTAGTGTCCATTTAGACTTGGCTTGAAGCAGGAAGGAAAGTAGCACATGAAAACATATGAAATAAAAGAAATTGTTATTTCTTGCCTCTAGTTCTACTCTACAAATTTATTATTTTCTCAACTCACCTATTAATTTGACTCTTATGAAAGAATACTTAGATATAACTCTCCATTTTCTGACTTTTAAAAAAATGAAAGCATTAAAGCTAAATTTCAAAAACTACGTATTATAGGAGATTCAAGTAAATAGCAGGAATTGAACTAAAATCAAAAGCCCCAGCTTTATGAAGAGAGTCAAAAATTATGTAAAATGATCAGTGATAATTTGCTAGTAACTTCCCAGACTGGACTAGCAGCAAGCTTTGTCCCCCAAATTGTAAAATTCCATAAATTTTTGGATTAGTCATAATTGCATTATAGTCAATAGAATCCCAGAGATCCAAAGAAAATGATATTTCATAAAATAAATTGTGGTTATGGCCATCAGTTTAATTTGGTTTCTTTTGTAAATGCTTTGCCATTACCACAGTAAAATTCTGGATTCCAGCACTGCCTCTTACTTACCCTAGGAAACATTACCATTTAAAAACACTATTCCAAATTGCAAGAAAGACTGGTTACTGATTCTGCATGGAGTTTTGAAAAGGAAATATTAATTTTTTATATAAATCAATTTTTTAAAAACCGGGTTCCCTAAATTGTGCCTTGAGGTCTAAGGATTTCCTAAAATGAATAAGATTCTGAATTAATATTATATTTTTTCATCATTCTCAATGTATATTAGCATGTTAGAGGTTTTGAAAATGTTGCAGCAATAATAAATATTTAAGTTTCCTAAACTTACCTGTGCAGGAAATCCTTTTCACTATTAACACCAAATAACCCAAAGACTAAGCATTTGGAAACAGTTATCTAAACCTATCAATCAATTTACATTTCCTAGTTTCTAATTTAAGTATGCTACATAGTTTTAAAATAATTATTTATTGAGCATTATTGTAAAATGTGCTGGACCATTTTGTAATAAAAAATTGAATGTCCTGCATTCATCTACTTAGTTTTAAAATATTTATTGAATGGTCACTGTGAATAATCACTGTGAACAAGGAAAAAGGAGTTCTTACCCAGTGAATAACTGAAAAGATGTTGCTCAAAGAGGTGACAATACAGAACAGAAAATTATGCAAATATTTACCATGTAGTATAATAATTGATAAAGTAACTATGTTTTGATGGATTTTTTTTCTAAAATACTGTCATTTTTAGATTAGTTTTATGAAAGCCTCCTTTTCATACTTGTTAGGAAAACTTTGAACATGGATTGCACAGAATTACAATTTCAAATTTAAACTTTGTATAATGACATTATATCCTGAAAGAATGTAAAAAGATTTAGAACTATTTACACCTATATTTAATAGCACTATGTGGGTTCTCTTAGTTATTGTTTGTTCATTTGCTTCCTTCTATCAACTCATTCTACTTTTTGGCTGAACTGGATTATCTTTGTGCAAACTCTGACCAATGCTTCTTCCATTTTGTTGCCCACAACAAAGCTAATGATTGGAAGAGGAAATCAAACAACCCAGTTTAATCACTGAGCTGACCTTTACCCTTTTATAAAAAAGTGTCTGTGTTGATGAGCATTAACAGCTTTCTCGTCAGCTAAATCTTCACTTTTCTTACCACCATGTGTCATTTAATTCCCTTCTGAAAGAGATTTTCAAAGAAGACCTAATCCACCATCTGAAAATTTCATTCGCTCCTTAAGTGATACTTGATCACCAGCTATACACTTCCCTTTATGCTAAAGAGGTACCAGTGTAGGTAGGGAAGCAAAACTTACGTATTTCCCAAAAGAAAAGCAATGTAAAATAGCCAATAAATTAGAACAAAATCAATGAAAAAAAGAGTAGGCTACGTTCACACAAAATAAGTTTTGCAATTTTTTTTTTTTTAGGAAGAGGAAAGAGAATGTTGCCTTGTAAATAATAAAAAGGACCAAATTGTCCAATTGCCCTTAACACAAATGAAAGATTATAGGGAGAACCAAGTTTACTGATTTAAAGACAGAGGCAATAGTACAGACAGGCCAAGCATTCTTCCCCTAGCATAATTTGCCATTGTCAATGTAATTTTCCAAATATTATTTCTCTCCCAGATTAGGAAATGTTCTGGTATAGATTTTGTACGTGATATACAAGTAATGCATGCAGATCATTGTGTGAAGAGAGGAATGCATTCAGTTTTGGAGCATCTCTTTTTAATATTCTATTACTATATAACATATGAGACATCTATCAGTGAGCCATGCCCCTTAAAAGCATAAACTCTGGGTTCCTTAACATCACAGAGAGACCACATGTATCCTGACAAAAACATTTCCAAGTTATGAATTTGCCATTATCTTTCTGCTCATAAATATTTTAAGTGCATTTACCAAGAGATTTTGCATAGAGAGATATTTGACTTGGCCATCTCTGTCACTGAAAAGAGAGATTATGGGTTACAGACCTATTGTTAACCTAGTATTTCCAACTGATATTATTGGAGTGTGATTCATGGAAGAAAGTAATTGAACTTATGTCACTTAAGGATGGTCAGTATGACAAAGCTTATAGTTCAGTTCCTACCTCAAAACAATCTTGTGCCCTACTGTTTTTCTCATCAATTAAAAAGCCCAACAAAAAGTCCAAGGAAATAGCTATTTTTCCTTCTGATTCTTTTATCATACAATAGTATTTAATCTGGAAATAAATGGAAAGTGTAAAGACAAATAGCATGCAAAATAAGCAATGCCACAAACTCAGATTAAAACAGGCAACAATGATTTTGTAGTTTTGGTGGATCATTCTTCACCCTAATAGAATACATTTACAAACAAAATCATACAAGGAACATATTCAAGGGTTTTATCTTGTATTTGGCCAAGAAAGACTCTCATTCCTGAAACTCAAAAGAGTTTCTAATAAACTTGAGGTAATTTTTAGCATGCTATAAATGCACTGCAGCAGCAGCCTTGGTAAAAGGTAAGCTACCAAGACTTGAATGATATTTAACAATTTGTCAGCTATTTATAATTAAATCAATATCATTCTTTTTGGACGCACATCTTTGTCAATCAAATTCCTTGAGGTGGCTGCCCTAATCTTCATCACTTCCTGATTGCTGACATCTGAAATATATAGGAATCATGAGTTAAAGGTCAAGCTATTTTGAAAATGTGTTAGGTCTATTAGCATTAAATCACGGATTATCTACTAGCATTAAAAACTCATCTAATTTTATCCATTTCATCTTCATGCCACTGTACTTCAATGATATAGTACTTTTCAACCAGTCAGTACTTGTCTAATTTTTTTTTTACCAGAAGCCACCAATAAATGTATGATTAATTTAAAAAATGCTGTTGAAATCCATCAACAATTGTAAGGTATTATGTCAATTCATAACTTGCAACCATCATCAAATTACATAGATAAATATATATTTAAGTTATTTAATGAAGATATATGCATAAAGACTGTGTTTAGAGATTGATTTTTAAACATTATTTTAGAGCACATTTACATCCATCCAAGTCTGCATATAAAAAACTTGTATTTAGCACAAATTGCCTAATGATTATTTTATTAACCTTTCTGTGTATATGCCTTGAATAATCACAGATATATACATGTGTACAAACACACACACACACACACACACAAAACACAAACACACATCCAGAGGCATAAAAATCTAAATTTTAAAAACATTTTAATTACATTTAGAATTTTTAGAATTTAGGGCAAAATATACAGAGAGCAAACAAATAATATAAAACTTTATTACCAAATGATTGGTATCCAACTTGGAATGTGCACATGCCAGAGATATGCTGGGGTATTTGAGAAAATTATTAGGATTTCAATTTATATTTGATTTCTCATACATTTTTAATTACTATCTTTTACAATTTTAACATGCATAAAATGTTGATACAGTATAAAAATGCTTTGGGAAAGTAATTTTTAATGAAATATATGAATAATTAAAAATTGTGTAGATACATGGGTAAAGGACATAGTTCTCTGGTATTGAAACAAATCAGTCCTGTTAACATTTTTTTATCTACATGTATTCTAAAATATTATAGGAAAGGTTCCATATAAAACCTGCCTCATTGTCTGCTAATTCTTTTTATAACACTTTCTTTTAACTGTTTATCCAAGTAAAACAGTTTTTGTCAGGTAGGTGTGATTCATAGATGGAATGAAGAATATAATATTTGCTGAAATGTTTGCCTTACATATAAAGAAGCTTAAATGCCATGAAGCAAAATAATTAGGCTGTATATTTTTATTCTTTTAATTAAATTTTCCTGATTTAAATCTAATGTTATATTTGAAGAAATCTTGAGCTCTTACATGAGAAAATATATAAGATTTTCATATTTTAAGCTATATATACATATTTATGGAGGAAGAGAGACACAGAGGTAATCAGTTACTGCTTGTAACATTTATCAGAAAGGCACCAAAAAAAATCTCAACTTTTAATGGCCCTTGAGTTTTATATTATACTTGAGAGGACATGCTATTTGACAAACAGCATTTGATAAAAATGACAGTGACTATGTGAATCTAATAGTACCTTATCAGATTTATATTTATAATTATTATAATTTTTAAATTTAAAATTATGATATGGCAGTAAACAAATTACATATTCCTAAGTTTTTTTTTTTTCTTGTTTATTTTTCTTTTCTTTTTCTTTTTTTTTTATTATACTTTAAGTTTTAGGGTACATGTGCACATTGTGCAGGTTAGTTACATACGTATACATGTGCCATGCTGGTGCGCTGCACCCACTAACTCGTCATCTAGCATTAGGTATATCTCCCAATGCTATCCCTCCCCCCTCCCCCCACCCCACCACAGTCCCCAGAGTGTGATATTCCCCTTCCTGTGTCCATGTGATCTCATTGTTCAATTTCCACCTATGAGTGAGAATATGCAGTGTTTGGTTTTTTGTTCTTGCGATAGTTTACTGAGAATGATGGTTTCCAATTTCATCCATGTCCCTACAAAGGACATGAACTCATCATTTTTTATGGCTGCATAGTATTCCATGGTGTGTATGTGCCACATTTTCTTAATCCAGTCTATCATTGTTGGACATTTGGGTTGGTTCCAAGTCTTTGCTATTGTGAATAATGCCGCAATAAACATACGTGTGCATGTGTCTTTATAGCAGCATGATTTATAGTCCTTTGGGTATATACCCAGTAATGGGATGGCTGGGTCAAATGGTATTTCTAGTTCTAGATCCCTGAGGAATCGCCACACTGACTTCCACAATGGTTGAACTAGTTTACAGTCCCACCAACAGTGTAAAAGTGTTCCTATTTCTCCACATCCTCTCCAGCACCTGTTGTTTCCTGACTTTTTAATGATTGCCATTCTAACTGGTGTGAGATGATATCTCATAGTGGTTTTGATTTGCATTTCTCTGATGGCCAGTGATGATGAGCATTTTTTCATGTACTTTTTGGCTGCATAAATGTCTTCTTTTGAGAAGTGTCTGTTCATGTCCTTCACCCACTTTTTGATGGGGTTGTTTGTTTTTTTCTTGTAAATTTGTTTGAGTTCATTGTAGATTCTGGATATTAGCCTTTTGTCAGATGAGTAGGTTGCGAAAATTTTCTCCCATGTTGTAGGTTGCCTGTTCACTCTGATGGTAGTTTCTTTTGCTGTGCAGAAGCTCTTTAGTTTAATTAGATCCCATTTGTCAATTTTGGCTTTTGTTGCCATTGCTTTTGGTGTTTTGGACATGAAGTCCTTGCCCATGCCTATGTCCTGAATGGTAATGCCTAGGTTTTCTTCTAGGGTTTTTATGGTTTTAGGTCTAACGTTTAAATCTTTAATCCATCTTGAATTGATTTTTGTATAAGGTGTAAGGAAGGGATCCAGTTTCACCTTTCTACATATGGCTAGCCAGTTTTCCCAGCACCATTTGTTAAATAGGGAATCCTTTCCCCATTGCTTGTTTTTCTCAGGTTTGTCAAAGATCAGATGGTTGTAGGTATGCGGCGTTATTTCTGAGGGCTCTGTTCTGTTCCATTGATCTATATCTCTGTTTTGGTACCAGTACCATGCTGTTTTGGTTACTGTAGCCTTGTAGTATAGTTTGAAGTCAGGTAGTGTGATGCCTCCAGCTTTGTTCTTTTGGCTTAGGATTGACTTGGCGATGCGGGCTCTTTTTTGGTTCCATATGAACTGTAAAGTAGTTTTTTCCAATTCTGTGAAGAAAGTCATTGGTAGCTTGATGGGGATGGCATTGAATCTGTAAATTACCTTGGGCAGTATGGCCATTTTCACGATATTGATTCTTCCTACCCATGAGCATGGAATGTTCTTCCATTTGTTTGTATCCTCTTTTATTTCCTTGAGCAGTGGTTTGTAGTTCTCCTTGAAGAGGTCCTTCACATCCCTTGTAAGTTGGATTCCTAGGTATTTTATTCTCTTTGAAGCAATTGTGAATGGGAGTTCACTCATGATTTGGCTCTCTGTTTGTCTGTTGTTGGTGTATAAGAATGCTTGTGATTTTTGTATATTGATTTTGTATCCTGAGACTTTGCTGAAGTTGCTTATCAGCTTAAGGAGATTATGGGCTGAGACGATGGGGTTTTCTAGATAAACAATCATGTCGTCTGCAAACAGGGACAATTTGACTTCCTCTTTTCCTAATTGAATACCCTTTATTTCCTTCTCCTGCCTGATTGCCCTGGCCAGAACTTCCAACACTATGTTGAATAGGAGTGGTGAGAGAGGGCATCCCTATCTTGTGCCAGTTTTCAAAGGGAATGCTTCCAGTTTTTGCCCATTCAGTATGATATTGGCTGTGGGTTTGTCATAGATAGCTCTTATTATTTTGAAACACGTCCCATCAATACCTAATTTATTGAGAGTTTTTAGCATGAAGGGTTGTTGAATTTTGTCAAAGGCTTTTTCTGCATCTATTGAGATAATCATGTGGCTTTTGTCTTTGGCTCTGTTTATATGCTGGATTACATTTATTGATTTGCGTATATTGAACCAGCCTTGCATCCCAGGGATGAAGCCCACTTGATCATGGTGGATAAGCTTTTTGATGTGCTGCTGGATTCGGTTTGCCAGTATTTTATTGAGGATTTTTGCATCAATGTTCATCAAGGATATTGGTCTAAAATTCTCTTTTTTGGTTGTGTCTCTGCCCGGCTTTGGTATCAGAATGATGCTGGCCTCATAAAATGAGTTAGAGAGGATTCCCTCTTTTTCTATTGATTGGAATAGTTTCAGAAGGAATGGTACCAGTTCCTCCTTGTACCTCTGGTAGAATTCGGCTGTGAATCCATCTGGTCCTGGACTCTTTTTGGTTGGTAAACTATTGATTATTGCCACAATTTCAGCTCCTGTTATTGGTCTATTCAGAGATTCAACTTCTTCCTGGTTTAGTCTTGGGAGAGTGTATGTGTCGAGGAATGTATCCATTTCTTCTAGATTTTCTAGTTTATTTGCGTAGAGGTGTTTGTAGTATTCTCTGATGGTAGTTTGTATGTCTGTGGGATCGGTGGTGATATCCCCTTTATCATTTTTTATTGTGTCTATTTGATTCTTCTCTCTTTTTTTCTTTATTAGTCTTGCTAGTGGTCTATCAATTTTGTTGATCCTTTCAAAAAACCAGCTCCTGGATTCATTGATTTTTTGAAGGGTTTTTTGTGTCTCTATTTCCTTCAGTTCTGCTCTGATTTTAGTTATTTCTTGCCTTCTGCTAGCTTCTGAATGTGTTTGCTCTTGCTTTTCTAGTTCTTTTAATTGTGATGTTAGGGTGTCAATTTTGGATCTTTCCTGCTTTCTCTTGTGGGCATTTAGTGCTATAAATTTCCCTCTACACACTGCTTTGAATGCGTCCCAGAGATTCTGGTATGTTGTGTCTTTGTTCTCGTTGGTTTCAAAGAACATCTTTATTTCTGCCTTCATTTCGTTATGTACCCAGTAGTCATTCAGGAGCGGGTTGTTCAGTTTCCATGTAGTTGAGCGGCTCTGAGTGAGATTCTTAATCCTGAGTTCTAGTTTGATTGCACTGTGGTCTGAGCGATAGTTTGTTATAATTTCTGTTCTTTTACATTTGCTGAGGAGAGCTTTACTTCCAACTATGTGGTCAATTTTGGAATAGGTGTGGTGTGGTGCTGAAAAAAATGTATATTCTGTTGATTTGGGGTGGAGAGTTCTGTAGATGTCTATTAGGTCTGCTTGGTGCAGAGCTGAGTTCAATTCCTGGGTATCCTTGTTGACTTTCTGTCTCGTTGATCTGTCTAATGTTGACAGTGGGGTGTTAAAGTCTCCCATTATTAATGTGTGGGAGTCTAAGTCTCTTTGTAGGTCACTCAGGACTTGCTTTATGAATCTGGGTGCTCCTGTATTGGGTGCATATATATTTAGGATAGTTAGCTCCTCTTGTTGAATTGATCCCTTTACCATTATGTAATGGCCTTCTTTGTCTCTTTTGATCTTTGTTGGTTTAAAGTCTGTTTTATCAGAGACTAGGATTGCAACCCCTGCCTTTTTTTGTTTTCCATTTGCTTGGTAGATCTTCCTCCATCCTTTTATTTTGAGCCTATGTGTGTCTCTGCACGTGAGATGGGTTTCCTGAATACAGCACACTGATGGGTCTTGACTCTTTATCCAACTTGCCAGTCTGTGTCTTTTAATTGGAGAATTTAGTCCATTTACATTTAAAGTTAATATTGTTATGTGTGAATTTGATCCTGTCATTATGATGTTAGCTGGTGATTTTGCTCATTAGTTGATGCAGTTTCTTCCTAGTATCGATGGTCTTTACATTTTGGCATGATTTTGCAGCGGCTGGTACCGGTTGTTCCTTTCCATGTTTAGCGCTTCCTTCAGAAGCTCTTTCAGGGCAGGCCTGGTGGTGACAAAATCTCTCAGCATTTGCTTGTCTGTAAAGTATTTTATTTCTCCTTCACTTATGAAGCTTAGTTTGGCTGGATATGAAATTCTGGGTTGAAAATTCTTTTCTTTAAGAATGTTGAATATTGGCCCCCACTCTCTTCTGGCTTGCAGTGTTTCTGCCGAGATATCTGCTGTTAGTCTGATGGGCTTCCCTTTGAGGGTAACCCGACCTTTCTCTCTGGCTGCCCTTAACATTTTTTCCTTCATTTCAACTTTGGTGAATCTGACAATTATGTGTCTTGGAGTTGCTCTTCTCGAGGAGTATCTTTGTGGCGTTCTCTGTGTTTCCTGAATCTGAACGTTGGCCTGCCTTGCTAGATTGGGGAAGTTCTCCTGGATAATATCCTGCAGAGTGTTTTCCAACTTGGTTCCATTCTCCGCATCACTTTCAGGTACACCAATCAGACGTAGATTTGGTCTTTTCACATAGTCCCATATTTCTTGGAGGCTTTGCTCATTTCTTTTTATTCTTTTTTCTCTAAACTTCCCTTCTCACTTCATTTCATTCATTTCATCTTCCATTGCTGATACCCTTTCTTCCAGTTGATCGCATCAACTCCTGAGGCTTCTGCATTCTTCACGTAGTTCTCAAGCCTTGGTTTTCAGCTCCATCAGCTCCTTTAATCACTTCTCTGTATTGGTTATTCTAGTTATACATTCTTCTAAATTTTTTTCAAAGTTTTCAACTTCTTTGCCTTTGGTTTGAATGTCCTCCCATAGCTCAGAGTAATTTGATCGTCTGAAACCTTCTTCTCTCAGCTCGTCAAAGTCATTCTCCATCCAGCTTTGTTCCGTTGCTGGTGAGGAACTGCGTTCCTTTGGAGGAGGAGAGGCGCTCTGCGTTTTAGAGTTTCCAGTTTTTCTGTTCTGTTTTTTCCCCATCTTTGTGGTTTTATCTACTTTTGGTCTTTGATGATGGTGATCTACAGATGGGTTTTCGGTGTGGATGTCCTTTCTGTTTGTTAGTTTTCCTTCTAACAGACAGGACCCTCAGCTGCAGGTCTGTTGGAATACCCTGCCGTGTGAGGTGTCAGTGTGCCCCTGCTGGGGGGTGCCTCCCAGTTAGGCTGCTCGGGGGTCAGGGGTCAGGGACCCACTTGAGGAGGCAGTCTGCCTGTTCTCAGATCTCCAGCTGCGTGCTGGGAGAACCACTGCTCTCTTCAAAGCTGTCAGACAGGGACATTTAAGTCTGCAGAAGTTACTGCTGTCTTTTTGTTTGTCTGTGCCCTGCCCCCAGAGGTGGAGCCTACAGAGGCAGGCAGGCCTCCTTGAGCTGTGGTGGGCTCCACCCAGTTCGAGCTTCCCGGCTGCTTTGTTTACCTAAGCTAGCCTGGGCAATGGCGGGCGCCCCTCCCCCAGCCTCGCTGCCGCCTTGCAGTTTGATCTCAGACTGCTGTGCTAGCAATCAGCGAGATTCCGTGGGCGTAGGACCCTCCGAGCCAGGTGTGGGATATAGTCTCGTGGTGCGCCGTTTTTTAAGCCAGTCTGAAAAGCGCAATATTCGGGTGGGAGTGACCCGATTTTCCAGGTGCCTCCGTCACCCCTTTCTTTGACTCGGACAGGGAACTCCCTGACCCCTTGCGCTTCCCAGGTGAGGCAATGCCTCGCCCTGCTTCGGCTCGCGCACGTTGCGCACACCCACTGGCCTGCGCCCACAGTCTGGCACTCCCTAGTGAGATGAACCCGGTACCTCAGATGGAAATGCAGAAATCACCCGTCTTCTGCGTCGCTCACGCTGGGAGCTGTAGACCGGAGCTGTTCCTATTCGGCCATCTTGGCTCCGAAGCTCCCTAAGTTTTTATTATTGACAATTCTCTTTCTTATGAGAGCTGTGGAATTAGCTTGCTTATATTCTACTAGACTTCTTCAGCCATCAACTCATAAGCCATCACACTTAAGTATTATGAGCTACGGGGCAGTGAGGGAAAATAATGCCAGGTCAGATATACTCCTCCTTTTCTTTTCCAAGCTAATAATGTTGGTTACAACATATTGAGCACTTCCAAAAGTGGCAAATACCATTCTTTGTATATGACATTTACTTTATTCTTCATAACAGAATCATGAGGTGGTGTTTTCTCCAGTATACAGGTGAAAAAACTAAGACTTTGGAGGAGTCCCGTTATTTGCCGCAGTTCACACAGTTTTTAAATGGTTAAGGCAGAATTCAAGAGCATAGCTACATCTGTCTAGGTTTCCAGCTACCACATTCTACTGAGTAGAACTTTGTCTTGAGCTACTAATTTTTAAAAAAATTAATTAATTTTTAAATTGACAAATAAAATTGTATATCATGCACAACACTGTTTATATATACATGTTTATATATAATTTATATATGTATATAATTATAGTCTATAATATATGTATATATTACACACATATTATATACATATATGTATATAATATAAATATATAATTACATAAACAAATTATATATGTATATATGTATATGTTTATATATACAATTAATTTTTAAATGGACAGATAAAATTGTATTTATCATGCACAACATCACATGTATATATACATTGTGTAATGACTAAATCTAGCTAATTAACATTTGCATTACCTCCCATAGTTATCATTTTTGTGGTGGGAATACATTCACTTTCTTCCCATTTTTTAAGAATACAATATGTTGTTAGCTCTAGTCACCATGTTATAGAATAGATCTCTTGAATTTATTCCTCCTATTGGAAATTTTGTATCCTTTGATCATCATCCCCTTAACTCTGCTCTTCTTGAGCCCCAGTCTAATCACCTCAGCCCCTGGTAACCACCATTCTACTTTTTGCTGTTATGAGATTAACATTTTAGCTTCCACGTATGAGTGAGATCATGTGGTATTTGTCTTCCTATACCTGGCTTACTTCACTTAACATAATGCCCTCTAGGGTTCTCATGCTAGTGAGAAAGTCAAACAAAATAGAAATCTCAAGAGCCAATCCAAGACATCTACTAGGTTTCCTTTTGCTTTGATGCCCACCTTTACCATTATTCCTCCTGCTTCATGGAGTGCCTTCCAAGAATATAGTATTAAAAACAATTATTAAGATGGAGAAAAACTGGTAACTACAAATAACATAAGAAACTCAAACACCTCACTTATGCTACCAAAAATATCTGCTGCTCACAATTGGCATAATTGTGTCATTCCTGCGTCCTCAATTTAAACTTGATGGTCTTTAATGTATCTTGTAGATAGAAAACAAGGTAAGGGGAGTTCTTTGACCATTTGCAATGCTGTGGGGTCCATCCCACAGACCCTGACCCAACGACTGTTGAATAACGTACACTGACACAGATATTATGTTTGTCAGTCTGGTTGAGAGTCTGGGTCGCTTACAGACTCCCAGGAGAGTGCTGTAAAGAGTTGCAAACTCGGCCTGACTTGCTAGCCTTCCCTGCATTTATTCAGCACACATTAAATGACAAAAGTCTCAAGTGAACACTACCAGAAGGTAATTACCATTGCCAACCCCCTGAGGAGAGAGCAATCATACACCCATGGATGGTCAAAGGTTAGTCTTAGGACCACATGAATAAACAAACTATTTAGACTCTTCTACATTCCTTTGTTAATTACCCTTGTTATAGCTCAAAGAGGATTAGGCTGCCTTCCCCATAACTCTATCCTGAGGCTTTTGCAAAAACCTTCTGGCCTTCCAAGAAAGTTTGTATTTATTTTACAATTTTTCCCACCATCCTGACTGAACCCCTATACAATAGTCCATTTAAAAATAAAGTCTCCTAAAGTCCAAGTCTGTGGAGACTAGTCACCTGTGTAGTTCTTCCTCAGACTACCTAAAACATTGACAGTGTGTACCCATCTGTCATAGTCACTTGGAAATGTGTATCTAGGAAAGCCAGGATCATGCTGTTAAAATATTTTGTATAAGCTTAAAACAATGGCACTTAATTGTATGCCAGAAAGGATTTCAAAGTTCATGTAATGATTATAGTAATGATGAAGTTGCCTGATTTTCTTATTGGCACTCTTTGTTCTAGTTGTTACATACAGAAGCCAACATTTGATAAATTTATGTTTAGAATGATACCTATGAACAATTTTCAATTAACAGCCTGGAAATTCCAGATTCTCACTTCTTGACATCAAGTGGAAGCAAATGTAATGGCAATATAGATTCCTAACTCTGCACTTTAACTCTAACTTGCAGGTAATACCTTGTTTAGTTTCTCTGTCCAATGGTCATTTGTCTCCTTGCTGTGACTGCCAAAAGACTTGCCAATTAGTGTCACTTGCAGAGGCAGTTTGGGAATGTGGGCACCCAACCAGCAAAAATAGTACCAACATCAGTAGAACATTTTAATGCAAATAAAAACAAAACAAATTTGTCATTAATAAATTTACCCTAAAACATAATCCTGTAATATTTCCTGGTCTCCAAAAAAAATTCAGACTATATCAGTTAATATCGTCAAAATGAGAGTAAGGTATGATTACATGATATCTTATAAGTATATTGTTGAATTTAAAATATAGGCATTGCATTTATTTTTACCGTTTCCCAAACTATCACATGCATCTTGATGACTAATGCTTGGAGAATATCAATAACCAGAAGACAGCCTTCTGACTGTATTTTTTTATATCCTCTTTTCTATATATTCTGAACATTACACTGGGGAGATTCAAAATGAATACAAGAGAAAGAAACACTTTCACTCTTAATCTAAAGGGAGATAATGCTTTCCCAAGAGGTGTGTGGGTAATTTATAGTTAAACATTTTCCTTTGATCTCTATATCACTTTTTCTATTTGGAGTTAATTTGATTAAGTGCGCACCAAGAGGGAATCCAGAAAAAAAAAGAAGGGTTTTCTTTGGGCAGACAGCCAGGAACACAGTTTCAGAAACTTTTTTTTTTAATTGATTGAGCTGCTAGTGATACACATAATTGACTCAAAATTAGAAATGGGATCTGAAGGCACTGAGGATCTCAAATAGGGAGTATGGACCACGGATAGGCTTGTGCATTTTTACGACTTATATATCCAGAAAACTCCCATTCAAAAAAAAATATTTAATGAAAAATTCTAATTTTCTGTGCACAAAAGAGAGGTGTACAAAACATTGAGTCATGGGACTATGTCAGATATATATATATTTTTTGGAGATGGAGTCTCTCTCTGTTGCCCAGGATGGAGTAGAGTGGTGTGATCTGGGCTCACTGTAACCTCCACCTCCCAGATTCAAGCAATTCTCCTGCCCCAGCCTCCCAAGTAGCTGGGACTACAGGCATGTGCTGCCATGCCCGGCTAATTTTTTGTATTTTTAGTAGAGACAGGGTTTCACCATGTTAGCCAGGATGGTCTCCACCTCCTGACTTCGTGATCCGCCCACCTCGGGCTCCCAGAGTGCCAGGATTACAGGCGTGAGCCACCACTCCTGGCTCCAGAATTTCATGTATATATTCTTCTAAATACCTGAGATTATTTCAATGTCAGCATATTGATAAATATATTATCTTGTAAGTTCGAAGCAGAAGGTTTATTGAAATTAAGAAAATCTTAAATGTAAAAACATCTCAAATTTTCCTGCTTTTTTCTGCTTGAGCTTCTCAGGTACACATGAGGCAGGGTAGGTAGTCAGGAAAGTAACCATGTTCTCAGGACAAGGCAACCATGGAACCGTATAATTAACACAGTAAGCCTCAGCATCTGCATGGTAGTCAAGCTCAATCAAGCAAAGCTATCTCCAGTAGGGAATTTCCTCTATAGGGAGAATGCACATTTTGATTTTACCTGTCCTCAGAATAACCTTTTGTTCATTATAATAGTAAACAAACAAACAAAAAAAAAAAACACAAAAAACACCCCTACGTGGAGATTTAAGATGCTAATGAGACATGCAACCTGTGAACAAACATGTAAAGCTACTATGCATGTGCACCCAAAGGACCTCCCAGAACATGCTTACTAATAACACTTCTTCCCTTATGAATAATCATGTGAGACTCCCATAAAGGGAGTCTCTCTAGTGCCAGTCTTTACTGTTTCATCCTTATAAGCAGCCGACCCTGAATTCTCTCTCTCTCTCAGGATGTACTGTCTATTCTGCATTTAACATTTGTAATGGGAAAGGTTCCCTTGTCCCCCTCGCAGGGCGTTTGATGGGAGTATGGCTCACTTCTTCAGTGCCCTGCTGCTCAAACCTCTAGGGGAGCATACATATGGGCAGGCTGTATGTATTGCCATGGGGGCTCCGATCCCATGGCAATGTCTAGGGGTGAATGTTTACAGCAGAAGCCCCAGTGGGCGTGTGTTATAGGTGCTCTCTTAGTTTGCCGTCTATAGGCGGCTTATGTTAAGCAGCTCAATTAGACCCTCTACCTTGTTGCAAGGACAGAGGGCTTTCTGTATCCTGGGTTCTTGACTTGGTGTACCAGAAGAATTGGATCACACGTGGGTTTGGAGAATGAGTGCAAGGTTTTATTGAGAGGAGGTAGCTCTCAGCAGATGGGGGGAGCCAGAAGGGAGATGATTTTCCCCTGGAGTTGGTAGAATGGGCAGCCTGGGCTCTCCTCTGACTGTCCCAGATTAACTCCGCCTCCTTCCACCAATCAGTGGCCTGCTTGCTTGCAAATGCCTGCTGATTTGCTGTTCTGCGATGTGATTCCCTGGACAACCTCTCAACATCCAGCCACATGTGTGTCTGCCTGCTAGAGTCCCTGGGGTTTTTATAGGCACAGGATCAGGGCATGGTGGGTCAGGGTGGTCTTGGGAAATGCAACATTTGGGCGCAAAGGCAGGAATGACTTTCCTCACCTAGGTCGGTGGGGGTGGAGCCCTAGCCAGGGACCATGCCCTTCCTCTATCCAGCACTTTTCTTCCCTCCTTCCTTATCATTTAAAGAGACCACACTCTTCCCTTCCCAGCACTCCCGGATCACTTTCAAAATGTTCTTTCCCCTTTGCAATAAATTACTCTGTGCTGCATCTCCTTTGCTGTGTGTCTCTTGTTTATATTCTTTTAAACTAAGAAGACAAGAACCAAGGTCTTGCATCAGCCATGAACATACACACCTATTGACCATAGGTACTTGGTTTTACTTCAAGTATATTCTATTTTCTGAACCACGTTTTTATATTACTCTCTATGTTGTCTTCCTACCAATTTCTAAGCAACTTCATTGAACACCTGACATATAATCATGTAGAGAAAAAATACAGGATGCACATAGAATGTTCTAAATAGTACCAAACTTATAAAATGTGGGGAAAATTAAAAAGCTGGTGCTATATTTTAGGTTTACACCCTTAAAAGTGATTTAAAGAAACAAGCAAGAGCTAAGTCAGTTAAACAAATTTGCTAGCATGTGCTGATATGTATTGAAGCCTTAATGTCAGTTAAATATAATTTTGATATTTAATTTCTTTAGCCTTGGGAGATTGGGAATAAGGCTAAAAATAAAAATGCATGGTATTTACTTATGAGATAAGGTTTTGTAAAGCCATCTCAGTACTTCTAGGAAAATCAAGATTATTTCTCAAAATAAATCTGAGTCAGTATACTCTTGGGTCTGAGAGTACCAGAGACTTATTTACAATGTGTAAAAACAGTTAAGGAGACTTTAGAAGATTAAACATAAAGGAAGCCTTTGGAAAACTTGAACTAGGCTAGTTAAGGTTGCATCATCAAATAAGGGATGCCTATATGCCACACATCCTTCCTGGAATAATACATCCAATCAATTATTTTATAAACAAAAGAGGAGTGTTGATATTGACAATTTTCTACCTGATTGTATTAATATGGTTGTGGGCAGAGCTGTTTGGTGTGCCAGAGGGACAGGCAAAGGCCTGCTTACCCTCCATTTGAATAGTCCTGTGGATCAACTGTTTTCTTTCTAATGACTGCAGAGGGACTCTGGCAAATTTGCTTGGTCTGGAAGTTGCTAGTTTGATGCTGTGATTCTTCAACTTGGGACCTGAAAAAGCAACAGAATGAAATTTTATTTCTACCATATTATGAATAGGCTATAAGGTAGCTATTTGTGCTTCATCTTGTAGATGAGCATCTGAGACAGAGTGTTTGAATATGTTGTTCAGGGACACCTAACAAATGGCCAATCCAAGATTAGAACTGAGATGAGTATGATTTTAAAAACTGTGTTTTTTACTCTACTATAACATAATTAATAAGCCATTTAAAAAATAATACTATTAGGCAAGATCTTCCATGTGCCAAGTACAATTCTAATCAATGAAGCTAATTCGGAGAGGAAAGCTCGTTTTCATGAAGCTTACATTTTTGTTTTTTACAATGATTGATATCCAAAGTGTTAGTATTTTGTTACCATATTTTTGTCAGGTTCTCAAATATATTATTGCTCACACTGACCAGCCTGTTTTAAAGGATTATGTGGATAAATGACTAATCTTTTGAAAAGTTAGTTTCATAGACAGTGATAGTCATACCCAGCCACTCACATTTGTTCACAAAATTAAGAAAGGGTTTGTAAATTCTTGGTGGAGAGAATACTAATCCCATGCTTGATCATCTCCTTTCATCAAGGTTTCGATGCAACTTATGGTGGAGTATATTTTGTCTTTCTACTTGAGAAGAATTTCATTAATAGACCACTGTTACTGATAGGAGATTGCCATATCCCTTGACACATTAGAAGAGAGAAAAGTTAGAGCACTGCTAAACACATTTGCAGCAAAACAAACTAAGTTTTGAGAATAAGATTCCTAATAATGTTTAATCAAGAAGCTCAGATAACATGACTTATATACCTATATAGCAAGATGTCTCATACACTTTTAGTGGGAGTGTGTATCAGAACTAACTCTAATGCAATGTTACCAGTACCTACAAATATTTCAAGTACTGTACACTTTGAACTAGCAATTTTATTTCTAGGTATTTCTACTACAGATCTGCATACATACAAGTGAAATCACAAGTGTGCAGCTTTACTCTGGGTAGCAATGTTTGTTATTGAATTAAAACAATCTAGAAATCAAAAAACAAAACACTAATTACAGATATGCACACACATATATAAGATATATTATATACATATATTCTACCTATCAATAGAGCAGAATATTATACAGCCATAAAAATTAGGAAATATTTTTATGTGAGGAAAAATGTTCAAGGTAGATAACTCAGTGAACAAAGAAAGGAAAAAAAAAGATAGTAGAAAAATGTTTGAAGCACTTTACTACTGAGCAAAAAAAGCAAAAATATTTTTATACATATTTGTTCATATATGAACTCTCAAAGATTCTCCAATAAACTAACAGCAATTATTAAATTTGGGAAAAGCAGGTAACAAGATAGTGAGGGCAAGAGAAAGAAAAAGAACTTTCACTCATTTACCTATTTAGTATTTCAGATATTTTAAATTACATATCTGTACAATATGTAAAATCTAATAAAATCATTAGGAAATCTAAAAATACATAAATCAGCAAAACAAACCAAAACAACCCTTGCTCTCAAGTGTTACTTTATTTTTAAATTTTGCTAGTGGAGACTGTGACATCAATATTTAAAATATTTTCTGTCCTTCATATGTAGTTGCTATAAACACTACTTTAAGCTGCATCTACAATTATGTTATATAACTAAATGATGTAATTAAAAATTGTCCAATTCATTATAGCTACTAAATGCTAATATTGCAACTGACAATGAATGATATTTTGGAATAAAGCTGAATGGTCATTATAAAAATTGAAGTGACTTTATATCAAATTTATATCATAGATTCATCCCAAGATAAAATTTTAAAGCATCTATTGTTAAAAATCCAATGCTATTGTTTTTAAATAATTATAAATTATATTCACTTTCATTAAAATATTTTATCCTAAATTTTATATTTTTATTAACCAAAGAAGTAAATTTTTTTTTAGAACATCTAGGTCGCTAGTATATAAACTATGTAGACATAAACTCTGAAATTAAGGGACAGAGTATTTTATTTAGGAAGCAAATAGTAAAAAGGTTATATGCGCTTTATGGACTTTTACACTGATAGCACAAGAGCTTGGTTTCGTGGAACAATAATACAGTGAATTTCAGGTTCTAATTTTGTGGATATAAAAAGCACCACTTCTGATAAAAACATCTGGCTTGAGTGTCTCTGAAAGCTAGTTCCACAAATTTTCGGTGCTCTTCAGAACATGGGAGCTGATTGTGATTAATCAGGGAAAAGCCCTTTTCTAATAAGGCTCTGTCCAGTCCAATTACTGAACATGACAGTCTTGAGAATTACATTGCCAAATGGTCTACCAGATATAGAAGGTTGAAAAATTGGCTGAATTAAATAGCTCACCCTAGATGACCTTAAAAATGGACATTTTGACTGAAGGTAAAGAAAAACTCATGCATTAACGATTTTGTATATTATATATGTATTTTGGAAGAAAAACATTATAGGATGCTTCTTTCATCCTGACTACTTCCAAGTATTATTATCCTGTTAAAATGCTGCAATCACTCAGGTGACAGCCTGCAGTGTGCATCCATCCCTTCACTCCTGATTACAGATAGCATTTGCAGCATGAGGATGAGAGAGGAAAGTGAGAGCCTGGACACGGAGAAAAGTCATCAGAAATCATAAGAGAATAGAAGCTCATTTTTATGACTTTGCCACCTCCCAGTTAAGTGTCTGCTGCAGACATTTATTGCTATTAAAAAGTGGGCTTCTAAGACAAGTGAATCATGTCTCAGAGTGTTCTAGTCTCCAACATAATTAATAGCCAGGAGATTTTGTACATAGAATTTGTCAACTCAAAAGCAAAAGTCTTTAAATTGGTGTATAGACTTGTATAGTTCAATCGTCAGACAATCAAAGGCTGTTTGATTGCATGCAGATAGGTCACTAGTCTCACTAACAGAAGACAGTAGTCCATTTAAAAATACCTGCTCGGCTGGGCGCAGTGGCTCACGCCTGTAATCCCAGTGAGAGGTGAAGCCAGCTGGACTTCCTGGGCGGAGGGGGGACTTGGAGTACTTTTCTGTCTTACAAGGGATTGTAAAATGCACCAATCAGCGCTCTGCAGAAACGCACCAATCAGTGCTCTGTACCTAGCAAGATGTTTGTAAAATGGACCAATCAGCACTCTGTAAAATGGACCAATCAGCACTCTGTAAATGGACCAATCAGCAGGATTCTAAAAGTAACCAATCGTGGGGAGGACTGAGAAAAGGGCATTCTGATAGGACAGAAACAGGACATGGGCAGGGACAAATAAGGAAATAAAAGCTGGTCACCCCGAGCTAGCAGTGGCAACCCACTCAGGTCTGCTTCCATACTGTGGAAGCTTTGTTCTTTCGCTCTTCGTGATAAATCTTGTTGCTGCTCACTGTTTGGGTCTGTGCCATCTTTAAGGGTTGTAACACTCACCGGGAGGTTCCACGGCTCCACTCTTGAAGTCAGTGAGACCACGAACCCATCAGAAGTAACCAACTCTGGGCACACCAGAACTTTGGGAGGCCAAGGCTGGCAGATCACAAGGTCAAGAGATCGTGACCATTCTGGCCAACATGGTGAAACCGTGTCTGTGCTAAAAATACAAAAACTAGCTGAGCGTGGTGGCACGTGCTGTGCCTGTAGTCCCAGCTATTAGGGAGGCTGAGGCAGGAGGATGGCTTGAACCCAGGAAGTGGAGGTTGCAGTGAGCTGAGATTGGGCCACCGTACTCCAGGCTAGCGACAGAAGGAGACTCTGCTTATATTTACTTGCAAAAAATTTTTCTTCAATCATGTGAAAGCAAATGTTTACAGAAATCTGAATTTGGTAGCATAGATCACCCTTATCTTTGGCATTATTTTGTTCCACAGATAAAACAATGTAAAGGAATGTTTTGATCTACCAAAAATATGAGTTTTATGATTCATTGTGATTTTATCTCATTAAAAATAAAACATAGACAAAATTTATAATATATGGACATACAAAAGATAAAAATTTAAAGTCACCCATAATTTCAGTATTCTTGCAACTACTGTTAGGAATATGTATATCTTCCATTGATATCTCCCTGTGTTGCTGAATTATATTTTATCAGTCTCATCTGGGTGAGCATTTTACTTTTTTTCCAGTATTTGCCAATAAACAACACTAAGGTAAAATTTATTTTAGATAAGCTTTTATATAAGCTCATTATTATTTCTTGAGAAAATATTCCTAGAGATATGACAGCATTAAGACTTTTAATATGCATTACCTTATTTATCTCCAAAAACTGATACCAATTTAAACTCTCATAATGATTGTTAGCTAGCATTTGCTTCTATAAACTCTGAAACCACAGATTATTCTCTTACTGAAAGTCTTTTCAAAAATAAATGTTAAAAATTATATTGCTATAATCTTTTGTTTAAATGTCCATTTTCTTTATTATAAAAACGGTAGTTTGTAATTATATCACCTGTTAATTTTTGAATGCTTGTTGGTTTTTTATGCTTTTCGTGTTTTATTAGTTCCTATTATCATTTAACTTGTAGAAACACGTATTAAAATTATTAATGATGCTTTCATTTTTAGTTAATAATCTGATTAGTTATACATTTGTGTTACAACTTTTGTTTAAGACGTTCTAATACATGGAAAGTTTTCTTTGTTGGTCCAGTCAAGTCTATCATTCTGGCAGCAGCCAACCTGAAGGAAATGTCAATGATCAAACCTAGGATTATTTGAACATCAAAATACATAATTGAGGCCAAGCGTAGTGGCTCATGCCTGTAATCCCAGCACTTTGGGAGGTGAGGCAGGCGGATCATGAGGTCAGGAGATTGAGACCATGCTAGCTAACATGGTGAAACCCTGTCTCCACTAAAAAAATACAAAAAAAAAAAATAGCTGTGCGTGGTGGTGGACACCTGTAGTCCCAGCTACTCAGGAGGCTGAGGCAGGAGAATGGCATGAACACAGAAGGCAGATTTTGCAATGAGCTGAGATGGCGCCCTGCACTCCAGCCTGGGCGACAGAGTGAGACTCTGTCTCAAACAACAACAACAACAACAACAACAAAAATAATTGACAGATTATAATCCATAGTGTAAAGTAAGTATCCATGAGTTCAAACTGACATAAATAAATAATAAGTAAATGAATAAATGGAGAAAATGTACACCTCTTTCTTAAGTAGAATTTTCAATTAATAAGTGTAGAAAAATAATGGAAAAGAAAAATTACCATTTGGCAAAGAGTACAATAAAAATTCTTCCAGGCAAGGATCATCTGTGTATACTAAAATTGTGAGCAACAGTATGAAAAGAAACAAGATATTTTCAATGTTTCAAAATACCTCCCCATACAATGTTTACTAATTAAAGGTAGAAATACAGTAAATGTGTAACTGATAAACTGACACACAGCATCATGCACCTCCTAATTAATATGATACTCTAAGAGCACAACATAATTTCTGTCATATTATTGCCAAAAATACATAAACTTCATTCTAACCGTGAGAAAACTTAAGACAAAAATTTGAGGGAGATTCTACAAAATATCTGGCCAGTACTCTTCAAAAGTTCCAAAGTCATGAAAGACAAAGAAAGGACATTAGTGGGACAATTAGCAAGTATGTCGATGTTAATTTCTTTGTTTTGACATTGTATTACTTTTATGTAAAATGTTATTTGGGAAAGCAAATTGAAGGCTATACCCAAATGTATACATTCTTTCTACAACTTGTTGGTAGCCTAAATATTATTTCAAAATTAATAAGTTAAAACAATCTACCAATCAGCTCCCTTGAGTGATCCATGTTATGTATCATTCTTGCAGTAGCATATTCTCTATAAGGTTACATGGATATCCCTTCACATTATATGATATACATTTTTGGTTTTAGTATTTGGCCAAAAAATCCAATTGATGTGGAATTAATTTTGGTATAAGATATAGGATGAGGATATTTATTCTTCAAAATGTTCATTAGTTGCCTCAACACGATTTATTGATTAATCAGTTCTGTATCTGCTTATTCGAACTGCTATTCTCATCTTATCCTAATTATTGCATCACTGGAATCACTTTTTCATTTTCTCCTGTATTTCATCAGCCTCACTCTTCTTGTGCTAGTTCCATAATGCCTTTATTGTTATGGATTTATAGTGTTATACTATAAGATAAGTCAAATATCACTTCATGAGATTTTAATATTTTTTCAGAATGATTACTTCAAAATGCACCTTATTTTATTGTAATACATGAATAAGATTTTATTAGACTTCTAAGTATACTTATTAGAATTGCAGTTAGAACTGTATTATGTTATATTATCGTGGTATCATAGCTCTCTAAATATTTATTTACTGATTCATGCACATCTTCAACAAATATTGAGTGAAAGATCCTGTATACTGGCACAGGCAAGTTACTAGAAATTTTATTTGGGCTCTGGGTGGGAAAAAAGAAGAAAATGCCACTGTCTCTATGTCTCTCTCCATACACTATGTCTCATGAGAGTTTAGGGTGTACTATTTCTAAATTTAAAGAAATTCAGGCTGGGCACAGTGGCTCACACCTGTAATCCCTGTACTTTGGGAGGCCGAGGAGGGCGGATCACCTGAGGTCGGGAATTCAAGACCAGCCTGACCAACATGGTGAAACCCCGTCACTACTAAAAATACAAAATTTAGTTGGGTGTAGTGGTGTGCGCCTGTAATCCCAGCTGCTCCAGAGGCTGAGGCAGGAGAATTGCTTTAACCCAGGAGGCAGAGGTTGCAGTGAGCCCATATCGTGCCACTGCACTCCAGCCCTAGTCAATAAGAGTGAAACTCCGTCTCAAAAAAAAAAAAAAAAAAGAAATACAATAAAGAGTATTTTTAAGAAAATAAATGTTTTGCGATTTTTCTGGGGCACCTGGCAAATCAAATGAAAAACTTTTTTGTAGAGACGTAATCTGAAACTAGATACACTAAATTCCTATTCACAAAGAAGTTACTCTAAAGATGCTTTCATGGATGACAATTCCAGGCCCTATAAAGACCATCAAGAGCAAAAAGGACTTCTGATAATAGAAACATAAAATAATTATATTTAAAGTAGGTAAAATTGGCGGAGCATGGTGGCTCATGCCTGTAATCCCAGCACTTCGGGAGGCCAAGGCGAGTGGACCACAAGGTCAGGAAATTGAGACCATCCTGACTAACACAGTGAAACCCCGTCTCTACTAAAAATACACACACACAAAAAAAAAATTAGCCGGGCATGGTGGCCGGCGCCTGTAGTCCCAGCTACTTGGGAGGCTGAGGCAGGAGAATGGCGTGAACCCAGGAGGCGGAGCTTGCAGTGAGCCGAGATGGCGCCACTGCACTCCAGCCGGGGCGACTGAGCGAGACTCCGTCTCAAAATAAATAAATACATAAATAAATAAATAAATAAATAAATAAGTAAAGTAGCCAAAATTATTTAAAAAAAAAAAAAGAAAACCTTGTGTAAAAAATGACTAACAATAACTAATAGTAATTTTTAAAATGTCTTGAAATTTAAATACTCTCAATAAATATGTTAAAATCAATTATATTTATATGAAAAAAAGAGTGAATTGGAAAACAGACCCAAGAAAATTATCTAAAATGAGATATTAAAAAGATAAGACACAATGAATATGAGAAGTCAAAACTATTGCGAAGAAAACGAGGCCTAATATCTAATTGCATTTACAAAGATGGTAGAAAGT
Organism: Homo sapiens; assembly: GCF_000001405.40. Classification (NCBI taxonomy): domain Eukaryota; kingdom Metazoa; phylum Chordata; class Mammalia; order Primates; family Hominidae; genus Homo; species Homo sapiens. The sequence continues at coordinate 58,692,543 of NC_000013.11, forward strand.
AAAATGGAAAAGCAATACATGAAAAAATATTGACAGGTAACTTTCCAAGTGTTATGTAAGACATGAATTTTCCTTTTTAGAGGGAAAAAAAATCCAAGCAAGATTTTTAAAAATTTCCCTCTCCACACTAAATTAGTATAATTTGAAGTAACTAAACAGAGAAAGAGACCCAAAGCAGAAAAATAGATCAGCTACAAATGAAGCACCACTATTAGGTCAGGTAATAAACAACAAACACATAATATTGTTGGACATAAGTGGTAAAAGAAGAATTAAAGAGGATGAAAGACATGCAATCATAATTGGAAAAGGGTGGTATATTATATAAGGTGAAAACAGAGACAGCAGATATCTTCCTGGATACTTTTTTTCCTGAGATTTCTATTCTCGTATCTTCCCCATCTCAGTAAATGGTAGTTATTCTGCCAGTTGTTCAAGCCAAGAACACTGCAGTCATCTATAACTTTCTCTCATCTATCCAATCCTTTAGCAAATCCTACTAGCACTTCTTTAAGATATTTCCAAATTACCCCCACAGGAAGCAATCTCTTATACGTATTATCACAACAGTTTCCTAATTGGTGTCTCTATTTCAATCCTCCTTTTCCTTCCCTATTTGCATTTGTAATCGCAGAGTTTTATTTTTATTATTTAACGGAAAGTCAGATCACATCCTTCTTTTCTCAGAACCCTCCAAGACTTCTCATTTCACACGGATTAAAATAAAATTACATTTCCATTCAGAAGGATCTACATTCTAACACACACTGTTACACTTCTGATATTTCCTCCTGCTTCTCTCCTGTCACTATACTCCCACCATGCTGGCCTGCTTGCCTTTACACACTAAGCACACTCTTGTCTCAAGCTCTTTTGCTTCCTTTTTTCTCTCTCTGGGATGTTTTTCTCATCCACTTTCTACTTGGAAAAAACCTTCAACATTCACCCTAAATAATGTACCACTCCCAAATATCATTGCCTCCCCATTTAATCTTTGTAGCACTGATCCCCTTTGTCTCCACTCAATAAGAAGGCAAGAGCTATGATGAAGGGGCTAAGATATAGCAGGGACTTTGTCTTCTTAACTGTATCCTTAGAATCTGGAAAAGTGTTTAGAACAAAGTACTGTACCCACAGAATAAAGAACTTTGTCTGGAACACAGAAGACATTCTATTAATATCTGAGAATGTATGAGAAATTTAAGCCATATGAATATGAAGTTATATTCAAAGTGCTGAGAGAAAATAGGTGTCCACCTGTACCTAGAACTCTATACATAGCTATAGTGTCACTTGAAGACTGATGATAAAAATAATACATTTTCAGAAAAAGAATTGGCCTACACCATCAAGAGTTTCTCACTAGGGAAAAAAATCCACTAAAACTACTTAAAAAAAAAAACGACTACAATATACCACATATTTCAAGAAGAAGGCATTAAACTTAGAATAAAGAAATGAAGTTCAAGAAATAATGATGGGTAAGAAAATTGTTAAAGGTAAGATTAATGAAGTAAGCATTCACTGAATTAAATAAGGAAAATAAATTATGGTTATTCTGATGCTGAAAAATGAGTTAGAACTACAATACTAATCAGTTGATAAACGGGGATTTTAATGATAGAATTTTAAAGTGTTTGCAAAGTGAAAAATACTCTATCTTTAAACTCTAATGACTCAAGTATGTATGTTAAATTTCCAGATAAAATTAATGAAATAGAAATATAAAACATTATTTTCAATTCACTTAAGGTGAAAAGTAATGAAAAGTCTATCAGTGTAATTCACATAGCAAATAATTTTGCAGGAATGCATAAAGAAATTGTCAAACTCCCAGTCATAATATATTTTTAACATGCCCTACCTAGTAATTGATAGATTAAATATATCTAAAATTAATAAACATATAGGATATTTGAACAACAGCATTAAAAAATATCTTCACCACATAAATACAATATTTATTCTTGTCACTCATGCCTGAAACAATTGCCAATACTGACCAAATACCAGTCCATAAAGTAAGTCTAAATAATCAGCAGGGTACAATACATAAAAATCCCATTTACTAGCAATAATAAATTACGATTAGTGAACAGTTGAAAGTCAATTTAAAAGAAACATGCATGTGAAACATTTTAATAAATATTTGAAAGTAACTCATAAGTTCAAGATGATATGACTTAAAAACACAAAAAATATTCCAAGTAAAAGTAATTAAATAGTAAACATCAACATACATTGGCAAGTAGGTGATGATCTCATTTCAAATGCTAATAATTAGAAAAGACGAAAGCCAGCCGGGCACGGTGGCTCACGCCTGTAATCCCAGCACTTTGGGAGGCCGAGGTGGGTGTATCACCTGAGTTCAGGAGTTCAAGACCAGCCTGACCAACATGGAGAAACCCCGTCTCCACTAAAAATACAAACCAGGCATGGTGGCGTATGCCTGTAATCCCAGCTACTCGGGAGGCTGAGGCAGGAGAATTGCTTGAACTCGGGAGGCAGAGGTAGCGGTGAGCCAAAATCGGGCCATTGCACTCCAGCCTGGGCAACAAGAGTGAAACTCCGTCTCAAAAAAAAAAAGAAAAGAAAAGAAAATACAAAAGCCTGATGTATAGAGAGATACGTAGAATTTGTATACAGTTCTCCACAGCAACACCACACTGCCCAAGACTGAGAATATACGAGTAAACACTCTATTCATAAATTATTTGGATTAGTTCTTTCTTGCCTCTCTGAAAGCTAATTGGTAATATCTACTGAAACTACCTGTGCATTTACCCTTTGATGAGGCAATCTCACTTCTGAAAATTTCCCTTAATAGTATACTTCCAACAACTGGAAATTACATATGCATAAGTATTTGTTATTGCAAATTGCACTATTATTTGTAATTGCAAAAATTTGGAAATAACCTAAAAGTCCGAACATATAAGTGTTTTTTTTAATAAACTATGGTTTATCTTCACATCTTTATTACACAAATGGTAGCATAGTATATAAATGCAGTGTAAAAAGGAATGCGGTAAAACTTTATGAACTGATGTGCAGTGATTTCTGGCATGTGTTTCTAAGTTATAAAAACCAAACTGCTTTTATATACTATGCTACTATCTAAGTAAGAAAGAAGTGAAAAACATGCTTACATTTGTTATTTTTACAAAAAAATACAGAAGTAAAAAACAGATAATGAAGAAGTTGATTACCTACGTCTGCTAATGGTGGAGGGGGATGAGGGAGATTGGCAGATATATGAGAAAGAGTCTGTAAGGAGCTTAAACAAATCAACAAGCAAAAAAATAGCCCCATTAAAGAATGGGCAAAGGACATGATATAGTTTGGATATGTGTCCCTGCCCAAATCTCATATTGAAATTCCCAGTGTTGGGGGTGGAGCCTGGTTGGAGGTGATAAGATCATGGGGGTAAATTTCTCATGAATGGTGTAGCATCATCCCCCTTGGTACTGTCCTCATGATAGTGACTGAGTTCTAATGGGATATGGTTGTCTAAAAATGTGTAGCACCTTCCCCCTCAGTCTCTTTCTCCTGCTTTTGCCAAGTGATGTGCCTGTTTCCCCTTTGCCTTGACTTCCACAATAACTGAAAGGTTCCTGAAGCCTCCCAAGAAACCAAGCAGATGCCAGCATCAAGCTTCCTGTACAGCCTGCAGAACTTGTAAACCAATGAAATCTCTTTTCCTTATAAATTACCTGGCTTCAGGTATTTATTTTATAGCAAGGAGAGAAGAGACTAATACAGGACATGAACAGACACTTCTCAAAAGAAGACATACACATGGCCAACAAGCATATGAGAAAGTGCTCAACATCATGAATCATCAGAGAAATGCAAATCAAAACCACAATGAGATACCAACTTATACCAATCAGAATAGCTATTAAAAAGTCAAAAAATAACAGATGTTGGTGAGGCTGTGGAGAAAAGTGAATGCTTATAGGCTGCCGTGGAGAAAAGGGAATGCTTAATTAGCTCAGCCACTGTGGAAAGCAGTTCGGAGATTTCTCAAAGAACTTAAAATAGAACTACAATTCAACCCAGCAACCCCATTACTGGATATATCCCCAAAGGAATATAAATCATTCCACCAAAAAGACACTTGCACTGGCATGTTCATTGCAGCACTTTTCGCAATAGCAAAGACATGGAATCAACCTCCATGCCCATCGATGGTGTGCTAGACAAAGAAAATATGGTATATATTTTCCAGTGAATACTACACAGCCATAAAAAAGAATGAGATCATGTCCTTTGCAGCAACATGGATGCAGCTGGAGGCCATTGTCCTAAAGAAATTAATGCAGAAACAGAAAACAAAATACTGAATATTCTTACTTATAAGTGGGAGCTAAACACTGAGTACACACGAACACAAAGAGGGGAACAATACATGCCAGTTGTTACTTGAGGGTTGAGGGTGAAAGGAGGGTGAGGATCAAAAAACCATATGTGCAATTTACCCATGTAACAAACTTGCACATGTATCCTCTGAACCAAAAATAAATATTGGAAAAAAAGTGATAATTTTCCGAGCAAAAAATTTTGCAATATTAATTAATTAATCAAACTAAAAGGCAAAACAACAAGAAAAACTTATCCAAGTATGCTTTTCCCATGTTAGTGTGGTTATGGTATTCATTTAAAGTTCAGTTGAGTTCATAAGCTTCAGCCTGCTTTCAGTGCTAGGTTGCTGTTTTATTTTTCTTTTTGTCCTTACTGATTTAATTTTAATTTTTAAATGTGTAGAGCATTGGCATGTCTCCAAATGTTATCTGTATCTATATTGCAAAATTACTTGCTCAGAAAAAGTCACTCCTTCATATAGTCCCCCAACCTCTCTTATCATCCTCCACCTTCACAGCTAGCCTAAGTAACCAACTTCTGCAGTATGAGGATCAACTATATTTTAGGGAGGTCCTATATTTGGACCGTTAGGTCATTTCCACCATTTTACAATTAAAAATAATGATTAAATTTGCAATGAAAAATACTTATGCATATGTGTTTTGTTTGTTTGTTTTTGTGTGTTTGCTTGTTTTGTTGTTGTTTTTTTTTAGCTATTGGAGGTATTTCATTAAGGGAAATTTCTAGAGGTAGGAATGCTCCATCAAAGAGTACATGCACAAATAGTTTCATTAGATATTGCCAATTCCCTTCATAGGGTCTGTACCATTTTGCTTCCTGCCAGCAATGTATAAGAGTGCCTGTGTGGTACAGTGGAATATTCTAACACATCTCTCTCTTTTCTCAGTACTTGAGAGAAAAAGCAGATTAAAATTAGGAAGTCATTATGAGCTGAGTTGTGTCCCCCCAAAATTCACACATTAAAATTTTAATCCTCAGCATTTCACAATGTAACTATATTTGGATATTGGGTTTTTGAAGACGGAATTGAGGTTAAAATGATGGCATTAAAAAGGGCCCTAACTTAATTTGACTAGTGTTCTTACAGAAAGAGAAATTTAGGACACAAACATAAGGGAAAGACCACGGGATGACACAAGGAGAAAATAGCCATCTATAAGTCAATAACAGAGACATCAGAAGCAACCAACTTTACTGACACCTTGACCTTGGACTTCTAGCCTCCAGAATTGTGAGTACATTTCTGTTGTTTATACCACTCGTTGTGTGGTATATTGTTACAGCTGCCCTAGCAAACACACAGAAGGTCACAAAAATTTTAAAAATATGAACAAACAACTTTCTGGGCCAATTATAGAATATTTATCCCAAAATGTAGAATATACCTTTCATTTCAGGAGTACATTGACCATTCATAAAAACTGATGATATCCTGGGTCATAAAATAAATCTGAACAAATATAAAGATGATAATATACAGAAATTACATTCATTGATAAAAATGTCATTAGTTAGAAATTAATGATAATAAGAATTTTTTATATCTCCAAATGTTTGGAATTTTAAAAAATACATTTCTCAATAACCATTGAGTCAAACATAAAATTATGATGAAAAACATAACATATTTCTAACTCAATGTCAATTAAAATACCATATATTAAAACATGTCAGATGTAGACTTACAAGAAAAAATGTAGCCTTAAATGCACATATTGGAAAAAGAGACTCAACACTTCATCATGGACTTGATACTAGAAAGGAAGCATACAGCATATGAAGCCAATGTAATAAATTGACTCTTGGCCCAAGTCTGATACATAGTGATTCCACTTTATCTACATAATGCATAATTAGGATAGACACTCTTGGTAGTTGGCAGGATTCCATATTGGTTCCTTAGACTTTGAGATAATAGTTACAATCATGAGGAAAGCCAAGTAGTAGCTTCTGAAATATCTTCATATTAGCATGCAGTTGAAAAGAGCATTACCTCTGGGGGTAAAGACGAATAGTAGTGCCACCCTTAAATATTTAAAAGATGAAGATATTGTGATCTCCATCATATTTTCATTTAACATATCTCCAAAAACAGATGAATCCTGAAGGACGACAATAAACTACCGTAAATTTAACTAAGAGTAACAGGCAATTACTGTACCAGATGTAGTACCTCTGCAAGAACAGATCACCTTTCAGATGTCTGGTGTATTAATTTGTTCTTGCACTCCTATAAAGAAATAACAGAGACTGGGTAATTTATAAAGAAAAGAGGTTTAATTGGCTCTTGGTTCTTCAGGCTGTACAGTAGCATAGTGGCTTCTGCTTCTGGTGAGGCTTCAGGAAACTTACAATCATGGGAGAAGGCTAAGGAGAAACAGGCACATCTTACATGGCCAGAGCAGGAGCAAGAGAGAAAGAGTGGGGAGGTGCTACACTCTTTGAAACAGCCGGATCTGGTGATAACTCACTCACTCTCACAAGAACAGGACCAAGGGAATGGTGCTAAACCATTCATGAGAAACCACCCTCATGATCCAATCACCTCCCACCAGGCCCCCCAACATTGAACATGAGATTTGGGTGGGTTCACAGATCCAAACCATATCATTTGGTATTGCAGTCATTTATTTGAAAATGTGTGTTTGTTTCTATTCTCATCAGGAAGAAGAACAGAAACAGCTTGGACTCATGTGGAAAGGGCAAGAATTTACATTTAGAATTTTTCTTTTGTCATAATGTAGTATAGAAAGGTTTGAACCATCAGAGAATTGTGTAGAAAATCACACTTGCTCACTATTATTTACAATATTAAGTTAATCAGAATTAAGAATAAGACACGTCAAGTACAAGTAAAACAAATGTGCTACAGAGTGGGAAATAAACACTACAAAGTTTCAGAGATTACCACATTTAAAAAAAAGTTTTAAGACATTCAATGGTCTGCAGCATGCTAGAACATCTCCATGATCCTCCAATCTTTCTTTTCTCGACCCCTGACCAACCTGCTAAACAATTCACTTCTGTGCATAGCCATGACATGGATGAAGAACATGGAAAGGTCCATATTATTAAATCGAATGATCCTTTTTTCTTATTTTTTAAAAGTTTAATAGTTTTAATTATTACATTTAACTCCAGAGTGTATTTAGAGTTATTTTTGTCTAAGGTGTGAGTCAAGGTTAATTTTTTGCCTATGGATGTCCTATCCTTTCAGCTTCATTTATTGAAAAGGCTATCTTTAGCTACAATATTATTACTGTAGCTAATAATAACTCCAAAAATGGGGTAGACTGAATTCTATCACTTTATTCTGTGTTTTTCAGAATTATTTTAGGCATTTTAGTTTCCTCTGCCTTTCTATATAAATTCTAGAATAATATTTTCTATCTCTACACACACACACACACACACACACACACACACACACAAATCTTTCTGGTAGTACAAATTAAATCTGTATATAAATTTGTCCATAGAATTTGGGGAAATTTATATTTTTACTATTTTAAGTATTTCAATCTATACATCATGTAGCTCTCCATTTATTAAAATCTCTGACTTCTTTAAGCACCATTGCTTAAAGGATGTTTTCAGAATAGAAGTTTTAAATTGATACCTGTGCATTTTATTTTTATTGAGCAATTGTGCATGTTATTGTACATCTAATGTTGCTACTTATGTATTTACCGTTAGAATACAGAAATGCATTTCATTTCTGTGTGCTTATCTTGCATCCTGTGAACTTGCTGAACTCACATTACTTCTATGAAGTTTTGGGGGCATATTTTTAATTCATTGAGATTTTCTATGTGGACAATTAATGTTATCTATAAGTAGAAACAATTTTGTTTTCTTTTTCTTTATGGCACTGGCAAAAACTTCCCAAATCATGATAAGTAAGACTGATGAGGCCAGGAACAATGGCTCATTCCTGTAATTCCAGCACTTTGGGAGGCCAAGGCAGGAGAATCATGTAAGGCCAGGAGTTCAAGATCAGTCTGGGCAATATAGTGAGATCCCTATCTCTACAAAAATAAAAAAATACAAGTAAAAATTTGACTGGACATAGTTGTGCAAGCCTTTAGTCCTAGATACTTGGAAGGCTGAGGCAGGAGGATGGATTGAGCCCAGGAGTTCAGATTACAGTGAGGTGTGATCATACCACCGCAGTTCAGTCTGATGAGAATCAATATCTTTGCCTTATTTCTGACCTTGGGGGCAAATCATTTAGTCTTACCATTACATACAAAGTGAATAGTACATTTTTTATGTAGATGCTATTTATCAAGTTGAAAAGATCCCCTCTATTCTCAGTTCAATAGGGAATATATTTCAAATATTGTCAAATGCTTTTCTCTGTATCAATTGACACAATCATGTGATGTTTCTTCTTTAGCTTGGTGAGTTACACGGAATGATTTTCAAATAACAAATCAACTTGGGATTCCAGGAACAGACACAACTTTGTAATGCTATATAATTCTTTTTACATGTTGCTGAATCCTATTTGCTAATATGTTGTTAAGACTGTTTATATTTTTATTTTTAATTATGAGGGATATTGGTCTATAGTTTCGTTGTTGTTAGTCTGCCTTTACCTGGTTTTGGTGTCAGGGTAATACTAACTTCATAAAATGAATTAGGAACTCTTCCCTATTATTCTGTTTTCTGGAAGAAATTATTTGGCATTGGTGTTAATACTTATTTAAATGTTTAGAAAATTCTCCAGTGAAATCATCTTGATTTGGAGATTTCTTGTTTGGGAGTTTTCAAAGGACAACTTCAATTTCATAATTCTAGGGCTATCCAAATTATCTATTTCATTTTGAGTGAGTTGTGGCAGTTTGTTTTTTTTTTGAAATATTATTTCATTTCATTTAAGTCATCAAATTTGTGTGTAGAGATTGGAGTGATGCAGCTGCAAGCAAAGGAATGCCAGTGTCTGCAGGAACCAGGGGAGATAGAAACAGGAAAGAGATAATTCTTTCTTATAGATTTTAGGGAAAGCATAACCCAGTTAACACCTTGATTTCAGACTTCAGGAAATCAAGGTGTTATTTCCATGACCAGCAGTTTTGAGCATATATTTTTGTATAAAATTTTTTAGTGTTTGCTTTATATATTTCATTGTATATGCATAATTTATAATCTACTGATATTATCATTTTGCCAATTCAAATAAACTATAGAATGCTTACCTCCTTTTGTCCCCTGTTTATAATATAATTTTTTAAAATATTCCCTTTACATACATATGGAACCACATCAAACAGTGTTATAATGTTTTGCTTCAATTGTCAAAAACAATTTAGAAAATTCAAGACAGCAGAAAGTCTATTATATTACTCACATGTTTGCTTACTGTGATATTTCTTTCTTTCTGATGTCTTAAGGTTACTTCTTTCATTGTGTTTTTTTGTTTAGAAAACTTCCCTGTTATTCTTTTAAGGTTAGTCTGCACAGGGCACGGTGGCTCACGCCTGTAAACCCAGCACTTTGGGAGGCTGAGGGCAGGCAGATCGCCTGAGGTCAGGAGGTTGAGGCCAGCCTGGCCAACACGGTGGAACCCCATCTCTATGAAAAATATTTTAAAAATTAGCCAGGTGTGGTGGTGGGCGCCTGTAATCCCAGTTACTCGGGAGGCTGAGGCAGGAGAATTGCTTAAATCCAGGAGACGAAGATTGCAGTGAGCCAACATGGTGCCACTGTACTCCAGCCTGGATGACAGAGAGAGACTCTGTCTTAAAAAAAAAAATAGTCTGCTGTTGACAAATTCTGTTAGTTTTCTTTCATCTGAGAATGTCTTAAATTCCCCTGAATATTTTCTCAGGATATAGGATTCTGGATTGACAATTCTTTTATTTTGAAACTTGAAAAATGTTGTGCTTCTTCCTTCTGACCTCCTGGTTCCTGATAAGAAATCCACTACTAATATTATTTTCTCTTTGTATTTCTCTCTCACTGCTTTCAAGATTTTTTCTTTGTCTTTAGTTTTCAGAAATTTCACTATGGTGTGAATATCTTTGAATATCTTTAGGGTTTTTATCTGTTTGGGGTTTCTTGAATCTGCAGCTTTATGTTTCTTGACCAATTTGGAATATTTTCAGCCATTATTATTTTGAGCACTGTTTCACCCCCAAACTCTTTCTCTTCCCCTTTCCAAATTCTGATGACATAAATATCAAACCTTTGGTTATACTCCCACAGGTCTCTGAATGTCTGCAGATTCTTATTCAGTCTATTTTCTCTATACAGCTTGAGTTGGGTAATTTTTCTTATTCTACCCGTCAGTTCATAGAATCCTTTACTCTGTCGCCTGCACTATGCTATTGAGCCCATCCTTAGACATTGTATTTAAGATATTGTAATTTTTGGTTCTAAATTTTTCCATTGGGATCTTTTTCACATCTTCTGTTTTGTTGCTGAGACTTCCATTTCATTGCTGAGACTTCCATTTCTTTTCTGAGTCTATTTTTTTCATTTGTTTTATGTGTGTTTCTAATTGATCATTCAAGCTTTTCTTTTCGTGCCTATTTAAAATCTGTGTCAGATAATCCTAACTTCTCTATTACCTCAATGTTGACATCATTGATTATGTTTTTTCCTTTAGGTTGAGATCATCTTGGTTCTTTGTATTACAAATGGTTTTCAATTGGAATCTGGCATTGGGATATTGTATATTGAAACTCCAGATCTTATTTAAACCTTCATTTTTAGCTAAGTTCCTCTGACACTGCTTGGGCAAGGGAAAGAGGAAGGATGTGCCTTGTTACTGCTAGACGGGGCTAGAAATCCAGGTAACCCATTTGGCCTCTATTGACACTCAAGCTGTGGAATTTTTTCATAACTGTTGGGCATGGGAAGGAGTTCCAGCTTCTCATTAGTCCTGCACTGATACTGCCCTGGCTGTCCAGGGGGGATAATGGTGCCCCAATTGCTGCTCCCTATGTGGCCACCATTGACACTATGCAGGCGGCACCGGGGGCAGGTGGTGAAAGTTCTGACTCTCCAGTATGTCTTCGCTGACACCATTCTATTGGGGATGAGGATGGCAACTTATTACTTCCATGTGGGAATAAAAGCCCAGCCTCCATACATGGTCTCCATTGACATTGTTGTGGGAAGAGGTAGGAACCTGGAATGGGGTATGCACTTGCTGAAGATGAAAGTCCCAGGTCTTTAACAGGCCTTTCCCGACACACTCCAGTGAGGAACCCTGGGTGCCTTGTTACAGCCTGGCAAGTGTGGAAGTTTGCGTTCCTCACCTGGACTTTGCTGTCATGGGTAGGAGAGGAACCAGAGCTGGTGTTTGGATGGAGTGGAGAGTTTATTGTGTAAAGGTTTTCTATCTTGATCAATTGACTTCTCCTGGTCCTTTGGCCACAAATAGAAGGTTAGGTTGCTTTTTTGTTTGTTTGTTTGTATCTGCTGGCATTTCTGCATTGCTGGCTTTTTCATCTCTAAATCCGGGATGTATGAAGCAAAAATAAAACCAAGAAACTCATCATCATCCTCGGGTTTAAGTTTCCTAGGTAGTCTCCTTTCTTCTCTACACCTTTCAGAGTGGTCTTTTTTATGTATATAATACCGCGGTTTTCAGATATACTCAGCAGGAGGAATATGGAAAAGCATGTCTAGTTCATCTTCTCAGATGTGGAAGCTTACTATTCTCTGTTAAAATATCTTTTTCCAAAAGTATTCAAGGTGCAGTGGCTCATGCCTATAATCCTGTTGCTTTGAGAGGCTGAGATGGGAGGCTCAGGAATTTGAGATCAGCCTGGACAAGAGAGTGAGACCAGTCTCTACAAAAAAAAAAAAAAAAAAGAAGAAGAAAGAAAGAAAAGAAAAATTAGCTGGTGTGGTGGAGCATGCCTGTGGTCCTACCTACTTGGGAAGCTGAGGTAAAGGGATCCCTTGAACCTTTCAGGTGCAGGATGTGGAAGGTGCAGTGAGCTATAATCACACCACTGCACTCATCCTGGACAACAGAACAAGACCCCATATTAAAAAATTAAAAATAAATGAAAAAGTATTCAATAACTTCCTTTATTTGTGGTTATGACTTGAATTTGCAAAGGCTCCACTTTTATAAAACTATGAGTTTGTGATACGTTCAAAATAACTGAACTGCAGCTTTTCAACTTCTGGAACTTCAACTTCTTCATTTTTTAGCGAGAAGTAGAGAGAAATATAAATTAAAATTAGTTTCAGTGTGTTGCATTACTTCACTTCTGCTTATTATCTTGCTTTGTGGTTTCACATGCCTCTGAACTGCAGAACAGATTAGAAAGAAAGAATAAGCTAATTAAACTTAGGTCTCAAAAAACTCAAAAAAAAAACTTGAGAATATAGACAAAAATGTGAGGTAAAATTTTGACTAAACTATTAAAAATAGTTTCTGAGAAAATCTATATAAAATATATATATTTAGTTTATATTTACCTTTGTAATTCACTCAGGGGAAAAAAAAAAGTTGGATGTGTTGGCAGTTAAGTCTTACAGATTCCCAAGAACTCAAAGAACTATAAATAGAACTTTTAAAGAAGTATTTTCTAACCATCTTTACCCAACTATCAAATCAAAGTATTCTTTCTCTCTCTCCCTCTCTCCCTTCCTCTTCCTATCCCTTCCACTTTCCTTGTCCTTTTATCTCTGTCTTTCCCTGTCTGACTTTTCCTTCCTTCCCTCCTTCCTTCCTTCCTCCCTCCCTCCTTCCCTCCCTTCCTCTCCTTCTTTTTCTTTACTTTCTTGCCTTTCTTTCCCCTTCATCTCTCTTCCCTTCCTGTCTTCCCTCCTGACTTTATATCCTTTATTGCTACACATTGTTTAGGGCTATCTTCTGGATATGTGTATATCATACCAAAAAGTATTAGTGACCATCACTTTGTATCCAGAAAAGACATTTTCAGAAATTAAAAAAATTAGTCTATGAATTAAATGTAATATTAAAGAAAATAATTTTCTTAGCAACCTGGGTTCTGAAATATCCCTATTCACTTCATTTTCTACATGGAAAACAATATATGATAGTTAAGTTCTCACTGGATTTTTATTCTGATCCTCTATTTTGGTCTTTTGGGAGTATAGTGAAAAACTGACACAAACATGCATTCTCTAGCTAAATGTTGCCACCTGAAGAGCTAGGGAATTAAAAAAAATAGAGCTTTATTTGCTTCATTTTTTTCTTAAATGCTTGAAATGTAATGTTTAAAAACATCCTAACCATGGTATTGTGGCATCGATGCTTGTTCATTTTATACTCTGGTTAATGTGAAACTTTCAATTGAATTGGAATGTTTTTCAAAAATGTTCCAAAAGAGTGAAGTCTTTCTCCAGCTACATAATATGTAAATTCAACTTTAAGTGTAGACTGTAATACTCACACATAAATATCTGAAATCTTCCAACTGTTTGTGGTGTTTTACCAATTTGTTTCAAACAGTGCTAGGGATATTAAGCAACACAACACCCTCTGACAACAAAGGTGCTATTAAGGGCTGTTGCATCAATAATGGGTGGATGTAAACTCCCTAAATAATCATAGATTGGATATTGTGTAGCAGTTTCAAAAGCACAATTATAGCCCATTGTGTCAGTAATGTGTGCATTTAGGCCTCTTAATAGTACATGTTGGCAAACTGACTGTGAGATAGTGGAACTAGTTACCAAAGGGTAGATTCTCATTTCCTTGATATATTTTAGAAACGGAAATAGCTATCTGTTTGAAATTATTTAGGTTCATTCTTACTGGAGTCAGGGGGTTGGAAAACCTTGCCTCCAGTGGGCTCTTCTGGCACTGTCATTAGGAAAAAAATTACTAAAGTGTTACTCAAGTTTTTCTCAACCTTACTTCAGAGATGCAAAGCTTAATTTAGAATACACACGTGTCACATTTGTCTCAATTCAACTCCAATCCTGAAATATGAAAAATCTATGCATAGATCTCCTCAACTTACTATGGCCATCTCCTATTTACAAGCCCATCGTTTCTAACAGAAAAAAAAATTAAAAAATAAAGATTAAACGTCTCCTGCTTAGCATCTGCAATCCATTCCTGATCCCATCCTGAAAAACCAAACAATCTGCCTTAAAATGCTAACCTGATGCCTATTTCCCAGCTTTTTTTAACTGGAAAATTTATATTACTATATATAAAACCAAAACTCCCAACTAATTTCCTAAAATGTAACTAAAATACAGTAAAATATTCATATGTATGAAACAAACTATCATGTTAATATGTTAAATGCTTAAGGCATCATTTCCTGATCACCAATCTATTTTTAACAGTTTCTCTGTGAATTGGCATGTACATTTTTCATGCCATTACACCAATAGTACATTTTTGACAAAGCATAGCAACAACACACAGCAATAAATTCAATAAAACAAATAAAAATTTATAGTTAAAGTAAGGCAATTTCCAAAAACAAACTCTTTCTTATTTCCCCAATACAGTAAAAAGTGAAGCCTGAAGAAGGTTGACAAAAGGAAAGGAAAGAGCATTTATTTCTTATTGCAAATGGTAATGCATCAGTGTGTGTCTGGAATTGGTGGGTTCTTGGTCTCGCTGACTTCAAGAATGAAGCCGCAGACCCTCATGGTGAGTGTCACAACTCTTAAACATGGTGTGTCCACAGTTTGTTCCTTCTGATGTTTGGACGTGTCCAGAGTTTCTTCTTTCTGGTGGGTTTGTGGTCTCACTGACTTCAGGAGTGAAGCTGCAGACCTTCGCAATGAGTGTTACATCTCATAAAGGCGGTGTGGACCCAAAGAGTAAGCAGCAGCAAGATTTACTGCAAAGAGAAAGAACAAAGCTTCTACAGCATGGAAGCAGCCCAAGTGGGTGGCCGCTGAGGGCACAGGTGGCCTGCTTTTATTTTCTTATTTGGCCCCACCCATATCCTGCTGATTGGTCCATTTTACAGAGAGCTAATTGGTCCATTTTACAGAGTGCTGATTGGTCCGTTTTACAGAGTGCTGATTGGTGCATTTACAAACCTTTAGCTAGACACAGAGTGCTGATTGGTGCGTTTACAATCCTTTAGCTAGACAGAAAAGTTCTCCAAGTCCCCACCTAACCCAGAAGCCCAGCAGGCTTCACCTCTCAAGAGGAGCTAGGTAATGGGGGAACAATCTCAGGACAACTTTGAGATTCAGAAGAACAGACAGATTCCTGCATCATTTTAGTGCTGCTCTAGACACTCTTTAACAGGAAGGAAGAATACAAATTTATGGTTGGTGATTGATGCTGTAAGTTAAAAAAAAGTTATAAAACTGATTTTTGCTTAATTTCGTCTATTTTTAATATGGTGTGTTAGCAGCATCTAGTCAATTTCAGTTTTTAATTGAAAGAGTAGCTGGGTGCAGTGACTCAGTCTGTAATCCCAGCACTTCGAGAGACCAATGCAGGAGGATCACTTGAGGCCAAGAGTTCGAGACTAGTCTGGGAAACATAGTGAGACCCTGTCTGTACAAAAAAAAAAGCCAGGTGTAGTGTCACACAATTGTAGCCCCAGCTACTCAAGAGGCTGAAGCAGGAGGATCACTTGTGCCCAGAAGTTTGAGGCTGCAGTGAGCTTGAGCTATAATCTTTATTTTTATCCTTACACCAGTTTTTCTTCTGATAAAATACAAATAAAACTTTCCACTGTACTACAGCCTGGATGACAAAGAGAGAGATCCTTTCTCAAAAAATATCTATTTAATTAAATAAAATAAAAATAAATGAAAGAAAAATGTTCATAACTGCATCGGCACATCCTTGTTTTTGACATTTACCCTACTTTTCTAAGCATCTAAGCATAATTGTGATACTTTACCAATTTTTGGATAGCAAGTTTTCCCACACCTGGTATATTATGTTTTGAACACTTAAATAAAAATCATCCATATGTTAACACTGGCAAAATTCAACCAAAAAAGAAGGGATCAGATATTCTATGAACTTTAGGTTTTAAAGACGAAGAGGAGGTTAAGTGAGAGCACATTAATGGAGAGACAGTTTGCGGGGCATGTCTATATTGCAAAGAGAATGAATCTCACCTCTCACACGACTTTCTTTAAAATTCCAAAGGTTTCCCGCATAACAAATTCTTGGGTAAAATATGTTTTCATTTGTAGCTGGCCCTTCTCCATCAACTAGCATCAAATTTCCCTAACTGATATGCTATAGTGTGTTCACTCTTCTCACAAGACCAATTGCTCATCGCCAATTCTTACAAGACCAATGATTTTCTGCACATCTCCTCCTAGACAGTGGATGGTCTCCACAATCCTGCACAAACTATTTCCCCGAGTATCTTAAATTTTAGCAATAAATTACTAGAGTTCATAGTCAGTGCAAAGTCATACTGCTGTTAATACATTTTCCTTTTCTAATTTAGCTATAACTTTTAAACTTCTGACTTATCTACTTTAGGTGTATATTAGTAATTATGTAAGTCTGTGTTTTAGAAATATTCTTTAAAACATTTGAAAGTTTTATTTGTATTTTATCAGAACAAAAACTGAGGTAAGGATAAAAATAAAGATAATATTTTAGAAGAACCACTATAAAACAAAAAGGATCTTTTAAAAAATTAACTTTCTTTGTTTTTATATAAACCACAAAGAGAAAAAATCAGCTAAAAGCCCTGATAACCAAAATACTAATAGAACATTTAGCAGTTTTGAACTAGGTGCTTAAGAAAACTTCTCCATTTCCACCAGAATTCCTATTTCTGTATTTGTACATGTAAAATATTTATTGGATTGTCCACATTTATTTATAGACATATGAGTTATAAATGACACCGACTTAATAGTTCCATAGTTTTTGAATAAACATAGAAATTGACCCTTCTGATCTTAAAGCTTGAAACTTTTATTTGTTTTCTCTGAGTTCCTTCATCAGGAAACAACCTCAGGCCTTTCAAAAAAGTTTCAAAAAAATGAAACTCATCAGATCACCATATCCAAACAATGAGATGCTGGACCCCACATTCATCATGATTGCTTCTTTGCCCCTCCCTAATTCCTGTTTTCTTACACATTGTTACATTTCTTTCCTGCTGTATAAACCCCAGTCAGTCAAGAAGATGGATTTGAGACTGAATTCCCATGTCCTTAGCTGCAGCACCCTATTAAAGCCTTCTTCCTTGGCAATAACTCTTGTCTCAATGATTGGCTTTCTGTGCAGTGAGCAGCAGCAGCAGGACCTAGACTGAACCCCTGGCATTTTGGTAACACACACACACAGACGCACACAGACACACACACACACACACACATTCACACCTTTAAAATAAAAATGTATTGCTCCAGAAGCAATGTTATTTCCTAAATGTTAGATTATACCTAATTTTTCTGAATGAGTTATTTTGGAAGAGATTCATGTCTTCTTATATAATAGAAGACAAATTGCTGAATAATAGTCTTATCGAGATAAATATTTTATAAAATTAAAAATTATAATGAGAGCTTTAAGAATTAAAATCTTCACTATATTTTAAATTTTGCTAATGTGCATAGATCAGTTTACGAGCAGACCAACTAGGGCTGAACATGTAAGGTTTTTTTTGTTTGTTTGTTTGTTTGTTTTTTGAGAGGGAGTCTCACTCTGTCATCCAGGCTGGAGTGCAGTGGTGCGATCTTGGCTCATTACAACCTCCGCCACCCGGGTTCAAGCAATTGTCCTGCCTCAGCCTCCTGAGTAGCTAGGACTACAGGTGCCCGCCACCACACCTGGCTAATTTTTTGTACTTTTAGTAGAGTTGGGGTTTCACCATGTTTGCCAGGATGGTCTCGACCTCCTGACCTTGTGATCCTCCCGCCTCCACTTCCCAAAGTGCTGGGATTACAGGAATGAGCCACTGCGCTCAGCCATAAGTTTTTAATAATTCTCCCTGTTGAGAGTGGGCAGATTACACCCCTGATAAGAAGTAATGCCAGAGATGACCGTTACAAAAAAAATCTTTAATAAATTACTTAACATCGAACTAGCCATAACCAATGACTAACTAGAGACAATAGTACAGCAAGGGGGCATCTTCAAACTAATAGAAAACATGAAGTCTCTACTCATGAGGAATGACATCACACAGAGCCAAACAAAGCACATATGAAGAAGCTGATGTGCATTTAGTAAGATATCCAAAGCAAGGCTGGATCAAATACCATTCATTCGTTTAGCCAATATTGACTATCTATTCTACTTAGTCCACCATGTGGTTTTAGAAATACCAAAATAAAATAGGCAGTGTGCCCTAAATGCATCAGAATTTTTTACAATACTAAATACATAACAAACAAGTACAACACAACATAATAACTGCTATAACAAAGATTATATGCAAGGTACAGAAAAGAAGCTTATGGAAAAGAAAACTTGACCGAGGAAGTCCAGGAGAATTTTACTGAGGAGGGAGCATTAGAATGATGTATTACAGGTTAGTGTCGTGCCTGGTGGTAAGTAGTGATGGAGAAGGCATTCTAAACAGAGGAAGTAATTTGTGTAAAGTCTTCAAAGAGTGAGGGAGTATAGCAACTGCAAGCAACTAAAGTAGTTTGCTTTTTTGAAACTGTAATGTAGAGAAGAAAAATAGCAGGATATGAGGCTGGACAGGGAGCAAAGCCAGATTACATGAAAGTAGTACTGTTAATGCCTGGGTGAGACAAACAAGCAAAGAAGCAGTGACCATATGCTGGGCTTCCATATAGGAATTCAAGGGAATCTGTGCTGGAAATCTAGTTGTGAGTACTTTTGATATGGAAGGGGGGCAGGGAAGTGCTAGGAGGAGAAGAGAGGGGTCCCTGGCGAGGGCTCAACCCCTGGGTCTGTGCCCATGGACCTAGGTGAGGACAGGCATTTCTGTTTTCATGCCCAAATGTAGCAAGACCACCTTGGCCTGCCACGCCCCCATCCTGTGCCTATAAAAACTCTGAGACCCTAGTGGGGAGAGCACACATGTAACTGGATGTCGAGAAGAGCACAACAATGGAAGCACATGCAAGTGGCTGGACGTCGAGAGGAACACAATGGTGAAGAACACACCGATAGGCACCGGTAGACACCACTGGGCCATTGACCAGCAGAACGACGCAAAGTTTGGCTGGGATGGTTGGAGGAAAGCCCTGCTGCTGGGCCGCCCCACTCAGGGTAAAACTACCTTTCCTCTCCACCTGCTTCTGGCCTCCCCATCCAACTCACTGAGAGCTACCACCACTCAATAAAAAACCTTGCACTCATTCTCCAAGCCCACGTGTGATCTGATTTTTCCAGTACACCAAGGCAAGAACGCTGGGATACAGAAAGCCCTCTGTCCTTGCCATCAGGCAGAGGGTCTAATTGAGCTGATTAACACAAGCCGCCTACAGACAATAAAACTAAAGAGTACTCTGTAACACACACCCACTGGGATTTCAGGAGCTGTAAGCATTCACCGCTAGATGCTGCTGTGGGGTCAGAGCCTCACAACCTGCCCGCTGCATGCGCCCCTTAGAGGTTTGAGCAGTGGGGCACTGAAGAATCGAGCCACTCCCCCCGTCACACACCCTACAAGGGAGACAAAGGAACTTTTCCATTTCCGCTTTCATCATATCAAGTGGCAGTGGAATTCATGGGCAGACTAAATTACAAGAGGCAAGTATACAGTTTCTTCTTGGATATCAGTATGAAAGCTAGAATGAGCACTCTGTGCAGATAGGAGGACAATCAAGAATGAACATTTCCCCAGACATCCTGGGAGAGGTAAATTTCAAGCACTGAGTAATTAACTGTACTAAAGGCCAGAGAGGACAAATAAAATAAGGACTAAATATATGCATAGGGTTTGGCAACTAGCAGGTCATTGCTTGTCTTAATGAGAGAAATTCAATGGAGTGCCAATATTGCAGTAGACACTTAAAAACTCTCTAGCAAAGAGCAATTTAAAAGCCATGTTTCTCAATTTTTAGAACCATAGATTTGAGAAAGAAAAGGATTTTGTGAATGCTAAAAGCTTGATTGCACATATCAAAGTTTAAAATCCAAAGAAGTCATGAGTCGTATTGCAGAGAAAACCACGTAATAAAATTATAAGCTTTTCTGTGACCAAAATGAGAAAAGAAAAATAGCTTAGGGAAGTCTGAGTTATGTGACATCTGCAAAATTTTTCAGGCCAGAGAGATATGAGTATGGGACTTCAGTCATGCCTCCCTACCCCCAAAGCCATTCTCAAGCTTTGGGCTCAAATAAACTCTATACTTAGTCATATTTTCTGACTCTCATTGTTTTAGGTTGACAAAACCAAACGGAGATATGGAACAAAAATGGGAATGGGAGGTGGGTGCTTCACAAAAAAAAAGAATATGATAAAACAGAATCAATATTAAGAAATTAATGGATGGCCGAGTTTCAATAGAAATTTTGAATGAATTTAGGGGATTCCAGAGACAAAAAGTCTTTTGCCAGACTTCCCAGTTCAGTTATAGAGAAATAATTTTATTTTGGTATGCATTATTATATGTGTGTGAAAATTAAAAACAAACAAAAAAATTTCATCCCAAAAGAAACTTCTTTGACATGTTTCAGAATGGCAATTCAGAGAGCCTGCAGACAAGAATAGTCCTGAAAAGCTGCCTTTTGTCAGAGGCTTGCATCTGTAGAGAAAATCTGCATTGGTGAAACAAACAGCCAGGCTTTCCCTGAGGTCCCCTCCCTTTTTGTTTAGATCTAGGAAAGATTAACTTAAAATCTGACCCCTTTGAAAGACTGACAGAGAAGCTTTATCACAGGTTACCATGTATGTCTTCTGAGACCTGCTATCTGTGAGGTTTTATCTGTATAACAAGACTGTCTTTGCTCCATGCCTTTCTCTCTTCCACTCATAACCTATCTTGCCATGCTGCAAGCCCCCTATTCTTTTTGTAACCTCAAGATGGTATAAAAGCATCAATTATCTAGCCTTTTCTTTGGGTTATCATATTTTGTATGACTCCCATATAATGTTGAGAGGTGACAGCATGCTGGCAGTCCTCAGAGCCCTCGCTTGCTCTCGGCACCTCCCCTGCCTGGGCTCCCACTTTGGTGGCATTTGAGGAGCCCTTCAGTCCCCCACTGCACTGTGGGAGCCCCTTTCTGGGCTGGCCAAGGCCGGAGCCCACTCCCTCAGCTGGCAGGGAGGTGTGGAGGGAGAGACAGGAGCGGGAACCGGGGCTGCGTGCGGCGCTTGCGGGCCAGCTGGAGTTCCGGGTGGGCGTGGGCTTGTGGGCCCCGCACTCGGAGCAGCCAGCCAGCCCTGCTGGCCCCGGGCAATGGGGGACTTAGCACCCGGGCCAGTGGCTGCAGAGGGTGTACTGGGTCCCCCAGCAGTGCTGGCCCACCGGCGCTGCGCTCGATTTCTCGCCGGGCCTTGGCTGCCTTCCCACGGGGCAGGGCTCAGGACCTGCAGCCCGCCATGCCTGAGCCTCCCACCCCCTCCGTGGGCTCCTGTGCAGCCCGAGCCTCCCTGACGAGCGCCAGCCCCTGCTCCACGGCGCCCAGTCCCATCGACCACCCAAGGGCTGAGGAATGCGAGCGCACGGCGCAGGACTGGCAGGCAGCTCCACCTGCAGCCCCGGTGCGGGATCCACTAGGTGAAGCCAGCTGGGCTCCTGAGTCTGGTGGGGACGTGGAGAGTCTTTATATCTAGCTCAGGGATTGTAAATACACCAATCAGCACCCTGTGTTTAGCTCAAGGTTTGTGCCAATCGACACTCTGTATCTAGCTGCTCTGGTGAGGACGTGGAGAACCTTTATGTCTAGCTCAAGGATTGTAAATACACCAATCGGCACTCTGTATCTAGCTCAAGGTTTGTAAACACACCAATCAGCACCCTGTGTTTAGCTCAAGGTTTGTGAGTGCACCAATCGACACTCTGTATCTAGCTGCTCTGGTGGGGCCTTGGAGAACCTGTGTGTGGAAACTCTGTATCTAACTAATCTGATGGGGAAGTGGAGAACCTTTGTATCTAGCTCAGGGATTGTAAATGCACCAATCAGCACCCTGAAAAAACAGGCCACTCGGCTCTACCAATCAGCAGGATGTGGGTGGGGCCAGATAAGAGAATAAAAGCAGGCTGCACGAGCCAGCATTGGCAACCTGCTCGGATCCCCTTCCACAGTGTGGAAGGTTTGTTCTTTTGCTCTTTGCAATAAATCTTGCTACTGCTCACTGTTTGGGTCCATGCTGCTTTTATGAGCTGTAACACTCACTGCGAAGGTCTGCAGCTTCACTCCTCAGCCAGCGAGACCACGAACCCACCAGAAGGAAGAAACTCCAAACACATCTGAACATCAGAAGGGACAGACTCCAGATGCGCCGCCTTAAGAGCTGTAACACTCACCGCGAGGCTCCGCGGCTTCATTCTTGAAGTCAGTGAGACCAAGAACCCACCAATTCCGGACACAATGTGGGCATGTTAATAAATTTTGTGTGTCTCTTCTCCTATTAATCTGCCTTTTGTCAGTTCATTTTCAGTGAACCTTCAGAGAATGATGGGCAGGTTTTCCCTTGGCCCCCACAGTTTTGGCACTGTGAGCAGGATACCAAAACCACTCTGTTCTTCTGGAAGCCACAGCCCAGGGAACCTAGGATCTGAGAAGTTCACAAAAGGGTAAGAAATTCTTACTAGTGAGACTCCCAGTCTTTCTCTATAGAATCCAGTGGAGCAAATGATAAAAATCACTCTACCGTTTCCCTTTCAAACTTGAGACTGATGGGAGTAAAGCATTTATAGAGAGTAGTCTTAGGTGTACAAATTCTGGTGTATATTTTGTATGAATATTTACATTGTCTGATCCTTTTCCTCCCAGAAATAGTCGTTATTTTCTGCCTTGTCTCTGTCTTACTGTGTTTTGTCATAAAGAGGGTTACCATAGACCCTGAAATAGAAATTGGGTAAGATTCCTTTCTCGTTTTATTTTATGTTGTTGAGAACTTGGCTTGTGACAAAGTGGGAACATTCTCTCTTGGTCTCAGCCTTCTGTGGGGCATGATTTGGGTCACGTCCAGTGGCCAGTCTGAAAAGAGTAGGAACCCAAGACATGTAAGATATTGAACAGTACACTCTTTATCAAATCTGCCAAACTCTCTAGGGAGTTTGCCTTCATGAGGAGTCCTATCCATAAGGGGCTTTTGTGATCTCAATCCTTGTTGCCTGGTTAGTCTTGGGGAAGTCCAATCCCAGGAGAGCCTACCCAGTGCCACAGATTAACAAGTCAGTGACTGGTGCCCCCCATCACAGATTTGTGGGATACTGGAGGCAGCATACACGCAAACGCCATCTTTAACCTTCTATAGCAACAAAAGTATTTTGCTATTCTAGCCTATTTCCAGGAGTGAATTTTTCTGGGGATCATGGGAGGATTCATCCTCTGCACCCATTTTAAAGACATTACTTACATCTATGGTAATCCAAACCTGAAAAGTTATCTCTGGAAGTTTTCATGACAAAGACCTATTGCTTTGAGTCACTTATAGAATAAATAAATTGGCTATATTTAAAAGAAAACTTTTTAGAGAGCTTTTATCTTAAACAGCTATCTTTTTGTACCTATGAAAAGATATAAAATGAATTTATAGACTTACAACCTTCTTTGGCAAGAATAAAAGAAAAAAGCAGAAATCAGATTTAAAACAAAAGTAAATTTTTTTTTGCATACACAAACTTCCTACTTTGGATCTTTTGCAGAATCTGCAAAAAGACCTATAGTCTAGTGGCTTGGAATTTATGTCTGTACTACTGTGGCCTGGGTTAAATTCCTGACCAGGGTAAAAGTCCCTTGGAAACATTAATAAAAAAATAGTTTGATATTTGCATATCTGTACCCATTTATTTTGTAATCCTTTGTACCCCCATAGATAGCTTTTGACTTCCACTTGTCCTGACTATTTTTAAATTTCCTGTGTGTATGGAACACAGGTTGTCAGGTCTTTGCAGACATTCAACTGAGAAACTGAAACCCTAGAGAACATGCTGGACAGAAATGTAGGATGTGCTCCATTTGTGGCTGGTGAAATTTTCTTTCTTTGAACTGTTGTTTGGAGTTGTCTGAATCTTGGGAAGGTTGAAGCTTTTACTCCCTCTTTGGAGACCTTGGGATAGCCAAGAAGGGCTTTTTGGTTTTGTTCTCATGTGTACTTATTTCTTTTTGTTTGGACTTATGTATTTAGGTATACCTTTGACTTAAAACTTTGGTTTGTATTTTGTGTGGAATAACAACTTGCTTTCCATTGTTTTGTTTCCTATCCTTGATTGGAAAGACACACTTCCTGCCACTGCTGAGAACTGACTGGTGAGTGGATGAGGCAAACATCTTCCCAGGTCATGAGGGGAAAGGCTGCTGGTAAGACACCATTCCCTAGGTTCCGGTGAAAGGCTGACTGCTCATGGGACAGAGCTTGCTGTGTGTATATTTAAAATATTTTTAAGTGAGTTGTACGGTCAAAAGTTGGCTTAACTAAAAGCTGATATTTAGGTCATAATTTTTTAAGGGCCTTTCTGCTTTTTCTCTCTTGTATCCTGTTTCACCCCTGAAAAAATTTTCAGCTGACTAAAATATATATATATATATTAAGTTTGGTGGATAATTGTGTAGGACCTAAGGGAAAACTTACCCTTTTTTCTCTAAAGATTCACTAAAAATCAATGGACAAGAGGCAGATCAATAGGAGTAAAGTCATACAAAATTGACTAACATGCATGTGTGTTCATGGCAGTCATACAAAATATGAAAACTCAAAGGGCCAAGTAACAGACACCTTTATATCATGTTGAGGTAACAAAAAGAATCGGGGCTTGGAGCTTGGTAAAACAGGTTATGGGAGGGAGGGAAAGAGAAGGGCATGGGGCAAGAATAGCCTTGTTGTATAGATAAAACCTCACAGGTAGCAGCTTTCAGAAAGAATAGATGTTATCTCTGATAAAGCTTCTCTCTCTCTCTATATATATAAAACATATGTATATAACATATATATATCTAATTATATGATCTGTCCCTCTGTTTGCTTCCTTTCTTGTTGGCATGATTTTTGCTGACAAAAGGTAAAATTTCATTAGCCTTTTGGAGAGGTTTAAGATCTCTCCAAATTGTCTCCTCTGAGACTTGTTCTCCCATTTACTTGTACTCCTCCTTTTCTTGCCACCTTTGATACCACATGAAAAGCTCTAAAGGGGACTTCTGGCAGCCCAGAATCCCCCTGAGGAACACAGAAAAAAAGGTGCCATACACATCTTTTTGGGGTGGTTCTGTCTTCCCCGTGAAGCCCCAAGAGTCACGGGCAGTGATGTCTCAGGACTAACACTCTACTTCCTTTTGCATTGAGTTCCCTGACCTCTTTGGCTTTTGGGAATACTGGAGATTGTTTTGTGTTATGAGAGACCACTTGATCTTCGGGTGTATGATGGCTGGTAAGGCACTAGCAAAAGCTAAAGTTTGGGAGGTGCCTCACAGAGGTTGCAGTGAATGGATATCTTTGCCTGTCTCTTATCTGTAAACATGTAAACATGTAACCCAAGTCTCTACACAGCTGCCAATCCTACCTTAATAAGCTTTCTAAAAGTAAAGTTTAAAATGGGGGACTAAAGAAAACCAAAAATATTTATCCCAAAATATACTTCTTTGACATCTTTCAAGGTGGCTATTCAGAGGAGCTGCAGACAAGAATAGCCTTGAAAAGCTGCCTTTTGTGGAAGAAACTTGCATCTGTAGAGTAAATCTGCATTGGTGAAATGAACAGCCACGCTTTCCCTGACGCCGCCACATACTTTATCCAGATCTAGAAAAGACTAACTGAAAATCTGACACTTTTGAATGTCTGGCAGAGAAGCTTTATCAGAGACTAACATCTATTCTTTCTGAAAGCTGCTACCTGTGAGGTTTTATCTATACAACAAGGTTATTCTTGCCCCATGCCCTTCTCTTTCCCTCCCTCCCATAACCTGTTTTACCAAGCTCCAAGCCCCGATTCTTTTTGTTACCTCAACATGATATAAAGGTGTCTGTTACTTGGCCCTTTGAGTTTTCATATTTTGTATGACTGCCATGAACAAACATGCATGTTAGTCAATTTTGTATGACTTTACTCCTATTGATCTGCCTCTTGTCCATTGATTTTTAGTGAATCTTTAGAGAAAAAAGGGTAAGTTTTCCCTTAGGTCCTACACAATTATCCACCAAACTTAATTGCTTTAAAATGAGAAACTGAATACATAAGTGTATATAACATATTTTGCAAGTTTAGCTGTGTCTGAGGCAGAAAATGGAGCAATACCTAGAAAGACGACAAAAGGACAATTCATTTATTTTCTTTTTTTCTCTTTCTCTTTCTCTTCCTCTCTCCCTTTCATTCTGTACTGGAGAGACTTAGCTTGTGTTGAAGTCTGAATGGAAGCCATTTATGGATATGCAAAGAGGAATGGATAATTGATGAAGCATGGTAACAAAGATTATTTTCATCTGAGTACAAAGATAAAGGTAAGACTGGGTGAAGATTCAGCCATGTTTGAGAATTGAGTGACAGGCAGTCACAGGCAAGAAGATTCTGGAACAATACAGAAGTAGAGGCAAAAACTATAACTACTCATATCTTTTGCCCCTGTAGACTATAACTATTATAACTAATAAAGCCTTTGAGTTTCAAATTACCAAAGCACAGGCCTTTTTTCCTTATTAGGTAAAATTTAGACTTTTTTTTTTTTGAGACAGCGTCTCACTTTGTCGCCCAGGCTGGAGTACAGTGGTGTGGTCTTGGCTCACTGCAGCCTCTCCCTCCTGGGCTCAAGTAATTGTCCCACCTCAGCCTCCCAAGTAGCTGGGACTGCAGGTTGGTGCCACCACACCGGCTAATTTTTTGTACTTTTGGTAGAAAAAGTTGCCATGTTGCCCAGATTGGTCTCAAACTCCTGGGCTCCAGCGATCCCCCTGCCTCAGCCTCCAAAAACGTTACAATTACAGGTGTGAGCCACTGCACCCAGCCAATTTAGACTGTTTTTAGGGAAATACTGGTTTATTACTTTATTATCCTGTGTATAGAAAGCCTGAGAAATTAGAAAATGCCCTCACTGAACAGGCAGAGGTGTAAACCATGAAGCAAGTCGCTAAATTTCCCTGAATTTTATTGGAATTCCTCTGAATTTTATTAGAAAAATATGAAAGAGGATAGTCAGTAAAAGCCTGGAAAGAGGCTACTGGCAGACAATAAAACTTAAAGATAGATAGAGTAAATAAAGCCAGGCTAGGGGTTTTAGGTTTTTGAGGTAGTAGGGTGCAGCAGAGGGGGTAGAGTCAGAATATGGGATGTGATTGAAGATATTTGATCAGAGAAAGGTTGTGATAAAATGTTATGATACTGTGTGTGTGTGTGTGTGTGTGTGTGTGTGTATTTTAATAGGACAAAGGCAGTGGTTCTTTAGCTGATAATGAATTATGTATGGATTATCTGGAGATGGATATAGGTAGGTAACTATTGCAAGAGTCTGAGCAAGAAATTATAATTGCCTAGACTTAGTGCAGATACCTAATCAAGTAATATTTACAAGGACCTTGATATTGATTACATGGTGCATATAAGATAAGTCAAGTATTTCTTTTACATTTCTTACAGTAAGATAAAATAGGTAGTTAAAATATAGTCATAACATAGAAGAGCAAATTGCAAATTGGACACATTTTTGAAAAAAACAAATCTATGCTTACAATATTATCTTAAGATTATTTTAAAATGTCGTGTAGTCTATTAATATACTTAAAAGATATGCATGTATTTTGCAGGTTTTGCTTGTTTTTTTAAGTATTATCAATACACGCAAAATCCTATATTTAACTTCATGCAAATATGAGCAGAGAGTTTCTCAACAGGCACCACATAAGGGCTCAGATACACTAAACTAACCTTAAATTTTTCTCTTTTGTGCATAACTTGGTCCTTTTTGTTATTTCAGATTTTATTTGACTTTATCTTTTATATATTTTATCAAACAATATGTCTGTAATATCATTTCCACAGAGCCATTTTATTTTGAAAGTGGCAAAAAGAGGGGCACGTCCATTCTAGTGCTAATATTTTCTTATTAATTACTCTCTTCAAATAAGTTTCACGGGGGTTGATTCACTTGAATTTAAAACAGAAAAGAAATACTTCCCAGAAAACATACCACGTCCCTCCCTCCAGCTTGAGTGCTGCTTAGAAAATTGCTAAAGTACTTGGATAGAATGGAATACACGGTATTATTTCTCAGAAATTTAAAAATAAATTTGACAGTTGAAGTTTTTGTGCCATTATGTTGACCTTTATAATCTAAACATTGGGAAATAGAACGTGTGATTATGTTTTAATTAGTCTATTGACAATTTACATTACAGAAGAGGACAAAAATGCTTTTAAGATGAGATAATGCAAAGGAGAGGGCTGACTATTTTGTTTTTAAAATCTTGTACTCTTTGTAACAGCCTAAAGAAATGCATATTTTACTCTCCTAGGTTATCAGGAGAACCACAATTAGAGAATTTTACTTTAATGTGTTCACAAATGATTCATAATACCCAGTATAATGAGGAGTTCAAAATAACATTACGCAATCATAACTATACCTCTTATTACATTGACAATCTTTATTTTACATTATAAAGAAACTCCAGACTTCCATAGTTTTTTTGAATGGCTCTTAGACCTAATGGGGAAAACATGTCCCATTTCTACATGTGCTATATACCTACCAGAGCACCTCAAGTGTATCTTACCAATAAAATTGAAAAGTCAGGTGAAATGGAGATGTTTTTGCTTATTTTGTTTTGTTTTTAATGCTTTGAAGATGTTTAGTCTACAATTCTATGTTTTCTTTATGAGCATTTAAGTTGAATGGAAATGTAAAACCAAATTAGAGGCTGGTCATTTCATAGGGGTTGTATGTAGGCTGCTACTAACACAAAACCTAGGGAGTTTGCTTTTAATTCCCAGGTGCGTAACAGAAGCAGGAGCTAAAGATATGTCATATATATATATATATATATACAAAGACAAATTTCAAAGGAGTAAAAGGCATAATAATAATATTAATCATAATAATATAAGGACCTATGAAGAAAACAAAGGAATTTCTTTTTATCTAAATCAAGGAAAATACTCCCATTAAGTAGCATTTGGAATACAGAAGCAATGAAAGAGGAAAAAAAAAGGGATAAAATCATTTACAAAGCAAAGTCATCATAAATAAAGTAAAAAATAAAATTAAAATTAAACTAAAACATTTGCAATTAATGTCACAAAGGATAATATTCCAAGTATAAAGAGTTTTTAATGCTTGAGAATAAAAGAATCACAATCTTAATGAGATACAGATCTGAGAAAGCAATTCAGAGAATTTTAAAGAAAACTACAAATGCCCTTTACATTTATAAAAAGATACATCTCAGTCAAAAGAAGATACATATAAATTGAAACAAAAACAAGATATTAAATGTAACTTATTATTGGCAAAACTCCAAAGTTTCATAACATACTCTGCTGTGGGTGTGGGGAATCATGTATGCTTCTATTCTGGCAATATGAAATGATTATGCAAAATGTTTTATAGTGGCATTATTTGTCATAACAAAAATTAGAAACAATCCGTTAATAGAAACCTGAGTAAGTTATGGAGTATAACCACATATTAAACATGCAGTTGTAAAAAGTAATGAGAAGATTTCTTCTTGTCGTATGGATATATGGTTAAGTTTTAAAAGTAAGGTATAAAATAGTATGCAAAGAGTTGTATTTACACATATACACATTTTTAACTGCAAAAATAAACATTACATTAACACTTGCAGAAAAGCATTTGCTGATAGCCAACACACTTTCTTGATCAAAACTCTCAGCAAACTAGGAATACAAGGTAACTTCCTAAATCTGAAAAAAAGTATCTACAAAAAACTCAGTGCTAACATCCAACTTAATGGTGGAAGACTGAATATTCTCTTTAAAAGAACAGAAATAAGGAAGTCTAGTCTCATAACTTCCATTCAATATTGTACTGGAGGTTCTAGTCAGTAAAATAAGGCAAGAAAAAAGAGGTACCAGAATAGAGTTAGCAATTTTGTGGGATATAAAATCAAAATACACATTTTTGTTTTTATACTAGCAGCAAATATTAAAAATTTTAAAATGCCATTTACAAGAGCATCAAAAATATGAAATATAAATAAATATGGCAAATTAGGAAGCCCAGTACATACATATATATATATATATATACACACACACACACATATATATATATAAAACATTGCTTAGAGAATTTAAAGAAGACCTAAGTAAATGAAGAAATATACCATCTTGATGGGTATAAAGACCAAATATCACCAAGATGTCAATTTAACCGAAATTGATCTACAAATTTGATGCAATCCCAATAAAAAACCCAGCAGGGCTTTTTAAAAATAGAAAGTGACAAACTGATTTTACAATGTCTATACAAATTCAAATGACCTAGAACAGTCTAACCAATATTGAAAAAGAAGAAAACATTTGGAAAACAAACACTACTTAATTTCTTTTTTTTTTTTCTTTGAGACGCAGTCTTGCACTGTTGCCCAGGCTGGGGTGCTGTGGTGCGATCTTGGCTCACTGCATCCCCCACCTCCTGGGTTCAAGCGATTCTCCTGTCTCAGCCTCCCAAGTGGCTGGGACTACAGGTGCCTGCCACCACGTCTGGCTAATTTTTTGTGTTTTTAGTAGCGACGGGGTATCACCATATTGGTCAGGCTGGTCTTGATCCTGACCTCAAGTGATCTGCCCGCCTAGGCCTCCCAAAGTGCTGGAATTACAGGCGTGAGCCACCACGCCTGGCAACACTACTTAATTTCAAAACTTAACAGTATAGCTACCATAATCAAGACAAAAATCAAGACAGTGTGATACCGGTATAAAGGCAGATGAGTAGAAAAATAGAATGCAGTAGGGTCCAAGAGAGATTTGCATGTATATCGATAACTAACATATTATTGTCAAAACTCTAACTCTACAGTACATATGGGAAAACATGCATTCTTCTACTCTGGCAGTATGAAATGATTATGCAAAATGTTGTTTCATACTGGCATTATTCATCATAACAAAAACTGTTATGACATCAACAAAAGAAATGATACCGGAAAATATGCAAGAAAACAACCTTCAACCCGTAATTTGCACTATATACAAAACATTAATTAAAAATGGATAGTAGACCTAAATGTAAAATCTAAAATTATAAAACTCCTAGAAGAAAACATAGGAGTAAAAACTCTGTCATCTTGGGTTATGAAATATTTATTTAATATAATAGTAAAACATGATTTATAAGAAAGACACCTTTTTTGTTTGTTTGTTTGTTTTCAGATGGAGTTGTACTCTGTTGCCCAGGCTGGAGTGCAGTGGCGTGATCTCAGCTCACTGCAACCTCCGCCTCCCAGGTTCAAGCAATTCTTCTGCCTCAGCTTCCCAAGTAGCTGGGACTACACCGGGCTAATTTTTGTAGTTTTTTAGTAGAGATGGGGTTTCACTATGTTGGCCAGGCTAGTCTCAAACAGCTGACCTCGAGTGATCCACACTCCTCAGCCTCCCACAGTGCTGATATTACAGGCTTGAGCCACCGTACCTGGCCAAAAGACACTTTTAAGAGAGAGAAAAGACTATCCACAAATAGGAAGGATATATTCGCAATGTATATATCTAATAAATTCTTGTATCCAAAACGTGAATTATTCTCAAAACACAATAATAAGAAAATCAGCAACACGATAAAAATGGGCTAAGTATTTGAACAAACACTTTCTCAGAAAGATATGCAGATAGCAAATAAGCACATGACAATGCCAAAATGCAGTAGTCAAGCACATACCTATTAGAATGTCTAAAAGTTGAGAAAACATAATTTTTCTATACTGCTGTTGGGAATTTAAAATACTACAATCACTTTGTATAACAGTTTCACAGTTATTGAAAAAATTAAACATACACCTATCATCAAATCTAGCAATTCTACTCCAATATTTGCCCAAAAGTAATGAAAGCATACATACTTACAAAATTCTGTACATAAATGTTCTTTGCAACTTTATTTGTAATACCCATAAACTGAAAATAATTTAAATGTCCATATGCTGATGAATGAATAAAGAAATGTGATTCATCCTTCCTATGGAATACTACTCAGCAATAAGGTGCAGTAAGACATATTAATACAGACAGTATTGATCCATCTCAAAATCATTATGCCAAGTATGAGAACTCAAACACAAAAGACATGTACTATAAAATTTCAATTATGTGCAATTCTGTAAAAGGCAAAACTGTAGAGACAGAAAGCAGATCAGCAGTTGCCTAGTGAATGGGCATAGAATGGAGAAGGAGCTGGTGGCAGGAGTGTGGAGGGGAGAATTATACAGGCTTAAGGAAATTTGGGGGGATGATGATTATGTTCATTTTCTTGATTGTGGGGATGACTTCATGGGTGTATAGATGTGTTGAAACATCTAATTGTACACTTTCAAAATGTGTAGTTTGCCAAATGTTAACATCTTAATAAAGCTGAGAAAATAAAATAACAAGAAAAATGACACAGGAACTCACAAAAACCAGCTTCCAGTGGCCAGATATCGAACAATCTGATCATTGGAAAGAATAATAGCTACAGTGGATTGACCCATATTGAAATAGAAAAACTCCTAATTTCAAAATGATACTCATAAAAGAGATAATGGGAAAAAAAGCAAGAAAAGTTCTTAATATTTATCCTATATTTTTTCTATGCAAACTATTTCAGGATAACCAAATAGATCAATCTGAGTATTAAAAGTTATTACATATAGAAAGAAAATTTTGAGCTAATAAATGATAAATGTGAAATAACTGTTTCAGACAAAGTTCATTAAGGAACAAAATGTTAGATAAATGATCTCTGACAATCACTCTGTGACTAACCAATCTGTAACTTCCCAATAAAGTAGAGGGCAAGAAGATTCTAAGAAGATAATTTATAAAAGAACTTCTACTGCTCAAAATATTTATTTATGTTCTTTACTGAATAGAGTTGCTTTCAGCTTTCTTACTATTATCTTTGCGTGTGTGTTAGTATTTACTAAATTGCTATACACATTTCTATCTTATATGCTGTAGAAATATATTTTACATGTCTTTCTAATATATGAAGAAATATTAAGCAAAATTTATAATTCTATTTAAAATAGAGTTTTGGAATAGAAGTGATTCTCCAAAAGGTGATCTATTTATTTTTCAAGAAAGTGAAAACTTTAAAATTTAGATGCATAAAAGACACTAAAACTGTGATTTGTTTTCAGGGAATTAACGAAGCATAGAGCAAATGTAATTAATTATAAAATTCAGTAGGAAATTAGATGAAAATATGACTCGTAATCTAAAAAGTAAAAGTCTGCTAATTAACACTCAAACTCAGAAGACACCTGAAATGGTTTCTTACAAATATGTCTTTATTGTATACACAATGAAGAAAATCCCATTTTTGTCAGGTTTGCCCTCATTTCTGGTAAATTATTTATATGTATTCAAATACACCAATTTAAATATTTCTATTTAAAGAGCCTAGGAAAATAATTTTTCATTACATAGAATCATAAAAATGAACGAATGTGTTCTTCTGCCTTGTTCGTTTATTTCCCCCATGAAACCTCATTTGATACTGTACTTTAAGTGGAAATGAATATCCCCAAACTAAGGAAAATAGGTCATTTGCAAGGCTTTTCTTCCAGTTTCATAAAAATCTGCAGTAATGGGCTCTGGTACAAAGGCTTCACAAACCTAGTGGTTAGAATATTTTTCTTTATTCTTCAAAAATATTTCCTTTTGTTTCATTTTGTGTGAAAATTGTGAAAGGAAAATAAATCTTACGGCCCCCAAATCACTAAGCTAAAGGGAAAAGCCAAGCTAGGAACCACTTAGGGCAAACCTGCCTCTTGTTCTATACAAAGTTACCCCTCTGCTCACTGAGATAAATGCAGATTTGATTGCCTCCTTTGGAGAGGCTTATTAAAGAATGCAACCCTTTGTCTCTTATCTACCTATGACCCGGATGCCCTCTCCCTGCTTCGAGTCTTCTGATCTTTGCTTCGAGTTGTCCCACCTTTCCAGACCAAACCAGTGTTCATCTGACATACGTTGATTGATGTCTCAGGTCTCCCTAAAATGTGTAAAACCAAACCATGCTCTGACTGCCCTGGGCACATGTCGTCAGGACCTCCTGAGGCAGTGTCACTGGTGCGCGTCCTCAACCTTGGCAAAATAAACTTTCTAAATTAGCTGAGACCTGTCTCAGATACTCGGAGTTCATAAAATCCAAAGTGTTTTTATATTCTCCTCAGTCGAGTTCAGCAAATAAATATGGAATATCATAAGAATAATGAATACTGTTTGTCAATTGTTTAATTTGTGACAGGCATATGCACAATATGCTCACCTTACAACAACCTCAGATGGACTTGCCATCTCCAGTTTATAGTGGGTGAGACTATACAGAAAGTCTGAGTAGACCCCCCGCCCCTCCAAAATACAAAATTCAACCCCAACAGGGTTAGGAAACACTCTTCAATACAATTTTCAGCCACCACCGGGCCCTCACTCCTGGGTGGCAAAATTAATGTCTGTTCTTGACAAGACAACAGTGAATAACAATACAGGCTTTGCTCCCTACGCACGTGGAATGAGGGAGCAGGCAGGTGACATATTATTCAAAAATTCCTTATCTCACTTAGGCTCCATTTCCTCTCCTGTTAAATGCAATTAACAAGATAGCAGGGTTACTAGAAGAATAACCTTAGACAATGTGTGTGAAACGTCGGGCACAGAGTAGGCACTCATGAAATTTCTGTTCTCCTCTATTCCATAAGTCTGTAAAAAGGAAGAGATTTAGAACAAAGGAAAGAATTCTGAAGGCAAATTAATTTTTAAAAACTTCCAGTGATGTTTATTTATGATGGAATTTCAGTTTAAAGAGTAAAATACTTCACATTCTCAATAAAAAGTCTAAAAAATCACTAGTACACAAAATTCACTCTTAACAAAATTACTTTAATGACTGGTGGTAAATGTGCTCTTGAATATTGGACGATTTGAGAGTAGCAAAGTGCTTTATTCTTACAAGGATCATTTGTTCTGTATTTGACAAAAACGAACATTTCATTCTGTTTTACTTTTAAATGGGTATTATTGTCTTTGATATTTGACACTGTCAATTAAAATGTCACACCAATCAGAAAAGCCCATTCATACTTAATAGGTAGACTGCAGAACAGAATGTACCTTTGACTGATTTACGGCTTGAAAATCCTACATAAACAACGTTGATATTTCCATTTTTACCAAGTATCAGCATAAGACATTTCACAACTGTTGTTTAAGCAAAACACAACTGTTCATCGCTATAAAAAACAGTAGCAAGTAACAGAATGTTAGTTTAAAAAAATACTGCCTATTTACTAAAAATGAGTAGTTGTTACAGTAGTATGTTTTAACCTTTAACTTGGTAAGCTTTATGTTCATTAACCATCAAAACATACTGTTTGAATTTGAAGTTGTTGGAACTGAGGGCTATGATTTAGAATATTTTTGGGCAATGTTTACTAGTTGTATTTTTATGAGTGAAACTGATCATTAGCATATGAACCTTGTAAGTATAGATCCTAAATGCTCTTTGTCAGAGCCTTGATAGCATCTTCTCCTGAACTTGAATTCTGAATATCTTGATGTTGCTTGTTCTCATTTAAATGTTAATATGGTCAATAAGTTTAATTGCATAACAACTTTCATATCAAGCTTATTTCTAATTAAGTACTTCAAAATAAAGAACAAACTTTCTAAACATTTTACAGGTATAATATTGCTATACAATCATGTGAAGAAATTTCAAATACCCAGAGACAACTTCATGAGAAGAAATTGCTCTTATTCTCTCGCCTTTAGATTGATGGGTTAGAAATTACACCTCTTTCTCTATGCTAGGACTGCTTTTTATGAGGGGAGTGTGTGTGTGTGTGTGTGTGTGTGTGTGTGTGTGTGTTGCTGATCAGGTTATCAGGACAGAAATTCAAGAGGAAATACATTACCCTTGAGTTCTGGGGAACTTAGACAGATTTATGGAATGTATTTGTGTGCTCAAGCATATCAAGACCTGCATAAAAACCAGTGCATTCCCGAAACTCAAAATCATTTAGTAATCTCTCTTACATCCCATCTCTTTATCAAGGAGATCCACCCCACAACCATCACTAAAGCTTCAAAAGCCTATCATTTAAAACAAATCTCTAGGCAATCCCTTGTTTTTAATATCAGAGGCTTATTACTTGTGCTTTAAATATAGACACTAATATGGAAATTTGGATTTTAAAAACCTTATGTTTATATGCACATATACAACTGAAGCAAAGGCTATTAAACATCTTTGGCTTTTTAATTGCAATCTCTCTGGGCTTTATGTCTTTTAAAAAAAAATCTGGTAAAGCCAGCAAACAGTAGTGTCAAACTAAAGGTCAGACTAATACCTGGGAAGGTGCAGCAATGGATTTAATGGGGCAAACTGATGAAACTAAGTCAGCTTAATTCAAAGCAGCAGGAGCAACAGATGCTGTTGCCTTTGTTTATTTTCCCTTGTTGCCAGATGGAAAAGGAAAAATAAATACTAGAACGGAGAAGAAAGCTGCTGAGTTGTGTTTCTACTCCATCTTAGCTTGCTGCAAAATTTCAATATGCAAAGTGCTCCAGTGATCTAAGCAAAGTAGTTTGTTTTGGAGTGGACTTTGCATCCCTGGTAACTATCTCTACCTTAGAAATAGAAGTAGCAATAGGATGGTAATCACCTATATAAAGCTCAGTTGTTTTATCTCATGCAAAATGAGGTAATTATAATATATTCAATTTTCTGAAAAGTCTTAAGGCAATTATGAATGTATGCATGCCAAGACTAGACTGTATACTTTTTGAAGGCAAAGATTCTGTCTTGTTATTATTATACTTTGAGCAACCTGCATTACACAAGCAGTAGATACTAGTGAGTAAATGGCTAGGATCCAACATGGAATCAATTTTGTTTTCCCAATATTATTGAAGAATTCTTGAGTACTCATTCTATACTTGTCATAAGAGTCCTCTTTTGCACTTCTTTTTGTAATAGTACTGCTGAGGCCATGTAATCTAAAGTGGAGTCCATAAATTTTGAATTTAATAATTATTTATCCAGGAGCTGGCATAAGCCAGGAAGGTTTAGGCAATGGAGATACAGTAGTAAACACTAAAACTCATGGAACTTATCTTAAAAGCAATGAACACAATAAACAAACGAGATAGTGTTTATGTTAGCTTGGACTCCCTAGGAGATGAAGTCAAAGAGTAATTGCTGACTCTTCAGTGAGATGTGTAATACTATGGAAGAAGGAGTGAAGGAAAAGTTCAGTGTGTTGGGAGAGAATGGGAGCAAATACATGATGATGTGTTATCCAGGTAGCCACTGCTTCACTGTCATGATCATTCGTCTAGGAGGGATCATTCTGGAGAGGATTGAGGGAAAACTAGGAGCAGTCATTGGGAGATAGGAAGGGAAATTATCTGCCTATCTTTAGCTCCCTTACTATTTTCTAGCTTTCATTGGAGAAAGTTCCCCCAAGGGAGTTGTGAGAGTGGTAGAGATGGTTAAATCCCAATTTCAGTACTTCTGGAATACCTGGCCCCTTGGAGCAGCTGCTGGGGAAGCCAGATCCCGTGTCTCATGGTATGGAGCTTCTTTGGGGTTTGGTAATTACCATGATCTCTGTAGGTCATATTGGGAGGACATAGATGTCATTATAAACACTTTATAAATGCAGTATTTGACCCAGCACTGAGCATGTAGCTCAAATCAGTGGGCTAATTCATTCCCTGGATATGTTATTCTCACCTAAGAGGGAGAAGTTTCATTTCTGAGGTTACTCAGGGTCAATGATGTAATCTTTGGGTTGCTATTGTGGGCTTTGAAAAAATATAAATTTTATGAAATTTAGTATAGATCTGGCAATAAATCAAATAAATAGTTATAAATAAAATATATACCAAATAATGTCTCTCTGTCTGTCTTGTAGGCATTAACTGAAATAAAACCTTGGGATAAGCACTTAATAGCTTACCTTAGTTTAGTTTTGCACCAAAGCATTCTATAAACTCTAAATATTCAAATTCTGTTTTAAAAGTATTTCCTTAAATATATGTAAACCACATGCAATATATTAGTGCTGAAAGAAAAATAGAAACTGAGATTTTCATCATACATCAATGCAGACCTAATAAATTAACATACACCAGAAGGTCTCCTTTCTTTTCTATGGCATCTAATTACTCTAAATATATTAGTGCATATATTTGCATAATTGTTTCACATATTGCTTAGCACTCTTAAACATCCACTTAAAAGATGTACATATTATTCTGTATCATTTAATTCATTGAAGATTTCAATCCATCCAACATGTAATTGAAAATATATACAGTATTTGAGTATGCTTATAGATATATGCATATATATTCAAGCGTTAGAAATGCATTGTGTTTGGTAATTTGAATATGCAAATTAGTCTTGATGAACGCTAAGAGGGCTTTCTATCCTGGCCTTGTTTGTTCAGATATTTTAACTCATTCATCTCCCTAAAAATCTCATAGAAGATTTTATTGAAACTTCCCTCAAATATATTCCAAAGCTTATATGGTGGCCTACAGGACAGAATCCAACAGGAAGAGAGGCCTACTGTATCGAAAAATTACAAAATCAAAATTAAAATTTAAGCTTACCTTCAGAAATATAGACAAAAATGAAGGAGTAAAAGGAGAAAGAAATAATAATACATGTTAATAAGTTACTAACTTCTAATCGCAAGTTATTCTGTCATACCAGTTCAATCAACAAATTGGTACAGAAAATAATATCAGACACTTAGGAATGCTAAATATTTGTAAATAAATTCATTTACAAAATGAACAAAAAAACAAAAAGTTAGGTTTAATAGTTTAGTATTTTATCAGAGAAAATTGGAGAGATTTGTAGAATTTAACCAACAACAGAAATAATTCAGAAAATATTAAGAAACATTGTAGATTAAACTATGACAAATTACCTTGATATGCCAAATGTAAGAAAAAGCTAAGTGTATTCAAGACACATATAAGCAACAACAAAAAAGATGTACGTATATACATAAAAGGCAACTTTTGAGAGTTTGGGCCAAAATCCCAGAAGACACAATCCTGTATGCCATAATGCTGAATGTTGAAATCCTGAAAGATAAAAGTCTCTAAAGTCAAAAATCTCAAAAAATATAATCCCAAGAGATCAAAACTGCAAAAATATAATTCTGGAAAAATAATGTTTACACATTATTTAAAAGATATTTATTTACATTTTTTAAAGACAGTTTATCTGAAAACATAAAAACATGACAGAAAACTTTATAGGTCACTAGGCAATAGCAATGTACATATTTTTGCAAGCATAAACACTCAGGTATACTAAGGATGTTTCATGAGTATAACAGTTATGAGTAGACAAACTGTATTCATAAAGAGGTAGGTCAAAAAGCAAGAGGTATAAACACATATCACTATGGTTGGTAATTATGTGCACCCAGCCTTAAAATTGCGGTCATTTAAATATTCTGATAGATAATCTGAGTCTTTTGACGAGATTGATCAAAAATCCAGATGTGTCACCATGACATATGCAATCACCCAAAGAACAAAGATCTCAGAAAATTCTGTTTTTCACAAATACAGATTCACAAAAAAAGAAATATCTCCCTGTGCTAAGAAATTTCAAACAGTTTTATGTACACACACAATGCTTACACATAAACTCAACATTGTGATAATGCACTTTTATGGAGTCGAATCTGCCAAAAATGTATGAAGTTAATTAGAAATCTCTAAAAGTCTTGACACAATTTATACCTCCAGTATTAGAAATGCTGCAAAGATAAAATATATAGCCTAGCAAATTTGCGCCGTGTGTGAATGGGCAGAAGTTGTACACAATTGAATAATTTGGCATGGACGATTTCTTGTATTTTTCACCTACATTCTCACTTCTATGATCCTCTAAACACTTGCTGCACTTGTATTTTAGAGAGTGATTGTGGTCTATTTCGTAAGAATATGCTATCCGTTTGAAAGTCTGGTTATTGCTCAGCTGTTGCAATTAAGTGATTTTCTGCTTTCACAGCACCAGTAATAATTAGCTTTTAAACTTTTATCTTTCACCATTAAGTAGCCTCATACACTTAACTTATCACCGCTTTTTTTGTGAGGGGGGCAATTTCATGGTGTTGTAAGGAATATAATAAGAAGGAATTATATTCGGCTTTCCCAGTACCAAATCAGTATTAGTCAGGGTTTTCCAAAGAACCAATAGGGTATGTATATAGATACATAAGGCGGGAAATTTTTAGGGGAATTAGCTCAGACAATTATGGTGGCTGTGAAATCCTATGACTGCCATCTGCAAACTGGAGACCCTGGGATATCAGTAGCATGGCTTAGTCCAAGTCCAAAGACCTCAGAGTCAGGAAAGCTGCTGGTGTAACTGAAAACCTCAGGACCCAGGGGGCCACTGGTATAAATCTTGGAGTCCAACGCTCAATGAGCCTGAAGTTCTGATGTCAAAGGCAGCAAAGGTCTGTCTCAGCTCTCAGAGAGAGAATTCACTTTCTGTATTATTGTCTTCAGGTCCCTGGCCAATTGGATGATGCCCAACAATACTGAGGGAATACCTTCCCCACTGAATCCACTCAGACTCACACCCTAATCTACCCTGGAAACATCCACACAGATACACCCCAAATAAAGTTTTACCAGGTTTCTATATATTCCTTAGTCAGTCAAGTTGACACCTAAAGTCCACAAGTCCACCCCTTGTCAACTTGGCAACTGTATACATCTCCTTAACTGAAACTTAATATCCAAATAAAGACAATAACAAGGTAATAGTTTTGGCTAACATGATGCAATTATCCTGCATACAACCAAAAACACACTAATTCTTTCCCCAGAATTTAGCTTTAATGATTTCAACATTCAGGATTTTAATATTTCAGCATTGTAATTTTTAGGATTTTAAAAACTAGAGATTTTAGACTTCAAGGATTTTGATTTTTTAGGATTTCAACATTATGGATTATGGCATTAGGAATTGTGTCTTTTGGGATTATGATCAGCACCAACCTTTTGGAACATGAGTTCCTTAAAAACAGCCAAGTTTGTATAGTACTTAATGTAAGTATCTGCTATTGATTAAATCTTTGTGTCTTCCCAAAATTCATACGTTAAAACCTAATCCTCAATGTTATCATATTTGGAGATGGAGCCTTTGCAAGTTGATTAAATCATGGGGGTGGAGCCTTTTTAAGTGGGATTTATTCCCTTATAAAAAGAGAATCCAGATAGATCCCTCATCTTTTCTGCCATATGAGGACACAAGAAGAAGGCAGCCATCTGTGAACAAGAAAGTGGGACTTCATTAGACACCAAATAGGTTGGCACCTGGATCTTGGACTTCCCAGTCTCCAGACTGTGAGAAATAATTTTCTGTTGTTTGTAAGCCACCATGCTATGATATTTTGGTATAGCAGCCTAAACTGAATAAGACACCTGTAAAGTAATCAAATAATGTTATATTGAAAACATAACAGAGCACGGAAGATCCTACATAAGTTGTTATTCTGAAAACCAGACTCCCCAAATTTTGAACTTTGGGAAATTTATGGCATAAAATTCAACAGCTATTTTTAAAGTTTGCTATATAATAGATATTATTTTATTTTTTTACTAAGAACAACCATATATAAATATATCCTTTTCCTTGTAAAAAGAACAAGTCTGTATATGTGAGTGTACACACACACATACACACACATATAATATACACTTACACACATGTACACACATATATACACACGCACATATGTACACACAAACATATATATATATAAAATAATTTTAACGTTTTAATTTTGGTAGCCTGTGAAATCTCAGTAATCTATACTGAGTTTTGCTAAAACTCAGAGTTAAAAAGAGCACAAGAAATTAGTCTGTAGAACTGTATTATTTACACTGATGTCCATGGTGACAAATCTTTAATATCCCAACAGATGGCTCTCCACAATTCCACCACGAGTGTCTGACTTTTCTAGTCACATCGATCCCTAGCTGTTGAAGTCTTTTGTGTCTTACATTATTTTTATTAACCTACCCTGAATCTAGCCTGTTACGTGTTCTCCAAAACAACCATACTGTTTTGGTTGCATATGTTCTTTTATTGGAAGTATCTAGGAAAATTTCCCCCCTACATTGTCCTTCCTCTTTTTTTCAATATTTTTAACCAATGTAATGAATACTGTAGTTCCACGCAGAACCATTTTTAAAAGTCTATCACTCTAACCCCAAATTCTGGAAATAGAAACTGGTGGCAGATGATAGCTCCGCCCCACGTTGAGGATTGTCTTTGGCCACGAGGAACCCCCTTGCTCAGAGGCCACCACAGCCAATGACAGACTGATATAAAGAAACAAAAGGTTAGCCTCTGTGTTACAAATTGGTACAAATAGGTTTTAAAAAATTATCCCATATCCAGGACTCTGAATAATAACTAAACTTTCAGTCACAATTGCATTAAGGGTCAACTTCACCTTCTGCCCAGTCCAATGTTCCTCACTTTCTTACAAATATGTTACACAAGACCAATCACTCCTCAGTGAATATTCTTCATGCAACTTCCCATCTCAGAAGCCATTTCCAGAAAATCCACTCTAAGAACTTAATGTTCTAATATATATGAAAAGCAGAGAAGGAGCATACTTTGTTACAAGTAAGGATTTTGCCTTAACCACGACATAGAACTCTAATGAATCAAACTTGATTGCTTTTCCTTATATCAGTGGTAGGTTTAATACTTCGAATTGACCCTAAAGTTGGTAGACTCTATTGCTCCATTCGTTTTAAGACCAAACTCAAATCTTATTTCTCTCTACTTTGCGGAATGGAAAAGCCTGTAGTAGGTAGAACAGACCAGTCATTAAGAGACCTGACCTCGGCTGACTACTCCAAATCTTCATATGGCTAGCATAACAGCCCTTATCACCTCTGAGTTGTTCTTACAATTCCAAGTATATAGAACAAAATAATCTTAAAGAAAGACTGATGACACATTCGACCATGTCAGGCGTATTACCCTGCTATTAATGTTTGGACCTCCAGAAATCTAGCCCACTCAATAAATATGTTCGGATTGCATGAAAAATCAGCACCACTTCTCTTTGGTAAAGTAAAAGTGGAGAGAAACTATGAAATGTTCCTAGCAACTATTGCTGATTGTAAAGTCTATTGCCTAGTGATTTACTTATAGGAACTGATATATTTTAGTTAGTATTATTTTGACTATTAAGGTAGATTTTCAGCCAGGCTGTAAGCACCTTTGGAAAAGGACCATGTCCTTCAACTTTGTTTCTCAGATTCAATAATAGCTGTGACATGCTGTAGGTGTTCAAGACACTGGGTTTTTCTTTAAAACCAAATAAATAAATAAGACATTTTGATAAAATATGCTTTTACCATGGCAATTGATAATATTTCAGAAAAATCTAAAAATCAATCCATTTGTATGCTACTACTGACCTCCTAGCTCTGTACAGTTCTATTCATCAACATAGAGTCTAATCGGCTACAGATACAGCTATTTCTCCATTGTGTTTATAAGAATGTTACTTAGAATCTTTATTAAATGTACTCTTAAAGTCAAGATAAATTATTACACTTATCTGCATGTACAGGTCCACTATAATTGACCAAGATAATTGTGCGCTACATAGTTTCTTGGAACACCATGTAAATGGCACCTGTAAAGTTGTTCAAACAGGCAACCCTCTAAATACTCCCTTGAAATGTATTTGAAAATACATTATGTTATTTTTTCTTTTGTTCACAATGAATTCATGAACAATTCATGTTGACTAATAGTGACAAATGATGTCATTTCTAAATACTCTCATTATACATCAAATTTACCAGAATGAATACTTTGTCTTCTCAAAAATAGAACATGTGCTCATTACCAATATTAAATAATCTTTTGTATTTCCCATATTTCTCAAAGATTATTTACAGTGATTTTATGGTTAAAATTACAATATATTTTTAAGCATCGTATAATAGAATTCTTC
Source organism: Homo sapiens (assembly GCF_000001405.40). Lineage (NCBI taxonomy): Eukaryota > Metazoa > Chordata > Mammalia > Primates > Hominidae > Homo > Homo sapiens. Next base: position 58,737,154 of record NC_000013.11, read on the forward strand.
CACTTCTAGAGATGTAAAAGCATTTAAATGAATTATTTTCTCTTTTGTGACACTTTAAAACAGACATTGTTAGTGTTTGCTTATAGCCTCTCAAGTCCTTTTGTCATTTTCATGCATTACTGGCTCTCAATGTGCTTTCAACCCCAAAAGCCAGTTCCTTCAGTCCTTTACTAGAGTCTTGGCATGAGAGTGCTAGGTCTAGATTTGGGAGTATCTGGAAACGTATCCCTACCCAGGGCAATCACTAACCAAAGCATGATGGTGCAGTGGAATAAATACTCCCATTTTCTTGTTCCTGGACAGGTAACCCCGAAATGCAGGCTACGATTTCTGCAGAGTTCCTGGGGAATTGTGCCAAATTATCTAATATGGAATTTAGCTAGACATTACACTCTTGTTTGGCTTCCCATCTTGTTATGGGTTTAATTGTGTCCCTCAAAAAGGATACATTGAAGTCCTGATTCTCAAAACTTTAGAAGAGGACCTTATTTTGAAATAGGGTGTTTACAATGGTAAGCAAACTAAAATGTTGCTACTAGGGTGATCCCTAACAACTGACTGATAGCCTTATAAAAAAGAGGAGTTTGGAAACAGACACACATACAGGGAGAATGCCATGTGAAGATGAAGGCAGAGATGGGGTGGTGAATCTACAAGTTTAGAAAAGTCCAAGATTGTCAGCAAATCACCAGAAGCTCGGAGAAATGTCTGGAACAGATTTACCTTCTCAGCCCTCAGAAGAAACCAACCCTGCCAACACGCAATCTTAGATATCAAATATCCAAAACTGAGACAATACATTTCTGTTGTTTAAGCCACCCATTTTGTGGCACTTTGTTGCAGCAGCCCTAGGAAGTGAATACACTTTGTTTTCTGCAACACGTTTCTATTCCCGCCACTACTCCACCAAGAACCTTTTTTATACAAGAATCATTTTTATACAAATCTCCATCTCAGTATTTGCTTCTAGGGAACTCGATCTGAGACAACTCCAGGCTTGTATCCTTTATTATTGGTGTGTAAAAAAGATTATTAGGAGATAATTGGTGAAGACCAATCCTCTTACTGAACTAAGCAAAATTATTCAGAAATTGATCATTTAGCTTTGATTCTACCTTCCATGAATATTGCACTTTTCTCTCTAAGATGTGACAGTTACCTTGTTAACATATATTCTTTTTCTGTTCTAACAACAGAATTTAGCATTTTTCTCAGTAACTTATTTCTGGATTTAACTTATTTCTATTCTTAAAATTTCTTGGTTTTATTTTGCATTTGTCTTGGTTTTGTGCCCTGCTTTTCATCTTTGGAAAGCCGCTTTAGATTCAAGCTTATTGTAGATTCCCCCAAACTATCCTATAGGATCCCCTTGCTGTCTCCTACTGTTCTTAAGCACAATAGTTATGCAGAAATGTTTCATAAAAATTATTTCAGAACATTTCAACACTCTTGACACATGCTTTAGAGTTACCTATGAAAATTGTAGGGTCACATTCACCTTTTTCAGCTTTCGTAAGAATAGTCGAGAGTATGTCTTTGAGTCTGCTATGCAACTCTGTCCTTCTCAATTCTAAATAGACACAACCACTTTAATTGAAAGGTTTCCATCACTCTTACAACCTCAGCCAATTTTCTTTCCCTGTCTGAATGAAATCCAGCAATTGCGCATTTGCTTCCTCATGCAAGATGAAATTGTCAGCAAGGTAAATAGCAAATTTATTAGGTGCCATCCTTTTAGCAGAATTAGATTTCAAACAGATGCTCATACAGTTCAAGTTCTCTATTATTTGCATACAGACGGTTTTTTGTTAAGTTGGAAATCTTTTACAAATTTTTAACTGTAATCTTCATTTTGTTTGTGTGTGTATGTATATATATAATATATTATATATATTATATATTATAAAATATTATATATTATACAATATATATTATTAATTATACAATATATAATATTATTATTAATGTTATTAATTAATATAATAATAATATTATTAATTATTAATATTATATAATATAATATATATAATATATTATATATATTATAAATAATATATAATATATAATATGTAATATATATTATATATTATATAATATATATAATATATATAATATGTAATATATATAATAAATAATATATATAATATATAATACGTAATATATATTATAAATAATACATATAATATATAATACGTAATATATATTATAAATAATACATATAATATATAATATGTAATATATATTATAAATAATACATATAATATATAATATGTAATATATTATAAATAATATATATAATATATAATATGTAATATATGTTATATAATATATAATATGTAATATATGTTATATAATATATAATATGTAATATATGTTATATAATATATAATATGTAATATATATTATATTATATATAATATATAAAAAATATAATATATATAATATAATATGTATATTATATGAGCCATTCTTTCAAATCATACCTATTTTGTATTTATGTTGTATTTCCTAACAGCCAGATTTTGGTGCAACATGAATCCACAATAATATTAATTCTCTTTATTTTTCTTATTTGTACCCCTGCTCATAGACTCTCTACTTGGCTTCACAAATCATGCATGTAACAATAAAGCATAAAATTATAAATGTTCTCAATATGTTCCTCCTCTGTTACTCCTTTTCATTGAATAAGTTAGAGACATGTATGTTAGTCAGCTTGGACAGCTATAGCAAAATAAGGTGGAATGAATGGCTTAAACAACAAAAAATTATTTTCTCACAGTTCTGGAGACCGGAAGTCCAAGACTGGGGTGTCAGCCTGCTTGGGTTCTGGTGAAGGTTGTTTTCTTGGCTTTCAGACTGCCACCTTCTTGCTGTGTCCTCACATGGAGAGGCTAGAGAGAGCAAACACTCTGATGTATCTTCTTATAAGGATAATAATCCCACTCTAAACCGAATGATCTCCCAAACACTATCACATTGTGGTTTAGAGCTTCACCATATGAATTTTGGGGAAACACAAACATTCAATCAATTACATAGTGCATTTCTCTTCACATTTCTCTGCTCACCAAGTCATATTAATACTTATGCTATTAATATGCTATTGCTATGGTTTGAATATATGTGTCCCCCAAAATTCATAGGAGCCTAAGACCCAATGAGGTGGTATTGAGAAGTGGGGGTCTGTCCTCACAAATGGGATTAAGACACTTGTAAAAGGGTTTGAAGAAACTCTCAGTCAATTTTGCCCTTTAGCCTTCCACCATGTGAGGAAGCAGCAACCAGTCTCCTTGCCCATTGCTTTGTCATAACTAGAGTACCAGAAAACTGATATCCTCAACTATGAATAAAACAGCCAGCTTCCATTTCTTCATTCTTTCCCAAAGTTTTAGCTATCAGTCTGGAAAAATAATTAGTCCACAGATACTCTTAAATCTTTCAGTTTGAGTTTTTGTTTTGTTTTGTTTTGTTTTTCCCCCAGGTTTTCAAAGGCAATAGAGATACATCAAGTTTCTCCCAAACAATTTGCTTATTTCAGGCATGGGGAGCAGCACATTTGGATAGTGTAGAATATTGCCAGCCTGTCAGCCATATCTCAAGTTTATGTCTCTGAGGTCTTAGATATACCCATAACCATACTTTTTTCCTATTTAATAAAGAAAGACCATCAATTACATTTATATACAGGTTGCGTTTTTAAAATTATTTCATTATGTTGTCTTACCAATTAGATTGCAAACTCATTTGTATTATATCTAGCTAATCTTTTAAACCATAATAGGTACTTGCTAGATACCTGATTACTTAACCATACATGCATTTGAAAAACATACATTAATTCAGTGTACTATAAAACAAAGTTTCTGCGTCAATTGTGGTGGTACACATTTGAAATGGGATCTCTCGTATAAAAAATGAAAGAATGTATTTCATTCACCATGGTTCTTTGCAAAAAGCAATCACTTTATAAAAGTTAACCATTGATATTCATAATAATGGTGCTTACCAAAATTAATAATTATTGAATAATAAATTTCTTTCAGCATAATTATTATTACTATTTTGTGATCAGATGTTAAAATTTTGACAATTTAGTAAAGAGTAACTGCCACTTTGACTCTATATTTATCAGAATCCTTAAAGTGGCTGAGGAAGGGAAGTGATATGCTCCCAGTAGCAGATGAGACAGACTATAAGGCAGAGATTGAAGGCAGGTAGTTTGTAAAGGACTTCACTTTTAAATGTGGATTTTACTCTAATACAAATGTCAACAATGCAGTGTGAAAGAGGAAATGCTTGAGGTATTCTGAATTCATAATGAAGCATCATCTTTCAACGAATCCACTGTGGTTAGACACACAAAACACCTGCTCTCTTTATAGATTCTATGCAGTGCCTGGACTGGCTGAATGTCTTGATTCTGTGGTGCTTAAAGCAGAAAATGTCACTATGATTTCAAAGGGCCTTAATGGTTAGAAATTGCTATAAATGATAAATTTCCATGTCACCTTAAAATTTCTTAGCTTTGTTAGTTCAAGCCATGTCCTTAATGTAGTTTAATGCTGCTGTTATTATCATTATTTAATATAGTCAATGTATGGACTGAACAAAACATACTTGCAAGTTTAGCATTTTCCAATCAATATTTTAAATTTACTTGATGAAGAAAAAAAGTGTGCTCTTCAATTGTAAGAATTATCTCAGTGCTTCCCGAGATCACTTTAATGTAATACATTTATCTGTATGTAAAAATGGTTTCTCTGGTTACCAGAAATAAATTGCAGTATATCACTGGATTAATTGACATCAGTTTCTCAAGGTAAGATATGACATCTTGCTGACACAATATGAGTAAAAATTCTCAAAACAATTAGACAACATTATAGGAGGTGAAATATAGAAAGGTTTATTTATCATACATATTATGAATCAACATTATATTTTCAGTTTATTTTTACAATAAAGTATATATTATATTTCTTTTTTTGTAAAATTGTGTTATATTAACATACACAAATAGATTCACATTTGAATGTCTTATAGAGCTCTCAAATATATCAAAAGAAAGAAATAAAGGAACGCCATAAGGTTATATCTCCCAGGTAAAATTTTCAATACTTGTCTGATAAATATGCATAAACGTGTACATTGCTAAAAATATACATATTGTTCCATATACTTACAAGCTATGTGCTATAACTGAGAAGAAAATGTCTTCTTATGAGAATTATTCTGTTAAAATCAGTGGTTTCATTTTCTTCAAATCCAGGTTAAAATACAAAATTATAATTACAAAAGTACAGATTTAAAAATTACTTTTAATATTACATAATCTAATCATCTATCATCACAAAAATTAAAAAACTTGAAGCTCTGTGTTTTGGAGCTTTATATTTTATATCTTGACTCAAGATATCCAAGGTCACAGAGCTAGTTTATGATGGAATCATGCAGTAGCACCAAGCTTTCTATTTATTTCATTTTACTCCAAATACCATATTTTTTTCTTACAGGAAATGCTGTCTCTCTAAGACCTGTGTGTGTTGGCCAAACATGTGTCATTTGCCCATTTAAACATGTATTCCCTAATTTCATGCAAATATTTGTTCAAAAATTGTGAATATAATAGAACTTCTTAATTTAAGAAATACTCTACCTTGTGTGAGGCACTAATAATGTTGGAAAAAATGAATGTGATCTTTGTGGTCTTAACGCTTTCTACCTGAAGTAATGACAGCCTGTGCTATGTGGTTTAGTTCATATGACCTTATTTTATTGATGAAGTGAAATAAGTACAGTTTTTCCCTTTTTATATATAGGGATATACAACCGAAAATGGTTTCAACTTGTCCAAATTCGTATAGTTTATAAGTGGTGGACTGAGAATTCATCCTTCCTACACCTGCCTAGCCTTCCAAGGTTCATTGACATAAGAGTTCTTGATCTTCTTTACCGATAACTTCAGGTCCTTACCAGTTGAAACAGAATAATAGAAATATTATGTATAACCATGTCTTCTACCCAGTTCCTTCTCACTTAATTGAATGTAATTTCAAGCAAAACTACAAGCCCAGGGAGGATGATGCAATTCTTAGCTGCTTGGTCTGTAGTACTTCTTTATGTCTCCTTCCTGGCTTCAAAGCTAGCACATAAAGATGAAAGGTGGGTTCCTGGATGATCGCAAATTAATAAATTAATAAGTGCTATTGAGCTCCATCTTCATGTTGGTCCAGTCCAAAGGATCAGGTTTCTGGCAAGAATCATGTTTAGTAGTTACTTTGATTAGTACTCCAAATACGCTTCTCTAAGTATAAAGTTCTGATGGGAAACCCAGATTGCTGTTAGTAGTGATCCTGGTAAGCTACTGCTGCTACTACTTTCTACTTCTATGCTTTCTACTACTACCATTAATTTAATAAGAGTAAAGTCCTCTTGCTTCCCGCCAGTATCCCTTTCCAGGAAATTTCCAAAAAAAATGGCTACAAGCCTATGCAAATTAAGTGATATTTTTCTGTCTTTTGAATCTTAAATATCAACTAGAATTTGTAACCCCTAATATGTGATCTGAAAGCCTCATTGACTAAAAGGACATTGACAGTTTCTTGGATTATGACAGGTTGCCATAGCCATTGGAGATCACACCATGACTTGCTTCCCGACCACCTGGATTTTATGTGAAGTCACATGTTCTTAGAAAAACAGACTTTTAAGACACTCTTCTGCGATCTGACATTTTCAAGGTAAGCCTTAAATGATACAGCCTTATCCTGTGTCTATGCAAAGTTTATCCTCTCTTCACCAGCTCTGTGTTAGTGTGCTTACTCTGAAAGGATGGCAAGGTTGGCTTTCAGAGATGTGGTTGGGCACCTTGGTGTCTCTGCTTCCACAGACTCTGTTCCACTGTTTTGCATTGGTGGTTGTGGCTTTGTCTTCCTCATTCTAACCGATAAGGCATAGCTGTTCAGAATGGCTTAAGGCTAACTGCAGCATGGCTGGTTTACTTGCAGCTTTGTCTGAATCACATTTTATTTTCCGTTAACTAGATTGAACCACCAACCCACATCATACTACAATTAATGTTTTATTCTTTATTTCAAGACGTTATGCAAAAGTATTCATAAAAAATGATTTTCTGAAATTTAGATACAGTATATTTTTAGATTTATCCTGATCTTTAGCCTTGCTAGGCTGCCAAAGGGAGAAATTAAAGAAAAAAAAAAACACCTTTATTTTTATCAGGTACACCCAATCAAGACATATTCATTGCCCTGAAAGGAGATTACAAAACTCATTTTCCACATTTCATTCTCAGTGACTCCATGCTGGTTTTGAATAGTTGTTACTTTCCATAACAAAATTGGTTCTGAATTTGGTCTGAGATCAACATCACTCAGTAATCATTCATTACAAGGAAATTTATTTCTCTTCCCTTTCTCCTCTTATTTCATAAATTATTGTTGCCATTGTTGTTAGTTTAAGAAACATCCTGTAATATATAGCTCCTTTTTTTTCTTTTTAAAATTCTAGATATCAATTACAGTGGCCTGACTGTCTCATGGGCAAACTCCTTCCTTGTTTTGGGATGTATTTCATCTGAGCCAGAATTGCTAAACTTGTTCAGAGCTATTACAATCTTTTCACCCGCTTTAAACTTAAATTTCTCTCAACAACATTCATTCTATCCTTTCTAGTTCATAGATCACTCACAATGACAAGCAAAGACAAGTAAAATAGAGTTGAGTGTCTTTGCCTTCTCTTTGTCACTTATCAACATTCAATCATTATACCTATCCCTCTCTTCTTTTCTTGATTACATTTTTAAAGCCCCTACATTTTATTACTTTTTTCTCAAAATATCTTGCAAAACTTTCTGCCTTGAAATTTTCACCCTCTTAGTACTTTTTTCTGTGGGCTTGTCCTGTCTCATATTCTACATATTCTATGTTGGCTATTTACCCCTCTTTACCATTTTCCTACATGACCTTTTATCATTGGAAAATTGTAAATTCTGGTATCTGATTTCCATAAGCACACAAAATGTCATATTTTAAAGTTAAATTGTGAATGCAGAGTTACATTTAGAAAAGATTGTCTGATTCTCTAATATAGCCCAGAGTAGCACTGACCCTTCAGGAGGCTCAGTTTTTAGCAGTGAGGGTGGGGGAAAGTAGGGAAGAGAATAGAGGTGAGGAGGGTGTGAAACAGAAGTTTATGGGGTTTTTTTGTTTTGTTTTTCAATTTTTGGCTTTTTGTTGTTTTTGTTGTCGTTGTTTTTTTTTTGAGACAGAGTCTCGCTCTGTCACCCAGGCTGGGGTACAATGGCGCGGTCTCAGCTCACTGCAACCTCTGCCTCCTGGGTTCAAGTGATTTTTCTGCCTCAGCCTCCCTAGTAGCTGGGACTACAGGCGCCTGCCACCACGCCGGGCTAATTTTTGTATTTTTAGTAGAGGCGGGGTTTCACTATGTTGGCCAGACTTGTCTCGAACTGCTGACCTCATGTTCTGCCTGCCTGGACCTCCCAAAGTGCTGGGGTTACAGGCATGAAGAAGCTTTAAGGAATATGCATTTAATAAAAGCTATAAGGGAGAAATATGAAAAAAATTTTCAAGCTATGAGATTTACATATATATGTGTATATATATATATATACATATAAATTCTATATATCCGTCTAGTGAATATCTTGATACATCGATCTTTATTAACCAAGAGGAATTATCTTCCCTTTTAAATTGTCCCAGTTACTAGAGTCATTTTTAAATAAAAATATTTTCATTTTCTTGCAATATTAGCTGCTAGTAAATAAAATATCTTTCGATTACTTTCCTATTACTACCAAATAGCTTCTTTTTTCATGAAAGTAAACATAGGGATAAAAAGTTTTATCCTTCATGTTGTAGGTTTTGCCTTAGATATTCCATTGTAATGTGTTCTAAAATCATTAGTGAAGATATTTTAGTAGACATTGGAAACTTATTTTCATTTCACCCCATAAATATATAACTATAAGTAAATATTTTATGCATGTTATATTTTAACTATGAATATAAATCAATGGATTATAAATAAAATATCTAAGCATATGATGAGACCATATACATAGTTTTGCTTGTATATTTTATGTTTCTTCTCAGTTTACCATCAGTCATGACTGCTGAATACATATTAAGCTAAAGTTTCCTAAGTTTGCTCACAGGGTGTTTTATTTTTTAAAAGAAAATTTAATATTTAGCAGTCAGTTAAAATATTGATATTTTCTAAAATTGAACCACATTTTGGTTAAAACACTTATTTTTCAATAAAATACAAATGAATATTTTTGTTAATTCTGAAAGTTGTGTAACCCAAGTTTTTGATTAGAACACTTAAGCATGTTAAAATACACATTGTATTGTCATGGCTATTGGTTTCCCGCATAGGGAAGAACTCAGTGGCATTTGCCTAGGGTGCATTGCATTGGCCTACCTATCATTAAATTCTAGTTTAGAGCTGCAAACTGAAGTGCTGCCTGGTTTGGTAAAATTGAAACTGCTTGTTTGAGCCATTTCAATGATTAGCCTACAAGAAATCTATCAGTCCTGAAATAAAAATGTACTCAGGCAGTACACTTATTGGAATGCTAGACTCTAGGTTCCTTCAGCAATCATAACTTTCAGGTGGAAAGTTAATCTCTAGAAGTATTTTGTTCTGTTTTTGTTAGTTTTTAAAACAATTGTTGGAAAGCCATATCCTCTTTCCTGCCTTAAAGATGTTTCCTGGCTACAAGTATAATCCTTTGCAATGGTATTTTTGAGGGCATGCAAGGAAATATGGAAACTTTATGGACCATTGTCCAGTCTGAATTGGCCATTCACTGTAGGAATATTACAGATTTGATTTCCATTTGAGTGAAAGATTGGATTATAGGAGCTCTAAGATCTAAGAGTCCTTATAACTGTGATGTTCTTTAACAGGTGTAAAAAATAAGTGGTCAGTGTATGTGTGGAAATTCAAAGATATATAAGAAGCTAAGAGTAGAGATTATTCAATTTAATAATGATCATCATTATGCACCCCATACCAGTTTAGTTGTTGAGGGTGGCTTTGTCAGGAGCCCAGTTCCCTTCTCAATCAGATTATAGCAGGGGTGAGAAAGAAAGCAGAATTTCTAAAGCCTGTGTTCCCAATAAGCCATACTGCCTCAGCTTTCTTGTTGGAGAGTCAAGAATCCTAGTGAGTGAAACTGTTTTATTATTTTTTCATTCCAAACTCTTTTACTAGAAACCAAACTTCAGGAAAATATGATTAAACTCAATGACTGTGAAGATATCTAACCTAATATGATTCTAAAAATTCTTTCGTATTCCCAAGTTTAAGTCTATGCACCCTGTGGTGGAAAGAATTAAGCTCATTATGTTGTTTATTCCAGGTAACTATAAAAAATGGAAACTTCTAAATTTCACACCCAACAATTAGCTACTTTTCTATTCTTTACTACTGTGAGTATAATTGGATTTGAATGAATAGGATAAATATAAGAGCAATCTCTTTATGTGGTGGCAGAGCAGTCAATAACCTGAATCTAACATAAGCATTATAAATATACACTTTGTTAAAAATAATAAAATTATCAAAGCAAATATAAATAAACCCACATTAAGATCAACATTTCCTAACTTAATCTCTATATCATTGTTTAATATATACTTTTTTATAATTGCAACATTATTTAATGCTCATTGAAACATTTTCTGTGCCTTTTCTTTTTGGTACTTTTTAAAAAACTTAGTTCATTACTTACATAATAAGCATTCAACACAAGACTATTGGTTGAGGATATTAACAAATATAATAAGTGAAATAGCTGGTACAACTGTAAAATTAAATGTGAACTATATTTTAAATATTTTCAAGCTATTTAAGTAAATCAAAGTTTAAAAATTCAACAAATTATATCTCCGAGTACTGTGAGACGGTTGTTCTTAACCTCCCTACTGTTTAAAGGAAAAGAGGCCCCTTTTCCTGCACGAGGCTAATCCTTCTACTCATACTTGAGATTCCATATCCTCTCACCTGTGTCTAAATTATTTCCACCTCTAATATTTTCTTTTTATAATGTTTAAAATTGCCTAAGATGCACCATTTTAACTGTAGTATCAAAAACAAAAGCATTTCCCTTCCCTCATCCTTCTCGCCACAATCTATTTTGTCTAATTATTAAACTTTTCATCTAATTCTTCCTTCATAACACCATTGGAACTGATTTATTAAAAGGCACACCTGTCACAGTGTTGCCAAAAGCAAAGAATACATTTCCATCCTAATCTGACCTAATCTCTCTGTGGTCCTCGAAACTGAAGACCACTCTCATTTATTATGCTATTTTCTTTCACCTGGGTCTTTTGGCTGCCATGATATATTTTTCCTGGGATTTGCCTTTCTTTTTCAGAGTCCTTCTTTGATTATACAGAGTTAGGTTTGTTGGGTTTTGTTTTGTCTAAGATTTATCTATAAGCTTTTCTTCTTTCCTCCGTTTTTCTTTTCTAACCTGGTCTACTTTAATTTTACACTCCTTTCACTCATGACTTCAATGATCTAGAAACCAATGATTTCTAAATCTGCAACTCCAAGCAAACCTCCCACTAGACCCTAGAAATTGTATTTTTGTTCTCTTAATAGATACCTCTATATATGGATGTTACATGGCTTATGCTCCAAAATGAACTTATAGCCCTATAACATCTATTATTTTCCCTTCTCTCATTCTTTTGCTAATGACAAGTGCTCACCTAAATTTATATTCCTCTCCTCATTCTTAATCACTTAAAATATGTTTCAGCCTCCCTTGTGCTTAGGTGTAGCCATAGATTTTCAGCTGATTTAATTTGAGAGGAAGTGATGTGTTCTATTTCCACACATGGTCCCAGACATTCCCAATGCATGCTCTTTCATTTGAATTTTCTTTTAACTGGTGGGAATCTTGCGACAAACTTGATTGCCATAAATTGAAAGTTTAATCCCTCTCAGCTTAGGAACCTAAATGACTGTTGAACAGAGCTGCCCCACACAATTACATTTTATGAACAAGGAGTAACCATCTTATTGCACTTAAAGCCATAGTCATATGGGGGAATTAATTTAATTTAAATATTCTGAAACATAGAGATACTTAAGCCCAAAACTTGGATGTCATTACAAATCTTTGAATTTATGTGATCTAATCAATCATGTACATATAGGCACACACATATGTGTGCAAACATATAGCTATCTGTTTATCAATTAATCATCTATTTATCCCATTTGCCCCCATATATTTCCACCATTATTTAACTCAAGTCCCCATCTTTTCTTACCTTAACACTTTCAATAGATTCTTAATAAGCCTCCCAGAATGTAGCTTTACCCCTGCTTACTCCCCATCTCCTTCCAGTCTTTTATTCAAAATAACATTTCTTAAATATGTGCTTAGTTATTTAGCTCACCTACTCAAAATATTTTTGAGAAATGCTTTGTAATCAGTATATTAAGGGGACATTCATACATTTCAAGAATTGCTTGAATTCTGATATTCAGATTTAAGCATGTGAACATATGATGAAACTTTTAAACATACAATTGAAGTTATTCATTATAATTTGCTATACTACCAACATTAAATTACAGTTACGTTGGAGCATAAGACAAAAGGTTTAAAGTAAGCCTGTGACATACCAAAGGAACACTTTCTTATATTATACATGAAAATTAATTGTACATGTCAAGGTCTTTTTACTTTAACTTCTAAGTTACCCATCTCCGGAAGTTACTACTTAGGGGCATATTATGGTCCAAAGAGAAAGGATTAAAAATAACTAGGACTGGTCAAGTTATACATATGGGTATATATGCATGTGTGTGTGTGGGTGTGGGTGTGTGTGCAGAAGAGAAAACAATCCTAGAAGTTCAAGCCCTCAAGTAGCAGCATGTTATGAAAAATTCCTTCTTTAGAAAGGTATCCTTTATATCATTGATACCACAGCCTAAATTATATCATGCCATCTTCAAGTAACAGTTGAGGCAACAGAATAAATGCAGAGGAATCACAATGGAACTTATATAATACAAATAACTATACAAACCAACACTTCTCTACAAATTACGTTTTTTTTTCTAATTGCTGGTTAAATACAGTTTTAATTTTATAGATTAAGAATGAAAGGTCATACACTGCAGCCTAGACATATACGTAGCATTTCAGTCCAAGTTTGTTCATGGACACAGATGAAATCAATAACAAGGTTTGGCCTAACAAATGCTAATGGAACTTCTTTTTAAAGTAGTTTTTACAGATATTAAACTCCATCTTGCACACTGAAGTCATCATACATACAGTGCAGAGTCAGAGATTTTATATTTGCCTTTATTCTTCATTTAACTTTTGATATGGGTTGGCTGTGCCTCCACCCAAATCTCAGTTTGAATTGTATCTCCCAGAATTCTCATGTGTTGTGGGAGGGACCCAGGGGGAGGTAATTGAATCATGGGGGCTGATCTCTCCTGTGCTATTCTCGTGATAGTGAATAAGTCTTATGAGATCTGATGGGTTTATCAGGGGTTTCCGCTTATGCTTCTTCCTCATTTTTCTCTTGGCACTGCCATGTAAGAAGTGCCTTTTGCCTCCCACCATGATTCTGAGGCCTCTCCAGCCATGTGGAACTGTAAGTCCAATTAAACCCCCTTTTCTTCCCAGTCTCAGGTATGTCTTTATCAGCAGCTTGAAAACAGTCTAATACAACTTTTAAAACACTACTGTAGTTGACCATTGAAACAAAAACAATAGCAAGCAGTAAGCATATTACGATTACAGTCTTCCACTCATTCACTGCTGCACATAAAATGCCAACTGTGAGTGTTATTCACTGGCCCCATTAAGAGGTTTGACACTGAACACCACCTCTAGGATGATGTTTATAATCCTCATATGCTTCTCCATTGTCATGCTGTCATCTTTTCTCATTTGGATCGAAGTCCACCAGTTCTATCTGATCCATTTCATCAGTCTCTTCTACTTTCTTCCTCTAAGGTAGGAGTTTTTTCAGCAAGAGAGTTCATCAGCTGAGGGAAAGCCATTCTCAGGAAAAGTTTACCTTCGATTAGATAATTTGGCAGCTCTTCATATGGGCTACATAAATTGGCATTCCTTCGCTTAGCACACCCAAGATATCTCCATGCTGACAATCTGACCTGGATGAGAGGTGATGACTACAGTTCAGTCATTAAGAGTGGAAGCTACAAAATGCTTCAACCAGCTATATGTCCATACACATGAAAAGCTCTCCTCCTCATTGAATAAAAACAGTGTGCTCCTTCTGATCTAACACAATAATAATATCTCCTAGCTCCAATCCTGGTTCTTTGGTCTGCTTCACCATGGAACGTTACCTTCTGGCCATCTTTCACGCCTTTGTCAATATGGACTTGTACAATCTTCTTTTTCTCTGTCTTCCTTCCATTGCAGCTTTTATATCTATCTTCAGGACTGATTTGTTCTCCATGGCCCTAGCACTCTATGCCCACGGATTAAATTTGCTAAACCATTCCAGGTCCTATCTGATTAATTCTTATTTGCATTCCAGTAACTATGCAATTGGGACAGCCCTCTACTATTCCTTTCTTACCACTTCTACCTTCACATTTGTCACAAATCACATTTTTTTTGTTTTATTTGCAGAGCCAGTTTTCTTGCCACACCTTTATATAAATCTTCTAAGGTTATTGACAGCTGACACACATTTTTACCTTTCCTTTCCCTCTGCATACTTCCTCCTTCTCCTCCAAAAATCATATCAAAGATGTCCACAGGAGAGCCAGAAGCGCTACCTGCTCCACCCTCTTTAATTACCTGGCTTTCCTCCTTTGACATACAATTCGCTTTTCTTTGCATCAGAGAGAACTTGACAAGCTGGAGAAATCTGCCTAAATTTATCTCCTTCATTCAGGTTCTTACGAGAGTGGTACTTCAATGCCAGTTTCCTATAAACCTTTTTCTTATAATATTTTTGAGCAGCATTGAGTTTTACCCCCAAAGCATAACAGAAACTGGGTTCTCTCACCATTTTTTACTGGCAGTAAGTGGGCTGAGGCTGATGTGGAGGGTGTGCAAAGCAACGCACCTAGTAGCTGTGCTCAGATGCGGCAGCCACGACTCCACCTCTCGCCAAGTGTTCTGGAAAGTTCCCTCAAAATATTTTAAATATTGTCACATTTTTTGATCCATCTATCTAGCGTGTATTGAGTATTATTACTTATACGTTTATACTTAGATTGACACATAAGCACAATCTGTCATTTCAAGAAATGTACATTTTAATGGAAAAAAACCACGTAACTATAAAATAACTGTAAAAACATAGATCCTTCCCTTTTTGTACATAACATAAAATCCAAACTTCTTGGCATGGCATGAAAGGACCTAGTGAAATTCTAGAAGTTATTAAACAGATGTTTTGGGAGCATTTGGAAGAGAAAGCAATGATCGTTAGGAGCCAGCGTGGGCTCACAAAGAATAACTTCTTTTTTGATAGAGTTGCTAGACCGTCAAATTAGGTGAATTTTATAGACAAACTTTGTTGATTTCAACAAGCCATGTTTGTCCTTAGTAAAGCTATTTCACTGATATCCTTAAAAGAAAATGGGAAAATATTAATTGGAAGGCAAAATATTAGAATATTAATTGATAATACATGATAATCAAAGGTCTTTGTTTGTTACCAAGTTCTTCCCACCTGATCTTATTGAAATTTTTAACAAGTCTTTGAAGTCATAAAAGGAAAGCTAAAACAATTTTAAGTAAAATGAAACTGATGAAAATTATTTTATCTTGCTTTTTCCAGCTCATATCTGTGGTAGTATAATCATTACTAGACAACATTATTTAAAAGGACATCTGCCTCAGTGAGGCTTGTGGCAACTCCACCAAGTGCTAAGAAACACTAAAGACAAATAATCTGAAGACAAAATGACAGATAGAAAACACTAAAAATTCTTTTCAAATATTTGAATAATGTGGAAAGGCATAAAATGCAGAAAATGAAATGCAAATCATTTTAAAATAAATATACAAGTAAGCATTTTAATATTATGAGCATTTTTATAGATATATAAACATAAATAAAACACAATTTTTGAAACTTAGTTATTATTTCATAATGATATTTTTGACCCTTATAGTATGCAACCATTTTTTTCCATGTAACTATATATATTTTTAAGAATATGCTTTTGACCAGAGAGGTTTGGAGCATGAGAATAGTGTGATCCAAACTGTTCATTATTAATATTAAACCAGGAGAATTCTGTGGAATGGAACTGATTGTAGAGAAATTGGTGTCAGGTGGACCAGTTGTAACTGTGCCATCCAAAATGGTAGACAATAGTTGCATGTGACTATTGAGAACTTGAAATGTGGCTAGCATGAGTAAAGAACAAATTTTTAATTTTGTTTAATTTAATTTAAATATCTACATGTGGTTAGTGGTTAGAATATTGGACAACAGAACTCTAGAACATCTTCATCAACACAGAAAATTCTACTGGACAGTGCTGGCTTGATACACATAAGATATACATGGAAAACAATGATGGGTTAGTGATAGAAAAGAAAGGGACAATTCATATATTAAAAAGAAATATTTAAATGGCTTACTGATGGGCCTTTATATTGATTCAAAATTGGGGTTTTAGTGAGCCGAAGAGTCCCCATCTAGAGTGCTGAACTAATAATGCTTGTGAAGAATATCTTTACAATATGCACTTTTAAATTACTTACTAAAAGTTAAGATTAAAAAAGCATTTCAGATATACAGTAGCAACAGGTAAATTTAGGCCTGTAATTGTAAAATTATTTAATATTTGGTCAATGTTTATTGCATTTGGGCTACTATAGAAGCACTTAATATATTGTTTTATTTAATTTTCACTTGCAATTCTATGCTACTGTATTATTTCAGTGCACAATATTATTGTTGTTTCGATTTCAAATACGTAGAAACAAAGAAAAAGTTAAGTATCATATGGAAATATGTAGAAACAATGAAAATGTTAAATGTCGTGTGGAAAATTTTGAAAGTAGATAACAACAAAGCAGGGATTTCAACTCTCATCTCTTTGACACTAGCATCCAAATTTGTAATTGCTAATCTCTTCTTCACGGTCCATAGGGTGCTGCTTGAATAGTCTGATCTAAAACACTCTTTTTTAGGCAAAGGCTAGTGTGATGAGCAGCCACCCAAAGATATGTGATGTGATCAGTTGATATAGACATTTCAAATGCTCAATAAACCTAAACTGATTAATTTTTCTCAACATATAGTGTAAGAACTTACTTGCATTTTCATTATAAATATTCAGCATAAATCTATTGAAGCAAATATATGTAATTAATATAAACTATACATTAAGACATATAATATTAGTGTAATACTAATTACTTTAAAATAAAAATGAGTATTTTAAGTCACATTGTAACAACTTTATTTTTGTAAGTTCTGAGAACTCTAAACTTTGTGCATCAATAAAGGTTTCATCATGAATATACTATTTAAATTATTTTTTAATTGAAAAATAATTGTATATATTATATATTTTTGAAGTACACTGTGATATTTTGATATATGTTTGCATTGCAAAATGATTAAATTAAGCTAATAACACATCTATCACCTTGCATATTTATCATTTTTTGTGGTGAAAATAGTTAAAACCTACAACTTTGAAACATGCAATGAGTTATTATTTATTATAGTTACTATTCTGTGTGACAGATTACTAAGTCTTATTTCTCCTGTCCAACTGAAATCTTTTTATCCTTTGATCAACATCTCCCTTTTTTCTGTTCAACCCCTCTGCTCCTCTGATAAACACCATTCTACTCTCTATTTCTATATATTGAAGTTTTTAGTTTTCACATATGAGTGAGACCATGCAGTATTTGTCTTTCTGTGTCTGTGCCTGGCTTATTTTATTTAGCACAATGTTTATATATGTTGTTGTAAATGACAGAATTTTCTTCTTGTATAAGGCTAAATAGTATTCCATTGTATGCATATGACATATTTTCTTTAATTATTTATCCAATGAGGTACACCGAGTTTGCTTCCACATCTTAGCTGTTGTGAATAATGCTGCAGTGGACATGGAAAGGCAGATACCTCTTTGGCAAACTTATTTCAGTTCTCTTCAATATGTACTTGGAAGTGAGATTGCTGGATCATATGGTAATTCTATTTTTGGTTTTCTGAGGAAATTCCATACTAGTTTCCATAATGGCTATATTACTTTACATTCCCACCAATGTTGCACAAGAGTTCCCTTTTCTCCACACCCTTGCCAACACTCGTTATATCTCATCTTTTCAATAACAATTCTAAAAGGTAAGAGTTTGTATCTTGTGATTTTAATTTGCATCTCCCTCAT
This sequence comes from Homo sapiens, assembly GCF_000001405.40. Classification (NCBI taxonomy): domain Eukaryota; kingdom Metazoa; phylum Chordata; class Mammalia; order Primates; family Hominidae; genus Homo; species Homo sapiens. The sequence goes on from NC_000013.11 coordinate 58,755,592, forward strand.
AATTAGTGATCATGAGCATTTGTATGACTTTTTTGGGAGCTGTCTATATAAGTTCTTTTCCATTTTTTTGATTGGGTTCTTTGTTTTCTTGCTATTGAGACATTTGAGTGTTGTTTTTAAATATATTTTGGAGATTAGTCCTTTATCAGATGAGGATAAAGGGATGAAATATTTCCTCCCAATCTGTGGGCTGTCTTGTCACTCTATTAATTATTTTCTTTGCTGCATGGATGCTTTTTAGTTTGATACAATCCCATTTGTTTATTTCTGCTTTTGTTGCTGTGCTTTTAGGGTCTTATCGAAGAAATCTTCACCCAGACCAATGTCACCTATATTTTCTTCTAGTAGTTTTAGAGTGTCAGGATTTATGTTCAAGTTTTTAATCCTTTTTAAGTTGATTATTGTATATGGTAGGAGATAAGGGTCCAATTTCTTTCTTCTGCATGTGGTTATCCAATATTTCCAATACCATTTATTGAAGAGACTCTTCTTTCTCCATTGTGTCTTATTGGCACCTTTGTAGAAAATCAATTGAGCATAAATACATAAATATGTGAGTTTATTTCTGGGTTCTCTATCCTGCATCATTGGTCAATGTGTTTGTTTTTATGTCAGTGCCATGCTGTTTAGATAAATATAGCACTGTAGTGTATTTTAAAGTCAGGCAGTATGATGCCTCCAGCTTTGTTCTTTTTGCTCAAGATTGATGTGGCTATTTGGGGTCTTTTGTGGATCCATATGAGTTTTAGGATTGTTTTTCCTATATCTGTGAAAAAAATGGCATTGGAATTTTGATAAGGACTGCCTTCAATCTAAAGAGTGCTTTTGAAAGTATGGACATTTTAACAATATTAATTCTTCTAATTCATGAACATGGAATACTGTTTCATTCATTTATGTTGTAATCTATTTATTTCAGCAATGTTTTATAGTTTTAAGTATACAGATCTTTCACCTTCTTGGTTAAATTTACTTCTGAGTATCTTATATTTTGATGCTATTGTGAATGGGATTGATTTCTTAATTTTTTTTCAGATAATTCCTTTTTAGTGTAAAGAAATGAAATTGATTTTTTCTGTGTTCATTTTGTATCATGCAATTGTACTGAATTCATCAGTTCTAACAGTTTTGGTGGAGTTTTTAGGGTTATCTATGTATAAGATAATATCATGTGGCAATTTCACTTCTTCCTTTCCTATTTGGATGGCATTTATTTATTTATTTGTTTATTTTCTTTCTTTCTTTCTTTTTGTCTAATTGCTCTGGCTAGGACTTGTGGTACTATGGGCATCCTTGTCTTGTTTCTGATTCTAGTGAGAAAACTTTCTACTTTTAACCATTGAATACGATGTTAGCTGTGGGCTTTTCATATATAGACTGTATTGTGTTGAGGTACATTCCTTCTATGCCTAATTTGTTGAGAGTTTTTTATCATGAAATAATTGTGAATTTCATCACATGTATTTTTCTGCATCTATTGTGATGATCATATGGTTTTTGTCCTTCATTCTGTAAATATGGTATGCCACATGTAACAACTTGTGTATGTTGAACCATCCTTTTATTTCAGGGATAAATTTCAATCAACTATGGTGAATAATCCTTTTAGTATGATGTTTAGTTTTTGGTTTACTAGTATTTTGTTGAAGATTTTTGCATTTAGTTCACCAGGGACATTGGCCTGTAAATGTCCTTTTTTGGAGAGTTTTTGTCTGGCTTTGGTATCAGAGTAATGCTGGTCTTACAAAAAAATCTTGGAGGTATTCCCTCCTTTTCAATTCTTTGGAAAAGCATGAGAAGGATTGGCATTATTTTTTCTTTATAAGCAGAACTAAAGTAGAATTATTCCATAAAGTCATCTGGACCTAAGCTTTTTTGGTTAGTTTTTTTTTTTTACTATTGATTCAATCTCTTTATTCATTATTGGTCTATATACAGTTATAGTTTTTATTTATTTTTGATTCTATTTTTTTAGGTTCCATGTTTCTAGGAATTTATCTTTTTTTTTTTTTTTTTTTTTTTTTAACGGAGTCTCCCTCTGTCGCCAGGCTGGAGTGCAGTGGCGCCATCTCGGCTCACTGCAACCTCCACCTCCTGGGTTCAAGTAATTCCCCTGCCTCAGCCTCCTGAGTAGCTGAGACTACAGGCATGTGCCACCACGCCCAGCTAATTTTTGTGTTTTTAGTAGAGACGAGGTTTCACCATGTTGGCCAGGGTGGTCTCGATCTCTTGACCTCGTGATCTGCCTGCCTCGGCCTCCCAAAGTACTGGGATTACAGGCATGAGCCACTGCACTCAGGATATTTCTTCTAGGTTATCGGATTTATAGGCATATAATTGTTCATAGTAGTCTCTTATGATCCTTTGTATTTCTGTAGTGTCAGTTTTTATGTTTGCTCTTTCATTTCTGATTTCATTTTTTTATGTAACTTTTTTTTTTTTTTTGAGACAGAGTCTACTCTGTTGCCCAGGCTGGAGTGCAGTGGTGTGATCTTGGCTCACTGCAACCTCCACCTCCCCGGGTTCAAGCAATTCTGCTGCCTCAGCCTCCTGAGTAGATACTGTAATCCCAGATGGGATTACAGGCGTGCGCCACCATGCCCGGCTAATATTTGTCTTTTTAGTAGAGATGGGGTTTCACCATGTTAGTCAGGCTGGTCTGGAACTCCTGAACTTGTGATCCACCCACCTCGGCCTCCCAAAGTGCTGGGATTACAGGTGTGAGTCACCGCACCCGGCTGAAATCTCTTATATTTTTAACTTTGTTTTCTCATATACGTTTTTGCCCCAGTCATTTAAACTTATCACCATCTTTAATCCAACTCCAGAGTGTCCCACACATGTTAATGGATACTTTGAATTAATAATTTATTATACACTTTCCTTGTAAAAAAGGCTAATACATGTTTTAATTACATCAAAAAGAAATTATTAAGGATAAAAATTTTTTTGAAGGGTGACATCTTTAATGAAATAAATAGGCTTCTTTGTCCTTATTTGCTCTTAACTATTGCATAGAACATACTCTGTAGGATTTGCATCTTTCAGAAAGTCTGTTTCATATGGATCTAATCATTAAAACATACATTTGGTTGGCAGAAACTTCTACTATTTATAGATAAACCCAGAATATAAAAAGCAATTCAGGTTCAGAAAAAAAGAGGTGAATCAGATGTTTGTTGATGTTATCAAAGATAGTAGTGATACTCTTCTATCCAATATCCACAGAAAAGGAGCTCCCTTTTTCCTATCAGAAATAAAGCTATAGACTATGCAGAGAAAAGAGCATTATAAAATTTGCTAGAATAAAAAGGGGACCAGGGGTTTTAAGATTCCGTTGGAAATGATACTTGGAACTGGTAAGAAGAACACTAGATAGGCAGGTTCTTAAAGTAGGGGGAGGTATTATTAAAATAATACCTAAAATAATTAAAAGAGAGGGGATAAGAACTTATTAACGTGAGGGCACACTCATGTGGGTCTCATTCTGTAGACCTATGTCCTTGCCACCTCCAGGTAAACTCAAACAAGGTAAAGCAAAGCCTAATTTATTGACTTGCCTTCCCTCAGCATCACATAATTTTGGTACAATTCCAGCATGCTTAGAGAAATAAATATTGAAAATTGTACTTCTGTTTACTAGTGAAAATTAAAATTATTTTTCCAAACTTAGGAAACAGGCAAGAGTATACAACTTGGTGATTTTTAATATGTTTAGGAATTTTCTGATAGTCACTTGGGGGAAAAATAGGAAGAAAGAAATTTGTAGCTGGAATCTCTTAATTAGCCTTATCTGACATTGTTAGAGAATGGAATTTTCTTGCTCACTATATGTGATCAACAGCCACAGATGCATTGTTTATTATATGGAGTCCACTATATCTTACTAAGAGCCACACGTTCATTGTTTATGATTTCTGATTAATGGTTCACGCATGGCATCCTCAGGCACTGGCTTGAAATTGTCATGACCTAGGTTAAGCCATATAACAATAAAGGTAGGATAGTTTTCTATCCCAAAATATAAATCAGTAGTCTGGATTTCATGATCTTATGCAGACAACTTATTTCATGGGTTCTAAAATGATTTTCCTACACTCTGTCGAAACATTTCACACTTTAGTCTTCTTGCTGGTTCCTTTGTTAGCAAAACTTTCACACATGCTTAAGATAAAATTGTCTAAGACATTTGGTTTAATAATGGGTATTGTGCATGGTAGTTTGCAGAACAACTCCTGGATAGTTCTCTAGGGGTCATAGGAAAGGGCATTGGCTGTAACTTCAGTAAACATATTTTGATCGCAAAGAATAACCTTCTCCACACTGACCACCTAGTAACGCCATTCCATCTGGCAACATAAACAAAAGCCTTGTCCACTTCTGTATATATACTCAACAGGAATAGTGTTCCCAGATCAAATCTAAGGTGCCCAGTTAAATTTGAATTTCAAATGCATTTTTAAGTATATTAGGTGCAAGGGGGCATACTTATATTTTAAAAGTATTTATTGATTATCTGAAATTCAAACTTAGCATGCATGCACTGTGACAATACTAGTTGTACAGACAGAGAAGGAAGTAGCCTAGATGCAGGTTATATTACTTGCTCAGCAATCTTTTCAGAATGGAAGTTCTTTAAGAGATGTATTTAGTTGAAAAGTAGGGATAGGTGGAGCTAAAGATATTAGAACAGAAAGAGAGGCACCGTAAGGGTAGAAAGCAGTTTGTAGGGGTTAGAATTGGTGACTTCCTTCCTGGGGAGAGTCAATTCTTACAGAAATTTAAATAGCATATTCAAGCATGGGCTCTGCTGCATTGGTGGTCCACATATTGTCAGAAACAAACAAACACATGATAATCTGCCTATGTTCAACTATATACTAACTGCTACAAATGGAGACACTTAAATAATTTCACATGGAAATGATGAATTTAAATCAAACTAGACTTGATTCAAATTGCAAATATTTTCTTCGATTAGCTGGGAAAAATAGACTATATTATCTAACCTCGCCAAACCTCAATTTCTCATTTTAAATCAGGGAAGCAATATTTCTTATCTAAGGGCTGTGAGGAGTTTTCCTATAAGTAATATACTCACATTAGTGCCTGAGCTAATAAATTAAATACTCAATGCAATTTACCTAGTATTACTAAGTAGATGTAGCTATAAAATATAAATAAAATGATATTGTGGCAATATTTTTTATCTAAATAAATATTTCCAGCGAAACAAGACTTCACCTTAATTTACCACAGTATCCTTTACTCCTAGGGCAGTGATTTGGGGCAGAGTAAATATTCAAAACCTATTTGTTGAAGAAATGCATGTACTCAGATAATTCAATTTAAGCATCCGGCTTTCGTCTTGTGAAAACAACTTAGAACCATGTTCTATCATCTTGCTTCAGAAGATCTTTGCCTTTGGGCCTAGAAAAATTGTTTGTATAAAAATGTAGTTTAATTTGTATACCTTCTTTAGAGATTTCCACTTCAGCTGGTCAGATTAAACTTCAATTGTTTAATCCACAATAGAAGTTGCAAAAACTCGTCTCTCGTTATGTGTCAATATATTATGTGGAAAAAAAAATTCTATTTTTAACTTATTTTCCCTTATGGAATTTTGTAGCTACCTTATTCACAAACTATTGTGAACATAAAATGATAACTTTTCATTTTCAGATCAACAAAGAAATTATGAAAAGAGAATTTTTGCTATGATTATATAGTAAATTATAACCAAATTATTGCTAAAATCATTGTTTTAATAGCATAATTATAATTTGCATTACTCATAATAAAAAAAGAAAATATTCATAAAATAAAATTATTTTTTGCCTCCTAATTTCCACATTTAATTTGTTCTTGCCAGCATTTATGTATATGTTGACCATAACTCAGTAGCTAAAAAAGGTAAAAGAACTTTCTCTTTCACACCAACAGAAAGAGACTTCTAAATTAAAGCTACTTTTTATTTTCAGTCTTTTCACAATAGGAAATGATGATCTATTATTTCATTGGATTTGGGCTTTTGACAACAAAAGTAAAAAGAGATCTGGTAATTCAGAGAATTAAACTGTGTTTAATTCTGTACCAAAGATTAAATTCTGTACCAAGATTAAATTCTGTACCAAAAAGAAAAAAAAGAAACAGCTAGAGAGAAATTCATATTGATATGAGACAAATGTTTTGATGAAGGCTTAGAAAAAAAAGAATAGACAGTAATCAAACTAAGTATCATTCATGCACTACACACAGTGCAACCAAAAACAGATGTGAAGGGCTAATGTGACAGTAATACTAGATAATAAAGCTATTCAATGCCAGCTCACATTTACCTGATTATTACTGGTTCTTTGATTGAATTATATGTAAGAAAAGTATGTTGGTAAAGTACTAAATGTGTTTCAATTATTGAATTTGCCATCAATCCATCACCAAAAATAACCAACTCTCATCATTTAAGTCACCTATAAAGGTGCTGAGTCAGAAGGGCACACTGTAAAGCAAAATAAATCTACAAGTAACAAAAGCTATATTATTGAAAAATAATAATAATCACAACAATAGCTGAGCACTTTTTAAATGACTGGTCTTATGCCAAATGCTTTCTTTTCATTTTCTTTGTTACTCTTCTCAGAAGCCTTGAGCTAAGTGTTATTGTCATTTATGTTTTTATAGATAAGGAAACTAGCTTAAAGAAGTTAAATAAATTACGAAATCTCACAGGAGCAAAAAGTAGAAGAGGCAAGATCTATATATAGGTTTTCTGACTTCCACACAGCTGCACTATAGGCTCTGCTAGCTGGTCAGTACGTGATCATAACCTCACTCAATGTTCTCATCAGTGGAATGGGGTAAATGGTGATGCCCAGGTCTGGGAATTATTGTAGTAACAAATGAGAAGATATCAGAAGCCTGTGAAAATTGTGATGTCTAATACCATTACATATATTTTTACTATTAGCAAACAGCAAGTTAAGGCAATGGGTTTGTTGAAAAAAAATATGATAAGGCTTAGGCTTTATGATGCTTATAGTTGACAATTTCATAGATAATTAAAATAGATAATAGTATGAAAGCTTTAAAAGAGTTTATAGGAAGGAGAGATTTGATATGAAAGACAGCGGTCAGGAAGAAAAAGAGAAGGCTCAAATACCAGGTAAGAAAACTTGTATGGGACAATTTAGGACAGTGTTCCAGGGCTAAGTAGAAGTAGTCAAGAGAATTTATGTAATTCAGTGGCTAAGTGCAATATATGACAGCTTCTAATTCCCTATAGCTTTACTAATATGGTTTAGTTTTCACCAATATAACAGGTGAAAAGTAATACATAAAATATATTTCTGTAGTTGTATTAACTTTTTTAGTGATTTTGCACATCTCTTATAGGATTACATTTTGTAATTAATTTTCTGTAAAGATGTCTGCCCATATCTTTGTTCCTTTTTGCTATTGGTTTGTCAGGTATTTCTTCTGCGTTAGTGCGAGAGGCTTTTTAGGTGTTAAGATATTACTCCTTTGTGATATGATTGCAAATGTTTTTCTAATTCATATTTGTCTTTTGGCTATGCTTACATTGATTTTGCTGTGGAATATAGACACACACACACGCACACACACACATATATAATATATATTTTATTTATTCTGAATTTTGTGCCATGAAGAGAAAAAAGACCTCCATTCTGATATTTAAAAAAATACATATATTGTTTTATGGCTTCTAGGATTTTTGTGGTTTTATTTTTACATTTAAATATTTGACCCAAATGGAATTCTCCCTGGAGTAATAGTATCAAATAGGATTTAAGTTAATTTATTTTCCATGGGTCTACACAATTGTAGAAATAGCACTTATTATGAAAATCATACTTTGTCTTTCACTAAACTCCTGCACGTATTTGGGTATATTTGTAGGTTTTCTCATCTTTTACAGTGATCTGTTAATTTATGCATTAACATCACAGGGTTTTAAAAAGTGTTATAACTTTATAATATGTGTTATAAGTTAGTAGTGCTAGTCTTTCAACGTTATGCTTTATTTTCAGAATTTTTATGGATACTTTTACTTGCTACTTAACCACAAGAACTTTAGATTTCAATTTTGAGATGCCAAAATCTCTTCTTTTTATTTGGGAATTCCCTTAAATTTGCTAATCATCTTAGAAAGAGTTTCAGCTTTTTAATTTTGAGCCTTCTGCTTTTCAAATAGCATGTAAAATATGCAAATAGCATACCTAAGTTCTCTGGATATTTTCTCCCTCAATATCTGCATTCGAGACATAGTAAAATAAACTTGATCACCTAGCCTGATCATGGAGGCCCTGAGGTTTACCTTGATTGTGTCACTCTCAGTACCTGTATAACAAAAAGTCACTTTATTCATATTAACAGTCTGTTGGGCTCAACATGCAAGAACGAGATCAGCCTACAGTACAGACTGGGATGTACCCTCAGATCCCTGAGCTGGAAGGAGAAGGGGCAAGAGAGGATTGGGGTCCAGAGCCAAAGAGGACTGAGGGAGACAAAGGCAGCTGAGACAAAATGACCCATTATCAGAAGCCCTACGTAAAGCCAAGAAACAAGCCAGACTAAATCCCCAGCAACTGCATTGAAGCCAGCAGAAGAAGTGCAATCAGGTGGCTTGGCAGGAGCAGCATCCACTTTTTCTTGGGCATTCTTTTCACAGTGTAGTTAAATGTACAGCAGCATATCCTAGTCCAATTGTATTACTTATTTATTTTCTATCTGCCATACTCTAGAATATAAATATAGTAATGAAGGAATTTTTTAGTTTAACTGCCTTAAATCTTCAGCAAACAGAACCCTACTGAGCACTTAGTGCATACTCCAAAAATATTTTCGAAAGAAAACTTAACAAATACATACTGAATAGATAAATGCGTAACAATTGCAGGAATAAAGGGAGTAATGTTCTGCTAAAAGTGTTATCTCTGATTATTGCATTTCATTAGTTTATTAGTGAGATGGACCATGAGAAAACAGAAGAGGAAAGCCCAAAAGGGCAGAGGTGTGGGCAGAGAAGTGTGTAAAAGTTGAAGCCAAACATGCAATTATTCTTTTCATTGAATTTCATTATGTTTAACTATGTGGTTTACGTAAAGCCAAAATTATTACTTGAGTAATTTTTTTTCTAATTTTTAAAGTTGTCTATATGTCCCTGACCATGGTATTTACCTGACAGAAAATTTTACTCCAATTTTACTGGGAGTTTTATGACCACTTAAGACCTTGACCTTTCACCATCCCTCCAAAATGGGAATTAGAGTCAGCATTGACTTTGCTTGTTATCATTGAAAAAACTATGCTCCAGATAAAACTTTGCTTTCAGTGGCTAATGCAAGTTTCTTATTCATGTGTTCATTATGAGTGAACTTGACCATTGCAATAGTTTCCATAATCGCTTCCCTACCGTTAGAACAATTTTTGATGATATCACCCTCATGCTTCACTTGCTTAATTAGACCTTAGTGCATCAATGAGTCTTTTTAACTTTCTTCTGCAGAGGCTCTTCTTGCCCAGGGCTAACCTCTGTCTCTAAGTTTTATGCTGTTCTTTTTAGCCAAGGCTTTTTATATTTGAGTACAGTTGCTTTCTAGACAATGTAAGATTTATTGATAACAAAATGTATCTTTACCCATTTATTTAATACTGTCTGAGTGGGGAAGGGATTTGATGTTTATTGAATAACTACTATGTATAAGGTTGTGTGTCATGCATGTCACATTCATGGTTTTACTTAAAATTAAGATATTATTTTTCTTATAGTAAACTAATAGATAATTGTTCACTGTAAAAATTTCAGGGATGCAAAAATTTACAATACAGAAAACAAAGTTAACTAAACTTCTATCCCAGCCCAGATTTAGCCATTTTTAATATTTTGAGGTATGATGAGGTAGAAAAATATAGTTTTTCTATAGGTATATTTAACACATATATACAGTTGTGTTCTTATCATCTCATTTAAAGATGTCTACCATATTTTGAGGATTTTCACATTTTATTAAAATATTTTTGAAACATCCTATGTAATGACAAATTCTATTGCAAAATATTTGTGCTCTTTCTAATGGGCAATTGAAATTGCAACTGATGGATTCAAAAGCATGAGTTCAAACAGAGAACAAAAAATTGGGGGGATACAATCTAACATGGGCAATATTCTCAGGGTATGGTGCTCATATGTTATGTTTAGTTTACTTTAAAAGTGATTTTAAAAGTATGATTTCTTATGCTGTATGAGAATTTTGCAATGGTCTGGCTCTGTGTCCCCACCCAAATCTCATCTTGAATTGTAATCCAAATTGTAACCCCCATGTGTTGACGGGGGGACCATGTGGGAGGTGATTGGATCATGGGGGCAGTCCCCTCATGCTGTTCTCGTGATAGTGAGTGAGTTCTCATGAGATCTGGAGGTTTTACAAGGGGCTTTCCCCACTTCACTCTGCATCTTTTTTTCTTGCCACCATGTGAAGAAGAATGTGTTTGTTTCCCCTTTTGCCAGGACTGTAAGTTTCCTGAGGCCTCCCAAGCCATGTAGAACTGTGAATCAACTAAACCTCTTACCTTTATATATTACCCAGTCTCAGGTATGTCCTTATAGAAGCAAGAGAACAGACGAATACCATCCACTGTAATAAATAAAATTATGAACCAAGTTTTATGCTTTAAGTAACTGATTTGTCAGTAACTAACTTACCTTCCATATTCTAACATAGACTATGTGTGTGTTTGTGTATGTGTGCTGGATGTATGCAAATTTACAAATTATCAGCTAATCCCTTCCATCAGCTTAAGTGGGCAGTGATGAAAGTGTAGTCTTGTCCAATAGCAATAGATTTATAAACACGGAGCTCAGTTTTGTAGGATGATTGAAGATGGGCAAGTGTGGAGTCACAAACATATTTAAATCCAGGATTCTTCAAATTCTTGCTTAAATTTCGGCTCTGTTTATTTTCTCAGTGGGATTCAGATACTCTTGGGGAATAGTATTAGCCAAAAGTTACTGTTATAGCATTCACCAGACATAGAAGAGCCATTTTTTTTCCTCCAAGACTTGCATGGATTACAGCCCAGAGTTAGTAAGCAGGACAGAGAAAGTGTCCTCTGGCCCTTACCACATCTATCTTTTGTACTGTACTGAGTCTATCCAGTAGAAGGAAAGGATCAGAAAAAAGAAGTAAGAGATCAAGTTGATACAGACCTCAGTGAAGGGTTCATCCCATATGATAATTTTCATTTGTTTTTTTGGTTTTTTATTATTCATAATTTAATTTGTTAAAAAAGAGAAGTTTAATTTGAAATCAGTGAGATTTGAAAACTTAAAAGACTACATATAAAAAAATGCTCAAGATACAGAAATTATAGATTAGGTGGAAAACCTCTCCACCGAAGAAGACGACTGCAGAATTTATTGGTAGAAGCTTAGGGACCTGGAAGAACAGGGAACATAATTTATGAGTTTGTTTTCTAGGACACTGTTTTGATAGTGGTGGCAGTAAAACTTTTTTTGAGATAAATTGGTAAAGCAGAAGGTTAGCTTCAATGTAATGCTGAATAAGACTTTGTAGACATGTTCGTAGCAACCTCAGAATGAGACTATCATTTGTAGAGCTTTATGTGGGACCTGCCTCAGAGAGGCCAGTATTTCCTAGAGTTTATTCTGAAGTAATTATTAGGAAAATTCTAAATTATTCTTGAGTAAATTATGAGCATAAACCTTTAAATTGGATAACTGTTTCAAAAAGCCAGGTTTTTTTTTTCTCTAGTAGTTTTTAAAACTTGTCTCTCTTCATCACTGTTATTTTCTTTAATATTTATAAGTAGATGCTGTGCTTGATAAATCAGGCAGTTCTCAGGAATAATCCAGGTTGATAAAAAAAAAAATCCAGAATGAAGACATTACAAATACAATGAAGTGCACACAGAGTTATTTGGCAGCATTTTGGAAAATCTGACTCTGACAGTTGAGGTTTCTCCCCTGCCGACTCTCTGTATCTACTGAATAGAAACAGAAGGAATTAAGAGAAAGTGCCAGGAAAAATAGAAGCTGTTTGATATGACAGATTTAATTAGCTGACATGAGTACTATAATATACTAGCACTTTTAATAACATGACCTTCACTTGTTCCTCAGGGGACACAACATAACAAAGAGAAAGATCTTTCCTCTAAAGTGACAGCTGTTGATAATGTTCTGTATTTACACATTTTTCTTCCCTCTAAAAAGCACAACATCTCCTTAACATTGTGATATTCCTCTAAGGTTAATGGGTCTGAATTCACATTCCTAATAATTCAGCTTTTGCACAGTAGTCCAAGTTCATTGCAAAGTCAGGGGAATCGGGATTTTTTCCAAATCTAGGGCTTGGAAAGGCCACAGAAGAGGAATAGAGGGAAAAGCCACTGAGTTAAAAGATTAACGTTGATCCTAGATTACCACAAAAGTCACCTAAATATTCTCCTAGTGTCTGTGCTACCTCCAGATTCTCAATTTACCTTGGCCTGCCTACAGATTTATTCTTTCTTAAAAGCATCTTTGATCACACTTGAGCCACATGTAGGGTTCCATAGCTTTCTATAACTAAAGGATAAATGCCACCTCCTTCTCCCCCTAGCCACTGCTTATCTTGCCACACTTCCACACTCCTCAATTATGGAAAGTCCCCACTTCAGCCAGGCTGCTCTATGATCTCTCAGTCTGACATTACAGCCTCCCCATCCTTTCTCATAAAACCACTCTCAAACACACCTGTGAAATGCTTATCTGCTTCTTCATACACATACTTTTCACTGATATCTTCCCCAAATAGTCTAGGAAAAGTGATTACCTTTCACTCTGAATTTCTGCAACACTCTGTATTTATAGTTAATAAACGTGTTTTACATGTCATAACCTGTTTTCTGAAGCCAGGGACAATTCCTAGTGCTTGAATTCTTGTTATTTAGTAATCCTCCAGTGGTTATATAAACAATCACTGGTATATTTACCACCGTCTTAGTCCATTTGAGCTACTATAGCAAAATGCAGTAAACTGGGTACTAATAGAGTACATGAGCCATGGCAAGAAAAATGACAGAAATTTATTTCTCACAAATTCTGGAATTCAGGAAGTTCAAATCACTGGCAGATTCAGTGTCAGGTGAGGGTCTGCTTTGTGGTTCATACATGGTGCCTTCTTGCTGTGTCCTCACAAGGTAAGAAGTGAGCAAGGCAGCTCTCTGGCGCCTCTTTGATAAGGGGACTAACTTCATTCGTAAGGGCTCTACACTCATGACTCAATCACCTCCCAAAGGCCTCATCTCCCAACACCAACACATTAGTGAATTGGTTTCAGGATATGAATTTTGAGGGTACACAAACATTCAGACCATAGCAACTACCAAGTGTGAATAGTTATATGAACTTTGAGGTACAGATAATATAAACAATGTGGGGAATTTATTCTAATTATCTACAGATTTGTACCCAACAAAGTCATGAAAGTCACTCAAAAATCATGACGTTGGTGCCTCCCTGCTGACCTGCCAGTGTCCTTGCCTGCTTCTTGGGTCTTCCCTTGTCTTGTTTCCTAGGACAGTAGCTGGACACCATTCTCCATAATAACCATATCATCAGATCTTATAGAATCTACCTAATTTCCAGTCAGATATGCCTGGTACAGACCTTTCTGCTTAATGATTTTTTTAGCAACTGAAACTTTAAATAGCTGGATAAAATAATTTAGAAAGAATAAATCTACATTGTGGATTGAATTATTTTTTTCTTTCTTTCTTTTTTTGTTTTAGAGATAGGGCTTCACCATGCTGCCCAGTCTGGTCTTGGACTCCTGGGCTCAAGCAACCACCCGCCTCAACCTCCCAAAGTGCTGGGATTATAGGCATGAGCCACTGCAGCTGGCCTGGATTGAATGTTTTAGAGCCCAGTGAACAATTAACATATAAAGAAAAGTAACTAACACTCTCTGAGTATCAGTGTATTCTAGGTGATAAGCAAGGCTCTTTATGAATAGTTATCATTTACTCCCAATTTTTAACAATGAGGAAATTAAAACTCAGAATGATTAATCAACCTACCCAGTCACACAAAGTAGCAAGGCTCAGATTTCTGCTTGATATGCTGCTTTTAAAATAAGTTTCTGATTCTTTTATGTAAATATCTAGGTGATGTGTGGCTGAGTCGTATGATAGACGTGTTCAATTATTTTAGAAACTCTGGAACAATTTTCCTAGTGGTTTTATAATTTTACAGTATCACCAGCAGTTTATGAGTTTTCCAGTGCCATCACATTTTGCCAGAACTTTGTATTTTCAGTAATTTAAAATTTCAGCCACTCTACTAGGCATCAACCTAAATAATAGACAAAGAGAGATTCTCCAAAGATAATCAGTTTATTTAGGAAGGAGCAGAAGCATTGCCATACAGAGTACACGAGCCATGGCAACTATAGGCACAATTGAGGAGGTTGAGGCACAAGGAGGCTTTTAAAGGCAAAAGGAGGAGTCCATGTCAGTTATTTTGCAACAAAGAGAACAATGGTTAGAAGGGTTTATTGCAGGAGTTGACTGTCAGCTCATGAGTGGAGACTGTATCAGGCACAGGTTCTTATACTTATGGTTAAATGTCCTTGTGACTCATGTAGCAAGTTGCAGTTTGGAAAATCTTTTACAAAAGTTTTTGTTACAGGCTTATGTGCATAAGAACCTTCAGAGAGTCTTTACAATAGTTCTTATCACAGGCATGTTTGCATGAGGGTTTTCCCTTTCTAATCTCCTGACTTTATTTTGAGTTTAACACAAGTGACTCCATGTTTGTATGGATAACTTTCACATCGGTGTGGATTAGTATTTTAATGATGCTTTTAAGTGCATTCTTCTAGTGACAAATTATATTGATCATTTTCTCATATGCTTATTAGCCATTCATATATTTTCTTTCATGAAATGCCTGCTCAAATCTCTTGGCCATTTTTATTGGATTATTTATCATATGTCCTCACAAAGACTTCAACATGAATGCTTTAGCTATTTTATTTATAATTCCAAGAAACAATAAACAAACCAAATGTTCAATAACAGTTGAATTTTGAATGGACAAATAACATATAAGCTATATCCAGGCAATGAATATTAGATAATAACAAGAAACTAGTGATACATACAGCAAAATGAATGAATCTCAATATCATTGCACAGGGTGAAAGAAGTGATACCCAAAGAGAAAATACTGTAGGATTCCACCTATATAAAAATAGAAGAATAAACAGCCAGATGCAGATATATAAATACATAATTTAAAAAATTGCAAATTAATTTATAGTGACATAAAGCAAATTAGCAACTGAGTGAAGTCCTAGTTAGTGGACATCTCGAGGGTGATGAACATGTTTTGTTATTTCATTGTAGCAACGATATTGAAGAAGTATACATCTGTCAAAACTCATCAAATTGTACACTTTAAGCAGTAGCAGGAATTATACCTCAGGTTAAAAATAAAGAAAAAGATAGATAAATAGACACATAGGTAGATAGATAAATACATACATACATGCATACATATCAGAGACAGATCAAACAAAATAAGATTCTAGTGTTATCATTCTCACTGTGTCGAAAGAGACTACAGTGTCTCTATCCAGAAATAGCTCTACCCTGAATTTGATCTTATCTTGTTGCTACCTTTTGTATCCTGTTATTTCAATGCCATTTACTTATTTTCCTGTAATTCCCATAAACTAACATATTAAAATTCTGTTTATGATTGCTCATGTTTAGGACATTAAGTTCAGTGTCAACATTGTTTTTAAAGTTGTAAGGTATTCTTTCTCTTTTTGTACTATATACTAAAAATACTCTATTTTAAGAATTGTATTTAAATGGTATTTAAATATTCCATTTTAAGAATGGTATTCTCTGCTAATGTGTACATATAATACTCCTGAGAATTATCAGGAAATGGATTTTCTCTGCCATTTACCATTCCAGGATGAGCAATTCTATATTCACAATGACTTCAACAGGAAAAGGAAAATTTTTAGTTTCAGCATTATCTTAAAAAAAAAAAAGTCATCCCTATCATGCAGTGATTATTGATAAGCTGACAAAGGAATAAAAACAGTAAAACACTAACCCACCTGCAGCCTCCTGAGCCTTAACAGTCTTATGTTCTTTTGCAGATATACTGGCACCATAAAAAGAATATCTTTAATGTAAAAATGTTTTTAGATTCCAAAGGCAAGAGTGTCTGATGATGAGATTCTTGTATCACTCAAATAATTTCACTTCTGTTGCATCTTCTACTCAAGGGCCAAGTTCTGCTCACAGACTGTATCTATCTTCAGAATGCAAAATACATTGCCAGAATTTTCTAAAGAAACTATGCAAAACATTAATATTAAACCAGTAACTCCAAACTAAAGACAGTCTTTGTCACCTCAATGAGATTGATTTTATGGTTATTATGACAGAAAATATGGAAACAAAAAAAAAAACTACCAATAGCTCTCTTCACACTGTGAGAGATACCAACACTTTTTAACATACACAAAAAAAATCTGAAAAATAGTTCTCTTTAGAATTGTTAATTTGCTTCAGAATCAGAAATAAACTGCAATACATTACAGAGGCCAGTATTAATGCCCCAGCATCATCACAACAGATACATCTCTCATTCCTATAAAGTTCTAATACCTGAAGGAAAAACATATTCAAGAAGAAATCTAACTGCAACTGAGGGGGTACTCTAGCTTAATCATGACATTTTGAAAATGAGTGTTCAACCTAATTCTTAACTTAAATGAGACTGGGTGATTTCCACATTTTCACATGTAGCCATGGGTCAGCAAATCATTTGGAGGACTACCTCTAATAAATGAGGTACAATACAAATATAAAAATTTCCACAAGGTAAACTTGGGTTCTTGTATTTTATGATCCTAATACTTCAGCTATCCTCATATGATTTTTCTGATTAAAGAAAAAAAAAAGATTCGGCCAGGCGCAGTGGCTCTCACCTGTAATCCCGGCACTTTGGGAAGCCAAGATGGGCGGATCACGAGGTCGAGAGATCAAGACCAACCTGGCTAACACAGTGAAACCCTGCCTCTGCTAAAAATACAAAAAAAAAAAAAAAAAAAAAAAAATTAGCCGGGCGTGGTGGCGGGCGCCTGTAATCCCAGCACTTTGGGAGACCGAGGCTGGCGGATCATGACATCAGGAGATGGAGTCCATCCTAGCTAACACGGTGAAACCCTGTCTCTATTAAAAATACAAAAAATTAGCCGGGCGTGGTGGTGGGTGCTGTAGTCCCAGCTACTCGAATGGCATGAACCCGGGAGGCAGAGCTTGCAGTGAGCCACGATGGCGCCACTGCACTCCAGGCCGGGCGACAGAGCGAGACTCCATCTAAAAAAAAAAAAAAAAAAAAAGATTCCATTTATCTGCTCTACCTCTGAATAGAGCAACAGTATCTTTTTCTTTGGAAAGATATCCATAAATTTCTGCATTTTATGGTTAACAAGTTGCAAGTTACCTCCTCCTTAAAATGACTCTTCTGTCTAGACCATAATATTTTTAATGGAGAAAATATTATTTTCAAAGGTGCTGATGAGCCCTTCCGCCCGCCGCTGCACTGTGGGAGCCCCTTTGTGGGCTGGCCAAGGCCGGAGCCGGCTCCCTCAGCTTGCGGAAAGGTGTAGAGGGAGAGGCTCCCGCGGGAACCGGGGCTGCGCATGGTGCTTGACGGCCAGCGTGAGTTCTGGGTGGGCATGGGCTCGGCAGACCCCACACTGGGAGCAGCTGGCCGGCCCCACCGACCCCGGGCAGTGAGGGACTTAGCACCTGGCCAGCAGCTGCTGTGCTCAATTTCTCACTGGGCCTTAGCTGCCTTCCCGCAGGGGAGGGCTCTGGACCTGCAGCCCGCCATGCCTGAGCCTCACCCCCCTCCGTGGGCTCCTGTGCGGCGGAGCCTCCCAGATGAGCACTGCCCCCTGCTCCAGGGCGCCCAGTCCCATCGACCACTCAAGGGCTGAGGAGTGCGGGCGCACAGTGCGGGACTGGCAGGCAGCTCCACCTGCAGCTCCACCTGCAGCCCCACTGCGGATCCACTGGGTGAAGCCAGCTGGGCTCCTTAGTCTGGTGGGGATGTGGAGAACCTTTATGTCTAGCTCAGGGATTGTAAATACACCAATCGGCACTCTGCAGCTAGCTCAAGGTTTGTAAACACACCAATCAGCACCCTGTGTCTAGCTCAGGGTTTGTGAATGCACCAATCAACACTCTGTATCTAGCTACTCTGGTGGGGACTTGGAGAACCTTTGTGTCCACACTCTGTATCTAGCTAATCTGGTGGGGAGGTGGAGAACCTTTGTGTCTAGCTCAGGGATTGTAAACTTACCAATCAGCGCCCTGTCAAAACAGACCACTGGGCTCTACCAATCAGCAGGATGTGGATGGGGCCGGATAAGAGAATAAAAGCAGGCTGCCAAGCCAGCAGTGGCAACCTGCTCGGGTTTACTTCTACACTGTGGAAGCTGTGTTCTTTCGCTCTTTGCAATAAATCCTGCTGCTGCTCGCTCTTTGGGTCCGCATTGCTTCTGTGAGCTGTAACACTCACCACGAAGGTCTGCAGCTTTACTCCTGAAGCCAGCGAGACCATGAACCCACCAGAAGGAAGAAACTCCGAACACATCCAAACATCAGAAGGAACAAACTCCAGACGCGCCGCCTTAAGAGCTGTAACACTCACCGCCAGGGTCTGCGGCTTCATTCCTGAAGTCAGTGAGAGCAAGAACCCACCAATTCCGGACACACTGAGGTACCTGGTAAAAGCAAATTAAATTCTGTACAATGAAATATATTCTCAATACTTTATAGCATTTATACTGAAATATAAAATATTTTAGTTTACACTTTTTTTCAAAAGGCTCTTTGCCTCCTTTCAAAATATCTTGCTTTAATGTTTCATAAGAATATGCACATAAGTTTCAACTTATGATGACTTTTTTCCTAAATTTAAACGATGCAAAATGGTAGACTTCATCAATTTTGTTTCATTTTAACAAAAGTATACATTTATTCAATTAAAATGTTTTTTATTCTTGAAGAGTTTCAGAGAAAAATGGATGTGATTTACTTTTTAATAGTTACAGGCTATTTGTAATTCATTATGGCAAAAAGTATACAGCTCCATTTATGATGATGAAATAAATTTCTCTTTTAAAATAAACTTATTTAAGATTGTTTATCAATTCTAGTAGCCTTTTGGCAGTCTTTCATAGTGTTCTAAGAATAGAATCATATTGTCAGCGAAGAAAGATAGTGTTACCTCCTATTTTGCTATTGAGTGTCTTTTATTTCTTTCTCTTGCTTGATTGTTCTAGCCAGGACTTCCAGTACTATGATGAATAGGAGTAGTAAGAAGGGGCATCTTTGTCTTTTTCCAGTTTGATAAACGATTCTAGCGAGGTTTCAGGGCACAAAATTAATGTACAATAATCAATAGTATTTCTAGAATGCACATTTATGCACATAATGTCCAGGCTGAGAGTCAAATCAAAAACACGATTCCGTTTACAATAGCCACAAAGAAAATGAAATACCTTCGAATGCATCTAACCAAAACACTGCTAAAACAGATAAATGCTAAACACTGCTAAAACTGCTAAACAAATAAATGGAAATATATTCCATGTTCATAACTGGAAGAATCAGTATCGTTAAAACTGTCATACTGCCCAAAGCAATTTAAAGATTCGACACTAGTCTTATCAATCTACCAATGTCATTCTTCACAGAATTAGAAAAAACGACTCTAAAACTCATGTGGAAACAAAAAAGACCCCAAATAGCAGTGGCAAGCCTAAGTAAAAAGAACAAAGCCAGAGACATCACACTACCCAACTTCAAATTACACTATAAGGCTAAGTAACCAAAACAGCATGGTACTGGTACAAAAAAAGGATACAGACCAATGAAACAGAATAGAAAACTTAGAAATAAAGCCATACATCTGATCTTTGACAAAGTTAATAAAAACAACAGGGAAAAAACTCTCTATTCAATAAACAGTGCTGGGATAACTGGCTAGTCATATGCAGAAGAATGAAACTAGACCTTTACCTTTCACTATATACAAAAATTAACTCAAGATAGATAGATTAAAGATTTAAATGTAAGATCTCAAAATCCTAGAAGAAAACCTAGAAATTACCCTTCTTGACATTGGCCTTGGCAAAGAGTTTTTTGCTAAGTTTCCAAAAGCAATGGTAACAAAAACAAAAATTGACAAGTGGAACCTAATTAAACTAAAGAGCTTTTGCACAGCAAAAGAAATGATCAATAAAGTAAAGAGAAAACCTACAGATTGGGAGAAAATATTAGCAAACTATGTGGCCAATAAAGGTGTAATATCCAGAATCTATAAGAAACTTAAACAAATTAACAAGCAAAAAATAAATAACCCCATTAAAAAGTAGGCAAAGGACATGAACAGACACTTCTTGAAAGACTTAGAAGTAGCCAACAAACATTTGAAAAAATGCTCGTCACCACTAATCATCAGAGAAATGCAAATCAAAACCACAATGAGATACCATTTCACACCATTCAGAAAGGCTATTATTAAAAAGTCAAAAAATAACAGATGCTGGTGAGGCTGCAGAGAAAAGGGAATGCTTATACACTGCTGGTGAGAAGGTAAATTAATTTAGCAACTGGGGGAAGAAGCTTGGTGATTTTTCAAAGAACTTAAAATAGAGTTACCATTTGGCCCAGCAATCTCATTACTGAGTATATTCCCAAAGGAAAATAGATCGTTATATCAAAAAGACACATCCACTCAAATGTTCATCACAGCACTATATGCAGTATCAAAGACATGGAATCCGCCTAGGCCTCCATCAGTGGTGGTTTGGATAAAGAGACTGTGGTATATATATATATATCATGGAATACTACACAGCTATGAAAAAGAATAAAAACTTACCCTTTGCAGAAATGAATAGAGCTGGAGGCCATAATCCTGAGTGAATTAATGCAGGAGCAGAAAAGCAAATACTATATGTTCTCACTTACAAGTGGGAGCTAAAAACTGAGCAAACATGGACATAAATATGGGAATAATAGACACTGTGGACTACCACAGTGGGGAGAGAGGGAGGGAGCCCTGGGTTGAAAAGCTACCTCTTGAGTACTATGCTCACTCCCTGGGTGCAATATACCCATGTAACAAACCTGCATATGTACCCCTGTATCTAAAAGTTGAAATTAAAAAACAGTTAAATAAAAAATGTATTCAAGTTGAAAATAGTGGATTTAAAATATTGCATGAATAATTGTAAATTATAATTTAATTGAGCAAATTATAGCCAGAGCTGTGACATGGTACAAAAATGATGGGAGTTTAAAAAACAGGGTTTAATAAAAGTCTCAATTTTAAAAGAAAACATATATACATACATGTATATGCCCTATCAAAAGATTTCTCCCACATGTGAAGACATTCCAAATAATATTGTAGACTTTCAGAATTAAGTTTTAAACTCTACTTGCACTAGCATAATCATAATTTAAAATTTAATTCATGTTTCCTCCTTTGCTTTTTTTATTTTTTTATTTTTTTGTGATGGAGTTTTGCTCTTGCTGCCCAGGCTGGAGTGCAATGGAGAGATCTTGGCTCACTGCAACCTCTGCCTCCTGGGTTCAAGCAATTCTCCCACCTCAGCCTCCCAAGTAGCTGGGATTACAGGCACCCACCACCAGGCCCAGTTAATTTTTTTAATTTTTATTTTAGTAGAGACAGGGTTTCACCATGTTGGCCCAGCTAGTCTCAAACTTCTGACCTCAGGTGATCCAGCCGCCTCAGCCTCCCAAAGTGCTGGGATTACAGGAATGAGTTATCACTCCCAGCCCCTCCTTTGCTTTTACAGGAGTAGATTTCAGTATCTTCCAGTTTGCAATACTAGTTTCAATAACTAAGATACACTAATGTTTCAAAACAGAAGTTTTTAGTGTTTCATTTGTGGAACATTTTGATGCAAAATATTTTAATTTATGTATTTATTTTTTAAAAACTCATGTGAGATTTATTCATTTTTGTTGCTCTTAGAAATGCACTGAGCACTATGGTAGCACAACTGGAAGAGTAGGCAGATGGAGTGGATTAAGGAGAGAACTGATGTGGCTTGGTCCTAGATTCTCCTGCCGCAAACCCTAAGCACATTAACTGGAAAAGACACACACACACACACACACACACACACACACACACATACACACACACACACAAAGCCTCCCTATGGGAGAATAGTTGTTTAAGCCTCAACAAGCAGTGACAAAGTCCCCATTGACAACACATCTACAAGTATATTAATTGGTAGAGATTAGACGTACAATTTAGATTTAAAAATTTTTTAACAAAACACAAGTAAAGTTAAAATTATTTGTAAATTTTGACAACCACAGCTTGTTGTGATTGGTGGAATATCATAGCTCATTTAAATACTTGCACCAAAGTCAATTTCAAGTACATCAATGTTTCATAGGTTTCTTAAATTAGTATAGACAATATGCACCTATGCTATATTCTACTGAACTTGAAATGTGTATTTTCTTCACATATTTTTATTTTCAGTGATGAATTTTTAAATGAATTTCTAAAAGGATTTACAGTAATGTCAGACATATCACCTTAAATGAAAAGAACATTCAAAAGTTTTATATCTTTTCTGAGTTGGAAAGGGAAAAAATAAGCTATTACTAGAATTAATTTATATTGTTCTTTGAAGCTTCTGATGATACATATGAAACTCAACATTATCTAATTGCTCATGAAAGTTTTCATCTTCTAATGTAGCCAACACAATAACAGCTATCACTTATTTCACTTGTTCTATGTGCATAAAAGCATTTGGGACAAAAATAAATGAAGTTGAAAATTGTACTTCCACATAAATTTTATTTTATGTAAACAATAGCATAATTTTAAAAATAAGTGAACTTAATTTAGAAGAATAGTCATTTGATCCCAATGAAAAGTCATCCTTCAGAATATGTCAATAAACCTTTTGCAGATTCTTGTATTAAATTATCGTCAATGAGCACAGCTTTTTAAAAATAGCTACTAATTTCTGAAGCAGATGTTGACCCTGCTGCAGCAGATTTATGTTTCCTGGTTTTCCTGTGGTCCTAACCCTTGTAGCTTACAGCAGGTTTTAACAAACATTTTGTGCAAGTTATACTTTTGTCTTCATATTTCTTTTGAAAATGAAATAAACAGTAGGAAATAAATTAATTTTTTATTAAACATATATTTTGTTTCTGTGAGCCCATTTCTGCCAAAGAAGTGCACAGCAAAAAAGTGAAATAAATAGGCTGAGATCCAGGAAATGCTGGTACATCAGTACTAGTCTCTATACTCTAATGGCAAAGCTGCTCAGCCTGCATTTCCCATACATATTCCCACATATTTGGGTCAATGGGGACCAAGAGGCTTCTTGTACCTAGCAGGCCATTGTATGGGTCAAGGTACAACAAGCTGTTGCACCAAGTGGCCACCAATGGCAGCAAAGTGGAAGAATGGAAGAAGAAAGTGTTCCCACCCTCCTGTGTTGGAGGACTCTTCCTTTTAATAGAGAACACTGTAAACTTTTTTTTGACAGGGATCTGTTAATCATGTTTTATCTGAAAAGGATCGGAAAAAGAAATATGGATTACCACTGGCTGTGTTTCATTCCGATTATATGTTAGAGAATGCTGTTTACACATGCAAGTCTCACAGTAATAGAAACCATTGGCAAAAACAACAAGCAACAATTGGGAGGGGGACTTGGGGGAGCATCAAACAATCTGATATTGTACTCAGTGTATTGCAGCTATTAATAACATTTGGTTATAAAATCCCCCCAAAACACTGCGACAATGTTAAACAAGATAGGATGAGATACCGGGACAATAGGTATAAGCTGTTTCCATCCTGGGAAAACTGGAATACGGCCACCTTAATAAGACCCAAAGCCTGAACTCTTCTCTAACTAGTTTAGGGTTTGTAATATTTTTTGATAAGCCCCTCCCTTGAAAAAGACTCAGTCTAACCAAATTTCTCCAAGCTTACATATTAAATCCAAATCTGAATGGCTTCTCTTATGTATTTTGCCTTGCAAAATTTGCAGCACTTACATTAAATAAAAGTCCATATATTTCCATATATTTCATGTTTCAATTGATCTTGGCCATTAACATAATAAAAAGGAAAATTCCTGAGGATACTTCTCAAGATTTTACATCAATGTTTGGCAAATTTGCATACATTTATGTTAAAGTCTTGGCTGATTATTCAGACATTTTCCATAAATCTCCTTTAGTCTTATTAATAATATACTATACATGCTGCATCTCTAGGGATTACAGAATAAATTTTATGTTTTAATAGAACTTATCTAAAAGGTTAAATTTTAATTAGAGTCAAATACAGATATTCTCTAGTTATTTGAGAATTCTTCTGGAATGCAATTCCCTTCTGGGATTAGGGACAATAAGAATAAATATGTGTTAACCCATGAGCAGAGATCTGCATTGCTCCTAACATAGTTGCTGTTACATTTTTCTTTATTCTATGCTATTGTAAACTAGTGGGAATACGGATACTTCTTTCAGTTGCTCGAATTTTATCAATATAGTGAACACTTATTTATAGCCCCACTCTTCTGGCAGCAGCTCTGGTCCCACTCATAGTGCAGAAGGTTTTGGGTAAGGATATAACCACAGAAGCTATACTGTACAGTTTTCTCAAAATAGGTAGATGAAAGCTAGTTGATAGATAAAGATTAGATTCATTAATTGATTTGCTTCAACCAATTTGCAATGGATTTTTTTTTGAGACAGGGTCTTGCTCTGTCGCCCAGGCTCACTGCAAGCTCCACCTTCCGGGTTCACGCCATTCTCCTGCCTCAGCCTCCCGAGCAGCTGGGACTACAGGCGCCCATCACCACGCCTGGCTAATTTTTTTTTTAAATATTTTTAGTAGAGACGGGGTTTCACCGTATTAGTCAGGATGGTCTCGATCTCCTAACCTCGTGATCCACCCGCCTCGGCCTCCCAAAGTGCTGGGATTACAGGCGTGAGCCACCGCGCCTGGCCTGCAATGGATTTTTATCACTTGCAACTGATAAAATTCTAATGATAGTATGACTATATATTGTGAAATAGTGAATATTTTACCATATAATTCTTATTTTAATGTAATACGACTCTTCCTTGGGAGAAGAGCAGAACAATAATGTAAAAAATAATAAACTTCACTATAATTTCTATTCATGATACTTTAACTCAAAACTTAAACACATGTTGTTTGCATTTTGTCCTCATGTACATTAATTCTCTTATTAGGTAAATAGGAAGAGAAGAAATATTTTCATAGTATACTTCTAGACATTGACACTCAGATTCCTAATGAATCGTTAGGACCAATTCAATGATTCCTTGTAAATTCAGACTTTACTACCAAACATGTTTTGATCTACACTGTGAACATTGGGCTATTCATGTAGAAAAATAACCTGCTGTTTATTTGTTGGCTTCCTTTTGTCATTTCAGAGACAAATTGTTATACATGTTATTTCCCATGTCCACAACTCCCTGCAAGGTAAATACTTGAGAATTTGGCAGTCACGTTTTTTCCAAATGGACAGAAAACATACAATTGCTGATGGATTGGTTTGAATGCAAGAAGCAGCCAGCAACTGCCATTCATGAGGATCGTATACAGGTATCTATTGTACAGCCTAAACCAAAGCATAAGTGTATCCAGTATTTCTGTTATGAAACTGCCTTGATTTCTTTTTTTCTTTCTTTCTTTCTTTCTTTTTTTTTTTTTCCCGATGCAGGGTCTTGTTCTGTAGCCCAGGCTAGAGTGCAGTGGTGCAATCTCTGCTCACTGCAACATCTGTCTCCCGGATTCAAGCGATTCTCCTGCCTCAGCCTCCCGAGTAGCTGGGATTACAGGCATGTGCCACGCCCAGCTAATTTTTGTATTTTTTGTAGAAACGGGGTTTCACCATGTTGGCCAGGCTGGTCTCGAACTCCTGACCTCAGGCAATCTGCCCGCCTAAGCCTCCCAAAATGCTAGGATTACAGGCGTGAGCCACCGCGCTTGGCTGCTTTGATTTCTTAAGCCCCCAAGAACTGTTAAGTAAGATTTTTGTACCTAGACATAAATAGAATAAACCGTTTGGTTCAGGTGATGGAGCTGTGCCTGGAGAAGGAGCAACAGCCTTTGCCCTAATTCAGCAGAATTAAGGGTTTATTAATGTGCAAGTATTTCACAAAAATAATTCTGCTTATAAGATGTGTTGATTGAACTGATTGAAATATCTAGAAGACATGTCACGCAGAGCACACATTATGGAGATTTTGCAACACTGAATGGGAAAGCATTAAAAATGTAAAAGGAAGAAAAGTTGTGGGTTTCAGAAAGAATAGTTCCCATGAAAGGACTGCCCGACTGTACTTAAAAACAAACAAACAAAAAACCACATTGTGGTGTTTAACATTTTCCTTATGTTGTCAATACGCCTTATATTTGTCTATTGACAGAGTCATCATCTGCCTCACAATGCAAGCTCTGAAAGCTAAGAACTGTTTCTTTCTTTCTTTCTTTCTTTCTTTTTTTTTTGAGATGGAGTCTTGCTCTGTCACCTAGGCTAGAGTGCAGTGGTGCTATCTCGGCTCACTGCAAGCTCCGCTTCCCGGGTTCACGCCATTCTCCTGCCTCAGCCTCCTGCGTAGCTGGGACTACAGGCGTCCGCCACCACGCCCGGCTAATTTATTTTTAGTAGAGAAGGGGTTTCACCATGTTAGCCAGGATGGTGTCGATCTCCTGACCTGGTGATCCGCCCGCCTTGGCCTCCCAAAGTTCTGGGATTACAGGTGTGAGTCACCGTGCCCGGCCTGAAAGCTAAGAACTGTTTCTATAGGGCTTGGCAAGGAGCCACATTGACATGGATATTTAATAAATGCCTTTTGATCAAAAGGAAAAGAGAAACAGAGGAAAATGGGGGTGAAGAAAACTACATAAGAAAAAACAAAGCAAAAAAATATTGATTTACTTATTTGTAAAATCAAGGGAATGAGAAATATACTATTTTTTTTTAATTCTATGAACTAATGTTCAAATAATCTAAAGTGTTACATTTTTAAAGTGTGTATAAACAACTGACATAAGTAATGACTAGGTTGTAAAAAGTCATTTATCATCTACCTAAGACCTAAGAACTATGCTGACTCAAATTTAATAACCCAGGAAAATCTTGATGCTGCCAGCAGGTGCTTCCTCCATTTGACCCTGAGAGTGTCATGGTGGTTTTATGTACCAGAATACACCTTTGTCAGCCTCCTCAGGTTTGATAATACTATATCAGTTTTGGTTCACAGACAAGCTTGCCATATCATATTTAGCTGCCAATATAGATGATCTGAACTCTAGTTCTTGTCAGGGTACATAATATCAGACTTGCTACCGCCTAATGTCAAAAGTTGGGTTAAGAGAAAATAACATTTAGGAAGGATTGCCTGAAGATTATATAGTCTATTTCTCTAGATACCGTAATTCCTATGCCTTTACTTAACTCATCAAATATTTATATAGATGAGGACTATTGTATTGGTTCCCCACAGGACTAGTTTTGTTAAATTGTGATTTAGTATAATTCCATTAGCGTTACAGTATAAGAAATAGCACTATACAATTCAAAGCTGTGTTTACAAGTAGATGTAAATGAGAATTTCGTTTGTTAGGTTGCAGTGTCCTCCTTGGAAGCAACTTGGAAAACATAGTTTGCTCTCTACAGACGCTATGACTCATGAGCTTATCCTATTTTCTCGTCTGCTTTTCTGCTATAGTATAAGGTTAGAGTCAAACTGTGACTCAAATTTTTGTGTTCTAGCCTCATTTCTAGATTTATTTATACCTCTATCCTAGCCACTTCTTTATAATACATATTTCTAATTTACTATTTTGGTGAATTTTATGCATCTTGTGAACTTTCCTAATCTTCTCTGGAATAATAACACACATAAATAAATAAGTAATTTTACCAAGACTTTTCTATATTCTTTGAACTCACCATATCCCTTGTGCTCAAATATTGGCCAAACATTCTAATATACTGAGAAGGCTAGTACGAAATATGAGCATCATGGTTTCAGCTTACAGCTGACAGCAAACTCTCATCTTTTTAAAATGTTTTTTTCTCTCCCATTATGCTCTATTTTAAAAAAAGAGGTGTCTTACTCCCTCCTAATAAAGGTTAATCTTTATTTTTCTGCCATTGCACCTCCATTATCATCCCCTTTCTCTTCCCAGAAACTCTACTGAGACCTCTTCTATCTCAATTACAATATGCTCAGGTCTCCTTTATATTAATGGTAAAAAACCACAATTACTTTTGCACCAATCTAATACAAAAACAGAAACAAAAAATTTCCTTATCAGGTTTTCTCATATACTTTCCTCTTGCTTTTGGTTATAATCTCAAACAATCATCTACATCCTGTGAATCTGCTTCCTACTACCACCCCATTCCTCAATCCCTTACTCTGTAGCTCCAAACTGAACACTGAACCTTTCATGGAAACCTCCTGTAACTTTCTGATGACTTATCAAGCGTAATGACTTGTTCTCTGTATTCTTTGTATTTGACATTTTCTGTGGCCATTGATTTTCTCTTACTATGAAAAATCTATATCTTTTTCATTTTGTAATTGTTATTTTTTAAAACTGGTACTTCCTTTCTTCTCATTCTTATTTACTTGTCCTTCTTTACTCCTCACTAAATAACAACAATAAACTTAGTAATATTTATTAAGCACCTACGTTCTGTGAGACACTGAACTAAATATGTTTCTTTGTTGTTTTTGTTTTTTGTGGTTAAACTAGAAAGTTTCTTTCTTTTTTTTCCCTTCAACTTTTTTTTTTTTTCAGAGAGTCTCATTCGGTCCCCAGGCTGGAGTGCATTGGCACCATCGTGGCTCACTGCAACCTCTGCCCCCTGGGTTCAAGAGATTCTCCTGCCTCAGCCTCCTGAGTAGGTGGGACTACAGGCGTGCCACCACACCCGGCTAATTTTTGTATTTTTAGTAGAGATGGGGTTTCACCACGTTAGCCAGGATGGTCTCGATCTCTTGACCACGTGATCCACCCGCCTCAGCCCCCCAAAGTGCTGGGATTACAGGCGTGAGCCACCGCACCCAGCCCTTTTTCTTCAAGTTTTATTTTAAGTTCTGAGGTACATGGGCAGGGTGTGCAGGTTTGTTACATAGGTCAATGTGTGCCATGGTGGTTGCTGCACAGATCATCCCATTACAGAATATCCTATCACAGAATAGCCAGGTATCCATTAGCTATTCTTCCTGATGCTCTCCCTCCCCTGACCTTAACCCCTCCAACCGACCCCAACGTGTGTCTTTCCCTCCCATGTGTCCATGTGTTCTCATCATTCAGCTCCTGCTTATAAGTGAGAACATGTGGTGTTTGGTTTTCTGTTCCTGTGTTAGTTTGCTGAGGATAATGGCTTCCAACTCCATCCATGTCCCTGAAATGGACATCATCTCATTCCTTTTTACAGCTGTATAGTATTCCATGGTGTATATGTACTATTTTTTATAATCCAGTCTATTATTGATGGACATTTAGGTTGATTTCATGTCTTTGCTATTGTGAATAGTGCTGCAGCAAACATGTATGTGGATTTATCATTATAATAGAATGATTTATATTCTATTATATTATATTCTATTATATCCCATTAATGGGAGTGCTGGGTCAAATTGTATTTTTGCCTGTAGGTCTTTGAGGAATTGCCACACTGTCTTCCACAATGGTTGAAATAATTTACATTCCCACCAAGAATGTAAAAGCATTCCTTTTTCTCTGCAACCCTGTCAGTGTCTGTTGCTTTTTGACTTTTTAATAATAGCCATTCTGACTGGCATGAGGTGGTATCTCATTGTGGTTCTGATTTGCATTTTTCTAATAATCAGTGATGTTGAGGTTTTTAAAATGTTTGTGGCCAAATGTATGTCTTCTTTTGAGAAGTGTCCATGTCCTTTTCTCACTTTTTAATTGTTTTTTTTTTTTTACTTATAAATTTAAGTTCCTTGGAGACTCGGATATTAGACCTTTGTCAGATGGATAGATTGAAAAACTTTTCTCCCATTTTATAGGCTGTCTCTTCACTCTGATGATAGTGTCTTTTGCTGTGCAGAAGTTCTTTAGTTTAATTAGATCCAGTTTGTCTATTTTTGCTTTTGTTGCTATTGCTTTCGATGTTTTTGTCGTGAAATATTTGCCTGTATCTATGTCCTGAATGGTATTGCCTAGATTTTCTTCCAGGGTTTTTATAGTTTTGGGTTTTATATTTAAGTCTTTAATCCATCTTGAGTTAATTTTTGTATATTATGTAAGGAAGGGGCCAGATTCAATTTTCTGCATGTGGCTAGCCAATTCTCCGAGCACCATTTATTAAATAAGGAATCCTTTCCCTATTGCTTCTTTTTGTCAGGTTTGTCAAAGACCAGATGGTTGCAGGTGTACAGTCTTACTTCTGAGTTCTCTATTCTGTTCCATTGGACTATTCGTCTGTTTTTGTACCAGTACCATGCTGTTTTGGTTACTGTAGCCTTGAAGTATAGTTTGAAGTCAGGTAGCATGATGCCTCCAGCTTTGTTCTTTTTGCTTAGAATTGTCTTGGCTACTACGGCTCTATTTGGTTCTATATGAATTTTAAAATAGTTTTTTTCTAATTATGTGAAGAATGTCAACGGTACTTTTATGGGAATAGCATTGAGTCGATAAATCACTTTGGGCAGTACGGCTATTTTCATGATATTGATTCTTCCTAACCATGAGCATGGAATGCTTTTCCTTTTGTGTCCTCTGATTTCTTTGAGCAGTGGTGTGTAGTTCTCCCTGAAGAGGTCCTTCACTTTGCTTGTTAGCTGCATTCCTAGGTATTTTATTCTTTTTTGTAGCAATTGTGAATGAGAGTTCATTCATGATTTGGTTCTCTGCTTGCCTGTTGTTGGTGTATAGGAATGCTAGAGAATTTGCACATTGATTTTGTATCCTGAGATTTTGCTGAAGATGCTTATCAGCTTAAGCTTTTGTGCTGAGTTGATGAAGTTTTCCACATATAGGATCATGTCATCTACAGAGACAATTTAACTTCCTCTCTTCCTGTTTAAGTACCTTTTACTTCTTTCTCTTGCCTGATTGACTTGGCCAGAACTTCCAATACTGTGTTGAATAGGAGTAATGAGAGAGGACATCCTTGTCTTGTGCCAGTTTACAAAAAGGAATGCTTCTAGTTTTTGCCCATTCAGTGTGATATTGGCTGTCAGTTTTTCATACATGAGATATTTCCCTTCAATACCTAGTTTATTGAAATATTTTAACATGAAAGGATATTGAATTTTATCAAAGGCCTTTTCTGCGTCTATTGAGATAATCACATGGTTTTTGTCTTTAGTTCTCTTTATGTGATGACTGACATTTATTGATTTGCATTTGTTGAACCAACCTTGCATCCTGGGGATAAAGCCAACTTGATTGTGATGGATGAGCTTTCTGATGTGCTGCTGGATTCAGTTTGCCCGTATTTTGTTGAGGATTTTTGCATCAAGGTTCATCAAGGATAATGGCCTGAAGTTTTCTTTCTTTGTTGTATCTCTGCCAGGTTTTGGTATCAAGATGATGCTGGCCTCATAGAATGAGTTAAGGAGGAGACTCTCCTATTCCCTTTTTTGGAGTAGTTTTAGTAGAACTGGTACCAGCTCTCCTTTGTACCTCTGGTAGAATTCAGCTGTTAATCCATCTGGTCCTGAGCCTTTTTTGGTTGGTATGCTATTTATTACTACCTCAATTTTACAACTCATTATTGATATTTTCAGGGATTCAATTTCTTCCTGGTTCAGTCTTGGGAGGGTGTATATGTCCAGGAATTTATCCATTTCTTCTAGACATTCTAGTTTATGTGCATAGAGGCGTTTATATCATTCTCTGATGGTTATTTGTATATCTATGGGAACAGTAGTGATGTCTCCATTATCATTTCTGATTCTGTTTATTTGGTTCGTCTCTCTTTTTTCCTTTGTCTAGCTAGCAGTATACATATATATTTTTCTTTTTCAAAAAACCAGATCCTGGATTCATTGATATTTTGAAAGATTTTGTTTCTCTATCTCTTTCAGTTCAGCTTTAATCTTGGTTATTTCTTGTTTTCTGCTAGGTTTGGGGTTTGGGTGCTCTAGGTTCTCTATTTCTTTTAGTTGTGATGTTAGGTTGTAAACCTGAGATCTTTCTAGTTTTTTGATGTGGGCATTTAGTGCTATAAATTTTTCTTTTAATACTGCTCTGGCAGAGTCCCGGAGATTCTGTTACATTGTCTCTTTACTCCTATTAGTTTCAAAGAACTTCTTGATTTTTGCCTTAATTTTATTATTTACCCAAGAGTCATTCAAGAGCTGGTAGTTCAGTTTCCTTGTAGTTGTGTGGTTTCAGGTGAACTTCTTAATCTTGAGTTCTAGTTTGATTGTGCTGTGGTCTGAGAGACTGTTAAGATTTAAGTTCTTTTGCATTTGCTGAGGAGTATTTTAATTCTCATTATGTGATCAATTTTAGAGTAAGTGCCAGAGTTCTGTAGATATCTATCAGGTCCACTTGATCCAGAGCTTAGTTCAGGCCCTAAATATCTTTGTTAATTTTCTGTCTCAGTGATCTGTCTAATAATGTAAGTGGGGTGTTAAAGTCTCCCACTATTATTATGTGGGAGTTGAAGTCTCTTTGCAGATCTCTAAGAACTTGCTTTATGAATTTAGGTGTTCCTGTATTGGGTATATATATATAATAGTTAGCTCTTCTTGTTGAATTGAACTCTTTACCATTATGCAATACCCTTCTTGTCTTTTTTGATATTTGTTGCTTTAAAGTCTATTTTGTCAGAAATTAGGAGTGCAACCCCTGCTTTTTTCTGTCTTCTATTTGCTTGGTAAATTTTCCTCCACTCTGTTATTTTGAGCCTATCTGTATCTTTGCATGTGAGATGGGTCTCTTGCAGAGAGCATGCAAATGGGCCTTGGTTCTTTATTCAGCTTGCCATTCTGTGTCTTTTAATTGGGGCATTTAGCCCATTTACATTTAAGGTTAGTATTGTTATGTGTGAATTTGATCCTATCATCATGATGCTAACTGGTTATTTTGTAGACTTGTTTATATGGTTGCTTCATAGTGTCACTGGTCTGTGTACTTCAATGTGTATTTGTTAGTGGCTGGTAATGGTTTTTCCTTTCCATATTTAGTGCTTCCTTCAGGAACTCTTGCAAGGCAGGCCTGGTGGTGGCGAATTCCCACAGCATTTGCTTGTCTGAACAGGATCTTATTTCTCCTTCATTTATGAAGCTTAGTTTGCCCAGATATGAAATTCTAGGTTTGAAATTCCTTTCTTTAGGAATGTTGAATATTTACCCCCAATCTCATCAGGCTTGTCGAGTTTCCACTGAAAGATCTTCTGTTAGTCTGATGACCTTCCCTTTGTAGGTGACCTGGCCTTTCTCTCTGACTACCCTTAACAATTTTTCTTTCATTTCAACCTTGGAGAATTTGAAAATTATGTGTCTTGGGGTTGATCTCGTGGAGCATCTTACAGGGGTTCTCTGCAGTTCCTGAATTTGCAGTGGGCCTGTCTTCTTAGGTTGAGGAAGTTCTCCTGGATGATATCCTGAAGTATGTTTTACAACTTGGTTCCATTCTCCTCATTTCTTTCAGGTACCCCCAATCAGTTGTAGGTTCGGTTTCTTTATGTAATCTCATATTTCTCAGAGGTTTTGTTTATTACTTTTCATTTATTTTCTCTACTCTTGTCTGCCTGTCTTATTTCAGAATGGTAGTGTTGAGGCTCTGAGATTATTTCCTCCACTTGGCCTATCCTGCTATTGATACTTTTGATTGCATTGTGAGTTTGTATTGTGCTTTTCAGCTCCATCAGATTGGTTATGTTCCTCTCTAAACTGGCTATTCTGGCTGTCAGCTCCTGTATTGTTTTATCATGATTCTTAGCTTCTTTGCATTGGGTTAGAACAGCAAATTTTGTTATTATCTACCTTCTGAAGCTTACTTCTGTCAATTCAGCCATCTAAGCCTCAGTCTACTTCTGTGGCCTTGCTGGAGAGGTGTTATGGTCATTTGGAAAAGTAGAGTCACTCTGGCTTTTTGAGTTTTCGTTGTTTTTATGTTTATCCTTTCTCATCTTTGTGGACTTTTCTACCTTTGGTCTTTGAGGTTGCTGACCTTTAAATGGGTTTTTTGTGGAGTCTTTTTTTTTGTATGTTTTTGTTGTTTCCCATTTGTTTGTTTTTCTTTTAACAGTCAGGCCACTCTTCTATAGGGCTGCTGTGGTTTCCTGGGGGTCTGCTCCATACTCTAGTTGCCTCAGTTTTCCCCTCACCTGGAGGTATCACCAGTAAAGGCTGTAAAACTGAAAAGATGGCAGCCTGATCCTTCCTCTGCAAGCTCAGTCCAGAAGGTTACTGACCTGTTCCTGGCCCAAACATCCCTGTAGGTTGCTGGAGACCCCTGTTGGATGGTCACACCCTGTCAGGAGGAACAACATAAGGGACTCACTTAAAGAAGCAGTCTGGCTGCTTTTTGTCAGAGCAGGTGTGCTGTACTGGGGGAACCCTTCCTCATCTGGACCATCTGGCCTCTCCAAAGTTGGCAGGCTGGAATGGGTGATTCAATTGAATGACAGAGATGGTGACTGTCCCTCTCCTCAGGAGCTCAGTCCAAGGAAGAGATCAGAGCTGTCTGTATAACCCTGGCTGGAGTGGCTGAAGCCCCCACAGGGAGGTCCTGCCCAGTGAGGAGGAATGGATTGGGGTCCCACTTAAAGAAGCAGTCTGGCCACGATTTGGCAAAGCAACTGTGCTGCACTGTGGGAGGCCCTTCCTTTTCCAGACCATTTGGACTCCCCAAAGCTAGCAGGCTGGAACAATTGAGTCAATCGAACTACAGAGATGGTGGCCACCCTTCCCCCTGAGAACTTGGTCCCATCTCAGACAGACTGCAGCCTGTTGTCTTTGGCTGGCTGGAATTCCAAGTCAGTGAGTCTTAACTTGTGAGGTGCTGTGGAAGTGGAGCCCACAAAATGATGCTGCTTGGCTCCCTAGATTCAACCCCCTTCCTAGGAGTCTGTATGGATGGATGTCTCACCTTGCCAGGGATCCTGGGGCCAGAATATGTAAAACTCTTGAGTCTCTGTGTGCTTGAGTGGCTGCTCTGCCAAGAGTTCACAGAGCTCTGTGTATCAGACCCAATGCCCTTAATGCATGCGTTCATGAGGGGATCTCCTGGTCCAACAGTTGCAAAGATCTGTGGGAGAAGAATGTTTTCCCCAGTGGGTTTGCACAATTACTCACCACTTCCCTTGGTTGGGGGTGGGGGTTCCTTTGGCACCATGCTGTCCTGGGTGGGCTGTCACCCCATGCTACTATTCTTCATTCTCTGTGGGTCAAGTTGTTTGCCTAATAAGTCCCAATATGAGATCCTGCGTATTTCAGTTGAAGGTGCTGAGTTAACTTCCCCCTTTCATTCCTCTCTGTAAGTGCTGCAGACTACAGTTGCTTCTAATTGTCCATCTCATCCCCTCCTTTCTATGCCGATATGGTTTGGATTTCTGTCCCTACCCAAAGCTCATGTCAAATTGTGATTCTCAGTTTTGGAGGAGGGGCTTGATGGAGGGTGATTGGATCATGGGGGTAAATTTGTCCTTTGCTGTAAGTGAGTTCTCACAAAATCTGGTTGTTTAAAAGTGTGTAGCATCTCCTCTTTCACTCTCTGTTTCTCCTGATCCAGCCATGTAGGACGCGCCTGCTTCCCCTTTGCCTTCTGCCATGATTGTAAGTTTCCTGAGGCCTCCCCAGCCATGCCTTCTGTACAGCCTGCAGAACTGTGAGTCAATTAAACCTCTTTTTCTTTATAAATTACCCAGTGTTTGGAAGTTATTTATGGCAATGCAAGAATGGACTAATGCATATGCATTATTACTTTTAACCTCATATGAACCCTATGAGAGACTTGCTGTTAATATTTTCACGTTATAGATGGAAAGTCTGAAACTCTGGTTAATTAACTTGTCTAAGGTTGCACATGTATTGTCTGATAGAGGTTTGATTTAAGCTGTTTAAATTCAAAAGCATATATTTGTAATCCTTTTTTATTTTAATTTTTTCAATCTTATGAATATGTAATAGAGGTATATATTTATGGGTTACATGCGATATTTTGATAAAAGCATACAATGTATAATGATAAAGTCTGGGTAATTGGGAAATTCATCACCTCAAACGTGTATTATTGCTTTATGTTGGGAACTTTCCAAATCTGCTCTTCTAGTAATTTTAAAATATACAATAAATTATTGTTAACTATAGTTGCCCTATTGTGATACTGAACACTAGATTTTATTCCTTGTAACTGTATTTTTGTACCCATTTACCAGCCCCTCTTTATCTCCCCATCCCCATTACCCTTTCCAGCCTCTGGTAATCACCATTCTATTCACTGCCTCTATGAAATCATTTTTTTTAGCTCCCACATATGAATAAGAGCATTGACCTTAATTACTACTATATACGGCCAATTAATAATGTTTTATATTTTTTCCTCAACATCTTCCCTTTGTTGTTAACTTCTCTCTTCCTTTTACCTATCTAGTATCCTTTGTATTCAAATGCCCATGTCAGTCATTCCAATTCTGACTGTCCGAATAAAAGAAGAAAGTTAAAATGTATTGACTGCCCACACACTTTCCTATCATTTTCATAAATAATAATAGTTATCACTTATTTATTGCTTCATGTCTATAAGGCACTGTTCCAAGCATCTTCTACACAATATCTTCAGTAGCCCTCTATAAAATTCTTGAAAATAGATCTCATAGTACTGGATTTACATTCAAACATGTCAATAGTATTCTGGGCAATATTTGCTAATTCTTCTTATTTCTGATTTGCTTCATAACTATAGGTCTCCTGAGTTGGAGCATTTGAATTTTCCACCCTGACTTAGCCAATAAGTAGTCTCATTTGCTCTCTTTTCCACTTCATTTCTTCTGCCTGAATTCATCTGTCTCAGGCAGCTTTGTTTTTTGATGATTTATTAGTTAAGATGTTTTCAAGTGCAACCTTAAGAAGTCAACTTTAAAATAAGAATGTATTTACTTACATTTCTGAAAATCTAAAAGGAGGGTAGGCTCAAATATATTTGTATCCTTTGCTCTAATTCTTTTTGATTTTGGAGGCTCTGTCTTCCAAAGTGTCAGCCTTAGTCTTATGCCAGCTTCAAAAATAGCTACAGGCATCAGTCAACCACAAGTGCCTTCTTCATTCATATCCAGGGAGCAGGCTGTTCCTTCCTCTTATCACCAAACTGTATCCTGAGTTACAACGATGTTGAACCATCCTGATATTCTTGGGCACAGCATTTATTGGCTGACTTGGACTTGGGTTCCTTAAAGCCATTATTATGGCAAGAGGATTAAATTTACTCTGATTTTTCCACAAATAAGGCCCGCTATGGATACCCTAGTGGGGACAATCTAAAATTATTGCACAGTGTGTACGGGTGTAATGTAATATATGACACTATTTTCTTTACCTTTTTCCATGAGCAAAACCCCATCTTTTACACTTTTGGAACTTGCAATCATGTATCACAGCATCTTAAATACAGTAGGTATTCAACATATTATTTGTCAGCAAATATTGAGCAGCTTGACAGTTTGGGAAGCAAAGAAATGTAAAATTAATTGGCTAGTGAGTACTACAATATCAAGCACAATTTTCGACATAGACACTATGCATATGAAACTTATATGTCAATTCTAAATGTATTATTTTTGAAATAAAAACACATATCTCTACAGCATAAAGAGATTTGAATTGCCAAAGGAGGTTATTACTTTCACTATCCATTCAGAATTTTGTAAATAAAAGACACATTTTTTCTACATTACTTTTTAAAGTGGCATTAAAATCCTACAAATAAAATATTAATTTTCAAATACTGTTGAAAATAATTTCTATTACTTTAAATCACAGAATTTAAATTTTTACATTTTTCAAATGTTATATTGTTTAGATGTATTTGGTATAGTGACAAACGTGAAATCTATTATCTTGACAATAGTCTGAGGGCAATAAAGAGTTATTGAATTAAGTTGAATAATTCCACTTAGAAGTGAACTCTTCCTGTTTCTTTATGAAACAACTAAACTTAAAAAATTATCTATGTTACCCGTATCAAAAGTTTATAAAGAAATTCATAGAAGAAAAAATAATATTGGCTGAAAATGATGCGTTAGTTTTTATGCTCTGCAATACAATAAAGTCTTTACAGAAATATTTTCTAAAGGACTGGGTATTTGAGAACTACATATAAAAATAATTTCTTGGGATATCCATGAATGTTTTATTCAAAAGGATTATTCTGTTTTACAATTCTTCAGCTAAAATGGATATTGAAACCTTGCTATCCAAATGTACCCTTGATAAAAATGCAGTTATAAAAAACTTTCTTCTTTAAAGTGCTAGTCTGTGTAATTTAATGCCACAGGCTCAAAGAAGAAACATAATGTAGCTTTTGCTTGAATCTCTGAAGTGGTACCTGTCACAGCAACCACACAACATCCTTGCATGCATGCTAAACAGGTTGTAATGATGATATTCCTTTGGCAGTGGCAGATCTCAAATGAGTCACACCTGAGTCTTTTCTATGCACTGAGTTTTAAAAATACTGCCTGATCGTTCATTAGAAAAAATTATAAAGTCTCATTCTCATTTTCAAAATGTCAACCCTAAAGTTAATTTTATTTGTAGAAAAAGAAAAAAGTTTACATAGTATAGAAGCCACTTGAGTTAGGCTCTTTGAGTTGACCAATAAAAAATTTTGCAGGAGGCAGTTGAAGAAACACATTCCAGGTAGAGAAATAGCATTCAAATAATGTTAGGCCATTTCCCTTATATAGATCAGACACTCTTTAGATTTAAAAAAGTGTGTGCCGATATGTCCATAGTCTCCTGGTAGCTCAAGATCCTTTGGGTGGTAGACAGGGTGGAATGTGTTAAACTGTTTTTACAGTAACACCAAGATATTGTTTGTCTTTTTACTGTGTTGGCATTTGCACTGATGGTGTCAAACTAATGATAAGTAAAATTTCTGGTACCTTAGCATGAATCAAAGCAGTAGCATCAATCTGTACTAGTACATAAATGATCAAGAATTTAAATAATAATAATATATTAACAATAATAATCGTGAGGAAATAAGGCACTTATCTGAAGACTGACAATTATCTCTATTACTCAGTCACTCATGGCTGGAGTTTATCTTGTAATTCTCCATAGCTACGCTGACAATTTGCTATGTAACCCCTTTACAATGTAGTGACCTGTCATGACATTCTCTAAGATTGATTTCGGAAGGAACCAGCTAATTGACTTGCTCATTACAATTACTCCTAAGGTTATACCCTTTCACACCAGGCTACCTTATGTGTTGTTCTTGCAACAGGTACATATCTCTGGACCTTTATATAGTGGTCATAGGGTATAAGGAGTAGCCTCTTGCTTTTAAACTAGTAGAAGAAATTGGCTGGGGCATGTACCATAAGGGATATATCCTTTACCTTCAGCACAAACATGTGACAGATTTGAGGGACTGTGTTTAGTTCCATAAGCTTGGAGCATGAGGTAGAGACAAGCAGAAAGTTATGATAATAAGGTCATGAGATTGAGAGCTCTTCTCTGCCATCCATATTAAAGAGGTTCAAATTTATCCTAATTGAAACACCAGTTATGAAACTCTACTGATGTGTTTTATGAGTTTGCTTCCTGGTAAAAGCCTAGTGATTTCAATGAACATTTTTTAGCATCTTATTTGTCTTTGTAGCCCCTGATGAGAAACTGCCCATACCAGGCTTGTTGTTAATGAATACATGTATAAATTGGAGATAGACTTGTGTAGTAAGTACCCAACAAAAAGGGACTCTGCAGATGTGAATGAGTTGATAAACTTTAGATGAAGCAATTATCCTGGATTATCAAAGTGAACCTAATCAAATCCCATGGATCCTTAAAAGCAGAGAAACATTCCCTGCTATGGTCAGAAGGAGACAGATAGTCAGAGAAAGACAACGATGCTGGCTTTGAAGACAGAGGGAAGGGATCCAGAAGAGAGGAATATGAATGGCCTCTAAAAGCTACAAAAGACAAGGAAACAGATTCTCCCCTACAGCCTGCAGAAGGAATGCAGCCCTTACAACACTTTTATTCCAGTGAAATCTTTGTCACATTTCTGGCTTGCAAAAATGAATAATAATAAATTTACTTTGCTTTAAAGCCATCAAGTTTATGGCAATTTGTTACGGCAGCAATAGAAAGCTAATACTGACAACCATATTCATATAAATGAAGCAGTAGAAAATATGGGAAATAGGGCCCAGGGAATGAAGTGTGAACAAAAATAGGTATGAGAATTTCTTCATTCTCATTACGGAATAACATTTGTGTGGAAGAATGATATATTTTCATTGTGTTCTAACATTTATTTTAATGGCAAAATAGGTTTTGCATAGTAATGACTTCAGACCCATTTCTCTCTACAATTATCTGCACTCTGTTTTCAGAATGAAATCAGTGTACCTACAGACTGCCAGTTAATGACAAGCATAGTTTACATATTTCAGTGATGAAGAAATGGTTTGTGCAACAAGCATTCTAACACATGGAGTTTCTTCTTCCAAATATTCGTATTCTCAGGATTATAAGCCAATAGTTTTTGGGGTTATTAAAAGCAATCTTTAGAAATATAGGAAAGTTCTTTATATAGAAGATTAATTTAGAATAAGTAAGATTTAACTTCTGTTTTATGGAAACACAAATATATTTAGCCTTCTTCCTTTTATTTTTATTATATTAAAAATGGTAAGTGCTAACTCAGTACTTTACATTTCTTAAAGCAAAATTTCTAGGTAAAATTTTTCCAACCGTGGTCTAGTTTTGATAAAATTTGTAGTATCCTTTAGTTTTAACAATAATTTAATTTAATATATACGTTCATATTGTGTGTATTTATACACACATATATAAACATGTTAAAAGTTATTAAAACTGGAGGAAATGGCTTTAAGCATATATTTTAACATTATAAGTACCACTACTAGTAACACTAATAAAAAAATAATAAACAACATATCATGCATGCATGTATTATTATGAAAGACAAATAGTAAAAATCCTAATTTAAACCAAAATAAAAACAAAGAAAAAGTAATAAAACAGGATGTACAGAGACCATATAACAAGTGATAGAGAACAAAATAAATATGCAGGAAACTTTAAAATAAAAGTTTGTAAAACATGATGACAATTTTCAACACAAGATATTTGTTTCAACAGTAAGCATACATGTGAACAATTTCATTCATTAAAAAAAGACATACGTTCATATTAGCCCCGTATCAACACCCAAATACATATCTGTAAGACAGGCATATGAGGAAGTCTCCTGTATTTTGCATATGTGTTTGAACTAACGTATTTATTAAAATAAAAATTCTTGGATTATTTTTAAATGCTGTTTTAAGATAGGAAATTGTTCTTGCTTTTTAACATATTGCAACATTTGGAAAATTACAGCTCACATCAAAGAAAAATCTACTTTATGTTTGGAATATAATAATAAAAGTCTGAACTCTTCCTTCTAACTCTGAACTTTCTGATAACATAGAATAGATGATTATCAGTTCTTGCTCATGATGAGGAGTAACTTGATGGCATCACGGGCTCAGAAGACCACATTCCTGCATTATTTTAAGGTTCTTTATTTAATATAATTGGTGGCTACAGGAAGCTTTAAACTAGGGCCTTGTTACAAACTCAATGGAATTTATAAAGGAATAGATTATGAGATTTTTAAATTACCATAAAAATGGAGGTTGTGACTTAAGAAGGCAATAAGGCAGCTTATTACCCATTACTGCCTTCACAAGATATAAATCCTCAAAGCTGAAAGGATGAAACCCAGAATTGCATAAAGCGCTAATGGCAAAATTAACTTCCATTCGAAAAAATAATTTTGGAGATGTAGTTGCTCATGCCTCCTATTCAAGAAGAAGAGAAATTAAATGTATAACTATGTTGAGACTTTTTCTAAGACCCTTGTGTGTAGGCTACTATGGTAGGCTGACCACTGGTACCCCAAAGATATCCCCTTCTTAATACCTATAACGTGAGTATTACCTTGTATAGAAAAAAAAGGACTTTGTAGATGTGACTACATTAATGATCTTGAAATGTGGAGGTTATCCTGGACTACCCTAGTGAGCCCAGTATAATCACAAAAGTTCTTAGATAGACTCAGAAGAAGTCAAAGAGAGAATACTCACATGAGAACAAGAGATTGAAATGATGTGAGAAAAAGGCCAAGGAATATAGGTGATCTAGAGAAGCTGAAAAAAAGCAAGAAAAAACATTCTTTTTACAGCACCTCTGAAAAGAACCAGACTTGTTGAAGCTTTGACTTTTTTCCCAGTGAGATTGATCTGAGAATTCTTATCTCCAGAACTATAAGAAAATAAAATTTGTTTTGTGTAAGTAATTAATCTTGGTACAGTGGTAGTAGAAAATGAATACAACTACTTAAACAGGGCTTAGGAGAGCTAACATGTCTCAGCCACAGAACTTAGGAGTTTTGTGACAAGTAATATCAAGTTAATGTAAGAATTTCTTTTTTAAAATCCAGCATTTGGGAGAGTGCTTGTAACAGCTAAGGTGATGTAAGTTAGAAAATAGTAATTACTTGGCTTTGTTCTTCAATGAATAAATAATTGAAAAAAATTTTAAATTTATCTCTTCGAACATATCACTCTTCTTTAAGAATCAAATAGCGATAATAAATGTAATGAAAACATTATAATAATAAAGTTAAATTAAGTTTTCAAATTCTTTCCTCCATAAAACCATTTCCTTTTGATACATGTCCAACATAGGAACTGGCATCCAAATTACTTATATTGAATCCTGACAAATATCTGCCCTGAAACTGAAGAGAAAAAAACTGAAGAGAAAAGCACTGATTAAGAATTTTGACAAAATCAAAATTCTTCCTAGAAGCTATATATTTCACATTCTATTCATATTATTATAATAATTTTATATGTGGAAGAAGCTGGCCAGTTATAAGGCTTTTTAAATATAAATATTTTAGAAATTTTGATATTTTGAAAATGTTTTGCTGTGAGCTGCTCTTATAGCATTTTAACTGACTTATAATTCCAGAAAATACTTGGAAACCTTGATAAACCCTATATTGCACAAAATAAAGATATAATAGAAGATCACAAACATTGATCACA
The DNA here is from genome assembly GCF_000001405.40 of Homo sapiens. NCBI lineage: Eukaryota > Metazoa > Chordata > Mammalia > Primates > Hominidae > Homo > Homo sapiens. The sequence continues at coordinate 58,799,079 of NC_000013.11, forward strand.
AACACAAACCTTAAAAGACATAAAGATCACAAATACTGACAAGCTATGGCTGCTTTTTGTTTGTTTGTTTTGTTTTTGGTTTGTTTGTTTGTTTTTTGAGACAGGGTCTCACTCTTGTCCCCCAAGCTGGAGTGCAGTAGCATGAGCTCAGTTCACTGCAACTTCTGCCTCCAGAGCTCAAGTGATTCTCCTGCCTTAGCCTCCCAAGTAACTGGTACTACAGGTATGTGCCACCACACCTAGCTAACTTTTGTATGGGACGGGGTTTCACCATGTTTCCCAGCCTGGTCTCGAACTCATGGCCTTAAGTGATCCTCCCACCTGGGTCTCCCAAAGTGCTGGGATTACAGGCAGTGAGCCATCGCTCCTGGCCACATGTTTTTTCTTTCTTTCTTTCTTTCTTTCTTTTTTTTTTTTTTGAGATGGAGTCTCACTCTGTCGCCCAGGCTGGAGTGCAGTGGCGCGATCTCAGCTCACTGCAAGCTCCACCTCCCAGGTTCACGCCATTCTCCTGCCTCAGCCTCCCGAGTAGCTGGGACTACAGGCGCCTGCCACCACGCCCGGCTAATTTTTTTTGTATTTTTAGTAGAAATGGGGTTTAACCGTGTTAGCCAGGAAGGTCTCGATCTCCTGACCTCCTGATCCTCCTGCCTCGGCCTCCCAAAGTACTGGGATTACAGGTGTGAGCCACCGCGCCCAGCCTTTCTTTTTTTAATGTAATATATGTATATAGTTTTAAAAACTCTAACAGTACAAAGGCTGCGTGATGAAAAAATCAGTCTTCTTGTCATCCTGACCCTACTCTCCTCTCTAAAGGCAGACACTCCAGTCAGCCTGCTAAGTATCACACAGAGATATTCGGTGCTCATACTTAGAGAATACATGTATATCCTCTGCCCTTCCATTTTTACGTCTGTGATACTCTCACATTCATCTACATTGCTTGTTTGTTTTAAATAATATGTTTTGCAGGTCATTCCTTTATCAGCTTTTATAGGCTTGTTCATTCTTTTTAATGGAAACGCCATATTTTCAATTTATAACATATCATTTATTTAATCAGTTATGTGTGCATGTGTGTTTGTGTGCGTGGGTGTGTGTAAAAGATCATTGATCACAGAGATAACTCAAAAAAGAATTAGGAAAATACATAAAAAATTTTTGTTACAGCTAATGTTAGTTACTTCAGTGAGTACTACCTACTAAAGAAAGCATGAAAAGGACAGCAAGTTACATTTGTTCAAGTTCATGTGTTTATTGTAGGTTACATTTGCAGATTTGAGTCATTTCTCTTCTTTAACTTGTGCGATAAATTACTTACTATTGCACTGAGCAATAAATACTGGGATGATTAATATGTTATTTCTCATATTGATATTGAACATTGATGTCTAGAACTCAGTTCCAATTGATTATATCTTAATTTAAAATTATTCGTCTTTTGCAAAATGTAACTTGAATACATAAGTCATAAAAATAGATTATTACATTGTCTCTAATTTCTATTACTTTTTTCTGGGTGGTGTTTTAATAACTGCTTTTACGCTTTTCTGTAATGACAGTGCCAAGAAGAATAGAAAAACTGATAACAATTTTGAAGATCATCTTAGAATAAATTCCTCTATTACACATATTATAGTCCCAGATTCAATTCCATATATTGAACAAGCTACTATAAAGTTTATACTATAAAATACATTTTTATTTCATTTGATTTTATTTTATGAAAAACAGAGAAAAGGTATTATCAAGTTTTGACTGTTAAATGTGTGAACATATAAGAAAATCAGAAATATCCAAGGTCAAAATTAGAATTTCCCCTTTACCAATTGATTAATCATGAGTAATTTATGCACTGAACCTCCATTTATTAATATGTAAAATTCAATTAATAATATGCATACCACAAAATTATGTGACAATAAGATAATTTAAGATACAGAAATATTTTTATTGTTCAATTCAGGAGAGATTGACGACTCTGTCAGCCACTGTACTAGACAGATATTGGTGACTGTTACTGTTAATGATGTAGGCCAAACAAAAATATAAATATGTCAGTAGATTTATTTGTAATGAAAATAATGTAGTATTAAAAGAGTGATTACCTAGGATCTAGCTATGGTTTGCAAAATCTCTAATTGTGTGAATTTGTGATGTCTGAGCTTAAGATTCTTATTAAATAGAAAGACTGTATCAGCTGATCTCTAAAATTTCATCATGCATATTATTAAATTAACTAGTAACATTCACAAATAATAATATATAGGTACCTATGTTGAGTGTGAAAATAAACAATTTCAGGGTGACTTTTAGGCCTTTCTCTCCCATGAGTAGAGTGAGAATAGTATGTAAAGTTTACGGTTTATAAAGATCAGGAAACAGCAGTTCTTGGTTATGATAATTGTCATGGAGAAAAGTAGTCAATTTTACTCAAAATTGTTGTCAACTACCTTTGAGAGTCAGCATTTTAAAATTAATGCTTGAAGCAATTATATGGAAGTAGTGGCATAATAATGTATATCAAACAAGTCGGAAGGAAGGAAGGAAAACGAAGGGAGGAAGAAAGAATGAGAGAAGAAAGAAAGAAAAAGAAAAGAAAGGAAAGGAAGGAAAGAAGGGAAAGAAGAAAGAACAAAGGAAAGAAAGAGAAAAGAAAAGAAAAAAGTAGAGGAATAAAGGAGAGAAAGAGATAGGGAAGAGGGAGGGATAAAGAGGGAGGAGCAGAAGAAGGGAAAAGGAAGGAAGAAGGAAAGGGAAGGAGGGAAGGAAGGAAAGGGGAACGAGGGAGGTAGGGAAGAAAGTAGGGAGGGAGGGAGGAAAGAAAGGAAGAAAAGTTTACGATGTATCTTTGAGCTGTCAAAATGAATTTGAAAAGTACAAGGTTTCTATTCAGGTAATGTAGATAGTAATCCTATGTACTAAAATTATCCTCAAAAAATGAGTCAAGGAGGCCTCAGAATGTACATTGAGAAATTACCTCACAAAAAGGGCACTGAGCCAGTAAAACATAATTGAGTTTAATAAAAGAAAAGAGGTTGAAAAATAGCAGATTAACCACAGAATTGAAAAGGGAAATAAATTCTGCCCATTTTTCAATCTTGCTTTTTTTTTTCATTTTGAGAAGGATAATATGAAAAATCGTTCGTTTTCTAAATCAATTATGTTTTAAGCTTAGCCAGTCTGCCTGCACAATGACATTTATGTGTTGAGATGGCCTTGTATTAATAGGCAGAAATTGTAAATGCTTATAAACTGGGCATAAGAAGCATTATTTTCTTACTGTTTTGGAACCACCGCTTTCCACCCTCAGTCCCCAAGATGTTTGTATCAGAGAATTTTCTACTTGTTTCGTATATTTGTTTGCCCAGAAATAAAATCATAATTTCTTTTGAACTAAGTTCATATACAGTAATGTAGTTTTGGTTAGCCAATCTATAATTTATACCTGTGTATACATAGATTTTATTCTAATATGTGTGCATAAACATGAGCATTGATTCTTCAATTCTCTTTAAATTATCCTTATTAATAAAAGAGAGCCTTTGGTTCTCTTTTTTTGGGAAAAAAATGTATAGTCTCAAATCTAAATTTAATGGAAAATAAAAGTCAGAAATAAAGCTCTGTTTGTATTAAATTTCATTGAATACAATTTTTAAAGAAACAGCAGAAACTTCTTTTGTCTTCAAGTAGTAATACCATACCCTAAATTAAATTATTTATTCATTCTATAAGATTATGGAACTAAGAACTGAAGGATTCTAGAGACAAATCTTGGGAATGACTAGGCAGGCTGCTATATCACATCTACGGTAAATGAAGATTATGGGGTTTTAGAATCATTTGGGTATCATCTAAAATAATTTTCTGAGTTTGTAACTTCTTTTCTCTACTCACGGGAATACAGATAGTAATAATTATCTCCAATTTCACTTACTTTGAAAACATATTTTCTTGTCACTCTCTCCTGATTAACTATGAATATATCTGGCATATTCATTTCCATAAATATAACAGATGAACTTTTGTTGGTATTTTAAAATATTTTTTCATGTCGCCATATTCCTTTCTGAACATTTATAAATGACAGACATTCATATCAACTGAATTGTATTGTATAGTGACCATCACAGGTTTTTATTCAGATCTGAATACAGATCAACATTAAAAATAAGAGGAGAAGCTGAGAACCATGTAAAACTCTGTAAAGGGCTACAATAATGCATAGTTATTGTCGAAGTCTTCACAGTACCTCTGTCCATTCTGGCTGCTATAACAAAATACCATAGACTGGGTGCCTTATAAACAACAAAAACTTACTTCTCACAGTTCTGGAGGCTAGGAAGTCCAAGATCAAGGTATCAGAAGATTCCGTGGTTGGTGAGGACCTGCTTCCTAGTTCACACAGGGCTGTATTCTTCCTGTGTTCTCACTTGGAGGAGGAGGCAAGGCTGCTTTCTGGGGTCTCTTTTATAAGGGCTCTAAACCTGTTTATGAGGTCTGAGTCCTAATTACTAAATCACTTCCTGAAGGCCTTACCTTCTAATACCATCACTTTAGGAGTTAGAATTTCAATATATACATTTGGAAGGGACACAAACATTCAGTATATAGCAGTACCACACAAACGTGTTTGCGAGTAGAAGGTACCCAATAAATAAAGTTAGATAAGTGAATAAAAGAATAATGTATTTAATAACAACTGAAATTAGACATACTAGTTTTTTGTAATAAAGCATACATTGCAATAGAGGTATGAATATGTAAAAATTCTCATTTTCCCTGTTTTTGGTAGGTTTTCGAGGGTAAAATTGTAATATGTTAATTTAAAAATATGAAACTCAGAGTATAATAGATAAAACAGCTAATTTCATTAATTGAAGCATTTAAGAAGGGAAAAGCATTTAAACTGTGTTAGTGGAAGGTCAACATAAGCCTGCTTTGTCTGGGTATAGACTTCACTGCTGTGTGGTCTTGTGTGTGTGTGTGTGTGTGTGTGTGTGTGTGTGAACTCATCTTAGGCACTGTGAACTATACACACATGTATACACATAACACATACACCAACATAGTGAAAGATATAAAGAGTGAAACAAGTGTCTTGGTAAGTGTGTTTTATTTTACATGGACATTTTTATTTAAGAAAAAAAGCTTATTAAGAATCTAGCAAGCTTATTTAAGCAGGAATTAGTGAGATTAGATCAAGAAGTAAATTAAAACTAAAAAGTAGCTTAGAAATCTGTCTTGGCAAACACATCAAAAGGTAAAAATTTTTAAAATGGGCAGTCAGAAAGTAGATGGAAAATTAAGCAAGATAAAAATTTTTAAATCATCTTTCACAGATCGACAGAAGGAAACTAGAGAAGAATAATGTGAAGAGGCTTCTTGCACATAGTCCGTTACTTCTAGGATGATACACTGAAAATGCAATGTCTTTGGTTGTGGAAAAGGATCCAACAAAACTGTATGGATTTCACTGGGCAGGGAAACATAGCTGTTATTTAAATTGTCAAACTTTAGGGATCCTTTTCAAAAGTAATCTCTGATTTATTTTCCCTGAAGAATATGTCAGAAAAGAGATCTTCAACTTATAAAAAGAATAGCAATGTAAATATTTCCCTTTTTTGGCTCATTTTTCATGTATATATCTTTTTTCTGTTCTTGTTTGTTTACTGTTTGTTTCTTTTTTATACAGTAATGGTGTCAATTTTAATAGCTGTTATCTGATGTGGAAATCCGTATGAGATGTGACAGTTTCAGTAAATGGCAATAAAATCATGACATAAATCTTCACATAATGAGAACACTCACTATTCCTCCCATACTTAGAGTGGAGAACAGGGACCTCTGTTTTCTAGTTGGAAGCTATGTGAAATGCTGTGATGATCAGATATTTGCTGTTGCTGAACCAGTTGTTATTCTAGAAATGAGGAAACAGCTTGACAAGATGGTCCTGGAAGATAACTGCTCCCTCACCAAGGGCAGAGGAACTGATGTCACTGTCAAGGTCACAGGGGACAATCTGGACCACACTGTCCCCTAATATGTTCATCAATGTATTAGATTATCTTAGTTTATAATTTAGGACCAAATACATCTCTTATGGAAACATTAGCACCATGTCTTTTGATGTGGATTAAGACATGATTCAGAGAAAATTCTGTTGCAGAAGTCATTGACACAAACAATAGTCTTTCATGGTCTTATGACAGCAACATTTATATGCATTTATGAAACTTCCATAATCATTGCTCTATATAATTAATGTTTTCTTAGAAAATAAAATCATGTCACTATAGGCAAATTTTATTTTAACTTTGAACAATTCAATAGCATTTATTCTGTGTTTACTAGGCGCAAGAACCTGTGCAAAATAATATGTAAGAAAAAGAAATGAAAATCATGGATCCTAGCTTAAAGGAGATTAAATTCATTGAGGTAAAAATACCTTTAGGCACACCTACCCACACACTAAAAACAGTACACAAACTAAAATAATAATAATACAGTTCGGATTGTGAAAGTCTTTGTTTACTCTTTAAACTGAATCACTAAAATTAGAAAGTGTCTAAATTTAGCCACATATGAGTAAATATTAGTGTAAATACTAAATAAACTTGCAAAGTAACTTGGAACATCTATTAGTGCTATTCTTATAATAGTTTGCCAGCCATTTAAATAATGAAATTTTTAGTACAATTTGCAGTTGATCTTATAATTTTGAAAAATGGATCATTCATACAATAGATTTAAAAGCTTTTGAGGTGTTAGGATGTGCACCATAGCAAGTCACACATTAATGTTAATGTATGCATTTTGGAACAATGCATTATGTCATTGATTTATGTATTATGTCAATGAGACTTACATATTTTATTTACTGCATAATTTATGATATCAGGTAACAAAATATTACTACCTCATGTTTCTGCTACCATATGATTAAAACAATTTACAGTTTTCCAGTTGCCTTCCAAACCAATGTTTCTGTAAATTTCTTTTGATTTATTTGGTTTTCAAAGGCATTTCCTGCTTTAATTTATTTTTATAACTTTACTAAGAGAGAAATGAATATGAATTATTCCTTTTCTTTTTCCTATTGATTATCTCCTACTTATTCTCCCTTCCATTCATTTAGATTCTTCATTTTCTGATTGTCTAGACACCATTCTTTTAGTGCTACTACTTTTACTAAATTTAAATTTCACCTCCTCTAAAGCATTTTTTCGCTTTAGAGGCCAGGGCCTCTTGACATTTATCCTTTTCATCAGAATCCTTTTATCATTTGCTATGGGTTGGCTCTGCCATTTCTCTTTCCTCTCTCTTTCTACTGCTAATAGGAGAATAGTACCATATGTATTTCTATACTACGTTTTTCCTCCTTATCACTTTCTGAAGAGTGTCTAACATTCACTTGCTGTGTTAGAAAAGAGCTTGAACAAAGAAAGAGGAAAAGCCTACAGCTGATGGCCTTCCAGCAGGATTATAAAATCATTGCTAGAATGAGAAGCCAGCTGTTGCCATGGCATTTTGCCTAGCATCGTTGAATCAGGTGTCTTCTTTGTGAATGGAGAATATTGGCATCTTAATACCATAGGTACAAGTCACATATGTTGCATGTACCTGTAATGTCTGGGAGCTACTTGAATGAAATTGTGGTCACTCACCAGGAATCAGACATCTGATTTCAACCCTGCCTCTGTCAGTGAAAATATACATATATTGGCACAGATAATTAGTTCAACTGTGTTTCATTTTACCCAGTGGCAATCAGCATTAGTGACACATACTTCAGTTAATTGTTGAGGCACTTTCCTTGCTTTTGAAACCTGCACCCTTTGTTAGCATCGGTGTGCACTGAAAATGATGATATTTGGAGTTTGTTAGACAAGCAAAGAAAAAAAATTACAAGTTTGACATATAAAGTTCTCGAATATTTTCTAAATAAACATATTGTCATCAAGCTTCATAAATGACACATAATCACTGAAATAAGCACAACTGAAATTGCACATGTAATTTAGTTTTTTGACAAAAAATAAACAAGTACATTCTCAAGATTATTACGTGACAAGTTGCCTATTACTAAAAAAAAAAAACTTTGGTGTTTAAGAAGGTGTTGATAATAATAGTTTTAAGTTTGAATGGTTATGTCACCATCTGAGCAATAGATATCATGGGATGATGAAAAAGCTTATTCCCCTTATTTCTTCTTCTTCCTCTTTTTTTTTTTTTTCTTTTTTGAGATGGAGTCTCACTCTGTCACCCAGGCTGGAGCACAGTGGTGTGATTTCAGCTCACTGCAACCTCGGCCTCCCAGGTTCAAGCGATTCTCCTGCCTCAGCCTCCCGAGTAGCAGGGATTACAGGAACACACCACCACAGAGTACAGACAATGTTTCACCATATTGGCCAGGATGGTCTCGAACTCCTGACCTCAGGTGATCCACCCATCACGGCCTCCCAAAGTGCTGGGATTACAGAAGTGAGCCACTGCACCTGGCCTCGTTCCCCCTACTTCTGAGCACTCAGAGGAACTCAAATTTTGATGGAGAGAAAGGGACAAACATATTCCACTGAAGATACTGGATATGTGTACACTCCTTGGTGACCTAGAATCACTGCTCCTTACCTGGATTCAATCTTAACAAATTATTTATAAGATAAAGAGAAATGACAGTTGATTGTGTTAGTTGCTATATGGTAGAAGGTAGAAAAGCTTAAGAAAATTTAACTTCATTTTCCCTTCAGTAAAATAATATCTATTAAAAATAAATAATAAAATAAAATTTAGTATAAAGACATTTGTTAGAAAAAAAGTACTTAGCATTAGTATTCAGAAGCTACATAGCATATTTATTTATCCACTTTAAGCATATTTCAGATGGCTGAGCACACATCTCATGGTCTCACATTCAAGCCACAAATTTATGCAATATGTTCTGTTAATTTAATTGACTAATACTGTACATTTCTGAAAGTATTTTCTTTATGTCAATGTAGTTTTAAAGATTTATTCTGCTTCATCAAGGGCTCTCTGTATCTATTCAGTGAATAGTTTATTTTCTCTCATTGGATAACTCCTTTCAAAAATTTCCCACTTTTTTATTCAAAATAATTGCAGTTAAATATGTCCAAGTTGAATTATTTTTTCATTACATGTCTACGATAGTGAAATAAGGAAGATTCTCCAAAAATAACCTTGGGAGATCACTTTTGGTTCACTAGAGGAAACTGGAAGTGGGGGATATTGCTTTTCCCAGTAGGAAGAGTTACATGCAAACAGGGCAAAATCCCATGGCCCACAAGGCATTTAACTCCTGTAGAGAGAGCTGGTAAGGAGCTTCATTTCAGACAATCCCTAATGTAAAAAGTGTGTGCAGAGTTATAAAGTATAAAAAGTGAGATTTTTTTACAAAGTAGATTATTGGGGAACATAATTAGACAGGACTAACCAGGAAGGCAGATTTGATTTAGAAAGGGTGGGGTCAGTACTCCTTCAGGGACCTGGTTATCCAAAGATTTTTTTTTAATCCTTTTCACAGCAATCTGTTGTTCTTCTTGGATAACAGCCAGCCAGCACCCTGTTCATTCTCTACTGAAAATGTCACATTCCCATAGATTCCCTATGAAAAGTAAATCTTCAAGAAGTAGAATTTCCATGTAGAAACAAAGACACACACTTAGATCCCAAGAGATCCCTAAACCAGCTACTCTCCTGAGTTGATAAGGCTTCAAACTGATCTTCTCTTCTCTTTCCACCTTTTGCCCAAAGAAACTTTCTCTTTTACCCAATATCTTATTCCATATAAAATTATAGAATTTGTCTTCAGTCATTTTCATGGTCATAGTTAGACACAGAAAGGACTCCCATGAATGATGTGATAACTGTGAAAAGATGTACCTATTCAACAGTGAGAAAATTAGAATCGGGGTCAAACATGTTTTTGATAGTCTCTTTAGTTCATTCATTCAATGCCCTCCATATGAAGATAAGACCAAAGCTTCTAAAGTTCTCTATGATCCCTGCTGTGAGTTGTTGCCATATATTTATTTTCAACTAGTAAATTTCGTGAAGTTTTCTTTGGATTTTCTTCTTGAACAAATAAATCCATTTCACCAAGGCAAAGCGATCCTAAAAATTAAGGAACTGTGTTGAAATATTCATATTCTGGAGAAAATTGATCCTGGGGAAAAGTAAAACCTATTGCTGTGTTATATGTGTAATGAGTAGGTAACGTATCAAATTAAAAAGTGTTAGCAGTTTATTATAGCTGAGCAATCACTGAATTGAAAACAAAACATTTTCAATTCAGTGATTGCTTTTCATAAACATTAAGGACATGACCTGGAGATAAGAAGATAAGACATTATAAAATCCAACATCAGATTTCAAAGGCTTTTGCTGGCTAGGGTGAAGCTTTTTGTCTTTCTCTTTGTTGTTTTGTTGATCAACAATGTAATCCAAAGGAAACTGTAAGTAACATCCAGTGTATTTTGTTTTAAACACATATCGTGCATATAATTTATTGATTTTGCCTAATACTTCATTTAATCCCTGTCTTTTCTCCTTCTCTATGCTTACTGCTAAATAACATCCCACATAGCACCTGGCACATGGCGTGCTCTCAATAAATAATTATTAACTGAATTTGCTACTTAGAAAATTTAGTATTATCAAGTCTCGCATGGAAAAAAATGGATGACATGTTTTAAAAGTAATATAAAATGTAAGTTTCTCTATTCTTGAAATATGATAATGCTTCATTTCTCCCCATCTTGTTATATTTCTAGCGGAGATGACCTGGAAATTGCAGAAGCTTCATGAAAGTCAAGATTGCCTCTAAATAGGATGAAGAAGTATAGAAATGAAGCCAAGATGTCTGTTGTAAACATTACTTAGTAATCGTAAGAAAGCTCCAATTTTAAGAGTTTATTTTCCATCCTGCAAAATAATGTACCTGTGCTCAAATCAAAACGTTAGAATCAAATATCTCACTGTCAGTACCATTTGTAAAACTGTCATCTCACTGTACTAACCATGGAGTTTGATGCTATGACTGTGGAGACAAAAGCCAGCATTCCTTTCCTCAAAAGTTATCTGACTGAATTCCCACAAATATAGTTCAGAAAGCAAGCAGAAATAGGTGACATGCACTGAGAGGGGTCATTGTAGAAGCTCATGAAAAGATAACCTAACCCACGTTGAAGGTATAATGGAAACTCTTCTGTGAGAGGTAATATTGGAGCTCAATACTTAAGTATTTGTAAGAAATACCCAGATATAGGAGAGAGAATGTACATTTCAGATAAAGCAATGTGTAAAAATACTGAGATGTTTGATTAACATATGTTGTGTTTGCATTTGAACAGCTGCAAGTTGCTCAGCATGTGTCATTAAGGTGCCTGTGAGGAAAGTAATCAACAGGGCTGGAAAGTTAGGCAACAGTGAGCGGTAAAGGTCTTATTAATTCAAGAACTATGAAAATATAACAGAGGCCATGATGATTCAAAATTTCTATGTGGAAATATTTTAGGAGTGTCAAACTTGAATACACAGGGAGGTACTGTTAAGGTATTATTTGGAAGATAAGCTTGCATATTAAACATTCTGTTCTTAGAATATCTGTTTCTTTTTCTGCCAGATTTGGGAAGATCCTGACTTTATATGATATTGATACAGCCACTCTTTGTTAGGATTATTCTTTAGATAGTATGTCTTTTCCTATTATTTTACTTTCACCAATATGTCTTCATTTTTATTGTTTATTTCTAGTAGACAGGAAGTGCATCGTTGTGTTTTTTTAATACAATCTATCCCTTTTAACTGGACTGTTTAGACCACTTATATTTAGTGATATGGTTCGATTTAAATGTACCATCATGCTCTATGTGTTATGTTAGTCCCAACTGGCCTTTGTTCCTTATTTCTTTTTCTCTGCCATATTTTATCAAACAAGACTTAATTATTATTTTAGATTGAGGGGATACATGTGCAGGTTTGTTACACGGGTATATTGTGTGATGCTAAGGTTTGAGCTTCTAATGATCTCATCATCCAAGCAATGAACAAAGTACCCTATAGGTTAGTTTTTCAACTCTTCTCCCCTCTCTCCCTCCATCCTTTTGGAATCCCCAAAAGAGGATTTCTGCTTGCTTTCTGAACTATATTTTTGGGAATACAGTCAAAGAACTTTTGAGGAAAGGAATGCTGGTTTTTGTCTCCACAGTCATAGCATCTGTTCCCATCTAGCATTGTTGCCATCTTTGTGTTTGTGAGTACCCAACGTATTTGGTTTTCTGTTCCTGCATTAATTTATTTAGGATAATAACCTCTAGCTTCATACATGTTGCTGCAAAGGACATGATTTTGTTTTTGTTTTTTTATGACTGTGTAGTATTCCTTGGTGTATATGTGCACATTATCTTTATCCAATTCACCGGTGATGGGCAGTTGGGTTGATTCCATGTCTTTGCTACTGTGAATAGTGCTACAATGCACATATGACTGCAGGTGTCTTTTCAGTAGAACGATTTATTTTCATTTAGATATATACCCAGTTATAGAATTCCCGGGGTAAATGACAGTTTTACTTTTAGTTCTTTGCAAAAATCTCCAAACTTCTTTCCACAGGATCTGGACTAATTTGCATTCTCACCAGCAGTGAATGTGTTCCCTTATCTCCGCAACCTTGCCAACATTTGTTATTTTTTTGACTTCATAATAATAGCCATTCTACTGATGTGAGAGATGGTATCTTGTGGTTTTGATTTGCATCTCTTTAATGATTAATGATGCTGGGCATTTTTTTTCATGTTTGTTGGCTGCTTGTGTATCTTCTTTTTTGAAGTGTCTATTCATGTCCTTTGCCAACTTTTTATTTGAGTTAATTTTTTTCTTGTTGATTTTAAAGAAGATTCCTGGATATTTAATTTTATCTCTTCTATTGACTCAATTCACCTTTTAATTTTATTTTAGCAAATTCTCTAGAATTTACAACATATATGTTATAATATTGTTCTATGTTATATATAATATAGTCTTCTGCTTCATGTATAATTTATGTACCATATAACGATATGCTTCAATTTTCTCTCCTCCTGTCTTTTCTTTTTTTGTTGTTGTTGGGTTTTATTTATTTATCTTTGTTTTTGTTTTATTTTCTTCTCTCCTCCTGTCTTTTGTGATAGTACCCTCATATGTTTTTCTTTCAATATATGTTATGAACCCCACAATGCATTGCTTCTATGTTGTTTAAGGTCAAACTTTTACAATAAATTTTAAAAATGAGAAAAAAATTATTTTATGTTTACCTATGCCTTTATATTTCTGGGCCATGTCTTAGTTGTCTAGGTCTTAGTTTCATTTCCAGTTGTTTTCCTTCTGCCCTTCACATGTGAAGGTTTGTTATGTAGGTAAACATATGTCATGGGGGTTTGTTGTACATATTATTTCATCACCCAAGTATTAAGCCCCAGTACCTAATAGTTATTTTTTCTGCTCCTCTCCTTCCTCCCACACTCCCTCCCCAAGTCGGCTCCAGTGTCTGTTGTTTCCTTCTTTGTGTTCATAAGTTCTTATCATTTAGCTCCCACTTGTAAGTAGGAACGTGTGGTATTTGATTCTCTGTTTGTGTGTTAGTTTGCTAGGGATAGTAGTCTCCAGCTCCAGCCATGTTCCTGTGAAAGACATGATCTCGGTCTCTTTCTATGGTTGCATAGTTTTCCATAGTGTATCTGTACCATGTTTTCTTTGTCCAATCTGTCATTGATGGGCATTTAGGTTGATTCCATGTCTTTGTTATTGTGAATAGTGCTGCAATGAACATTCACATGCATGTGTCTTTATGGTGAAAACAAATTATGGTGGGAACACATTTTTGCAGTATACAAATATTCTCAACAGATTCTCTCAGTAATTGTGTCTGAAAAAAGTGTTTATTATTCCTTGATTTTTATGGATATTTAGTCAAATATTCTATAGAATCCTGATTTAACAGCTTACTTTTTAAGCCCTTTAAGGATGTGGTACCATTGTTATTTGCTCTGCAGTTTTTAAAAATAAAAAGCAGCACATGCGATTTTTGTAGTTGTTCCTTTTTACATAATGTGTGTGGATTTTCTTTTCTCTGTCCCTTTGTTTATTTTTTATGATGTTTTTCTTTATCATTAGTTTTTAATGTCTTTACTATAATTCAACTAGGTATTATTTTTTATGTTGATCTTGCCTAAGCTTCTTAAATATGTTGGATTCAGATTTTCATGAAATTTGAAAATTTTTTGTTCATGTTACTTCAAGTAACTTTTCTCCCATTTCCTTCATATCCTTTCCTTCTGGAATTCTCACTAAACCAATGATGGGTTATTTGTTACTGTACTACGGGCAAACAAGATTTTGTTTTGCTGGATTTTTGGCATTTTTTGCTAACTATATTTTAATTTAAATTGTTTTCATTGCCCTTTATTCAGGTTCATTGGCTTGATCAATTTTTTTTCTGTAGTTTCTAATCTGCCATTCAGCCATAAGGTTTTTATTTCACATTTTGTATTTTTCAGGTCTAGAATTTTCATTTGGCTCTTTCTTATAGTTTTTGTTTCTACTTTGATTACATTCATATTTTTTCCAAGTCATATATATACATACACACATGCACACACATATACACACACATATATGTGTGTGTATGTGTGTGTGTATATATATATATACTGAAGTCCATTAATTCTTATTTCATCATTTCTGTCATTCATGAGTTTTTATTCTATTCAGTGACTTTCCTTCTGGTTATAGGATACAAGTTCTTGCCTTATCACATATCTAAAAATTGTGCACTGAGTATTGTAAATATTGTTGAGTATCTGGATTTTATTTTCTTTTAAAAAGAGTGTTGAGTTTTGGTTTGGCAGGCACTTTATTTGATCAGTTTGATCCTTTTGAGATTTATTTTTCAGCTTTGTGAGGAGGAGTATAAAATACCTTTTTGCCCTAGGACTAGTAGTTGTACACTATATCTATTTTGAGGCCTTTCTGGAATATCTACTGAATGTCGTATATATTCAGCAGGATCTCTACACACAAGTTGTTCATATCATGAATTCTCTCAACCCTATGAGATCTAAGAATTCTATAGGTGCCAGTTCCTTTTCAGTTAATCTTTTCCTGGTAGATATTATTTGCCTGTCTACATTCTACACACATGTAGCTTAGAATTAAGACCAAGGTTGAAGGGAATCTAGTACAGATTTCTGGGTTTTGTTTGTTTGTTTGTTTTTTGAGAAGGAGTCTTGCTCTGTCACCCAGGCTGGAGTGCAGTGGTGCAACCTTGGCTTACTGCAACCTCCGCCTCCCGGGTTCAAGCAATCCTTCTGCTCAGCCTCCCCAGTAGCTGGGATTACAGGTGTACACCACCATGCTCAGCTAATTTTTGTCTTTTAATAGAGATGGGTTTTCACCATGTTGGCCAGACAGGTCTCAAGCTCCTGACCTCAAGTGATCTGCCTGCCTTGGCCTCCCAAAATGCTGGGATGACAAGCTTGAGCCACCATGCCCGGCCCTCTAGTGCAGATTTCTAGAGTAATCACTCTAGAAATCTGCTCCTAAAAGTCCA
Source organism: Homo sapiens (assembly GCF_000001405.40). Lineage (NCBI taxonomy): Eukaryota > Metazoa > Chordata > Mammalia > Primates > Hominidae > Homo > Homo sapiens. The sequence goes on from NC_000013.11 coordinate 58,814,686, forward strand.
ACTATCTAATCTTTCTTAACTTTTATCTCTTTCCCAGCCCCGCAAGACTGCAAAGGTCTGGTTGGATTCACTCTTTCTGTGTTAGGGATGTGGTAAATGCTCCCAGGTTTTAAAAAAAAGAGATGATCATATGGTTAATCTCTTTTTTTCCCTCATGGAACACAGACCTGTGCAGTCTCTTTATTTCAGTATATGAAAATAGTTATTTCATATATTTCTTTCACTATTGTTGTTCTGACAGAAAAGCTAGTTTAATATTAGTTACTCTATCATGGCTGGATGTAGATATCCTAGTTTATAGATAGATAGATATCCTAGTCTATATAGATATGTATGTAAATGTCCTAGTCTATATGTGTGTGTGTGTGTGTGTATGTGTATATATATATATATATGTAGCTTAAAAAGTAAGCTGTGAAATCAGGATTCTATAGAATATTTGACTAAATATCCATATATGTGACTATATATAAAACTATGTATTATATATAACTGTAATATATAATAGTTTTATATGTATTTATACATAGTATATAATATATAGTTTCATATATGTTTTTATATATTATATATAATATATAGTTTTTTATATATAAAAGTTTTATATATATGTTTTTATATATATAAAAGTTTTATATATAAGTTTTTTATATATATAAAACTTTTATATATATGTTTTTTATATATATAAAAGTTTTATATATATATATTTTTTTATATATATAAGTTTTATATATATACTTTTTATTTTTGAGACAGAGTCTTGCTGTGTCGCCCAGGCTGGAGTGCAGTGGCACGATCTCGGCTCACTGCAAGCTCCGCCTCCCGGGTTCACGCCATTCTCCTGCCTCAGCCTCCCAAGTAGCTGGGACTACAGGTGCCCACCACCACGCCTGGCTAATTTTTTTTGTATTTTTAGTAGAGACGGGGTTTCACCATGTTAGCCAGGATGGTCTCGATCTCCTGACCTCGTGATCCACCCGCCTCGGCCTCCCAAAGTGCTAGGATTACAGGTGTGAGCCACCGAGCCCAGCCTAAATATTTTTTTTGAGATGGAGTCTTGCTCTGTCACCTGGGCTGGAATGCCGTGGCATGATCTCGGCTCACTGCAGCCTCCGCCTCCTGGGTTCAAGTGATTTCCCCTGCCTCAGCCTCCCAAGTAGCTGGGATTGCAGGTGTCTGCCCCTACAACTTTTGTATTTTCAGTAGAGACAGGGTTTTGCCATGTTGGCCAGGCTGGTCTCGAACTCCTGACCTCAGGTGATCCACCTGCCTTGGCCTCCCAAAGTGCTGGGATTACAGACGTTAGCCACCCCACCCAGCCTAATCAACATATTTTAGTTAGCTCTCCTTCCAAGTGTTTGAGGGCTAGAATTTGGCTTTTAATTATTTCACGTATTTATTTTTAGTACCCAGTAGAGTAGTTGTCAGATTGCCTGAGACTCTATAAGTAAAAATATTAATGTTTATCTCTGAAAATAGACTGGGTTAAAGGTATAGATTTATATGTGTTTCATATACAGGTGTTTTAAGATATTTTTGGTGTGTTTTAAGACATAATCTAATTATTAAGAAAGTATTGTTTCTCAATTATATATGCAAAACATCTGGCAGTATTAATAGAGAATATTTCCCATTACTTAATTGTAGCTGATACTTTTTTGTCCTTTTCTAATATGTGTTCTTTGTTCTCTATCTAGTTGCCTCTGTGTTCTGCTTGATCAGCATTTGCTTATCAGTCCACTGTAAGAGGACTGATGCATCCAGTTCACTTTGAGGGTCTAACCACATCTTGTTAGCACCCAGTCAGGAATGTATTATTAGACTCACTTGTTGGACAGAAAATAAATGCCACGACAGCACCCATACAATTTTTTAACAAATATTATCTATGATACATGCTCAAATTGTAATATTAAAAATGTTAACACCGCTCTTGCCTAGGCTATACCTTTGTAGTTTTTTGTTTTGCTTTCATTTCAAGTCCTTTTTTGCTCCAGAAGGAGGAGGCTTCATAGTCATGAATTTGCATAAATTTGTAATAAATTTCTTCTTTTCTTTACCTTTTTATGAATTCTGAAATTAATAACTTCTGAGCATAATGCATCCACAAATAACTCTGCTTTCCCAATATATGTAAATATATAGAGTTACTTTCATCTTTTCCGGTTATACCAGAAAGAAACTTAAGCTTTAAATCACATGTTTCTAGAACCACTTATTTTAGTTCACTTTTTTGGACTCTGGCAGTATCCAGTTTTGCTCTTTTGCTTACATTTACTCAATAGATTCTTAGTTGTAGTAATAGACAAAGGATTAAATACACTGCTTACAAGATTTGGAATCATATAGACCTATCTTCACTTAATAGCTGTGCAATTATAAGTAAATTGCACAGTCTTTCTATCTCTCAGAATTCTCACCTTGAAAAGAGTACATAAGACTGCTATGAGAGTCACTTCTTGGCATTTTGGCTAAGATCAAGTGAAGACTACTATGAGAATTCAAAGGAGCATGCATGCTTTAGAGTTCCAACAATTGCAGCAACTCCTAGCATGTGGTGGGCTTTCAATAAATACCATACATAATGATGCTTCTGTTATTCTTTCTCATCCATCAATTACAAAAGTTTTGTGGTGACTGTGGCTTCAAGAGGAACAAAGTTATCTTTGTATCAAGAAAACTTTCTTGGCCATACTTTCAGACATTTAAAATCTGGGTACCTACCAGGGGACTTTTGAAAGTATCAACACAGGCGGGGCACAGTGGCTCACGCCTGTAATCCCAGCACTTTGGGAGGCTGAGGCGGGCGGATCACGAGGTCAGGAGATCGAGACCATCCTGGCTAACATGGTGAAACCCTGTCTCTACTAAAATACAAAAAAATAAAAAATTAGCTGGGCGCGGTGGCGGGCGCCTGTAGTCCCAACTGCGCCGGAGGCTGAGGCAGGAGAATGGCATGAACCCGGGAGGCGGAGCTTGCAGTGAGCAGAGATAGAGCCACTGCAGTCCGGCCTGGGTGACAGAGCGAGACTCTGTCTCACAAAAAAAAAAAAAAAAAAGAAAGTATCAACACAGCCATTTTTATCCCAAAGACTAATGTTTGGCAACTTGAAGGAATAGATTCCTAGATGAATTATTCATTTGCTTTATGTCAATACAATTAGGTATTTGCTTATTATCCATTTCCTTGTTCAAAATATAAGTTATATAAACAATACCTGTTTTGTTTGCTTTTGTGTCCACTATGCTTTGCACAGCCTAGGACACATTAAACACCTAATAAATACAAGTAACTAAAAATGTTATATAATATATATGCAAGTGTTTTATTGCTGATACACTTAAACGTGTGATTGTAGAACTGGTGATACCAATGATTTATAAGGGTTTTTTTCCCCACTGGAAGTTACATCGACAATGCTATCTATAAGCTTGATATAAATTATTTATAGTTCTAAAGGTTGAAAAAATGTAGAGTATAATAGCAATAGTATCTTTTTCTTTTGTTGTTGTTGATGCTATCACTATTGCAATTTGAAGACCGTGTCCCTGGTTTATTACTTTTTTTAAAAAAAAGACATAAGAGGTAATAATCATTATGATGAGTGTTTTTAAGGAGTAATTTTGAGAATCATAGAGAAAATGAAGATCAGTTGTAGATCCAAGCTCTGTTTCTATGAAAGTATTGGTTGATGAGTCAATTCAGTTCAGACCATCAGAGAACTACATGCATAATAAGAACCTCGGCTACAGGTATTTGAAGATCAAATCAGTAAGTGAGAATATAAAAGTCAAATAAGTCTGTGGACATTACATGATCTCAGATTGACATACCTTTTTAGAATTTCTGGAGAGGCATTTTTAAAGAGTTCCAAAAATAGAATTGTTTTTTTGGATCTTCTGTGCACTTTTCAGTGGAACACAATCAAGGAATAGGAGCAAAATAGGGAGGCAAAACGATCTAATTTTGAGAAATAATTGGAAAATATTTTTGGTTTTTTGCCACAGACTTATAGATCATCTTGTTATTTTCTCCATGGGAAGAAGACTTGGGCTAATGGCTTGAAAATTGTTAGACCCCTCAGGTGGGTTTCAAGCCAGCCAATCCCCTTCACAACTACTTAGAATACATGCCAATTTCAGTTGTTAGCAGTCATTTGTATGACTTGCCTTGCTTAATATTGCAGCAGATTGGGAAAATATCCAACAAAGCACCAATTTGAGATAAATACCTGCAACACAATCAAATTTAAAAGACAAAGAAATTGGCCATCGTTTGGAACGATCTGAAAATAGATCAAAACATTGATTTAATATCTTGTGAGCACTGATGCACATTATATCATTTGCCCATAACTTAAAAATACCTTCAATAAAAATATATGCTTTAAATTTAAATTTCCTCCTAAGAAAATAATAAAATTAATGTGATGCCAAAATTGGAAAGCCTGGCTAAAATGAAAACTCCAATGTTAGTGTTAGGAATGCCCATAATTCACATGCATTCAAATATTTGTTCCATCCTCATTTGCCTTAATTTATTATTAACTACTTCTATTGCAAGTAATGTCGGTTGTGACCAAAAAAAAAAGAAAAAAGTTATTGCAGCTTTTATTCACTATGAAAAGGCAATCATTGTTCTATTATTCTCTCTCAGGCACCAAATTCTTAAGCAGATAATACAATAAATAAGCATTTGGTTCAGCCTATTAGTCTCTAACATACTTTCTAAAATTTTCTTTGTCCTCCCATTTGGGCACAATATATGCAACTATTTTCCTAATTTGAAAGAATTCTGTCTCTTATAATGGCCTTTATTTGATTGAAATTATTTTTGTTCTACCCGTTTTCCTTGAATTTCAGTTAATATTGCTCATTGTCCAATGAGAAATAATGTGTCTTGTTCATAAGAAAATTGACATTTAACTATAAAATGTAGACGACTTTTTATCTTCTGTTAAATATTTTCTTAAACTTTGCAACTGTTTTAAACAAATTTATTTTTCTTCTTTTTCTCAAAACTTGTCGGTTCTGAACTTTGCTAAATAGAAAATATACGCAATTATTTAGAATGTATTACTACTTTTAAGGCTGAATATTTTTTGCCGGAGTTAGTATTCTCTTTCATAATTAAAGAATGCCATTCACATTGGCAAGTAGTTTTCTTCTATCTTTATCAAAATTTCTATTATTCAGAGGTGTTTAATCATAAAATGTCTTGATTAGTAGTCTCTCTGGTACTTTGTTTCAGAAAAATATCTAGAGTTAGAAAATCAATTTCTGAGATTTTTCAAGTGAATCAATAGATTGCATATATGACACAGCTATTGTAATTGTTGTAACAATTATAATTGTTCTGTCAGGAGTCTCACATACTTTGTTATAAGATATAGGAATTAATAATCTTAAATTCTATTTTATTAATTCACAGAGATTATATTTAGCACTCAAAATGCCAACTCTTTTCTATATATATATTTTTGGGTTTTTTTGAGACGCAGTTTAACCCTGTTGCCCAGGCTGGAGTGCAGTGGCACAATCTCGGCTCATTGCAACCTCTGCCTCCCAGGTTCAAGCAATTCTCCTGCCTCAGCCTCCTGAGTAGCTGGGACTACAGGCGCCTGCCACCATGCCCTGCTAATTTTTGTATTTTTAGTAAAGACAGAGTTTCTCCATGTTGGTCAGGCTGGTCTCAAACTCCTGACCTAGGGTGATCCACTCACCTCAGCCTCCCAAAGTGCTGGGATTACAGGTGTGAGCCACCACACCCAGCCTGTCTTCAGTATTTTTGATAATTTGTATGTACTGTATTTTCTTTTGAAGTTTGAAATTAGCAATAAACATCAGTTTATGAAATATTACCCAAAAAACTATCACAAAAGAAAATTGTTAAATTGTCTCCATATTGACTTCCTTTTTATTTCATCTATTTATTTCCAATTTATTAGACTTTACTCTGGCTACTTTATTCAAAACAGTTTATTAACTAGGAAAATGTGATCATGCAAACATATGGGCTTATTGTATGTATCATTAATTGAAGACTATCAAACGAGTATATCCAGAATATGTTCCATGAAATACTAGTTCTTCAGGATATGGATGTCATTTGCAATAGAATTAGTACAATTTTCATTACAGTAAGAATTCTTTAAGTCGAATATACATAGTCTCAAAGCTAGTCCCACTCTTTGCCAAATTTCCTCAATATTTTTATCACAGATTATTTTTTCTGGAAGTATCTTTTAGATGATATCCTATAGAATAAAGCTAATATAAGCAAACAGTAAAATATTCCACTAGTAATAGCTAATCTAAGTAAACAGATTTTCTTTTTTACCCTATGCAACAGGAAAAGTGAAGCCAATTGTACTAATGAACTAAACTCCACTGTTATCTACTCCTTTGATTTAGATGTTTTGTTTAGTTTCTATTACCAAATTTCCTGTTTTCTAACATGTTCAATTTGTAAACCATCTCAAATAATTTTGGATACAAATGTTCATTTTGGAGACAAATGTTCTGTTAATTCCCTTTTCTGCCACAAACAAGCACAATTTATTTATCTTTATTTGGTGCCACAATATACGTGATACATATATATATATATTTTAATTACCACATGAAGATTTTATTAGTATTCTTGTCTGTTCTTAATATCAGAACTCTGAGTATTTTAATATCACGGTATGTATCTTGTTTTCATTGTGTTTTCATTGTGTATGTCACAAAAGCCTAAAGGATTAAAGTGAAGTTTCTAATGTGTTTCTCCGGATATTGTCTAATTCATAGGTCTATATGCATTTCTCATCTTTTAAAGAATTGCTCTATTTTATTACCAATAATTCACAGGAGCACATTACAATGTCAAGTTCTGTATTTAAAAATGTATATTTATTTCCAGGCCAACTTTGGTTCTTCACTTCAAACATTTTATCACCCGATTTACTAATGGACTATTGGTTACTTTCTTCAGTACAGTTTTCTTCTTTTAACTTTAAATTTGCATTAAAAGAATAAAAAACATGTTGATTACAGTACAGCAAATTAAGTTCTACAACAGTCTAACTAGAATCGCAAATTGTTCCATTCTTTCCTTAGAATATTCCCAACACATCAGTGAAAAATGTACAAGACAAATGAAGCATTCAAAAATCTTACTTAATTCTATTCCTCATTTTAGAAGAAGGTACTAGTTGAACACAAAGTGAAATGCTAAATTTTTTAAAAATGTAAAATAAAAAATATAAAATGAAGGGGTATCAAATTAAAATGTTTTAAAACAGCAATAATTTAAAACTATCTGAGCAAATAATCTAATCCACAACATACTTAAAGTCTGCGCACACTTTAAACTTTAATCCAATTCTCATTCTTCTCAGGATAACTTTTCATCTAGGGATGAAAGCTAGAGATTTGTAAACTTCTTTATGTTTAAATTCCTATAGTAAAATGCATAAAATTATTATGAAAACCAACAATATTGAAATATATTTAACAAGATGTTTTAAAAATAGATTTATAAATGGATATATATGGTTTATTAACATTAAATAAGATCTAGAGTATGAACTAACTACCGTAATTTTCAAGTACTGAGCATTACAGTAAGTCTACAACTTAAAATTATATGAATACTCTTAAGATTCCTATTGGTGACAAGATTATAGTTGTTGGTAATACTATTATAAAGTTAATAAAATTGGGATATAATTTTTCCCATTTGGACTTTTGAGGTTCTATTTATTCTATCCCTGGACCAATATGGAATAAAAATGGAAGGCTAACCAGCTCTTATCAGTGCAAAACTTCATGAATCTTTTGAGATTTACCCAGAATTGCTAAATATCTCTGATCCTCAGTCACCCTCCTTCTCTCACTCATTTATGGAGCACTTGCTATTTCCCTTTCCGTAATAGTTTAGGTTAGCTGTTTTCCCCATTTCTCATTTTAAATTACGACATTTATTTGCCTATCAAATTGGCAATACTAAAACAAATTTAAAATACTGTTGGGAAGTGTACTATTGTGTCCAGAATTGGTGCGGACCTTGCAGTGAGTGTTACAGTTCTTAAAGATGGTATCTGGAGTTTGTTCCTTGTGATGTTCGGACGTGTTCGGAGTTTCTTCCTTCTGGTGGGTTCGTGGTCTCGCTGGGTTTGAGTGAAGCTGCAGAGCTTCACTGTAAGTGTTACAGCTTTTAAGGTGAGGCGTCTGGAGTTGTTTGTCCCTTCTGGTGGGTTCCTGGTCTCGCTAGCCTCAGGAGTGAAGCTGCAGACCTTTGCACTGACTGTTACAGTTCATAAAGTGGCACGTCCAGAGTTGTTTGTCCCTCCTGGTGGGTTTGTGGTCTCGCTGGCTTTAGAAGTGAGGCTGCCAACCTTCACGGTGTTATACCTCATAAAGGCAGTGCGGACCCAAAGAATGAGCAGCAGTAAAATTTATTGCAAAGAGCAGAAGAACAAGGTGGAAGGGCACCTGAGCAGGTTGCTGCTGCTGGCTCAAGTGCCCTGGTTTTATTCCCTTATCTGGCCCCACCCACATCCTGCTGATTGGTCCATTTTACAGAGAGCTGATTGTTCCATTTTGCAGAGAACTGATTGTTCCATTTTGCAGAGAACTGATTGGTCCGTTTTACAGAGAGCTGATTGGTCTGTTTTGACAGAGTGCTGATTGGTGTGTTTACAATCCTTTAGCTAGACACAGAGTGCTGCTGGGTGCATTTGCAATCCTTCAGCTAGACACAAAAGTTCTCCAAGTCCTCACCAGATTAACTAGACACAGAGTGCTGATTGATGTATTTACAAACCTTTAGCTAGACACAGAGTGCTGATTGGTGCATTTACAAACCCTTAGCTAGACACAGGGTGTTGATTAGTGCGTTTACAATCCTTTAGCTAGGCAGAAAAGTTCTCCAAGTCCCCACCTTTCCCAGAAGCCCAGCCTGCTTCACCTCTAACTGGTACCTGGAGCGGGACTTTGCAGTTCCTAGCCCAGGCACTCCGGCATCCCAGAGGGAGCTGGTCCCAGACAACCAAGAGGAAAAGGAGGGAAGTGAGAAACAGACCCACCATTGTGGCCAACGACCCCGCAAAGAGGGAACGGCGGTCCACGCACAGGACCCAGTCTCTGATAAAGCCCAGCAGGTGCCAAGTGCTGGGCCCACCGAGCCCACGCCCACCCGTAACCCCCGCACACCCAGAACCCGCGCCTGCCCCGCGAGCGCCACGCACAGCCCCTGCTCCCTCCCGCGCCTTTGCCTCCGCACCTCCCTGCGAGCAGAGGGACCCGGCTCCGGCCTCGGCCAGCCCCAGAGAGGGGCCCCCACAGCACAGCGGCAGGCTGAAGGGCTCCTTGAGCGCGGCCAGAGCAGACGCCTAGGCCGAGGAGGCGCCTAGAGCGAGCCAGGGCTGCTAGCACCTTGTCACCTCTCACTATGAAATAAGTAATAAAAGCCCTTAGACATTCCTAGTAAGAACATAATTGGTACAGTATTTCAGAAAAGCAAATGTACAGAAAGAATCTATAGTTCAGACTTTCACTTCCTGATAGGAACAGAAGACATGACCACTAATTTTGTTTTGGAGAAAACAAAAAGAGAATTTTTTAAAAGTGAAAATGCCTCAAGGATAAGAAGAGTGGTAAAGAAGAAAAAAAGAACAATATTTTGGAAAATACAAATCAGATGAAAGATTTAGGAAAACAGAGAAACCTCAGTCACAAAGTCCTCAATAATTGGTGAATCCAAATTCCTAGAAAAGAAGGATATTTCAAATAAGGAGCCCTGCTTGAAAAATTGTCTTAAGAAGCTGTTAGATCCATTCTGTTTTTGAGACCCCATCTTAACTCTAAATAGTGTAACAATTGTCTCTCATCACTCAACCACTCACTCTAGAAAAGACTGGACTTTATTTTCTAAAAAGGACAAAATGGAGGATTCTGGACTGCATATACCAGGCAGGGTTAATGGAGAAGAAAATATATACTTACTGAATGAGGAAACCTCCAGTATGTTTCTCCTAACTGACCCGCCTCCCATAGGATTAGGCTAAATAAAAATCACATTTTTATTTATAGCATAAAAGATACAAAGACATCAAATCACACTCAGAGTAGTCTTCAAGCAGCAACTACCAACCACATGCTGCAGAAAACTCTACATGAAAGACAGAGGCCAAAATAAAAAACAGCAGACAATTAGAGGGAACAGACATTTTCATGGCCAAGGAGAAAATCATACGTGTGTATGTATGTGTGTCCGTGTGTGTGTGTGTGTGTGTATAAAATGAAATGTATATATATACACATGTGAATATATATAATTATAGTAATAGAATTATATATATGTTTGTGGGGGTATATATATATATGCATGTATATATATAATTCTAGAGATAGTAGCAGTTACTAACATCTTGGAACAAGAATGAAATACTATTTTTTACAAGAAGAACAGAAATAGATCTCTTGAAAATTAAAAATATAATAACTGAAATGAAAAATTTAATAAAAGAGTTGGAAAACAGAGTTGAGGAAATATCCCAGAAAATACAGTAAAGCACAAACAAATAAAATATTGGAGAGCAAAGGTAAGAAAATGTAGAGTACTAGCCAAAAAGTTTAATATTCACTGAGAATTCTAGGAAGAGAGAATAAAGTAAAAGGTGAGAACACCAATTAAATAAAACAAGAACATTTTTCAGAACTAATGCGTGTAAGATTACAAAGGGCTCATAGTACTTAGCACAGTAGAGAAAAGCATGCCCCCACCAAGGCACACGATTTTGAAATTTCAGGAAGCTGGAGGGACTCTGAAATTTTACAGGCTTTCAGAGGTAAAAATAGGTGGCATACAAACATAATGATATACACTTAATCAGGAACTTGCTGATATTATGCTTTACGTGCATTAGGAAAGAGAGCCAGGAGGGACAAGAGCATGATGTGTTAGAGACTAGGGGAGAAATAAATGCTACTTTGTCATTTTCCATAATGGGAACTTAATGCCTCAAATAGAAAAAATTAAGAAGTAGAAAGGCAAACACATTAACTTAGAATATGGTGGTTAAAACTTGGCGACAATGAATTAGCTGAGATAATTGACAATATTTGTCTTGAGGGAGAAAGAGAGGAGAGGAACAGGAAACTACAATTTCTAAAACTATGTGATTCTGTGTGTGAATGTGTAACTTTTGTTTTTGAAAAAGAATAAAGAATAAAATATGTTCAGATTATTGATTTACTAATAAAAGTCAGAATTATACCTATAATAATCTAATTCTGTATACCAAATCAGTGTTTATAATGCAAGTACCACAACAAGGAAATAACCAAAATGTATAAAAATAAAGAAAAAAGTTATGAAATTATGCCTCATTCTTATCATAAGGACATTATGTAATCAAACATTTTGAAGAGATTTAGCAATATAAAAATGCGTATAAATTAATATCAAGTGAAAAACCAAGATGAAATGATTTATTTTCAAAATTCAGCCTGGCTTCAAAGGAAGAACAAAAATTGATCTCTTGGAAATTAAAAATATAATAACTGAAATGAAAAATTTCGCAATTAAGAGATTAGTAAATAACTTAAAATACATTAAAATATATATGGTGACCTTTGGAAAGTAGAATTATGTTTCTTTTTGTTTTTTTCCTCTAAAATTTTTGTACTTTCAAAATATATTTGCAGCAAATTTATCTTGTTTGTAAGTTCTTAAAAGTTAAAAAAAAGCAGTGAAACTGTGACTACAGATTTTTCTATTCAGGTTTTATAATGTTCACTAAATTTTCAAATTTGATAAAAACCACCAATGGTAATTTGGACTTAGGGACATAATGTAAACAGTAATATGTTTATTATTTTTCCTACTTAGTTTAAGTGAAAAAGTTTTCCAGGTTACTAGAAAGTTTATAGCTTTCCTCAGCAATAGAATTTAGAGTGTGAGCTTATACCTTGTCAATAAGAACCTCTCTTACAGACAGTAGTACTGTTATTTTCATAGATTGTTACATAGTTGGAAAGAGTAACCTTTTATTCACTACTTCAGAAGATAATTTGAAAGTCCTTCTTTCACTTTTTTTTTCAATGCCCATAGAGGTGAAGGTATAATTTTCTGAAAATGTATTTGCCAGTTATAAATCTGATTTGAACACAAGAATGCATATATTCATGTACTTCCTAAACCAAAGATGTGATAAGAATTCACAAAAGAAACACATAATTTATGGCTACATGAAGCCACACTTTCAAGAAGAAAATTGAAAAGCAACCAATCAGCAGTCTTTGGTCTGTTTGAGTTTTGTCACTGAGTTACTTCCCTGATGTTTTAACTGAATTGACTAAATGAGGTCATATAGATATTGTTTTAGCATTGGCAGCTTGAATTGACTATGACATTATTTAGTGAAGATATGTTTCCAGGCACTAAAAATTCTGAACCTTTTTCAGTTCTGTATGTACCAAGAATATGTCATCAGTAAGTCCTTCCTCAGAATAGAGGATACTCCCAGCACAGCAGAAACTCAGAAAAAGGGGTTTATGTAGCCTTTTAATTTTTTTTTTGACTTCTCCTTAGGTACAGGAGTACATGTGCTGGTTTGTCATATAGGTAAATTGTGTGTACAGAGCCTTTTAGATGCATTGTTAACATTTGAATAATATGTAACACAGGGAAATCTATAATACGGAAGTGTAAGCATTTGTGAGAGATGCCACATAAATGCTGTAGGAGGCAAAACGCAAGTAGTCAGGGAAGATCTTATATTACAGAACTTTGCATTTTGACACAGACAAGTTCCTTCAGAATTTCCATCAAAATTCTAAAGAGATAATTATGTGTCTACAGCATAATGTAGTATCATTCATAGATATGTATGTATGAGAAGAATGCAAATTTCATGCCTAGATTTGCTATGACTTAAGTGATCAAAGATAAAATATAGAGCTTAAACACATAAGCCTACAATGATAAAATTGCTGACTAAAATAAAATTGTACAATTCAAAAAATATGCAAGTTACACAAATCTTCCACTTGTTTAGTTACCACAAGAAACTCACGATAAAAAGTCTGTGGTCTTGTGATATATCATAATGATGGCTGAAATGTATATTTCTATTGCCATGTGATATCATTGCTAATTCAATTCAGAAGCATTTATTCTATGTGTCTTTCCTCTAGGGAGTAATTGAGAGCAAAATTATTAAAAGTAATAATAAATTATTTGTTTTGCTTAACTGAATCTGTTACAGTTACATTAAATTTTTTTGGTAGCGCCTTTGATTATAATTTTTCTTTCTTTCTGTTTCTCTCATTCAGCTTAATGTAGTGAATGTAGTGAAAGACATAACTGCCCTTCTCTGTGAGAGTGTCACGCTGTCAACAAAACTGACAATGAATCCAAAGGGAAAAAAAATTATTTTGATTTTGTGACTGACTTGTTCATTGGAAATAAATGACTTTCCTTGTCATGCAAGGATCATCTTAATATGCACTGTGCTTTTTTTTTGTAGTATTGCTGCTACTTAGAGATAAAAAGCACAATTCAGAAACATGGGAAAAATAATCTACTATGTTGCCTTTCCTCAAAGGTCACAAATAGAAACATTACGGATGGTGAGCGGATCACTTTGCCTCTGTTAATACATCTGTATGGTCATAATCAATTCTTCTGAAGCTACAATTCTCTCTCATAGTATCAACTTGAATTCAAAATGAAATATCGCAACTACAAAAGTTGTTTCTACAACTAGAAAACAAAAGAAGACATGTTTTACTTCCAAGGCTATGAGTAGAAATCAGCATTGTAAGTAGAAGTTATGAAAGTAGGTATTCTTTTTTTCCTTTTAAATAATTTAAAATATGTAATATTAAGTCACAATATCAAAATCCTCTCCGCACCTCATTAGAGAGTTACTCTTTGGATATGTCAGCATTCTTTTAATAAATATTTATTGACCATCTACTGTATGTGAAGCACTGTAGTGCAGTTTTTAGGGGATAATTATTTTTAAGCAGTTACTATGCAGACTTCCTGCGTTTGGGGTGTCTTTAAGGTATACCACCCCAGAGAATACTGGCATGACATTAGCACAAAGCAAGGACTATAAAAATGATTCACTTCTCAGGTATCAGCAGAGTCAGAATGAAACAACAAGGTACTGAGTACATACTATTGAGAAGTATTATCTCCTTTAACATTTCGCATAAAACATTACATGAATTTTATTTGAATGAACAAATTAACATGGAGTACAGTCTTAGGGTGAAGTAGTTTTCTGAGATGTAGATTTTTGAGGTCATGACTTAAAAAGCAGAATTCCTTTTATGATAACATCTATGCTAGCCAGATATTTCTAAACCAGAGATAAAGATGAATAGAGTTGAGTTTCAGATACTAGTTGGACCATCAACACAAACACTTAATTTGTACAGAAATAAGGGAGAGCTAAAAAAGTGTGAAAGAGGTGGTAATTTTCTAGAGTTCTGAAATATAAAAGAATAACTTAAAGACAAACAGACAATGACTAAAACAATAGGAAACAATAAGAGGGGTAGTTTCTATATTAGTAGAAACCCTGGAAAGCAAAAAGAATGTGTATTGGAAATTAAGATAAAAACACTAGTTCATATTTACGTGTTTTCTTCATCATATATGTTTTTGCATGCACTTTTTTTTTTTGAGACGGAGTGTCACTCTGTCACCAGGCTGGAGTGCAGTGGCGCAATCTCGGCTCACTGCAAGCTCCACCTCCCGGATTCAAACGATTCTTCTGCCTCAGCCTCCCAAGAAGCTGGGACTACAGGTGTGTGCCACCATGCCTGGCTAATTTTTTGTACTTTTAGTAGAGACGGGGTTTCACCGTGTTAGCCAGGCTGGTCTCGATCTCCTGACCTCATGATCCGTCTGCCTCCACCTCCCAAAGTGCTGGGATTATAGGATTGAGCCATCGCGCCCAGCCCACATGCACTATTTTATTTCATCATTTGAACAAACCAAAGGAGCAGGACAGATAAGGAGTATTTTGAGTGGATGGTGTCTTTGAGGAAGTAGTAGTCAGCTATTTTCACAGCAAGGGTGCATTGGTAACTATGCTAAAATCCAATGGTTTACAACAAAAAGCATTTATTTTCATGTGTACATTCTACAGGTTCACTGTGATTTGCCTGATCTAAGCTGGACTCAGTGTAGAAGGCTCTGTCTTCAGGCTTTGACTTTCCTGGGCTTTATTTCCAGGCTGCAAATTGAGTTCAAGATTTCTCCACATATTTTTTTGCTGGGCCCCATGCTAAAATGGAAAGATTATCTATAGCATGCTCTTCACATGACAGCTGAGGCAAACAGAACAAGCACATGTAACACACCTAAATGTGTCATATTCTCATTCCTTTGGGAAGAGCAATCATATGAACAAGCCTAACATCAAGGATTAAGGCAGTACATATTCCATTCATAGTAGTAGTGGGAGTATTTGCCAAAAAATAATTCAAATTATCATAGGGGAAATACACATCCCACTTAAGAGAAAATGTTGATGGAGACTTCTCAGAAAAGATGGCAAAATTTTTTAAAACTCTGCTCCACTTCTTCCAGTAAATTATATAATACTAAAAATATGTCTGTCATTGTATTAGTCAGGGTTCTCTAGAGGGACAGAACTAATAGAGAGATATATACATAAAGGGGAGTTTATTAAGTATTAACTCACACAATGACAAGGTCCCACAATAGACTGTCTGCAAGCTGAGGAGCAAGGAGAGCAAGTCTGAGTCCCAAAACTAAAGAACTTGAATCCTATATTTGAGGGCAGGAAGCATCCAGCATGGGGGAAAGATGCAGGCTGGGAGGCTAGGCCAGTCTAGTGCTTTCATGTTTTTTCCGCCTGCTTTATATTCTAACCATGCTGGCAGCTGATTAGATTTTGTCCACCCAAATTAAAGGTGGGTCTGCCTTTCCTCGCCCACTGACTCAAATGTTATTCTCCTTTGGCAACACCTTCACAGACACACATAGACACACATAGAATCAATACTATGCATCCTTCAATCCATTCAAGTTGACACTCAGTATTAACCATCACAGTCATCTTACTTTTTGCTTTCTTCCCTTTGATGCCTCACTCCTGCACACCTCATTCCCAAAAGTTACCAGCATTTGCAGTTTGGTCATATTCTCAACTTCTTCCCTAAATTATTGTATGTGTATGCTGACTGTCTCACTGATAGAATCAGGGTTCCCAATAACAAAATGGGTAGTGTCAGTAGAAAGGAGGTCAGAGAACACACATAGCTGATGGGACATTAGGGTGATTATTTTACAGGCTGTGGCAAATGGCTGTGTTATGGGATACTGAGAAGTGAAAGGGGATACAGGAGGAACAACAATTAGTTTTCATGGGAAGTCTCTCAAAGTTGCATCCTCACATAAATTGCAAGTAGGGAACAGCTGGATAGTGTAACTGACCACTAAGTGTTTCACTCTAACTATTGCAGAAAAACTAACAGAAACTGTTAACACGTAACACTGATTTAAAAGCATTATTTTATTTTTTCAAAATATTGCATTTTGATGTATTTTAATTCAAAAATAAATAAAAATGAGAAAGCAAGTCTGATTTAGTGCCTGGTCAGGTAAAGAAAAGATTTTAGCAAGCATTGCAAAGTAGCATCCAGCATAATTTTAAAACTGTGTGGAAGAAGAGATTATTCCCTCTGACTAGATGGAAAGAATGAATATGCAATATGTTACATATTTTGGGTATATCACTATTTGATTATCCATTCTCCTGCCCATGGCCATATGGGTTGTTTTCACATTGGGCTATTACAAATAAGTCTCTTTTAAACATTCTTTTACAGGTATTTCTGTGAACATATATTTTCATTTCTCTTGGAACAAAATGGCTGAGTAATGGGTTAAAGTATGTTTAAATTCATGAGAAGCTGCAAAACAATTCTTAAAATGGTTTTACCATTTTACACCCCCACTGGTAATGTATGAAATTTCCAGTTGCTTTGCACTCTTGCTCTCATTTGGTTTTATCATACTTTTTTATTTTAGCCATTCTAGTGTGCGTGTGGTGCATCGTGCTTTGAATTTGTACAGTTTTAATTTGCATGTCCCAAATGAGTAATGAGGAAAACTTTTCCTAAGTGTTTCGTAGCCATTTGAAATGTCTGTGCCAGTCTTTTTCCAATTTTTATTAGGTTTCTCATCTTATTATTGTTGATTTTTATTAGTTTTATATATATATGGATTCAGCACTATCGACAGATAAAATTACTCCAAATAATTTTTCCAATATTGTTACCTGCATTTTCTTAGTGGTATTCTTTAATTTAAAAAAATTGCTTTTTTTGATGAAGCTTCATTTCCTGCTTATTTTTCCTTTATGAGCAAGTCATTTTTCTGCTCAATTAGGTACGTTATTTTTATCCCCAAACAGAACATTATTGTCTTATGTCTTCTTCTAACAGTTTTATAGCTCTGAATTTTACATGTAGGAATGTGATCCAGGCTTTTGTGCACAGAGTAAACTGAGTATTGACATTTTTGTATTTTCTTTTTTTTTTTTTTTTGGACTGATGGAGTTTTCCAGTTGTATCTGCAGTAGTATCTGCTAAAAACAGACATACATTAACAATAGCAATAGTATCTGTAAAAAATATTCATTTCTCCCTTGAATTGACCTTGTGTCTTTGTCAAAAATCAAACTGAGCATATATGAATGAGTCTAACAAGACTAGTACTGTTCAAACTTTGTACGATAATCAAATGTGCTATTATTTACTCTCTCCATTGGGGTAGTCAACCACTTATGGCTGTTCAGTAATTGAAAGGTAGCTAGTGTGATTGAGGAAAACACTTTTTAACTTAATTTAATTTTTATTAATCTAAATTTAGATAACCGTATGTGTCTAGTGGCATTCCTACTGGACAGAACAGATCAGCAACTAGCATTCTGTTTCATTTATATATTTGTCTATTCCAAGTCAACCACATTCTTTAAAACTATAGCTTTATTTTTTAGGTCTTAAATATATTATTTTTAAGATGGCTATTCTAGATTCTTGATGTTTCTATATAAATTTTTTTGTTATATGTATTTTTAGAGACAGGGTCTCTGTCACCCAGTCTGAAGTGCAGTGTCACAATCATAGCTCTCTATAACCTCAAACTTCTGGCCTTAAGCAGTCCTCCCACCTTGGCCTCCCAACGTGCTGGGATTTACAGGCCTGAGCCACAGTGCCCAGTCCATATAAATTTTAGAATCACTTATTTCTTCAAAAGAGCTTGCTAGAATGTAGTGCAGTAGTGTGCACCTGTGGCCCCAGCTACTTGGGAGGCTGAGGTAGAAGGATCGCTTGAGTCCAGGAGGTGGAGGTTGCAGTGGGCCAACATCAAGCCACTGCACTCCAGCCTGGCAACAGAGGGTGACCCTGTTGGAATGTTTGTTAAGGTTGTCTGGAATTTATTGATCAGTTAAGGGAAAAATTACCATCTGAACAACATTGGAACATTGAGTCTTCCAATCTACAAGCATCACATTTCTTTAGGTCTTATTTAGTTTTTCTCAGCAGTGTTTTCTAGTTACTAGAGAAGAGATTTTGTATATTTTACTTCATGTTTATTCTAAATTTCCTTTGTATTTTTCCTGTTAGTGTAAATTATATTTTGAAGATTTGTATTTTTCCTGTTAGTGTAAATTGTATTTTGAAGATTTATTATCCAATTTAGTTTCTCATGTTTAGAGAAATAAAATTGACTTTTGAACATTGACCTTGTATTCTGTGATGGTATTAAATTAACTTCATGCTTCTAGTACCTTATTATAAAATACTTAGTATATTCTATATACATGATGAGGTTGTTTGCAAATAAAGAATATTGCATTGCTTCCTTTCAAGTATTTATACCTCCTTGGATTTTTAATGTACACAATCATGCTTTCCAATCTTGAGGAGTGTTATTTCTTTATCTTACTTTATTGCACAGTCTAGGGTCTCCCATATGACAATGAATGAACATTTTGAGAGCAAATATTCTTACCTTATTCCTGTTCTTAGGGAACATCCATTCATTATTTTGCCTTTGAATAGTACGTTAGCTAGATGGTTTTTATAGGATGAGGATGATCCATTCTTCTTCCTAGTTTGAGAATGGTGTTTAGTATCATCAAGTGCTTTTTCTGATCTACTCATAGGACAAATTACATGGACTGATTTTGAAATGTTGAACAAACTTTACATTCTTGAAATAAACCCTACTTGTTTATGCTAGGTCACAGGGAAGGTAAACCCACCTCCTTGTTCCTGAAAGAACATCTTCATCTTAAGACGTATTGTAGCTAATATTATTATAAGTACAGATGGTAGCTAATAGGCCTTATATGTTGATATCTCTTTTTTCTAAGCTTTTATTTTCTTTTATTTTTAGACGTGTCTCTTGTTATGGCTAAATTTAATTTTCATAATAAATCTGTCTCTTTGTCTTTTAACTTGTGAGTTTAGTTCATTTATGTTTATTTTAAAGATTAACCAATATGTTACTGTTTCTACCATAAGAGTTTATTATTTAGTTTTTCCCACTTTTTCTACTTTTTAAAAATCTCCTTTTTACTCTTCTTTTAAATGGATATCTATGCCTTTTCCAACCTTGGATACAACTAAAACAAGAACTTTCGCATACTCTCTCCTTTCTTAGTATTCTTCTCTTCCACAATATCAGACATTTTGTTAATATTGTCTAAATTTTTAATTTAGATTCTCTTACAAACATATTTATGTGTTTCTCTTTATTTGTGTTTAAGTACGTGCACATATGCATATATAAAGGCATAATATAAATATAATAATATTTATTAAGTTAAAGATCATAACAAATGTATTTAGTTATCCTAAAGCTGGAAAGTTATCTTGAGTGTGTATCTCTGTATTTTTAAGTACTTTGTCCAAAAATTCTCATTGAAGATATTTGTGTAGTAGCTGTCCTGAGGCATAAATGTGTGTGTGAAAATATTTCTGAAAGATTTTCTTTGTCATGCTTTGTTATTTAAAGAAAAGTTCATCCAGATATTGATTCCTATGCACTGTTGTTTTTTTTTTCAACATTTTGAAATGTTGTCTCATGGCTTTCTTAAATCCAGTATTGAGTTTGAAAAATCTGATGTATGTCTAATTTTTCTTTCTTTGTAAATTATTTGCTTTTTCTACCCATAGCTGTCAAAATTTTCCTTTTTATCTGATAATATGTGATGTGTTTAGTGTGTGAATTGTTTCTTATCTCTCTTCTTTGACCCTTTCTTAGATCTCTTTTGATACACTTTGGATTTGTGTACTCTCTAAATCTCGTGTTGAATTGTAATCCCCAGTGTTGGAGGTGGTGTCTGATTGGATCATGAGGGTGGATTTCTCATAAATAATTTAGTGCAATCTCCTTGGTGCTGTCCTCATGATATTGAGTGAGTTCTCCAGATATCTGGTTATTTAAAAGTGTGTGGCACCTCTCCCTTGCCTTGTTCCCACTCCTGCCATGTGACATGCTTGGTCTTCCTTCACTTTCCACTGTGATTAGGAGATTCCTGGGGCACTCCCAGAAGCAGATGCCACTGCAGAACCATGAGACAATCAAACTTCTTTTCTTACAACTAACCCAACCTCAGGTATTTCTTTATAACAAAGCAAGAACAGCCTATATATCTTTATTCTGAGGTCTTTCTTACTTTTTTAAATGTATTAATGATGTTTACTGGATACATTAACAGAAACTCTTGTACCAAATGCTCCACCATCGACTTCAAAATCAAAATGGGGTTCAATTTAAAGACATTGAACTGTAAGAAAGACCTATGCATCAATGTTCCTGAAGTTATTAATGTAAAAGTCACGTTTTATTTATATTATATAACAATTTTTAAAATATAATTTTAACTTTTAGATTTAGAAAGTAGATGTGCAGGTTTTGTACCTGGTTATATTGTGTGATGCTGAGATTAAGAGTATGGAGCATAGTACCCAAGAGTTAGTTTTTCAATTCTTGCCCCCTCCCTCCCTCTGCTCCCCACTCCTCCAGTAGTCTATTGTTGCCATCTTTATGTTCATGAGTACCCATCATATAGCTCCAACTTATAAGTGAGAAAATGTGAAAATACCAACTTTTAAAATATACTTTGCAGTGAAAATTTCTGATAATTATTCTTAATACAGGCTTATTAATAGAGTCTATAGTAGCAGTGTTAAGAGTAATTATCAAAGGACATTCTCCATATGCATTTCGCAAATGTTCCACTGAAAAGACTGTACATGCCAAAGGTGTGCCTAAATGGAGTGCAAATTATTAATTTTATATCATCTTCAAGGGATATCTCAAGCCAATTAAAAAGGGATATGTAGTTGTGTGTGTATATATTGATATTAATTTTGGTATGTGTACTTTTAAATATGAATTTGGCTTATGTCATCATAGAAATTTAGAAAACAACAGGATGCTTAATTCACAACAATCTTTTGTGAATATAAATACTTTATTTAATATTCATATTAGTCTGTTTTCATGCTGTTGATAAAGACATACCCCAAACTGGGTAATTGATGAAGATAAAGAGATTTAAAGGACTCACAGTTCCACGTGGCTAGTGAGGCATCACAGTCATGGCAGAAGGCAAAAGGCGTGTCTTACCTGGTGGCAGGCAAGAGACTACTTGTGCAGGGAAACTTCCCATTATAAAACCATTATTGAGACTTATTTACTATCACAAGTACAGCATGGGAAAGACCCGCCCCCATGATTAATTACCTCCCACCTGGTCCCTCCTACAACACGTGGGAATTGTGGGAGCTACAATTCAAGATGAGATTTGGGGACACAGCCAAAACTTAGCAATATTCAAATAATCAAAAAGTAAACTCAAGAAATGTCACAGCCCAGAGCAGTCTAAGGGATCATGATATCTAAATTTGATGTGGTATCCTGGATGGGATCCTGGAAACTGAAAATAAATATTAGGTGAGACCTCAGGAAATATGAATAATGTGTGGACTTTAGTTAAACATAATGTATCACATTGGTTTATTCATTGTGATAAATGTGCCATACTAATGTAAGATAATAATAGAGGAAACTGAGTGTCAGCTATATTGAACTTTCTGTATTATATCTGTAATTTTTCTATACATCTAAAATTATTCTTTTTTTTTTTTTTTTTTGAGACAAAGTCTCGCCGTGTTGCCCAGGCTGGAGTGCAGTGGCGCGATCTCGGCTCACGGCAAGCTCCGCTTCCCGGGTTCATGCCATTCTCCTGCCTCAGCCTCCCGAGTAGCTGGGACTACAGGCGCCCGCCACCACACCCGGCTAATTTTTTGTATTTTTAGTAGAGACGGGGTTTCACCGTGTTAGCCAGGATGGTCTCGATCTCCTGGCCTTGTGTTCCGCCCGCCTCGGCCTCCCAAAGTGCTGGGATTACAGGCCTGAGCCACCACGCCTGGCCTAAAATTATTCTAAAGTAATTTTTTTTTTATTTTATAAAGTAAACTCAGGGAAGCCTCACATTTTACTTCTTGACATTTTTATTTTTCTTAGCTATATATGAGATGATAAAAATCTTCCAGTTTAAAAATTACTCATCAATATGGCATAAATCTTAACATTGGTACATTGAATTTATATGAGACTGCTGTTCCTGAAAACAGTAGTAATTGTGCATTCATTTTTATAACATTGGTAAGTAAGTATTAATTTTTGTTTTTTAACATGAGAAATTAAGAAAGGTAACTTTCTTTCTCTACATTAGACTATCTCAGGTGACTATAAAACCATTTAGCAAGATCTCAGGTGAAATTTACTAAATGGATCATGGCTATTCAGAGTAATTCCTTTATTTATTTATTATGATTTTTTAAAGATATGTAGCCCAAAAAGTGAGCAATTTATATTAACTATCAAGAGAATTAGGGCAATTAGCTGTATCAACTGTAAAATGGATTTAACTAATCAAAGAAAAAGTGTAATAAAAATGCAAACCCTACCATAGCAAATTTCCCAGTGCCTTTTTTACTAAAGCCTTCACTGCTTGTGGCAAACTAGAAAGGACCACAGATGCTCAGATGTAACATATTAAGGACCATAGATGCTCAGATGTAACATAGTTGTGAATACCAATGGAGTTACACATCCACAAAGCAGGAAGCAACATTGACAAAATGCATATGAAAATATTCACTTCCAATGTCAAAGTCCCTTTCCAATTTATTTCCCTGATTTCTGAATTTCTACTAGTGCCTTCTGTTCTATGGTCACTAATCTCTTAGGTTCCA
Organism: Homo sapiens; assembly: GCF_000001405.40. Taxonomy (NCBI): domain Eukaryota; kingdom Metazoa; phylum Chordata; class Mammalia; order Primates; family Hominidae; genus Homo; species Homo sapiens. The sequence goes on from NC_000013.11 coordinate 58,838,005, forward strand.
CAGTGTAACACAGGCCTCTACTCCCATATGTGTCTGGGTGTGTTTCCTGAAACACACAGTATAGGTGCAACTGAAAATCTAACTTTTCTTCAAACAACTTCAATGATTGAGGAAAGTCACTTTGCAAATAAGGAGCTAAGGTCACTCCTTTGGCTATGATAGTGAACCAGAGAAGAACTGAGGAGTCTTTGAGGGTCACACTTAGACACAAATAAGAAAGTAAAGTGTATGAATATGTATATAAATAACCCCATTGTGAATTTATGAATAAATTATAGGAAGTTAGATTCATCTTCAAAATGACCTTATTGACACTTCCAGTCTAAAAATAGTCATATCAACTCTCTTTATCTAACTTACAGAAAATGTCTAAAGACATCCTCAAGTTAGGAATAGTTTCAGTGGTCACAATTTTCCTTAGAGATATGGGTATATATACCTCTAGCCAGATCTGAACATGAATAATTTACATTTGAGATGAGTTTTACAGGGGGCTGTTCGCTCTTTCTATGCATCTGCTTTGGTATACTATTCCAAGCCACAGAATCCCTAATCCCAAAGAATTTACACCTTCTGGTACATTTTCATTTATATTAAAATATTTGAGAATGGTAGTGTGTTAATAATTCTTTCCATTTTTATGTCATTCCAGACACTAAAACATTCACTTGAACTGTATTTCTCTTCTTAACTGCAGTCTCAATGGTGATGTCAAAGTGTACGTATCACACTGCCATCATTTCTTTTTTCTAATTATATTACCATTCCAAGGACAAAAATCTGTCTGGCTTTCCAGATTTTTCCATCTTAGTGATAACTGCTATTATATGTCATGTCATCTCTTTTAAAGCTATTCCTCAAAAGAGACTTAACTAGCATGTTTCCCTGATGGTCTGTCTTTGTCTTCTGAGACAAGTCTATGGGCTTGTTATTTTAGGTCCCCAGTCTCAGTAAAATCTGCCAACATTTGCAGTAAAGCCTTCATGTTTGTATAAATGAATTCATATTTGTCAAAACTACCAGTCAACAGCATACTTGAATATCAAAATTAAACTCTGTGTGTTAGTCAATTCTAACTCCTGATCTGCTCAACAGGTTTCCATTAAAAAATAAATAGATTTTGCTGGATGTGATGGATCACACCTGTAATCCCAACACATTGGGAAGTGGAGGCAGGAGAATTGCTTGAGCTTTGAGACCAGCCTAGACAACACAGGGAGATTCCATTCTCTACAAAAAGAAAATAATAATAATAATAAATTATCCAGGTGTGGTGGTGTGCACCTGTGGTCTCAATGCCTCAGGAGGCTGAGGTGAGAGAACCACTTGAGCCTTGGAGGTCAAGTCTGCAGTGAACCATGATTGTACCACTGCACTCCAGAATGGGCAACAAAGCAAGACCCTGTCTCAAAAAATAAGTGAATAAATAAATAAATTTTAAGTAGGACATGTAATCTGTATTAGTTATTAAATGAATCAAAATATTAGATATAATCACAATGGAAAAGAAGGGTATAAGGCTAATTCAAATGGGTTGATAATCAAAGTATAATTTATATTTGGTTATATACATCTTTGCTGACATTTTATAGAATCACAAAATATCAAGTTTAGAGAAAAACTAGTATGTAAAATGATTTGACCACCCATCTAATGTTTGCATGTCTACAATCCCTTGGCAAATAATGACTAAAGCTATACTGAGCTTGAGTACTGGGGAACTCATTCAACGCAGTTGTTTCTTAATGGCAAATAATGACTAAAGCTATACTGAGCTTGAGTACTGGGGAACTCATTCAACGCAGTTGTTTCATAAATATCCAGACAAAAAGGCATAAAGAACATAAGATTCTCATGCCAGTTCAAATCGAGTTTTTCTGCCAAAGAAATTCAGGTCAGATCAAGTTTTATAATCATGTGATTATAAAAATGTTTCTATTTTCTGAGCTTTATGGATTTCAAAATTACAAAGTTCTGGATTATTATTTTTGCTTTTTCCTCCTTGTATTACATATTGTGCAATAAAAATTTTGAATACATTATTAAGGATTATGAATTTTTTTCAAAGACCAGTGGACCAGTGACTATTTACATTCAAGCAGAATCTCCTCATTCAAGCAAAGGTCATGAAGCTATACATAAGGTGGAGGAACAAGGACAGTATAAATCTCTGTACACTAAGTAAAAGACTTTTTTACTCCATCAGAAAAATTATTTTTGATTATACCCCTCAATGTTGTACATTTATAAATTATATATTATATACATCCTTAAGCAAACAAAATGAAAAAGGAATGAAGAAAATGTAAATCCATATAAATGCTTAGTATTTTCAACAGTCCAATGAATCATTTGGTGTGCTCACTGTGGTTCAAATCCCTTTGTAACCTGCTTTAAAACTTATGCATATTCTATATCCTCTGCTCCATGGCTTAAACCTATACTCTTAGGATGGGAAATGGGATAGCAGAAAGGTATTTCCTAAATTCTGGCTAGGTGACACTGGTGATACCAGAGGTAATTTTAGGTGACATTTTAGGAATATTTGAAAATAATTACTTAATAGCAAATTTACTTCATACATTTTAAACAACTTCCATTACATTTATTTTAATACTTATTAACAATGTTTAATTAACACATTAAATTCTTGATTTAATTGACATCCTTGCTTATATTAAGGGTAAGTTTTGAAAACCTGAATTAACATGAAAAATTATTTTTAAAAATATATAAGTGTTTTGTGGTTATAGCGAGGATTGAAATTATGAATTGGTATTGTGAATGACTGAAAATTGGGAAACAACACATACTGGCTAAAAATGGACATTTTAGCACCAGGCTCCCTAGGTTGATTTCCTGAGATAATGTGTGGAAAGTAGCTAGTACAGCACCTGACTCAAAGAAAAATCTAATGGATGGTAGTGCTACATGAAAATTCAGTAATCATTTATTCTGTTCATCTTTTTCCCCAATCCACTGGTTTTAATGCCAGAGACATAGGCAAGTAACATAAAAATAACTTTTGCAAAAGGTCACCACCTATGCACTAGGTGTACCTTCTATCTACAAAGCAAATATCAGCATAGTGTTCTGACTACATTTTTAAAAGCAAGAAAATAGTTTCCCATTCAGGGAGTTGCAATGATTGTTCCACTGAGAGTCAACTAAAGAACATGAACATATATGTAAGAGCAACAACTTATTTGTGGACATGAATTAACAATAAGTAATTGCTTTTGTTTTGTTTTAGTATGTTTCATTGAACCTGTGTTTTTTGGGAGGTGCCAGCTTTATATTATCCTCATCAATTTTGAACCAATTAACAAAAATTAGATAAAATTTTTAAAAATAAAAAACAAAGACAAAAAAAGGCTAATCCTAAAATAACTGTCACACACTGTGGAATGAGATCACCCCATTCTTTTAAAGAACAAAGAAAGAAAATTAGCATCATTGAGCTTCGTAGAATGGGGATTTTTCTGGGATTGAAAATAAAGAACCTGACAACTCTACTATGATGTTTTATATGATATATATCATATATAATCATTATATTATTATAAATAGCATATTATATAATATAATTACTATATTATTATAAATAATATAAAATTGTATATATCTTAATATTTTAATATTACTTAATATATAATCTATATTACTTTACTACTTCATTTATTATTATCTATATTATCTATATTACTCCTTCCTTCCTTCCTTTCATCACTTTGTAAAAAGAAATATGGCTACATAATGCTGTTGTGTTGAAGATGCTGATAAAGAGGCAGGTGATGGTATCCTTCAACTATCAGAGACTCTCCATGTGCACCTGAGTCTGACAGTGAAGAGTAAGCTCATCATGGCCTTGGCCCCTGTTAAAACAGGTCACCAGAAAACATCTTGGACTTCCAGATAATCTCCCATTCTCTGGATTCTAATATTCACTGGACTCTTCATAGTGTTTTTTTCTGCCTTTTATCTTATCCACTCCCCATTTATTCAAATCATTTCTTTGTGCTCTCTGAAACTCAAAGTCAAATATTAGCAGAATAACTTTTAATTCAATTACTTCCATGAAAGTTCCCTCCACCTTCTTGCTGTAATTGGAACCCGGCTGTCTATTATTAATACTACTTCCTTGAAGATTCTGTTTTCTTTTCTCATGCCTCATAGTCTGGAATCCAGAGTTACTATGTTTGCTATTTCTCAGAGCCACTAGAGAGGTTCTCATTCAGGGCTTTTGTACCTGCCTCTTCCTTTTACCTGAAATGCTCCTTTGCCCTCCACCCCCAATATCCATGTGGCTAAGCCCTTTACATCCTTCAAATGGCATCTTCTCATTGAGCTTTCTCTAGGTCCCTGTCTAAAACAACAATCTTCCTTGTATACCTCATATTCTTCTCCCTGCTTTATTTTATCACCTTATGATAATGAGATCCAGGTCAAGAAATAATGCAAGCCTGATACGTGCTTGATGTTATGCTGCAGATATTACACATATTATTTAATAGTCATCTGGTTAAGTGACTGCTATATTGTCAGGTTCTGTGCTGTGGTTCTGTATATCTGAGATACACAGTGACAAATGAGATAAAGTTCTTAAATTCCTGGAATTTGGAGACTAATGATCTGACAGTCTCCTACTACATTTCAGGCATTTTACACATAATCACTGTAATCCACAAAGTAACCCTTACCTAATCTCCCTTCTTCAGTATTATTATTTTTTCTTCATACTACCATAGGAATCGATCTGAAACTTCAATCTAAATTTTCTCCTCTGCTTAAAAACATCCAGTTTCCTCCATTTGGAACATCCTTTCTCGACCTCTTTACCTGGTCAGATTCAACTCACTGAACATTCAATATATAGTGTACATTCACCTCAAGGAGAATAAGCCTCCTTTCTCTTTGCTTTGTTAGATTCCTTTCATGTGTGCTCTCATAGTTTTCATTATATTACTTCTCACTCTATCACAAAACCATTGTTTAAGATCCTATGACATGTATGAGCTGTGACTTATTTGTGTGATTTTCCCATCAAACAACACAGACATTTAACAAATGTTTGATAAACAAATTAACAGTTACTAGGAAAAAGACCAATAGGAGGGGGGACTAACTTGCAGCTTACACACAGACAGAGCAGCATGTGGAGACCCACAGCGTGAACTTTTACTCCAAGAAGCACCACAGGAACATACCAGGAAAGTCGAGAGAATCCACAGATCCTTTGAAGGAAATGGACTGTCACTGCAGGCTCAGCGGGACAGCCTAGGAACTGTGAGTCGGCTTGCTTTCTCTGCTGTGAGACTTGTAGCCTGGGGCCAGTTCTCAGCCCTGCTCACCAGCTGCCAGAAATAAACTTGGTACTGTCGTGAGGGGCATGGTGGGAGTGAGACCAGCTTTTCGGACTGTAGGCTGCATGGGGAACTGAGTAAGGCCTTTGGGTGCTGGCTTTTCCTCACTTCCCTGGTGACCTGTGTGATACAGTAGAGGCAGCCATAATCCCCCTGGGAACATAACTCCATTGGCCTGAGAACCACATCGACATCTCCCACAGCAGCCACAGCAAGCCGTGCCCAAGGAGAGTCTGAGCTCAGATATGCCACAGCTGAAGGTGTTTCTCTACCCACCCCGGTAGCTAAAGACAAATGATATAATCTCTTGGGAGCTCTGTGGCCTCACCCAGTGCCTGATTCTCCCTATACTACTGTAGCTGATGAGCTCTTGAAAGCGCCATCTCCTGGCTGGAGGGCAACTAATACAAAACCAGCGCACTTAACAAAAACACAACCAAGGATCCTCACAGCGTCCACTTGGCTCCCCTGCTACTTCCACTGGAGCAGGTGCTGGCATCCACAGCTGAACAACCTAAAGATGAATCATATCACAGGACTCTTTGCTGACGCCCTCCCCAGTACCAGCCCAGAACCTGGTAACAATCACTGCAGTTTAACTCTCAGGAAGCCCCAACCCTAGAGGAAAGGAGAGAGTACCACATCAAGGGAGCACCCTGTGGGACCAAAAAAAAAAAAAAAATCTGAACAACAGCTCTTGAATCACAGAACATCCCTCTGACATAGTCTACCCAAATGAGAAGGAAACAAAAAAAAATTCTGGTAATATGACAAAACAAGATTCTTTAACACCTCCAGAAGATCACTCTGGCTCACCAGCAATGGATCCAAACCAAGATGAAATCTCCAAATTGCCAGAAAAAGAATTTAGAAGGTTGATTATTAAGCCAATCAAGGAGGCACCAGAGAAAGTTGAAGCCCAACTTAAATAAATAAAAAAGATACAGAATATGAAGGGAAAATTCTTCAGTGAAACAGACAGTACAAATAAAAAACGAACACAACTTCTGGAAATGAAGAACACACTTAGAGAATTGCAAAATGCACTGGAAAGTCTCAGCAATAGAATAGAACAAGTAGAGGAAAAAACTTCAGAGCTCAAAGACAAAACTTTCAAATTAGCCTAATCTGACAAAGACAAAGAAAAAGAATTTTAAAAAATAAACAAATCCTCCAAGAAGTTTGGGATTATGTTAAACGACCAAACCTAAGAATAATTGGTTTTCCTGAAGAAGAGAAATCTAAAAGCTTGGAAAACATATCTGAGGAAATAATCAAGAAAAACTTCCCCAGCCTTGCTAGAGATCTAGACATCCAAATACAAAAGGCTCAAAGAACACCTGGGAAATTTATTGTAAAAATACCATCACCTAGGCACATAGTCATCACATTATCTAAAGTCAAGATGAAGGAAAGAATCTTAAGAGCTGTGAGGCAAAAGCATCAGGTAATCTATAAAAGAAAACCTATCAGACTAACAGCAGATTTCTCAGGAGAAGCCCTACAAGATAGAAAAGATTGGGATCTGTATTAGTCAATATTCATGCTGCTGATAAAGTCATACCTGAGATGGGGTAGAAAAAGAGGTTTAATTGAATTTACAGTTTCACATGGCTGGGGAGGCCTCAGAATCATGGTGGGAGGTGAAAGGCACTTCTTACATGGTGATGGTGAGAGAAAAATGAGGAAGATGCAAAAGCAGAAATCCCTGATAAAACTATCAGCAAAATCAGCATAGAAGGGACATACCTTAAAGTGATAACTATCTATGACAAACCGCAACCTACACTACACTGAATGGGGAAAAGTTGAAAGCATTCCCCTAGAAATCTGGAACAAGATAAGGATGCCCACTCTCACCACTTCTATTAAACATAGTACTGGAAGTCCTAGCCAGGGCCTTCCAACAAGAGAAAGAAATAAAGGACATTCAAATAGGTAAAGCGGAAGTCAAACTCTCACTGTTTGCTGAGAATATGATTGCATAGGTAGAAAACCAACCCTAATGACTCCTCCAAAAAGCTCCTAGAACTGATAAATGAATTCAGCAACATTTCAGGATACAAAATTAATATACCCAAATCAGTAGCTCTGCTATACACCAACAGGGACCAAGCTAAGAATCCAATCAAGGACTCAACTCCTTTTACAATAGCTGCGAAGAAAATAAAATACTTAGTAATATACCTAACCAAGGAGGTGAAAGACCTCTACAAGGAAGGCTACAAAACACTGCTGAAAGAAATCATACATCACACAAACAAATGGAAACACATCCCCACTCATGGATGGATAGAATCAATATTGTGAAAATGATGATACTGCCAAAATTCAAGGGAATTCCCACCAAAATACCACCATCATTCTTTACAGAACTGGAAAAAACAATCCTAAAATTCATACAGAACCAAAAAAGAGTCTGCATAGCCAAGGCAAGGCTAAGCAAAAAGAACAAATCTGCAGGCATTACATTACCCAACTTCAAACTATACTATAAAGTCATAGTTATCAAAACATCATGGTACTGGTGAAAACACAGGCATACAGGCCAATGGAACAGAATAGAGAACCCAGAAATAAAGCCAAATACTTACAGTCAATTGATCTTTGACAAAGCAAACAAAAACATAAAGTGGGGAAAGGACACACTATTCAATAAATGGTGCTGGCATAATTAGCAAGCCACATGTAGAAAAATGAAACTGGATCCTCATCTCTCATCTTATATAAAAATCAACCCAAGATGGATCAAAGACTTAAATCTAAGACCTGAAACCATAAAAATTCTAGAAGATAACATCAGCAAAATCCTTGTGGACATTGGCTTATGCAAAGACTTCCTGAACAAGAACCCAAAAGCAAATGGAACAAAAACAAAGATAAATAGATGGGACTTAATTAAACTGAAAAGCTTCTGTACAGCAGAAGAAATAATCAGCAGAGTAAACAGAAAACCCACAGAGTGGGGAAACATCTTTGCAATGTATACATCTGACAAGGAATAATATCCAGAATCTACAAAGAACTTAAACAAATCAGCAAGAAGAAAACAAATAATCCTGTCAAAAAGTGGGCTAAGGACATGAATAAACAATTCTTAAAAGAAGATATACAAATGGCCAAAAAACATATAAAAAATGCTTAACATCACTAATTATCAAGGAAATGCAAATCAAAACCACAATGCAATACTACCTTACTCCTGCAAGAATGATCATAATCAAAAAAATCTAAAAATAATAGAGGTTGGAGTGGATGTGATGAAAAGGGAACACTTTTACACTGTTGGGAATGTAAACTAGTGCAAACACTGTGGAAAACAACTGTGGAGATTCCTTAAAAAACTAAAAGTTGAACTACCATTTGATCCAGCAATCCCACTACTGGGTATCTACCCAGAGGAAAAGAAGTCATATGAAAAAGATATTTGCACATGCATGTTTATGGCAGCAAAATTCACAATCGCAAAAAATATGGTATCAGCTTGAATGCCCATCAATCAACAAGTGGATAAAGAAAATGCAGTGTATTTATACTATGGAATACTACTCAGCTATAAAAAGAAACGAAATAATGGCATTTGCAGCAACCTGGATGGAATTGCACACCGTTATTCTAAATGAAGTAACTCAGGAATGGAAAACCAAACATCATTTCTCACTCATAAGTGGGAGCTAAGCTATGAGGACACAAAGGCATTCGAATGATACAATGGGCTTTGGGGACTCAGGGGAAAGGGTGGGAGGGGATGAGGAATAAAAGACTATACATTGGGTACAGTATACACTGCTTGGGTGATGGGTGCACCAAAATCTCAGAAATCACCACTAAAGAATTTAGTCATGTAACCAAACACCACCTGTTCGTCAAAAACCTATCGAGATTTTTTTTTTTTTTTTTTTTGAGACGGAATCTAGCTCTGTCGCCAGGCTGGAGTGCAGTGGTGCAATCTGGGCTCACGGCAAGCTCCGCCTCCCGGGTTCACGCCATTCTCCTGCCTCAGCCTCCCGAGTAGCTGGGACTACAGGCGCCCGCCACCACGCCCGGCTAATTTTTTGTATTTTTAGTGGAGACAGGGTTTCACCGTCTTAGCCAGGATGGTCTAGATCTCCTGACCTCCTGATCCACCCACCTCAGCCTCCCAAAGTGCTGAGATTACAGGCATGAGCCACCGCGCCCGGCCTGAGATTTTGTTTTAATGAAAACAAATAACAAAAAACATTAGCACATTGCACTTCTCTGTGAGCATACTTCCATGGGGAGGAAATGTGAGAGCTCATGGGATCCAGGTATTGAGCTTAGCTACGTAGGTGAAGGAATTTAGGAGATAAACACTTCCTTCTCTCCTGTGCTTTGCATTTCTGTTGCTGCCATAACTGTAGGCCACTTGGGAACAGATAGCTCAGAAGAGGAGAAGCAGGAAGGTAGATGAGCTTATTTTAAAAAAAAATGTAAATAAGAGGAGAAAATGTTTGAAATCACAGATATTTAGAAAAAGAAGAGACTTTGAAATAATCTGATTTCACAGATATGATGAACTCCATAGAACAGGGAAGGAAATAGGATTCAAAGAGATTAAGTGCCTGCCCCAATGTCACACAGCTGGTGCATTTTGGAAAACTCATTTAAATTGATATCACTAGGATTTCTCTCACCATATGAACCTCCATTTAATTTCTAGGAAGTGAAAATGGTATGGAAATCTATATGGGTATCATGAAACATGATTCACTCTGAAACTATTCATGCCTTTATCACCATCCATACTACCTCTTCTTCTCCTTCTTCTTTTTTTTAAGATGGAAATCTCCCTTTGTCACCCAGGCTGGAGGGCAGTGGTACAATCATAGCTCCATGCGGCCTTGAACTCCTAGGCACAGGTGACCCTCTCACCTCAGCCTCCCAAGTAGCTGGGACTATGGGCATGCGCCACCACCCCTGGCTTGCCCATGCTACTTTTATGAGTCAGTCTAGTGCTACAAAAATTCTACATGCCCAGGAGAAATAGGTTTGTTATCTCAGGTGTGCACCTAGTCTATTTTATACACTTTGTCTTCTCAATAACTCATCCAACCAGTTACTCGTGATTAAATACTTTTTCCTACTTTCATCATTTTGTTTTCTCAAGATTTCATGTTAACATTTTATTCTTCCTTCTTTTACTTGATATGTTTACCTTTATTTATAAATAATTTTCTTGGTAAGTTGTATTTTTCTTAAAAGCCAGATGTTGTTATAGATGGTAATGGGGACCTGTGGAGTCTTCCTGGGTGGCCCAGCACAAGACAACTAGTGCCGAGTCTCCTGGTTCCAGTGATGCCTAAGCAGAGGAAGCTGCACTCAGTTGCCTATAATATTGCTCACATGTATTTGTCCTCAACAGGCAGTTGCCTGCCTATAGATTTACTTATAATGGGATTTTGTGACTCTCTTGAGCCCTTAACAGCTGGTGCTTATGGTGAAAAAAAGCACCAGAAGGGAAAAACACAAATCTAAGAATAATCCCTTGTAAGTTTCTAATATTGCAGTCTTATTGGAGTCTTTGTGACAGCAGTTTATCTCAAGGGAGAAAAAGTCTGTTCATGAAGCAGGGCAATTCAAGTCATGAAGCTATCCAAAGATCCACTTTCCAGAAACTTTATGTGAAATACTGTTCCTTTACCTCTCCTGCGACACACTCTTTCTAGAATCTATGTATTCCCATGGAGCAAATTCTTCATTCTCTGGAGACTTCTTATCAGAGCTTTCTGTAGTCTTAGCTTTCACTCAGTGTCCCCAAGATTTCTCTCCCTTAAGAACATTTCCTTCTTTTTTGTATAACTGCTGATGGGAATTCAAATATTCATAACAAATGAAAAGAGACTATTTCTGAGCCTGTGCTATAAGCTCGGAAATAGAGACCATATTATTACTACATAATGCATATTTAATATAGTAACAATAACCAGTTTTAGATATTATTTAAAAATGTATTGTACATTGTATATTGACAAATTATAGTTGTATGTATTTATGGGATACAAAGCAGTGTTGTGATTTTTTTAATGCAATGTGAAATGATTAAATTAAGCTAATTAATATATTTACCACTTCAAATATTTAACAGTTTTTGTGATGAGAACATAAGAAAGAAGTTTTAAAACCCCTTTTGACAAAGCAAATATGCTACAGTCCCTGGTGACAAGCAATGCTATTAATAGGAGAGGTTTTGTTAGATTTCTGGATATTTCTTTGACTACAGGCAGTTGAAAACGCTTACACCCTCTCACTTTATTCATGTCTCTAGGGACTAGGCTCATTCTACCCTTAGTCTGGTGCAATTTCACATGCTGTTCTCTCTTTTGTAAATCATGCTTCAAATTCACATGATTTAGTCATCAGTTGAAAATCAGTTGCTCATGGATCAATAAGATCTCCCTTCTTTTTTCTGTTTTCATGGAAAAGCAAAGGTGTCTTTCACATATTTCACTGCAGTTAAGAACACAGTGAGCTTCAAACTTTTCTGTAATATCTTTGTTATCATTTCTTCTGCTATAATCAGAATTACTCCTTATATCCTGAGCTTTTGTTTATTTTTTATGGAGAAATAACAAGATCTCTCAAATGCATTAGCTCCACATTCAATTCTAGGTTGCTTAAATTTTTGCTTCTATTTGCTCCAATTTTCTGCTGCATTTCTTTTAAAGCTTAACTTTCTTGGAGGCTTTAATTGGTCCATTTTTAATTCCCTTCGACATCATGTAATTATTGGTTTCCCTTGTAGGAAAAAAACATACCAGACTCTTGTTGTTAAATATAAAGTATTTTATTGTAGGACTTCTGTGAGCACTTCAAATTGACCTTTTGTGTGGTATGTATGGAGTCAGCACTGTACAATACAGCCCCATGTAGTATTCAAATATTTTAAACAGATCTCTACTTGCTACACCAGATAATCTCTTGCTTAACTTATGTTCCTCCAGAATGTTCCTGCTATCTTTATTACAGTGACCTTGAGGTTGTATTCACTTCTGGCCAATTAAGCTGTAAATCAGCATTTATCACTAATAGTGGTGCAATTATAGGCTGCTGTGAAATTGCTCAGCAAAGAGAGATATCTGTATACATTTAGGTTTTGTTTATTTGCCAAAGAACAGACAAACTTAGAGCAACTGCAGCCTGCTATACTCCCTCACTCAAAAAACACAAGAAGTTTATCTGGTATATTTATTCTTCATTCTCCTAAAAATATGTACCATATCCTATATTCATTTATGTACATTTAGTAAAATTGACTCAAAAATTAAGTTTTATTAGACATAAAATATAAACATATGTATAATATTGAACTATATTTAACCATGTAAAATATAAAACTTCGCTAGCCATTGGTGTTTAAAATTGTTGCACCTTCATTAATTGTATGGACACTGCCAAAAGCACAGGTTTGAATGGCTAATTGCTTTTTCATTTGAAGGATGAAACAGGCAATCTGTGTTGAATTTGGTCATGAGATGTTCTCATTTACATTTGTAATTTGTGTGAGCTCTAGTCAACACAGGAACCAAATGTCAACTCTCTAAAAGAAGGCCAGAAATCTAAGTGAACACAGGACAATTATGGGAAGGTGAGCACATTTTCATTTCTCTATATTTCAGAGAACAGAGCACTGTTAGGAGTATAAACAAGTTGCAGCAGAGGCTGGAGCATCAAATGCACTGTGAGTGCAATGTCTTCTGATATTTCTTTGAAACAAGATCTCCTGTAAATCTGTGATTTGTTGTAATGTTGCTTGATATCATTGCTGCTTTGGCACACACTGTCAATCATTTAAATATGTGATTCAAGGACATATATTATGAATATATTTTTACTCCATGGATCACTTTATTATGTGTAAGAACACTCAGTTTTTGCTATGGAGAATATCTGTGTATATATTTAATATTTTGGATTGTTACAAGTGTACTAAATTTAAACTGATGCTGAGTGTTGAAAATCACTGATTTAGAGGTTAAATCCATATGAAAGAGAGAATCAAAGTCTAAAATATTTAAAATTAAAGAGATATTTAAAAGTTTTGTTATTTACATTAATTATAAGTCCTTTTACAAGTTAGGTATGTGAAAATTATCAAGTAACACAAAATTATCAAGTAACTCATTTTACAAGAAACAACGTATTTACTTGAAGGATAACACTAAACTCAATGCCTTTGCTATGCAAATGATGTTGTAACTGGCATAATATCAGAAAATAGTGTAATAGCCTAATAATATCAGGTCCATTAGTTAGAAAAATGTGTCCAACTATTTCTTCAAGAATTAATTTAAGAGACAACATGTTAAAGGTAGGATTTGATTTTAGTGCATATTAATGTGTATTTGGGGGTCATTTAAAATATAATTGATTGTATCCTTTCTTGTATTTCTCTTGATCACCTTTAAGTCATGAGATGAACTTAGATTCCTTCGTATTCTCCACTTAAAATATACTTATATTTATATATTGCATTTCAAACCTATTTTTAATTTTGTTTAGATTATCTATGTTTAAGTAAAAATGGACCCCTCATTTAAAAATCTATGTTTAATCTAGACATGGAATATAAGCTATTTTAGTTTCTCCAGAAATGCTCGAAAATAGGCATGTACTAGGTACTCTAAGGGATACAACAGGGAATCTAAAAATACATCCTTTAGAAAGAGAAAAGAGACCAATGTACCTATAACTGGAACACAATGTAAAAAGGATCATCATAGATTACACAAATCCTCAAAGAAAGACATTGAGCAGATATGGTTTGCAGTAGCATGGGAAAGAGATGGACCACAAAGAGAAAATCTAGAAAATGGTTTCTGAGTTGAGCTTTAACAAAGAAGACTTTGATACACAAAAGTAACATGGCTTGGGAAGATTTTTACAATGTTTTCATTTTGCAAAATAGAAGAAGGGTGACGCAGTGAATGACTCAGTGTGGCAAAGAAGGATCATATGTGGATAGAAAATGTGGGCAAAAAGGTAGACAGAAAAGGTAGAAGGCTACAAACATCTGGATAAATAAGAATTGTGGGCTTTACCTTTATGTTTTGGAGAAATCCTGAGGATTTTGAAAGGATAATTATAATCTTATTTTTAAAAATTTAAATTGACCTAAATGTTCAGTATTGACTACAACAGGCACAAGGATCACTGGAAAATACATGAACTAAAGGCAGGAGTCTGTAAAGACCTGTTTTAGGTTTTATCCACGAAATAGAAAATAGGCCACACATTTGATGGGTGTGATACATACAGCTAATGCCAGAAAAATGTGAAGTTATAAGAATATATAAAATACCAAGGAGGAAAATAGAAGTCCCAAGGCAATAATCTTAAGAAAACTCTTAGGAGAAGTAAAAAAAAAAGTCTATGGGCCGGGAACCGTGGCTCACGCCTGTAATCCCGGTACTTTGGGAGGCTGAGGCAGGCGGATCACCTGAGGTCAGGAGTTCGAGATCAGCCTGGCCAACATGGTGAAACCCCATTTCTGCTAAAAATAAAAAATTAGCCAGGTGTGGTGGTATGTGCCTGTAGTCTCAGATACTCGGGAGGCTGAGGCAGGAGAATAGCGTGAACCCGGGAGGCAGAGGTAGCAGTGAGCTGAGATCATGCCACTGCACTCCAGCCTGCGTGACAGAGTGAGACTCTGTCTCAAAAAAAAAAAAAAAGTTTATGAAGAGGAGAAGTTTTATTAATGTTATATGGGCAAGTTCATATCCTGTATCTTCATAAAGCCATTTTAAGCACTATCATTAATTGGAGTTTCATTTTCTGGAAAGGCAGGTAAGAGTAATGGAAGTTTGCTGAGCTAAGAAATAGACAGCTAGGTTTCAAATCCATCATCAGATACAGGATTTCATACAAGTCACTGAAATTCTATGAGCTTCTATAAACTCATAGAATTATCCACCTTTAGGCCAGGCATGATGGTTCACACCTGTAATCCCAACACTTCTGGGGGCCACACTGGGAGGATTACTTGAGCCCAGGGATTTGAGAGCAGCCTGGGCAATATAGTGAGACCTCATGTCTAAAAAGAAATTAAAGGTTAGCCAAGTGTGATGGTATGTACCTGTAGTCCCAGCTACTCAGGAGGCTGAGATGGAAGGATTGCTTAAGGCCAGAAGGCAGAGGTTGCAGTGAGCCAAGATTGCACCACTGCACTCCAGCCTAGGTGACAGAGTAAGACCCTGTCTCAAAATAAATAAATAGAAATAACTCCACCTTTACAATGTGGTATATCTACTAACTTAAATACTTTTGTGTGATAAAGTTATGTTTAATCCCTACATTTAGCCTGGCATCTGTAAAGAGAAAACCGTCATGCATGTCAAGAATATAATCCAGTTCTTCCCAATTAATGGAGCTACAAAGCTTAAAAACACAACCTATAGCTCTTCTAAAATACAGCATTAATTTGGCCATTTATTTATCCATTCAATTAAACTATATTAGTAGAAAATACCTATGTGTCAGATACTGTGTTAGGAGAAGCACAACAAGCAAAGCTAAAAAGGTCTCTTCTCTCAAAAACTATAGATCTTAGTTACAAAAAAAGGAATAAGCAAATTAAAAATTTTAAAAGCTACCCTGAAAATAAACAGTGAGAAACTCAGGAGGGTTGTGGTGGTGGTGAGCAAGAGAGTAGCTAGCAATAGTGCGGCCAGGGTAATCCCTGAGATAGGAAGAATGAGCAAGAGCCCACCATGCTTGGGAGAACTTTCCAGAAAGATTATTTATGCTCTGTCACTCACATCTCAGCTATCTCAGTTGCATGATATATCCCAAGCAATGTGCTTCTAACAATGCTAACCATAATCAAGCTATTTTCTCTCTGCCTTAGGTTTCTTATTTTTAAATTAGTCTAACATTACTACCTGACTCTTAAAATTTTTGTGAGCATTAAATCAGCTAATGTTGGTAAAGTGTATGATATGTAATGAATTCAAGTTATTTACTAATAACAATATCTTTGAAGTCTATATGTGATTTCTTTTTATACATACATGCATAACACATTGTGCAAATTTGCAGGTATCTATGTATATGTATATACAGGTACATAGAATAGGTACAAGGTTGTCTTTATTTTAATAGCATTCCTGTTTGTTTTCTAGTGAATTTTATTGAGCATTTTAAAAGTCGTAGCATTAAAACTAACATTAGAATCTGCATTCAATACAGAACATGCCTTTTAGGATGCTGCAGTAACAAAAAGAACTCAGAAGTTTCAGTGACTTAATGAAATACAGTTAACTTCTTACACATGCAAAGTCTGAAGCAGGTCAGACAGCGTTCTCCCATATTGGTGGCTAAGCCATCAGAAACAGGGAACTTCAAAGATACACCAACAGGTGAAGAGAAATCTAGGAAACAGTAGAAAGTATAAAGAATAGATCCAAAAGGGACCCATCTCACTTCTGTCCACATACCTTGGCCAGAACTCAGTCATGCAACCCAAACTAGCTTCAAGGGAAATGGGTGATACAGGCTTACAGATATCCCATGTGCCCAGAAAGAGAAAATGTGCAGTGTGATATATATATATATAGTAATATTAATGGTTGTAGTAATGTAAAAAATACATTTATAAAATTTGCATTAACAGACAAAATAATAAGTCATAAATCTGATATATTTGAATTTAGTTCTATCTCTTCAGATTTTGGACAAATATATTTTATTTATTGGCACACATTTCCTTTTAGTTTTAACACCAATTTGTCTCTATTTCTAATTATTGTGCAGAAGAATTAAGAAAGCATATCTAAATATGCATTATAAACTGTAATAACTATAATGCAGTAGAAAACCATACAATTGGTGACAGTCAATATATAATATTTATCAAATATATGTATGTACAAGTATACACACACACACAAACACACATTGTCTTACAGAAACTCTTAAATTGCTATCTGGCTCTTTTATTTAACTTGTCTTGAATCTTTTCACAAATCTCCAACAAGACAGTAAAATACTTTAAGGTATTTGGAGTTATAAGAGACTGAGAATGCTAAACACACAGTCAATTCTCAATAAATATTTGTTGAATGAGTAAACAGGGTCAGCTGGTGGAGGAGATTTCATGCCTGGCTGAGGAATTTGAATTTATCCCACAAGGACAACCGTAGAAAGTTTTTTTGCAGAGAAGTAGCATGATGAAAACAGTAATTTAGAAATGTTACTATGTCATTGGATACAGAAATAATGAGAGGGGAAGGTTGGAGAGGAAAACTAATCAAGAAGCTATTGCAGTAATTCCATATGTGAGCCAGGGCTTGAATAGTGGCAGTTGAAAGAGAAATAAGGAACAAATACAAGAGATATTTTAAATAAAACTTGGTGAATTATTAAATGGCAAATTATTGAACATACAGGGAAAGGGAGGCAAAAATCAAAGATTACTTGAAGGTACTGAATTTAGAAGCTAGGAAAAAAGAGTCACACTGTTGATGGAGAAAGAGCCACTGAAATGAAATGATCTGTAGGGATCATAAGCACATACATGTTGATCTCAGAGGCAGCTGTGTTACCACTCACCAGTAATTCTAAAGACGTGTGAGAGAATGTATACACATTAGTACTTTTGAGATAAATTTGTTTTATTCTAAACAACTTCATTTAAAGAATATTAAACATTATTTTGGGAGATTGGAATAGTGTGTTTTATATTAATTTAGGTTCTAAGGTTGCAAAACACTATTAATACAATGCTCACAAAATAGCCTTTTTCAAGGAAATAATAATCATTTCCATTTCTAAATAACCTGTAATTAAATTAGAAGAGAAATATTTTTGGTGACTAAAAGTGAAATAGGAAAAGGTCCCTTGTGTCCCTCGCAGGGCATGCGATGGGGGTGTGACTCACTTCTTCAGTGCATCGCTGCTCAAACCTCTAGGGGAGCAAACAGACAGGCAGGCTGTGGGGCTCTCACCCCACGGCAGTATCTAGGGGTGAATGTTTACTGGGGCTTACCTCTGAAGCCCCAGTGGGCATGTGTTACAGGGTGGTCTTTTAGTTTAGCCATCTGTAGGCAGCTTGTGTTCGTCAGCTCAATTAGATCCCTGCATTATTATCAGGACAGAGAGATTTCTGTATCCCAGAGTTCTTGCCTTGATGTACCGGAAGAATCAGATCACACATGCACTTGGAGAACGAGTGCAAGGTTTTATTGAGTGGAAGTAGCTCTCAGCACATGGGGGAGCCAGAAGGGAGATGGTTTTTCCTCTGGAGTTGGGCTGCTCCGTGGCCAGGCTCTCATCCCACAGCCCCAGCTAAACTCCATGTCATTCTGCCAGTCAGTGGCCTGCTGACCTGCAATCACCTGTTGGTGTGCTTTTCTGCTGGCGTGATTCCCCTCAACATCCTGTCGAAGTCCAGCTGCTTGTGTCTTCTTCCGCCAATGTGTTACTCCTGATGTCCAGCCGCCTGTGTGTTTCTCCACTGATGATCTCCTCTCAACATCCAGCCACCTGTGTGTCTGCCTGTTAGGGTCTCGGGGGGCTTATTGGCACAGGATGGGGGCGTGGCAGGCCAGGGTGGTCTTGGGAAATGCAATATTTGGGCAGAAAAACAAAATGCCTATCCTCACCTAGGTCCATGGGCACAGGCCCAGGGGTGAAGCCCTAGCCAGGGACCACGCCCTCCTCTACACAGCACTTCCCTTCCCCCTTCCATATCATTTAAAGCAGCCATGCCCTTTCCAGCACTTCCCTTCTGTATCATTTTCTCCCTCTGAAGACGTATATCTAACTGTCATTAGAATATGGATGATGACCAGTCTTAGCTGCTTCCTGCTGACAGGGGACGTTGTTTTGGGGAAAATGGCAGTCAGGTTTCTCCCAAAGGCCTATCTAAGGGTTCCTCACAAAGGGGAGCCATCGTCTGAGGCTCTGGTTGCCTGACCATTTGGAATTTGATGGCTTCTAGGAGTGAGAGAAAAAACAAAAGTTTTATAAGGGTAAGAGTTCAGATATGTGGGTGAAATTCTGGAAAGGCTCTATGTATCTATCAGGGTCATCTGAAAACTTGCGAAGATCTCCCTTAATTTGCTTTAAGTCCTGTAGAGAGAAGGGGAGCTGGACCTCACTGGGCCCAAATTCACTGGGCATCTGTTGGAGGGGCAAGAGTAAGACTGGGGATTGTCTACAGTGAGGATTTCTAGGAGGGGGCAAGTGAGAAGCTGAAGCTGAATAGGGAGGTTGGGGGACCAGGAGCAGGGCTGGAGGGAGCTGGCTCCTTTGCTGGGAGTGCCTCTGGGACTCATATTTTTAATTCCCTGGGCTTGCCCCTTACTGCCCTCCCTAAGATGGAAAACAGGAGGACTGGAACAATCCTACATTGTTGACAAAGGTCTGGATAGCCTTGCAAGGTATAGAAAGCTGAGGCCTCAGACCATCCGTCCTCACATCTACAGAAAAGTTCCAATTGCCAGATGGTATCAAAATGAATGGTCACTTTCTGAGGCTAAACCAGTCCTTCCTGTAAATCATAATTTGGCGAAACATTTGTGCAGAGGGCTATGAGCCATTTTTCATCCAGATTCTGAAAGTCAAACAGTCCCAACTGTTCAGGACACACTCCCGAAGAGTAAAAGATGGGGGTGGTGAAGAGAACTGGTTGCCCATTCTGAAAGACAGGGAATACAGGTGTCCCTCATTCCCCTCCTTCTTTCAGAGAAAACTCAGCTTGTGATGGAGAGTTTAGAAAGCGAGCATCCTCCTTTCACTTTCCACCACTTGTCTCTGAGCCCCAATTGTGTCCAGAATTGGTGGGTTCTTGGTCTCACTGACTTCAAGAATGAAGCTGCAGACCCTCGCGGTGTTACAGTTCTTAAAGGTGGTGTGTCCGGACTTTGTTCCTTCTGATGTTCAGATGCATTAGGAGTTTCTTCTTTCTGGTGGATGCATGGGCTCGCTGGCTTCAAGAGTGAAGCTGCAGACCTTCCCAGTGAGTGTTACAGCTCTTAAGGGGGTGTGTCTGGAGTTGTTCATTCCTCCCGGTGGGTTTGTGGTCTCGCTGGCCTCAGGAGTGAAGCTGCAGACCTTTGCCGAGAGTGTTATAGCTCATAAACGCAGTGTGTACCCAAAGAGTGAGCACCAGCAAGATTTATTGCAAAGAGTGAAAGAACAAAGCTTCCACAGCGGGTAAAGGAACCTCCGTGGGTTGCCACTGCTGGCTGGGGCAGCCTACTTCTATTTCCTTATCTAGCCCCACCCACATTCTGCTGATTGGTCCATTTTACAGACAGCTGATTGGTCCATTTTGACAGGGTGCCGACTGGTGCATTTACAAACCTTGAGCTAGACAGAGAGTGCTGATTGGTGTATTTACAATCCCTTATCTAGACATACAGGTTCTCCAAGTCCCCACTAGACTTAGGAGCCCAGCTGGCTTCACTTAGTGGATCCTGCACAAGGGCCCCAGGTGGAGCTGCCTGCTAGTCCCTCCCAGTGCGCACGCACTCCTCAGCCCTTGGGCCGTCAATGGGACCGGGCGCCAGGGAGCAGGGGGCGGCGCTCATTGGGGAGGCTCAGACAGCCCAGGAGCCCACAGGGGTGGGGAGGCTCAGGCATGGCTGGCTGCAGGTCCTGAGCCCCACCCCGCGGGGGTGCAGCTGAGGCCCGGCGAGAATTCCAGCGCAGCGCAGCGCTGGCGGGCCGGCACTGCTGGGGGACCCGGCTCACCCTCCGCAGCTGCTGGCCCAGGTGCTAAGCCCTTCACTGCCTGGGGCTGGCGGCGCCGGCCGCTCAGAGTGTGGGCCGCGGAGCCCACGCCTACCCGGAACTCACGCTCGCCCTGGAGAGCGGGTGTGCAGCCCCAGTTCCCGCCCGCGCCTCTCCCTCCACACCTCTCTGCAAGCAGAGGGAGACGGCTCCAGCCTCAGCCAGCCCAGAGACGGGGTCCCACAGTGCAGCGGCAGGCTGAAGGGCTCCTCAAGCGTGGCCCGAGGAGACGCCAAGGCCCAGGAAGCGCTGAGAGCGAGAGACGGCCGCCAGCACGTTGTCACCTCTCACAGTGACCTTGGCAGATGCGGTATGTACCCATGAAGCAGGGAAAACCTGGAGAATAGGAATTAACCACCCTCACCTATGCCTCCGTTTCTCCCTGATGTCGGCAAACTTTGAGTTTCTTAGGCCTGTTTATGCCATGGAGCACGTCCTCCTTCCGTGGGGTGGGCTCAGTGAGCAGGAATTGGTCCTGCCCCTTTACATTGTGCGTGTTGTTTGGATCCCTCAGACCTGATTTTGCTTTCTAGGTCCGCAGCCTGAAGCTTGGAATTGAGTTTGGGACTGAAAAGGTATTTTAGAGTCTGTATTCGTTTAGAGCATCTCAAATGTGCCCTGCCGAATTTGCATTTCTCAGCCAGCAGGAGTTGTTCCTCCATTAACTTCCCTATCAGGAACAGAGTGAGGCCCGGGGTGGAGGTGGCTCTCACTTAGAAAAGGAAAAAAAGAGAAAAACAGTTAAAGGGGCAAAACAGGGAGATGTTTGGAGAAGAACACCTTGCTTAGTGCAAGTGGGCCCCTGTAATAGTCATAACTTTCCCATCCTTCCTCCAGTTCGGATCAGGTTGAATTCCTTGGCCAGGGGAGGAAAGGTTCCGTTGCCGCAGTGGGTAAGAAGCACCCTGCAGGGTCCCGACTGTTGCCTCAGCTTCCTTTTGCACCTCCTTTTGTATTTTTGGATGTTGGGCTTGGCTTTTGCCTGCTGCGGGCATGCCCAGGCACCCGAGATGGGAAGAGAAAGGGTAACAGAAGATGCCCTGAGCTGTGCGTGCCTGCGGCTGTCAAGGTGGAGGCATACATGGCACCTTTAGGAACAAGTTGTTTGTTCTGCACCTTTGGCAGCTGAGCCAGTTATTAGTAACATTAGTGCAGCCTGTAGCAAAACTCTTAACATTATAAAGAAAGAGATATGAGCCATTTTAAACCGTGTGAGAAGGAGAAAAGAGACAAGGTCTGGGGCTTTTGACCCACCCAGTTAGGGCAGAGTTTTTAAACTCCATGAAGAAAAATAGAGCCTCTTACCTGCAGGAAAGAGAGAGAGGTGGCAGGATTTTGGAAGAGAGGCAGACCCAATAGTTTCACATTCGTTCATACTCACCTTCCAGGATCCCAGATAAGCCCCAGTTGAAAGGGGAAAAGGTCCCTTGGCCCCCTCGCAGGGCTTGCGATGGGGTGTGCCTCACTTCTTCAGTGCACCACTGCTCAAACCTCTAGAGGAGCAAACAGATGGGCAGGCTGTGGGGCTCTCACCCCACGGCAGTGTCTAGGGGTGAATGTTTACTGGGGCTTACTCCTGGAGCTCAATGGGCATGTGTCACAAGGTGCTCTTTTAGTTTAGCTGTCTGTACACAGCTTGTGTTAGTCAGCTCAATTAGACTCCTGCTTATTCACGAGGACAGAGGGCTTTCTGTATCCTGGGGTTCTTGCCTTGGTGTAGGAGAAGAATCAGATCACAAGTGGGCTTGGAGAATGAGTGCAAGGGTTTTTTTGGGTGGAAGTAGCTCTCAGCAGATCAGGGAGCCAGAAGGGAGATGGTTTCCCCTGGAGTCTGGCCGTTTGGTGGCCGGGCTTTTCTCCCACTGCCCCAGCCAAACTCCCCGTCGTTCTGCCAGTCAGTGGCCTGCTGGCTTGCCAGCGTCTGTTGGTGTGCACTTAACACTGCTATGGCCCCCTCAACATCCTCTGGACATCCAGCCGTTTGTGTCTTCTTCCCCTGATATGCTGCTCTCGATGCGCAGCTACCTGTGTGTCTGCCTTCTGTGGTCTCGGGGGTTTTTATAGGCACAAGATGGGGGTGTGCCAGGCCAGGGTGGTCTCGGGAAATGCAACATTTGGGCAGGGAAACAAAATGCCTGTCCTCACCTAGGTCCATGGCCACAGGCCCAGGGGTGGAGCCCTAGCCAGGGACCACAACCTCCCCTACCCAGCGTTTCCCTTCCCCCTTCCCTATCATTTTAAGGGACCATGCCTTTTCCCGCACTTCCTTTTCGTATCATAAGTAGATTATAAAATATGTCACACAGATTAGGTCTCAATTAGAATTAGCCAAAACCATTGTATAAGCTATTTTCCATTCCAAAAGTTAGAATTGTTCATGATTCCTTGGTTTTGCTTTATTTTATTTTTATTTATTTATTTTTATTATACTTTAAGTTTTAGGGTACATGTGCACAACGTGCAGGTTAGTTACATATGTATACATGTGCCATGTTGGTGTGCTGCACCCATTAACTTGTCATTTAGCATTAGGTATATCTCCTAATGCTATCCCTCCCCCGTCCCCCCACCCCACAACAGGCGCCGGTGTGTGATGTTCCACTTCCTGTGTCTATGTGTTCTCATTGTTCACTTCCCACCTGTGAGTGAGAACATGCAGTGTTTGGTTTTTTGTCCTTGCGATAGTTTGCTGAGAATGATGGTTTCCAGCTTCAGCCATGTCCCTACAAAGGACATGAACTCATCATTTTTCATGGCTGCATAGTATTCCATGGTGTATATGTGCCACATTTTCTTAATCCAGTCTATCATTGTTGGACATTTGGGTTGGTTCCAAGTCTTTGCTATTGTGAATAGTGCCGCAATAAACATACGTGTGCACGTGTCTTTATAGCAGCATGATTTACAATCCTTTGGGTATATACCCAGTAATGGGATGGCTGGGTCAAATGGTATTTCCAGTTCTAGATCCCTGAGGAATCGCCACACTGACTTCCACAATGGTTGAACTAGTTTACAGTCCCACCAACAGTGTAAAAGTGTTCCTATTTCTCCACATCCTCTCCAGCACCTGTTGTTTCCTGACTTTTTAATGATTGCCATTCTAACTGGTGTGAGATGGCATCTCATTGTGGTTTTGATTTGCATTTCTCTGATGGCCAGTGATGAGCATTTTTTCATGTGTCTTTTGGCTGCATAAATGTCTTCTTTTGAGAAGCGTCTGTTCATATCCTTCACCCACTTTTTGATGGGGTTGTTTGGTTTTTTCTTGTAAACTTGTTTGAGTTCTTTGGAGATTCTGGATATTAGCCTTCTGTCAGATGAGTAGATTGCAAAAATTTTCTCCCATTCTGTAGGTTGCCTGTTCACTCTGATGGTATTTTCTTTTGCTGTGCAGAAGCTCTTTAGTTTAATTAGATCCCATTTGTCAATTTTGGCTTTTGTTGCCATTGCTTTTGGTGTTTTAGACATGAAGTCCTTGCCCATGCCTATGTCCTGAATGGTATTGCCTAGGTTTTCTTCTAGGGTTTAGATAACATTTAACCTGCTCTGACCTACAGTTTTTGTTACGGAATTAATCTAACATTTTCTCTGACTTCATCAATTAAATAACTTAGTTTATCAAATTGTCTTGATTTGAACTAATATTAATATAGAATCTAGCTCATCCAATAAATTGTTTTCTCATAATGTTATTCAATTAAGTGAATTCTCGCCCTACATAGAGATATTCAATGTCCAGGTCTTTATTGTTCTATGAATTAAGAAGAGGGTTTGTAGGAACTATTAGGGAGCCTATCCCTCTTTGCTGATAGAATATACAGAAGGAGGAAAGAAAAATGTAGGAAGAATTATAAATAACACATTTTTAGGGCTCAGACTCTTCTTGCACTGAGTCTGCCTTTCTGAGCGTTTGTGCAAAAATATCTTTATTTCAAGTGAAATATAGTGAAAATTCCTGCAGTCTCATCTGAAGACTTACTGAATATATTGTTTTCCAGTGTTTTCTAGAGAGTACCTATTATCTAATAAAGGAGGTGACTGTAAGTGAGACCATTTATCAGATTATGTGCTCTTTCCACTGCAGGCTAGAGGGCTGGTGGAGAGGAGGAGGAAGCACAAACATTTTCTGAATAGCTAAAAAGTACTTTGTTGCATAAATGATCTGACTGAATCCTCACTAACTTTATGAAATTGGTTCTAATTTTATTGTCTTCATTTTATAAATAAAGGAACAGAGGTTTTTAAGGTAAAGTCATATAATTTATGTATTTTATTAAATCCAAATCAGTATTGTCTTAAGACATTCTTTTTCTTAAGTATTACTAAAGAGAGAAAAAATGATTAAGAAAACATTTAAAGAAGTGTTTCTATTGCAGAAATATGCAAATGTTAAGCACATATGGGAGTAACAGCAGCAACATAGAAGGACTAGAAGAAAGCTACAGGCCCTTCTTCCCACACAGAAACACCAAGTTAACAACTATATATGGATAAGAATACCTCTGTGTGGACTCTAGGAACTGGTTGAGAAGCTACAAAACTCAGGCCTTTGAAAACCAGGACTAGATTTCAGTGAAAACAGCAGAAAAATTTGTAGCAATTGGCACATCTGTTTATGACCCCCTCCCACTCCCCCACCTCCCCCCGTGTGTCATAGCCAGAGCAATTGGATAGAAACCCACTAAACTTAGGATCTTCCATTGGAATGGGAACACAGTAGTTAACTGTGAGACCAAGTAGTACAACAAAAGAGTAGACCATGTGATTAATGGGTCTAGGGGTTCTCCAAGGGACTAGTTTCTTTCCCACCTGACTCAGAGAGCTGACAAGATAGTTGCCAGAGTTTGGAAGCTGCTAAAAACAAAAGCAAGCAGGAAATCTTAGACAAAGCATTCAGACAAGAGAAAGAAATAAAGGGCATCCACATTGGAAAGGAAGATATCAAATTATGCTCTTTTGCAGATGATATGATCTTATATTTGGAAAAACCTAAAGACTCCACACACACGCGCACACACACACACACACACACACACACACCATTAGAAGTGATAAACAAATTCAGTAAAGTTTCAGGATGCAAAATCAATATACAATAAGTAGATAGTGCACAAATCTGAAAAAGAAGTCAAGAAAGTAATCTCATTACAATAGCTACAAGTAAAATAAAATACCTAAGAATAAACTTAACTAAAGAAATAAAAGATCCCCACAATAAAAACTATAAAATATTGATGCAAGAAATTGAAGAGGGTATATAAAAATGGGAGGATATTCCATGTTCATGAGTTGGAAGAATAAATATTGTTAAAATATCCGTACTACCCTAAAGCAATCTACAGAAGCAATGCAGTCCCTATCAAAATACCAAGAACATTCCTTACACAAATAGTAAATATATCCTAAAGTTTATATGAAACCACAAAAGACCTAAAATAGCCAAAGCTATCCTAAGCAGAAAGAACAAAACTAGAGGAGTCACTTTACCTGACTTCAAATTATACTACAGAGCTATGTAACCAAAATCTCATGGTACTGGCATAAAAAGAGACACATAGACCAATGAAACAGATTAGAAAACCCAGAAATAAATCCATACATCAATAGTGAACTCACTTTTGACAAAGGTGCCAAGAACATACATTGGATAAAGGATGGTGTCTTCAATAAATGGTACTGGGAAAACTGGACATTGATATGCAGAAGAATGAAACTTGATCCCTATCTCTCACTGTACGTAAATCAAAAAGGATTAAATACTTAAATCTAAGACCTCAAACTATAAAACTATTAAAAGAAACCATTATGAAACTCTCCAGGGCATTGTTCTGGGCAAAGATTTCTTGAGTAATATCCTACAAGCACAGGCAACTGAAGCAAAAATGGACAGATGGGTTCACATCGAGTTAAAACGTTTCTGCACAGCAAAGAAAACAATCAACAAAGTGAGGAGACAACCCACAGAATGGGAGGAAATATTTGCAAACTACTCATCTGACAAGGAATTAATAACCAGAGTATATAAGGAGTTAAAACAACTCTGTAGGAAAAAAAAAATCTGTTAAACCTATTACAAATGGGCAAAAGCTATGAATAGACATTTCTCAAAAAAAAAAAGACATACAAATGGCAAACAAGTATGTGAAAAGGTGCTCAACATCACTGATCATCAGAGAAATGCAAATCAAAACTACAATGAGATATCATCTCACCCCAGTTAAAATGACTTTTATCCAAAAGACAGGCAATGCTGGTGAGGATATGGAGAAAAGAGAACCCTTGTACATTGTTGGTGGAAATGTAAATTAGTACAAACATTATAGAGAATAGTTTGGAGGTTCCTCAAAAAAACCACAAATAGAGCTACCACATGATTCAGCAATCCCACTGCTAAGTATATACATGAAAGAAAGGAAATAAAGCATATTGTCAAAGAGACTGCACTCTCCTGTTTACTGTAACACTATTCACAAATGGAATGGTATTCACCTGCACAAAGCCAGTACACAAAGACTGGAAAAGATGGCTGTTTTCAAATTCCCAAATCCCAGTAAAAAGAAATTACAAGGCATGCAAAAAAAAAAAAAAAAAAAAAGAAAAAGAAAACATAGTCAATCAAAGGAACAAAATAAAACTCTAGGAACTGACCCTAAAGGAATGTGGATCTAAGAGCTGCCTAAGAATTTAAAATAACTATTATAAAAACACTCAATGACCTAAAGGAACACAGGTAAACAACTGGATAAAATCAGATTAATGATGCAGGAACAAAATGAGAATATCAACAAAGAGACAGAAACAATAAAATAGAACCAAATATAAATTCTAGGTTTGACAATACTGAGCTAAAAACATTCATCAAGAGGTTCGACAGCAGACTTGATCAGAAAGGAGAAATAGCAAACTTGAAGACAGGTCATTTAGAATCATTGAGTTAAAAGAGCAAAAGGAATAAAAAAAATAAAAGAGTAGAGCCTAAAGGGCTTATAAGATGCCATCAAGTAGACCAATATGTGATTTATGATGATCTCAGAAGAAGAAAGAGAGAAATACGCAGAAAGCTTATTTGAAGAAATAATGCCTGAAAACTTCTTAAATCTGAGGAAAGAAATGGAAATATAAATTTGAGAAGTTCAAGTGACTTCAATTATATAAATTTAGAGATCCATACATAGATACATTATAATCAAACTGTCTACAGTCAGAGACAAAGACAATCTTGAAAGCAGAAATAGAGTTACTCATCACAAACAAGTAAGTTTTTATAAGATTATCAATGAACTTCCCAGAAAAAATATTGCAGGCCAGGAGGGAGTAGGATGATACAGTCAAAGTACTGAAAGAAAAAAGAAAAACAATTGCAGCCAAGGATACCGTATCTGGCAAAACTATGCTTCAGGAGAAGGAGAAGTTAGGTTTTCTCCAAATGGACAAAAACTGAGGGACTTCATTGTCACTAGGCCTGCTTACAAGAAATACTAAAAGGAGTTCTTCAAGTTGAAATAAAAGGATGGTCCACAAAAGCATAAAGCTGTATGGAAATATAAGACTTTTTAGTAAAGGTAAATACATGTAAAAATTTAGTAGCCAGTATTATTATAATTTTGGTGCATAGAACTTAAATGGCAAAAATAGAGAAAAATCTATAAATCTGTATTAATAGATTTGTATATATGTATGTATATGTGTATATATATGCAAATTTATATATTTGTGTGTATATATATACACAAATCACATCTCTCTCTGTGTGTATATATATATATATATAGATGTGATCTATATATATATCTATAGATCTCTGTGTGTATATATATAGATGTGATCTATAGATACATAGATGTATATCTATAGATCACATCTATAGATGTGATTTGTGATTTGTGACATTAATAGCATGAGTAGGGGAGGGTATAACCAAAAAGACTAGTACTTTTTGTATTATATTCTAATTGTATATTAGAGTACTTATATACAATTGAAATTAAGTCAATAATGGTTTAAAATACAGTGCTACAATTTTAAGATGTATTATGTCATTGCAGTGTTAACAACAATGAAACTGTAGAATATACGCAAAGGAAATGAGAATCAAAGCAAATCACCAAGAAAAAAAAATCAATAAAACACCAAAAAAGCACTATTGAAGGACAAAAAAGCTATAAGACAAAAAGGAAACAATTTTTAAATGGCTATACTAAGTCCTTCCCTATCATTAATTACTACAGATATAAATGGGTTAAACTGCCTAGTCAAAAGACATAGATTGGTTAAATGGATATGAAAACCCAGATCAGGCCAGGAGCAGTGGCTCATGCCTGTAATTCCAGCACTTTGGGAGGCTGAGACAAGTGGATCATAAGGTCAGGAGTTCAAGACCAGCCTGGCCACCATGGTGAACCCCTGTGTCTACTAAAGCTACAAAAATTAGCCGGGCACAGTGGCAGGTGCCTGTAATCTCAGCTGCTTGGGAGGCTGAGGCAGAATAATTGCTTGAACCTGGGTGGCGGAGGTTACAGTGAGCTGAGACAGCACCACTGCACTCCAGCCTGGGCAACAGAGTGAGACTCCATTAAAAAAAAAAAAGAGAGCGAAAAACCCAGATCAAATTATGTATTTTATATAAGAGAAGCATTTCAGATCTAAGGACATGCGTAGACTGAAAATGAAAAGGTGAAAAAAGATATCTCATAAAAACAAAGAGAACAAATGTAGCTATACCAAGAGCAGAAAAATAAACTTTAAATTGAAAAGTTTTTTGAGAAACAAAGAAGGATAGTGTATAAAGAGAAAAGGGCCAATTCACCAAGAAGATAAAACAATTATAAATGTTTATGTAGCAAACCTCAGCTCTCCTAAATATATAAAACAAACTTTGGCAAAACTGAATGGAGAAATAAACAACAAGAAAATAACAGTAGAAAACGTTAATTTCATTCTTTCAATAATAGATATAACAACCAGACTGAAGATTAATAAGGAAATACAGAAATAAATACTATAGACCAAAGTGACCTAACAAACATATACAGCACACTATACTCAATAACAGAATAATGGACATTTTTCTCTGCTACGCATGTACCATTCTCCAGGTTAGACCACATGTAGACACCCAATACAAGTCTTTACAAATTTAAGAATAAAATCATACAAAGTGTCTTTTCTGTTCTTAATACAATGATACTAGAATTCAACAGTACAAGAAAAACTGGGTCAAAGAACAAGTTACAAGGACAATTAGCAAACACCTTGAGACAAATGAAAATGAAAACACAACATACAAAAACTTCTATGATGCAGCAAAAGTACTGCTAAGAGGTACATTTATAACTGTATATGTGCACATAAAGAAAAATGACCAATGAAGAACCTAAATTTTACTTCAAGAAAATAGAAAAAAACAAGAGCAAACCAAACCTAAAGCTAGCAGGATGAAAAAATAAAGATTAGAACAGAGATAAATAGAATAGAATCAGCAGAAAAAAGACCAAAAAAACGCTTAGCACTTTTTTTAAAGATCAAAAAAATAAACCCTTAGCTATATTAAGAAAAAAATAGAGGAGACTCAAATGAAATCAGAAATAAAAGAGAGAACATTACAACTAATGCCACAGAAATAAAAACAAAAATTATCCGAGAATACTATGAAAAATTGTGTGCCAACAAATTGGATAACCTGGAAGGAATGTATAAATTTCTAGATACACAAAACCTACAAAAACAGAATCATGAAGAAATAGAAAATCTGAACAGACCAATAGCAAGTGATATGGTTTGGATCTGTGTCCCTACCCAAATCTCTTGCTGAACTGTAATCCCCAAATGTTAGAGGTAGGGCCTGGTGGGAAGTGACTGGATCAAGGGAGTGGATTTCCCTCTTATGCTGCTCTTGTGACAGTGAGTGAGCGCTCCTGAGATGTGGTTGTGTGAAAGCACGTGGCACCTCCCCACTTTCTCTCTTCCTCCTACTCTGGCCATGTAAGACACGCCTACTTCCCCTTTGCCTTCCACCATGATTGAAAGTTTTCTGAGGCCTCCCCAGAAGCCATCATGCTTCCTGTACAGCCTGTGGAACCGTCATCCAATTTAACCTCTTTTCTTTATAAATTACCCACTCTCAGGTATATATATAGCAGTGCAAGTATGGACAGCAAGTAAGGAGGTTGAATAAGTAATGAAAAACTTTCCAAGAAAGAAAAGCCCAAGATCAAATGGCATCACTGGAGAATTCCATATATAATTTGAAGAGGAATTAACACTAGTATTCCTGAAATAATTTCAAAAATTTAAACAGGAGGAATCCAAGGTCATCCTATGAGGCCAAGATTACTCTAATACCAAAACCAAGCAAAGACAATACAAGAAAAGAAAACTACAGACCAATATCCTTGAAAAATATTGAAAAAAAATTCTCAGTAAGATGCTAGCAAATTGAATTCAACAGCACTTTAGAAGGATTATATGCTATGACCAAGTGGAATTTATTCCTGGCATACAAGGATGATTCAACATATGAAAATCAGTCAGTGTAATACATCTCATTAACAGAAGTGTTATTGGCATCCTGGGTTCTTGTACTCTCCCAGGACAGAATTCAAGAGAGATCACCAGACATAGCATCAAAGAGAAAGACAAATATTTATTTAGCTTATGCACAAGGAAGTCAGCACTTCAAAAGGGATAGGATACGCTGTTCCCTGAGGGTAGTCTGTGGATTGTTTTATAGGGCCTTCCAATAGGGAAGTGGTTAGTCAGGGCATGTATAGGAGGAATTTTTCTAGCCCTTGCACAGTGGCTTTACCAGTTTCTTCATACATACATTGTGTGTAACATTAAGATTTTAAATCTCCACCCAGGTTGTAATTTTTAACATTAAAATTAGGAAAGGGGTAACTATAAGTTGAATCTAACTGCACATGTGGGGCTCTGGAAAAGTCTTTAGCTGCCTAAAGCAGCAACTTGTGGTTAATAATTTATTGGGTCTTTCGTTGCTGATTGGCTGGAAGTCAGGTAAGCTACAGCTTGAGTAAGAGGCTTTTGTTCTTTTTCTCTAAACTACATCAAAACAAGAAACCAGCCAGCCTGCCTGTCTCAGAAGGAGGACCAAAAACCATGTGATCTTCTAATTTGATGGAAAAAAACTATTTGACAAAATTTAACATTTTTTGCATGTGAAAAACGCTCAACAATCTAAGAATAGAAGGAAACTAGCTCAACATAATAAAGACCATTTATGACACGCCCACAGCTAACATCATACTCAACAGCGAAAGTTTGAAGAGCTTACCTCTAAAATCAGGAACAAAGAAAGAATGGTCACAGATGCCCTTTCTATTCAACCTAGTAACAGAAGACATAGAGCTATTAAGCAAGAAAAGGAAATCAAAGGAAGCCAAATCAGAAAGAAGAATAAATATTTCTGTCCATAGATTAAATGATTTTATATGTAATGAAACTCTAAAGATTTCACACATACAAACCTGTTAGAACTAATAAACAAGTTCAGCAAAGTTGCCGTATATAAAACCACCAATATTAGTTTTACTTCTATATACTAATTCTGAGCAATCCAAAAAGGAAATTCAATTTCATTTATAATAACATCAAAAAAAGTTAAACACTTGGGAATAAACTGAAACCAAGGAGTCAAAAGACTTGTATACTTGTTTTATAGTCAAAACGTTGTTGAAAGAAATTAAAGAAGGCGCAAATAAATGAAAGAAAACTCCATGTTTATTGATTAGAAAATGTGATATTGTTAAGATGTTCATACTACCCAGAGTGATCTATGTATTCAATCCAATTTTTATCAAAATCTCAACAGCCATTTTTTGCAGAATTAGAAAAAATCATTCTAAAATTAATAAAGAATTTCAAGGGACCCCTAATACCCAAATAATTTTGGAAAAAAAAAAGAACTAAAGTAGAGGACTCACATTCCCTGATTTGAAAAAATGTTACAAAACTATACTAATCACAACAGTGTGGTATTGGCATAAAGAGAGTCAAGAAGACTAATGAAATAGAATAGAGAGCACAGAAATAAACCTTCATGTAAATGGTTATATGATCTTCGCAAGGATGCCAAGGCCACTCAATGGGAAAAGTATATCCTCTTTAACAAATAGTGCCATGAAAACTGGATATTGACATTAAAATAATGAAGTTATTTTTGTGATGGTTAATTTTTCATGTCAACTTGACTGGGCCACAAAGTGCCGAAATTAAACATTATTTCTGGGTGTGTCCATGAGGGTGTTTCTGGAAGAGATTAACATGTGAATTGGTAGGCACAGTAAAGTAGGTTGCTCTTCCCAGTGCGGGTGTGGCATCATTCAATTCTTGAAGTCCTCAATAGAATGAAAAGCAGAGGAAAGAAAGATTCGTCTCCTACCTGCCTGCTTACTTGAGCTAAAATATTGTCCTTCTCCTGCCCTTGGACTAAAATTTACGCCATCAGCTCCTGTGGCTTTCAGCCTTCAGACTTTGCCTGGAATTACACCAACTCCCCTGGGTCTCCAGTTTGCAGATGGCAAGATGGTGGGGCTTCTCATCTTCCACAATCAAACTTAAACACTTTTATTTATCAAAGAATACAACCAGGAGTTAAAACATAACCTATAGATTGGGAGAAAATACTTTCAAATTATGTATCTGATGAGTTACTATCTAGAATACACAAAGAATTCATACAACTCAACAATAAAAACAAATCATATAACCTGAGTAAAAAATGGCAATGGACTTGAATAGACATGTTTCCCAAGAAGATATACACATGGCCACCAAGTGTAAAAAAATGCTCAACATCACTGATCATCAGAATATTATAAATCATACCCACAATATCACCTCACACCCATTAGAATGACTACTAAAAAAAATGATAATTTTTGGTGAGATTATGAATAAATTGGAGCCCTTGTGCACTGTTGGTGTGATGGTAAAATAGTGCAACTGCTTTGGAAAATAGTATGGAGTTTCATTTAAAAATTAAGAATAAAATGACCATATAATCCAAAAATCTCACTTATGGGTTTATATCTAAAAGAACTGAAATCAGAATCTTAAAAATATATTTGTACACACATGTTAATATCAGCACCATTCATAATAGCCATGATGTGGAAGTAACCCAAATGTCCATGGATAAATGAATGGTTAAGGAAAATACGGTATATACATAAAGTGAAATATTATTCAGCCTTAAAAAGGGAAGGAAATCTTGTCTATACTGCAACATGGGTAGAAACAGGTATCAGAATGGTGGTTAGAAAAGGCTGAAGGTAGGAGGAAAAGGAAAGTTATTTAACAAGATTCAGATTTGCAAGATGAAAAAGTTCTGGAGATATGTTTCACAACAACATGAGCATACTTATCACTGTTACGTTGCACATTTAAAGTGGTGAAGATGATAAATTTATGCTAGGATTTTTCACAATAAAAAGTGAGTATAAAAATGTGAGCACTTCTGCATCTAATAGCAATTAAATACAGGCAAATGGTAAATCAGTGATTCAGAAATACATCTAAGTTCAAAAATAGTCATTTTTATACAGTTCCAATCTACATAGCTAAATGTACATTTTCTCAAAATCCTTTATTTCAAACAGGTGGGGCGAAAATATTTATACCCTTACCTTAAAAGTTCACATATATGACAGAACAAAAATATTTTTATATTGTCTAACTTTTAATAGGCTTCTGGCAATATTGAAAAAGTTGCTGGTTGTCATACATCTAAAATTTCATAAACATAGCATTAAAGTTTACCAGATATCAGAGAGTAGAAACTCTGGGAAGTAAAGAAAGAGGAAGGAAAGAAACAGGAGGAAGAGACCCTTTCTCCAGCCAGCCTATTAACTGGCAAAATGCACAGTTTAATCATTAAAACAAGGAATCCAGCCCGGGAGTCATGTAAAGTCATGTCCCTGTCGTCTCTCAGTGTCACTGTATTTCAGCGTTCTCAATATTACCTGCGAGGGATTGCTGAAATGCAGCCTCCTGGGTTATCTTCAGTTGTATTATATCAGATTCACTGAGGGGAAGGTGAGAAATCTGGTATTCTACAAACTCCCAAGATAATTCTTATACATGCTAATAGTTGGGAATTACTGTTGATTCTCTTAGTTTCGGCTAATCTTCTTGGACAATTTCTAAATATCTTGAAAATATTTATGTGTGTTGTACAGTTTCTTGTGGCTGTTGTAACTAGCTACCATAAACTTTGTGGCTTAAAGCAATGCAGATTTTGTCTCAACAGTTCCAGAAATCTGTAATTGGTTACACTGGACTGAGACTTTGGTGCCAGAATTTATTTCTTTGCCTTTTTAAATTTCTAGATCTGCATTTTGTTTTGTTTTGTTTTGTTTTGGAGATGGAGTCTCACTCTGTTGCCTAGGCTGGAGTGCAGTGGCGCAATCTCGGCTCACTGCAACCTCTACCTCCCAGATTCAAGCGATTCTCCTGCCTCAGCCTCCCGAGTAGCTGGGATTACAGGAATGTGCCACCACGTCTGGCTAATTTTTGTATTTTTAGTAGATGGGGTTTTGCCATATTGGCCAGGCTGGTCTCAAACTCCTGACCTCAGGTGATCCGCCAACCTTGCCCTCCCAAAGTGTTAGGATTACAGGCATGAGCCACTGCGACCAGCCTAGATCTGCATTTTTTGATTCATGTCACTTTCCTCCATTTTCAAAGCCAACGGAATTGCATTTCAAATCTTTCTCTCTGCTGAGGTCATCACATCACCTTCTCTCTCTGCTGTAATAGAATGTTCTTCTGCCTCTTTCTTATAAGGACAATTGTAGCTGCATTTCAGGCCCAGGACAAATTAGGACCTGGAAACCTTTGGGTACCATTATTCAGCCTACTACAGATGTGTTTATACACACACACACACACACACACACATATACAGCAAAAGAGACTATAGATGACTTTGGAGTCACTCAAAATACATACATGTATTATAATCTTCCATATGAATTTTAAGATACATTGCCTTGATAAACATATTTTGCTTTGGGACAGAGGAGCTTTTTAAAAATTCCAGTTTACTACAAGAACAAGCGACGATAACACTGGTGGGCTGGGGGAGGTCCCCAAAAGCCAGTGGGACCTCGACCCCACCTGGTGTCCAGGCTCTTGACAAGATCACGAGAAGGAATTAAAAGATGAGTCTGAAAATAGTGAAATTACAGAGATTTACTGTACAGGGCAAAGTACACACTCAAGAAAGGCGAGTGTAGACATACTCGAGAGAGATGTGCTGAGATTTCTATCATTGTGGCTTTCTTTAACCAAGGGGTAGAATATTCATGAAAATTCCTGGAAAAAGGTAGAGATTTCTAGGAACTGTGATGTCACCCATGTTTACCCCAAATATAGGTTTCCCCAGAACTGTCATGGGGTGGGTAGGTTGCTGATTTTGTATATTAATGAGTGTGTAATGAGGTCCTAGGTGAAACCTAAGTCAAATCCAGTGCTGTGTTGGGTCCAGCCAGTCTCAGCCAGCTTGATCCACACCCTGTTTTTCAGGTTCTGATCAACCCATAGCCTAAAGTCATGTGAAACTGCTGCCTGGAATTTTTTTTTTTGTTCACCTGTGACCACCCTGTATTATTCCTGTCTCAAAATATTTAGGGATGACAAAACTCCGCTTGTCTCAAGGTTTTTCAAGGTTTACTTTTCTCTTCAGAATCTCTGCATGCTAGGTGTTCTAAAAATAGCAACAAACATAAAATTGATGCCTGGCATCAGTAGTTAGAGTATGGGGACAATTAATGAGCCTATCATAGGTCAACACCTATTTGATCATCTATCCACTTCTCATAAGTTCATCATTGTTTACATTAAATTACACTCAGAAAAATAAATTACAGTCGTT
Source organism: Homo sapiens (assembly GCF_000001405.40). Classification (NCBI taxonomy): domain Eukaryota; kingdom Metazoa; phylum Chordata; class Mammalia; order Primates; family Hominidae; genus Homo; species Homo sapiens. The sequence goes on from NC_000013.11 coordinate 58,875,016, forward strand.
GTCTATCAGCAACCCTTGGTTACACTTAACTTGATAGTTGGAAATAACAGGACTATTTTTAAAAGTTGTCTGGGTTTTGCAGTTACCTAATGGAGGTAATTAACTTTACTTTTTATCTGATTCCAGTAAAACGATTATGAAAACATATCACAACTGCTCTTCTATAAAGCTTTGAGATACATTTGAGTCCTTACAGTGTTCTAAATTTTGATTGTTTAAACAATAACAGGGAAGTCCACTTAGAGGGCACAGCAAAAAGGAATCATAGACTTTGGACTAATTCATTACTATTCTTACAAAGACCTGTTGGATTTCTGTTGTCAGCAAATGTCCAACTCATTAATATTGCACTTCTGTCTTCAGGAGGCAGCTGCTTCTTCATGAACTTCCTTGGAATTTGGCTGCAACACAGCACTCTATTCTAGGACTCAACTGTCTCCACTGAAAACATTTTCTTTTGCAGTGTGGCTCCCTGATGGGTCTCCTTGTGTTTCATTTCTGCTTTGTATGACATCTACTGCAAATAGCTGTTTATGCTCTATTTTATGGTGTCATGCTTTCTCTTTGGTGTATTAACATCTTGAAAGTCTTCTATTAGCTGTTTTCTACTTTAATTAGTTGCCTGCCACTCACGTTTCTTAGAGTTACATAATCTCCAATAGGTAGTAAAGTAAATTATCTGGCACTTTTCTTTATGCCAATTTGTTTTAAATGTATCTTAATAGTTTTTAGAGGGCATATATTATCATTAAGATAACATATCAATAAAGACTAAATATTCTTTCATGACCACATAAGATATAAATATATAAACAAATATATCTTTAAAAAGTGAGGGAGAATAAACTAGCTCAATGCCAAAAAGAAATTGAGTCATAATTAAACAAGGTGAGGTTTATCATAAATAATGATAGGTGAGGAAGACTTTTGACAAATATGTAAAATATGATTTTGGGATTTCTTATTTATGCAACTGAAGTAACACCCATCTCATGTAATATTTACAAAGTATCAGCATTTTGCCTTAAAAATAGCAGGTATCAATAAAAATTAATTATGTCATATCATACCATATCATATAGAGGTGTATGGTTATTAATTTAATTCAACATAAATCTTTTTTGTGACTACTAGGTATCAGATCTATGCCTACTATGTGACTGTACTGTGATCGTGTATCATACTAATTTTAATTAACTCATTGCCTAAGAGATGAACCACAAACTTTGATTACACACATAGAACATGGTTTAGAGGAAGAAATTGAAAGGATCATTGTATGCAGTTTATATGCAGGGACCATGTTTTCTACAATAAATTAATTCTACCTCCCAACTTTCACTGTTGATGATGTTTTAAAAGATTGTTTCTCTTCTGGCCTCTCTGAAACACTCAAATACTGTTGCTCAGCAAATTTTATTACATTCTCAAGATTTTAGGAAGCACTAGCCGTACGTATAGGCAAATGCTTCATACACAAATTACTTAAATCACTCAAACATTTTGAAATACTGTGCAAATTTACATTTATCAAAGAGAGCCATTAAAATGTCTATAGAGACAGAGCCGTCTTGTGGAGTGGCTAATTCTGCCATTCTCTTCCTCAAATGAATATAAATAACTTTTACAGGCTGCCACTTTCATTGTTACAGTGACTCCCAAATACTTTCCCACACAGTATGTGATTTTGAATTATGCCCATCAATGATCTCCCTTCTATTTTTGCCCACAAAAAGCACAATAAGTGACTTCTATTGATCTTTGCTGAAGAATAAAATAGTGATCTAAAGAGGTTCTTGACAGTTAGCACAGTTGTAAAATATAGGCCCCTTCATCATGTGTCTTGTAAATTTTGGAACCTAAGGAAATAGAGATTTTTTTGCGTGTGTCTATAAAACTAAGAGCTTGATATAGGATTAAAAGGGTCATTACATAATTAAGGTTTTACAAAGAGCCATATAATATATGTACTGCATTCAAAACACTTTATAATGGTGTCTAAATGTTTGCATTCTTGCCACAACCAATGTTTTATAATAACTTAAGATGATTTAAATGGTATAATGTAGGTGGTAAAACAGATAAAGTGCCACTGATGTGTTTTATAATATTATCTCTTATGTTCTTTGTTGTTAGATATAAAACATGGTTTATCAAATTTGATTAAAGTCATTAAAAAATGTAGACAAGTGGCTCAGAAAATTGTTTTAACTCATAGAACTTCAACAAATTTTAAATATGACTAAGGTGTTAGAGGCAGCAAAGCAAGGCTTTAGGAACTCTGATTCTGCTCCATTCAGCCTGAGTTTAGTGTCTAGGCCTGACATTGTTAGCCCTGTATCTTTTGCAAATCAGTGAACATTTCTGTGCCTCTTTGTTAAAATATTGAAAATTGAGATAATCAGATCTTATAGCATTATCCTGGGAATTACTGATTTAAAACTTATGAAAGGCTTAGAGTATGACATATAGTGAGTACTCACTAGATTGCAACTTTTACTTTTAAAACTACAGATAAAATAGGCCTATGTCCTAAATCCATGTTATGTAGCAGCAATTCCCAAGGCACGTTCAGGTAATACCAAATGTGAGAAATATCATTAACATTAACAGAGAAAATCACATGCAATATTTATTCTAGTAAATTCATTTTTACCAGAATAAAGTCACATTCTAGTCACTATAGCTAATACAGTTTATGTCATAGTCTAAAATTAAGAAAGTTTTGCAAACATGACACTTTAGATACATTCACATATTAATATCTTACCACATTATTATGCCATCTTTTGAATTTGATTCTTCTCTTTTTTTTTGGATTTGGAGGTTGGCAAATAAGGGCAAGAGGGGCTTTCTTTGAGACGGTGTTACAGAAAAGGGGTCCTGATCCAGACCCCAAGAGAGAGTTCTTGGATCTCGCTCAAGAAAGAACCCAGGGCAAATCTATAAAGTGAAAGCAAATTTATTAGGAAAGTAGAGAAACAAAAGAATGGCTACTCCATAGACAGAGCAGCCCTGAGGGCTGCTGGTTGCCCATTTTTATAGTTATTTCTTGATGATATGTTAAACAAGAGTTGGTATTCATGCCTCCTCTTTTTAGACCATATAGGGTAACTTCCTGACATTGCCACGGCATTTATAAACTGTCGTGGCACTGATGGGAGTGTAGTAGTTAGGACAACCAGAGGTCACTCTCATTGCCGTCTTAGTTTCAATGCGTTAGAGCTGGCTTCTTTACTGCAAACTGTTTTATCAGCAAGGTCTTTAAGACCTGTATCTTGTGCTGACCTCCTATCTCATCCTGCAACTTAGAATGCCTTAACCATCTGGGAATACAGCCCAGTAGGTCTCAGCCTCATTTTACCCAGCTCCCATTCAAAATGGAGTTGTTCTGGTTCACACACCTCTGAAAATGGTGTACAAGTATATTTGCTCCCCTTACTGAGGCAGATTAGAGGTTTTTCTTCATCAGTTTATGAACCAACACAATCTGATTTGTATGACTGCTTTGGGACAGACTTGATACCCATGGATTTTAACATAGAATCTGAATACCAATCAATTCTCATATCCTGAATCACTGTTTATTTAAAGAAATGAAAGATGGGCCAAAGGTTAAAAATTCTCCTTTTATCATTTTCTTTATAGTCAAAGCAAAAGGGGTGGTTCATCTACAGTGATTCTTTTTCAGAAAAGTAATGTCTTTGATGTTTAAGGGAGGAAACAAGCCTTCTGAAAACTACTATTCTCACTCCTCAGGAAAAAGAGAAAAGAAAAGGAAAAAAAAAAAACTAATCCAAACACTAGTCTTTTGAAAGAGAAAAATTCTTTTGGGTGTACTAAAGCCTATTTTACCATTGAATTTTGAACATATTCTCAAGTTATATTAGAACATAATGTATTTTCATTTTAGTGTTAGGCCAAATATTATATTAAGTAATGCCTTTACCAATTCAGTTATGAATTCTACAGTCTATAATCCTCCTTTGTATGTTTTAGTAACTCAAAATCTGCTCTATTTCTTCTAAGAATAATTTTCTAATATTCTTCTTTTTCCACTAAAGCAGACTATTTCTTTTTATTGAAGTTCCATTTTGCAATGTTCATTAGATGTTGAATGTCTGTCAATATCCACAAGTCTCCATGTTCCCCATCCTTTATGCCTTTCAACTTTCATTTTCCTCAGTGCAAACACTTCCATATTTTTACTTTCATATTATTCTTTAAGGACTTGAATGATGACAAAACCACTTTCAGAAAGAGCTGGGTCAGTAATATAAGGCATCTTTTATAAGATTCTCTACCATGCATAACAGAGCAAAACAGGAACCAAGAGAAAGCAAACTAGAGTTGTGTGAAATTGCTCATTTATTCTCAAATAGTTTTCAGTTTTTCATGAAACTGCTGAAAAATTCACAAATTGTATTCCAATGAGATGAATGTTTTTTTCCTAAGTTTTCATCAAAACTTTCATCTTTGGGTACACATTGTATATGCATAAGACATCCTGTTCCTATGTGTGTTGGTAGTACCTGCTTGTTCATAGGCATGAAAATGAAAGAAGGATATTAAATATGTACAAACTGCCTGATTGGATAAGGAAAAATGCAAATAGTGCTGTGTGTAGTGAATACACACCGATGTATGGGTGGGTGTGCACGTTTTCCCCTTTTCACAAGTCCAAAATAAAGAGACAAAGTTTAAAGATTTTTCTAATAGATCGTTTTTTCTTGATTTGTTCTTTTTACCTTTTTGGCTCATTTTATTGTGAGAAACCAATTTATATATCAGAATCTCTTCACTTTTATGCATAGTAAGGAAAAAATAATAATAAATGGCTCAGATGCTTTGACACTTTCCCAGCATTCTTAGTTTCCAGGTATAAAATTTCCTTTTGATGATAATGTAAGAATTCATTCATTCCCTGCTTCAAGTTGTAATTTTCTGAACAAATAACTTTAAATGTCATTGTCCCTGTATTCTATACTACTACAGCAAGTTTGAGGATGTGCTAGTTCGAAATACATATAGAGGGTACATTAAAATTGGTTTTCATTTATATGCATTTAAATAATATTAAAGTACTGCTTAATTTGGGTGAAGTAAATTATTCTCTCATATAACACTGACCGAGATATTTGCTATAAAATATTTTATATATTTGATATAAAATGCTATTTCGAGCCACATAAGTGATTTTTCTTTCCTCCTCCCCTTCCTTCCTTTCCTCTCTCCCTTCCCTTCCTTCCTCCCATCCTTTCTTTTTCTTTTTCCTTTCTTTTTAAGTTTTATTTTCCATTTCTTTCTTCACTGTCTTCCTTTCTTCTTTCATTCTTTCTATTTTTATCTTTTCTCTTTCCTTCCATTCTTTCCTTCTTTTCTTCCTCACACCCTCCCTCCCACCCTCTCTTTTTATCTTTTTCCAAAATCTCAAACCTTCTCATATTTGATCTTCCATTTTCACAAAGGCCAGTCAAAAAACCTAAAGTGAAGTTGGGTAGAGGTAAAGCAGTAGGATATAGCGAGGTCTGTGGACACTTGGAGTCAGTGTGCCCAGCCTAAAGGCTTTAAATTGTAAGAAGTTTTATAATGCTCTGGGAGGTGTATTCAGCCTGCTTTATTCAGTTTGTAGTGCCATGCTAAAGCTTTGAAACTTTAAACAACTCTTTGTCTTGATTTCCTATACCTCCCATCTACCAATGGATTCATTTATATTCTTCTAGGACTTTCATGGTTTTGCTTATTGAGGATAGCTTGATAAGAGATTATCACAGTCAACCATATACCGTGTCTTCTCAGCATACACAAGGCATCTTTGTAAGCGTATGTGAAAGGTATTCTGCATTTTTAAATTTGTGCTTTTAAGAAAAGGAATTGTATGCTGTTTGTTTTTCATTGCTACTCTTTTTAGGTTCTTGAGAGACAGATATGCCTTTTTGTTTTACCATCATATTTTAGAAGTACTTTCTGAATGTGAAAGTAATATAGTGAATGCTTTTAACTTAATTGTTCCTTTTCTTATCTCTGCATCTCTACTTCTCATTTTAAGCATTTTATTTATTCTATCTGTTTTGTAATTCCAGTAGGTAAGCTTGGAAGGGATGTATACAAGAGTTCTGTAAACCATTTGTGGTTCTGCATTTTACCAATTCTGGTAGCCATCTATAACCAATATATGTATTTACATTCTTAACAGGAAAGCTTGAACAGATTCAGAAATCTCATAACTGTATCTGGCAAGGTAAGCACAGATGCTCCTAGACCTGTGATAGGGTTAGTTCCTATAACCCAGTGTAAGTTGAAAATATCATAAAGAGAAAATGCATTTAATACACCTATCCTACCAAATGTCATAGCTTAGCCTAGCCTCTCTTAAATGTGCTCAGAACACTTACATTAGCCTTCAGTTGGGCAAAATCATCTAACACAAAGTCTATTTTATAATAAAGTGTTAAGTATCTCATGTAACTTATTGAATTCTATACTGGAAGTGAAAAACAGAACAGCTGTATAGGTACTCAAAGTGTAATTTTTACTGATAATATTTATTACTTTTGCAACATCATAAAGTCAAATATCATAAGTCAAACCATCATACATCGGGGACCGTCCCTTTAGTGTTCAGATTTTTCTGTGTTACAGTCTACCAATTACATGTATTTTCCTATTTAAGGCAGGCTCAACTAATTCAAATTTCTCAGGCCATCAAACAAGAATGTAAAGCCCCATTTCTTTAAAGGGCTTGAAGAAAGCACCAGTTATCATCCAGAATACCTTTTAGTTAAAGTGATACCTAAACTTTACCAGACTAATGAATTGAGACCATTTCATATGAATATTATTCTCTACCCCATTTATTTAATGCAGTATCTAAAAGACTGTACACTCTTCATCTGCCTGGTAAGAGGATATGTTAGATACACATCTATTCACAGCTCAAAGTCACTGTGGATTCATTAATAGCCCTTCTCATTGTAAAATAGTACATTCTGCAAACACTTCACATGACCTATCAGTCAACCCAATTATATTTATGAAGTGTCTTTCATGTGTCCATCCCACAGTGAAATGTGGACTTCATATAAAAGAAGATACAATACATATTTAAAAGGCTAAATCAAACAAATAAGTTTTTAAATTAAACCTTACAAATCAACAGTAATTTCAAAGTTCTCATGCATAAAAGAATAGATTCTTGAGTTGAAAAGCTGAGTGTGAAAGATTTTGTGATCTTAGAATCTTATTAGAATCAGACTGAAAGGTGGCAGGTGGAGGTCACTGATTGTAAATCGTGGCAGAAACTCTCCTGGAATCAGGAAATCTTTATGTAACAGATCGGCACAGGATGGGTACAGAAAGAAGACTGTATGGTTAATAAAACGTGCACACACACCTATGCAGTAATTCTAAGGTCAGAAGTATGATTTTAGAGCAAAGAAATCACTCTTTTAAGGTTACCAGCATAGACTACATTTTAAACATTTATCCTGGAGAACCAATCAGTAGCAACCCAATTTTATCTATACTAAATTCAGGGAAATTTGAAGACATCCATGCTTGAATATCACACAGACAATTATGCAAAACATCAAGCCGCTTCATAGGTCTGCAGGGACTGGAAAGAATATCTGAGTATCGTCTGCATACATATGACACTGCAGGCCACAGCATTGAATAATGTTATTCACTAAAAATATCTAAATATAAAGCTAAATAGGATTTGAAACAAGCCCCAGGGGAATCTGAAAGTAACTTGGCAAAGCATAAACCATTCCCTAAAGGAGCAAATTGTAAAGAGAATAGAGAGATAAAGAAACTATCCAAGCAACCCATGTTAATTCCAGAAAATTCAAAAACATAGAGTTACGTCAAAGAATGACACGGTGAGCAGTATTCCAACTAGACAAATAGCCTTAAAAGGATACAAGAAAATACACATTCAGCCAGCAAAATGTTCACAGACATTATGTTCCAATCTAAGTCTCAGGGCCAGTAGTGTGTATATTTAAAACGAGGTGCTAAAATAATATCCTAAAAAATTTCAAGCTATAATGGCTCTTTTTCTAATAATTAATAAAAATTTTAAATTGTTGGTGATGAAGCTAAAACAAAAGAGTGTAACTGTCTAGTGTTTCAGATTCTATTAAATGTGTTTTCCATAATCTTGAGACATTTATTTCATGCCACATTTTAGGGAAAAAATCTATATGTATGTATGTTATATGTCTATTAATCTAGATCACAATGTTTTGATGATTCTCTGTAAAGAACTTAGAATTCTTAAGGGAAGAAAAATGATACTGCTGTTATCATTATCTTTATCCAATACTGTAAAAGTCATTTGGTAAATCTTCTTTCCACGTGCCAAACCAGCCATCACATTTTTTATATTTTATTCATAATCTGTTTGTCTTGGAGTATGTTAGGGAGAAGATTGGTCTATGATTAGGCCATCTGCATTTGCTAATTGCCACTTATCCCCTATCCTATATCGAAGTCAGACTCCTAGCTTCCCACAGAAACTGGGAGATAGAGGTGCTATGCTATCTTCTTTGATGATTGCATTTCAAAGGATGGCTCCCAGGTCCTTGACACAGACATTCCTGGGTTGTGAGACTGGCAAGAAGCTAGGAGATGATGTACGTCTCAAAGAGGCAGAGAAAACTGCAAGTTTTCTAAAGGCTCTAAGAAAAGGGAGGTCAGGGACCTAGAGTCAGGAAAAGACCTGGCTGAAGTTTAGTCAGGCTGTGGAGAATGTGCAGGCTGTCTTTGTCAACCATCTGCATCTCAGAAAGCACCGCTGAACTGCTCCAGAAGCTTCTCTTTTAGAATGATGGCAGCTGAAAGTTTTCAAAATAAATCTTGATTAACAGAATAAAGTTATCAATTTCTATTGAGGAATTAAACAGCTACCATTACAACATAGAATAATAGAAAAGTATGGTTGTGCATATGAATGTGCTTAGCATAATTAAACAAAATCATATTTAACATCATGGTAATAATGATCAAAAATGAATAAGCCTCATGTGTTTCTACCAACATTATATGAAATTAAAAGATGCTAATAGAAGTATTTTCACATTTTTACTTAGGTTATGAATAATCTGAAGTCAATAGTCATGAATATGTTTTATAATTTTAGAACTTTGCAACTTTGTGAGGTTTAGAAGAGTGAATGTAGTGCTGCATAGATGTGCTACAATTACCTGTCTATATTGAAGAAGAGAAACCAATTCTTGGCCACAATTAGTTTTAAATGAATACTGCCACACCAGTGGGCAAAGTGAAACCCACCAGATTGATTTTCTTTGCCCTGAATTCTTCATAATACAATACTCATACCTATATGCTCTTGAGAAGTTTGGCAGGACACACCTGAATTAACATACCTCAGTGCTTCTCTTTGATGGCTACTAAATTAGAAATTTAAACAACGTAATGGAAAGAAGTCTTTAGTGATAAACAAACTGTGTTGCTGCGGGCAAGCTCAAATCCTTTTTACTTCTTTTCCTGGAAGCTGTGCTTGCCTGTAAGCTTCCCACCTGGCTGCTCAGGCTCTCCCTGGGAGAGGAATCTTACTCCTTCCCAGAGAAAACTCTATTCAGTTTTAACAGCTTTGTGTAATTTCCTCTTGAAAGAAAAACTAAAACTTGTTGGGAGCTTTTTCTAAAGTCACTGCAGGTAGTTAACAGTTTGGTTAAAAATAATTAAGCCAATTTGTTAATATGAAACTTAAACTCCTTCATACAGAACACTAAGCTCACAGGATAAAAGAGATTGCTTAAGTGGAAAGTTCTTGAGGGAGGCTTGGAGCCAGACCCAGCATGAGGTGCTTTATTTTCTGCTGTAAATCTTCACACTTCTGCAAAATTGTTGGAAGCCAGTACCTCTGTGGGTAGTTTTTGCTTATTTTTTCTGCATGTCATTGTCCCTACTGGGAGTACCTCTAGTTGCTCCTAAGCAGATACCCTACAGCTAGCTCAAAGCAGTAACAGAATGCAGAGTGAACTGAATACAGTGTGACAGATGCCTCCAGAAGAAACAGCCAAGGTAGAAACAAAAGACAAAGAATAGCTAGGATGCACTGCGCTCGCCACTAATCAAGATGGAACTGAAGTGAATTCCCCAGAATAGGGAAACAGCTCATTCAGTTGTGTTAGTCTTATTTATACTTCCGAATCATCTGAAGTAAATTGTTTAGCTCTCTTTAGTCATAAATACTTGTCAGTAAATGGAAAGATGTTTGGTTTTGAAATAGTGTCATTTGTTAACTAAGATATTAAGATGCAAAGTTTCTTGTTGTAACTAAGCATCTAGTTCAGCCTCAACAACTCATATGCATATTTGCAGATATGTTTATATGTATTACATTTATTCATTCATTTTTCCATTTAGTGCATATTTATTGTCTGCTTTCCCTTGCATCAGGCACACTGCACTTGGCACTACAGATATTGAAGTGAGACAGAAACCCACATGCCTTTGTCCATCCAGCCATCAGATTAAAGTAATAAATTCCATCATGGTGATTGTTTTAAAACGTTGATTTCAGTTTTAATAAATTTGCTCTTTAGTTACAAGTCTTCAACTAACTTTTCTTTGTGCATAGGAGGGTATTATTTGCCAATCTGCACATAATAGGTCCATCAGCAAGCATATACTGTTTCTTATATGAGCATGTCACCAAGATAGAAAAGTTTCTCAACAGGACTGTATGCCCCTATGTGTCTGCCTGTCTGTCCACACTCATATACGCATGGTTACAACCATCTAAAATGTGCCTACAGAGTAAAAACAATGGAATTTCACATAGGCTTTTGAAATCAAACATAAATTTTAAGCAAAAAGTCTATCAAATACATGTTACATTTATATGTAGACATTATATTCAACAGTAAAAAGGTAATTAAATGACTATTGTATATATATATTCAGAAGTATTTCTGACATAAGCTATATTTATACTCAAAGAAAGATTAACCCATTTTTAGAATAAAATAATGCTGTACTGTTACTGTTGTAATAATACTGTTACTAATACATCAATTTCTAATGTATCAAAATATATTCTTCTACTCTAATAATTGATAAATAAATTTTAAAACCTCAATGTTTATCTTAAAATTCACCTACAAAAATTTCAGTATTAAAGACAAAGAAAATACTTCATTGAATGTGATTGAAAGAATGCTCATATGTGGAGAACAACAGAGCACACTGGAAAAATATTTTCGCCCCCTCTCTTGCCTATGGTTTATATGTCTCAATTTAGTAAATATTAATTTTGAAAGCCAAAACATATATGGTGGCAATTGCGAGTGAACAAATCTGGCCTAATCATTACAGAGTTGGATGTAATATATCTGGGAAAATAGTTATAACCATTCCATGAATGAATAGATGGAACAAATCCTCAATGTGAAACAGTATTGGGATTTCTAAATAAGTGTTTAGTCCAAGACTAAATCTTCTGTTGATTTAGTCATTGCAGCACATTCAGAGACTAAGATAATCAAGGGACACTTTTTTTAAGTTTATATTTCATCCACAAAAAAAAACCCCAGCTAGATTACAATTATTTTACAATCCATTTATTCTAAATGTGTTTTTATTCTTTGAAACTGTTTCAAAACATTTCTTTTAAACTTCTGCCTCATACTTCAGATTAATTTTTATTTCTTTGCCATTTATTATTAGCACTTCAACAAAATAAAGCACCCAGTTGTTTATTCTACCCCAATAATTGGAAAGCATTTATTTAACACACACTGTGTACGTAGCATTCAAGAGACTGTATAAAAGAAATAACACAAGCCCTGACCAAATGTGCAGTCTTTTTGAGGAAATTTAAAAACATAACTGCACATCTGAGCCAAATACAACATGTACAGAACCATAATACCAAGTAGCACTATGCCATTAATTAGCAACTATTGTTTGTTATAATACAAAGGTGTTTATTGTGCACACCACTTTTTATTTAATGCCGAATGATAATAAAAGAATGACCTAGTCCTTGTCCTTAAACAGTCAAGTCACAAAAAACGTTAAAGGTGTAGTACTTAAGATATCACTTAAGCAAACCCCTCACTGCCCTGATGAAAAGAAACTGATTTATGCAGAAAATAGCGCAGGAGAAGAAAATTTACTTACACTGCGTGTACTTGTAATACCAAAAATGGTGGCTGTGGGGTAGAGCCAACTAGCTATATACAAGGATTCCAGAAATAATTTTATTTTCACACAAAGTAGATGAAAATCCCCGAGAAGAAGACAAAGGCTATGCATTAATCTATACAAGGAAATAAATATAAATGCAAGGGATTTCACCAAAAATATAATGCCAGTCACACAATTGATAGTGAAAACACTGAAATCCATCAGATAAATGAAAAGAATTATACAACATGGGAAGTACAAAAGATTAATTTCTTGTTATTTATCAAAAAATGTTAATGTTCATGGAATTAATGAAGTATTTAAGTATCATTTATTTATACATGATAGTCACAATTAACTTCTGTTACATGATACTCAGGCTCTTGAGAGTTTATGACATTAGCAATCATTTAGTGATAAAGTATAAATCTGAAGAATTTCTGAAGGAGCTAACGCAACATTTTTTTGCCAAAAAATAAAAAATATTTGTATCTTACATCTTAGCAAATCTTAGAAGCTGTTTTGAAGAAACCATTCAAAATTTTAGGTATAAAGACAAGATTGTGATTTTACTTATATTAGTACAAGCTTGGAAATATAAAAGAAAAACTAATTAAATATTGCAACTTAAACTATACAATAGAAATCGTATATTATGCACCCATTAAATATTTGTTTAGACATTTCAAAATGTATATAGTTATTGTTTCTAAATAATAGGGATTATGAATGGATATTACAAAAATGCCTTCATTGTATGTGCTCCTTGTAGAAAAGTCAAAAATGAGAAAGTTAGGTAGAGTGCAGTGGCTCATGCTTGTAATTCCAACACTTTGAGAGGCCAAGAAGGGCAGATCACTTGCACTCAGGAGTTCAAGACATGCCTGGGCAACATGACGAAACCACGTCTCTACAAAACATTAGCCAGGTGTGGTGGTGCACACCTCTAGTCCTAGCTACCCAGGAGGCTGAGGTGGGAGGATCACTTGAGCCCAGGAGATGGAGGCTGCAGTGAGCCATGATCAAGCCACCATACTCCAGCCTGGGCGACAGAGTAAGACCCTGCCTCACATAATAATAATTATTATTATAGTAAAGATAAATAATTTTGCTAACTTTGGTATGTAAAATGATAAGTGATATTGAATGAACTATTAATAGGGCTATGGATGAAGAACTGAAATGTGGAGGGGTATGGCTGAAATATCCAGGTTAAATTAAAGTCCCATTGTAATAACTAACATACTAGGTTCTAACGTGAGGTTACAGTATAAAGGGGTTACCTGTCTCTGTTACTATGTTTTATGGTGACCCCAGGTCTTATAAGGAGATCATAGAACCAATGTAAAATATTATTGCATCACTCCCAGTGTCCCTCTAAAATATCAGAAACATTTACCTGCATTCACTTTCAGACTTGTGAGTTAATGACATGTGAGACTAGCTCATGCAGATTTTCTAAGATTATATGCTTGAAAATGGCAATGTGTGGGCAACGGGATATTCCCCACTAATTATTCAGATATTTCAACACTTTCAGCTCTTTCTCTGATAAGGCCTAAAGCTGTTGGGTATATATTAACAGTTTCTGGCATCAGTTTGCAAGAAATATTACCATTTCACTACATTAGGTATTTTCGTGTTAACATTTTATATTGTAAAGCTAACTATAATTTGGCTGATAGCAAAAAAAAAACAGTTATTGTTATAATTTTGTTTATTCACAAAATTCATTTTTATTAAATAGCATAAAGTGACTATAAAGACATTTCTTATCTATTTAAATAGCTTTTCTCTCTCTAAGCAATCAACCTATCATGAGCACATCAACAACTGAACTCTTTATTTTCTGGATAGTCAAGAAAAATTAAATATCTCACCTGTGTCATTTGCATTAACAATATCTGCCATGCCTCCTAACATGTGGGAAGTGTATTCATTGCCTTATAAAACTTCTTTTTAACCCCTTCAAATTAAGTTGACATTAGCAGTTGATGGTAATGATGTCACCAAAATGTCAACATTTGACCCAACACCCTAATGTTTTCTCTACAACAAAAAGAGAGAATTCAACCTGGAAAAATATTGAAATTCCAGCTGGAAGAATGCTTAGAGTCTACTTTTCACAATATATACTTTCAAGTTTGCCTCAAGAATAAAATGCCAATAATGCAAACAAAAACGGTCAAAAGTATTATTCCTTTTTTTCTTTTTGTAAAAGAATATGACCAGTAATTGATTTAAACATTTGGATATAAATTTGCCAAATTGCTACTTTGTGTCCAACTAAAAGAGTAGCTAAGTCTCTGACAGCTTTCTATATATAGCTTTTTCCACAAACCCAATAAACTATAACCAATATGCATTTATTGTTATTTCATTAGCACCAATTTGTTTGAAGTCAAAAATTGCATCTGCACTATGTTGTAGCACCATTTACCTGTTTGTGTTAATCCCAGTTAAAAATAAATATTAAACATTTCTTAAAATATATTTTCTTTAAAATTATTTAATTAATTAAATTATTCTTTATTTATTCAACCAGTAATTATTTTGTAAAAAATGCAATTTTGCCCGGTGGTTGTAGTGGAGAGGGAAGAAATGCAAAATGAATGAGATAAAGCCCTTTCATGGACAAGCTCATAAAGCAGGGATGGGGGAGGCAGATTACAATGTACTAAATTCCATGCAAGCAATATTCACAGAGTGCTCTGGGACCTTACATCCTAAGGAAGTCGAGAGTATCCCCAGGGAAGGGAACACTTTAGCTTGTCTCAGAAGATGAATAGGGCTTTTCTACAGGCAGAGAAGAAGAAAGTGGAGGGGTTTGATAGCAAAGGGGAAACCTTAAAAGAATATGCTATATCAGGGAAAAGTTAAAACTTGAGTATGGTTGGTATACAGACCACTTGCTTGATATTAAATGATATAACTGCCTTTACGTTGGGCTGTTTTATATAGGAATTAGAATTGTGTCTGTTTTCTAAAAGTAAGGCTGTCTGGTCCTATTAGGGTCTCTTCAAATCGCTTCAGGAGAAACTCTTCCCTTATTCAATGTGTTGTGGCCACAAATTTGTTTGGAAATACTAGTTAAGTTCATGAAGCTTTTGAGATTTTAAGCTGGCTGTTTCTTTTGATTGGAACCCTATTCTTCTGACTGTTCACATTTGGTTCTTTCTCATCATTGAATCTCAACTTACAAGCCATCTCAGTAGCAACTATATTACTCTTTCTCACATAACCATACTGCATTTTCTTCATAGCAGCCATCACTTTTTGAAATTTTCATGTCTATTTCTTATGTACCTGTCTATTGCTTGTCCTATTTACCTAATTAAGGATATAAAATTCTTAAAGCAAGAAACAAGCCTATTAATACACCCTAAAACTGTCACATACAAAGGAGAGTTAGGTACATAGTAGGAATTACATAAATTACTTAAACAAAATAGTGAATGATACAAAAGGAAAAACAAATGCAATGTATACATTCTAAGAGCGGTCAATCAAATAATAACTGCATTTAATATGTCAGCAATCAACATAGCATTCTCACCCAATGGCTTCTTAAGATTGGACTTCATCAAGGAGCACATGGTACAAGAGAATGAATAGACCATGGGAAAAGAGAAGGATGACCTACATTTTGCAAATGTGGTTAAATGAGTCAGTATAATAGGTGTATTAATATTTATTTTCTTTTACTTGTACCCAAAGGTGGATGAGCCCTGGTGATGCTGAGTTTATATTTACTTTATCTGTATCACGGAATATGTAAGATTCAAATGAGAAATAAATGTTAAAAGTATCATAAAATGTAAGAGATTGAATTTTTTTGCCTTCCTGTAGTAAAAGAAATAAAATATAGATCCTTGTGTAATAGAAAGAAAAACAATTTAAGATACCAATTAAATAGACTACCACTGGTATATTTTCCATTACCATCTGGTTCTTCTCAGTCTGTGAATTTAGTCAGAAAAACAATAAGTAACAGAATTATAAGAAATAGATCTTTTGTTGATCTTCAGAAAAAATGATTGTATCATGATGAACACAGTGTTCTTTTTTAAATGTCACACATAATTGTGCATAGCCAGAGTAAATGAGCCAGTAAATGGGCTGGTATTAATAATTATACTGACATGCATGCAATTTCAATATTGACTAATAAGATGATTGATAATTTTCAGATAATTAAATTTAAAATTATGAAAGAACTTTAAGTGTGACTCGTAGATTTTATAATGTTTAATTAAGTACACGTTAAATGTAGCAATAAGTTCATCAGTAAAATTTTGTAAATAAATATGCAAAGTAAAACAATTTCAACAAGAATATTAGTATCATAGGGCTTTAAATGTCATTATTTTTTAAAATAACGAGTATTTTTTATTACCCTTGTTTTTCATTTTGCTTGACTTCATACTTCCATTAAGCTACAGAATTAATTAAGCTTTTAATCCTACTTACAAAAGCCTTTCCGAAGCTCTATCAATATGAATTTCGAAACAACTCAAGAAAACAGCCTAGAATTTTTTAAGCTAGAAGAAGAAAAAGAAATAAAAGGAGAAAACAGCCACATCCAGGAGGACCCTAAGAAGTTATAAGTATTAAATGTGATGTGGTATCCTGGACGAAATCCTGGAACTGAAAAAGGATAATAGGAAAAACTGAGGAAATCCAAATACATTATGGACTTTAGTTAATTTTAATGTATAATTATTGGTTCATTAATTGTGCCAAATGTACCATATTAATGTAGAGTAAACTAGGGGCACATATGAATTTAGTACTATATTTGCAACAATTTTGTAAATCTAAACTGTTGTAAAATTTGAAGTTTATTAAACACATATAAGAGAAAAAACTACATGTGAATTTAAAAATCATTCTAATGCTGTCTACAGGCCAAAAATAGGAATTGTTTACAAGCAAAGAACATTGGAACCACTTTGCCAATGGATAGCAGGCACATATTATTAGAATTTTGAAAATTAATATAATACTTTTGGCTTCAAAAGCTACCAACATGCATGCACATATGTTATATGTTAAATACGTTTCTATAAGGGCCCTAGATTGCCCCTGCTGAGTTATATACCTTATGATTTATCCGAGCCTGGGCTTCAACTGATTAGATTAGGTGTATAAACCTGATCAAGGAAAATTGATCCATATTCTGGCCAGTAAACTAGGGCTGCGACCTGGTTCAAAAATACAAGCAGAATCAGAAAACTCCCTCTCTCAGAGAAAAATTTGACTGAAATAACAGATGATATTTGCCAGCTTTCAGTAGTGGCAAAAATAATGCACCCTGTGTTGTCATGATGGGAAAGAACCTGGGGTAATCATTATGGGAAATGAATGAGAAGAGTAATCAAGAGAACCTAAATGAAAGAAAGAGGGAAATGAATAAATTGAAGAAACCAGCTGGGCATCCACAGAGATGAGAAATGGGAAAGAAAGAGAGAAAAGGAAACAATAAGCAGACTCTGCCCTCGAGAGAACGGCATCCTCTTCTAATAGCTCTCCAGTTTTCTCCTTTGGACTCAGTAAGGTCTGGCTGTATTTTTATTTCTGTCTTGGACTCATTTTCTTAGAATAAATCCTTCATTTCTAGAGCAAGTAGAAGTTAGCTCTTATACCTACAGTAAAAAACAAACAAACAAACAAACAAAAAACACCTAAGACATACTTCAGGTTACACAAGCCGCTAGCACCCCCTATTAAACCTACTCTGTAGCTGTCATGCTTCTTCTTTTCCACTTTCACTAGCTGTTTCTGGCTTCTCTCAGAACCAAAATGACATTATTTCCAATATTTGATCAAAGCCTTTAAAATGCTGTTTACACTTGTAACATTACAGTGGTTCAAAAATTATACTATCCCCTATCCCTTGAATTATTTTTAAATAATTCTGTCATAAAACAACTTCCTTGTTACCATGTATCTTGGTGTCAAAGATAAAAATCACAAAGCTGTAGGCTTGTGTAGTGAGCCTTCTTCAACATTATCAATGTGAAGATTAAGTACATTAATTAAGTGATTACATTTAGTCCCTAAGTCTATGCTTATTAATGTTTTAAAGATTTTCAATAAGAAGATAAATAAACACAAGATAAGTTGATAGACATCAATCTCATCACAATAAATATGAATGCGTTAATAAAATCCAAAAATGGTCCAACTGCAAACACTCCAGCTTTGTACTATTTTCACTAGAACAATAGGGATACAGCTAGAGTGAAAGGAGAAGATACACCACTTGTAGCAAATAATGTCAGCAGGAACTACTTCAAATATAATCTCTCAGTTTTTCTTAGCAACTGAACACTGATTTTCTTCAAATGGCAATCTGTCAAACTTAAAACTGCATTTTCCAGGCTGCCTTGTGGTAGGTGTAGCTAATGAAGCATAAACTGTGGTTTCAAGGAACTCTCTTTAATAGAGGATCGGTCAATTGGAAGGAAGACCTATTTTGTACTTATTCCCATTTTCCCTCCATGATGTCTGGAATGTGAACATGAGGTAAAGTTAAAAATTAAAGCACTGTGCTAAAAATGACATAAGAAAAAGAGATAAGGAACTTTGCTCCATGGGCTGTCATTTCTGAGCTGTCTCCAGACTTCTTTTATAGAAGAGAAAAAAGCAGCCTTACAGTTCAGTTTGGCTGTTTGGTTACATGTAGCGGTACTAAATCCTACGTGGCATATCACAGAAATAATAATCAAAAGAATGTTGGTGTGACTAATTATGACCAGATTATTTCAGTAATCTGTGGAAGATTAATAAGTAATCTCTAAAAAGCAGTTTAAAATGTTATGCTTTAGATTCTGTGGGTCAGTAATTCAAACAATGCATCGAGACTACCTGTCTCTGATTCTCAGTGTCTGGGGGGGCCCTAGCTGGAAAGATTCAAAGTCTGGGGTTGATTCAATGGCAAAGAATAGATATCATCTGGCTGTTGGCCAGAAAACCTGCATGTGGCCTCTCTATGTAGTATCTCATGTTCTTTAGTTAGGGCTTCCTCACAACATGGCAGCTCAGTAGAAACGTTATTGCCTTTTACTATCTAGTTTCAGATGGCACATAGTGTTACTTCCCCCTTAATCACAAGTTTCCCAGGTTCAAGAGGTGGGAACAAAGACCCATCTCTCAATGGAAGGAGAGTCAAATCATATTGTAAAAAGAGTCTATAAGATAGGAGATGTCATTGCAGTCATCTTTCCAAGATAGACTCTTCCACACAGAGAAAATAGATAAATAACGTTACAATGTAGTCATGAAATATTCAATTCACTAGGAAGATATGTAATTTAAGTCTGCATACATAAAATAATATAGCTTCAACATATGCGAAACAAAACTAATGAAAACCACATGAAAAACTTTACAAACCCAACATCATAATAGGAGTGTTTAATATCTCTCAGTATAATTATAGATCAGATAGAAAAATCTGTAAGAATATCAGAGATGTAACACAATTAACAGGATTTTTAAAAATGACAGATATAGGGAATAAACACAATTGTAGAGAATGAATTTTTTTTCAGAAATTTTAGGGAATGAACATTTTAGGGAATGAACTTCACAATTTTAGGGAATGAACTTTCTTTTCAAAGGCTGGACACATACCAGGGTATAAGGCAATCTCAACAAATTTAAATAAATCTGTATAACTCACATCATGTACTCTAATTGCAAAGTAATTAAGCCTGAAGTAAATAACACAAAGGGAGTTAAAAAATAAGATGTCACCAGGTTATAAATTTGTAATACACCCATAATTTAGAAGTATTCATTGGTCAAGGAAAACATTCTTTAGAAAAATTAAAAATAACTGAAAAATAATAAAATATCACATATCAACATTTTGTGATTCAGCTAAAGTGATATTTAAAGAAAATGTATACACTGAAAATCTGGTGCAAAAGAAAGGACAAAAATTAGGGAGATAAGTCATCTAACAGATACAAGAGGCAACACAATAATACAATATACAACACAATCGATACAAGAGACTACACAATAAAAACATAAAGAAAATAAACATGATAAAAGAAGCAATTGGTGAATTGCTATATAATATTGCTATACAATAATATATAATGAATTATATTTATATAATAAAATATATATTTATATAATTATATATATTTTTATTATATTTATATATATTTATATAACAAAATGTATATAATATATTTATATATATGTTAGATATTATAATATTGTATTATATATTGTATTATATATTATACATTATAATATATTGTATTATATATTATAATATCATATAATATATTGTATTATAATATATATTATAATATATTGTATTATAATGTATTATATATTATAATATATATTATAATATATTGTATTATATATTATAATATATTATATATTATATTATAATATATTGTATTATATATTATAATATATTGTATAATATATTATATTATATATTATAATATATTGTATTATATATTATAATATATTATATAATATATTATAATATATTGTATTATATATTATATTATATATTATAATATATTGTATTATATATTATAATATATTATAATATATTATATATTATAATGTATTATATATTATATTATATATTATAATATATTGTATTATATATTATAATATGTTATATATTATATTGTATTATATATTATATATTAAAATATATGATAACATTATATATAATATATATAATATAATATATAATATGTATTTAATACATAATATATAATATATATTTAATACAGAATATATATTATCTATAATATAGATAATATATATTATATTATCTATATTATAGATAATATATATTATATAATATATATTATCTATAATATATATTATCTATAATATAATATTATAATGTATATATAATATATAATATATATAATATATAATATATACTGTATATTATATATACATATATACATTATATATTATATATTATGTATAATATATATATCATAATATATAATAATATATATAATATATAAAAATATATATAATAATATATAATAATATATAATAATATAGTGGGAAAGATGTAATGAATCATTAGAATTGTAAAAACTATTACAAAATCATCAACCTGTGCCAAGATTAATACAAAAATAGAATTGCAAAAGTTATCTCTCACTGTGTGTGTGTGAGAGAGAGAGAGAGAGAGAGATGGGGAGGGAAGGATGGATGGAGGAAGAGAAAAAAATGAAAAAAGGGTATCTATAGATACAGCAGAAATCAAACTGTAAATAAACTATTATAATTTGATAGCAAAAATTTAGAGAAAGTTAAGCAAAATAAACTTATTCTTATAAAAATATATATTCAAGAGGATATATAAATCTGAATAATTCTATAACTGTTAAAAATTAAATTGTTAAAAAATCACTCTACAAAAATCACCAGGCTCATATATAGAATATTACTGAAAAACATTACAGAATACCTAAATGATGATATATCATTTCTCCTTAAATATGTCTATTGAGTAAATTAAGTTCTAATTAAAATCTCAAGATTTTCATGTGTGTTCTTTTGTCTTTCTTTGAGACAACTTGGTATGTTGATTCAAAATGTTAATGGGAATAAAAAGAATCAAGAATAGCCAAGAGCCTCCTGAAGAAAACAAACTGGACAAAATTTCATTAACAGCTGGCAAGATTTACATAAACTAAAGTAATAAAATAAGAATGGACCTGGACACAAGAAGAACAAATTGACAATGGGGCAGACAAAATACAGCATTACAGATCACTGTCAAAGAATGGGATATCCAACTGGTGTTGGGACATTTGGCTATTTACATGAGAAGAATTGAATGCCTATCTCATTCATTCATAAAAGTTAATTTCCAAAGATAATAAGAAACTCGATATCACTTCAGAAAAAAAAAAGATTTCTAGCTACAAAATCCAAACCATAAAGAAAATATTGATGAAGTCTAATAATTTGAGAATTTCTATTAACCAAAAGGTGCTAAAAAGGGAGACTAAAGAGAAAAATCCATAAACTGTGGTGTTTTGGCAAGTTATATGCAAAGGCTTAGTATCAACACTAGATAGAGGACTACTATAAGTAGAGTAAACACAAATAACTTGGAAGAAGAAAAGGGCAGAAATCTTGTTCTTAGAAGAAAATAAATGGCCTTTAAGCGTTTGAAAATGTTATCAACCTTATTTGGAAACAAAAAAATGCAAATTAAAACCACAATGATATTGCCACAACATGGGCAAAAAAATTTAAAAATGCACATCCAATTTTAATATGAATGAAGAACAACAGGAAATTTCATCTGATAATTCTCATACAAAGCTGGTAGAGATATTAATACATACAACCTATTTTGAAAACAATTGAGCATTGTATAAATGAAGTGGAAGATCTATAAACTCTAAGAACCACCAATTCTACTTGCATGTGTGTGCCAAGAAATAGATACAGAAATTTTTATAGTAGCATTGTTTAAAATAGCAGAAAAAGACAGTAACCTAAAAGTCTTCATAGTAACATGGAAAAATAAAAATGGAACATGGAAAAAAACGCACTATACAGTAATGTTTATTACTGAATTACAACCACATATTATGACTGAATTCAGCAAGTCAAAATGATTTTAAAAAGCAAGTCATAGGAGAGTATATACAGCACAATCTGATTTATATCAAGCCAAAAACATGTGAAACCAAATGACATGTTATTTAGGGATAGCTACATACATGGTAAAACTATAAAGAAAATGTGGGGAATAATATACATAACATTCATATTGGCAGGTACCTGTGTGAAAGGGTAGCAGGGAATATCCTGGGGAAGGGGCTTACAGAGGCTACAAAGTTCTTAGTGGATAGATTGATATTTCTTTTTTTTATTATTCCTTATGCCTTACAAATTTGCATCAACCAAGTATTTTATTATAAAAATTATATTTGCCTCCAGGCATCAATAATTTCATTAAAGTAATGGCTGTGTTCTCACACTGGAAATATACCCTTAATGAAATGACCAAATAAGTACAAATTTACCTGCTTCCTGGTTTACACTTTCCTACTCAGCTTTTACATCGGTTTTCACAGAATATGGAACTAATAATGATTGAAATTAAAGCAAACATAATTTTCTATTTTTTTTGATAACTTCGTATTCCTCTGAATTGAAACAATATAGACATAAATTCTAGAAAATGCATGCAACATTATATACATATATAGACATTGTTAAAATTAGGGATCAGATATATACAATGTTTGAAATATGGTATAAAGTATAGAAATATAGAATATTTTATAGAGTATAATTATAAAACAATAATGCAAATATATACTCCCAATTAACACAAATATGTATATAATTTTTGCAATACTGTTTTGGTTTAAACGACCTGTCGATAAGATTTTTACAATCCCTATATCCTGGGAATACAAAGTATAATGCACTTTTCTAATACACTACAATGTATTTTTGTCTGCAGAGAACATGATTTTATATTTATGAGATAACAAGAAGGAATTGCCTTTTCTTTCATCTCTGTTCATCGTTTTTTTTTTTTTTTTCATCTAGAGGATGGTGAGTATAGTTAGTTCTGATAATAGAAATTATGGGAAAGCTAGAAGTGAAGTGGACAGTGCAGTAGTACTAGCTAATCTCACATACCAGCCATAGATGAAGAAAAGACTGGTACTTTAGAACTATAGTCCATTAGCTGAGCAAGTTGGAGCTGATGGGGGACTAACAGCATTGACATAAGCAGGTCAGAGTGCTCTGCTAGGGCCTTCCAAATTGTAACAAGGAATTACATGAACAGGGCCACATGCCCCTTCCAGAGCAAAGATAGGGGCTGGAGAAATAGCCCACGGCAAATAGACTTGTGAATCATTTTTACCTATTGTACCTAAGTAAGCTAAGAAACAGTCATCTAGATCTTTTCTACTGAAAATATTCAGAGCCATAATTAAAACAGAAAAGGAATAATTGCTGTCCTCCATTAAAACCTCAAAGGATTGAAAGTGATGGAATACTGGCAATGATATCTATTTATTTATATGAATACTGAAAATAAAGAGTTTAGGGCAGAGTTTACCAAATTAATGTATCTTGGATAATAATAATACTCTAAGTCAATATTTAAAAATACAGGGGTTTAAAGGCCACATAAGTACATCCAATTGGAACTTTGAGGACATCTTCAAATATTAACTCGAGAATTTCTGTGGTAAAGAAACATATTTACTTTTTCTAAACCAAGAGTGAAAATTAACTTGAAAAGTTTTTTTCTCTGTAATACCGACTATTTACAGAAATAGCGTTTAACTATTTGGCTGGTCATTTGGTTTATAACCAGAGGTCTATAAAAGACTTGAGGCATGGAGAAGTTTGTAAGAGTCTAATTTTTGAAATCTGACTTCATCTGAATCTGTAACTCTAAGAAGCATAAAGGTAATGTAAGGAAGTAAATTTTAAGTTTTATGGAGAGTTGAAGTTTTAATTTTCTGAAAAAGCTTATATTTTCTGAATCCAAATAGGAATGAGTACACACACACACACATACATATGTGTTGTGCTTTAGTTATTGAAACGAGGATGAATATTATGTGTATATGTGTTTATGTATGCATTATGCTGTATTAGCCACTGTATACATAGATGATGAACAAGAATGAAGTAGTCCTTGCCCTCATTAATTGCTGTTACAGGAAAAAGATAAATTTAAGTAAGCACAAAATTTTAAAACTCTGAAATTTAATACATATATTAAAACCTCACTATTAATATTATAAGTAAAGGCAAAATATAGATAAGCAAATTCCCCCAACCCCAGCAGGAGATGGAAACTTAGCAGCCCCCTTCCCACCCACATTTGTAAAGTAGGAGGGGGGACTGAGCAGAGAATAGGAATACACTGCAGTTTTATTACATCTAAATTTGGGTTGTGTGGCCTTTCTTCTGTGCAAAATAGGAAATAGACATGGGACTCATACAGAAGATAAAAGAGTCAAGGACTACTTTAGATAAATGGTGGCTAAGGAAAGCCTAGCTGAAAATGAGACATTTTTTCTGAGATGTAATGGAAGAGAAAAATATATTCATGTCTTTGGTAACGGTAAAATGTCGGCAAGAAGCATTCTAGGCAGAGAAAAACACTGATGGTTGGACAAAGCTTGGCATATTTGAGGCATTAAGAAAATCACTAAGGTGACTAAAGAACTATGACAGAAAAGGCCTGATATGCAGCCCCTAGACAGCTGTAGAAACAAGTGTGAATTGTATTCTAAGTGCATTGGAAGCCATTGAAAGATTTTAAGCAATTGGATAGCATAATTCCAACTACATTTTTGCTACAAATAGATAATGAATTGATGATGGCGAGTATGAAGTCAAACACTACTCTGCAGGCAGTTGCAGCAACCTGGGTAAGAAATAACGGTGGCCTTAACTGAGGGGAGGTCATTAGCTGGCAGTTAAAAGAAGATGTATAAAATGGATGGTGGGGCTGTAGGAGTGGGAAGCTAGGAAATCATCTGTGGGAATAGGAAAACAAGCTTACTAGAGAAATAAAGTTGGGGGTGCCAAGAATATTAATTTGATTGAAACAAAGCAGCTGAATGTTGTGGCATTCTCTATCAATATTTGACTGTTGAGGAGAAGTCATGGAGGCTGCAATACGGGCTTATCCAGGTTGGAGCTTACTAATGCTGTATGATGAAAGAAGCTAGAGGAAAAAGAATTGAGAATATTTCTATTTCTTTTTTTTTTTATTTTTGAGGTGGAGTCTCGCTCTGTCACCCGGGCTGAAGTGCAGTGGCACGATCTCGGCTCATTGCAACCTCCGCCTCCTGGGTTCAAGTGACTCTCCTGCCTCAGCCTCCCGAATAGCTGGGACTACAGGCGCCTGCTATGATGCCTGACTAATTTTTGTATTTTTAGTAGAGACGGGGTTTCACCATATTAGCCAGGCTGGTCTCGATCTCCTGACCTCGTGATTCGCCCGCCTCAGCCTCCCAAAGTGCTGGGATTACAGAATGGAGAATATTTCTAAGAGAGGTTGACTAGTGCTGTATGATGAAAGAAACTAGAGGAAAAAGAATCGAGAATATTTCTAACAGAATTGTTGAAGTAAAGTATCTCAGAATCTAGGTGGTCAAAAAGGGAAGAGAAGCCAGAGGGGGGTGATGGATAGAAAGGAGAGTAATGAATGAGAAAAGAAGTTTCCATGTCTTCACAGTTAAAGATGCATGAAGATATGATAACATAAAAGCTCCTACTTGAGAAAATTACAAAGGAACAACATTTTTAAGGTTTAATTAAGGCAAAAAAAAAAGTGGAGAAACTGATTTGAGAAGAAGATGTGTATGTTGGTCAAAGGGATACCTGGTCCCTGAGCGAGCATTCCAGAGATGGGAGGTGGGTGGATGCTGGGATCTGTTTCAGAGCTGTCCAGAGTAGTGTGGGAATGATTATCACTATAAAAAGAGATGCCCAAGAAGGGGATATAAGAATAATTCTGATAATCGCCAAGATAAGTATGGACAAGCAGACCTACTGCTGTGTTCACAAATGCTTCTGCCTGTTTATGAGATGGCATTTCTCTGATGCTTATTTGTGCTCATGGGATGTTGCCAGCTTTCTGAGCGGGCTCCATGTGGGATAATAGCAGTTCTAAGCAGCAGTTCCCTGTGGATAGGCATAAGGTCATGGTGAGCTTTCTTGCAGCTCCCAAGCAGCTGTTCATAGAAGTTCGGAACAACAAGTTTTTGAGGCTTTTCAGGGTTTGCACTCTCAAAGTGAAAATCATCCAGTCTCGCTTGCACCCTTCAGATTCTCCCTCCACCCCTCTAACCAAAGGATCTACCTACAAGATAATTCGAACCTATGATTTGCCCACTTAAATAAACCCAATGTTACCAAGGCATTGGTTCTTTTTTTGTCTTACATCAGAATCATCTTTTGGAAAATAAAAATCATGGATTCTATCAATTTTGCATCATAATTTCTGGAGATGAATGTATTTAACCTACTTTATTCAGATTTCCCTGGTGGAATTGATATGCTTAATAAGATTTCCCTTTAGTTCTTATAGAGCAGGATCTACACTGTTCAATACATGGAAATTTCAAACTAGGTGGGATTTTAAAAAGGCTTACATGATCTAGATCCTGGCTACTTCTCTGTATGTTGCCATTCAGTGCATCTAGCTTGACTTTCAAGCAATATCTGTCTATTTTGGCTTTATCAAACAGATACAGGATCCTGGGCTACAGAGTGTAGTTAAAAGTTTGGCATTCCTGTTGAGAAATCAAGCTGCACTTGACCTCTGTGCACTGAGTGCACTAAAGATTCATTGCAAGTCTTTGCCTCTGCACCCTCCACATTGCATTGAATAATCTGTGTGTCTGTTTTCCCCCACTAGGTTTTCAATTTGTCAAAGATAAGGAGGTAGTTGCCCTCCGCTTTGTATCTTCAGCATTTAACACAGTCCCTGGCATACATATTGTTTGTTTGATGCTTAAATAAAACAAACTGAAAGACCTTATAGTTAAGTGAAAGATAAATACAATTAAAGTGTTACTGGTATGTATGCTCTGGAAATAGACATGTGATGGTTAATATTGAGTGTCAACTTTATTGGACTGAAGGATGCAATGTATTGTTCCTGAGTGTGTCTGTGAGGGTGTTGCCAAAGGAGATAAACATTTGAGTCGGTGGACTGGGAGAGGCAGACACACCCTCAGTCTGGGTGGGCACCATCTAATCAGCTGCCAACACCGCTAGAATAAAGCAGGCAGAAGAAAGTGGAATGAGCAGACTTGCTGAGTCTTCCAGCCTTCATCTTTCTTCCGTGCTGGATGCTTCCTGCCCTCCAAAATCAGATTCCAAGTTCTTCAGCTTTTGGATGCTTAGACATACACCAGTGGTTTGCCAGGGGCTCTTGGGCCTTTGGCCACAGACTGAAGGCTACACTGTCGTCTTTCCTGCTTTTGAGGTTTTCAGACTTAGACTGGCTTCTTTGCTCCTCAGCTTGCAGATGGCTTATTGTGGGACTTCACCGTGTGATCCTGTGAGTCAATACTCCTTAATAAACCGCCTTCATATATACATCTACACTATTAGTTCTGTCCCTCCGGAGAACCCTGACTAATACAAGATATAAGACACTCTCAGCATTGGTAAGGAATTCCCAACTTAGGTTTGAATGTGGGGTTAAAGATAAGAGAAAACTTCACAAAAGATGTGAAAGAAAGAAAGCAATGTTTGAAAATTTTTAAACTCAATTTGGAAACGTTCATGTAAGAGTAGAGAAATGTGTCAATCAAGAATGAGTGTCTATTTAAGGGTCGGGAAATGATAAAAAATGAAGCATTGAAGAAGCACAAACTGCTGCTAATGATAGCTCAGAAATAGTCAGATTAAGCTCTGTGGCACTATGTTTAGGGTACATTTTAACATTTTTATTCCCTTCTTATTGTAGTCTCAACATGAGGATCTACCCTGTTTGCTTGGTCCTCTGCAGAACATTTACTCCTGAAATGTAGTACCTATTGGTAGAAAAAAATGAAGGGATTTGAAACTAACAAAAAGGTATTTGAACCCTGCTTCCTCCATTTATTAGCTTTTTTTTTTTTTTTTGGCATGAATTGACTTCTAAGTTTTCTCTGAGACTCAGCTTGTATAAAACAAGAAGAATGATTCCTACTTTGCCACTGAGGTTTTGCAAAGATAACATGAGAAAACTTGTGAGAATATGATTAATAAACTGAAAAATGCCTTACAAATGTAAAGTCCTCTTATTTTTGTTATATTCTCATTTTGTGCCTGTTTTATATTACATTCTTCTCAGATTTTTATATATCATCAGGGAAATGCGAGTCAAAATCACAATGAGATATCATTTTACCCTAGTTAGGATGACTACTATTTAAAAGTTGAAAAATAACAGATGCTGGCAAGGATGCAAAGACAATGGAACTCTTATATACTGTTAGTGGGAAAGTATATTAGAACATCCACTATAGAAAACAGTATGGACATTTGTCAAAAAAATAAAAATAAAATTAGTAATGTTGAGTTTTTTTTCATATAACTGTGGGCCATTTGTATGTCTTCTTTTAAGAAGTGCCTATTCATGCCTTTTGCACACTTTTGAGTGGAATTATCTGTGTTTCCTGTTGAGTTGTTTGAGTTCTTTGTATATTGTGAATATTAGTCTTCTTTCAGAAAAATAGTTTGCAAATATTTTCTCCCATTCAACAAGTTTCACCCTGTTGATTATTGCCTTTGCTGTGCTGTTTCTGTGAAAAACGACATTAGTATTTTGATAGGAATTGCATTGAATCTGTAGTTTGCTTTGTGCAGTATGATTATTTCAGTGATGTTAATTATCTCCATCTATGAACATAGAATGGGTCTGGTTTTGGTACCAGGGTAATGCTGGCCTCATAAAATGAGTTAGGGAAAATTCCCTCCTCTTTAATTTTTTAGAATAGTTTGAGGACAATTTATGTTCTTTGAAAATTTGGTAAAATTCAGCAGTGAAATCATCTAGTCCTGATGTTTCCTTTTTGGGAGACTTTTTATTACTGATTCAAATTCATCACTCATTATTGGTCTTTTCAGATTTTCTAATTTTTTTTGATTCAATCTTGGTAGGTTGTATGCATCCAAGACTGTATCTATTTCCTCTATGTTTTTCAGTTTGTTAGTATGTAGTTGTTCATAATAGTCTCTAATGATCTTTTGTATTTCCATGGTATCAGTATCATACACCTAGTCTTTTTTTGTTTGCTTCTGATTGTATTTAATTGGGTCTTCTCTCTTTTTTCTTGGTTAGTCTAGCTAGTGGTATATAAATTTTGTCTATCATTTCAAAAAACCAACTTTTGGGTTTTCATTTCTGTAAATGGATGCCTAAATCTCTCGCTAGACATGGGAAATTTTCATCTATTATTTCATTAAATAGTTTGTCTATCCATTTTATTTCCTCTTCACCTTCTGGTTCACCCAAAATTCAAATATTTGGTCACTTTATGCTATCCCATATGTCACATAGGCTTGTTTCAATTGTTTAAATTCTTTTTTCTTTATTTTTGTCTTACTGAGTTACTTCAAAAGACCTATATTCAACTTTTGAATTTTTTTCTTCTGCTTGATCTAGTCTGTCGTTGAAGCTTCTGGATCTATTTCGTATTTTATTCAATAGATCCTTCAGTTACAGAATTTCTGTTTGTTTCCTGGTATCTGTCTCTTTGGTAAATTTCTCATCCCTATCTTCAATTGTTTTTCTAATTTCTTTGGATTATTTTTCTGAGTTCTCCTGTATTTCACTTAGTTCTTTATTATTATTATTTTGAGCTCTGTTTCCAATGTCTTAAACACTTATTTTTGGTAGGAATCTGTTGCTGGAGAGATATTGGTTTCCCTTGGAGGTGTCATGTTTCCTTGCTTTTCCCATGCCCTTCTCCTGTGCCCTTACATCTGCACATCTGGTTGATCAGTCACTTTTGAATTTCTTTTATTGAATTTATTTCATGAGGGAGGATTTTTTTTCCTCCAGATGTGTCTATGCTGTTGGGTGGGTAGGGCACTTAGGCTTTGATTCTGGGTACATACAGTAGTATAGTCTTTGTATGATTTCTTCAGCTGTAAACAATGTCACAGTGTCAGTAGGGTCTAGTTTCCCAGTGTCTTAGGGTGTGGTTGTTAGTGGAGGCCATGGTGAAGTTTTGTTGTGGATGAGGAATCCTAGGTAGGCCAGTTCTTGGGCCCCAGTGGTGGACTCAGTGGGCCTACTATGCATGTTCTTGGGTCCCAGAGTAGTGTACCCTGGCACCAATGTTAGCACTTCTGGGCAGGTCAATTATTGGACCTCCAGGCAGCTTGCTCAGGTGCCAGCAGTGGCACTTGTGGGCTGTGTGGGTTGCCAGACACTTGGGTCCCTGAGCAGTGGACATGGCATGGACAATGGCAATAGCAATGGTGGGATAATTCTCTCACTTTCAAGCAGTCTGCACTGACATTGGCAGTAACTGCCTTGGGCTGCGTAGGCCAGTCCCCAGGCCCACTGGTGGTATATGCAGGTGGGTGCCAGCTGTTGCGGTAGTGGTGGATGGGGTTGGCTCCTTCTTAGGCCCCAGGAGAAGTAATCATGTGTTGGATGGGGCATGACAGTCTCCAGGCCCCTGGAAGGCATGCTTAGGCATGAGTGGGGATGTGGGGACAGGGTAGAGTCAGGTGGAGCATGCTTGTCTTTAGGTCCCCCAGTGGTGCGTATGTTTGCTTGCTATGGTGGAGAGGAGTGGGGTAAACCCCAGGCCCCTGGTGGAAGGCTCAGGTAGGGGACGCAGCAGCTGGGCTTCTGTGCTATTGTGCTGCTGCCCTGTTGATGGGGAGTCTGGGGTTGCTTTCAGTGGCAGTAGCTGTAAACAAACAGTTGTGGAACATGTGCTTTGGCCCCAGGTGGCAGCTTCAATAGGGTAGCCTTTCCCAGGGCACTGTTAAATGTGTGTGGGTTCTGCTACTGAGGATAGCTACAGTGGGAATGTGGACTGCTGCCAATGGCTTACACTTCTGCTCTAAGAATGTGGAGATGCCAGGACTGTTGTGCCCCAAAACTGAATAGAGTCTGGCTAGCCTGTGCTCTCAAAATAGCACTGTGCTGCAACTGCTTCGGACTCAGGGGTGTGTGGGTAAGCTCATGCTGAAGTAGATAATCACACTTCAGATAGATCAGCATGAGCTCCCTCTCTGAAGCAATGTTGTCTTGTGGTCCCCAGGCAGCTTTTAGAGCCCACAAGGGTGGAGGGGTGCAGGAGTCCACAGTGTGAATGTGGACTGCTGGGGGGCCACTTACTCACCCTTTCCTGGCACTGGGGAGCTTCTCCAGGCTCCCAGCCAATCCTAGCCAAGCAAGCTGCCTCACTTCCCTCTTTCCCGTATTTCCTGTCTCTGCTCTGTTGAACTCCAGCATTGTCTCTTAGATGATCTATCTGAAGTGTGATTATCTACTTGCTATTTTGGTTCTTCTTTGTGGAGGGGTGAATACCAGATGTCTTGCTCTTGTCAGTCATCTTGAAGCCCCGCCTTGAAAAAATGCTTTGAATTTATTCTTCTATGAACTTGAAATTTCAGGGGAAAACATATATATCAAGCTGGTGAGAGAGTAATAGTAAATTTCAACATAATAATCCTTTTTAACCATGAAAAAATACTTATCATTTTTAAAGTATTAATTTGTACTTTCTACACATTATTTTTAAGGCTTCATGTTTGCCAGGCACTATCTAAGCACAAAGGATAGAGAAATAGCATGAGAAAAATCCTTGCCACCAGCAGGAGGCATACAATATATTAGAAAAGACATATAACAATACATAATTACAATAAATAAGATAAATGTGCCTGGTGATATAAAAAATAAAACCATAAAACTAAATAGATGCAGATACTAACATTTGAAACTTAGAATTAAGGAAAACCATACTTTTAAAGGCAAGATATAAAGGCTTAAGATCCTAACTATGTTTCAAAGTCAGCCATCTGGCTATCTCATGATATGTCAGTTGCTTTTTGAATGCTAGTTCCCAATCCATTCAGATTTAGGTTATTTAAACCTGCTTTATTTGTTCAAATCAGGCCCAGATGGCCTGATGTATTTTCTTTAAAGGAATAACACAGCACTTAATTCAAATGAATTTAATAGGCAAGAAGATGATGCCATTGACATGAATAAAGCCAATATTAAAATAAAACAAGAATTCTTACTTTAAAAGAAACTTGAAATATTAATCTAATATAAATAATTATATTTTGTAAGAGATACAATGACAAAGTAGGAATGTCTTTGTTATGCTCTTTAAACACTGAATAAGAAATTCATACAATTAAACTCCAATAATGATATGTTTATATGATATAAGATCTAACATACTCTTTCACTGATAAGAAGCTATCTTTAAGATCTCAGGTTGGTCTGCTTCAGAAACATGTGGCTCTGACAGATAGATAGACAGTCATGCCCTGCCAAGCAGGCTAAATCTTAGAGTGCAGGTATCCACAAGTGAGCCAAAGTCAAACTCAGAAAGACAATTTGGGCAGCTCAATAAAACACTGGAAAACGTGTTTGTAGAGGTTGTTAGGATTATTATCTCTTGCAATCCAACACGTTATTAGGGCAGTTTGCTAAATTTTGTAGGTTTTGCTTTCTATCATTTCAAGCATTATTTATCAGAAACAAATTCTACTTCTCAATGGTTACTCTAAGTACTGAAACAGAAATCTTGCTCTGCTTCACTCTTATAGTTAAGAGTGAAACAAAGAAAAGAAGTGACCTTCCTTTGTTTCACTCAACCACACTCATAAATAATCTTTTTAAATCAACATTTGTGAAGCCCCCTAACAAATGTTTTTAATACTTATATTCAATTTTGTATGAAAAAAGTGTCTGACACATAGTAGGTAACTAGTGGATAGATATTAGACAAATGAACAGGTATCCACAGAGCTACCTTAAATAATAAAATAGTATGAAAAAATGATGGCAAAAGCATAATTATAGTGTGAAGGGAAGACTGTTACATGATCAGTTGAGGCAGAAAAAATTAAAATTTGATTTATTCTCACAAATAAGATTTTTTAAACCAGTTCTATCACACCACTGTGCTTCCTTTAGTAATGAAAAATGGAAAGGCTTTGCCTTGTCTCAGTACTGTGCAGAAATGACAACGAGCTCTTGCTACAGACCACAAACAAAAGGATTCAAAGATATATTACTAAGACAGTGCCAAGCCAACTGCTGTCTCTATCCACAAAAGGTATATGACTAAATATAAAATGGATTTTTGAAATAAGGGCCATATCTTGCCCAAATAATTACTGTATTAAAACCAGTGTCATTTTGGTAGAGAGCGGGCAGGTGAAATATTTAGCTGATGACAGTCTTATCACATTACAGTCCTTTTGCTGTTGCATATTTCTCCCTTTGTTCCTTGCCTTGATAAAGCTGAACAGCATAATGTTAACACAAGCCTCAAAAGTTCAATTTCCACCTCATATAATGTGTTTGACTAAAAAATGACATATTTGGCAATGTCCTGCTTCATCACTATTAATCATTATATTTTCTTTGAATTCGTCCTCAAAAGTCCCATCTACTGTCTGTATCACACATTCGAGGACTTTATATCTTTTTCACTTCCTGGTCTTTACTTTTAATATTTCTTACTGTGACTTTTTAAAATGAGAATCTTGAAAGAATCTACTTAGAATAAAGGCAATGCATAAAATATGAGCACACCTTCTAGCAACTTAGATCACCCATATTATTGTGGCACAACATAAAAATGTAAGACCAAGTGGCTGAATTGGATTATAATCAGGATTACTTCTAGAAAATCACAAAGTTTATCATCATTACAAGTGGTAAAGTTAGAAAGGCAATTGAAACTTAGAAATGTATTTTTTAATGGTGCATAGGAAAAATGCACAATGCACTAGATATTGAATTTTCCCTGACTTGGGAAAAGTTACAATCGTTTCTAATTTTCTTTTATGTAATATATGACCATCTGAGTTCAAGCAAATAGAAATTTCTAAATGTCAATTTATAAAGTATTTTATAAACAAAAGACACAGCCAGAAAGTCTGCTGAATTTCAGGAAATGTTCTCTAGACTCTAAAATTGATAAGGCAGTGTACTATTATAGCATTAATTACAGCCATCAGAATAGAAGAATATTTCTTTAAGACTTTCTGAATTAAAAGAAGTATGGTCAACACAAGCTTCTCTGCTTTTATGGTAAGCTGTTATGTGATCATGAAATCAAATTTCATGATCATATAACAGAAGCATTTTTACAACCATTTTTCTAATAGTGTTGCATTGTTTGCCTCAAAATACTTCTACCGTGTGGATCTTCCTTTTCCTTGTAGGAAAGGGAAGACCTGGGGTCCCTGCCAGAGCATTGGTGCCAGTAATGGGGTAGGGGGGTCTCTAAAGGGCATGCAGCAAAAGACAACCAAAACCAACTCCTGTGTGACTAGGCAATTCTGGACTTTAGGTCCCATCTGAAGCAAAAGGCTTTCAGTTGAGGATGGATTTAAAGGCATAGGCAATTTAACTCACAGACAAGCTAAGAAAGATTCATGGAAACAACAGCGGGCAAGAACCAGAGTGCCTTTCTATGGTTACTACTGCGGCTATGTTCAGAAGCTATATGGGGGTCTATACAGTCACAGGCTCGCATAAAAATATTCTTCAATTAATAAATACACTGGGAAGAATGTGTATTACAGTAACCATAATTTGTGGTTGCATGAGTGCTAGAGGCTTGTAAAGCTTAGAAGAACAGACACAGAGAAGGCTGAAATGAGTATCATCTTTGCTTTCCCAAAGCCAGCCAAGTGTCAGCTAGAGCTTTTCACAGCTATGACAAGCTTTCTCCAGCCCTTGCTGGTGAGACCTAAGACTAGTGCCGTGAAGTAAAATGATACTCTCCTGGTTTCCTTTGCACAGGGCAACCAACAATTCTCCTTTCATTTCTTTGATTGGCCTCAATAATTCTGAAGATATTCAGAAGTTCAATCAAATATAGCTTGTAGAAGCAGCAGCCCACCACACTTATATATGCCTGCTCATATTCATTTAAATCTCTTCCACATTCTCTGAATCAAAAGCTACCTGGTCCAGTAGCCATGTTACCAAAGTCTTTAATCTCAATATTAACATGCACTGCTTTCCATTTTCTGTCTGACAAGTGATTCTCAGGTGATCAGCATGCCCTCAAATCTATTGTGAAGATTTACACCATTGGGCCACAATCACTGAAATATATGACTCCTGGTCCTGAGAGAGCAAATGGTCTCAGAGGCCCCAGCTTTCAGGTACTCAATATGTCACTGCCTCTGCACCACTGAGCAGTGTTTTCTAACCAAGATCGAAACATTTCCATTATACTTAGGGCTCATTTTTGGTACATAATCCTTTCTGACATAGACAAACAGCTATCTGTGCTGCCTACCCCTGTGTGTGAACTGTACTTTGAGTGGTAGATAGGCTAAGCCTCTATCTAATGCTTTTGTTCATTCTGGATCATCTTTCAAACTCAACCTGCCCGCCCGGTCCACTAGTAAAACTCAAATCAGCAAGGACTTCAGTATCTATAGTTCGCTTTTTCACAGCACGTCTCCAAATCAGTTGTCTCCAATTCCAGTGGCTGAAATCTATCTGTCATGCAAATCCTATCTGCACAAGGACTGTAAAAGTTTGAGTTGAATGTCTTAGTGCCAGATATAAATCTCTGCTCAAATAATATAATTAAATCACAACTCAATACATTTACAAACTAAATAAATTTTTATGAAATTATATTTCCCTTTCTGTGTGTGATGAGCTCTGGTATATTTTTGTCTTCCATTATACTCTACACTTGTCTACATTATTTCATTTTTTAAATGCTGAGCAAAACCCACTAAATCAATTTCACAATCGATTAAAAACATTCTTCGACATGGAGAATAAATGGCATTTAAAAATGAATGATCTTGATGTTAATAATATTTTTATGTTTAAATTTATAACATTGTCAAGGCTACATTGTGGTAGTTTTGGTTCTGAAGAATTTCAGGTTTTGTTTGTACACATAGAATTTCAGTGTCTGGCAGCAGATGTTGCAAGAATGTATGTGTTTTTTCTAAACGGTACCCAAGGATTTTGTAGAGAGAGGAATATTTCAAAAACTAAAAAGAAAGAATGAGAGAATGTTTTTCTGTATTGAAATGTACAACACATGCCTGAATAATATTAGACAGACTATTTCAAATAATAATTGTCTTAGAAAATCCAGGAGTACTGCTTACCAAAATGATATAAAATGTTTTCATATTTAAAATGAATTTCATATTTATATTTTAAATCACTGTTTGATTTCTAGTACATTAACATTCTGGACACTGCAAATGTGCTTATACAAAGTCATGTAAATGTATGGGTCAAGGAGTTCATTTGGTATTTCTCTGGGCATTAGCACAAAGATACTTGCTCCTTTCAATATAGTCTGTAATTCCTTTAAGTATTACATTTTCAGCTCTCAATTAGGTTTTCAAATCTTAGTAATTTGATGAATTTTCTTACCATCATGTCTTACTTTTAATAATTTAGTCCCTGACTCCACTTCTTGATTTTATGGGATGTTGTCATGGCCTACCCACTGATTTTTAATATGCTTTTCATATTTATGTGTATATGAATCTTTAGAACATTTAGCATTTTAACTATCGATATTACATGAATTGGAAGTATTTCTAATTCTTTACTGCAGAAATAAGTATTCATGAGATTAGATGAAAGGTATGAATTATAATTCTACTTTATTTATTAATAAAATAGCCTCAAAGATTCTTCATATCCTTTTCTGAAAAGAAAAGTGTTCAAAAGCTTCATGTCCTTGGTGATCATTTATTTTTGTTTCAAAATAAATGTAGATGTAAAGTTATATCATTAAATTTAATTCCCCCAATGGAAAGAACTTAGGGGGGGAAAATCCTGTTTTAAGAACTTTTACCACCCTTTACTTTCCACATATCTCTTTTCCTAAAAAAAGAAAATCAACTTAAAAGGACTAGTGATAGAAGTTTGCTTTTGTAAAACTTACAGAAGATATAATACATACAAAATGAATATTAAACATTTGAATATGTTTAGGAAAACCTTGAAATGAGCTCTTCTCGAGGGTTATAATGGATCTATATATAAATTATTTCACTATCTTAGATTTCTTTTTTTTTTCTTGAGACAGAGTCTCCCTCTGTCGCCCAGGCTGGAGTGCAGTGGCCAAGATCTCGGCTACTGCAAGTTCCGCCTCCTGGGTTCACGTCATTCTCCTGCCTCAGCCTCCTGAGTATCTGTGACTACATGCGGCCACCAAGAGACGGGGTTTCACCGTGTTAGCTAGGATGGTCTCGATCTCCTGACCTCGTGATCCACCCGCCTCGGCCTCCCAAAGTGCTGGGATTACAGGCATGAGCCACCGCGCCCGGCCTCATTTTCTTAGATTTCTAAGAAAGAAAACTGGTGGTTGAGATTACTTACCTGTTGAAATGAAAACTTCTTAAGAGTATTAGAAAATTAATGACAATAAATGTTTATAAGGTGATGACAACGAACTTATAAACAATCCAGAACTTAAGGTTCTAGCCAAGATGAAGCAGTTCATTCCTTTCCCTTGCACCTAAAAAACCCTGTACATAACACAACAAACAAGTGTGAAAAGACTCTGAAAGGTAGAAAGAAGAAGGAAACTATCCAGAACCTCAGAACTTGAGGAATGACACTGCAGGAAGTTCCTTGGGTTTTCTTATTGCTACCTATAACTCTGTGACAGGACGCTGCAGACACCCACAACCCAGAGCTACCAATAGGCATAGATAAAAATAAGCTCCAAGGAAAGCCTGCTTTCTCTGAACAAAGGGACAGCGAATGTACCAAAAGAACTCTCCAACTCACCCCTCGCAGTTCCAGCAAGGCAAAAAGGGAGTTAATTTTCTACCATCTCTTGATCCCATGGAAGCAGGCAGTGTATTTCTATATCCCCACAAGGTAGGGTTGGTATCTAATCATTATCTAGATATCTAATCATTTCCTTACATCAGTGAGTTATGTGAACTTCTAGTGATTGATTAATAACCATGCATTGTTTAGAGACTTCTATAGATTATAACCTCTAATAATTATGTTAGATTAAAAGTAACAAGGGAATTAAAATATCCCTCCCATGGCCCTACCACACTCCTCCAACAAATAAAATCAATGTGTCATTTGCTGAGGATACAGCAGTGAACAAAATGAAAAGTGTCTACAAGGAAAAGCAAAAAATAATCAAGAAAATAAATAAAATACATAGCGTATAGGATGCTGATGAGTATCAAGGAGAAAAAAACATGTAGCATGGAATGGAAATATGAAGTATTCAAAAAAAGAGGACAGAGTTATTTTTTTTAGATAGGGAATGTTTCACTCAGGGGATATCATTTGAGTAAAGACTTACGGAAGTTGGAGAACCAGGTTTGGAGAGAACTAGAGGAAGATGTTGAGAGAAATATGTCTCACATATTCAAAGAGTGGACTGCTGAGGAAGTGAGTAGTTAAGATGTAAGAATTGGAGGCTATCATTCAGGTGTATATTATGGGAATAATTGTAAGAACTTTGACTTTAATTCTGATTGGCAATGGAAACTATTAAAGTATTTTTAGCAGAAGGGTGACATGATTACCTCACATGTTAATTTGATCACTTTGGCTGCTCCATTAAGAATAGACTATAGCAAGGCAAAGGCAGATGGAGCTATTCCAATAATTGGGGATAATATGATAATTGGTTGGATTAGGAAGTGTTAGTCTTGTAGTTCATGGGCTGTGATTGAAGATAGAACCAATTGGATGCACTGATAGATTAGGTATAGAATGTGAGAGAAATTAAGGAGTGTAGGCTGACTCCAGGTATTTTTACCTGGACAGTTAGGCTATAGAATTTCCATTTCTTGAAATGAGGAGTATTATGACAAGCACAAGTTTGTGGGAATTTTTTGTCTTTTGTTTTCTGCTATAGGCTATGTTTTCGTTTTTGATTTTGGCGTCGGGATAGGCGGGAGGTTTCAGAAACAATAAAGAGGAACCAAACATAAATGAAATAGCCAGAAGAGTAAAAGGAAAATAAAATGAGCATAATGACTTGGAAAACAAATGAAGAAAGTATTTTGGGGAAGAGGGAATGATTGACTGTTTAATGCTGCTGATATATCAAACAAAATGGAACCAAAAATTGACGATTAGATTTACTAATGTGAAGGTCACTAGTGACCTTGACATAGAGTAGTGGAGAATAAAGACTGATTGATGTGGAGTCAAGAGGGAATTGCTGGAGACAAACTGGAAACACTAAGAATGGAAAATTAACATAAAGAGAAGGGGAGTGTAGACAGCATGAATAAAAGTAGTACCAGCTCAAGTTTATTGAGCCTTTTATGTGTGCCAACATAAGTACTTTATGTATTTTGTTTCATTGAGTTCTTATAACAAAGCTATGAGATAAATATTATTACTCTCCACATTTTAAGGGTGAGAAAATAGGTACATCAAGGTTAGGAAACTTGTCCAAGATCACAGAGAAATGATTTTTAAGCTCTTTGTTATGCTAACATTCAGGTAGTAAAACTGTATTGCTCAGAACATTTTTGCTATTTGTTGGACTTAAAGCAAAGAGGTCCATCAACAAATTTCATATAGCAGGAAGTCTGATGTTGCATGGTTATAGGTTTAGTTAACTCAGCAACTCAATGTCAGAGGTGCTGTTTTTGTTTTTGCAAAAAGTCTACAGCAGCTTTTAAAAATCACATTTTCATAGAGCAACACTTGAAAGCTGGAAGGAAGGGCAAGGAGATTCTCTCAGTGAGTATTTTATAAAGTGAGAAAACTTTCCTAGAATTCTCAACTTTTGTGCCTTATTGGCTAAAATAGAATAATTTACTAGGGTGCTTACCGCAAGGGAGGCTGGGAAAACTAGCACCCAGCCTTTTCAACCTTTGTAACGAGAGTTGAGTCACACCAGCAGAGAGAAGAAAGTGAAGAATGGCTGCTAAGTTAACAAATGTAGATCTGTCAGAAAGAACATTCAGGTCACACATACAGAGAGAAGCATGATAATATCATATAACTAAACCTATTGAGTAAAGAGACAGCCAGCACATTGAGATGGTATTACAAAGGAGTGGCAAAGACTGTAAGCTAGGCTTAATATAAAATGTGAGAATTTGTGGTTACCAAGTAAGTGGTCTAAAATATCCTAGGGCTGATCAACATAGAAAAGGCATTAGAAGACTATTCCCTATCCACTTACACAACTTGTGCATTTATCCACTCGGTCCTTTTCATTTACCACAGACAGCCATGATTCAAGTTTGCCTCACATTCAGTGTCCTCACAAAATTTGTAGTTCAGTATGGTTCCAGAAGTTAAAATTGTGTTAAAGTCAATTATAGCAAAAGATGTGTGTACTCTGGGATTACCTCACTATTTATGTATTTACGCTTTCACATTTCTCAGGTTTTAACCTAAAGATCATTTCCATAGCTGGCCCTCTCCTGAGCACTTTTTACCATTGACGAGTTTCTCCTCTGTTCTATTGCATATACCTTGTCTTATTATCTTAGACCCCCCATTTGGGTATGTTTTCTCTATATGTCACCAAACACATTGAATTTTAATTTCATCATTTTTGTATTGGATTAGACTAGATCTCCCAGGTCTATTTGACAGTAAACATTCTGCTAATTATTTAAGTGGGAAAACAAGGTAATTAAGTAAAACAAATACAAAAATTTGCAACAGCATGTAAGCAAGTATGTTTGGTATTATTTCACTTGCACCAAAAGATGTTTTTTGTTGACTCCCCTGTTGTCCACCTAGATTTCTTGTTAGGAAAATTTAAAAGGAAAGAGGAGCTAACTACACTTGTAATCTTATTGGAGGAAGTTATTGATGACAAACAGTTATTTGTAATGTAGATAGATATTGAATTTAAAAAGAAAATTTAGTGTTTATGGATTAGAAGACTTAATATTAGTAAAATGTCTGTACTACCCAAAACAATCTATAGATTCAATTCAACCTGTACAAAAGTCTCAATGTCATTTTTTACAGAAATTAAAAAAAATAAATAAAATTTTTGTGAAATCTCAGGGGACCCCAAGTAACCAAAACAAAAGATAGCTGGAGGCCTCAAACTTCCTGATTCCAGAACATATTACGTAGCCAGAGTGATCAAAAAAGTATGTACCAACATGCAGGAGAAAGAAAAGTCTCTTCAACAATTGATGGTGAGAAAATTGATTATCCACATGCAAAAGAAAGAAGCTGGACCCTCATCTTAGACCATCTAGAAAAAAATAACTTGAAATGAATTAAAAGCCTAAATATAAGACCTGAAACTATGAAACTACTAGAAGAAAACATAACAGGAAAGTTTCAGGACATTGGATTTGGCAGTCATTTTCTGAATATAATAGCAAAAGCACAAGCAACAGCAACAACAAAAAAGGCAAAGATAATACATCAAACTTAAAAACCTCTGCATAGTAAAGGAAACAATAGTGTGAAAAGATCATCTATGCAATGGGAGAAAATATTTGCAACCCATATATGTTATAAGGGGTTAATATTCAGACTATATAAAGAATTTCTATAACTTAACAACAACAAAACCAAATAACCAATTACAAATGAACAAAGGACCTGAATAGATATTTCTTCAGAGAAGTTATATAAATCACCAACAAGCATAGGAAAAGATGCTCAACATCACTAATCATCAGGGGAATAAAACTAAAATTACAATGAAATATCATCTGCCACCCATTAGTATGACCATCATTTAAAAAAAAAAATAACAATTGCTGGTAAAGATTTGGGGAAACTGGAATTCTAGTACACTGTTGGTGGGATTATGAAACAATGCAGCCATGATGAAAGCAGTATGAAGTTTCCTCAAAAAATTAAAAATACTATATGATCCAATAATTCCACTTCAGAGTATGTATCCAAAAGGAATAAAAATAGGCTCTTGAAGAGATATTTGCAACTTATCTTTATCACAGCATTATTCTTAACAGCCAAGAGGTGGAAGCAACCTAAGTGTCTATTAATGGATGACTGGACAAAGAAAATATGATATATGCATATCATGGAATATTCTTCAGCCTTAAGCGAGGAAGAAAAGCCTGTTATATGCTACACAAGGATGAACCTTGAGAACATTATGCTACAAAAGGGCAAATATTGCATGGTTCCACTTATTTGAGGTATTTACTCAACCTCACAGAAACAGATAGTAGAATAGTTGTCATTAGGGGCTGGAAAAAGAGTGAAAGGGGAGTTGTTCAATGTGTGTAGAGTTTTAATTTTGCAAGATGAAAAAGTTCAAACATCTGTTATATAATAATGTGCATATAACTAACACTACTGTACTGCATACCTAAATATGCTTTTTTACTACAATAAAAATGAGCACATGAAATTTTAGCCAGAAGAAAATTATGTGTATTCACAGTGATCTGAAATTGC
Organism: Homo sapiens; assembly: GCF_000001405.40. Classification (NCBI taxonomy): domain Eukaryota; kingdom Metazoa; phylum Chordata; class Mammalia; order Primates; family Hominidae; genus Homo; species Homo sapiens. The sequence goes on from NC_000013.11 coordinate 58,918,307, forward strand.
TCAACTATAACGAAAAATTTCATACGGAAAATTTACAATGTGTTGGGTGCAGTGAAGGAGCCTGATAGGGACTGCTTATGGTTCTATTCTACCAATGAGGAAATCAGGTTAGAAGATTAAGTTTTTGGCCTAAAGACACACATCTCGGTAAGTGGTTACATTATTATTCAAATTAAGGACACCTGATTTTAAGCATGGTAAATATTTTGCAGTGTGAAATTTTGGTATAGTAAACTTTATTAACTTTGCCAAGCTCATCAAGTTGATAACTATACATTAGTTCATCTTATTTACAATATACAAATATGTATATATACACATGGAATAGATGTAGACACTTCATAACAGCAGTGCATCCTGCAATTCTGCCTCTAACGATCTTTACCTCATTTGCTACTTTTTACTACTCTTTCTCCCACGGTATAAGAGGAAACATGGATTATTATCTCATTTTGTTGTTGAAAAAAATGATGTTAGGAGAAGTTAAAGTAAGTTTATCAAAGCAAATATTTTGTTAATAGCAGAATCAAGAAAAAAAAAAAACACACATCTTCTTGGTCTTTGTCCAGTGCTTTTCCCAAAAAGTATGTTACTAGCTACCATTTGGTAATTTTACACACTATTAAAAAATGACTAAAGTGTCCTCAATGCTTCACATAAATTTAAAAAATAAAGCACAAGCTTTCCAAGAAATGTCTAGCCATGAGCTCCTTAGGACTTTATTCTTTTTCTCCTAGGAGGTTTGCATTATGTCTCATCTATTATAATAGCACTCATATAAAAAGTTTTAGAAGCCCTGTTTAAAATATTTTCTTAATCTATGTGTTGCCATAAATACATCTACGGAAATAGAAATTACTTTTTAAAATCTGTATGAAACCAAAGCCCATTCTTTCCTTAACTCAATTCGTGATATACCAACTTTTTCTTTCCTTCCTTATTTATTTATTTTTTTTTGTGAGACACAGTTTCACTCTTGTCACCAGGCTGGAGTGCAATGGTGAGACACTGGCTCACTGCAACCTCCGCCTCCCAGGTTCAAGCGATTCTCCTCCTTCAGCCTCCAGAGCAGCTGGAATTACAACCAACCGCCACCACGCCCAGCTAATTTTTTGTATGTTAGAGACGGGGTTTCACTATGTTGGCCAGGCTGGTCTCAAACTCCTGACCTTGTGATCCACCCACCCTGGCCTCCCAAAGTGCTGGAATTATAGGCATGAGCCACTGTGCCCAGCGAGACACCAACTTTTTCTTAGGCTGTGCTTGATTTATGTTCGTTACGTATATAATCCTCTCTGTCTCTCTCTCTCTTTCTCTGTCTTTGTATCTGTCTCTGTCTTTCTGTCTTTCTCTCTCTCTCTCTGTATCACTATTTCAGTGCAAATGACACTCTGTTCCACATACCTCTGTTCACTTCTTCCTGTCTTAGCTCTGCTTAGTGATTTATTGTTCCCAGACAGTACCCATTCTTATGGCCTTCCCACATAGTAGATGTGCTTCCTCAGCTGTTTGTGTGGTTCCCTGACAATATTGTTTATACTGCAAGCCAACTAAGAGAGGCTTTAGCTTCTTAGCCTCCTCTAATTATTCAGATTTGCACTCTTTTAAAGTCAGTTGAACAGAGGAAGACAGCGGATCAGATGCAGCTTATGCTAGTTTTTTAAGATTGATCTTTTCTTCCTATCTGTGTCTTACAAGAACAGTATTTATTTTATTATTTTAATTTATGAGTAATTCATTATTTACTCTTTCATTGTATACAATCTCTCTTTTTCTCTACAGCGTCTAATTCTATTATTTCTTTTAAAATGACATTTAAAAATAAATCTGTGGTATTATTTGAAGTGTAGGTTTAACTGGAGGCATAATCGAGGCTTTTACCTCTACCTTGGTTTTATTCTTTAAATAAGTATTTATAGGATCGTAATATGTGGAGGAGGTAATATACAGATCACAGACATCCGCTACTACTTAATACAAAGAAGGAAGGATCCAAGTCCATCCAGAAATCTACTAAAGTCAACTATGTCTTAGGTGAAACGAAAATATAAGAGCAGTGATTCAGAAGAGAATATGAATGGAGAGGAAAACATGCATTTGGGAGAATGAATTTTTAGTTATTATTTATCCAAAATGTAGAAGATGAATACCTGTGGGACATGAGTAAACATCACTTTTTTTTCTAATTTGTTCTTCATTAATAGTTTGCTATTGTTCTCTAGCACTTTGTTTTCCATAATTCGATTGTAAAAAGCTCAAAGAGCCTCATATGTGCACCATAGGCGTAGTAATGGCTCAGTGACTGATGAGAAAAAAAATGGTATACATTTTTTAATTTCTCAAAAATATTATGATGTTATTTAATTTCAAAATATACTAGATAGAGAACATGAGTCTTTGAAGCCATTTCTCTTGAAAAAATAAAAATCTTGAGAGCTTCTCTCATTCAGCTAAGAACTTCTGGCAAAAGCACTAATAATAATTTGTCTTATATTGAGTTAATTTTTTTCCTTCTTTATAATAGTGTTTTATTAAGGTATTATCCTCAAAAGATTGTGTTCAAATTTATTGCAGATTAAATTCCTGGAAAAGGGATTGTAATTTGAAATAACGGTACTCACATCTTATTTTCCCAGTGGAACAAAATTATAATAGAAGGTTACATTTCTAACCCTGAGAGAGCCTGATGCCCGTTTTTATAGAAATAGCCACAAATATCATGTTTAATTAACTGTAAATGATATATCAATATAATTCGAGATTTAGAATTCTTTGTATTCTAAAGGATATATACTTTGGGGAAGGAGAACAGCACAGTGACCCATCACATAAAATTGCATTTATATAATAGAGTACAACAGAATACATTAATAAAAACTTAAAATAATGGATTATATGGTGGGGCATGTGAAAGTATTTTAGAGGCACAGAGCCCAGCCTTTAAAGTTTGGAACCAGTGCCACAATACCTTGAGGGTCAGAATACCAGGCTACTGGCCAAAAATTCCTGTGCCCAGAGTGCTCTGGTTCCTATAAATGACACTGGAGTCAATGGGAACAGCAAATAATTCCTTTGAAAACCTTGTTAGCAAACGTGACTTCACATCCCCGGTTACTCTAATCACCCACCACACAGCATATCTTCCCACACAGAAATATCTTCAGGTATCTGTGCCGTCCCATATTCTTGTCCAATAATAATCTGTGTTTCCTCTCTCCTAACCTTGCCTTACAGTGTTCTTCCTCCCTAACCTTTGCACTTGGACCTTGGTTTCACTGAAAATTTTAACATCTTGCCTTAAGCAAAAATGTTTTCTCCTTAAATACGCTACTAGCGCTGAAGCACCCACAAGTAAAAGCTATCTGTGACGAAGACTTGGTACCTGTTCATCAAAACCTGTTTCTGTTTTTGTTTTTGTTTTTGTTTTTCCACTTGGCCTAGCAGCCCTCACAAATAAGTGTGACCATGTGCCAATGTGTGTAAGGAAAAATGTGAGTGCTGCTTCCAGTTATGGCCCATAAAAACTTCTTATGTGCAATCTTGTAAAGGATCTTCCCTTTTCCTGCTGGCTTTACTGGAGACCACCCCAGGGAAGCCTTGGGAACCACCTATGGAGATGACAGTAGAGCCAAGGTCAGAACGAACCTGGGTCCTTAAATCATTTCTTGGACGAGAGCCAGTCAGAAGAGCTGACAACTGAGATTGTTGCATGAGTGCAAAAAGTAATAATAATTTTTATTTTAAGACACTAAATTATGGATGCTTTTTTGTTACAACAGTGAGCAGTGCCCTAATGAATACACTGCCAATTCATCCACACCATAATGCCCTAGGACTAAGAGACATTTTTTGCATACTCCTTGTTTTGTATTCCCTAATGCCTTTTCATCTCCAGTAAGTTTCCTCCTTTTCAGTTTCTCTTCCCATGGCACCAAACTGAAATTTATCATTACCCAGAATGTCGATATCTTGGAGATACTAAATTCAAACATCCCACTCTCCAATCACAGCGTCCTTTTAGTTCATTCATTCAGTTATTCTTACTTAGCTTGATTTTCATCTTCTTACCGTATTTATTTCCTTGACTCTTCCATTTTCTCCCTCCACTCCTTAACTGCTCTCTCTGTCTAACTTAGATTGGGTGGTCCAGCACGTCCATCAGCCTCTTGGTATTGGCAATCCCATTTGCCAATTTAATCTCCTCAAGAGATTAGTGGCATGAATCTACATGGATTGGTACCTTTATCAATGCAAGGTCTCTGATGTCAATGAAGTTCTCAACGTGCCTGGAAATAATTCTATATTTTCCTACTCAGCTCCTTCTACTGTCCACAGATGTTATTTCAAACTGTCTACATTTCCCCAAATCTATGATACCACAATTCTGCCTCTCTCCTAGCCAGGGCCTATTTCTCACTTCACAGAAAAAAGAAAAAGGAGTTGCTAGAAGGGACTATCTAATAACTTCTTGATCTGAAACCTAAACTTAAATCACATCTTGTTATAATGGAAACTGTTTTTCTATTATATTTAATTCTTCACCTTTGATTGAGATGTCTTAGGGTTGGTAGATAAAATATAGGATTCCCGGTTAAATTTGACTGTAAGATAATAAAATTATATATATGTATGCAATATATAATTATATATGTAATAAGTCATATAACATATTATATAATATAATAAGTCACTGGCAATATTTAGAACATACTTATACTAAACAATTATTCATTGTTTATCTGAAATTCAAGTTCATCTGGGCATCCTGGTTTTGTTTTTTTGTTTTTGTTTTTGTTTTTGTTTTTTGCTTAATATGGCAACTTGATTCACTCCGCTTCTATCTTTTCTCCAATTTTTCACTAAATATTCTATTTTCTTTTCTGTTTTCAGTATTAGTTATTCCCCATAAACATTCAGGATATTCAGTTATCTCCTAAACTAAATCGTTTTGCATGGGCTGCATGGTCCTCTCCAGTGGCTTCTTATGTCTTGTGCTTTATAACCTATTGAAAGTCGTGTAGGCACACTATTTATTCTGTCTTCACTTCACATTCGGTAATCTGGCCTCTACCTTTACCAATCTACTGAATTTTCTCTCATCAGAGTTTGTATTAATTTTGCAAAATCATATGGACACTTAGTCTTGACCTTACTTGACTTTTAACTAGCATTCGACCCTAGTGAACTACTGCCCTGTTTCTTGAACTACTTTCTTTCCCTGGACATTCATGATACTGGAGTGGTCGTCTTGCTTTTGTCTCTCTGACTGTGCTTTGTACGCTCATTTTTGGGTCTCTCTTCTGCCTAAGCTTAAAGGTCATTGGTGTCGAGGCCCTCTGCCTTACGCACCCTTTCTAGGAAAGCGCCTATTCCAAGGCTTCAGTCATCATCTCTAGCACACCTGGAGCCCTGATCTCTATCCTGACATTTAGGTATGTATTTTCTGCTGTCTTCCAGACATAGCTACTTGGGTGTACTTCAAGATCATCAAATCTAATATGACTATAAGTAAACATCATCTCTACCTCCAAAGCATATTTACTTCCTTGGTCTAGATCTCATTGTAAGGCAGGAGGAAACTGAGTCTCATCTCTAAACACCCCAATCACTTCAAATCTTCAAACTAATTTATCTTCCAGTATTAAAAACTTTATTTCCTACACATATTTCAAATTAAGTCCCTCACTTGCACCCCCTGTCTCCACTTTGAGACTTGCACCTTTACTTCAGACCCAGATTTCACACAAAAATCCATACATGGTCCCACAGGACAGGAGGATTGGGATTGATCTGCTCCACCTGCTCTTCTCGAGAATCTTTTTATCAAAGTGTGTGAAACATTTTGTTTACTGTTGCCATTGAAAAACAAGGGATCTGCCTTTGGAAATGTCTCAAATGGTGTAATGGAGTTAATGACTGGTTGCCTTCGCTGTCAAACCCTGGCTCCAAGAGAGAACATTAACAATGTCCAGACAACAGATAATCCACCTATTGCTAGCTTTCTGTTGTCCTATCTGATTCATGCCTTATTTAAAATAACTAAAAGTTAGGCCAACCATAGAAAAAAGGACTTATTTGTTATTTTGGCAAATGCTTAACAGAGAGATATTCATGGAACAACCAGTTAAATGATCTGTAGCCACAAGGATATTGCACAGATATGGAGTATACAGTTCCAAAGAAAAATTTCTAGACATTATGTAGTCTTGATTACCTCTAAATATGCGTTATTATGAGATAGTGCTTTCTGCTGTCTCCATTGGTAGATGGAAATAATCTTTTCATTTGGAGCAAATGAAAGGTATCACAAGGAGCTCTAGAATATGTTCCTTCCCATGGTCCCATCCTTATTCCTTTCTTCATGGGGAAACTATGTGGGGGATATATCTTGGGCTACTTTCGTAGCCAATGTATAGGCATTGTAATACTTATAACCAGTTTCTCAGCCTCAGCACTATTGGACATGCTGGGGGCTGCTCTGAGCATTGTAAGATACCTAATAGCATTCTTGGCCTCTACCTATCAGATGCCAGTAGCATCCATATTCAAGTTGTGACAATAAAACGTCTCCAGGCATTTCCAAATGTCCTCTTTGAGTGAAGATGGGGGACAGCAAAATTGTTCCAGGGTGAGAATCACTGTTTTATACATTATCCCATTAATATGTGATAAGATCTGCTATTCCTAAGGCAGAGCTCCTCTTCCACACCTCAGAAGGTTCATACACTTACCTGAAGGGCTTACTTCTCCCATCCACCATCTTTGCACCTCCAAGTTGATCCAGTAGGCTCTTGGCTAATCTACCACCAGTAAAAAGGAACACCCTATGCTTTTGCATAAGCCAGGACTACTGGCATTCCTTTAGGGTAACCCCAGCCTGTCATCCTGTGAGCCTTTCCAGGTGACTCTTAATGCTTCACTAGAAAGGTGTCCATTGACTGAGAATGAGGCCAGTAGCATGCACATTCCCTTTGTTCATTCCCGAGAAACAATAAATACTGATTATTTTCACCAAGATTTGCCACCTAGTAGTACATCCAATCTGATATTGATAAGGAAGTAAGGTAGTCATCTTGGTCCACATAAAATGGTATTCTCTCCACAGAGGGGTCTTCAAAATTTCTAAGATAGCCCATTTTAGTACTAGTTTAATAAGCAAGATACCAAAGTTTGATGTCAAACTTTTTGGGACTATTGCAAATTCTGAGGGTCTTTTTCCCTGCCATCACCCCTGATATCATTCTTCTCTCTAGTTCCTCCAATCTGGTATCAATGTTTGTTGAGGTTAGCAAATTAGATTTAGAAGCATTTTCTAGTTATTTCAGAAAAGTTCAGAATGGCTCTTCAGTGAAACCCCTACTCAAATCCTGCATGATAAATTACCCTGGATGCCTTTATATATAGAATTACATCATAATCAACAGTTAGCAAGGGGTCTCAGCACTGTTTTCTCTATGTGGTCTTACATTGTCTAAGACCTTAAGGAATCATACCTCATGTTCTTACAAATTCTTTCCAAAAATGCTGCTATCAACCACACCACATCTCCCAACAGCCTTTATTCCTAACTACTTTCCCATCAACTTCCCTGAAAGATGATGAGATTTCTGGAGATAGTACAAGTACTTTCAAACTGAAAAAACAAATAATAAAATACAAAATTTTAACTTATAACAAATGAGGTCTATCTTTTTCTATAGTGAAATACTCATGCCTCAGTGCAGCCTTGACCTCCTAGGCTCAAGAGATCAGATCCTCCCACCTCAGCCTCCCTAGTAGCTGGGATTGCAGGTGTGTGCCATCAACCCTGACTAACTTTTTTTTGTATTTTTTTGTAGATATATGGTTTCACCATATTGCCCAGGTTGGTCTTGAACTCCTGGACCCAAGAGATCCACCCACCTTGCTTGGAGTGCTGGGATTACAGGCATGAGCCACAATGCCTGGCCAACATTTCTTTTATCTTGTCCTTAAATGATTGACTTTTGACAGAGTAGTTCTACTGAAACATGCCTTAAATGCTTGGGCTCCTACAGCTGTCTTCATTCTTCATGCTTATATCCCACTGATGGAGAAGGAGCTTTTGATTCCCTTCCTGCCATCTTTTCTTCCATTTCTGTAACACTGGAAAATCAAGTAAGTCAATACTGTGCAAATTTAATTCCAGAGCAACTTTTTCCCATCAGGTGCCTGACAACTGGGCCTACTTGGGCCTAATTGGAGACTGACTTGCTGTGTCATCTGACCCTATTTGATGGCATGTGTTAATACAAATGGCATGTCAGGGATAGGGAACTAAGCTAAGAATCACTTTACTTTCATCCAAGATGGATTAGAACTTGGTGAGCTCACTTATTTCAGTGAAGCTTCTTGAGGACTGACAAGTCTCATAAAGAAACACATACCATTTATGTCATGACTAAAATATTACAGTGACTAGAACACCCCACACCATTGCTGAGTACTTCAAAATCACAAATATACTCTAAAGTAAGCCACTGGTCTTTAACATCAGACTGCATAGTCCATTACCAAAACATGGAGCCCAGAAAAAGGTATAAAGAAAGTTGTTTATTTTAGTCTCAAACTATTGTAATTCTTATGAAATTCACTCTGAATACAGACTCAGGAGAGCCTACTATACCGTATCACTCTGCCATCTGCCGCTGCTCCAGATTCTCAAAGTGCAAGTGAGACCTTGTGCTTCTATGGGTGCCCACAAAGCAACTCATATCTGAGATCTGAGGGACCACATCTACCTTTCCAGATTCTATGCACCTTCTCATTTCCTCTTCCCCTACTATCTTGTCAGTCCATAAAGGTTTCTCATTCTTCCGCTTAACCATTACCACTTTAGAACAAAACCACCCTCTTCTCTCACTGGAGTGTCACTTTTCTGTGGTCATGAGTGTTTCTTTATCATTATTCTCTACATAGAGGTCAGATAATTTTTTTAGATGTAAATCCAGTTATGGCCCTCTTAAAATCATCTAATAAATTCCCATCCCTCTTAGAATTAGAATCAAATCCAAACTCTGCAAAACCCCAAAACACTGTGTTCTGTGTTCTGGCCTCTTTCCGACCACTGTCCTCTTCAATGTACTCTTTCCAGTGACTTTCATGTGTTTCCTAAAACACATTTAGTTTTGTCCTTCTGTCCCTCAGTATCTTCCCTCTGAGGGTTATACTTCTCTCTGATGAGATAGCCCCTCATCATTTAGGTCTTTGTTCAAAGTCACTTTCTCATAAAAACATCCTACCAACTTTATCTGGAAGAGTATCCTTCCTCCTTGCCAGATATTCTAATTTCTTGAAGAAATAATCATTTTATGAATTGTTTTCATATTTGTTAACTTCTTAAGGCATAAACATTACATGGTTCACTACTGTACCTCTAGCAACAAAGTAATATCTAGCATGTAATAGGAGCTCAATACTATTTGAATGAAGGAATGCCCACTTCCCACTCCTAATCTCTGTACTATCTTCTCCATTTAAGCTGAGGTGATCAGTTATTCCAGTTTCCGTCTTTTCTTTGTTTTGTTTTGTTTTGTTTTATGTTTTTCCTGGATGAAGCTGGAGGAAGATTTTAGATACCGGGAAGGGAAAGAAAGGATGAAAGGAAGGAAGGAAAAATGGAAGGGAAAGAGAGAGAAAGAAGGAAGAAGCAAGGGAGGGAAGGAAGAAAGAAATTCTGATTAGAAACTTCAGAGTTTAATTGGGCAATTTATACAAGAAGGGGGTAAACCTCCTAGCATATTTTTAATATTTTCTAATACAAAAAAATTCTTCCTCTTTATTCACTGGTTTTAGTTGCATTACAGAAGGTTCCCTTGAATTTTCTTGCTTGTTCAGTTCTGTATTCAAAGAAAGGCAGTGGGGATTATCCTGTGCACCCAGACCTCAAGCCCTCAGGCTCATAGATGCCACATAGACGTTAAAGAAAAAGGAAAGTTATTACAGCCTCAAAAGCTAAGATATTTTAAAGGAACTAGGAGAATGGACTGGGAAATATTGAGATATGGAAAAGAGTAGGTAGAGCAGAAAAACTTGCTGAGTGATGGACATGGACACTGAGAGTGTGGAATCAAAGAGTTGTAGGTGTTTTGCTTGATAAATCGGTTAATATTGGAATAATTTTGTAGATGAAAAGTTGGAGAAAAGGTCGGTTAGGAGAATGCTTTTAAATATATGGTTCTATATTTGTGATGTCTATTAGAAATGGAAATATTAATGTTGATGAAAAGAGTCAAACTCTGTAAAATATTTGAAGAGATTTATTCTGAACCAAATATGAGTGATGAATGGCTCATGACACAGCCCTACAGCCTTCAGGAGATCTTGAGAACTTGTGCCCAAGGTGGTATGGCTACAACTTGGTTTTATACATTTTAGGGGCATAAGACATAAATCAATACATGTAAGATATATATTGGAGGATCAGGGGTTGGGGAGGGTGGGAGGGTGGAGTGTTGGGGAGAGTGCAGGAAGGCTCCTAGGTCATAGATTTTCTGATTGGCAATTGGTTAAAATAGTTGTTATCTAAAGACCTGGAATCAACAGAAGGGAATCTCTGGGTTACAATAAGGCATTGTAGAGACCAAGGTTTTATCATGCACATGAAGCTTTCTTGTAGCAGGCTTTAGAGAGAATAGATTATAAACATTAATATTTCTTATCAGACTTGAAGAATCTGTTCTATCCATAATTACAAAAGTGAGAAGGATATAATGAGGGCTGTCTAGCTCCCCCTTCCCATCATGGCCTGAACTAGTTTTTCAGGTTAGTTTTGTAATGCCTTTGGTCAAGAGAAGGGGCTCGTTTAGATGGTTGTAGGGATTAGAATTTTATTTTTGGTTTACATTAAGTTGGTGGTCAAAGGTATGATTCTAGGTTAGGGCAGACAGAAAGAATAAAAATAATCGATAAGGTATAGAATGTTTTGCAAACCAAAAGCATGTGAGATCACCTTTATGATTTCAACCCAATCATGTCCATTGCATTATATCATAACATATTTTTAAGAGCCATTGTATTACCCTAATATAAAATTTACATGCTAAATATCCTTTTATATCCATAGTTGTTAAATCTATACTACTTTAATAAGTATAAAGAAGAAATAAAAATAATTTAATTTATATTATTTAATATACATTTCAATATCAAATGTTCAGATATGGCTATACTAAATATACCTTATCATATATAAGTTCATAGTTGAATAAGTGAGACAATATTCCATTTAAAAATGGTCACAATTTTTTTTCTATTTAACATTTAAAATAAGAGGAGAGAAGAAGGATTTGGAGGTCGATGTTTGATATTAATATACTTCAAAATCAGAAGATAAAGTAAAATTGTATTTTAGTTTCCTATTACTGCTGCTAAGAAATTACCAAAAACTTAGTGATTTAAAACAACACAAATTTGTTTCTTTTAGTTCCAGATATCAGATATCCCAAATCAAGGTTTTGGTAGGGCTGCTTTCTTTTCCGAGGCTTCAAGGGAGAATCTGTTTCCTTGCTTCCATATTCTAAAGGTCACTTGCGTTCTGTGGCTCACAGATTCTTCCTCACACACACCAATCTTTTGCTTCACTCCAACCTCTTCTTCATTGTCAACATCTCCCACTGTCTGACTCTGCCTCCTCTTGTATCCTTTTGTTAAGTATCCTGTGAGTACAGTGGGCCCACATCCACATGAATATTCCAGGATAATTTTCCCATCTCAAGATTCTTAACTTGATTACAACTGCAATGTCTTTTTTGCCATGTAACATTCACAGGTTCTGGAAATTAAGACATGAATATCTTTGGAACAGGGAGGGGCACATTATTCAGCTCACCAGTTTTTGTTCTGGTAGCTTCTATTTTCCTCAATTAAAAAAAAAGTGAGATCATCCAATGAAAGTGAGAATAGGGAGACAGATTATAAGAGGTTCAAAGAAAGAAGAGAAGGTGTGAAAACATCAACTCAGAGAGTGGAAAAGGAATTGACCTAGTGAACAGAGTAAAAATACTTGTTGTTTCAAGGACCACCTCAAATTAGAATCATTAATTTAAAATAGGGCCATTACCACAGTGTAATAGGCCTCCAGCCTCACTAATCTTCTTGAATGCTGGTGAATAGTCAGGAGACAGCTGGGCTTAACAGGATTGGAGTTTACCAGATTAATGCTGCAGAAGGAAAGGGATGCTAAACTGAATTTAAAAGAAAAGGAATAGATAGGACATATAGACAGTGGGAAAGTAATAGGGTCAGTCAGTGATCACAATTGGTGGGAGATGGTTGGAATGTGGGGCCATCAAAGATGAACTATGCAAAATTGCAATATGGAAGGTATTAAAGTTTTGATCATGATGAGGTCTAAGTTATAGCCATGCAAAAGAAGATAACTACTCTACCCCTAGGCTTTGCATATCTGAAGTATATGTTAATAGCCATGTACCATAACTGCCATTATAAAAACCATAAACAAAAATACCTGTGGAAAAGCAGTGACTTTAGGAGAATGATTTGAAATACAAAAAAAAAAAAAAAAAAAAAAAAACAGATTAATGGAATGTTTACGGAATAAATTATGTATATAGGTTTCAAAGGCTGGGATTTGTTTTCCAACAATACCTATGTTGAAGTCCTAACCCCCAGGACCTCAGAATGTGATTGCATTTGAAGATAGGATTTTTAAAGAGGTAATTAAGTTAAAACGAAATCGTTATTGTGGGCCCCGATTCAGTATGATTAGCACCTTTATTAGAAGAGGAAATTTGGATACAGTTATAGAGAGAAGACCATGTGAAGAGACAGGAAGAAGATGGCCATCTATAAGCTAAGGAAAAAGGCCTCAGAAGAAATCAGTTTGGAAACACCTTGATCTCAGATTTCTAGCCTCCAGAATTGAGGGAAAAAAGATTGATGTTTAAGCCATGCAGTTTGTGGCACTTTGTGATGGTGGTCCTGGAAAACAAATACAATCTGAGTTCCAGAGGATGTGGTCAACGGGTTTGATGAGTTGAGATGGGGAGTGATCAGATCATGAGTCAAATTACAGAACAAGCAGAAAAAGAATGGAGATAGGAATATGGTGATGTTAAATGACCTATAAAACTCAAACTTCTTGTATTTACTGAAGAAAACAGAAATACAGGATATACCAGGATTAAACCTGGTGGTCTTTTATGAAAAGAATACTACTTAACTCGAAGTATGGTTTGCATCATGGAATTAATCTTTTAGATAGTAGTGAAGAGGCAAGAATTTTTAAGGATATTAACAGTCTTATCACTACATGATTATTAATTCATAATACATTGGAAAAGAAGGATTTCTGATAAACAGTAAACTAGTAGCTTTTTAATTTGATGACATAGCTAAAGAAATGAGTGATGCTGACAAAATTTTCTGTAGAATGTAGGACTAACCAAGTCCAATTAAGAAAAAAGCCAAAGAAATAGAGCACATGACACACAGTGCCGTATGTATATATATATATATAGAGAGAGAGAAATCTTAAATACTTGCTGAAGAAAACAGCACATCAATTAGTGCCACTGGAAATAGCCAGACTGAATTATGAAGAAATGTCAGGAGTGGAAAATAAGAGAAAGTTTAAGTCGGTCATTTAATTCACGTACAATTGTGATACACTGCAAACAAAAGCCCTGAGAAAAACAGCACAGTGTAGGAGAGTAAAGTCATTGGAAATCACAGACCCACTTTTCAGATAATGAGACCCAGATTTATAATTGGGAGCTGCATTTTCTGCAATTTTCTGAGGGAATATCTTTTTAACTTTCAGCAACTGAGGGTATTGGCAAGTACTTGACAACTCATATCTTAATAAGCAAGAAAGACCAGCCAATCAATAAACTGTGAAATGACAAATATTAGCAATTAGTGTTGAGTCTAAACTGTAGCCACATCAGAAGGTAAATACTCTCCCAAGCATTGCTCTTTAAGTACTGGTAATATGTACAGGCTTTGATGTTGTATTCCAAATACAGTGAGCCTCAGCCTAGAGACTCTTGCATTAATCACGGCTTACTACCCTAACCAATATATAGTGGCATCAGACTTTTGACGTAGCAACTTTCTAATCACTAGGGAAATTAGCAGCATTTTCTTTTGTGTTGCTTGCAGTTCCATTAACTCCTACTTGAATCTATTTTGTTTCTGTTTTGTTTATTACACATATATAGCAGGTACTTAACGTTGCTTCATTATTCAGGATAAATGTCCATCTTTGTTTCTCCTTCTTGCCGTACATGAAAGAAACAGTATATAAAGAGAGGCTTGAGTTTCCTCCTTGAATTTACCACATACATAAAAGAGAAGATGAAGTTGTCCTTAACTTTTCTAGAAGAACTTTATGACTAAATGGTCACCAAGCAGGAGAAATTATACTAATTAATGTGGCAAAATTCAAAAGCTGTAGCCAACAACTATAAGGAATAAGTGAAGTTAATATTGTTGGAGTTTAAGCTGTTAATAGAAAGCAAAAAGTGCTCAGTTTTCCATTTGTGAAATGGGGAGCTTAGAGTAGTGAATATAAAATAAATAGATAAATAAAACTAACTTTCAGAGGAAGGTCTTAGAGAATGATGTCTAAGAGGAAGAGCCATAGGATTATACAGAGCTCTATCACTTTATAGCTTTGTACATTTAATTCACTAAATTTCTTCATTTCTAAAATGTGGACAGTAATAAATATGCCTTGTATAGTTCTATAAGGATTAAATTAGAGTATAAGAAGCATTTATAACAAAGCCTCAGACATCATAACATCCAATAAATATTAGCAGTGTTAGTTGTGATTATTATCATAATTATAAATAATTTTACTAATATTTATTGCATTTCTACCATGTGAAAAGTGATTACAATAAAAAGCAATTTATATATCTTAAGAGTGACAATCAATTTGAAAAGTTCAGTTTGAAATTTTATCACCCAATTTTTCCCCCTCCGCCATTTTCACAACTCCAGTCTAACCACCTGAATGCAAAATTATACTCCTCAGCAATTTAAATTATGCCATTATTCCTTTGCTCATTTTTATCACAGATTTAAGCTCTACAGTGCTATGAAACCTGCAGACACAGAAGTTCATGATTTATGTATGTATTTGATAGCCTCACCCCTGACATCCTAGCCTCAAATCTAGACTCTTAAACTGCCTACTTAGCTCTGTTAACTGATTTTAATCTTGCATATTAGAGAAGTCATTCAAATGTTCTTAGGCATTATCATCTTGGCACTTTAATTGAAATATATCTTTACATTTTAAAAAAAAGGAACATAACAGTGAATAAAAGCAGCCCTTTACTCACACAATGTATGCTAATGTTGACCCAACTGCTGTTGGCTTTTCAAAGGACTCCTGTGATTTCCTGGAATTTCCTGAACTCAGCACTTTGATGATCATGGATATTTTAACTTCATTGCTCTCCCAATTGCAAAGGAGCTTTTGACATTTGGATTTTGTGTTCATTTAATGGCAACTGCAATTAAAGCTTTCCCACATCAATGAGCTAACTTTCTAAGGCCACTTCAAAGGGTGAATTCAATATTCACATTCCATGATGCTTATTGATCTGTGTGCTACTATTTGTGTGACTGGAAAACTACTCATTAGAAAATTTCCTGATGCCATTGATACAGAATAGTGAACAGAACTAATTTCACTCAAGTATTCTGCATTTGTGTAATGAGAACATAGCTTAAGCCTAAATAACACATTGGTTAACATGAGGCATATATATAGGAAAAAAAAAAGCCAAAATCTCAGGCCTGACCAAACAATGCTTATTTAGAGAGGATGAGTATCCAAGCTGCAGTTATGGATCTCTGAGAGTGCATAGTCACTTCAGAATCACTTTTAAACATTCTCCCAAGAATCTGGAGATTCAGAAAGCTCAGAGCCAGAAGCCTTCCACTTGAGCCTCATGAACTCAAGTGGATTTAGGACTATGTGATACCCACCCCAGTTTCACATGGTAGAAGTGAGACATTGCCTTTTTTGAGTCCTATCGACATTTAACACTAGGTTTTTCTGTTGCTGGCACAAATATTTTCAATTTCAGTTTGATTTTTACCAGATAGAAAGACATAGAAAAAAAGTAAAACAAAGAACCCCAGAACAATTTAGGACTGCGTTGTTTAATGAGGACCTGCCCAGGATTATATCTACATATTAAAAAGTAGATGGGAGAATTATTATAACTCTCTAAGTATGCTGTTAAACAATTCGTCTTTGTTAAAACATCTATTCACATAATTTCCAAACTTTTTCCTAATGCATACTGCCAGGTGAGGTATCAGAGCCCTGTCATCAGTAGGTGGTCAACTGGCGGGTTGGTAAAAAGAATTTACTGACAACAATATAGGTTTGAAAAAGGAAAGTTTATTGGAAAGAAAACGCTGCAGAAGAGTGCAGCATGGTGCCTCAGCAAGAGGGCTGAGCGTGCCATGGTGGATTTTTCATTAGGAACATTTATGGACCTTAAGGCAGGAGCTTAAGGGAAATTTGGACCATATTAGCCATGTAGGTCATGATAAGTGATTACATTTGTAGACATTTTGGTGCCTTAATGTCAGCAAGGGTTGAACAGTGAGTTTTGGCATGGCATTCGGGAGATGTATAGAAATTCTAGTTACTTATAAATTTTACAGGGGCAGGGAAAGAAATCTGGAACCAGATGCCTGCTTTAGATAGTAGAGAAGTCTGATTACTTCTGATTTCCCCAGATAAGGAGTTTTGACTTTGGATGGCCTGTTTGATAGTCACCAGGTGGTCTTTGCTCCCTTCTAAGTGCCTCAGATAAGGAATTTTTGTCTCCAGGGCCTGTTCAATGGCCACTAGGTGATTTTGCTCTCCTCACATACCTAAAAAGAATCTTCTCAAATTATCCGGTCATCAGATGAGGAATGAAATGAAAGCTTTCACTCAGCTAACATTTTTTCCTAGGCTTGGTATCTTTTCATTCACCAAAGTAAAAAACTATTTTAATTACTTTTGGCATGTGTACTTCTATAAGCAAGAAATAAAAGAGAATATAGAATAATCAAAATCATTTGGAAATTCAGATCCCCTTTTTCTGGAGCCCTTTTTACTTCAAGAGAAAAAAAGGAGAATAGGTCAGTATCCTCAGATTCTGTGTCCTGAACTTGATGCAGTTGTGCTGAGAAAAAGCAATAAATTTTCGCTCATACTTAAGTAGGAAGGAAGTAAATATATAAAAGAAGAGGAGAGAATTAGATATATATTCCTGCCAGCTCATTCTTTGCCTCAGAGTACCCAGTGACAAGAAAGAAGCTGATTTTTGCTAATATTCTCTGTCTTTTCTATTAATAGCTAATAAATTGCACAGTTGTTAAAGAGACATCAACAGGCGGTACACATTAGTGTTTTAATGTTGTTAAAAGTAGTAAATTTGTGAAATTGTTAAAGGATTCCTTCAGTGCCACTTTGCCAGCCAGAAATCTCTGCGGCCACCGCTGCCTTTGTCTGGGCCTCACTCAGGGCCCACTGGACTCACTCCACCTGCTCGGCCTAGCAGGCTATGCTGAGCTTGTAACCCGGCCCAGATCCCTCACCTGCCATGGCTCTGTGCTCAGCCTGTGGCTGGACCAGATGAGCCACAAGTGGCTTCTGCCTTGGGTGCCAATGTCTAGATGAGAGAATGGGATAGCACTCAAAGAATAGGAGATGCCAGCAATCACAGAGACCCAAGGGGTGTTACAGCTCTTACTCAGGGAGTCCTGAGGTTTGAGCCCCCAAGAGATGTTGCAGCTCTTCGTTCTCGTAGTGTGGCAACCTGGCATGTGTCTTACAGCTCTTTTTGCACCCACTGTTCAACAGGTTCTGGGTCCTTGTCCCACAACCAAGTGGAATGAAATATTGGACACGGGAAAGTGAGCAAGGCAGACAAGAATTTTACTGAGTGACAGAAAAGCTCTCAACATGTGAAGGGACCTGAAGCAGGTAGCCATCTGTGAGGCTGAGTCTGGAGTGATTATGGGCTTAGAATAGGGGAGTGTATACTGATAAATCCGTGATTGGGCTTTGGAAAAACACCATTCCATTGGTTAAAAGGCATCATCCAGAAGGAACCAATACAATAGAGAGAAAGGGTAAGACAGGGATAGAGTTTCCCACTCTCTCTCGTCCTGGACTCTATCTAGAACTGGCAGGTTTTAAACTGTCTTTGGCTTGAAGGTTTTAAACTGTCTTTGGCTTGAAGGTCAGGTTTCACCAGTGACCTGTCCCTGTCTGACTAGGAATTTGTCTGTTTCATGTTGCTATCAAAATGTAGCAGTAGTACAATTTTTGTAATTAGGTCCTCATATGGTTTCTTGCAATTATGAGTTTGGTTGTTATCATCTCCTTTTACAGATAAGGACATTGAAATTCAGAATACTCAATGACTAGCCTTGGGTAAGCTGGCCAGTCAATGGCATAAATGGTAATAGCAACAGATATTTTCATAGCTATGTGGGGCAAGATCATTATACACATGTAAGGAATATGCAAATTGTTGTACATGGAGAAAATATGGAGAAAAGGAGACAAGCAATTGTAATAGAATATACAATTTTTACCAAAATTATTTTTCTGTGTGTGTATGTGTGGAAAGAGAAATTGAGAAGCAATTAGAATAATAATTGTGTGTCTTGTTCTAGAAGACCAGAGAGGAAAAATAAACCAATAGGACCATAAAAGCAAAAGCAAAAAGAGTTGCTTCATAAGTTGAATGGTAATCGTCATAAAACAATAAATGTAATTCTGTTTCATTTTCATAGTCTATTCTATGAAAAGACTATTTTATCTAGGTAACAATACTGGACATTTTTCAATACATGTTTTGAGTTTTTCCTTGTATGATTTGAAAACTAAATAATATGAACAAAGAAAACTCTCATTTAAGTAGACAATAAACTCTTAAGGTTTCTTTCTACTTACCATCTATCTAAATAATATTAGATTGGTGCAAAAGTAATTGTGTTTTTTGCCATTGAAAGTAACCAAGACCAATTACTTTTGCACCAACCTAATATTAACAAAATATAACCATTTCTATCAACATATGAAATCATTTATATACATTTTATTAAACACAAATATAAATATTATTTATTAAGTCCCTCTCTGTAATTTTCTAATTATAACCAGATTTCTACATACCATTCTTCTAAGATGGACAGGTTGTGGGTAAATGATTTTGGGAGATAACTTACAAAATGAAAAATATGATTTATTCATTCACTTATTAAGTAATATTTCATGAATGCCTACCACATGATCAACATTGCGCTGGTTTCTAGAAATGTCAGAAACTAGAACATATGGTCTCTACCAAAAGTAGATCAGTAGAGGAGACAGATAATTGAACTGAAGATAGCTCTATAGTGTGATGCTTAGGATAACTGAGGCAAGTATCCTTACCCCTCATCTAGTTCACCACAAATTACTATTTACTCTGCCTTCAAAATGCATTATGAGTCTATCCACTTCTATTCCACCATTAGCAAATTACTCCAACCTTCTACTAGCTCTCTTCTCAACTACTTCAATTGCCTCCTACCTGTTCTTCTACAGTGTGATGCTTAGGATAACTGAGGGAAGTACAGTGTGCAATGGAAGCATACTAGAGAAATCTTAACCCAGACTGGAGAGATCAAGAGAGGCTTCCCCAGGAGACGATATCTGAGCATCTGAATCTTTATGAATGACAATGATGTAGCCAAGTATCATGGAGTAAGTTTTTGTGGGGAGAACCAAGATAGTATTGTAAGTCTCTAAAAATATTCTTAGGGTCATAGTCAAGGCATACTGAGTGCAGAGTGGCTAGATCAGGAAGGTCTGTGAGTGATATACTTTGTCTAGAACATTAGATATATAAGGAAAGATGAAAGGAGACCAAAATCCAATATTCAGATCACAAAGAGACGTGTGTTGTATTAAAGGAATTATTTGTGTAAGTGTGTTTGTGTATATAAGAGTCGGTTCAATACTTGCCTTTTTGCTTGAAAAAGATGTCGATTTGTAGTTTGGATTTCATTTTGAAATATCTACTAAGATTCTTGAAAATGAGAATCACAAATATAAAGAGAATCTCTTTTTGGTCAGAAAAATATTTTCTATTGCTCACCTATCGCACTCCTTCCCACCACAAACTGGTGTTCTGCAGAATTATCTGCATCACTTTTTTCAGGAAGGATAGTTTTATCTTCTTAAAAGATAATAACAAACATATGTCATAAAGAATAGGGATTGATAATCCTTGTAATTTTATCTGTGCTAATGTAAATACAAATGCTATTCATATTTCTCACATATTGAAGATTTGTCACAACAAAAAATAGATAATACAAGTAGAATATTAAAAGCACTGTTGCAAATATTCCTTCTCAACAAGGTAGTTTACACTCCATTGTCAGTAGAATATTTTTAAGTTGTTTGCCTGAATAGTGTGTAAGGTAAAGAATTTGACAGGTTAATTATACATTGCTTTAAAAAGTATTTTCTAGCATTTTATTTGAAATTGGTTGTGTTTTAATTTCTTTGATTCTCCTGATGCTCTTTTATTATGGAACCACAAAAACACCTCTTTATCTGTGAGAGAGAAACCCTTCTCCCCTCGTTAAGAGGCCTCTGTTCATACTTTCTGTTGATTCCTCCCCAAGGCAAAACAAGTTACGGATCTGCACGGCCAATGCCTGAGAAATTATTTGAAGGCAAATTTTACTACTAATGCCTTAGAAATCATGCACCATATTCAATTTTCAAAATATAAGCACCTCTAAGTAAGTTTTCTGTCCAGTTAGCTGTTCTGTTCTGTTCTGACCATCTTCTTCTCTTACTTTCTTCTTCTTTCTTTCTTTTAACTTTTATTTTAGGTTCAGAGGTATGTGTACAGGTTTGTTATAAAGATAAATTGCATGTCAGTGGGTTTAGTGAACATATTATTTCATCACCCAAGTAATAAGCATAGCACCGAATAGGAATTTTTTTTATCCTCTCCCTTTTCCCACCCTCCACCCTCAAGTAGGCCCCAGTGTCTGTTGCTCCCTTCTTTGTGTCCATATGTTCTCAGTGTTTAGCTCGCACCTATAAGTGAGAACATGTGGTACTTGGTTTTCTGTTTCTGCATTAGTTTGTGTAGGATAATGGCCTCCAACTCCATCCATGTTGCTGCAAAGAATATGATCTTGTCCTTTTTTTTGGTTGCACAGTACTCCATGGTGTATATATACCACATTTTCTTTATCCAGTCTACTGTTGATGGGCATTTAGATTGATTCCATGTCTTTGCTTTTGTGAATAGTGCTGAGATGAATATACTCGTGCATGTATCTTTATGGTGGCATGATATATATTCGTTTGGGTATATACCCAGTAATGGGATTGCTGGGTTGAATGGTAATTCAGTTTTAAATTCTTTGAAAAATCACCACACTGCTTTCCACAATGGCTGAACTAAAAGAAACTATGTTGGACAAGGATAGGACACAATCCCACCCATTTTAGATTCAAGAAAAGGAAATTGAAACAAAAAATTTGATTTGGTTCTTGTGACTTAAACAGTGTTCTCCATTTCAGCTTATCAGAGCTCTAACTCAGAAATTGTTCAGGATTTGGCTGTTAAAGCTGCACTTCATTTGCTATGTGGCCATGGCTCCTAGTAAGTGTCATTCTTTCAGACAGAACTGCAGAGTGGAGGAGTTCTGAATGTCAAAACCATTGAGAGACCAGCTATACAACAGACCAAATAGCAGCTAACTATGCCCTTCAAGCCATTTTTCTATTAGTTATAAGGTACTTTCCCCGATCTTTGATCATCATGAAGAAAGGTATCCACAAATCTATTGGTAGACTGGTAATTTTTATACCTACTATAACTTTATATATTTCCCATTCATATCTCTTTAGTATACTCCAGATTCATATTTTCAAAGTCTGTGATATCACAACATCTACATCTATTAGGTGTCATGAATATATGCAGACCAAAAGTCTGTCCTTTCAAAAACCTTCCCCATCGTAGTCAAACTTGATTTCTCCCCCTACTCTTTACTCACCCCTTACCCCTCATTTAGTCCACCACAAATTACTATTGACTCTGCCTTCAAAATGCTCTATGGGTCTATCCACTTCTATTCCACCATTAGCAAATTACTCCAAGCTTCCATCAGCTCTCTTCTTAACTACTTCATTTGCCTCCTACCTGTTCTTTTTGCTTCACATTACTTAATCTTCATGCACAGCAGTCAATCAAATTACAGCATTTTGCTGTTTAAAACGCTTCAATGTCCTCCAATATATACTTTTTGAATATATGCAAGCTCAGTGTCTTAGCCTAAAAGATCATTTAAATGACTAGCCCCAAGCCTTCTGTCCCAGTCTCCTGTCTTACCATTTTCTTCCTCCTTGATTTGTTTGCCACAAATACACTGGATTTTTATTTATTTACTTATTTATTTATTGCCTATGCTTAGAACATAACAAGAACATGTAAAATTACCAGCTACCCTTAGGCCTCTGCATTCACTGCCAAGATGTTCTTGTTTTTCACTTGCTGGCTCAAGTTTTCACTTGCTGGCTCATTGTCACCTTCATGAATTTGAGGCTTATTTTATTTATTTGTATCACATATACTATCTAATACATGCATTAAAGTAATACTTTTTGCTCTAAGTAATGTATTCCGTAGATTTCTAAATGTAATACACTATAATTCATTTTTAACAGGCTCTAATGTCTGCTTTTTTGCTTTACTTAACTATTCCTTAGAAGGGCATTATTTAAACTCAAGGTCAAGGTGCCATTTTTTCTTCTGCTCTGAATTCATTAATTTAATATGTATTTATTTGCATTATGATCAGAAAATGTAGCTAGAGTGGCATGATAATATCGGCAGTTAGGCAGTTTTCTCTGTGACCACATTTTTAATGATCTTTTTCCTCAATGTTTCTAGGTATTTTAGAAGAATGTGTGCTTTGGCATGCACAGAAACACACATAGCAATGTAGTGTCTTATATAAGGTTATGAATCTACAGTTTGTGTAATGAGAGTCAATGTTGTTGAAACGTTCCTTGAGAATGTTCCATTTTGGTAACTTAAATACCTTTCTCAGAGAGCAACACTGGAACAGATTGATGGGTCTTCTGATGAGCACAAAATGAAGTTACTGGTTTATGTTTAGAGATCTACTTTTTACTTTCAAAAATGTATATTTAAACAATAGAAATATTCTTACCCTAATGCTATACACCATAAGGAGCAATGGAAAGCTAAAACTAAATGAGGCTTACATCTTGAGCTCCCTTTGAGAATATGTTCATTAACAGAAAATGAGTTCATAACAATCAGTTTTGCTCTTTGTTTTTTGATCTTGTTCTTCCTTTTTCTCTACCTATCAACCTTATAAGTTAATTTTCCCATTTAAGACTTTTTGCTGTATTTCTTATTTTGCCTGATATTAAAATTCACCCTTGTGTCAATTTCTTTAACTTGAGACCTGCATTTGACAATCTCTTATTTTCAAAGGTTTTGTGACTTTGTTTTAAACATAGCTCTAGTAAAGAAAGCATAGCTTTATTCTACATATTCATTTTACTGAATTTGAGAGTCTCTCCTTAGATGATGCAATACAGTTTTATTGTTATTATTCTTTTTATTTTTTCTTATTTTTATAATTTGAAATTTATATATTATATTGCTTTTCCTGTAAGTTTCCTTTGGACTTTAAAATACATATTTGAATATATATTTTCTATTAAAAGCTTCAGCAAATTTCTATCAAAATCTTTTTACTTCTTTTAAAATAACCCAGAATTGCAAATCTCTTTTGACATCATTCTTGGGGAAATACTTTCTAACGACTGCTTTCAGTTTTACAGACATATTATCGACTTTTCTATATGTAAATATAACTTTCTCAAGGGTAATAACACCTGTGGCAAACACATGCTCTATATGCTGAGGAAAGAATCTTTTGTCAGTCTTTCTGCTAAACCTCTTTATGAGAAGTATGGCTCTAACCTTTGCCTAACCCTTTCTCACATGTGTTTGGATGATATTTTTCTCTGCTCAGGTATCTCAATCACATTCCATCTATTTTCTATCTTCTAAATAAATGTTAAAAATACCAAATGGAGCCCAGGAGCGGTGGCTCACGCCTGTAATCCCAGCACTTTGGGAGGCCAATGCAGGTGAATCACCTGAGGTCAGGAGTTCGAGACCAACCTGGCCAACATGGTGAAACCCTGTCTCTACTAAAAATACAAAAATTAGCCAGGCATGGTGGTGTGCACCCATAATCCCAGCTACTCAGAAGGCTGAGGCACGAGAATAGCTTGAACCCAGGAGATTGCGCCACTGCACTCCAGCCTGGGAGACAGAGCGAGACTCTGTCTCAAACAAACAAAAATACCAAATGGCCTTTCTCTTTGTTTTCCAAAAGTATGAGTTTAATCTTTGTCCAACAGCTTTGTTGCCTTTTGTGGTTGTAAAGGTTGGGCTTGAGTAAAAACATAGTCTTAGTCTACCATCTTGCACTAAAAATTTAAAGTTATTTCTAGCTCTGGGGAACTTGGTGAAGAAAAAAATAAGTCATATAATTTCTGAAATGTTCTTTTGTCTTCCCTTTCTTCCATCTTGGTCTAACAAAACTCTTCCAACTTTTCAAAGACAATTCTTTGCACCACCTCTAGCTGCTTTCTCATCAGAACATCTCATTCACTATTACACTTTTGGTCTTCTTGGCATATACTTCCTCATTACTTACATAAATTTTTATCTTCTTCTCCAAGTTGATTCTTGAGGGTGGAATCTGTATTCATATTTTTAGGATATATTAGGTGCTATTACGACCTAATACAATACTTTGTGGAGAGTAAATACTCAATTAATACTTGATAGAAAAGAAAAATCTCAAATTTAAAGCATAACAGACCCTTGGAGATTATATAGCCCAATATTCTCACAATGTGGATGGCATAACTGGAACCTATTACCTCAAGGCCAATGCTCGAATCCAGACCACACTGCAAGTGTGGTCTTTATACTGAATGATGATCTCATAGACTGTTATACTTAAAAGAAAATATAAAATTACTTAGCACTCAAAGTAGAAATTTACAGCTTTGCTAATATCTTGACATGGAACTGTTGTGTGAATACTCTTAATGACTAAAAATGTCTCATTTGTACAGAGCAGAGTATATCATTTTTAAAAGGCTGTGATACAATGCTTTTACCTTAGCTGAATGAGACACACTTCACTAAATTTTCTTCTCATTAAGAACTTAATTCTCATATATTATCTCACTTCAGTTCCTCATCCACATTACAGTCCTTCAATTATTTTTAGCAATAACACTACACATATGTCAGAGACTACAAATGTATAGCAAACATGCTACTACTCACCCCATCATGATCATACAACACAAGCCACCTTTCTCACTGAGTCTAGATCTAACTTCAGAATCCTTCCTAACTCAGTTTCATGGGAAACCACTGTCAATGGATAGCCAGTGCCATATATGAGAAATGATATTATTATTTAAAATATTTACAGCCTCTTACTGGGATGCTAATTCTATTTTCCCATTCTCTGAAGAATGATTATACAGCATCATCTCAAACTGTGCAGTAGCCATTTGACTCAATTTGGCCAATGAAATGTGCATGGAAATGAACATGTCACTTGCAAGCAGAGCCTCAAGATCTAGTTTAGTTCATGGTTTTTAATGTCTCCCTTCCCTATCCCATAGGATCTTCTCTTTTAGTGAGGTCCCTGGAATGAAAAACATATCGAGAATAATTGCAGCAATATGAGTAAAAAATAAGCCTCTGTGTTGTTAGCAACTGATATGTGATGACCACTTATAGCTACAACATAGTCTATCCCCTCTTCACTTGTAAAGCATGTCAATGCATTTATTCATTTATTTATTCATAAAGATATATTCTCTAATCACATTATTAAGTTCTGGGAATACAGCTGTAAGCAAGATATGCATGCTCTTGACTCATAGACCTTAACATGAAAATGAAGAAGCTTTTAAAAATGTTTTTAAGCATAAATAAAAAAAAACTAGAGATTGAGATAAATGCTATGAATGGAACTAATTAAATTGCTATGTAATAGAGAAAAGGGGGATAGAAAAGTTGGGGTCTGATTTCGATACTGAGTTTAGAAAACTCCCTTCCAAGGAGATTACATTTATATTGAAGGTAGAAAAATATGACAATTAACAAGCTATGAGGGATCTAATTTAAAGTTGTAATGGATAAAGGATTATGGTCAAAAATCTGAAGACAGGCCGGGCGCGGTGGCTCACGCCTGTAATCCCAGCACTTTGGAAGGCCGAGACGGGCAGATCACGAGGTCAGGAAATCGAGAACATCCTGGCTAACACGGTGAAACTCCGTCTGTACTAAAAATACAAAAAAAATTAGCCGGGGGTAGTGGCGGGCTCCTGTAGTCCCAGCTACTCAGGAGGCTGAGGCAGGAGAATGGCGTGAACCTGGGAGGTGGAGCTTGTGGTGAGCCGAGATCACGCCACTGCACTCCAGCCTGGGCGACAGAGTGAGACTCTGTCTCAAAAAAAAAAAAAAAAAAAAAAAATTATTGAAAAGATTCCAGGAAGAGTTAAAGCATACTGAGCAATTAATTTATTCTAAGAGCAATGGGAGTCAATTGAAGGATTTTAGGCAAGGATGTGATGCTCATTTATTAAAGATAACTCTGACTACTATATGAAAAATTGGTTAGAAAGGACAAAGGTGGAAGTAAAAGAAATAGCTAAGAGACTCTTGAAGTAGACTTCGTTAACAATATGGTGGCTTAGATTATGATGGTAGCCATGGAAATTGCAAGCAAATTAAGGGTTTAATCTAAGAGTGGAATCGATGGGAACTACTAATGGAGTAGTTTAGAAGGTAATGCAAATAGCAGAACAAGAATGACTCCCGAGTGAAGTGGTGTCATTTCCTTACAGTCTGGCATAGGAAGACATTTTAAAGAGTGTTATGGCAAATGGAAATGGAGAATTCAAGTTTGGATCAACTCAGTTTGCTTTGTTGTGAAATGTTCAAATGGAGACACCAGGTAGACAACTAGGTACATGTGGCTGAAGTTCATGGGTAATATATGTGCTGGAGATACAGATTTGTGAGTTATCAATAGAAATGCCATTTAAAAGTATGGACATGAATATCACTTATTTGTGAAGACATATAGAGAAAGGCAAATGTAGATCCAGGATTAAGCCTGGGACAATGTCAAAATATGGGAGTTGAGGAAAGACCAGAGCCAATAAAGGAGACAGAGAATAATCAGTTATGAGAAAGGGGAGAATGCATAAAAATTGTATAACATAGGCATCATTAAGACTTTCCAAAATAGAAGGAGTGGTCAAATCTGCAAATTCTGTTGAGACACTAAGTAAGATAACAGCAAAAAGTGTTTATTAAATTTGGTAATATCAGAAGTGCTTAGAGACTTTAAAAATAGTAGAAACAGCAATCAGGACTAAGAGGACGACACATGAGTTATAACCAAAGAAGTGTGTGTCTCTCTTTGGAGAATTGAGACTATTGAAGAGGATCCCAGAAAGAGAAAAACACTGGAAAATGGTTATGAATCAGGGAAAGATTTTTTAAAGAATGAGAGGCACTAAAGCTGGTTTTATATTGATGGAAATATCTTATAGGAAAAGAAAGATTTATGATGTACTAGAATGAAATCATAACCATAGGCATGAATTCTTTGAGGTGATGGAAAGGGATGGAACCCAGAGCACACATGAAAGAAAGTTTAATAGGAGGATAATCCATTCCTTCATCTTCACATGAAGAAAAAAGGGACAATGGGTTTTCAAAAGCAGGCAGCTTTTCAGATAGTGTGGTAGGAAGATAAGGAATCTGAGATTCCCTAAGTGAAGCATGAGTAAACTGAGAGTGAGTAGAGAGCAGGAGAGAGAATTGTGATAATAGATGAGTATGTACATACATTGTATGAAATAGTTAGGAAGAATATCAAGCTAATAAAGTATAGCAGACTCAACATGTTGATTTCAAGTGTGGCTGCCAATGTGGTTATAAAATTGCCTTTGCAGGGTAAAGAGAAACAAATGCTGTGCTTTATCCAGGGTTGTGGTTTAGCTTGAGAGTATGACTGACAGAGAAAGGGGTAAGCAGTTATAAGCCACAAGACCTAAGCTAGAGAACAGGAAAATAAAGACACAAGGCCAATGGGTTACAAGTTGTGGGGCAAAAGTATGCGGTCAAAGGGTTATAGCATGGGAGTAGTTGGGCAAGTGAGTTGGAAAATTAGGAGGTAAAGGTCAGAGCAAAGGAAGCAATTTCTAATGCTATGTGTTATCCTGGTCTTACATCTTCCCTACTTCATCTGTTAATACAACTGTGATTCATTTATTAATCCCTGTTTTACTTTTTGTTTGCTCTTTGCCTCCAGTAATTTAACTATAGATATCCTCTTACACTATATGCATTTTTGTCAGCAATTTAAAAATCTTTTTGGAACAAAGCAAGGCATTAATTAATTAATTTGCACATTTCAATATACTTCTTTATATGATGATTTTTAGATAAATTGTCATCTCTGTCTTCCTTCTCTAAAAGGATTTCATTTATTTGCAATACACTTAATTAAATGAAATACCCAGAACTGTGCATAATCACCTAGAGATAAGTTAAAAGTGTCACAGTCAGCAACTAGACAAGCCAAGACTGGGACACAGGTCTCACAGCTCTTGTTCTATCTTTTGACCTGCATAGATAATTAACGATAACTGCAAATACTTACTGAGTGAGAACTTTCTTTCACAGAGTGCTTAATATTCTACATGGTTCGTTGTATTTATTTCTCAAAAATAAACATAATAGCCCATTTTGAAGACAGAACAACTGAGGCTTAGGAAAGTTAACTTGTTCAAAGTCATACAGCTAAGAAATAATAGAAACCAAATAAAAGTTCAAGGATTCTGAACCTGCAGTCCACCCTCCTTATCTCTGCCCAGTTGTTTTCTGTTGGTAGGCTCAAGTGGTATTTTTTTTTTTTTGCCTTATCAACCACTCATGCACTCATATTGAGTTGACAATGAATTACAATTACTTGGTTGCCTTCGCATGCAATCAGTCTATCAGCTTCTCCTTGCATGGTGCCAGAGACATAATAGGTACCTAATAAATATTTGATTCATTGAAGTTCTGTTCAAACAGTAGATTGGATAAATGCACTTCGCATATCTCCATTCCAATAATTAATTAAAACACTGATTAGAATAGGACTAGAAACTTCTCTCCATTATTCTTCTAGCATGAATGCTTAATTTACTATACCTATTTTAACTACATATAATATACAATCTCCAGTATACATTCTTCATCTTGTCCACAAAGATAATATGAGAGGCTGTTAAAAATAAAAATAAACTAGATTTTTCACTGTAATATTTACTTGATGTATCTAGGAACCATAGCCAAATTAAAAATGAAAATAAATTGACTTGTTTTGGTGAACCCATGGTGGTTTCTATTGATCATTGCTAGCTCTTCTGAGAATACAAAAACCATCTTTGTAATCTTTAATTCCATACATTTATCTCCAACATGTCCAGAAATCGTGCTGTTCCCTTTCATTTTTCCTAACATTTGTGAGCAATATCTGTCCCTTAATATGATTAATATACTTGGTCTCTCTTTTCCATTTTGTGTCGGGGGGGGCACTGAAGACTTTCACCAATAATTGCGTTCAGTTTTATTTTTTGCTGCTTGTTTCCATAGAATACAAAGAGTTCTTCACAAAGATGCTTAGAGTAGACCAACAGCAATGTTTTACTGTAACATAATTGATATGGTTTGGTTCTGTGTCCCCATCGAAATTTCACCTTGAATTGTAATCCCCATAATTCCTATATGTCAAAGGCGGGACCAGATGGAGGTAATTGGATCATGAAGGTGGTTTCCCCCATGCCCTTCTCATGACAGTGAGTGAGTATTATGAGATCTGACGGTTTTATAAGTGTCTGGAATTTCCCCTGCTTGCCCTCACTCCATCCTGCCCCCCTTTGAAGAAGGTACCTGCTTCTCCTTTGCCTTCCATCATGATTGTAAGTTTCTTAAAACCTCCAAGCAATGCAGAGCTGTGAATCAATTAAATCTTTTTCCTTTATAAATTACCCAGTCTTGGGTATTTCTTCATAGCATGTGAGAACGGACTAATACAATGATTTAAAGTATTAGCATAGTTCAAGAAAGAATATATCACAGCACTAAGGATGAGGATAGGGTAGGGTTGGCCTATAAAAGAAGCAGAGGAAAAGGAGATTCAGAAAGGAAAATATAGTCTGTAACACCATGAAGTTCTGCCAGGAGAAGAGAGATTCTCTTTTTCTTTTTCTTTATTCTTTTTATAATTTACAAACATTTATATATTTATGGTGTACAAAGTTGTATTAGTCCATTCTCACACTGCTCTAAAGAGCTACCTAAGGCTGGCTAATTTATGAAGAAAAGAGGTTTAATTGACTCATAGTTTCACAGGCTGTACAGGAAGAATGGCTGGGAGGCCTCAGGAAACTTACAATCATGGCAGAAGGTGAAGGGAAAGCAAGCACATCTTACCATGGTAGAGCAGGTTCAAGGGGGAAGTGGTACACACTTTTAAACAACCAGATCTTGTAAGAATTCTATCACAAGAACAGCAATGGGGAAATATGCCCTCATGAATCAATCACCTCCCACCAGACCCCTCCTCCAACACTGGGAATTACAATTCAATGTGAGATTTGGGAGAGGACACAGAGTCAAACCATATCAAATGAGATGTTTCAAAAAATGCATACATTGTGGAGTGGCTAAATCATGCTAATTAACACATGCATTACCTCACATATTGTTGCGGGAAGCCAGGGAACCCGAACGGAGGGACTGGCTGAAGCCACAGCAGAACAACATAGATTGTGAAGATTTCATGGACATTTGTTAGTTCCCCAAATTAATAGTTTTACAATTTCTTATGCCTGTCTTTACTGCAGTCTCTGAACATAAACTGTGACGATTTCATGGACATTTATCACTTCCCCAATCAATACTCTTATAATTTCCTATGTCTGTCTTTACTTTAATCTCTTAATCCCATCATCTTCATAAGCTGAGGATGTATGTCGCCTCAGGACCCTGTGATGATTGCGTTATCTATACAAATTGTTTGTAAAACGTGTGTTTGAACAATATGAAACCTGAGCATCCTAAAAGAACAGGATAACAGCGATTTTCAGGGAACAAGGGAGATAACCATAAAGTCTGACTGCCTGCAGGGCTGGGCAGAACAGAGTCATATTTCTCTTCTTTCAGAAAGCGAATAGGAGAAATATCGCTAAATTCTTTTCTCAGCAAGGAATAACCCTGGGACAACAAATGCATTCCCAGGGGGAGGTCTCTAAAATGGACGCTCTGGGAGCGTCTGTCTCATGCAGTTGTAGATAAGGGATGAAATACGCCCTGGTCTCCTACAGCGCCCCCAGGCTTGCTAGGGTTAGGAAATTCCAGTCTGGCGAATTCTAGTCAGACTGGTTGTCTGCTCTGAATCCTGTTTCCTGTTAAGGGGTTTATCAATGACAATGTGTGCCCAGCAGGACGTGG
The DNA here is from genome assembly GCF_000001405.40 of Homo sapiens. Classification (NCBI taxonomy): domain Eukaryota; kingdom Metazoa; phylum Chordata; class Mammalia; order Primates; family Hominidae; genus Homo; species Homo sapiens. Next base: position 58,949,989 of record NC_000013.11, read on the forward strand.
AACCTCAATAGTAATTCTAATTTCGCCCTGGCCTTGTGATCTTGCTCTGCCCCCATTTGCCTTGTGATATTTTATTGCCTTTGAAGCATGGGATCTCTGTGACCCACACCCTATTTGCACACTCCCTCCCCTTTGAAAATCACTAATAAAAACTTGCTGGTTTTGCGGCTCGGTGGCATCATGGAACCTGCCGACATGTGATGTCACCCCTGGAGACCCAACTGTAAAATTTCTCTCTTTGTACTCTTTCTCTTTATTTCTTAGACTGGCTGACACTTAGGGAAAATAGAAAAGAACCTATGTTGAAATATTGGGGGCTGGTTCCCCCAATATCTGGTAAAGAAAAAGGGCATCATGGAACCTGCTGACATGTGATGTCACCCCCGGAGACCCAGCTGTAAAATTTCTTTCTTTTGTACTCTTTATTTCTCAGACTGGCTGACACTTAGGGAAAATAGAAAAGAACCTACATTGAAATATTGGGGGCTGGCTCCCCCGATAACATATATATCATTTTAAGTGTAAGAATATTTCAAATCTACACTGTTGGCCACTTCAAGTATAAAATACACTGTTATTAACTGTAGTCACCATGCTATACACTAGAACTCATTCCTTCTATCTAACTGAAGTTTTATACCGTTTGACCAACATTGCACCAACAGCCCCATCCCCCAACCTCCAACCCCCAATAATCATCACTCTACTCTCTTCTAAGAGCTTGACTTTCTTAAACTCCACATGTATATAAGATTATGTGATATTTGTCTTTGCAGAAAGACAAATGGCTTATTTCACATAACATAATGTCTTTCAGATTTATCCATGTTGTCACAAATCACAAGATTTCCTTCTTTTTAAAGGCTGAATGGCATCCTATTGTGTATCTGTACATTTCCCTTTTCCATACATCTGATAAGGGGTTAATATCCCAAATATATAAGGAACTCAAACAACTCAATAGCAAGAAAACACATAGCCCAATTAAAAATTGGCAAAGAAACTGAGTAGATGTTTCTCAAAAAATAACCAATAGGTATATGAAAAAATGCTCAACATTACTAATCATCAGGGAGATGCAAATTAAAACCACAATGACATAGCACTTCACACCTGCTAGAATGGCTATTAACAAAAAGATGAAAGAAGAAAAGTGTTGGTGAGGATGTAGAGAAAAGGGAACTCCCACACAGTGTTTCTAGGAATGTAAATTAGTATTACAATTATTGAGGTTCCTCAAAAAATTAAAAATAGAACTAGCATATGATCCAGTAGTCCTACTACTGTGTATGTATTCAAAGTAAGTGAAATCAGTATGTCAAAAAGATATCTGCACTCCCATGTTCACTACATCATTTTTCAAAATACCCAAGATATGGAATCGACCTTAGTGTTCATCAATGGAAACAGAATTTTATTTAAGAGACTTTAACATCTCTGGTCTTATTGGAAAATCATCCCCATTGGAGTTACTAAGTTGTCTTAGTCTCCAGTAAATATTTTACTAATATGACTTTCTCTTATTAAATTACTCAATCATAATAAGATCTTCTAAAAAATGTTTCATATTATATTACAGATTGCTTACTTACAGGGAGAAAATATGCTAATTTCATGCAAACATATGTGTTTCAGTTTCTGGGAATTAATTTGTTATTTTAAACTAAAATATTTTGGTATTGGTCCAGAGAAAATGCCATATCCTTACCAAACCATTTCATTTCATATATCTGGAAATGTCATGTAGTTGTAGAGGTAGCAAAATGAAATGTTTTAGTGACCACAGTATTGCATCTAGAAGGGTTCATGTAATTTATTTTCATCTATTGAATTTGAAGGGAAGTTATCTGTCTCCTATAGTCCTGAACAGACAAAGACAGGTACACATTCTCCGTGTTCTCTCATCCCTTCCTCCAGCAACCATAGGAGCCACATGTTCCAAGTATGGCTACAAAGCTGAAGAGGTAGGCAAAGTTCAAGTTAGGGCCTCACTAAGGAAACTGAATTGTATCCCAGAGATAAGGAACCACCGAAATATATAATAAGGGAGTTAAAGTATTAGAATATCATTTTTGAAGTGTACGCTAGTCACAGAATGGAAAATGAATCTGAGGGAGGACAAATGAAGTGAAGTGGGGCACTACAGAAACAAAAGGAATAATGAGAACCTATAGTAAAAGAGTGGAATTGTTAATGGAGATGTTTGATTAAATTTAGAGCTGTTAAGAGAGTAGGGTTGACAGGATTTTATAATCAATAGAATGAGAATTAAGAATCAAGGATAATGCTATATTTTTGACTTAGGAAGCTGACTATGTAGGGGGATGCATTATTGTATAAAAGTAACACAGAACAAAGGAAAGATCCCGTTTGAATTTTCTTCAGAGTTGTCAGTTTATATTTTTATTATCATTCTTGCATTTGTACAGTTTATGAGGATTTTCAAACTACTTTCACAATATTAAACTAGGTAACTAAACTACAAAATATTTTTTATTCCCAGCCTGGTCGTCTTTTTTAAAATCATAATTCTACATAACATTTAATGGAACTGTTTTATATATATTTTTTCTATGTTAATTGCATTTTAATGTCTTATTATTTTTAAATTCCAAATATCAAGACCTATACCTGTTTACTTTCCACTCTATGCCTAAACAAGTCCATGAGTTCATGCAAAACCCAGATCAGGGTCCCATGCATTTGAGTCTTTACTGAATGTTACCTTCAGTTTTCCTATGAATCCTGTCAGCTCCAGCATTAGTACAAATATGGTTATTTGAAGTATGTAGAACAACTACAACAATTTGAAGTATGTAGAACAACTACAACAAAAACATTGCTCACAATATATTTTGTGGGCAAAAACACAAAAAAATTGGACTCTCAATCAAGTTTTCTTGGTTTAATGCTGACATATTCTTAAGCTCAAAAACTTCACAGGTAATATTAACTGTGTCTTGCAATATTGTCTTCATTTATCATCCTCCAATTCCGCATCTCATTTACCACAACTTTGAAATAAGACCTCATCCGCCATGGTCATTCCTTGGGGATGTTTCCCATGACCTTGCTGATCAGGTTGACATTCCCCATATACATTTATATATGATAGCCAAGATCCAGTTACCATTCCTTTGTGGCCATTAGTAGAGTTAAAATTTCCATTTTCTTGTATCATACTTTAATTACTATTTGTTTTTTCTACCTGACTCTAAGTCCCTTTATTTCTTTATTTCTTTTCATCGTAATATTTCTCAGTGATTACCAGTGTAGCTTAACATTTAAAGGCTTTTGTTAAAAGTTTGTTAAGTTAATCAATACTTAAAATATTTTGCATTTTTTGTAAATCATTATGTTATATTATCTGAAGCTTATGTTCTTGTTTCTTTTTTTAGTTTTCATTGATAAATGTGTGTAATGCTATTCTGCTGTGAGCTGTCTTTATTGGACTTTTGCATACTTATTACAAATGTAAGCGTAAATACGGTTTAAAAAGTGTATGGAAACTCTATTTTACAAAAGAACCAAAATGATCTCTGTTAAGGCTTTTAGCACTTAATAACTCCAAGGAATCATTTAATATCAGTAAAAGGTGATGCAACAACCTCTAGGTCTTCGTACTCAGCAAGATACTGCAAAATGACTTAAGCTATTGATTCTAACAGTTTCATATTTTTATTCTCTTCTTCCCTTTAGGAACCTCTAAGACAAGAGGTCAATTTAGCCCCATTTTATTTTTTAAAAAAGAATTTAGTGTTCTTGACAGGTGTCAGATTACAAGTCCTTAGAGACAAAGGTTTCCTGTTTGGCCATCACAGCATTTATAACACAGACAGCTGTACGTGGTTTCCCTTCCTCTTCCCCAGTTCCTTACCTTATCCACAGACCACAAACCCTAACCCACAGAGAGCAGCTTCAGATGCAGGAGGATAATTCAGTCTTTAGGCTATTAAATCAGTGACTCCTTAGCACACTCACTCTACAGGGATGGCAGCAACCTCTTATGATGATGTTTCTTGTGTGAGGATTGTGTGATGTTATACCTTTTTCCCTGTGAGGTAGATAACAATGTTCAACACATTACACAAAAACTACTGAGCAGGCATGCAATCAATACTCAATCCTTTTTTGTTGTTTTCATCAATGTCATTTTCGATGAGTGCTTTAAAAATCATATTAAATTTGTTTTAATGGTCTCAATTTAGTGTCAGAATTGTGATCCTTTTTCCTACTTATTAAATGTTTTGATTTTTAAAAATAAATAACTTAAAACTGCCACAGCATCAACCATGGTGGTCTATAAAATGCTTCTTTCTTCCTTTAGCATTGATATTATTATTCAGTCTTTGTAATTTTCTGGGGAAGCTCCAATATTCTTCTTGTCAAATGTCTCAAGAAACCCTAAAGATATGGTTATCTCATATTTATTTTCTCATTTCTTCACCACGCATATGGAGGGGGTAAATGTAATACATTAAAAAATAGTAAATAGTAACACTAAAAGAGAGGGCACTTTCACAGAGTTCTGGTCAGCCACTTTTTTAGATACTAATTTTATGTTCACCATCAACTGCAACAATAATCAGGAAATCAGGAAGGTTCACTGACCTTTGCATGTAACCATATTTTTAACAAAGACCTTGGATCCTAAAACCTCAGTGATGGCATCATAGCACTCATTGATCTCAAATTTTCCCAGAAGATATTAATGATATGGTTTTATCAAAACCCAGATATAGCTAAAGAATTCCTTTGTCATCTCAGTGACCTCCCTCAAACTCCTTATTACTCTTCATATTAATTCCATCACTTTTATACATCAAGTGGTCAGTGATGTTAAACTTGTTAGAACCTATGCGTCCAATGGCCATGGTGTTGATATATGTCTTTTCCTTTCCCGTCTTTGTCTGGATTTAGGGATGGTTTCCATGGTGCTTGGACTCTGACTAAGGACATATTGTGAAAGGCTTATGTATACTGAGTGTTTGAGAATGTAATCTCTAAACTGCTGTTCTACTGAATATTGTCTGTTATTACTTAGTAACATGCTCATAGTCAGACTCCGTAATATCTAAAGCTTCTATTGGAAAATTAAATTATTTTAACAACCTCCATAGCATATTTTAACTATGAATGATACACTCAAAATATCCTCCCCAGCTGCCTTAAGTGTCATCCTTTGCATCCACCTGGAATCATCTCAAAGCATATGAATACAGAAAGAAGTAAATATTGGTTGAACACTTTCCTATGCTACAGGTATGGCAGTAGGTGCTGGAGATGCAGAAATAAGACACTTTCCTGAAACCTACAACCCAGTAAGACACATTCAATTGCTCCATTCATTTAGTGGTGTGATCTCACTATCCTTCTTTTTCCTTACAGTGGATGCTGACGAAAATTGTACAAGAGAATTTATGAACAAAAACAAAAGAGACAAATGGCGAAAAATATTTGAAGTACTTTTTCTTGGGCTGGCTCTTCTCCAAATGACAACTGATAATTAGGTAAGTAAATGAGAACTTACTGAAACAAATGACTTTCTCTGATTAAAACACCACGCAGAAAAATGACATATTGCAGAGAGAACAACCTTTCCTCTTCAAGCTCACTATTCTCTTGTTGAGTTATCATTCAGTAATGGGTAGAGAAGCAGCTAAATGCACAAAGTTTAGGGTCAAGTGAAAATTACCCAAAGCTTTATGGGTAGTTAGGTTGGGTTATATTAGGCAAGGGAGTATTCATTAGTTACAATGCAAACACTATGTGGTTACTAGACATTCACATCCCGGCATGGTTCCTAGTTCAGCTCATAATTACCTTTTCACCAGATGATCAGTTTTGCAGCCTGGTGAAGAAGAAATCCTCAGGAAACACTGTGGTGTCACCCTGGAAACGTGGGACTAGCAGAGCAAGTGGGCTAAACAAAGTCTAATTATTTCTGGAGGGAAAAAGGGTACTCTGGAATTTCCCTGCCCCTAGAGAGAGCATTATGAATCATTTGGGTAAGCGGTCTCCTACATGTGATTCGAGAGTTCATTTATGAGAGGACCTTTGCTCTAAAATATCAGCACTAATGATTGTCGCATTACCATTATAGATTCATTTCCTCAAATGTTGAATGCCTTTCAAATCAAGAGTCACAATGTAAAATTCAACTTCTGCCAGGAAGCTATATTAAGCTGGTGTCAGCTAATCATTTAAGTAACCATTTAAGTAGAGTGGCCACATATCTGGTTTACACGGGACAGCCTTGGTTTATACTCATGATATGATAATTAATACCATCCCCATTCAGTCTCAGTCTGGGTTCAATGATGATAAAGTATATGACCTCTAAGTCTAAATCCAGTTGGGTTTAATGCTTTCAGAGAACAAAAATAACTCTGGCTAATTTAAATTTTGATTGGTTGAACTAAGACCAAATATTCAACCTAGAGTTGCCAGAGATGAGGGAGACCAAACAGGTGGCTTCTAGTTAGAGCACTTCCTCCAGATAAGAGTTTGTGTGCAGACTAACCAAACCAGAAAAATGGAGTCAGAAGCTTTCAGCAAAAATACAAATTTGAACCAAAATTATTCTTCCTTCTGGTTATTGCCTGATGTATTGAATTATAACTTCAAGATGACAATATATGTTTGCCAAGGATATAAAGAGATATTAGTAAAATGGGAGAAGGAACCCCAAACCAATACATTTCTCCTTCTTTATAGTATGGCCTAGCAATACCTCTCACAGCTCTGATTAGAACCCTAAGCTCTCTGTAAATGGATAAATGCCTTAAGTTTGTTGGAAGAACATTCAAATCTATAAAGTCCTAGAATAAAGGAATAGTAACTATTTCTGGAAATGTTATATTAATGTATTCATGAAAACTCATTTTCCTAATATATGGATTATACTAATATCATTGCTAGTATGTTGGTTTATTAACATACGTGCTAATTTTGTAAAATAAAAAAATGCTATGGTTTGAGATTTTTAAGAATCCTTAGCTAAAAAAATTACATGTAAGTATAAAGCTACAGTTTGATTTTTTAAATACAAAATTTTGTTTTTATAAATTAATGACCTCACATTGCAGTTGATAAATATTTAGAAAGATCAGAGACCAGCAACAATAGGAGGAAAACAAGCTCAGTTCATAGATGGTAATTAAAAAGTTTGTCCCATGCTATACCAAATGTGTTGATAGATAACCATTAGTTTCTATTTAAACTAAAATAATCATTGGTCTTATAATAAAATTGGGAAAATGCTGATATACAATATTAAAATATACATCATACTGTGTCCAGAATTGGTGGGTTCTTGGTCTCACTGACTTCAAGAATGAAGCCGCGGACCCTCACGGTGAGTGTTAGAGCTCTTAAGGTGGCGTGTCTGGAGTTTGTTCCTTCTGATGTTTGGATGTGTTTGGAGTTTCTTCCTTCTGGTGGGTTCGTGGTCTCGCTGGCTCATGAGTGAAGCTGCCGACCTTCCCAGTGAGTGTTACAGCTCTTAAGGCAGTGCGTCTGGAGTTGTTCGTTCCTCCCGGTGGGCTCGTGGTCTCGCTGGCTTCAGGAGTGAAGCTGCGGGCCTTCGCGGTGAGTGTTACAGCTCATAAAAGCAGCGTGGCCCCAAAGAGTGAGCAGTAGCAAGATTTATTGCAAAGAGCAAAAGAACAAAGCTTCCACAGTGTGGAAGGGGACCGGAGCGGGTTGCCACTGCTGGCTCGGGCAGCCTGCTTTTATTCTCTTATCTGTTCCCACCCACATCCTCCTGATTGCTAGAGCCCAGTGGTCTGTTTTGACAGGGCGCTGATTGGTGCCTTTACAATCCCTGAGCTAGACACAAAGGTTCTCCTCCTCCCCACCAGATTAGCTAGATACAGCGTGTCCACACAAAGGTTCTCCAAGGCCCCACCAGAGTAGCTAGATACAGTGTGGATTGGTGCATTCACAAACCCTGAGCTAGACATAAAGGTTCTCCAAGGTCCCACCAGAGTAGCTAGATACAGAGTGTCGATTGGTGCATTCACAAACCCTGAGCTACACACAGGGTGCTGATTGGTGTATTTACAATCCCTGAGCTAGACATAAAGGTTCTCCAAGGTACCCACGAGACTCAGGAGCCCAGCTGGCTTCACCCAGTGGATCCCGTACCGGGGCTGCAGGTGGAGCTGCCTGCCAGTCCCAGGCCATGCGCCCGCACTCCTCAGCCCTTGGGTGGTCGATGGGACTGGGCGCTGTGGAGCAGGCGGTGGCGCTTGTCGGGGAGGCTCTGGCCGCACAGGAGCCCATGGAGTGGGTGGGAGGCTCAGGCATGGCGGGCTGCAGGTCCCGAGCCCTGCCCCGTGGGAAGGCAGCTAAGACCCGGTGAGAAATCGAGAGCAGCGCCGATGGGCTGGCACTGTTGGGGGACCCAGTACACCCTCCGCAGCCGCTGGCCCAGGTGCTAAGCCCCTCATTGCCTGGGTCCGGCAGGGCTGGCCGGCTGCTCCCAGTGCAGGGCCCGCCAAGCCCACGCCCACCCAGAACTCCAGCTGGCCCGCAAGCGCCCAGCACAGCCCCAGTTCCCACTCGCGCCTCTCCTTCCACACCTCCCTGCAAGCTGAGGGAGCCGGCTCTGGCCTTGGCCAGCCCAGAAAGGGGCTCCTATAGTGCAGCGGTGGGCTGAAGGGCTCCTCAAGTGCTGCCAAAGTGGGAGCCCAGGCAGAGGAGGTGCCGAGAGCGAGCGAGGGCTCTGAGGACTGCCAGCACAGTCACCTCTCAGTATGACACTGAAGAAGGAAGCTTTGATTTTTGTTTGATAAAGAAGCACACATTTCTCTCAGAGTAACTTAAGTTCTCCTCAGCAAATGCACATTCATGCAGTACACCCATAGAACAAAGAGAAAATAAGACTGTATTAATCCTTAGTAATTGGAATAGTGATTTGGGAATTAAACCACCTTCATTCTGTTCACTAATTCTTTATGTAACCATAGTCTGGGAGCTAACTTTCTGCTCACCTTAACATCTATATCAGTAGTATGACAATAATACTTCTTATATTAATACAGCATCCTGCCATGCCATTAAATAGAGCTCAAGCCTAATTTTGAAGGCCTAAAACAAAAAAACACGTACTATATGTGAATTGATACCTGGCCCCACGTTAAAACAAAACTAAGCTTTCATAAAAGCATTTTTCTCTGCCAGGCCCTTTATAACTATGTTTAAACATGCAATATCTTTTCTAATTGTTTTTCTTTACTTCTGTACTTCTACATTGATGATAAAAATGAACTTCAGAGACACGTTAAGAATGATTCCCGGCTCCTGTAATCCCCAGCTACTCGAGAGGCTGAGGCAGGAGAATGGCATGAATCCAGGAGGCGGAGCTTGCAGTGAGCCGAGATCGAGCCACTGCACTCCAGCCTGGGCGACAGAGCGAGACTCCGTCTCAAAAAAAAAAAAAAAAAAGATAATCATTCCCATATAGATTTTGCACTGTAAAATAAATGTCTAATTACAATGGGAGTATTTGTAAGTGATTTATCCAAGTGGAAGGAAAACATAACAGATTCTGTCTGTCCTGCCATTGAAAGTTCTTCTGAACATGGGCAATTGCTAATTGTATGCTCAAGACAACAACAAAATAATTAAGACAGAACAGGCTCCCTTCAAACTAGGAAGTGATGAGTTTCATACCAATAAAACATACACACTTCACAGTTTATTAAATTATTCACGTGACAAATCCAAACAATATGAATATTAGATAATATTTTAGTTAGAATAGGACTTACTTAAGCATGTGGGATTAGTATACTTTGTTCAATGTTATATATAATTATACTATAAAAGGTATAATTTAACCCAATATTTAAGTAAACTAATCTTAGGATTTTCATTTTAGAGCATAGAAATGCCCTAGAAATGAGGTTAAATCTAACCAAAGTCGCACCATTTATTACTTTGGGTTACCATATCACTAACCAACTTAGAAATTAGACTAAGGACAAATTTTCCCTAAATAGTTAAAGAAAATAAATTATGTTAAAGTATATATTCAAAATGACTGTAACTTCAAAGCACACAAACTTAAATAGGTATAGAGATAAATATGGAAAGAAACAGGCTAATTCACGTGTGTTCTGTACTCGCTAAATGTCTTTATAATATTCTTTCTATCTATATGAATGCAAGTACATCAAATTTTCACAGAATTTTACCAATGAATAAATTGCATACTTTTTAATATGCACAAAATTGCATGCTTTTTAGGATGAAATAGTAGAGATATTAAACAAAAATGACTACCTGTTGCATATGTCACTAATAAAGTTCTCAAAAACCAAAGTTGAGATTTAAGAGTTCTGTGCTCCTTGTTCTGCCACAGATTGCCAGAGCATTCTATTCTTTAGATAATATATTAATTGTATTGTATAATTATACCATGTGAGGCTAATTATTTGATGAGCAATCATGAATGCAAACAGAAATAATCCAAAACTTCCCACCAAACACCTTTTCAATTAAAATATGTCATTACAAAGCTCAATATCCATTTCAGGTCTCTCTTCACTATGAATTTCCAAATAGCTTAATAGCTGATCTTATTTAAAAATGCTTTATACTTTTCATTTATTCCTTGACAAATGTATATCTGAAATTCTAAATCTCGTCATTATAAATGTATGATTCTCAAGCTGGATAAAACATAGTCAGAATTTATTCCAAAGATGCTGCTAATAAACAACAGCGAGAATTATTAGATACCACACTATGTACTTAGCTCAGAGAACTAAGTCGTAATTACATTCATGATTTGTATTATGTGCATAAAATATAGATATATGGGTAATAATATATGTATATATTTTTAAAAAATCAATTTATATTGAATTTCACAGAGAACAAATGATTCAAGATTTAAGAGAGTGTATGACATAAGTATAATTCTATATTTGTAAAAAGTCTGATAGCACGCTAGAAGTAGAAAAGATTTTCTCTAGCAGGTTTTGCATCGTGCTATATAAAAAAGATATATATTTTCTCTTTTTTTGCTTTTAATTATTTTGTTTTTTTGAAAAAAAAATGGACCCCTCCCTATATGCACACTACTTCTTACATAGCCAAGACTTCCCTCTTGTGGCTGGTTGATGTTAATATATACTTCTTTATTTTTTTAAGTGACCACTTTTTAAAATTGTTTCAGCAAGGAAACTGAAAAGACAAAAGTGCATAGCTTAAGATATGTGAAGTCAAAGATAAATACAATATAAGTTGAGTAAGCTTATCAGATTCTCTGAAATATTCTAGATTTTTAATTTTTCCAGTTAAATTTTCAATATTCTTTCTAACACTTCCTTTAATACCTTTGCCTTCCTGAGTATTAATATCCTACTTCTGCTCCTGACTTAAATTTCTAGGAATGTCACTTTAATCAAAAACTATTAAATAGCTTTTGAAATTAAGGACGTTCTATGTCATTTAGACTGTGTTTCTCTGTCCAAATTTAAGTAGATCAAAAAAATGGAAAACAAAGTAATTTTTATTAACATTGCTTAAAAAAAAAAAAGCCCTGACTTTCTTGAAATTTAGAATTTACCAGGTAAGAATGTGAGCTGAGAAGAAAGACTTTAACTTTTAAGTCACTACCATCTTGAGTTAGAATAAAAACTTCACTTGTACATGGAAAATTGGTAAAATTTAGAAACACTAAGGGGAAATAAAGAGAAATGGAGAAACTACTTCAGGTGTCTTGCTTTACAATTCGTGTATCAGTTAATACTCATAAAACCCTGAGATTATGCTGCTAACTTCCTTCTTGTAGATGAAGAAATTGCTGTTTTGATAATTTTCATGAATAAGCCCCAGCCTGGAACACTAAACTTTTCGCCATCAGTTGCTATATTAGTTTTGCTAAAAAATTTTCCCTTTTTTTTTTGCCTGTGCTTTTTCTATCTAAGCATCATTCTCAACATTAGTAATATTGAAATAAAGAGGTTAAATGGTTTGGTCAAAATTACAGAAAAAAATTATGGCCCATTTAGGAAAATAAACCACACAGATTCTTTACCTCAAAGGGAAAATATTAAGGATATATTTTCCTTTATGACAATAGGCTTTACCCCATTCTAGCTGAGATGACTATTCCTTGGATGTTGTGAAAAAGCACCTATCCAGAGTGAAGTAAAAATAGCAGAGGTGCAACAGACTTGCTTAGCATGAGATTCAAAAGTAGTCTGTTTTATGATAAAAGGAACTCCAAAATATTTTTTAGAATAAAATTGCAAGAACTAGAGGTAACATATTTAAACATTTCTATAAAACTAAAGCTTAGAGATGAACTCAATCCAGGAAAAAGCCATCTGAATTATTAAACAGCTTGTCAGCATTTGCTATTTCAGGGAGGAAAGCTAGTTGTTATGCCTCCTTTTTGATGAGGTTTAGAGAAAAAAAAATTACCTTAATGGCACAATATAATTGAGGCAACAATTCACATACCATCGCCTGTCATATATGATGAATTCCAAAATATGATTGCCACACTTTAGAAGACTCATTCTTCTGAAAATTGTAAAGCAAAAAAGGGAAGATTTGAAAACATGTAATATAAAAATTAAATTATTCTTCTGAGAATGAAAGTGTCCTATAGGAATTAGTATGTTAAACAAGAAAACTGCTTTATAATCACCTAGAAAGTTGTAATACATTATCATTGATTGTTCTTGAGTTTATTTTCTTTGCAGCAATCTGTTTCCAGTGATCCATAATTAAAGCCATTCTAGGCATGAATAAATACGTAAGAAGGGTTGAAATCTGACATTATTTAAAATATTATTTTCCCCTCTATTTTAATGAACAAGAAGTGATCTCAGAAATATTTGCTCGCTAATGCTGGCAGAGATTTAAAGTTAACAGTGAACATGAAACTTCCTTTACATTGCTAGGGCAAACTATCTTAGAGGTTTTTGTTCTTCAGAGCTGAACACGCTTTTTGAGTTTCAAATTGTTTGAGTTATCTTTAATTCCATTAGAAATAAAGCATGAGACAGTAAAAACTGCTCTATCTGAGAAATATCATCTTTCTTAATTCAGTGTCATGGGGAATCTTTCAGAGGAATATCAAGGGTTGTCAAATACTGCTAAACCAATGGGCCATATTAGATTTAAACCATGATGCATACTTCTGTTGAAAGCAGTATTATATTAGTAGAGCATACAATAGACTTGAATACAGAAGACAAATCTGGCCATGTATTTGTCATAAGGTATGCACTCATAAGTTCTCTATTATTTCAATTGTCATAAAGTAACAAATGCATCTTACTGAACTCTTTTTTGTTAAAAAGGAAAAGATAGATACGTAATGCACCCTATGTTAACAAAGATACTTTAACAAAATAGGTCATGTCTACAGGGTTTAACTAGACATTAGACCATGAAATACTTGAGTTCTTACCATTACAACAGTGACAAATTGGTGATTTCAAATCTCAGTTAGCAATTCTGTAGTGAGGTGAAAAGTTCATTGTTTCTTGGTTTTTTGTTTTGTTTTGTTTTGGTCATACTTGGCAACCATGTTTCAAGGAATAACCTATTTCTTCCTCATATAGTTTTGGCTACTTAGATTATCCCCTGAGTCATGTTTTTGGTAATTAAGCCTCCATATACTTGTAAAAAATAATGAATCCATTCTGCACTCAGTAGCTTAATTCATTTTTTGAAAGAAACGATAGAAACAGTTTTAGAAAAAAATGCCACATCAAAAAGTGGAAAATTGTAGTGGACAAACTAAGAAACCAACAGTCAAGAGCATAAATCCAAAAAGCATGGCATAAATCAACTTTGAGAAAATATTAATAATACAGGAATTTTATATAATGTGTCATATTTTCTAAATATTCAATTTTAATATTCAATATTCAATTTTATTCTATTTTTCATAACTCTTTAAGCTAAGAGATATCCATTTTTTAAAAAATTAAAACCTTGTTAATTGTTGTAAGCTTAAGCACAGTAGGGGCAATGAAATTAAAATTCTAGATTGATGGGTTTGCATTTTATTTCATTTTATTTTTATTTTTATTTTTGGTAGAGACCGGGTTTTCACCATGTTGACCAGGCTGGTCTCGAACTCCTGGCCTCAAGCTGTGTGCTCACCTCAGCCTCCCAAAGTGCTGGGATTACAGGCATGAGCCAAAGTGCCTGCCCAGTGGGTTTGCATTTAAAAAGAAACAAAAACTCTGAAATCTACTATGAGTTCCTGAGCAAGTGTATGACATCATTTTTTTAAACAATCTTAGCAACACTGTATTCTTACTTTGATATATAAAATGATGTTGAAGAAATTGAAAATGCTCATTCTGAAGAAAAAAACTTTAAGAACATAAATTTGGAAGGACCGTGTTGTAAAATAGATTTATTCCTTTTTTTTCCCAAATGGCAGAATAATAATCATTAGGAATTTGTCACAAGGGAGCTTATGTAGGCTTCAATGTCTGATAATTTGTGTCCTAGAGAGGGGAGTTTCCCATTACTGTGAAGCCTAATTATGTAGGAAGTAGCAGGAATTTTCAAACTAGAGTTCTGGAGTCAGAGTCTCAGGTTCAGATCCCAGTTCTACCACTGAGATTGAGCACTGTGGATAACAAAAGTACCTACATTGTTAGGTTGTTGAGGAATAAATAAGACTTAAGAAAACACTTAGCTCAGGAACTTTACACATATAGCGTAAGAGATCAGTAGGCCAGGTGCAGTGGCTCATGCCTGTAATCCCAGCACTTTGGGAGGCCGAGGCGGGTGGATCATCTGAGGTCAGGAGTTCGAGACTAGCCTGACCAACATGGTGAAACCCCGTCTCTACCAAAAATACAAAAATTAGCCGGGCGTGGTGGCACACATCTGTAATCCCAGCTACTCGGCAGGCTGAGACAGGAGAATCTCTTGAACCCGGGAGGCAGAGGTTGCAGTGAGCTGAGATCGTGCCATTGCACTCCAGCCTGGGCCACAAGAGTGAAACTCTGTCTCGAATTCAAAAAAAAAAAAAAAAAGAGAGAGAGAGATCAGTAAATTTTAATTATTATTATTTCCCCCACATACAAGCTTCCTTCTGCCTAGAAGGCACTGACAAACTGCTAGGCATTAAACAATGAGGTATCACCTAAAGTATAAAGTTAAATAAGATGGTTCGTGCTTTTGAGAAGTTTATTGTTCTCAAATTAAATAAAATGTGAAATCATTTTAACATGACCTGCTATGTGCTAACCAGAGACTGCGAAAACAGAGGAGGCAGACACTGGGCTCACCTGAATTTCTAAGCAGGCTTGCTCTGCAGCTGCTAGGATGCCCTCCAAAGGATTCATGGCTCATAGTTGCTTTCTTTCTGTGTGCCCTAGATTTTGATCAGAACTGCGTAATTCCAAATTATTTAGGTGACGATTTCTACAGATGGCTAATCTCATCATTATCTTTTGCTTCATATGAGTGTCACTGTTAGAAGTAGCCTTGTGCTCAGTAATGACTTTACATTTTCTGCATAGAAAGCTCTAGAAATGAGGTCGGAAGTTAGGACTAGAACATTTATCTGAAAGCTGTGTTTCTGTGGCAAGTACATCCATTGTCTTTTTTATTAGGATGGGTTTGGGAGAAGTAACAGGGATAATGGGAATCCAACACCCCACAAGCCATTCCTTGATACCTCCACTGCTGAGTTTATAATAAAAAACAGAACTTAATCATTTTTAGTATTTCTCAAAATGTCATTTTATTCAAACCTGAGATTTAAAAAAAAACCCTGTAATTTTGAGAAACTACCTTTCTTTCACTATAGTGCATGCAGTTTGTCTTCAACATGATAAAGCATTTCTTCCGTTTCAAGAACCTTCTCCACTGTCCATCTTTGAGGATCTTTTGCATTCCTCAAATACTCACTGAACACCATGTCCTCTGATTTTTATGAACAAATGGATCTTTTCTCTTAATGAAACACTATACAAATACCATTTTTATGTTCTAACACAATTTTTATTCTTAATTTAGTGGTTTTATAGTTTTCTTGTCTTTTCTGAATCTTACTGACCTATGCATCATTCATAGCCGCTAAAATTGTACTTTGTCCTCAGTAAGTGCTTCATAAACATTTGCTAAATAGTGAAATTAAATAACCATTGCTTATTTTGGTTTAATAATAAAAGAGGTTAAAAAGTAGCTATGACAAATAATAATAATTTTAATGTAATTCTAGTTTTAAAAACCCTCACAATATAATTTTAGTTCAAACAATGTGGTTCATAGAAATGACTAGTTTTATATTTCTATCAAATTCCTTTGTTATGTGATTGCTAAATTACAATTCAGTGGCCAATATCCTGTGTTTCAGACTTGCCCTTTGACAAAGCTTTAAATAATGTTGTGGATCACAGAAAATAAAATGACATTTTCAAAATCATAGAGCTAGCAAATAAAAGCACCTCACTGGCATATGCTTTTGAGCCAACATTTCATTGTGGTAAAAAGGCTCCCATGTCATTCTAATACATATTAGGGAGGATCATTCCTTTTGTTAGGGAATTGATATCTCCTAAAAAAATTATGTTGTCTACAAATTTTACATTTAGAAAATTAATAGAAAGAGATAAGTAAAATAAAGATGTCCAAATCATTTAAGAATTTCATTGCAACTAACTGTTTAAAAGCCTATTGCTCCCAAACAAATTTTCTAATTTTGACATTAGAACAATTGGTTGTCTACTTATAATTCCTACAGAGAATACCTGTAACCATGATGGCAAGTTCGTGATGAGATTTAGAAACTTCAAGACTTTAGTTGGCCTAAAGATAGACAGTCAGTATGTTAGAATGGCAAACTTTATTAATAAAGCTATTTGCTCCAAGCTAGTAACTGCACCATTGTTTCTTGCTTTCACCCTGCCTTTCCTGTGCTGCTTTTTCTATTTTATATTCTCATTTTATTTTAGTTCAGTAATATTCACCAAAAGTAGCATTTACTTAAGTAGTTTTCATGAAACAGTAGTTCCGTGACATTTGCTACAATAAAATTAAACTTTTGTCACACAGGCTCTAGAAAATATTACATATTCCATTGTCATCCTTAGACATTTACACATTAGAGTATTATGTCTATTTGAATATACATCATTATATTAAAAGTTTTGAGAAATCAACAGTAAAGAAACTTACTTAACCTGGTTAACCATCATGTTATAATTTATATGACTTTTTGCCAGGTAACTTATTAGAAATAACAATATATATTATAATATACATATGATATATATTATATTATACAAAATAATGTTATGGACCATGGACCACATTAAACGCTTTACCTGCATTATATCATTTAATCATCACCACAACTTGAGGAAGTATGTATGATTATTACCCAAGTTTGCCGATTAAAAAATCAAAGCATTTCAAAATTAAGAATTTGCTGAGGTTGACAGACTGTTAAGATTTGGGACTTGATTTGTCTCAAGGGTCCATTCTTTTACCCACTGTGTTCTTCTATCTCAATACAATTAAAAACTCTTATAAAGATATTTTAGATTTCAGGGACAAGAGGAGTATGATAGGGATGTTAATTTTTTCAAATTTTGTTCTCACTTTGAAAAATATTATTTGAAGATAAGGCATGATAGTATTCTGTGTTATACAAATTCTCTTTAATAAGATTCTTATCTTCACTCTTATCTGTTTGAACATATGCTTCACTCATCTTTTTCTTTTATTACTTTCTACCTTAAGATTTTAATATCTTGTTTATATAATTCAGATTTACAAAGTGCTGAGTAATGTTTCAGTTGAAAGTCAGACTTAGACTTCTCTCACACTTCTGCTTATCATTTCCATAAGATTCATTTTCAGTTAATCAAGCTCAGCAATTAAAAAGAGAAAGTCAATAATTAATAATATATATAATTAATTTATATGACAAATTATTGGATTTTTGAAAGACATAGAGATTCAGTTAACTTTAGTAAAATTTTACTTTGTATTGGGTATTGTACCAGAAACAGAGATAAAAATTAAAATAAAATATGGATCTGGTCTTCATGAAACAAGGAGTCTAGTGGGGAAAAATAATCCTATAGAAAAAAAAACTCATACTGTAATACAAAGAATGATAAATAGAATGAATCAAGGATGCATAAAGAATTAGGGGACCTTAGAAAAGAAAATATCACTCTGATTTAGCCAAGTAAGTTAGCCAGGTGAAAAAAGTAATAAAAGAATGTGGTTCCAATGGAGAGAACAGCATTCACTAATCACACAGGTGAGAAACAGCTGTGTGTGTGTGTGTGTGTGTATGTATTTCTGTGTTTGAATAGTAAGCATCTCTTGATTGTTAGGGCATGAAATGTAAACTCTGCAATAGTACAGCAAGAGACTGGATAGGTGAAAGACACAGAACAAGCCATGCAAGTCTACTATATTGTGCCAAAAGATTTGTGAAATCCACTGAATAATTTTAAGCAGAGAACTAACATGTTTTGACTTGCATTTTGGACAGATTATGATGACTTCAATCTCGGGAACAGATTTTCATGAAACTTAACTGATGATGAGACCATACTGGGCCTTATCATGATTATTGAGGTGAGACATGATAAGAACTTGAGTTAGAGCAATGGTAACAAACAGGGAAATTAGCGGATCAATTCTTGCAGCATTTAGGTGGTAAAACTGGATGATAGAGGGTTGCATTTGATATATGTGTGGAGAGAATGTTATGAACTCTGAAGTTTTGTGTCCCCCCAAATATTCAAATGTTGAAGCCTAACCCCCAGTGCATTGGGTTTTGGAGATGGGGGTCTTTAAGAGTAATTAAGTTTAGCACTTTGGGAGGCTGAGGCAGGCGGATCACCTGAGATTGGGAGTTCGAGACCAGCCTAATTAACATGGAGAAACTCCGTCTCTACTAAAAATACAAAATTAGCCTGGCATGGTGGCGCATGCCTGTAATCCGAGCTATGCAGGAGGTTGAGGCAGAAGAATCGCTTGAACCAGGGAGGCGGAGGTTGCAGTGAGCCGAGATCATGCCATTGCACTCCAGCCTGGGCCACAAAAGCAAAACTCCATCTCAAAAAAAAAAAAAAAAAGTAATTAAGTTTAGATAAAATCATGAGGGTGGGGCTCCCATGGTGGGCATAGTGTCCTAACAAGAAAACGAGGAGAGACCAGAGCTCACTCTTTCTCCACCATATGAGAAAACATCCAGCAGACACCTTCTTCAAGCCAGGAACAGGGACCTTGATATGGTTTGACAGTGTCCCCACCCAAATCTCATCCTGAACTGTGGCTCCCATAGTCCCCATGTGTTGTGGGACAGGCCTGATAGTAGGTAGTTGAATCATGGGGGCAGGTTTTTCCTGTGCTGTTCTCATGATGTTGAGTGGGTCTCATGAGAGCTGATGGTTTTATAAAGGGCAGTTTCCCTGCACATGATCTCTTGCCTGCAGTCATGTAAGACATGCCTTTGCTCCTCTTTCACCTTCCACTGTGATTGTGAGGCCTCCCCAGCTGTGTGGAACTGGGAATCCATTAAACCTCTCTTTATTTATAAATTACCCAGTCTTGGGTATTTCTTCATAGCAGTATGAAAATGGATTAATACAGACCTCATCAGGAACCAAATCTGAAAGCATTTTGATCTTGGACTTGCAGGCCTCCAGAACTGGAGAAATCAAAGTCTGCTGCTCAAGCCACCCAATCTACAGTATTTTGTCTTAGCAGTCTAAGACAGAGGGCGAGATTAGAAACTGTCAAGCTTGACTCTCCCATTTCTAGTTTGTGTGAAGGGCTGAATTTTGGAGGCACAAACTAAACTGGAGAAAACAGAAAGAGGATCATGTTGGGAAAAATGATCACAGGTTTCATTTTGAGCACAGTTGAATTTGAGGTAATGATATCCTATGAGCAATTTCATATATTTAGAAAGTGATACATGACAAAAAGAAAAGAAGCAAAAGCTACTATAAGATATAAGCATGTGTAAATGTACCTCAAATACTCCTATTTATTGTGTAAGATAAAAGGTAAATTAGCCTTAAACTCATTGAAAAGTTAAACAAATATTTTTGCACACTCACCCTCTTCTTCTTGTTGAACTTTGTCTTCTTGGTGGTATTTTACTTTCCTAAGGATGAGTTATTTTGGAGAAGCCTTTACTGGATGCAAGTAAGAAAATCGTTAAAGAATTCTATGCTGGATTCTCAATAGCAACCAAGAAACCAGGGAGAAAACCTGTCTGAAGGGAAAACTTTTTATAAGTTTTTAGTGTGTCTGACTCAGAACTTTTTCTACTGCAAGAGAATGAAACCTAACTCACTCTAATTTAAGAAAGAAAAATGAATTATTGACTCACATTACCAAAAGATCCAAGGATACCTAGCTTCAGTCATTGCTTGATCCAGAGTCACAACAATATCAAGATTCAGTTATTATCCTTTTTTTCTGCTCTATTTCTCCCCGGAGAACCTTTTTCTCATGCCACTTTTCTCTACTTTGGGGCCCCCTAGCAGATCCCTCTTTATATTATCTTAATAATTCTATTAGGAAAAGTCTCTTTATTTTGACTTCCAAAGAAAATCACAGATTGAGTCTCATTGTGCAGGCTTGGGGCATGTGTTTAATCCCTTAATCACTCTTTCCAGTGGGGATGGAATGATTGGTTGGCCCAGCTTGGATCATTTGCCAACAGCAAGTGCTGGCAGAAGGAGAGAAGGGATATAGTTCAGTACCACCGAAATAGAGGAGTGCCCCAACAGGAAGTCAGATTCTGTCAAGAAGGAGGAATGGATACTGGGATGGCAGAATCAACAGCTGTCCACTACAGAGCCACACAGCAAAAATTACCAGATTGGAAGGAACAGCATGTGTGCCTGTAGGTTGTGTCTATTTGAGTGCAGGTATATGTACTCAGTGACAATAAGAAATGTCCATGGCATGGTACCTCTCTTCTGGTCTGTTTCATTTGGGACATTTCTCCCTCAACCCCAGCAGAATAAAAAGATCCTTAGTGTCCCTGGCTCCTGATAATCATATTAGCTCTTAAGAAGCAATCCCTGGTTAACTTCACTCCTATCCTTCCTTCTCAATGTTCTAGTATCTCTCTCTGGAGCTACATATTCAAAACAAATAAGACCCCATCCAATTTAGCATCAGAGAAGCTTAAAGTAACTAATTTTCTTTACACTCACTTCCCAAACATTTGGCACATCACGAGACAATGTATAAATGACAGCTCTTCAAAAGTGAGGAGATAGGGGTTAGGTGCCATAATATGATGAAAGCAATACAAAATTTAACATCTTTTTACGGCTGCTTTTTTCCCTTCACGAAGTCCACACATCCATAATTCCACTCCCTCTTTCATTTCCTTGCTGTCTGCTTCCTTCTCCCATTAAATTAACACAGAGATAATCCTCAATCATGCACAATTAAATGTGAGTAGCTCTCAGACTGGCAGCCTTGCATTCTGTCCCTCTATAAGCTGCTGGGGACCAGAGAGTCTGTGGAGCTGAAACTCTGTCCAGAACTGAAAAGACAATACTGTATTTTACTATATTTTAGTGCAAACATAAAATATAGCAATTAAATTACATGTCAGATGTGCCCTAAGTATCTAACTGCTATTTATAAAATTTAAAATGTATATAATTATTTCTTTTGTTAAATGTCTAAATTCCAAACAATTTAATTTTAGGCAGTACCGTTATAGGGAAGAAAGAGGCGCATAGTACATCAGAAACCATGTGGCGTATAATTGTCATTGAAGATGCGTTTCTAATATTCATGCATAGTATAATTAGAGTAAACATAGAAACTAAGTATCTGATTTGTAAAGATATTTTTTCTATTTGTTTAACTGCTCTTTGTCTAGCACCCATTGCAGTATCTGACACATAGTAGGTATTCCATAATTGTTCATTGAATGATTCAATGAAAGAGAATTCCAAGTGTGTGAGATATGGAGACAGAAACTGTAACTAGAATAACTATTGCAAAAGTTATTTACAAGTAAACAAACCAAAAAACAAAAAGGGAAGAAAAAAATACCACCATGCTGAGCTACAGCTACACCAGTCTCAATTAATAATCAAGCTTCTATAATGCTAGAGTGAAAAATATTGAGAGAAAAAGTAGATTGCTTCCTGAGAGCTTCTGTAATGCTAATAGAATCTTTAGACTCCATTGTCACACTGATGATTCACTGGTAAAAAGCAGGCACACTTTTTTTTGGCCTTCATTATCAGCCCATTTCTGGCCTGATTTGCTTTAGATGATTTAGACTCTGCTGCACCTGAACTGTGACTTTCCATATCAGAAAAGGGAATGAAAGATGAACAAAGACAAAAAATGGAGGGGGAAGTAAGAATAAGAAGAAAAACCAAGGCTATAAAATTAAAAACATAAAAAAATCATAGCAGTCTGTCTACTCTGTGCCTGAGGTTAAAATTTTAAGTATTTTCAGGGCTTCTACTCACCCCTTTACCCCCCAAAAACTTCTATTTTCTCGTATCTAAAGGACATTGCTTTATGGTGTGTGCAGCAAAATAGGTTTTGTTTTGTTTTGTTTTGTTTTTTAAGCTGTCTGCAGTCCACAGTAGAAGAGTCAGGGAATCTAGCTACACTACAATGCTCCTTTTGGCATTCTTCACTGCAACCATTCATTGTGGCAGTAGCTAACATTTGTCAGTTTAAGCCGTAAGCACATCTCTTGCCCATTACCAGACAACTTCAATAATTTTTGAATAATTTTAAATCACTCCAGTGCCCAGGAAGACCCGAGAAAAAGCACAAGCCAAGCTCCTATTTCACAGTATAGCTGCTACTCCTACAACAGACACTGGGCATAAATGAAGTTCTGAATGACCTGTGGTCAGTATGGGAATTTGGAACTAGCCAGGAGCACGTCATTAAAAAAATAATAATAATAAGTATTCAAAGCTAAAGTTACTTTACTTTACCCAAATACGCAATGATAAGACCAGCTGCATGGAGAGCCTCAAGTATCTCCAGTATTTATTTGTGAGATTTACACTCAAACACATGTAATCATCATTTTCAAGACCAGCATTGAGGAATAGAATAGAGATCCTCAATAAGCATAAATATGATTACACAAGAGGTGAAAGTGGGAACCCTGTTTTGATTTGTATTAATGTCATATTTTTTATGGTTTCTCTCTTGAGAAAACCAAATCTGTGACACTATGCACAAAATGATGAGACTATAGTCTGGTTGGCCCAGGCATATTAGTTTATATGTGGATAGCTATAGTAAGTTGCTACATTCATGCAATAAAAATGTCAGAATTCTTGAATGCAGTGCCTCTGATTAGGCGAAACAAAAGGCTGAACTAAATTCCCAGTTTGAAAGTATCAATCTTATCGCTGCATTTCTGAGTGAGTCCTGTCCTCTCCTCTTTTTCCCGTGGTTATCTAGCCTAGCTATATCAATCTATGCTGTATGTAGAGCATTTTGTTGTGTGAAAGCTTTCTGGCTGTGGTGGAACAATGAAATCTCCTTTCATTTAATTGTTTGTGAAATCTGTGCAGTCCTCCTTTTCTGAAGGAAAAAACCCATGAAGTCTCTCTATGAAAATATGAAATTTAAGAGAAATCACACTTACTCTTAAATGATCAAAAACAGAGTAGGCTGCATGTCAAAAATCCATCAGAAAGCCATCATTTCCTTTAATGCACTAGATTTTATGAATTAAAGCTTCTTTTCCTGGCCCTTCTGCACATTAGCATTTTTGATTGTTGATTAGTAAACATAAGCATTTTAATGGCCTCTTCTAAGACGACTTCTAAGAATCTTTACAGAGGTTCTCTGGCTTATTTACATTCACAAAGATTAAACAATCATCACACTTGCAAAAAATATACTGTCTGTAAGATAATAAAAGCCAGATTTGCCACCATTTTGTCCAGTAATAAGTGAAAGAGAAAAAAATAATATTCACTTTGTTGATATTGTTTTTTCCTCCCCACATTTTTAAAAGTACAACAAAATTGCACTGTACTATATGCAAAAGAAAATTTGTCTATGACGAGAGAGCTACCATGAAACATTCACTGATACTTCTGCGTGCTTCAACCAAAAAGGAGTTGTAATGCTGCTTCCTTGGTTTTCTCCATAGAGAACAAAACAAGGAGTTTATGGCAAATGTACAGTGTGATTTTTATATGAAAAATAAATGATTCACTTATTATTTGTATCTGTAAAGGTTTTGATTTTTTTTTTTCTTCGAGTTATTCTTAAGGCAATTTGAGATCTCTATCAGAATTTAAAAGATAGGTGGTAAGCTTAAAAATGAACACAAACTCAGAGTGAATACAGTCAGTACCAGCTCCGGTTGTTATCTACAAATTCTGTAACTACATGTTGTCAAGAGCTAGTCAAGTACAATTAAGGCAAAAAACCAACATAATCAAAAATCATAAGTTAGCATGCAGTGTTGAGGTTAAAATATAAATTTAATCCTGACATATATAAATAAGCCAAAAGAATGTAAGACACACAAGGTCACCTCCTTATTCATATTGCAGCAAAGAAAAGAAAAGTGGAAAATCTACGAATTGATTGGAACAATCCTAGGAATTATAACAGGACAAGTGAGGTTTTAATACTCCTTCAGGCTACCACTTATTCTTCCAACCTTAATCTTGAGTGAACTTGCCCTTACTATCTCTAAAACTGAATTTTTAAACTCCACAAAGCATATTAAGAGAGAGGAAGTACATTATTTATATTGACTCCTGTCTCAAGGAAGCAGGATGAATTAATGAAATCATCTTGGGCAAATGTGTTTTCATCTTACATTAAACTTAAATGAACTTTTGCTGTTGACAATGCACATCTGGAATCTTAGTTCTTTCTTTTGACTGGGTGAATGATCATGAGCACATCATTACACACTCCTGGGCCCCCGTATCTTCATCAATATACTAAGGAAGTAAGAGATGTATTCTTTTTTTTTTTTTGAGATAGAAAAATTCTCCAGCTCTGTTGCCCAGGCTGGAGTGCAATGGCATAATGGTGTGATCTCGGCTCACTGCAACCTCTGCCTCCCAGGTTCAAGTGATTCTCCTGCTTCAGCCTCCCTAGTGGCTGGGATTACAGGCAGGCATCACCACCACACCTGGGTAATTTTTGTATTTTTAGTTGAGATGGGGTTTCACCGTGTTGGTCAGGCTGGGTCTCAAACTCCTGACCTTGTGATCTGTCCTTGGCCTCCCAAAGTGCTGGTATTACAGGCGTGAGCCACCGCGCCCGGCCAAAATGTATTCTTGACTAAGATAATTCTTGCAGGGACAATCAAAGGCAAAGCACTTTATTAACTATTAGCAAACTAATGAAGAACAAAACTTTGGATGATCTTATTTTATTTTATTTATTTTATTTTATTTTTTGAGACAGGGTTTCACTCCTGTCGGTGACATGACCTTGGCTCACTGCAACCCCCACCTCCCAGGCTCAAGTGCTCCTCCCGCCTCAGCCTCCAGAGTAGTTGGGACTACAGATGCATGTCACCATGCCCAGCTAATGTTTGTATTTTTCGTAAAGACAGGATCTCACTATGTTGACAAGGGTGGTCTTGAACTCCTGAGCTCAAGTGATAAGCCCACCTCAGCCTCCCAAAGTGCTGGTATTATAGGCATGAGTCACCACACTCAGCCTAGATTGATGTGTCTTAATTCTTATCTAGATTCTATGGATTACAAGCTGTAGAGTCAAGGGCTAGTTATTTAAATCCTTCTGTGCCTTTGTTTCCTCATCAGTAAAACAAGGATAATAGTACTACTTACCTCATAGAGTTGTTTCAGAATTAAATGACTTCATTTAGGTGCTGAATTTAGTACCCTCACATAGTAAGTGCTATCTAAGAATTTGATGTTATTATTGTAAATATGATATTGAAAAGTCTGACAGAGTTTTTTCTCATGCATAACACAAATCCTTATACTGCAGTTTAAGCACATACACATTCTGGTTAGTGGGAAAAGAGCTTGAAGGAAATGATTCACCATACCAAGATTGAAAATAATCTCCCGAAAGCTAAGGCAATCATTGAAAAGCTCCCCAGGATTTCATTAACCAAAGCTGTCAATTTATTTTATTACAGTGCCGCATAAAGATAGTGGTCATTATGTTTTACTAAAAAAGTAGCTGCCTTATATTACTTTTCAAAGCACATGCAAAATACTGTTATTAACAAGAATATATATCTATAGAATACATATAGAGCTTTAGAGTAAATATTAAGCTTCAAAAATATTTCTACATTTTCCCCAATAAAACCAAGAAAGAGCTGTCTAGGAAGATGATAAGTAAATAGATGAGTAATTAGAGATTATAGATAATAGATAGTTGAAACTTGTGGATTGATGTCAATTTTTATCTCAGTGATTACTCATTTGTTTGTACAGAAGGCCAAGGAAAGATAAAGATTTTCCCACAAATTAACTTTTAATGGCTCAAGCAGCAATAGCATTGCAAGAAAAAAATTTGTAAAAGAAGCAGCAGACCAGGTGACTTTAAGGAGACCTGCAATCATTTTCTACTATAAAACAGGAAAATTGAAAAGCAACAGGCTGTTTAGATTTACAAAAGAAAAAAATTGCATATAGATATTTTCATACATATTTACAATATTATGTATATTCATATGCATACACACAATACAAATTCATTTCACATATAAAAAGTGTGAAATGTGAAATGTCAAGAGTTTCATTTAATTCGTGTGTATATGCATGTATGACCAGGATGATCACTTTATTTCTCTTCTAATAAGAACACTACAGCAGAAAATGTGGCAATTTCTAACACAGGATATCCATACATTTGATCATAGGCTACCTCAAAAGGAAAACAGGCCAGGCACGGTGGCTCACATCTGTAATTCTAGCATTTTGGGTGTCCGAGGTGGGCCGATTACCTGAGGTTGGGGGTTCAAGACCAGCCTGGCCAACATGGTGAAATCCTGTCTCTACTAAAAATACAAAAAAATTAGCCAGGTGCAGTGGCGCATGCCTGTAATCCCAGCTACTCTGGAGGCTGAGGCAGGAGAATTGCTTGAACCTGGGAGACGGAGGTTGCGGTGAGCCGAGACCACGCCACTGTGCTCCAGCCTGGGCTACAGAGCGAGACTTGGTCTCAAAAAAAAAAAAAAAAAAAAAAAAGAAAAAAAGAAAACAAGCTTTTCTTACTTTTGAGGTCATTGTAAAACTCAGTGACCTGTGGAGTTAAGAAATGACTGGATTCTGTTGCTCTGGGTCATGAATCTGGCTGCTGTGTCATAATAAGGCAAACAATGTATACTTTTTAAAAGTGCACTCTAGTCATCTTCCATTATCACATTTTCACGGTGTCAACCAACATAGTTTTAACCATAATAATCAAGTCATTGAAAAAAGATCAATTTTATGTTTTAAAGACTTGGCTATAAAATACAAATGAATTAATTGTGCCAGTAAACTCAAAGTGATTTATACTTGAGTGGAAAAGTATAGGATGAACTTTCAAAATAAATAATTTGCTTTTGATAATGGGGAATAGCCATGTATAAAGGGAAGGCACATCATTTAAAAAGCCTCAAATACTAAGGTTTAGAAAGGCATCTTTTCCATTATTCTAGGGACCATATTTCAACTGGTAACAATCTTATAATTTAAAATTCCACTGAAATTGTTATATCATGCTTGGGTTCATTGTTTGGCAAGGTAGAATGGCAAAAACTGGGGGCCAGGAGATTCAAAGTTTGTTGAGACTGTCACTAATTCTATTGGTATGCCTTCAAACAAATCCTTTCACATCTCAAGGCCCTTGGTTGCTTCCTGCAAAAAAGAGGGGGCAACTAGACAAAAGATCTACACTCTGAGATCTAGCTTCTGACACAAGATGAGAGGTTAGCTTGAGTTTCTAACTCTCAGATTTGTTATCATATTGTAAACTGCTCAAAATGTGTAAGTACCATAGATTATACAATTTGAGACTGGTGAAAAGAACATGAAAAATCACAAGACCAATTTATTCTGTTCACATGATGCTGACACACATTTTCTCACGATGACCAGTGTGGAAAGCTAACCTCACTTAAGCATATGACATAATGTAACGCTCTCAAAAATGAGAATCACCATCAAATTCTTCTTCAAGCTGAAACTCATTAATGGTGGTTCAAAGCCATTTCCAACCAAGAGGAGAACTGAGTCTGAAAAACCACCCCCAAGATCACCTCTACACAGGCACACACATACCCCAAGCTCCTGATAAGCCCCAATGCTCTTCCAGTATTATATTGTCCCAAACTCATCCTTATTTTGGTAGCCAGATTCAGATTTACATGAAAAACAGAAAGTAGGCAATCCTTAAGACAGTTAGAAACCCTTAAATGTATTTATTTCTGGATATTTTTTGCTGTAAACTGTCCTGACCACTGGTGTTTAGGGGTGAAATCAGGGTTGGGCTTTGCAGGGCTGGGATTCAGTGTTCTTGGGAGCCTGTGCCCAACTATTTTCAAATGTATACTTTGAAATGTATATTGCACACGTAAACACAAAACACTGTCACAAAGCATGATTGCCCTCTAGGTCTCTAGGGCAACCAAAAAGGAAACAAAAGGCAGAATATAGAAGTTGTTGGATGTTTTTTCTTTTAATACATGCAAAATGCACTTACTGGCATGAATAGATTATCATATCCCTTTATCTTTGAGGCTTATCTGTAGCATTTTTATACAAATAGATTTGATTTCTTAGTGTATCTGTGGTTATTCAGTGCATAAAATAAATTGAGGGTGGGGTTCTTATACTCGGTCTACTGAAAACAAGTTTTTTACACAGACACTGCAACAATCATCACTACATTCCCTCCCTCCTCATACTCTTCTAACTAGGTATCTGCATTAAGTGCCAACAATATTTTTGAAAGCCAAAATTATTTGTGAAATTAATAATCTGAAAAATGACTCTCATCCAGCTTCAAATTGGCCTTTTGTCTCATTTGGTAGTGTTATTCATTACTCACCAACCTTATGAAATTCACAAAGAGAGACGCAGCATTATTGGTTTCTGAAATACCAGTGTGACTTAATTTCTTCAGTAAATGGGCTAAAATAGATGCATTTAAAAAATAATGGTGGATGGGAAATTTTAATATGAAGCTTTCATTAAGAATCTAATGCCTGCCACATATGCATTGGCTTGTTACTTTTCAAACATGTTTGCTTTTTTTTTTTTTGTAGACACAGGCTTAGAGTCAAACACTCCATAATTGACTGCTTATGAATGTTTTCTATCGAATCGTTGACATTGGTAGTGTGTCACAGCTTGAGAGAGTGATCCACAAAACTTCTGTGCCACCACTGAAAGATCATAGGAATATTTGCCATTCATGTCTGTGCTTAGAATGGTATTTGATGAATACACAGCCTTTAAAGATTGTTGGATACATTTACTATTCAGAGTCAAACTGAAGTTTTTTTTAATATTTTTATCCAATACTCTGAGGGAAAGTTATTTTTGCATTCATAGACACTTAGCAGAGTTGAATGTACTGTATACATGTTATTTTCCAGATATAGTAAATGCTAAGGTCTGCTTTTTTATTTCTTTTTTATTTTTTCAAGAAAACAGCTTTCATCTTAGGAACTTGGTTATGTGGCATTCCTAACATAAAGAAAAACATTCTGAAGGATGCACTCATTCTTGATTTTAAAACCAGTTGAAAAGGAATTTTTCAAAGGTGATAATATATGCCTATTGAAGGAGGGTTCCTTTAAAAATAGTTATTTTCCAGTCATAGTCTCCCTATTTTCCCTTTAAACAATGCGCACATTTTTTAAGGCCAGCTATAGAATCAAAAGTATCAGAGCTAGAAAACATCTTAAAGATTCTCTATTCCAACCACATCTTATGACACAGCATGATTGAGAGTCATCTGTGGCCATGAAATAAGTTTTTCTCTACACTAATAACTGAGCTGAATGGAGAGGGAGCAAACAAAAGTTATTAAAAGCAACTAAGTTTGTACCATATTGTTTAGCAATTTTAGGCTGCATTGCATCATCACCATCGTAATAGCACCTTTCTCTGTGAGACTCCTTCAAAACTGAGCTGCTACAGATAATCATTTCACCAATTTCCAGTAGTTCCTGCTCTAGAACACAGAATAAAACAGGTCAATGTCATGACAGGCGAAATGAAAAACAAAGGCTAAAAGCCCAAGCTTGTTAGTTGGAGAAATTTTTGGAAGGAATGAATATCAAATAAATTATTACATAGAAAAAGGCAATCACTACTCACCAGTAACCAAAATAAGAGCTGTCTTTAGATATGTTGAAACTAATGAATTGCGATTAGTGAATTTCAAACTTTGGGGAAGATATGGAAAGGAAGATGTTGGCATTGCCAGAATCCTAAAGCTAATCCCCCTGAAGTCATCACAAAAATCACACTGGAAGATTCTTCTCCCTCCCACCTTCACCCTGTGCACCCCATTCCGTCTATAGCATGCCCGTTTGTGACTGCTTTTTCCCTTTAAGATTGTCTTGGAACTTTTTATTTTGGGAAAATGTACATGAGAAATGCAGGAGGGGTGTGAGAAGAGAGAGGGACACTGATGTGGGAATGAAGAGAATGTATATAAATTATTTTTGGTCCTAATTCATTTAGAGTCTTCTGGAAAACATCATCTGTATTTTTCCATTGTTTGTGGAGTTTTTTCTTTGTTTTTTACTTCTTTTTTACCAACAATTAAATATTATATCTATTTATGGTGTACAGCATGATGTCTTGGTCTATGTAAACATTGTGGAATGGCTAAATGAAACTAATATGTGCACTAGCTCACATACTTACCATAGTTTTGTGACAAAAACACTTAAAATATACTCTCTTAGTGACTTTAAGTGTACAATATA
This sequence comes from Homo sapiens, assembly GCF_000001405.40. Classification (NCBI taxonomy): domain Eukaryota; kingdom Metazoa; phylum Chordata; class Mammalia; order Primates; family Hominidae; genus Homo; species Homo sapiens. The sequence continues at coordinate 58,980,923 of NC_000013.11, forward strand.
TTATTATTAATTATAGCCAGCATGATGTACAATAGACCTCATGAACTTATTCATCCTGTTTGGCTAAAATTTTGTGTCCTTGACCAACATCTTCCCAATCTGCCTATGCTATTTCATTTCTCAATTTGATTCCATTGACATTTTCCCACTCAGCTGTTATTTCACATCAAACTGATGACTCCTGACAAGATTCTCAATAGAAATTATTATTGGAGCCATTATAGATACCTTAAACTAAAAATTTTTAAAAATACAATAATGTCAAATGGATGGTAAGAGCTTTCATGTTGCTATTCATACAGCTGTCTTTTTTTAAAATTTGTAATATGGGCTTTATTATTGTTTATGTTTCTATAAAACCATTAAAAATGATTATTTTTAATGAAGAGATTATTTTACAGTTTTACTTGTTTTGCTTGTTTTATTTTTATTCAAGATCCAAGTTTAAACAAATAGAGTAATGATAGCTTTTCTAGAAAAACATGAACATCATTCTTTGATAATAAAAATGTCTTTACTGTTAAACAGTAGGAATTTTAATTATGCAATGAAAGGTACTAGACATTTCAGGAAGGGGTTTATACAAATATCCTCATCTCAGGCTATTATTTCTCTTAAAACAATCAAATTACTAAAGCCTGAAAGTACTTCAGCCAAAGTTATATCAGACTGAGGAAATGTAAGGCTTCCAGTGTGTGCCACCATTACAAGTATGCTGATGAGAACATGGATATCACCTTTGAGGCCCTCTTATTGGGGTTTTCCTTTTTGAAAAGAAGAACAAAAAAACAAAATTTTTTTGTTTCAATGTGATTGTGTCATTTTGATAAATTCATTTCCTAGTCCTGACATACCCTTAAAGTGTGAAACTTTCTCTTGCACATAGAACTGTTCATGGGCTTCCAACGTCTTTTTATTATTATTATTGTCATGCTTTAAGTTCTGGTATACATGTGCAGAACGTGCAGGCTTGTTATATAGGTATACATGTGCCATGGTGGTTTGCTGCACCCATCAACCCATCATCTATGTAAGGTATTTCTTCTAATGCTATCCCTCCCCTAGCCCCCCACCCCCTGCCAGGCCCCAGAATGTGATGTTCCACTCCCTGTGTCCATGTGTTCTCATTGTTCAACTCCCACTTATGAGTGAGAACATGGGGTGTTTGGTTTTCTGTTCCTGTGTTAGTTTGCTGAGAATGATGGTTTCCAGCTTCATCTATGTCCCTGCAAATAACATAAACTTATCCTTTTTTATGGCTGCATAGTTTTCCATGATGTATATGTGCCACGTTTTCTTTATCCAGTCTATCACTGATAGGCATTTGAGTTGGTTCCAAGTCTTTGCTATTGTGAAGAGTGCTGCAGTAAACATGTGTGCATGTGTCTTTATAGTAGAATGATTTATAATCCTTTGGCTATATACCCAGTAATGGGGTTTCTGGGTCAAATGGTATTTTTGGTTCTAGATCCTTGAGAAATCGCCACACTGTCTTCCACAAGGGTTGAACTAATTTACACTCCCACCAACAGTATAAAAGCATTCCTATTTCTCCACATCCTCTCCAGCGTCTGTTGTTTCCTGACTTTTCAACTATCCCATTCTAACTGGAATGAGGTAGTATCTCATTGTGGTTTTGATTTGCATTTCTCTAATGACCAGTGATGATGAGCTTTTTTTCAGATGTTTGTTGGCTGCATAAATGTCTTCTTTTGAGAAGTGTCTGTTCATATCCTTTACCTACTTTTTTATGGTGTTGTTTTTTTTTTCTTGTAAATTTGTTTAAGTTTCTTGTAGATTATGGATATTAGCTCTTTGTCAGATGGATAGATTGCAAAAGTTTTCTCCCTTTCTGTAGGTTGCCTGTTCACTCTGATGATAGTTACTTTTGCTGTGCAGAAGCTCTTTAGTTTAATTGGATCCCATTTGTCCATTTTGGCTTTTGTTGCCATTGCTTTTGGTGTTTTAGTCAGGAAGTCTTTGCCCATGCGTATGTACTGAATGGTGTTGCCTAGGTTTTCTTCTAGGGTTTTAACGGTTTTAGGTCTTATGTTTAAGTCTTTAATCCATCTTGAGTTAATTTTTGTATAAGGTGTAAGGAAGAGGTCCAGTTTCAGTTTTCTGCATATGGCTAGCCAGTTTTCCCAACACCATTTATTAAGTAGGGAATCCTTTCCCAATTGCGGTTTTTGTCAGGTTTGTCAAATATCAGATGGTTATAGATGAGCAGCGTTATTTCTGAGGCCTCTGTTCTGTTGCATTGGTCTATATATCTGTTTTGGTACCAGTGCCATGCTGTTTTGATTACTGTAGCCTTTTAGTATAGTTTGAAATCAGGTAGTGTGATGCCTCAGCTTTGTTCTTTTTGCTTAGGATTGTCTTGTCTATATGGGCTCTTTTTTGGTTTCATATGAAATTTAAAGTAGTTTTTTCTAATTCTGTGAAGAAAGTCAATAATAACGTGATGGGGATAGCAATGAATCTATAAATTACTTTGGGTAGTATGCCATTTTCATGCTATTGATTCTTCCTATCCATCCTATCCATGAGCATGGAATGTTTTTCCATATGTTTGTGTCCTCTCTTGTTTCCTTGAGCAGTGGTTTGTAGTTCTTCTTGAAGAGGTCCTTCACATCACTTGTAAGTTGTATTCCTAGATTATTCTCTCTGTAGCAATTGTGATGGGTGTTCACTCATGATTTGGCTCTCTCTTGTCTATTATTGGTGTATAGGAATGCTTGTGATTTTTACACATAGATTTTGTATCCTGAGACTTTGCTGAAGTTGCTTATCAGCTTAAGGAGATTTGGGGCTGAGACGATGGGGTTTTATAAATATACAGTCATGTCCTCTGCAAACAGAGACAATATGACTTCCTCTCTTCCTATTTGAATATACTTTATTTCTTTCTCTTGCCTGATTTCCCTGGCCAGAACTTCCAATATTATGTTGAATGGGAGTGGTGAGAGAGGGCATCCTTGTCTTGTGCCAGTTTTCAAAGGGAATGCTTCCAGCATTTGCTCATTTAGTATGATACTGGCTGTGGGTTTGTCATAAATAGCTCTTATTATTTTGAGATACATGCCATCAATAGCCAGTTGATTGAGAGTTTTTAGCGTGAAGGGGTGTTGAATTTTATTGAAGGCCTTTTCCGCATCTATTGAGATAATCATGTGGCTTTTGTCGTTGATTCTGTTTATGTTATGGATTATGTTTATTGATTTGTGTTTGTTGAGCCAGCCTTGCATCCCAGGGGTGAAGCTGACTTGATCGTGGTGGATAAGCTTTTTGACATGCTGCTGGATTCGGTTTGCCAGTATTTTACTGAGGATTTTCGCATCGATGTTCATCAGGGATATTGGCCTGAAATTTTATTTTTCGTTGTGTCTCTGCCAGGTTTTAGTATTATGATGATGCTGGCCTCATAAAATGAGTTAGGGAGGAGTCCCCCTTTTTCTATTGTCTGGAATAGTTTCAGAAGAAATGGTACCAGCTCCTCTTTGTACCTCTGGTAGAATTTGGCTGTGAATCCATCTGGTCCTGGGCTTTTTTGGTTGGTAGGCTATTAATTACTACCTCAATTTCAGAACCTGTTATTGGTCTATTCAGAGATTCAACCTCTTCCTGGTTTAGTCTTGGGAGGGTGTCTGTGTCCAGGAATATATCCATTTCTTCTAGATTTTCTAGTTTATTTGCATGGAAGTGTTTATAGTATTCTCTGATGGTGGTTTGTATTTCTGTGGGATCAGTGGTGATATCCCCTTTATTATTTTTTGTTTCTATTTGATTCTTCTCCCTTTTCTTCTTTATTAGTCTGGCAGCAGTCTAACTCTTTTGTTAATCTTTTCAAAAAAAAAAGCTCCTGGATGCATTGATTTTTTACAGGGTTTTTCATGTCTTATCTACTTCAGTTCTGCTCTGATCTTAGTTATTTCTTGTTTTCTGCTAGCTTTTGAATTTGTTTGCTCTTGCTTCTCTGATTCTTTTAATTGTGATGTTAGGGTGTTGATTTTAGGTCTTTCCTGCTTTCTCCTGTGGGCATTTAGTGCTATACATTTCCCTGTAAACACTGCTTTAGCTGTGTTCCTGGTACGTAGGGTCTTTGTTCTCATTGGTTTCAAAGAGCTTATTTATTTCATACAGCTCTCTTTAGAAAATTTTGCCAACTTGCCTAGACGGGTGTCTTAAAAGCTTTCATTAATTGGTTGATCTAGTTCTCTACGATTGATGACATATGCTGGTTACTTGAGCTTGGAAGTAGCTCTATTGATACATGCCTACTTATTCACTTTGGTTTGTGTTTTATGTTGCTGGTATCATCATCTCTGTTTGACTCTTCTCATCTGTCTTGCCCACTGTTCCTAGTTGTCTCTCTCTTTTCTTTCCAGACTTCTAGTTAAGTATCTTATTCTAAGCATCAGATGGTAAATTATATTTTCTGTTTCTTGAGCTAAATAGATTGATTCCCATCCCCACTTTAAATCTCAGAAAGAATTAAGAATATGCCTTTCTTGGCAAAACGAATAGAAAGCCATCTCTGATTCTGACCTTCACCTATGGACAGACTACAGTAGAAGACAATTTCCAACTGTGGTAATTTATCAACTCATTAACATGTCTCTGATGAGGCACTTTGAATAATCCATCAGGAGATAGACTGGGAAATGCAAACACTACTTACAAACAATTACTAGTGCTGCCCAACTATATTCTTGGCACACCATTTTTATATCCCCTCAGTGGGAATAGTTTGAATCCACACGTAGTGACTACTCATATTTTAAGGCACTCCTGTTTGGTTTTTGTTTTACTATTTTTTATGCCAACGGGCATTTGGGAAACAACAGAAAGTATGAACTTACTCACTGTACTAATGGAATATATCTTTGGTCTAGTTAGTATTCACAGTATTAAAATCAAAGACTAGCTAGTGAGATGTTATAAAGAATATGGAAATATATACAGCCCTTTTCTGGAAAGACACTAATCTAATCACCTGCTGACCTCAGAGCTACAGCTAAACTTTGAGACAACCGTAAAGCCTACGTCCCCTCACCATGTGCCTCAGCACACCCATGGGACTGTCAGCATTAATGCTGATGCCCCACCTCCACCCACCCTGCCCTTCATCACCTAAAGCTCTCAGCCAGAAAGTGGTGACAGAGGCGGCTGGCATTGTATGTCAACAGATTATCAGGATGGTTAGTAATATTTCCTTGCTAGGAACCTTTTTAAATCCCTGCATTGGCAATCCTAAAGCTCTGTTGATTTTTGTTACTTGCTGATAAGGCTTTTAATGGCCAAAGCCAGATATATTTTTAGATCTTTTGTCACCCTGGGTCCCCTGTCACTCACTGAGGTTGGAATCAGCAGGCTATTAATTTACCCAATGTATCATCTCAAGTTCTATGAAACAGGGGAATGCAGCAAGTAGGCCTCCTGATTGTGGAATTTACTTTTGATTTTTATTCACAGAGCACTGTCATTTCTGCCTTTAAAACTAAAATGAAAACATCTGTCTGCAGCTGTGTTAGAAATCTCTTAAGGAAAACATATTGTAAAGCATCCTGTGAATTTTTATTAAAGCTATATGTATATATGTGTGTGTATATATATATATATAATGTCTGTTTGCTTAACACATCAAAATATATTTCAAATATTTTAAAATTACTGGTTAGTTCTTTTTTCCCCTGTGATAAATACTTAGAATCTTTTGTCAAATTAAATAGCAGCATTAAAAAAAATAGAAGGTAACAAACCATCAAATGAGGAACTAGATGAACTGTAGGAAGAAAAAAAATCTTCAGCACATCAAGAACTATTGGACCAGTGTCCTTGAAAAGATATAATATGAAAAAAAAATCCTTTGCTCACCACTGAAATGTTCTTTAACTGGAGGTTTCTTGTTCATAGAAATAAATCCCTGTGGGTAATCTCTCACTTATAACTGTGACTGTCTCCCGCTTATGCAGAAGAATGTAACAAGAGTAGAAAGAAGTATAAAAGAGGAATTTGAAGGGGTTTTACCAGTGCAGTTTGTTGGGGAAGGAGCAACACTAACATCAAGGTAAAGGAGGCATGCAGGAAGCAGTCCGTCAGGCAAAGGGAACACATTGTGGACTTGAACTAGGAGATAAACACATGGCAAAGCTCAACCCAACAAGAGGGAAAAGGAAGACGTCCTGTTGAGTATGCAATGTCATACTTTTCGGAAATAGTATGTTTTAAATGTTTAAATTACAAAATCAAACTGCAAAAAAAAATTGATAGAGTGGCACTACTTTATTTAAAGATCCTCCATGGTCTCCTTTTAGAGAACATTTTAAAGATAGGTCCTCTATCTCTATAGAAAGATAGGCACCTCTCTATCAAATATAGGTTCTCTTCTGGTAGAGACCCAAAACATGTTCCATTAGTAGTACAGTGAGTAAGGTCATACTTTCTGTTGTTCCACACAGAATGACAGGTAACACAGTGGGCAGGACATGGTAGAGACAAAAAGTTCACTGTGTTAAAATGTAGTGAAAAAAACCCACATGGAGAATAACGTGTTCACGTGACACACGATGAAGTTTTAGAAAAAAGTAACTCAGAAGAAAAGAGCCTTTTAATAGAAAGTGCGAACATAATTTGAAGACATTGTGAAATGTGATAAAGATTATACACTAAAATTTCCTAGAAAAATAAGCCAGATATAGCCTAAATTACATCATCTCATCCAGTTGTACGTTTTCTGTTGGTCCTAAAACTATATAGTCCCTTTCACTAAATCTTAGCTACTTCCTCCTGCAAAACCTGCATCTTTCAGGATAGGCAGCTACCTCACTTTCAAGAACTAACACTAACCCATATGGTTAACAGCTGAAGAGACACAAAGAGAGAAAAATACTGTACTAACCCTGACACCTAGGAATGTGTGGGGCACACAGTAAGTGTTCAATAAATCTGTGAACCACTAAATGAAGGAAAGCAGATAGTCGCACTGTGTAGGAGGGTAGGATCTGTCAAATATGCTCACCAGAGATCCTGTTCACTCCACTTACTTCACATCAATTTTCAAAGGAATAAAGTAATATGCAAGTTTGGAATGCTATGCAAACATCACATTGCCCCCCTCAGTATTGGCCTCTAAAGCTCAGCAATAGGAATTTCCTACTATGTTTTTCCAAGGAATTCTGTCACTTCCAAAATAATGAAATTGCACTTCCTATGATAATTTTGATATTGCCAAAGCTAAAATTCATCTTTATGTTGATTCTCTCTGACTCTTTCAGTTTTTTACAAAGTAGATTACAATTATGCAGAAAAACTGTTTTTAATAGCCATGTACTATTTTGTCTCCTTTTCTCTCTCTCTCTCTCTCTCTCTCTATATATATATATATATTTTTGTGTGTGTGTGTGTGTGTGTGTGTGTGAGGCAGGGTCTTGTTCTGTTACCTAAGCTGGAGTATAGTGGTGCAATCATAGCTTTGTGTGTTTTTTATATTTCCTCAATGTTTTCTTTTGTTACTGATATGATTTGGTTCTCAGTCCCCACCCAAGTCTCATTTTGAATTGTAATCCCCAGTCTTAGGGGAGGTATCTGGTGGGAAGTGACTGACTTATGGGGGCAGATTTCCTCCTTGCTGTTCTCATGATAGTGAATAAGTTCTCATGAGATCTGACAGTTTAAAAGTGTGGGGCACTTCCCCTTTCACTCTCTCTTTCTCTCTCCTGATCCACCATGGTAAGATGTCCTTCCATCCTCTTCACCATAAGCCATGATTGTAAGTTTCCTGAGGCCTCTCAGCGATGCTTCCTCTTAAGCCTGTGGAACTGTGAGTCAATTAAACCTCTTTTCTTCATAAATTATCTAGTCTCAGGTAGTTCTTTATAGCAGCGTGAGAATGGACTAATACACTTACTAGTACTAGAAGGGCAATAATTACAAGGAAAATACTGATAACATGACCAGGGAGGTAGGAATATATCATAACAAAATATATCATTTTAAACATGTCTTATTTTTCCATACAATTTTTTATTTGTCTGTTCTTGTAAATAATCCAGTATGTATATAATGATCATTTTATATTTTATGCTCTATGAAGTATGTACAAATAAAATTCATAGACATGCCATTGAAATATTTGAAATCTAATTATAAGACAAAGTATATACATGTGAAATAATTAGAAAGAGGACACTATGTGGTTCAAATGCATAACACACAAACTGTGCGCTTCATTATTTAGATGGGGTAATATCAGGACACCAGGAAGTCAGGTTTATCTTCAAGGCATCTTGGATAAGGTAAAATTTGAACCAGATTTTTCTTAAAAAATTGTGTAAATACTTTGATTAAGATGGACAAGGACTTTCCATCCAAGAGAATAGCATGTATAAAGTAAATCACTAGCATAAAAATTTAGAGGTAAATGCAGATTGATCTAACATTGCTCTAGGCCCATTGAATATTTCTGAATACGATTTTTCAGTGTGTTAAATTTAACCAGATTGAAGATTTTAAGACCCATCCTAGTGAACAATTTTAAATGAAGGATTTGCTTTGTAATGAGGCATTTGCATTCAATCATAAATTTGGAATGCAACATCTTTAACTTGGTTATTTCTACTAGAATAGGTTCTTTGAGGGTATTATGCTTATCCTGTAGTAAAGACACAGATTCCTCAAAATTTATTTCAAGTGTAAAAGATGAGAGGAATACTTATTTATAGAGAAACCTGGAAAATATAGTACTTACAATAGCAAACTAAGAGTTGTGTAATAAAAATTTCAGAAATGCTATCACTAAACTATTTACAGAAGCTCCAGAGCGCTATTTTTGAAAGAAAGACAGAAACAGAAATTTTAGAAAAGTGATTCACAAGACTGAAGCTATTGATAGAGAAAAGCTGAAGTACTAAGGAACAGATGAGTCAGAAGCAAATTTAGGAGAAACACATCAAAGAAAGTCTTAAAAATTTATCATTTGGGAGGGACTATAATTCACTCTAGCTAGAAAAAGCAAAAAGAATAGAAGAAAGTACATTTACATAGAATTAAACTTAAATTAGCAAGTATTCTTAGGAATTTTTTAAACTGCCTACCTCTTCTTTTTTAAATAAAAGCTTCATTGAGATGTAATTTATATATAATAAAATTTGCCCTTTAAAATTTTTTAATCCAGTGGTTTTTAATATATTCACAGAGTTATGCAACTATCACCACTATCTAATTTTGGAACATTTTTATCATTCTCAAAAGAAACCCCATATCCATTGGCCGTTGTTCCCCATTTTTTCTCAATTTCAATGCCCCTGGCTTTGGCAACCAATAATCTACTTTTAATATCTGTGGAGGTACATATTCTGCATATTCTGGATATTTTATATAAATGAAATCACAAAATGTCTGGTCTTTTGTGACTGGTTATTTCTTCACTTAGCATGCTGTGGAGGTTCATCCGCGTTGTGGTGTGTATCAGTACTTCATTTCTTTTTACTGAATAACTTTCCATTGTATGGATACACCACATTTTCTTTATCTATTTATTAGTTAATGGACATTTGAGTTGTTCCTAGTTTTTAAAGCTTCACCACCTGATTCAAACCTTCAGGCCCAGGACATGTCACGGCATGTTTTGCTTCTTTATTCTGACAGAAAACAAAGTCATCAGAAACTTTATCTTCCATCTAACAAAACATTAACTCCTACAATATGGGCACCCACCCTATTTTCCTTGCTTCCTGTAATAATGGAAAAATGCTTCTTCTTTCTTTATTTTATTTATTTATTTATTTATTTTGAGAGGGAGTCTCACTCTGTCACCCAGGCTGGAGTGCAGTGGCGTGATCTCGGCTCATTGCAACCTTCGACTCCCTGGTTCAAGCGATTCTCCTGCCTCAGCCTCCCGAGTAGCTGGGATTACACACCATGCACCACCATGCCCAGCTAATTTTTGTATTTTTAGTAGAGATGGGGTTTCACCATGTTGGCTAGGATGGTCTCAATCTCCTGACCGTGTGATCCGCCCGCCTCAGCCTCCCAAAGTTCTGGGATTACAGGTGTGAGCCACCTTGCCTGGCCTTCTCTTTCTACATAAGAGTATTCCCCTGCACCTTGCAGTAGTCCCCCCTTATTCTGAGGGAAATAAATTTCAAGCATTTTAACCTGTGCTTTCCACGCATCCATCCAATCCCATGTCACCCTACCCTCTCCATCCTATGGCATCATATCCTGGATTCCAGAGAAACTTACAGTCTATCTATTCCCTCAGTGTGTTCAAACACAACTTGTCAATTAGTCCTTCCTCAATATTTTAATAAACCTTTCAACCCACTTCCCTTCTAGTAACTCCCTATATCTCTCTTCCTCATCTTATTAAACAGAATGGACATTTTTATCCTAATATATCTTGATTTCTCAACATTGTTTAATACATGTTTCTTCTTGAAAAGGTGTCTTCTCTTGACTTCCATGAAACAATAATCTTCTGTTTTACCTCCTACCTTTCTGATTTTCTCTTGTGTCTTTGTTTAGGCCCAGGTTCCTCTACCAAACCTTTATTTACTAAAGTTATTTAAAGTCCAAACTTAAACAAAGTCCTCATGTGAGTCTGATACATGAAAGGGATCTCGATCCAGACCCCAAGAGAGGGTTCTTGGATCTCATGCAAAAAATAATTAAGGGCAAGTCCATAGAGTAAAGTGAAAGTAAGTTTATTAGGAAGTAAAGGCATAAACGAAGGGCTACTTTTACAAATAAAAGAGTAAAAGAATGCTCCATAGATATAGCAGCCCCGAAGGCAGCTGGTTGCCAATTTTTATGGTTATTTCTTGATTATATGCTAAGCAAGGGGTGCATTATTCATGCCTCCCCTTTTTAGACAATATAGGGTAACTTTCTGACTTTGCCATGGCATTTGTAAACTGTTATGGCACTGGTGGAAGAGTAGCAGTGAGGACAACCAGAGGTCACTCATCATCATCTTGATTTTGGTGGGTTTTAGCCAGCTTCTTTATTGCAACCTGTTTTATCAACAAGGTCTTTATGACTGGTTATCTTGTGCCAACCTCCCGTCTCACCCTGTGACTTAGAATGTTTAACCATCTGGGAATGCAGCCCAGCAGGTCTCAGCCTCTGACAACTCTACCCTCTCCTCAGGCAATCACATCTATGCCCACAATTTCAATTCCCACCTACATATATTTGATTTCAAAATGTATATATCTAAAGCAGACTTTTTCACTTCTAATAAATTTTCTATTTTCACCTTTGAATCCCTAAGGTTTCAGGAGCTGAAAAGGGTCTGGATTTTACCCTACTTGAAAGATAACAGCTTTTCACAGTTTCATGGATGCTGACAGAAGACAGGATTTCTGGATCAGAGAAAGGCGGTGCAGTAGTCCCCTCTTAGCTGAGGAAAATACGTTTCAAGATGCCCAGTGGTTGCCTGAAATCACAGATAGTACCAAACTCTACCTATGCTATGTTTTCTCCTATGCATACACACCTATGGTAAAGTTGAAGTTATAAATTAGGCACAGTAAGAGATTAATAACAATGACTAATAATAAAACACAGCAATTATAACAATATACTGCAGTAAAAGTTGTGGGAACATTTTCTCCCGGAATGTCCATTTAATATTCATGAACCACAGTTAATGCCGGTAACTGAAACTGAAAACAAAACTTCAGGTAAGCGGGGAATACTGTATTACTCACAACAGAAATGGTAACCAGAGGGCCAGCATATCTGGGCCAGTTTTCCCCGTCTCAATTCACACGGGATGACAAAAGGGACCAAATGACACCTGCATAAGCAGTGAATTCTGTTAAAAAAGAGAAACCCAGGGCCAAGAATCTAGTACTTTTGGGCAAGCCACTAGCAAGTTTACTTTGCCCAGGGACTGAGTTACCTGGTAACCACACTCTCCTCACTCTGACCTATTCAGCTGCCTATGTGACAAGCAGAAGCTTTGTAACCTGGTGCACTCAGAAAGAATGGGCAGGGATGATCAAGGCTCCTGGCAGATGTCTCTTCCAGCATAAAGAACCTCAAATTCTCTATAACCCCAGAACATTGAATCTATATCTGTTTCCCAAAGTACTGTTTTTCTCTTCCATTGTAGAGTCTTTGCCAAGGTAGAATTCTTTCTATACCAGGAATTCAGTTTCCGCTGTGGCAGAATCAAATACATTTCAAGGTGATTTGTATTTGTCTCAAGAAGGTGGCATTAAAGTGAAAAAGTAGCTGAGAACAAGAAGAGGAAGGTTTAATGCAGTGGGGAAAAGGGAAAGCACACCTACAGCTCCCATTGAAAAATAGTTGTAAAGAAAATAGGCTATTGATTTAAATTGAAATCCATAAGCTATACCATTAATGTTTGTATTTTGTGCCCTGGCATTATGAAAATTACCTAGTGAATTGTTCCAGAGAGTTATCATTTCATTTCTTTCCCTATTTCCCAAATTGTTCATGCTTGTTCCTCACATCATTTCATAAACATATTCTCCATGAATAGCCTAAAAACAGTATGGGAAACATCCTGCCATTTTCTCCTTTCTGAAGAAAATCATTCTGACTCTAAATTTCCTCTGTGGTATCTCAAAGGTTAGCTTTGCTTTACCCCAGGCTAAGCTGTGGAAATGATTCATGAGCTTTTCCAACCTACTGTGACTCTTTCTACCCCCTGCCTTAAATATGGAACCCCGCATTGACTGTAAAACTTCACTGAGGCAAGGAAAGAATGTTAAGTTAATATACCTAGAAAGGCATGAGTCAAGGCAACTTGAAAGAATCCCCCATAATAATTCTTATGAAAATATACAAACCTAATCAACAATTCCCATTCAGAACTTGGCTACCTCTATCTTCCCAATGAGTTAACATCTAGTTTGCTGACAATGTGCTTAGCAGTCTTTTAGAAAGTTTACGTTAATGGTATAGTTTCTTTTTTTATTTTTCACTTACAAACTTGTAATTTTTCACCGAGGTCTAAGAATTTTACTAAATGATATATACGCAGTCATAAAATGTCCTTTTAATATTTGCTGTCATTTGTACATTTAAAAATAGGTCCTCTACTTTTACATTTCTACCTCAACTGCTTATACTAGCTACTATTTTACCTTTTTCTCTAGACTAAAATTGATATTGCCACCCCCCAGAGCATAACATGGCTTTACTAGCATTAAGACATAATTAAGAGACTGAATTCAGTGTTTCCTGGCTTTCTAATATTGGCTCTTTAAAATATAATTTAGTTATGAGGCTCTGCCCCTCAGGGGAAATACCAGTGACGACCAAATCAGTTTCTGGCAGTTACGTTTCAAATAACAGTGGGGTTTCTGTTTTCTGCCAGTCAAGAATCTTCCCTCAGATGCATCTTTTGTTAAAACCATGTAGGGGCAGAGTGTTGATTGACAATATAAAGTGTGATTCATTGATATGATGCCAGATCCATGTACAAACAACAAGAACATTGATTAGCAACTTCGTAATAGTTGAATTCAAATATTTGAATATTTTAACATATATGTAACTAAAATCATATATACACGCCTCTTGCCTAATGGTGAGCATATCCTGGCATTTGAGATAGAATGCGTTAATCATGGAGATCTAAGCTTTAGGGAAAAGTTTAATAAAGATAAAAGAGTGACTTGAATTTTATAAGGGAAGTATTTAGTAATTAAAGATACCACAGCTGCTAAAGATAATATAGTCATGAGATTTCATAATTATAAGGTCCTGGCATCCCTGCTTACAAACCTCACTCAATGGTAATATAATCATGCCCATTTGAGAATTGAAGAGATAAGAGAGTATGTGGTGTACAGCATCCATTACTAGAAGGTCTATTATTTCACAACAATGGAGGACCAGAATGATCTACAGCAGAGAGAATTTTTGTTTTGTCATTCAATAAACATGTCACATATTTCTGCAACCCAACTTTTCAAGCCACATCTGCTATATACATGTAGGGAAGATTCATTAATGCAATGTCAGGAGTACTCTAATAAAAATAAAATGTCTGTTCCTGGGAGCCACCAAGTGGCTGCACTTGTATATACCTCCCCAGTTAGTATAATTTAGTGTATTGGCAGGGTCCAGGGAGTATTTCATTACATTTGTTTCCTCTTCCTTCCTATTTGCCTCACTCTGTAAATAATCCCTTTAGACCATTTTTCTCAAGGATGTAGAGAGAGAACCAAATGGTATTTTCAGTCTCCATACATGTACAATTTGAGACACACTTTCTTCTGTACTATATGAGAATATACCAATGATGACATTCAAAAAGTGACATAATTTAGAGGCACAACATATAAACTTTATTTTGTATTAGAGAGGGTTTTTAACCCTATTTTAATTTTATGTTTTCTAACATTGGTTTCCAATTTACTTGCTTTTATCAGTTTTTTAATAATTATTTTAATCTGGTTTAAAAATACAATTTTTATTCAACCCTTGCTTACCAATAAACACCAGCAAAATATTATTATATAATTTCAACTCTTTCTTGGAATTCTATTTTCATTAAATGCTAAATAATAACCCTGCATTTTAAGTCAAATTAATTATATTCTGAGATCAAATTGATGGCTTTGCAAAAAACACATTGAAGTAAGTATCTACACAAGTAAACAATTAAGTGCATTAATTGAGATTCAGCATTCTGCAAAATATATGTGTCATATGCATATCTTGATATATTTCCTCTACAGCAATGTATATTTAATCAGTATTTCTCTAAAATAGAAAATAATCCACTAGATCCTCTGAAGGAGACCTGTGCCTTTCATACCAATAAATCACTGAATATATTTGACTACATAACTTATTTATTAGACTCTTAATTAACAAATTTTTTGACTATTGGATATTAATCATGACATATACTGGGCATGTTATGGATTTATATTCTGTAGTATTTAACAATTAAGGTAATTCATTTTCCCCACAGTATGATAACAATTATTTTAATGAAATCTGTAATATTGTGTTTTACTGTGCACTGTTAGCAATAACCTAAAGTTATTCTGGTATGTCTCAGGGGTTTATATAGACTTTCGTGAATCCACTCATTCAGTTTTCACCTCTGGGCCTTCTCTAGAAGTCTATGGAGATGGACTAGGGTTACATTCAACTCAGAGACATCACACTGGACTCAAAGTAGCTCTCCTCTCCAGTTTTGGGGTGCTTTCTAAGGCCATGTGCATCATGTCTGGGTTCTTCTTTCCTTAAATGTGTTCTCCCCAGAAAGATGCTATTTAGTCTCTTTTGAAAAAGGATTTCTGGCAGGGATATTCTACCAAGCCGAACTATTTTTGGATACCAGCTAAGTTTAAGCTAAGCTTTGCTATGTGAACTTCAGATAATTATCTTAAATTGCTGAATCTCATTTTAGAATGAAACGGTAGTACTACATGTTTCTAATTCTAATATATTTTCATATTATATGTAAGATCACATCAAGCATGATTATTATGTTTATTTAGCATTCATTTTTTGAGCATTGCCATGTGCCTAGCCTTGTTCTAGTTTCCAGTGACCCAAGGAGGGAAAAAGACCCTAAATTTGTGAAGCTTATTTTCTACTGTAGTCAGTACATTCCTACACCACAAAACAATTTTTTTTCCTCCAGATTCTTTCTAATTAAACATTTAGTCACCATAGCCTGTGCAAAAAAACACAAACAAAAAAACTCTGTTAACTGTAACCAATATTTCTTAATAGCTGCCCGTGAATGGGAAAGCTAACTTCAGATTTCACTTTGAAGTGGCAAAGCAAAACAAGAATATGTAAAAACAGACAAAAAAAGTTTATAAAACAATCACCCGCAGTGTAAAAAGAAGCCATGCCAAATACATTTGAATTCCAGAGTAATAGATATAGGTTTTGATTCAGCAACAAACAAAATCTCACATGTCAGAACATCAATAAATAAAATCCCTAGATACATATCAACCTTAATTTACGGAACCACGCTATACTGGAATGACACCCTGTGATCCATTTCATACATTTATTTAATATTTCAAAGAAGAATATAAGAATGTTATTAGCCTACTAAATTGTAAATGATAGATCTACAGTCTTGTTTTCACTTACCATACCCTATACATCTTGCTGACAGCTTACTTTTTGGAAGAGTTGGCTATGAATTACTCTTAAGCCTCTGAACTGTCTGATCCAAAGTTACTCTTCTATCTTCTCTTCCCTAGTGATAAAACATGTCTTTTTCTCAGGGGCCTCTTTTGTAAATTATAATTATTCTTATATAGTTCCCTTTGTTTTCTTGTTATTCCTTATTTCTCACATGGATGAGAAAGTGGAAGGATAGGTTATCATATATATTTAACATTTCCTGATATATAATATATCATATATATTTAACATTTACATTAGGTATATCTCCTAATGCTATCCCTCCCCCCTCCTCCCACCCCCCAGCAGGCCCCGGTATATGATGTTCCCCACCCTGTGTCCATGTGTTCTCATTGCTCAGTTCCCACCTATGAGTGAGAACATGCAGTGTTCAGTTTTCTGTCCTTGCGATAGTTTGCTCAGAATGATGGTTTCCAGCTTCATCCCAAATTTTAAAAATGCTAGCTATTAGAGACAATTTCAGAAACTATAGCCTCTGCTTATGAAAACTAGTGCCAAATCTCAGGGTTTAATTACTGTAAAATCTTCCCCAGCAGCAAATGAAGGAAATACATGCCATTGAATTCTGAGTTGAAATCTTTGAGTTCAGTCAATGTTTTCTGAAAATGAGCTCCTACAGGACCACCCACAACTGAATGCTTAGATTACATGTCATTGGACTCTGAGCCAAATGGCAAAGTCTAAGAATTAAATTATGCATAAATATGTAAATATAAATATGTATACACACATATACATATGTATACACACATATGCATATACATATACACTAAACTTATATGAGGACTTATAAAAGAAAATCCTAGTAAGTTCATGGCATAGGAGCTTTATTGTCACCCATAAAGCCTTCTCAAAATAGAGAGGAAAATGGAACATTCAGAAAAGTTAGGTGGTGGTTTCCAAGTGGCATTTATAGTAGATTTATAAATTAGAGAACCTTGTTTGGCAAAACAGTTGCTTAATATTCTGAAAATTCTACAAATACACTTTTTGTGAACATGTTTCTTTTGAAATCTGAGCAGAATTTTACAAGTTGAATTATTTTAAATGTAATTCTAAAAGACAGTTTTCATATCTTTTGGGCATTTCATTAATTGTAAAGGCTACCCATGCTTTATTTAAAATAATACTTAAGTTATATTTTACAGTGAATGTGTCAATGTGCCAAGTGACACCCACTGGTTTCTCTTTCCAGTAAACTTTCATGGGAGTTATATTTAATGACCCCGTTCATAAAAACAGGCTCCTTGCTGTCTGATAGAGTATTATTACTATGAATGAAGAGATTCCTTAAGTATTTAAAGCTATCCACAGATTTGCAAAGTGTCTGTTAAAAGCTGCTTTCATCTTTGCTTTTCTTTGGGAACTACCTTTTGTTGATGTTGTTCTTGTTGTTATAGTGGTTGTTGCTGTTAGTGTTCACTGAAGAAAACAAGCTCTTACAAACAAAAAAGCATGAACAAAAAGAAATAACTGGAGTGGGGGATGGACTCAGGCTTTTTTATGTGAGTTCTGTTCTCACTTCTACCACTATTTTCTTTTTATTTATTGAAATGATTCTGTAGCTCAGCAAGGGGAAAACAAAAGGCATGAAAATTCATTTAAGTACTCTCTTTTATTTATGTTAACATTTCATCATATGCTGTTTAACAATTTACTAAATGTTTATTATGCACAGAGTTGCATTCTCAAGAGAATAAATAAGTTTCTGTCAGCACTTCTTTTAAGAAATCCTATTTTGGTTGTGGATTTTAAAAATTCATGATAAACATTTCCTTCAGGAAGAAGCCGAGAAAGAAAATGCTTTGACACTGCTGATAAGTGAGCTTGTAACTAAAGAAATGGAAAACAAACACGTGCATAAATATTCACTGTGTGTATATGTGAAGGGAAAGAGGAGGGAGGGAGACAGGAAAAGAGAGAAGGAGAGAGGAAGAGAGAAAGAGATAAAGAGAGAGAGGGACAGAGCATGTGAAAGAGTGAGAGAATAAAAACATAATTAATTCCTGGATTTTATGATCTCCCTGATTGCTTCAGTGTTAACATTCCCACAGTTTGTCACCAGTCATACTTGCAAAATAGAAATAGAAAAGCACAGAGAATAGACTAGATGATGTCCAAGGTTCTCCCAGCTCCGAAGTTTTATTATTATATTAAGAAAAATATAGAATAGAAAATAAATGTCAAATAAATGTCAAAAGATGAAGAATGGCAATCTCTACTACTTTCATATATCCTACATCATTTGACTCATATGTGGAGATTATGTGTATATATATACACACACACACACACACACACACACACACACACACACACACATATATACATACATGAAATTTACCAGCACTAAGTTTTCATACTGAAAAATAAGAGAATTGGGTTGGAGGAAGAGTGACATTCTTGTCTTCCCTTCTTAATTATTTAATTTTTTAAAAGGAATGAGAACATTTATCAGTAGATTATTATTTGTCAGGCACTCTTAGAAGCACTATATTAACTTATTGATATTTTTGATAACCTTATAATGCAAGAGTATTATGATAGTATCCTGATTTTTTAGATGCACAGAATTCAAACATGAGCAGTTAAAACTTGCCAAAGTCACAGTGCCTCTAAGCAGCAGAGCAGGGTTTCTCAACCAAGTAGTCAGGTTCTGAGCTTATCCAGCACATCAATCTGTAACTACCCAGTGGGTTCTCTTTGCCTGCTGCCTAGACAGAGCTGATTTATCAAAACAGGGGGATTGCAATAGAGAAAGAGTTTAATACATGCAGAGCCGGCCTTATGAGAGACCAGTGTTTTATTATTACTCAAATCAGTCTCCCCGAAAATGCAGGAATAGGATTTTTTAAGGACAATTTAGTGGGTAGGGGGTCAGAAAATGGGTAGTGCTGATTGGTTGGGTCAGAGATGAAATCATAGAGAGTTGAAGCTGTCCTTTTGCACTGAGTCAGTTCCTGAGTGGAAGCCACAAGACCAGATGAGAATCTTGCAGCCTCTAGCTGCATGACTCCTAAACCATAATGTCTAATCTTGTAGCCAATTTGTTAGTCCTGCAAAGGCAGTCTAATCCCCAGGCAGGAGGGGATTTATTTGGGGAAAGGCTGTTATGGTCTTTATTTCAAAGCTAACCTATAAAGTAAGTTCCTCCAAAAGTTAGTTCGTCCTACACCCAGGAATGAACAAGGACAGCTGGGAGGTTAGAAGCAAGATGGAGTTGGTTAGGTCAGATCTCTTTCACTGTAATAGTTGCCTCAGTTATAATTTTTGCAAAGGTAGTTTCAAATCTAGCTCCACCTCTCCAAAGAAGATTGTGACATGACTCTCTCACTAACCACATGCAGATTTTGCTGTATAACCAAAATGTAACAAAGAGAAAGACATTTTTCTGTTTATATAAAATAGTTTTCTGAAGGTGAAACCAAAATAAACATCTTCTATAAGCCTTTGGTTCAGATATAACAGTTAATATCTTAATGAATATTCTTATAGTTACTTTTGGTTTTATAAAGCTTCACTGTAACTTATCGATATAGTGAGCATTTCTCAATGTCATTAAATCTTCATTGAGTGCATGCTTTTGAATGTTAATTTAATTGTGTCAAATTTATTTGATAATGGCTGCTTTTAAAACACATAAACATAGCTGGCTTACTGAATCTTGCTCAGAAGCTTCAGTTAAACATCTTTAAGTAATGAAATTAACCAATCTGTCTGCATTAGTTTTCTGTGCTGTGTAACAGGTTACCAGAAACTCAGTGGCTAAAAATTACATACATTTTTAATCAAATGGCTTGTATGGGTTAGGAGTCCAGACATGGCTTAGCTGAGTCATCTGCTCTGGGTCTTAAGGCTGCAGTCAAGGTGTCAGCAGGCTACATTCTTATCTGGGGGCTCAACTGGGAGAGAATCAGCTTTGAAGTTTCCTCAAGTTATTGGCAGTATTCATTTCCTTGCTGCTATTGATCAGATAGCTTCTGTTTCTTGCTAGCTGTGTGCCATAGGCTGCCTGGCCACAAAAGGTCATCTCATCTGTAGTTCCTTGCCCAGTGGCCATCTCCACAGGCAGTTCACAAGTCATGTGCTTTTTCAAGGCTAGAAAGAGTGAGAACCAGAACTAGCAAAAAGAGTCTTATATAATGTTTCACAATCATGGGCGTGACATCCATCATGTTTGTTGTATTCTTTTGATTAGAGGTGAAGACAATAAGGATATGCTACTCCAAAATATGCCAATTTGGCATAAGAATTATTTTGAGTTCTTGAAATCTATTATCTCTTTAAAAGCCTAGCTTCCCAAAAGAACTAAAAAGAACTAAGTTGTCATAAATCCCTTCCCTGGGGGCAACTTTATTCTTCTTGGACACCACATCCAGACAGACATTGTCACAAACTAACACATTCCCATGTAATTTCTTGAGAGCCCAAATACTCACTTGCTTTTCCATAAGTGCTCTTTCATCTCCTCTTTCCCCTAGGAAGTTAGGTATATCAACCTCAAATTCTAACCACTCCTTTGGTGGGTAGGGGTTCAGAAATTTCCAGAGCTGAGTTCAAGTCCTGAATATCCTTGTGAATTTTCTGTCTCATTGATCTGTCTAATATTGACAGTGGGGTGATAAAGTCTCCAACTATTATTGTGTGGGAGTATAAGTCTCTTTGCAGGTCTCTAAGAGCTTGCTGTATAAATCTGGGTGCTCCTGTATTGGGTGCATATATATTTAGGATAGTTAGCTCTTCTTGTTGCATTGATCCCTTTACCATTATGTAATGCCCTTCTTTGTCTTTTTTGATCTTTCTGGTTTGAAGTCTGTTTTATCAGAGACTAGGATTGCAACCCTGCTTTTTTTTTTTTTTTTTTTTTTTTGGCTTTGCATTTGCTTGGTAAATATTCCTTCATCCCTTTATTTTGAGCCTATGTGTGGTTTTTTTTTTTTGCTTGTTTGTTTGTTTTTGAGACAGAGTCTTGCTCTGCCACCCCGGCTGGAGTGCAGTGGTGCGATCTCGGCTCACTGCAAGCTCTGCCTCCCAGGTTCATGCCATTCTCCTGCCTCAGCCTCCCGAGTAGCTGGGACTACAGGCGCCCGCCACCACACCCAGCTAATTTTTTGTATTTTTAGTAGAGACGGGGTTTCACCGTGTTAGCCAGGATGGTCTCGATCTCCTGATCTTGTGATCCGCCCACCTTGGCTTCCCAAAGTGCTGGGATTACAGGCGTAAGCCACCACACCTGGCTGAGCCTATATGTGTTTTTGCAGTGGCTGGTACTGGTTTTTTCTTTCCATATTTAGTGCTTCCTTCAGGAGCTCTTGTAAGGCAGGCCTGGTGGTTATGAAATCTCTCAGCATTTGCTTGTCTGTAAAGAATTTTATTTCTCCTTCGCTTATGAAGCTTAGTTTGGCTGGATATGAAATTCTGGATTGAAAATTCTTTTCTTTAAGAATGTTGAATATTGGCCTCCACTCTCTTCTGGCTTGTAGGGTTTCTGCAGAGAGATCCGTCAGTTCATCAAATTCATTCTCTGTCCAGTTTTGTTTTAGTCTGTTGGGCTTCCCTTTGTGGGTAATCCGACCTTTCTCTCTGGCTGCCCTTAACATTTTTTCCTTCATTTCAACCTTGGTGAATTTGACAATTATGTGTCTTGGGGTTGCTCTTCTCGAGGAGTATTCCTTGTGGTGTTCTCCATATTTCCTGAATTTGAATGTTGGCCTGTCTTGCTAGGTTGGGGAAGTTTTCCTGGATAATATCCTGAAGAATGTTTTCCAACTGGGTTCCATTCTCCCCATCACTTTCAGGAACACCGATTAAATGTAAACTTGGTCTTTTCACATAGTCCCATATTTCTTGGAGGCTTTGT
Source organism: Homo sapiens (assembly GCF_000001405.40). NCBI lineage: Eukaryota > Metazoa > Chordata > Mammalia > Primates > Hominidae > Homo > Homo sapiens. The sequence goes on from NC_000013.11 coordinate 59,002,950, forward strand.
TTGTTCCTTTTCATTCTTTTTTCTCTAATCTTGTCTTCACACTTTATTTCATTAAGTTCATCTTCAATCTCTGATATCCTTTCCTCCGCTTGTTGATTGAGCTATTGATACTCGTGTATGGTTCACGAAGTTCTCATGATGGAGCTGTGTTTTTCAGCTCCATCAGGTCATTTATGTTCTTCTCTAAACTGATTATTCTAGTTAGCAATTCCTCTAACCTTTTTTCAAGGTTCTTAGCTTCCTTGCATTGAGTTAGAACACGCTCCTTTAGCTTGAAGGAGTTTGTTATTACCCACCTTCTGAAGCCTACTTCTGTCAATTCATCAAACTCATTCTCTGTCCAGTTTTGTTCCCTTGCTGGCTGGAAGTTGTGATCCTTTGTAGGAGAAGAGGCGTTCTGGTTTTTGGAATGTTCAGCCTTTTTTCCCTGTTTTTTTCTCATCTTCGTGGATTTATCTGCCTTTGGTCTTTGATGCTGGTGACCTTCGGATGCAATTTCTGAGTGGATGTCCTTTTTGTTGATGTTGATACTATTCCTTTCTGTTTGTTTGTTTTTCTTCAAACAGTCAGGCCCTTCTGCTGCAGGTCTGCTAGTGTTTGCTGGAGGTCCACTGCAGACCCTGTTTGCCTGGGTATCACCAGCAGAGGCTGCAGAACAGCAAAATTGCTGTCTGTTTCTTCCCAGAGGGGCACCCACCAGATGCCAGCCAGAGCTCTCCTGTATGAGCTGTCTGTGGACCCCTGCTGGGAGGTGTCTCCCAGTCAGGAGGCATCTCCCAGTCAGGAGGCACGGAGATCAGGGACCCACTTGAGGAGGCAGTCTGTCCCTTAGCAGAGCTCAAGCACTGTGCTGGGAGATCTACTGCTCTCTTCAGAGCTGGCAGGCAGGAACATTTAAGTCTGCTGAAGCTGCGCCCACAGCTGCCCCTTCCCCCAGGTGCTCTGTTCCCAGGGAGTTGGGGGTTTTATCTGTAAGCCCCTGACTGGGGCTGCTGCCTTGCCTTCAGAGATGCCCTGCTCAGAGAGGAGAAATCCAGAGAGGCAGCCTGGCCACAGTGGCTTTGTGGAGCTGCAGTGGGCTCCACCCACTTCAAACTCCCTGGCAGAAATTTCCTTTTTAAAAATTTTTTGAGGCAGGGTCATGCTCTGTCTTCCAGGCTGGAGTGTGGTGATGTGATCATGGCTCACTGCAGCCTCAATCTCCTGGACTCAAACAATCCTCCCAAATCGGCCTCCCAAGTATCTGGGACTACAGGTGTGCACCACCATGCCTGGCTGATTTTTTTAGTTTTTGTAGAGTTTCTCACTTCTGAGTACTCCTATGTGTCTGCAGGATGCACATATAAATAAACTTCTTTTTTTCTCTTGTTAATGTATTTTTGTCATCCTAATTTAAAGGGTCCCAGCTGGATAACCTAGGAGGAGATAGGGAAGCTTCCTCGACAAGTCACCACCACACTTAATGGGGAGAGCAGATTACTCAAAGGCACAAATGTGAACAGGTAGGGATGTGGTTCCTCACACTGTTCCCTCTTCACTGGAGCATCCTTGGTATATAGAGTTGCTCAAGAACAAAGCATATCTGTGACAAGTGTTACAGGTGAGGGTTTCTGTCTCAGTGATCATTAAGTTAAGGCTAAAACAACAGTTAATTTTCCCTTCCAGGAAATCCTAATATGTGTGGTAAGTGTCTGTAGACAGGCAGTTCAGTGATTCAGTGATACCTTCTTTTTCCTCCTTAGTTTCAGCTGATCCTGAGGAGTGCAGAAGAAAGTGCCTTCAGGTCTCCCCAGAGTAAATTTCGTGAAAAACAGGTAGTCAGTAATTGCAGACAGACTACACAAAATATATTATCAAAGTCAGGTGGCAATCTATCCACCCTTTCTGTGTATTGGGATTACAAATCTATGTTGTTTAAGGAAATAATGCGATTTTTAGAGGTTTTTTTTTTCCCAAAGAGCCAATTTTTTTCATACCACCTACAAAATAGCCTATCTCTTTATTACTTATTTACTCACTTACTCATTTATTCATTCATTGATTTAATAAATACTCTTGAGTTACCAGGAATAATTTGTTCAGCCTCTTTGTCAGAAGCTATGAATACAGTGGTGAATGAGATATGATTCCTGCCTCAAAAAGATTAGAATGCATTGGAGAAAACACATTAGAAAAACCTAAACAAACATCTAAAATAGTAATTAATCATATGACAATAGGAGATACAAAGCAAACTAACAGAATTCTGTATTGTATCATAAAATAATAAGGCGAGTTTTATTTCATTAGTGCATCCCAAGCAAAGAGGCTTACGTTGTAAGTGTCCAGGTATCTGCCCGAAAAGCTTCTCAAGATTTTAAGCAATGTGTACAAGCAATAACAGGAATTATCTTTTGAGCAAACTATCCCTTATCAGAAATCCCTTATCTTTCTCCATTTTTTTCTAGTAGAAAACATCAAGGGTTTTTGCGCCCACTCCCTTACACACACACACACACACACACACACACACATTTTAATCTGGCATATGGTATTCCAAAACATAATTGAACAATTGTTGCTTAATGATTCAGCAATATTACTCAAGATATGTTCCCAGAAAATTCTTAATAATTCTATTTGATAGTAGAAGCACAGGTAGAATCAAAATTATATGAGCAGTAAGGAATATAGGGAGGTCAAGTGTTTTTCTAAGAGCATTTTGTCCCATTATAATCCTACACATTAATTGGGAAAGAAAAGGACTCTTTCCATTATTCAGCCTTTACATTCAGAAACATGGTATAGCTCTCCATGTAGCTAAATATTTCATTTTTTCTCAGTAAAGTTTTATCAAGTTCTCCCTATAGGTCTTACCCATTTTCTTTTTAGGGTTATTTTAAATTATACATAAGTGTTTTGGTTGCTACTGACTGTAAACAATGATTGCCATTATGTCTTCTAATGGTTGCCACTGGTTTGAAATGTAATTGATTTTTGCGCATTTATTTTATATCTGACCATTACTAATTCCGTTAAGTTTTGACAGTCGCTTGAATGGAAATGACATTCACAAAAGATATGTCAAGGCTCACAACACTAGTTTTGAGCTCCATTTTTACTAACTAGTTATTTCAGAAACTATTTTTAATTTCTAAATGGTTAACTTTGTTTAAAGTCTTAGTATTACTTTTAGCTTTATAGAATGTAGCATACTTAGACTATTGAGACAAGTACAAAGATTTTTTTAAGAACAAGAATACATTTTATAAATGCCCCTTGAGACTTTGAACATCTTTCTTTTTATTCTTCCTCTTCTGTCTTTTTTGGCATGGTACAGTTTTTATTAAAGTTTCAGGAATATGGAAGGTATACAATTTTAAATTTTCAAAATTATAATTTTATTTGCATATTTTGTCAATGGCAAAACTGAGATGGCTTTTTTGTTCCATTCCTTTTTACAGTTCTTCCTACCCCTTTCACTGCTTCCTGTCTATATCACTGTAATTTAGTAAAAAAATTTATTTTAAAAATATTGATACACAATTATAATATATATAAAATCATTTAGATGAGTATTTAATGACAGTACTATGTATTGCAAGTCTTTTTCCATTATGATTCTCTATTTTGAGCTTTTAATTTAGTTTCCTCTCTTAGACTCGAAAAGGCTGTGTACTGTATAATTTTTTCAGTCTTTGCATAGGTGATTTTCTTTGCACAAGAAATGAGAGAGTAGAGCATACAATTATTTAGCTACAATAAATAAAAGACTCTAGTATTTTGTTAATAAAAATGTTCAAGTATTTACAAGCCCACATTGAAGATACATATTGTACAGTGTATAGTGTACTTATAATTGTTAGGCTTAATTGGGTTAAGTATAAATATCTAAGAATAGAAAGAAGCAGTGGAAAAGTTTCTTTTAAATACTGAATATTGTATAAAATCTATAAAGGTCTAGGGATGTCCTTGACTAGAGACTTTTATGAGGAAGAAATGAAGCATTGAACCGACTAAGTCTTCCCCTCATGTTCTTCTGAGTAAAAACACCTGTGGTTTCATCTGCTAACTCTTTGCTCAGGGTGATAGGTGAATACAAGCTTTCTTCTTTCTGTGCTTAAATATCTCTAGAAACTTAAAGGCCATCTGTACCCTAAAGTTAGGTCATGCACAAGTGAAAACTCTCCTGCCATGTAGCCCCACCCACTGCCCAGGTACCTAATGCCATGCTTTCATTCCTGTCTGGCTTTGTTCCCTTGGTGCTGGGTACACAGTTCCGCCTCTATGATTTAGGCCACTCTGGAACTTGTCACTGGCAAAGACTCTTTATAGTTGCAATTACTACTTCTCTCTACAATTATACCCTGTAAGAGGTCAAGTTGAATATATCAGGGGCCTTATACACACTGCCTACCTACATCTTAACTCATGTAAATCCCAGATGTTGCACTTTAGCAGAGCACTTCTTTGGGGAATATTCTGGTTGTTATTTTCACTTTCTTAGCAACGAGGTAATCTAAGGAGGTATTTTTCCTTTCATTTCACTTCTATGTCTGTTCTGGTTTGTTCTGCAATGGTAACAGGTGAAACAATCTGGGGAAATGTGTCTTTGATGATAGGACTCGTCTCTGAGCCACTTTTAGGGCTCAAAAACAGTTTGCAGAAAGGTGGAGTTTCTGGAGGAGGAATGAAGTAGGGAAGCTTTTTCTTTCTCAAGACGTACTTTCTTTTGTATGTTGTCACTGCTCTTCCTCCTCTCCATGTTACTATTTAGATGGGTCCAGTGCTCATTTCCACTCAGGAGGATCTCTCTTATGCGGAACACTTAGCTCTTAGAAGGTAAAATAAAGAGTAAGAAGCCATGGTATGGGTGGCTTAAGTGAGTTCTGTGTAAGAATTGGATTCGAGTGGCCAGTGTAATACAGGGCAACCAGTTCCATTTCAATTTCAGATAATCAGTGAATACTTTTTTTCAGCATAAGTATGTCCCAATTATTGCTGGGTATACACTCACACTAAAAAGTATTCTTTTTTAAATCTGGAATTCAAATTTAACTAGGTGTTCTGTATCATATTTTTATTTTCTAAAACTGCCAATCTTAGATTGTACTAATGGTCAAGACTGACATGTTGCTCATCCTAGATTACAATGATAGAAAATGTTATAATTAAAACCAATTTCCAAACTCAGGATAAAGATTTTGTATTTACAATTGCATTATATAACCCATTTAAAGATACACAGGATTCAGGGAGGTAGGGAAATGGAGGTGAAATTTATAACAGCTGTGTAATTTGAAAAATTGGGGATTTGTTTGGTTGGTGAGTAATTAATGATTTTTATGAGAATGTTGGTTTTGATTAATAGGAGTTTTATTTGTTATAAGTAAGGAGAGTAATGGCAGCATTTTTAAAGTAGTGTTTTAATGAGGGAAACTGATAGAAGGTTTTTATGGGGTGATGGAGAGGGGAGGAGGTGAGTTATTAAATGCAGAGGAGGGACTTTGGTAGTGTAGATGTAGTGAATTATGTCGGTACATAGGTTGTATGTTATGGTAATAAAGTTATAGTTTTGGGGGGAGTGGAGACTTTAATATAGTAAGGAGGAATGTTTCTTTGTATTTATTTATAAGTTGTTGGGGTTTGTCAGAAGTTGGTTTTAGTTGACGAAGTGACCGTGTTTTATATAGAGTTAGGAAGAAAAACAGGCTGTAACGCAGGAGACTGTAGTGCCTAGAGACCCTCCCCATCTGCTTACACTTGGAGAAGGTTTGGAAATTTAAAATCCAGAGGAAATTTCAATACCAGAAGATATTACTAATAATCACCTTCTTGCCCTGATTTCACTTTAGAAAATCAATCTTGCCAATGGGAGGAATTAAGCATAAAAGTATCTGTTATCACACAACCCCCATAAGCCTCAGAACATAACCTATAATGTATGCTAACACCATTTTGGCAGAATTAGCAAATGGTATTTAGTTTTTAATAGAAAATGTTTGAGGAAAATAGAAACAAATTTTTCAGTGCAAGACATGAAGTTATAGCATTCTATCTCTGCTTCTGAAGTGTCTTTCATCGCACCCTTTTTAACTAGACAATTTCTTATCACTCAAATCTCACATCACCTACTACAGAGAGCCCTCTATGGATCACCTCCCTCTCCCATGGAGAATTCTTTGAGGACAAGGATCATTACTTATTCAGCTCTGTATCCCTAGAACCTAGTGAGAGGTGAAGCCAACTGGGCTTCTGGGTTGGGTGGGGACTTGGAGAACTTTTGTGTCTAGCTAAAGGATTGTAAATGCCCCAATCAGCACTCTGTAAAATGGACCAATCAGCGGGATGTGGGTGGGGCCAAATAAGGGACTAAAAGTTGGCCACAGGAGCCAGCAGCCGCAACCTGCTCGGGTACCCTTCCACGTTATGCAAGCTTTGTTCTTATGCTCTTCACAATAAATCTTGTTGCTGATCACTCTTTGGGTCTGCACCACCTTTAAGAGCTGTAACACTTACTGCGAAGGTCTGTGGCTTCGCTCTTGAAGTCAGCGAGACTACGAACCCACCGGAAGGAAAAAACTCCAGACACATCCGAACATCTGAAGAAACAAACTCTGGACACAACATCTTTAAGAACTGTAACACCGTGAGGGTCCACGGCTTCATTCTTGAAGTCAGCGAGATCAAGAACCCACCAAAAGAAACCAATTCTGGACACATTAAGAACCAGAGAAGCTCAAGAAATATTTGTTGAGTGAATGAAGAAGTGAAATCTGCAATAAAATTGCATGGAAACAGTAACCACTAAGCAGATTTTGAAATGAGAGCTGTAGAACAATCTAAAATGCGCAATTGCAAATCTTTAAAACGATATTGGAAAATCATTAAACTAAGATAGGAGTTAATAGGAATTAAGAGCATGAGAATCTTTGAGCCCCATGTTAGAAAAGTGATGTTCAGTATTTAACCTTAATGTGCTTAAGTTTTAATTAGACATTTCATGTACTTCCTTCTTGACCAGGCCCCATTCTTTGGAACAGAGGACATTCAGCACGGGTAGATATTTATAAAATAAATTTTCCCTATTTTCTAATAAAATAAATAAATTGAACCATAATCACATTGTGTTATTGAGGTCTCATCTAAATTTGTATGATCAGATATAGTGAGTGGCAATAAAAAGTGCCACTACATTTTAGAAAATGAAACATTTTTTAAAAATCCCTCTTCACTGCCCCACTTCACTTGACTAGCCTAAAAATAATAATCATGAAATATTAAAAATAAATGAATAGGAGCAGCAGGAAGAAGAAGAGGTGAGAACAACCCCCAGACCAACCAAAGCCCACTGTGCAGCTGCATCCCACGTCTAATCTGTACGTCCCACCACCATTGCCACCATGGCCAAGAAAAAGGCTGAAAGGGATGCTGAAGGGAGATTAAAGCCAAGGTGAAGGAAGAACCACAGAGGAATCACAAAGCTGTCTGCTAAACCTGCTCCTCCAAAGCCAGAGCCCAAGCCTAAAAAGGCTCTTGCAAAGAACGGAGAGGAGCCACCTAAAGGGAAAAAGGGAAAAGCTGACACTGGCAAGAAGGGAGATAACCCTGCAGAACATGGAGATGCTAACGCAGACCAGGCACGGAAAGCTGAAGGTGCTGGAGATGCCACATGAAGTGTGTGCATTTTTGGTAACTGTGTGCTTCTGATGACTGTACAGTTTGAAATACTATTTTTTATCAAGTTTTATTAAAACACAGAATTTTGTTTACTTTTCTGTTAAGCTTTGTGATGTGGTTTTGCCGTGTCCCTATCCAAAATCTCATCTTGAATCGTAGTCCCCATAATCCCTACGTGTCAAGGGCAGGACCAGGTAGAGGTAATTGGATCATGGGGACGGTTTCTTCCATGCTGTTCTCCTAATAGTAAGTGAGTCTCAGGAGGGCTAATGGTTTTATAAGGGTCTGGAATTTCCCCTGCTTGCACTCAATCCGTCCTGCCACCCTGTGAAGAAGGTGCCTGCTTCTGCTGTGCCTTCTGCCATGATTGTAAGTTTCCTGAGGCCTCCCCAGCCATGTGGAACTGTGAGTCAGTTAAATCTCTTTCCTTTATAAATTTTCCAGTCTGGAGTATTTCTTCAAAGCGGTGTGAGAACTGACTAATACACTATGTTAGCACACACAACACTTTACTGTTTTTTGGGGGAGGGGCAAATGTCACTAATAGAATGTTTCTGAAGCTGGATTAATATGGGGAAAATCCCTTTCCCCTCTAGCTCTGAGAGACTTTTCTTGGCTCCCAGGAGAAGGGATTCCCTTCTACTTGACTTTGACCACACGCAGCCACCTTGGCACAAATGCCTTGTGGTATGGAAAAACAAATTCTTTTCATGTCCTCTTCTCCCTTTCCACCTTCAGCAAAGACTTAACTCATTTAAACCCAGACACCTGTTGGGACCCGACCTCCAATAATTGATTACCAGGGTGCCAGGCAATCTGGACTTTCTGGTGCTGCCACTGAGATGGTGCCCCTCAAAAATCAGTGGTTCTGTTTCTAGATTGTGGATCTTCACATGAATTCTGCCATTTTTATTTCACTTCCTAAAAGTCAGCGTCGACTTGTGAAAAGTTGTAAACAACATGCTAAATGTGAAATGTCAACCCTCACTCTAAATTTTCCCTGTTCAGAGCATCAAATGGAGACTTCATTGGGTTTTATAGTGGCTTTCTGATTTTTGGTAGTCCGTTGAAGAAGGAAGTTTAAAAGTTGTATACTATTAAGGATTGTTTGCCCATGTCCTGCCTGAAATATCATGACTGTTTATGGAAAGTATCTTTAATAAAGCTGGATACTGTTTGACTTGAATAAGTTAATAAATAAATACATTAATTACATAAAATCTGAAAATATTCTTACCCTTAAACATGGGAATTATATTTCTAGATTAATTCAAGTATAAAACGATTTTTATCGACAAAGAGGTATATTGATTCATTATATATTGCAACATGGGACAGGAGACAATCTAGCTATCCAGCAATCAGAAAATGGTTAAATAAGTTACAATACCTACGTTCAACTAGAAATTATTTAGCTCCTTAAAATATTGTTTAGAAAAACATTACTCACAAACCATTTATAATACTTCATTGTAAAATTAAATATAATCAAAATATAATTGAAACAAAAAGATTATTAGGAAAAGTAATTGGAGAAAGTAGAACAAAAATAACATTTTCAAAAAAATGGTTATTCGACACTTTTTATGTGCCAGACAATTTTCTAAGTATTTTAAATAAGTTAACTCATTTAAGCCTCATAACAACCCTATGGAATAAGTACCATTATTATTGACAGTTTTACAAATAAGGATGTAAGAAACAAAGATGTTAAGTAACTTGCATAAAGTCACACTTTAAAATCAGTAGAAGAGAAAATATTCAAACAGAGGCTACCAATAGCACAGTTATAAGTATGCATCCATGTTGGCATTTATCACCTTTTAAAATTTTTCTTTATGTTGTGTCATATTGTATATGAAATTATTGTATATATAATTTCATTATTCATTACTTAATATTTTCAGCAAATAATATTTAATTGAGCAGGACTTTGAGACATTAAGATGAACTGTGCTGTTTCATCTGAACTTGAAATTTTTTTAGTTCTGCCTTACGAAAAAGCCTTTTTATACCCTGATATCTGAATATTTAGCAGTGAGGTCCACCATTGATATTAAATTCTTCTCGATGGCAAATAGCATACCAGGATATAATTTAATTGCAATCCTGGAAGGTAACAGAAAAAGATGAGATCACACAGGCCATTAGTCTCGAGGCATAGGTGGAGATCAGTCAAGTGAAAAGGAAGCAGGTGTCTAAGTTAGATGGCAAGAGACACAATTAGTAGTTCCCCGGATTTGCACAGGAGCCTCCTGAGGCTCACGTAACCGCTTCCCAGCAGGCGTGCAGTCTGACACCTGAAATGGCAAGCTGAGCTAAGAAACCTCAGGATAGCAGTCACCTAGCTGGAAACAGGGTTGCTGCCGGAGGGAGGAGAGGGGTATGTGGCAATGCTCCCGCAAATCCCTAAAGAGCGCTGCTCCATTTCCCTGGGCCACAGTCTCTGCAAGGTGTGCTGTAAACACGCCCTGGAAATGCATCCGTTCTACAGTTATTTCCATCCTAGCGTAGCACTCCTGTAGCCTTGTTTCAAGGCTTGTTTCAAGGCTGCAGAAGTGCTACGCTAGGATGGAAATAACTGTAGAATGGATGCATTTTGTTCTACAGGTTCAAAATGCTCATACTTAAGTACAATCTAGGGACACTTTATTCTAGAACCTGTGTGACTGAAATTATAAATGTGAACACTCCCTTATATGATTCACTTTTTTAAAAAAAATTTCATTGTTGTCTTTTGTACTTTGGCATTATCCAGTCAAAATTAATAACAACAAAAAGCTAAGGTATTATTTTTTTCAAGATGAACAGATCTTATAATCTCATTCTCGATAAAAATAACTTTAATGTGTTGAATCAGGTGAGATATCTAGATATCTAGCTTTCTAGTGTTATTCACATGTTTTAGAAGCATGTCTACCTCCATCTCTGTTCCTTTAAGTATGAATATTATCAACAAGAAAGGATATCTGAACAACGGCACTACAAGTAAAGTGATAGAACTTAGTTTATATATTCAAGTCCTAGGCTAAGTGCTTTCACAAGTATTAACATGTGAGAAGAAAATATTCCTCTTGGAAGTGATTGCCACATCATATCCTCTAACGAACAACTTTCTGTCACCTGATATTTTCTTATCATAAATAATATGCATGCATTGCCAAACACTGTAATCTGATTTTCTCTAGGTAACAGCTTGAAACAATGCAATACAACTCTGCTTTTTCTTTTACTAAATAATCGACTTAGCAAGTGTTACAGGACCAGTATTGAGATTCCTCTTCTGGACCATTATAATTTCAAATATTATGCTTCTCCATCTCCACCCATTAGATAGGTATATTGCAATACATGGGAAAAAAAGGTATAGCTATAGATATGTCTCCAAGGACAAATGCTTTGTGTTTTATATGCTTAAACAGATTTTAGGATTGTAAACCCTTTTCAAGTGCCATGTTGCTGTAGAAATTAGTTATAATCTGACAATATTTGTTCACAGTAATGCCCTGTACAAACATATATTGGGGTTGGGTGTTCTAAATTATATTAGTACTAAATCTTTATGAAGACAACTGCTACAACATAATCCCTCTGTCTTCTGGATAAACTGTTGTCAACACTGTGTACACTTGGCTACATTTTCAATGTGTATCAATTGTGGATTTGAATAAACTAGGCTCCTCTATAAATGTTCAGTCCTTACAAAGTTAGCATCTTTATCTGAGTTTATTTATCAAATTGACTGCAGTATTAGTACAAGGGAATACTGCTATAGATACTTAGGATGAATGTCATGTCTTTCTTAATGACATTTCCTGATTAATGTTTAACATAATGCGCTAACAGAGCTTGCACGTGGAGAGCAGGGCATCAGAATGCTTAAATACAAGGCCCACAGTTGCTAACTAAAAGTCACGAGCCCTGGATAAGTCATTTAACTATTCTAGAATCAGTTTGTTAGGGTCTAAACTATCTCGGAGCCCTCAAATCTGATCAGCCTATGTATGTCTTCTAAGACAAGCCATAGGTTTCTATTATTTATCCAGTAAACAATTTTTTAACCTCTATTACTCTTCAAACAATGTAGGATGTATAGCATTGCACAAATTTCTTTCACAGATATTACCATGTAGATGCCAAATCATACAAAATGCAAGAAATTATTAAGGACTGTAATCAGCATCACAGGAAAGATGAAACATTTTCTGGAATTTCAAAGAAAGGAAAGCACACTACATCCCATAGTCAACAAATAATAAAGATCTACCAGATGACAGGCAATGTGTTCAAGCCTTGCGTTTCATAGATAAAAAGCAGGCCTGCTCCTAACATTTGTGAGGCACAAAGCAAGAGTATAGCTGGAGGCCTGCATGTCACATGTCTTTATATTTAGAAATTAGACTAACAAACTATTATACCAAGTATGTACTATCATCCTACTATAATGAGCCTAATTTTACAATGACCTCAAAGAGCAAATAAAAATTAAAATTCTCAGACTTTTCAGACTTCCTTACCCCTGGCTCTGCCCCTACTGCTCCATCCTCTCCCTTTATTTTCCCACCTCTTATTCCTAATCATAACATAAGGGTCCTCACATGCACTCGTGTGGACACTCCAGGCCTGTGTGTCCAAGCTCCTTCAGTAAAAGAAAAAACTACCATTGAAGAGCTGAGGAGAATCGTAACAGATAACATTAAAATCATACCATGTGGAAAAAAATATTAAAACCCTGTAGAAGGAAGTTTCTGGGGTTGATTGCAGAATGTGGAATTGCTCAGTTTGGTTAGAGTTTCAAAAAGAGAAAAACATTAATGCTAAACCCGTAAAAATAAGCCTAGATCATGTTGTCGAAAGCTAGAAAGTTTGAACTTTATTTGGTAGGCAAAGAAGAGGGATTTGAAGGTTATTGAGCAGGGGTGACATAATCAAAGCTGTACTTTAGGAAGATTAATTTGGCAGCCGAATGCAGAATGAGTAGATTAGAAGCAAGACTGGAGGCAGGGAGAAGAGTTATAGCAGTAGTTTAGGTAAGCAGTAATAAGACTGTTAACTAGGGCTAGGGTAATGTACAAGAAGAAAGGGTGGTGTGAGACAGTAGGGAGAAGGAATTGACAGCCCCTGATGAATCACTGGTAATAGGGGAAAGGAGAGAGACAAATCAAAGAGCACTCAGAGGTCTTGAGCTTCTGTGACTAAAAAAGAATATTGGAAGCCATCAGCAAAAAGTCAGGAGGAGGAGCCAAACTGGGGTGAAAATGGTGAGTGGCATTGATGTGTGTTGTGTTAACAACATTAGCAAATCTCCACCCAGGTGAAAATGGCATTGAGACTATTAATGCAAATCTGGAACATGGGAGAATCATCAGGAAATCTCATAAAGAGGTGAAACTCTTAAGTCTGACTTGTTTGAAATTAGTTGTGGAAGCTATTCTTTATGCAATCTCAATGTCTACAGGTTTTCAACATTTTCTCTGGCTCATAGGTTAGTTCCTTGGATTTTCAGGTTGCTAAAAATATATGTGTATTCTGAACAGTTATTTGCAAACTCTGGACCAGTTAATTCACTTTGGCAAGTTCTACCTTATAATCGATCGTACTGTGGTCTGCTTTATCAGGATTTGGTGATAACAGTTCACATTTTTTTTCCTGCCACAAATCATTTCCCAATATCAGAACATTCAGTTTTGAGAATTTTGACTTTGTCCAGATTTAGACTTTATGCATTTATCTAACTTAATGCTTACAAACAGTGAGTCAGCCTTTGGGCTGACAGATCTCTCAAACCTACTGCGAGGTGCCAGAAGCTCTTATGGCTCTCAAGTGACACATCCATTTGTTGATTACAAAAGTCGTTGCCTTTTGTTCTCACTCATACTAGCTACTAAGATACAAACACCCAGACATGCACATCCACGCATACACACAGAGAAGCACATGCACACACAGAACTCACAATCTCAAGCAACAATAAAGATGACTTAATTGAGTTAATGCCTTTACTCCTGTGTTCTCAATAACATTACCCAATAACTCCTCTTCAGTTGTCCCTGATGCACCCAAATATTTCAGTCATTGTTGAAGATCTCAGGATGGCTGCCATTTATGCCAGGATGGAGAAAGAAGCCTTATTACAGTGAGAAAATCTCAAATCTCAGTCTTTGGGCAAACGGAAACAGAAACCAGCAATTGGGCTGCACACATTTCCCAGGAGGGACAAAGTCTATGTAAGGTCATTTTTGGTCTCTGCTTGCCTCCACTTTAGGAAAAATGCCGCTGCCAAACCCTTTGACTCTATCAATGCCTCAGCTTTCAGAGTTGATAGCTAAACCTATATCTCTAATTATCTTTTTATAAGTCTCCTCTTTCACATGTATCTCCAACCCAGGCAGCATGGTGAAACATACAGTTCATAATAAGGGAATGTGGACTCCCTTGAGCATTTCAGGGTGAAGGCGCACTGTGGGTGTTAAAAGGGAAAATATTTAAAGATCAGTGGTGGTTTTCTGCTAACAGAAGTGTCAAGTTTTTAAAGGGGACATGTGGCACTAATAAAAGAGCATTTCATGAATAAAATAAGACAGACAAAACCAAAAATAGAAATAATATCTATAACATGCTATATAATGACTTTTGCATTGGCCAATTACCTATTGCCTCCCACAGCAAACAAAATCTGAAAAAGAGCAGACATAGATACACAATCTCCCATTTTTGCTGGAAAAAATGCTCTTTTCATCAGAACTTTGGCCTACTTCTTATATATCTTGCCAATGTTTGCTTGATCATTCGTTTATTCCTTGAATAAATTCCCAGTCAAGCCTAGTTCTCCTTACCTGGCCTTCACCTGTTAAAGCCCTGGACAGACTGACTCTATTTGCTTCTCTAACTTTCATAACTTTTCAGGATGCTCTTGACCCTGAGTCATAAATATACATACGTGTAACTTAAGAGTTATTTATAGGCCAGCAGTCATCAAAGGGACAAATATGCATGTTCCCAAAGTATATGTAACTACTTCGAAAAAGTAAAGAGGCCTTAAAACTAAATTTCTTAAAAGCTAGGGGAAAAAAAAGAGAGAATGTACCATAGGCAATATACAAGACTTCATTCGATCTGGGTTTGAATTATGGGATAAAACTAGTATGCGCCATTAGTGATTCTGAAGATTAGTTGATACAAACATTTTCAAAAGATAGTAAAGGATTTTTTTAATATTTGTCTTCTCAACTCACTATATGGTATTTTCTATACCAAATTACATTAAACAATCATTTATATCTTCTATTTTTACGAATAAAAGAGAAAATAATTAGACTTTGGATTCGCAAGTACCACATTGAAATTTATGATTTTCATTAGATTGCTAACTATTTTTTAAATACCAGGAGTACTCTTACCACTACCTTTGAAGATCCTAGGAATCTGATGTTCTCAGTTGGGAGTCATTTCTTAAGTTATTAGGCAGGTAAAATGGATTAAATGCTGAGTTAAGGCAGGCCACTAAACACATGATCAAATTAGAGGGGTCAGCATTTATGACTCGACTTTCTTTAGCAAAAGAAGGGAAGGTGAGCCCAAGCAATAGACAGAGCTTGATGAATGAAGGAAACCAGGTTGATGAGAGATGCTGAAGTCAGACATCAGACTCATGGGAAGGAGGAAGATAAGGCAAGGTAGTCAAGCCATCGAATGATCAACACATAAGCCTACAGTGTGTTGAGACAACAGTGGCTGGTTAAGTGGAGTAAGTCAACCTTCCTGCTGGGGAATAGTTAGTGGTCAGGTTACAACAAATTCAAGTGTGGAAAAATTAGATCCAAGTTACACATCTAGTGGGACAACTCAAAATCTCCAGGAAACCCTGTGATTAGGGGAGATAAGTCATTCTCCTCTTAAAATGATAATTCTCCAAGTAGGTTTTCACAGAAGTCTTAAAAACCATGAAAAAGACTAATAAACAGTAACAACTTCAAGCATTATAAATTAAAAATAAAATAAATTTAAAAAATCACAGGTTTAGCTCCACTGAACTAGATATACAATAGGCCTCTGGCACAGCACAGCAAGGATTCCTATTAATTTAAATAGGGTAAAATGAGAAAGAAAATTCACATCAGAACATTCATGAAATAAAAATGCAGGTTCTGAGCAAAGTCAACACAAGTTTACTGTCAGGGCTCAAAGCCTCCTGTACCTACTCCCAATGGGGTGCCACCTTAATGCTTTCTGCTCAGTGTCCTATTGTGTTTGAGTTTTGCCAGTTTGATCTTTAACTGTGAATTTCCTCTTCCTGATTGCACTAAGGCAGAATGCAATCTCTTTTTGAAGTCACTTTTGCTGGGTGAATATTTTAAATCTAGGTCTGTGTTATATAGAATATACAGAACATTTGTACCAGTTTACAGAAAAGCTTTAGCAATCATATCACATCTGTAAGGACTATTAATGTCAATGGAAAGGCAGTGAGCCTGATGATCCACATATATCTGCTAAAACTGCTGGAGCAGAGTAGACAATGAAGGAAGGAAAATACAGTATAGAAAACCAGCATGGTGCCAATGAGGTTGAAAAATATTCTAATGCTTTGCTTTTGAAATTGTTTACCTGTAGAATAAATCCATTAAAATATCAATATCAAACTATGTATCCTGAAACTAGTATTTTAGGGGAAAGTCTTTTGTTAATAAAAATTTTAATTATTTGCTTTTGACTTTTACTTGTTCATTCATGTTTTGTTTGTAATACATTAAAAGAAGAAAACACAACCACACAATTGGTAGATTATGTAAGACAACCATTGAGGTGGAAGAGTTTTCTCATTTCCAAGTTACTATGAGCATAACTCATAATTGTTAGCAGTTAACGGGTTAAATACGTATTACAGATGCATACATTTTTGTTTGTTTGTTTGTTTGTTGTTGTTGTTTCTTGAGATGGAGTCTCACTCTTCTTGCCCAGCCTGGAGTGTAATGGCACGATTTTGGCTCACTGCAACCCTCCGCCTCCTGGGTTCAAGCAATTCTCCTGCCTCAGCCTCCTGAGTAGCTGGGATTACAGGTGCGTGCTACCACGCCAGGCTAATTTTTGTATTTTTAGGAGAGATGGAGTTTCACCATGTTGGCAAGGCTGGTCTCAAACTCCTGACCTCAGGTGATCCACCCTGGGCCTCCGAAAGTGTTTGGATTATAGGTGTGAGCCACTGCACCCAGCCTCATAAAGTTTTATAATATATAAATTCAGATGGATTAAAGAGATAAAGTAGTTTTTAAGAACATCATAATTTTCCTGGGAGAAACAAATATGTATATATAGGAGCCTATTTAGTTTTCATCAATGATGACTGAACTCAGCATAAAATTGATATAAAAATTAAAGAAAAAGGATGGTAGAGATCTAAGTTTTAAAAATTAAGAAATAAATGAAAATAAGATGCAAATTACAAACCCTGTGCAAAAAAAATCCAATATACGTGGCAAAAATTAATATTCCTACTAGAAAAGGGAGTCTTAAAATGGAATATTAAAAAAATTCAAAAAATTGAAAAAAGGGCAAAGATCTGAACAGCTAATTTCAAAATAAAAAATACAGTTTAAAATATAAAAAAATTATTTAACCTTATGTTATGAACTGAATTGTATCTCCCTATTCCACCCCCTAAATTCATACATATTGAAACTGTAATCCTCAATGTGATGATATTTGAAGGTAGGGCCTATGGGAAGTAATTAGATTTAGATGAGGTCATGAGGATGGGATCTTGTCTAAACCTTGTGATGGGATTAGTGTCCTCAAAAGAAGAGACGACACAGAGCTTGCTTCTTCTCCCTCTGTCTCTGTACACGTGCACTGAGGAAAGGCCATGTAAGGACATAGCTAGAAGGTGCCTGTCTGTAAGCCATGAAGGGAGCCATTACCAGGAGCCAAATAGGCCAACATGCCAAGCATGTTCACTCACACTTATAATCTCAGAATTTTGGGAGGCTGAGGCGAGCAGGTTGCTTGAGCCCAGGAGTTTGAGACCAGCCTGGGCAACATGGCAAAACCCAGCATCTACAAAAAATACAAAAAAAATTAGCTGGTGTGATGGCGCACACCTGTAGTCCCAGCTACTCAGGAGACTGAGGTGGGAAGATCACCTGAGCCCAGGAAGTCGATGCTTCAGTGAGCCATGATCATGTCACTGCATTCCAGCCTGGGCAACAGAGTGAAATCCCGACTCAAAAAAACAAAAAAAAAAAAAAAAAAAAAAGGCCAACACCTTGATTTTGGACTTCTCAGCACCCTGAACTATGAGGAAGAAAATGTCAGTTTTTTAACCCACTCAGTCTATAGTATTTTGTTATGGCAGTCCACGTGCACTAAGACACCTTATTTGTGTCTTTTGTTATTTGTAATGAGTCCCTTTGATAATACCTGAGTTTATGCTAATGAGGTGACTTAGGATGGGATCCCTAGATAGCCTCAGGATGGAACTGGCTGCCAGAAAGGCCAAATGGTCAGTAAGTTGGAACTTTCAGCCCCACCTACTGATCTCTGGGAAGGGAGTAAGGAGGCTGGAGATCAAGCTCTATAAAAATTCTTCAACAGCAAGATTTGATGAGCTTCCAGATGTCTGATGCTAAACATATATGGAAATGCTGGGAGGGTGGCATGACCAGACAGGGCATGGAAGCGTGGAGCCCTACCCTCCTACCTCGCTCTATATGGCTCTTCCATCTGGTTGCTTATTGGTATTATTTGTAACATCCTTTAAAATAAATAGGTAAAGATAAGTAGTGTTTTGCTGAGTTCTATGAGCCACTCTAGCAAATTAATTGAACTTGAGGCAGAGATTGTGGGAGCCCCAGTGTAGAGCTGATTGGTCAGAAGCAGAGGTCACAACTGTGGCTTGCAATTGGCATCTGAAGCGAGGATTGTGTTGAGGGACTGAGCCCTGAAAACCCAAGGGATCTGATGCTACCTCCAGGTAGATCGAGTCCGAATTAAATTAAGTTATAGGACACCTGGTTGGTGTCCACTGGAGAATTGCTTGGTGATGGGGAGAATCTCCACGCACATTTTGGTAACCAGAGGTGAAGTGTTCTGTGTTGAGTATTGAATATGTTAAGTGTGTAAGAGTAGGAAAACACTTTCTTTTCCTACCTCAAATAGAAGCGCAAATCAAAATCCTAGGTAACATTTTTCATATAAAATTGGCAAGTATTTAAATATATAGTAATACCCTGTGTACGTGAGGGAATGAAGACTATAGATGTTTTATATACTTTTGGTGGAGCCATAAGTTGGTATATATTGTTCACAATTTGTCAGTCTGTATTGATTCTTAAGTAGCTATGACCTTCAATCCTATAATTCAATTTCTAGGAATTTAACTAGAAGGTAGTTCATCAGAATGTGATTTAGGATAGGAAACAATTTGAAATAATCTACACATCCAGTGTTAGGAGGGTCACTAAATAAATTTTATCCATAGGATGGGATATTTCATATCTCTATGTATAATTTAGATTTTCAAGTTCCTGTTTTCAGGTAACAAAACAAAGACTGGATTTTCCTTTTCTCAGCTTGGATATCAAAACATGAAGTCAAAGATAATAGAAAGATCAATCTTTATAATGCCAGAAAATATCTGTAGCCTCAAACACTGTGAAGGTTAACGAGGACTGCAGAAAGATACTAAAGAGGAGCCTCAAGGTTGCAGATTTCAGACAAAGTCAACAGTGTAGTTTTTCAAAGTAGGTGGCATATACTAATGGAAGAAATCCAGCAATCCCATATTTAAAAAATATGACCCAGCTGCAGGCAGGAAGCTTCCTGGTCCTAGATTGGCAACAAGTTGATGCCAGAGGGACCAGCCCAAGTGAGAAGTAGCAGCGGCCAGCCATATTTACAGGAAGCAGTCTGCAAGCAAGGCAGAGCAAAAGGGAGAGTCTCTACATTTTGAGAAGCCCTGAAGCTTCTGATCACTGTGGCTAACAGAAAATAAGAGCCAGGGTCATGTCTGACCCTGCTTCAAAAGAAACATTATTATGAACCAGAAGAAATTCCTACTCATATAAAATATGGCTGTAGCCTGACCCTCAAGTGATTCTTGGGCAAATACCTGGGCAAGAATTAACTTCAACCAAATATGTGTACAATTTGAAAAAGAAACAGTGCAAGCTATAAATGTACAGCAGATTATACCTATATATAATTATATAGAAAATTACAAGTGATTCAACAAAAACAAATTGCAGATAATTAACACAAGAAAAAATGGTTGTCTTTCATGTCATGGAACATATGAAAATTGTCATCAAACACAGCATAGCAAATCAATATTTTAAATAAAAACCTTTTAGATAAAAAATCTTAAAGCAGATAAATGAGTTTAGAGAAAATATATATAATAAGACAGTGAAACCAGAGAAATAAAACCAATCAGCAAAGACATGAAATGGCAGAGATGAGGAAAGAAGTAAGAGATAAATAGAAACTATCATGGAAATGAGAATCTCACCAGAAGCAGCACAGAAGAGAAAGACAAACTGGAATGCCAGTGAGGAAGAGCTTGGGAAAGATGAGCTAATAAAAGTCAAAATAACTATTAAAAAGAAAGTTACTGTTGAGGAAGAAAGCAGAATAAATGGAATTTTCAAATACTTTAAAGTAATTTTTAGTTTTTTTAAATTTCCAGAAATGAAGGATAACTTGCATGTACAGATTGAAATATCCTATCATGTCCTAGAAAAATCTGATCCAGGATCAAAATTGAGTCAAATGTTAGAAAAGTTTCTGGACTTCAAAAGTAAAGAGTGGGGAGGAAGAATCACTAACATTTAACTTCATGAAAAGTAAAAACCCAAATAGATGCACAAGCATATGTGAAAGTAAAATGGTCTTTGCTTTATGAAGAAGCTGGCCTAGGTAGGGTTACAAATGGGTTTTACTGAACTTAAACAGCTAATTCCTACATCTCTGAAAATAATCAGAATAGAAAAATAGATGGAAAAATTTCAAACCCACTGTAAGAGACTAACATAAATCCAATTCCAAAAGCTGTTAATCATACCATCTAAAAAGAAAACTGTCGACTAATCATGTGTTTACAAACCAAAATAAAATATTAACAAATTAAATATAACAGTGTATTTAAAGAATAATACACCAAAATCAGCATAGTGAACCCCAGAATACATGTAAGCTTATACTAGGAAAACCATTAATGAAGTTTTTGACATTAGCTGACTAAAAGAGAAATATGAATAAAGAAAAAAGGGCCACATCAATTTCTAATTTTAAAATGAAAGGAAATAAAATCAGGTAAAGTTTCCCTATAGAAATCTAGAAAGGAAACGTACCTAGAAAGAAATAGGAAGTAATTCTACTGAACTTTGAATGATCAATGCCATCATTCATTATTTCATTTGCACTCTTATAAAACAGAATAAAACTTGAGAAAGAAATCATTGACATGCTTGTTAAAAAAGAAAGCGACCTAGCTTTCACTAGTTACAATCAATTTAGATTAAAAAACGGATAAACACAAAAGCGTATACAGACACAAATAATCCATGAAGTAGAAATTAGAACAGAAAATATTTTCAAAGATACTAGAGGATATTTTCTAAAATACAGGAAGAACTTAATGTGCATATGAATGAGCATAATGTCTCTTAGAAATACATGCATTTATGCTCAATAATCGGCACTCAGAGTCTATCAATGTTACTGGATTTAATATATTAAATAAGTCACATATAGGAGAAAAAAGTTAAAACATAAGAGACAAAAGAATGGACATAGAAAAATTAATAACAATTTAAATATATGTGTCTGTATAAATATATATTATATTGTGAAAACAGAATGATGTATGATCATTTTAACAGATACGAAAAGTTTTGATTGAACTGAAAAAGAATTGACTTTTAAAATTTGAAAAATGGTTACTTCCTCTAATTTTTTAAAAAATTACTATGTACGAAAGAACTGAAGCCTGTTCCGTCAATTCAAGATGACTCACAAGTGCTCTGAGGGGCATGTTTCAACCTCCCTAGCTGCAGCCAGCTCACTTAACCTACTTTTTTTTTTTTTTTTTTTTGGTCTTTTTGACTACAAGCATGTTTCTGGTGGCCTTTGGATGTTGGATTTTAACAACAACCTTAGAGAAATTGTTAAAAAGATTTATGTACATACTTAATATGGAATACTCTGCAGCTTTAATAATGCAGACAGATCTCCAAGACGTATTTTTATATGAAAAGGCAAGTTGCTGAGCTATATGAAAAGTATGTTCAAATTCATATTTTAAAAAAATTACATATGTAACAGAATTCATGTACTCAACAGTTGAATATCAAATTATTCATTTGGGAAGAAGTAGAGGGAGATTTGAATTAAACTTAGATGTTTTATTCCATATATTTCTGAAATGTTTGGATCTGTCCATAAAGATATTTTCATGTATTCTGTGTTTAAAAATTAAAATACATTTTTAAAGGATTATCTGATAAAGGCCTAAGTTAGACATCGCCAAGTGCTAATTACTCTAATGAATTGTTAATAAGCTTGAATCTGCAATGTTTTCTTGTAAATAGCTTTTGTGGGGGATTCGTGTTTGTTTGTGGGGTTTTTTGTTTTATTTTATTTTATTTTTTTGAGACGAAGTGAGTCTCGCACCGTCGCCAGACTGGAGTGCAGTGGCGCCATCTCGGCTCACTGCAACCTCCGCCTCCTGGTTCAAGCTATTCTCCCCCCTCAGCTCCCCGAGTAGCTGGGACTACAGGCGCCCGCCACCACGCCAGCCTAATTTTTGTATTTCTAGAAGAAATGGGGTTTCCCCATGTTGGCCAGGATGGTCTCGATCTTTTGACCCCGTGATGCCCCTACCTCGGCCTCCCAAAGTGCTGGGATTACAGGCATGAGCCACAGCGCCCGGGCAGGGGTTTTTTGTTTTAGTATTTTTCTTCATTTTTGTTTTTGCAAAGGCATTCTAAATGATAGTCTATAAATTCAGAAGGAAAGGCATGATACCTGATCCCAAAAGTATTTACCCTATCTACTAATGGGTAGCCGAAAGAAAACACGTTTAGCTTAAACTTTTTATCTCATTAAAATGTATAATGCCCTGAAGTAGATAGTACTTTAAGTAATCAGTAACTGTATTTAAAGGCAGATGATTTTTTATCCCTTTCTTAGGAAAAGGAAGACAATGAGAAAACTTGAAATAGAGAGTGAGAATATCTAAAGGAAAAGTGGGAGAATTGCAAGTCTAGAAATACCGTAGATAAACTTATGTACTTGTTAAAAAATACCTAGGGCTTGAATTGTAAGTTAACACAATCAGCAAGTCTTCTGCATTAAAATATCAGAGGAGAAAGATGAACGTGGTCACACGAGGAAAGAGTCTTAAATCATTAGCTATTTTTAATATTTTAAAATATAAAACAGAATTTGGATTTGGTAATGTTTAAATGAAAAAGAAAAATAAGGAAGAATCATTATACAAATACTGATGTAATAGACTCCAACAGGATTAGAGCACATTTACTCTTTACTATCAGAGCACATTTTTAATTTCTGATGAATATTTTCCGAACAATTTACACTTTAAATTTGACAAACAACCAAATACTGAAGATGTGAAATATGGCAGGAACAATTGTCCCAAGCATTCCAGTCTGCACAACAAAATAATGTTATTAAACTATTAGGTTAAATTTAAATCCAACATAATTGATTTTGGATTTAAAAAACAAGACAAAAAATAATTATATGCACAATTTTTTTAAAATACAAAACAAAAGGAAAGTTTGTCCAGGCTAGACTGTCCAAACAGCAAAAATTCATGTTAGTCATAATGTGGTGTTATGAAAGGTGTTATAAACTATTCACCTAAATATTGCCCTACTCAAACATTTTCATTCTCTTAGGGATTTGAGATAGACTTTAATTTTTTTTTTTAATTTTTTATTTATTTATTTTTTTATTATACTTTAAGTTTTAGGGTACATGTGCACATTGTGCAGGTTAGTTACATATGTGTACATGTGCCATGCTGGTGCACTGCACCCACTAACTTGTCATCTAGCATTAGGTATATCTCCCGATGCTATCCCTCCCCCCTCCCCCCACCCCACAACAGTCCCCAGAGTGTGATATTCCCCTTCCTGTGTCCATGTGATCTCATTGTTCAATTCCCACCTATGAGTGAGAATATGCGGTGTTTGGTTTTTTGTTCTTGTGATAGTTTACTGAGAATGATGATTTCCAATTTCATCCATGTCTCTACAAAGGACATGAACTCATCATTTTTTATGGCTGCATAGTATTCCATGGTGTATATGTGCCACATTTTCTTAATCCAGTCTATCATTGTTGGACATTTGGGTTGGTTCCAAGTCTTTGCTATTGTGAATAATGCCGCAATAAACATAAGTGTGCATGTGTCTTTATAGCAGCATGATTTATATACTTGGTATATATATACTTGGTATATATATATATATATATATATACTTGGTATATATACTTGGGTATATACCCAGTAATGGGATGGCTGGGTCAAATGGTACTTCCAGTTCTAGATCCCTGAGGAATCGCCACACTGACTTCCACAATGGTTGAACTAGTTTACAGTCCCACCACCAGTGTCAAAGTGTTCCTATTTCTCCACATCCTCTCCAGCACCTGTTGTTTCCTGACTTTTTAATGATTGCCATTCTAACTGGTGTGAGATGGTATCTCATTGTGGTTTTGATTTGCATTTCTCTGATGGCCAGTGATGATGATAATTTTTTCATGTGTTTTTTGGCTGCATAAATGTCTTCTTTTGAGAAGTGTCTGTTCATGTCCTTCGCCCACTTTTTGATGGGGTTGTTTGTTTTTTTCTTGTAAATTTGTTTGAGTTCATTGTAGATTCTGGATATTAGCCCTTTGTCAGATGAGTAGGTTGCGAAAATTTTCTCCCATGTTGTAGGTTGCCTGTTCACTCTGATGGTAGTTTCTTTTGCTGTGCAGAAGCTCTTTAGTTTAATTAGATCCCATTTGTCAATTTTGGCTTTTGTTGCCATTGCTTTTGGTGTTTTAGACATGAAGTCCTTGCCCATGCCTATGTCCTGAATGCTAATGCCTAGGTTTTCTTCTAGGGTTTTTATGGTTTTAGGTCTAACGTTTAAATCTTTAATCCATCTTGAATTGATTTTTGTATAAGGTGTAAGGAAGGGATCCAGTTTCAGCTTTCTACATATGGCTAGCCAGTTTTCCCAGCACCATTTATTAAATAGGGAATCCTTTCCCCATTGCTTGTTTTTCTCAGGTTTGTCAAAGATCAGATAGTTGTAGATATGCGGTGTTATTTCTGAGGGCTCTGTTCTGTTCCATTGATCTATATCTCTGTTTTGGTACCAGTACCATGCTGTTTTGGTTACTGTAGCCTTGTAGTATAGTTTGAAGTCGGGTAGTGTGATGCCTCCAGCTTTGTTCTTTTGGCTTAGGATTGACTTGGTGATATGGGCTCTTTTTTGGTTCCATATGAACAATAAAGTATTTTTTTCAAATTCTGTGAAGAAAGTCATTGGTAGCTTGATGGGGATGGCATTGAATCTGTAAATTACCTTGGGCAGTATGGCCATTTTCACAATATTGATTCTTCCTACCCATGAGCATGGAATGTTCTTCCATTTGTTTGTAACCTCTTTTATTTCCTTGAGCAGTGGTTTGTAGTTCTCCTTGAAGAGGTCCTTCACATCCCTTGTAAGTTGGATTCCTAGGTATTTTATTCTCTTTGAAGCAATTGTGAATGGGAGTTCACTCATGATTTGACTCTCTGTTTGTCTGTGGTTGGTGTATAAGAACGCTTGTGATTTTTGTACATTGATTTTGTATCCTGAGACTTTGCTGAAGTTGCTTATCAGCTTAAGGAGATTTTGGGCTGAGACAATGGGGTTTTCTAGATATACAATCATGTCGTCTGCAAACAGGGACAATTTGACTTCCTCTTTTCCAATTGAATACCCTTTATTTCCTTCTCCTGCCTAATTGCTCTGGCCAGAACTTCCAACACTATGTTGAATAGGAGTGGTGAGAGAGGGAATTCCTGTCTTGTGCCAGTTTTCAAAGTGAATGCTTCCAGTTTATTCCCATTCAGTATGATATTGGCTGTGGGTTTGTCATAGATAGCTCTTATTATTTTGAAATACGTCCCATCAATACCTAATTTATTGAGAGTTTTTAGCATGAAGGGTTGTTGAATTTTGTCAAAGGCTTTTTCTGCATCTATTGAGATAATCATGTGGTTTTTGTCTTTGGCTCTGTTTATATGCTGGATTACATTGATTGATTTGCGTATATTGAACCAGCCTTGCATCCCAGGGATGAAGCCCACTTGATCATGGTGGATAAGCTTTTTGATGTGCTGCTGGATTCGTTTTGCCAGTATTTTATTGAGGATTTTTGCATCAATGTTCATCAAGGATATTGGTCTAAAATTCTCTTTTTTGGTTGTGTCTCTGCCTGGCTTTGGTATCAGAATGATGCTGGCCTCATAAAATGAGTTAGGGAGGATTCCCTGTTTTTCTATTGATTGGAATAGTTTCAGAAGGAATGGTACCAGTTCCTCCTTGTACCTCTGGTAGAATTCGGCTGTGAATCCATCTGGTCCTGGACTCTTTTTGGTTGGTAAGCTATTGATTATTGCCACAATTTCAGCTCCTGTTATTGGTCTATTCAGAGATTCAACTTCTTCCTGGTTTAGTCTTGGGAGAGTGTATGTGTCCAGGAATTTATCCATTTCTTCTAGATTTTCTAGTTTATTTGCGTAGAGGTGTTTGTAGTATTCCCTGATGGTAGTTTGTATTTCTGTGGTATCGGTGGTGATATCCCCTTTATCATTTTTTATTGTGTCTATTTGATTCTTCTCTCTTTTTTTCTTTATTAGTCTTGCTAGTGGTCTATCTATTTTGTTGATCCTTTCAAAAAACCAGCTCCTGGATTCATTAATTTTTTGAAGGGTTTTTTGTGTCTCTATTTCCTTCAGTTCTGCTCTGATTTTAGTTATTTCTTGCCTTCTGCTAGCTTTTGAATGTGTTTGCTCTTGCTTTTCTAGTTCTTTTAATTGTGATGTTAGGGTGTCAATTTTGGATCTTTCCTGCTTTCTCTTGTGGGCATTTAGTGCTGTAAATTTCCCTCTACACACGGCTTTGAATGCGTCCCAGAGATTCTGGTATGTTGTGTCTTTGTTCTCGTTGGTTTCAAAGAACATCTTTATTTCTGCCTTCATTTCGTTATGTACCCAGTAGTCATTCAGGAGCAGGTTGTTCAGTTTCCATGTAGTTGAGCGGTTTTGAGTGAGATTCTTAATCCTGAGTTCTAGTTTGATTGCACTGTGGTCTAAGAGATAGTTTGTTATAATTTCTGTTCTTTTACATTTGCTGAGGAGAGCTTTACTTCCCAGTATGTGGTCAATTTTGGAATAGGTGTGGTGTGGTGCTGAAAAAAATGTATATTCTGTTGATTTGGGGTGGAGAGTTCTGTAGATGTCTATTAGGTCCACTTGGTGCAGAGCTGAGTTCAATTCCTGGGTATCCTTGTTGATCTTCTGTCTTGTTGATCTGTCTAATGTTGACAGTGGGGTGTTAAAGTCTCCCATTATTAATGTGTGGGAGTCTAAGTCTCTTTGTAGGTCACTCAGGACTTGCTTTATGAATCTTGGTGCTCCTGTATTGGGTGCATATATATTTAGGATAGTTAGCTCTTCCTGTTGAATTGATCCCTTTACCATTATGTAATGGCCTTCTTTGTCTCTTTTGATCTTTGTTGGTTTAAAGTCTGTTTTATCAGAGACTAGGATTGCAACCCCTGCCTTTTTTTGTTTTCCATTTGCTTGGTAGATCTTCCTCCATCCTTTTATTTTGAGCCTATGTGTGTCTCTGCACGTGAGATGGGTTTCCTGAATACAGCACACTGATGGGTCTTGACTCTTTATCCAATTTGCCAGTCTGTGTCTTTTAATTGGAGCATTTAGTCCATTTACATTTAAAGTTAACATTGTTATGTGTGAATTTGATCCTGTCACTATGATGTTAGCTGGTTATTTTGCTCATTAGTTGATGCAGTTTCTTCCTAGTCTCAATGGTCTTTACATTTTGGCATGATTTTGCAGCGGCTGGTACCGGTTGTTCCTTTCCATGTTTAGTGCTTCCTTCAGGAGCTCTTGTAAAGCAGGCCTGGTGGTGACAAAATCTCTCAGCATTTGCTTGTCTGTAAAGTATTTTATTTCTCCTTCACTTATGAAGCTTAGTTTGGCTGCATATGAAATTCTGGGTTGAAAATTCTTTTCTTTAAGAATGTTGAATATTGGCCCCCACTCTCTTCTGGCTTGTAGGGTTTCTGCTGAGAGATCTGCTGTTAGTCTGATGGGCTTCCCTTTGAGGGTAACCCGACCTTTCTCTCTGGCTGCTCTTAACATTTTTTCCTTCATTTCAGCTTTGGTGAATCTGACAATTATGTGTCTTGGAGTTGCTCTTCTCGAGGAGTATCTTTGTGGCGTTCTCTGTATTTCCTGAATCTGAACGTTGAGATAGACTTTTAAAAAGGAGCAGATTGTTACTGACTTCTTCAGGGTGTGTGTGTGTGTCTATTAAAAACAGAGCATTCTTCTCAGTATTCTAAATATCCTCTGACTTTTAAAAATAATGTATTTGCAGAAATATTAACATACTCCATTTGGCAATAAAGGTGGACAGGAAATTTAAGCACTGCATGGGAAGGATAATAAGATAACCTTTAAACCCTCTTTCAACTCTGAGAGTCTGTGATTCCAAACCAAAGGAGGCTGCAGTTAAAATGTAGATGTGAATTGAAATCATCTGCTAGTTTCAGACAATGCTTATAAGCTAGATTTTAGGCTTATACTCCTCTTTATCTAATTTAATTAAGAATGAGTTGGGTTTTAAATAAAAATATTAGTAATATCCTATTGAAAAAAACAAATGATTTTATCCAGGAGAGATCATTCACAACTGGGAAATACAGAAGTTCCTTAATATAACATTATATTTTACAGCCATCCAGAGAAGCACCTTAGTCTCTTCAATCGCTCTCATCATTTGCTTGCTTTTACTTGCAATTGTATACCATGCTCACGTTTTTCAGCAAATAATTGTTATTTGAAACGCTCTGGCTTCTGGTGAGAGGTCACTGGCTTTATAGAAGACATTAAAACATTTATTTTTATATCTATTATTCCTGGTTTTATTTTTATGACTTTCAATTTTGATACAATTTTAAACTTACAGAAATTATGCTGAATAGTCCACGAAAGTTCCCCATAACTTTTAATCTGCTCCAACAACTTTATAATTTACTTCTTGTTTTATCATTCTCTCTCAACATAGACACACACACACACACACACACACACACACACACACACACACACAGTTCTACAGCATTTCAGAGTTCCTTGGAGATTTCTTGCTTCTTTATTCCTAAATATTTGTGTGTATTTTCTAAAAGCAGGACATTCTCCCACGTAACAGTAATTCAATTATCAAAATCACAAAATATTATTATCTAAACCAAAGGCTGTATTCAAATTTGTCAATGTAACAGTAATGCCCTTTTTAACTTCCTCCCAACCCCCACCACTGGTCTAGGACCCAATTCAAGTCACAATTTGCAATTAGTTGCTATATCCCTTTAGTCTCCTTTAATTTAGTAGAATTCCTCAGTGTTTCTTAACTCAGTATTTTAGAAGAATACAGGCCAACGATTTTGTATAAGAGGTACAGGCCAGGAAGATATTAATGAGATTGATATATAATACCTATTCTTTTGGGAAAACCATGACTATGTGGGAATTATAAGACAGAAAAAAGGATGCCTTCTTTTTTCAAACTCATTCATCCAAAGGGACACTTTTATGCAATTGAC
Organism: Homo sapiens; assembly: GCF_000001405.40. Taxonomy (NCBI): domain Eukaryota; kingdom Metazoa; phylum Chordata; class Mammalia; order Primates; family Hominidae; genus Homo; species Homo sapiens. The sequence continues at coordinate 59,032,530 of NC_000013.11, forward strand.
TTATTTTATCTAATTGATTCACCCTTTTTCAATCAGTGCGCCAATTCTGCGAGATGAGATTCAGCCACTCTTAGTGTCTGCTTAATGCTATAGACAAACAATAAGATAGAAATTTTTATGTTTTTCTTAAAGTTCTTTTTATATGGATCTGCTATAGTCTGAATGCATGCTAAAAATGTCATGTGTTGAAAACTCAATCCTAAAATCCATATGTTGACTAGAGGCGGACCATTGGAAGGTAATGAGAATTAGGTAAGATCATCGGGGTGGAGCCCCCATGATGAGATTAGTGACTTTATAACAAGAGGAAGACAGACCTGAGCTAGCAGCTTCCTCTGTTTTGCCACATCATGACACAGCAGGAAGGCCCTCAGCAGAAGCTGCTGCCATGTCCTTGGACTATCTAGCCTTCTAAACTTACAAAATAAGTTTATCATGAGCCAAATAAACTTATTTTCTTTGCAAATTACCCAGTATCAAGTGTTCAGTTATAGCAACAGAAAACAGACTAAGACAGGTTCAATTAAACAAGTTTATTCAAATACATAATGTGTAATGACTTAAATTTTTATATAATTATAATTTTAACTGACACATTTTTTTCTCTGCATAGAATTGATACTGAACAAATATGAGTATTTTGAATATTTTTATAACTTAAAACTAACCCCACATAGAATTATCACTAGTGTGAAATGATTTGGGTGCCAGTGATTTCCCTTTCCTTGTTTTCTTTAATTCTTCGGTGTTTTGTAGCAGTGTAAAAGAAATGTTCCAGGTTAAATCCATACGTCACATTGGACAATGTTCCAGGCTAAATCTATACCTGACACTGGACTTTAAGAATTCCAAAATCCTCTTCTGTAAACTCAGAGCATTTCCTATTGTCATTGGTGTCGGGGGTTAGTAACTTTAGCCATGAAACTCTAGATTCAAAGACTTAACCAGAAAACCCAACTCATGAAGCAGATGACATCAGCTAATTCACTGCACAGATTAAAGCTAAATAGGGGAGAAGGAATGGAATAGCATTCACCTGTTGTACAACAACTTGGAAAGGGCCATGAGGAGCTTTAGTTGAAATTCATTACTCTGTTTAATCACTCCCTGGGTTAGCTGAAACTGATTTCTTCTGTCTCTCTAGTGTCCTTAGGATATCTTTAACTCCTCTTGGGTAGGTACTGAGTTGTCTCCCTCCCAGGACATATCACACTTCTTTGCTGCTGTATATAATATTAATAAACATGGGTTGTTTGTTGAGCTGAGTAACTTTATAGTCCATATTATTGTCTGATATGCATAGTTTTAAGATATATTTGATGCTCTTTAAAAAGATATGAAAAATAATTGTCAATCAATTTTAAGTTCCTCAAAAGCATTTAGGCATCTGAACATAGGCACTTTTCCACAATTTTACATCATCAACAGCAAAACACACCCCCAAATTTATTGAAACTTTGAAAGGATACACTTCATTAAAGTTCTATGAGGATAATGGCTTTTCAAAATCTCAAAATTTTTTTTACCAGTCTTCAAATAGTCTATTTTTCTGATGTTTTTCTCCATTATTAGGTCAATAAAGAATAACAACATTTGGAAGATGCAGTCCTTTGAAAAGGCTTCACAAAAAAATTAAATAAAAATACTTTAGCCAAACATACTGACAAGATTATAATAGCTCTCATAATCTAACTTACATTTACTCTGTAATTACCCAGCAAAAGGTGCAGAAGTATAATTCACTGATGTTGCAGAATAGCAAACAAAGAGATATGTGATGAAACCGTGAACTAGGAGATAAAATTAGTCACTGCTACTCTTGCTCTTTTTGATGCCACCAGCACTACTCAAAGCAAATGCGGAATGCCATCCACAGCTTCATTCCTCACATGCCTTTCCAGTAATGCCTTTTTCTTTACCTGCTCTATGAACAGTTGTTCTTCTCTTCCTAATAGGATAAAAAAATGCATGTGAATTCATTGAAAACCATAGACAGCCTTATCACAAAAAGGCTGAAATTTCAGCAGTGCCATTGCAACAATCTGCAGTACAGGACAAAAAATTGAGAAAAAAGAAAATGTAGAATTAATTAACTGGTGATCTTATACCTTAGAATAATTAATGATTGAATTCAAATTAGACCATCACCCATAAAGATTCTTAGTCTTTTATGATTATATTATCACATATTAGATTTCAGTTAATTATTAATTCTGGAAAATATTAAAAAGATTCAGTGAATATCTTTTTTTCTGGCTTTCATATTTAAATGAGACTGTGTTCAAAAATTTTTTAATTAAAAAAACCGAACTCAATTTAGTTTCCAAATATTTCAAAAATTCGGATTAGTAAATGACCACCAATTTTTAACTCCTTTGATACAATTTGGATTGTTTACTTGAAATACTATCTTGAATATAGTAATACAAATAGTAAATTAGCTGGATGCGGTGGCTCACGCCTGTAATCCCAGCACTTTGGGAAGCCGAGGTGGGTGGATCACCTGAGGTCAGGAGTTTGAGACAAGCCTGGCCAACATGGTGAAAACCGTCTCTACTAAAAATACAAATATTAGCTGGGTGTGGTGGCAGGTGCAGGAGAGGCTGAGGGAGGAGAATTGCTTGAACCCAGACAGCAGAGGTTGCAGTGAGCTGATATGGCGCCACTGCACTCCAGCCTGGGCAACAGAGCGAGACATCATCTCAAAAATATATATATATAAATTATAAAAACAGTATTTCAAATAGAAAACATACACAGGTTGGACATATAAATATTTATTCAAAACATATCAGGCCATTGAAACTTGGAAGAGATGATAGTATATACACAGGATGTATGACATCTATAGTGTTCCCCATTGGTAATCTGCTTTCTACTCAGCACCAAAGCAGTAGACATCCCTCCAATTAAGAGTGGGGAATAACGCCATTGTTCTTACTGTACAGGGGCAGAAGATACAGGGACATAAAATAAAGGCAACAGGCTAGAAAACCAAGCATTTAGATTATAGCACTGACATGTTTACCCTACATGCATTCTAAGCTCTCTCCTTCACCATCAGAATACCTAATAATGGTAGGGAAAGGGAGAAAAGAGATAACACTTTTTGCTTAGAGTGTTAAGATTCTCTCTAGTTTTAAAAAAAATCCAGATATTTTTGCTAAACTCAACTAATGAAAGAGACTTTGGGGACTTTTTTTGGCACTCTTAAGATGATATATAATACTAATTATGTAATTGGTTCAAAACTTTTTTCCTTATATAGACTCATAGAAATATAGAAATATAGTGAAAGCTATGAACCTACTCCCACATGAAGAAAATAATATTATTTAGGTGCAGCAGATTCATAGATCCTGTAAAGTCTAGCAATAGACCCTCTTATTCTGTGGTCTTTGGTTTATGAGCTCTTGATGTTTAGGAAGTAATTTAAATATTGATATTGTCATCATGGGAAAAAGATATGTTTCAAATTCCTCTAAGGCTCATACTTGAAACCCCTGAAGTTCACGAGATAGAAATTTTTTATTTCTTTGTTTTAAAAACCTACAGATTTACTCCATAGTATCAGTTATTTCAAATAAGTTCTTGACAATTGAATATATGAATGAAGAATGCACACATAGATTCTATTTCTTATTTTTGAGTCAAAATTCAAATAATTGTCTTGTTCTATGATTTATAACAGAAACTCGAAATTATCCAAATTAGAATTTAAAAGAAATAGCAGCAAAACATTGTTCTTTATCAAATTTGTTTTTTTGTGACCTTTGACTGAATGCATAAGTGACAACCAAAGCTTTCCTGCAAATAGTGATACAAGACGGCAACACTCCTCGGAGACAGTGGCAGTGTGAGCATAATGTGGCATATACAGTATGAGCATCTGATTTGCACAGTACAAGAATGCATCCAGGCTAAAACAAACTGAGGCTATTAGCCAGCTCTGCTTGAGCATGTTTTTACAATTTCTTAATTTAAAAAAATTAGAAGTTTATACCAGAACCCCACTATAGGTATAGACACAGACTTACCATATACTTACATACTCACACATAGAGATAATTATGCTTGAGCCCATTAAAAGTCACTCCTCCAGAAGATATACAAATGGCCAAGAAACATATGAAAAAATGCTCAACAACACTAATTATCAGGGAAATGCAAATCAAACCACAATGCAATACCACTTTACTCCTGCAAGAATGTCCATAATCAAAAAATAATAAATGTTGGCATGGATGTGGTGAAAAGGGAACACTTTTACACGGTTGGTGGGAATGTGAACTAGTACAACCACTATGGAAAACAGTGTGGAGATTCCTTAAAGAACTAAAAGTAGATCTACCATTTGATCCAGCAATCCCACTCCTGGTATCTACCTGGAGGAAAATAAGTCATTATAAGCAAAAGATACTTGCACACACATTTATAGCTGCACAATTCACAATTGCAAAAATATGGAACCAGCCCAAATGTCCATCAATCAATGAGTAAATAAGTAAAATGTGGTGTGTGTGTATATATATATATATATATACACACACACACACACACACACATATATATATATATAATGGAATACTACTCAGCCATAAAAAGGAACAAAATAATAGCATATGCAGCAACCTGGATGGAATTGGAGACCATTATTCTAAGAAAAGCAACTCAGGAATGGAAAACCAAACATCATCTGTTCTAGCTAAGAGGATGCAAAGGCATAAGAATGGTACAATGGACTCTGGGGACTCAGAGGAAAGGGTGGGAGTGTGAAGAATAAAAGAGTACACATTGGGTACAGTGTACACTGCTCAGGTGATGGGTGCACCAAATCTCAGAAATCAACACTAAAGAACTTATTCATATACAAAAATAAATACATAAACAAAACACAAAAATAAAATAAAAAATAAAAAATAATTTAAAATGTCACTCCTCCAGTTCTCTAGGGAATACTTTTTAAAAGAATGAACTAAGTGAGGTTGTAAGTGGATGGTGGAAGAAATGAAGAGATTATTGCATTAAAACTTTGAAAGAGAAAAAAATGAAATATGAGGCAAAATTGGGACTAGACATACACTTCTGCTTTTGTTGAAAAAGGTAGAGCCATATACATCTATATAAGGAATGATAACACCTGGCTGGAGAAGTTCTCTGTGTGATGCTAAAATAAGATAACCCTGTACATTTAGGAAGGGCTTGTAAAATACCGATTTACCAATTTGGAATATACAAGCATGTTAAGCAAATGTTACTCAAAGCTCTTTGTAACTTGAGCATCCAAACTGCACTTTGTTTCTGAAAATAGGTACCCCAAGAGACTGGTTCTCACAGGCAAGACTTAGGACATGGAAGTTAATACCTCCATTAATAAAAAACAAGAAGGCCTGAGATACTTTAATGTGGAACTAGAAGCAACACAAAACAAAACAGCCTTTTAGACTGCAAAAGAAAGCAAAATAAATTATAAGCCCCATCAATACAGAAATAAGTAATAAAAGTGGTTCACAATAATCATTTATTTACATTAAGTAAAATATTTCTTCATAAAGTAAAAATTATTTTATATATATTATCTCCTTGACCCTAAATTCCCCATAACATTTTAAATTTCTTGATTCCCAATTCTACCATCACTAGTAGTTGCGGAAGAGGCTAAGAAAAGGAGAGTTGACTATTCATAAATAATTGCCTGGATGGAGTGAATATTACCTGGCCATATATTTCAAGATTCTAGAACTTCAGATGGGAAAAATTATGTAAGCATTTGTTGGCACTCTACTTCAAACAGGAAGGGAATGAAGAACCATAAACAATGGAATATACAAGCTCTCGGCCAGGCGCAGTGGTTCACGACTGTAATCCCAGTACTTTGGGAGGCCGAGGCGGGCGGATCACGAGGTCAGCAGATCGAGACCATCCTGGCTAACACGGTGAAACCCCATCTCTACTAAAAATACAAAAAAATTAACCGGGCGTGGTGGCGGACGCCTGTAGTCCCAGCTACTCTGGAGGCTGAGGCAGGAGAATGGCATGAACCTTGGAGGCGGAGCTTGCAGTGAGCCGAGATCGCGCCACTGCACTCCAGCCTGGGTGACAGAGCGAGATTCCGTCTCAAAAAAAAAAAAAAAAAAAAATCCAGAAACTGTATGGCTATAGCTGTGCACAGATTTGGAATCAACCACGTGGTAGGTGAGTGGGGATATAGCCCAAGGCAAGAATGAACTCCCTGGAGGAAGCGAGAATATCACTTTCCTAAGCATATCTTCCATTAGCACATCCCCATCTCTGCCATTATGCAGTTTAGTTCCACCTTTCTCCCTCCCTGCTGGACACCTGCACCTTAAAACCCTTGAAGAAATTAGGTTTAAAACCAAACTTTTCATTCTCTCTGCAGCATTTGATTCCCCTCCTGATTTTCTCATTTACGATCACAGCATCAATGTTTGCTTAGCCATGCTAGCTCTAACTCTCTGAGTCATTGTGGGCTTGTCTCTCTGCCTCACTCCTAACAGCTGCTCTTTCACCAAATAGTGTTGATTCAATAGCTGCATAGGCTGACTCTAAAACTAAAAAGAAAAAAGAAAAGTCACTTAACTGTGCAGCTGTAGGCAGATTATTTTTGTGTCTCAGTTTCCTCTTCTTTAAAATGGAAATAATGATTCTGACATCACAGAGTTGTAGTAAAAATTAAATAAGATGCTTTCCTGAAACATACCGAATATTGATCATATGTCATCTATTGTTGCTCCTAATTTCTGCTTTGTCCATTTTTGCTTTTCCTATCCTTCTACCTTGACCTTGGCCCCAAATTTAAATCATTCACACTTCTCTAATTATTTGGTTGAAGAAACTGAACTGGACAGGTTAAGTTTACAAGGTCACTTGCTTCTTTTTTCCCACTGTCTCTTCACCCTCACTCTATGGAACACTTCAATCCTTGCCCCTCGATGAAATCTCAGTCAGGTTAAAGAGCTTTTCAGTCACTTTGTTTTACAAGGACACTTAATTCTGGTAATAATAACTGCGGTTCAGTGTAATCTTCAAAATTCCAAGCTCTTATTCAGTTTCGAGCTTCTCTCTCTGCCTGTTTCATAGCACTTCAAGCCTGTAAAGGTGCATGAGTGGGGATGGAGGTGGGATGAGGTGTGGCTTAATGTCATTGCTCTTTAGTCTACCCAATTCTCCCCAGACCCAGAAGCTGCTGCTGCTGATGCCTCTAGGCCTAGGCCCACAGGGAGAAAGAATTAGGAGCTGATATTGTGCGGGGTTTAGGTTAGGGCCCTGTTGCTTAAAAGAAAAGCATTCGAAACAGATCCTTTTTCTTCTAGAGAGCCTAGGTGAGTTTTTTAGCTTTTACTGCAGTCTTTTTGATACAAATAGCTCCCCTGGGAAGACATCCTTAACTTTCTCCTTCTGTACTTGAACCTCACTCCTCTGCTAGGTCACTTGGTCATTCCATCCTTCCCATCCTGACTCTGGCACCCTCAGGCCAATATCCTCTCACAGATCCACTTGGCCCAAGGAAAAATCCTCACACCACTACTCTGGGCATTTATAGAGGGCTCAGTGCCAGAGCACACCTGAGTCAATCTCTGTATCTCTCTCTCCCCACTCTACTTTTTCTTCCTCATTCCTCTCCTCCTCTCTCAAAACTCTGTTATGTTAAGAGTCACAATCTCTCATCTCTCACCTTAAGATTTCTCATACATGTATAAGAACAATCTCCCGTATCCCCTCAAACTCCAGGTGATAAAAATCAAGCTCTTCCAAATGTCCACTTGAACAAATGCTCCCCTTCAGACTGGGTTTCCCACAAGTTGGAAGAGGAAATGCTCCCAGTTTCCAACAACACGATCCAGGGAGTCTTTTGTATTGGCTCCATTGCCCTCCTGACCAGTCCCCCAGCCCTGCCTGTGTGTTGCTGAGAGAGATGATGAGCCTCACAAGGCAGCTTTGGGACAGCCCCTTCACAGGCACTACAAACAAGCCCATGTGTGAGGACTTGGCATCCATTGCTGTCAATCTTAGGGCCAAAAGTGAGACAGAAAGGGTTCCATTGTACTATCCGGTGACACCTGTGTTAGTATATTCTCCATGAATCTCATGTCTCTGTCTACAGTCCTTCCCCCATCAACCAGCAGATCACCTTCAAGCACCGCTTTTTAAAGCTCCCCACCCTAGGAACGCCTAGTGAATCCCTCTGCCCATTGAGGAGTTCTGCTGCTTCTATTTGGTATGAGGACTTTTCACGCTTGGCTCATTTTTAATACTTAGAGATAGGATTCTTTCCCAAGTGGCTCTTGAATCATTACCATTACTTTTTAATAACTGAGAGAGAACAATCTATTAACAATTAATTAGAGTAAATGAGAGGGGACTGTCTCTACATAGATGAAAGCAAACTGTTCATGTTTAGGGAAGACTTACTGAAGTACCTCAAACTGTAAGATAGGCAATCAACAAAAGGTGAAAATATTTTCATCAAACTGTGACCAGAAATAATTAAGAACTTCTCCACAGATTAGAAGCACAAATAAGGAGCAGCATTCATCTCTGCATAAATTAATATATATGTATATATTATCTTATTTATAAAAAGATCTATTGCAGCATGTCCATAGATTAGAAAACTAGAGTAATAAATAATTTAGACTAGCTACTTGCTTGTTGAAAAAGAAAAAACACTGCCACTTTTCCCAGTACCAGTCCTTTTTTTCACACATTGTATTAGGCTCTTCTCACACTGCTATAAAGAAATACCTGAGACTGGGTAATTTATAAAGAAAAGATGTTTAATTGGCTTATGGTTCTGCAGGCTGTACAGGAAGTATGGTGCCAGGATCTGCTTGGCTTCTGGGGAGGCCTCAGAAAACTTACAATCATGACGGAAGGCAAAGGGGAAGCAGACACATCACATGGCCAGAGCATGAGCAAGAGGGGTAGGGGAGAGGTGCCACACACTTTTAAATGACCAGATCTTGCAAGAACTCACTATCACAAGGACAGCACCAAGGATATGATGCTAAACCATTCAGGAGAAATAGGCCTCCATGATCCAATCAGTTCCCACCAGGCCCCACCTCCAACAATGATGATTACATTTCAGCATGAGATTTGGACAGGGACACAGATCCAAGCCGTATCACACAACAATTATTTGTACATTATACTTATTTAAAAGCATCATACAAATGATATATTTTGAGTGTAGTCTGTTCAGAAAATCTTTTAGGCATAAAGAGGATGTTAAAGTACTTAGGAGCTGAAGAATTGACATTCATTTTAATAAGTTAATAGATTTCAAATTAGATAAAACTGCAAAAGTTTCTCAAGCTTTTTAAAATTCAGTCTTTGTCTTTCTAAATTACCTGATGTGAGAAGACAAAGAAAGGGGTAAATTTTAGAGGAAAAAAAGTGTCCTGTGTGATTGGTTCCAATGAAATCTAAAATGCAAAAGTCCGTAGTTGGCTAGAAGCAGTTAGATGAATTGTGATTCTTATTTTTGATGAGTCATAATGTTCAAGAGGAGGGGTGTCTGAATATAGAATGAAGTTGTTCTAATTTCTTGATACTGTCTTAGAGGCCTTTTAATATATTACTTATATCTTTTTTTCCACTTGAAGAAAGAAATGATCTGACCTCTGAGAGGCACATTTTCAATAAATTCCATAAAACAGCAGGAGAGAATGCAGATTGAAAATGCAGTTCCAGCATCTTGCACTTTGAAAAGCTTTTAAAGGCTGTCTCATGCATTTATCTTCTAACAAAGATGAATGCGCAAGACACCTCGAATTCTACCCTGCTTGGTAAGTCAGTGATAATGTTAAATCAATGACACAATGATCAAAAACGAGAATGGAATCAATATTCTGATCAACTGAACTGCTTTAGATATTAAAAAGTAATTATTCCCCCACAAGACTGCATTGGTGAACGTAAGAGCATGTCTGACTTGTCTAATAACTTTCACTTTAAATATTGACGAACTCTTCACAAATAAAATAACAAATTTGGGGGAATTGAGCACAAAGTTATAAAATGTGTCTGGAACAGATAAAAATACAATTATATTATTTCACACATAACCCTATAAGGGGAGATATCCCCTGCAAAATGGAAGTTAGTCTAATTTATTATCACATTTTGTAATGAAAAGCAGGCATTTGAGTAAAAAAAAAAAAAAAAAAAAAAAAGAATGCAGCAAAGGTCCTACCTACCCTCAGCACCAAACATAAATCAGAGCTGCTAAGCAGCCATCACAATGCATCGATTTATGGCTGCAGGTGAGCAGCACAGTAGGCAGAATTAGAATTGGTCCCTGACCTTAAGGAACTTACATTCTGGTTAGAAAGCCAAGGCTAAACATATGAAACAATGTGAGAAAACTTACAGAGCAAAATAAAGTAATGAAAGCTAACTTTTATTGACAGCTACATTGAGCCAGATACTGGTCTAAGGACTTTGTATGTTGAAGTGAATTCTATCAGTGGGCTGCCCAAATCTATTTTAGTAGTGTGGAGCACCCAACACCTAGCAGCTGTACATGTTGGCTATGAAACAGCCCAGGCTCTCTCCTATTCTCCAAAAAAATTACCCTCTCTAGAAAGAAAGCCAACTAGCCTTGAAGTTTATGCACTGCCACCCGCTGGGAGCAAGCTTGCAGCCAGTGGCTGATGGATACAGAGGTACACAAAAGGCCAATTCTGTGGTGTAATTTGTGGTTCTCAGCTCTCCGTAGGATCAGGCTGATGCTAGAATCCTGCTGAGAGCCTCTCTTTACCTAGTTATCCCCACACCCTTTCCTCCTTCCATCTCTCTCCTTTCTCTGAAATCCTTCCCCCAGTAAATCATTTGTACAATAATCTCTGCCTCAAGCTCTGCTTCTAGGGAACCAGACCTAAGACACACATAGGAACTCATTTAATACTTCCAACAACCTCATGGGGAGATTATTACTATTATACACCTTCATTGAGGCACGGATGGGTTAAGGGCTTAGGCAAGGTCACTCAGCTTATAAATGGTAAATCTTGACTTTGATTCCAAGCACTGCTGGCTTGAGAAATCATGCTCTTAATCTCTGTGCTCCTTTGAGAATTTTCGCCATGTGAAGGCATCACTATGCATGCAGAAAGAATGTAGGACTTAAGATTAATGTTCATATGAGTGCTTTACCTTCCTAGCCTTGTGACTTTGAGTCATTTGATTTTAAAGAACATATTCGTAAACTAGGCATAATAATATGAAGTGGTTAGAAGGATAAGATGAAATCAAATGTGTGAAATATCTGGCCTGCAGCAGGTCTTCAAGAATGTTAATAAAATTTTGAATTTGAGAATACCAATAGTCCTTTAAAAGTATGTAGCATTTTACAACTTATAAAATGTTTTATTTAATGATCTCTTTTAGTCTTACAATAGCGTTATAATAAAAATGTTATTAGATATGTTTTCTTGATTTTTTAAATATTGAAGTTCAAGAAACTCTCAAAGTTAGTAGGAGAAGCAGGGCTCAGAGTTAAGATATCTGACTATCATTCTGGTTTTTTAATCTTTGTACCTCAGCTACTTAAAATAATAAAGTATAATTTAAAAATACTCTAGTGATTACTAACAAGTTGTATTTTATTCTTCCCTTGATTTTTGAAAAATATATCAACCTTTTGAAAGTGGTGAGTACCATTAGTTCCCCAATAATCCACAAAGGAGAGAAGGTGTGGATGGGAGTTCAAGGGAGCAATTTCAGGGGACACTTCATGAAGGACAGGCATTTGAGCTACATTTAAGCTCAATTTTTATTTCTTCTACAAGAAAATATGTTTTGAGGACCTTTTTAAGTTTATTTTTTTCAATTGACTAATGAAAAATTTTATATGCTTATGGTATATAACGTGATGCTTTGATCTATGTATACATTGTGGAATGATGAAATCAAGCTGATTAAAATATCTATCACCTCACATACTTATCATTTTGTGATATAAACATTTAAAATCTACTTTCTTACCATTTTTGAAGTATGTAGTACCTTATTATTAACTATAGTCACTATGCTGTAGAAAAGAACTCCAGAACTTATTCCTTCTGTCTAGCTGAGACTCTGAACTCTTTGACCATCTTCCTATCCCCAAGCCACAGTCTCCAGCCCCTGGTAACTGCCATTCTATTCCACTGAGTACCTTTCGTTCTTTAAACACTGTGTAAAATTTGGGAAGACAAAGATACAAGGTAAGGAAGCAACATAAGTTGAAGCAAATAATCAGAAATAAAAGAACATCTTTAAGAAATAGGAGTAATATAGTTCAGAAATACGGAGGAGAATAGTGGAACAAAAAAGACTAGAAAGTTCATTTGGGGCAGATATTTGGGGACAGGGAAAGACTGGGTTAGGACCTAAGGCTTCATTTTGAAGTTGGGGAGACCAAGTGAGCATGGTGGGTAACTGGGACATGATTCAAGCTATACTTTAGGATCTATACCAGTGAGCAAAATGGATTTGAGAAAGTAGAAGATGAAAAGAAGGAGACACATTGAGACTACAACAATAAATAAATGAGAAGAGATGAACACTGACAATAGTATAATAGAAGGAGGATTGTGTGGCGGGGGGTTGGTGTGTGGAACTTTTCAAAGGTCAAATATGCAGCATTTGTTGATTGACCAGCGGTGAGAGGATGAGGAAGAAGAGAAGTTCAAAAATAACTTTGCGTGCATTTTATTTTTGTAGCACAGTAGTTATGAAAACAGGATCTAGCCCCAGACCTTTACTTGTGTCAAATTTCAGCTCTATCAGTCAATTACCAACTAAAATAAAGTTGGGCAATTTCCTTTTCCTTTTTCTGCTTCTGTTACTTCATCTGTAATAGAGGATGAAAAATTGTGCCTACCTGCTAGGGTTGTTGTAAAAATTAAATTAATTCTAAAAGATGCACCTGCTGCAGAGTAGTGTTCGAGACCTTCCATCACAGTCTCTCCCCAGTATCCTCAGGTCATTGGTACCAAAACCTCACCAGAATGCTGAAGTCCCCCTGTCTGTCCTGTTTCTGTGGATGCAAAACCTGCAGATACCAAGGGACACCTGTACTGTGATAGGAACACCTTGACACAAAGCAAAAAGAAAGATCATTTACAAAAGGAAGCAAAAGTTTCATGTGTGAAGCTGATACTGTCAGATTTGAGTTTGTATCCTGGCATTGCCTTTTATTTTGGAATTTTTAAAAATAATTCCTTTGCTTGATGTGTATGATTGCCCAAAAATGAGAAAGACTAGTCTTTTTAACTCCCTAAAATAAATAAAGATCAATAAGACCAATTAAATGATCCATTCAGATATGGTACTAGTCTATCAGGCACAAAAACACAACCTTGGGGACTCATATATTCAAGCTTTTCCCTATGCACAGCCCTATCTCCTAGTGACCAAAAGTATTGTAAGTTAATGAAAGTGGGTGAGCTGGAAAAACAAAAAGTGTAGCATTTTAGTGATATTACTGGGAAATGTAGAGTTAGTGATAAAAATCCAAGGCAATAAAAATATGAATAATGAAAAAAAAGAATGTACAATTTAAATTTTCAAAAATATTTTTTCTGACCACCATTTGTTTTTTTCTAATAACACAATGAGATCAGTCCATCATTAGTCTTCTGAATCTGTACTGTTTTCATTATCTATAACTGATTCTAAATAACATTCTAACAAATGTGTCCTCTTTTCTAAAATTCATGATTAACTAATATGCAATTTCTCCATCCATCCTCTATCCTTGTTGATAACATTTTATTACCTGGCCTGCTATTGATCCTTTATTTTTCTATTTTCATTTTAGTGAGGGTTACTATAGCTTCCTTAGGGAAAATACTCCTTGATCATTACGTCAAAACCAAGTTTTACATGTACTTAAGGTCAAAGCATGATCTAAGAAAACTTATATTCTAATGATTTGATCTTTATACATTATGTACATACATACACATATATTTTATGTTTTCTCTTATTTGACATAAATTAATAAAATTTAGCAAAAATATAGTGAGCTCCACTTATGTATCCTTATAACAAAATATTTTCAGTATGTTTTAGTTAGGAAAATTTTGCTTAGACAGCAAACCCCAAGTCTTAATATAGGCTTTATGTTGTCTATAAGATGTTGAACAATTTTTCAATCAGGTATTCGGTAATAACTAACGAGAACCTGTTAGAAGAAGGGTTGGTTATTCAAGTGAGACATTGGAAAAGAAAATACAAAATTATAATACATAATATTTGTAAAATCTTACTTGATGCTTCCCAAGCAAATTTAAATATTTCTTGCTCTATTGAAGAATTATCACAATAGTTAGAACTTTTATTTACATGTTGCATAGACAGGACACAGAAAACCTACAAAATGGCCATTTCTGACAGCCTTTTTCTTGCCCATGCTTCACTATAGAACAGGCTTCCTTAACCTAAGCATTTTGACATTTGGGGTAGGAAAATTATTTGTGATGTGAGAGTGGTGAGGAGATTCCTGTGCATTGTAGGGTGTTAAGCAGCATCCCTGACCGGGACTTGCTGAATGACAGTAGCACTTCTACCCTCAAAATAGTGACAACAACAACAACAAAAAATACGGTGGCTCACATCTGTAATCCCAGCACTTTAGGAGGCCGAGGCAGGCAGATCACCTGAGGTCGGGAGTTTGAGGCCAGCCTGACCAACATGGAGAAACCCCGTCTCTACTAAAAATACAAAAGTAGCTGGGCACAGTGGTGCATGCCTGTAATCCCAGCTACTCGGGAGGCTGAGGAAGGAGAATTGCTTGAACCTGGGAGGCAGAGGTTGTGGTGAGCCGAGATTGCACCATTGCACTCCAGCCTGCGCAACAAGAGTGAAACTCCATCTCAAAAATAAAATAAGAATAACAATAACAATAACTCCAGACATTGCTAAATGTTCCCTGAGTAATAAAATCACAGCTGGGTTAGGATTACTGAAGATGAATAAAATAAATATTAACTTTTCCAACTTCCCTCCTGGCTTGGAGGTGACAGATGACCAAGTTATAACCAATGAGATATAAGAAAAACATAAAGGAACTATTCTGAAAATTATTGTCGTCCTTAGATAAAGCTCCTGTTTCTCTGGTTTGGTTAAGGTGCCTCGTTTAGAGCTGAGGTTACCATTTTTTGAGCATGAGAGGAATGTCAAAAGCATACCTGGCATGCTGATTCAGAGCCTGAATGTTGTGAAGCTCTTGCTCAAAGCCAGCAGTCACCTACCCACAAACTTGTTGCCATGAGAGTAAAATAATCCTGCCATTACTATACATGCTTTAGTCAGCTTCTCTTTTACCTGCAACTGGAGACATTCTGCATAACTATAAACAAGGTATTATTGTTTTTGAAACTTCTCACAACTATCAAATGGGGATAATAATACTGGCAAGTTGTAGAAATTGTTCACAGCATGAAAAAAAGACAATATGCCTTAAAAAGATAAAGCTTAACACATAATAGGTGCTCAGTAAATGGTAGCTATTGTCGTCATTGGCATGGTGTCAATTGATGAATAACAAATATACTTTTAATTCCTCCTTATTCTTTCTAGAGTAATATTTCAAAAGAAAGTTCCCAGAACCTCTTATGTTAAAAGGCCTGAAATGACAATTCCTATTGGGATCTAAAAAAAGGATTTAAGGATTAATGGAGCTTCTGAAATTATATTTGAAAAATTTAAATTGCATACATGCATTAACTCAGGACAGAGTCCACTGCTTTTAATGGGTTTTTTAAAGGGGCTCGAAACTTGTTTATCCAAAAATGGGTTAATAATGAACACTTAGAAGCTTCTTGGCTTGGTAGGGTTACTGTAAGTTAGTGAATTTAGATAGGCTGCTTTTGAGGAAAAATAATATGTCAAGAAGTTCAGAAGGAAAAGAGATTTGCTTATTACAAACTTACAACCTGGGTGGTCTGATGAAAAGGAGAAGGCAGGCTGTATAAGCACAGGAGTGATGTTAGCTTTTGAAGAAACACCAAAAACACCTCTTCAAGAATTTAAAATGAGAACTTTCTCTTCAAGAAAAGACAAAAAAAAAAAAAGCTTCCTTCTTTAATGAATTTTGTTTCTTCAATTACAAGACAAAATTGGGAGGTGAAGACAAGACTTTCTCCTCCCTAAAATGGCATATTTGAACTTCCTTGAAAACATAATATAAACAAATACATCGATTATATTTGATTCAATACAATGAGAACAAACTTAATTTGAATTAAATTTGCTGGGCATCATGTTTTTTTGCCTAAGGCATACATTATTCTGGCCTGACTATTATGAATACAATAATTTAAGGTAATTTATCCTAAGCTTTAGCTATCTTTCAAAAAATATTATCAATAGATTATTTTTTTTAAAAAAAAACCCTTCTTTTGAGGAATTCATCATTCTTCCTTTTACATATTTGAGAAAAGGATACTTTTTTCAGAGGAAACTATGGAAAGAAATGATCACAATTAGAAAATGAGAGAGAAGACAAGAGATGGGAGAAGAGGATGAAGGTTAAAAAAATGACAAATCTTGGGAAATGAATCTAATCTTGTGGAGCATCTTTGAATTCGCTATTTTATTGCAACTAATAGCATTTTGATAGGATTAATTTACTTTACATGGATAAGAAAGCTACTCAGAAAATATTTTGTCCACCAATGCTAAATAAAATGAACTCAATTTATATATGAAATTAAATGTACTTACTGAAACTTTATTATAAATTGTCAATTTGAAAAACTAGGTGGAATACTAGAAATTCTCCTGTTATATGACAGAATTTAATCAGTTATCTGGCATGCACATTTGCCACACATTGCATTTTCTTAAACAATAGAACAACCTGTTCCCTGAACCATTTCCCTGAATGAGGCTTGTAAAAATTCCTATAATATCACTGAAGGTCATTGTCAAGTATCAGAGATTTTTTAGATTTGCCAGCAGAGATACCTAAGGAATACTAACCAACTCAGTCCTTCAACAACAATTATCCTTATTAAATAAATGTATCAGATGAATCTTCAGCACAAAAGAAATTAGAACTACTACGGCAAATCTGCAGTGTAAATCCATGGCAGTAACTGATTTTCGCAAGAGAATATTAATCAAGAAAAGTTTTAACTTTATCAACTCCACTAATGAAAAGACATTTTCTGTTACATATCACACAAAGCCTGATGGGGTGAAGGAGTGCAAGCCTTAAGCCTCTAGATTTTAGCTGATGTATTACTTCTCCAAATTCACAATGCTTTTGAAGTGCCTCAGATCTTAAATCAAGGAACCTGCACTACAAAGAAGAGAGTTGCAGTGAAATTAACTTTTTCCTATCCTTGTATATGGTATTATTTTTCTTGTTTTAATACCTTAACATGAAAGATGTGTAATACCGACAGAGGCAGTCATTTTATATAAAAGACTGGAATAGCTAATTTAGTGAGCAAATAAATGGTGGCACAAATCCTCCTGCTCCTTTAACCCATCATCAGGCATTTTAATCAAGCTAGTCTGTTCCCAAGAGAGAATCTCATTGCAGTTGCAATTATTTTCTTTAATGTTGATGCCCCAAAGACAGCAGAACAAGCATATTGCCAAAATTCAGTTTTAAAATGAACAAAATTTCAAGATGACATATTCTCTCCTCTTGTTCTACTACTGTTTCGCGTTTCTCTTAATCTTAGTAAGCATCTTCATCAGTGAAATTCAAATGCTAAAACTGCCCACCTCATAAGTTTACTGTGTTTCTTAGATGAGACAGTGTATGTAAATCAGTCAGTATTCAGTGCCTGACATACAGCAAGTGCACAATACACATTAGTTTTGGGTTTTTTAGCACTCACATTTTACAGATGACACATTTGTTTTTACTATTGTTATTTTCTTGCCAGAATTTTCGAGGGAAAAAAATAATTATCTTTGCAATTTTCCACTGTGATCACAGTTTTAATTTATATGCTTTGAAAGATAAACTAAGCAATAAGAAGAGAAAATATGTTATGTCTTCATGTATCTATAAAATACATTTTGTTTGTGCTAAAGTTCATGGAAGATTGAATTCAAGAAGTGTTAGGGTGCTTTTGATTGCTTCTAATATCCGAGATGGCAGAACGGGTACAATATTAAGGATTGCTTCTCTATGCCAGTGCAAATTTTTCTTACTGCATCCTTATCTTCTCTGTCACTCACAACCACTGGCTCAGGGAGGATTTGGCAGGTGGTTGACAAATGGAAGTTCTGGCTTCTTAGGGCAATTTCTGGAAAGTCCCCAGAAATGATATCAGATTGACACAGTAATGCATGTAATGCAGTAAATGGAGGAAGATGCCAGGGTGGCCATTGAGGGAAGTCAAAAAGAAGAGGGAAATGAGACAGAATACATGGGAAGTTCATAATACAAGTGATCAACACATATTTAACAATCACTTATTACTTGCTAATTACTCTACAGCACATAGTGATATCTAGTATGTGGAACTAGAGGTGAAAATGAGCAAAATGCTTGTCCTTAAGAAGCTTTGAAATGACTGGTGTAAAAATAAGCACATGTATGTAAAACTAAACAGTGAAATACACTGTGTAGGTTCTAACAGACAGTTTTTGTCAAATTTATTAAGAGATATGGAATATGAAAAGGAGCAAGTTGCATTTTGTGGGAGAGTGGAAAAGGGTGATATTTGAGCAAAAGATTAAAAGTTAAACAAGAAGTGAAAGACTATTCCAGTGAGAGGAGCTAGATGAGTAGAGTGAATCTGGACATGGTGTATGTATTTGTGACTGGAAATTACATCAGGGAGCCAAGCTGGGGTCCAGCATTTTAAAGCCCCCAGTTTCATGCTAATATACCAGGCTTTCATCCAGTGACAGTGGGGGACTACTGGAAATGGTTTACAAGGAAGTGGTATGGTTGCATACTTGTTTTGAAAAAATTACTCAGGCAGCTGTGAGGAGAAATTTAAAAAGGACAATGCTTGAGGCAAGAAAGCATCCAGCATCGGACTATAATGGTCCAAGGGAGAAACATGTGTGCCTGAGCTTGGGACGGGGATGTATCTGAGAGCCACATAGGATGAGATAAGAAGAAACAAATGGGGCCAGGTGTGGTGGCTCACACCTGTAATCCCAGCACTTTGGGAGGCCGAGGTGGGTGGGTCACCTTAGGTCAGGAGTTTGAGACCAGCCTGACCAATATGGTGAAACCCCATCTCTACCAAAAATACAAAAATTAGCCAGGCATGGTGGAAGGCACCTGTAGTCCTAGCTACTCAGGAGGCTGAGACAGTAGAATTGCTTGAACCTGGCAGGTGGAAGCTGCAGTGAGCTGAGATTGCACTGCTTCCGTCCAGCCTGGGCAACAGAGTGAGACTCTGTCAAAAAAAAAAAGAAGAAACAAATAGGTTCAATGGGGATGCAGAGTCAGGCCCAAACTAACAGAGACAGCAAAGCCAGATTAGCTTGTTAGACACAGTAACAATGAATGAGACACATATAAAATAATTGAGAAGCATTTCAAAAAAGGGAATATCTTTTCTTTTATGAAGTAGCTTAAACGTGCATACTGCCCTCTCCCTTTTGTTTTTGATTTTTTTCTTTCAGCAAGTGCTAGCTATACACTCTTAAGTATTAATAATTCTGCCATCGCCTTTTTTTTTTTTTTTGCAAAATTACCTATCTCCCATCATGTGCTAAACACCGTACAAAGAGTTTTATGTCTATTAGTGACTGGGCTATGCAGTGCCCAGACATTCGGTAAAACATTATTCTGGCTGTGTCTGTGAGTGTGTTTTTGAACAAGATTAACATTTGAATCAGTAGACTGGATAAAGCAGATTGTCCTCCCTAATATGGGTGGCTTTCCTACAATCAATCAAAGACCTAAATAGAACCAAAAGTCCATATAAGAAAGAACATCTGCCTGATTGGTTGACCTGGAACATCAGTCTTTTGCTGCCCTCAAATTAGAACTATAGCATCAGCTCTTCTGGATCTCTAGCTTGTGGACTAGAGATCTTGGGACTTCTGGGCCTCTGTAATCATGTGAGCCAATTCCTTTTAATAAATCTCTTACTTCTGTTTCTCAAGAGAACCATGCCTAACATGATTACAACGATCTAGTCCCTGTAAAAATATTTTAAGAAAAGACCTGGCATCCTGATTTTAAGATGAAGAAAGTGAAGTATAGAAGGACTGAGGAATTCATCCAAGGACACACAAGGGTGGAGTCCAAATTCAAACACAAGCACTCAAACAAAGCTCCAGAGTCTCTGCTCTACTACTACAAAATGTTGCACCCAATGCCCTTGCAGGTATACATTTAACAACAGAGAGGAAGAGGCGCAGCATTAGCTATTGATGACATAATTATGTAAATAACTATTTAAAGTTGTGACAAGCTCCACAAAAAGATATAAGACCATATAAGTGTGGGGAGTCTTGCCTGTTCTGGGGTTCAGGAAATGCTCCTTGAAGTCCTATTTTAGAGAGAACTAAAAGGACACTGAAACAATATGTCTAAAGACGCCAGAAGGGAAGGCCCATGTGGCTGATGTTAGTCAAGAAGTGAGGGGCATGTAACAGAAGTCTGGATGAGGCCGGGCGCAGTGCTCACACCTGTAATCCCAGCACTTTGGGAAGCTGAGGAGGGCAGATCACGAGGTCAGGAGTTCAAGACCAGCCTGGCCAACATAGTGAAACCCCATCTCTACTAAAAATAAAAATAAAATAAAAAAAAAAATTAGCTGGTTGAGGTGGCGGGTGGCTGTAATCCCAGTTATTCGGAAGGCTGAGGCAGGAGAATTGCTTGAACCTGGGAGGCAGAGGTTGCAGTGAGCCAAGATCACGCCACTGCACTCCAGCCCAGGTGACAGTGTGAGACTCTATATCAAAAAAAAAAAAGGTTGGATGAATAGCCCAAAGGCAGGTGACACTTGTACAGAGTTTTTATTTCTTGCTAATATCAATATGAGGTAATTGAGGTGACTTAAGGGATGCAGATATTGTAATAGGACTATTTGCATTTGGAAAAGCTTTCAGCTCCAGAGAGACCTGGATGAGAGTGGGGTAAGTGGGTTTAGAGAAGGGTGCTTTAGGAGCCATGGCTGTGGTTGAAGTGAGAGATCACACAGGGGCTTCCAGCAGTGCTCCTCAATCTGCAGTGGGAATGTCTGTCCAGGTTTTGGGTTGTTTTGTTTTGTTTTTAAAATTCATTCCAGACCAAGTGAAAGACTTGAAAAATATTACATGCTTAAACATCTCTCAACATCAAATTTCTATAAAAATTTGTAAATGCTTACTTTATATTTTGATAATTCATTGCCCCAAAACAACAACAGCAACAACAACAGTTTATAGGCTAGCATTAGCCCATGGATCACTATTTGAGTAGTAGACTAGATGGTTGCAATATTACATATTAAAATAAATCTACATGTTATTTACATAATATTTACATATTAAAATGGATTCTACTTAATAATTAGATTGAAGGGTTTGTATTGAGACAGAGGAAACTGGCAAGAATGACAATTAGATTTTTGGCATGAGCTATTGAATAAATTACAGAGTTCTTTACTGAAAAGAGAAAATTGGAGGGAAAGCATGTTTGGGCAGATGTAGAAGGTGTAGATGTAAAGAAAAAAGAATGTATTCAGGGTAGGAGTATTGATTTTGCAATGACTCTGAAGATTTTGAGTAGGCAGTAGACTATATGAGTTTAGAATCCAAAACACTGATATTAACAAATAATACCAATAGTAATGAATAATAAATATTAATAATGAATATTTGTGAATAACACATAGCCCAGAAATAAGGCCACAAACGTATGCCCATTTGACCTTCAACAAAGCTGACAAAAACAAGCAATAGAGAAAGGACCCCTTATTCAATAAATGGTGCTGGGAGAACTGACTAGCCATACGCAGAAGATTGAAACTGGACCCCTTCCTTATACCATATACAAAAATCAACTCAAGATGGATTAAAGACTTAAATGTAAAACCCAAAACTATAGAAACCCTGGAAGACAACCTAGGCAATACCATTTCAGACATAGGAACAGATAAAAGATTTCATGACAAAGGCACCAAAAGCAATAACAAAAGCAAAAATTGACAAATGGGATCTAATTAAACTTAAGAGCTTCTGCACAGCAAAAGAAACTATCAACAGAATAAACTGACAATCTATAGAATGGGAGAAAATGTTTGCAAACTATATATCTGACAAAGGTCTGATATCCAGCATCTATAAGCAACTTAAACAAATTTATAAGAACAAAACAAACCCCATTAAAAAGTGGCCAAAGGGCATTAACAGACACTTTTCAAAACACACATGCAGCCAATAAGGATATGAAAAAAATCTCAATATCACTGATCATTGGAGAAATGCAAGTCAAAATCACAATGAGATACCATTTCACAACAGTCAGAATGGCTACTATTAAAAAGTCAAAAAATAACAGATGTTGGTGAGGTTTCAGAGAAAAGGGAATGCTTATACACTCTTGATGGGAGCGTAAATTAGTTCAACCATTGTGGAAAGGAGTGTGGCAATTCCTCAAAGAGCTAAAAACAGAACTACCGTTCGACCCAGCAATCCCATTCTTGTGATACACCCTGAGAAATATAAATCATTCTACCATAAACACATATGCATGCAAATGTTCATTGCAGCACTATTCACAATAGCACAGACATGGAATCAACCTAAATGCCAATCAATGACAGATTAGATAAAGAAAATGTACATATACACCATGGAAGCTATGCAGCCATAAAGAAGAATGATATCATGTCTTTTGTGGGAACATGGATGGAGCTGGAGGCCATTATGCTTAGCAAACTAATGCAGGAACAGAAAACTAAATACTGCACATTCTCACTTATAAGAGGGAGCTAAATGATGAGAAGACATGGACACATAGAGGAGAATAATAAACACTGGGGCTTCCTTGAGGGTGGAGAGTGGGAGAAGGAAGAGGAACAGAAAAATAACTATTGGGTACTAGGCTTAGTACCTAGGTGATGAAATAATCTGTACAACAAACCCCCATGACACAAGTTTACCCATATAATAAACCTGCACATGTACCCCTGAACCTATAATACAAGTTAAAAAATAAAATAATACCTCTGTACGTATGATAATTATCTAAGAAATGTAAACATTTAATTCTTACCACATCTTATGATATGTGTACTTTATTTTTTTGAGACAGAGTCTCACTCTGTTGCCCACGCGAGAGTGCAGTGGTGCGATCTCCGCTCACTGCAAGCTCTGCCTCCTGGGTTCACACCATTCTCCTGCCTCAGACTCCGGAGTAGCTGGGACTACAGGCGCCCACAACCACGCCCGGCTAATTTTTTTGTATTTTTAGTAGAGATTTCACCGTGTTCTCCAGGATGGTCTCAATCTCCTGACCTCGTGATCCGCCCTCCTTGGCCTCCCAAAGTGCTAGAATTACAGGCGTGAGCCACCGCGCCCGGCCCCGATATGTGTACTATTTTTGTGCCACTTCACAGATGAAAAAACTGAGGTACAAGCAAGATGAATAATTTATTTACTCAGAGTCACACAGCTGAGAAGCAGATGCCCAGAAGGAGAAAGAGAGGCAGCCGGAATCCTACACACTATTTTGCCTCCAGAAGAAGCATGTAAATAAAAAATATAAATTTAGGTTATGAGGTTAGGTTTTCAAAGAGCTCTGTTTTAGCTTATGGGCAAATTGCATAAGCTATAACATTTTGTTGTTGTTGTTGAGTTCTGGGGTTTCCAGTCTTTAGAAATGAAGATTAGTCAGACATGACCAAGGAGCCAGCTTCATAACATTTACCACTCCTTCTTATTTTTGGAACAGATAATTATATACTTCAAAGATGAAATTTTGAAGAAAGTAAATCAGAAATAACATTCTTTTTCAATTGCATAGCATCATATTCACTCTTGATCTGTTTTATGAACATGTAAGTGTTGCTGAAGAAAAGTATTATTAGACCTAGATTAGCTTAACTATGTCACTTTACAATATGCAACAGTAGGTTGCTCTTAGTTAATAAGTAGGAAGGGGAATTTATAGCAATTATCAATAGATACTGCAGGTGGTAGCAGATTCAGATGTGGGCTGTCAAAATCAATGCTTAAGCAATACCAGATAGGACCAGCCTAGGGGAGAGCCGATGTACAAGGTCCCAGATAGGCTGGGGGTCCAAACTAAAGTCCAAAGACAGGGGACCTTGACTCTAGGCATAGACCAGCATGGATATGAGTCCAGAAGATCATCCTGAAATCCTTTCAAGAAAACTGGAGGCCGTATGGGTGCACCATAACCTGAAGCTTAAAAGAATTCAATATATGATATATCAATCCAACAAAAAAACAGCATCTGGGTGATCCAAATAGCAGGCAGTCATGCTAAAAACAAACAAGCAAACAATAAGTAAGAATGGGATATGTCAAGGGGTTTTTGGTTTTTGTTTTTTTGTTTTTTTTAGATAGAGTCTTGATCTGTCACCAGGCTGGAGTGCAGTGGTGTGATCTCAGCTTACTGCAACCTCCACCTCCCAGGTTCAAGAAATTCCCTGCCTCAGCCTCCCGAGTAGCTGGGACTACAGGCGCCCACCACCACGCCCAGCTAATTTTTTGTATTTTAGTAAAGATGGGGTTTCACCATGTTGGTAGGATGGTCTCGATCTTCTGACCTTGTGATCTGCCTGCCCCGGCCTCCCAAAGTGCTGGGATTACAGGTGTGAGCCACTGCACCCAGCCCAGGGGATGTTTTTTAATCACTTTAGAAAGGCAGTAGTTCCCAACACAGACTTTGTAATCAAAGAGCCTGGATTGAAGACCCACTTGGCCAGTATTTAACCCTGGACAACTTATTCAAGTTCTGTAAACTTTACGTTCTTCTTCATAGGATTTGTAGACGAATAACAAACCAATGTTTATGAAGTGTTTAACACGATAGCTGGGTTGTGCTGAATAATCAGGAAATGTTAATTAGGGTGATGAACACCATAACGATGATGATAGGATAAGGTAGGCACCCTGCTTCTGAAAAATATTGCATGGTTTAACAGATAGATAGTATAGATACAAATATATCCTACTTTTCTTCAGTCTTTTTGACCAGAATTTTTTTAATCTTTGGATAATAAAATGAAAGTAAAAGTTGGTAATGTAAGACTATCTTTTTCAAATGAGTCTAGCTGTAGAGAAATTACTGAGCCAAGCCCGAAAGGGAGAGTGCGGTAGGATTTTCTGTCCTTTTATTTGGTAGGATGCAACATATTAATAATTGACACTGTAGTATCTCAGGCTTGGTAGCCTATGTGCATTCGGTAATCCCCAAGTCCCCAATCTTTACCCTCACCCCAAAGCTGTATCATTTCCCTAAATACTCTGTGTTGAGTCCATAAGAACACCTAGGCTTTTATCCTATTTTCTGTTTGGTGCTCCAGTATCTGGAGTTAACCCCAGGTTTCTAGCAGTGATTTGCTTAGAATTACTATTAATCACCTACCTACTTTGCAGGGTAAACTGTGGATATGGAAAGAATTAACCTGTATGGAATGAAGTGTGGGACCTGCCAAAAATGTGAGAAAATAAGACAGTTGCAGGCCACACGAGGTGAATTTCACAACTGACACTGCAAGTCCATGTTGCAGTAGAGCTCTGGTGAATGGAATATGGAAAAAATTATTTCAGAGTATTGAGGACAGACAATAATACTGGCACCCAGCAGGACTAGCTCAGCAAGCCATCGGGGATTGAAAGGGGACCCTGAAAAGGGATAGAAAAGCTGGAATGCTCGTGTTGCTTCTAAAAATAATTTGTGAATATTTTAGCCAATTTGTGAAAAGAGTCTGACACTTCTAAGCCCATTTAGAGTATAAGAGAGAGACACTAATTCTGAATCTTTTCTGGACTCTGCATGGAGCTTAAGATTTACTAGTCAGCTAATTTCCATATAGAGACAATACAAGGACAGCAAAACCTGAAAATTTATTGTTACACACATAAAGTGTTGAAATTGATAAAAAGGGTGTCAGCTATGATTTTGGCTAGCTATGCTCTAACTTTTTTGTACACACACACCCTCACTCTTGCACACTCACACATATGGATACATTGTCTCTCTTTTTTCTCTCTCTCTTTCTTTCTCTCTCTTTCTCACACACACACACACTTTCTACATATTTATGATGATTCAGATAAAATGTGAGGTCATTATATCCTGTCTCTGGGCTGTCTCCCTTTAAGTGTCAGCCCCAGAAATAAATCAAGTTTCTTATGATAAATTAGATCAGAATAATCTTTTTTGTCAAGTTAGTAAAAATGTGATTTAAAAAATGTGATAGGCCTAGTACATCAGTGTTTAGAGAGGCAATGAACAAGATATTCATGTAGAATGGGAATGAAGACGGGACAAAATGATAAAAGCTCTGTGAAAGAAAAACGCAAATGAATTAATACTACCTGGTTTAACAGCATACTCAGAGAATGATAATTACAGAGAACATCACTTAGTTTAGGAATCTGACGGAAAGAACTCAAGGTATGACTTCTTAGTTTGTTTGCACTGCAGTAACAAAATGCCTGAGATTAGGTTATTCATGAGAAAAGAAATGCATTTCTTCCAGTTCCAGAGTCTGGGACGTCTACGGTCAAGTCACCAGCAAATTTGGTGTCTGGTGAGGGCCTTGTTGCTCAGTCCTTACATGGCAGAAGGGTGGAAGGACAAAAGGCTCTAGCGTGCTCTCTTCAACCCCTTATATAAGAGCTCTTATTCCCGTTCTGCCCTCATAAATTAACCACCTCCTGAAGGTTCCCACTTTTAAATACCATCACCTTGGTGATTAGCTTTCAACATGTGAATTTTGGAGGGACACCCACGTTCAAACCAAGCATATGATCTGTGATATTTATTTGTTTTAAAATTGCAGACAACTTACTTAACTTTTCTAAGCCTCTGTTTCCTCAACTGTATAATAGGGATAATAAAAGTAATAATGAAAACTTTCTTCATATGGTGTTCCTGAAGTTTAAATAAAAAAAAAAAAATCCTTTGAAGTCCTTAGCACAGACGTTTTTTTAAAAAGAGCATTGCTTTCCAAAGAGAAATGCATCATCTTCAAAAGATGTGCATTCCCCATAATAGATTGCATAGTTCAGAAGTCCTTTTCATGGGGATGATACAGAAAAGAGTCAAATATCAGATAGGTGGTTGGATGAAATGACCTTAATATCCCTTACCTATGATACTATCATTTTATGCCGAAATTATTTGGCAGTTGGGATTCGAGGGATCTTTTGGCAGATTTCAAGCGTCCTCCACTGGGTAGTAAAAGGCTAGGAGGGTTGCACAATGGAGCAGTTAGAAAGTCTTCCCATTCAAGTAAGAAACACCTCCACTAAAACTGGCTCAATTAATGAGAAAATATAATGATTTCAATCATAACAGTCCAATAATAAGATCAGTTGATTTAGGGCTTCAGAGATAACATCTAGGTATTTTCTTATTGCTACTTCTACCTTCAGGGTCAACTTCATCCAAAAGTGGGTTTTCTTCATGGTCCTACAATGGCTGCCAGCAACAAGTGGGGAATATGGTTTTCATTCACCTGAGCTTCTTCCTCTAACTGTCCTTCCCTTCAGTCCAGTTGAGCCATCCAAGGGTGGCTTACCTTCAGGAGATTAACAGTTGCCATAGGATTTCAAGGCACTGACTGGCCTACACCAGTGAACAGAATCACCGTTGTGGGAAATGTATGACTATGAGAGGCAGAAGTCAAGACCTAAACCAAGCACATGTCTTTAGAAAGGAAAAAGAAATCAGTGAATCCTGCCTAGGCAACCAGGCTTATTGTAGGTAATTACTTCAGAATTAAGAGATTAGGTAAAAGATAATCAATGCATTCCCTAAGACTAGGTGATCTAGATCTATAGAATAAGATCAGGGCAGGAAAAGAATTGATCAAGTTCAGAAGGAAGCAGGGGGCCATTACCCAGATATTTGAATAATTTCCTTCCATCCTAATAATATTTACATAAAAGTGAAAAGATTAAGGAAAGCTGTAAAGAAATAATGCAAGTTAAATAGTAATAGGCACTTAATAGATCATTTTTCAGTATGTATGATATAATAGGAAAACATTTTTCTGAGTACTCACTTTGTGATAGTGCTGAACATCCTGTATAAATTATTTCATCAACAGATAATTTTGGCTAAATGAGTGAAAAATGAATGAACCAATATGTTAATGAGAGACACCTATCTAAAGGAAAAGCCACAAAATCATACCTCTTTCAGGTTTTGCTTTTTTATATGATTGGTTAAAGAGGTTGTTAAAAATTAATTTGAATGTGAACCAGGCTGTGGAGAAGCCAAACACAGAAGTCATGTCTCAGTTTGACAAAAACACAACTTTACTGAAACCGAGATGAAGAGTTAGAGGAATCAGTGATAATTTGGAGGTAGCAAACATAATAATGCCCTATAGGCCAGGTGCGCTGGCTCACGCCTGTAATCCCAGCACTTTCGGAGGCCAAGACGGGTTGATCACAGGGTCAGGAGATCGAGACCATCCTGGCTAACACAGTGAAACCCCGTCTCTACTAAAAAATTCAAAACAGTAGCCAGTGTAGTGGTGGGCGTCTGTAGTCCCAGCTACTCAGGAGGCTGAGGCAGGAGAATGGTGTGAACCTGGGAGGCAGAGCTTGCAGTGAGCTGAGACTGCGCCACTGCACTCCAGCCTGGGTGACACAGTGAAACTCTGTCACACAAAAAAATTATAATAAAAAAATGCCCTATAATATTTTATAATAGCCCTCCACAAAACAAAACCTTTCAGACCAGTTTTCATGGTGGTTAAAACCAAATAACAAAAAACTCACAAGAAAAGTTTTATTAAAATACATGAATGTTTTTCTCCTTGGAAAAGTCAACAAGGTTTTGCAATAGAACCTCAAAAATTCTCAATGTCTGGGTCCCTATTTTCTAGATTTGTACTTAAATCTACCATATAACTATTATGTTCTTTTGTTATTAATATGGAATTTTATTAATTATAATTATACCAAGTTTGGTAAAATAAAAGCAAAACATCAAATGAAGGTCGGATGCATATTACATATAGCTAACACCAATGGGCTCTGAATTTTTTGTTTCCCACAGCCTCCATTCTGCCAGCTCTGGGGTTCTATTGCCATTTCTTGCCAAATTATATTTGCTCTCTGTCAATGTCCACTGGCAGTCTGACAAAGTGCTGAATCTGCAGAAACCATGGCATGCTGTGCAACAGCTCCCATAGCAGATTTTTGACAGATTTTCTTCCCCTGCAGTAATAAGGCTTGTGCTACATTTTGTGAACAGGGACATAGATTAGTTAATATTTCTAAAGCATTTTGAAGATGAAAAGTGCCACATACATACTGATTTTTACTAATAATTTCTCTTGCTGTAAGGATCAAAATAAGCTCAGAAACATATTAAGCCCTACTCACAGAAGCATTAACACTTTGCTAAGATTGTCAGAATGCCCGACAAAGACAAAACATTGCATTTGCCTTCACATTTGACAACATTTGATAAAACTGACAAATCAATGCTCTGGAAAAAAACCTCAGCATTTATCACAGTCATAATTAATTTGAATCATGGATAAAGTGGTAACAGAGATTCTGTATATGCTGACAACGTTGTGAATAGTCACCTGAGAATTACATAGCACAGTCTCAATACTTAGTTCAAAATCCTTTAACTAAAATGAGCATTTGTCTTTCTGTATACTTATCTTTTATTTCACAGTTGAGAATTCACTAAACCAAAGGTTCCCAACTGACAAGGACAGGCCCAATTAGTAAAAAGGTCTTAAGGCTCAGGTTAAAATGATCAATTCTTGACCACATCTCAAAGTACTAAATCAAAATCTTCAGAAATGAATCTAGAACGTTTGTATTTTAAACAGGAGTTCCCATTGTTTTGGCTTTTGAGTTGGGCATTAGAAACCTCTATTAGCTAATTCCTACACTTCTGAAAGAGGTTCTGGTTTCTGATAGCCTGTACTTCTTTTACTCTTAAGAAGTTAGGTGTGGTTCCCTTATTCCTAAGATTTGGATTAAATTGGTTCAAATCATAGGAAATCGAAATGTTGTGGAATTTATGTATCTTCTTCTTACCACCAATTAACACTCTAACTTTAGAAAAACCTTTTTCTTTTCTTTATGTCTTTGGTTATTTCTCTGTTTCCATCCTTGCTTGCTACAAATGTTTGGTGATATCAAACCCACAAATTCCACCTATAGTCTTCAGTACAGCTGCACCCTTTGATTTCTACAGTAGCCCTGATTCTTGCTCTGGCACTGCACTAACTTCTTGCTTTTAACTATTTTAAATTCAGACAAAAGACTTAACTTAGGCCTTTGAGGATATTCTGTCTGTTCAGTTGAATTTTGTGTTTTCACCTTGTCTACTTTTACTGTTTCATCTCATTTTTCTTTAAAGTACTATCTGTCAATGTATCTTTGTTTTATTTATTTTCATCCACCTTTTTGTTCTTTCCTTTTCAACTGTGGAACAAGAGGTGTAGGCATCAGATGAACAGTCAGGTGCATTGCTGGCCTATGCCAGATCAGTACAGTCAACCCCACTCACAAACTAGGCTCCTGTTGGTACAACAGCATCACCTTTACCTCATTTCCAGAACAATGCAGAGGTATCATGGTAGAGATAAAAATGCGTAAGATCTAGGATGAGAAAGTCTATCTTTAATCCCTGTTTAGTCCCCTATTAACTGTGACCTCAAACAAGAAATTGACTCCCTGACTTTGTAAAGGAAAGGTAATAATAAAATCTTTATCTACTTCCTGGGATGATTATCAGGGTCATATCAAATTATGGATCTAAAAGAGCCTTAAAAACTTGTTAAGTAGCTATTATTCACATAAGAAAATCTGTAAATTAAAAAGCCATAGTTTTAACATAAATAAGCACTGGGAATTGACTAATTTCTTCCATCTATCTCTGGATAAAGAAAGGACCAGGTGGAAAAGGGTAGAGAAAGGCAACACTTCACTGCATGAGAAGCAGGACTGTGTGAGGCCTGAGCTGAAGCCAACACAACAGAAAGCAGAGTGGTAAGAAAAATGGGTGGCATTATTGAGCCACGGGATCAGGCTTGACTGACACAGCCATACCTCGGGACTTTTCAGATAAGTGAGCCAACACACGCTTTGTTTTAATACTGGCTTTAGTCACATGTTTTATCACTCATGAGAAATCATAACATAAGGAATCATAACTGGTTAAGTGCATCTGTTAGTTGTGAGTACTAAAGCATTTGTTGGATCTGGGATTTAGAAAGATCCAAATAATTTGACTTGAGAATAAGGTTATCATTGCTAAAAACATGTTCACAAATTTCAAATATGCTCATACAATTCAACTTAGAAAGGATGAATGAGGACCTCCCTGGGGAGGATTATACTTTGCAATGCCACGGAACTGGGCCCCTTACTAAAATATCCTTTATAAGAAAAATAGGGTCTCAGATAAAGCTATTCCATTGTTGACCATTGCTAAACATCTACCCTATTTTTTATCTGCACTTGTGGAAAATTTTCACCTTACTGAGAAGATATTTGAGAACAATACAAGCCTTTGTCAGCAGTATTGATCTACAGTTAGCCTTTGATTCTATAGACAGGACTCACTATAGGCCAAGCTATGTGATCTCAGCACAGATCTCAGGCTATGAAGATTCCTTCAAAGTCTGAAGCATAATACCACTGGGAGAATCAGAGCAGGTAGGAATGGACTCTCCACATTAAATTCCAATCAAAATCCAAGAAAGGTATTTGTGTCCTAACTGTACTTCTTTTTATTTGAAAATAATTTGATACAGCTTTCAGTTGATCTGAATGAATACCCTTCTGCCACAGGACACAAGACAAGCACTTACTTCTGTACTGATAACATAGGTTTCTCATTATTAGATTGCAGGAGATGCCTTAATAATCTACCAAGCCTGCTGGCTACACACTGTCAGTTTAATATCTACTGTGCCAAAACCAAAATTATTTTAGATAGACACTCCAACATGCAGATAGAAAATATGAGTGAAGTCTGTGTAATAAAGTGATTAATTTGGCTATCTGGGCTAAGTGGTAGGGTAGTACAACTTGCATTTAACAATTCCAGAAGCCCATAAACATTCATTTACTACACACATCTGTATTTTTTAAAAAAATAGATTTCCAGTGCCAGATTCTGTGCTAGGAAAGCCCTGTGGCTGCTTGGTGATTAAGATTCAGCCCTTGCCCTTAAGAAGCTTATATTTTAAGGTGAAATGTCAGGATTATATAAATTCTATAAAATTCACACTATAATATGGAGACTAAGGCAAGAAAAAATAAAACTATTGTATACTTTCTTTGATAAGACAATAAATAGCAATGCATTATGTGCGTAGTTTATTATAATGCACAAAGTTAACAAGTATTCTTAACTGACAAGTGTTTAATCTTTTAGTAATTTTTGTACATGTTTCTTATTTCAAGTATCCTCATATCTTTTTGATTTTTAAAATTATTTTGAAGCATAGATAACATAATTTCTGTTTCTGCATAACAGTTTCACTTGCATTATGAGGTCACCCCTTGCATAATTTATATTCCATTCATTGAAAAACCAAATAAATGAGAACATTTGTTATAAACAAGGGAAAGAGAAAGTGATACAGTTCACCCCATGAGTACATAAGGCCAGTCATCAAGTTTAGTTCAAAACTGTTTGAGAAGGTGACGTTTGACAGAATCCTTCATAATATTCCTTTGAACAAGGTAGAGAAATGAGGTCTAGCAACAGTACCCACAGTAGACTAATAGATGGCTACACAAAGTGGTGACTCCTGGATTATGTTCAATCTAGAAACCAGCCTCTGAGGGCACATCTTAGAAGGTGTCCTAGGTATTGTCCTATGAAATGTTTTTAATCATAGATCAGATGAAGCCACAGAATCTGTATCTAAGATATTTTTGAGATGCTGTAATTTAAGAGGAATAACTAAATTATTGGATAGTGAAATCAGGATATTTAAAGTTTTCATTTAAATTCTATGCACCCCTGTTTTGTTCAACAATTAAATATAAAAATACAGGCTGGAAGAAACAGTAATTAATTGCAGTTTGGGTAAAAATGCAAGAGGTTTAGGTAAACATGAAAGTAATTTGAGCCAGAGGTATCATATTGTTCCAAAAAAGGTAACAAGGCTGTAAGGGGAGCTTTCCATGCCTTTATTTAGGTCATGGAGTTAAGCCCAAAAGTGTGCAGGAAATGGGAGCAGGAGTGGTGATGAGTCCCAAAAACCATACCTGTAAAATGTGGAATGTG
The DNA here is from genome assembly GCF_000001405.40 of Homo sapiens. Lineage (NCBI taxonomy): Eukaryota > Metazoa > Chordata > Mammalia > Primates > Hominidae > Homo > Homo sapiens. The sequence continues at coordinate 59,065,948 of NC_000013.11, forward strand.
GAATGTTTAGCCTGGAGAGACAGAAGTATGCTTGACTGAAATCTTCAAATATATGAAAGTCTACTGTGTGTAAGGGGAAGTAGACTTTTTCTAGGAATTTCCAGAGGTAGAAACTAGTATGAGTAAAAGTTACAGAGAGTCAGATATGACTCCTTATCAGGAGGACATTTAAAATGATATGGACTGGTAAATGGATTTCCTTCTAAGAAGTGAGCATTGGGGAAATGATAAAATGTTGAATGACCATTTGCCAAGGATGTTGTGGAAAATTTCTTAATTGTGAAAAAATTAGAATGACATGACTCCGAAATTATTTTCTAACTGTAAGGATTTATCGTTTTATATTTTACCTGATTCTTGGTATATATAATAGGCCCCAGGTAAATATCTGCTCCCAATTATGCTCTTGTAAGTACTAATGAACATGTTTCTTTTTTTTGAGGGACAGACCCTCAGATCTTACACCTCTGTTCCTGCTTGCTCTTTGTATCTATTCCATAGGCTAGACGTATTAACAACACAGATACTAAGAATATCTTAGCAACTGATAGACTCCCTCCCTGTGTAACCAAAAACAAAACAAGACGAACAAAAACATAAGAAACAAATTTGGAGTTATGTGTTTTCTAAAACGTGTAATCGTTTTTCATACTTAGATAGGACACTAAAAGAACAGCCTTTTTCCAAGTTGATAAGGAAGTTTGGAGGACAATGGTTTTTACTCCAATATTTCCTTTGATATTCACCCTAACCGAAAACCATGTCAACAATGCATAGAGCCAACAAATCATTTTACATGAAACAACCAATGCCCTTGGCTATTTTTTTCACTTCCAAGATTATCTGCCTAAAGTTTCATATCCCTCAATGCTTTGTAAGTTTTTAGCATTACTTCCAAACTCTATGTTCCATATTCTGCAATACTTTTTTTCCACTTATTCTTCATCTGGCAAACTCCTACTTAACTCTCACTACCTTGCTTAATTTTCCTGTCTCCTACAAAGTTTTGCCGAGCTTCCCTGGGTGGAAATGCTTATTCCAGCTTTGACATCAATAGCTTCCTTCAAAACTCTACTATGGCACTTGTGATGCATTATTTACGTGTGAGTCTTCCCATCTAGGTTAAAGATGCTTTCTTGAATACAATTTCACTTTGTTAATCTTTATGTCCTCTTCAGAACCCAACATGAGGGCACCTAGGACACTGCAGGCATTAAACAAAAACAGGAGAAATGACTGAAGCAATACATACAATAGATGAGTAGATATAGGAAAAAGTAAGAAAAACTACATATAGGAATTATGAACTTAAAATTATGACAAAGTATTATTACATGGAATAAAAACATACCTAAAGGAAATATGATACACAGGATATCTGAAAAGAAACTAAATTTTTGTGCTCTGCTGTTATCCACTGTCACTTATAGGAGTAAACATTAAATGGTGGATATCTTATCAGCTAATTTGTCTAATTCTAGGAAAGGTATTCAGATAAGGGAAGTATGCAGATAATAAAATTTTACTTGTTTTATCTATTAAATTTTCATTCTTTCCCAACAAGAAAATTATAAACAAAACTGAGTAATTTCAATCACTTTAAGGCAACAGATATGTTTGTTCATCTTTGCGTCTGAGTCCATACATGCAGGAAACAAGCAACAAATACTTGGTAAATGCATTCATTGATTATTATGCATTCTGTGACAGATTTCTTCTCTCCTTTCTTTAGCTAGCACCTCTATTAAAATGTCTTCCTAGGCCGGGCTTAGTGGCTCATGCCTATAATCCCAACACATTGGGAGGCTGAGGTGGGCAGATGGCTTGATCCCAGAGGTTCAAGACTAGAATGGCCAACATGGCAAAACCCTGTCTCTACAGAAAAAAAAAAATGCAAAAATTAGCCAGGCATGGTGGCACATGTCCGTAGTCCCAGCTACCAGAGAGGCTGAGGTGGGAGGATGGTTTGATCCATGAAGGCAGAGGTGACAGTGAGCTGAGATTGTGCCACTGTGCTCCATCCTGGGCAACAAAGTGAGACTCTGTCTCAAAAAAAAAAAAATAAATATTTTCCATGACCTCCTCTTTCAAATTACTGTCTTCATAAAGAAATTAAATAATATGGTTACAATTGTGTGTGTAATAACATTTTTTAAACTCTGAATTATGTGCTTTTCAGTGTATTGAAGTCAGAGCTTTACTTGGATGTTTTCTTGATGGTTACTAGTATTGCTTATTTTTAGTCATTGCTATGTCTGTTTTGTTTGATATTGTTTGAAATCTGACTGAAGCATGAATTTTTTCAGGTATCTATTGCAATCAGGTACCTACATGAGAAGAAAGTGTTGTTACTATAGTTCTTCAGACAGAATCTTCTGATTTCTGCATAAAAGTGTTGTTGGTGAATACCAGTATTTCTAGAAAGTTTAACTCCTTATATGTAGATTTGAAAAATAACCTATTATTTTCTCTGAATGAATACAAATAAATTTTAATACCATTGAGAATATATAACTTCAATGGAAAAACAAGAGCCATACATACCAGTTAACAAAATTTTTGTGACATTACTAATTAAAATTTCACATATTTCACTGCAAATATGGGCAATATTATGTGATGGGAATATTATCTATAGAATTATGCTGTGGTGGGTATATGTTTTCTCAGAAAGAATGTTGCCTAGGCTGTATCACTTAGCAGCATAATGTTGTTATTTGAAATGTAAATAGTAGGTGCTACATGGGGTACTTGTTGAATTGGACACATTCTGATTTGAGAGCATTTTAATCAGTGAAATTCATGGAGTAGCGGTATAACACCCTTATGATACCTATGCATTTATGTTATGCAGGCAGCAGTACTGTTATATGCTTGTTGATTGCTGAAGTGAGAGGTATGCCACACGTTATGTGTTACTCTCTTAGCAGCTGAAGAACACTCTAAACGCTATACTGGAGATGAAATACTATGTCTCCTGAGCAAATCACATGACTGTCACTTCCCTAACACTTATAACACATGTCATAAATGGATTTCAACTATATCTCACACTTCAGATGTGCTTTATAATTTTGTTTATATATTCAAGGCATAAGGTGTTGCAAAATAAGTTAAAGGAACTCTTCTTATTAAGGTTACAGAGATAACTCTTAGGTAAGAGAAAATCTACATAAGTGAACCAAAGAACTTGTCTCTATTTCATTCCAGGTCTAAATTCAGTGCCATTTGGAAGTCATTTATATTTTAATGGTTTTGCATGTGCTTTTATTCCTATGTATTTGCAGGATATTAAATGATTTTAGTAGTTGCAGGTGAGACCCTGTGTGTTTGAAATTATTTGCCAGCTTCTTAGAATATAAAGTTCAACACAGGAAAATTAATAACATGATCAAAAAAAGAGATATGTTGTTAATTGAGCGACTTTAGATGTGCCAATGCTATTCATTTCCTATCTACTTAATCCTAACAATGACTCTATAAGATAGATAGTGTTATCTCTAACCTACATACAAGGAAACTGGGCTTTAGAGATGAGTGGCCTGCTCCAAATCACAAGGAATTGTACAAAGATTTGAACCAGTACTACTTTTCCCTACATCACAAGGCAATAATCTCTGCCCAGTGCTATGCCTGAGAATAATATAACAAATATGTATGAAAAAATGTTTCATTCTAATGCTGCTTAATATTGATTTAAAGGCTAAAAATATACCCAATTATTTTATGTTACTCTAACGTGTGAGATTGTTTGTTCCATATTTATTGACAGAAATATAGAAAAACAGTGAAAGGGGAGACAGTAAATGTTAATCCTGACTTTATACCCATCTCGAGCCAATACTTTGTCTAGCTTTAAGATCTTTTGAAAGTTTTAACAATGATCAAATGACACTCCACAACCAAATTGGCAGGAGCTTTCCTGGATCATCTTGTTAGTGTGCTCTTGAAGGGCATCCTGACCTATGTTGCTTGAAGTGTCCAGAAAGCACCAATTTTCTACCTTGATTTTCTCTGATTATTGGCAATTTTCTCTGCTAGGGGCGTTTGGGTGATGAGACAAACTTAATGTGATTGGCCATGTTAACAAAGTGAGAACATTCCAGTCACTCAGTATGTACCTCATTAGTATCACTCTTTCATAATTCATGAAACAATATCTTGAAATATACAAAAGAACCTTATCATAAGGTAGAAAACGCTTGTTTGTTCTCACCCACATCATGGTCTGTAGTATATTATTTGATGATAAAAGTCTAAAAAGACTTTTTTCTTTATCTTTATTCCTAGGTCCCTCTGCAATTTTTTTTATTATCCTTTCATACTTGGAAGTTTTTATTTCATCAACCAACATAGTATAAGTATTTAATATTTAAATCTCTTTTAGTTGTATATTGCTATGCACAGCAAAATAAAGAGCCATAAAAATCTTGAAAAAAGATTTCAAAGGCATAGTCTTCCAATTTATTTTAAAATATAGTTACTTATTTGTCAATAAAACAGGAAGCTGTATTTATAATTTGGAGTAACTAGTAGGAAATATTGTCATTTGATAACAGCACAGAGTATTTATTTCATTATAAATTTTTTAGCTTTGGCAAGAACCCTGGTCTTAAAATAGCATTGAGCTTTGAAAAATGGCCAAGAATGTATTTAAAAGCATAGAGAGTATATACCTAAAAACAGATAATAAAGCTTAATGTAGACTAACGCTTGACTATATAGTCAAACTAGTATACTGTGTATCTGGAATAAAATACCATTATTCATAAAATGGCTGTATAAGTAGGCTCCAAGTAGAGTCAGATAAATGGCACTATATAAATTCATAAAACCTGATGGATTACTATTGACAATTATCATCAAGCTTTATCTTACCTACAAAAGAAAAGAATTTTTAAAAATGGCATGCCGTTGGTTGCCACAAATGGCACCTATTTTTCTTGAGAATTGTAACTGCAAATCAGCTTTTAATACTCATCAAACATCTCTACTTAGTTTTACCTATTTAGATGATATGCTAAAGGATTCTGGAAATTTTAAATAATTGAAAAAGGAGAAAGTGTTGCAGAGGAGAGGTCTTTATAAGAGTAATAAACTATAAAATATTCTTTTTTTAGATCTCATCTTTCATGAAATATTCAGAAAAAATTTTGATTAAATAAGTTTACAATTAATAGTTAAATATTTAGGGACAGTGTACTAAGTTGTGGAAACAGTACAAGTATTTAAGAATGTTGACTGGTGGTGAGGAAATGTCAACTGCCAATAAATATGAAAGGTGAAAGAACAGGACTTTAAACAGAGCTTACTTAGCTATGGGTCTCCTCTCCACACACAAAAACTCCCTGACTGGCAGATAGGCTACAGTTACTAAGACTTTGGCTCTTCACTCTAAAAGAGTTAGCTTTCCACCAGAAAAGATCCTCAGTACCCACAATTCATACTCCCAGCTGAGAATCCACCCTGGGGGACAAGGTAAGCAGACACTGAGGCAGCTGGGCCATCCTGGCCCTAATTCCCCCAGCAGTGTCCACACTGAGCACTGCTGCCCTTGTAGAAGGCAGTCATTGGCTCATCTGCAGGGTGAGTCTTGTGCTGCATGAAGTGAACAGGAGGGTGTTCGCACTGGGGACATGGCTGGGCAGGACAGTGGACATTCTCCTAGGCAGTTGCTCTCCCAGGCAGCTGCTCCCCCAAGCACATTATCCACTTCTTTCAGCTTTGGATACTTCCAATTTGTGATCTTATAGTTGATACTGTACTGGAAGGGCAGGTGTTGCAGGTGGAGCAGTGACAACACTGTCCCTCCTCCAGGATCAACTCATTTTCCCAGCCTGGGCTAAACAGCATTATTGTCTCAGACTCTGACCCACAGGCTCCAGCTCCCAGCCAGAAAATATACTTTAAATAATTTTATAATTTCCTGATTGTATTCTAAAAATTTTATAGGAAATATTTTGCTCTCTAGTAGAAAGTAAGTCAGTCATTAGATTGAATGCTGAACCAAAATTAGAATATCTATCTATTTGTGTTATCAGGATGGCTGTCTATAATATTTTAAGTTAGGTTAATTCCTCTTTCATTGTATTATATACAAAATTGTGGTGTTTATATTTGCAAAAATTGTTTTAATATTCTAGTTTATAAGATTATGATATCTGAATTTTAAAAATGTTTAGAAGTAGATGAAGCTTATATTTTATTTGACTATTATTTTAGAAGAAATATTTTAGAGATCATAAATTTAATTTTGGGAACATATTTTTGACAGGTTTTCTCAAGAAATAATACTTGAAAAAATGTTAGTTGCTTGCTGGCATTAGCACATGGGTTGAAAGCTGTGTGAATATTTATTAAAGTGTAGTAGCAAATAACGGTTTATCAAGTTGATTGGAAGGATCTTGTATGTGTCACTGGGACTGTTGTTAGGTCCAGTTAGGCTCTTTTAACAGCTTCATCAATGGTCAGCAGAAGAAAGAGACAACATGGTAATTAAATCTCTGGAGCTATTATGCCCAAGTATCAATCTATAAAAAGTGTCAGCCCAGAGTGCTTAGTTCAAATATGCTCAGAAATAAACTTTAAAACAAAAGACTGCTACAGAATTTGTATTTCAACAAAAATGTAATGGAATAATGTTTTAAATTTTGTATTGCAGAGATACTTTCTAAATTATCAAAGAAATTGGACAAAGGTGACTTTTTGTTTAAATGTAATCAATATCCTTAATGTGTTTTTATTTGCCCATAGAGATGAAAGTGAAAATTTTATAAGGTGTACAGAGAAATCGCAGACAAATAATTACGTGCAGACTTAGACCATGAAACTCGTTTGTTGTTGAGCATCAGCTTTTCTGTATAGCTAAGCACTATGAACAGTCACGGCACTGCCAGCTTTGCTTCACTCTTTGAACAATGCTGACTATAGCTCATGGGCCTGGAAGAAAGTCCTTCCAATAATCTAGAGCAAGATGGCCAGCCCAGAACCTCTCTGCAAATCTGGGCTAATGTTGCAGCTCAGTTATAAAACTGAGTTCCTGCCGTCTTCCTGCGTCTAATTTGAAGCCCTTTTCCACCTTTCTCCCCTGTGCTTGCTTTAGTCCCATCTTTATAATGTGATGGCTCTCCAGTTGCTGTGGCATGAGTTTTTCCTTCTTCTTACTAATCATACATCCCCTTCTCACTCTAGGAACAGGAAATTTCTGTTTCTGCATCCCAGTCTCTGCTTCATGCTGACAGACACCTGTGACACTATTTACGTGGCTGCCTATCTGCTTCCCCAAATATAAATATCTCTAGCTGCTCTAACATTCCATTTTCCTGTGTTCTATCTTCATGCTTGTTGAAATATTCTATTACTCAATCTTTCTAATAGCAACAATTTACTACCACAAATAATGAGTAACATATACATAAGTGTAACTAATAAACAAAATTACAAAGAAATAAAATGTTTCCTTAATTTTAATACAAAGATAGCAATGTGAATTTATTTCGCTATTATCATTAGAAGTACATATGAATTTTAAATGGAATATTCCACATTAAAAAAATCCTAAGTGAACGTAACATATTTATTTGCTATTAGGCCAGTCTCATTTACTAATTTCATTAAGGGAATACATGTATTGTTTTAATCTGAATAAATTTTCTAATATTCAAAATTTTTCTGATTGGGGCAATTTTCCATTATATCCAGGCTTTTCAGCAGTAATTAGAATTTTGCACTCAGTAATATGCTATGTATCAGTGCTATTTAAAAAGTGATAATCTAATAGTACTAATTCTTTTGTTGGAAAATAAGGCAGAAGAAGTATCCTATTGCTCACCAGTCCATGCTCCACATAATATGCCTGGGCACCTACCAATTTATTATCATACTTCAGCCATGCTTATCTACCCAAAGGGACCTTTTCTGGCCATGAAGCATGTAAGAACTCTTCAGTTCTCTATTAAGCTATCTTCTTGGCACCCTTTACCTATTGTCCAAATGCTTTATAAGGCCAGTTATCCTTCCTTCCCAAACATCCTTCTTGAATTTGTTCTCGTATCTTACTATCTATGGGAACCCTGCTTTCTGACTTCCACAATTCTGAATTTTGTATGCATTGGTGTGATTGTAAATATTTAACAACCAGCTCTCCTAGAGAAGCAAAAGCCCCGATTCATACCATTTAATAGTTTTAATGACAGAAACGTCCACCACCATGGACAATTTCAAGCTACCAAAGTGACTTCCCTAATTAGGAGTCAGGACATGTATGTTATTTAGTGCTGCCTAAAAAAACTAGTCAGCTAGTTTAACAGCTTAACAGCTTAAAAGAACACATATTTATTATATCACAGTTTCAGTTGGTCTGAAATCCAGGGTCTCTCAAAAGACTGCAGGCAAGGTGCCAGCCAGGGCTTTGGTCTCAAATGAAGGTTTAAATGAGCTAGTATACAGTTTCAAGGTCACTCACGTGGTCGTTGGAAGAATTCAGTCTTCTTAACGTCATCATTTCTATGTGCGTATTGCCCACTTCATGAAATCCTCTTCCCTGGAACTCTTGCCCACCCGAGTTAAAAACTGGTCAGGCAGGGGACTTGTTCTGGCAGATCCTGTACTACCTGGACTGGGTTGTCCAACTCTCCCTCTTTATACCTAAGTCTCAGCAAGATGACAATGAGTCCAAACACCAAGGTAGAATCCCATCCTTTTCCCCACCACATACATACACAAAAAAATATTTTCATCTCAAGGCAACTCTTTAAAACTGAAGCTATCTGTATTAGTCTGTTTTCACACTGCTGATAAAGACATACCCGAGGTTTAATGGGCTTACAGTTCCACATGGCTGGGGAGGCCTCACAATCATGGTGGAAGGCAAAGAGGAGCAAGTCACATCTTACATGGACAGCGGTAGGCAAAGAGAGCTTGTGCAGGGAAACTCCCCCTTATGAAACCTTCAGATCTCATGAGACTTATTCATTATCATGAGAACAGCATGGGAAAGACCTGCCCCCATGATTGAATTACGTCCCACTATCTTATCTCCCTCCTACAACACATGGGAATTCAAGATGAGATTTGGGTGGGGACAGAGCCAAAGCATATCATTCCACCCCTGATCCCTTCCAAATCTCATGTCCTCACACTTCAAAACTGACCATGCCTTCCCAACAGTCCCCCAAAGTCTTGACTCATTTCATCATTAAATCAAAGGTCCACAGTCCAAAGTCTCATCCAAGACAAGGCAAGTCCCTTCTGCCTATGAGCCTGTAAAATCAAAAGCAAGTTAGTTACTTCCTAGATACAATGGAGATACAAGCATTAAGTAAATACCATTCCAAATGGGAGAAGTTGGCCAAAACAAAGGGACTGCAGGCCCCACGCAAGTCTGAGATCCAGTGAGGCAGTCAAATCTTAAAGCTCCAAAATGATCTCCTTTGACTCCACATCTCACATCCAGATCACACTGATGCAAGAGGTGGGTTCCCATGGTCTTGTGCAGCTCCACCCATGTGGCTTTGCAGGGTATAGCCTCCCTTCTGGCTGCTTTCACAGGCCGGCATTGAGAGTCCACGGCTTTTCCAGGTACACAGTGCAAACTGTCAGTAGATCTACAATTCTGTGGTCTGGAGGATGGTGACCCTCTTCTCACAGCTCCCCTAGGCAATAACCCAGTAGGGACTCTGTGTGAGGGCTCCAACCTTACATTTCCCTTCCACACTGCCCTAGCACACGTTCTCCATGAGAGCCCCACACACGAAGCAAACTTCTGACTGGGCATCCAGGCATTCCATACATCCTCTGAAATCTAGGCGGAGGTTCCCAAACAACAATTATTGAGTTCTGTGCACTGGCAGGCTCAACACCATGTGGAAGCTGCCAAGACTTGAGGCTTGCACCCTCTGAAGTCATGGCACAAGCTCTACATTGGCCCCTTTCGGCCATGTGGAGTGGCTGGGATGCAGGGCACCAAGTACCTAAGCTGCACACAGCACGAAACCACTTTTTCCTCCTAGGCCTCTGGCCCTGTGGTGGGAGGGGCTGCCATGAAGTTCTCTGACATGCCTGGAGACATTTTCCCCATTGTCTTGGGGATTAACATTTGGCTCCTTGTTACCTATGCAAATTTCTTCAGGCAGCTGGAATATCTCCTCAGAAAAAGATGATGGAATTTTCTTTTCTATCGCATTGTCAGACTGCAAGTTTTCCAAACTTTTATTCTCTGTCTCCATTTTAAAACTGAACATCTTTAACAGCACCCAAGTCACCTTTTGAATGCTTTGCTGCTTAGAAATTTCTTCTGCCAGATACCCTAAATCGTCTCTCTCAAGTTCAAAATTCCACAAATCTCTAGAACAGAGGTAAAATGCTGCCAGTCTGTTTGCTAAAACATAACAAGAGTCAGCTTTGCTCCAGTTTCCAACAAGTTCCTCATCTCCATTTGAGACCACCTCAGCCTGGATTTCATTGTTTATATCATTATCAGAATTTTGGTAAAAGTGATTCAACAAGTCTCTAAGGAGTTCCAAACTCTCCCACATTTTCCTGTCTTCTTCTGAGCCCTCTGAACTGTTCCCATGCCTGCCTGTTACCCAGTTCCAAAGTTGCTTCCACATTTTCAGGTATTTTTCAGCAGCACCCTACTCCTGGTACCAATTTACTGTATTAGTCCATTTTCACATTGCTGATAAAGACATACCCAAGATTGGGCAATTTACAAAATAAAGAGGTTTAATGGACTTACAGTTCCATGTGGCTGGGGAGGCCTCATAATCATGGTGGAAGGCAAGGAGGAGCAAGTTACATCTTACATGGATGGCAGTAGGCAAAGAGAGCTTGTGCAGGGAAACTCCCCCTTATAAAACCATCAGATCTCATGAGACTTATTCACTATCATGTAAACAGCACAGGAATGACCTGCCCCCCTGATTCAGTTACCTCCCACTGGCTCCCTCCCACAACATGTGGGAATTCAAGATGAGATCTGGATGGGGACACAGCCAAACCATATCACTATTGTTGGTTCTCCACATTAAATTATTTTAAATTTATTTCATTAAGTAATAGCATTGCCTAATTCAGTTCACCACTGTTAACTTTAACTTGGCTTTTGCTTCAAGAGGCATTTATTGCATCATTTTCGTTTTCTTTTTCTCTTTTTTGTATTTGTTAGAGATAGGGTCTCACACTGTCACCCAGACTGGAGTACAGTTATGAGATTATTGCTCACTGTAGCCTGGAACTCCTGAGCTCAAGCCATCCTCCCACCTCAGACTCCCAGGTAGCTAGAACTATGGGCATGCACCACTATCCCTGCCTCATTTTTTAATTTTTAATTTTTTTTTTGTAGAGATGATAGAGTCTCACTATGTTGCCCAGGCTGGTTTCAAACTCCTGGGCTCAAGCCATCCTTCCACCTCAGCCTCCCAAAATGCTGGGATTACAAGTGTGAACCAGCATACATGGCTTTTGCTAAGTTTTTAATTTCTATATTTATTAACATTATTCTGAATATACACACAAGGTTGCTGGAGCAGAAGACATTATTAATTACTTATTGAAAATAATACATGTGTAGTTCTCCTGTGCCCCAATTCTTACCTCTGGAGACATGTGTTGAAAGCTACATGTTGTCCTGCACATAGGAAATCAATATTGTAGGTGAGAAACCAAAAATACATAAATCTGGACATTTATATAAGAGAGAGACAGCTGCCTCCTCCTTTCCTGAGAATGTTTCCTTAGAAATATAGCAGAAAGGACTCTGGGTTCTAATCTTTTGGACAGTAAATAAATTTTCCAAAGGAAAGGTAAGACCAGCATATTTACAATCCAAGAGTATCTCCACAGTCTCAAGTCTCATCTCCTCTTAAAATATAAACTCATGGCTCTGCGGAGGCAAATCTTTCTGGATGGTCTCTCATTATCTACTCAGTCATAAGATAAGTTAGGCTTGTCTTATAATCTAGGTCCCAAGTTTCAGAAAAATTTGCTCAGAACTCCCTGCCTGTGCAGAAACATAAAAATATTTTCCCTACAGTCTCCCACACTTCTGTTTCTCTAGAACTTTCAATGCAGCATTAGCAGACTTCTCTGAATCCTCACACTCCTCTGAGTAACTCCTATACCCCTTGCCTTAACCCTAACCTGGATATTCTTTGAGGTCACTCTTTCTTCTTTAGTCTATACAAGTAAAGGATGTTCTTTTTCTCAATCTCAGCAAGGTCCCATCCATTCAGGAGATGAGGGTAAGTGTCCTTCTTGCTCTCCTGTTGCTTTCAGGTCATTTCTCCCCCTTCCTTTTTGATAAATTCGGCACTGTTGAAGTGCAAGTCATTTTAGCCATCTTACAAGTTTCCCACCTCAATCCTGCCATTTTCTTACTTCCCAACTACTTCTCTTCACTCAACAAAAGCCTTACCTTCTGGCCCACAGCCTTTCTTTCCATAGCAACTTCTGTTGTCATTCTCAATAACAGTATCATATTCTGGACTTCCAGTCCATTGATCTATTCACTAGAAACAATGTTTTCATCCCTAATCCAATTCAGTTATCTATTCTCATGAGTTTATCATGAGTAATATCATGAGTTTGTCATCAACAAAACTATGTCACTTCCAAAATAATTCCAAACAGTCCATTCTCTGTTGACCTGTTCCTGCCTTTCCAGTTCACGTTTCATTACACCAAGTCCAATGTTATTCCAGTTCTTCATGAACTCCAACGCACGAACTTCACAAATTTTCATCATCTATCATCTGTATGTCTTCATTTCTCTCTTTACTTAATGCATACCTAATAATTTACCCAATCACCATCTTACCACATTCATTTGATGTTTCATCTCAAATTTAATAAGACTACAATTTCACTCATGATAGTTCCTAAACCTAGACATCCTTAGAATCCTTATCTTAATAAATGACACCATTGTACTTTAATAAATCTCAAAACCTTTCTCTATTTCCTGTATCAAGGCCATTCATTCACTAATTCAAAAACATTTTCCAATCCACTTTTAAGCACCAGAGAAACCATAGTTCAGAATCAGAATCTAATATAAATCTCAAACCAACTCACTGCCAATGTTCGCTCTGTGGCCCAAACCTCTATTATTATTTAATCTATAATTCTGAAATAACTCCCTAACTAATCTCTGCTCTTCCACTCCTGGCCCATCCAAACCATTCTTCATGTGGCAGCTAACATGTCTTTTTACAGAACTACTGAAGACTTCTGTAGCTGTTCCTTGCACTTATAACTTCATAGACACGTGTTTCCATGAACTAAACCTGTGTAATTTGGCCCTTGGTCACCTTTTCTCCTCAGTACACGACACTTGCTCTCTGGGTCTCTATCTAGCTCCAACTCTCTGTGCAACAGGGTACCACGGTTTTTCAGGTCTCAGAACTCAACAACCTCTTTACTTCTGCTGGTCTTTGGGCTTGCTGTTCTCTCTGAACATATTTTTCTTTATGATCTTTGCATGAATGACCACTTCCTGTCCTTCAATTCTAAGAGTAGATATTTCCTCCTCCAAAAGGCCTTTCATAAAGAATTCTTCAGCTTTCCCTATTACCCTCAATTACAGGACTTTGCTTATTCCGTCCATTGCATTTATTGCAACATATCATTTTATTTCACGTCTATATATTTATATATATATCATTTATTTGTATAAATTCACTTTTTTGTTATTTATTTCCTCATGGCAGCGCAAGCCTCATGCAGACAGACATAACAATATGCCATGGTTACACCTGCAGCTAATACGCCAGTAACTGCATATTAATTGGAATATGTGGAATATGGTGACCCTAAATTCCACCAATATGTGTGGCATGAACAAAGGATCTTCCTCCTTTCAAAAACCTATAATCTCCATTCAACCAATAGGAGGACAATATATTTTTAAATGGTTTCCAGAGCTCAATAGTTTTCTGAAGTCAGCACATCTCAAAGGTAGAGCACTTTTCCACATATCCTAAAAATGATTCTTAACTAGACAGGGCAGCAAGAGGTAATGCCCTCCTGGCCAGATATATAATTGAACTCTTCTAGGTACGTGGAAGCAGAGGCAATTTGGATAAATCCCCAAAGTCATTCTAAAACATCACCTCCTACCTTCATCCCCACACTGTCCCACTGGTGAAGAATCAAGAAATTCTAGGTAAAAATCTGACTTTGAAACTTCCTTGTTGAAAGCCCACAAATGGTTCCTTAAGATGGCGCACGTGATTTTCGATGATCAAGTCTGTGTTCGTGTTACCAGCTTCAACTCACCACTCCCTGACTCATGCTGTACTCTGCATCGATGAAAGAAAGACTGTAATCTTTCCTGCACACTGTGTATACACACACACACACACACACACACACACACCATATATATAGTATTTATATTTAGTTATGTTAAATTTCCAAAGGTACACAGACACACACCTTCAATAATTTAATGGTTTTGAGTGGTTGAACTTTACAATCATTGGTCATCCAAGTGATTCAGTCTCCCAAACATTCACATGAAGAATATTTTATTCAATTAAGCCAACCCAAAGCAATGAATTTCTCAGTTACTGAAATACAAAGACTTGTATAAACCATTGGTTCTCACCTTGTTGAGGGAGTCTGCATCCAAACTATCTGGACAGCTTTCTTCAAAATATAGCTGCACATATCCCTATTCCCGCCTCCCTCCACCTCACAGCCAGATTATATTATTCCTTAGTTATATGGGTTGGGGAAGAATAGGTATTTGAAAAACCCTCTTGGACATTCCACATTGCTCTGAGTGTTCTGCCCTAGATAAAAATGGCCAATATAGACTCAATCTTAATGGATGCTTATATATTAGAACAAGATAGAAAAAGCAAAACAAAAATTATTTTGCATCAGGAGTTGAACCTAATCAGTAATTCTGTGTATCTGGATAGCTAAGTTTTTCTTCCAGATTTGTTTACCATAAATAGCTGCACCTCTGTATCACTTGCCAAGATTAACTTATTAATTACACAAATATTTATAAAGACATCCACAGTGTGATAGCTCTGTGCTATGTGCTGGTGATACAAGCAATGAGCAAAAAGTACATAGTCCCTATACCTAACAAGCTTCCAGTCTAGGAGGGGAGTCATGTATTAATCAAATAACCACATTGGTGATATATAATTATCAATCAAGATAGGTATAATGAGAGAAATAATGACAGTTCTGTGAGAGGATATTTCACATATATCAGATTTATACTAGGAATCACGGGAAGCTTCCTGAAAATAATTGGGCTGTGACATTAAGGATGAATGAGTTAACACACAAAGAAGGAAGAGGAAGGGTGTGCTCATGACAAAAACAAAACAAAACAAAAAAAAACAGTGTAGGTAAAATCTCTGTGGTGAAAGTGAGAAGTCAGGTCCCAGGTATTCAAGATTAATAGGGTGAACAGCAGAGGCCCAGGGAGAAACCAGAGGCATCATGGGTAGCAAGGGGCTAGACTATCAGGGCCTTGCTGGTCATTTTAAAGATTTTTTTTCTAAGATCAATGATATCTCATTCAGAAGACAAAATATAGAAAAATCTGTTTTGAGGCAATTCTGTATTCTTGGCAAAAGATGAGGTTAATTTGGATTATAATGGTGGTAATGGAGATAAAGGGAAGTGGATCAATTCGTGAAAGAAACACAGATTGGGCTTGATATGGCAGTTGAGGTAACAGAGGAGTCAGGGATTGCTTCCAGCTCTCCTGTTTTACAAGTAAAGTGTCATTTTTTAAACTTGGGGACAGTTTGGTGATAAAGAGTTTAATTTTGTATCTGATAAATTTGAACTATTTTGAGTTAGTCAAGTAGCAAAATGTTAAGTTGGCAGTTAAACATTTAGGTCTGAAACTCAGAGAAGAGAATTGAGCTGGAGATATATTCAAAGATGTTCATTTTACATACAGTAATTGAAATCATAGAATGGATGAGGTTGCACAGGTAAAGAATACAGAATAAGAATAGAAGAAATCCGGCCGGGCGTGGTGGCTCACGCCTGTAATCCCAGCAATTTGAGAGGCTGAGGCAGGTGGATCACGAGGTCAGGAGATAAGACCATCCTGGCTACCACGGTGAAACTCTGTCTGTACTAAAGATACAAAAAAAAATTTAGCCGGGCATGGTGGCACGCGCCTGTAGTCCCAGCTACTCCGGAGACTGAGGCAGGAGAATCGCTTGAACCTGGGAGGTGAAGCTTGCAGTGAACCGAAATCGTGCCACTGCACTCCAGCCTAGGTGACAAAGAGAAAGTCCGTCCCCCCCCCCAAAAAAAAAAAGAATAGAAGGAATCCTATAATAAACCTTAAGAAATTCCAACATTGAAAAGCCACGTTAAGGAAGATGACCCTACAAGAGAGACCAGAAAAGAAGGCATAGATGCAGGAAGAAATCCAGGAGAATAATGTGCTGGAAAAGCCAAGGGAGGAGAGAGGTTTAAGGATATGATCAGCACTGTTAAATGATGCTGGACGGTCAAACCAGAAGATAACTAAAAAGTGTCCACTGAACATAGAAACATGGAAATCTTTAGTGACTTAGTGAGAGCTTGTTTGTGGAATAATGGAGTAAAAGTTCAATTGAAATAACTTATGAGTGAAAGATGAAGAAATGCAAACAGCATGCATAGATAATTCTTTCAGAAAGCTTGACTGCAAAGAAAAAATGGGCAATAGCTTCAGGATTTATACAATGAAGATGGTGTTTTGTTTTAATAAGAGGCATTCATATATATATATGTATATATATATATATGCACTCTCACACACACACATATATACATAACATATGACACGAAGAGAGGAGGAGCAGAGAAAAAGGAGGAGAAAGAAAGGGTATTATTGATAATGAAAGATTCCTGAGAAGATAGATAGGGCAGCCGGAGGAGACCAAAGCACAACTGGAAGCTGTCGCTTCAGACAGGCATTCAGGGAACTTCTCTATTGTAAAAGCAGTGAGGGATAAGAGATGGGAAACAAATGCAGGTAGACTGGGACATTTGATTAGCATGGCATTTAAAGGTGAATTCTACACGTTTTGTAAAGTGGGAAGATATCTGCCAAGAAATGGAAAGATATTGGGGGAGGTTTGATGATAGTGGAGAGGAGTTGAAATAGTTTGGGCTGTGATTAGAAGAACCTAGAGGAACTTCCATGCTTCATGAAGTCCTGGGCAGGATTAGGAACCAAACTCAGGTTGTTGATCCTGAGGGGAACACCTTTTATTTCTTCAATTTCTGTTCTTCCCAAAAATTACAACCCTGTTTGCCAGCTCAAATTTGGGATCTTAATTTGTACCCCTCTTATACTATACTATATTGCTCTGTGTGGGTGTGTGTGTGTCTGTGTATTTGTGTTTATCTTCCAATAGGATCATAGCACCTTAAGAAACTTAGCATTAATTTGCCATCCCAATATATGCTTGGTTTAACACACTATGTACAAATTCAACACTTAATAAATATTTGCTTCGAATAAATATATAGGTGTTCGTTTGAATGTAATACAGGAAACATAAAAGGTTTCTAAGGTTTTAAATCTCAAACATCAATTCCTAGATTTAGTCCCAGACATACAAAATCTTCAATTTTATATATAATTCCAGAATGCCAAATATCTGAACTGACATACACTATGACTCTTGTCTGACTGTAGATATATTTGAACTAGTTATTCTTTTTTTTTTTTTTTTTTTGAGACGGAGTCTCGCTCTGTCGCCCAGGCTGGAGTGCAGTGGCGGGATCTCGGCTCACTGCAAGCTCCGCCTCCCGGGTTCACGCCATTCTCCTGCCTCAGCCTCCCAAGTAGCTGGGACTACAGGCGCCCGCCACTACGCCCGGCTAATTTTTTGTATTTTTAGTAGAGACGGGGTTTCACCATTTTAGCCGGGATGGTCTCGATCTCCTGACCTCGTGATCCGCCCGCCTCGGCCTCCCAAAGTGCTGGGATTACAGGCGTGAGCCACCGCGCCCGGCCTTGAACTAGTTATTCTATACAGTGTGTGCCTGAACGCTTTTTGCAAATCTTTCTGCAAATTGTCTCTAAGGCAATAACATCCCTGAATCAGATGTATACTTAATAAACAACCGCAAGTAAGAGCATTTTACATGGAAACGTAAATGTCTTTTTAAATATGCAGGTAGAATAAAAGGTTCAGCTATAAGATATTTTGATTTAAGTTTTATCATTGAAATTAAGGAATCTCATACTTAACCTTCAAGAGCTGCTATGCTGGTGAGTGGAAAATTATTTTTGATTACAAAACAAGCAGTTAATATGCTTTGCTTTAAAAAGATTTGCTTCAGAGACAGTGAGGTTAGCTGCTATTTTGAATTTCAAAATGAGGCCCTGATTTCCTGTAGTGGATATTCTTGCTGACATGTCCCCGGGTTCCACAGCTATGCCTCGCTGCTCGAGTTTTGCTTCACTGTGTCCTTCTGCCCACATATTTGAGGGCTCTGTCCTCCATTTGCCATCGAGCAGCTGCCTAAGAATCCATCTGCCATCCGTCTTTCACACGTGCACCACCCAAAGGAGTCCCTCCTGCAACACATCAAAAGTACTCCTGTGCTGAGGAACTGTCTGCATTCAAAATCCAGCAGAAAATAAGTTCAAGGGGAGACACTAAGAATACATGACTGTTTTGAAATACCAAAAGAATTGCAAATGGAAATAACTTAACAAAAGCATGATAAGTAGAATGGCAAAATGACTAGTTATGTACACCTAATATATTAATATTCAAGGAAAAGGGGTGAAAAAAAGTAATACAACACCAAAAGGTTTTAAACGTATGAATAAAAAGTAGAAAGGTAAATTAATATATAGGGTGAGCACTTTGATTACCGAATACAGAAATACTTCTACTGTTAAGGGATAGAATAAATTTAAAAAATAAAAATATAAAATAGTAAACTAATTTTTTAAAAAAAGATATTCCCAACAATAATTATTCATGATAATGCCAATATATAAAAAAGGATTTTAATATTTATGTTTCTGTATAAAGTTTCCACTGATCTATAACCTGAAAGAAATTTGGTGACAAGTAACCAAGTCACTGTCTTCCTATTGTCTCGTAGGTCTCAATAGCCATCAGCATCACTAACACCTCATAAAATGTCCTGTGTTTTAAATGGGTGGGGAGCTCATTTGATATACTGTTTATCCCCTTGTTATTAAAAAGAAATGGCAGAAGTGAATTTGTGCAAGGAAGGGCAAAGAGAATAAAATTTAAAAAACCAAGGCTATTAGTCAAAAAGAATGAAAAAAAGAACCCTAAGTTCTTCAAGGAAAAGTGATTAAAAACATGACACTCAAAGGTCCAAAGAGAATAAATGATTCAAACAAGGCTAGAGTGTTAAAATATACATCTAGAAGGATTTGACACCTACATTTCTAAAGGACCTGAATGATTTTCAACAGACCTCAGGCTAAAAATTTATAATGAGAACTTCTCAGAAGCAAATACCAAGGGGAAAAAGTCAGTTGTTAATAAAAAGGAATTTGTATTTGATTTTCATTTGTTCACATTCGTTTAATTTTCCTAAAAGAATATGACTTTTAAAAGAATAAAAGAAAATAATAGTTTGTATTGACTAAATAGAATATTTCTGATCATTTTGCAAACATTGGGATATTAAAGTTCTTTATAACTCAGTGACATTCAACAAATATCACAAAAGAAATAACAAACCAAACAATGCAAAAATAAGCAAAACTGTCTACCTATAGTCCTATATCAGATAGACACTGAGGAGACATGATATGAAGGCCATAGAGACAGTGTGAATTAGGAATGTCTTTACGAACATAGGGGAGAAAGTCAGAATTTCACTTACAGAAATTCAGAGGACAAGCATGAACACCTTCCCTAACTGTCTACCACCAGTTACAATATTTGAAATTCAACCAGCATTATTTCATTTTATTAATTTAAAGATATTTAGGATTTAGTAATCATCTCTTTTAAGTCTAGAAAAGAGCATTTTATAGCAAAATAAAAGCAAAAAGTCCTGGTAAAGATCTTGACCGATAGGGCTTGTCTATTGGAGCATCTTGTAACGATGGGCCATAAGAAACCAGAGTAAGGATGGAGTTGAATGTAAAAGGAGTTCAAAAAGAAGCATTGAATATTTCCCAGTTTTACAAGGCTTGCAACATTTTCAGCTTTATAACATCTGTAGGCAAAATGGAAAAATGAGTCATTGAAGGAAAAAGGTAACTCTGTGCCTATTGAGAGGAGAATGCTAATCTCATTCCATCATTTTTCAAACTATTGTATTTCATCGAAGACACCCTTAGCATTATAGCACAGTTATGCACCACATAACAATGTCTCAGTCAGTAACAGATCTCTTGTATACCAGTGACTCATAAGATTATAACAGAGCTGAAAAGTTCCTAGATCCTAGTGAGTTGTAGCCACAGTAATGTCATAGCACAACACATTACTCACATTTTTGTGGCAGTGCTGGTATAAACAAACCTACTGTGCTGCCAGTCATAAAAAGTTTTACACATACAATTATGTACTTGATAACAAACGACTATGTTACAAGTTTGTATCTTTACTAAACTATATTTTATCATAATTTTAGAGTATACTCCTTCTACTTATTAAAAAAAAAAGCTAACTTGTAAAACAGTCTCAGGCAGGTCCTTCAGGAGGTATTCCAGACGAAGGCATTGTTATCATAGGAGTTGACAGCTCCATATGTGTTATTGCCCTCTAAGACCTTCTAGTGGGACAAGATGTGGAGGTGAAAGACAGTGGTATTCATGATGCTGACCCTGTCTAGGCCTAGGCTAATGTATGAGTTTGTGTCTTAGTTTTTAACAAAAAAGTTTAAATAGTAAAAAATAAAAGACTTTAAAAAGCTTACAGAATAACGGTATGAAGAAAATATTTTTGTACAGTTATAAAATGTGTTTATATTTTAAGCTAAGTGTTATTATTAAAGAGTCCAAAAGTTTTAAAGAATTAAAAAGTTTATAAAGTAAAAACTTTACAGTAAGCTAGGGGTAACTTCTTATTGAAGAAAGAAGAAGTATTTTTATAAATTCAGTTTAGTCTAAGTATACAGTGTTTATAAAGTCTACAGTAGTGTATAGTAATGTCCTAGGCCTTCACGTTCACTCACCACTCACTCACTAACTTGCTCAGAGCAACTTCCAGTCCTGCAAGTTCCGTTCATGCTAAGTACACTACACAGGTATACCATTTTGATGTTTTATACCATATTTTTACTGTACCTTTTCTACGTTTAGATATGTTTAAATGCACACATAATTACCACTGTGTTATAATTGTCTACAATATTCAGTACAATAACATGATGTACAGGTTTGTAGCCTAGGAGTAACAGACTATACCATATAGCCTAGGTGTGTAGTAGACTATACTATCTAGGTCTGTTAAGTATGTTCTATGATGTTCACACAATGACAAAATTGCCTAATGACCATTTCTCAGAATGTATCCTTGTCTTTAAGTGATGCATGACTGTATTTACAATCTGGTAGGAGTCTTTTGAGCTCTTATAAAATCCCCAACATTTTACTGATACGAAACACAGATAAAGTGTTCCTTACTAAATTCATAAACCAGTTAGTTATATGGCTAAGACAAGCAGCTGATTTTCTCCATTCTAGTGGATTCACAACACGTCTCACTGATTTTTTCCTAAATTTTTCTCCCTTAGATAAACCTATTGATGTAGGTGATGTCACCAGTGTTATTAGAGCATATCACTGTGTTGTATCTGCCCTACTGAACTGGTATCCAAAAGTACACTATGATTCAGCAAATAGAAGTGGAACATTTCATTGCTTATTTCATGAAAACATTGTCATAAATTGCATTTTATTTCTAAAAATAATGGATGCCATTGAAACTATTTTCAGTGGAATTTTACTTTCAGACTTAGAAATATTTCACTTGCAAAAGGACTGTGCCTACCATAGAAAGGTATCAATGGTGAAATATTGTAATACTGGTAAGTAAATGGAATCTCTAACTGAACTGTAGATTGTTGCAATGCCTATCATGAGTTGACCATTCAACTTCAATTGTGGTTGAAATAGCTCTTTTTTGTTTGCTTGTTTTTGTTTTTTATTCAAGTTGATATCAAAAATAATAAGAGAGATTACATGATTGAACCAAAATGTTCCACGCCCAGGCTCTTGTACATACTGTCGTCTGGGTGTTGCTAGCACTGTGTTGTCATTAATTTCAAGGTTACACTTGGAGTGCATAGAATAACCACAGGAAAATTTCTCCATGTGGAAGCCACTTTACTTGTTGCTTTGGAAAAGGACTTGATATCCATAACAGCCATCCAATGCTAAAAGAGTGATAAGGAATGTAGTCATTCTTTAGTACATTGGCCACAGAATGACACCCTAAAAATGCAAAGAGCTTCGCCTATGCCTAACTCTATAAACAATGTCTAACATGATTAGAATTCATTTACTTATAAAACATCCACACATCCAATTTTTCACAAACTTCCACAGGCAAATAATATTATGCCATCCCTGTTTCACCCCACCTTTCCCATTATTTGAGTGATTAACTTTTAAAAATGAAACCATATGAAGAAGTTTTGTTTAAATAACAACAAAGTCACAGATTACACAGATGTCTGACTTATAAGAAAAAGAATGCATAAAAACAGTGAAAATTATGGGTGCCTTTGGCCTCCAAATTCATTTATCACATTACAACAAGCAATGATGTTCTCTGCTACCCAGAAAAAAATGGAGGCCTTGGATGACCCTCTAAATCTGTGTTCAGTGTTCCAGAAATTTCCAGGACTCCACTACAGAAAGAGTACCCAGCAATTCCCTTCATTTCTCATCTCAAAACTGATCTCTCCTCTTGGCTGTCACTGTCAGTTCAGGTTGTTGCCTGATGCATGCCTTTGAGGGGCTGTGTGACTCATGGTGAGTTTGCCTTACTTTACTCCCCACTTCAAGGGGCAGATGCCAAAATAAACTCTGTACCGTCACAGGGAGAAGCTGCTTCCATTCACTGGAAATGGAAATCTTCATCTAGTTTTTACTTCCTTTAATTCTTATGCTGTTATTAACAGAGTCCTCTGATAACCTCCCTGGCCTGTTCTCCACCGTGTCTCTATACTTCTTGTATCAAACTTTTGTTTCACTTTCATTGATTTATTCAACAAATATTCAAAATAGTACTATGTGCCAGATACTTCTCTAGATGCTTCAAAAACATACAACAGGAGAACGCACTCCTTGTCCAAGAAATTCACAAATTTTGGGGATCTACAATTTCAATAATGACATTCTAACACAGGAGAAAGAAGTCACTCTTTGATAGAACTCTCTACACAGTTATCTCTAAAGTCATTCATTACTCTTAGAAGATGCAATTATTTGCTACAATATAGATTGATGGTCTGGTATAGTGAAGAGTGATGGAAATAAAATTAGGCCACCCCAGTTCAAATCTTATCTGCCATTTTCTGGCTATGTGACTTCACAGGTCTCAGTTAAGTGGTTATTCCCTAAGCATGAGTGTCCTTAACTGTGAAATTGTTATAACAATGACCTACTCACAGGGTCATGTGAAGACCACTTGAAATAATTTATGGAAATTGCAGCACAGCTTCTGGTCCTTAGTAGGCACTCAATAAATGTTGTTTTAGTCAAATGAATTACAATAAAAATACGTTAGATGCCAACCATGTAATAACTCCTTAACTGTCTGAAATAATTTAAGACTTAGAGAAAAGTTGTAAAGCAATACAAGTTCTCTCATAGCCTTTGCTCTGATTCCTCAGATTATTTTATATATAGTATTCTCATATAAACAATATATCAAAAATAAAATCTCTACATTTTAAAAGTAATTATCAGACATAACATTCCTTCACTCCTACAGACTGTAGCATTTCTCAAGAACAGTAACATTCACTTACACAACCAGAGTAGAATTATCAAAATTAGAAACATTGATACAGTATTATAACATAATCTATAGACTTACTCATTTCATCAGTTGTTCCACTAATGTCCTTCATAGCAAAAGAAAACAAAATGTTTTCTAGCCCCAAATTTAATTTAGGCCCACACACTCCATTTGCAAGTTATGTTTCTTTAGTTCCTTCAGTCTAGAAAAATTTCCCTACCTTTCTTTGTCTTTCTCAACCTTGACATTTGAAGAATACAGGTCTGCATTTTGTAGACTGTTTCTCAATTTTGGTTTGTCCATTTTTTTCTCATGTTTACATCAGTTTATGCCCTCTTGGCAAAGCAATACAAGAGTGATATTGCGTCCTTCTCAATGCATCATATTAGGAGACATATGAAGTCAATTTGTCCCACTAATAATGATATTAACTTTGACCACTAGATTAAGGTAGTGTGTGAATAATCTCCACTATAGAATTATTCAGTTTCCTTTTATAACCAATAAACATCTGTGAGGAGATATTTTAAGACTAAGTAAATACTCTGTTGCTCACTATATTTTTGTCCACTAGTCCCACCATGCAATGATTTTACCTAAAACAGTTATTGCTATGGAAATTGCCAAATGATGATTTCTAATCACTTCTACATTTATTAGACATAATCATATAATAACATTTACTGTTAATTATGAACAAACTAATATTCCTTTGATTCATCTAACAACCAATGTTAAGAGAAACAACCCATTTAGGCATCAGAGGAAAATGTTTTTTATCTGTTAAATATGCCTTTTATCAAGCTATGTTATCATCATAAAAACAGTATCTGTTTAAAATGTATTTTTAGAACTGCATTAAAACTTCACAAAGAACACTAAATCCTCACAAAAATGACTGTCTCTGATAGGGAACAGGAGAATAGAACACACTAAGAACAAAATTAGCCAAATAACATTGTCTGAGTGACCCTGAGAAGTAAGAGAATGGTGTCTAAATATATTTATTTACTAACACACCCTGTGCTTCTATTTTTCTTTTTTTTTTTAAGTCATCTTGTTTCTGAAGGAATCTATGGGCCTATCTTCACTGTGAAGATCAAAAGAAAACTAAAAAAAAATCACTATATATTAGTGAAAGTAGATTTGTTATTGGTTAAGGGTAAAGAATCCAGAGAAAAACTCCTTATCACTAGAAAATATGTGAAGAAATATCTTCGAAGGTGCTTTTCTATATGCTTGGAAGTTCAGATTTTTTTTAAATTTTGAATTTATACTCTTCTTTCTTAAGGTTCATATATTTTGGCTTTTATAATACTACTTTACTCCTAATTCCCAATACTAATTTTCTGAACAGTACAATGGAGCACCAAATGAGTAATAAGAACATTTGAAAATTCTACTATTTTATGATATTAGGTAGTTTATATACTTCTTTGTTGTAGAGCAACATTTTACTGAATAAAATAATAGTGAAAAGTCTTAATTACATATTAATTGTTGATAAATTAAATTTTCAGCTTTTAAACATTTATAGTAAAACAAACTAATTGGTCCTGCTCGATGGCATTTTGCTGTCTATATAGATTAGAGATGATTTGGATAAATAGATGGAGTAAAGCACTGGTACCTAATAGTCAGGAGACCAGTGTCCAGATGGAGCTCAATACTAATTAGTTATGTGATCTTGTGTGAGTAACATAACCATCACTCACCATGGTTATTTATCTGTAAAATGAGAAAGTTGGATCATGTGATCTTTTATGGTTACTTTAAGACTTAAAATTCTATTTATTGTAAAGAAAAAGTGTTTTGATTCTTATTATATTTCTGAAATTCTGATTATAGTTCCACTTAGCACATTATATCCAAATGATGTGTAACTCTAGCCTAGCCCCTTCTCAGAGTACCATTTAGTCATAATCAAAAAATGAAATTTCCCTGACTCAAATTATCAACATCCAAATCATAATATTTTACTACACATAGCCTGCATGTATTTCCTTTATGTTAGTAAACATTTGCATTACTCAACTAAATTTTTCTCTTTTTTATTATCCCCAAACTGCCTTCTTATTATAATTTGGCTTCCATAATAATTTGCTTTCACAGGCACTGCACAGACATTCTAATCTGCCTGATAATTTTCACAATATCAATAAGATGCATTCCGGTGAATATTTTATCCTTATGTGAGTTTGGTTAATATGAAACAACTCCTTCATGTTCTGATTTCGCTACAAAACTAACAAAAATCAAGTTTCTGAACCACTGGATCAGCAAAGCTATCATCCCGGGCCCTGGTAAATTCACCAAGACGCTGAGGTCTGATAATAGAGAGTCAGCAGACCTTGCCCTGGTGATAACTCCACTTCACCATCAGTTTCTCTTGGAATGTATTACTTCCTGAGTTCTGCATTGGACATTTCTGCAGGCTTCAAGCCAAATATCGGGGCTATTCAGGTAGAAAGGGCTCTAGTAATTTTGGACCAAATTCTTAGAGGTTTACTTGATAGAAAAATACTGTTAGATATGAGCTGCCAATCAAAAAATTCAACCTTTTCCATTTGAATATTAAGAAAATGTGAGCAAGATATAATCATAAAGGCAAACACTCAAAGTGATGATTCTAGGGACCAGGATATTAAAGTGAATGATGGAATGACTCAAACTCAAATCATTAAATTATATCGAATATTTAGTTCTTAGTTTTATCTAATAACTTATATGTCTAACACCAAATTCAGGCAGCTCACTAGGTGCACAAAGCCTAAAGACAAACTATTTTACTGCAAAGTGTGGATTTTTTCCATTTAGAGAAACCATACATCTAATTCTCAGTCACCCCTGCCAAAATGAGCAGGCATCCGCATCCTGGACCAAACTTTTTCTGCCATGCTACTTTCATTACCTGCTTAGAGTACACTCTAAAATTTGTACAGATGTATCTAGGTAATAACCATCACTTATCTCATAGCCAGGTCATTGTCACGCATTGCTGAAGGGTCTAGGGATGTGTTAATAGGTCAAGCCATTTTAAAGACACCTTCTACAGTCATCTTTTGATATGGATATAACTCTCACCTAGGTCCAGCCATATTTGTTCCTTCTGCTTTGTTTGTTTTTTAAGACAGAGTCTCCTTCTGTCGCCCAGGCTGGAGTGCAGTGGCATGATCACAGCTGACTGCAGCCTTGACCTCCCAGGCTCAAGCAATCCTCACACTTCAGGCTCTGGAGTAGCTACTACTACAGGCACATGCCACCACAGCTGGGCTAAATTTTGTATTTTTTGTAGAGACAGGGTTTCACCATATTGCCCAGGCTGGTCTTGAACTCCTGGGCTCAAGTGATCTGCCTGCCTTGGCCTCCCAAAGTGCTCTTTCTGTTTTTCATCACTTACTTCTCAGGATGCCTTCAGTCTCCTATATGAAAGCTCTGCTTCTATTTTTAAAATAGTACACATATAGATATCTTCCAAATATATGCCTTTGCACCGTAACACATGATAGATAGATGGATGGAGAGATAGATAGATAGATATCTTCTTATGCATTTTATCTATTTTGTTCTCTCTCCTAAGCACTTTTGTCTCCCCCAAATAGGTTAAAGCAACTATCCACTATCACAACCTAAGTCCTAGGGATTCTTGTCCTAAAATTAATAGCTCAATATTCTAAAAGGCATAAATCATAGAACTTTCTTACCAATCTAAAAGATAACCTAGTGGAGCTTTGGGCTTTGAATTTTTTTCCAACTCCTTTTCTCCTGATTTCTGCACTCTATTTCTTGTTGCCGCCAATACCATGATCGAGAACAGACGTTTGCAGTATTATCTCATGTGATATTACCAACAAGCATACCAGGTAGTGAACATTATCCATATTTTATATGCAAAGATGCTGAAGATGAAAGAAGAATGGTAGCTGTCCAATGCATCACAGCTCATCAGCAGTAGATTCTGGTCTGCCTGACTCAAATGTCCATGCCTTTCCTACTATAAAAGACTGTCTCGCAATGAGAGTGTCACCTGTATGCTTTAAATCTATCTGTGGTATCTAATAAAAAGTAGATCAGAGTCAATATGGTCCTAAAATTTGACTTTGTCAGTTTCAGTTTTTAATTATTTTAAATACTACATTATAAGCAAATAATAATTACATGGGTGTGTGTATGAGTGTATTTGTGTGTAAAAAAAACAAGCTCTAGATGGGCTTATTTAGGATGTCTTTTAAAATTATTATGGATTTAACATTTGTAAGCATTGTCATAGAAGAGGTTTGACTGGGTGTAGCTGAATTTATTACATGCCAATCAAATTAGTGCAGTACACAAGTAACTTTGTGCTTCAGGATGGCTCTGGGAATCTCCGTTTGATTTGGGTATTGCCATTTACCCATGCCTGGAAGGAAAGAATGATGGCTGAGGTGATTGTGGGTAGACAATGACCCCATTAATCATTGTGCTATAGATATGAGTTGTTCCTTGCAGTGACTCATTACATACTGCATCAAATAATAAACACCGACAGCTAGCTAGGAGTGAGGGAAGACTGACAGATGGTCAATAAATTCAGAACTGGCATATTTTTGTAAATTGATTGTAGGTTTGAAGGCTTGCAGTGCTTTTCACTACAACCTTAAATCATCAAAGTTGTCTTCCAGATTAAGCAATTAAAATTTAAATATGAAAGTTCTAATGATTCGAGAATGAGATATTGCCTATTCTCTCATGCCACTGAAATTTGCTCAATTATTTTTACCAGAAAAAAAAATCATCTTTAGAGTTTATGAGGAAAAAGTGTAGTGGCTAAACTGCAGATACTTTTCTTTGAATGCCATGAAATATCTATGTAAAATTTTTAGAAATCATCACAAAATTGTGAAACATTTTTCCTGAAAGTTATGATTATTTCTAATATAAACAGGTAATATTAAAAGGAAAATAAATGCAAAGCTTGAATAATGCGCGGTACTTTATAAAATATATTTCACAAGTCTAAATATTCTGCCATGTAAGATGTAGTTACCATGGTTGATATAGTTCCCTCTTCCTATAACATCCAAAATTGCATGAGTCTTATTTTAGTGGTTTGGGGAGATTTATAAAGAGCATGCCAATTCCAAAGCCTAGGGCAGTACAATAAAGGCAACAAACTTGTCTTCTGTGTTGAGACAGCCTGCACCAGTTACTGGGCTTTGATAGCCTTTTCTCCACAAAGCATAGATTACAAAAGAAATCTGTTCTCAAAGAAGATAAGAAAATGCTCATTTCATTCAATGAATTAGTTGCAAGCTTATGTTTAATATCAACATTATAAATAAATACCCCATACATACCTTTCTCTTCCCATGGTGTTATATGCTGGATCTCTTCTGTTTGTCCTTCCTAATGTACTCTGCTTCCTCAATTATGGGTTTGTGTCCTGCAAAAAGGTATGTTTAAATCCAAACCCCCAGTAACTGTGAGTGTGACCTTATTTGGAAATAGGGTCTTTGCAGATGTAATCAAGTTTAAGATGAGGTCATACTGGATTTGAGTGAGCCCTAGTGCATATGATTGGGGTCCTTATAAAAGAAAAGAAAAGACACAGACACACGGGGGTAAAACACTGTGAGAAGACAGAGCCAGATGTCTAAGCAGCAGCTGCAAAGCAAGGACCATCGAAGATCACTGCAAACCATCAGAATCTAAGAAGAGGTGAGGAAGGATTCTCTTCTCTAGGCTTCAGAGGAAATATAGTCCTGTTGAAACCCTGATTTCAAGCTTCTAACCTACAGAACCCTAAGACAGCAGTCCCTAACCTTTTTGGCACCAGGGACTGGTTCCGTGGAAGACAATTTTTTCATGAACTGCGGGGTTGTGGGGATGGTTTCAGGATGAAACTGCTTCACCTCAGGTCATCAGGCACTAGCTTCTCATAAGGAGCGTGCAACCTAGATTCCTCGCTTGCACAGTTCACCATAGGGTTCATGCTTTTATGGAAATCTAATGGCCAGCTGATCTGACAGGAGGTGGAGCTCAGGTGGTAATGCTTGCTCACCCACTACTCACCTCCTGACGTGCAGCCCAGTTCCTAACCAGCCACAGACCCCTACAGGTCCATAGTCCAAGGGGTGGAAAATGCTGCCCTAAGACAATAAATTCCTGTTGTTTTAAGCCACCTGTTTTGTAGTACTTTGTTACAGCAGCCCTAACAAATGGATACACTGTTCATTCTGCCCAGGAAGATCGCCCACAGAGACAGCAACAGTGAGTCTCCTCTCACATCTGGTTCAGGTAGGTCAAAATAAAGCTCTGGAAGGAATGCAAGGACAGTGGAAGATTAAGGCCACTAAGTATTCTGTCAGTTCCCTCCTGCTAAGTTGCTTTAACTTGTTTGTTCCTCTCCCAACAGCTACAGCTCCAGTCCCTCTCCATAAAGCTGCCCTCTGGAGTCTGGTAACTGCTTTGTCTCCTTCCCCGCTCAGACCTGGATGGTAGTGGCTCCCAAGTGTCATCATCTATATTAATTATCAATTGCAGCATAACCAATTAACATGAATTTAGTGGCTTAAACCAACACACATTAATTATCTCAAAGTTTCTATGGGTCAGGAATCAGGCATGGTTTAGCTGTATCCTCTGACTCTGGGTGTCCCAGCAGAAGCAATCAAGGTATTGGCCAGGGCTGGTGCTCATCTGAAAGCTCCACTAAGGAAGGATTTAGTTCAAATTCATTGTTGCTGTATTTATTTCCTTTTGGATTGTAGGACTGAGGGGCTCAGTTCCTTTCTGGCTATTGACCAGAGGGTATCCTCAATCCCTTGCCGTGTAGTACTCTCCAGCATGGCAACTTGCTGCCTCAAAGCCAGCGAGGGCAAGTGTCTGCTAGCAAGACATAAGTCAGAGTCTTTTGTAATTTAATCTTAGAAGTGGCGTACCCTCAAAGTTGAGATATTCTGTTGGTTGTATACAACTTAATCAAGGGGAGGAGATTACATGAGGCAGTGAATAGCACAAGATCAGGATCATTGGGGTCATCTTGAAAGCTGCCTACCATCCCGTGTCTTGTTAGAGAACTTAAATTCTGCCCACACCTTAGTAAATAGCCCCCTATTTAAGTGTGCCATCAAATAGGGGGCTATTTACTAAGCCCCCTATTTGAGGATGATAAATTCAATTTAATCAGTCTTCTTTCTATTCACTCTGATGAATTACTGTTCACTCTGAATAATGTGCTGGTTTCCAAGATTCACCAAAACTAAAGAAAGCTATCAGTACTGAACATTCTCAGCATATTCAGTCATCCAGGCCAACATGGTCTATAAATGTAACAATTTGCCTAAGTCATGAAATAAAACATTTTTTTCTAAAATAATTTACATTTATACCTGATTAGATCAAATGAGAATTAGTTCATGAGAAATTGTGTAGGATATCAAGGGTCTTGTGATGGTTAATATTGAGTGTAGACTTGATTGGATTGAAGGATGCAAACTATTTTTGGGGGGTATGTCTATAAGGGTGTTGCCAAAGGAGATTAACATTTGAGTCACTGGATTGGGAGAGGCAGACCCACCCTCAGTCTAGGTGGGCACCGTCTAATCAACTGCTGGCATAAAATCAGGCAAGGAAAGAACAGACTTGGCTGAGTCTTCTGGCCTCCATCTTTCTCCTGTGCTGGATGCTTCCTGCCCTCGAACATCAGACTCCAAGTTCTTCAGCTTTTGGACTCTTGGACTCACATCAGCGATTTGCCAGTGGTTCTTGCACCTTTGGCCACAGATGGAAGGCTGTACTATCAGCTTCCCTACTTTTGGGGTTTTGGGACTTGGACTGGCTTCCTTGCTGCTCAGCATGCAGACGGCCTATTGTGGGACTTCACCTTGTGATCTTGTGAGTCAATACTCCTTAATAAACTTCCCTTCACATATTCATCTATCCAATTAGTTATTTCCCCTTAGAAAACCCAGACTAATACAGGCCTATACAATTGTGTGGTAGATTTAGCAATAGTATGACTAGAACAAGTGAAAATGCTGTAATCAAGAAAACTATTAAACATTATCATGGAGAAAAGACAGAAGTCAAAGGTTCTGACTTCTTTTGGGGTTGGAGTGGCAACACAAAATATCATGGCCAAGAGATAAACAAAGACAATAAACGAGTAGATGATTCAAGAAAAGAGGAGATGAGAATGACTGGAGAAGCCTGCGAGTCTGCAGGACAGGACTATCAGAATGATAGGGAAAGAAGCTCGTGTGCCTTTGGGACAAGTGTATGCCCACTGTGTTAAAGACTCTTGCACAGACATTTAAGCCCTATGCAGGAGACACAAGTATATTAGTGACTCTCTTTATAAGAAGACAAGTAAAGGGTGGTTTGATTTTTCTCTCTTTTTAAAAAATTTCTTAAGTAATACATTACAAATACAGTTTCAAGGAAAGAACACCAAGCCAGAAGCAGAATTGAGAATACAGTTCCTTCTAGCTCCAACATAAATGTCAAGGTCCCACGTGATTCAAAGCAATTCACTTAATATTTTAATTTCCTCATCTAGAAAACAGAATAACATCTACCTTGCCTACATCACAAGAAGGTTGTGAAGATCAAATAAGACAATGAATACTAAAGTACTTTGAAAAGTAAAAAGCATTAAATAAATATTATTAAAAATATTTTTCAAAACTCAATCATGTAGCATACATTTATGACACTTATAGGTCTCAGAAAAGCATCTTTTAATAGGCTTTCCTAACTGTTGCCATTAAAATTTCAAAAGCCTAAAATTTTCTTTACTTTGCTCATGATTGGGGTACTTTAGTAACTATTGAACTAAAACATATAATATATAAAAATATATCAACTTAATGGCACTAGAAATTTTTTTCTAAGATATGATCCAGTGATTTCTGTCAGTTTGATATTGTAAAAAATGAGGACAATATTTTCTAATATTTCCTGACATCGTTTCCTTCTCAGTAAATACATCCCTGGAAATGCTATCTTGAAAGGAGAAAATATGACACAGAAAATATTCCTGAAGATAAAAAAAAAAAAAATAGGAGTTTTTGCAAGGGTAGAGGGCAAAAGAAGAAAGATAAAAAGAGGGATGCTAATCTCATTCTCTGCCCACCTCACATGCTTGAGTAGAAAGTTTCTAGATAGTCTAGAAAGTTCTAGATAGTTTAGGAGGAAGGTAATCCAAGGAGCTTAGGTCCCTATAAGGGATCTTATGCCCTACTGGGAAAACATCTTCTAGAAGGCCTCCCATCACCATGTACCAGCCACTGCATAGAACCAGTGGCATAGGAGGAATAGAGAAAGGATGATCTGGGACTAGTGCTGCAGAAATTCCTCACCTTCCGTGGGGTTTGATATTCCCAGTGGAGGCATCGGAAGTAGCTGAGAGGTCAGAACTAGCCTGCCTACTGTAGGGACACTGAGGTAAATATCATGATGAACCTATGTCAGAGTGGAGAAGAAAAGCCTAAGTCAGCAAATGTAGAACTTGGTTAAGCCTCAAAGGATCAGAGAAACAAGGGAAGCCTAGGAGAGGCCAACTCAGCCCAGGAAGTACTCCAAATGTCACCAACTTTCCTAACTCTGCCGGAAATGATAACAGGATGCCTGATGAGCAGCTGCAACAAAAGCCTTGTCACAGAGACCAGCAAGGAATCAAAAGGGCCTCACAGGGGCCTGTGTGAGAGCTAAGCTCCTGACCCTCACACTGAGAAAGGGGTCAGCAGTCTCCCCCTCGAGCCCACACGGTATCTTGGGAATTTGCAAAGAAAGAAACATCTCTGAAATAGAGATGAGCTCTGTAGCCTCAATATTTATCCAAAAGGAGAGAGGCTTAAGCCAGAAGAGGCTGAAATACGTTAACTTAGTAAGTTTACATATTATCTAACACCCTGTGGATAGAGGTTATGAGAAAGTTCAAATCAGTTACAGAGGAATTTTTGTACATCTGAGTGTAGTGTATAAATTTGCAAACTTACCACATTTCCAAACCTGTTTCACATATACATTTTAAAAGAAGTATCACATTTCAGACCCACAAAGAATTTAACCATTCAACATGAGCAAACATAATTTGCATAAATTTCTGCCTTACTGTGGAATGGCAGATTCTGACATGAATTCATATATGTAACACAGTACATTATATGTGACAAGTATCAAGAGCACAGGGCAAATGTCCTCAGGCAATAGTGCCCTCCACTTTCCAATGAGATGTGAACCCTGTAAACCAAAGGGCAGTGGAGGTGCAGCCCATATACTTATCTTCCAGTTCACAGACTTTTTCAGTGCAGTAATATAGTTATAAGCCCTTTTAAGTAGAAATTTTGAACTGGAATTCCAATTCAGCCTTGAGAAGAACCTCACATTAGGACAATATCAATAGGGAATAATTTAGGACTTAACTCCTTTTTTTTACTCCATTCCAGATTTATTCTTTATGAGATGTAAATATCAGAAACATGTGGAATACTGAACAGATTTTTGAAAACCTGAAGCAAAAGAGAGCATGTATTAAAAATGGAAAAAAATGTCCAATTCTGGCATCAGAAAATCGTATTAGTAATCTTGTTACTAATCTTGTTATACATAATTAAAACATTTTATCTTCAGAAGCTCATAGAAAAAAAGAAGTAATACTAGCTTCTTTTTTAGGAAAATTTTTTGTGTTTAAATTCTTAGAAGATATTAGTTCAGAAGCTAACCTAGAATGTGTATATCTGTAGACAATATCAATAACACAACAAAACAGGTACAAACAAAGTCTAG
The DNA here is from genome assembly GCF_000001405.40 of Homo sapiens. Taxonomy (NCBI): domain Eukaryota; kingdom Metazoa; phylum Chordata; class Mammalia; order Primates; family Hominidae; genus Homo; species Homo sapiens. Next base: position 59,100,678 of record NC_000013.11, read on the forward strand.
AGTTTCTGGTTGATCAGTGGTCTTAGTCCATAAGAACCAATAGTTGCTTCAGTTTCAAATTTAGTTTCAAATTTCAATGCTATTGACATTTATTATAAAACCTACCGGTTTATTCAACTAAAGGCAAGATGTCAAATGTTCCTGTGATAGTAACCATCTGTACCTTCCCTCAAGTGACTTCATGTTTTCCTGAGGTCCAGCTGTAATTACAAGATTTTCAGAAGTGGAAAGAGTCTTAGAGAAGATATAACAGCTAGAAAGCTCTAAATAGAAATAAAATTTTTGATTTATAAAATACTCTATACATTTCCATTCCCTATAGCAAGAGATGGATTATGGCTAATACTCAGCTAACACGGCTACTCGCAAACTCTGTGTGATAAACACTAAATAATAATCACTTGATTCATTTATTTTCCCCCTGAAAGTTTTGAAGCATCCAGTACTCACCTTTTGGGGCAATTGCTCTGAAACCAGTGACATAATTGGTTCCTTGATTTTCAGTTACAAAATCCAGTTATTAAATGAAGATGGAATTTCAGTTGCCAGTATTATACTTCTATAGATTTTGTATATTTGAGGGAATTGCTAGTAATTTTGTGGCATACATTTGCAAAAGTCATTCTTTATTTTTCTTATATGTGTGACATTCAAAAAATAAGAAAGCTTGAACTTGCCTGTTCCTTCAGCTAGGGAGTAGCCACTTTTGAAATAGGTGCTAGCTATGAATGAATTTTAAGAGTTAGTGAAAATGTTGAAGAAAAACACATAGCTAAATTGAATAGAAAATATTGGGTCAGACATAAATGATCATGCTGGCTTTACACATTTGCTTACACTTGCACTAGTTCTGGCTTCTATCTTACATCTCAGGTTACTTCAGAAGTAGCCAAAATACATTGAAAATAAATTTTCAGTAGCTCAGGATAAACTGTATCCAGGCTGGATACTTTAAATATTTTAATTTTTTTAAAAAATTCATGTATGGTAAGTCACATTCACACTCCAAAATTTATAGTCCCTAAGTTGCAGTCATTCCTGCTTCGGCTGCTGACTTACAGCCCTGACAATTCCATTTTTATTTTTTTTTTAATATCATGAAACTTAACACTGCTGGCTCTGGCAGGAAGGTAAGACCCCCAGTTATTTTCTCTTCCACACTTAGTATTCACAAACTACATTGATTAAAAAATTGCTATGGGTGTGACTTATCACATATGGTACTGCCTTCTGACTAGCAAAGAAACTTAAATACTAGAAAATATCAACAGCATGATTACATAGAGAAGAGAAAAGAGATGACACTCATTTATCCTTTTGAAAGCCATATTTAGCTATGCAACATTATCAGCAAAGTACAGACGAGGTATCTCCAGAGGGTCACTCCATTTTACTTTGTTTAATTTAGAGCAGCAGTCTCCCATCACGGTCATTTCCAATCTCTAGGGCTGGTGATCACATGAAACATAAGATTACACTCCTTTTAGGGAGTGTAAAAGGAAAAACAAAGAGTATATTTTCGTTTTCATATATCAAGGAGTTTACTTGGTAATTAATACTTTCTATAAATATTCATATTCCAAAAACTATTTCTTTCGGGTCTAACTTCATACGCTGGGACATAAAAGTGTGATAAAAATGCCAGTGTATGAGGAATTCTGTTTTGTTTTGTGTTGTTATTGTTGTTAGTCTTAATCATTGGGACATAGTAGAGTACAGGATGACTGGTTAAAATCAGACATTTCTTTCTTATAATAAGCTCACTTTATGCCCCTGAGGAAATAAGTTTTAAAAAATCCTTGTTCTCTCCATTTGTTAAATAGGTATGAAAGTAACCATCAATTTCAACACTATGTGAGGTATATTTTAATTGGTTTATGTAGATGACTTTGAGATCTCATCTTAGAGTCTTCTATGGAAGTATCAAGTAAGATGACATGTTTATAATTCCAAAGTTATTATATTTCATCTTTTGTTGTATTTCAATAACCATTAAAAAGTAGAGGTCTAAAGCAATGGTTTTCAAACTTGAATGAGTATGAAAATCCTGTAGAAATCTTGTTAAAACATGTAATTCTTGGCCTGTCCTTAGAGTTTCTGATTCAGAAATGAACATTCTGAATAGAAACTAACATTCTTAGATGAATTTACATTTTTAATTTGCACACTAGCTTTGTTTTGTGAACACACATAAAAATAGTAACTATAAAATATATAAAATGTGGCTATAGAATAAGATAAACATTTTTATCTCCCTGCTTATTTTAATGTCAATTTTTGAGACCTTTGCTAAGAAGTGGTTCAGACCACAGGAAAAAAAAAAAAAATCACACAGCCGGGGTTACTTAGATGAATTACATGCTTAGCAAGAGAGATGTCTGGCAAGCTATCAACATTAGATCATTGTACCATAAACTGTATTTTCTCCAGCATACAATAGCTAGTAGTCCAGCTAACTCAATAAAAACAATATTAACGCTGTTACATTACCAGACAATCACATTCCCATTAGCATCAGCCTCTGTGAAAGGTATTCCCAAGATGGAAGTTAGCCAAACTCCTTCAGACAATCTCAACTTACAACACAATGTAATTTGGAAATGGCCATATGGCAGTAAATATGACTGCAAAATATTGCACAAGCCCTTGCTCAGCCTTCTTATGTGACAGAGAGAACTGAGCATCTAGAGATTGCCTTAATGGTAGCCTGTCTTTATATATATATATATGGAACATATTAGCATAATCTTTGGCCCTATAGCCACAGAAAAATAAACATTCTTTCTGAAATTGAATAAACAAACATTTTATCACTCGAGTCAGTTTTAATACACAAATCCTTGCCTGTGCTCACGAAGATATAAGCAGTAGGGAAAATGGAGGGGATTACAAATAGTGTTTCTTATATTGCACAATCAGCCACATTTTCTTCCATGGAAGACATTGTTTACACACCATTTTCTTGTATTTGGTGAATGAAAAAGATGAATGCTGGAAAGATTAAAGCAAAAATATTTAAAACCTGATAGAATCTACAGTGAGGTCTGTTCTGATTTTTTGCTACCCTGTGTCTATCAGGTAGGCAACTGTAGTGGTCTACAGTCATCATAGGGACTAGCTTTTCTATTCTCTTGCCTTTTTAGCATTATCCTTCAAGCAAGTGTCCACCTGCCCAGACAATCAACCTGACTTTCTATGACTTCTTAATAAATGAAGCTCACTCCACTAACCCAAGGGTACCGTCAATCAAAAATATCGATATGAAAGTTTGAATTGCACATTTTATGATCAGCCAACTGTACTTAGGCAATAGCCATATTTAGAAGAGAGCCATTTTCTTGTCTTTTATAATTATATTCTACTTTGCCCTCACCAACATTAGAACACTATCGTTTTGCATATTAAATGCCACATGGTCAAAAACGCAGCAGAATAAATTGGTGACTCTCTTTCAACCCACAGAAATCTCCAGAAAACAGCATAAATAATTTTAAAATGTCTTTCTAAAAACGTAGCTGAAAAATACAAAATTGGCAAGTATGCATTCTAGGCCATTAGCCCTATGCTAATTCTCACTAATGTTTCTCCTTATTAAGACACTTATTTTCCAGATGCGTTTATAGCAGAGATTGCCTACTTTGTTGGTGGGAAGATAGGGAAACATCACCCAATATTTTTCAGCCCTTTGTAAGGGCAAGCTAGATTTTACTACACATTTTTCTACCCATTTACCTACCCTTTGTGAACGTGACAGGTTGTCAGATACTTCCCTCAAGATAGAACATTCTGATTCAGTAAGATTGTATGCATATTAAGTAAGATGGTGGTATTTTAATTTGCGTTTCCTTCTTTACCTAAGTCAATTTTTAAAATATCTATCTTTCCACAACAAATGGGACTTAAGCAGAAGCTAAATCATTAGCAAAGCAAACCACAATATGGCTAATACTGTATTTTCTACCATCTTAAATGTGAACTGATTCAGTTCTGACTACATCAGTTGAAAATACCAACTCAAAATTACTTCAGGCAGTGTTACTGCCCCCACTGAAACTCAGCTGTTATTTCCTACCTATCATAATACTAACTTCAGAAAATTTCCCTTTGGTCTCAATGAGAGCATCGAAGGAGAGATTATTTTCCAACCATGTCACGAGTATAACACATGTATGAGATATTAGATGAAATTAGCTATGTGTGGTCACAATGCAGTTCTGATATAATGAAATGAATACTAAACTTGTAATCAGAAGACATTGGTTTGTGACTAGGATCTATTCCTTGCTATTTATGGAAGTCCCATAATTTCCCCAAGCTTCAGTCCTCATAATAAAAGGAAAAAGGTGAGCATAATAATGCCTTCTTCATAATATGGTTATGGGCATCAAAAAAAGATAATGTATTTTAAATACCTTTGAACTATAAAATGTCCATCTATGTAAACATTAAGTTTTCCTGCCCCACTCTCCCCATCTCACTTTCCCCTTGTTGTCACATAAAAATGGTCCCCTAGACAATCTCAACATTCAACTCATGGCTTCAGCTACTGGCTCCCATATTTCCATTTCTCATTTAAAATTCTATCCCATTCAAAACCAACTACCTACCACACATCTATATTCTATAGTCATCTCAAGCTCCTCGAAAGCCATGTGTCAAAATCAAAATCCACCACTTCTCTTCTTAATACCTGCCCATTTTCTTATATTTATTTTCTTGGTGACTAGAACCACCATCCATTACTATCCAATTTTCCCTACATTGCTAATGCTAGGTCATTAGTACTGACCAGTTTGATATTTTTGCCTCAAACACTATTGTCACTGTTGAAATTCAAACCCTCACCTCATCTCTTGTGTTACTAACAGATTTCCTTGTCTCAGTCTCCTCATTCCACTTTATCCTTAATGGTACTGTCAAAATGCTCTCATTAAGTACATATCTGCCTAGGTTATTCCTTGCTTGAAATCCCTCATTAACTGTTCATCATCTGGAGGGTAAAATACAAATTCCTTCTTGCAGACTTTCAGATCTAGCTTCCTTCTAGAGCTTCCTCTCCCCTCCAGCTCCTCACCATTCACACCCCAATGTCCAGTCATGCTGAAACTAAAAGCTCTCCCAATGCATCTCATAGCTCCACTAAGCTGTTCCTTTCCACTGGCCCCTCCCATTCCCTAAGAGTTCTCCATAGTCATTTTTTGCCTTTTTTTTTTTTTTTTTTTTTTTTTGAGACAGGGTCTCACTCTGTGGTCCAGGCTAGAGTGCAGTGGTGCAGTCACAGTCCGCTGCAGCCTCAAGCCCCCAGGCTCAAGCAATCCTCCCTCCTCAGCCTCCTGAGTAGCTGGGACTACAGGCACATGCCATCACACCTGACTATTTGTTTTTGTTTTGTTTTGTTCTGTTTTGTTTTGTTTTTTGTAGAGGTGGAGTTTCAACATGTTGCCCAGGCTAGTCTTGAGCTCCTAATCCCAAGCTTTCCACCTTGCGTGAGATCAGGAGTTCAAGACCAGCCCAGGCAGTATGTGGCCTATTCTTGTAAAAATGTGGCCTGCTAATGCAGCCTATAATAATGTGGCTCATTATTCTTGAGGAAACATTAAGTAGATGCTCTTCCAAGAAATTTTGCCTCAGACTGAGGTCTGTGCTGCCAGGTCACCCTCCTCACCCTATGATATGGTTAAGCTTTGTGCCCCTGGTATCTCATGTTGAATTGTAATCCCCATAGTCTCCACTTGTTGAGGGATGGATCTGGTGGGAGATGATTGGATCATGGGGTTGGTTTTCCCAGTTATGTTCTCATGATAGTGAGGGAGTTCTCATGAGATCTGATGGTTTTATAAGGGGCTCTTCTCTCTTTGCTTCCTTCACATTCTCTCTTTCTCTCAACTGCTGCCATGTAAAACATGCCTGCTTCTCCTTTGGCTTCTGCAATGATTGTAAGTTTCCTGAGGCCTCCCTAGCCCTGCAGAACTGTGAGTCAATTAAACCTCTTTTCTTTATAAATCACCCGGCTTTGGGTTTTTCTTCATAGCAGTGTGAAAATGGATGAATACAGCAAATTGGTATCACAAAGAATGGGGTACTGCTATAAAGATACCCAAAAACATGGAAGCAACTTTGGAACTGGACAACAGGCAGAGGTTAGGGAATAGTTTAGAGGACTCAAAAGAAGACAGGAAAATGTTGAAAAGTTTGGAACTTCCTAGAGACTTGGAGGGCTCCGAAGACAGGAAGATGTGGGAAAGTTTGGAACTTCCTAGACGCTTGTTGAACGGCTTTGACCAAAATGCCGATAGTGATAACAACATTGAAGTCCAGGCTGAGATGGTCTCAGATGGAGATGAGGAACTTGTTGGGAACTGGAATAATGGTGACTGTTGCAATGCTTTAGCAAAGAGACTGGTGCCATTTTGCCCCTGCCCTCGAGATCTGTGGAACTTTGAATGTAAGAGAGAGAATTTAGAGCATCTGGTGGAATAAATTTCTAAGAAGCTCAAAAGGTGACCTGGGTGCTTTCAGTTTATGCATTCACAAAGAGGTGGTTTGAAATTGGAACTTATGTCTAAAACGGAAGTAGAGCACAAAGATTTGGAAAATTTGCAGCCTGAAGATGCAGTAGAAAAGAAAAACCCATTTTCTGGGGAGAAATTCAAGTCTGCTGCAGAAATATGCATAAGTAACAAGGAGACAAATGTAAATTGCCAAGACAATGGGGAAAATGTCTCCAGGGCATGTCACAGACTTTCAAGGCAGCCCTTCCTATCACAGGCCCATAGGCATCGGAGGGAAAAATGGTTTCATGGACTGGGTCCAGGTGGGGAACTTGGTGCCTTGTCTCCCAGCCATTCTACCTGTGGCTAAAAGGGGCCAAGGTACAGCTCAGGCTGTTGCTTCAGAGGGTGCAAGCCCCATACCTTGGCAGCTTCTGCATGATGTTGGGCCTGCAAGTATGCAGAAGGCAAGAATTGAGGTTTGGGAATCTCTGCCTAGATTTTAGAGGATGTATGGAAATGCCTGGATATTCAGGCAAAAGTCTGTGCAGGGGTGGAGCCCTCAGGGAAAGCCTCTGCTAGGGCAGTGTGGAAGGGAAATGTGGGGTGGGAGCCCCCACACAGAGTCCCTACTGGGACACTGCTAAGTGCAGCTTTGAGAAGAGGGCCACCATCCTCCAGACCCCAGAATGGTAGATCCACTGACAGCTTGCGCTATACGCCTGGAAAAGCTACAGACACTCAACAGCAGCCTGTGAAAGCAGCCAGGAGGGGGCCTGTACCCTGCAAAGCCACAGGGGAGAAGTTGCCCAAGACTATGCAAGCCCACCTCTTGCATCAGCATGATGTGGATGTGAGACATGGAGTCAAAGGAGATCACGTTGGAGCTTTAAGATTTAATGACTGTCCTGTTCGATTTCAGACTTGCATGAAGCCTGTGGGCCCCTTTGTTTTGGCCAATTTCTCCCTTTCTGAAAAGAAGTATTCACCCAATGCTTATACCTCCATTGCATCTAAGAAGTAACTAACTTGCTTTTGATTTTACAGGCTCGCAGGCAGAAGGGAATTACCTTGTCTTAGGTAAGATCTTGGACTTGGACTTTTGGATTAATGCTGGAATAAGACTTTAGGGGACTATGGCGAAGACATGATTGTGTTTTGAAATGTGAGCACATGAGATTTGGGAGGGGCCAAGAATGAAATGATATGGTTAGGCTTTGTGTCCCTACCCAAATCTCATCTTGAATCATAATCCCCATAGATCCCAAGTGTCAAGGGATGAACCTAGGGGGAGGTGATTGGATCAAGGGGGTTGTTTCCCCCATGTTGTTCTCATGATAATGAGTTCATTCTCATGAGATCTGATGGTTTTACCAGGGGTTCTTCCCCCTTCACTCTCTGCTCACTCCATCCTGCCACCCTGTGAAGAAGGTGCCTGCTTCTCCTTGTCTTCTGCCAGGACTGTAAGTTTCCTGAGGCCTTCTCCAGTCATGCAGAACTGTGAGTCAATTAAACCTCTTTCCTTTATACATCAATCAAACAGTGTCAGGTATTTCTTCATAGCAGTGTGAAAATGGATTAATATACCCCCTTATCATTCATGATGCACTCAAAGTGTTTCAATTATTAGCTTCTTATTTTTCTCTCAATTAAAATGTGAGCACCAATTTTTCTTTTAATATCTAATTAATTTACTAGTGTTAATTATGTTGCCCAGAGTATTATATTCAATATATTATTGCTGAAAAGTAAATTTTCCCTAGTCATTTGTCTTTCTTATTCTTTAATTTTTGTTAAAAAGTAACTAAAATGTTATAATAACTAGGTTAACGATACCTGATCTACCTGCAGAAATGCTACTTACTTGACTTCATATATACCAAAACAAAATCTTACCAATACAAATCTCATATATGCATGGAGTTAGGAATTCCAATTCAGGAAAGTAGGTAAGTTGAATTCTTATCCCATTCTATCATAATAATTCCAGTTATAGAAACACTATCTGATTTCCAGAGCACTGAAATGAAGATTACCAAAAACTTTGCCTCATTCCAAGCTGCACTAAAGGTTGAGAGGGTGTTTCTCCAGAGAATGGTGACTCGATGTACTAAAATTGAATCTGACCTTGGAGATTTCTTTGATTTGTAAGAACATTTATCTTTTACCTATTAATTTTGCAAGTTTAAATGGTAATAACTGTAAAGTGTGGTAAAATTTCTCTTTTTAAAAAAGATATATTTCACAGTAAAATTTGTCTATCATCTTGCTTCACCCTTTTTCCAAATTTCTATACCAAAAAACATTCTAATTTTTGTTTTGTTTTCTTTGGGTTAATATAAATGGCGACAATCTCTAACTCATTGTTTAGGAAAAGGAGGACGCTGTCATAAGGAAGATGCTTTTAATAAGTAACTCCCTTATTCCAAAAAATGATGTTCCAAAGAAATAAAGTGAGGAAGAGGAAACCAGATAGTATGGAAAATCCTTCTTTAATGTGGACAAATAAAGCAGCCAGACAGAAACAGGAAAGCAAAACATAATTAAGGTGGTCCACAAATTATGTTTCTGTTGACATAAACAACTTGAGGTCAAGACTCAAATTTACTGATTGTTTTCTATAAATAATTTTCCTTATGTTTCTTCCTCCTTTTTCATCCTGTGACCACACAAATCTCACCCTAAACACATTCTCCTATAAAATTCTGCCCCCTCCAATGAAAAACAAATCTATTTATGTAACGAATCCTGTAATTCAATTTGCTGTCCTTAAAGATTCTTTGAAGAAAGGAAAAGTTTGCTTTACATTCCCACTTGCTCTCTGAGAAAAACAGAAGTGTCTTAAATAAATTAATTCACTTTCACCATATATGTTCAGGGCTTTGTGTTCATGTGCAAAGCTAACCTCCACAATAACACTTATTTTGCAGTAATAGAAGGACAACATGGAATATGAAGTTTTTTCAGTGACATCTTTTAGGGAAAGTGTAGTAGTACTGAATTTGGTAAAAAACTTCCTCCAAATATTCTTGGGCACTCCCATCATTAAACTTTTTTTTGTTTATTAATTAATTAAGCAATAGTCTTAATTGTTAATTAAGCAATAGTCAACTGCTAGATAGAAAATTTCTCATGTGCAAAAATAACCACCTAGACAATTTTCTGATAAATAGTCAAAATGCCCTTTGAGATGCCTTGTTGATCCTACTATTTTCATTTAAAGATAGAGGGGTAATGAGCCTGACTAAAAAACACTCAGAATCTTCAATCCCCAATTTCTTAAAGAAGTAATTCTCTCAGCAGCCTCTGAAAAATAAACTAAATAGAACTGACACAATCAAGAAAGAAGAGGACATATATTTCAACACGTAATGTGTATGTAACATTTATGTATCTGTCTGTCACTAAGAAAACTAAAAAAGTAAAAATATCCACAAAATAAATAAACCTCAGCCATAGATTTACATTAAACCCTTCTGTTTTTCCACTGACAATTATTTATGTATACATTAATTCACTGTCTTAATAGGTTCAGGTGTTTGTTTGTATTCATGCATAAAACTACGTTAATTGAGGTTTGAAATCACTATATTTGATAATGTGGATCTTTGAAGTTTCTGTGATACATATTATCATAAGCTTTAATTTTCTAAGGCTAAAATCTTTACAGCATGACCTCAGAGAGATCTTGCAACACATCTTAATGACAGCAAGGGTAAAGGTAGTATCTTTCAGAAATGGGGGAAAAAAAGGAAAAAGTAGGATAGCCCTAATTGTTCAGATCTCTTTGAAGATAGATAATGGCTAAGCCCATTAATTGCTTTTAAAATAAAGCAAATTTGTGGAGAGAGAAAAAGTGTGACACATCATGTAAACAGATACTCTCACTTTTTGACACTGGTGTTATAACCCCAAATACATGGATACTCTTTGGATTGGAATAAAGGGCACAGCATTACACAAAAATCTAAATCCCTCATAAGATAGTAATTTACTAGGGATTAATTAAATTCTAAGAAACATAAAACCCTGCTTATTTATAGACTAGATCTGAACTAAAATGAGGTTTTGGGGTTTTTCTTGTTTTATTGGTTGGTTTGGTTTTAAGAAAGAAAGAGAGAGAGAGAAAGAAGAAAGAAAGAAAGAGAAAGAAAGAAAGAAAAAGAAATAAAGAATGAAAGAAACAAAGAAAGATCCAACCAAATGTGTTAGGAACTAATCTAAAACTGTTTTTCTTGAAAAACAACCATTTCCTTTGAATAATGATAAATATCAATAATTTTCTTTCCCTTTTAATGAAAAATTAGCACATTCAGAATTTTCTTTAAATTTCCATGCAGTACCCATAAACATGTATATATTTATATTGTACTTTCTTGGGGAGGTACTTACTCCACCACCATGCTTCCACATCTCATTCTTTTATTTCTTTTATTTTTCTTGTCTCTATTTTAAATTTTCTTCTTTTTTTTTTAACTTGTTTATTTATCCATCTCCCTCCCCCAGGAATGTACAGACTACAAATGTAGGACTACATCCAGCATCTTAAATTCTGTATCCCCAAAGGCCTATTATGTGCATGGCACAGTAGTAATGCAGTGAATGATTTAAATCTCCTTTTACCGTATTCACTTTCTGATTTCAAAACTGTCTTTTGTGATGATATCATGATGATTTTCTGCATGAAATTAAATGTGCTTTCAATGTCCTAATGTGCACTCAGATATACAAACCAAGGTTCTTGAATTCTTTTCATTCTTGGTGTTTTTCCTTTATGAAGTTTCCTGTGTAGGGCCTGGAATGAAATTCATTGGCTGTGACAGGCTCTAATAACAACACCAGCCCTCTTCCAACAGCAACCAGGCTGACGACTGCGGGAGGGACATATGTGCCCTCATGCAGGGAAGATTTCTTCCTAACCTTCCACTACAATCAATACAGAGAAATAGGCAGGGCTGCTAACATCAGGCTCCATTAAGATGACTCTTTCTACCCTCCTGATCTTTAGACCCCAAGAGAAGTGCGAAGAAAAAAAGAGAATAAGAAAGGATGGATGAGAGAAAATAAGATTGAGGAAAGGGGGCGTGGTAGTTTTTCCCTAAACCATCAATTGCCAAGGTTACTTTTGGCAGCGAGAAAAAGAGAAAGGGGCAGAATGTGCCTGTCTGAAGCTTTTGTACTTCTGCCCAGACTGTGGGGAAAATGATGGGATTAAATAAAAATGCCAGCGATAACAAAAAGGAAATCTTCCCAATAGTTTTCCTTGCCTGAAGAATGAACTGCTTGAAGCTATGACCTCCCTGCCTGTCTCAATGAGGTCAAGAAACTGACTGTCACTCCTACATTTGTGATTAATGATGCTCCCGCTGGTGACGTATTTCTAACCACAGTCTCTGGAGAGCAGCAAGACTCAGTTGCCTTGTGGTGTGTTGAGTCATTGCTCTGGCAAAAGATCTGTTTGCTCCAGCAACAGGCTTAGCTTTCAACAAGGCGTCCTCTTGATTCTTTGCTGCAACATCCTATCATGAAAGAACAGAGAGCCCAGTACAAAGAAGGACTGCTAAGAAGGATGAAACATTAAATTAATTTAAAAAAAGCTTTTGTACTGAATGGCAAAATGCAGCATAATGAATAATTAAACAATTAATAATGTAATCCTCTTAAAAGCACACAGCCACTATGGGAGAAGATTAAGTGTTTAACAGTTTCCAGTATAATGCAAATGGTAAGGAGGAGCCTTTCTTCCCCACTTTTTAGGGTAATAGAATTGAAAGCACATTTCCGGATTTTAATTAAATACTATTAAATTTTCAGTATTAAGCCAGCAACAACAGTGCTGCAATATGGAAGGATTATTAAATACAAAGGTAAGTACACAGTAGCAAGACGTTAACATTTCTTGGTTCTGTTTTTATAAAAAGAGGTTACTTGAAAGGGTGCATTCTACTTCTAAGCTACTATGGTGCACATCACCAAACATCAAGCTAAATGCTAATCTGTGTAAGTGACTATAAGATTGAGATTTAGATTAATGTACTTCAATGACAGTCCAATCGTGGGGGAAAAAAAAAAAAACTAGAAAAACAACATAGAATAGTTGCAGAGGTTTGCAACAAAATAATTGATATATCCAAATTCTATTACATTCTCAAACCAACAATTAATATTCTCTATCACATAGCACCTGGGCTGCTACAATTATATTTGCACTAATTCCTAAAGTATCACAGGTGTGGGTTGCCTTAACTCTGTGTCCCTAGAAGCAGAACATGACAGAAGGATTAAGAAAGTTCTTCCAGGTGAAACAGTGAGGCAGTGAAGGAGACACCAAAGGTGTGATTTCAAATGAACTTCAGCTAGCCTGATCATGCAGAGCCTTCTGGAGCATACATTATGCCACAGAGTTTGCACTGGTAAGGGACTCCAGCAGCCCAAAGTCATCCTTTGAAGAAGGAGGAGGACATACAGAAACAGTACTGGGCAGTATAAAGAATTCCAGGGATCCAAGCAGAGCACCAGCAGTATCTCTACAGAGTTGTAGTAAAGAAAGATTCTGAGGCTGGGCATGGTGGCTCAGACCTGTAATCCCAGCACTTTGGGAGGCCAAAGCAGGAAGATCACTTGAAGCTAGGAATTCGAGACAGCCTGGGCAAGTTAAGGAGATCCTGTCTCTACAAAAAAATAAAAACAAATTACCTGGGCATGTTGATATCCACCTGTAGTCCCAGCTACTCGAGAGACTGAGGCTGGAGGATTGCTTGAGCCCAGGCGTTCAATGCTGCAGTGAGCTATAATTGCGTCACTGCACTCCAGCCTGGGTGACAGAGCAAGATCCTGTTTTTTAAAAAAATAAAGAAAAAGAATAAAATAAAAATCTCAAATTAATTCAGGAACAGAAAACTAAATACTACATATTCTCACTTATAAGTGGGAGCTAAATATTGAGTACAAATGGACATAAAGATGGGAACAATAGACACTGGGGACTCCTAGAGGGGAAAGGGTGAGAGCGGGGCAAGGGCTAAAAAACTTCCTGTTTGCCCCCTGAATCTAAAATGAAAGTTGAAAAAAAATGAAAGATCTTTGCTTATAATTATTCTTGAACTCATTTAGCTGTATAGTTGACTACAGTTTAAGTTAAAAATGCCAATTAGGCCCAGTACTCTGCATGATCAGGCTAGATGAGGTTCATTTGAAATCACACCCTTGTTTGTTGTCGTCTTCTTCCACTCCGTCACTGTTGCTCCCGGAGGAACTTCCTTAATCCTTCTCTCATGTTCTGTTTCTAGGGACACCGAGTTAAGAGAACACGTTCCTGTGATACTTTAGGAATTAGTGCAAATGTAATCAGAGGACCACAGGTGCTATGTTACAGGAAATATTCTATTTGCCTCCACTCCCCATGGCTAGCATGTACATGAAAATTTATCCCCAGACCCAAACGGGGCTTCAAGCAGAAGCAATTTTTGGAACTACAGGTTGTCTCTCCCTCATTCAAAATACTTGGGGACAGAAGTGTTTGGACTTTGAATGCTTTTGGATTTTGGAATATTTGTACATACATAATGAGATATCTGGGGCTTGGGGCCCTAGTCTAAACATAAAATTCACTTATGTTTCACATGCACCTTATATTCATAGCCTAAAGGTAATTTTATACAATATTGTAAATAATTTTGCACATGAAACGAAGTTGTGTTAAGTAGTTATGTGTGGAATTTTTCAATTGTGGCATCATGTTGGTGCTCAAAAGTCTTGGATTTTGGAGCATTTCAGATTTTGGATTTGTAGATTGGGGATGTTCAAGCTGTTTTGCCTGACCCTATGGAAGCTGGGCTTAAGTAACCTTATGTCCTGTTCTGAGAACTAAGATACATACCTGAAGCTCAACCCCACCTGCACTCCTGTAACGTTTCCCCTTTGTTTAGGATTCCAGTGTGTTGCTTAGATCTCAGTCCTGCTAAGAAAAGATACTATGTTTCACTCTTGCCATTCCTCCTCTGAACTTTGACTCTCAATCCAGACTTAAGACCTTACCATTTCCCATTTGGTTACTTCCCTTGAAGTCTCAGGGGATGTGCTCCACATATAAGTTACTGAGAATCCATCATCCAAAATTGTTGCTGCTTTCTGCTGTTATGGCCTCCAGCTTTTGATTCCACATTTCAAATTCCCTTTCCTCCTGTCTCTGTAGGTGGAGCTATATGGGTCTCTTCAGATTTTCCTTTTGTGTCTTATCTGGTAGCAGTGATCTGGGCCCTATATAACTACATCTTAGAAGATAATACCTGTTATGGTTCTAAAGATACCCGATTAGAAAAAATAATAATAACACACTCTTGAAGTTATTCAATAAGCAATTATAGGGGGACTTCTCGAAGGAGATCCAAATAAAAAAAAATTCATAAAGTACTCCAATGTAAAATGATAGCTTAGATACTTGAAACAAGGTTTGCTTTTTAAATTTTCACTCTAGGGAGTAATTCCTCGGACTACACCAGACTTGGGAGAGAAGTTGACCTGGAAATGAAAAGTAGCACTCATGATATGCAAATTTTAACCATAGAACATAATGACAACTTAAATTATTTAACCTTGAAGATGTGGACACATAAACAAAGGCCAAGGATCAGGTGAAAGCCTGAGCCAAGTAAACTAATAACAGTTAATTTTAAAATAATGTTTAAGAAGCACAGTTCAATTAATTGGTATTACTTGGTTTGTTCGCAATAATAAAAAGACAGTTAAATTTTATATTAGTGTAAACACATTTTAACATATAAAACACAAGTTTTGGAACTGCCTGGGAATATTTCATATTTGTTTTTAAAAGTTCATCCTAAAGTAAGGTCCATAGATCTTACATTTTCCTTCTCCACCAGGTAGGGCAGGGTTGCTTCATATCATCAGTACAGAGTTCAAGCCCACTAAGTTAAGGCAAAATCTCATCTTCAGCAGGTATTTGAGGTCCAGAAGATGATGGGCAAGATGAAAAACCTGATCACTGCAGAAAAAAAGAATCAGAAGTACAGCCAGGACCAGATGCTGAAGAAGATCAATTTGATGTGGATTCATAGACTCTATGGGATAAATCAGGCAACAAAGCCAGTGGGAATTAAGAAGCAGGCAGAAGCAGAGCCAGGAGGTACACAGCTGATTTAGCATCTTTATAGCTATGAGTTTTCTTTTAAGCTCATTCCCCTCTAAGATACATCTATTGGTTTTGAAGTTACTGCTCCCTGAGACCAATCTCAATGGCGTTCTTGAACTTGAAATCAAAAAGATCTGCATCCTCCTTCCAGCTCTGACAAGTATTAGCTGCATAAACCTAGACAAAATATTTATATTATTTGAATTATAATGGGCAACATAATATCTCACTCAGAAATATTATGAAGATTAAATAAAATATTGAGTGTCAGCTACACAGCACACTGTAGGCTCTTCATGATGTTATCCCCTCCCTGTGCATTCATGCTTACAACACCCTTGAAGCCCTCTGGAATAGAAAGTATCCAGGTTTCATGTTGTGGTGATAGGGGAAAATGGTCATATGATAGAGGTGTTATTACACCGGTGGAAAGTGTGATGCCAGATAAGCCACTTAAAGATGCAACCCGTTCCTAACTTAGCAAGTACTGAGACCAGCTTCAGTGCCAGCAAAGTTTAATACCCATTCCCATGAGCATGGGACCCAGCAGGGTCAAATGTAAGATGAGTTCCTCTAAGTCGGGGTGAAGGAGAACTCATGCTATACAAAGCTTTCATGGAGAAGACTAGGAGCAGGAGATACAAAGTGTGCAAGTCAATCATGACTGTTAATAATAAGCATATATATATACATGCACACACACATATAGATATGAAACTAAGCACCTGCCATGTGCCAGAGTCTGTGCTGGGAGTTTTACGTCTCATTCATTCTCATAATTCCTGCACGGTAAGTATTAATATTGCCATTTTATAGATGGGGACATTGATCTTCAAAGAGGTAAAATAACTTGTCCAAATTACACAGCCAGCAAGTAATAGTAACGAATCTGTTCAACTCTGTATGCTTGGATCTTATTTTTGATTCATTGATTTATTTCGGAGGCTGAAATAATGTGGGGATTTTGATATGGTTCTTCCGCTACAGGGACCTGCTACCAGTTAACCAGAGATTTAACCTGAAATTTTGATTGCTGTTGTATAGGCCCCTCCAAATTTAACTAGGTAATAATTGATAATGAACACAACAGTGAAGCAGCTGAGTGTGGGGAGAATATGGGGGAAAAATTATCCTAGATGTCATATGTATACATAAGATACATACTTTGGCATCAGAAAATTTCTCTGGATTTAGAAGATTTATTTACCATGGAGAATACATTTCTAGAGTAGGGAAAGTACTAAAGAACAAATATATATTGCATGGGAAACAAGAAAGTTTCCCTTGTCCCCCTGGAGGACAAGGTGTGTGATGGGGGTGTGGTTCATTGAAGTGCCCCTGCTGCTCAAACCTCTAGGGGAGCATATAGAAGGGCAGGTTCCAACCCCACCGCAGTGTCTAGGGGTAAATGTGTACAGCTCCTGAAGCCCCAGTGGGCGTGTGTCACAGGGTACCCTTTTAGTTTACCTGTCCCTAGGCAGCTTGTGTTAGTCAGTTCAATTAGACCCCTGCCTTATGGCAATGACAAAGGCCTTTCTATATCCTGGGATTCTTGCCTTGATATATCAGAAGTATCAGATCACGTGTGGGCTTGGAGAATGAATGCAAGGTTTTATTGAGTGGCAGTAGCTCTCAGCAGATGGGGGAGCCAGAAGAGAGATGGTTTTCCCCCGGAGTCAGGCCACTGGGAGTTTCAGCTTTACTCAGAGTTCCAACTTTTCTCCAAACCATGCCTCCCCCGCAAATCCGCATCATTCTGCTCCTTGATGGCATGCCAGCGTGCCGGTGTGCTCCCACGCCAGTGCATCCCTCTCAACGTCCAGCCCTGTGTGTTCCTCTGCTGATGTGTTCCTTTCAATGTCCAGCCACCTCTGTGTCTGCCCGCTGGGGTCTCGGGTTTTTATGGACACACGACGGGGGCACGGCAGGCCAGGGTGGTCTTGGGAAATGCAACATTTGGGCAGGAAAACAAAAATGCCTGTCTTCACCTAGGTCCATGGGCACCGGCCCAGGGGTGGAGCCCTAGCCAGGGACCACACCCTCCTCTACCCAGCACTTCCCTTCCCCTCTTCCATATTGTTTAAAGGGACCAGCCCTTCCCTTCCCAGCACTTCAGTATCACATAGAGGAAGTAACTTCCAAAAGTTCTAATGATGTTATTGTACTTTAATGTTCAGCATATAATATTATAATCCTCTATCTCTGTCCAAAATTTTCAATGCAGTCTCAATTTCTTTTTATTTGTCTAAAAAATGTAATTCCAATTTCTAATGATAACTGGTGAAAAAACCTAATTTGCTTGTAAGGAACTATTTTTCCAATTAAGTTTGCTGGCATTCATCTACATGCTAATGAAACATGAAAGTTCAGTTCTCAACATGTAACTACCCCATATTGACATTTGAAACCATTTTAAAGAAAAAGGGTATCATATTTGGATGTGAAGAGAATTGGAATAGGTGTGAAAAGGCTAAGACGTCAGAGCTTCTTTTCTTAAGAAAATTAGCATTATTGATATTCACTCTTTAAAGAAAGAACGGCAGAAGATGAGTCATGAAATGCAATCTGTGCATCAGATACCACCAAGAGATTTGCAGCCAGCTTAAGTAAACCAATTTGAATAAGGTCAGAAGTGCAAGCACATACCTGTAATCCCAGCATTTTAGGAGGCCGAAGAGGGAGGATCACTTGAGCCCAGGAGTTAGAGGCTACAGTGAGCTATGATCTTGCATCTGCACTACAGCCTGGGCAACAGAGCAAGACCCTGTCTCAAAAATAAAATAAAATAAAAAATCTGTTATCACATCTGAATTAGACTAGGCTCCTCAAATTTCAGCCAAAGTGAAAAATCCAGGAAATAATATTACTAGTCAAGGATGTGGATATTTTTGCCCAGTAGAACTGATTAAATTTTTCCCTGAGGAAAGACTGAGGTTAAGAGAAGACTAACACTTTGAGGCAGGTAACATAAATAACAAATTTATTCAAGTAGCACTCTTTGTTAAGGACTGTGATCTGTTTGCACCAGTGCCCAGGTGTGGATGCTGTCATGTGTGGGGCCCCAAAAGCATGGCATCCGCAGGGGCAGAGGGCAGAGAGCCAGGGGAAGAGCAGCCAGCGGGAGAAAAGCCCGTTGTTTCTCTCCATCCAGCTGTTACTCACTTTCTCCGCCTAAACACAAAACTCACGTAATGGCTGTTGAATTCCTTTTTGAATGACAGTATAGATACTTCAATCTCAGCTAAATCTCATTTTATGCTCATTTTACTTTGCTGCAGCATTTTTTGTCTTCCATGCTGCATTTTTCTTGAACAATCACCAAACTGGCAGACTCTGACTAGCTTGTCAGAAAGGAAAAGGAATTTATGTTTCATAGGAGATTAATCCAATCAGTGGAACATTTATGAGAAGCCAAGCCAGACTTGTTTACAAATGAACAATACCTGAAGGGAGAGATTTTAATCTCATTATAATATGACCTTCCAAAGATTAGGACACAACTGTTTAATTCTCCTTGTTAACTCATTGTGTTTAAAGTTTACTGTGTCTTATGGTTATCAGGGAAAAAAAGGAAACTAAAAATCACCTTATTCTAATAAAATAGGAAGTGAGAGGAGATAAACCAATAATAACCTTTAATACTGTGATGAAAAAAGCCTTCCATAAAACAAGGATAAACAACGTTGCAGTCTAATTTACCTCTGCATAAAATGTAAACTAGAACTCAATGTGCAATAAAATATTAGTATCTTTACCGCCAGCATAATCTTAACTAATCATTTCTTATGTTATTTCTGTAGTTACAGTAAGTCATCTGCATGAAATTTGACTGAATAAGGTTAGCCCAGAAACTGAAAGTACTGGGGCTTTCCTCTTTTTCCATTTCATAAAATCTTTTTCCATTAATGTTCTCACACATTTCTAAGCTATCCCCAAACTGGATCAGCCTCTACTCTTTTCAGAATGTCACCAACCCAAAACAGTTTTCTTCTTAACAATCCCCTTCTTTGTAATACATAAACACATTCTTCAGGGGCACTGTAATTATCCAAAATGAGCTTTAGTACTACAAATTACTTCAGCACTCCTATGATTTATCTGTAGTAAACATACTTTGTAATATTTATATTCCCATTAAAACTGCCACTAATAATGAATCGACAGTACGTAAACATTTATATGATAGGGCACGGACAAATACCAGATGCCCCTATAATAGTTACATTCCTTGCTCTTCCTATCATGTTGGGAAAAACCAAGCCTTGGCATTTCACCATGTTTATGAAAATACCTTTGAAAATGGCTCAGCACATTGCACTTCACATTTGCAACCATTTCCTTTAAAAAGATGGCATTCGTCCGTACTTACGAGGTCTGGGTTATTGCATTTCCATATTATGCATCATTACTCCGAGTAGGTGTCTTATCAGCAGCTCCAGTTGCTGTGGAGAAGATTGGAATTAAGCACTGGAAGCTTTTTATTTATTTTACATGCTTTATTCCTACAAGATTTTCTGCATATAAGCTCCTTTGTTCAGCTGAGAATTGGATACATTGCCAAGGCATTGTAAAATTTACATCTTGCTTTTTCTCCTGTATTCTTTCCAAAATTGGATTGAAAACAAAGTATAGTTTTTAATTAAAGCTCTGACCGACAACAGACATTTTTTCCCCTCAAGCATTGGCATTCTTGATCAGTGGTGAGGTTTCGTAAAAGCCTAATAGAAGATGTTCACTACTTAACCACAATCAGCCTTAAGCAGTTTATATTTCAGTTAAAATCTGGGATATTCCTGACGATATTAATTTAAAGATAACTGTCACTAAAGTTGATCCAAATATAATCAACAAGACCATGGACAAATCTGAAACAAATTCACCTTTCCTTTTTAGCATCATGTAGTCCAAAGTGATGTTCCTGCTGACTTCAATAGAGAAAAACTGAAAGAGAAGTCTGCTATTTTTTCAAGCAGTTTCAGAATAGACTTCTGATTACTATTTTATTACTTGGATCAATCTATCATGGCTTATTTTATCCTGAAGTGGAATCCAAAAGTCATCATTTTTTGGCCTTCAAAATGTCTTAATGACTTAAATATCCTCAGTAAGTCCAGTAGTAGCCAAATCATCTGAACACAGGTTTAACAAATCTGAAGATCATAGTAAACCTTGTTATGTGATTTAAGGCTAAGCTGGTCAAGCAATCAGTAGCTCTGTCTTCCCATTTGTAAAGTGAAATTGGCAAACACTCTTCCTACCTGGGAAAAATGTGTCCTTCTTTACGGAAGTTTTGGGTCCTTTGCCTTCTGTAACACCGTGAATTTCCTCTCTCTCCCTGGGCTATCTGCCTCCAGCACCCAACATTTAGATCCTGAAATTCTTCAGGGCTCAGTCATAGCTCTTTATATTCTCTTGCCATACTTTCACCTGAGGTGATCTCATCCATTTTTCAGAACTTTGAAAACACCTAGCTAATGATACCTAAATTTTTATGTTCATTGCAGGGCTTCACTGAGATCCACACTTTTTTTTTTTTTTTTTGAGACGGAGTCTAGCTCTGTCACCCAGGCTGGAGTGCAATGGCACAATCTCGGCTCACTGCAAGCTCCACCTCCCAGGTTTCAGCTATTCTCCAGATTTATCTATGCAAGACTAGATTATTACATTTCTCCCTAAAGGTAAATAAGGTATTTTCTTCATGCCAAATGAAATTGCTGCTACAAAAGAAGGTTGAGATGAAAAAAGAAATGAAGAAAAAATAAAGTGGTAAATTTGTAGGCAGCTCTAAGTAAGTATTAACTGTATAAAACAATATGTTTAAGAATTTATAAAGATAGTGAATATGACAAAAATATCAGTTACCACATTAAATATAAATAAATAATGATAAAAGAATCACCAAGAAAGTTTAAACAGTTTAAAATACACATCCACTCAATTACATGACCTCAAAATGCATAATTTTATAAAATAATAAAATTATAAGAAGAACCCAAATGCACAGTCAGTGGCAGTTTGCATATATAAATTCAAGAAGGATACAGAGAAAGAAAGATTTAATAAATATTATAGCCCCCAAATGCAAAAATATAAAAATTGGACAGTATCCTATGCCATAAAACAAGTACAAATAAATTAATTAAAAAGGTATATGTTTTTAACAACTATTAACAATCAAAATATACCTAGAAAATTACTATATGTTTGGACATTAT
Source organism: Homo sapiens (assembly GCF_000001405.40). Classification (NCBI taxonomy): domain Eukaryota; kingdom Metazoa; phylum Chordata; class Mammalia; order Primates; family Hominidae; genus Homo; species Homo sapiens. Next base: position 59,122,535 of record NC_000013.11, read on the forward strand.
AAAAACACATCGAAAGGAAATCATGGGAGAAAAAAGAAAGTATACTAAACTGAATGATAATGAAAATACTACATATTAAAATTTGAAAAGTACAGCATGTAAAATGTATAGCCTTAGAAGCACACATTCAAAAGAAAAGATGGCTTAAAAGTAATGCTTTAAGCATCTGTCTTGAGAAATTACAAAAGAACAGCAAAAAAGAAAGTAAAAAGAAGAAACCATTAAAGAAAGAGCATTGATGAATGAGGATGAAACTAATAATTAAATATAATAGAGAAGACAAAGCCAAAACTGGGAGGCTAGTAACATTTATATATATATATACACACACACACATATATTTTTTTTTCAAGAGAATAATTAAGAAGAGAAAATTAACTTACATCAGGAATAAAACAGGAGATTCTATAGATATTACAAAGATAATAACTGTATGTAATAACTTTATTCCAATAAATTGAGAAATTCAGAAGAAACTGTCCAGAAAATTTCTAGAAAACGACCACTTATAAATTTGACAAAAGATATAATAAAAAACTGAGATAAACATAAAGAAACTGAAACAGCAATATAAAACTTCCTCCAAAATAATGTTTAGGTTCAAACATCTTTACTAACAGGCACAATGAAAAATTAATATCAATCCTACATATTTCCAGAGAACGACAAAATAAGATAAACTCTAATACATGGTATCAGACTGGATTTTCTTGATACCAAAAACCAATCAAGAGAGTATGACAAGGGAAACATACAGTCCAATCTCATTATGAACATAGACCCCAAAATTCTTAAAAATGTAAACCCAGCAGTTGGTAAAAAGACTTCATCATAAGCAAGTTGGTTTATACTAGAAATTCAGGTTAGCTTAACATTAGAAAGGCAATGTAATTGGTCATATTAAGAATAAAATAAAAAAATAGGTTTCAACTCATTGATACATAAAAAGCATTTGATGAGTTTTAAAATCCATTCCTGATAAAAGTTAAAAATAAAAACTCATGGAAAACTAGAACTAGAATGGAGCTTCCTCAATCTGATAAAGGCTAATTACAAATTTAAAAAAAAATCCACTGCAAGCATCTTATCTAATGGTGAGATTTTCAAAGCTTTCCTTTGAAGTCAAGGATGTCAAATATCATCACTTCACTTCAATCTTGTACTGAAGGGCCTTGATAGCACTGAAAGGCAAGAAAGAGAAATGAAAGGTATAATGATTAGGAAAGGAAAATTAAGATTGTCATTATTCTCAGTTAACATAATTTCATTTGTAGAAAATCTAACAGAATCTACAGATTAATTAGAAGTATTTTGTAGCAAGGTTGCAGAAAAACATCAGTTATATTTATATGCCAGTATCAAACACTTAGAAAATAGATTTTTTAAAGTCACCATTTCATTGGGGAAACTTTAAGGTCATCAGTCTAGGCAAAGAATTATTGAGTAATACCCCAAAAGCACAGGCAACCAAAGCAAAATTGTACAAATGGGATCATATCAAGTTAAAAAGCTTCCACAAAAGAGAAAATCAACAAAGTGAAGAGACAACCCAGGGGATTAATAACCACAATATAGAAGGAACTCAAACAATTCAATAGGAAAAATAAAATATAATAATCCAATAAAAAAAATGGACAAAGGATCTGAATAGAAATTTCTCAAAAGAAGACATACATATGGTAAACAAATATATGAAAAGGTGCTCAATATCATTGACCATCAGAGAACTGCAAATCAAGGCTACTATGAGATATCAACTCATCTCACTTAACATGACTTTTAGGCAATAACGAATGCTGACGAGGATATGGGGAAAAGGCAACCCTCGTACACTGTTGGGAATGTAAATTAGTACAGCCACTGTGGAGAAAAGTATGGAGGTTCCTCAGAAAACTAAAAATAGAACGACCAGGGCCAGGCATGGTGGTTCCCACCTGTAATCCCAGCACTATGGGAGGCTGAGGCAGGAGGATTATTAGAGGTGAGGAGTTCAAGACCAGTTTGGCAAACATGGTAAAACTCTGTCTCTATTAAAGATAGAAAAAAAAAATTAGCCGGGTATGGTGGTGCACACCTGTAATCCCAGCTACTCAGGAGGCTGAGGCACAACAATTGTTTGAACCCAGGAGCCAGAGGTTGCAGTGAGCCAAGACTGCACCACTGCACTACAGCATGGGTGACAGAGCGAGACACCCCAAAAAAAAAAAAAAAAAAAAAAAAAGAACTACCATATGATCCAGCAATCCCACACCTAGCTATATACTCAAAAGAAAGGAAATCAGTATATCAAAGAAATACGTGCACACCCAGGTTTACTGCAGCACTATTCATGATAGCCAAGATTTGGAAACAATTTCCAATTTCTGTAATAATGACCCAGTGAGAGCCAACACCTAAAATCAGTAACGAACTTATACGCAGAGTATATTAAAACTTCCATAATCAACAATAAAGAGCCTGAAAACCCAATAGAAAAATGGGCCAATGACTCCAACAGGCTCTTCAAAGAAAATAAAATGCAAATGGACAACAAATGTGAAAAAGTGCTCGAACTTATTTATAAGCAGGAAAATGTAAAAAAAAAAAAAAAAAAAAAAAAAAAAACAGTGACAAACTACTACATACTCACCAGATTCAGGGGGGAAGACTAAAAATAACATTGTCAAAGCAGTGAAGTGATGGGTTTCTCTTACATGCTGTTGGAATTGTAGATTAGAACAATCACTTTCAGAAACACTTTTAGATTATCTACAAAAGCTGGAAATTGACCCAGAAATTCAAATTCTAGGCTTATTCCCAAGAAAACTCAGACATGTGCACCTGGATACCTACAAAAGATTGCTTATAACAACATTGTTCCATTTGGCTTTATACTAAAAGTAAATGGCCATCAATAATAAGATGAACAAATAATCTGATGTTTATTTATTAGATGGAATACCATACAGTAATGAAAATGCACAATCTATAGCTACACCAACAATGGAAATAATTCCTACAAGCATAATTCATTTGATAAAAACTCAAGAACAGGCTGAACTAAACCACATTATTTAAGATTGCATACTAGGCAGTAAAACTGTAAAGAAAAACAATGAAGGAATTACCATATAAATCTGGATAATACTATTCCCAGGAAGGGGAGAAGGGGATTGTGATCAGGAAGGTGTTCAGTTGCTTCTGGAGTGAGGGGAATGTTTTGTTTCTTGATCTGATTTCATGGTGTTCACTTTATAATGCTTCGTGAAATTGTAAAATTATATTTATGCACTTTTCTGTAAGTCTGTTATAATTCACATTAACAATTAAAAGAAAGAAAAGAGTTATTCTCTCACTGCAGAAGGCCATAGAGAACAATAAAAATCTTACTCTTTTATGAAATTGTTTTTTGTTGGAGGTTGGGAGGTCGTTATTAGCTATAATTTTTTGAACATGTGAGAGGGGAACTTAATGAGAAATGAAAATGAGGCATTTTTACTTTACTGATGGGCATTCCAAATGATAAAATATACTTTAAGAAATGTATTCATATTTTCAATTAATGCTGTAAAGAGATATTTCAAACTAGGTTAACAGTTGCCTTGAAGAAAGGCTTGTTTTAGTGAAGAAGAGTAATGGTCAACTACGCTATCCATTTAAATAAAATAATGGACACTTTGTCTCTGTTTTCTTCCATTCAGTTTCATAATTTCCTAATTAGTGTCATTTGAATTGGTGAAAGTGTATCATCTTGGCCCTCCCCATCCCTCCACCCCAATTCTCATGTGCACTCTCTCTCAATATTCTTTTGTATTTTGTTTGACTGTTTTATTGAAAAGCCATAAACAAGCAGTATTAGTTTGCTAGGGCCACCATAACAAAATACCACTGGGCGGCTCAAACAACAGAAATTTATTTTCTCATTCTTTTAGAGGTTGGAAGTCCAAGAACAAAGTGTCAACAGGTTAGACTTCTCCTGAGACCTCTCTTTTTGGCTTGCAGATGGGCCACCCTCTTGCCGTGTCCTCACATCACATTATTTCTATGTGCATTCCTCCCTGCTATCTCCTTCATTTCTTATGAAGATGTCAGTCACACTGGATTAGAGCCCCATCCTTATGAATTCACTTAAGCTTAATTACCTCTTTAAAAGCCCTATCTACCAATATAATGACATTATGGTTTAGGACTGTCACATGCAATTTGATGGCACACAATTCCGTCCATAACACGAGCTCTTTCATTTTGATAATAATATACCTAACCACTCTTCAGAGTATCCAGTGTGGTACAATAAATGTGAAATTTGGCAACTCTACATTGTTGCTCAGAAAATGACAAATCATAAGACCTATCATCTAATCCTCTCTCCTTTTAACGGTAAAATACAGATAATACATTTAAATAAATTGAGTATGTAAAATGGGACATGAACCTTTTTAGAAGTTACAATTGAAGATTGTAGATACATTTCAAAAGGACCTGGAGAGGAAATGGGCAATAAATTATGAGCTGCAGCTCTTCCTAAAGTCATCAGAAAGGCCTTTCCTTCTTCCTTTGAAAATACCTCCTGGTAAGTCAACCTGTTCTTCCTTTCTGATACCTACTTCAGATAGTGGATGTAGCCCTTAAAAAGAGAACCCCATTTTCACACAAAGGGAAGATAACACAAATTTAAAATACAAGAAGGATACTAGGTCCCCACTCACAGCCCACACCATAGCCCACACTATCTTTATCTCATGCTTCCAGGCTCTTCCCACTCACTTCAGCCTTCACAATGCCAAATTATTGCCCAAAAAATAAATCTAATCATGTCATCCCCTGTTTAAATATTTGAATGTTTCATTGTTTCCAATAGACTCAAGTCAATATTTGATAGCTCGGGATATAAAGCCCTTTATAAGCATACTCCGGCTTACTTTGACAAAAGTATTTCTTGCTACTTCACTCCATGTGTACTTTGATCCAACTGCATAAAACTCCTCAGCAGCCTCCAGGTTTGTCCACTACCTTGCCTAGAATTCTCTTTCACTGCATCTGTGCCCAGGACACTTCTCAGCTTTATGACACAGCTCAGAGGTTACCATATGTGGTGCCTCCTTACTGCCCAAGCAAGCTTAGTCTTGCTTCACGCTACCACAGAACATTGTTCTTACCTCAATTATAGTGCTCATGATGTTACACTGTAATTGTTTATTTATAGCCAAGCCCTGCACTCTAGGCATAGGCAACTTGAACACTGTGTCTTGTATATATTTACAGTCTCAGTTCTTGGCATATGGTAAGAAATAAAACCATGATAACTCCCACTAAATATGATTTTAATGTAAAAATCAATGCATTCTTTTATTCCATCAACAAATATGCATATAGATATCAAGGGTCCCCTACAAAAAATACTCACTGAAGCTGTGGCCATACAGCTGTCACTGTCAGATGTATACATGAATCTTACATTCTAAAAGAGAAAGATATCAAACAACTTACTATATGATTAATTATTTCACTGATAAGTTCTACAGAGGAGGAAAAAAAGATGTGATGTTATTGAAATACATCATAGGTAGCATGATTTCATCTAGGGAAGAAATGGCTAAGCAAGTTTTTCTTATGAGTTACCGCTAATAAAAAAGAGAGAGAGAGAGAGGTGAACCAGGCCATTATACCCAAAATGCAGTTAAGTGTAAATGATATAAATTATTATTACACAGTGTATTTTAGTGTATTTGTTTTTAATAACTTTCTCTTATAGCATATAATCATGATTTTATTTTACATTTACTGCAATGATATTAGATTTCTTTTTCTAGTATATTAATTTTAGTAAAAAGAATGATTAAAGAAATTTAGCAAATTAAAGGAAGATAATAGTATCAGTATATAGAGACATGGCAAAAAAAATTATATATAAATAACTAGTGCTAAATTCCACACAATGCAGAGGAAAAGGAAAAGAATTTCAGGTAAATGGAAAAAAAATGAGTGAATGCCTTACAGAAAGAGCCTGGCATGTAGAGAAAATGAGAGAAGTCCAGCATGAATGAAGCTCTGAGGGAGAAATGGCATGTGTTGGAAGATGAGGCAGGGGAGGGACATCAGTGGGGAGAATCAAAGTGATAAGAATATTTTGAGAAAGTCATATGAAGGAGGTGGATGAACAAACAACAGAAGACTGAGGAGGAATTAACGGAGAACCAGCTTAGTGTTGCATCATGCCGACCAAGGGAAAACATGTTTCAAGAAGGGAATAATTAACTGCGTGCAACAGTGCTGACAAGATGAGAACCCAAAAGCATCAACTGCATTTGACGACATGTGGGTCATGCATGTCCTGAGCCAGATAAATGATCCTGCCTGAAGTCTCTGATGTATCCTTCTCTGCATTTTAGATAAATGAAAATAAAGAGGGTCTTAGGCAGAAGATAGGCCTTAATCTGTCTGCTGTTATGGCCCAATTTTTCTGAGAAATGTATTTTTCAAATTCATTTCTCTGGACATGTATCGCATAAAAAGATCATAATTTCTTATTCACCAATTATTGATGATTTTCTTTGATGACAAATTAAAATTCCTTTACTAGATGTTTGATCCTGGGCAAGTCATTTATCCGTCTGAAATTCCAGTTTCCCTTTCTGCCACATGCAGAAAATTATACTACAGGGCACAGTTTTTATGTTTAAGGATAATGTACAACCAGCCCCTTGCATAAAGCAGGTACTGCCAAGTAGCTTGGCTTCTCATTCAGCTACAGTAGGACTTTCTTCTCTTACCATTGTGATTCACTCCCCTTCTTCAAACCATAAGGAGAAAATGAGTCTGAGGTTTTATTCTTGAACATCACATGCTTACCCATGAGGTTACACAACCATTCCCATATAGGATCAGCGTTTGATGACAATGCAGTTTTCTGCATGTCATTTGAGTTCCAAAAGTAATCGTACTCAATAAAATACCTTTAAAAATACATAGACAAGTAGCTGACTTCCCCAAATAGGCAGATCCCTCAAAACAAACAGTAACTCCATAAAACTCATGAAATTCTATTTCCTGAGATTAACATTCAAGAGATGTTAGGTATGCCATAAACATTGTTTAGAATATTACAGTTATTTTAACTTATTCTTTTTAAGAGTAAATCACATTTACAGAAGCACACTTACAAAGGAGTGCTGAAGACAATGCCATGTGCAACAAATAGAATTGTTGTTTTTGTTTTTACTCTTGTCAGTGAACACTTATTAAACACCCACTAGGTCCTGGACCTCATGGAAACAAATGTGAGTTAACACATTTCCTCTCCAAAAAGACATTTTTCAGTGACTATTTTTTTCTAGTATCTGGGGTAGACAAAACTGACTACATCACATTAGAAGTCAATCTGTTATCAAATTTAAGTTTTTGCAACAGCAAACATTTTTAGATTACATGAGCGTGCACACACACACACAGGCACACACAGTAAAAGCACCTGAAATAGGCTATATTCTATTATTGTAAATGTACTCCCTGACTGAGACCTGGTATGCCAGCCTGAAGCAAATTATTATAGCCTAGCTATTAACTCCTAAAAATAGGGAGCTATAATGGAAACACTTGGAGACTAAAGAATGAGCAAAACTACTATCCCAGCAATGGTGCAGCAATGAGACACATTTGTATAGTTTGCCATGTCATGGCAGGGGTTAGGTGTCAGCCATCCCTGCCTTGTCACACCAACCTGTACTTTCGATTCTTTTTTTTTCTTTTTTGTCCTTTTACTGTATACTTAAAAAAATTTTTTTTAACAGTCTCTTTTTTAGTTTTTCTCTTCTCTCCTCTCTGGCCAAATTCTTAGGTCAGATTTGTCTTTTAAGACTGTACCCCTTGTCCCCACCCAAGAAAAGGGTGGGAGCATTTGTTGAAGCAGAAGTCATGAGTAAAAATTGCTAAAGTGATCAGAAACAAAAATGCCAGAACTGTGACCCTTGGCAATTTTGTAGCACCCTTGTTGAGTGACTGTATATGTGAGTGCACGTTTTCTAATGCAACCCACTAGATCCTGAACATTTTCTAGAGTGTAAGACTATTTTCTTTGAGCTTATGCTAGGGCGATAATATATTGTCATCTAAATTTATGTTGTGAGACAGCTGTTTACTATCTTATAATTAGGTGGGCCAGTAGAATGTGTTTGTATATCTATTTGACATACCCGAGACTTGAAATAAATCATCTGTATAGTGACATATTGTTAAGAGAAACTTGAAAAAATTAAAATATCCTATTTAGCTTACAGATTTCAAACTATAGGCACAAATAGATAACCGCAAAGTTTATCTGAAATCACAAAGAAAATATAAAGAATTGAATGACGCCACATGTACCTCAATCTTAAATTGAGGTATAATTTTCATACAATAAAATGTACACAGACCTTATATGTGACAATTTGATGTGTTTTGAGCAGTGGATACACTCACTTGTGTAAGTCACAAATCTACGATAATAAGGAACATTTCTATCATCCCAGAAACTCCTATGCACTCATTCTGTTCCCCTACCAACGCTCTTTCCACAAGAAGCAACCACTGTTCTGATTTCTCATGCCATAGATCAGTTTTGTGTTCTCTAAAATTACACTAAAACGTGGAAATAAACACTTTTGTGATTGACTTCTGTCATTCAGCATAATGGTTTTCAAAGTAATTCACGTGTTTACACGTACAGTAGTTCTTTTATTTCACTGCTGAATAATATTTCATTGCCTATATTGAAATTGATTAGGCATTCACTCATCAATGAACATTTGAATTGTTTCCAATTTCAGGTTATTATAAATGAAACTTCTATGAACATTATTGAACAAGTCTTTTTTTCAATGTATGTTTTTATTTTTGTTGAATAAATACCTAGGAGTAGAATTGCTGAATCATAGGGTAGGTAATTGTAACTTTAAAAGATACTGCCAAATGGATTTCCAAATTAGATGTATCAGTTTTACACCTCCTCTAACATATGAGGTTTCTGGTTGCTATAAATACATGTCAATATCTAAATATCATTTTTTTCAGCATTTTAAAATTTATCTCAGTATGTACTAATATCTCATTGTGGTTTCAACTTTCATAAGCCTGACTAGTGATGTTGAACATGTTTTTATGTGACATTTATCTCCCTTCGTAAGTACCTGTTCAAGACTTCCATCCATTTATTAAAAATTGTGTTTTTGGGGTTTTTTAAATTGATTTATGAAAGTTCTTTACATAGTTTGGCATAAGTCTATAATCAGATATATATGCACAAATCCTTCCGCTTAGGTTTTTGATGAGCAGAAATTTTTAATATTTATGAGGAATAAATTATCAATTTTTCATTTCATTTATTGCATTTTTCAGTTCTAGAATTTCCATTTCTTAAAGTTTTTATTTCTCTACTGGGATTTTCCATCTGTCTGTTTATCTTGTTCATCCTTTCCTTTAAAGTCCTAAACATAATTTAAATTGCTATTTTAAATTCTTTGCTAATTCCAACATATCTTTTGTCTCTGTATGTGCCTATATTATGTTTTATTTCCCCCGGTTATGGGACACCCAATTTCTTGTTTTTATGCCACTTAGTAATATTTTATTTTATGCTAAACATTACAGGCACTATGTTGTTGAGAGTCAAAACTGTTTTTAAGTCTTTATTTAAAGCGAATTGAGTGTTATTCTGGCAGGAAATTAATTTAATAGTGTATCAACTTGATTGCTAAAATAGGTCCATATTATATATTATTCTAAGTCTAAGGTAGCCCTATTCCCAATATCTAAACTTTTAGGAACTAAACTGAATGTCTATTGTGTTTAGCAAAACTTCAACTTGTCATGACCCCACCTCTTTAGAAATGTGCATCCTCTAGAATCCATATTTATTTTCACAGTTCCCCAGCCTCACTGCCTCTTTCCCTGTACACTTACAGCTTAATATTTAGCAAAAAACTTAATAACAATGTCTAGGAAAATTTCATTTTTACATAGTTCCTTTCTCTGTGGTCCTTGGCCTTAAAAATTCCAATCCACCCAACAGCCCTGTGCTGCAATCTTCACCTCCTAAATTCAGCAAGACTATCAAGCTCTGTTTGGGCTCCACCTTCCTGCTTTGCAATCTGGAAACTGCCTCCAGGTAGGGAAAGTCATGGTGATCACGGAGCTTACTTTGTGTGTTTCCTTTCTAAGACCACAGCCCTGTGTTGTCTCTTGTCGAATGTCTCAACAGTTGTCTCATATATTGTGCCCAGTTTGATAGCTGTTTGTGGTGAGTGGGCTATTCCAATGTCAGTTACTCTCCATGGCTGCAATAGAGTCTCCCAAGATCTGTTATTCATGACAGGTAATATGCATCAGAAACACAAAACATGGGTGCTAGTCAGTAAAAGGCCAAGACACACAAAAAGACCTCAAAGGTTTTGTTTTCATTTTGTTAATAAAGACTTCATTTTAAAAACCTTGCTTCCCTGATTTCAGCAACCGAAAGCATAACAGATTCTTTCTGCATTATACCCTTCAGCTAAGTGGGGTTTCAAAGATAACATAGGCAACTCTTTAAAAAGCCATTAGTATTTAAAAAGAGCCAAATACATTGTATACATTCAGGAAAAATGAAAAACAAAAAACTATGAGATGTGATTTTTGGAAATGAGATCTGAGCTATATATGACATTTGATCTCATTTCTTTTTCTTCTTTGTAGTGAGAGCATATGCAAAGTTGAAGGTGGATTCTGGACTCTTGACATTTTTATCATTTAAACTAGAAATATCCCCAGTTTTCCTAAACTGAGCTCAAGCTATTTCGCATCCTGCTTCTGTGTATACTCATGCCCAACCTCTGCCACCCTCACACTTACACACACTCCCACACAGATGCACACAAATGGCCCTGTGAGAGCACAGCCCTCCCTGCCTTTGCAAAGGATGTAGAAAGGCAAGGATCATAACACAATTTGAAACAGTGTCATTTCCATGATCATTATCCTTTTTTCCACATTCTATCATGACTTAGTGTTAGCTGATTTTTCTGACATAGTATACACTAAGACACACGCACGCACACATGAACTGAGAAATACAATATTACTGATTTAAATTTAAATCATTCAAAAATTAGAATAATCTTGGATAAAAAATAAAGACTCTAGGTACAGAAATGCATTTCAGTTGTTGCTTTTGGAGGGCCAATTCTGCTCCAGTGCCTCCTGACTTTCTTAGTGGTGGCCGTGGAGCTGTGTCGGGAGCAGCAGTGGTTACAGACAGTGTCTAAAGCCTCCTGGACAGAGGACAAAATATAATCGAATCATGTTGGAAGAAAAAATAACTAAAATTCAAACACTCTTTTACTAAGAAACCTTCAAAGGAAGAAAAGAACAGACTGAAAAATGAGCTGAAGCAAAAGAGCGGCAGAGACAGAGCACAAGAAAAAGAGATCAGGAATAAGAAATCCCTTCATCTAGTTTAAAGTCAAAATGCCCCTTAGTGAAGTAGACCTTTAAGTGTAAAGAAGTGAACTAAACTTATTTGGGTAAATGAGACAAAGGGGGCAGTATGACGGCCTCCTTACCTTTCACACACAGTTAACTCTGTAACAGAAGGCTGATCACCTCACTTTGAATTGCCAGTTAAACCCCTGTCTTCCCTTTCTCCGTCTGCAGTCTTTAGTTCAGGTAGTGGAATAGATATTCATTCCAGTTCTTGTTCCATGGTTTGCCCATGGTGCTTCTGTGTCTTCTTTTGTGTTGTCTGAGCAAGGTAAACAAACAGATTGAATAAGGAAAGGATTAAGAAAGTGAAAACCGAGAGAACTGAAATAATCTCTCTCAATTCACAGAGCAAGAAAGTGGCAGAGATCACATTGTCACAGGGTCCCTGTGTGGTTCGAGGTTGTATTCTTTCCACTGTGCCCTATTCTCTTCCCTCAGGTTCTGAATATTTTGGAATGGGAGTACAGTTGTGTGGGTGGTTTATGTTTGTACAAATTGGCTTTCCAGACCAAACATTGGCTTATGTTTGTACAAAATCTTTCCAAAACCAAACATTGGCTTATGTTTATACAAATTGTACAAATTGTAGTGTATATCATGAGACAATGTCACATTTGTTATTTGTTGTTAAATAATAACAACCTTTAGTCAAAGATTATGAAATTCAATGAAATTAAAGAATAAAATCTATCATGATGTTAAAGCATCTAGTACATCATTGTTTCTTTTCAACAACTGTCCGAAACTGTACAGAGCTTTTATAAAGTTATTAGTGAATGAGATATATTGCTCTGAAACTAACCTCTCTTAGCAGCCATGGAAAGTAAAGATCCCATCATTTATTTTTAAAGCAGAACTTCAATCAAAAAAATCCAGAAAGGTATTATTTATCACTACAGATATTATGTTGTCTAAGAGGTGCCATTGACCTAGCTTTGCACTGAAGGGACAATAATCTTGACACTACTATTCATGGAGTGAGGATCCAGGAGTGGTTTTTAAGCCAATATGCACTGTTATGGCAGTACTGATTATTAAAATATTTAAATAGTTTCATTTTGATTGGTAAACGTCAGATAAGCAGTAACATGATTTAATAACATAAATTCCAGCACATATAGTTTCTCTCAAAAGCCAAACATACACTATAATTCCAGAACCTTTTTTTCCTTGATCAGGCACTGTGAACAGAACTCAGTCTCCGCTCCCAAATTCTGCTATTTATTCTAAATATCAGGACAGGAGAGCCAGCTTTGCAACCAAACTGAAGAGAACCTGTTCTATGATCTTCCATAAGAAATGCCCATAATCTTCCCAGGAAGAGAAACAGGGACCATGCTCAAGTAGCAAATGAAGAGCTTGCTGAGGCAGTTGTCAAATACACGTGCTGCACAGTGCTTTGTCCAGGAAAATTTTTAAAGAGCACAGGTCTTTTTAACAACTTATTTCCTGGCGGGGGGTGACTATCCCCGTGAGTCAGAAAAGGTCAGGAGGGGTGTTGCCTAAATATCTGCCAAAACACATTTACTAGTTAGAAGAGCACATACCCCCAGAGAGCTACAGTGAAGTCCTATTTGTCACACTCACCTAAATTTGCCACCTCGTCCCCATCCACTTCTTCCCTATGCTTATCAGTTCCCCTAATCCTAGGAACATACCAAGTTTGCTTGTCTCCTGGCACATAAGCCTTACTCAGCTATCAGTAACTGTAATTGTACTTTCTTCCCCTCTCTTATTTCCCCCTGTTATTTTTGTCCCAGTTAATATGTTGGCATCTGGCAGCCCCACCTCACCTGTTGACACCAGCCTGCTCCTGATTCACCCCAGGTATTCAGCTGTCTCATGCTCCCGGGAAACAAGGAAGGTAAAAGCCCTGGCCCCTGGCTCCATAATCCCAGCAACAACCAATCTTCACTCTCTTCTTGCCCTTCCACTGTTTCTCTCTCATTCTCTCTGGTTTCTGTCTTTTTGAATATTGATTTTTGACTATTCCACAGAGATAGTGCATTCGTCTGTTTTCACACTGCTATAAAGACATACCTGACACTGGGTAATTTGTATAGAAAAGAGGCTTGGCCGGGTGTGGTGGCTCATGTCTGTAATTCCAGCACTTTGGGAGGCCGAGGCAGGTGGATCACTTGAGATCAGGAGTTCAAGACCAGCCTGGCCAACATGGTGAAACCCAATCTCTACTAAAAATACAAAAAATTAGCCGGACATGGTAGCACATGTCTCTAATTTCAGCTACTCGAGAGGCTGAGGCAGCAGAATCACTTGAACCTGGAAGGCAGAGGTTGTAGTGAGCCAACACTGGGCCGCTGCACTCCAGCCTAGGTGACAGTGTGAGACTCTGTCTCAAAAAAAAAAGAAAGAAAGAAAAGAAAAGAGGCTTAGGCTGGGCGCAGTGGCTCACGCCTGTAATCCTAGCACTTTGGGAGGCTGAGGCAGATGGATCACTTGAGGTCAGGAGTTCGAGGCCAGCCTGGACAACACGGTGAAACCGTATCCCTACTAAAATACAAAAAATTAGTTGGGCATGGCAGTATGCGCCTGTAGTCCCAGCTACTTGGGAGGCTGAGGCAGGAGAATTGCTTGAACCTGGGAGGCGGAGTTTGCAGTGAGCTGAAATTGTACCACTGCACTTCAGCCTGGGCAACAAAATGAGACCCCATCTCTAAAAAGTAAAAGAGAAAGAAAGAAAGAAAGAAAAAAGAAAAGAAAAGAGGCTTAATCTGCTCAGTTCTGCAGGCTGTACAGGCTTCTGCTTCTGGGGAGGCCTCAGGAAACTTACAATCATGGTGGAAAGTGAAGGGGAAGCAAGCACATCTTCACATAGCTGGCAGGAGAGAGAACCAAGGAGGAAGTGCTACACACTTCTAAACAACCAGATCTCATGAGAACTCTCTCACTATCATCACAAGAACAGCAAGAAGGAAGTCCTCCCCCCAAGCTCCAAACACCTCCCACCAGGCCCCTCCTCCAACACTGAGGATCACAATTCAACATGAGATTTGGGTGGGGACACAGAGCCAAACCATATCAGGGAGGAAGTAAAATAGAAAAGGAGGGGGAGAGACTTAAAGAGTGATGAGGGGAGTCATATCCCAGATGGAGAGGCTAATCATGAAGCAGCATCTATGAGTCGGAGAGGACCACTGTCACCTAAAGGCTGACAAGTGAGTGGGAAATGATCACAACAGATAGAAACATGATGCTGACAGGGACATTATTTATCTGGGAACTACATAAACAAAAGATCAGATCACCAATTAGTTACTCCAAGATTACTTCGGGTGTGTTTGCTCTGACAGTTGTCTCTCTAATCTCCATGCTCCTGGTCTTGGATCTACGTCTTTGGCAACAATAAAACGTTTTCAACTCCATTGATGGAAGCAAGCAATTTTTGAACTGATTAGGGATCAATGCCGAGAATCCATTCAGTGAGAGCTGCAGTACTCTGGTAATTTGTTGAAGAAACTTTTGTCCCTCACCCAACAGCTGTTTCCAGCCCTTTCTTCTTCAATATCAAAGCCCTAAAGTTCTGAGAATAAAGATGCTAGAATTTTAATATACTTAATTTTCTTTTTTCCTGGAAGCTACTACTGACCCAAGAGGAAGTCTACTGGAGGGAGTCCAAAGGCATTTTCTCCCGGATAAAAGATACCTGCTAGAAAAAAGCTTTGTCACTCCCCTATTCCATCCCATCCCAACCTCCAACCTTTCTTCCTATTTTTGACTCATTGTAGCCTGAGGACTGAGGCTTGGAAGCTGCTGAAGCCATCTTCTGACCAGGAAGGCAGAGTGATGACGCACTACAGATCACAAAGCAGAAAGCCAGAAGGGTCCTGGATCTTGGTGAGTTCTTGATCTGCTAAATTGACCAGGAAAAGGCTACCTATAGACTTCCTATACTTATCATTTTCCTTTCACTTCAGTGGACATATTTTTCCCGGTATTTTGTGACTTGTAGATGAAAGCATCCAAACAAGCTAGTGCACCTTAAAGAACCCCACAGTGACCTGTGGCATGCCAAAGCACCCTATTTCCCTTCATTCTGAGTCGTTAGCTTTTTTGATAGACCATCAATAGGAGATAATGATTACCCCAGAAGGAACTGTAGAATTTAAAATGATCACAGTAATTTAGAATTGATGGGAGTAGACACATACCCTCTCTTCTTCATCAGCACTCTTTTCTACCAAATTGTTCTTGGGAAGTCATCAAGCTTCTGTTCAATTTTCCTAAAACAGAGAACTCATTATATCATGAAACAGCCCAACTCTCCCCTACCTTTTCTTTATGTAATTCAATTTTCCTGCCAGACCATAAAACAACACATATTATGAGAGAAAAAGAAGAATTCAATAACATTATTTCATTACTGCGCATTTTTAAAATGCACTGATCTGTAATGAAACCACCTGAAACTTGGAGAAAGATCATATGTTGAATAATATTATGTTTTTCTTGTATTTTTATAAATTATTAACACATTTTTGGATTGATTTAAAAGTAAAGAAAGTGAAGAAATTTAACATTATCTTGTAAATAACCCAACTAACACTAGTAATGTTATTAGTAAGGCAGCCTCACCGCACTCAAATTATTAATTAATGGAGTGTAATTAGAGTAAAAGATAAAAAGAAAAAACAATTTATGAAATATAATAACACTATGAAGAAATTTTATGATATTTTTATAGCACTCTATATCAAGGAAGAAACCTGCAGGGAAGAAAACTGACTACATATTTTAAAATGTATATAACTAGTATAATATTAAACATAAATATTTATCTAAGTATCTATTCAGAAGTTGGCTTCACTCAGCAATTTATGATCACAGAGAATTTATGCATTTATTTATTTTTTAAATGTCTTCCATTTTAGTTTGACTATTAAAATAATCAGAAGTTCAAAATAAAATTCACTGAAAATTTCCTTGGTTATGAACTGTATTTTGATGTTTGCTCAAAGGCCATTAATATGTGTTCAGTGATTGATGGGCTGATTTGAAATTTCTTGCAAGCTTGTAATGTCATCTTGAAATATTGTATTATTCTAAGATTCCAAAAAATTTTTAACAAAACTTAATATGGCTGTTTCAGTGTTATTCCATCAAATGTGAGATCGCAAAATTGCAGTATATCTTTAGGCCATAGATGTGAGCCATACTATATGAAAATAGAAAACGAGCTCAAGAATTTTATAGTGTAGTCATTGATCTTACAAAAGCATCTGTCTGCTAGAGCAAAGCCGAATCCTGCACACCAAAACAGCCTTATATGTATTTAGTACTCGCTCAGTCTTCTAAGACACATGTGCCCATCTCTTAAATCCGAAATAAGAATGTGTCCTTCCACACTACAAAATTATCTCCAAAATACGTATTGTGAATTACCTGTTTGGTCAAAGTAATAGACAAGATAACTTGTATCACCTATTTATTTGATGCTTTGTATTTTACACAAAAATATCCAACTCAATGGGGGAAAAAAGGTAAACCAGTAAACCACATATTCAAGGTCACGTATTATGAATAAAAGAAACCTCCTTTAACAAGTTGTATATGTAGATAAAGGCTTGGAATTCCACCAGTGTCCAATTAAGTGTCACAAAATATATTACCCCATATGTTTCTCTTTTTAGGACTAACATTTCAAACCTAAAATTTACCCTTTGTATCTTCCAATTGCCAAGGACTGACTACCACGCTAAAGTTCAGTTCATCTGCAAACAATTCAGGTTTTATGATCTCACAGTTCACTTGAATAGAGACGTGCTGATTTGTGACAAATTGTGTTAGGTTAGCTTAGAATTTCCAAAAGTAACATCTGCAAACTTTCATTTTAACATTATATGTTTTGTTATATTCTCATTTTTAGTATTTTATTTGCTAGTATTCCAAAGAAAAGTAATGTTCCCTGAAAACATAAAATAGAATGCAAGGTGGTGTGTGGTATGCATTTTCTAGTTGTTTTGTTAGTCATGCTATGAAAACAAAGAGCATAATTTTGTGGCTAAATACTGCCCACATCCCCTTTGAAAAATGCTACCTCTAGGAACATCACTTTCTCTGGTTGATATCCTTTATACCCTCATCTGAAAGTCAAATGAAGATTTCCAGGCAAAAGAAATAAGAGCTAGGGTGTGCCAGTGGGTTTATTTTTAATTGGAAAAAGAACTCCTCTTTCTTAAAAGTCAGGTAATGATTTCAATGTGTTTCTAAGCAAGACCTGAATAAAATATTAGACAATCATGCTCAAAAGCTATTAGTGGTTTTCTAATCTAATACAAGGAGCAGTAGTTTGGAAAGTAATTGGGGTTTTCTTTATTTGTAGTTGTAGAACTTGTGGAAAATTTACCAACTATACCATTGTTTTTGAAATTTTTATCAGGCAAAACACTGAGTTTCAACATTTTTATATGTGACTGGGAATAATATCCCCATGCATTAACTGATAGATTTAACCCACAGAAAAGTGCTACAGAAATAAATACACAGTATTCATGAGATAAAATCTAGACCTGCAGACAGTGGGGGACAGGCTGTGTTTTGCGTGCATGCGTTCCCCTCCCCACTAAAAATAGTCTGTTATTCTAAAGTCTTATGATCATTTTTTAAAATTATTATTTCTGGAGCCAAATTTGAAGGCTAGAGTCTACTTTGTTCCCAGATAAATTCTTGTATTGAATTCATCAATCAAAGTATTGATTGGAATAAAATTTGGATTTGTGTTTCTTTAACTCCGGCATCACAGATCATACAATCTGCATGTCCACAATATATCGCAAATGCTAGCATAGGAAATTGCTAAGCATGGAGCAATGGGTAACTTTTATTTAAAGGGAGAATTGTGTGAGTCGGGCAAGAAAGCAAAAATAATTGGATGATGTTGTGTGACAGAGCAAGCTGGTGTGTTTTCTTCCTCTGAACACTTCAGCATTAAATGTAGAATTTCCTTGGTTATGGCAGGTGCATGGTGTATTGGGTTCATGTTTTTAGTTGACAACTTTTGACACGTGTGCTAACTTTCAGGATGAAGGAAGAGAATCAGACAAAGTGCCAAAATATATAAAATTCCCACCATCTCACCTTTAGAAATAGGTCTCCTCTCCAAAATAAAGCTCTTTCAAGAATAGAAATCCAACTGTGTTCTCCAACTGTAGATTTTGCATGGTAGAGGTTCAGTAAGGAATACTGAGTAGGATTTATATCCATTAGCATACAAAAACTCAAATTAAGAAACATTTGAATGGTGATAAAAGAATTGCCTCCCCACTGCATCTTTGAAAGTGCATTTGGCACAATATTTCTTGTCCTGCTGATAATCATCTTTTCTTCCTGCTGTTTACCCAGTCCCCATTTCTGAAGACTAAGTAACTTTTTTTAAAAGAAAACAGACTCGCAATATTAAAATAAATCCTAATGACTTGATCTAGAGACAAAGTATAATGTCCACCATTTTAAATATCATAAATATAATCTAAAAAATAAGAACTTCATATATTTTCAATATACAGATATGTATTTTTTCCAACACTAGTAGGATGCATTAAAATATGTTCTCCTTAAGAGATTTCAAATTCGTTACCAGACAGTTATGTTTTCACTTTAGTTTTAAAAACGGGGCTGGCAGCGCTTTATGAATAAAAATGAAAAGTAAATTCCACAGCCAGAAAGTCTAGTGCCTGTGAGCCCTTGTTCCTTGGGACTTGAGATTATACATTGGGCAAACCAGTAGCCTACTGATTCAATCTCAGTGAGTAACAGAGAGGTTGTAGTGAAAAAAAAAAAAAAACACTAAAATTATATCGAGTTCTGGCTACCAAGTGTTTTATTAGCCAGATTCAAAAATCAATAGGAAGTCTTTGGGCTCTCAATGTAGAGATTTTAAAAGAACCTATAAAGGGAATATTATCAGTCTTCCTGTTCATCTACTGAAATAAAATAGAGGTTGTAGCTCTCCTCTCCTGGCTAAGAACAGTAAAAGAATCAAATTTGAGCATGGCAAAGGTTGCTTCACATACCCAACCTCTGAAAAATTCTCCACACATCATCATGTAAGCCACATGGTTAAAGGTAAGGTTATGTCTGAATTTCAGACTGGAAGGGGTCTTGGATATCATCTAATTAAATGTCCTGATTTTATAGTTGAGGAAAGTAAATCGACAGTCACTTAGCTATTTAATTGTGTAGCCATGAGACTAGAATTGAAATCTTCTGAATATCCATCAACAGTTTTGGAGCAGTTTCCCCTTTCCACCATACACAACAGAGATATTTCTTGTGAACCAAAAGTCACGGTTTTCAAGCATTTTTGAAGATATGGTGAGAAATACATTTCATATCATTCATTATTACCACATACACACAAGAGAGACAAAAATTTCTTGAAACAATATTTACTACATATGATACACCCAGGTTCTCTATTCCTTTCTAGTATATGCTACTGTATTTTTTAATGGTAATCAAGACCCAATAGAATAATAATTTCACTATTTCCTAAGAGATTATGATTTTTTTTTTTTGAGACAGGTTCTTGCTCTGTCACCCAAGCTGCAATCCAATGGCATGATCATAGCTCACTGCAACCTCGAGCTCCTGGGCTCGAGCGACCCTACAGCCTTAGCCTCCCAAGTACCTGGGACTACAGGAGCACACCACCATGACCAGCTAATTGCTTTCTTTTTTGTTAAGACAGGATCTTGCTATGTTGACCAGGCTGGTCTCTAACTCCTGGCCTTATGCAGTTCTCCGAAATCACTGGGATTACAGGTGTAAGCCACTGCACCTGGCTATACATTTTGAAACAATAACTGTAGTCTAACTTTCCTATTTTGTTGTCTTTGAAGAGACATAAAGAACTTTAATTGTGATTTCAGGAAATTATGCCAACAACCCAAGAGGCAAGAGAACAGGGCATGTACCTTTCAGACAGAGGAAGACCCTGAGTGAAGACGACCAGTGCCGATTTTACTCATTATGCATGACTTTCTCATACCAATTCACCCCAAATTGCTTGTTCATATAGCACTCTACCCAGTCAGGAAGAGGATGATCTAGAGAGGAAGGTTTATTTCCACATAACTGCTTCCACCTTCCTGATTTCCATTTCCAATCATGTTTTGCCGAGTTGTTGGAAAATCGGAGTACCTTTCACTGTAGTTTCTTTTTACAAGTAAATTGCTTTCCTCACATTTTGCTGGATAATTCCATTTTAATAATCCTTAAATACATGCCCATGTCTTTCATCTAGTTCAGCGCCCCATTCCGTGGACCATGGGCAACCCATTCTTCTATTCAATTCCCCTCTCTAAATAGAAAATAGGGATCCCTGTGGAATACTTACAAGTCCTTTGACTCTTTTGTAGCCACATGCTTCCTCTGTACCCCACCCTACTCCCTATTCCTCCTCCCACACACTCTCATTCTCTCTCTGGTTCTTATTCTGTCTGTCTGTCTCACAAACTAACGCATACTGGCAGGGATACATGCCAGTCTGGGGATAGGATGTACAAGTTGACTGGATTCCTTGGGTAATACAGATATGTGCACTGCTCCCACTGCTGGACCCCACTATCTGTCACTACCACTGTGCACACACATATAGGCACCTGCAACCACCACCACCCAGTCTAGGGATCGAGTGATTTTTTACATGGCTAGTTCTTTCTGTTGGCTAGTTTTGTGATTCTGTTGACTTGTTTGCAACCAAATTTTAAGCAAAAGCCTAATACAGAAGTGAGAGAGAAGGAGCCTTTCTGGTTTAGGGGAATATCGAATGTACACACTGGCTTTGCTTCTCACCTGTCTTCTACCTTCTACCATTACAAGGCAGGCTTAGCTCCTTGGAGCAGTTTAAAAACCTGAGGTCTCTCCCAGTGCTCTCAGACATTACCAGAAAAATATAATACTCTGGTCATCTGGAATGGGAATGAAAAGGAAAGAATAAAGGGAAGAGAAATAGAGGGAGATAAATTCCTTATAATTTGTGTTAGATAACACCTGAAAGAGTTAAGAACAAAGCTGTGCTGAAGTCTTCAGCAGAGATGTTATTAGCTGTATTGTTTGTATTCATCCTTGTATCAGTTTGTTTTTAGTAGCAGCCACACAAGTGATCAAAGGGTCTTCAAAAAGAGCACTTTATTATGACAAGTATCACTCACAGTTAAGCCATCTCTGCATTCCTGAAACATGCACAGACCCTCAAAAAGAACAAAACAAATTAAGTTAAAAGTAAGAAACACACATTGGGCAACAGTCCCCCATGGCAAGCATGGCATCCTTTCCTTTTTAGCTAAAATCATTTTTCAACCGGTAAGACAGCAGACTGCTGAGAGGCTCTCTGTGGAACAGTCACGGAGATAGCAGGTGATGCCATCCCAGCCCTCTGAATGTCAGAGAAGAATTCCTGCTTCTTCACATTGTGAGCTGGTAAATCTACATCAGGCATAACTGCAAAATAAAAGCCAGATGGTCTCAAACTTTCCTACCACTGCCAATGACCCAGAGATGAATTGTCTTTGCAGGGATCAACACAGCAATCTTGACTTATAGACACTCTAGACTTAAAGTAGCACAGCCCCATCACCTCCTCCCTATAGTGGAAAGAACTTGTTTAACCCCAGTTGTACAATTCTTCGCAAACTGATATTTGCAGTGAAAACTCTATATGCCTAAGTGCAAACAAAAAGGTTTCTTGAAGATGTTTTTGTGTCTCTCATATGCCTTTAGTTAAATGTGGATGGAAATGTTTGAGGCAACTTCCAAAGTCAGACCATTAACAGGATGGGTGTTTCTTGTTGAACATGGAGTGGAAGGTTAAGCAATGAGAAATTTGGCAAATCTTCTTGGCCAGTAGCCTCCAGCAATGTGTTTCAGAAGGCCTTTACTTATCTGTTCTCTGCTCTCAGCCTCACTATTTGTTTGAGGGTGGTGAGGCACAATTGCGACAGGTTAGATAAGGTTTCTGTCTGCACATTCCTCAAACTCAACTGAGGTTAAAATAACAGAAACAATAATGTCTGTCAATCTGAGATGCTGTAAATAAGTGACACAGAGGAGCTGTGCCCAGATGTCAGGGATTTAATTTAGAACTAGGAGCACTTGTAGAAACACTGAACAGTGTCCCAGAATCATGAATGGTTTTCTCCAGAATGATCCGGCAAAGTAACTTATTCTCTTGACCGTGGCTTCTTTGGTCCCCATACCCAGCAAAGTAAGTACTTTGGATCCGTTACAACAGCAAATTGGCACATGCCACACACCTTTATAGACTTAAATATCAGAATCATTTCCATGCAACCAGCTACATTTTAAAGCCAAAGCTTTTATACAAACAATTCAGAATGTGAGCGTTTGGTGTGGCAAACATAATGCAATCATTTCATTTGAGAATAGCAATGTAATTCCCCCCTTTAAAATGTATGCTTTATGCATAGACAGTTCACATGAATGCTTGTGAAAGGCCTGGTTCCTGAGCAATAACTTACTGAAGAGTAGACAATTGGTGTTTCATTGCTTTACGGCATTTGCAGCTAAATCTAAACTCCCAGGTTGAGCAATGGTTTCTGTTTGATGTAGTGCAAAAGCACAGATGCAGAAGATAATGACTGCTTAGAAATCGCCCTCGTGCTTGTCTCCAGTGGTACAACTTGATTTCCCATAGGTCTGATTCAGCGTTATGTAGAACTTGAAGACATATATTTGTTCAAGGAACACTTAGGGTTTGCCTTTGTTACTTAGTTGTCATATCATCAGCTGTGATGGACTTTTTTTGTTTGTTTTTGAGACTGAGTCTCACTCTTTTTGCCCAGGCAGGAGTGCAATGGCACGATCTTGGCTCACTGCAACTTCTGCCTCCCTGGTTCAGGTGATTCTCGCGCCTCGGCCTCCTGAGTAGCTGGGATTACAGGCACCCACCACCACGCCCAGCTAATCTTTGTATTTTTAGCAGAGATGGGGTTTCACCATGTTGGCCAGGCTTGTCTTGAATTCCTGACCTCAGTGATCCATCTGCCTCGGCCTCCCAAAGTGCTGGAATTACAGGCATGAGCCACTGTGCCCGGCCGGGATGGACTTCTTTTAGATGGGATATAGTTCAGAGGTACTGACCTAATTTGCCTAAAAAGTGACTCTGTAAGTTTCAACTAAAGAATTCGCAATGTTTTTGCTCAATATTTGATGTATGTAAATTATAAGGAAGGAATTCCATGAATCACTTTCATTAAGGTAAGCTTTAAAACCATAGAGAAAATTTGGTTTACTTAGATTAGTTTTAAGAAGAACACAGCATTTGTTAGAAAAAATAATTTGAGAAGTAACTTAGATACCATGAAGGCAAGCTTAGGGTAATGAGAGATGCAAATGTTCAGGAGGGGAATTTAAGATAATACTGGAGGAGGAAAGGAGGTAGACTAAGAAGAAAGGACAAAGAAAGAATATAGATAGTACAGAGAAAAGAGCAAGATGATGGATTCTGTACATAGCAATGAATGACCACATAATTTTAAAGTAAATTTGACATAAATCATGAAAGGTTTGGTGTGAGTTGCTTTCTTGTTGAAACCACTTCAGAAGCTGAATTCTGCATTTCATACTGATTTTGAGAAAAATGTAAGGGCTACATGTGGACTCAAATAGCTGATACATAACCAAAGATTTGATATATGATTTGTTGACTTAATGCTCAGAGACATTAGAAATATTTTACCATACTTGGAATCCTAGAAAATAAGAGATCATGTCTTAAACAGAAATAAATAAATAAATAAATAAAAAGAGTTCAACATAAAAAATCTACTCCAATAAAAGTTGAAAAGAAATTAAGGGAATATTTTCTAATAATTGTACAGAGAAACAATATTTAGCAAAACAAATAAAAGGAAATTTTTTTTCACTTTATTTTGCTAAATATTTGAATACATAAATATCAGACAATCAGCTGTTTGAAATATATGAATATCAGAAAATATTTTTAAAATTTAAAAGGTAGAAAAATTAATTGGCAAACATTGCTATGACATGACAAACAGCAACAAGTACTCAATAAACAGGCTTATGAGCTGGAAGCCATCATCCTAAGCAAACTAACACAGTAACAGATAACCAAACACCGCATGTTCTTACTCATAAGTGGGAGCTGAACAATGAGAACACATGGAAACAGGGAGGGGAACATCACACACTGAGGCCTGTCAGGGGGTGGGGCTGGGGGGAGAGAGAGCATCAGGACAAATAGCTAATGCATGTGGAGCTTAATACCTAGGTAACAGGTTGATAGGTGCAGCAAACCACCATGGCACATGTTTACCTATGTAACAAACCTGCGCGTTCTACACATGTATCCTGGGACTTAAAGTAAAATTAAAAATTAAAAAAGGCTTATGAAATCAATGTGGTCAATGCTAACACTTTGAGAATATAAGCAAACAAACATCAATCCTGAAAAACATAAAAAAAAAAACAAAAATAGCAGTACCTAAAGAATACATGCATTCTGAAATACTCAATGCTTACAAGGGTGTGATGGGATAAGCACACTCATAAACTGCTTTTTTTTTTTCAATTTTACTTGAAGTTCCTGAATACAAGTGCAGAACATGCAGGTTTGTTACATAGTATACATGTGCCATGGTGGTTTGCTGCACCTATCAACCCGTCATCTAGGTTTTAAGCCCCTCATGCATTAGCTATTTGTCCTAAGGCTCTCCCTCCCCTCGGCCCCTACCCCACAACTGGCCCCGATGTGTGTTATTCCCCTCCCTGTGTCCATGTGTACTCTTGTTCAAATCCCACTTGTGAGTGAGAACATGCAGTGTTTGGTTTTGTGTTCCAGTGTTACATAAACTGCTTTTAATAAGGTTACGAATTTTGCAGTTTTTCTCAAAGGCATATACATACACCACTTTTCAGGAATTCTGCTTCTGTGAATCTATCCCACTGAAATTATTAGAAATAAGAATAAATTATTCTGTGTAAATATGCCAATTATTATATTATTATAATAAAATTCTGAAATTAGCCTTAATGTCCAGAGATGGTTAAATAATGATGCTGTGTGCTAACGACGGAACATTTTGCAGCCATTGAAATGCCATTTTAAAAGCATGCATTTGAATATGACCATTAGGCACTTTTTATTAGGAGGAAAAAAGTGAAAAACTAAATTGTATGTATATTAGAATTCCTATTTTTTTCCTCTCTATATATATTTAGACAGAGGGAATAGACAATAGATACATAAGGCTGGTGAAAAATACAGGAATATATATATCATGGTTATATGTGAATTTTTAGAGTAAGATTTTCATTTACTTCTTAATACTTTCCCATATTTTTCAAATTTTCAAAATAAACAATTATTACTTTTGTGATGTTTACTTTTGATCATTCTTTACCCATCACAAAACACTATCCTCTTGAAGTATTGAACAAGTAAAACACTCTGAAATAAAGAGATGCTTAAGTTGAGATGGACCTAAAGAATAAAGCCTATTTGATTTTCTGCAATGTGAGAAGTGGGCTGAAGATTGCTACTAGATATGGTGTTGCCTAAGGGTAGACACTTCTCAAAGTTACACTTCATTATCAAGTATGGAAATGGTCTGTCAAGTATGCATAGTTAGTATAAGTTCACCTTATTTGGCTATATATACATAACTGGTGTTTAAGTGAGGTGATGCAATGTAGATTGATTAAGATAAAATAATATGGGAACCTCTTTGCAAATTCCAAGTTCATTTACACTTATCATACATTTGAAACCTAGTTAACCTTAACTGATGGGAACTCTATCATCATAGAATGTGCATGTCCAGTTCGGGAGCCCTAACAGCCTGGGTTGTGTAGATAGACAGTATCAAGCTACTGGCCTTGTCAAAACCCCAGGCAGGATAAGCTGAGCTCATAATTGTTGGCGCCGTCATCAATCCCAGTTGAACCAAGAGAATCAAGTCTTTCAGCCTCTGAAATGATTAAATTGAGACTCAATCTATCCCACTTCTGTTTTCATCGCCCATTTCCATCAAATTTCTCAGGATTTTGGACTATCAAGTATTTCTTCTTTTTTGTATGTTAACCTCTAACCTCTTACTCTTTAGTAGTTCCTTCCCATCCATAAGTAAATGGGCTAAATTTCTCTCCCATACAATAAATACAAAAAAAAAAAAAAAAAACCATAAAACAGAAAATCCTTTATTGACCTCACATGACTTCTAGCAACCGCTGATCTCTTTCCTCCCTTCACAACAAAACATTTCAAAAGACTTTTCTACAGTTCCTATCTACATTTTATTTTCTCACAATCACTCTCCATCCAATGACCTTCATGTAGTTAAATTCAAGTTTTTTTTTTCTTTCTAGTGCTTGCCTTACTGCATGTCTTCTTGATATTTACCCTTGATGCTACTCTCCTACCCTTCCCCTATTTTTCAAATACTCCCCGCCTTTAGCTTCCATGATTTTGAACTAAGTTCAATGAGTTGGACAATTCCTGCTCTGTCTCCTTGGTATAGTCAAACTTCGCCACCAAAACATTAAATGTTGGCTTGGGTTCTTTGCTTCTAAAATATAGTAATTCTCCCACTCATGCTGACGGTTTTCATTATTACCCTACAAGATTTTACCAAATTTTATCTCAAGCTCCAGCCACTTTTCTGACTGCCTATTTACCACCACCACCAGGATATTTAAAAGATGCTTCAGAACATCATATTCAAAATCTGCCACAGTCTACTCCATCACTACTACCCATAACTTTATTCTTATGTTTTCTATATCATTGAATGGATATCTCACTTTATTATGTCGCACATGCCACATATTTTAGCACCATCTGTAATATCTCTTCCATACTCCCTTAACCAACTCAATACCAAACCTGGCTGATTTTTGCCTCCTAAAACACATCTCCTATTTTCTGCCTCTACTGTATGTATCTTGACTGCTATCCCTGCTTTTATTCTTGCTTCCCTCAAATCTGCTCTCTATTTTGCAGCCAGAATGCTATTTTTAAAACACAAGGTTGAATATATCACTGTTTGCTAAAAACCCTGAAAGTGGTTTTCACAGGTTTGTGGGGCTCCTTTTATGTGTTTTAAAAAGAAATTCCCATTCACGGCCCTTCCCATCTCTCCATTATCTCTCTCACTGTACTCCTTTCACTCTCTGCATTGCCAGGCATGTTAACCTTCTTTCACGTCTCAAACAAAGCATGCTCCATCCTTCCAGAGTATATGCTGTTTCTCCCACTAACTGAAATGCTCTTCACTCAGATACCCTGTTGTTTTTATTTAACCCCTCATCAAACTTTTTTTATCTTAGTTAAATAATACTTTACTTTTCTCAACTAAATCTCCCCCAGCATAGACATAACAACATAGATATGGCAGCGTATCTCCCTGCTATGCACCCTCATGATAGTCTTTTTCAGAGTTGTAAATTGTAGTTTCAACTCCTTTGCTGTCTAAAACATATTATGAATGAATGAATGAATGAATGACCAATTAATATGTACTAGGTCCTGAGGTGACAAAAGCAATTTTGAGATAAATAAATCCTGGTTCCTGATCTCCAATCTGGTGGGAAAGAAACTTACACAAATAATTAAAGGCATAATGCAGTATGATAACTATTGTAGTAAAGAAATGTACCATACAAGTTTGTGGAGAGGAAAATCCAATGAATTCTACATGGAAGGGACAGGGCATGCAGGCTTCAAAGCAAAGCTGACACTTGTGCTGAACTTTGAAGAAAGATCTGAAGTTAGTGAGGTAAAGACTTTGGGGAAAAAGATATCCTAGGTGTAAAGAACAGCATGAACAAAGTCAAGAAGGTGTTGGCACACATGTCAGGTACAAGGAATTTGGAATGAATGCTTCTTTGTGTCTAGAACAGGTGGTGTATGGAGGAGAGTAGCCCAAGATTAGAAAAAGAGATAGCTGTCTAGAATTGCCACAGCTGTGAATTACTATGCAAAGATCTTGAGACTACACTTTTTCTGAACACAGTGAGATCTTCTCTCTCTTTCTCTCAGGTGGCATGATTTTTGCCAAATATAGTAGTAGGTGGCAAAGTGGTAGGAAGGAATGGCAATATGAGAGTCAGAAAGTCCCATAGAAACCTATTACAATCATCTAATGAAGCCATAATTAGAGCAGTAGCAATGGGGATGGAGAGAGAATTTTGGGATTTTTACCTTCTAACTTTTAGGTTCAGGGGTACATGTGCAGGTTTGTTATATAGATAAATTTGTGCCACAAGGGTTTGTTGTACAGATTATTTCATAACCAGGTACTAAGCTTAGTATTCAATAGTTATCTTTACTGATCCCCTCCCTCCTCACACTCTCCATCCTCAAGTACGCCCCAGTGTCTTTTGTTCCCCTGTGTCCACGTGTTCTCATCATTTAGCTCCCACTTATAAGTGAGAACATGCGGTATTTGGTTTTCTGTTCCTGCATTGTTAGTTTACTAAGGATGATGGCCTCCAGCTTCATCCATGTGCCTGCAAAGGACATGATCTCATTCTTGTTTATGGCTGTATAATATTCCATAATGTATATGTACCACTTTTTTTAATCCAGTCTATCACCAGTGGGCATTTAGGTTGATTTCATGTCTTTGCTATTGTAAGTAGTGATACAATGGACACACCTATGCATGTGTCTTTATGATAGAACAATTTATATTCCTCTGGGTATATACCCAGTAATGGAATGGCTGGATTGATTGGTAGTTCTGCTTTCAGCTCTTTGAGAAATCACCACACTACTTTCCACAATGGTTGAATTAATTTACACTCCCACCAACAGTGCATAAGTGTTTTCTTTTCTCCACAACCTCGCAGCATCTGTTATGTTTGAACTTTTTAATAACTGCCATCTCAAACTAACTGGTTTGAGATGGTATCTCATCGTAGTTTTGATTTGCATTTCAGAGAGAGAATTTTTAAGATAAAATAAGTATGACCTGGTGGCCAACTGGAATGTGAACCAGGGAAGTAGTGAAAGAATGGAAGAATCAAGGACATTTAGCTTGGGTAACTGACTGGCATTTACTGAGACAGGGTACACAGTAGTAGGACAATATGTGGTGGAAAAAACAGCCACATTTTTCTGCTCCTGAACAGTGCATGATCTAGTAAAAGAAAGACATACCATCAGCAATCACCTATACCATGATATTAATATGCAGGAAAACCTTTTCTTACCAGCTGGAGTAAGATATCATCTTAAGGAGAGCCCATCATTTGTTTAGGAAGTGTTTTGATAAATCTGCTGAGAATCAGGGCTGACAACCAGGATTTGAAGACCTGGGTGTCTAGCTATATGCACAGGAATGTAGGAGGAAATAGAGACACTGTTGGGAGTTGGGGAAAGATTGAAAGAGGGAGTAACTGGCAGCAGAAAGGGGATATCCAGAGCATATTTGGAGGTGAAATGTTTGTGTTATGTGTAGTATAGAATTCTTCCTTTGGATTCTACTATGACTTCTTCAGTAAATTCCACAGTTCATACTGACACTTTGAGAAGCATATTTTATTTTGGGAGAATGCAAAAGAAGTGCCCAGGGTTGTTTCATGCTTGATGGAGAAATCAGAGGAGAGCCATATCTGGGTTTCAAGGTAATTTTAAAGTCCTATAAAGAAAAGGTAAAGAAATGCATAGACACATAGAAGCTTAGTAGGATAATGCTCCTGTTTGAGATTTCCTGAAATGAAGAACTTTCCCTGGCAAGGAAAAAAAAAAAAAAAAAAAGCATACGCAAAGGCATAAAGATATACAATGGTAAGTGATCTGGGATAATCAGTGTGATGAAGGGTAGGAGAGGGAGGGGAATAGTGAGAAGTGGCTGAAGCAATGAATTCAGACCAAAATTTTCTATTCAATAAGGGAGTATATATTCAATTTTTTCCCAGTAGTACTTGAGAGTGAATTTATACTGTCTACTTGCTTTCTAACTATTTTAATATTTTACTATGAATATCTACCAAAGGCCCTAAGATAAAACAATGGCTACATATGAGGCAAAGGGAAGTTGAGCAGGTCCTTGTCACGCTATTGTGGAAAAGAAAAAAGGGTTGAACATGCAAAATCTCTTAGATATAACACTAAATAAACTTTTAAAATACTGTCAGAAAGAAACATTATATACATGGAATCACCATACCCTCCTGGCATATAACTCAGTCATTGACTGATTACTTCCTACAATATTTCCAGGATGAAAAGCATGTTCTTGCTAAAAGTCAATGCTTAATAATTAAAGTAAAGGCTCTGTCTCTTCATTGAGGAAAAATTTGTAAAATTTGTAGTAAGACTATTCCTTAATGCTGATTTCTTCTCCCTACACTAAGAATTGTAGCTAACACTGTTGCATGCTTAATATGACTTTCTTCTCAGGACCAAAGCACAATCTCCTTCATGTTATGGAGTAGATGAGCAATTATGCATGACTAATTCTGTAAAACTCACCTCAAAGATATAAAGATTAGTCTCATTACATTTCCATTATTCTTTAATAATTATTAAAACAAAGAACTACCTACTGTAGATGGCTCAATGGACCTTGTGTTTCCTTCCTCTGCATTTGTAATGAATTGAATAGATTTTATATTTTCAACAAATCAATTGCCTATTCCCTAATTTACATTATTGTTCACTTGGAAAAGATGAAACATTTTACTCTTCAGTGCAAGGTGTACATTGAATGAGTACGGGATTTTTATGCAAATTATTCATTGACACTAGCGAAACAGAAACATATCACTTATTATCAAAGCTAAATTAGCCAAAAGATTCACTGTTATTTTTTTCCCTTATTCTAATTTGAAAGCCCAAGATTATCAGTACACCTACTGTTCTTTCGGCATGCATAACACATTTAAGGGAAAAGCATTCATTACTCTATCCACAATTCTCTTAAAAAAATAAAAAATAAAAAAAAATAAAAAACGGCCAGGCGCGGTGGCTCACGCTTGTAATCCCAGCACTTCGGGAGGCCGAGGCGGGCGGATCACGAGGTCAGGAGATCGAGAGCATCCTGGCTAACACGGTGAAACCCCATCTCTACCAAAGATACAAAAAATTAGCCGGGCGTGGTGGTGGGCGCCTGTAGTCCTAGCTACTGGGGAGGCTGAGGCAGGAGAATGGCGTGAATCCAGGAAGCGGAGCTTGCAGTGAGCCGAGCTTGCGCCCCAAAACAAACAAACAAAAAAACAAAACTCTTTTTTGAGACATCAAAGAAAATATCATTTTTATATCTTTTCCACAGGCTGTTGTTTATACAGCATTTTGGCAGCTGCAACACGTTGAATCCAGAGCCATCAAAAATCGTCAGTGAAAATGACTAGTGACTAGTAGCAGGGTTTCTCACACATTTCATCTTGACCTTCTCTCGCTCACACTAAGATAAGACAGCTTTTAGAATCATTTCATTAACATTAGGTAACCATGTGAAGGAAAATCTTTTTCAGAAAGAATTAACCACACCATCCCTCTGGGAAATCGCTTAGTAAACCTGCACACTGGGCTAGTCAGGGTTTGTTAAGTGTCTGCAGCATTGTTTAAATCCCAAATACACTGAAAACAAACCACACCTTCCACTGTTAACCTTACTGCTATAGTGAGACTAGCTAGCCCAAACACCTGAGATAAATGTGGCACTCACAGCCCTCACCAACTGTCAATTTATCCCACTGTTAGAGCCAGACCACAGGAAAGACCACATTAAAAAGTAATCATAAAACCTTCTTGAATGATGATAAGCTATCCCTGCTATTTTTTAAACTTTTCTTTATAGACTTTATAGCAATGTTTGCATTGCTATGTCAGGATTTATGACTTCCAAGTGTAAAATGCTGTAGCCCTGGTTCACAGGGAGGTTGCATTAGTTTAGCAGGTCAATCCAAACACAAATCTAGAAGATGTTTTGATGCAGAGCCCTATTTCTCAGTAGTAATGTCAGTTCTCATTGGGTGTATAATAAAGTGTATTGAAAGACCTTTTAAGTCAGCAACCATTTTGACATAACCTGGTATCAGGATAAACAGCTGTTGCAAAGAAGTGATTCTTAAGGAAAATAAAAATGTAATCCATCACCATTGAGTAAGAAAAAACAACTATAATATTTAAAAAGTTTAGCAGATGCAATATTGCTGTGTATTTGTGGGTAGTTGGTTAACTATTCTCTTCCCACAGATTAGCAGATCTCTGAGCATAATCATTCATGTTCTAACGGTTAAAGCTGCTTCATATTCTCCTCCCACAACTTTCTGTAGTAATTGTTTTCAGTCATCCATAAAGCAGTGAAAATAACACATATTTTATTCATGATACCAAAAGCAAAATTGTGGAAAAAAAGTAAAAACAGAGCTACATATAAAAGATTTCAACTTCTGAAACACAGTATCAGTTTTTAAAAGAAAAAAAAACTTTCTTTGCTAATACCTTTAACCTTACACGTCCCCAAACATGTTTAAATAAATGTAGCAAAAGACAGCTTAGCCACAAAATGGTGGTAGGGAAAACGTCCCATAAAAGAAGTAGAGGACTGAATGAGGATGAAAAGAGAGAACAGGGAAACCTCACAAGTTGCCTTCATAAAAACAACTGTGTTAATCTTCAATAAACACCAGCATTTCCAATTATTTTTAAATGCTTGTAGTATAAAATTAACAATTATATCATAAAAATACTATTATGCAATAAATTCTTCCAAACGTCTTTTGTTTTACAAATAGAAACATACTTTTTGTCTGACACTAAACTTTTCATTCATACTCAAGTGACAACCACACCTACTGGGACAGCCTCCTATTTATTCAAGAAGTATTTCTGAGGGCCCACTCTGTGCCAGGATCTGTGACAGATGCCCCTGTCAAAAGAAATATAAATAGCTACCTTAATGTATTTTTTAGTAAGGTTATGTTAGGCATATTTGATTCTTAAAAAGAATCCCAAATATATGAATATGATATATAATAGAAACATTTCCTGAAATGGGCATGCAATGCGTGGATATATTCATTGTGAACAAGAGGTCAGAAGCCCAGAGAAATAGCAACCTGGCACCAAGAATCAACAGGCTGATAAAAAAAGAATGAGATCATGTTCTTTGCGGTGACATGGATGAAGCTGGAGACCATTATCCTTAGCAAAATAACACAGGAACAGAAAAGCAAATACCACATGTTCTCACTTATAAATGGAAGCTAAATGATGAGAACACATGGACACAAAGAGGGGAACAACAAATATTGGGGCCTTTTGGAGGGTGGAGGGTAGAGGAGGGAGAGGATCAGGAAAAACAACTAATGGGTACTAGGCTTAATACCTAGATAATGAAAAAATCTGTACAACAAACCCCCATGACACAAGTTTACCTATGTAACAAACCCTCATCTGTGCCCCTGTACTTAAAATAAAAGTTAAAAAAAGAATAAAGTACTTAGGAGTAAATTTAACCAAGGGGGTGAAAGATCTATACACTGAAACTATAAAACACTGATAAAAATAAATTGAAGAAGACATAAATCAATGGAAAGATAGCCTGTGTTCATGTATTGGAAGAATTAATATTGTTAAAATGTTCATACTATTCAAAGCAATTTACAAATTCAATCAATCCCTATCAAAATTCCAATGCCATTTTTCAGAGAAATAGAAAAGAAATCCTAAAATTCATATGGAACCACAAAATACCTGCAATAGCCAAAGCAATTTCAAGAAAGAAGAATACATCTGGAGACATCATACTTCCTGACTTTAAACTATATTACAAAGCTATAGTAATCAAAACAGTATTGTGCTGGCATAAAAACAGACACATATATCAATAGAATAGAGGGTCCTGAAATAAACCCACACACACAGTCAACTAATATTTGACAAAGATGCCTAGAATACAAAATTGGGAAAGGATAGTCTCTTTAATACATGATGTTGGGAAAGCTGGATATCTACATATTCTAAAGGTCTTTATAAGATTTTTTCAGACTTTATGAATTTTGAAAATTAAATGAACAATATTTGTGCTTAAGAAAAAGAATCAACAGGCTGAAGAGATCACAAGAGACACAAGACAGCACAACCAGAAAAGGAAATTTTCTTCTCAAGGAGCAACATCATGCTGAACAGAAATAGAGCAAACTATTTTTATAAACATGAAGATACCATCATACTCTATTATAGATAGCATTATAATTATGGATTTTTTTAATGTTTTAGGCGTTTACTCCCTTTCTTGTTCTGCCAAAATTCTAATATTAGAAAGCAGAGTCAAAGACAAATCAGTTGAAAACCATTGCAGTCGCTGAGTAAGGTATTTGCATTTCTTCAGTAACCACTCATAACTCTTATGAATAATCTCAATGAGTGTGACTAAAACCTGGAGTTGTCTGACTCTCCTCAGCCAGATGAATCTGACCACTCCCTCTTTACACCCCATTCAAACTTCTCTTATAGCACATAACATTTTATTGTACTTTTTTATAAATCTATCTCATTTGCCATGACATATCATCTCGAGGGGAAGGACCTTGTCTTGTGTAATTTGGTACCCATTACCTATGGCACTTATTGAATGTCTTAAATAATAAGTAATAAATTTGTATTTGAGTTTTAAGTAATCAGAGCCAGAAAAGGAAACAAAATCAGGAGTATTACCAATATTTTGTTTTAGAAAAATTAGATTTTGATTGTTAAATGTGATATTTATTATTAGTATTGCTATGATTCTTTTGCTAAAACTGCAAAGCCTATACCTTTAAATTCTGCCTATATAATTAGCTTTCAGCATGGCACAGAACAAGCCACTCAACCTCTCTATTTTTTAGTAGTAAAAATTTTTTAAATTTACCTTACAGGAAGGGTGGGAGAAACCAGCTATGAAACAAATTATAATATAAAAGTGCTATATAAAGATTAATGGAGAGAACTATGACTTATAAAAAATGATTATAATAAAATAAAATAACTGTGGATGCAATAGCAACCTATATCAGAAACAAAGGGGCTACAGAAACGACTTTGAAGTTATCTCAATTACTATTTATCCCAACAGCAGTTTATTCAGATCACAGTTGATGTTTATTCTTTGGTCCCTGAATATATTTCTAAGATGACTTCTCTAATATGCCTTATGTTGTAATAATGAATATATTATTGAATTTATAAAGCTCATTATTCATTTTTAAATACACAACTCTGGTACAAGATCATGATTTTTATAAGCTAAAAAAGAGAGATATATTTGGAGAGCTAAAAAAGTTCAAGAGTCTATGGGATGCAAAGTTTTCTTTGACTCAAGACCTCTTTTGACCCCATCCTTTTATTTTGAAAAATATCAAGCTTACATAAAAATCGTAAAAAAAAAAGTACAATGAATACCACATACCCTTCAGCTATATTCACCAATTGTTAACATTTTGCCGTATATGCTATATGTCTAAACACATGCACACACACAAAGACACGTACTTTTTTTTTTTTGCTGAACTGCTTGTAAGTAAGCTGCACATAATAAAATATTCACCTCTAACTATTAAATAATTCAGGTTATATCTCCTAAGAAGTAGGAAATCAGGCCATTGTTCTAAATAGCCACACCATCATGATCACACTCAAGAAATAAAACACTGGTATAGCAATATTAGCTAATCCAGTGTTTCTCAAATTATCTATGGAGGAGAATCAGTATTTGTCATCTCCAATCAACTGAGAAACAATACTTTTGTAAAATAAAATAAAAATGAATTACTAAGAAAATGAGAAGGCACCTCTATGCCACAACAGTGTCAAGTTACTATAGAAATTTCTACCTGTTTACTCTTAATTTCTGTACTTAACTCCTTGTTGATCAATAAAAACCAATTAAAAAATTTAAAAGCCAATTGGCACTGTCTTAAAGACCATACTTGTAATAGCACTATTATGACACTGAGTAAATATTCAAGCGACACCAATTACCCCATCAATTACATTTTTAATGTGACCCAAGCAAGAATTATGCCTCTTTATTCTCTTATAATCTAAGAAAGTGATACTTCCTGTCTTTCCCTCTCTTTCTCTCTCTCTCTTTGACATTTATAACACTGACCCTTGGAAGATTCCAGGCTAGTTGATTTGTAGAATGCCCCAACAGATGATTTTGTTTGGTGTTACTTCATGATCAATTTTACTTTAAACACCTCAGGCCAGAATACTAGAATAGGTGTTTCTTCGCCCCTGCTGCTGCATGACATTAGATGGCAAATGATGTTAGTTTGTTCTATGGTTAGTAATGCTAACGTAGTATCTGTCAGATTTCATTATGTACGTAGCTGTTTCCTTTTGCAATTCATAAATAATCTGTTTGCTGACATGTTGACATGGTGTAAATATCTCATTCCCCAGCAACACTTCATGCAATGCTTTTAGTATCTATGTATGCATTTTGCCCAAAATAGTTATTATATTTTAGGTAAAAAAATGATTATGTCTAACTTGTTTTCAAACAAAGTATTAGCTGGCATTCCTCTGTAATGAAGAGTTCTCCTTTGCCCCTCCATCTCTTTATTTTGGGGGAAGTTAGCTCAGTTGGCTCATGGATTATTTTATTCTTTTTCATTTAATATTCATAATTCATTATCCTCATAATCTATTTTGAAGTTCAAAGTGTTTGAAATTTGGCCAATGAGAATTTCTTCAGGCCAGCTCTTAGGTAGGTATGAAATGTCCCCATAAACTTTCAAGTGCTCCCTTACTTTCTGATACAATGTATCCACCGCATACTTTCCCTGCCACAGAGTAAATCATTTATCCAGTGATCCCTGGTTCCCTTGAGTAAGGAATGGTATTTAGAAGCCAAGATTTAAGTACTAGGGGTAATCATTACTATTGCATATTATATTTTTCAGGAGTTTGTAATTTTTTAATCCTCCTCTTAACATCTCAATCAGTACAAAAACATTGTTTCATACATGGAAATACTTAGTATGAGCTCTATTAGAAAACGTTACTAGTGGGAAATTGTTGAATTAAAACTTCATATCTATTTAAACATTTAAGCTTTTAAATGACTAAAGCTATATTGTCATACCTTTTAGGGATGAAGTTTGTTATGCATAAATATGTAGAATCTTATTTAAATCTTTTCAAAAGTGATATTTTCACACTTTCCAAATCTCCCCAATAAGATGTGATAAATCTTTCCTTACAACCCTAATAGTGTGTTGTTTCTTAATATCCCATGCTACATGGTATCTTATGCTATGAATATTTCTGGCTATTGCTCATCTAACCTCTACAGTGACTGAGTTTAGTATCTAAAGTCAGAAGACTTAGATTTGAACATTAGATCCAACACTTAACCAAATTTTCTCCTTTGAAAAATGTCACTTAATTTTCCAGAGTGTAAGTTTTCTATGTGGAAATAGAAGTAATATTATCTCTTTATCATTAGCAATATTTATAATATCCATAAATGTCTGAGATCCTGGGAATACAGGATTCAATCAAGGTCAAAGGTTTTTTTCATAAGGCAGGAAATACATTTACATATTGTGGAATACGTGTCAAGGTAAGACCTTTAGACCTACTCATAAAGATATTTAAATATTGTAAAATATCTTTTAAAATGCAAAATCCAAAAAAATAAGCAATTTGGGGAAATTGGCAGACTTCCATGATGTCATGAGGACAGCTAAACTGGAGATTTGTGTTACCTGACCACTGGACTCTTAAAATTATAAAATCCAGAATTTATTTTGATTAATATAAATATAGGGTACTATTAGGGAAGTTAGTTAGTACAAAGAAGGCCCTGGACATCTGAAACTCCACATCACACAGTAAACCAAATTATCAGATGGTATAAAACTTCAGGTATTCAAGATAATTATTTTCTTCCTAGTCATAAACATCTTTCAAAAGGGATACATTTGGTATTAAATATATCATGTTTAAAATTAAACACAGTGGAGGCTTCTTATTTCAGCTCCATCATGTTAAGAACTGCAAAGTTGTCACTCCCATTCTATAACAAGAAAATCTGGATCAACTGCAAGCAATTACATTTCTTGGACCCATCAGAGGACTGAAGTTACAAAGCAAATTGCCAACCTGAAATCTGGAGAAACAGGTGTATCCCAAAAAGATACATCAACAAAAATCTTTGCACTGTGAGCAGAGCCAGTGGAGCATAAGTTGGTAGGAACTCTTAAAGGGTAATTTCAAGAAATTTCTAGAGGCTTAGTGTGGAATTGAATGACAGTGAGACGCTTTTGGTGGCCACACTCATAAGAGGGCATCACACTTTCATGGAATCTAACTCCAGGAGGCCCACCTCCAGGTTCTCAAGATGGAGAGCTAAGAAAGATCCCCTTGAGGCTCTGGCAGGGGGGAAGGAAAGAGTAACATTGTAGGACATGTCCAAAGCATTTTCCATAAAAAACGCATACTGTCCAGCGAAACAGCTTTCCTAAAGCACACTTCTGAAGTGTTCCACTCTGGGGGAAGGGAATTCCTCCCCACATCATCTCCTCTCAGCCAACCTAAGACATAAGCCCTATAAAAGATTAAGATTTAACCAACTTATCCTACGCAGACAAAAAAGAAGTAATAAAAATTAGAACAGAAATCAATAAAATTGGAAACAGGAAACCAACTAGAAAATCAATAAAACCAAAAGCGATTTCTTTGGAAAGATCAATAGAATTGATAAACCACTAGTCATGCTAACCAAGAAAGCAGAGAGAAGACACAAATTAGCAATATCAGAAATGAAAAAGTAAGTTAAATTATATAATAATGGAACACTATGAACAAATCTAGGGCCATAAATTATACTTACATCATTACTTAGATAAAATGGACCTACTCCTTGAAAGACATAAACTATCAAAACTCACACAAGAAGAAATGAGTAACCTGATGTCCTATATTTTTAAAGAAAGTGAATCAATAATTAATGGCATCACAAGAAAAGAAAGCATCAAGCCCATATGGTTTCACTCACTATCAAACATTTATTGAAGAAATAGTACCAAGTCTCCACAATCACATTCAGAAAATAGAAGCATTGTAAATACTCCTTAACTCATTCTATAAGACCAGAATTACTTTAATATAAACCAGATAAAAGCTTTACAAGAAAATAAGACTACAAACTAATATTTCTCATGAACATTAACAGAAAAATCTGTAAGAAAACATTAACAAATTAAATCCAATAATATATTAAAAATTATATTCCATGACCAAGTGGAATTTACTCCAGGTATGCAAGGCTGGTTCAACCTTTGAAAACCAATCAATGTAATCCTACATATTACCAGGATAAAAGAGAAAAATCACATGATCATATCAATTTGTACAGGAAAAATGGAAATGTCCTCAACTTGGTAAAGACTGTTTACAAAATTCCCAGTGCTAACACAATTCTTAATTGTGAGAAACTGGACACTTTTCTCCTAAGAATGGGTAAGGTCAAGATGTCTACTCTCATTTCTATTCAATATTATACTTGAATTCCTAGCTGGAGCAACAAAACAAAACAAAATAAACATAAAATGCATACATATTTGAGAGGAAGAAATAAAACTGTCTATTGAGAGGTCATAGGTAAGGTCTACATTTAACTCCAAGAAAGTGCCAATTTCCAGAGTTCTATACCATTTTACACTCATACCAACAATGTAGGAAAGAATGTTTCTCCATATTTTCACTAGCATTTTTGGAATTATTTGTTATTTTTTTTGGGGGGGGGGTCATTTTAATAAGTGTGCATAGTATCTCCTAATGGCTTTCATTTGTATTTCTTTGATTGCTAATAATGTTAAACATATTTCCATGTGTTTATTTACCATCTAGATGTCTACATTGGTGAAGTGTCCAAGTCTTTTGTTCATTCTCTAATTAGATTGTCTGTTTTTTTTTTAAGTTTTAGTTTGAAGAATTTTTTAATATATTCTGAAAATGAGTTCTTTGCCAAATATATAATTTGCAAAATATTTTCTCACAGTTGGTAGCTTTTCTTTTCATTGCCTTAACAAGGACTTTCACAGAGCAAAGGTTTTTAATTTTGAAAAGTCCAACTTATGGATTTTTTTATGGATTATGCCTTTGGTGTCATGTCCAAGAATTTGTCACCTAAGTCAGGAAAATTTTCTATTATATTCTCTCCTAAAAGTTTTGTAGTTTTATATTTCACATTTAGGTCATAAGAATCCATTTTGAGTTAAGTTTTGTATGGGAAGTTTAGGTCAAAGTTCTTTTTTGGGGCTATTGATATCCAAGTTTTCCAACATCATTTGTTAAAAAGTATCCTTTTTCCATTGAATTACTTTGCACATTTGTCAAAAACTATAACTTTAGTTTAGCTATGTAAATTTAATAAGCTTTCAATTTAAAATCACAAGTCCAAAGCCATTATGGGGCATAGTTTCACCTTATTTAAAAATTGAATTTGTTATACTTATGATTTTTTGAGTACTTTGAAGTTTTCATTTGTTAGTCAGACAATTGAAGTAATTTAAGTAATTTAAAAGAAAATAGATCAAATGTATAAATATGGTTTAAAATGTTGAAAAGTGATTAAATGTGCAAATGAGACCAAACACTATTAAATGGCCCTTGAAAATTGCTAAAATTTCCTAGAAATATTAATAGAATAAGTCTCATAAGCTGCAGTTTCATACTTAAAATAGTCCTTTTGAATGTATGAGTGTGGTAAACGGAACACTAATTCTAAAAAACAAAGTAACCCCTGTTAGAACAGCTAAAATAAAAAATAATGAAAATACCAAATTCTGGAAACAATGTAGAGAAACTGAATCCTTCATACACTGCTCTCGGGAATGTAAAATGATACAACCACTCTGGAGAATAGTTGTCAGTGTTTTACAAAACTAAACATGACTTACCATATGGCCCAGCAATTCTACCCTTGGGTATTTATTGAAGAGAAATGAAAACTTTTGTTTACAGAAAAACTTGCACATAACTGCTCATAGCACATTTATTTTTAATGGCCAAAAAGTAGAAACAGTACAAATGTCCCTTAAAAAGTAAATGGTTAAACAAGCTGTGGTACATCTGTGCCACAGAATACAACTCAACAATAAAAAAGGAATGAACTATTCATAGTTGCAACAACTTGGATTAATCTTAGGGAATTATGCTGCGTGAAAAAATCCCATCCTAAATGATTATATACTGTCAGGTTTCATTCATATTATACCACTGAAAATTATAGAGATGGAGAACATATTAGTGGTTGCCAGGAGTTAGGGTCTACCAAAAGCCAGGGTGAAAAGGAAGATGGTGTAGATAAAGGCAGTATAAGAAATCCTCAGAGTTATGAAACTGTTTGTATCTTGACTGCAGTGGTGGTCACACAAATCTACAATGTGATAAAATTGCATAAAATTAAATAAACACACATGTAAATGAGCATGTAAAACTGGCAATGTTTGAATAATATTGATGGATTGCATTAACATCAATATCCTCATTATCTTACTGTACTTAGTACAGTAAGATGTTGGATTCCATTAGGAGAAACCAGGTGAAGTGTTCAGGCCCTCTCTGTATTATTCCTTATACCTGTACTTGAATCTACAATCACATTTTTTTGAAACATAATAAAAAGAGAAGCAAATCTCAAATAGTCCCTTCTATGCACAAAGAACAAAAAGCAAAACTCTTAAGGGCGTCAAAAAAGCTGACACTAGCATAAACACACACAGAAATTGCTTAGAACAATGGATGAATACATAGTACGCATTTAATGGATTGTACCTACTGCTATTGCTATCACAATTATTAATATTTCTATAACTATTATCATCAATATTTGAACTTGCATTTGTTCTCATGCCTGATACTCTTCCTTCAAATAGCTCATCTGATTTAAGTGTCTGAGAATTTTACCACAAGAAACATCACTTCCTTGACAACTTATCTCAACGAACTATGCTCCGTCATTCCACTTTTCCTTGCTTCTACTTTATCCCTTTACCCTGATTTATTTTTCTTCTTGGCACTTATAAACAAACGAAATATTGCATATTTCCGTGTTTATTTGTTTATTCTCGATTCTCTCTAAAAGGCAGGCTCTATGAGAACAGGACTTTATCTACTTTGGTTCACTGTTGCTTCCCTATTTCTTACAAAATGCCTGACATGATACAGGTTCAGGAACAATTTATTAGGGAAACATTGTGTTAAGCTGAAGAGTGAATGTTGATGTTAAAGATAACAATGCAAAATTAACTTTTTCTTATGTTTTAAGCAACAACTTCAGGTGTGTGAGAAAAATGCTAGAGAAGATAACTTCAAAAATCCCTTTGCAAATTTTTTTATTAAAATACTCATAAAACTATTTTGAAAAGAATCT
Source organism: Homo sapiens (assembly GCF_000001405.40). NCBI lineage: Eukaryota > Metazoa > Chordata > Mammalia > Primates > Hominidae > Homo > Homo sapiens. Next base: position 59,165,392 of record NC_000013.11, read on the forward strand.
TGTATGCACTTCAATGGGGAGAAAAAGATCAAGGAAATGTTGTGTTCTTCTAGGGTTTGACACTAGAAGACACCTTATGCCTTATTCATGAGTTTGAATTGAAAGTCTGCTCTCTTTTGGAACCTGCTCTCTTAATTTCACTTCTCTGCTTCCACTAGCTATTCAAGTTAACTGGTTCTTAGAGTTCCACCTCTTAGGGTGGAAGCTCAGTTGCCTCAGACCAAATTTGCATTTTGCCTTCAGGTTCCATATAAAGTCTCTTACTTGAAGTTTCTTTTTGCTTCTTTATGCAGGAACTTTGAAATTCATCAAGCTACAGAAGTATAAGCTCCCCCACCTTTTCCTCCCAGGATATCGCAAGTCTTTTTAGGTTCCCTGGAAAGAAGAAATGGCATTTTAAAAATATCTACTGTGGACCACAACTGTTTCAGAGGGAGAGACAAACTGACTTTGCCTGTGTCAGTTCTTAAAGGAACATCTTTTCTACCCAGGTCCACTGTGAAGTGGTTTATAGCAACTCTCCCAATGAATCCACGTGGTTTACTCTTCATTAAAAGGATAAGTAAGTAGGGGGAAAAAAAAGTGTCATGGGATCTATTGAGGAAGACAATAGCTACCATTATTATTGAGTATTTTAAAAATTTTATACATGTTTCAGGATATTAGAAAGATGGGGCTCCAAAAGATTGAGTATTTTAAAAATTCTATACGTTTCAGGATATTAGAAAGATTGGGGCTCCAAAAGATAGTTATCAGATAGCAAAGTGAAGGTAAAATAATTCCCACCCAAAATTATGTAGGATTTACAAAGGGATGGAGGAGAACTACAACAGAAAGATGCAGCAATAAGTAGGTACTGTAAATAGCCTGATAACTTAGAAAGAAATCACAGCAACCACAGAACTGAGACACATCCTTTAGGGCAGGGGTCCCCAACCCCTGGCCATGGACTGTTACCAGTCTGTGGTCTGGCCTATTAGGAACAGGGTCACACAGCAGGAAGTGAGCAGTGAGCAAGCAAAGCTGAGCTCTGCCTCCTATGACATCAGCAGTTGCATTAGATTCTTACAGGGGTGTGAACCTTACTGTGAACTGCACATGTGAGGGATCTAGGTTGCACACTCCTTATGAGAATCTGATGGTGATTCTGAGGTGGAACAATTTCACCCTGAAACCATTCCCCCACCCCCCAGTCTGTGGAAAAACTATCTTCACGAAACTGGTCTCTGGTGCCAAAAAGGATGGGGAATGCTGCTTTAGGAAACTACAAAAGAGGAGCCAACCTGAAGTGAAAACCTCATTAAATACACAAGAAAGAAAGGCAACTTGGAAGATCTGCAGATGTAACCACCTGAGGCAGTTTTCCTGCCCGCTGCACAAAGAAAGACCATGGCATTGTAGTAGAGAAAGAGTTTAATAGATATGAGGCTGGCCACACCTCATGGGAGGTGGAGTTAGTATTCAAATCATTCTTGCCCAAAGCTCCTAGATTAGGAGTTTTTCAAAGGTAGTTTGGGGGAAGGGGTGGGGGTGGCCAGGTGACAGGTGCTTGCTGCTGATTGGTTGGGGCAAAGATGAAATCACAGGGGGTTGAAACTGTCCTCCTATAGGCTGAATCACTTCTGGATGGGGCCACAGGAGCAGGGTTGGTGGGTCCAAGTGGATCCATGAGTGTCAGACGTTACAATACTTGAAAAGATATCTCAAAAGGCCAACTGGCCCTAGGTTCTCTGGTAGTGATGATATTTGCAAGATTGATTGGGGAAGTTGTCTATCTTATAACATCTGTAATGATAGCTGACAATTATTTATGTCTGCACTCTAGTAGGACTCTGATGCCTCTACTCCCGCTAGGCCTGACGAACTTTCAATAGCTATGCAAAAGCCTTCGAGTTTGGGCAAGGCCTGTTACCATTTAAACTATAGCCAAAATATCTTCCAAAGTTAGCTTGGCCCAATGACCCAGGAATAATTAAGGGAAAGACAAGATTGTTGGGGCTGGTGAATATCCAGGTTACTGATGGCAAATCCATACAGATCCTCAGCAACCTCAGTTCTTGCCTTCTCAGAAGAAAGAATTTGACGGAGGGGCATAAGGCAGAAACAGAGACCAAGGCAAGTTTCAGAGCAGGAGTGGAAGTTTATTAAAAATATTTAGAGCAGGAAAGAAAGGAAAGTACACTCGGAAGAGACCCAAGTGGGCACTTTGGAGGTCAAGTGTTCTGTTCAACCTTGATCCTAGGACTTTATATGCTGGCTGTCTTCCAGCGCCTTGTGCCCCTTTCCCTTCATTCTTCCCTTAGGGTGGGACTCCCACATGTGCAGTTCCCTCCTTGCGCTTGGGAGATGAGCATGTGCAGTGTGCTCAGGAAGTTGTGCACATGCCCATCTGAGGCTTTCTTCCCTTTTCTGATGGAATGCCCCCGGAAGGTCATACTCTGCCATTTTGTCTCTTAATGCTCATGCTCAAGCCCACTTGTCCAATTCCTGAGATTTTATTGGAAGCTGCCAATGATCAATTTCAAGTGTTTTTATATACTGGGAAATTGCCTCTCCCTGGCATCTGGGACCAACTATTATTTTAGTGTCATAGCTGCTGGACCATCACCTAATGGTCACCTGACACTCCTGGTGGGTAGGGGGAGCCCCCTCCCCACTCATGCCTGACTACCTACCTACCTACTATAACAAGATGGGGGATGGGTTAGCTCAGATCTCTTTCACCGTCATAATTTTCTCACGGATACAATTTTTGCAAAGATGGTTTTATGAAGGCCACTGATCTAAGTCACAAAACCAAGCAGTAATGTCCCATCCGATTAATCTCTTTCCTACTTAAATTCAGAGTGAAAGAACAGCAAGTTAGTAGGGGTAGAAGACCCTACCTTTCCCACTATAGGTCTCTAGGCTGAAGCAGGTCCAAGCTAAAGGAGGAAAAAACTTAAGGTATAAAAGTTAGAAGTTTCAATTATTAACAGTACTAAACATTCTAATGATTTAATTGAGGTAAGGTTTGCAACTTATTTTTCTGCAGGGCTGTGTTCTATCTAAGAAACTGCATAATAATTTTGGGCCTGCTGGAGGTTTCTTCCAGGAGCAAAAGATTACCCTGCCTGACTGTGGGAGACAAGAAAATAAAGTTGCATTTTGATCAAAATCCATGCATCACACCTATTCAACATACTGGTTACACATACATAATCTCCTTTACTCCTCATATCATCTTTGAAAGTTAGCATACAACTTGTGTTGTCTGGGGAACACATGCTCAGAAAGGTCCTGGGCTGGCTTGGTTTAAGGCTCTACTCTTAATGTCTTGAAATTTTTAATACTTTGGAAAAAGGAACCCACAATTTAATTTTGCACTGAGCCCTGCGTATTGTGTAGCTGGTCTTGCAAAGCGCTTTTACGGTGCTGGCTGTGTTCAACTTCTCAACTTACATTGGAGTTATATGGGTGTTAAGTTTTAGCCATTGGTTATACCATACATATATTTTATGTAATTTTCTGTATATATTTAATATTATACGGCCGGGCGCGGTGGCTCACGCCTGTAATCCCAGCACTTTGGGAGGCCGAGGCGGGCGGATCACGAGGTCAGGAGATCGAGACCATCCCGGCTAAAACGGTGAAACCCCGTCTCTACTAAAAATACAAAAAAGTAGCCGGGCGTAGTGGCGGGCGCCTGTAGTCCCAGCTACTTGGGAGGCTGAGGCAGGAGAATGGCGTGAACCCGGGAGGCGGAGCTTGCAGTGAGCCGAGATCCCGCCACTGCACTCCAGCCTGGGGGACAGAGCGAGACTCCGTCTCAAAAAAAAAAAAAAAAAAAATATTATACAAGTTTTAAATGTTAAAAATAAATACTTTCCCAGAAATAGATTTACTCCAGGAAACAGGGAAAAAAAATTTAATTTCTGGCCTGGCACGGTGGCTCACGCCTGTAATCCCAGCACTTTGGGCGGCTGAGGTAGGTGGATCATTTGAAGTCAGAAGTTCGAGACTAGCCTGGCCAACACGGTGAAACCCCGTCTCTACTAAAAATACAAAAATTGGCTGGGTGTGGTTAGCACATGCCTGTAGTCCCAGCTACTTGGGAGGCTGAGGCAGGAGAATCACTTGAACCCAGGAGGGGGAGGTTGCAGTGAACTGAGATCATGCCACTGCAATCCAGCCTGGGAGACAGAGCAATACTCTGTCTCAGAAAAATTTTTAAAAAATTTAATTCCTGACTCAAGTTCTTAATGAGATATAAAGCCAGGCTTTTAGCAGATAGGCAAAAATAAGAGGTCAAATCAGTGTTTTTTAAATTTAGAAATTGAAATAAATTCTGCATTGCAGCACAAAACAGCAGATATGACACAGCAGAAAAATAAATTTTTAAGCGTAAAAAGATAACCTGAGTTGTAATTCTACAATTTAGAATGAAGACACACAATGGTGAGAGAAGATAATATATATAAAGGGTAAATGACAGAGAGCCAACTTACAAATAATGGTCAACTCCAAAGGAGGAGAAAAATGGATCAAAAGCCAATTTTAAAAAAGATCTTTCCAGGTTAGAAAAAGGACCTGATACCAACGGAAGCTAAGATGTCTCACTGTGTCACGGCAAATTTAATAACCAATGTATTTTCCACTAATTTTGAATTTGACATCCAACAAAATCAAAGTGATCCTGAAACCTAAACTGAAAAACAAGTAGTCTTCCAGTAATTAACTTAACAATCAGGAAGAGTTCAATTTTTTTGTTCTTTTCTCTGCCATAAACAATACAGAAATAGGTCTTTTGAGTTTGGCAGTGAAAATTGAAGAAGGTGATGACACAAAAATATAGTCACCAGTCAATTTAGCACTCATGTTTTAGAGCAGAATGGCAGAGCTTCAGAGTTTCAGAAAAAAAAATACTCAAATACTCCAATATTCCTAGGGAAGAAAAAAAGATTAAAGATATTAATAAGTCCACTCAAAAATAAAAATGAATCAAATTTAAAACTTTATCATTGAGAAGTTGTGATAGAAAAGAACTAGCTATAAATACAGAAACAAGCAAGAAAAATCTTCAAAAATTACTAAGAATTATTGGGAGAAAGATTGACGCTGCTAGGTCTCAATAACTGGTGTAACTATGGTAACTAACATAGGATGTGAATGACAAAATATGCTTTGTAAAAAGAATACTTTTTTAAAAAAATAGCAGAGTTTGCAACCCCAGATTAAAAATATATCAGATAGGAAGAAAAAAAGCACAAAAATATTATACTTATTTTTCCACGAAATGGAGTTCAAAGTTGTCATTTTTTGTTTTTATAACAGCATAACATATACAAATTAATCTATGAAAATTGCTAAAGTTGCCAATAATCAAATTAAAATCAAATTATCCATTTTCCAAATTATTACAAATGATAAGAAAATACTGTTGGGGTTCAGAAAATAATATCCCCAAATCTGTCACTTTGACATGCTGAACTAAAGCAGCAGCCTCAAGGTCTCTCTGACCTTCCTCCTCTTCCCTCCTGTCTCTCAATCTTCTGTCTCTCCCCAAACATAGGATGAGACTGCTCTCTGAAGTGCCCTTATCTACCTAGAAACTGGACCTGCCAAAGAGGAACACAATTGCCTTCGATCCCTTCTCTAAAATTTCATTAACCAGAGAAGATTACAACTCATATCACAGAGACCGAAAATTAAATACCACACCTACAGCCCAAATAAACTTTGTCCCAAGCTATTGTTTGTTCTCTGCTCCCACTCAGTTTACAAAGAGACTCATTTATAAGCTAATTTCTGTCCATTCATCTCTCCTAAAATCATTTACTGTCTCTCTAAAATTGGCTACAGCCACCACTTCCCTGTCGCCTTTGAAGAGAGTATTTAAGCTTCAATCATCTGGCCATCCTCTGATGCTTCATATTTTTGTCCGGCTACCGTGCTTATATACATTGAGAAATTTGTTATGCTTTTCTCTTGTTAACCTTTCTTTTGTTATAGGGATATGAATTGTGACCCTTATGATGAGGAGGAAAGGGATCATCCCTCTCTGTTCCTTCCACACAAAACATTTTCTATGCAACAGAACACGGTGAAAGAAACAGCTAACCTAAAGAGGCATAAAATTAACATAAGTAAGGCCTAGAGAAAGAATGAAAATCAATTACAATAAAGTTAAATTCAATATTAATCAAATGGTTCAAATGAAAATACCCCCAAGCCTTGGAATATTATTAAATGACTATTATTTCAGAGGAAATACGGTATAAAATACAGAACTACATAGAAATTTTTTAAACTGTAATAGTACAGCTCAATCTTCTAGATGAATATGGACACTCAAACTGGAAATAAAGTAACAGGGAACAGAGGAGATACAAATCTTCCTATCCCTAGAGGTGCATTTCCTCTCCCTTTTGATAATTTAGCAGAGCTGGCTCAGGAGACTTGAGTTGCCCCAAGGGAAGAACAGGCTGATACCAGCTACTGTGTCTCTAGAGTTCCCCCTTTCTAAAAAGGCTCCTTCCAGACCAGGGAGCTTCCACTCTTAAATACACACTTAGATGTTCCTGGCCCTCTGCATAAATGCAGAGGGCAAGACGCTTCCCTTTGACACATGAGCCTCTGTGCATTATGAGCCAGCCATGCTCCCTAAGTTGTGGGTCTATAAGATTTGGGGCAATATGCCTGTGCTCTACTTTTTTCTGCTAGCAAATTTCCTCCCCAAAACCCTGTTAAATCTAGTCTGCTTTGCTAGTGACGTTGTCCATGATTGCTTTGCACAACAGGAATAGAAGCCAACAATTTATTATGCCACATATTCATCTGAGGAATGAAAAGTGGATTACATTTATAAAATTGATTAACATCATATGTCACATAAAAAGGATAAATAAGAAAAATTATATTATCCCTTTAATGGGATGGTAAAAAGCATTCGATAAAATATTACGCCCATTTATATTTTAAAACCCTTTAAAAAGGACAAGAAAGATGGGCTCAGAGTTTATTTCAAATCAACATCCAGCATTATACTCAGTGGGGAATGTGCTACAGTCGCTTCCTTTAAATCACTAGCAAAGCAAATAAGATTTCTCTCTATTTTTAAACTAATGATATTTAAGAAATTCTTATCAATTTCATAATTTATGAACCAAAAATAAGTGAAAACATAATAGAAAGAAACAGGAAATATTTTTGTTAGTTGCAGAAGATATAATGCAAAAGTTCTAGAAAAGCAATTGATTGAAAAATAGAATTCATAGAGGAGCTTATCAAAGTGGAAGAGTAAGAGATGTATGTGAAAACATCTGTTCCAATTCTACATACCAAATTCAAGAATTCCCATTTAAAAAAAAACTGTAAGAATTATTCCAGTGAGAAAAGTAAGAGACCTATAGGGATAAAACTGTAAACATTTATTTTATGTTTATATCTAATATATATTTCCATTATTATTTCATATTTCTCAATAGTGTCAAGATTTTAAATCTGCTGATATTAATCTATAGACTTAGTTCAATTAGAATAAAAATTGTAATGGAATCAGTTTTTGAATATTGAGGAAATTAAACTAATCTGTAAGAATAACCAGGTGATGCCAGGCATGGTGGCTCTCACCTGTAATCCCAGCAATTTGGGAGGCCAGGGCAGGCAGATCACTTGAGTTCAGGAGTTTGAGACCAGCCTGGCCAACATGGTGAAACCCCGTCTCTTCAAAAATACAAAAATTAGCTGGATGTGGTGGCAGGAGCCTGTAATTCCAGCTACTGGGTAGGCTGAGGCAGGAGAATTGCTTGAACCTGGTAGGTGGAGATTGCAGTGAGCTGAGATTGCACCATTGCACTCTACCCTGGGCAATAAGAGCAAAACTCCATCTCAAAAAAAAAAAAAAAAAAAAAAGAATAACCAGGTGAGAACATCTTTGAAATTTTTCAAAAGATAATAACTAGCCAAACTACCAGAAGCATTCCAACCAGAGCACCTCCATCTTGAACAGGGGCTGGGTAAAATAAGGCTGAGACCTTCTGGACTGCATTCCCAGGATGTTGGGCATTCTTAGACACAGGATGAGCTAGGAGGTTGACACAAAATATAGAACATAAGGACCCCACTGATAAAACAGGATACAGTAAAGAAGCTGGCCAAAACCTGCCAAAACCAAGATGGTGATAAAATTGACCTCTGGTGGTCCTCACAGCTCATTATATGCTAATTATGATGCATTAGCATACTGAAAGACACTCCCACCAGCACCATGACAGCTTATAAATGCCATGGCAACATCCAGAAGTTAATATGGTCTAAAAAAGAGACGAACCTTCGGTTCTGTGAACTCCCCATCCTTTTCCTGGAAAACTCATGAATAATCCACAACTTGTTTAGCATATAATGAAGAAATCGCCATAAATATACTCAATCAGCCCATGCTGCTGCTCTGTCTAGGGAGTAGCCATTTTTTGTTTCTTTACATCTCTAATAAATTTGCTTTCACGTTAGTCTGTGGACTCACCCAAATTCTTTCTTGCAAGAGATTCAACAACCCTCTCTTGGGGTATGGATCAGAGCCCCTTTCCAATCCAGAAGGTTTTCTTATCTCCTTTTTCTCCTGCTTCTTTCTGGTAACAAAGCCATATATTTAAAATAAATTGTATAGGTCAGTAATTAAAACATTGGCCTACTTGTCTACAAATAAACGTACAGACCATTGCAACAATTCAGGTGACTAAAAAGAAATGATATCGTATATATGATAAAAGAGGCCTCACAGGCCAGGAGCGGTGGCTCATGCCTGTAATCCCAGAACTTTAGGAGGCCAAGGTGGGTGGATGACTTGAGTTCAGGAGTTCAAGACCAGCCTGGGCAACATGGTGAAGCCCATCCCTACAAAAAAACACAAAAATTAGCCAGGCATGGTGATGTGTGGCTGTCGTCCCAGATACTCAGGAGGCTGAAGCAGGAGGATCACTTTAGTCCATGAGGTCAAGGCTGCAGTGAGCTGTGATTGTGCTCCTGCCCTCCAGCCTGATCACAGAGGGAGACCCTGCCCTTCCCCCACAAAAAAAGAGGCATCACAGATTAAAGAATAATAAAAGGATCATCTATTAAATGGCCCTAGTAAAATTTGGTGAGGAGCAAAGGGAAGGGAGAATCCATGTACAATTCAATTCATACCGTACAACATATTTAATTCCTGAGGAATTAAAAAAATAATTATTATTAAAGAAAATTAGAGAAAATTTATCTGATTATTTATTTTGGAGGCTGTTTCTAAGTAAAACAAACATATAAAAAAGAGGAAATAATCCTATAATCAACCCCATAAAAATAAAAGCTCCTGCGTATGAAAAAGTTAATAGAAACTAAAGGCAAATAAAAGATTGGGTTCAAATCAATAGCAAGTAAACAAAGAGGTAATATATTTATAAACCTCATTCCTCTTCTAATTTGCATTTATTTGATAACTGCCGTGATTCAGCACTGTCTCACATGTTTACTTAATAGTTATAATTCTACCCTGGCATGCTACCTGTTTATGTTATTTTATGTTATCTTATTATGTATCTGTTAAAGTCTCAATATTTTTCTAAACATTCCACATTTAGGAGTAATACTTTAAATAAATAAACCAAGCAGGTAATGATTTCAGAGTACAAAATTAATTAGAAAAACACCAAGCTCCACTAGTTATCAAAGAAGTATAAGTCAAAGGTACAATAAAAAAAAACTTTAAAACCTTTAATTAGCAAATTTTTTTAAAAGATAACATCTAAAACTGGCTTGCATAAAATATAAATTTTCTCTTATACATTTGGTAATAGTAGAAGTTGAAGTTGCAATTAGGGAGTAATTTATAATTATAAGCAATGCTTATAAGTTGTCAGAAATTTCTTGATGATAGTAAACCCATATCCTAAGAAACAAACAAACAAACAACATTAAAATAGTTTTAAAAGGCTATTTTTGAAAGCTTTAAAATAGCCTGTATATCCATCAGCACAGAAATGGGAAAGCAAATTATGGCCCACATACAGGGAACTCAATGCTGCCATTAAAATGATGATCATGAAGATTACATAACAGCATGGAAATACTTATGATAATTCCATCAAAAAAAAAAACAAAAAAGCAAAATATAAAATCGTGTTCATGGTAGCAAAAGAATAAAACTGGAAAGAAATCCACTAAATCAATAACTTAGTATCTCTTTTTAAACAACTGTCGACAAAGAGTCAAACTAAAATATTTGAAGAGATTTCTGAGCCAAATATGAGTGACCAATGGCCCATGACACAGCCCCAGGAGATCCTGAGAACATGTGCCCAAGTTGGTCGGGTTACAGCTTGGTTTATACATTTTATGGAGACATAAGACATCAATCAATACACGTACAACGGTTCAGCTCAGAAAGACAGGACAACTGGAAGCGGGTGGGGCTTTCAGGTCATAGGTGGATTCAAAGATTTTTCTGATTGGCAATTGATTGAAAGAGTTATTACCTAAAGACCTGGAATCAATAGAAGGGAGTGTCTGGGTTAAGATAAGGGGTTTTGGAGACCAAGGTTCTTATTATGCAGATGAAGCCTCCATGTAGCTGATTTCAGAGAGAGAACAGATTGTAAATATTTCTTATCAGACCTAAAGGTTCTGTTCAAGCACTCTCAAGGTCTCTGTTTTAATGCTAATGTTGGTCAGCTGTGCCTGAATTCCAACAGGAGGAGGGTATATTGAGGAAAGTCTGACCCTTACTTCCCATTATGTCCTGAACTAGTTTTTTGGGTTAACTTTGGAATGCCCTTGGCAGAGGGGAGGGTTTCTCAGTTGGCTGGGGGCTTCGAATTTTATTTTTGGTTCTCTTTTTTTTTTTTTTTGAGACAGAGTCTTACTCTATCACCCAGGCTGGAGTGCAGTGGCATGATCTCATCTCACTGCAACCTCCACCTCCCGGGTTCAAGCGATTCTCCTGCCTCAGCCTCCCAAGGGACTACAGGCGTGTGCCACCATGCCCAGCTACTTTTTATTTTTAGTAGAGATGGGGTTTCATTATGTTGGCCAAGGTGGTCTTGAACTCCTCACCTCAGGTGATCTATCCATCTCAGCTTCCCAAAGTGCTGGGATTACAAGTGTGAGCCACTGTTCCTGGCCTATTGTTGGTTTTCACTACAGCAAAAAACATCCAATTCTTTTTCAGTTGCAAACACACAGTCTCTACTCAGTAGTTAAAAGTACCCAGTTCCATATATTCCAATCCTTTTTCCGATCTTAAGTCAAACATTCCAATTCAACACTCCAGTATTCATTCAAAGATAGAAAAAACCCTTACTCCCCTACTCCCTCCCCAGCTGGGGCTAGAACTTGGGGGCTGGGAAAGGAGATTTTCTTTTTTCTCTTCCTCCTCCTCCCTAGATTCCTAACTTGGGCCTTGGAGTCCTCACTCTTTTGTTGCCCCCTCACCCACTGGACAGGTCTCTTAAGCAGGATTTTAATGAACTCTTCTTTCCCGTAGCATCCCCATGCATGTGGTCCCCGAAAAATGCAAGTTCATTCTTTGCCCTGTAGGGGTCTCAGTAACCAAAAATGACAAACTCTTCCTGTCTTGCTCTTGGGATAGAGTCAAGAACTGAGGGAAGACACCTAGGGCACTCTGATCCAGCTGCTGGAAGCCCACTCCTCCAGGCTTGAGGCAAGGAGGCAGTGGCATCCCCCCCATCCCTAGGAGGACGGGAGTCTTAGAATCTCTGTTTCTCTCTCCAGAGAGGCCTCACAAGTCACTTGCTCTCTTTTCAGTTTCTTCACCCTTTCAAATTGTTGAAATGGTTAAGGAGTTCAAAACTTGTCAGGAGGATTCCTGTCTACCATTTTGAGGACTCTTCTTAGTTGTTTATTAGAGGCTGTTAACAAAACAAGAAATACCTCAGAGAATCCAACAGGTCCAAAATGGTCCCGAATATCTTCCATTTATTTGAATGATTAAACAAAAAATGAAGACCAGGCACAGTGGCTAACCCCTTAATCCCAGCACTTCGGGAGGCCAAGACAGGTGGATTGCTCGAGCCCAGGAGTTTAAGACCAGCCTAGGCAACATAGTGAGACCTCATCTCTACAAAAAATAGAAAAAAATAGCTGGGCATGGCTGCCTGCATCTGTGGTCCCAGCTATTTGGGAGGCTGAGGCAGAAGGGTCACTTAAGCCTGGGAAGTTGAAGCTGCAGTGAGCCATGATCACACCAGCCTAGGCAACAGAGTTAGAGCCTATGGAAGGAAGGAAGGAAGGAAGGGAGGGAGGGAGGGAGGGAGGGAGGGAGGGAGGGAGGGAGGGAGGGAGGGAGGGATCAGGAGTCAAAAGTTCTAGATTCTCTTTGCACCCTTACCAATTAAATGCCTTGGTCAGTGTCCATAAGCTTCCTAAGCTCTGTTTCCTCAACTGTAATAGAAACAATAAATTATAGCTGTTCTACTTCTTTTACAGGATGCTATAACAAATAATTTGTTTACAGTAAATATTATATCAATATACACTAGCCTTATTGCAATTGACTATCTCATAATAGAAATATTTCTATGGATTATGTTTTCCCCTTAATGTTTGTGAAGTGCTTTGGTCTTCTAAGTGGTAAAATGATCAGTAATGAAATAATCAGAAGTGAGTACTAAAGTCAAAAATCACTGTTACGACATATTCATCGAGGCTTATCAGAATATCCACCATTTTTCAAGTATTAACATTTGAAAGAAAATGACAGCTTGTAACATATTTTTTAACTGAAATTAATAAAGAGATATAAGCATCCGAAAACAAAAGCATGTCAAAGCTTCCCTTTTAATGAGCACGAAAGACATATTGCTGAGGTTAAATACTTTAACAAACTAGCAAAATGAGTTTAGTGTTGACAGAAACTTTTTGTTAAAGATTATTGCTTTTATTCAGATTCAGATGAAATTGTTTGCTTTAGACAATGAATTTCTTCCTCAGGAGCAATTTCCCTGTAAAGTTATTTTTATCAGTGGCAATTATTATCTAATGTTAGGACAGAATGATAATAGAGGCACTTCGCTCTAGGTTTTCCTGGAGGGGTTCCCTGGAGCCCAGAATCCTTGTATGTCCAATGAAGTGCTGAGGAAGCCTAAAGAAGAAGGCACCTAAAAGACTGACCTCTGCTGGCTGCTCCTCCATTTCTTTTTCCTTATTGTCTCTTCTGCCCCATTTCCCTCCTTCCCCAGTTAACTCCCTAACAGATCACCTCTAGGTATGAATATTAGCAATGCAATGCATTAGATGCTTAACTCTTTCCAAAGGAGAGCCTCCAGTCTACAGGAATCTTTAATTAATTGAAGAGGGAACAATTTTAAGAAGACCTCCGGAGCTTTGCCTATTCAAATTTCATTCCTCTCTTCTCATCCCTGACCATGTAGGCCATTCAGTAAGCAAATGGATTTTACCTTGGTTAGCAGCGCTCATTCACACAGCATCACCCCTACCTTTGCTGTCTACACTCTGGCTTTCACTGCTCAAATTCCAACAAAACCATCATAAAACAAAATACCACATTTATTTGGATAAATATAAACAAAGAAAATATTTAAAGCTGCTAATGGTACACTCCCCAAAAAGAGTCTTCTTTATTTCCTAAATGGGAAAATACATTTATATACAGTACATATATATCTGCAATATGTAGTGTATGGTTATCTGCAGATAAACATCACCAAAATAACTTTGCAATATAAGTTGTTCAATTTAAATAACAATAGTATTAGTAATTAAGTATGATAGTTCAAAATAGCATGGAAATGTTTACAGTGTTTTTCACAGAATTATTCTATTTTAATGTTGAAAAATTATTCAAAATTATCTTCTCATTTTGCATGTGAGGACACTGAATGATGAAGTGACTTGCCTGAAGGACTCTGCACACTCAGAACAAGAGCCAAGGTCTCTTCTCTCCTGGTCCATTGTATGTGTCTGTATGTGTTTTACACAACATCACACACCTCTTAGGTTTTTTTATAAGTCTTACTGGAAAATTATTGAAGTGATCAACTCAACACCTACCTGGGGCCACTATAACTCCCTTAAGGATCACATAAAGATGAATAAGCGAATGAGAGAAACTGACAGCATTCCTGTCCTGCTGACCTCAGATACCCCAGAGCATAACTAGTGACATCATCTGTCTCTTCACTCCCTAACAGTTCATTGCTTATATTCTTGACGTGAACCTACACCCCCATCAGGTTGTAGCAAAATGTTCCCACCATATGATCCCCCTCATGGCTGTGTGTGCTTCGCTGCTTCAGTGCCTGCCCCTCACCCAAATTCTCCTCAAATTCTGACTAAGCCTTGAGGATAGGTCATAGAATAAATCTAGGTCTTGGCCTCTATATTTTGGGATTGCCCAAACAAGGCTATCCAGTCTCTCCAAAGAAAAGACAACTTCATTTTCCCAGCTGTGGCCTCACTGCTATTCTTGTAAATACACAGCTGCTTGAGTTCTTGGGCCGCAGGCTGCCTACACTCCGTGAGTGCTTTCCCTCCGAGGATGGGGAAGCTGTGCTTGGTGCCTGCATGTTGCTGCTGCACCCAGGAATTGAGATCACTCCTGGGACTTCAGGCTAGGGGTACTCACTGAGCGCAGATAGTAACAGCATCCACTGCAGAGAGCTGTTCTGTGAAGAAGTTGGTGCATGAAAAACGCTTCACTCACCACCTGGCACACATGACTGCTCAGTAAATTTATACATTTCTAACATAAGATAATGGAGAGGAGTATTTCCAATACAAAGAAAGGACGCTGAAGCAACAATCCAAATGTCCTTCAATGGGTGAACATTTTAAAAACATTGGTATATTCATACCAGTGAATATTACTCAACAGTAAAAAAGGAATGAATTATTGAAACAACTTCAATGGATTTAAAGCGGATAATGGTGAGCTAAAAAGCCAAGCATATAATCTTGTATGTCATATGATTCAATTTATATAGTATTACTTAAATTAAAAAATAATAAGGATGGAAACAGATTAGTGTTTGCCAGGGGTTACGTGAGGGGAGAAAGAGTAAAGTGGCTTTGGTTATAGAAAGACAGCACAAGCGATAGTTGGGATGCAAGTGCTCTGTTATCTCGGGTAACACAAATCTACAGATAGCAGAAAATTGCATAAAATTAATGCAGACATTACATGCACTTTAAATCGCATTAAGTTAACGCAGACACACACACCCTTGTATAGATTAATTTAATGCAATTTAAGTGCATGTAAAACTGGTAAGATTTGAATACATTCTGTAGATTATGTCAATTTCCCGGTTGTAATATTGTACTACAGTTATGCAAGGTGTTTGTTATTTTGTGGGAAAACTAAGTAAAAAGCCCATAGACTAGCTCTCTTATTTCCTACCACTACATGCAACCCTACAATTATCTACAAAAAGTTAAATAAAATAACAACTACTAAAATAATTTCATGGGGTTCCTATAATTGTCATTCTGCCTTTAGTTTTTTTTCTTATGGAAGATGAAGACCTGGGAACAATGCCCAAATAAAAATGTATTTGTAGAAATATACTTTAGAGTTATTAAAAATCCTTTTTAAAAAATAAAAGCTTAGAATTTATAGGCAAATAGATTACTTTGTCCAACTATTTTTTTGCCTCAAAAAGGAAGGAGTAAAATTAGGCATTCATTGACAATTTATTTACAATCTAAAGTATGGTTAGTTAATACTGACTTTTCTGACTTCCAGCCACCAAATCCAAAAATAACTCATCCTGAGCTCCTGACATCTACAATCTAAGAGTCTAGAATCTTAGATCTTGTGCCTGAGAACTTTACAAACACATACACACGTTTAAAAAGTAGCCACAACTTGGGAGGAAATGGGAGCAGGAAACAGAGAGCTTTTGTTTCTGGATGTCTTTCCTGCCCTTCCCATGTGGCTTACTTACAATGGTCAGAAATTTCTTCTTTGGTCCTCACTTCCTCCAAGTTACCAGAGTTTAAGACTGGGTCTTCTGGCCGGGCGTGGTGGCTCACGCCTGTAATCCCAGCACTTTGGGAGGCTGAGGCGGGTGGATCACAAGGTCAGGAGATGGACACTATCCTGGCTAACACGGTGAATCCCTGTCTCTACTAAAAATACAAAAAATTAGCCGGGCATGGTGGCGGGCGCCTGTAATCCCAGCTACTCGGGAGGCTGAGGCAGGAGAATGGCGTGAACCTGGGAGGCGGAGCTTTCAGTGAGCCGAGATCGCGCCACTGCACTCCAGCCAAGAAAAAGACTGTGTCTTCTAAGTCAACAGAGAGGGAAATGCTGACTGCTGGTGTTTACCTGCATAGCAGCAGTCAGCCTGAAGCAATGTGCCCATGATCCTACGAGTATTCTAGAGGGCCTGGCATTTTCCTTGATGTTGTTTGTGGGGCCAGTGCTATTCCATTGCTGCTGTGATATTCTGTGTTCATAAACCTCCACCAATTTATTTACGAAAATAAATCTATCTCATCTAAGACGCTGGCAAAAATTCTTTGTATTATGCCTGCCTCCCAGAAGTTCTTTATTCAAACAGCCACAGACAGACTTGTACCATGAAGTCCGCAAAGCCCCAACTGCCAACATCACCCTGACAAGAACATATTGTGTACATCACAGTTGAAAAACAGGAGAAGCTGTGCAGTTGGTTTAAAAAAAAAAAGTGCTATCAAGTTTCAATTAGTGGAGTTCAAATTGTCTACTAGAACAAGGCTTTTCAAAATACTTGTGGTAAAGAACCAATTGCACACTGATAAAACTGTAAATTTCAATAAAAATAACTTATTAGAAAAAGAAAAAATCCATGAAGACATAAGAAAATATAACCCCCAAATTTTATTATTAAATTGACAGACATAGAATTACTTTGTCAAATTGCTATAGAAATTTCTAAACACTGAACTCTCGATTTCAGCACTAATTTCAGTACAAGCAGTCCATGAGCCTCGCCTGACCACATTTTGAGAGCACTGAACTGGAGGACATGCTCTCATCTGGTCTAGCACAACGCTCTTCAACACTCACCTTTAGATGACCCCTTCATGCTTTTTTTTCCTCTGTTGCTGCTCTTGGCAAAGAAAGATTTAGAAAAAGATCTCAAGTCTACGTGGTACTACTGACATGCATGTTGTCTCACTTGAAAAAAGGGGCAGGGCCATGTTTATCCATCTTGACATTTGACCTTTATTTCTCAGTGGTTAAAAGGATCCTGCAATGTAGGAATTATCTCAAGGAAATCAAAGTGAACTAAATTGCAGGTAACAGGAACAGACATTAAATCCTGATTTTTTTTTTTTCAAAATCTGAATGATCTCTATACCACTTCTGCTGGCTACTGTAATATTTTAAGAGGTCTACTGTACCTATAAAATTATTTTAGTGTGTGGTTATCTATATTTTCTGCCATAAGGAACTCAGTATATGTTTTATAGTTCCTTCCATTGCTATTTATTCTAATTATTTATTTGTGCATTTTTTTTCTCCCTCAAAGAGAGGACACTCTTTCTGAAGTCAAAAACTTCGCCTATTGGTTTTTCACATCTTTCATAGTATCTAAGCACAGACCATAAATCAACATTCAGTAAATACAGAATAAGTACACTAAGCATCAGTTATCTTATTGTTAGTTGAAAACTTTGATATGAATAATATAAATTTTTCAAAGAGGAATAAAATGATACTTCAAAGTGAAAGGTATATTTTAAATACAAAATGACTACATAATTTCAATTCTCTTTCATGATTGAAAAAGCCTTCTAACATCTTAGAAATCAGTTTTTATTGCCTTAGTCAAAGATATATAACTGAGCAGTTATAGTTATTTGGTTTTTTCCTTAAATTAGACCATTGCAGCTACTCAGCAAAGCATTTTTGGAGGACTCTGGAGACAAGGCTGAATTTGCTCCTTGGTCAGTAAGGACCCTTAGTCAATAATAACACTACCCTAGCTGTTAGACTAACCTCAAAAAGCCGCTAATGACCCAAGTTGAATGGTTTTCCAATGTACGCTGCCATCTTGGACTCACTTCTCAATTGACAGAATCTCTACAGCTGCTTTAAAAGCTTTCTACTTTTTATTTTGCCAAAGCCTCTTTAAACATTGCCTCTGAGCACTGAAGCTTTTTCAAACAAATCAGACCTTCTAATACCTCTCAAGCAGCTGTGAGGACTTCACGTTTTCACAAAGGGAATAAAAGATGGAGGCTGTAAAGAGTGGCTTATGGGAGTCTTTGTACTTACAAATAAAATGTCTTAATAAGTTTATTCATGTAAACAAAATAATAAGGAATGATAAAAACGACAAAAACACAATTTACTACCTTCACCAGTGTAATTATACCAGTGGATTCTGTCTACTTCTGCAGAGAGGAAAAAAGAAAATGAATAACACTAAGTACTTAAAATCTCACGTGTTAGAAAATTATACTTATGTTTCCAATAAAGATTCTAGGAACAATTTTAATAGATCTGAGTGATGTATATCATTCCAGAAAGCTTTTCTAGTATTCTAGGCCAACTTTAAAGTGTTAAATTGTAGGATACACAAAATATAGCAAATAAGGTTATAAAAATTATGATGTACCTTTCACATCAATTTGGTAGAGGATTCAAAAATCTCTTTAATTTTTTTTTGAGATGGAGTCTTGCTCTGTCACCCAGGCTAGAGTTCAGTGGTACGATCTCGGCTCACTGCAATGTCTGCCTCCCAGGTTCAAGCAATTCTCCTGCCTCAGCCTCCCGAGTAGCTGGGACTACAGGTGCGTGCCACCACACCCAGCTAATTTTTGTATTTTTAGTAGAGATGTTGTTTCACCATGTTGGCCAGGCTGGTCTCAAACTCCTGACTTCAGGTGATCCACCTGCCTCTGCCTCCCAAAGTTCTGGGATTACAGGCGTTAGCCATGGCGCCCGGCCCACTAATTTTTTAAAATTAATTTTTAAAAAATAGGTATGTATTTTTAATTGACACATAACAATTGTACATATTTATGGGGTACAGGGTGATATTTTGACACATGTATGGAGTGTGTAATGATCAAACCAGGCCAATTAGCATATCTATCACCTCAAACTTTATCTTTTTTTTTGTGCTGGTACCATTCAAAATCCTTTCTTCTAGTATTTGAAAAAAATGCGATAAACTATTATTTACTACAGTCACCCTACAGAGCTACAGAGCACTAGCATGTATTCCCCCTATCTAGCTGTAGTTTTTAAACTCTAACCAATCTTTCCCTATTCCCACCTCCCCCAAACCTTCCCAGCCTCTAGCAACCACTATTTTATTGTCTACTTCTATTAGTCAAATTTAAGTTTCCACATATGAGATAGAACATGTATTTATCTATCTGTACCTGACTTTTTTCACTTAACATAATGTCCTCCAGGTTCATCTATGTTGCTGTGAGTGACAGGATATTTTTTTAAATTTTTTTTTTTTGAGACAGAATTTCATACTTGTTGCCTAGGATGGAGTGTAGTAGCACAGTCTCAGCTCACTGCAACCTCAGCCTCCAGGGTTCAAGGGATTCTCCTGCCTCAGCCTCCCAAGCAGCTGGGGTTAGAGGCTCCCGCCACCACGCCTGGCTTTTTTTTTTTTTTTTTTTTGTATTTTTAGTAGAGACGGGGTTTCACCATGTTGACCAGGCTGGTAATTCCTGACCTCAGGTGATCTGCCCGCCTTGGCCTCCCAAAGTGCTGGGATTACAGGTGTGAGCCCCTGTGCTTGGTCGGATTTCATTTTTTTTTTTTAAATATGACTGAAGAGTATTTCATTGGGGATATAAACATATATATATATATATATATATATGCCACATTTTCTTTCTTCTTTCCTTGTGTTTGTTTGTTTGTTTGTTTGTTTGTTTTTGGAGAAACAAGATCTCACTCTGTTGCCAAGGCTGGAGGGCAGTGGTATGATCACAACTCACTGCAGCCTCAACTCCTGGGCTCAGGCAATCCTCCCTAGTGGCTGGGACTACATGTGCGAGCCATTGCACCAGTGTATACATTTTCTATATCCATTCATCTCTTGATGGACACTTAGATTGATTCCGTAACTTGGCTATTGTAAATAGTTCTGCAACAAACATGGGAGTACAGATATCTCTTCAACATACTCATTTCCTTTTCGTACCACATCTTTATAATACCCTCTTTATTCATAGTCTGGGTCCTGAGGTATTGAATTGAACATATATTTCTAAGAAAAGCGTGCTATTTTTGCCAGTATTTAATTGCATAACTGAGGTATTAATTCCCTCCTTGCAACATAGTTGGGAACAGTTTCCAATATATTTACATGGTAAACTTAGGTGTTTTTTTTTTTTTTAAAGCATGCGTCTGTATTATGAAAGCAGTACCAGAGTCCCGAAAAGAGACAGGGATAATCCTTATTGGTACAGAATCCCCATCATGTAATCAATATTAATATGCCTTGGCAATAACGTACCTTTAAATTTGATGTTCTTGATGGGGATGGAAAACTCATGACATGACATGTATGTTCTGGGAAAGTAAACATTTGAATTGATAACAAACATAAGAAATTATTTGTAAGACCCAAATGGTGTTTACTGACCGTATAATGGCTAGATTTTTCTGCTTATCAGTTCAAGATGTACTGTAGCTCTTCCTAGATATAACTATAACATTATCCTGTTCTATTTCTTATTATATGGAAGTCAATATCCTAACTGGCTAACTGGCACCCAATGAGGTCTCATGATCATTTATCAAATGAATGAATGAATGGGTGAATAAATGGTTGAATAAAAGTCCAAGTTTAACTATACCTAACCAGAACCGAATAGAATGATACATTAGCTTTTCTATTTCTTGAGATCTGTTACTGTATTCAGCATGGTAATTTTCAAACTTTAGGCACTAAATAAAGATTTGTTTTTATTAAACAACGTGGTTAACATTCCTTACCTCGCAAAAAAAAATTATACAGCATTTGCATTTGTTAAGTTTAAGTTAGTAAATTTTACTACCTTCTTTATTTTTCATATTAAGAATTCTTGCCCAACTGAAAGTTTTAAATCTCTCCCACAGATTTTCATAAATATCACTTCTCTTATGCTATAAGTCCATTTTACATATTATTGTTAAAAGGCTATGTTTAGCAAGCAATCTAGATGTTATATATCAAAGTGTCTATAGTTAATGACAATATACTACATTCTTGAAAAATGCAAAGAGTGGATGTTAAGTGCTTTCATCACAAAAATGATAACTGTGAGGTAATGCATTTGTTTTTTCCTTTTTTTGCTTCTTTTTTCTTTTTACAAACCCTGCATGTGGCATTCAGTGCATTTGTTAATTAGCTAAATTTAGCTATTCCACAATTTAGACATACTTCAAAATATCATGTTGTACACAATGAATACATACAATTATTTGTCAAAAAAAAAAAGAAAAACAAAAAACAGCCTAGCACAGTGGCTCATGCTTGATCCCAGCATTTTAGGAAGCCAAGGCAGAGGAACACTTGAGCCTGGGAGTTTGAGACCAGCCTGGGCAACACAGTGAGACCCCATCTCTATTAAAAAAAATAGCCAGGCATGGTGGTATGCACCTGCAATCACAGCTACTCAAGAGGCTGAGGTGGGAGGATGGCTTGAGCCCAGGAGGTCAAGGCTGCAGAGAGCCATGACTGCACCACTGCACTCCAGCCTGGGTGACAGAGTGAGACCTTATCTCCAAAATACAATCCAAAGCAGAATACACAAGTGTAAATACAAGATCGGAGCCTGAATCCTTCCCAGGCTCTAGCAGAAAATAAGGACTCCAGGAAAGAGGATTAATCCTGCCAGGCACTACCTTGAGCATAATAGGTGGTGCTGAAGAGCATGGGCTCTGGTGTTAGACCACAGGGTCTGAATCCCGGCCTCACCAATTCTTAGCTTTGATTCAAAGGGCAAGTAACCTCAGTTTCTCATAGGTAAGATTGGATAATAGCATCTACCTCATAAGCTTAAGAGAAGAATTAGGTGAGAACATGCACATAAAAATCCCTGGCATACAGTAAGTTTTCAATAAATGTCAGGGATTACTATCATTACAGAGAACCCAGACTCTTTTTCTGGGAAATAGACAGCGTTTTTAAATTACCTGGTTTTTTTCCAAGTATCACTTGCCCTCAAGTTGATTTATGAATTAAGTGTTTTTCTCTTCTAAATTTGATGTAGATTAAAATTTGGTGTTTAATTCTTATTTTAGCATTATTACAGGGACGTTTGGGAAGGGTGAGAAGGAGAGTTATACCTAATGAAGTTCTTTTCCTTGAAAAAAAGGAGCCGTTTTTTCCAGATAGCAACAAGCTGGCACAGACACCCTTTCACTTGCCCTCTGTCCCCACTTGCCATTCCTCCCACTACTTTTCAACATTCTCTCTTCCTGATAGATGTCCTCATGATGATACTTCAATATAAAACAATGTGATTAAAAACAAATTGACACTAAAATATTAAAGATATGTCATACTTCCCATGATACTTGCATTTTAAAATAGGTTTTTCTGTAATGGTTATGCTTAACATATTGTGCAAGCCTCAAACAGTGAAATTTGTCACTATAGTACCAACTGTACAATAGAGATAATCTTGGCATATAGGGGGGTAAATACACATTTAACAAAAGGCAAGAGAAGTGAACCTGTGAATGATGGCCTGGTAAGTCTAACATCAACAGTAAAATAATGAAACGGGCCTGACAAGATGAAATTTATCAAAATCTGGAGGTTAATGGAATCATGAGCAATAAGAAGCATGGTTTTATAAAGAGCAAATCATATCCGACACAATCAATAGCTCTTTTCAGCAGAATGACAAAATTAGAGGAAGAAGGGAATCAGGTAAGTGTTGCCTATTTGCACTATCACAATGGATTTAAAATGGTCCCCGCAAATTTTAAATTCAACTGTAGATAAAACTGACTCAGTCATGAATACTTTCTAAAAGGCCCTGAAAAAAAAAAAGTACAATGTCACAGATAATGACAATGCAGGCCGTTGTGGGATGCTAGAGTTAATAAAGCTCATTCACTGCATTTTCTAAACTGATGAAAAGGAAAAAGTGTATCAGAATTGTGTATAACGTGCCAGTGAATAGCGCATTTCATAGAACACAATTAGGCAGATTTTAAAATACAATGGATAATCTAAAAGGATCCTAGGTGAGATCCCTGTAACAACTATCTCCTGACTAAAATAAAACAGACTGAGATAAGGGGAAAGCCCTCGGGACCGAGAATCAATCAATCCTGGGTTGTGTTCTCTCTCTGCCTTTTCCAACTGCATTCTTCCATGATTCATTTAACTGGCTGGGATTCTTCCCCTAACCCTGACTTCAGGACAGCATATGAGTGGCAAGATCCTCATGATGTCCACTGAATACCTTGGCTGTTTGACCACAACTGGATGGGAGAAATTTATATATCCTTTCTCAACTCTGGCACCCCGTCTTCTTCTTCCATACAGACGTAATCACAGCTTTGGTTCAGAAATGCTCTCCTAGCCCATAGTCTGTTCAGAGAAAGAGAGATAGAGAAATAAACAACTGAAAAGAAATGAAATAAAAGTTATAATACAAGTGTGTAGAAAGTTCTAGAGCAACTCAAAGAAATAAGAGACTGTCAGAGAGAATTAGGTAAATGTTTCAAGAAGGGACATTTGGTCAGGGCCTTGAAGACTGGGTAGAGAGGAGGTGGGAAATGGAGGGTCTGCCACCTGAAGGGGCAGCAGACACAAAACTCTCCTCATGGATATGATGAGAAAGATAACTTCTGTACAAGCTCCATCCAGCTCAGAATGCTGCTTGAAGAGCAGATGGAATGACCCACATGACAGAATTTTGTAAAATGCTGTATAAATATGAGAGATTGTAATTATGCTACGAGTAGTTAAAAATTGCTTTAAAAGAAAATTCGTAGTAGGCTAAATGCTAGAGGAGCCTAAAACCCAACTGCCTAACTTCAGCCTAAATGCGGCAGCATTAGCATTACCAGGCTTTACACAGGGCTCTAACCCTTCTAACCATGAGTGGAGTAGGGAGACACCACACACAGAACAGAGGCCGAGTTTTCTTATGTGTACCTGTGCTCCCAGAGTGTGACTCACACATGTGGGATATGAAGCTGCCCACAGATCTCCATGCATCCACAGGCAGCAGCTGCCACTATCCTTCTCTGCAGCTATGTTTGGTGTGAAGAGGAGGGTAGACTGTCCACATCAACCAAACCTAAAAGCTTGGAGTCACCTTAGACTCCTTCCCTCTGTGTTGTGATTTCATTGTAATTTATCATCTTTCTTGTTCTCATCTTTTCATTTCCTTCCATGCTGTCACCAGCAAATCTACCTCTTCACTTGGGAAATTACAAGGCTCCCTACCTGGGGTCTTCCATTAGCTTTTTAGCCTCTCTCTCTCCTCTAGTCCACTCTCCGGAACAACCTGGCATAGAAAAATACCACTGCTGTCCTGTTGTGCTCTTATTCGAAATTCATCACTAACTCCCCATTGTCAGTATCAGTGATTCTCAAACTTCATTTGCATGAAGACTATGTCTGATATTTGTTTAAAATGCAGACTCTAGGATGTTCCTTCCCATTCTGACTCACTCATGGTAGGGCTCTGGAATCTTCATTTTTTAACAAACAAAAATTTTGTGTTAGTTTTACTACTGTTTTGGGGACAGCTCAGAGGTCAGCTCTTATTGGGTGTATAACTGACCTTTAAATACCTGTTACCAAGTGTCTATTTAAAGTCACACAATCACTTCAGTTAGGCATGATTATCAAAACTATGAATACAATATATAATTTTTATATGCATATAATGCATATCTATCAATTTATATATTTAAACATATAGTACTATGTAAATAAAATACCAATTGGGATATCTTTCTGGCTCCAAGGGGCTACTAACTGGTGCAGAAATATGGGAATGACTCACAGTTTAAAAGATGCTAAGTTATCTGCAGTCATGTTCAAAGGAAGCTTGATTCATGGTCCTAGAATCACACAGTTTAAGTAAGCCTCCAAAAAATAACTTCTTCTGTTGGGAAGGGAGGGATATCTTCCTGAGGAGATTTAAGTCATCAGGTAATAAGCTATCTCTTTTTCTTTTCCTCCATGGGGTAAGATCGGTAGTAGTGGAACATTTAACTTATTCCTCCCATTATGGTGCCCAATCCATCATTCCTCAGACTGGAGACTGGTACCTGTCTTCTGTCTAAAAAGGGTGAAATGATCAAGCAACAAACGATGTGCCCAGGAAATGGTCAGGAGAAAGGCAGTGAAACAGACAGGCATGTTGCGTAGACATAGTCCACAGTCCCAGAACTTAGCACACAAGGGTTCATGAATTTGATACGAGTCAAATGGATGCCACGTTAGGCAATTGGGACTTTGGTCAACTTTCCAGTCACCAACTGGAATTAGAGGAGCCTGTAAGCAACAGGTTGTAGGATATATGGTGTTAAAGCAAAATAAGCAAAGGGCCATTAGACTGAGGCTATTTCTGTGCCCAGAACCCTTACACACACAAGCTGAAACTTAACTTAGGGGCATTTCTTACAACAGATTTTTTTTTTTAATTGACAAATGAAAGTTGTATGTATTTATCATGTACAACATCTTGTTTTAAAATATAGGTACATTATGGAATAGCTCAACGAACTAATGAAAGTGTTCATTATCTCATAAACTTGACTTTTTTGATAAGTGGTGAGAATGCAAAATCTACTTAGCTATTTTTACAATACAATACATTGGGCCGGGCGCAGTGGCTCACACCTGTAATCCCAGCACTTTGGGAGGCCATGGCGGGCATGAACACCTGAAGTCAGGAGTTCAAGACCAGCCTGGCCAACATGGCGAAACTCTGTCTCTACTAAAAAATACAAAAATTAGTCAGGCACGGTGGTGCGTGCCTGTAATCCCAGCTACTCAGGAGGCTGAGGCAGGGAGAACTGCCTCAGCCTGGAGGTGGAGGTTGCAGTGAGCTGAGATTACACCACTGAACTCCACCCTGGGCGACAGAGCAAGACTTTGTCTCAAAAAAAAAATAATTAATTAATCAAAAAAATACAATACATTGTTAACTGTAGTCACCATATTGCAGAGTAGATCTCTTTTTTTTTAAGCTACCTTTCTTTATTGAAATCAATTAGAATTGATAGACATTTGAATGCATATTTTACATACCTTTGTTCCCATCTAACTGAAATTTTGTATCCTTTTTCCAGTATCTCTCCAACTCCCAAACCATGGCCCCTGGTAGCCAGCACTCTACTCTCTGCTTCTATAAGCCAAACATTTTTAGATTTCACCTATAAGTGAGATCATGCAGTATTTGTCTCTGTGCCCAGCTTCTTTGACTTAACATGATATCCTCCAGGCTCATCCATACTGTTGCAACTGAAAACAAATTTTCACTTTTTTAAGTTGAATAGTATTCCATTATGAACATATACCACATTTTCTTTCTTCATTCATCCGTTGATGGACACTTAGGTTGATTTTGTATCTTGGCTATTGGCAAATAGTGCTGCAATAAACATGAGAGTACAGATATCTCTTCAAAATAATTTTATTTCCTTTGGATATATAACCAGTAGTGGGATTGCTGGATCATATGGTAATTCTATTTTTAGCTTTCTAAGGAACTTCCATACTGTATTCCATGATGGCTATGCTAACTTGCATTCCCAAGCAAAGGTTTAAAGTTTCCCTTTTCTCCACATCCTCGCCAAAACTTGTTCTCTCATCTCTTTTTGATAAAAGCCATTGTAACAAGTATGAGGTGATATCTCATTACGGTTTTGACTTGCATTTCTCTGATGATTAGTGATGTTGAGTATTTATACCTGTTGGCATTTATATATCTTCCTTTGAGAATGTCTGTTCAGGCACTTTGCCCATTTTTTAATTGGGTTATTTGTTTTCTAGCCACTGAATTGTTGGAGTTCCTATAATATTTTGGATATTAACTCCTTGTATCAGATGTTTGGTTTTGCAAATATTTCTCCCATTTCACCAGTTGTCTCTTCACTCCATTAACTGTTTGCTTTGCTATGCAGAAACTGATTAATTTTGAGTCAAGCTTCAGCCAGTCATAGATAGCCAACTAGCCCACTGGTTAAATAATTTGGGGCCTTTCATCAGATTATACCCATATAGGGCAAGGGCTCAGCTGTAGCCAATCTAGTAGAGTACTTTACTTTGCTTCCGCATTTAGTCTGTAAAAACCCACTGCTCAAGCTGCTGGAGTCAAGCTCTCTGAACCTCTCCTGGTTTTGAGAGCTGCCCAATTCATTCACCATCCTTTACTTAAATAAAGTCTGTTAAATTAATTTTGTCTAAAGTTTTTATTTTAACAATAGTCATCTGTGGAGACAATGGGAGGAAGAGACTATATCTCAGCAGGGTAACCAGGCCAGGGAACTGAACAGTTAAGGCCTCAAAGAACCACCAAATGAACCCCATGAAAGATCTAGCATTTGAAGGCCTGCAGCCTGGAGAGAAACAATGGCCACATTGGTTGGAAACTGTACGACAATCACAAGAATGGACTGCAGCCTCCTGCAGCTCCAAACAGTGCCTGGGACTGAAAGAGGCCTGACACTCTCCCTGGCCACTGGTTTTATAAAATTTTAAATAAGCTTCTCCACAGCCATGTAAAACCTCTGCTCTGTCTCTTGGAGAGAGAGCATTGAATTAGAGTGTAATATCTAAAGTTGACTGATCCAAACCAGAAGTCCCAAAGTGTTATGAGATGAAACTAACATTCATCAGATGGTGTGGAAATACTCTCTGAACATAAATGTTTATAAATGTCATACTTTTTTTTAAAAAAAGCACAAACATAAAATAAAGAAAATATAATTCCAAAGTACATGTTAATAATTCTTCTCAATTTTGAATTATGTATCTTAAGTGTACCATGGTGTAAAGAAAAACAATTTTTGATTGGAATCAAAAGACTTGAATTATAGTGCCCACCAAAATATTGAAAAACTGGATCAATGATATAACAATGATGAACAGTAGTTTTGTATCCATGAATTAAGAGCAGTAATTATTACAGTACCCACCAAAAATGGGCCATAGTATCATAAGACTTTTGAAATTCACTCTTCACCTCTCAGTTTTTAGTAGAGATATTAAAAATAAAAACTCCACATAACACCAGATATTATTTTGCTCATTACTTGTTAAGTGTTTTTGCCAAGCTAATCTCTTTTCCAGTATTTTTGGGTATTCATCTAACACCTAATTCTAAAATTGTATATCTAAATATGGGAATTGGACTGTATGTTTTCTAAATTTCCTTCAGCTCTAAGACTTCATGATTCTCTTTTCCTTCAGTTTTAGTAGTTTTAGTATACCTTTTATTAGAACTGTTAACAAGTCTGAACATCGTCCAATTTCATTTTTTTTTTTGCCAGAATTAATGAGCAGTAAAATAATCAAATGGGAGCAGAAATATATAGAGAGAAGACATAAGAGGAAAAAAATTTTGAGGAGAAATAACTGACTGGAAAATCAGCTAAAAAATATCAAGAGTTAACTCCCTCTTCATCTTATTTAATAGAGTATGCCATTAGATGTAATTCACATATGGATTGGATTGTCTAAAACAGACAAAGCCTTTGAAAATGATTACAGTTGAAGCTAAAATGTTCATAGATAATGAAGCTGAAGAAGATTGTCACTTCCTGATTCAGATATTATGTGAAAGAATCACCAGTCTTAGATAAAATAGTTGAAAATTTTCATGTTACCTGGCATGAATTTGAACTGTCTAGAAAGAAATAGCTCTTAAGAATCAGTTTCTTGGCAACTTGGTGCCGTGCCATAAGGTAGTCTCAACTTCTGCTTTTTAAGCAGGTTGAGCTGATGCATTGCTGGGACAAATCATAACAGAGCCTCATCCAGCATTTCTGATGTTCTATTCCCAGCAAGTTCGTGTGTCCCTTGATTCAAGAATAGGTATTGAGTTACAAACACCTGGTATTGCAAGGATTTTTACTTTGTCCACAAACACTAAGTTACCTATGTACGTAACCCAAATATCATTGTTCAATAAGTTGTAAAGGAAACACGGTAATTTAGAGATTGCCAATGTAATCAGGCAGGAAGAGAGAGAGGCCAAAGAGAGAATTTCACATCAGAAACCTGTTCACTTCTCCTGCTGAGGCTAAAGTAACTACGAATCATGTTAATTAATCTGCCATAAAATGTCACAGACTAAATGAGTTCAAAGGATTTCAATTCAATCCATAGTGCATCACAAATACCACCATGAACTACAGCCAATGCTGCAGCCTTAAATCTGAGAGACATGCAGATAAGAAGACAGGTGTATGCATAAAAGAATAAAGTATAGTAGAAACCAATTACAGCAAAGTCGTTTTTCTTCCACAAGAAAAAATTTTATTATAAAAAGAAAAATTACTACAACAAAAGGGACTGTGATTTTTTCTAATGATTGAAGTATCTATCTACTTTCTTGATGAAATGAATTTCACTCAGGTTGAATTATAAATAAATTGTCCAGTTTGCCATGAATATTATAGTTTTACTAAAAATCATACCACCCGCACTGAAAGATATAGTAAGTCCTAAACCTCATGTCCTAAACAATCAGATGTAATTACTGGGGCATTTAGAACTAACATGATGTTTTCATATCTAAGATTAAATATGCAGATGGTGACAAAGTCTAGGGTGCATCTGGTTCCGAATAAGAGGTTGACAAAGGCTCTCTTGCTTGTTCTGTTACTTAAATATTTGACAGGGTACAGATATCTAATATGTAATTTTGTAGGTGAACATCATCACCCAGCTAATCCTACTGTGGATATCCTTATATTTCAGATCTGTAGTACTCTTTCGACTCTCATCAGATTGTTGATGGTGGCAGCTGAACACTTAAGCCCAGCAAAAATGTATTATTAGCAAAAATCTGGCTTATTATTCAATTATCAATGGCTGGTTGAACTCTCAAAGTAGGCTAAGTATGGCTTTGATAAGTATGCAGAAGTTCTCAAAGTGTTCTAAAATAGTAATTCCACAAAATGAAGCTTTCCTAGATAACCTTTGTTTTTGTTAAGATATACCGGCCCTTTGCTCATCAGTATAACTTAGACCATATTGTGCCAAAATGGACTTCAGCCTATTGATATTTCAGGAATGCTAAGATATTCTGTTTAAAATAAAAAAGAGGTGGAACCTGGGTTTTTGAGGAACCTGGGTTTTTTTTTTCTTTCGATAGAAATAATGTTTTAGATAATACATTTGTAGCTAGTGTTTGACTCAATGATACAGCTTATCAGTGTTACTATGAACTCAGCATTATTTGCATGACCTTTTAAAAGCCTCTTATCTTCTCAGGCTTTCAGTCTGGGTGACACTAATAGTAATATTTTATAATATTTTGCAATGATTAAATATGTCAGAGAACCTAGCACAGTTCATAAAGCAGATACTCATTATGTTAGTTTTCTTTCTGCTTTGAATAAACATTTCATTCTTTCCTTCTTTGCCCTCTTCATCCTCTACTCCTTATTTCTGCCCTTCCTTAGTCATTTGTCTATTATGAGGATCATCATCTTGTATTGAATTTGTTTTTCACTTATCTATCTTTCCACTTGACTATAAACTCTGTAAGGACAGGAACACATATTTTCATCATTATAGCCTCAAATCCTAGTACCTTTAGCACACATAATAAACTCAGACTAGCTACCTCTTGAAAGAATCAATTTTGGGAATATAAAATTTAATCCCTGCTTCTGAAATAGAGAACATTATAAAAATATAATTTTAAAAACTTTTATTGCCATAACCCCGTACAGATGATAAAGGGCTTCCATGTGCATAATTCATTTGTTTAATGTATAAAACAATCTTGAGGTATACAGCTGGAACATGGCAAAAGAAGTCCAAAGCCCTGAGCTCAAAACCCTGACATTCCAAGTTTCCTAACCTGAGGTTATTTTCTAAACTCTTTGAGTCCTGTTTGCTCTGAGCTGCAGCCTTCTCATCTTCAAACAAGATTAGTATCTGTCCTGCCTCTCTGGCAGGGTTTTCGTAAGGATTAAATGAGAGAACGTACGTTGAAATGCATTGTGAACTGTAAAAACGTAGATGTAGGAAGTTCCTATAAATCCTTCTCAAAGAAAAGATATGTTATAAATAACTAGTTGTTAGGTGTCATCTTCACTTAACAATAAAACAAGTGATGACTACAAGGCCCTTTTTTGTACAGAAAAATTGGTAACTTGGATTGATATGGTAGGGGTTGTTAGAGCTTCTGTAAGAAGTCAGAGTGCATCTGAGCCTTGAAGTCTGCTAGAACTTGAATGTGAAACAAATAGAAGGACGTGGCAGACAAGAAGATTTTGAAAACTTAAAGTGTAGCCCACGCAGGTAATTTGAGGGGAGAGTAAAAAATCATTCTTGCTGTAATAGAGCATTGGTGTTTGAGAATGGGGTTGAGATGAACTCTCATTGGTGTTGAGATGAACTTGGAGAACTAAAGAGGTCAGAGTATGGGGGACTTTGCATGTCAAGGTAAGTTTCAACTTTTTCATGTTAATAATACAATAATACTATATTTCATGTAGCAAAAATATTTTATGGAATCAATAGTCTATTATGAGGCAAATAGATTTTAGGGAAATAAATCCAATTGCATTCATTAGATCAAAGATGGAAGACTATAGCACCGAGATTGGTTAAAAGGAAGAAGAAAACTATTGTGGCCTATTCAGGAATGAAGACCAGAGGGGGAAAAAAAAAAAAAGCTTAAGGAGCAAAGTGCTAATGGGAGCTGGGAGAAGGAGTAATGAATTCAACATTATAAGGAGCTTGGTGTTAAAATCAGTTCAGATACATAGTGTGAGTATGGCACTGGGACACAGGGATAGGACATGCTTAAATGGGCAGATGCATGGTGATGACTCTGTGAGTCTTAGGGATGAATAATTCCCAGGAGGAGGCCCATGATATTAAGCCTTTGTTGGATAAGTTAATGTGAGTATAGCATTACAGAAGAGGAACCATCTCAGCATTTATAATTGTGTGAGCCAGTCTTTCATAATAAATCTCTATCTACCTATCTGTCATCTCCTATTGGCTCTGTTTCTATGGAGAACCCTAACTAACACAGAGAGCAAAACATGCATAAAAGCAATCTTGAATCAGTACTGAATATGCAGTAGGCAAAACACACGAACATTCAGCAAAGTAGATAGTATGCAAATATGCAATACTTTGTCTGTCAACAAAATTGAAAATTCCTGGGTTAAAATTAACTCTAAGGTTTGAAATGTCTTGTATGAATAGCATATATCTGAAAAAAAAAAGTCAGAAATTCTTATTTTTATAGCCTGTAACCAACCAGTTATGGAAGAGCACAGAAGAATGTAAAAAAAAAAAAAATCATTCAATTTAGGAGCAAGTGAAGGTAGTTTGAGATATTTAGTAACTCTCTCTACTTTTAAAATAATAAAATATTTGGAAACAAATATTTGGAATTATACATGATAGAGTGCTTCATTTTCATGGAACTTTACAGTTTACAAAACACTTAAATGAATGTTATGTAATTTTTTTCTTTTTTGAGATGAGGTCTCACTCTGTCACCCAAGCTGGAGTGTAGTGACACAACCTCAGCTCACTGCAACCTGTGCTTCCCAGGTTCAAGTGATTCTCCAGCCTCAGCCTCCCAAGTAGCTGGGACTACAGGCACAATCCACCAATGCCAGGCTAAATTTTTGTATTTTTTTGTAGAGACAGGGTTTCATCATGTTGCCCAAATTGGTCTTGAACTCCTGAGCTCAAAGTGACCTGCCAGCCTTGGCCTCCCATAGTGCTAGGATTACAGGGATGAGCCACTGCACTGGGCCTAAATGTTATGTATTTTTATTGATGAATACATACTAACATGTTTGTAAATCTTTTTCATAAACTGTAAAGCAGATGCAAATGTAAAATATTGATAGCAATTTATAGGCATTTTATTGAACAATTTTAACTTGCTCAGTTATGTACTTGAAACAGTTTTATTTTTCTCCAATCTCTACCAAATATTTTCTATTCATTAAGGGTATCTTCGGCAGATCCCATAGATTTGGGGTCAGTTTCGACCTTAAAAATCCAATCCAGTGTAGTTTAAAACTACAATATCATATTTTTTTCTTCCCCAAAACCAATCATGGGGCTTTGCATTAGGAGTGAGAATAATCTGCTTATTATGCCCCTAACTATACTTCCTGGTTTTAGCTTCTCTCAGATTGGAGACTGTATTAGTCCAATTTCACACTACTATAAAGAATTGCTCAAGACTGGATAATTTATAAAGGAAAGAGCTTTAATTGACTCACAGTTCAGCATGGGTAGGAAGGCCTCAGGAAATTTACAATCATGGAGGAAGGTGAAGGGGAAGCAAGGCACCTTGTTCACGGGGCATCAGGAAGGAGAATAAATGCAGGAGGAACTACCAAATACTTATAATACCATCAGATCTCATGAGAACTCACTATCACGAGAACAGCATGGGGGAACCGCCCCCATGATTCAATTACCTCCACCTGGTCTCTCCCTTGACATGTTGGGATTATAGGGATTATGGGGATTATAATTCAAGATGAGATTTTGGGTGGGGACACAGCCAAACCATATCAGAGATGTAGAAGAAGGATGGAAGAAAAGATCTCTTCACTGGGCTGTAGTCACTGTTCTCCAGCTAACACTAACTGGCCTCTATACCTTCATTGTGGAGGTGTCCACTACTAACTCTCCCATAATGAACTTCCTGTGTACTTTCCTGAAGAAGATGAGGAAGTTATAGCATGGAGTTTTCTAACATGCCTCAACTTATACTGGTGGCTCACATCATAGGCAATCCACTGGGCTGGAGATGGTGGGGGAGAGGGCAGCTAGCCTGGTAGCTAGTAAACCCTTTGGTTAGGATAACAGCTCAGATAGGCACAGAGACAGAGCCTCTGCATGAGGGAATCCCTGTGGTGGGATTCCATAGGTCCACTGCATAAGGGAATCCCTATGGTGGGATACAAGCTAATCATCCATTCTTATGGGCATCCCAAACTCTGTGGATGGTTCTGTTGGATCGTTCTCCTTGCTTGGCTTAGGCAATCATATAGCTGAATGTCCCCCCCAAATTCATGTGTTTTGAAATTTAATTACAAATGTGATAGTATTAAGAGGTGGGATCTTTAGGGGGTGATTAAATCAGAAAAGCAGAGCCATCATGGATGGGATTAGGACCCTTATAAAAGGGCTTGAGGAAGTGGGTTCATTCCCTTCTGTCCCTTCCGCCATATAAGGAAGTAGCATTAGTTCTCTCTGGAGAATGAGGAGCAATAAGGTGTCATCTGGGAAGCAGAGAACAGCCCTTGCCAGACACAGAACTTGCTTCTATTTTAGACTTCCCAGCCTCTAGAACTGTGAGAAATAAGTTTCTGTTGTTGATACATTACCCAGTCTCAGGTACTTAATTATAGTAGCACAAATGGACTAACACAGGCAGCATATTAGTTAGCTTATTACTGCATAAGAAACTACACAGACATATAATACTCTTAAACATCAAACATATATTATTTCTCATAACCCTAGATCCAACTGTAGAGTTCTGCTGATCTGGGTGAGGCTCGGTTCATGTCAGCGGAGCCACTCATGCATCTGCAGTCAGCAGGCAGGTAAGCTGGAGCTAACTACTCTACCATGGTCTCAACTGGAAGACGTAGTTCTCCTCCATGTGTCTCTCATCTGGCAGGCTAACTGGGATTTGTTCTCTTGGCAATAGCAAAATTCCAAGAAGGAGAGAGGAATCATGCATAGTATCTTAAGACATAGGTGTAGAACTGGAATATCATCACTTCTGCTACGTTATTTAGCCAAAAAAAAAAAAAAAAAAGCCAAAACTTCATCCCAGATTCAAGAAGTAGGGAAACAGACTCCACTTATTAATGGCAGAAGCTTAAAGGTTACATTTTAAAGAGCAAGGATAAAGGAAAAGACAGAAAATTAGGGTAATTTTTGCAATCAAATTACTAGAGAGGACCTCCAGCTTCAATTATTTACATACATTTCTCATGTAAAATATACTCACCATCTCCCAAGACCTTTACAAGTCCCACCCACGCAGCCCTGGCATGATGATCATGATCTACATTAGGTCTTGTTGTGGCTTCTTGTTATCCAGAGATTTTTACCTAAAAAGCCAAGCCTTCTAGAGTCCAAATACAAAATAAAGCTAGGACAGAATAAACCCATACTCTCCATTCAGAAATGACACTTCATTCGAAAATGTGGAGAAGGAGAGGAGCAGAATAGTCTCAATATTCGTTCTAAATCATTTCCCTGCCAGGGAAATGCTGCAAGAACTCCCGATTCAGGGTTTGGGTAATGTTCCTTTATGAGATCCTGGTTCTACTCTCTGGGGGTGGTCCTCTTTTCCAATGTTCTCTTCAGATCTTGCCACAACCCTCTTGCCTCTTGATTCTGAAACACCTGTTTTCCATCACGTCTTATTTCTGAAGAAAGAGCCTGTGCTTGCTGCTGAGTACCTTTTTCAACCTGATTCCTGCCCATGTCAAATTGAGGGAATAAATTTACTTTCAAAAGTTGAACAGTGTCAGTTCCTTTTAGCTTGATTAAGCTGCTCTTTTGTCATTACAACTTTGTGGACTTTATACATACCTGATTATTGTCTACTTCCTGTTTCAAAAGTTACACTCAAAATTGTTTTTCAGTGCCCCTTTCTAGATGTAATCACTGTTACTTTGGGATCAGACTTCTGTGAGACCACACCTATATAAAGTTTCCTAAAAAGTCATTTTTCTCCAGCTGAGAAGCCCCACTAAGCATGGCCTTAATTCTTGCAGAAAAGAATTCTCATTTTTTTGTTAACACTTAATTTTTAAGACTTAATACTGAATTCCTAAGTCTTAACGAAAGATCTTTCAGCCTTACTCTAATTTGATCTTTGTTATCAGGCTTCATTTTTACCTTGAGAATCCATTAAAGGCAAAAGAGATTAGAGATGAGAAATAGCTTTTATTTCCAACGAAGAAAGTTCTCTCTATTCCGTCTAAATTCTTTTTGTAAACTGGCCAATTCTTTTCTTAGCTCATCTCTTTCTTTAGGTTACCTTACCAGTTCAGCTACAAGCAACCACATGACAGTTCTAACATTTGCCTGGAAATCATCTTGATCAACTCCAGGAGTGCATTAGGAAAAATCTTTATCTTCCAAATTACCAAAGGCCACATTTTAACACCTGTTGTGCTCCTGTATAACAAAGGTCATGTTTCCAGCCTCCACCAACCATCTTATTGCAAAATCAAAACAACATATTAGGATTTTGTTTTGGCAACATTCTACTTATAGGTAATAATTTCTGTATCATTTGGATAATGCTGCATAACCAAGCACCCAATAACTTCATGACTTAAAGCAGCAACAAATTATTACTTCCAAAATCTAAGCGTGGCTGGGCATTTCAGCCAATCCAGTCAGGGCTCCACTGAACATATCTGGAATCATTCATGTGTCTGCAGTCAGCTGGTGAGTCAGCTGGAAACTGGATGGGCTGTGATGGCTCCAGCTGGGACATCTCAGGTCCCCTCCACTGCACATGCCCTTCACATCCTTTGAGAGGCTAGCATGGGCTTGTTCTCATGGGGGTGGCTGGATTATAGAGAGAGTGGAAATACGCAAGGCTTCTTGAGAACTAGACTCAGCACTCCTTTCTGCTGTTTTCTATTACCCAAAGCAAGTCAAGCAACAGGTAGCAACAGGCAAAGTCAGTCCATATAAAAAATATGAAGATTCTACCTGTTGCTAGGAAAACCTGAAAAGTCACAATAGAAAGCATTTGGATACAAGGGAGGGAGTGTTATTTTGCAATCTTTATGGCAGATGTGAAGCACCCCAGGACAGAAAGAATGGAGAAATCACAGCATTCCCCACTGGGCTAAAGACACAGCATTCAGACAGTCCCTCCACTCTCACTCCCTTCCCCAGCCCTCTGCTTAAGGAGATGTGGGGTAGAGGTGGGAGGAAGGACATGGGGGTTTATGAGACACTATGTTGGCAATGATAGAGAATGGCAATACAGATTCAAAGCTTGTAGAAAGTAACCCCAGTTTTGGTGTTTTGTTTTAAACAATATATTTTATTGACATTTCTTAGACTCTAATTGTGGGGTAGAGTTGTGCATTCTGAGGCAAAAGGAATATTTCCATTCCTGTTATTATGGTGTTATTCTATGATTTAACCTAACTGGGTTGATAGAGCTGTAATTTACTGTTAGTTATCAGATAGACCTTCGGAAGGAATAAGGACTATAACCCAAGAGCACACCATTGGGAAGTGGTGAAGTTTGCAACTAACTCAAGTCTTCTGATTGCAAGTCAGTAGCTCCATAATTTCTTCATTCAAAGGGTTTGTGACTGGCAGGCAGGTTAGGAGAAGGAACTTGCAGACTTTTCTGAAAGCTGCATTTGCACAGCATTTAATATAAGACTGAAAAAAACTCAGTTGTTCTCCTAAAAAAAAAGGGGGGGCAGAGGTGTTGATGGAAATAATGAGAGTTAACCATCATCCCAGTGCAATATAATCCAATACTTGGTGGTACTTTTGCTCCAAAGCTACTGCTTTTTTCACTATGTTGCCTTGCCTCTTGTAGTGGGTAGTATTGTGTCTCCCAGAAACTGTTTGTGTCTCCAAAAATGTCCTAGCCCTTTGTACCTGAGAATGTGACCTTATTTGGAAATAGGGTCTTTTAGATCTATTCAAGTTAAGATGAGATTATACTGAATAAGGGTGGGCACTAAATCCAATGACTAGTGTCTTTATAAGAAGGAAATTTGGACTCAGATAGATACATAGGAAATAACACCATCTGACGATGGAGGCAGAGATTGGAGCAAAATGTCTACGAGCCTAGCCAGAAATGCCAAGGATTTCCAGCAACTACTAGAAGTTATGAGGAAGCAGAAAGGATCATCCTCTAGAGCTTTCAGAGAAAACATGGCCCTGCTGATACATTGATTTTGGTCTTCCAGCCTTCAGAACTGCAAGAGAACTGTGTGTTTTAAGCCACCAAATTTTTGGAAATGTGTTATATACCTTTCAATTTCATCCAAATTGTTACTGTAAGAGAGGTGAACTTTTTACCTCTACCCTCTACCCTCTTAGAGTCCCAGCTGGGCATGAGAATTAAATTGACATAAGATAGATTAACAGAAGAGAAGCATGTAACTTTTACATGATAGAAGGAAATGAAAACACAAAGAAGTGTCAAAACCAAAATGCTTTTATATTAGGTACAATTACAAAGAGATGTAATTGTAGTAAAGTGACTAAATAATGTGGTGAGGCTAGAGGAAGAAAAGAATTATGTTAATAATATCTGTTTGTACAGAATTCTCCCAGCTATGACTCCCCGTCGAAGAATATTTTTCTTCTCTTGGTCCAGGAAGGGCATCTGTGACATAAGAATTTTAATCTCCTGTTTTCAGGAAGAAAAAGAGATTAGAATGTCCTTCTTGCATCTGCTGTTTTTCAAGTGCATTAACTCAAAATAATCCTTATACGGAAGTGGTAAATTTTGAGACGTATATTTGGCTACGTTTCATTACAAACTTGTTGACCTAGTCCACACCACTGTATAATCTAATGAAGAGAAAAAAAGACTGCAGACAAGTTAACATTTCCTATTTCTTAAATTGAGGAAGAGAGGAGTCCGAGGGAATGAAGAACTGTGACTTTAAAATATTATTTTTTCTCTCCACTTCTCACAAGGTCAGCCTCCCTACCTAAAACAGCCACTTGAAGCTAATCTCAAAGCTTCCAGTACAATTTTATTTGACCTTTAGTTAAAGACCACCTCTACCAGGCAACTGACTTTGCTACATCCCCTTGGGCTGTTGCAGAAGTCAGATTTCACAGTGTTCCTTTCATTGTTCGGCTTGGAAACCTAAAACCTGTTCATCCTAAAAGAAACCAACCTGAAAGTGCCAATTGAGGCAATAACAAAACATATATTTCGTATTTTTGAGAAAAAATACGCAGGGAAGAAAAATGAAGAGAATAAAATAGCTGTTTATCTGAAAACTGTGTTTTTCTATGCTGAGCACTCTGTTTATAGAGCCAATACATCATGTCCACCAACAAGTGGAAGTGAAGCATGTTTCTTCCACACATTGTTTGACACGGAAAGTGAGTATTTTATTGGCATTGGGTAATTTAAACTCACATAGTGGTGTCTGAAGTATATTAGCAGCATACCATGCAAAGACTAGATTGTTCAGCAATTTGTGTACCAGAGAGAAGCAGTCCAAAACAATTCAGGAGAGAGGCAAGGGCAAAAAGTCTTGAGAAGTTGCTTTATGTCAGACTAATATAGCTGTCATTAGGAAGATATTCATTAGCATCAGGTAAATCTAAAAATTTTGCCACCCAGTTTGCTAAATGCTAGTTTAAATGGCAGAGTTACAGGTAATGACATGGTAATACTGATCTACCACATACTCAGCACTGATGCTGCCTCAGATAATCCATTGGATTCATTCTTCCTATTTTTCCCTAACTTCTCCATAACAAACAACATCTGAAGGGACACACACACACACACACACACACACACACACACACACACTCATGCATATTTATTGCTATGAAAGACAGAATGTATTGGGATTAAAAGTATTTGATCTGGAGTTAGACTACCTAGATTTGAATCCCAGGTTTACCATTTACTGCTGTGCAAACTGTATCTATGGAATAGAGATTACATAGTTCGTATATCATATGTACTATTGTGACAAGTGTTATAAAGGATAATACATGCAAAATGCAGCCCGAGACACCAAATAAATAGTCAATAAATGTCAGATATCATCATCGTCTTCATCACTATCATTATACACACTCACAGGATTGGTTATCAATGTACATCTGTATGACTGGAAGTCTCTATAGGTTTGTACATGAACTTAGGGGTCTAAGGCTTACCAAAGGATTGGACTTCAGAAAATTGTGTTGATTTTTCCTTTAGAAAATATTGTGAAATAAAACTCGGGAAAATGTCTGCAAGTTTAAACTTAGTCAAATGGTCAGCTAATTAATGGAGAAAAATCTGTTCAATATTAACCAATCTTGTCAGCTAGTCCACCTAGATAAAACAGCGTTGTCTTATCTACTCATTTATAGACCAGTTGAATCATGCCGTAACGGATGAGTTAACATGATTAAAGGCAAGAAGCAACTAAAGCAAAAGGTATTGAGGGAAGGTAACAAGTAGTTCCACTTGTCTGGCTCAACAGATTGTAACGTAAAGCACTCTGGACCTCAGAAAAATTCCAGCTTCTACTACCCAGCATGCAATAGGAACATCAAACTTTTTCTTTGGGCCTAAATGTTGGGTTGATTGGTTTTCATATCAGCTATAAAGCAAAGGTTTGTGTGATATGAAATGAGGAACTAATGTGAAAACTCTAAGATTTTTCAAAACTGGAAAAAAATAATATAATTTATTATTAAACTCATCAGAGATATTTTTAATAAGAGGTTAAAAAAGTAAAACTAGAAATACTAGTCCGGAGAAGTTAGACTTTCCACTCTAGCTTAGGAAAAGCCAATTGTTGTTTTTGAGACAGAGTCTAACTCTATTGCCAGGCTGGAGTGCAGTGGCACAACCTCGGCTCACTTCAATCTCCGCCTCCCAGGTTCAAGCAATTCCCCTGCCTCAACCTCCCAAGTAGCTGGGACTACAGGCACACACCACCACGCCCGGCTAATTTTTATGTATTTTAGTAGAGATGGGGTTTTGCCATGTTGGTCAGGATGGTCTCGATCTCCTGACCTCGTGATCCACCTGCCTCAGCCTCCCAAAGTGTTGGGATTACAGAAGTGAGCCATCACGCCCAGCCCAAAGTGATGTTTTAATGAGTTGTTCTTGCAGCCACGTATGGCCTTCTTTTGATTGGGTCATGTTTTTCTTCTTGCAAGTCAGATAAGATAGCAAATAAAGACAATCTACACAATATGTCCTTGCTCCTTAGAATTTTCTATAGAAAATACAGATTAAAAAACTACTTGTGACACTTACGAGCAGGGTTTTCTGGCTATCAATCAGCCTTCTGGTGCCATAAATGAAGATACTTACAAGAAGATGGTCTTAAAAACTAATAAGAAATGGGTATTTTTAATGTCACAGTGCTTGGTTATATTTTTAGAGAGACTTTTTTTTGGTGTTGTTGATATAAGTGCACTACATTTCACTTCTACCTACAGAGTAGATCCTATTAGTGTTCAAAATATTTGCTGCCCCTCCCTGTGGGGGCTGATTGTACCTTCTCTCTCCATTGCTATTAAGCTTGTCTCTGCAAGTTTCCTTGAGCAATAAGATATGAACAGTAGTGACATATGCCACTTCCAAATAGAAGCTATAAAAGCCTTCACATGGTTCCACAATCTCTGACTGCCATGGAAAAATGAAATATTAAAAGCTTCCACGCTCTTAGAAAAAAACTTTATGGAAAGCATAATAACAAGTAAACACCAGAACTCTCTAAACCTATCTAAGCAATCAATGATGGTTCTACAGCCGTGGTAATAGTAATGATCAGAACTGCTCAAGAACATCAGCCAATCAGTGACAACCTCTTACTTCTAAAAGTCATTGATTCAAGAAAGGATTTATAAAAGGAAGATTCCCTG
Organism: Homo sapiens; assembly: GCF_000001405.40. NCBI lineage: Eukaryota > Metazoa > Chordata > Mammalia > Primates > Hominidae > Homo > Homo sapiens. The sequence goes on from NC_000013.11 coordinate 59,207,175, forward strand.
AATGTCAATTAATCAATAACAGTATCCCCCTAGTAACTATGCTTCTACAGATGATGTCAGCACACTCCCATACTATAAATCTGCCAATCCCCAAACTCCAGTCTTTCCAAAAGCCCTATAAAGGATCAGTTATCTGCTTTGCTTAAGTGTATTCTTGATTCACATAGCTTTCCCTCACTTAAATAAGCAATAAATTCAGCCTTAAGGTTTTTATTTCAAATACTGAGTGGTGGTCTTATCTTTTGACACGTGAAATAAAAAATGACCAGATAGGGCCTACTCTGCCTGTCTGAGTCCTCATTGAAGAGAATGTGGCACAGAGCCATGGCTGGCCCTTGGTGAACAAGTAACATCAGTAAGACATAACTGTTGTTTGTGCAAGCCACTGAGATTTTCACGTAGTTTGTTACCACAGAATACTGTACACTATGCTGAATTATAAAGACTGTAAGTCTAAGTTATAAAATTACACAAGAAAACAGGCAGTTATAATTTATGTCCCACTGCTAAGTTTTCCACTTGTGAGATCAGACTTATCTTCTTCATTTAATATAATTACTAGGTTTTCACAATTTCAACACAGCATTTATTTTAAAGGGTTCATTTTATTATTTCATTTAAAAATTATTTTTCCTGTAAACTATATGATTTTCAAAGATTACTCCTCTGCAAAACAACTTTTTAAACTTTTAAAAAGTTTTAAAATCAAAACAAATAAGGAAGTTAAATTTGTCTTTAAAACATGTTAAATTTTACTAGAAAGTATCTACTACTAAGAGAAGTAGTATGCCTGTAGTTATGTTTCAGTTGATATATGATTATTTTCAAATTTTGTTATGTGGTTAGAACTCATGGAATTCATTTTGAAGGGCAGATAATCATAACAATTCAGTTATCACGGACACCTATTAATTCATATAACAAATATATATTGATAATATATTATATGTAAACTACAGGATTCAATGCAGTTAGCGTTCTAAAATAAATAAGACACAGAAATTGCTTTCAAGTTCTAAAATTGAAAAAAGTCTAAAAGTAAGAAAGTCTAAAAGTTTAAAAAAGGAAATTTAATTTATACTCCTAATAAAATGAGAGCATAATCAAAGGCATCAGAAAGATGTACATAAAATGATATGTGAGAACTGAGGGATAAGAAATTACAATTGAGGAAAATCAGAGAAAGTTTATGGAGGAGGTACCTTTAAACAGGCCTTGAAAGATCAGTAGGAAATACACATAGGAGCCTGTCTTCATATAAGCAAGGCAGGACTACCCATCTCTTCAGTGTGACCCTGATCTAGACATTACTTTTAATGGTAAAAACCATAATTACTTTTGCACCAGCCTATAGCAAGGCAGAGCTGTTCTCTCAGTAACATGATTCACCATTTTCCTGATGTGTATCATTAATACTCTCTGAGATTTGGCAGGAGGTGAGGGGAGAGTTATGTTTTAAGATCCGCTCTCCAGGTTTATCCACTCACTTAGGCAGCATAATTTAACCCAGCTACTCTTTCTAACAAATTTTAGCGAAGTAGAGATTTCATAGCATACAGGTAGGTCATTAGAAATTAATTCAGGGTCTATACATTCCTTAGAATTGTTGGCCTATGAAGGCCTAGCCTTGTCAATACCTTGAGTCAGAATCTTTCTCAAAGTGGACTTTCTGTATTTTATTTCGTCTATATGGGTCAGAGCTTTAATCCAAAGCACTGAACCCCAGCCAGGGATTAATAGTGGTGAAAATTGTTAGTTAACTAGACTTGATGGCGCAGCCAACTGATAAGGCATGATTATAGGCCTCATAATTCACTGGGAGAAATTCATTAGTCAACATTTTTACCGGCACTCCCTTCCTGGTAACAGTCAAAGCACATTTCTACAGCCCTTTCCGACCATTACTTTTCTCACTTGAGAAATTCCAGGATGAAGGGATTAAAAGAAATGTAAATTCTTCACTTCATATCTCACCTACAAAAGTGGGCAGCAACATGATTTGGGGAAATTTCCTGAAGTCATGATGAAATTTATAGCAGAACAAAAGCCGCCTGGATCTACTATTTATTTTGCAAAGCAAAGTAAAAGCTTTTTTAAAAACTCATATTCAATTTTATTAAGCAATATTAAAAAGCAATAGAGCTTTCAGGACATACAGGAACATAGTGCACATATCATTTATATGCGATTGTGCATAAATCATTCTTTTTTTAGATGAATGGAATCAGAACTTCATGGCACTTGCAGAAAATACCCACTTAATTTTCAAGAAGAACTCTGTAAAAGAATGCTTATCAACTTCTCCAGAATAAAAATTGGGCCTAAATATGAAGACTTTGCCATTATATGAACACTCTTCAACGCTTTGACTCCGTGAAGTTAATATCATTGCCACCATTCTTAAAGTAAGTGGAATAATGGGCATATACTGGGCGGGGGGGAAAAATAGTAATTAACTGTCAGAGTCCATGAATGTGAATGGAACTAAAGTCTCAATGTTCAAAAAAATTTTTTTAATTCCCTGGCTTAAAAATTCAATGTAATCAGCAGCTACTTTCCAAAAAGAGACAAAAGCAGTCTCTCAACTTTCTACATCAACCATACTAGGGGTCCAAACTAGGTAAAAAAACAAACAAAAAAAAAAACAAAAAACAAACAAACAAAAAAAAACAAAAAAAAAACAAAGGACTTAGCAGTGATTCAAAAGACCTTGGCCTCAGTCTCAAATACATTAGATATAACAGCTTAGTAGTTGACATGAAAAGGTCACTTTCTGTTTCTCACTTTCCTCACCTGAAAATGGCATTCAAATAGTCATCCTGGAGTTGTTCAAGCATTGAATTTAAAAATATATAGGCCGGACGCAGTGGCTCACACCTGTAATCCCAGCACTTTGAGAGGCTGAGGCAGATGATCACCTGAGGTCAGGAGTTCGAGAACCAGCCTAGCCAACGTGGCAAAAACCTGTCTCCACCAAAAATATAAAACTTAGCCGCGCGTGGTGGCATGTGCCTGTAATCCCAGCTACCCAGGAGGCTGAGGCAGGAGAATCGCTGGAATCCAGGGGGCAGAGACTGCAGTGAGCTGAGACTGATTGCACCACTGTACTCCAGCCTGGGCAACAAAGCAAGACTCCGTCTCAAAAAAAGGAAGGAAGGGAGGAAGGAAAAGAAAGAGAAAGAAGGAAAGAAAGAAAGAAGAAAGAAAGAAAAAAAAATATATATATATAGACACACTCTGTAAACTGTAAAATGTAAGAGGTCATGATTGCCACACTTTTATAAAGTCTTTACGACCTTGAGTTCCTGTATACAAAGCTTCTCAGTTGACCCCGTAGATATTTTACCTCTAGACCACCTTGGCATTGACTTTCTTTGTACTGCTAGATATGTCCCTACTCTCTCTTGAGTGGATCTCCGCTAGTGACAAATATCTGTGAACTACATAAATGTTTCAAAAGTTCTCTGAGAGACTCAGAGCAAAAAGCAGCCTGCAAATTCAAAGTGCTAGTTAGATTTTCATGACACTAAAGTATTACCACATCTCTCTGGAATTTGTAGGGCTTTTCTATCCTTAGGACACAAACAGAATAAATTGAATGAGGGTTACTGGGTCCTTGAGAGCAGTTCCAAACAGCCATCTATGCACACAGACTGGGGTCAAAGCTGGATACAGAATCTCAGAATTCCATTATGACACTGTTGGATGAGGCTGGTTTTCCTGCATACATAATGAATATATTATCTCAGGCTTTCCAACTGTTTTGAAACTAGACATCCAACATTTAAACTTGGGAGTAAGCAATTACTGAAAAAATGACAATCTGCACCAATGAAAAAAGTTCAGAATATTTCTTTCTTCAGTTGGGTACATTTAACTGTGTGAGAAGAGGAACTAATCTATGTTTCAATTAGTTCCCTGTGATTCCAGCAAGGTTTGATGGATTAATCAAATTCTGGCTTTTAGGGGGAAGGAGTTACTTAAAATCAAATTGATCTGTTGTTTTCATATTATCACTGGTAAATCTATATTTACTCTGCTTTAGGGCTTCTGAAGAGTAATAAATTGTCACCACTCCTGCAGTCTGCCTGAGTCTCAAGTCACACTTGAAATGAGTTTAATATTTAGAGCCCCTTTCAAAAGTACTGTTGCTTGCAGACACTCAGTCGTAAACTTTCCAACAACAACAACAAAAAACGCGACAGTAGAGGCAAGATTTCATGAAGGCAGAATCAGACTGTAAATTTTCTTCCTGACTTTTGGAGACAAGGAAGACGGTTTCACCAAGCAAAAGCAAAATTCAAACGAAAAGAGGGTGAGATGCAAATGTCGAGTGTACATGTGCATGGTGGCGGCTGAGGGTAGGTGAGCATCTAATTGCATTCTGCAGGAGTTACTTCCATCTATGAATCATTTCCCCTTAGTGAGGATATTCTTCCTAGGCTCTGCCTTTCCTTTCATTTGATGGACACTGACAGTGGCCTCTCCTGTTCAAAATGCACTCTGCAGGTGTTGCTTGGAAAGGGCTGCACATCACTCAGTTTCCTTATCATCTCCAGGGACTGTTGTTCTTTGTCCCTTATGGGACAAAGGCTCTGATAAAACTTCAAGGCTCTGATGTTGAAATACGGATTCCTGCATTTAAAGAGCATCACTGCTGCTCTTCCTGCCAGAGAGCTGGACTGCTAATTTGACGCAGAGATGCACCTTTTGGACTACAAGGGGTTAACCCAGTCTGCCAGCCAAGCCAGGAGAAAAGGAGCTGACTCCCAGATGCCGCTGCCAGTAAAATTAATCCTGGAGCTTAGCTTCTGGATGCTTCACCTGCCAGGTGGGCCCCAGTAGGTCTTTTTCATTGCTGGGCCAGATTAAAAGAGAATGATAAGCAGAAGTGGTTCCGCACCCATCAGTGACAAGAAGGAAAAAAGCAAAAAACATCATTCACTGAGAAGGAACCTCCCGACTGCCTCCAGGTATTAATGCCCTGAAAACAGTGGACAGGGCACCCCATGCTATGTCCAGACAACCACCTGACCAGTCTGCCTGCTGGAAAAAGACTCGGTGAACATCCGAAGCCACAGGGTCGGGCACACTGAGCAAGTCCAAGCTACCTTCAGGGTGCCACCTGTCAAGTTTTCACCTGAGCAGACAGGATTTTCAAATGTGTTCTTTGGTTTCAGGCTGCTGGTAACATTTCTCAGGACACTTTTTTTTTTCCTGCCTTGTTTGTTTTGAACTTAACAGAAAATCAAACTTTCCCAAATCCATGTCCTTCCTTGATCTTCTAGTCTTAAGAAATTCTTTAAGCTCCAGGCTTCCTTATCTTCACAGGTCTTCAGTTTTTTATTTAAAAGAAAAAAACTGGTATTTTTAACATGTTGTTTTAAAAATTAGAAATACAGTTACATTATTGGGGTATTGCCCAGAGCTAGAAAACAGTGCATTCCACCTATCTAGATGAATCCCATAGGGGAGCAAAGGGCTGGAAAAGCAGGAGAGAGAGCCAGAGGTACAGACGTGATTTGCTGGGCAAGAACCTCAAAGAAATAATGAGGTCCCAGGAGAGGTGGAGCTCTGATGTAGGGAATTGAATCCTTTTCCAAAGCTTTCATAAGGTGTGTTTTTCTTTCTATTGCCAGATAAAGGTCTGTGTGGGGTAGAGGGGAAGAAAGAAGGAAGGGAGTGGAAGTATTCGATAAAAAATGGAGGGGAATGGTGCAATGCTTTGCTTAGGTTTCAGGTAAGGTTTCCTTGAAAAGTACTATGAGCAATTTAAACAGTAAAAGTGTCTGGGAATTAAAGAATAAACCAGGACAGAGGCATGCATTTCAAGGGCAGTTAGCAGGGATAAAAAGGGGGTTGCAAAGTAGCACTTTATAAATTTGATCTCTGAATATGAAGCTACATTTTCTAAGTCTACGAAGTAATATTTTGCACATAGAATATCTAAAAGCTAATGTAAATTTTTTTAATCTGTCTGAGTGTGTGTGTCCTCTGAAAAGAATAGCTGCCAAGCCAAATCTCAAGTTTTAGATTCACTCCTTATAGCAAAATAAAATAATTATTTCTAAATGTGAAATTCAAAATTTTTCTTAAGCTGGGTGAATCTAAGCATGGTTAGTTGACTCTTTTACGGAGATGACTATTTTTTAAAATCCACCTATTCTATAAGGAAATGATACCCTCTTCAACTTTCCCCCTGCTCACTGCTGTATGTGATTTCTTATCATTTTGGCAACAATTTACCGCAGTTTTCCTAGGACAATCCCAGGTGGTTCTAGTTATCCTGATGAAATTATTAACTCACCCTTTTTTATTCTCATAAGTGTCCTAGTTTGGATGATAAATAACGCTGCTTTCCTACTAGAGAGGACTGCAAAGTTCTGATGTACACAGCGTAAGGCCAGTGGGTCAGGAGACCAGGAGCTGTGGAAACCACAGCCCTACGATGAAGCAGGTACCCCTGGGTAGGGCCCACGAGGAAGTGAAGGAAATGCCCCAGCTGAGTTCCACCAGAGCTAGTGAGTACTGCAGTGTACCTTCACTCCTAGTGTAACACTTTGTGGGGTTTTCTTTTGTTTTTGTTTTCGAGACAGGGTTTCCCTCTGTCGCCCAGGCTGGAGTGCAAGTGGCCAGGTCTCAGCTCACTGAAGCCTCAACTTCCTGAGCTCAGGTGATCCTCTCACCTCAGCCTCCTGAGCAGTTGGGGCTACAGGCACGGACCACCACTCCTGGCTAATTTTTTTTTGTATTTTTTGTGAAAAAATAGGGTTTCACATGTTGCCCAGGCTGGGCACAAACTCCTGGGCTCAAAGGATCCTCCCACTTCTGCCTCCCAAAGTGCTGGGATTACAGGCAGGAGCGACCGTGTCCAGCCAACACTTTTTACCTAATAACGGCTAGTGAAATGCTCAGAGTCCCCTCGACTAAATTATGCAGAATTGAACAAATGACCAGTGCCCACCTTGGGGCCTGCTGGGTGAAGAGGGAAGAAACACCGAAAAGTCAGGGCTGCGCCTACAACAATAACCAGTGAAAGCTCAGTACGAGAGAAGGGAACAAGAGTCGACTCTGAATTCCTATAGCCTTTCCACTGTAAGCACACTCCCTTAGCTGCCGGCCTGAGAACCTCTGGAATGTATTTTATTAAAGAGTAAACCAAAAAAATTAGTAGCTTGTTTTTACTGAATTTACTATATCGGTAAATTTTCTCATACCCCTACCAAAAGGAATCTACATGCTCAAGATAAAAAGAATGGGCATTCTATAAAAGATATGTCCTTCCCTACCCATTATATTCAAAATGTCTATTTTTTTTAATGGAGTAAATGGAAGAAACAAGAGTAGAAATTTTGCAATGAAAGAAACTGCTATTTAACACTAATGAGATAAAATACATATATATTCATTTAAATAATGAATGTTATAATAAATAAGAAATAATTCAAAATAATTTTAGGGCATTTACACTGCTCAAAATAAATATAGTTTTTTAAACCTCAATTTAAATATGTCCTTCTGAATTGTATAGGACTTATCTGAAAAGTGGGCTGACAAATCCTAAATATACTCACTTGATCAACAAATATTTATAGTATCTATCATGCACAATGCACTGTTCTTTAAATAGTGATCAAACACATAACATCAGGTATGTTTAAAGCTTGGAGGAAATGTAAAACATACACACATACAAAAGCATGTAACATTAAAATTTTATGATGTATAAAGCTTTCTTACAGCCTTTATTTCATTTGATTCTATGGACAGCATATTTTACAGGTTAATAAAACAAAATTCAGAGAAGTTAAGGGAGCCATTCAAGATGAGACGGCTAAGAAATTAGCAGAGTTGGAGTTCCAATCTATAGTTTCTAAGCAAGGTTTTTTATTTCTTTATTTTTATTTCAATAGTATTGGGGGAACAGGTGTTTGGTTGCTGGAAAAGTTCTTCAGTGGTGGTTTCTGAGATTTTGGTGCCCCCCATCACCCAGGCAGTGAACAGTGTATCAAATGTGTAGTCTTTTATCCTTCACCCCACTCCTACCGTTCTCCCTAAATCGCCAAAGTCCATTATATCATTCTGTGCCTTTGTGTTCTAAGCAAAGTTTCTTTGGCAGTAATTTTATTTCTTATAGGATGGGCTGCACACGGGAAAGAATATGCTATACAATTACAATATGGCAGGAGGCAAAAGAATAAATAAGTATTCTAGTCACAGGCCATGTTAATTTAGACAAAGTTCTTGAGTTTCTATTTCCTCCTCTGTGAAATAGATTAAATGCTTATGATACTCCGTGACTTATCTCTGTCATAGTATTTCACAATCAAGTACTCTTGAAAACTCAAAAAGAAATGCAAAGTTTTATTCCCACTGGAAATAATCAATGACTCCAAGAGTATTTCTATCTAAACAAGGTGTATTTTCTCAGAAAAATAGGTTGGGAGTGGAGGCTATGTAGGAGAAGTCTCTACCAGCAGGGCCATACTGGTTGGTAAAATATTGACGTATTTCTGAGCGGCTTGATTAACTGGCACTGGCTCTAGTCCCTTAAAAATCCTGGCCTTTTCTCTGAAATCTTCTAGATCTTCCCAGGAGTCAGAAACTAAAGGAACAATGCTGGCAAGTTCCTGCTTCGGTGCTAAGGCCAGTACCAACCTTACTAGTACTTGACCTCTGTCTCTGCCTTATTGGAGACATTCCTGACCAATAAAGAAAAAACTCCGTTTTTCTGTTTGCAGCTTGCTTTCTAATGTAGTCAGAGTCACGTGGCCAACATCTGCCTATATTCCTGTGATCAATGTCCATGTGAATATAGTACCACTCTTTTTACCCACTGGGTCTTAGTCCATTTTTGTGTTGCTATAAAGGGATACTTGAGGCTGGGTAATTTGTAAAAGAAATAAATAAGTTTATTTGGCTCACAGTTCTGCAGGCTGTACAAAAAGCATGACATCAGCATCTGCTTCTGATGAGACCCTCAGACTTCTTCCACTCATAGCTGAAGGCAAAGGGGAGGTGGTATGTCCAGAGATTACATGGTGAGAGAGAAGGCGAGAGAGAGAAGGGATAAGTGCCAACTCTTTTTAACAACCAGCCCTCACAGGAACTAATAGAGCAGGAACTCACTCATTACTGCAAAGGTGGCAATAAGCCCTTCATGAAGAATCCACCCCCATGACCCAAACACCTCCCATTAAGCCCCACCTTCAACACTGGGGATCAAACTTCAACATGAGGTTTGGGGGAACAGACATCCAAACTATAGCACATCACAAGATAGTGATTGCAGGAAATGTAAAAAAGACTGTGGCTAGGATGGGAAATTTATCAAAATGTGATGCTTTATCTCCAGGGGCATTAATAAAACTGTAGAGAAGGTCGAAGGCTGAGAGATCTGGGAGCAGTGGGAAGGTTATTGATCATTTATTCACTGTTTAGGGCAAAGGAAAAACTAAAGACTGCTTCAATTACCCAGGCATTTACTTCCCAACTCTCAGCAATATAATGCAGTTAGACCAGGAAACAGAGCTCTCCAAAGCCAGATGAACTTCCCTACATAAAGGACTCCTACATAAAAGACCTCCCTACATAAAAAACCAGGAATTTCAGAGACTCAGAACACCAGCAACACTTGTCTCCAGTTTAAAATCTGAGAATCTACCAAAATCTGTCAAATGGACAATGAAGAGAACCCAAGGGAACTCACCAACCCTGTTAGCAGGCGCATGTCATGCAAGAACATACTCTGTTCATCCAAGGACAAGAAAAAGAAAACCAAACAAAAATAAGCACGATATTTGTGAAAATAGTCTGCACTTTCAAAAAGAGAGAGAACCTAAGTACTAAAGATGCATAAGAAAAACAAACCTTTGAAAAAGATCTACTATAGGAAATGGTAAACTAGTAGATTCTTTTTTTTTACAGGAACTTGAATGAAATTCAAGAAAACATCGACTCTGTAAAATAATATAAGGTTAACATTTAGATAGAAGGGGAACAGACTGGGTCAGGCAAATATAAAAAAGAAGGTAGATTTTTAAAAAGGAAAGATTGTAATGATATCAAGTTACAAACAAATTATTTATTTGATATATCTTCATGAAGGGCTAAGAAATCTCACAATATGGAGACCAGCAAGATCTCTGGGACAATATTATAGAAAATTGTCCCTAAGACAACAAACTGAAGAAGCACTTCAAGAATGCAGAAAAAAAGAAGAGAAAAATTATGTGATTAGGGAGGATGAAAATGGGATACAGAAAATAAAGATATAAGAAATGGGTAATTGATTTCCTGGTGGGGGCGGGGCAGGGAGAAAAGAACAAATAAGACAATAAATAAAAGAACAACACAAATGAGTAAGGCTTTCCTAATAGAGGAAAATAATATTATGTTTTCATAATAGATTAGAACATGACTAATTTCATAATAGATTAGAACATGACTAATTAGGACATGACTGAAGCTATAAAAAAGAAGCCTAGGAAACTTCTCAAGAAAGTCCTGAGGTCTTAGATGAAAAGAGTTTACCTTTTTTTCATCATATTCTGGTGAAGTTATGATTTTCAAAGAAAAAAAAAAAAGAGAGACAAATCATGCATCCCTGAGGCTGGGCCAGGACACTCAGAGTTCTCTCTCTCAGAAAAAAACTTCTGAGGCAGGCCATGGACTTCTCTAAAGAGTTTAAAGTGTTTAAAGTAAGACGGTTTTTTTTTGTTTTTTTTTTTTTAAAGAATTCTTAAGTACATTTTTAAAAAGGAAAGGGTTACCACTAAACTCTATGCTCAGCCAAATTTTCATTCAAATAATAAAATGAGAAAAAATTATTCTTAGTAATGCAAAGGCTCAGAAAGGATATCTCCCAGAGTTCTTCCTGAAAATGTGAAACTGTTCAAAAGATCAATAAAAAGAGAACCCAGAAATGGTTAACCTGTGGTATAAAAAGATGCACAGAAGGCACTGAAGCCAAAAGGGTTTTGAAAGAATATTGTTATTAATAACTTAAAAATATGTATTTATTCAAAAATCCCATATCATAAGAAAAAAACTCTGAAACAAAAGAAGGGATGAATAAAATTAGGGTACTCAGTAGATCAAGAGAGTAGCAACAGCTTCTGATTTATTCATGACATTGATTATTAGCCAAATATATGTTCAAATATGTCTTTTTTTAATTTTAAGATAAACTCTACTATTTTCAATAAGTGGGAGCTAACGGTTGGGTCCTCATGGACATAAAGATGGCAACAATAGACACTGGGGACTACTAGATGGGGGAAGGCGGGGGTGAAGTGCACTGAAAAACTACCTGTTGGGTACTATCCTCACTACTTGGGTGACAGAACAATTCATATGCCAAACCTCAGCATCACACAATATACCCAGGTAACAAACCTGCACGTATCCCCCAAATCGAGAATAAAAGTTGAAATTATGAAAAATAAAAATACCACCAATAAATAGTGTCTGGGCGTGGTGGCTCACACCTGTAATCCTAGTGTTTTGGGAGGCTTAGGTGGGTGGGTCATTTGAGCTCAGGAGTTGGAGACCAGCCTGGGCAACATGGTGAAACCCTGTCTCTAAAACACAAAACAAAACAAAAAATTAGCCAGATGTGGTGGTGTGCACCTGTAGTCCCAGTTACTCAGGAGGCTGAGGACAGAGGATCACTTGAGCCCAGAAGGTCAAGGCTGCGGTATGCTGAGATTATTCCACTGTACTCCAGCCTGGGCAACAGAATGAGACTCTGTCTCAAAAATAAATATAAACAAATAAATATCATAAAATACTGTTTTCAGGGACTTTTTCTTCCAAATCATTGGGACAAAAAAAATCAAAATAACATTTCATATGACAACAGGAGAAAACAAAGAAAATAAAAAAGAAGCAAAATATACAACAATAAAAGACAGATATCTCCAAACAAAATGACAGAATAAACTGAAAATCACAGTCATGATAATGAACACCCCCACTAAAATATAACTCTTACACTTGGCTAGAAAATAAAATCTAGCAATAATAGGCCTCCCTAACACAAAAGGACAAAGCAAAACTAAAAGTAAATATTTGGGCAAAGATACCTCAGTTAAACCCAAGGAGAAAGAGACAGATAAAGCATATTACTAACAGAAAAGTAAAAGGTAACAAAAATTAAAATGTGCATAATTTTTATATATCTCTCTCTATATGCTAAATATATAGATAGATACAATCTGTAATTATGATTCTGGAGTCCTAAGCAATTATACTATATAATGTAGTATAAAATACATTAGGCAAAAATAAAATGAGAAATAAATAGAAACACAAAGTAGGGAGATATTTTAATACAAAATGCATAGGCTTTGTTAAGTAAATAAGATTTAAAATGATATAAAAAAATCTAAATACTTAAGATTTACTTAACATTTATATTGAACTATATAAGGAAAAGAGAAATGTTCATGGAACTTTTGCAAGAATAGTTCTTGTATGAGGCCACAAAAAAAGCAAAATAGTTTTTAAAAACTCAATGGTTCATATTATTTACAGCCAATACCAAAAAACCCTCAAAAACCTACATGTTAATATTAAAATTCTAAATAAAAATTTTAAATGTTTGAAAAAAACTATTAATCTAATAAATAGCTTATGTTAAAAAATAAAAATAACAATTCTAGAAAAATGTTAAAGTAACACTAATGATAAAATTGTATACCAAACATCTGGGAAATGGCCAGAACTACTCAGTGGACTGACTATTCTTCTAGATTAAGAAGGATGGAGAGAGAGAGGGAGGAACAGAGGGGAGGAAGGGAGGAAGGGGGAGGAAGGGGGGAAGGGGGAAGGGTGAAGGGGGAAAGGGGAAAGGGGGGAATGAGGGAACTACGGAAGGAAGGAAGGGAGGAAGGGAGGGAGGAGGAAAAGGGGGAAGGGGGAAGGGGGAAGGAAGGAAGGAAGGATAGAAGGAGAGAAAAAAAGAAGGACAGACGAGGAGGAGAGGGAGGGGAGGGGAATGAGACAGAGAGAAGCAAGGAAGAAGGGCAAAAATATTAACTAACTTGTTAATAACATAAATTAGGAAAGAAAGCACAATAAGGCAATTTTAGGAAAAGTAGAAGAAAGAAACTACTTATTTTTTAAATGTATAAGTAAACAATTTAAGGTAAAATTTAAAAAGTAGAATAATCTAAGAAGCAGGTCTTTGAAAAATGAAAGAAATCAATCAAAATAATTCTTCATAAAATCATCACTTAAAATAAAAATCCTAATACACAAATTTAGAATTAGAAGGGGAACATTACAGTACAGAAGTAATTAAAAATAATATCATATATTAAGCTATGCTAAAGCTTTCAAACTATTAATGTAATGTAAATGTTTCCTAGGAAATATAATTAACAATATTGACCTAGGAGAAGTAGAAACCATGGAAGGAATTTAAACATTAATTAGTGAATTACTTAGCAAAAATGTGCCAAATTAGAACAACAAGGTATTGTGCTATATAAACCCCTCTGGAATATAAAAATAAATGATGAGCTTTCCAGTTTATTTTGCAATCTTTTGCATAATCTTGATACCAAAACATAAAAATAGAGAAAATAGGAATTCAGGCCAATTTTATATATACATACAGATTTGAAAATTATAAGTCAAATCTTATATATGACAGCATTATATTTTAAAAATTATTCATCATGGTTGCTCTATTTATTTTTGTAACACAGCAAAAGCTTATTTTATATTAAGAAATCTGTTATCAAATAATAACTTTAAAAATGGTTATCAAAAATAGTTACCTCAATAGATTCCAAAAAGAAATTTGCTAAAATTCTTCACATATCCCGACATAGTAACAAAGACTCTCTAAAAAAAAAAAAATAAGGAAAAGTTCCAGATCCAGGAACTCTCCAAAAGATCACAGCAAAAATTTCAGCAGTCTGTAATATAAATTTGATCTACTATATCACTGCCTAGGGTTTCACTGTGAACTGAGACCCAGATGACAACTGCAAAACCACTCCCGCTGCTGAGGTTACTTGATTTAAACCAGAATCCGCATTTATATCCATGTGAAAATAGATATTTATGAGAGCATATTCTGGTAACATTGTTGTTGGTCCAGATGTATGGAGTGCTACCAGCAAAAAGCCTTCAGCTTTCAGTCCTGTAGGGATTATCTCAAATATAAAGAGCTCTTTCACCCAGAGTTAGCCTTTTCTTGAGATGGCCCACCTTCCATACTGTAGTATAAAGTCCTAGCCTTCCTGATTCAACTCAGGACAATTCTGAAGGGCCTGTAGTTCCTTTTGCAATTAGCTGCGGCAACCGTTGGGAGTGCACTGCATTGCAACCTCTCCTTCTGCCCAATCCGGCTTGCTCCCCTTCTGTTTCACAAGTGTCCATCTCAAAGGTGCTGCTCACAAACATCCTGCAAGCTATACTCCACTCAGAGTCAGCTTCCCAGGGAAACCAACTGACAGCATTAAGACATATAATGATGTTATTTTACTCAGTGCCTGGCTCTAACATTTAGGCCAGGCATTACCTCTTGGGGCAGAGACCACACAGACCTGTGGTTTGTGTTTAGGACTAGATGCATTGTTCTATTTCTGATGGATTATTCCGAGCATTAGTTTCTCATCCATTAAACAAGGGAGTTGATCTAAGGGATTTCTAAGCTCTTTCCCAGTTCGAAAATGCCATATGATAAGATCTTCAAACATATATATTAGATTTAGGGCTTTAATATCCATACAAGGATTTAGTGAACTTTCTCAACAGCATGTTAATATAATCATTCAGTAAAAACAAATTGTCAGATAGTTTGCTGTTGAACTAGAATGTTACTAGGTAGTCAAAGGATTAGGAGAGAAAATGAACATTATCTTCATTCACTTATCTACCAACTCATTTATTCATCAACTACTTATTGAGCAACTATTATGTGTCAAACACTGTGTTTTGATCCAAAATCAGTAAGATATGGCCCTTATCCTCCAGAATCTCACAATTTAGCAAATGAAATGAATACTGAAAATAACAGCAATAACCCACAAATATAAGTGCAGCAATAACATACAATGAGTTCTGTTGGACCATAGAAGAACACACCCAGCTCCACCTGAGGGTTGCAGAAATCATTTCCCAAAGGGATTGACAATCCCTGGTGTAGGAACTGAAAGCTGTTCACAGAGGAGGCAGTCTACATGAAGATATAATCTCAAAAATTAACATGGTATTCAGAGAACACTCTAGTTCTTAGGCACTTAGCTAAGTGTCCCAAGGCATGGTCAGGAGCAAAGTCAGCAAGGGTTAGCAAATCAGTTCATGGATCCTGTAAACTGGTGGTAACTGTGCTTCCCAGAACTACCCCACTCTCCTCCTCATGCCCAATATTATGATTCTCTTGTTGCAGAGTGTGGCCAAGAAATCTTCAAGCCAAGTTAATTGGGTTGATTTGCAGATGGATTCTGCTAATTATACTTCAGGAAACATCAGGAGTGCCCATACATCAAGGTATGCCTGGGAAAGCCTCACTTTTCACCTATTGTTTCAGCATAATTAGTAATAAATTTGTCATTCACTTGCAAACGTGTCCTCCTTTGTAGGATAAATTATTATGGTCATTCTAATCCTGCAGGGGTATAGGGAAGGTGCCCTGGGGTCACAGAGAAGGGCAAAGTGTAAGGGATTGTCCAAGGGGGAGAGACTCTGGTTTCTTCCTCTGATTCAGTTGGATCAGCGCTATACATAGGGCCTCATAGCTTTCTTCTAAAAAACAAGTCTTAGCAGTCAAAACTGGAAACTAGAAATCATTGAATGGTTTTAACATGCACTGACATTGTCAAATGGATAGTTGAAATAGATTATCTTGGTAGCTGTGTAGACTGTGAAGTAGGAGCAGGCAGTGTAAATAGGAGGCTGTTTAGGTGTCCACAGGAGGAAAAATGAAGGCCCTAAGTAAGATAATGAGTGGACTAGAAACATCTGAGAAATTTTACAGTAAAATTGGCATGACTTGATAATTAATTTTATGGGGATGGGGTGAAAGATGTCAGTAAGTTATGGATGACACTCATTTGAACATATACCACTAAAGAGAAACCCCAGGATACATGAGGTGAATGCTCTATTATTTAACAGCTTAGGAAAATCTTCTGCAAAGGGCAGAGAGGATTTAGTGAGAAAGGCCAAATCTCCTGCCTGCATATACAATAATAATACCATTTTATTCCACTTATAAAAATGTTCTGTTTCATTAAACTTTACTAAACATTTTTAGATTGTCAGACTATACCCCAAAAAAAGAAAACTAAAATGCTGAGATCCAAAACCATAGTGAAGTCAAAATTTACTCATGTTGTATGTAAGTTATTAAACATAATTCCAAACAATATGGATATAGGATTTAGGGAACGGAAGCTTATACCATTTTAAGGGATGTCTTTTTAAAAATAATACAAAATTGCACATAAAATCAGTTTCTACTCAGGAATAGGAAAAAATGACAAATCACAGATTTTTAAAAGATGAAAATATCACCCAGAAAGTTTAAGATAATATATAACTTGCTTTTTAACATGTCTTTAATGATGCTATTCCCATAAAATTGGTACTCTTTGATCGCCTCTTCATAAGATTTTATAAAATTTTCTACAGTGGATCTTCTCAGCTTTTGCAGCCTTGGCGCTATTGACATTTTGAGACAAGTAATTGTTGAGAGCAGGAGAAGGGGAGAAGGGAAGGAGATGTTCCACATATTACAGGAGCTGCAGCATCTCTGGCCTATATCTACTACATGCTAATAGCATCCCCCACCAGTCGTAACCATCAAAAATGTCTCCAGCCATTGTCAAATGTCCCCTGGGAGACTCATTCAAATGAGAATCACCATTTTGTAGAAAGAATAGAGAGACAGTGTTTTAGTCTGCTCAGCCTGCCATAACAGAATATCATAGACTGGGTGGCTCAAATAGCAGAACTTTATCTTCTCAGAGTTCTAGAGGCTGGAAGCCCAAGATCAAGGTTCCAGCAGGATTTGGTTTCTGATGAGGGCTCTCTTACTGGCTTGCAGACAACTTCCTTCTCTCTGTATTTCCACATGGAGGAGAGAGTGTGTGAGCTCTCTTGTGTCTTGTCTTTTTGTTTTTTTTTTTGAGGCAGAGTGTTGCTTTGTCACCCAGGCTGGAATGCAGTGGTGCAATCTCTACTCACTGCAGCTTCCACCTCCCAGGTTCAAGAGATTCTCCTGCCCCAGCCTCCCAATAGCTGGTATTACAGGCATGCACCATCACGCCCGGCCAATTTTTGTATTTTTAGTAAAGATGGGGTTTCACCATGTTGGCCAGGCTGGTCTCGAACTCCTGACCTCAAGTGATCTGCCCGCCTCAGCCTCCCAAAGTGTTGGAATTACAGGCGTGAGCCACTGTGCCTGGTTCTTGTGTCTTTTCTTATAAGGAGCCTATCACATAGGCCTCAGTCTTCTGACCTTGTTTAACCTCAATTACCTCCTGTAGGCCTCATCTCCAAATAATATAGTCATATTGGGGGTTAGAGCTTCAACATATGAATGTTGGGGGAACACAATTCAGTCCATAGCATATAGATAATTAAGTCTTTTTTCTAGTATGCTTGCTCAAAAAAATTTCTTTAATATTTTTGGAAAAGTTTTTATCGGTTTTGCAACACTTAATTGGTAATATTTTATAAATGTTTAGGGTTGTTGGCAAATTTCAGAAAACATCAGGCTTCTTTCATAAACGACCTATAAGATTTTAGGACATTTCAGCTTTTCTGAAATAATGATTAATCTTAAAAGCTCTTTGAATTAATGACATTTTTTTACCAGTTTTTCATGAATGTCATTATTGTAGTGGTGTATTATGATTTTATGTTACCATTATCAATGTCAGATTTTCATGTCCCCTCAGGAAAAAACTAATAAGAAATCTACACAGATCTAGTTGGGCAATGACATTTCAGACACAGGAAGAGCATAGCAGAGTTTTGTCCCAATAATGACAAAGAGTCAGTTTGGGTACAGTGTGGTACATAGGGAAGGCAGCAGTGAATGAGAAATTTAGAAAAATGCTCTGGAGTCAGGGAAGGAGTGGGAAATATCATCAAATGCTGGCAAGTGACTGAGAATAGATCATGAGAATAGATGACCATGACTTAAAGTCTGAGTTAAGGAATCAAAGGTTGGTTGATGGGCCAGTAGGCATATGAAAGTGTAGCGTGACAATCGTTAGCATTAGAATCAGCCAAACCTCAGTTTAAATACTGATCTGACACAAAGTAGCCTGTGAAACCTTTAACTGTGTCAGCTCATGTCCTCTAAGAAGCAGATACCAAGATAGAATTAGATGTACAAGAGATTTATTGAAGGAAATGGCCATGGAAAATAAAGAGAGGAAACAGAAGCTAATGAGAGCCTTTCAAATCATGATGAAGATCTGACACCCACAAAAGGAAAGAGAGAAGAAAGGAGGATTGAATCAGAAGACCCTCAGACTGCAGTACAGCTCTGAAAAAGTCTCAGCTGGAAGGCAAAGACTGCCCATCAGAGAAGTTCTGAATTGAACGGGAATTGTCTAGCTCGAGAACTCTGGCCATGTTTCATCATTAGCTGAGAGCACCTTGGGGAGAGTGTGATTTTGTGGGGATGCTAAGATGGATCCAAAGGTGTGGCATCTGGAGGAAGCATGCCAACATATTCTCTTAAAGGAAAGTATGAGCCATGCACCTCCAGGGCCTGACCACTGGCCATAGCTTATGTATAGAAGTCATTCCTAAGCATATAAATCCATTCCAATAAACCGAAACTGAATGTATCTCATTGACATTATTTTTAGCCATATGCCAAAAAAAAAAAAGGTCCCAGCTTATTCCAGTGCCACCAGACATGAGTGGAAATATGACAGAGGGGAAGTTGCAGTGAAAAGACACAGTGGTCTTAACTGATTGTGGATAAGGTACCTTTTGAAAATTTACAGAAGCCTGTCTATGTGGCTTCTATGTGGACATGGGCTAGAGACCCTGCCAGGACATTGGAAGGGGTCCTGCAAATGAAGACCTATTGGAAGGGGCTCCTTCCAATTTTTACTTGGCAAACATTTATTCCTTGATTCAACCCACCACCGCTATGACCACCCTCACTCCTCATTCACCAAAAATTGGGGAAGTAATTATCTTACTTGTTTTTATTAATCCTTCTTAAATGTATGTATAGCTCACATTTATTTTAATGTTTAA
Source organism: Homo sapiens (assembly GCF_000001405.40). Taxonomy (NCBI): domain Eukaryota; kingdom Metazoa; phylum Chordata; class Mammalia; order Primates; family Hominidae; genus Homo; species Homo sapiens. The sequence goes on from NC_000013.11 coordinate 59,226,420, forward strand.
TATTAGGATCATTTTGAGTCTTCACTTAGAAGTTTAGTGATCTATTTGGGACCAAAAATATGCAGTAGAAACTTAACTCTCATTTATATCAATTAACCTATGGTAAAAACTGGCTTCATTATACAGTTGTTCTGCTTAAAGTAGCAGTTTCCAAGAACCTATTGATGACATTAATGAGGACTCACTGTTATGCATACTGGACGAGAGTCTCCATAGGGCGTCGAAGCCTCAGACCTCTAAATATCCTAATCACCATCTCCACGCTGGTAAGGTTCTAATACAGGGAAAGCCTAGCCAAGGTGAGACCTTGAGAGGCATAGAGAGATTTAGCAGTTGTGTGTGTGTGTATTGTCATGTGCATTTTACTGGTACAAACTGAGATGCAAATAAATCAGAAAATAATCCTGGAGGAGAGGGCAAGAGAAAACAGCAAAATACGTAGAGGGAAATAGCAGAGTTCCTCAGAGACAGGTGGCCTTTTGCAATTGCAGCGTTTGTATAAAATCCAGGTGTAAGCAGCAAAATTAGTGCATTTTTAAATTTAAATATATCTTTCTTAAACAGAGTTAATTTATTTCCCAGCTTTCTGGTTATTGGACTCATGTTTCTCCTAAAAAATAACTTAGAACCTGTAGTGGGCAGAAGGAATTAGTGATTCTTTCTAGCTATAAATTATTTATCACCTTATTCCACTCTCTTTACCTTCATTGGGATGCTTCCAAATTGACAAAGAAACCTATTTACTGTTAATTGATTACCACTCTAAATTCATTGAGATTGCAGCAGTAACAAGCATCTCAAGTAGTTCAGCTGAGATTAGCTGTATCCCATCACAGGAGAGAAGGCAAGATGTGGATAAGGCAGGTTCTCCTCACTGACAGTGGACTTCCAGTTTCAAGTGCACATGTTTTGAAATTCAATATGACACTCTTAGTTTGTCTGAAAGACAAGTTAAAATGCAGACCTTCATTTTTGCAGCACAAATGATGGTCAACAGGAATTAAGTCAGGAAAAAAGAATGCTTATTCGTCCTACATGTTAAAACTTACAAGAAATAGATTAAAAACTCTTGATAGCATATCTGATAATAGCATTAGAAAAGGTTTTCACTTTTATTCAGTTCTAGCTCTGCAAATACAATAAGCATTAAATTTTAAAGCAAACAAAATAAATGCACCAGAATCTAGTGTTATATGGGAATATGGAAAATTTCTACACCAAAATGAGCTCTATAAAGATATATGTTGTTTCACAGTATTTTTTGCAAAAAAAAAGTGACTTATCTATAATATTATCCATTCAGTGGTAAGGATATACTGTAAAGATTGTTATTTCCCCAAATTGGGACTATTTCTTATCAAAGCCATAGTTAGTTATAATAAATCTAGAGGTCAGCAGTCTAAGAGCAATAAAAAAATAATTAAAATTAAAACACTTTAAAACTTTGACACAGCCTACAAGAATGACAATTTATATTGCAAATATTAATATCAATTTATTCATTCAACAAATATAAATTCAGTTCTTAGTTCAAGCCAAGAATTACTCTATGAGCAAAACTTACCAAAAAAAAAAAAAAAAAAAAAAAAAAACCCTGTCCTCATTAAACGTGCAGGCAAGGCAGGATGGAGGGTCTAGTGAGAGAGACAAGAAACAAATATACACAGTGATGCAGTGATGAATGCTACAGAGGAAACTAAAGCAGAAGAGGGAAAGAGAGCTGATATTTGGGGAGGCTGTTGCTATTTAATAATGAGTGGTCACGAAAGGCCTTTCTGACAAGGTGATCTTTTAGCAGAGCCGTCAAGCACTTGTGAAAATCGGCAATTTGCCCATTTGAGAGGAGTGTTCCATGCAGAAAGAATAGAAAGTGCAAAAGTCCTGAGATGACAGTTAGTGGGCACATTGGAGGAGCTACATGCCAGTGTGGCTGGAGCAAAGGGAGTGAGAGAGAAAAGTAGACCATGAGGTCAGAAAGTTCAGATCAACCAGAGCAGAAAGTCCTTGTGCAGATATTGGATCTTACAAAGATCCAACAGGGATTACAAGTGATCCTGATTACAAGGGATCAGTTGGCTCCTCTGGCAAGAATGGAAGCGAACGGGTGGGGAGCAGGGCAAGGGTAGAGGACTACTTAGGAGGTTATTGAAGTCGTCCTGACGAAAAATAGTGTTGGGTTGTGGCAGTGAAGGGTGTGACAATTTAAAGATGGTACAGATGGGAGGTCTATGTCCACGGAGAAAGAGGAGTCAAGGATGATGGAGGTTTATGTTCTGGAGTCGCCATTTACTAAGAGAGAAAGATGCTAGGAGCAGATGGGGCAGGTTTAAGGCAGGGAAATTAAGAGTTCTGTTTTGATTATATCAAAATTGAGATGACAGTTATCCAAGGGGAGGTGTGCGTGTGTGTGTGTTTTCCACTGGTCACGTTACTAAGAAAAATTATTGTTGCTTCTGGAAAAGATTGAATCACGGTATAAGAGAAAAAAATCTTTGGACAAGATGCCTGAGGCAGCATGAAAATACTGAAAGACTATTGAACTAAAATAGTCAAAATGCCACTAGCTGAATTGTCTCAAAGTGTCGAACAACCTTTTGGAGACTCGGTAGTCTCCCTTCTGTAAAATAAAGAAGTATGACTAAATTTCGTTAATAAAATGACTCAGCTCTACCAAATTCAAAGAGGACATAAATCCTTCAAAACCATTTCCTGCAAATAAACCTCTCATGTCCCTCCCAAGGGGGGAAAATTGTTATCTTGTAGACAATGACAACTTCTCACTTTGGAAATCAGGACTTGTTTTAAGGTTTTAGAACTAACGTTCAGAAAGTCCTGTCTTTTGCAGACCCTACAGAGTGTCGAGAAAGAAATGTATGAGCATCAGACCCAGCATATTTCAATCCTGGTTCTTCTGGCAGGAGCTAGGAAACCTTGCTCAGATCTCCAAAATTCTGCTTAAATGTACTCATTTATAAAAGAAAGCAAGAAACACACTGTTCTCACAGAGTTATTCTGAAGATATAAGAATTAAAGCATTTAACACCACGCAGCATGGTATATAATGTCATATGGTTTAGGATACACTGTATATTTAGAACACCCCATAATTATTAGTTCCATCCTTTCCCATTCCTATCTCCTCACTTCCCACTCCCAGCCTGGAGGCGAGCTGGGCAAGAACCAAGCCCTTTAGTGTTAGGATTTGATTAGTCATGGAGCTGAATGAGTGAGAGCTCTCAACGATATGAATTAATTTACACAGTGGGGAGGCCAGGAGAACTACATTCTTAGCATCTACTCTGTGCAAGGTATTTTGTAAACATTAGTGGAATTAATCTTCATAACAAACATACAAGGTAAACATTTTCATCTTATTTTATAAATAAAGAATCTGAGGCTCTGAAAGGTTAAGTAATTCAAGGAACTCACATAAGATCATTAATTGTTTCATAATCAGTAATTGTTTCTCAGACGTGCTTGATTCTGGAATCTCTTTGCACTCTATCACTTTGTCTTCCTTGATGCTGCTTCCCACCCTGCGTTGGTGACCTGGTGGTTTTAAAACATGATGGTAGGACCAGGTCTCCAGTCTGAGAATAGCCTGCGGACATGACCTGTCTAGACTTTTGCTTGTCTGTGCCTCTCTTCTCTGAGTCCCACCTGCCACCGTGTTCTGTCTGTACTTTAGTTTTTATGATCAAAGGCTCTCTTTAAATCAATGCTATTCCTGATCAGTCATCTTGGCATGTCTCCAGCCAGCAGCCTGGTCTACAAATCTAGCTAGCAATCTCCTTTGATCATTGTTATTCAGCTCTGTAGAAACCTGGATGTTGTCTTTAAGTGTTCCCTCTAAGTCACTCCTTACAATCCATCACCAAGTTCTGTTGTTTCTACATTCAAAGTATCCCTTTAATCTTTCCACTTCTATTTCCTTAACTGTCCTTCTACTCCAGATCTCTAACTGCCTCTCTGGATTTCTACAATAGCCCCGTTATCATTCTCCCCATTTTATCTCTTCCACATCCCCAATCCATTATCTATGCAAAGTAAGATTTTAAAGCAAAGCCTAATTATGTACCCCTTGAAATACTTCCTTTGCTTCCTACTGCACTTCAAACAAGGTCCTTACCCTTTTTGGTATCATATACTACCCACAGTCTTGCATGGTCTGGCTCTTCCTCTCACTTTGGTTCTCTGTGTACCAGCCACAGCCACCTCCTCTCACTTCTGGGAAAGGCACAGCTCCTTCCTGTCTCTGAGATATCACATGCCCAGCTCCTTGTCATCCTTCAGTTTCCTGCAGAATTGTTAGCTCTCTATCTCTACGCTCATTTCAATTGCCTTTTAGCAATTCACAGTCTATAATTACATAGAGTGGCTGCCAAGAGAAAGGGGAAGAGGATCCAGGCAGAGATAAGAAGAGCCCCTGCAAGCATGTAGAAAGGTCCTGACTGGAGGTTGAAAGAACTATGTGTGTTTGAGAAACTGAAAGAAAAACATTCTAAAAGATAGCCTTTGTGTCTCCCTGCAAGATTGTAAACTTCTTGAAGGCAGGGCCATATCTGTCTCATTCACCAATTCACTTAGCCTAATACATACAAAGCCTGATATGTAAGAGTCACGAAGTACATATGTAAATCATGCCTTAATTCCTGTGAAATGAGGTGTGACAGCCACTTTGAATATTACACATTAGTACTTAGTTTACTCATGCTTTCTCAATAGAATAGAATATAGCTGATAGTTTTTACAGAAACTTGTGTCTAACCACCTCATATACACATAGTTTATTTGTAGTCATTGATGCTTATCTATGCATAATTTTGTTGTCTTGGTTCAGATTTAACTTTCATTTAATGAATCCATGACCCATTTCTTCTCTGTACTGTCCTTCCCTCCCAGCTTTGTTTTCCATAGGTGTTGGGTGTTCTGAAATAATATGTGGCCTTACCTTGACTGACAGGTAACTCACAAAAATAAGTATCTTGGCACTTCTCTGTCTGACCTCCAGGGTGCATGTCAAATTCAGGTCTGTTCATTCCCTCATCGTTCTGAGGCAGAAAGTACTTGGGGCAGATGGCAGAAGCACAATTGGCTGAGACAAACGGCAACAAGTGGCAACACATTTACAGATTCTGCTCCCTTTCATGTTGTGTTGACCAAGGCAAGTCACATAGCCAGGTCCAATTTCAAAGAGGCAAAGAAATACACTTCACGTAGGTCAGCAGTCCTTACCCTTTTTGTCACCAGGGACTGGTTTCCTGGAAGATAATCCACGAGGGGTGGGGGGGGGGGGCGTGGTTTCGGGATGAAACTGTTCCACCTCAGATCTTCAGGCATTAGTTAGATTCTCATAGGAGTGCACAATCTAGATTCCCCCTCATGCAGAGTTCACAATGGGGTTCATGCCCTGATCTGACAGAGGTGGAGATCAGGTGGTAATGCTGGCTAGCCTGCCGCTCACCTCCTGCCTTGCAGCCTGCTTCCTAAGAGGCCACAGACCACTACCAGTCCATTGTCCGGGGGTTGGGGATCCCTGACTTAAGTCGCTATCTGAGGTACTGCAAATTTCCATAGTAAGAGGTATGAAGGTATAAACCTATCAAATGAAGAGAGTGAAGAATCAGGAACAATAATGTGATCTACTACAGCATTCACACTTCTAGTCTTTGCATTCAAGGAGCAATCTGGGATCCAGTTATTATACTTAAAGACAAGATAACAGTGAATAAATTAGATCAACCCTTTCACAACTAATTTATTGACAAAATGCTTATTCTGCGATATGTATTTATTTACAAAGTGAAAGGCAAGCATTTACAACTGTTTTGAGAACAGTATTGAACAGAATGTATCAAAAATAGAAGCTGGTGGTTTCAAAACTCCCATATACAAAGAAATATTGATTAGCAGCAAGAGTAATTTTTAAACTTGTCATATCAACAGCCATTAGCTACTAAAACTTATCACAAGGTGTTAGTTTTTAGATCTTACCTGTAGAAAGATATTAAAGATCAATGTAAAAGTAAAAATAATTAAAAAGTAAAGATTCCATTTAATATGGGCTGGAAGAAAGCATTCAAATTCAAGAGTGTAGAAAAGGCTAGAAAATATTTTGATAAAGTTGTTTAAGTTGTAGTATCTTTGAAAAAAATGAGAGAGCTACAATTTATAAAAGACTGATTAAAGATCTTGGGTAAAATTAAAATGCTAGAAATGAAGTGGGAAAGAGAGAAACACATACACAAAATCATTCAATTAATTTCTCAGGTCAAAGATGGTAAGAACAAAAAATTATACCAACAGCAAACAACCCACAAAATACCACTATGAATAACAACTAAGTAGATAATGAATAAAAACAACCATCATTGCCATTTATTGAACATCATTCCAAACAGCTTATTTATAGGCTATCTACATAAGAGGAAATAAGGAAGACAGGGAGGGAGGACAACAAAAGAAAGAAAAACGAAGAAGAAAAGGAGAAGAGAAGGAGGGAAAGGAGAAGGGGAAAGAAGGGAGGGAGAGAGGGAGGGAGGGAGAGAGGGAAGAAAGGAAGGAAGGGAGAATAACTCTATGAAACTGGAATCATACCAATGTTAAGTTTAGCAAACAAATATTAAAGTTCCTTTGAACTTAGCAGAAGCCTAAAATTTTTCTTATCACAATAGATATTCATATTTTAAATTTTAAGAAATTAGTTCAAAATTTTGAAAAGGTTGGAATGATTGTACTATTTAACGTGTTAACTTAGGCCCTTAACCTGTGTTAACACATGCCCCGCTATAAAAGATGAAGAAATTAGTCCACTTCCAATTCTTCTCACCTTCTAATTTTTTTAATTGTATGTGATTACTTTGCCAAGATTTATAACATTTCCCTACCGCATTTCCCACTGGCTCAGGCCAGCCATAATCACCCTTTTGTTATTCCCTAACCCTGCCAATATCATTTATGCCTTAGATTCCTTTTACTTGCTTCTGCTTCTTCCTAGCACATTCTGCCCCCCAGATATTTTCCAGGCTGGCATCTTCTCGTCTTCCAGGTCTCAGCTCAAATGTCATCCTCTCAGAGAGGCCTCCCTCACCAACGGAGCCTCAAAATAAACTCAACATATTACTTTGTTCTAATTTCTCAAGATAATTTATCACCATTAGAAATCCCCTTCCCCAGCACTTTAATTTCTGTCTTCCCACACTATCGTGTACATTTCATAACAAAAAGAATATTTTGTTCACTACTTCTATTCAGAACTGCAACACTATAGAGGAGATCTGTATTTTGCTCTAGATTAAAGGCTTGTGTCAGGACCCAGAAACTCTCTTCTCTCAAGCTAGGCATCAAAGATTTGGGAGGTGTGCTTACTATTTTGCAGCTTAGGGTTGTTTCACTATTTTCATTGCACTGCAAATCGTTTTTTAAAAGTTTACCTCTATTCTTCTTTTTGTTATTATTGCTTTTTTTGAAGTATTTTGATAGAGGAAATTTAACTAAAATCCTTCTACGTCAACATTATCAATTTGTATTCCAATGCAGTTTGGCATTGACCAAAATGTTGTTATAGTGCACATGATTGATATGGTAAGAGTGGGTAGGAGTAGCAATGGACCAGCAGTACCTGGAAATTCTCTTGTGCACACTATCTCATTAATCTATTTATATGAAAGTAATATTGTTTCCATTAATTACATAAGTTGATAATATGATTATCACAAATGATAATATGCCAAATACCCCGACTTGATGTGTATTCTATGCTTGTAACAAAATATCACTAGTACCCCATAAATAAGCAAAAGATTATTTATCAATTTTAAAAAACCTGCTTCAGTATCCAGCAACTTTGTTAGGTTAAGAGAATGTCACTATGTAGATTAAGAAGTCGCAAGTGTCGACATTTTATATAGTTTTTATACGAGACTTATAATAGTGAAGATATCATTATTCTTCAACTAATAGTATATTCTAATAGCAATTATAAAAGGTGGAAAAAGTAAGCTAATCAACTTTTTTTTTTTTTTTTTTTTTTTGAGACGGAGTCTCACTCTGTCACCAAGGCTGGAGTGCAGTGGCGCGATCTCTGCTCGGCTCACTGCAAACTCCGCCTCCCGGGTTCACGCCATTCTCCTGCCTCAGTCTCCCAAGTAGCTGGGACTACAGGCGCCCACCACCACACCCGGCTAATTTTTTGTATTTTTAGTAGAGACGGGGTTTCACCGTGTTAGCCAGGATGGTCTCCTGACCTCGTGATCCGCCCGCCTCAGCCTCCCAAAGTGTTGGGATTACGGGCGTGAGCCACGGCGCCCGGCCAGCTAATCGATTTTTTAAAGGTAAACTCAACAATGGGCTTTTTATTTTATTTTTTTAATGAGGAGATAACATGTTAGAAACTTCTAAGTAGAGAGATGTTGAGAAAGAAGTGTGGGTCAGAGAGGCAAATCTTTAGGTCATCCAGATATTGAAGAGTGAGAGACCGGACTAGGAGAGATGTGGCTGAATTGAGGAAGGATTTGCATTACTTTAACCTAAGTGTAAGGGCAGCCAATAACAAGAAATACTCTCACCAAAGAAGTTCAAGTTATCGATCAAAGTTGCACTGAATTTTGCCTTGTCAGTAGGACTTTATGATAATGGCATTATAATTAAAATCAAAACATGCAAATTTCTTAGGGGAGGGTGGGCACCTAATTCTTCCCGTTTTGGAGGAAGTCTGCGGGTAATCTGGGAGGATTTTGTCCATTTATCATTTCTACGTATTGGAAATATTTCAAGTTATCTCTTGTAGCTACTTTAAAAGATACAATACACTGTTGCTTACTATAGTCATTTTACTCTGCTAGCAAACATTAGAACTTATACTTTCTATCCAACTGTATGTTTGTTCCCATTAACCAACCCCTCTTCATCCCTTGCTCCTACCTACATACTGTTTCTAGCCTCTAGTATCTATCATTCCACTTTCTATCTTGGTAAGATCAATTTTTTAGCTCCCACATGTAAATGAGAACGTGTGAAATTTGCCTTTCTGTGTCTGTCTTATTTCATTTAACATAATGGCTTCCAGTTCCATCCATGTTGCTCAAGCATATCTTTTGACCACTGTAGACAAATTTTCTCTTTTTCTTTGTTCTATTGTTTCTTACATACAAAACATCCTAAAGTTTCTTCTAAGATGGTCTAATATACCCTCATATGGCAGATTAGATGTTGACCATACCACCCAAACGAAAGGAGCCCTTTCTGTATATCCCTAGATCATAAAAAATCTTTGTTTCTATGTGCCTACACTACCTCTCTGGCTATCAGTCATTTCAGGTTATTGCACTAATATGCAATAGAGATATGAGAGGGATTTGTAACTGACAGATGCATTAGAACTAGATTGTGCCTCAGCCCAACTCTTCCTTGAGCCCAGATTTATACAGTAATATTTGGTCTAAACAATCCAGACATATAATCCATGTGACATTCTGCAACACTGCCAACCTCTATCCTGAAGGAGTTACCACTGTTAGTAGAGCAAAAAAATAATGCAAAAGAAGCCCCTTTTGTGTAAAAGAGTTATGCAAAACTCAGCAATGACCACACACAACACCCACCATATGTAAAAACCCTACTATAATATTACAGAACAATACAGCTAAGACAGTGCCTGCATTTTCGTATTATACCTCTTATTCTTTTTATTCACTCAAATAAACTCTATGTGACCATATTTATTCAATCATCAGAAAACTAATGAGAGTATAAATGTAGCCAGCCATAAAAAAGAAATGCCCAACAGCCAATGTAGGTTATGTATTAAGATGTGGGTTCTCTCAAGGCAGGTTATTTCTGTAGGGACTTCATCCCCACAAATTCTCAAGCATCTATGGTGTTACACAACAGATTGCTCTGTCAGGGCTTCTGCCTCTGAATTCCAGGTGTGCTCAATTTTGCATCTGTTACTTCACAAATGCATCAGACTTGAACGGCAAACCATATGGCTTCCTTTACTGGACCTACTTTCAATCACAAATATGCATAAATTGCCGGTACAGAGGCTGGTGCCATCTGAAAATGCTAAGAGGGAATGGTGTTGGGTTGGGTGCACAGACATAACTCAACATGAGCTTACCACAGCCCTGAACGGACTGCTGGGTGCTTCCCAGCTGACCCTGATCTATGGCATCTGGATAACAAATGTGCACATTTAGAATAGCCTGTTTAGTTACTGCTCTGAGCTGGGGATCAAACAAGTTACAAATAGCCCTGAGTCCAAATACAGTAGTGACATGCAGTAATGGTGTCATTATCAGGCAATAATTCTATGCCTATCACTGACTCCCACTGGCAATAAAAATGATAGTCTGTAGCAAAGTGGCCAGTAACAGACACTAGCAAGGGGACAGCAAATTACACTAAGTACCATGATTATATCTTCAATTAGCATTGTGTGTGAATGTTGAGTCCGTGTGTGTATCTGTGTGTGTGTATAAGCATCCCAGCGATGAAGTTTGAGTGTGTGTGTCTGGTCACTAGTCCTCTAGCAAAGAACAATTAAGTAAAAAAACAAACAAACAAAAACAGACCAGGAATGTTCATATTTTAAAATTGTTTCTGGCACTGCTAGCTGATGAGCTATTATGAAGTATGTTTTCACTGCACAGCACTTCTTTTTATAACACAGTCATGGATCTCCAAACATTCCCTCAGGACAAGATGCTTTTTAAGAAGGGAACTCTCTGAAAGCCAAAAATACTAAAATACTCCTATATACTCCCTCACACAATGGAAAAGTGTTCAGAGATGAAGATCTACTTAAAATTTCTAAACAAGGAGAGAATAGAAATTTTTTGACCCTGCATATTCATAGCGCCTTAAGAAAGACTTTTGTTGAAGTGGTTGTTATATTCTTTACATCAAGAGTTTATCATAAACACTGCTTGAGGCAATCTCAGATCATAAGGGCTTTCTTACACAAAAAAAACAAAAATTCGTGCTGCTCCACTGGCACTTTTATAAATTCTATATTTACTTTACAAATAGTAAAATGTCGACAAGCAAAAGTGTAAAAGACAGCCACAAATTAACATTATTTAACAACATTCAGAACCAGTCTAATTTTATAATGATTAGAGAAAGGTTACAAACATATAACACAAAGAAAAATAAGAGATCTGAAAATGCCAAATTGAAACCAAAGCTAACACTATTGGAAATGTTACTGTGTTGTTCATTTAAGCTTCTAAGTCCTTTGACTGGCGATATAAGCTTAGTGCAAATCAAAGCAAAAAGTAACATAGCATCAAAGTTTGCTCACATCATTCGGCTTTCTCAATTTCTCCCTGCTTCCTAGTGTGAGGTTGGCTGTATTCCAAAGTTATTTACTTTCTTGCTATCAACTTAGGCAATGAATTCTACAGTCAAGAGCATCATATGCTTTCTTTCTTTTAGCCAATTGTATTGATTTAGTTCTTTCTCATTGGCAGATAAATTCAGCTTATGTAGCAGCAATTATCCAGAGGGAACATTAGTAAGATCCACAAGATATAAGGAGTTTGCTTAAGCCCCCTGGACTATCCTTAAAATCTGACTTTGAGACTATTTTTCATTTATACAAGACCAGAATCTCACTTGCCCCACCTCATTAATCTTTAATGCAATGTCATGATTTACAGCTATTGATGTAATTTTCATAAGCATGAATCCTACCATTATTAAAGTGACTTAAATTTTAAAAAATAGCCACTTATGTTTGGGGGTCAAAGATTTAATAGAGATTCACAACTGTCACCCATGAAAAATCAGGTCATAAGAGATTGTGGTTCTAGGACTCCTGAAACAGGGCATCCACCATAAGGAAACACATAAAATATTGCTTTGTAACAGGTTTAGGTTTGCACATATTAACTTATTCTATGTGATTGTCCCACCTCCAGCCAATTTACTAGTTACCATTACTTATGCAGGAATAAACTAAGTAGAATAATACCAAGTAGATTCTTTGGCCATGTTGGGACTAAAATAATGGGTTAAACCAAGGGTCAAAGAGACGAATTTGCTGCCATGGCCTTAATAATGGGTATTATTAAGATTATTAACTATTGGGCCATTATGATTTAATAAATAATATTTACACCATGTCTTAATATTATCCCATCCTAAGATTGCTAAATTTGTCATGTTTACCTGAGTAGAAAATTTTCTATGTACCTGGATTTTAAGAATTCCTTCTAGCAAAGAGCTGTAAAATCACAAATAATATGGAGCATCCAACTTAATTGACACTCCTCTTCCTAAATTACAAGAAAGATGATCTCATCTAGGAATTTGACCTCTGAAAAATTGATATAATGTACATCTTTGGTATTCTGAATAGATATATCCTCAGAATTCTATAATCCTCAAAATTGTGAATTATTCTAATTGAGAAACAGATTCTGGGCAGCTGGCTAGATTTCCTCACCAGTATATTAAACTTACTTAATTTCCAGCCTTGCAGCCATAGAACTGAAATTCATATTGGTACTCCCAAGTGTCATATCATTTAATGTCTTTAGGAAGTAGATATGTTTATAGACATTGGGATCCCTCAAGAAATGTCAGAACCATAAATGCTCAATTTACTAATGCCAATTGTTGCGAAAGCCCTAAACTTAATAATCTTTGCTTTTGGTAGGAGAAAATAGACTTTTAATGTTAAAGCAACAATTATTTAAACATGCTCAGTCGTAGATGTTCAGTAAAGGTTGATGGATTTCTATTGAAAGTTTACCTAAATGTAACCTTTCATAGCCAACATAATGAATAGATAGATAGATAGATAGATAGATAGATAGATAGATAGACAGATAGATTGATTGATCCGTGTGATGTTTCTATACATTGTTTTGAAATCTTTTAAAAACAATCTGCAAAGTAAGAAGTGGACAAGGTTAATGTATTATAAAACTCAGGAAAGAAGAAAAGGATAAGTTACACTGAATGAGAATGAAGTAGTTAATTAGGTAACACCTAATTTTACCTAGCGAGAATAAAGTAAACAAAGAGAAAACTATAAAATAAATTATCATTAAGAAAAGAATGAAAGCAAGAATTTCAGCAAAATCATGTGCTAATAAAGTGATCAGATAATAAAACAGGGTTATCAAAGACAAAAGATAAAGAGCAGGACATGAAAGTCAATGCATTTAAGTTTTCAACTACTTAATGATGGAATCATTGAGCCACCGCTGTTAGGAACCCAGGCCTTAGAACAAGAATGATTTCGTCTTCAACAAGAAACAGACTTGTGAGTTGATGCCACAAGGAACTGCTCCATATTTTCAAAGTTCTGAGAACAACAGTTGTTGTTAGGTAGAGACTGCTAGTTGTATCCCCCAATAGCTGTTCTCTTCTTCCTTAACACTTCCTTCTTCTTCCAAATTTTTGCTGGGTACCTTGCCACTAAAAGTATTTCAATTTTCCCAGCTTCCCATGCTGTTAGGTATGGCCATGGCTTTAGATTTACCAAATGGGATACAAGCATAAGTCACATAGCAGTTTCTAAATGCTTTAATTAAGAGGCAGCTGATGCCTACCTTTATCCCTTTTTGATTTGTTCTTTCTTCTTGCTTTCTAGAATGCTGATGGGCTGACAGAAGCTGGACTAACCCTTGTTCACCATCAGGTGATCTGAACGATAGAAGACACAAAAAATGGTAGAACAAGACAGAGGAAATCTGAGTTCTGATACCACACCAGCCCTAAGCTATCTACCTCTAGACTGTGACATGAAAATAAATGTATTTCCCTCTTGTCTAAGCCACTGCTAACTTTTGTTTTGTTCTGCTTTATTTGTTTAATCTCTAAGAGCTGTCCCTAATCTTTTCTGAAACCTGCTGATATCCATAACCCTTGAAATTGTTGACAATTAGTTATTTAGACAGTGATCTCAAGCAAGTACATGTCTGTTGTTTAGGAAAAGGAGCTAGGCTTACAAAATTGGCTTTTTATCAATACCTCTGTCTTCTACAGGAAATTGTTCTACCAGTCTGAATTTTCAGGCTTTCTCCACCAGTGACTAATTCTGGTAAGAAACTGACTCGAATTGGCCACATTTATTTCTTGGGTGGAATTAACATGAGGAAGGTCTCTATTCATTCCTGGCCTAGTCTCTTCATTCTGTCTACAAGAGGAAAAAAAAAAAAAAAAAAAAGGACATTAACCTTCAGACTCCCAAGCAAGAATAAGGGAATAAGGCAAGTCAGGTTCCACATCTTGCTCTTGCAACTGGGTACATTAATTCAAGAGAGTGGGGATGGAGAAGGAGGTCCATTTTGGTCTCAATACCAAGCCCAATTCTGCAGTTGAGCTAAACTGAATAGGGCAGTTATTTTAAACTCATCCTGCCTTGCTGTGATAGTTTTCAACTTAGGTAAGAGTCTTGAGAAGAAGAGGAGTGAGTGATTAGGCTAGCCCAGTAGTAATATTATGAGCTGCCCCACATTATAGTAGTGTAAGGTCATATCAGGTATATGATTAGTCCTTATTTTTCAAGTTCTATATATTTGTCCATTTAAAATAATTATGATTTTATAAAAATTGTATGTTTTTCTTCTTCCTCTTTGGGTCTGTGGTTTAAAAAATTATATCAAATAAAACAACACACAAAAGTATCACCACTTTATATATTAGTTATCTGAGCTTCAGAAAAAGCACGACAAAATCGCATAATTTTCAATTCACTGAGCAGTGTCTTCAGTGATATCAATAGGAATGTAATGCCCAGGGAAACAAGTGTCATACTCTAGGCATTTTTGTTTTGTTTGTTTTGTTTTGTTTTTAACATACATTCCACACCTTATGTATTTCTAAGAACTATGCCAGGGAATAAACCTTACACAGCAGACAGCAGTTACATGTTATTACGTTCCAGTAGATGGGAAAATCTGGAGTTATGTACCATTACAGAGTACCATGCCAAGCTATATTGAACCCTGAGACAAAAGAAAAAAATCAGTTATACTGTTGTTGCCTTTACTTAAAATTTTGATAGTTTGTTTATTATGGATTTTTTGCACTAAATTTTGATTTTGTAAATATTGCATTAAAATATTATCTTGGTCAGGTGCGCTGGCTCATGCCTGTAATCCCAGGACTTTGGGCAGCTGAGGTGGGCGGATCACAAGGTCAGGAGATCGAGAGTATCCTGGCCAACATGGTGAAACCCTGTCTCTACTAAAAATACAAAAATTAGCTGGGTATACTGGCGTGAACCTGTAATCCCAGCTACTCAGTAGGCTGAGGTAGGTGAATCGCTTGAACCCGGGAGGCAGAGATGGCAGTTAGCCGAGACCGCAGTGAGCCAAGATCGTGCCACTGCACTCCAGCCTGGGCAACAGAGGGAGACTCCATCTCCAGAAAAAAATAAATAAGTAAATCTTGATTGTTGAGTTTATTAGCTCCTTTTTAAATTTGGAACTCAAGATGAAAGTGTATGAGGAGGATCTATGAAATAATCTCATAGGTCTCAGCCTAGTCCCAGCCTGCATTTCAGAACCTAGCACTAGCTATTTGTACGACTTCTGCCAAGCTCATCTGCATTTCCGAATCTTAGAACACCAGCAATGTAACACCAGTTGATGCTTTTTTGCTTCACATTATTACATGATAATGAGGAAATGCCTGTGCCATGCATGACCTCTGAAGAGGTGGCATTAAATAACTTCAATCAGTCTTGTTGTTGCCCTAAAAAATACAAGTCCTTTACCTTCGCTAGACATGTTTATAATACAGTTGGTCAAACTATCCTGTGATAGGAGCTACATGGTCACATGAAAAAGCTGCGAATCAGGTGAATAGTAAAAACTGTGAGCCCCTTTGGAGGGATTCTTCTTCTTTTTAAAAGGAAGGTGTGTAGAACGACTAAAACCTGCAGATATTTAATAAGAACCAGCATCTGTACTTTGATTGCTTCAAATTACACAATATCATACTAGTGCCAGTCCAGGGCTTCTTACATGCGCTGATGCTGAAAGCAGAGACATAACAAAAGGCTGGACTAACACTTTTCTTTGCCTCCAGCAACCACTCAATGTTCTGTTTTATTTTATTTGGCTTTATTATTTGGCTTTTGGCTGACCACCTAAATGACCAGCCTGCAGCGACA
Organism: Homo sapiens; assembly: GCF_000001405.40. Taxonomy (NCBI): domain Eukaryota; kingdom Metazoa; phylum Chordata; class Mammalia; order Primates; family Hominidae; genus Homo; species Homo sapiens. The sequence continues at coordinate 59,242,555 of NC_000013.11, forward strand.
GCAAACATGGGTCCCTTTGGCGAGACTGATAAGACCATTCTATCAATCCTCATACACTCCACCTTGTGGGGGCCACAAAGATGGGGTGAACCCCTCTTAAGGGTCCACACACAGACCCACACCACAAGCACATGCCTCCTTATAAGATGGCTGCTGTCTAGAGAGTAGAGATTGTTGCCAAAGAACAATGGGTATCTTTAGGGATAAAAGCATTACCTAAATGTAAGATTTTGTCAGGTAATGACCTCACGAGTTTCAAAGTACCTCACAATTGCTGCCTGGTGGTGATTATAGGGTAGGATGCAGTGTACTTAGTAGAAAATCCAGATTAGGGCAGTGAGAGAGGTGAGGTGTCTGTCAGGACTGATATGCAATTAAAGATTACAAAAACCTGGTTTCTCCCAGCCTAACAATGAGCATAGTTAGAAAGAAACTTAATTGCACTATTTAAGATTAGGAAAAGTATAGAGGGAACAAAGTTATCAATTCCAAGCTTAAAATGCCATTGCACAATATGAGAATAAGTATTCATATGAATGGCGCAGCAAGAAAATTTAAAAACCAATAAAATGAAATACTTCTGCACACAGTGGAATTCAGTGCTGCAGGAGATCAGAGAGTCAAATGCAGTAGTTGTATTTTAAAAGGAGGCTGAATAATTTTATGACCACTGTAAAAAAGGAGACAGGCTTAAATTGCTGCAGGAGGTTAGAAATAAGGAAAAACTTTATAACTGCAAAGATAGTGAGTGGGTATAATCTGAGTATTTTAATATGCCACCTTTTTTTAAAAAAAATTAAGATTTGTCACTCCTATTAGCCAAACCAGGGATCTGCTCAACCTTAAAGCCTATAACCCTTTGTTTTGCTCCGTGTTGTCCTGCCATCTTTTGTCTTTCAAGTTTATGGCTTTGCCAAGTCAGTTTTCCTGAACACTCTGGTGATCCTTTTCCCAGAATTCATGCACACCAAAGTGATTGGCCAGATGCTGTTTGCTTTGTACACGGATTCCTGAAACATACTTTACGCCTTCATTCTCTCCTCCACTTCAAATCACATTATAGCCCCGAGGAGTAACTGTGAGCAGACTTCAAACTACACACAGAAATTCCATTAGATTTCAAATCGGTTGTCTTAACCTCTTATGCACTGCAGACCACAATAATCCAACAGCACACGCTGGTTTAGCCACATTCTACCTGTTCTTAATAGCCAACAGTGAGCCTCTAGATAAATTATGACTTTCATTCTGCTGACTGTTGATTGCTTCACATTCCCTACCAGATCATTCCTCGGTGGTGGTGCCCAAAATAATTCCTTGCATTTTGTGTAATATTTCAGAAGCTACGGTACATTTCTATATCCATATCATTTGATAATCACAGAAGCTCACTAAGGAAGTCAATGTAGAACAGATATTAATATCTCTTTTTGAAAAATGAGAAATCTAGCCTCATTTCTGCTTAAGTACTTGCATCTTCAGATTTCTGGTGCTTTTCCATACGCAAAATGATGCACTATAGTTAAGCATTCCTGATCATTTTATTTAAAATCCTCCTCCTTCCTCACTACTTAAATGTTCCACCTTACCTAGAATGATCTGCCTTTTTCCCTCAATAGTGTAAGCTCTTAGAATGCTATTTATTCTATTAGAAAATATTCACTTAAAATAATCTTGTACCCCAAGAAATGATTCCTAATACATAAATTTTTCTAGGACTCTTTCTTTAGTCTTCTGAAAAGCATATTTGCATTCATAACATACCAACAAATAGATAAGTAAAATCCATAGGTTACTCATTTTGAATGCCTCACAGATTCTAGAACATCTTCCATATGAGTGTTGATGTTTGCATTCATTTATTCAATAAGTATTTGAGCACCTTCTATGTGCCAAGACACTGAGAATATATAACAGACTAACGTTCCTGCCCTCATTGAGTTTAGATTCTAACGAGGAAGGCAGATGGTAAACAACATAATTAAGAAATTTATAGAGTGTTGGATAGTCTAAAACATATAAATTAGGTAAATGGGAAAGAAGTATTAGGATAGAGGCAAGGAGTTGAAATTTAGATAAAGTGATCATGTAAGGCTTCACTGAGAAGATGACTTTTGAGTAAAACCCTGATTGAAGCAAAGGAACTAGCTACGTAGATGTCTGAGGGAAGAGCTTTCCATATAAAGGAGTAGCAAGTGCAAAGGCTCTGGTGTGGAGCCATGCCCGTGTGTTTTAAGTAACGAGAAAAGAAGCCTGTGTGGTCAGAGTTCAGTGAATGAAGACAATCGTGGTAGGAGGTGAAATCAGAGAGGCACTAGGGACAATAATATAAGGCCTGATAGTAGATGAAGAGTCATGTGAACAGAACATGATAGGAATAAATTTATACTTTGCAACATCTCTATCTGCACGGTTGAAAATAGGCCAAAAGGGGCAATGGAAGAAACAGAAATATCAGTTAGGTGTCCATTAATCCATGCAAGTGACTCAGCAGTTGTGGGAGAATAGGATAAGTTTAAGATATATTTTGAAGGTAGAATCAATAGAATTTGGGTCAAAGCAGATGTAGGATGCCAGAGAATGGGAGGAGTCAAAGACAACACCAAGATTTTAGCTGGAAGAAGTAGGTAAATGAATTCCCCTATTCATTATGATATGGAAGACAGCCATAAAAGCAGAAGTGAAGGTGGGGGAATATCAGCAGATTTGTTCGGGAATTAAACGTGTATGTATAGACATCCCCATGGAATATCAAGTAGGCATTTGTGTATATGGGATATTTGAATGCATTTAGATACTGAAGTTCAGAGGAGAGGTCCAGGCAGGAGACATAAATTTAGACATTATAAGCATGTGGATGGTGGTATTTAAAGACATGAAACAGGGTGAGATCCCCCTGTGTGGGGAAGGGAGGGAGAATGAATAGAAAAGGGAAAAAATTTAAGAAGTCCCAACACACTTCAACATTTAGAGACTGGGAAGACAAAGAACACAGCAAAGAAGTATCTAGAAAACTAAAAGGAAAGCCAGGTAATTGTGATTTAGAAGTCAAGTGAAGAAAGTATTTCAAGGGCACAGTGGTTACCTATGTCAAAAGCTTCTGATTAGGCTTAGCAATAAGGAAATCATAGATAACCTGGTAAGACTGGTTTCAGTGGGGAAGAGGAGGCAAAAGATGGTTTGAGTGAAAAAGAAGAGTAGGCCGGGCACAGTGGCTCACACCTGTAATCCCAGCAGTTTGGGAGGCTGAGGCGGGCGGATTGCCTGAGGTCAGAAGTTCGAGACCAGCCTGGCCAACATGGTAAAACCCCGTCTCTACTAAAAATACAAAAATTAGCCGGGTGTGGTGGTGGGCACCTGTAATCCCAGCTCCTCAGGAGGCTGAGGCAGGAGAATCACTTGAACCCAGAAGGCGGAGGTTGCAGTGAGCTGAGATTGTGCCACTGCACTCCAGCGAGACTCCATTTCAAAAAAAAAAAGAAAAAGAAGAAGAAAAAGAAAAAGAAGAGTAATTGGAAACAGCAAGTCAGCACACATAGATGACTTTTTCAAAGAAAAATGAGGAAAGCCAGAGGAGGAAGTGGGGCCATGAAGAGGGTAATTTTTTTTTATGTTGGAAAAATAACAAACAAACATTTGCAAACTAACTGCAATAATCCAACAGATGGGGGAAATGGGTGAGCCATGAATGAAACGGGAGAATTGCCATTGTTGTTGCCTTTAAGTATAGAGAAGGCAGGATGAGGTTTAATCACACGTGGAGTATTTGGTCTTAGCCAGAAATATCCATAGTTTATTTACAAAGAAGAGAAGATAGGGTATGTGGGTTAAGACATAGGTAGGCGATGAGAGCATGTGGAGGTTTTCTCCTGATTGCTTTTATCAGTAAAGTAGAAAACAGGTTTGTCAGGTGAGGGTCAGGATAGATGGGGAGAGGCTTTGCAGGACTGAAAGAGAAGTATATAGCAGTAATCTTGGAGACTGGGAAAATAAGTAGATTGGTAAGACAGCTGGCAGCATTAAGACCCACTATGAAATTAATAATCCATGTGTTTAAAGTGAAATTGTTCATCTTGATTGTGTATTTGGTCCCACTTACTTTAGCTGCCTGGGTTTAAGCACAGAGTAGTCAGAAAGCTTATTTTAACCAAGGTTGTGATTTGGCCAAGTGAGTATAACCAAAAAAGCAGAGGGGGGCAACGGAGTTGAGAGTATTTGCAAGTAAGTAAGCATGATGATTGATTGCAGGATTTAAATGTGAGAGAGGATTAGGAGAAGAGGTTAGGGATAGAGAAAAGATAGCAGGAACTTGGGGCAGAATGGGAGGGGGCTGTTGAAAGATTGCTGCAATTGAGGTAATTGAGGGAATAAGCTAGGAAGATGGGCATGGAGTGGTAACCAGTTAATGCGTGTTGGAAACTGAGATAATGGATGGGTATGGGTAATGAAAAGATCAAGACCGTAGTCACAGGAGTGGTTGGCCTTTTGCTCCAGAAAAGTCAAAGTGTTTCAGGAAATGAGAAGAAGTAAGACAAATGAGGATGAGAGTCTGGAATGGTTTGGGATTCCTGAACTTCTTTTAGTAACTGATATGAGCAGAAGTAAAAGTCATGATGGGATTAGTTCTTCTGGTCCCAAGTAACATGATGGAGGAGGGGCTGGAAGTATCAGGGGAGGGGGCTGTTGCCAAGAGCTTAAATTCTGGAGCTCCCCCTTGACTCCTAATGAGGAAAGCATGGGAATGACAAAGGGCAGTCTCATTCCTAGGGCACAGCTACTCTCCTAGACTGCTGCTGTGGGCCTGTGGAGGCGTGGCCTTCCCTAGCGCTCTGGGCCGTTCTGGACATCGGCCAACAAGTTGTTCCAGGCTGCAGAGGCTGCAAAGGCCATTGTGATGGTTCTTCCTGGTCTCTAGCTCCTTCTACAATGGTAGCCAGGGTCATCTATAGAAAGTGAAATCATTGAGGAGGCTTAGGGAGAGTTTTAAAGGAAACTGTAAATACATACATCTCCGCTGTTCAATAGAGTATATGAAATATCTAGCAAACAATTTTGGAAAGAGGGACTATTGAGAGGTCTATAGCTAATAACACCGATAATTTCTAACTCCTTCTCTTGATCTGGCTGGTCATCCTTGGTCACAAAAATGTTTTCCAAGTGATAACACATCATAGGATCTTAGACCATATTTTACCACACACATAGTTCAACCTGAGGAAACTGAGGATTGTAGTAAACCCCACACTGTCTTCCAGATAGGGTTGCTAGATAAAATAAAGGAGGGCCAGTGAAATTTAAATCTTAGATAAACTACAAATAATTTTTTAGTGTAAGTATGTCTCATGCAATATTTGTATTTACTGTATTTTTATTTGCTATATCTGATAACCCTACCCCTAAAGGAATTTTTAAAAATTTATAGAGATAGACGGCTAACCTTAGTCTGTCTGAAAGCAACAAACTGGCCAGGTGCAGTGGCTCACACCTGTAATCCCGGCACTTTGGGAGGCCAAGGCGGGCGTATCACGAGGTCAGGAGATCGAGACCATCCTGGCTAACACAGTGAAAACTCCGTCTCTACTAAAAATACAAAAAATTAGCCGGGCGTGGTGGCGGGTGCCTGTAGTTCCAGCTACTCGGGAAGCTGAGGCAGGAGAATGGCGTGAACCCGGGAGGCAGAGCTTGCAGTGAGCCGAGATCATGCCACTGCACTCCAGCCTGGGCGACAGAGCGAGATTCCGTCTCAAAAAAAAAAAAAAAAAAAAGAAAAAAAAGAAAAGAAAAAGGCAACAAACTGCAAATGAATATGGCTCAGAAACAATGGAAAGGCTTTGTACCTCCTTCTCCCAAGTTACCCATATGAGGTTTCCCATGTCACACACAGAATCAAACAAGACTCAAGTAAAGCTAAAATAAGTCAATAGTCACCTAAGATGTCCCTTCTCTGCTTTGTCCCATACACTCCATTATTCCCCATATCCCCATACAGTCTTAGGGAACAGAGAGGCAGTACAAGAGGTTGGATCTGGTAAACCTAAGAAGGTGGTGTCAGGGAGATTTTGTAGGCATGGGACAAAAGAAGGGACCCTGCAGGAGAGTCCCTTAGAGAATATTTCTACCCCACTGTGCCCCTTTCACGACACTGGCATCTTCTGCTGGGTCTGTGGTATAGCCCTGGGTACATATTCTACGCTTTTTCACCCTAATAGGTATTTGACAAAAAGAAAAGATGGGAGATGGAAGAGATTTTTCCTAATAAAATGTTTCAAAATAACCAATTTAAATATAAAGAATTTAGAACAGCATGTTAAGCATGCTCCTTGTATTCTATTTACTTAGAACAAAGATCATGTTCCCTGATTATCGAAGGCCAGCAGTTACTAGAACCTACACTGTGTCATTACCTAATGGCATAAGTCATATGGGTGGCTGAAACATGAAAGAAATACCATATATTAAAATCTGCTATCAATCCAGTAGGGAAGAGCCAGCTGGATAAATCAGAATACACTTCAAATAATCACTATATATGAACCTGCAAATTTATCCACATCCCTATCTCAAAAGCTAACACATTTCATGCTCTTTCTCATATTTAAATCTAGATAAGTGAATTTCCAATATCCTTTGAGGATGCAGCTGTTGTTTAACAGTGTGATTTTATATTTATATAGCGCCAGTTATCATAGGATCTTAGACCATTTTTACCAGCCTAATTCAGTATTAATAACCATAAAAAAACAGTAATTTCAGCTGCATTATTCTACTGGGCAACTAGACAGTAACACATTTATTTTCCTGGGCATTTGGAAGTTCCTGCTTTGTCCTCAAAGGGAAAAAGTAGTCAAATCCTCTAATCCCCCAGAGAAAAATAAAAAATAACGAAGACCAGCCAACAGGACAAAACAGTGATGTTTCCAAACAAACTCCACTTGTGGGAACCTCTAGGAAACCATTTTGTATGTTCCAGGAAAGAGGAAATTGATTTGGCAATGTGGTGAAAAAAATTGACATTTATGTAGGAAACAAAATCAAGATTCTTGTACAGATTAGGCTATTTGGATAAATTTGTGTTTTTAGATTAATATGGCAGCTCCCCAAAATGTGACTATAACCAACCAACCTGGAAATGTGTTTTTATGAGAATGCAAATTTGGACACAGTCTCCTATTTAAACCCTGTACCTGGAACAATTTTATCCTCTCTCTACACCCCATAATCTTACTCTACCCAACAATATAGCCAGCATGTTTATTGTATCACTAATAGCTGATGTCTATTGAAGTGTATGTCTGTTCCCAAATTCCCCAGTGACCCTCTCTCATCCTACTGGATAAATCTGATTCCTTTTATTTTTCTCACCTTCTCACCATTTACTTAATTCTGTCTGAATACAACATTCTCTTGGGTGCTTACACATACCTTTTCCCAATATTTAAATATAGGACCATTAAGTAATATGAGCTTTTGGATGAAGTACTAGTTCCTGAATTAGAGAATCACCATGGAGAATTGGGTTTAAAGTTGTTGGGGAAAGGAGAGAAACAACTCCAAGCAAGAAAATGAGCAAGTACACTCTATTCTGTCTTATAACCCATATGCAGTTCTGTGTGTGTGGAGATTAGCTGTAAAACTTGGCAGTTTCTCACCAGATGCTAACAATGATTTTTAAACAGTTCAAATAACTAGGATAACTATGCCTCATTAAATGACACTGTGCATGTCAAACACCTTACAGTACAGTTTATTTTGGTTGATTTGCATACAGAAATCTTCTTGGTGCTGCATCATTTCTTCCATTTTTGAAATGAAACCTCCTTTTGAAAGTTCTTTTTTTTTTTTTTTCAGTCATAAACACATCAGCCCTCCTTCCCCAACAATGCAGGTCATTCACTAAAATCTGGTCACAAAACTGAAGCAGCAGCATGCCAGGAAGAATCATGCACACATCAGCCCTCCTCCCTGCAAAATGCACGCCATTCACTCAAATCTGGTCACAAAATTGAAGAAGTAGCATGCCGGGAAGACAGACTGAACACTGGACATTATTAGACACTGTGGGATTACTTAAGTAGCTCCATAGAAAGAAATTGCATTTTCATGTCACAGTGGTCCGAGATGGATTTAGGACAAGACAAGGCAAGTAATAAGGATGTCTGTTGAATGTCATGAATCCTACTAAATCAATTAGTTGCTAAGATATAAGAAGATTTTCTCTACCCTCTTCCTCACCCTCAGTGCTACAAAGGCCATGAAGTTATCAAGCATGGGGGACTGGAGTGCTCTGCCAATGTTCAGCTGCTGCAGGAGGCTCCTAAATGGAAAATTACTCTGATTGTGAAAGTGCAATTTCAGATGGCAAGCATCATTGACGACACTGAACCTCTCTGCTGAAACTCAGAGAAAGACCCAAGTGTTTATCCCATTCTAAAGATACAATTAGCTGAAGTTTTTATCTCCGCATCTGAAAAGCCTAAATCAGACAAGTGTCCTATGATTATTTCTGGTGGAGAAAAGGAGGACTGCATTCCTACAATGGGGCTGGTTTCTTTTTTTTTCCCATTAACTGACTGTTTGAATAGGCAGCAATTAATCACTCTTCTCTGCATACAAAGACAAAATTAAAGCTTTGTATTCTAACTTCAATTTGAAGAGTATTTAATAGTAAAGAATCACCACATGGTCAGCATCTTCAACATTAAAATAAGAGCTTATACAGAATATAGTGACCAAACAATCTTATATCTCCGTGAGAATAAGTCATTTCAGTTTTAATCATCTTTAGGGAATTATAAAGTTTAAATAAATATAGTATTAGCGATTTTGTTTTAAAAAGTGCAAAGAATATGAGAGGGTGTTTTATCCACTTGTGTTACATCAAGAGGCTACACTTAATCCAATGATTCTTTGATTGCACTGTTTTTTTAAAATACTTTGTTTTGGAATTTAATGTAAATATAGAATGAGTTCACTCTCTTTATATTTTTTTTCAGGCTGAATTTGATTTTTGAAAACTTTCAAATTCATTTGGAAATTCATCAGTCAAGTCCAGTAAACAAGAATCCCCAGTGACTACTCTGGAAACCAACACTCACTCCTTAATGAACAACATGTTTATCATGTCCATTTAGTTAAGCAACAAATGTTTATTGACCATCTACCAGAGAGAGAGAGATGGGAAATGGGAAATTCCCATCTCCCAGATGGGAAATTCTCTTTGACCCCTTCACAGGCCTTGAGACAAGGGTGCCTCACTTACTCAGTCTGCAGCTCTCAGCTGGGACAGGGAGCACGCAGGTGAGCAGGCGCAGGAGTTGGGACGAGTGCTTCTGGGCGCCAGCAGGAACAGAACCCCGTGCAGCCCTACAGCAGCATCTAGGAGGGTACCTGAGACCCCTGGGGCCCCAGAGGGTGTGTTACTGTGTGTTCTTTTAGCTTTGCCATCCATAGATGGCTTAAATGTTAAACAGCTCAAGCACCCACACCTGTGGCTCCCAAGTTCTTGCTTGGCATCCAGGAAGAATCAGGTCACATGAACGAATTGAAGGGTCATAGGTCACACGAACAAATTGATGGGTCATGAATACAGAGGATTTTATTGCCTATGACACAGGCTTTCAGGGGGAATGGGAGCTGGAAAGGCGATGGAGTGAGAAGGTGGTCTTCTCCTAGAGTCTGTCCATCCCCTGCCAGGTTCTTCTCTGAAGTCCCAGCATCAAGCCATCCCTCTAAAGTCAAGCTGCTTCCCTCTGACATCTGCCTACTTCTTTTCTTCTTTCTCTGCTGCTCCTCTGCCAGTGGAACCTGGGGTTTTTATGAGAACCTGGGTTTTTATGGGGTTTTTGTAGGATGGGGGGGTGGGCCAGGCCAGGGCAGTTTTCGAAAAGGCAACGTTCAAGGGGGGAAAATGAGGATGTAAAGTTCTCACTTTGAGCCATGGTTCCAAGCTTGAGGGTGGGGCCCTCCCAGGAACTGCCCTCTTCTGCTCAGTATTTCCCTCCCTCACTTGGACAATTCCAGCACCTTAAATTATTTATCAACAAAGTGCTCTGAGAGTACTTACAAATGAACGATTAATTTCACTTGAAGGGATCATGAGAAGAGAAAGTTTAATTTGGTCTGGGTCTTGAAAGATGAGTGAGATTTCAACAAGTGTGATCAGTGAAGGATAAGAAAGTAACCATATGTCAAACAAATGTGACAGTAAAGCCACAGAGCACAAGAAAGTACATAGTGTGTTTACGGCAATATAGATATCCTTTTGTAAGTCAAGAGTTATTTGTAAAAAGGCCCCTGCATGGTGGCTCATGCCTGTAATTCCAGCACTTTGGGAGGCTGAGGCGGGTGGATTACTTGAGGTCAGGAGTTCGAGACCAGCCTGGCCAACATAGCGAAACCCCATCTCTACTATAAATACAAAAAATTAGCCAGGCTCTATGTAGTGTGCCTGTAACCCCAGCTACTTGGGAGGCTTAGGCAGGAGAATCGCTTGAACCCGGGGGGCGGAGTTTGTAGTGAGCCAAAATCCCACCACTGCACTCCAAACTGGGTGACAGATTCCATCTGGCCAACAACAAGAAAAGAGTTACTTCCAAAATGTAAGGCTAAAAAGTAGAATCATGGCCACCTAGAAATGTACATCTGAATAGGCCTGTGAGACCATCCAATTCTACTCCCTAGTTTTATAGATGAAGAAACAAAAAGTAGCTAGAGTGACTTGTAAAGATCACAAGGATAACTACTTCTAGCCAGAACTGGACCCAAATACTCTGTCATCTAAAGCAGTTTCTTTTGCCCCATCCCATGTGTAGGCTGGCATCATATTGTGGAAGGTGGCTCTGGTGAGTGTTGGAAGTTTCTGAGAGGAGAGTGATATGATCCGACATGCATATCACACCAGAGAAAACCCTGAGGGCAGTGAGAAGGGAGGGACTGGAGAGAGAAAGATTGGTGAAAAAATTTCTGCAGTCATCTGAACCACAACTGTGATGACTGAAATAGAAAGGATGTGATGGATTCAAGTGTCATTTCAAGGATGAAATTGCTGCTGCTTGGTAATGAGAGAGAGGGAAGAATTACAGATGATGAGCAAGCTGTAGAGCCTGGGTGAAGGTGGGTGTTATTCCATCACCTGGGAAAGGAAAAGGAGAATGAGGAAAGACTCAGAGGGCTAAACAGGTTAACTCTGTGTTCTCCTATCTTGGTGAATGGAACTTAATCACTCATTAGAAGTTAGGGTCTAGCTGGGTGCGGTGGCTCATGCCTGTAATCCCAGCACTTTGGGATGCCAAGGTGGGCAGATCACCTGAGGTCAGGAGTTTGAGACCAGCCTGACCAACATGGAGAAACCCCATTTCTACTAAAAATACAAAATTAGCAGGGTATGGTGGCACATGCCTGTAATCCCAGCTACTTGGGAGGCTGAGGCAGGAGAATCGCTTGAACCAGGGAGGCAGAGGTTTCGATGAGCCAATATCCCACCATTGCACTCCAACCTGGGCAATAGAGTAAAACTCCATCTCAAAAAAAAAAAAAAAAAAAAAAAAAGGGTCTAGTCTCTGCTCCACGTTTCTGGCCCTTAGAGAATACATGCCAAGATTAGTGGCAAATGAGGCCAAATAATCAACTTTATTAATGGCTGGTGAAGAACAACAACAAAAAGAGAGGTTTTGAGCACTATACAAAGAGCGCTCTTATTTTTTACCCCAAGTCAATCTTCCACAGGGCAGATTCTGAGTAGTTGTCTCCATCAGCATCAAGGAACACATTCCCAAACTCAGACAGAGGTAGAACAGAGAGATAGAATGGCAAGCACATCTGTCAAGAAGAGGGGCCCAGTTCTGTGGATGCGGTTAGAGACAAGATGCAGAGGAAACCTCTCCACATAAGCATAGACAAAGGAAGGGGAGGTTTCCTACCTGGATTTTTCTTTAGAAGACAGCTGCCCTTCCTTTTAATAAATAATAGCCCAAGGAGTACACAACTCTGGCCAAGTAGATCGACAAATCCACCTCCTCAAAGAAAACACAGAAAGAGGCAGGAGCTTCTTTCTCAGTGTGACCCTGCAAAAGTCAAACTTACAGCAGAATAAAAGGAACAGAATATTTCCTTCCCATATTTTTAAAGTCAGAAACCTGAGAATCATCTTCTCCCCTGACAGTTTTCTCCCATTCTCTTCTCTCATGATAGTCAGGCAATCCCTAAGTCCTATCAGCTTTATCTTCCAGATACAACACAACCTTGTCTCCACTCGCCCATCCTCACTGGTATTTCCTTCATGTCCCCTAGATTAGTGCAGCAGAATCTCCCAAATGATGTCCTAATCTCTGACTTCACAACCTTCCATTTCATTCTTTACAATTCGGAGATATTCTAAGATGCAATGTAGTCACACTATTCTTCCACTTAAAACTAAGTGCTCCCAGTCATCTCCAGGATAACATCCAAATGCCTGTCAGTGTTGTGTTTATTGCAATTATTTGTTGCCATGTCTTTTTATTCTACTACATTTCTAGTCCTTTGGAGTTCTTGCGTTACAGAGATGTTTTCCCATTTATTATTATATTGCCAATGCCTGGCAATGTATCTAAGTACTATATTAGAAATATTTTGTCCTGTATACAAGACCCTTCCACATCTGACCCTATTTCTCCAACTTTGTGCCCTGTCACAGCCCCACAAATTTCTTCTTAACTCTCATATGAGTTCTAATTCCAAGTTTCCCAAATTATTCGCAGGTGTCTGAGTATTCTTTGCTCTTTCTCCTCACATTTGCTCACTGTTTTTGTGCTCTTCTTTCTATTTCTCTTTTCTATCTAAATATATTTCTCATTTACTACCTACATTTCAAGACAACAACTCATGCCTCCCTTCCTCCACACAGCTTTTGCTAATCTTAATGCTTACTTTTCATCATACCACTGGATTCAGACTGAGTAGAAGATTCTTCCCATGGTATCTATGCATATTTCTAACGCTGCGTTTATCAAACTGCTTTACAATGGTTATTTACCTTCTTTCTTCTCATATATATGTTAAATTTCTTAACTGGTCTTCACCTCTGGAAGCAGGACTAAATGACACACACATAGATTCAGTAACTATTGAATGAAAAAAAGAAGGAAGGGAGGGACGGTGGAAGAAAGGGAAGTGGGGAGTGAGGAAAGAAGGAAAGAAGAAACAAAGGAAGGAAAGAAGGGTGGAAGAGGGAGAGAAAAATGGGAAAAAAGAAAGAAAGAAAGGAGCTCAGCCATTTATATATTAAGTTTTTCAGTGAACATTCCTTGTGAAATGTTCAATAGATCCATACAGTAAAGCAGACAGAAGCTTGAGTATCTCTATTCCTCTGTCTTCCTGCTAATTACTTTGCTTTAATAGACCTTCTGAAACAATTCAATAACTAGAGGGTTTATTCTAAATTGCATTTTAAGTTATTAGGAGACAGAGTAAAAACAAATCTTTTAGGAAAAGCCATTGTTAATTAAATATTTAACTTTCTTCACTTTGTCTTAAGGCCTGCAGAGTTATGCAAGTCCAAAAATGTCTACTACTCAATTAAAAGGTGCAACTATACAAAGTAAGCGAGGGAAAATTCAACTATGTTTATAAAGCACTTGTGAATTTGCTGTACTGCTGGAAGAGTACCACATCTCTCCACTATGTTGTCTAGTTGCTGCCTTCTTTCCAGACAGCTGCAACTGACTGTCATGGTTACAATCATGAAATACAACATTTCAAAAATTAAAGCATAGTTCATGGTTTCTTTCGTTTTTTGAGGGGGTAGGGGGGCATTAAATCTTAAAGCTCCAAAAGTCCATTTCTTGATGAAATGCAAAAATCCTTTAAAATTATTACAGGAATAAATAAGAAAACTTGAATATTAAAAAAATAAAACCATTATAGTTAATTTACATGAGTGAAAGCTAGAGGAGGAGCTGATAGTGAATAATAGGAGTCGCTTATTAAGGCCTAGAGTGCTGCGTAAGTAAGTTGTAAGAAAACATGTAGCTTTAGTCTGCAAAGTTCTGTTATTAACATTGTTGCTTCTTTGAAGAAAGAAACAGAACAAAGAAAGTTAAGGTTCCTGTTAGCAATAGCAAATATGAAACATAGCTGACACTTCCAATCAGTATCTATTTTGTCTTTTCCTTGCCTATTCTCATTTTCATGACAAACTTATTTGACTAGAGCTCTTCATTCAGTCAATAAATGCTTATTGCTTTGCTATTATGTGAACATAATGGTTAGCAAACCACATTCCTTGCCCTGAAGCTTATCAGGCAGATTTTTAAAAATCAAGGAGAAAATCAATGTGTGATCACGGATAAACTGAGAAAGCAGGGAGAAAAGAACATAATTTAGTGACATACGGACTTTGGCAAGGACTTGCAAGTGGCGAGAAGGCAGGGTGGGAGGGTCACTGTTATACTGAGATACTGAGTTAATTCAGTAAAGAAGGGTGGCAGAGGAATGGGAAAAAAAGAATCAGAGGACAGAGAGAGGATTTCCCAGTATGAAAGAACAGCATCTTCAAAAGCAATGAAAAGCATATTTTTAATTAATTTGCAAACACTTTAATATCTTGTAACATATACTACATGGAAGAAAAGACAGAAGAGGCTGAAAAGATACAAAGGCAAGATCATGAAAAATCTGATAAGATATGTTAAGGAGTTTGGATTTTATTCTGAGGACTGTGAATTGTACTTGGAAGCAAGGAATTCCATAATATAGGTTTTAGAAAGACCATAAGCCATTGGTACAGGAAAAGACAAGACTGGAGAGAGTTTGGAGATTGTTCTGGTAACCCAGGTGAGAGGTAATGATGGCCTAACCCAAGAGAGTGGAGACGATTTGGAAAGACATGGATAAATTGGAACAGTATTAAGGAGGAAACAATAATGGGACTTGCTGCATAAGTGTAGAGATTTAAAAAAGAATAAATACCTCTCTAGGTTCTTTATATCATGTATTTTTTATTTTATTTTTGTGTTATGTGATCTGTGGAACCTAATCACTCATGGTGGCTAACCATCCTAAGAAGTCGCCCAAGGCAGCTACGTGGGCTGTATCACTCATTACCCTGATGGGCTAAGAGCACTAACAGACGTGAAACTTCTTGTCCAACTAACAGCTATATTTTCATTGCTCTAGAAAAAAAAAAATGGAACATTCAACATTATACCTAGGGAACAAAAATGAAAAATACCTAAAAAGATAAGAAGAATAATGACAAGTTTGTGATTAGTATTCCCCATATAAATTACTAATAGCATAATAAACAACCCTAAATGCCTCAGTGAATCTGATGTGTTTCTGAATTTAGTGTGGTGTTTCTGCTCAAATCAAAAGATGTTTCTATAACTATTATTTTACATGAGTTCACATCCTATGGGTCTTTCTTTGAACCTGGAATTTAAGCAAACCTCAAATCTAATTATAAGCCGTTAGGGTTCTTCTTCCTCCAAAAATCTGAGGATAGACTGAAATCCTTTTCATATTTGCATGAAATTGATATGGTAAGTATAGTTCCCTATTAAGAGACTTCTCAAGCAAAGATAAATGTAAGCACATTTCAAAATGTTCCAAGTATCATCCAGTCTTTGCCTTTTACTACATCAACCATGAGCCAAGAAAAAAAAAAATAGGAAAAAAGTAGTTTGTGCCTTGAGCAAACAGAGATGAATAACAGCGAAAATCCAAACATACCAACCTGATAGTCTCTTTTAAGGAAATAAAAGTAACACAGACTTCTGAGAAAATATAAATGCCATAGGGTGCTAAAAATATCAGTTATATAACACGAAGGGAGAAGCGGCAAGGGAGTTGTTCATAAAGAAAAATCTTCCCCAAACCCCACATAACAAGCCAACTCACACAATACTCAAGAGAACTTTATTCTTTTGCTGCTCCTTCCCTGGATGGCCAAAAGTACAAATCCAGTAAATGTATGTTGATAGGTTTGAGTCTGGGAGAAACAATACCCTAACATTACAAGTCTTGGATATAGCCTGGCAAATATATGGCCAAACCAGAAAATTCTCCATTCATTACAAAAGAACTGCACAACCAACATGGTGAGTACATTAAATTACACTGAGTAGTATTTACTGGCCCTA
Organism: Homo sapiens; assembly: GCF_000001405.40. NCBI lineage: Eukaryota > Metazoa > Chordata > Mammalia > Primates > Hominidae > Homo > Homo sapiens. The sequence goes on from NC_000013.11 coordinate 59,258,673, forward strand.
CACCTTTTGAAAAAATTGCCTTACATTTTTAAAATGACAAATTGTTTAAGTAGTTTTAGAGAGGTTAGAAATTAGACACATACCTACCTTGATCTAGCACCCTACCTTAGAAGAACAACAGCTGCCAAAGATATCAGGTTCTCAATCCTGGAACCTGTAAATGTCACCTAATGTGGAAAAAGAGTCTTTGCAGATGTGATTAAGTTAATGGTCTTGACATGGGAAAATGATCCTGGATTATATGAATGGGCCCTAAATGCAATCACAAGTGTGCTTGTAGGAGAGACACAGAGGGACATTTGATATGGACAAAGAGGAGAAGCGATATGACCATGAAAGCAGGGATTGCACTGATGTGGCCACAAGCCACGGAAGCCTTAGGGTTACCAGAAGCTCAAAGAGGCAAAGGAGTCTTCCCTAGAACCTGCATAGAGAGAGGTGTCCTTGCCCACACCTTGATTTTGGCCCAGTGATACTGATTTTGGGCTTCTGGCCTCCAGAACTACCATAGAATAACTTTTTCAAGTTTGTAGTAACTTGTTGGAGCAGCCACAGGAAGCTAATACAGATGCCTTGGGTGTAGTAGAGAATGGGGAAATTTCTCATCATTCACTCTGCACTCACCAGTTCTACACAATGTGCTCGGGGCCTTGGGTGTGTAACCTCATAAAAGAGGCAGAGCTTTAACTGCTTTAACTGAAGCCTGTTGAGTACAGGCAGTCTCCTGCGTATCCTCACACCAGAGGAGATTCAAACTTCTGTGGAATCAGAACAGGCAAGCCCACTCAGTAGCAGTTAGGCAGAGGGTAAGTGACTACATCCCTTTCGATGCAAATTACTGCAGCCAGTTCCAACTGGAAACATTGTGGTAGCACCTCAGTTTGTACGTCTCACTGGTAGGGAGAACTCAGAGGCCAGTGCGGAGTGATAGGAAGGGCGGCTCCTGGAGTAGGGTACTCTTTTCTCGGTCCAGCATTCATCAACAAAGTGACTTTGAGCAAGTTACCAACCTACTTCACAACAGTGTCCTAGGGCAGCTTTGCAATTAATTTGTAAATGCCCTTTGGCCCACAGAAAATCCATTCAGCCTGTGAGATTTGTATCTCCCAGAGCTACTGATTTGCATACCATGCAGCTATGCCAAGGAGGCAAGCATCTGCCTGCAGTAAATGCAAAGGCAGAGTTCTCTTCTATACACGCATTCCCTGGAAAATCCAAATTACAAAGAAAGGAAGAGGGAGACTATTACATTTGCTTCAGTGCCATTGACTGAATCCTATTTGACCCATTCTGATTATGTTTAGCAAACAGGTATACTGGCGAGCATTTATTTCCTCGGACCTGAGAGACTATGGGCAAAATGTGTTCAGATGCTTTTGGATCCTCAGGAAAAGGGCACTGTATAAATCCAGGGGACTGTTATGTGAGAGAGACGGAGCCTTTATCTCCCAGTCTTAATAAAGAACTAAGCATAAGGCCTATCTGACTTCTAGTTCAGACACCAAATTGACCCCTCTGGGAGTTGGGGAAGTCTCAATCTCCTTCCTGCCTTATATAGCAGTGGTAATAAAGGAGCGTGAGCTGAGGATTAACTAAAGTTCACATACTGCCTTGAAGAGAAAAGTCTTGATTTAAGTGCTGAGAATTTATATTAGTGGGAGGGGAAAAGACTAGAGAATGGCAAAAGGAATGGAAAGTTACACAAAGTTATAATGAAAAATATAAGTTGAAGCAGGTCTAAGGTAAAGATGAAAGATCAGACACAAAGTAGGGGGTAGGAAATGTGTTTTGTTTTTTTTTTTAAGAAAAAAAAAACAGGCTTTTTCTCCAGCTATGTTGGCTCCATCAGGGAATGCTCCTGTGGGTCCTAAAGGGAAGCATATCCATTAAACAGGAAAAGAATCAGGGTTCTAAGTGGAGAAAAAAAAAAAAGCAGCAAAAAATACCAGGGAACAAGAGAAAGAAAACGGTTAAAAGGCAGTAAGGGGCATGATGAAACAATAAAGAATGAAACTCTTAAGAACTTGAACAGGATCTCTAAGAGTCCATTAGCCCCCATTCATTAAAATAGCAAGGATTGCTTCCCTGACTTCATGAAATCAGAGTTAGCCCAGCCTGTCACCTTCCTGATACAAAAATAACTTGACCAAATAAAATGGCTGTGGTCTAGCCTCTTGGCATGTGGCAAAAAGAAATATTTTATTCATATTCAGATATTCTAACGTAAAATATACCGACCACCAAAACTGTATTTGTATACAGAAAAGCAATTTAACAGAACTTAGTTGAAAAGTTGAACATAATTATATTGGTTTGCAGGCTTTTATTATCAAGTAAATGGTTATCTTTTTGTTGATCAATTTGTTTTTTAATCTCATCACTTAAACTTTACCTAGATGTAGCTGACAATATAGCCTACAAAAGGTAAACATGTTAAAATTTACATAAATTGTTAGGGGCAAAGATATTATACCTTACTTTGGTATTATACATAGGTAATTCCAAAACCCATCCTGTGGTTTTGTAAAAGTCTTGGACAAAATCCATTGGATTTTGTGGTCACATGTCTCTTTGTGGTGCGAGGTGAAACAGGGGGTCGGAAAGTGACCAAACTGGGATTTAATTCACAGTCCGAAAGAAAGACAGAATTTCCCCAGCTCATGTGTGGGCAGATCTCAGATTACAAAGCCAATCTGCCATGCTCTATTTCTCTAGGAGTACACAGTCCTTTTACCCTGTTCCGAATGTGCAATTATGCCATATTGTCTATGCAGCATTTTAAGATTTAAAAATCTCATTTTTTAGCATCATCATTCATTTGCTGAACAAAAGTATCAGATAGGATCCAGCTAAGGAATCAAAACCATACCAGTTATTTTAATAAAGAGAATTTAATTAATGCAAAGAAATCTTAACTAGGATTTACAAAACTGAAAACCTGGAGGTCTCCTAGAGGTGCTAAATGTAGAAAGCAACTACCTCCCCAAGGGCTGGAGAACAAGGGGACATGCTGGGAATATTAAACTTAGAGCTACATTGTCAATATGGTAGCCACTAGCCACCAGTGGCATGGAACACTTGAAATGTGTTTAGCCCAAATTGTGATGTGCTGAAAGACTAAAATACAAATGAGATTGCAAAGATTTAGTATGAAAAAGGAGGTAAAATATCTCAATAATTTTTAGATTGCTTATATGTTGAAATGATATTTTTTGATACATTGGGTTAAACATGTATTTATTTCACCTATTTCTTTTTTACTTAAAACAAATCATGACTTTCTTGTAATAGCATTGAAATATCTATAATGTCATTACTAGAAAGTTTAAAATTTCATATGTGACTTGCCTGTTATTTCATTGGACAGGGCTAGCTTACAGGCTCAGAGGAAGGCTCCCGTGGAGCTTGGACACAGTCTTTGGAGAGGGTGCTAGAGGCTGATGTTAGCGTATCTGAGAGTAAATGATAAGGCTGGTTCCAGCACTGTAAAAATCTGCAAACTGGAACCAATTGCTGCTGAATCAACTGTCCCTGCCAGGGTAAAGAGGTGTTGTTACAGTGGTTCTGATAGGGGAAATAGAGAAACAAGGACGAAGTCTTTTCCTTCCTTAGCCTTGCAGTTTACCTCTATTGCCCCCAAGTGGTAGAACCAAACAGGAGTTCAACTCTAAGGGAGAAAAGTGACTTGCAGGGTCCCAGCCCCAACTGCACAAAGCAAAATATAGAAAGGTGAGTCTGATGTTGAGACGCAAATAGCCTAATAAAAGATGCAACAAATATTCATCAAGTGTCAGGCATGGTTTTAGATATTAGGGCTACAACCACAAACCAGACAAAGTCTCTGTCCTCATCCAGCGTCCATTCTACTGAGACACAGCAGACAACAAGCAAACACATAAACAAATAAGATGATATTTGTCTAGGCATTATGGAAAGAAAAAAAGCCATGGCTTAGAAGGTAGCAAGATGAGAGTGGGGCACACATAGCTCCCAGAGGGAGCTGCAAGAGGTCCCTGCAAGAGGCCCCTGGACACTTGTTGGTCTGCCAGAAATCCAAATTCTGCCACTAGTCACACCACCTGCATCTCATGGAGAAACATTGCCACGATTACATGGTTGCACTAAAATGCAATGCAAATATTAATGAAGATAATATTACTGCCCAGGTATGAAACAGAAAAATAATTTTATCACTGGATAAAGACATGAAAAAACTAGACTTCAAGGACATCCACCTGAGTATTCTGGCAGAAAATCATGAAATTTAGTGTTTTCATTGATTTGATAGGCTTATCCTTTAACCCAGATTCTAAGACATATGAAAGGACGTCTTGGCTCTCCAAGGAAAAGAAGCCATTGAAATTTGGTTTTCTTTTGGCTTGGCATTATACAAAAACAATGGGCCTAATAATTTCATATCAACTCAGTGCTACCCTCAGCCAAGGACGGTGGTGGCAAAGAATCCTTGTATACAATCACTGGTTGCATATTTCCAGAGAGGATCTGTCTCCTAATGGAACAGCTAGCTCACTACTCTGATTAAACAAAGTTAGTTCCTCAGATTACATTGTCAGTTCAAGACTTTGCAGACAGCCCTGTTTCATAAAGAGAAAATGAATATTATTTTTAAAAAAGAGAAACATTTTTACAACTTTGTAATTTTTAATAATCAGGACTATTGGCTTCAGAAGGCTATTGGGGCAAATAATGACTGTCCACCATCAAAATTACAAAGTTTTAAAATAATAATTATAAAAAAAGATGGGAACAAGATGAGGTCGAGCACTGATTTAGATAATGAGGTCAGTAAACGCCCCTCTCAGGAGATAATATTTGAACTAAGGTCTGAAGGGAGGTGGGGAGAAAAAAGTCTTCCAGGGCAGAAGGAATAAAACTTGCAAAGTCTCTAAAAACAGAATGACCTGGGATTGTAGTTGGAGCATAACTGTCAGGGGAAAGATGATGAGGGATGATTGGGACCAGATTATGTAGGGTCCCTGTAAGTCATGATAAGTAATGAGGATTTTAACTTAATTGCTATGGGAACCACTGTAGGATTTGAAGCAGGAGAGTGGTATGATTTGATTTACATTTGTAAAAGGTCATTCTGGCTGCTGTGTAGAGGAAGACTCTAGAGGGGCAAAAATATGAGGAAAACCAGGAAGCTAGTGCAATAGCCTAGGTAAAAGATAATGATGGCTGGGACTCTGATAGAAGCAGTGGAAATGGTAAGATAGGACTGTATTCAAGATATAAATTAGAAGTTGAGCCAACAGTTCCATTAGAGAATGGGCTGATTCATGTAATTCACTTGAGTAAATTTTTCAAAGAGCTAACATACTTTGAACACCAAAATTATTTTTAAAAAATCTTGTTTTCGTGGAAATCTTTCAAAATTGTACAAAACATTCCTTGATCTTCTTCTATAGAAAATTCCAACCAAATTTGCAAATTGTTACTTTGACTCAGATCCTGGTCTCCATTTTTGTCTGCCATCTGACACATTCCCTGTTAATTTCTTGAGTTTCTCAACTCCAATTACTTTCACTCCATATGTTAAAGCTCCCCTTGTTTTGAGGCAAATTTTAATTAGGATGGAAAGACTATTTTTCTATATAAACGAATCCATACATTGGCTATGCCATTTAGGGAGAAGCTGCACCTGCCTGACTGAGGTCAGCATCTGCCACCCCAGCCTGTTCATCAAGCCTTCTCTTACCAAAGCCCTCAACTTGGTAAGGTGATAAAATTATCTTTACTTCTGAAAACCAAAATTATCTTTGCTCTTGAGACACCAGCTATGTTTACCTGCTATACCCCACCAAGGTCAAAATCAATACAATCCACACTTACAAAAGCCAAATGACCATTTACAAAACCTAATCTTCATATTGAGTCCCAATTTCTAGTCCTTGTCTAGTTTTACTGTTCTCAGCTAATCCACAAAGATGCTGAGGTTTCATGGGGCCAATAAATGACCTTCCTTTCTTCCTTTCCCAGTTTCTAGATGGAAGTCTGAATTAGAAATCAAATTATCATTTACTAAGGGATCTAAACTAGAGCCTGTGGCTTGAATTTAAGGCCAACGGCTTTCCTAATATGTCCTCCTGAACTGAACTCAAACCACCACACTACAAACTCACCACCTGGAATGATGAAGGTGAAAGTGAAATTGGAGTGGGATGAAGAGCCTATAGAAAGTAAAGAAGGAAGAGAGAAAATAATACTTGATCCTTCATAAAGCTGGGTTCTGAAGAGGAACAGAGAAATGGAGCCATAGCTAAAGGGGATGTCAGATCAATGGAAGATTACATTATGAGAAGGGAAGTAATGGGATATGTTTATATATTCATGGAAATAATCAAGGGAGGTGGGAGAGATTAAGAATGTTGGAAAATGTATATATACATATGTATGTATGTGTATATATATGTGTGTGTGTGTGTGTGTGTGTGTGTGTGTGTGTATATATATATCAGAAAAGGGGGTGTCCTTGACAGTCAGCAGAGAGATTTCAGAGCCCCAGTAGAGAGATTGGCCTCCATAGTAACGGGTGGGAATGTAACGGTGATGGGGGCACAGGAATTTAGGTTTCTAGATTTAGTTGTGGGCAGATGGAGTTTTCATTCTGTTTTCTATTTTCTGAATGAAAAATGAAGTGAAGTATTCAGCTAAGAATGAGAGGGTGGGAGGTGTGAGAATAGAGAAAGTTTGAAATTAAAATCTTGCTGGGTAGAGAAGCAGAGTTACAGAGGAAATGATTTCTTAGTACTTGCGGAAGGCCCACTCGAAGTTTGTAATAATTTAAAGTGAAACCAGTCAGCCCATCCACGTAACTTTCTCCAGCAGTATTTGGAAAGCCAGGGATAGCCAACGAGAAGCTACGTGGACTCAACTAAACACGAGCTATTGTAGGTCAAGATGGAGAGAAATGGAGAGCAAATGGAGTTGAGGGCTTTTGCAAGAGCAAGATTATGTTAATTTAGTTAGCAATAATCATTGAACTCCTGTTATATATCAGTAACTAGGCAAAAATACTCAGCCAAGCTGTAGGGAGTTGTTAAGTACTGGCCACTGTCTGGGGCTTCCACCAGAACTGGGTGTAGATTTTTTCCTTAACCCAGCCTTCCTTTTTTTTCTTTTTCATGCTTCTTGGAAACACACACACACACACACACACACACACACACACCACACACAAACACAAAATTGGTAATATATATTTAATACTTACCATGTATCAGGTACTATGCTAGGCACTGTTTAAAAACATAAACTCGCCATTCCATATACCAATGCTGTGAAGAAATCATTATTATTAGTGCCATTTGCAGATAAGGAAGATGCGTACAAAGATGTTAAGAAACTTATGCAGATAACCATACCACTTTTGGAACTACTAACTTCACAGACCTTTGCTCCTACAGGTTAAAGTCTTCATGATTTAGGGAAAAAAACCTGAAATATTTTTCGTTAAAATAGTTAAAATTTCCCATTTTCACTTGAGTGTATAAACAACCATGCCATTATCTGCAGATCCTTTTGGAAGAAGTTAAGAACCTTAAACTCTGTTACAAAATTGAGTGGAATTTTTATTTCAAATTATCTAAGGTTACAAATTGAGCAGTCTTGCCTATACGAGTAATTATTAAAACTCTACAAACAGGCAAATAACTATTGCAGCCTCTTTCCTTCCTAAACTCTCTTGTGGGTGATACATGCTGAAGAAAACATTTATGCTTTACTTAACATTTTCTACTTAAGAGAAACAATCTGAATGTCTAAATTTGGGTCTGGAAAATAAACACAAATTTCCCTTCCATAATTCCTCTTCCTTCCTTCCTTGCTAATCAAACCAAGATAATGGTTCTGCCCTAGAAATTGCCCAATGACTAACAGGTACTATTGTTTTTCATATGAGAAACCACACTTAAGGAGACACCCCTTCTTATTTGTGAAAAATATTGCAAAATTAAGGAGGATCAAGAGAGTCAAGCAAGGGTGAAGTTCACTCACATTCTTGACAGGGAAATCAAGAGTTTTCCATTGTTCCCCTGTTATCTAGAAAAACACAGAATTCTTAAAGTTGAATCATGCAAAAGTTCCTTTGACTACTTATATTTTTCAAGACTATACTATATTTGAATATGTCCAAGTATCACTATCTGGAAAGACACACACAGGTCAGTCAGACAAATATTTAAAAAATGAACGGTACTTCCTTAACAGCAAAACTAATTGGTATGCATAGCACTGTAGCCAGGTTTGGTAATAGCTATCATTCACTGAGAATTCTCTATATTCTAAGCTGCAGGTTCTCAATCTTCATTACATATTAGAATCACTGAAGAAATTTTTGTTTCGTTTTAACTTTTTATTTTAAATTAATTTAGACTCAGAGTAGTAGAAAAAAATAGCACCAAGTGTTCTCATATATCCTTCACCTGCTTCCTATAACATTAACTCTTTACATGATCATGGTACAATGATCAGAGTCAGAAAATTAACATTGGTACAATACTATTAACTAGATTATTAGAATTGTATTAGTTGTCTCACTAACATTTTTTCTTTATTCAGTATTGGATTTATTGTTATTTCTTCTTAGTTTGTTCCAATCTTTGATACTACCTCAGTCTTTCCTTATCTTTCATAACCTCAACCCTTTTGAAGGGTGCTGATCAAGTTATTTCATAGAATTTCCCTCAGTGTAGGTTTTTCTGATGTTTTCTCATATTCAGAATGAAGTGATGCATTTCTGTAAGAATACCACAGAAGTGATGGGCGCTTCTCAGTGTGTCAGATCAAGGGGTTTGTGATATTAACATCCTATTCTTGCTGCTGTTAACTTTGATTGCTTGGTTCAGGTCACATTTACTGGGTTTCCCCATGGTAATATTACTATTTTTCCCTTTGCAGTTATACATATCTTAGGGATAACACTTTGCAACTCTGCAAATACTGTTTCTTGTCAAACTTGCATCCACTTGTTTTAACATCCGTCAATAGATCTTGTCTACAACAATTGTTACTGTGGTGTTTGTCTAATGGTGAGTCCTTCTACACTTAGTGTTTGGAATTCCACCTGAGGAGATTTTTTTAAATGCTCATACCTTGCCCCCACCAGAGAGCAATTAAATGAAAACTTACTAAGCATATAATCACATGTCCTCACAATAAGGCTAATAGGCTGATATTATTATAATATTATTACCTGCATTTAAATATGAGTAAATTGATACTCAGAATGACATAATAACTTACATTTTTTGTGCCACTAAGTAGTGAAGACAAGACAGAAATTCTAAGCTGCCTGTCTCTAAAACTCATGCTCTTTTCACTGTCCCATCCTCTCTCCATCAAAGTTCAGCTCATTCTTCCTGATGTTAAATTCTGCCCCATTTAAAGCCTACTCTCTCTCCCAACTTCAATCATCTGTAATTTTTGCCTAGATCATTCCAGGGTTAGACACATCTTTTTTTCCGGAAACTTTTGACATCCACCTTCCTTAAGAGTTAGGAACAGCTGTCAGCTACATTATTTGTCTTCACCTGGAGAATAGATCATTGCTGAAAAATTTGTAGATGAAAGAGTATATCTCACACACACACACACACACACATATCAAATCATTTATGTGTTTAGGATAATAAACAAATAAACAATATTTTAATGAAATATAATCCAAATGCTCTCTGAGCGAGTTAAATTCATCAGGCATTGAAACATCAAAAACTATGCATGCAGTCAGTGGTTAAGAGCAAGGTTCTGAAGCCAGGCAGATCTGAGTTAGAGTTTAGCAAAGCACTCAAAGACATTGAACATGTCTTTTAACCTCTTTAAGGTTTAATTTCCTAATTTTTAAAATACACTTCTTGCGAAGAGTCAATGAACTCTTAGCACAGGGCACAAGCAATTAGCAAATATGAGCTTTTAAAAAAAAAACCACTATAACCAAACTGCTTCTTGACAAGAGACAAGTGCTTTTAAAGAAGATTCTGGGGCCAAACGTGAGAGAAGTAAGCTTAGAGAATTTGGATTTTTAAGAGACCAGATGTTGCGGGAGTGTACAGGAGTTTTGGAACTGTCAGAGGGGCACATCAGGCCTCTGATAGAGAAGGAGAAAGGGAAATGGAGTGTGTGAACAGTCTTGATTGATTTCCCTTGTGGAGGCAACTATCAGTACAGAGCTAGATAGCTGCCAATCAGTTATGGTATCATCTGAATGTAAAGGTAAAGTTTTCCCAAGAACGTCTTTCAGGAAGGATATTATATGTGTGTATCATGGAGATAAGAAATTTTGTCTATTTCAGTCATTTCTATACTCCAAAAACACTACCTAGCATATAGTAACTGTTCAATAAATATTAATAACTGTTGGATTAATGGATAAATGAATGAATGCATGATAGATTCAAAAGACCATATTAAGAAGCTTAGCTCCTTAATTAGGAAGGTATGCCCCATAAATTCAAAAGACCATATCAAGCTTAGCTCCTTAATAAGGAAGGTATGCCCCATTGCTTACAGCGTTTTCTCTTGTGGAGAAGGGTAAGCAAATTAGGGAGCAGGGCTGATTTTCTCAAGTCTGTAGAAAAAAAGCCTGAGTGCACCTACCAGCTGCTATTCCTCTCTTCCTCTTCCTCATTTTAGAGTTTAGAGTTTCCTCTAAACCTTTGTTGAACAAATAAGGAATGGTAATTTTTTTTTAAGGATGCAAAATTGTAAACTGGTAGGACATTTATAAATCTGTTAGACCTTGGCTGTATGTCACTGAAAATTACATATATACTAGGGAAAGCAGTCATTGCTTGCCCAGCTATGAAAATGTGAAATAAGATGCCTGTGGCAAAGACTGGAAGTTGCTTTTTTCACGTTCATGCTTAATGAGAGAACCTGAGGAATGTGCCTAGCTGAAGAATTGTATTTCCCAACCACATTTGTAAATCCAAGTAGTCACTGTGATGTAAGAGACCTCCAGGGAAACTCTTTTGCCCCTGGCTCTTACTATTATTATCCCTGCCTGGAATGAAGACATGATGGCTGGAGCTCCGTGAGTCATCTTGTAATTTTGAGGATGCTGGAACAGAAAGCTATTATAAGGCCAGGTCTCTAATGATTTTCTGGAGCTGCCATACCAGCTCTGGAATTTCCAGCTCCAGGCTTGAATTATGTGGAAGAAAAATAAGTTTCTATCTTGACTATGTGACTATAGTTGGGTCAGTTGCCAGCATAATTTCAGTGTTGTACTCCCGTTAGATGAAGCATGTGTACAGCTGAATCAGTAGAAGCTAAATACGTGTCCTTTGGAGGAAGAAGGCAATTAGAAGTGTTTTTTTGTTGTTGTTGTTGTTTTGGTTGTTTTTGTTTTTGTTTTTGAGATGGAGTCTCGCTCTGTCTCCAGGCTGAAGTGCAATGGCACGATCTCAGCTCACTGCAAGCTCTGCCTCCTGGGTTCAAGCGATTCTCCTGCCTCAGCCTCCCGAGTACCTGGGACTACAGGTGTGTGCCACCACGCCCAGCTAATGTTTGTATTTTTAGTAGAGACAGGGTTTCACCATGTTGGCCAGGATAGTCTTGATCTCTTGACCTTGTGATCCGCCCTCCTCAGCCTCCCAAAGTGCTGGGATTACAGGCATGAGCCACTGCACCTGGCCTGGAAGTTTTCATTGGCAGTGTTAGTAATTATGAAGAGGGCAGGAGAAAATACAGAGCACAACTTAAGGAAACACTTCTTATGAGAGCACTATTACCTACTTTAGAGTTGAACAACAGACCTTGTACCTAAGCAAATATTTTTGTCAATAACTGGCACATTTTAGTATTGAAAATAATCATGAATCACCCAGTTCAATTACCCATCTGTTGCTCAACTCTCCTCTAGAATATTTAGGTAAGAAGTCATCCAGTTATGTTTGGCTACATCAAGTAATAAGTAACTATACTTCCCATGCCTGCCCATTTTTATCTTTGAACAATTCTGATAGTTAAATTGTTTTTTACATTAAGCTGAAATATGTTTTCCTCTAGCTTCAGTCCACTCATTCTAGTCCTGATCTTTAGAGCAATTTCAGCACATTCAATCCCTGTTCTAAGTGACAAGCCTTCAATTACCCGACTCCTCTTGAGACAGTTGCCCTTTCAGATCTTCATGTCACAATATCATTCTGAACATGTGGAAATCCACTTCTCCAAAATCCAGAGAATATGTATGACTATACCTGCTCATTCCTTTCCTAGCTATTGCATTTTTTGAAAGGAGGTGGCCATGTCCTCTCCAATTACATAACAACTTCCATTTTGCTGAAAAATTATCTTTTCACTATCAAATACAAGGTAATTATTATTTCCAGTTGTTTTTAATAACTCTGGGAGATAAATTTTGAGACAAAGCAGGTAAGGAAGTTGTCAGATGTGTACTATTAAGTGAATGAGCGTTCCATTGCATATCCCCCAATTTTTAAAATTCCCCATTTTTTCTATATGTTATACCTGTGCAACTTGTATGACCTAAATCAGAAATAAGTCATTTATTTCTTACATCAAGCTAAATGATATTTAATACATCTTCACAATAATAGTACATCTGTCCTTTCACCTTTCATTAATACTCCATGATCTCCAAGAAATTATTTTCTTAGAATTTTGGAGTTCTAAGCAGGCATAAATGAAACAACACAGAATATGACTGTAACTTTTTCCACTCAACAAAATCTGTTCCTACTGAATTGGAGCTGTTTTCCCATTACCATATTTCAAACATACCCTGCTTGCTAAGCTTTGGTGACACCAACGAGATATTTACCATCTGTGTTATGATATCTAATTCACTTGGTTACCTGCTAAAATCAAATCTATTGAGCCCACAGGATGTAATAATAACCAAAATAAATGTAACCTAAAATAGTTATTTTTAAAATGAAAAAAAATGAAATTGAAGTTTAGCCAACTGGCAATTTAGCGAGGGCATTGTAAATTTAATCAGGAACTAATCTCTGGGTTTGACACCTAAGGGCAGACATCCTATAAGGAACTTCTGCCACTTTTCTCTGCTTCCACAACTAGTGTTATGTCAAAAAGGCAAAATGAAAATGGTCAGGAGCGGCATTTACCTCATACCAGGAGAGTAAAAGTCATTTTTCAAGCTAGATTTTTAAGAGTGTAAAGCCAGGTTCACAGTTTAGGAGAAACATAGTTTCTCATTCACAATCTGTCTTCCAGCCAACCTATTCTATTACCAATATCAGGAAGGTGCAGAGATAAAATATAGTTTAAATCTCAAATCCCTCAAACCAGGCTGTCAGGGAGGGGAAAGGTCAATGCTGCCATGCTGGATAAAAGAAAGCTGATGATGACCACTGTGGTGATAGCAGCTTTTCACTTGATAAGTAGGAATTGGAAGAATTGGGATGGGATCAGCAGAAAATGAGAGTTGGGTTATTTGAGGCTTGTGCTGTTGAAGTTAGAGACAGATGTGCCCAGAGAGGGTTAGCTAAGTAGTAGGTTAGGCAATGTATGTTCAAATGGAGGTAAAGCATCTACAAGCTCTGGGACTCACTTCTCCTCTGCTAAATGCTGTAAGAGATTCTTTTCTTCTGATTCTGGAAATTTCATGCCCAAGCACAGGAGGGATAGGCGTCTTTGGTCTGTAAGTGTACTCATGTCCTCCACTGAGTTTCACTTAAGCATGTTTCTGTTTCATAAAATAAACATACAAAAATGTTCAGAAGGTTAGTGGGATATGATTTGGAGTTCTCATTCACATACAAAAATAATTGCTTGAATTATACAACTATTGTATAGAAGATAACATTTTTATTATTATCCTTATGGGCTAGTGTTGACATTTTACAAGCATGAGTGAGGATAGGATTCTTCTGTCTTCAAGGATTCCACAGGATAGGAGAGAAGATAAGGCATGCATAAGGAGCTAATACATCATCTGTACAATGGTGTATGCTTTCAGAGAGAGATACAGATAAAGAGCCCCAGAGGTTCAGAGAAAGAAGAGATGATCTCTGAACTCAAGAATACCACAAGCAAGATGGCAGATGGTAAAGCAACAGGATTCAAATAAAAGCATGTTGATTTAGTATCCTGAAACTTTACTGAAATCATTTAATAACTCTAGAAGCCTTTTGGTGGAGTCTTTAGTATTTTCTAAGTACAGAATCATATCATCAGCAAAGAGAGATACGTTAACTTCTTCTTTTCCTGTTTGGGTGCCTTTTATTTCTTTCTCTTGCCAGATGGCTCTGGCTAGAACTTCCAGTACTATGTTGAATAAGAGTGGTGAGAGTGGGCATCCTTGTCTTGTTCTAGCTCCAGCTTTTTCCCATTCAGTATAATTTTGGCTATAGGTTTGTCATACATGGCTCTTATTATTTTTAAGTATGTTCTCAATGCAACGCAGCCATAAAAAGGAATGGAAGAATGTCCTTCGTAGCAACGTGGATGCAGTTGGGGGCTGTTATTGTAAGTAAATTAATGCAGGAGCAGAAAACCAAATACCACACATTCCCACATATAAGTGGGACCTAACCATTAAGTATACATGGACATAAAGATGGGAACAACTGGAGACTACTAGATGGCGGAGCATGGGAGTGAGGTGAGGGTTGAAATGCTACCTATCAGGTACTATGATCACCACGTAGGTGATGGGATCATTTGTATACCAAACCTCAGTGACACACGGTTTACCCGTGTAACAAACCCACATATGTGCTCCCTGAGCCTAAAATACAAGTGAGAAAAACAGCAGCCACAACAACAAATGTGAGCATGGTGAGTGCTGGCTGATCTCAGTCTTACAGCCCTGCCTCAGCCACATCATTTCACTGTGCATTAGTTTCTTCAACCATTAAATGAGAAGGGGAAAATGGCATTCTTGCCCAAAGTACTCAATATCAATAGACAGGTCCCAAGCCAAACAAAAACATTGCATTGTTCATGGAAAGCTTCACAGTGCTCAGAATAGAGCAGAAGTAGCTTTGCTCTTCAAACTTTTACATGCTTCAGGATAGTCCCTACAAACTGTGACTGTGTCACCAAGCCAGAGGAGTAAAACTGGATGTTCACATGCAGCCAGTGTTAAAAGAAGGTTAATTTGTGTTAGCAAGCTGTCAAATAACCTGTCACACTTAATTATTTTTCTTCATACACAGACTCCCCCACCCCCTCGAAGTATTAAATAAGTAAATAAATAGAAAAACGTCTCCAGGATTATGTGATAATCTTTCAAGGCTACTTTGTGTCTAAATAAATAAGAAGAAAAACAAAAACACTGCTGTTCTAAAGGGCTTTTATTTTTCTCTTTGAAGGCACTGCAAAGTACTAGCCATGATATAAATTCAAGGGCAAGTGCTTTGTTCTTTATAAATTTGAATTAGTAAATTGTTCCTCTTCACCCAACATATTTTTAATGTACATAGAGATAAAATTTGATAAGTTCATAAAAACCATTAAATTAGCGCAACAAGAGGTGTTAATACAGTATAAGCACCAAAAATGCATGAGACAACCCAAAATGCAGAGAAAGTAATAGACTCTATTGTAGTATATGAATTACATTGTTAAAATGATTATTGATGTTATAGCTTATATTTCAAAGACTGCCTTTATATAATAGGTATATTGTCCAATCTGATAATGAGAAAATATGTTCTCAAGGGTATACCTGCTCATATATTATTTCTATAAAATTATAGATATGGAAGAGTTACCTGAAATAATGGGACATCTGAAAATAAGAGGCAGGGAGAAGAATCTAAAGGAATAAAATGCTTTTAAATAATACTAAAATATATCACTTTACAATTTTTTTTAAAAAGAAACTACTCTGCATCAGGTGCTTCAAAACAGAGTCAAAAAGGATGTGCGAGATCACATTATTTAGATTTCTATAGCACTGCACATTTTTCAAACATCACCTATGCATGAATTCTCAGCAATATTTTTCTATGGTTACTTGATTATAAATTAGATAAATCCTCTCTCGCTGTCTCTCCCCTTTTCTCTCTTTTATTCTGATAAAGAAATTGAGAAGGAAATGAGTTGAGTAACTTGTCTCAGCTCATGTTGAAAAAAAGACAAGATTCAGAATATCTAATAAGAGAATTTTCAAATATGATAAAAGGGGTCATGTCTGGCCAACTTAAAAAAAAAGAGAAAGAAAAATTCGTCCTTAATCATGGTTTAAACACCATTGTTTTAGGTTATGTCAGTGGTAGGGGTCACTTCTAGTTTCTAGCCCAACCTGTAAAGAGCATGCAAGTCATCACTCCCATCTTCACAAGAAAAAAAAAAAAAAGCTGAAAAGCTGAGCAAAATGAGAATCAACAACTCTTCTTACATCCTTCAGAAAATTGAGGTCACAGGACAAAGCACCATCCCCAAAATATGAAAGACATAGAGAATCACAGCTTACCAGAAACAGAAACCTCAGCTAGCACCAGCACTGGTTAGGAGTTCTTAAAGGGTAGTTGACTAATTGCTGAAGAGTAAACGTGGACTAGCTTAAGAAAGAAAAACTTCTGGCAGCCTTGGGGGTGCCCTCACACTTTTATGAGTTTTACCTTGAGTAGCCTCACAAGATTCTTAGTGAGATATCAATGAAAAACAAAATCACCTTATCTTCCAGTAAGGGAGGGAGAAAAGTGACCATTTTGAAAATGCCCAGAGCATTTCAGGCTTCTTAACAAGGGCTCCCTTTAAGGAAAAAATTTTCCCAGACCTTAACTGACTTGGATTTTACCAGACCCTAATAGACCCAGAGGAAGGGAAATACCCAACTTTAGTCCCCTCTAGCCTTCCTGTCTCATTTGAGAAACAAAACAAAACTAAACAAAACAAAACTAAGAAGCATTAGTGAAAGTGACAGCCCAGGGGCACAGGCCAACTAAAAGACTTAGATAAAATCAGAGGACTATAGAGTTCTTCTCCCACCACTACCACTCCACACACCTATCCTATAACCACATCAATAGGGTTCCTAAATAATAACAAGGGATTACAGCTAAAAAGCACTGCAAGTCTCAGACCCTATTTACAAATAAGCCTATAGGGAAATGCAAAGACAACAGAGAAGAAAAAAAAAAAAACAGGACATCAGAAGAAATTTTAGCCTCTGACATCTGCAGCTACAGCAAATTATAAACACAGACGAACTATAAAACCTCACTCAAAAAGTTACCTCCTTTCCTTTACCAATATATGAAGTTTACCTTTCAACAAAAAAAATCATAAGTCATGCTGAAAGGCAAAAAACACAGTCTGAAGAGACAGAGCTGGACTTAGGTATGGCAGAGGTTCTGGAATGATTGGACCTGGAATTTAAGTACAAGTAATATGCTAATGACTCTAATGAAAAAAGGAGCAATATGCAAAAACAGTTGGGTAATGTAAGCAAAGAGATGAAAACTCTAAGAATTAAAAAAAAATGCTAGAAGTAAAATTTGCTAAGACAGAAATGAAAAACGCCTTTAATGGGCTCATCAGTACAGTAGATATAGCCAAGGAAAGAATCAGTGAGCTTGAAGATATGTCAATAGAAATGCCTCAAACTGAAAAGCAGAGATTTATTTAAAAGAGAAAAAAAAAAAACTGGAAAAAAAGGAGCAGACTATCCAAGAAGTGTGGTGCAAATATGAAAGACGGAACATACAAATAATAAGAATTTCTGTAAAAGAAGAATGAAAAACAACCAGAAATAATATTTGCAGCATTAATGGCCAAAAATTTTCAATTGATGGGACTTGCTATAAGGATACAAGGGGAAATTAGGGAATGTAAAAAACTGTTTCAGCTACCAAGGAAAGTATCTCATGGAGAATTAGAATACCTTGTCTGTCTCATCACACAACATAATCTAGTAGTTGCTATTCCCATAGAACATTGTTCTACTATGAGTGGGTCTAGTTCTGTTTCCTGACTACTTTCTTCCTTCTTCTACCTCATGTCCTTTGTTTACATGACTTCTGCCACCTCATACCAGCTGTTTTTCTCTGGGTGTCTCTTAGCCTTCTGATTCATTTAGTGTCTGTGTCCCTCTCTCTATGTTCCTATTCTACTCCATAAGGAATAATATGATGGGGTTAATCACTGTCTAGCATAAACCATCCCTACTAGACAGGATTCATTCTTCAAGCCTCCTGATAGGTTGATAGATGATTGTATTTGGCTCTGGTGTCAATTCCCAATCTAATCATCTTTGATCTAAGAAAAGTCATGTAATAAAATGAATTAAGGACAAGATGCTTCCTACTTCATGTTTGGAAGGGACCACTGGCATGGTGCCCTCTTAGTGTGTTATCAATTTATCGAAATTTCTAGGCATTTGGTAGCATGTTGCAAAAAGCAAACAAATTTCCAAAGAAAATGGTAACTTTGAGACAATATATCCTTTTCTTCTTGAGCTCCATTTCTGTCTTATAGATACTCTCATTGAAATTATGTTGTGCATTCCCCACCAATAGTGTCAACTATTGAGAATGGATACCCCAGTGGAGAATGATATCACCAATGCAGTGGCAGGGAGTGTGAAATGTAACACTGCTGGTGACAGTCCTGGGGTAAACTCTGGGAGTTAACAGAACCCAAGCCAGACTTCCCAGACCACCCAGTGCACTCTTGTGACAGACCAGGACTGCCAGGTGCAAAGAGAGTAGAAAGATATGGATCTGACATCCCCAAAAGCAGCTGTACACTATACATTCATTGTTCAAGCAGCTGTACAGCTGTACATTCTTGACAGTCCCATTACTTGAGTTATTTCACTATGTCACCTGTCCCAAAATATTTTTAGCTATGCCTCTACTAAACATGTGGCTTGAAGAAGCAAAGATAAAAATGTAGGCTGCAGCCTAGGGTTGTGTGTGTGTTTGTGTGTGTGTGCGCATGTGTGCATGCACATATCACGCTGTGTGTGTAATTTTTCCCTCAAGGGCACAATGTTTGAAGAAATGTATTTTTCATCTACCTGATTTCAATTTAGGTTGTCAATTTTCTGAAGCAGATAAAATCAATGTAGGAAGAAAGCATAGTATTCTATTAGTGCTTGCTTTTCACTTGAATTCAAGTTAAAGATGAATGTGCTTCCTCTCTCCTAGTTTTCAAGGGATCACATTAGACTAACTTCCCCTCTGTACACATATGACACACAGCAGTAAGGGAGAGGCATCAGGACAACATCATTCCTTTTAGTTCTCGACTGTGTTTGACCTTCCTGGACACCTTTCTTAGGGAGGAGGAGAGTGCTTTGCTCTACCTCCACATAGAGGGCTATGTGTGAATAAAGGCTATGAGATAGAAGATAAGAACCCTCTTGTCTTTAGACCTCTCTGGCCTCAGAATCAAAAGAAGAGGTCTCATGCATCACATCTTTTCTATTATCTTTGTCCGCTATGCATACCATTTCTCAGTAAGAAATAGAGTGAGAACTCCTGCTTCCTACTAGAACCATGTATTTAAGAAAGACACACAAAATATGTAGCAACACAGTGTTCCCATTTTACCAATTTTCTCTGGTCTCACATACATTGTAACCCAATTGCTACATTGCTGTAAAATATGCATTTCATCCTAACCTGTTTCTTTGGATAGATTTTCAGGGAACAAGATGCAAACACTGTCCTCCAGAACATCTTTGTCTTACCAAAAAAAAAAGAAAAAAGGCTATCACTGTTGTCACTATTCGATTTGAAAAATAATATATGACAATTATTTATTCAGTCACAAAAATGCATTGAGTGCCTCAATATTCATAAATGTTCTTTATACATGTGTGTGGGAACTTAAAATGGGCACTTTTCTCATTTTAAAGATGAAGAAACAAAGTCAGAGAGAAGTTAGATGATTTATCGAAACTAAGAAATGGAATATAATTGCAAAAATGAGACCTTTTTTTGAGTCAGGCTTAGTGATTGATAGCCAAATCACTTCACTTACATTTCACACAACAGCTCCAAATGTTGCCATCCTTTAGGAAGCATGAGATAGATAGATGGTAGTTAGATAGATAGATATTAATAGGTAGACAGATAATCATGTAACATAATGCAAGTATTTGCTTTTACCTCAGTTACATAAAATTTGTTGTGGCTTTACACTCTGTTTTAATTAAAGAGATGTTCAAAGTCAACTTTATTTTTCACTAGAAAAAAAAAATATGCCAAAATGCTCCCTAAATTAAAAAAGAAAATTGACCAGACTTACTTTGTTCCCTCTCTTAAGGGTCTCTTGTCCATTAATTAGCATTAACGAAGGGAGGAGGATGAGTGAACTTCCCATATCTGGAGAGTAAAGAAAGCCCCAGATATACTCAGGGCTTAGTGTACATGCTGCATAATGGTATTTCTGAAGAGTAGTGAATTCTGTATTCAAACAGAGGTCAGCAAATAAATCCAGAGTGTCTGAGTGTTTGATTATTTTCTTTTTAAAGATGAGCTGCTCTGATGGTTGGAAGTTTTCATTTTCCAGCTCTAACACAGAGTAGTCACAGATGCAAACATGGACACTTTGCCTGCAGTCTCAATATAGATTAATTATCCAGCTGCCAGAAACCATGAGTGGGCTATGCTGTTTCCGTGATAAACCCCAACCCTCCCTCACGCAGAGACAAAAGAAACACACAGAGAGAGGCTACAGCCTCAAACCATAGTTTTTTACCTTGAATAGACTTTCCAAATGAAGCCCTTTCACTTTTCTTTCTATATCAAAACATTAAAAACCAAAAAGGAATTTCAAATCCTGTTTTTCTTCATTAGTGTATCGCAAACAGTTAATTAGAAAAGATTTCTTTTACTAAATGATTTAGTTCTTATGTCTGTTTTAATACTTGAAAGGTTACAGCTTCAGGAAAGGAGGAAAGAGCCTTAATTAAAGAATGAATGATTGAATATTCAGTTTTAATTGATGTTGCCCCATGCTATTATTTTGCATGTTTATAGATGTTTCATGTGATTCTGTTATCAGAATAACCAAAGAGAGAGACATTGACTACTGAGCCTAAAAAAGAGGAGGGCATCTGCCTGATCACATTCAGCCATTTAAGTTCAAGAATCATCTGAAGCGTGGTTTCCATGACAACAAGTCACTAATTGCAAACATAAAATAAAGTAAAAAATCAACCTTCCTTGAATTTGGCAGCTACAAAGATGATGTCTAATTTTTTTAAACAGTGAAATGGCACTTTTCCTTAGGGAATCCCTCGAGTCATCTTCCCGAATCCAAGAAGGTACTCCATTGTAGGGTTAATTCTAGTCTGGCAAAGGTGTCAGCTGCAAGCTGCCCAGATGTGCCAGGCTTTGATTACCAACACCTAGCTTTTGGTAAAGATAAGAGGAGATGGTTACAATGAGGAATGAAGGATTTTTGTATTTCTGAGCTACAGAACAGAAGAGAGCTGCTGAGGCAGATAAATTAACCAAAGAAATGTCTACCAAATTCTGGATTTGAACATCCTTTAGACAAGCGGGGGTGGGGGGGAAGCAAATTGAGGGGGAAAGGTGAGTTCAAACCTAAATTCGGCCACTTTCCATGGAGTTAGTCACCTGTGCTCACTCACTTGCAAAGGTTTCTCGTTTCTCTGCCTGGCAGCTTTTTAAAAAACAAACAAAAAAGTGAACCCTTTGAGATTTGGAAACATGTTCAATCGACACAATGGCACCATTCAAAATTCACCAATGTATGAACTGCAGCATATCATTTGTAAAAATTGCTTCAGCCTGAGTTACCTTTCACCAGCTCTCTAAGTCTACTCACTGGGTCACTAGGAGTGAGCAAGAACATTTTGATAAATTCTGTTTCCATGACGATGAATTAACCAGTGAAAAGGGGGAGGTGCTGAAAGATCTGTATTCTGTAGAATACTCTCAAATGTTTGCCTGTTTTCATTTTTAGCCATTTAGTTCTCATGGCTCTGTTCCAGGACTCTTTAATTTGCCAGTAGCTGTTTTTCCTACACAGATTACAGGAGTAATTCATCAGTGAATGTTTCACTCAGTGGTCCCATCTAATGTAAGGAAACATAAAAATGAATTTTTCCAATTATGCCTTTTTTGTTTGTTTAGAAAGAATGTAGTAAGCTTTTTTCCTTTTCTTCTCTCACAATCTAGCTTTAGTGTTCTTATTCTCCCTTATTTATTGACCATCACCTTACACAGGCTACAACTGCAATTTGTAAGATGTTGGGATCCGCTTTTAAATACCAATAAATCCCCGAAAGGCAATTATTTTTGAATTTAGTGGACTGAAACCCCAAAGGGGGATGTAAAGAGAAAAAAGAACATTAAAACATGCAGGCCCAGTACATGTTACAATGAAGCAAAGTGTTCAGACAAAAAATTAAGAAAGCAATAGAACTTTTCCCTTACTAAATTACTTTAAATTGGCTTATTTATATACAGTGGAATCTGTTTATGTTATTTCAGCATTTATCTACTTCCTAAATTTAATGATAAAACTATGTCCTTGGGGAGCAAAAAAAGAATGTAATTCTGATGGTTTTGTTTTCCAAATGATGCAAATAGCAAGAACTCATCTATTTGCACCAGGAAAAAATGGATATGAAACTATTTTTCTGAGGTATAAAGTAAGAATAATTTGTCCATAAGACATGCATTTGCAATCTAGGTTTGGTATGTATCTCAACAAGTAATTCATTTTGTTCATTTTAAAAACTAAAATAATGAGTTTATGAGATTTTTCCCTTTTTTTTCACCTAAAATAAAGCAAATAACCAGTTTTCAATTTCCAGTTGTTTGCTTTGCCATTGTGCAGCCACCTTTTAAGGGATACTTTCAATCCTTCCCAAATTTATTCATCCTTTGCTCAAAGCAAAAAGAATTTTTACTGGGAGATGTTCTGGATCATCAACAATTAAATTGATCAGATGTTATCCTACTCTAAGGTTGAAAGTGCAAAGAACTGTGAGAATCCCAGGAAGTAAAGAAGGAAACATTTGTTATGCAAAGTTCTGCCAATCAGAACTACTTTTTAGGCAGGATACGGTGGCTCACGTCTCTAATCCTAGCACTTTGGAAGGCCGAGTCAGGTGGATTGTCTGAGCTCTGGAGTTCGAGGCCAGCCTGGCGAACATGGCGATGCCACGTCTCTACTTAAAAAAAAAAAAAAAAAAAGTACAAAAAATTAGCCATGCATGGTGGTGTGCGCCTGTAGTTCCAGCTATTCGTGAGGCTGAGGCACGAGAATCCCTTGAACCCGAGGGGCAGAAGTTGCAGTGAGCCCAGATAGTGCCACTGCACTCCAGCCTGAGCAACAGAGCAAGACTCTGTCTCAAAAAAAAAAAAAAATCTAAACTACTTTTTAAAATTTTTAATAAATAGTAATGCAATAATATTTCTTTTTAGTTAAGAACAGATCTTCAGGGTCATATTTGCTCTAAGAGCTTAATTTCTCTACCAAGAACAGAAAGAACTTTCACATTGAAAAGAATATGGTAATTTTTCCCCTCCCTCTTCAACACACACGCACACAAAATGTTATTAATATTAGTGGATTTCAGAGAATGTACATGATTGAAAATCAAAGTAATTGTTTCAATGAATAAACCCTAGTTGTTTTGCAGCAGACATCTATAAACCACTAGAAAAGAAAACTATGCCAGCCTAGAATCAGTGTATTGGTAGCTCTGAATTTGTTCATGTTGATTAAAAATAGTGAGGGCAACAGTTATCTGTTAACTGTATATGGACAAGGGGAAGGCTAATGGTGTCTTTTGTTCACCTGATATATGTAGCTCCTTCTGCTTCTTATGGGTAATGTGTATAGGTTGTGCTAATAGTGCCATGCTTCCCTTCCTAGAACCGAGGCCATAATGCAGGTAGCTGGCATTCAGTTCACACTGATGTTAATAGTGGAAGATTTATCTGCCAGCTGTTGTCCAGAAAATAGAGATGGCATGGGCCACCTCAAGAGGCAACTACCTTTATACCAATGTGACCCATAGTTAGCACCAGACAGTGCAGGAGTCAGCTCATTAATGCTAATGTCTCCAGTGAGAAATAGATAAACAGCAGCTCTCTCAGTCCTGCAGATTGAAATTGTCACAAAAATACTGTTGAGCTCAGGTGCTGATCATTAAAAATGAGTACAAATGAGAGGAATAATGGCTTGTTGATCCACCTGAGTCAACTTTGACATCCTTATGACACTATTTATAACTGTATAGATGTCTTTCAGCCCTCACTGAGAGAGATTTTTGACAAAGAAAATAATGAAACTTCTTGCGTTTTTGGTTAAAACTGGTCAATAACGATACATTCTAAAAATTCCAATAATTTTAGTTCATTAAATGATATACTCAACAACTACTGCATATGCCACAGAATAGCTATTACTTGAAATTCTTTTTAACCCTGATGTGACATTTTATAAATATTCAGGACAATGACATTTTGAAAGGCTTGTTACTTTACATATGTGCATGATACATGTTCAAATACATAGCATAAATCATAAATATGATCACATTTAAACAACCCTGAAAAGAGACAGTGAATGTATATTCACATAATATAAACACTAATAAGAAATGTATATTTATGGATCTAGGCCGGGCACAGTGGCTCACGCCTGTAATCCCAGCACTTTGGGAGGCTGAGGCGGGCAGATCACGAGGTCAGGAGATCGAGACCATCCTGGCTAACATGGTGAAACCCCGTCTCTACTAAAAATACAAAAAATTAGCCAGGCGCAGTGGTGGGCACCTGTAGTCCCAGCTACTTGGGAGGCTGAGGCAGGAGAATGGCGTGAACCTGGGAGGTGGAGCTTGCAGTGAGCCAAGATAGAGCCACTGCAGTCTGGCCTGGGCAAAAGAGCGAGACTCCGTCTCAAAAAAAAAAAAAAAAAAAAAAGTATATTTATGGATCTAAAGAACAGGTATCTTCTAATATGTGCAATCTGTTCCTAAAATGTATGTAACACTTTTTTAAATCATGTAGTATTCTAATTCACTGAGACATGATTGCTTGAATAAATTTTGCAATGATCCTTTCAGTAAAGCCAGAAATACTTTTGTAATATAAAAAACTATCCTCTCTATATCTGTTTTCCACTTTATATTTTTATACATGTGATGTTTAAATATTGTGTTTAATATAAAAAATTTTAACCTACATACCTGTATTTGTTGCTGGAATGTTCCCCATTACTCTTCCCCCAGAGGTAATGCTGAGAGGTGTAGCTTCAAGGGCTGTATGTTGGAGGCAAGAGATTTGAACAAAAATACTGGATCAAACATCCAGCTTTCCTACCCAGAATCTAATTCCACTGTCCACACATTTCTTCCTACTGCAAAAGAGCTTTATACCAACATCTAGTTTGATAAGCCAGGATCTCTGCCACAAGCAAAGGAAACATTTGATACTTAACTGAAGGTGGTTAGATGAATAAAAGTAATAGTCCTCTACTGAATTTATGAGTCTAGGCTAACCCTCATCAGTAAATCACATAAAATCTTAACTGCATTGAGATCACTATTTTACAAAGTACTTTTAGTGAAGTAGATTGCTACCAATTCAGTGAGATATCTGACATAGTCATTCGCTCAACAAAATTTATGAAATGTTTGCTATGGCTTTGTCCCAAAGAGTTGGCTGTGTGTATGCAGAAGGTATATCAAGGTAGAGATTATGAGAGAGAGGTATTGGGGAGGGAAGGGTAAGGTTTACCAAAATCTTTCTGAAATGAGATAATTGGGAAAGGGCATTCCAGACAAAAGGAGCAGCTGGGCAAAGGCAGAGAAGTGAAAATCAGTCTGGTTGGTATAGAGAATCACAAGGAGTTAAGTGTTGCTTGAGTGTTCACTGTGAGACAAGTAGTGGGAGTAATGCAACAGTGGAGGCTGCACCAAGAAAGGCTAGGTAGTCATTGCTAAAAACTTGGACATTATCTTGTCTCATTGATCTTTGGGGTGGTGATGGCAGTAGTTCTGATGACAGATAGTGACAGTGACAGCAAATATGCAGAGAAAAGATGAACTGAAGGAATCTTTAGGAATTAGCGTTATTAGAACTTGGTGATTGGGCATGGGGAGGAAAGTAATTGCAAAATTCTATATGATGCACAAACTCTAGTTTAGGCAACTGGGTGGATGGTGGTGCCACCAACTAAGGAAATGAAGCCCATTTAGGGGAGCCTGTTGAAACAGCTGTGACTGTGGAACATTCCTTAGAGATGCTCACTTGGTAATTGACAGTTGAGTTTTAAGCTAGAGCATAGCCTTAAAGACACGGACATGAAATCCATTGGTAAATAATGGTATCTGAAACCATAAGGCTGAATAACATTGCTGAAAGAATATAGAAAGTGAGATGACTTGTGGATTGAGGACCCAACCCTAGGGCAATTATTTCAGACATTGCCAAAAAGAACAGAAGCCAAGAAAGGAAACAGAAGGAGTTCATCAGACATAGGAGGAGAACCCGTAATGTTAATATTATGAAAGCCACAAAAGTGAAAAATGCAGCAGAGAGGTTCAGTAAGATAAAGATGGAAAAATATACTTAATCTCCCTCTCCTTCTCCTTCTATCTGAATACTGTCTCGAATTCCAGGGCTCCAGAGATCCTCCCACCTCAGCTTCCCAAAGTGCTGGGATTATAAGCATGAGCCACTGTACCTGGCCACCTTAATTTCTAAGCAAGAGAAGGCTTATCCATTTATTTTGTTTATTCTCTGCTTAGCCCTCAAAGCACTACAAATTCTTCAGATAATACTTCCTGAATTCATTCTTCTCGATTAAGTTTGTAATAAATTTTATGCAAAAGTCAGTTAAATGTTATTCTTAGTAACAAGTATCAGAAGCACAGATTGTATCTATTGCCAGTTAAAGGTAGAAACTTTTGCTTTAATGTCAAGCTGAGAGTGCAACTGATATTTTGTGAGAATTGTGAAGCCTCACTCACCAATTGGTCCTAATAGAAAGGTATACCATTCTTCAATGCAAAAGAGAGAAGAGCAACAACTTGTAAGGAGGAAAGAGAATGGGCTATAAAGATAGTACAGGCTCCTGAGTCAGGGGTTAGTGGAAATAGAGTGAAATGTTGACTTGGCGATTTACACGGGAGCAACCTATTAACTAGAGACATTACCAAAGACAATCTTATCGAGTTCAATGCAAGTAACACACCATCAAAGCTTTGTTGTTAGGCAGAGTCAGATTCTACCAACAGCTCATTTCTCACCATCTGTGTGTCTAGGGCAAATATTTAACTGTCTTAAGTTCTACTGTCCTCATTTGTAAACATGAAATAACATTATTACCTATTCCACAAGCTTGTTTGTGAAGATTAAATGAGATAGCATATACAAAGCATTAGTCTAATACAGTGACTCTCAACAAGTGGGTATTTTTGCCTCCCATGAAGGCATCTGGCAATGTTTGGAGACATTTTTGGTTTTCACAGCTTTGGTAGGAATGGGTAGAGGCCAGAGATGCTGCTAAATTTCCTGCATATACATATGGCACCCCACAATAAAGAATGACCTAACCCAAAATGTCAGTGGTGCCAAGGATGAGAAACACTGGTGTAGTGGTCATACATGCATTATAATAGCTGGCAGCATTTCCCAAGTAATCACACTTAAGTGCTTAGCACTTTCTTTTCTAACCCTCACCAAAATCCCATGAGGTTGGTTCTAGTAATATACCCAGGTTACAGACTCAGAAACACAAAAAAGATGTACACAAGGTCACACAACCAGTAGCGGTAGAACCAGGATTCCATAAATGCTAACTATTACATTTCATGGAAAAGGAAAAATTTATTCAGGTGTCTTCAAATGTCAACTCTTGCCACAAGAATAACAACTTTTCTGCTTCTATTCAAACATCGACAAAACTCCTACAAAATTGGTAAGCTGTGTGTTTTGATTTCTGCTCTTAGATTTTTGTCTTAAATGTGGATAAAATGAAGTAATGGCTAATAGAGGAGACAATTTAGCATTTCTTAAGAGCATTTTAGCAAGACAATTGCTAGATCTACTTTTAGAGAAATCTTTTTAGTGTTAAAAATCAGTAAAACCTTACTTCAATAACTAGCATTAGGTCTTCTCTAATGCCAAAGTCAATAGCTTCTCTTGTAACAGTGTTATGGTTTAAGTACTGCTTCAGGCCTATGCTAAACTTGCACGTGGGATCAAAGAGATAAAAGTCACCTGACTATATCAATTTCACTTTAGAGTCTGAAATTCTAAGGAGCTGTACATGTATCCAATTGTCAGTGATGTGTCATTGATTGTTTTTTAACAATCTTTTGTATTGATGTGTTTTGCAAGGTGTTTTTCTCCTCTTTAAATCTTCCTTCAGGGAAGCTGAAACAAGCTGGTGAGCATGTATGTGTGTGAACCTTAAAAAAAATCCTAGGAAGGCAACAAAGGCTGAAATGTGAGCACACATGTTAAGTATTCTAAAAACGTTAATGTTTATGGAAATTTCAGCATTCTTAATTTCCAAAATTATTGAGTGAAGACAGTATAGCATAAAAAGGAAAGCAATATGGTATAGCAGCTAGAAGTGTAAGATTTACTGTCAGATCAGTCTTCAAATCCAGGCTGTATCATTTACTATGTGATCTTGACAAAGTGACTTGATCATCCTGAGTCTCAGTTACCTTTCCTATAAAAGATGGAAAATCAGACTGATCACAGAGGGGTATCTGAAGGTAAATTTTTAAAATAAATTTTACACTACCATATGCTGAGCACTGTTCTAGACAGTAAGGATGTGACCGTGAACTACTCTCATACCGCTTGTAATAACAAGATTGAAATTAAATATAATCTCAGATTGTAATAATGATTCCAAAGAAAAGAATTCTAGATAAGCTAATCATGATCAGACTAGAGTAGGGGCTGGTAAGTCCTCTTAGGAGGTATCATTTGAGTCAAGACATGAAGAATGTGGGATGGTGATCCAAGTGAATATTTGAGGAAGAGCATTTCAAGCAGAGGAAAGAGCAAATGAGAGACCTCCTGGCAGGAATATTCTGCTGAATTTGAGAAAAAGCAAGGAAATCAGTAACACTATTATTCACTGACGTAAGAGTTGAATTTAAAAGTTAGCCTAGATGGATCACTTGAGGTCAGGAATTCAAGACCAGCCTGGCCAACACAGTGAAACCCCCTCTCTACTAAAAATACAAAAATTAGCCAGGTGTGGTGGCAGGCAACTGTAGTGCCAATTACTCGGGACGTTGAGGTGGAAGAATTGCTTGAACAGGGGAGGCGGAGGTTGCAGTGAACCAAGATCATGCCACCGCACTCCAGCATAGGCAGCAGAGCAAGACTCTGTCTCAAAAAAAAAAAAAAAAATACATAAAAGGTAGCCCAGGTAAGTCATAGAGAAATGTATATGCCACAGTAGGATTTTGGATTTTATTTTAACTGTGATGGGAAGCCATTGCACACTTTTGAGTAGGGGAGTATCATGATCCAACTGTGTTTTAAAATGATCACTTTGGCTCCTAAGTGGGGAGCAGACCCTAGAGAATCAGGAGTGGATACAGGATGACCAGGTAAAGGCAGTCCCTATAGGGCAGGCAAGTGATGATGGTGGCTTAAAAGGGGAAGACGACACTTGGAAGTAGCTAAAAGTGGTTGGATTCATGATGAATTTAAAGTAGATTCAATATAACTGCTGATAGATTGTGAGTTGTGATAAATAAGAAAGATTATAAAGTTTTGGGCCTAAGTAACTGAGTAAATGGCAGTGCCATTTACTGAAATGGGGAAGACTAAATTAGCAATAAGTAAAAATAAAAGGAACTATAAGGAGTTTAGTTAGAGATATGAATTAGATATTCACATGTAAATTTTGAGTAGACTATTGAATATGGTATGTATTCAAGAAAGAAGTCAAAAATGGATCTTAATTGTGCATTATCTGAGAATAAAACATATTTGATTTATGAGGACTGAGTGAGATCCCTATAGGAATATGTTAAAATTGAAGAGAAAAGAGGGCCAGGATCTGAGCTCTAGGGGTCTCCAATATTTAGAGGTCAAGAAGATGAGGACGATGCAGGAAAACCATGGGAATGGTGGTGTCCTAGAGCCAAGTGAATAAAAGTGCCTCGAGAGAAAGAAGAACCTACTGTCATATGTTCAGTGGGGCTGAGTGAGATGAGGGCAGAGTGGACCACTGACATTTGGCAACATAAAAGCCAATAGCAACACTGAGAGGAAAAGATTCAGTGGAGTCATGGGTACGAATGCCTTATTCACTGGAGTGAGTTCAAATGAGAGTGGCAGGGGTGAAAATAGGAATGAAAAAGGTCATTAACATATTTTTGGGAGAATTAAATAAGAAAACATATGCATTTAACTCAACACTTGGCCATTATAAAGTACTACTAAATAGTTGCCATCATTATTTTTTTATCATTTTTACGGAGTCATCCCCTATCATTCAAATACTATATACTATATTAAAATTTGGCATAGCCAAAACAAAAGGAATAATTATGTATGTGTGCATATGCATATAAACATATACTATTTATTGAATACTTTTACCAAAAGAAAATTCATGTTTAATTATTTTGTTTTATCCTCACAACATTCTGTGGAGAAACAATATAGCCAAATGAGTTTTTCTCAGTTTTACAACGGATGAGGCTTAGGCTCACAGCTTATGCCTTGCCCAAATCACATATAAAGCCAGAAATGAAACCAAGCTCTAATGACACTGATATGGATTGGCTGTGTCTCCACCCAAATCTCATCTTAAATTGTAGTTCCCATAATCCCCACATGTCATTGGAGGGACCCGGTGGGAGGTAATTGAATCATGGAGGCAGTTTCCCTCATCCCATTCTCGTGATAGTGAGTTAGTTCTCATGAGATCTGATGGTTTTATAAGGGGCTTTCCCCCCTTTTCTTGGCACTTCTCCTTGCTGCTGCCATGTGAAGAAGAATGTGTTTGCTTCCCCTTCCGCCATGCTTGTAAGTTTCCTGTGGCCTCCCCAGCCATGCTGAATGGTGAGTCAGTTAAGCCTCTTTCCTTTATAAATTACCCAGTTTCTGATATGTCTTTATTAGCAGCATGAGAATGAGCTAATACAGCCACCTACCTCTTTTGTCTTCTCAGCAATGAAGAAGAGAAGTTCAATTATATCACCAAAGAGAAAAATCAAACAAGATCAATGAGAAGTAGACAATGTAAATATCTGACTTGAAGAATTAACACCCCAAAAACATTTTAATTCATAAATTATTTACACATGCACTGTTAGCCATCTTGTACAACTTGTTCTTTGTCGATATGGTCAAATTCCCTCCTCAAGTGAGAAAATGTTCTGCCTTAAAAACAGATTGAACTGTTTTCTTCATAGGAAATATGTAAAATAAAATAGAAAGAGGCAAAACAGATCCTGGGGCATATATTTAACCAATCAATCAATGGCAACTACCTATGCCAAGTAATGTGTTAGGTAGTGTAGATAAAAGAGCAAACTCTCTTGGCACCTATAGTCTAGTGAGAGACAGATACTGATCAAATGTGAAGTATTAATTTATTAATTTATAAATACATGGAGGAAACCAACAGAGTGCCATGGAAGAGAAAAACAGACATAAGCTAAGCATAGTGGAGTGTGCCTGTAGTCCCAGCTATCTGGGAGGCTGAGGCAGGAGGATCACTTGAGCCCAGGAGTTTGAAGCTGTAGTGTGCCATGACTGTGCCTATGAATAGCCACTGTACTCTAGCCTAAGTAATTATAGCAAGATCCCATCTCTAAAAAAGTTTTAAGAAAAAACAGGAACAACATGATCCAGTGTCACTGTGGTTGATATGTGTAAAAGAGATGCGAAAATATCTGTATCTTTCCACAAACCACATATAGTCCATTCCAGAAGTCTGAAAGAGACTCTCAAAGAAAGACTCTTAAAAAAGGGATAAATTCAATAAGGTCCTTTAATAACAGTTACGAAAGAAGAATGGGGTTGAATTACTTTTTGCTTTTCCTTTCTTTTTATTTCAGGATCTAGAGCTGAGAATTTCTTTTAAGGATTCCATCTTTCTTGTTTCCAGATTAGTAAAAACAAGGAACAATGTGTTTCCTCTTCATTTCCTTGTAAGAGAGTACTGAAGCCAAAGTGAAGTATTAAAAATAAGCATGAAACAATTAAAAAATGCTTCCAAGGTATGTTAGCTGCTTCCACAATCCATATGAATTCCTGCTTAATTCCTTCACAGAACCAATTTCCTATGTGCAAGAGACTAGAGCTCTTTGGAGTTGTAATCAATCCAAGTCCTTGGTACCTTCTGAGTTACAAACCATTCCCCATCAATGAGAGAATGTCTGGGATGCATTGTGTGACAATCTTCAAATTAGCTACTTCATACTCCATCTTTGTTAGATGCTAAACTAAACCTTCTTATTTACTCAGTCCTCCAACCCCAAAACTGCTTGCTACTTGTTTTTACCAACCCATGCCCCACTGTTCCCCACTTTCCTAAATCTTTCTTCTGCGTTCTCTGGAACCCCAATCTGATTAATCCTTACATATTCAGTCTCTCAAAACAATTCATCTTCTGCCTTAGTTAGAAATCAGAAGTTCCAACAGGAGGTCTGTGAACTGTTTCAAGGACTCAGTGAAATACTTTAAAAGATTTATTGTTTTCTTTTTGTTATTTTTAAATACGTCATTCTAAACTAAAAATTGTTACTATATTACAAGAATAATGCCTCACATCATGTGGCTGGCAAGATGGCAGAATAGGAACAGCTCCAGTCTGTAGCTCCCAGAAAGATCAACACAGAAGGTAGGTGATTTCTGCATTTCCAATTGAGGCACCCAGCTCATCTCACTGGGACTGGTTAGATAGTGGGTGCAGCCCACAGAGGATGAGCGGAAGCAGGGTGTGGCATCACCTCACCCAGGAAGCACAAGGGGTTGAGGAACTCCCTCACCTAGCCAAGGGAAGCCATGAGGGACGGTGCCATGAGGGACGGTGCTATCCAGCCCAGATACTAGGCTTTTCCCACAGTCTCCAAAACCTACAGACCAGAAGACTCCCTTGGGTACCTACACCACCAGGGCCCCGGGTTTAAACCACGAAATTGGGCAGCCATTTGGGCAGACACCGAGCAAGCTGCAGGAGGTTTTTTTTTTTTTGTACCCCAGTGGCACCTGGAACACCAGCAAGACAGAACCGATCACTCCCCTGGAAAGGGGGCTAAAGCCAGGGAGCCAAGAGATCCTGCTTAGCGGATCCCACCCCCACGAAGCCCAGCAAGTGAAGATCCACTGGCTTGAAATTCTTGATGCCAGCACAGAAATCTGAAGTCAACCTGAGATGCTCAAGCTTGGTGGCAGGAGGGGCGTCCACCATTACTGAGCCTTGAGTAGGCAGTTTTCCCCTCACAGTGTAAACAAAGCTGCTGGGAAGTTCAAACTGGGTGGAACCCACCGCAGCCTGGCAAAGCCACTGTAGCCAGACTGCCTCTGTAAATTCCTCCTCTCTGGGCAGGGCATCTCTGAAAGAAAGGCAGCAGCCCCAGTCAGGGGCTTAGGGATAAAACTCCCATCTCCCTGGGACAGAGCACCTGGGGGAAGGGGCAACTGTGGGCACAGCTTCAGCAGACTTAAATGTTCCTGCATGCCGGCTCTGAAGAGAGCAGTGGATCTCCCAGCACAGTGCTTGAGCTCTGCTAAGGGACAGACTGCCTCCTCAAGTGGGTCCCTGACCCCCGTGGCTCCTGACTGCAAGACACCTCCCAGCAGGGGTCGACAGATACCTCATACAGGAGCGATCTGGCCGGCATCAGGTGGGTGCCCCTCTGGGATGGAGCTTCCAGAGGAAGGAGCAGGTGGCAATCTTTGCTGTTCTGCAGCTTCTACTTGTGATACCCAGGCAAAAAGGATCTGGAGTGGACCTCCAGCAAACTCCAGCACACCTGCAGAAAAGGGGACTGACTGTTAGAAGGAAAACTAACAAACAGAAAGCAATAACATCAACATCAACAAAAAGGATGCCCATGAAAAAACCCCATCCAAAGATCACCAGCATCAAAGATCAAAGGTAGATAAATCCACAAAGATGAGGTAAAACTAGTGCAAAAAGGATGAAAATTCCAAAAACCAGAATGCCTCTTCTCCAAAGGATCAAAACTCACCAGCAAGGGATGAAAACTGGATGGAGACTGAGTTTGATGAATTGACAGAAGTAGGCTTCAGAAGGTGGGCAATAACAAACTGCTCAGAGCTAAAGGAGCATGTTCTAACCCAATGCAAGGAAGCTGAGAACCTTGGTAAAAGGTTACAGGAACTGTTAACTAGAATAACTAGTTTAGAGAGGAACATAAATGACCTGATGGTGCTGAAAAACACAGTGCAAGAACTTCGTGAAGCATACACAAGTATCAATAGCCAAATTGATCAAGCAGAAGAAAGGGTATCAGAGATTGAAGATCAACTTAATGAAATAAAGTGTGAAGAGAAGATTAAAGAAAAAAAGAATGAAAAGGAATGAACAAAGCCTTCAAGAAATAGGGGACTATGTGAAAAGACCAAATCTACCTTTGATTGGTATACCTGAAAGTGACAGGGAGAATGGAACCAAGTTGGAAAACACCCTTCAGGATATTATCCAATAGAACTTCCCCAACCTAGCAAGACAGGCCAACATTCAAATTCAGGAAATACAGAGAACACCACAAATATACTCCTCAAGAAGAGCAACCCCAAGACACAAAATTGTCAGATTTACCAAGGTTGAAATGAAGGAAAAAATGTTAAGGGCAGTCAGAGAGAAAGGTCAGGTTACCTACAAAGGGAAGCCTGTGTAACAGTGGATCACTCTGCGGAAACTCTACAAGGCAGAAGAGAGTGGGGGCCAATATTCAACATTCTTAAAGAATTTTCAACCCAGAATTTCATATCCAGACAAACTAAGCTTCATAAGCAAAGGAGAAATAAAATCCTTTACAGATAAGCAAATGATGAGGGATTTTGTCACCACCAGGCCTGCTTTACAAGAGCTCCTGAAGGAAGCACTAAATATGGAAAGGAAAAACCAGTACCAGTCACTGCAAAAACATATCAAATTGCAAAGACCATCAATACTATGAAGAAACTGCATCAACTAACGGGCAAAATTACCAGTTAGCATCATGAGGACAGGATCAAATTCACACATAACAATATTAACCTTAAATGTAAATGGGCTAAATGCTCCAATTAAAAGACACAGACTGGCAAATTGGGTAAAGGGTCAAGGCACATGGGTGTGCTGTATTCAGGAGACCCATCTCACGTACAAAGACACACATAGGCTCAAAATAAAGGGATGGAGGAATATCTACCAAGCAAATCGAAAGCAAACGAAAAGCAGGGGTTGCAAACCTAGTCTCTGATAAAACAGACTTTAAACAAACAGAGACCAAAAAAAGACAAAGAAGGGCATTACATAATGGTAAAGGGATCAATGCAAGAAGAAGAGCTAACTATCCTAAATATATATGTACCCAATACAGGAGCACCTAGATTCATAAAGCAAGTTCTTGGAGACCTACAAAGAGACTTAGACTCCCACATAATAATAGTGGGAGACTTTAACACCCCACTGTCAATATTAGACAGATCAATGAGACAGAAAATTAGCAAGGATATTCAGGACTTGAACTCAGCTCTGCTCCAAGCAGAACTAATATACATCTACAGAACTCTCCACCCAGTGTCAACATAATATACATTCTTCTCAGCACCATATCACACTTATTATAAAATTGACCAACTAATTAGAAGTAAAACACTCCTCAGCAAATGCAAAAAAAATGGAAATCATAACAAACAGTCTCTCACTGCAATCAAATTAGAACTCAGGATTAAGAAACTCACTCAAAACCACACAACTACATGGAAACTGAACAACCTGCTCCTGAATGACTACTGGGTAAATAATGAAATTAAGGCAGAAATGAATAAGTTATTTGAAACCAATAAGAACAGAGACACAACGTACCAGAATGTCTGGGCCACAGCTAAAGCAGTGTTTACAGGGAAATTTATAGCACTAAATGCCCACAAGAGAAAGGAGGAAAGATCTAAAACTGACACCTTAACATCACAATTAAAAGAACTAGAGAAACAAGAGCAAACAAATTCAAAAGCTAGCAGAAGACAAGAAATAACTAAGATCAGAGCAGAACTGAGGGAGATAGAGACACAAAAAAAACCCTTCAAAAAATCAATGAATCCAGCAGCTGTTTTTTTTAAAAGATTAACAAAGTAGGTGGACCACTAGCTAGATTAATAAAGAAGAAAAGAGAGAAGAATCAAATAGACACAATAAAAAATGATAAAGGGGAAATAACCACTGATCCCACAGAAATGCAAACTATTATCAGACAATACTAAAAACACCTCTACACAAATAAACTAGGACATCTAGAAGAAATTGATAAATTCCTGGACACATACACCCTCCCAAGACTAAACCAGGAAGAAGTCGAATCCCTGAACAGACCAATAACAAGTTCTGAAATTGAGGTAGTAATTAATAGCCTACCAACCAAAAAAAGACCAGGACCAGATGGATTCACAGCCAAATTCTACCAGAGGTACAAAGAGGAGCTGGTACCATTCCTTCTGAAACTACTCCAAACAACAGAAAAGGAGGGACTCCTCCCTAACTCATTTTATGAGGTCAGCATCATCCTGATACCAAAACCCGGCAGAGAAACAACAAAAAGAAAATTTCAGGCCCATATCCCTGATGAACATTGATGCAAAAATCTTCAATAAAATACTGGCAAACTGAATCCAGCAGCATATCAAGTTGCCTTCATCCCTGGGATGCAGGGGTGGATGAACATACACAAATCAATAAACATAATCCATCACGTAAACAGAGCCAATGACAAAAATCACATGATTATCTCAATAGATGCAGAAAAGGCCTTTGATAAAATTCAACACCCTTCATGCTAAAAACACTCAATAAACTAGTTATTGATGGAAAGTATCTCAAAATAATAAGAGCCATTTATGACAAACCCACAGCCAATATCATACTGAGTGAGAAAAAGCTGGAAGCATTCCCTTTGAAAACCGGCACAGCACAAGGATGCCCTCTCTCACCACTCCTATTCAACATAGTACTGCAAGTTCTGGCCAGGGCAATCAGGCAAGAGAAAGAAATAAAGGGTACCCAAATAGGAAGAGAGGAAGTCAAATTGTCGCTGTTTGCAGATGACAAGATTGCATATTTAGAAAACCCCATCATCTCAGCCCAAAAACTCCTTAAGCTGATAAGCAACTTCAGCAAAGTCTCAGGATACAAAATCAATGTGCAAAAATCACAAGCATTCCTATACATCAGTAATAGACAAACAGAGAGCCAAATCATGAGTGAACTCCCATTCACAATTGCTACAAAGAGAATCAAATACCTAGGAATACAACTTACAAGGGACGTG
The DNA here is from genome assembly GCF_000001405.40 of Homo sapiens. Lineage (NCBI taxonomy): Eukaryota > Metazoa > Chordata > Mammalia > Primates > Hominidae > Homo > Homo sapiens. The sequence continues at coordinate 59,296,117 of NC_000013.11, forward strand.
AAGGACCTCTTCAAGGAGAACTACAAACCACTGGTACAGGAAATAAGAGAGGACATAAACAAATGGAAAAATATTCCATGCTCATGGATAGGAAGAATCAATATCATGAAAATGGCCATACTGCCCAAAGTAATTTATAGATTCAATGCTATTCCCATCAAGCTACCACTGACTTTCTTCACAGATTTAGAAAGAACTACTTTAAATTTCATATGCAACCAAAAAAGAGCCCAGATAGCCAAGACAATCCTAAGCAAAAACAACAAAGCTGGAGGCATCATGCTACCTGACTTCAAACTATATTACAAGGCTACAGTAACCAAAACAGCATGGTACTGGCATCAAAACAGATATATAGACCAATGGAACAGAACAGAGGCCTCAGAAATAACAACATCATACATCTATAACCATCTGATCTTTGACAGACCTGACAAAAACAAGCAATGGGGAAAGGATTCCCCATTTAATAAATGGTGTAGGCAAAACTGGCTAGCCATATGCAGAAAACTGAAACTGGACCCTTTCCTTGTACCTTACACAAAAATTAACTCAAGATAGATTAAAGACTTAAACATAAGACCTAAAACCATAAAACCCCTAGAAGAAACCCAGGCAATACCATTCAGGACACAGGTATGGGCAAAGACTTCATGACTAAAACACCAAAAACAATGGTAACAAAAGCCAAAATTGACAAATGGGATCTAATTAAACTAAAGAGCTTCTGCACAGCAAAAGAAACTATCATCAGAGTGAACAGGCAACCTACAGAATGGGAGAAAATTTTGGCAATGTATTCATCTGACAAAGGGCTGATATCCAGAGTCTACGAGGAACTCAAGCAAATTTACAAAAAAAAAAAAAAAAGAAAGGCCATCAAAATGGGCTAAAGATACAAACAGACACTTCTCAAAAGAAGGCATTTATGTGGCCAACAAACATATAAAAAAAAAGCTCATCATCACTCGTCATTAGAGAAATGCTAATCAAAACCACAATGAGATACCATCTCATGCCAGTTAGAATGGCAATCATTAAAAAGTCAGGAAACAACAGATGCTGGAGAGGATGTGGAGAAATAGGAATGCTTTTACACTGTTGTTGGGAGTGTAAATTAGTTCAACCATTGTGGAAGACAGTGTGGTGATTCCTCAAGGATCTAGAACCAGAAATACCATTTGACCCAGCGATCCCATTACCGGGTATATACCCAAAGGATTATACATCATTCTACTATAAAGACACAGTACATAAAGATGCATGTACACATACGTTTATTGCAGCACTATTCACAATAGCAAAGGCTTGGAACCAGCCCAAATGCCCATCAATGACAGACTGGATAAAGAAAATGTGGCACATATACACCATGGAATACTATGCAGCCATAAAAAAGGATGAGTTCATGTCCTTTGCAGGACATGGATGAAGCCAGAAACCATCATTCTCAGTAAACTAACACAGGAACAGAAAACCAAACACCACATGTTCTCACTCATAAGTGGGAACTGAACAATGAGAACATGTGAACACAGGAAGGGGAACATCACACACCGGGGCCTGTCGAGGGCTGGGGGGCTAGGGGAGGGATAGCATTAGGAAAAATACCTAATGTAGATGAGGGGTTGATGGGTGCAGCAAACCACCATGGCACATGTCTACCTATGTAACAAACCTGCATGTTCTGCACAAGTATTCCAGAACTTAAAGTGTAATTCTAAAAAAAAAAGAAAAAAAAAGAATACTGCCTCACATCAAATGGTCTATGTTACTTAGTATATATGATCAAGTAACATGCAGTCATCATCAAAACTGTATTACAATGTTTAGAAGAGTTTCCTATTGACAAAATAAATAAAATGTTTCTGCTTTATGATTAAATAAATCCATCATTGTTTATGCATGATTAAGTTGCAAAAAGTTTCAGAGGTTATAAAGGTTTTAAAGATGCTTCTATATCCTTTGGTTTTCCTTTTATCTTTGAAATTGGATACAAAAGCCACAATCTTTGCTGTGTTGGAAGATGTATAGGAATAGAAACATGAAACCCACAAACATAAAGGTTTACCTTGAAGTGGTAGACTTTTTAAAAATGAGAACACTTGAATTAGAAATACTGAAAGCTTACCAAAAGTTTGTCAAACCGGGAATCAAGACCTATTGTGTCGCTCATCCTTGACCCCACATCTACTCACTTTCCAACTCCTATGTAGCAAATCCCCTAAATACCTCTCAAATTTATTCACTTGTCTCCATACCCACAGCCATCAATCACTCTCGTCAAAGTCAATGCTGTCTATTAACTGGTTCTTAAAATTGCTACATTCTTTTCTGTGCCTCGGCTTTTACTCCTTACTATCCTAAATTCTATATTCAGGCAGGGTGATTCTTGTATTGGAGACAAAGAGAGAGCACATAGACCAAGGTGTTTTGGAAACAGTCGGCCCTCCCTATCTGCAGGTTCCACATCTGCAGCTCTAACCAACTGCAGATCAAAAATACTGGGAAGAAGTATATAAAAACAAAATAATACAAATAAGAAACAACACAGTAAAACAATGATTTACATAGCATTTACATTGTATTAGATATAAGTACTCTAGAAATGATTTGAAGTATTGTTTGACACTTGAACAACATGAGGGTTAGGGATGCCAATCTCCCCCGCACACAGTCAAAAATCTGTGTTTAACTTTTGAGTTCCCAAAAACTTACCTATTATCCAATTGTTGACAGGAAGCCTTACTGATAATACAGTCAATTAACACATATTTTGCACGTCATATATATTATATACTGTATTCCTACAATGAAGTAAGCTAGAGAAAATGTTAACAAAATTATAAAGAATAAAACACATATTTTATATACTTTTTTAGAGAGAGAGTTCTCACTATCTTTGCAAGGCTGGACTCGAATTTCTGGGCTCAAGCAATCCTTCTGTCTCTGCCTCCTGAGTAGCTGGGACTACAGGCACTTGCTACCACACCCAGCTCCTATATTTATTATTTATTAAGTGGAAGTGGATCATCTTCATCCTTCTCATCTTCAGGTGGAGTAGGCTGAGGAGGAGCAGGGAGAAGAGGGTTGGGTGTTGCTGTCTCAGGGGTGGCAGAGGCAGAAGAAAGTATAAGTGAACCCATGCAGTTCAAACCCATATTGTTCAAGTATCAGCTGTAAACAGGAGGGCGTGTATAGGTTATATGCAAATATTAAACCACTTTATATGAGGGACTTGGGCATCCATGAATTTTGGCATTTAGAGGTTCCTGGAACCAATCCCTCGAGGATACTGAGGGATAACTGTTTAAAAATTCTGAGAGAGGTGTGATGGAGAGGACACTGTATTGAGGTGGAATAAAAGCTTAAAAATCACTTTGTTTAGCTTATGGAAGACTAAATTTCTTGGAGCTAATTTGTAGTGTAATTGCAAGTAAGATAATGTAGTGAAGAAATTTGGGGATGTCTTTGGGCAATGAGAGTTTGTTGACTTGTTTTTTTCTAATGCTAGGGAATTTTAATTTGTCATCTCTCTGACCAAAGAAAGGAGTAGTTCTTTTGTTTTCTTTGGGTTCAGCATTCATGGGGTAAGAGAGGTTCTCATTTGAGGCAGAACAGACCACAGATTGCATCAACCCATGGGATGGCTGGAGTCAAGAGAAGAAACCAGCAAGGAACCCCTTGTGACAGATAATGACAAATTAACTGAGTTCTGAGTTTTCTTTTTCTGCTTTGTAATACTCTTTTGCAAGCCCCCAGCTAAATTGGGGTTCTGGTACCAGAACCGCTAGCAATCCTGCTCTAACAGGAAAAAAAAAAATGTGGAGCTGAAAATTGGTGTTTCCAGAGTGGCTTTTGCAAGACCCTTTTATTAGCTGGCAGACGGCCTTGTGCCTAGTTGTTCGACCCAAGATCAGGGAGGCCCTCACATGGGAAACTTGTTTATCCTGGCAGATGCCCTTGTGGCTCTTGTCTGACCTGTGTCCAGTCTATGCCTGCCTGACCATTGCTCTGGCACTGGGAGCTCACTTTTGTGTTCTCCCTGGCATCCTGAGGAAAATGGCCTGGGGCAGCCTGTGGATCTTCAGATGGAAGGTGCAAATTCAATACACCATCACAGTAGGAAACAAGTTCAAAGATTTTTACTCACAGATCCTGGGAAGAGAGGGTGTAATGAGTGGAGAGGTCAGTCCTCCATCTCCCGTGAGGCAGGAATGAAGAGTCAGGCAGAGAAAGAGCGAGCGTGTGTGGCCACTGGCAGTATGTAGAAAGGAATAGAATGTAGGTCACTTTAACTTTGCAGCAAATGCCTGAATGGCTTGTTTAAAGGAAGCGGAAAAGCAGGGATCCCAGCCTGCTAGGTGGGAGAGATGCTTCTAGGTTCTTATCTCTGGCCACTGGCTTGAGCCAGCTGGGTGTGGTGTAGAACTAGAAAACTGTCAAGGGCCACTGAGCCCTGCTTCTGGTATGATAAAGTTGTATTCAAAATTAATGCTGAGCCAACATAGAATTATAAGAATTTACTACTATGAGAGCCTCACATGTTTAGTAAAACATGTTAGTATAGCCTTAGAGAAGGAAATAAATGGGCTTTATTTATGCTTGAGGCAAAGCAGTGCAGGGAGAGGACAGCGGCTTGCAGCGTGGTGATAGCAAGGCCAGAAGTATTCATGAGGAGCCTTAAGCAGTAGTTAGGAATGAACAGTGAAGGAAAATAACCCAGGAAACATACGCCCTCTTTTTGTGTGAGATCCTCACACAAAATTTTGTACTCTACACAGATGGAACATTCATTCAGCAAATCTATATTTTCAGTGCCTAACACTGTTCTAGATGCTGCGGGTAACAGATGTGAACAAAACTGACCATGTCCCAGCCTCTGTGGAGCATAGGGCCCTGTGCAAGAGAGAGACAATAAACAAGCACAGATTATGTCACATGGTAAGAAATGTAATGGAGAAAACAAAGTAAGGTGCAGGGGATAGCAGCTACTGAGGGGAAGGCTTGGTAACGTTTTGTAAAGGAGATCGGGGGACCTCTCTAAGAAGATAACATTTGAGCAGAGATTTGAAGGAAGTTGTGAGTGATCTATACAGATGTCTGAGAGAAGAATGTTCCAGGCAAAGGGAACAAGTGAAAAGACTTGAGACTAGAGTGTGCCTGATATTTTTGATAGCTTTGGGAATAAAAAAGCATCCATATGTCTCTGTGAATCATTGCTGTCGCCATTGGTATGTGTTGGCATCAAATCTTGTTTTCCACTGAGAAAATCATTAACTTCATCAAATACCAAACATGATTGAAACCAGTTTTTCCTGAGGTTTCATCAAGAAATGAAAGCAGAATGTAAAACTTTTTAACAACTATACCAGATTTTCTGATTTTCCACGAGGTAAATCTTGATGCATCTAATTAAATTCTGGGCAGATATTTCATTTTGTTTTCAAAGAGAGAGAAAATGAAAGACAATTCTAAGCAGTTTAATTTACAGTCTCCCTCTCCATTCCAAGTTCTGCCATTATTCCCAGAAAGTTGAGCATATAGATGGACAATACATCCAAAATCTGGCCTCAAACATTACTTTATTTTCATAATTTCAATGAATTTCCCACCATTCTAGTTCTGCTCTCCACATCCCATGGAGCAGGCCTGGTCTTTTTTCATCACTTGAAATGCTCGTGTCTGGTTTCTTAAACAAAAATATTGCTATCTGATAACCACAAGTCCTATCCTTCCAGCTGTCTCACTTGGCTACTTACACAATGCCTGTAGCTAAAAAGTAGCTCAATGGTTACAGCAAGTGCTCTAGCATCAGATGCCCTAGGCTAAGAGCAATTCTGCCATGTTCAGAATGTGTGAACACAAGCAAGTTTCCAAATCTTGCTAAGCATCTGTTTTTCCTGTGAAAATAATAGTTGTCATTGGGAGGATAATATAAACTATAACATTTAGCACGACAGCACTGACAAAACATGCAATATATCACACTCCTTTTTATTATTACTTGACCTCATCAAGACATCTAGTTACTTCATTCTTCCACTTTCTTCTTTATTAGCCAGTTTTTAAACTCTCTTCCCCTCACTCACCCTGCACCCCAGTCTTAGACAATTTGGACATTCACTTTAGTCTCCCTCCTGCCAGTGTTCTCAAATCCCACCTCACTGTCCCACTGTACTTCCAATGCATTCTGTCTGTAAAACCCCAGTCCTAGGCTGCCACCAAATAATAAATAAATATAAAATTGTAAACTGAATACCTCTGGGTATACTGTCCTTAGGACAGTGTAAGTGTTTAGTAAGTAGAATGAATGGATGGATGCTACCATAAATCCAAGGCCTGTATCCTTGAGGAGAACCTCAGAGCTACCCACCAGCTTTATTTCCTAGTCATCTCTCTCCTTTTTTTTCAAAGTAGTTACTTGGCTGCCATTCTTCTCAAACTCCAAGCCCTGCCACCTGACTTCTCAGGGACTGCAATCTGTGTCTTCCTCCCACTCCTGTATTCCTTCTCTACTGGATCTTCTCTATCAGCCTTGAATCATCCATGAGTCTCTCCCCTGCCCACATGAAAACAAAACAGCACGTCCAAGCATCTTTTCTCCTCAGATCCTCTCCAGTTACTGCCCTATTTCTCTTCTGCTTTTTCCACGGAAATTCCTTGAAAGTATTATTTATAGTCACAGTCGATACTTTCTTATTTCCCACTTACCCCATGGTATGTTTGCATTCTCACCCATAACTGAAACTTCTTTTGTCAATGTTATTTGTTGCAATGGAAGTTTGGCATTTTGGCAACAATTGACATTTTAACCTCTAGATATTTTTTTCTTGAATGTTTATTCCCTTGAGATTTTTTAAATAACAGTTTTATTGAGATGTAATTCACATGCCGTAAAGTTCACCCTTTTAAAGAATACAATTCAGTGAGTTTTAGTATATTCACAAAGTTGTGTATCCATGACCACTAATTCCAGAATACTTTATTACCCTAGAAAGTAACCCTGTACCCATTATCAGTCACTCCCTGTTGTCCTCTCCCCTGAAAAACATTAACCCTCTTTCTGTCTCTGTAGATTTGTCTGTTTTGGACACTTCATGTAAATGGAATCATATAATATGTGGCCTTTTATATTTGGCCTCTTTAGCTTAGCATGTTTTGAAGATTTGCCCATATTGTATTATATATCAAAACTTTATTTCTTTTTATGGCTGAATGATATTCTATTGCATGGATATATCACATATTGTTTATCAGTTCATCAATTGATGGGCATTTGAGTTGTTTCCACTTTTTGACTATCATGAACGATACTGCTATGAACATTCACATACAAGTTTTTATGTAGATATGTTTTCAATTCTCTTTGGGTATATACCTAGGCTTGGAATTGTTGAATCATATGGTCAATCCATGTTTAACTTTTTGAGGAACTGCCAAACTGTTTTCTGAAGTGGCTACACCAGCAATGCAAGAGGGTTCAAATTTCACTACATGCTTGCCAAAACTTGCTACTGTCTATCTTTTAAATTATGGCCATTCTAGTGGATGTGACATGGTATCTCATTGTGGTTTGGAGTACCCTAATGACTAATGATGTAGAATATCTGTCATGTGCTTACCAGCCATCTCTATGTCTTCTTTGAAGAAATGTTTATTCTTCCCTGATTTTTGAGATCACATTCTATTGGTTTTCCTCTGTCTCCTGTATGGGTTCCTAGTCTTCTGTCCTTGCTTTAAATATTGAAGTTCCTCATTATTCTGCCCCAGATCCTATCCCAGGATGATCTCATCCATGTTCAGGCATTTGTTAAAATCTAAAAGTCAATTATTTCTAATTCTCCAGTTCGGTTCTCTCTTTTAATATCCAGATGGATATCAAACTATTTACTGAACATGTTTAAACTTGAATGTATTGTTCTCCACCAAACCCCAACCCTTTTTTCCTAGGATGAATGGTCCAATCATTCAGCAAAACACCCAAGCTCAAATTCTAGCTATCCTCCTTTTCCCTTTTCATCAACCGTACATCTAAAGTGACCAAATCCACCCTATTCAACCTCTTAAATTGTCCTTAAATAGGGTTTTCTGACCTTTTCTTAATTAGCAATCACCTATATCAGCCCTGTTCATTAATTATCTGAACTTCCAGCAATGGCTTCTCTACTCTATTCCCAACCGGTCTTCTCATATCAAATGTTTTATCCTTTCAGGCAACACCCCTCATAATCTTCATATGAACAGCATGAAAAAAGCTGACATGTTTAAGGACTAAATTTCCCAATCTACCTTCCATCTTGTTTTTCACACACAGAACTTCCAAGCAGAATCACCCTCCAGGTTAGAGGACAGAGGTGAGTATGGAGAAGTGGCAGCCACACAGGCCATCTGAAAGCACTGGTAGGGAAGCAGCTTGGTTATCCAGTGGCAGCTTTCATGGATGTCCTTCTGCCCTGGTTTTCAACCTTGACTGGTGCACAATCATCACTCACAGCTTTTTTGTTTTGTTTCAATACCATGGCTGGGCCCTGCTCCAGATCAATTAAATGCAGTCTCTGGGGGTGCTGACCAAGTACCAGTACTTTTGTAAAACACTCCAGGTGATTCTGACATGCAGCCAGGATTGGGAAACATTACTCTGAGGTCCAGCTGGTCCCTAAGTTTCTAGTTGCCAAGCCTAGGCCATGGTAGCTGCAGCTCATCCTGATTCAGCAGCTTTCCTGCATGACCAGTGTAGTTCTTGAGTAGGAGGTGGTGGCCACAGACACAGCAGTTCCTTGGCCAGTCAGCATAGCAGTGTGACTTGCGTGATTATTGTTTTTTGAAAATCAGCCTAAAGCCAGCTTCTCCAGCCCTTCCAACAAGTCTGTAAGCTGCTTAATACCTGGTAAGAAATCCCATTCTGCTAAAACTGGCCAGAGAGTTCCGTTGTCCATTACTGAACCTTGACCAATGCAGCTATCTAAATTAATGTCTGACCACATCACATTTCTGCTTTAAATAATTCACTGGTTCACCATTGTTCTCACATTAAGCCTAAAGTGCCTTTAAGTGACTTGTAAGATCTTTTGTGATCTGGTATTTGCCTTTATGAAAAGCATGTCAAAAATATGTGTTGAAAGTATTTCATAAGTACATACCTTCATTGAGAAATTACACATGTAAGAATTTATTTTAAAAATATGTGGACATATAGGAAAAAATGAGGCATATGAGGATATACATCACTGCATTGTGCATTACTATTTTTTTGGAAAAAACTCTAAACAACTTATAAGAGTCTAGTGAGAAATGTTATAGTACCCTCATAAAGTGAAATAATTTTCATTAAAGAATCTTCATGTGGTAATCTTATGCATGATTTCTATAACTTTCTTATACTTTACTCTCATTTCCCCATTTTTTTTCAAAGAACATGTATGAACATCTCTCAGGAAAAAAAGTCCTGAAAACATTTTCACCTTAGGAAGAAAAATTTGATGTTTACAGTGAACAGGCCAAACCAAATAAGCAGTCCCCCTGAAAGAACAATGTTCTAATAAGACAGGCTCTTTCCAAATGAGCTAGTGCAGGCATCCCCAATGCAGGAAAGAGCCTCATTTGGAAAGAATCTGTCTTATTAGGTCCCCTAGTGGAGACCTGTCCACCAAGGATGCCCTAGTGCAGGGGTTCTGCTGTGTGGTCCAGTTCCTAACAGGCCAAGGACCTGGCCACACAGCAGAAGGTGAGCAGTGGGTGAGTGAGCATCACCACCTGAACTCCGCCTCCTGTCAGATCATCGGCGGCATTAGATTCTCATAGTAGTGTGAACCCTATTGTGAACTGTACATGCATGCGAGGGATCTAGGTTGTGCATTCCTTATGAGAATATAACTAATGCCTTATTATCTGAAGTGGAACAGTTTCATCCCAAAACTATCCACCCCCATCCTCCGTCCACAGAAAAATTGCCAACCACAAATCCAGTCTCTGGTGCCAAAAAAGTTGGGGATGACTGAGCTAGTGGACAGGAGCTCTCTCCCACTAATAGTTTCCTTCTGTGCAAGCCACTTTGACCATCACTATGGCCTTTGTGGTGGAAAGGAGGTGAAAAAAATATATTGTAAGTGCTGGAGAAACTCAAATATCTTATAAATAGTATCTATTTGCCTTGCCTACAAGATAAAAGTGAAAAAAAGAACCCCTGACAGAGGAAAGAGATCAAAGCAGACCTCAGGAAGTTAGGAGAAATCTTCAGTCTCTGCTATCTCCTTCCGATTCCTTTCCTCCTCCTTCAGCAGCATGTATTATACCAGAAAGGAAAGTAATTTGGCATCGACTAACACACATACTGATAAGAAATCATCAAACATGTTTCCATCTTCACCTAGCATGCACAGGAGCCACAGCAGGAGCTTCAGGTAATAAACAGACATCACTATTATCTCAAGCAGTATATCAACTGGTTCCTTCAGTAATGGCGTAGATGGGAAATTCTGCATCACCACTTCATAAGTAGGGAAATTGAGGCTCTGGGAAATTACATCCCTTCCTCAGGTCAGCCCAATGCCTAAGTGGCAGGTCAAGTTTCTTAGCCAGCTTTCTTTATAAGTTCTGAAATAAAATTTTACAGAAACAAGCCAGGTCTCATCCAGGTCTGCAAGTGAGAGGGAGGATGAAGGAGAGGGGCAAGAAGACCTGAGAGGAGACAGTAGCAAAGAAGGAGACTTTCAAAGAATGAGCTGCATGGAGAGCACTGAGTTCCCATTCATCACCTCTTTATAATGCCAATCTGAAGGTTAGCATTTTTGGGGGAGAAATAAATTTGTGGTTAACATAGGAGAATGTTTGTGTGTGCATGGGCCTATTAAGGCCTATAATATTTTCATTATAAGCATGTGGCTTTCATGCTGAGAGAGGGAACTTAAAACTTCTCCCTCTGTGCTGTGTGGTTGGTTCAGAGAAAGGCCATCCTAAACACCTAGAAGTCAGTATTAGTCCGCTCTCACTCTGCTAATAAAGACGTACCCAAGACTGGGTAATTTAAAAAGGAAAGAGGTTTAATTGACTCATAGCACAGCTATGGCTGGGGAGGCCTCAGAAAACTTATAATCATGGCAGAAAGGGTAGCAAATATGTCCTTCTTCAGATGACAGCAGGGAGAAGAAGAATGAGAGCCAAGCGAAGGGGGAAGCCCCTTATAAAACCATCAGATCTCGGAGAAGTAACTCACTATCATCAGAACAAGATGGGGGAACCCCCCCATGATTCAATTATCTCCACCTGGTCCCTTCCATGACATGTGGGGATTATGGGAACTACAATTCAGGATGAGATTTGGGTGGGGACACAGCCAGATCATATCATTCCACACCTGGCCCCTCCCAAATCTCATGTCCTCACAATTCAAAACACAATCATGCCCTTCCAACAGTCCCTCAAAGTCTTAACCCATTCCAGCATTAACTCAAAAGTCCAAGTCCAAAGTCTCATCTGAGACAAGGCAAATCTCTTCCGCCAATGAGCCTGTAAAATCAAACAAATTAGTTATTTCCTAGATAGAATGGGAAAACAAAGGGTTTACAAGCCCCATGCAAGTCCAAAATGCAATAGGGCAGTTATTAAACCTTAAAGTTCCAAAATGATCTCCTCTGACTCCACGTCTCACATCCAGGGCATGCTGATCCAAAAGGTGTGCTCCCGTGGCCTTGGGCAGTTCTGCCCCTGTGGTTTTGCAAGGTACAGCCCCGCTTCTGGCTCCTTTCACAGGCTGGCGTTGAGTGTCTGCTTTTCCAGGCACATGGTGCAAGCTGTCAGTGGATCTACTATTCTAGGGTCTGGAGAATGGTAGCCCTCTTCTCACAGCTCCACTAGGCAATGCCCCAGTGGGGACTTTAGGTGGGGGATTTGACTCCACATTTCCCTTCTGCACTGCCCTAGCAGAGGTTCTCCATGAGAGTTCCACTCCTGCAGCAAACTTCTGCTTGCACATCCAGGCATTTCCATACATTATCTGAAATCTAGGCAGAGGTTCTCAGACCTCAATTCTTGACTTTTGTGCACCCACAGGCCCACCACCATGTGAAAGCTGCCAGGGCTTGGGGATTACACCCTCTGAAGCCATGGCCTGAGCTGTACCTTGGCCCCTTTTAGCCACTGCTGGAGCTGAAGCAGCTGGCACGCAGGACAACATGTCCTGAGGTCGCATAGAGCAGGAGATCCCGGGGCCCAGCCCACAAAATCATTTTTCCCTCCTAGGCCTCTGGGTCTGTGATGGGAGGGGCTGCTGTGAAGTTCTCTGGTATGCCCTGGAAGCATTTTCCACATTGTCTTGGTGATAAACATTCAGCTCCTCATTACTTATGCAAATTTCTGAAGCCAGCTTGAATTTCTCCCCAGAAAATGGGGTTTTGTTTTCTATCACATTATAGTCAGGCTGCAAATTTTCCAGACTTTTATATTCTGCTTCCTCTTGAATGCTTTGACACTTAGAAATTTCTTTCTCCAGATGCCCTAAATCATCTCTCTCAAGTTTAAATTTCTACAGATCTCTAGGGAAGGGGCAAAATGCTGCCAGTCTCTTTGCATAGCAAGAATGACCTTTACTCCAATTCCCAACAGTTTCTTCATCTTCATCTAAAACCACCTCAGCCTGGACTTCACTGTCCATATCACTATCAGCATTTTGGTCAAAGCCATTCAACAAGTGTCTAGGAAGTTCCAAACTTTTCCACATCTTCCTAACTTCTGAGCCCTCCAAGTCTCTCTAGCAAGGTCCAGACTTTCCCACATTTTCCTGTTTTCTTCTGAGCCCTCCAAACTGTTCCAGTCTCTGCCTGTTACCCAGTTCCAAAGTCGCTTCCACATTTTTGGGTATCTGTATAGCAGCACCCTGCTCTCCACAGTATTAATTTTCTGTATTAGTCTGTTCTCATGCTGCTAATAAAGAAATATGTGAGGCTGGCTAATTTATAAAGGAAAGAGGTTTAAGTGACTTACGGTTCTGCTTGGCTGGGGAGACCTCAGGAAACTTAAAATTATGGCAGAAGAGGAAGCAAACACATCCTTCTTCATATGGTGGCAGGGAAAAGAAGAATGAGAGCTGAGTGAAGGGGGAAGTCCCTTTTAAAACCATCAGATCTCGTGAGAACTTACTATCATGAGAACAGGATCGGGGAAACCACCCCCATGATTCAATTGTCTCCACCTAGTCCCTCCCACAACACATGGGGATTATGGGAACTACAATTCAAGATGAGATTTGGGTGGGGATATAGTCAAACCATATCGGAGTCAGCAAGGGCCAGCTTCACATCTTTCTCCCCAAGAGTACGGTTAGCTTCCTAAATTGCTAATTTTTAATTTAAAAATTCAGCACAAATTTCTACTTTGAAATTATGAAATTCTTGTAGAAGTATGTAATAATTATAGGAAAAAGGAAATTATCGCCTCAAATTTCTTTCTTGACTACTTTCATCTTTTCTTTAAAGCCACTCTGGGGACCATTAGTAGTGTTCCTGTCTTCGCAAGAAGACCCATGCCTAGAACACAGTCTCCCTTCACTACTTCCAGGAAGAATTTTTTTAAATACTCATATGCATCCATAGGTACATCATACATATGAATGTTCATTGTAGCATCGTTGGCAATAATGAAAAAAAATAATGCTCATCAAGAAGAGTGTTTTAAAATAAATTATGGAAGATCCATACCTTGGAACAATATATAGCAACTAAAAATAAGAATGTACGTGTAGAATAAGAATGTTTAAAAATAGCTGCCAACCATCCCTTCCTCTTTAAGGTCTTGGTGCCTGTCTGAGAGGGAGCTCAGGTATACATAGAGTGTTCTAGGAAAAGCTTTTTTACTCTTTTTTTTTTTTTGAGATGAAGTCTTGCTCTATCACCCAGACTAGAGTACAGTGGCACGATCGTGGCTCACTGCAGCCTCCTTCTCCCAGGTTCAAGCGATTCTCCTGCCTCAGCCTCCAAGTAGCTGGGATTACAGGTGCCTGCCACCACACCTGACTAACTTTTGTATTTTTAGTAGAGATGGGGTTTCACCATATAGTCCAGGCTGGTCTCGAACTCCTGACCTCAGGTGGTCTGCCGGCCTCAGCCTCCCGAGGTGCTGGGATCACAGGCATGAGCCACCGCGCCCAGCTGCTTTTTTACTCTTTATACCCCAAACAGCTAATAACAATACAGTATGTCCTCACTTAACATCGTGGATAAGTTTTTGGAAAGTGTGACTGTAAACAAAATGAAGTATAAAACTAAACCAATTTTACCATAGGCTAATTGATATAAACGAGAGTTAAGTTTCCATGACGTATTTCTGGTCACAAAAACATCAATGAAATTTTAAAGACCAACACACTTCCAACATCAAACATTGAAGTAAATGTGAGTCATACATACATTTAAGAAAGATGAATAAAAACAAGTAAGGTAATTATTTACCCAACTTTTCTAGTTCAGGGTCTGGGGTGGCCGGAGCCTATGCCAGCAGGTCAGGGCACCAGGAAGGACCGGACCTGAATAGGGCCCCATCCCATCGCACGGCACACTCTCACAAACACCCAAATTCGCTCATGCAGGGACAGTGTAGACATGCCAATTCACTTGACATGCACATCTTTCAGATGTGGAAGGAAACTAGAGCACCCAGAGAAAACCCATAAAGACATGGGGAGAAAATGCAAACTCCACACAGAGAGTGGCCTCAGCCCAGAATCATTTTTTTTCTTATCAACGTTATAAGGAAACAACATTGAGCAAAAAGATGTTATTTGAGGACCTGCTGCACTCTTCAACCCTGATCATTAATGGGAACTAGAAAAAGCAGAGTGAAAATGCACCTGACAACATAAAAAGTAAATGACCTGCATGGATTGCAGGAGGCCAACACAGTAAAATCATGCTAGTAAAACATTTAAAGTTATTTTTGCTACTACATCTGACTCCATCCAGGCATCCAAATTTCCATGCTCTCTCTCCTTTTTTTTCTGCTTTCAGCACAAAGGCTGATCTAAAATCAATCCTTTACAGCTTAGCGGGGATATGTCTCAGAGCCAAGGTGGACCTAGCTGAATTGCCCAGTGGCCTGTTCCCAGAAATGTATGCAGATAAAGTATTTCATATACTTGTACAGTGTAATTGTTTTCTATTATTTCCACTGTTTTAAAATATTTTCATTATAAGTGAATAGTTTTCTGCTATACAAGGCCAAATGCATTTTTGTGGAGTAGCATGAAAGATAACAATTTTTAAAATAGTGTTCAATGAGGGGATGTGATCTAAATTTCAAAACCATTGACATCCATACTTTTAGAAAGCAACCTGTTTGAGACTTCAAATTATATGAATGCTAAATCAGAAATTAAAGGCATTTAAACACCACAAATTACTCTTGATGACATGTATTTGCTCTGGAGCAGGGGTCTGAGTATCATTGCGGAAAGTCAGAGAAACCACTGAGGTTATAAGCAAGAGTGACGAAAGAAATGTGACACAGAAAATCAATTTGTTAGTGATGTGGAGAATGGACCAGAAAGGACAGAGGTGCAGGCAAGGGAATTAGAAAGCTCCTGCTATGTATATGTCACTAAACAGTGTATTTCACACATCTAATCTCACTCATTGCAACAGATATTTTCATATTCATTTTACAAATGAAAGAACTGAGGCTCAAGGAAACAAAATAGCTTGCCCAGGATCACATTGCTATTAAATATCAGTGCCAATTTAGGGGAAGAGATTGTACAAAATTGACTTACAATATCCTAGACTACAAGAGACCTTAGATCAATTACTATGATAATCCTGTCTTCAGACCAGTGCTTTCAACTTGGCTAATCATTGGAATCACCTGAAGAGCTGTTCAGACTACCCAGTTCACCGTCCCACACCAAAATTATTCTGATGATCAGCACAGTTAGGAAACTTCTGCTGCAATATAGGTGATTGTCTAGTCAGTCTACTGAAAAAGAAGCTAAGTCCAAGAGATTATTAATTCAGCATTAGATTTACTGAATTTGAGATAATGGCAGGGCATTCAGTAGGCCCAAGGAATAATTTAGCTAGAGAGATGAGACCAGATCTGGAAAGAAATATCAGAACTAAAGGAATAAATTTTGAAATTGTCTGCATGGAGATGATAGTTGGAGTCATGCAAGGTCTTCCAGGAAGAAAAGAAATACAGGGGTTAAAGGCAAAATTTTAATGAATATCCATGGAGGTAGAATGGGAAGAGGTCAAGGAACAAGTAGACATGACTGAGTAGTATTTAGACAGAAGCTCTACCAGAAAAATGCAGTGCCACAGAGGCCAGATGAATGAATTCCAATTCTACAACTATCAAAGATGTACTAAAACAACAACAACAACAACAAACAAACAACAAAAAACCATGGATTTGATCATGGGAAAATTACTGGTGAATTCTGAGTATTATCTGGGGTAGAAGGCAGATGATGGGATTGACTTAGCCAATGAGAAAAGGAAGGCAGCACGTGTAGGGCTCCAAGAAGTTTAATACTGAAAGAAAGGGAAGAAAAAAATGGTAGCACCTGGATCAGCAAGGTCAACGGAGAATGTTTTAATTGCTACTGTCATTGGGCTATTTGGCTAACTCTAGGTGGGAAAGCAGTTTAATAACTTACTTTAACTATGAAAAAATTTACCTCAAACCCAGAAATATCCATTAAACTGAAGATTTGTGGACTGTTTTTATCCGTGTGAGTCAGGGAAGTGCACTGCATTTGCAGGAAAAAGTCCAGGTATGTATGCCAGGTATAAAAGATCGGTTTCACCTGTGCAGTCTATCCAGCACAGCTGATTAGGGCTCTCTACCTTCTGGATGCTGCCGCTGGCACAGAGGCTGTCTTGGAACAGAAGAGCTTGAGCTCTTTATGCTGTAATAGCTAAGCCAGCACTTTTACCCCTTGCTGGCCTTGAGGCCAGCTTGTCCAAGGCACTGAGGACACATGTGCAGTATCATATGTCCCTCTCTTCTTTAAATTAGGTCAGCCAAAATTCAAGTTTACTTTTGTTTTGATGATGGGGGGTGGGATGATTGGCCAGGGCAGGGCTTTAGACCTCTGGATCATGTGCTGCAATCCAGCCTACCAGAATGTTTCCTGATGAGGTCTGGGTGCCAAGTCAACTTAGCAATACAGTGCCACTGTTTTTCCTTTCCATTACTCCTTACTTGCATATACCCCTCATTGAGGAAGTTGACTTTGGGCTGGAGTAGAATTCAGATATTTCTGGGTCTCCTGGCCATTTGGCCATCCCAAGCCCATCCCAACTTCCAAGGCCACATTTGGACAGGGGAAAGCAGCACACAATGTCTAGAGCATGAAGGACAAACCAAGTCAAACTCCATATGGGAAAACTAAGTTTAAAATAACTTAGAGGCCAGGCACAGTGGCTCACGTCTGTAATCTTAGCAGTTTGGGAGGCCGAGATGGGTGGATCACCCAAGGTCAGGGATTCAAGACCAGCCTGGCCAACATGGTGAAACCCCATCTCTACTAAGAATACAAAAATTAGCCAGACATGGTGGTGCATGCCTGTAATCCCAGCTACTTGGGAGGCTGAGGCAGGAGAATCACTTGAACCAGGAGGTGGAGGTTGCAGTGAGCCAAGATGGTGCCACTGCACTCCAGCCTGGGCTACAGAGTGAGACTCTGTCTCAAAAGTAAATAAAATGAAATAAAATAACTTAAGAGACCGTATACCAGCGCCAACCACCATCTCAATATTAGCTAATGGCCTCCATTTCCATTTCACAGAAAAAAAAAGAAGGTGCCACATGGTAAGTCCATAACTTTCCACTGCCTGCATCCCACTCACCCTCTTCCCCTGCTTCCCTTCTCTTATAATTCAGAAAGATCCTTTCTTCCATATTAGGTCAATCCTTGTACCTTGTATGTGCACTTTGAATTCCATCCTTACTGCCTTTCTAAGAATCTTTCTTTTTCTTCTAACAAATTGTTGATTACCCACTCTCTTTCTTATATCTTCATCTTCTCCCTCTCAACCGGATTCTTTTCATCCTTAAGAATGCCCAAGGCTTCGTGATGGCTCACCCCTGTAATCCCAGCACTTTGGGAGGCCGAGGCGGGCGGATCACGAGGTCAGGAGATCGAGACCATCCTGGCTAACACGGTGAAATCCCGTCTCTACTGAAAATACAAAAAAAAATATTAGCTGGGCATGATGGCGGGCGCCTGTAGTCCCAGCTACTCCGGAGGCTGAGGCAGGAGAATGGCTAGAATGGCGTGAACCCGGAAGGCGGAGCTTGCAGTGAGCAGAGATCAGGCCACTGCACTCCAGCCTGGGCGACAGAGTGAGACTCCGTGTCAAGAAAACAAAGCAAAACAAAAAAAGAATGCCCAAGGCTTTCTTTTTGTTTTAACCCCTACCCCAGGTCTGAGCTCGATTTCTGAGTAAAGAGGTTCAGGCTTAT
Source organism: Homo sapiens (assembly GCF_000001405.40). Lineage (NCBI taxonomy): Eukaryota > Metazoa > Chordata > Mammalia > Primates > Hominidae > Homo > Homo sapiens. The sequence goes on from NC_000013.11 coordinate 59,314,573, forward strand.
TGTCCATATGTTGCCATCAGCCTCTTTAATTCTAAGCTTCTCCAACTCACTCCCAGTCCATCACCCTACTGAAGTGGTTCTTAGTTCTATTGCGGCCACTCCACCTTGAGCACATTCAATTGGCATTTTCAGCTTTCGCCCCACTTGAATTCTTAGGAATCACTCCTAACAATGGTCACTTCCTCAGTCTAGAAATTTAGAAACTCTACCCAGCTCAAGTACAGGACCCACATTCTCCTGTGTTATTTTGTTCGGTTTATTCCTTCTTAATCTTCTTTCCTGACCTATCCTGTTCTACTTGGCTGTTAATATTTAGCTATTGGTAGCATCATTTCCCAACCCTTTTCTCAGTCTATGCTCTCTCCCATGACTAGCTTCCATGCCCATCTGTAAATTAATAACCCCCGGTATCTATACTCACTCCAGTCCTCTCTTCTGATCTCTAGTTCTACAAACTGAACTTTCTATTTTAAAATCCCTATTAGTATAAACATTTTTCAAGCTGTTCATGCTCCAAAATGAACTCAAGATCTTCTCTCACCTTAAACCTGATTTTCTTATATTGTTCCTTCTTTGAGTTAATGTAACTTGTACAATCCAGAAATGTATAAGTAATCCTTATACTTCCATATCCAGTTCATTTATAAGCCATAAGATTTTACCTCCTGAATATCTCTGATGTTTTTCCATTTCTTTTTGTCCTTGCAGTCACCATTCCACTCCAAACTACTATCATCTTTCCCTCACACTGCTGTAATCAATCCCTAATTGGTCTCTCTACATCTACTCTTGCAGGCATGCAGTGGGCAGTGGGATGATCTTGGCTCACTGCAACCTTCACCTTCCAGGTTCAAGCGACTCTTGTGCCTCAGCCACCTGAGTAGCTGGGATTACAGGTATGTGCCACCATGTCCTGCTAATTTTTGTAATTTTAGTAGAGATAGGGTTTTGCCATGGTGGCCTGGCTTGTCTCAAAACTCCTGACCTCAGGTGACCTGCCCCCCTCAGCCTCCTAAAGTGCTGGGATTATAGGTGTGACCCACCGCACCTGGCCTCCAATTGGTTTTCTACAGTACAACCAGTATTATATTTCAAATCTGATCTTGTCACCCTCTCACTTTAAGCTTTTTAGTGCTTCTCATGGGTCTTAGGATCTTACAAGGCCCTGCATGATCCAGCCCGTTTGTCTCTCCAACCTGGCCCTCATCTCACACATTCTCTCACTTTGTTTTTGCTTGCATTCTTTCCTCTTCCTGGAATCAATCTATCTATCTATCTATCATCTATCTATCTATCTCTTCCATATTTCTTACACACACGCACAACTTTCCTTAGTTGAATCAAACACACTTTTCCTAAATACTCACATAAACAAGCCTTCATAACCTGCCCCTCCTTCACCTCTAACCCCCTCCCCATTATATCTCCTCATAGCACAATGTGCCTTTCCTTTACCATTTTATCACAGTGTCTAATTATGCATTTATTTAAGCTTATATAACTGTTTTACTCCATGACTATCCTGGAAGCCCCCTGAAGTCATATTCTTAATACTAAACAAGGCTTGGCCCAGGAAACCACAAATATTTTATTGAATTTGACCTATTAAGTTTGACCAAGAGGCCATAGACAAGATTAGGTTTAAAGTTCAAAATATCAAAGTTCAGGATCATGCTTGGGTCAAGCTGGAGAAGAGGTGGTCTTGGGATTCTAGGCCTCATATTTAATGCTCTGTGGATGTGCAGGTGAGTCATGCTGCCTCAAAGAAAGGGAGCAAGGCAGATGCTCTCACCGTCTCAAAGGATTGTAAATTAAATAACACTATGCATGCAAAAGTGTTTTATAAGCTAGAAAAGCTGTTGTTCATAAATTTGATTTAAGCCCATATAATGTGAGATAAGATTGATGAAGGCAGGGAAAGTCTTTTATCCACAGCTCTAACCCCAGTGCTGAGAACAGTAGCAGAACATAGTAGAAGCTCACTACTTGCTTATCAATGAATAAATGGATATCCCTCTTATTAAAATAAGCTAACAGAAGAATTTCTTAACCACATTTGTTGAATGATTAAATCCTATTCTTTGAAGTGTCAGGCTGTCCTTAGAGAGATTTAATTCAAAGGTTCTGGAAAATAAGATAGAATTTCATATATGAAATGGTTTTTAAAAATCGAGGTGGTAGAACACCTAAGATAATCCCTTTAGGATAATTTCAAGTTATATTTCCTTAGTTAATGGCTATTAATCCTTAAAAATCAATGCAAGCACCATCTCCACTGAAAAGCCTGTCTTCACTCCCAGTCTAAGTATTCAACACACACACACACACACACACACACACACACCCCTGAACTTCTGTGGCTCTATGGGAATATTTCTTTCATAGCACTCTTCTCACTGTTTTGAAATACACTGAGATCCTTTCCACAGTCTCTAAGTTCCGTTAGGATAGCAACATTGTCTTATTCTTCTAATGATTGCTAATTCCTAACATAGTATTTGGCACTTAGTAGATGCTAAATAAGTTTTCGTCGAAATGACCTGAATCTTTGAAGACTTTCAGAGATAGTATCAATTTTATAACCTGATTTACTCATGCATTAGCTTTCAGCTGGTTTTTCAGCTAATCCCTGTTCATACCTGGAAGGAATGATAACATATCATTTCATAATAACTTTCTGGACCACTTTCAAGGTACCAGATTAATTTTAAAAGAATTCTGATCAATACTAGTTTAAATTAGGTATCAGAAAATCCAATGCATACATAAGTGTTTGCTGTATTTATATAAAGCTAAACTCAACAGTTTCTTCCATTTCCTTTCTTTCATTTAGCATGACATTTTAGCTGATATTCCTGAACTGCTGGATAGAGCAAATACATTTCTATTACAGCCAGTATTTTCCCATGGGATTCTGCCAACAGGTGCTCCAGCTTCTTAATTATCTGTACACTTTCCCTTTACTTTTTAATTACTAAAACAAGAGAATTTACTGCAATTGCTGAAAAGGCCAGATCTATTTAAATAAATAAGGCTATTCTGGATTACATACAGAATTAAATTAGGGGACCAACTGTTCCCCAACATTATATGATATATGGTCAACAGACAGCATCCTGGTGTTTTCTTTCCTGTACCTTCACTCAGCTTTGAAATTTTGGGGAAAAAGATATTTCAGGGCAATATCTTTATATTCACAACTCTCAATATTCCAAACACAGAAGGAAAACCTCACTCTTAAGAAAACCTAGCTTAATTTTCCCCCTTCCAAAATTACATACCAGCATAAGTCCATATATTCCAGATAACTTTCTTTGGTAAACATATAACTGTGTTATCCATCTGTGCAACCTCCATATATCTTTAAAACACCGCAATCCACAGAAAACTGTCTTTAAAAACAAACAATGTGAAAAGTATACAAATGTTTGATTTATTTTTCTGAAGAGAGACCTTCCCAGGAAAAAAGTTTACTGCAATATATTCAAGGTATGTGGTTTGTCTTGGGTGAAGAGTGGTGAGGGTGAACAGGGAGTCATTTTTCTGCAGTCTTCACTGTTATAGTTCTAGTCATATTTCCAAAAATGTTTATGATTTTCGAAGTTTTTTAAAAAAAGTTAGATTTGCCATGTACAAATCCTGAACTCCTCTGATGTTGCTTCATTCTTCTTTTTCCAGTAATTTTATATGTTGCTTTACATACACATGTGCAGAAGGAACACGTAAAATGCAGGTAAAAAATCTGCATTATTTCGACATATGGTTCTGGCAAAACTTTTTAAAAGCTTACTTTATTTGTCTGACTGATTTCAACTGTATTCATCACCTCCTGTTATTTTCCCTTCCCCCAAATCTCTTGCCTCAACAGAATTAACATTCTTATATGTTCTGTTTCCAAAGAACAAACTAAAGAAGCATCCCAACCATTATTGCTCTGCAGCGGCCCCTGCTGGTAAAAGACACTATACAATTTGTCCTTTGTCAGCTCTGCTTGTCAAGCCTGAATTTCCAAGGAACCATGCCACAGTCTAGCCACAATCAACCTGCAGCTTCAGCAGGTCCTAGAATGGGGCTGCTTAACCATCTGCAGGGCAGCAACTATTGCTTGTTTTCAGTGTGGAAAGAGAATGCCAGAGGAATACATATTTTGTATGAGTCTTTATTTTCCTTGTTTCTAGAACACATAAGAAAAAAAGGGATTTGAAACTGACTAAAATGATAAAAGGAAATCAATGCAGCAAAACATAGACCACCTGAAAATCTTCAGTTGAAGTACAAGTTGTGGCATGATGTCAAAGAGGCATTCTTTTCACGGAGAAGGCATATTAAATTATGCTAGTGCTGACTGCGCCTCCAAGGACTGTTGATAGATGCTTACAACAAGAAAATCTTCCTTTCTGGTTGACCTTAAAAGCTGTCTTACCCCAGGCCTTAAACGTTTCAATGTGAACATAAAACATTTTTTTCATTGATCTTATAAAAAAAATTTTCAACTTGTTCTCCTTAGTTGTTGCTTATCATCTGCCTATGCATATGGAAAGATATATATGTATATATATAGAGATGTACAGATATATTAATTCTCAGCTAAAGAATAAATACATTTATCATTCAGAATGACAGAACCAGAGTGGAAAATACCCAGGTGATTGCAATTTGTTTTGCCACGCACCCATGAAAACTCCCCGTAGTGAAAAGAAAATAGAGCAGTCAGGTTATCATAATAGAATGTATCTATTTTTCTCACGTTTATCATTGTATTTAAGCCAATCTTCTCAAACGCAGCAAAATGTGTACATTTTTAATAAGGATACTATTCCCCCAGGATTGAGCTGAATGGGGGGAAAAAGGCTGCAGAACTAATCTGCATGAACCTGAGTTGCGTAATAGGGGAAAACAAGACTTTGGGAGAAATAAAAGAGACAAGAACAATGGGAGACAGGAAACAGGACACAGAAGACAATTTGATTTGAAGATTTGGAGTATGTGCCTATTTTGGTTTCAGGAAATGTGTCTTTAAAAGGAAGGGAGAATATGCCTAAAACAATGGAAGATCCATTATTTTTTGTATACAATCTCAACAGAAATAACATGCCTTCAAAAGAGTAGCCTCAGGGTAACTTCTAATTCCTGTTTGATGAATATTATAATTTTATTTAATAGCAAATGGTACCACTAGATATGTCAGCTACCAAACGACTATTAACCAAGCCAGGTATTCCAGGTAGATTAGGCTGTGATTTTTGCAGGCTTCTCACTTAGCAACATCACGCAATGGGCAAGCCAAGGTACCAGAGGCCACCAAAGCATGGCTAGAGTAGTGCCTATTTTAATGAAACAGAATCATCCAAGTACTTTTGTTTTCCTATTCGAAAACCAAATTTGGCCTCAAAGAGCCATCTGATATAACAAAGCAGCACAACCCAGGCTGATAGAATGATAGCCTCTTCGGCAAAGCTGCTAAATAGTTGTACCTTTCAAAGCAAATGAAGACAAAGAAACCCAAACCAGACACTGTATGTTCCCTCAGTAGAAAAGATAAACTTTCACGTTGTGACAAGGAATTCTGACATATGGCAAACCTTGACAAAGCATCAGGGTACAGATGAGAAACTGTTAAGTCATCTGACCTTTGTCTGTACTCTGTTTGGCAGACACTCACAAAAATACTACCCAAGAAATATCACTTCCATAAAGCAATGCAAAAAAGTCACTAATGTATTATCAGATCTGGCAAGAAGAATGCTCTAGAATTTATTCACTGTTAATGAATTAACAATAGTAGGAGTATATTTATATGCTTTTGTGCAAAAAAAAAAAAAAAAAGACAGTAAGGTTTCATTATGCCAATGGGTATATGCTCCTTTGACAACCTTTGTGGCAGCGATTATAAAAGCAGAATCTTGGGGGGAAATGTCATGAGGGCTCAGCTTATTAAATTTTGTAAATCATAAGGCTTGTCCGTGAATGCGGAGCACTGCAGCTGATTTAGTCGTTGGCCTAGAAACTCCGCTGTTAGGACCATTAAACAGGTCCAGAGTTTAAGTTGCACTGTAAATTACACTCAAAAGAAACAGGCAGAGACTTTCGCCTTCATGTTTTCTGTCTGTGAACACTGTCACCGCAGCAGCCCTGTGAGATGGTGTCAGAATTTTACAATGATGCATCAAACTAGTGCACCTCGATTGAGCCCGCCTGAGACTATTGCAGAGTTCTGTTGTGAATTTAAATATAAAAAATAGAGAACCAAATTAAATTAGGCTTTTTCTATTTGAAAAATCTTCACAGCTGGAAGAGATACAACCAATATTCTTTTTAGGTTATGCCAGCTTTTACAGTCACTTTCAACAAATAGCTATCATTAAAAATAGCAAGGACGATGCAGTTGATCGTTTAAAAATAAAGGGTTGTCATTTTGATTTTTTTCTTAAAAGAAATAATGAATTGCCTATAGCTACCATGACTGAAACACCCCTTTAGAGGCTACAAATAAATGAAGCCATAAGGAAAGCAAAGTCATATGTCAAAGAAATCTGATCCAATTAATCATTCTTTGTAGCAGTTCTGTCATGAAACTTTCTAATGTTTTGTTTCTATTGAGATGTAAACTTCTAGCTGGTAATTTGGAGCCTACTCAGTTATTTAATGTTCTGTTAATTTTTTAAAATGAAGTTGTTTCATACAAGACTAAGTTTTGAAAGTTTCTAGTGGCCAAGTTACAAATAGTCAATTATTTCATAAGAACTGGGAAAGGAATTATTTTCTAAAATATACCAACTAAAGGAAAATAGTTTGAGGTATGAAATATAACATTATTGTGCTTATATTTTGAAAAAAGTGTGGCATTCTATAAGTGTTGCATAGTTGTAATATTTAACTGGCTGAAAATAAATATCAAAATGACCCCTATTATACTTATATAATCTGAGGATATGTGTTTACATTTTCACAAAAAGAAAACGTTTCTATTCAAAATCACTTCTAAAATGACGCCCTAAATATAGTAAACATTCAATAAATGTTGGTTGATGATAAGTCCAATTCTGCCCATTCTATAGAGTTTTGTAAGCATAAAATCTTCATTTTGTTCTCCATGGTAAATTCACCTAAGCCAATTGCCACTGGTAATTTATTAATATATCTACAAAGCCCTCTTCAAGGCAAAAGAAAATTAATGTCAATCATTGATTGAGTGCTTCCCACTGTTCCCCAAGATCCTGTATACCCAGTACTTTATGACATAACGAAACAGAATGCAGCTTGCTGAAATTGATTACAAACTTTTTCCCACTTGGACATTTTTTATGTTAAGACACAAGAATCCAATTTGGAAGATATGATTAAAATGTGGTATGATATCAATAGAAGAAGGAAAGGGCGGAAGTCAATACTGTGAGGGCTAATAAAGACAAATGTACTGTGATTCACCAGGGAAGAAATAATGGATGAAAAATTGAATATGATTCAGCAGTGTAACACTGTCACCAAAAGGCAAATGCTATATCGGATTGCATTCATAGACATATCATGAAAAACAAGCAAGGTAATTTTTCAGCAGCAGCATTTCTTAACCCTATTGGTTAGGCCAAAGTTGGAAAAGTGCAGCACTTTGGGCCACAATCATTACACAGAAAGTTACACAGAGTTTACAGGAGAACAAAAAAACAAGCACAAAGAAAAATAAATAAATAAGTACATGTCGATAGAAGATAGCTAGATGGACAAAAGAAACTATCAAGCACAAGTCTTAGAAAATCAGACTTGCTTTCAGAGATCAAGAGAAGTCAGTTGACGTTCAGCCTAAAAGCAAAGCCAAGTAAGGGAGGAAATAAAGATGCATAAAGGGAACAAGGTCTCAAAAGAAGCGGCTGCTTTCATTAGGCAGCAACAGGACCAGCAACACATGGATGCCAGTTGTTTCCTATCATGATTTACATTAAAGATAAAGAACAATCTCTAGCATATAGACAAGCAATGGTATGTCTGGGATATCAGTTGCCGGATATACTTAAAAGAATAAGTATACTCGATCTTTCAAAAGTGGATTAATGAGTACATGGCTAAAGAAACCTTCAAATATTTATAGCTATTTTCCGGTCTATACAATAGGATACCCAGTCAGATCACTAAAAGAGCAAAACGGAAAAACAAACAAACAAAAATCTGGGGAAATTGAGCTTGAAATTATAGACTCCAGGAGTCAAAGAATCTCTACTTTATCAAAAATAAATTATCTTAGAATAAAAAGATAGGAAAAATATTTGCTAATTGTATCAAGAACTTACTATATACCAGGCAGTGTCCTGTATTTTTCACCTATAAACTCCCATTTGGTACTTAAACCATCTTAAGAGCTATATACTAACTCCATGAGAAACTGAGATCTAGAATTGGTAAGCAGTTTTGCCCATAAGTTCCCACAATCAGGATTTTGAACTCTAGCGGTCTAGTTGCAGGGCTTTCGTAGGCTGTCCTGCCTTTCAGTTCCCAAGGAATATACCACAGAGTCTGATGGAACTAAATAGCATGGGCTAGGATGATAGCTAAAGCATGTATCAGTAGATAATGGCAGTTGATGAGTAAAGAAATAGCCTTATGAGGCAAAAGGAGAAAATTAGAATAGGAGTAAGGAAAGCTTTATTTCTTAATGCATGGCAATAATATTAGAAAACATATTGTGAAAGAGTAAGGAACATTCTTTCTGGTGGCTTTCTAAAATTCTAAATAGTTCAGATTTTCATTTTGCTGTGATGATTTTGTGAAACTTTTTCTGAATGTAGAGTATTAAGTTATTCAAACTCTTATAGCATATGATTTACATAAATCATAACATTGCTTTGGAAACATCACACTAGGGCCTTCAAAGAGAATATTTAAGTTGTCTAATATAGATTAATTTAATATTTAATTTCTATCTAATATAGATTAATCTCATTAATAGGGGCAACTGGCTACAAAAATCACATCCTCAAATTTTGCATCTCTTGAGTCCCAGAGAAAGAAGAAGCAGTTAGAAATGGGAATTGAGAAGCACCAAAACATGTTCAGGATTATGACAATTACCTAAATCGTATCACTACGGTATAAGCACACTCAATTTAGAGACATTATTCAAAGATGCATTCATAATATAAGAAAGAAGGTCTAGTTGACAAACAGATATTGCATTTATATTGCTTCTTATAAAAATAGAAGGATTATAACTATCATAATTTTCTCTTGCCCTTATAGCTTCCAGGTATTCCAATGCCTTGGTATTCTGTTTCTCTTATTAATATTTTTCCCCTCACCTGAGCTGGTATCATTGAAAGCATATTTTATTTCTGGCCAAAATAATGGGTACAAATGACAAAACCATGATCTTAGAGTTGATATAGGACTCGGTCCTTCAATTCTCATCTGTTACCACTTTGAACATGTTCACAATAGCACAAGCCTACTGGCGATCTTTCCCCACCTGTCCATTATTCTGTTCCTCCCCACTATCCAGGGACCTTTAATGACCTTCCCAACAACATGATGTTCCTTCATAATGTGTTCATTTATCTGTCCCTTGTGGATAAAACTGCATAGATAAATGGTCACGCCCTTTCTGCTCAAGGAATTATCTCATTAAAACTGCTATGTTGGAGATGAAAACTTTTGTCCAATACAATTTTTATCTCTCACATGTAATACTGGTGAATTTGTTAACTTAATACTAGATCATAAAAATAAATAAAGTGGCCTGGTGCGGTGACTCAGGCCTGTAATCCCAGCACTTTGGGAGGCCAAGGAGGGTGGATCACAAGGTCAGGATATTGAGACCACCCTGGCCAACATGGTGAAACACCGTCTCTACTAAAAACACAAAAATTAGCTGGATGTGTTGGCGCATGCCTGTAATCCCAGCTACTCAGGAGGCTGAGGCAGGAGCACTGCTTGAACCAGGCAGTCAGAGGTTGCAGCGATCTGAGATTGCACCACGGCACTCCAGCCTGGTGACAGAGCAAGACTCTGTCTCAAAAAATATAAATAAATAAATAAATAAATAAATAAATAAATAAAGTGGATAAAGAAACACTTTATTATTTTTATCTAGTGTTAAATTAATAAATTCACCAGTATTTTTATGAGATGTAAAAATTGTATTAGACAAAAGTTTTTATCTCCAACATAACAGTTTTAATGAGAGAATTCCTTGAGCAGAAAGGGATAGACTGGATAAAGAAAATGTGGTACACACACATCATGGAATACTATTCAGCCATTAAAAAAATGAGAAAATGAGATCATGTCTTTTGCAGGAACACGGACAGAGCTGGAGGCCATCATCCTTAGCAAACTAATGCAGGAACAGAAAACCAAATACTGTGTGTTCTCACTTATAAGTGGGAGATAAATGATGAGAACACATGGACACATAGAGGGAAACAACACACACTGGGGCCTACAGGAGGGCAGTGGGTGGGAGGAGGGAGAGGATTAGGAAAACAAATAATGGATACTGGGCTTCATACCTGGCTGATGAAATAGGCTGTATAGAAAACCCCCCATGACACCGTTTACCTATGTAACAAACCTATGCACCCTGCACATGTACCTCTGAACTTAAAAGTTAAACAAACACACACACACACACACACACACACACACACACACAAACACAAAATAAAATGTTTTTTTTTTCTGGATCCTAGATCCTGAGCTTCCTCAAAACAAAAACAAAACCAGTAACATTGTTTACATTAAATGCTGGCTCTTAACTGTTCTTTATTGAATATCCACTAAGGATAAAGCATTACTCAAACCCAGGAAGATTTAGAACAAACAGTCTTGGCTCAAATATTGGTTCTGCTACTTACTAGCTGTATAAATTGGAAACTTAACACTCCTGCACCTATTTCTGCTTGTTTAATGGGAATAACTTTACGTATGATGCCAGGATGACTATAAAAGTTAGAAGACAAATCAAATTACTATGGTCTTGCACGTAGCAAGCACCCAAAAAGAATGATGACTGTTTTTTTTTTTGTTTTTTGTTTTTTGTTTTTTGAGACGGAGTCTTGCTCTGTCACCAGGCTGGAGTGCAGTAGCGTGATCTTGGCTCACTACAACCTCCGACTCCCTGGTTCAAGCGATTCTCCTGCCTCAGCCTTTCAAGTAGCTGGATTTATAGGCACACTCCAAAGAACCTAGCTAATTTTTTATATTTTGAGTAGACATGGTGTTTCACCATGTTGGCCAGGATGGTCTCAATCGCTTGACCTCATGATCCGCCCACCTAAGCCTCCCAAAGTGTTGGGATTACAGGCGTGAGCCACTGCGCCAGGCCGAATGATGACTCCTAAGGTTACAGTTATACTGTAATAAAATGCTAAAGAGCATTAGAAAGCCTAAGAACAGACCAAAAGAAGGTAGCAGATTCTTGCACAGAAATCCTGAGAGTTGGAATTGGAAGGGCCTCTGCCAGTCTTCCATTCCTATGGACTTCCTTTGTCCCCCAGGACTTCTTCAGTTATAGGGGAGTTTCAAGAAAGTAGAGTGCCAAACCTCACATTCCTTCCAAGAGAATATCAGAATTTATTTGTTTAGTTCACCAAGCTTTCAAATAATGTTTTATTTGATAAAATGTTTCTTTTAGTGGGATAACCTTGGAAGCTATGTGAGATGTCCAGAGTTCATCCAGGTATTAATTTTTCATTCTTAAGAGTTGAGATTTTAAAAGCTTTTTAAACTACATAATAAAAACACACAATTTAGTTAAGTTCAGGGTCTCTAACATTAAAAGGAAAAAATATTCTGCATATTTTATGAGCCACAGAAATGCAAAATCCAATAATTAAGTATAGCCTGGGAGAAGATTACGGAGCAATCTGACTTTTGGACTCTATGATTAATTTTGACTTTAAGTTATGAAATCCTTGTCAGATACAATGCACAGGATCAGTTTGTCCTATCCACATCACAAAGAACCAGTTGCTTCTTGACCAGAAACTCTGATTATTAATAACTTCAGCAAACTGAGAAGGCAACCAAAAGCATCACGTGAGCAAGCTACCCTCAAAAGTGTTTGAGGAACAAAATTGTACCTCCCAAAGGAAACATTGTTCAAGCCAAGCAAATGTAGAACAAATGTAGAATATTTAAGATGATCATTTATTCATTCAGCAAATATTTATTGAGTAGTACTAGGTGCCAAGTACTATTCTGGAAACTGTGGAGACATTCATGAGCAAAACAGAAAAAGTCTCTACATTTGTAGACCTTGCTTTCTAGTCAGGAGATAAATACAGTAAACATTATTATCAAGTATAGCTGATGATACCAGTGAGTGCCCTGTTTACATTTCCTCTACACTCACTAGTTGAAGACTGTTAACTGTGAACAACTGCAACTCTCTGCCCAAGCACAAGAAGCACACTCCGCCCACACTCAAGGCAAGGCAGAAATGACTGTGGAAGTCCTGAAAGCAGCTCTCAACCAAGGACAGAAGGGGGTCTGGTAGATCCATACCCCATACTCCTCACCTTTTGGTGTAAAGCTACTGAGCCTTGGTTGTCCACAGAGATATTCTGCTTAATAATCTACCTCCCCCTGACTTGCTACCCTACTCCCCTGCCTGTTTTGCTTGGAGTAAATCCCCAAATAAACTACTGGCTCAAATTTTATCTCAGGATCTTCTTCTAGGAGAATGTGTCTGCTTCTAAACAAATAAATCATATAGTATATTAAAAGGGCCAGGCGCGGTGGCTCACACCTGTAATCCCAGCACTTTGGGAGGCCGAGGTGGGTGGATCACGAGGTCAGGAGTTCGAGACCAGCCTGGCCATCATGTTGAAACCCCATCTCTACTAAAAATACAAAAAATAGCTGGGCATGGTGGCAGGTGCCTGTAATCCCAGCTTGAGAGGCTGAGGCAGGAGAATCATTTGAACCCAGGAGGCAGAGGTTGCAGTGAGCCGAGATCGTTCCATTGCACTCTAGCCTGGGAGACAGGGCGAGACTCCATCTCAAAAAAAAAAAAAAAAAAAGGTGGCACATGCTATGGTGCTATGGAAAAATACAGAGTTCGTTAGGAGAGATCTGGATTAGAGGACAGGGATAAGGTGGGGGAAGGCATTTGAACAAAAACTTGAAGGAGATAAAGGGGTAAACCATGGGATATCTGAGGGAAAGCCAATGCAAAGACCCTGAAGCCACTGTATGCCTGGTTCGTTCAGGACCTGGGCCACCATTATGACTGTGATGGAGCATGTGAAGGAGAGAAGATGCTGTGAAGCAGAAAATAGGATGCAACAAGGAACATGGCAGCTGTGGGTGGGAGGGTTAAAGACTTTGTAAGGCCATAATTATAAGGATTCTGGGTTTTAGCCCAAGTGACATAGTGATATGGAAGGATTTGAGCAGAGGAGTGACATTAATTGACATGTTATAAAAGCTTTTTTTTTTTTTTTTTGTTACTGTATTGAGAAAGAACTGTAAGATAGATGTCAAAGGTAGGCACAGGGGGACCAGTTGCACATCTATTACAAAATGCATGCAAGAGTCAACCAAGGCATTAAATAAGGAAAAGAAATAATGTACTTTTTAAAAATTCTAGTGGAAACATTAAGCATGAAGAAAGTAATAGATGGGGCCGGGTGTGGTGGCTCATGCCTGTAATCCCAGCATTTGGGGAGGCTGAGGTGGGTGGGTTGCTTGGATTCCAGGAGTTTGAGACCAGCCTGAGCAATATGGCAAAACCCTGTCTCTACAGAAAAATACAAAAATTGGCCAGGCTTATTGACACACACTTGTAGTCCCAGCTACTTGGGAGGCTGAGGTGGGATAATCAGTTGAGCTTGGGAGGCAGAGGTTGCAGAGAGCCATGATCATACCACTGAACTCCAGACTGGGCAATACAGCAAGACCCTTTCTCAAAAAAAAGTAAGATGTAGAACAAATAGATGGAATAAACAGCAAAATGGATACAACTAAGGAATGGATTGACTTTGAAGATCAGTTTCAGGAACTCTCCCAAGCAGCAGGGAAAGACAAAATTCTGGCTTGTGAAATCAATTTAGTGAATTTTGACCAGCTTTGAGAGAGAACAGAACAGAATGGGACAGGATAGAATAGACTAGGAAAGAATCACTGCACGGCACATAATAATGCTAAGAATAGTTTGTGAAACCTTTAGTTATTTTTATTTTTATTTTTTTTATGTCTATGTATACCGAGTTGCTGTGTAAAATGAATATTTTAGTGTAGGTCACAATAAAAAATGTTTGAAAGCTAAAAAGAAAAAGAGTCCATCAAGAGGTGAATAGATAAATTGCATTGTATTTACATACAATGAAATATTATTCAGTCATATAAAGGAATGGAATAATAAACCTCAAAAATATTATGCTAAGTGAAAAAGGGCAGACACAAAAGGTCAAATATTGTATGATTCCATTTATTCAAAATATGCAGAATAGGTAAATTCTTAGAGACAGAAAGCAGATTAGTAGTTTCCATGGGTTGTAGGGAAGAGGGTTGAGGAGTAACTGCTTAATGAGTATGGGCTTTATTTGGGAATTATGAAAATATTTTGGAAGATGGTGGTTACACAACATTGTAAATATACTAAATGTCACTGAATTATTCAATGTAGAATGATTAATTTTAATTTATGTGAATTTCATCTCCATTTCTTAAAAATCTAAAAAGAAAAAACAAGGGATGAGGATGGCTTGGACCACAGGCTTAATGATGAAAGTGATGACAGTAGTATGATTCCAGACATATTTTATAGGTAGAGTCAACAGCATTTCAAAATTGGATGCCAGTGTGAAACTCAAGGTGACTCCAAATTTTGGGACTTGAACAACTGTAAGAAATAAGTTGCCATTTACAGATATTGGGAAAATTGCAGTTGGAGCATGTTTAGGGTAGAAGATCAAGAGTTTAGTTTTGAATATGTTAAATTTGAGATGTCTATTAGGCAGTGTCTTAGTCAGTTCAGGCTGTTAAAACAAAATAGCGTAAACTGGGTAGCTTACAAACAATAGAAATTTACTTCTCACAGTTCTCGAGGCTGGAAATTCCAAAATCAAGGCACTGGCAGGTTCAGTGTCTGGGAAGGGGCCAATTCCTGATTCACAGAAGGCACCTTCCTGCTGTGTCCTCAAGTGGTGCAGGGGCAAGGCCTATTTTATGAGTGCTGATCCCATTCGTAAGGGGTCCACTCTTACGACCTAATTACTTCCCAAAGGCCCTACCTCCTAATACCATCATCTTGGGGTTAGGATTTCAACATATGAATTTTGGGGGAACACAAACTTTCAGACCATGGCCGACCGTTAAGTGGAGTTTGACATATCTAGTATTAAGGGCAAAGATCTGAGCTGGAATCACATCCATTGTGTTTTTATTTTTGTATAAAGGAATCAGTGGATATTTGGTATTTTAAATGTCTTGAATTTAACAGAGTCAGCTTATTAATGTAACACATCAGCTTTGTAATTCTGAGTTAAAGTGTGTAACTAAAATTTAAATGTCTTTGTGATTTTAAGTAGAAGTACTAGCTTTAATATATTAGATCATTTTTAAAACCTTAAGTGCTCCATACTTGTAATTTTAACTTATGAGGTCCATAAGAAATGATTAAATTCTTGACATGTATCAATCATGTTAATGATGTAATTAAAAATAAAAGAAAATATATTAAATCTATTAGCAAAGTTTAGATGATTTAAAGGTGTATATACTTGCAAACAGACCTAAGAGTTATTCAAATGCCCTGAAGTTATTGTAGCTTTATAAGCAAAATAGTAAATTTTGTCAAATAAACCTAAAAATTTAAAGAAGAATTCAGTGTTTAAATGTCTAACCTTAATAAAATGAATAGTATTCTTTAAAAGCAAGTTAACTCCTGAATGGTCTCTTCTACACACAAACCAGCCCCCAGCTGATCAACAAATTCACATTCAATAGCTTGCTTTGATGAAAAATGAAGTTGAATGCCCAGTGTGTAGTCAAGCATATTTCTGAGGACCAGAGAAATTAAATATACTCCCTAGAGTTTCAAAATTAAGATTTTTGATACTTTTTGGTAGTATTCATGCCTAAAAGGAGCTATGGTTTAACTGCGAGTCTTTTGGGGAGTTTTGGCATTCTATGACACATGTCAAATTATTCTGGAAAATATTTGGAGGCCCATCTCATTAAGGCCCATGACGCTTTTATTGTTATTGTTGTTTTAACTATTCAACACAACACATGCGAGATTTAATCCAATATGCTTTGTAGGACATGATATTTACTGCTCATTAGGGCAGAATAGACTTGCCCAATGCATTCCAATAAGTCACAGCAATGCTACAATGAATACAATCCAAGAAAAAAACATGGAACAATTTGCTACAACAGACTGCTTTCATTTTTATCCAGTTCATTACCATATCTGGATAGAAACCACAGCAACAGCAGCAGTTTACAATATTAAGAAGAATTTGGGGAAACATAAAACTGTGCTGATTAAAATTTTTAAAAATATTGTGTATAAGCAATACTGAGCTCTATTGGATTGTAGCTATTTCTAAGTTTATAACCAATTGTTAATATTACAAGTGGGGTTTCATTGCGTTTATTCGTTTAAGGGCTTATTTAATGGTTTAAGGCATCTGAAACTTTTGGTTGCTCCCATAAGTAGAATTAATTTAGGTTGATTTGATAACTGATTATTTATGAGGCTGGTTGGGGGCCTAAATAAGGTGGAATAGTGATATTAAAGCAGAAAATCACTTTCAGTAGCTGAAGTTTCCGGCTATGCTTTCCATATTAGTTTTATTCAATGGGTAGTTCCTCATACCCCTCTAAATTTTTAACACTTGGGTACAAATCACAGAAAAAAAAAACGACAATTAGGAGTTACTTAAACACAGAAGAGTACCACATGAGATTTTGTAGAATGTGAGAATATGTAATCTAATCTCTTAAAGAATGTCAGTCCTATTTGTCACTTTTTATCCAAACCATTTGACCTTATCTTTTTAAATATTTTGTTAGTTTATTTCCAAATATTTAACTCTAAGTACAGATGTGTATTTTTTTCTGTTAAAAAATTCTTACAGATTTTACAAATTCATTTTCAAAATAAATTGGGAAAATATCAGGATGTTTCAATTTTAAAAATCTCCTATAAATTCACTACCCAGAATGAACATTTTGGTGTATTTCTTTCATATATACACACACACAGAGAAAAACTCTTTATATACACACACACATATATACATATGTTTGTGTGTGTGTGTGTGTATATGTGTGTGTGTGTGTGTGCGTGTGTGTGTGCGCGTGTGCGTGTGTATAAAAAGTTTTATGCCAGGGTGGTGGCTATTTAGGAGACCAGGTGGGAGGACTGCTTGAGTCCAGGAGTTTGAGGCTGCAGTGAACTATGATCACACCACTGCACTCCAACCTGGGCAGCAGAGCAAGACCCCATCTCTAGAAAATAAGTAAATAAACAAAGAGTATTAAAAGCAAATTTGGGATAATATATTTAATCTAGCTTTGTGTGTGTGTGTGTTAAAAACATTTAATATGAGATCTACCAATAACTAATTTTTAAGCATACAATATAATGTTAACTATAGTAATGATATTGTACAGCAAATTTCTGTTTTCTTGCATAACTGAAACTTCATACCCTTTGAATAGAAACTCCTCATTTCCCCCTTTCCCCAGCCCCTGGCAACCACCATTTCTATTCTGCTTCTATAAGTTTGACCATTTTAGATACCTCATAATTCATATTTAGTATTCTCTCCTCCCTAGGTAATTTTATTTTGGTCATTTTCCCGAACCTGTAAATATTCATGGAAAATAGTTTTTGATGGCTATATAGCATTTCATCATATAAATGTATCCTAATTTATTTAACCATTTCTCTATGGTTAAATAATTATGTTCTTTATTGTTTATTACTACATAACTACATCATTAATGCCTAAAAATATGTATGTGCCAACAGAAAACAAAATTGACTTAAAAATATATAGGGAAGTTCCTAAAGAGATAAAATATTATTTATTTTTAAAAATCTGTTCTATTTTCTTTCTCCTTAGAGACACAAACTTTGGTAGTATATTTTAAGCATTTAATAGGTGTGCTTTGGTTTTCTTCTTTTTTCTCATAAATGAATTTGCAATCAATTAGCTTAATTCTATTGAGTCTAATGATTCTCTCTTGTCTACATGCCAAATTTTCATTTTATCTCAACTATCTTCATTTGAGAGTTTTATTTTTTATTACTCGTATAAGCATTTTCCTGTTTGCATTCTCTAACATATTTTTGGACAATAGTGAGGATAAAATAGAATAAAATATTCAAATAATTGCACAAATACTGTTCTGAACACAAACCTAACATCACCATCAGAGCTGAAATAATAGCTGACATATTATCTGTATACACCAGCAGCAGAAATTACTACTAGCTAGTCAGCCTAGGAATCATAATATTAATAATTTATTGGAAGGGCATGAAGTTGTTTATAGGACCAAAAGGAAGTAAGATGGGAATAGGCAGCAGGCAGTCCCTATCTCAGTCACAGGAAACACCTGGAAGTCCCGCCTTGGCACTGCTATGATAAGAATAAATAAAATCTGTTTCTGCGTCATCCCATTCAAGGTTCAGTTTTCCCTTGAGGAAGTATATCTAGTTGGTCAAGATGCTCTTGACAGTACCGGAGTTAAGAAGAAGGATCTATATAGAGTAAGGGATCTACATGGCCTTTTTAGTTTCTCTAGTAAGAAAGCAAGCACATGGAGTTACCTTTCCACTCAGTCTTCATGGGATGAAGGAGAGGGAATTACTGGAGGGAGAGTTGGGGTCCTCTTCAGTAAAAAAAAAAAGAAAAAAGAAAAAAGAAATGAATGCTAGAATGCAAAGCTCCATGAGGGCAGGAATCTATCTTTTTTGTTCACCAGTGCAACATATAGTAGGTAGTTAGTAAATATTTTTTGACTGGAATTGGATAGGCACCAAAAACAGGAGGGAAGGAAGGAAGGAAAAAAGGAAAAGAAAGGGTAAGATCTAAAAGTAATTCTAAGGTAAATTTTATTTTAATAAATGGAGAGTCAAGCTAGGTGACACTTTTCTTTCAACTACAATAAGGAATGACTCTAAAGTAATGTAATCGATTTTCTTGGGTGGTTCACATATTGACTTTGAAGGCAATTTTCAAAGGGAAGCTCTAAAATGATCTTAAACAATGGCAGTAATGTTGGTGTAATATAGAACTCCCCTGTGGGGGCATTTTAAAGGACTCATTTGTATGTTTAAGTCCTGCTATGTAGGCTTTTAAAAAATTCATTTGTGGTTATACATTGAATATTTTCTATAAACTAATTGGTTAAGGAAAGCAATGTGAGGTATAGGAATACTAAGAGAAAAAGCAGGAAGGCCATCACTTTAAACATGATAGGCTTAATAAAATTTACAGATCAAATATAATTTCAGAGACCTAAATGATTTCTGAACACATTTTCAAGGCCTGCTAAAAGCTATACTAATAGTTACTATATATCTAATACTGACTATGTATAAGGCATTTTACATTGAATTATCTATAATACTCATAACAACCACCCTGCTAAATAGATACTGCTGCTCCAAATTTACAGGTTAGGAAATTGAGGGTCATAAAGGTTGAATTGCCCAAAGTCATGCAGTCAAACGAGACAAAGCCATGATTTGAATCCCAGTTTGTTCAGTGCCATACCTTGAATGCAATACTGAATGTATACCTTAAATGCAATATTTTTACACTAAAAGCAAAAGGGCAAATGAGGCAATGTCCTCTTCTAAGATATGAATTAATGAGTATATTTATTACTTGCCTACACCTCCAAAATGCTCATGCACAAACCATTTAACATATTTTCTAAATGATGTGAAACTCAAGCAAGCAATTAATGTTATCAAACCCTTCCTTTAATTTTTTAAAACCAACTTATTTAACCATGTTTAAAATCTAACCACTCACAGGTTCATTGCAGCATTACTCACAATATCCAGGATACGGAATCAACCAACGTATCCATCAAGAAATGAATGGATAAAGAAAAAGTGGTATGTACGTACAACGAAAGATCATTCAGCCTTTAAAAAGAAGGCAATTCATTTGAGATAATATGGTTGAACCTAGTGCACAAAATACTAAGTGAAATAAGGCAGGCTCAAAATCAAATACTGCATGTTCTCACTCGTATGAGGAATCTGAAAACATTGAACTAGAGAAGTAGAGAGTATAATGGTGGTTACCAGGGGCTAGCAGGAGGGAGATGGGGAGATTCTGATCAAAGGGTACAAAGTTTTAGCTAGACAGAAGGAGGAGATCTATTGCACAGCATCGTGACTGTACGTAATAATAACATAGTATACATTTCAAAATTGCTAATACAATAGATTTTAAATGTTCACACCATTATCGCTTCTCGGCCTTTTGGCTCAGATCAAGTGAAATGTTCACACCACAAAAAATGAGTATGTAAGGTGATGGATACATAAGTTTGATTTAATAATTTCATAATATACACATATATCAAAACATCATATTATACCCCATAAATATATTCATTTGTCAATTAAAAATTAAAAATCAAATCATGTAGCCATATGTAATATTAATTTTAAAAATCAAAAGTACTTGAAACATTACTAAATTGATAGTGATAAACTTTCCATTAAGTGAATGGAACTTTAGCATATGATTCACATTTGCACTAAATTTATATTTTATGGCAGAAAAAAATGTCTTGTTTTCTATAATCACCAAGGAATAGGCCCATGGATATCCCTTGTAAGGACTCCTTGATGCCAGAGCCTATCAGCATAAAAAAGTAATAAAAGGGAGCTCACAAAGATCTAAAAAGTTTATGGAAAGAACAACTACTTCATAATGAGAGTTTCCAGATCACAAAGTAGAAAGAAGAAATCCAACTATAAATCTATATTCAGAGTATAGCAGGGGAAATAGGATATGAGGTAATTTTTTGCCTTATTTTTGAGCAGCACAAATCTTATGAACGGAGGTGGAAGTTATTCAATAACATTTATTGCAAGGTCTAGTTCAGTGCCTTCCACGGGTGTGCAGTCAAAAAATCTTATTTGGAGATGATATTTATGCAATGATAATCAGTCTATTTCAGCACAGCAATTTTGGGGGAGAATATTGTCTGTACTGAGGTTAAGCTTTGTCAAGTAAAATAATAAAAGGAAGGGCAAAGACCAGATGTGAAAAGTATTCAAAAGAGAAATTAAGGTTTATGCAAAATTTGCACAAGCATTGGCAATTACAATTCAGAAAAGTAAATGCATTTTCAGAAAACTTAGAAACACATTTGGCTACATGTAGAGAATGCATTGAAATCATACATGAGTTTCTTCTCCTCTCCAACTTTACCAACTGATGCCTATTTATTTACTCATTCAAAGACTAAAGATGAGGATACAGAAGGATTCTGACCCTTGTTTCAAGGAAGGGGGGATCAATTATATATAATTGAGTCCTATCACCTTTGCTTCTTGAGGTCTATGAATACTAAATTAAATTATAAGGACTACTGTAGTTTTGTAACATAAGAAATTAAACCAGGTAATTTTTTAATACCATGATTTAATGGTTTGGGTCAACTATATTAAATGCTTTAATATATAATATCAACTTAGGTTGATTTTAAGTTGAGAATCCTTATTTTCCTAGCCTGAATTAAAATTTATTTTCTCGTTACAACACACACAAACACACACACACACCAGGCCGCTCTCAGTGGACACTCAATGCTGATATATAAACAGAACATGTGTCAAAACAAAAACAAAAACAAAATCCAAGCTGACAGTTAATTTAGGAAAACCTATAGTTTTTATGAACATTTTATTTTTGATATAACTTTTATATGATATTTAGAAATAATAGAACTTTATATTATTCTTTGTCTACCTATTAAAAATAGAAACTTAAGGAATAACTTATGGAAAGGAATAAAATGAAGAAAAAGGAAAAGGTACTGCAGCTGTGACATTTATTTAAAGGTAGCATGTAGAATTATTTCACTACATTCACCACAAACATATTCGACATGTATGTTTTAGAAGTTGTTAAAAACAATAGGTAAAGTTCAAAAAGCAAATAACCAGAGTTGAGTCTGTTACCTTGACAGTCCCAAATTCTCATTTAACGATTGTATGCTCAGTAAAAAGAAAGCTACCCAGTCAACAGGACACTTGTTAGAAACCCAAATGGGAAAAAGGTCACTTACTGCAAACTTCAGGTTACCCAAAACCAAATCAGTTCTATGCTAAGGTTCGATTTTAGTTTTCTTAGAATTCTCTATATCCCCCTTCCTTTTTTGATGCATACACCCAGTTTGAAACTCAATGGTTGGCAGAACTCCATCTACAATTTCAGCTGTCAATCAAGAACAGTCACTTTCACTTGATCTTTTCTGATAGAGAAAGTTGGAAAGAAAAAAACCCAGGTTGTTTAGTTAGCAGAGACAATGAAACATAAGGAGAGATATTTCTCTTCCATTAATAGAGGAGATACGCAGCAAGTCAAGCAATGGAAGGGCAGGAAGCAGCCTTGTCCCCAGGAGCAGCAATCAGCCAAACAGCCTGAAAGGATCAACTAAAAATAAAAATGACTTCCTTTCTCTGGGGATTCTCATTTTACACAGTCTGCTCTCTGCGTCCATACTGTAACTTCATCTCTGACTTCATTCGGCAGGGAAGTATGATTTCACAACTTAAACAGACCCAGTTTACAGTAAATCTTTGCACGCAGACAACAGCAGGAAGCCTTGGGAGCAAGTCACTTTGAAAATAGGGAGGGCAAAACTGTATGTTGCATTGAGACAAGGCTCAAATAAATTATGTATTTGTTTTTGTTCAAACATATTAGATTCTACCCAAATACACACACACACACATATGCATATACACACACCCCACACACACTTTAGCAAATTCACAATTTGTCAAACTTTTCTCACTAGGCCTGGTATAAGCGCACACATACATATATGTACACACGTGTGTGCATGCATACACATGGAAGAGAGAAAAAAATATATAGTAAAACTCACAGAGATAACCCAAAATAGATAAACAATATTTTTTTTTCATTCCATGCAATGTTCAAATACTTAGTAATTACTAAAAAAGAATATACCTCATTCAGGAAAAAAAAAAGTTGTATGCTAGAATTGGGGGAAAATACCTTTCAGAATAGGGCTATATGTGAGTCTAGTTAAATTAGAGATGATCAAGTAAGAAGCATAAATCAAGCAGTGGCCAAATTAAGGAAGGTCAACCAAGACAAGGTGCGAACAGTTACCTATCCAATTTTTCAACGAGAACTTATTCATCTATTCAACATTCTTCATCCATTCAACACTCATAAATATTTAGTGGGCATTCACAATATTCCAAGTTCAAACTTGACTTTCAGTGAGTTCACAGATAACGGTTTCCAGGTGGCTAAATTTGACACATCTGGGAGTCAGGCAACAGGAATTCAGGTTAAAGAAAACAAAGAGAAAGATCAGATACTTGGGCAGATAGTGAAGCCAGTGAGAGAACCTGGGCCCTCAGGCCCCTGGATCCATCCTCTGCAGAGAGGTGCTCAATCCTTTGCAGCTTTGCAGAGAGGTGCTCAATCTAAATTCAGGAAAACAAACTCTCCTATCACAGATAGGGAAATTGAGGCTGATCAAACTCTTGTACAATTTTGTTTATTCCATAGCCCCTATGTCACCCTATCACCGTATTACCACTTCTATCTTTGTAAGTTTCTACTGAAACCCCTTATCTTAGTACAAAAAGGCTTCCAAGAATACAAAAATTAGCCAAGTGTGGTGGCAGGCGCCTGTAATCCCAGCTACTCAGGAGGCCGAGGAAGGAGAATCAATTGAACCTGGAAGGCGGAGGTTGCCGTGAGCTAAGATCACGCCACTGCACTCCAGCCTGGGTGGCAAAAGCAAAAAAAAAAAAAAAAAAAAAAAGACTTCCAAGGGCATTCCTTCCAACCACTTTCTGCCTTGTCTTTGCTCTCACTCTTCATCCTATATGGAAAAAAATTCACACCCACACATGCAACATGCTCTTTCATCCTTACTTGTTTCTACCTACACTTCTGTTTGATGAGTTATTGTCTATGCTGGGCATTTTTCCAATTGCTCAATGTGAATGGCTCACAGAATACCCCTGAAAAGACTACAATAATTATTACTCTTTTTTACAGACAAGGAAACTGAGGCTTAAAGAGTAATTTATACAATAATTCACAGCCATAAGAGGTTAAATCGAGGAACTTGTCTCTAAAGTTCATTGTATCATGTATCATGCCCCTCCTTGCCCTTTGTTTGGCTAACTCACACTCCAAACAAATGTTTCTTATTCCATAATTTGAATTAGATGGTGTTCCCTATTCTCTCTAAACAACTATTATTTTATCACAGCACTTGTCTTACTCATCTGCAGGGATTTATTTGATTGTCTTTCCTCTAGTTTCTAGAATAAGCCCACAAGCCCTTTATGCTCCCAGTGCATAGCCCAATGCCTGGCACCTCAAAGGTGTTCAATAAAACTTTACTGACTGACTCAGAAATGAATAGATGTCATGTCTCTATGAAATCATGGGCAGAAGGATTAAAACACCAATGTATCTGACTTTAAAGCCATTCTTCCTCCAATGTACCATACTGACTCCCAGGTAGTCACAGATGAATGCCCTTACTTTACACAGAAAGTGGAAATAAGGTTATCCATTCTGTCATTCTTGAAGTAGGATAGTGAGAGAGCCAGCGTTTAAACCTATTCTATTTTGTGCCTGTATCTGGCACACAGCAGGAGCTTAATACATGTTTGTTGAATAAATAAGCCTGTTCCTGGCATATAGGTACCTCCCACCTCATATGTTTGCTATCTGCTTAGGTTGACAGTAAGCATTGCATGCTCTATAATTTTCTATTGCAATTGTGGTCCATGAACCAATGCCACCAGGAAACGTGATAGAAATGCAAACTCTAAGTCTCCACCCTGGATCTATTAAATCAGAATCTGCATTTTATCAAGACCCACAAGAGACTAATGTACATGAAAATGTTTGAGAAGCACTACTCTAGACTATAAGGTATGTACGAATGTGTGGTTCCACTCAAGGGAATTACAATTTACATTGGAGAGAAAAATCATCCCCATCATAAAACACAATAGGTTAACATCATAAAACTAATACCAATGCAAAAGGAGGACAGCATTAGACACAGTAAATCCAAAGTCATAGAGAATAAAATAATGCAATATTTCAAAGAGCTCTTCTTAGGCAGAGTAGAGAGCACAGAGCACTCTACCTATCTAATAAAGATGCTGTCTGTGAGGGACTGGTAGGGAGTGCCCTGCCTGGTACACAGTGTTTGAATCATAGTGAAGACAGACAACAACAAAATTCATGTGGTTAGTTCCATATCATAACTTGAAGTGAAGTTCATCCATACAGTGGATAAAGAGTCAGGATCTGAAGGTAAACTGCCTGTGTTCAAATTCTGGCTTAAACACTAACAGTCAAAATGATCATGTGACATTGAGTGCATTGTTTAAACCTCAGTTTCTGTTTGGGAAACGGAATAAGAAGGTACTCAACTTACGGAATTGCAATGAGCATGAGATGAAATAATCTCTGCGAAACACTTAGAAGAACACTGAAGAATAAGAATACTTAAGAAGAATACACAAATAAGCACTCAATAAAAATAATGATTGCATCATCACAATCACTCTGAAATACTTAGGCAGTGGTTAATTTTGGTATGGCTCGTCTGCCCTGATAAGCTTAATTCTATGTCGTCCTATCTGTCTTTCTGCTTTCTCATCCCAAAACAGGGCTGCTATCTCATTATGGAAACAGTTGACCATAAACCCCTTAACCTTATATAAAAATATTATGCATATTTCTCAGGAAATGCTTGTATTTTCTATGCGACTTCAAAGGCATTGATGGCCTCAAAACTATCTTTAATCACTATTCTGAATACAGTGGAATGAGATGATCAAGAGCACAACTCGTGAAGTCAGCAACAACAGGCTTGAATTCCAGTCCTGACTTCACTAGCTGTATGACTAAACATGTCTCCCTATCCTTCAAGTGGGGATAATAACACTCACTTAATAATACCATTTACTGTGAAACCTTGTGTAACAGTCCAAGGAGATGCTGTATGAAATGGTACTCTGCAATTGTAAAGAACTTCCAGATAATTTAACAGTGACAGCTCTTATATTGAGTGATTTCTCAAACATTTTCTCTCACAACAGAACACTCACTCCAAAGAACCACCCCCTTGGAAAGCTGCAAGTAGGCCAGGCGTGGTGGCTCACGCCTGTAATCCCAAAACTTTGGGAGGCCAAGGTAGGCGGGTCACGAGGTAAGAAGTTTGAGACCAGTCTGGCCAATATGGCGAAACCTGTCTCTACAAAAAATACAAAAATTAGCTGGGTGTGGCGGCAGGCTTCTGTAATCCCAGCTACTCGGGAAACTGAGGCAGGAGAATCACTTGAACCCAGGAGGCAGAGGTTGCAGTGAGCCAAGATTATGCCATTGTACTCCAGCCTGGGCGAGAAGAGCAAGACTCTGTCTAAAACAAAACAAAACAAAACAAAACAAAACAAAACAAAACAAAACAAAAAGCCAGTCGCAGTGGCTCACACCTGTAATCCCAGCACTTTGGGAGGCCAAGGCAGGCCGATCACCTGAGGTCGGGAGTTCAAGACTAGCCTGACCAACATGGAGAAACCCCATCTCTACTAAAAATACAAAATAACCGGGTCATGGTGGCCCACGCCTGTAGTCCCAGCTACATGGGAGGCTGAGGCAGGAGAATTTCTTGAACCCGGTAGGCGGAGGTTGCAGTGAACCAAGACTGCGCCATTGCACATTGCACTCCAGCCTGGGCAACAAGAGTGAAACTCTGTCTCAAAAGAAAAAAGAAAAAGAAAGAAAGAAAGTTGCAAGTATAATGAGCTGGTCAGTGGGCTACTGCGCCCATTACTTGTGCCCCTGCCATGCTTACAAAGACTGGGATGGTTGAGAAGTGTAGCAAGATGGAAACAGCACTAGAGGAGGATCAGTTCAAAAGAATGTTGCTCATGCAGAGGCAGGTGAATGGCAGCAGCTCATGGCTTGACTGCTATGGGCTACCATACTTTGATCTCCAAACAGAATATCTGAGGCCGACATGTCCAGATGTGTCTTCCAGGCAGCAGTGTTTTCTCTTCAGCAACACATTTCCAGGCAGCCTTGCTATCCTGCTTCCATTTGTCAAAAACAAAAATCAGTGGAATACAAGATTCAGAAGTCAAAAGATTCAGCTTCTTTAATTAAAAGGGGTCAAAGCAAAGTAATATGGAGATAGGGAAGAAAAACAATCTCCACAAGTAGATGAAAATGTGAGCCCGACTTTGGACCTAGACATTTACACATTGTAATCAAGTGGATTGCCAGGAAGCCAAGATCATATAGCTGAGGAGCAAGTGAGAATGAGACTATGCGAGTGTGATAACAGTTCTATATCCATAACACTTTCATCTCAGAGTACACTTGTGCTTCAAATGCATTTGCCAGGAGCTTTCCTGCCTCTCAAGCAGGAGTCTAATGGGAAGACTGCAAAAAGGGAAATATCAGAAGTTAGATTTTGGTATAAGCCAGTGGGACAAGAGTAGGATAGCCCTGTACCAAGTGCACAGAGAAGGCTTCAGAGTTTTTAAAGATGTGTTAGAGTCTTCACCATGTGCCTGAACAATTCATTTCAATCAACGAGTCTTTCCAAGCTAGCATTCCTTTTGAATTTACAAAACAAAAATGCAGTCTCTTTCTTACTGTTTTCAAATCATAAACAAGGATATTAAATCAGTTCCTGAAGAAATGACATAGGAGAGCTATTTAAGGCTTCAAATTCTTGATAATATGAAAAAAAAATAGAATGAGGTTGGGTGTTTCCTGTCTCTGTTTAAGATGAAATCATTGTACGTGTTAGCCAATGACCGTATTTAACGCATTTCCTACGTCCTTGCATTTGTTCACATTTTCTTCTCTTTGAGCTTTACTGCTTGAGTGGTGCCAGTAATGAAGGGGAACACATTTGTCTCTCATAACTGTCAGAGATGACACAAAGAAGCAAAATGAATGTGGGAGGTGCTGTTTTGTTTCTAATTAACAAGGGTTTTCAAGTATTTGTGTAAAGAAAGGGAGTCAACATTCAAAGGGTTTGAATCTATTGCCCTTTTCAATGTTTTCCTTTAAGAAAGAAAAGAGATAAATTTTTTTATAGGGAAATACTGTGTGTGCAATTCAATGGAAATGATAGGGACAGCTAGAAGTGAAAGATGAAAAAAAATTAAATAATCCAAGTACTGTAAAGCAATGCATAGCTGAAGGCACCTTATTACTTTATATTATACCTTCTCATTCTGAATAACTACTGTTATATAATATGAACCATTGATGTTTAATAATAGAAATAACCACAGTCAGATGCCAAATCAAGAAGAAAAGATCTGCACTTTGAAAAAAAAAGAACTCTCTTTATGCATATGCCACATGTAAACGTTCAGGGCTTGAGCTCTGAAAGGAATCCTGTAGTGGGAAGGTATTGAGAAAAGCAGTTCTGAGCAAAAGAAGGGGGGCGGGAGCTAGTTACAAGTCTGGTTCTTGCCCAGTTGAAGTAACTGACACTATGAAAGTCTGTCTAGGCCTAACTCTGTATGTGTGAACACCACCACACACTGACACCTTATCTTGTTGCCTAGTAGCAGCTACAAGAATGAATTCAATGTGTGGTGTGTCCATCCATCAAAAATACCTACTAAAGTGTCTAATGAGAAGAGCGTTCTGGATTATACATCTTAAGGGAATACACACACAAAAAAACTCAGACTTTATGACACACTATTTATCTGGAAAGACAAAAAGCAAAACACAAAAAGAAGAACGCGTCTGTAGTAAAACATAGTGACAAATAGGATATATTAGTATTGCAAAGTGCAATGTATTAACGGAAGTAAAGGACTGCTCAATGATAATGTTCACTGAGCGCCATGAAAAGAAAATGAATATACTCGGGATGAGAATGAGGGTTCAATCATTCATGCCTTCCTCAAAAAGATGAGTTTTTAGCAGAAAATGAATTGATGGAGAGGATCTATGAAAATTCACCAGTGAACGGAACCATATCAGAATGTAGGGATATACAAGGAACAGAAGAATGTGACTGACAGCAATTCAAGGCAATGGGCATTTCTTTGTCTCACCTAACAGGAAGTCTGGAGATCAGCCACTGGTGTTAGGTCTGCAGTCTCAGAGACAAGAGCTGGAAGTTTTATGATTGTCTTGGCTCTCTTTCTTGATCACAAGATGGCTGCTGCAGCTCCAGTCATCATAACTTTGATCACGGTTTTAAAAAAAGAAAAGGAGCAGAGGGGAGTGAACAAAAGGGAGACTAAAGGAAGAAATGGGCCCCCTTTATTAGGAAAAGTGACAACCTTTCTGGAGCTCTGACTAGCTGGCAGAAAGAGATTGGGAAAGACCGAGAGTCTGCCAAGGGACTGTGTCTGCCACACTTGGACAGATGAATGTAAGAAAACACAGGTGATGGTGAGATTAGCTCAAGGGAATGAAACCATCTGGATGGGATTTTGAAAGATTTTTCCAAAGCATACACATGCACACACAAAGCACAAAAGTAAATTGTGGGTAGAAATAATGTCTAGAATATCTTGTTTATAAAAACATTCACACCCTTCAAATAAACTTTCATTCCTTTACGCACTGGAAAATTTCCACTCGTGACAAAAGAGCAGCCATCTGTGAAACAGGACATGGCAGTAATTTGCCACACTGCATACAGGAATTCGCCAGCACAGGTTAAGCATGGAAATAGAAGCCACTTTCACCAGAGCAAAACTACAAAAACGGATTATAAGAACAGATTATATCTGCCTAAAGAATCTCCCACCGATGTTCCACATTTCACCCTATCTCTTTTCTGGTTTGTTATCAAACAAGTGACATCTGTTTTATGTAGTGCCAAGGCACTTTGTCTTGTTTGTGGATGTTTTATTTGTTCACAGGCACACCCTGCTGGACACCCTGGTACCATGTCCCTGGTTCCTTTAATGAAAGGGAAAATGAAGGGGGTTTTCATCCCTGCTTACTTCATGTCAGCGAAGTCTTTGTGCATGGAGTCTTTTGAGCCTCCTGGCAACACTGTGATTTGAAGTGTCACTATCCTGATCTGAAAGGGGAATAGTTTGAGGGTTGGAGAATTCAAGTTAGATGACTGAGAAAGAGTGAGTCCTGGAAGAGCTGTGTGGTATCAAGCCATGCCAGTCAGACTGCAGAGCCGGGGGACGCCACCCTGACTTAAGAATTCTACGTGATGTGCCGAAGACCCCAGCAACTAGCGTAATTGCTGAATTATGTTATAAATTGAATATGTGAATGAAACCAATTCTCTGCTGGCCATGAAAAAAAAAAGAGAGAGAGAGTAATAAGCAATGAAATATTTTCCAGCCTTGAGAATACCAGGTCAATTTGATTCAAGCCATTCTGGTCATCTAAACACTTTTACATGGTTTCACCAAGCTCTAAAACAAACCTAGCTGTGTTGAGATGTCCCTAACTATTTGCAGCACTCAAAGACAACATCGTCCTATGGAAAGAGTGAGGGTTTTAAATCAAATCATCCTGTGTACAACTCCTAGTTCTACACATTGCTAGCCAGTGTCCTTGGATGTCTTGCTGGGCCTCCCTTTCCTCTTATTCATAGGAGGGTTAATAACAGCTTCCCTGTAGAGATAAATATGTGAGAAGTACCTCACACAGGGCCTGACATGTGGCTGGCATTCTATGGAGAAGGGCCAACATCAGTGACGTGAGCCCTCTGTTAGCAGCACAATCTCCATGCGATGACACTCCCCTGGCTCAGGACCAGATACTCCCAATGTGACCCCAAAGTGAGCTAAAGAAAACAGAGTCAGCAGAACATTTCCCAGGCTTCTCCCTGCTCCAAACAGGGCAATCCAAGTCTCAGCACTACCTAATAAACAGCACAAACTTATAATAGAGTCAGGAGTGTTTGAGCACATAGGGAATGATGGAAAGACATCATAGATTAGAACTATTAGTGGATCATGCCTATAATCCTTACACTTTAGGAGGCCAAGGTGGGAAGATTGCTTGAGCCCAAGAGTTCCAGACCAGAGTAGGCAAGCTGGCAAGACCCAGACTCTAAAAAAAAAAATTTTCTTTTAATTAGCGAGGCATGGTGGCATGCACCTGTAGTCCTAGCTACCTGGGAGGGTGAAGCAGGGGATTCCTTGAGCCCAGGAGTTCAAGAAGGTAGTGAGATGTGATTGCACCACTGCACTCCAGCCTGGATGACAAAGCAAGATCCCACATCTAAAAAGTAAAAGTTAAAAAAAAATTTTTTTTAAAGAACTGTTTAGAGAATGGAAAGATGAAGGGGAGACACAAAAGAACATAAAAATGGAGTGAAGAGGGAGACATGATGTCAGAAAAAAAAACAGCACACACATATATATATGCGCCAAAAGGATCAAATGTCCCATAATTAAAGGAGATGACCTTGCAAAAAAAATTTTAAAGGCCTTTGAATTTCACAAGACTGTAGTACTCCCAATAGCAGAATGGAGTGGAATTGCCAGATTGACATAAGCCAGATTGAGAATGCCTAGAAGGGTTGAGCAAGGTTTTGGAGGGGTTATTTTAGAACAGTTTCTCCACCTTGGCTCCATTGACATTTTGTGCCAGATAATTGTTGTGGGGGCTGTCCTGTGCGTTGTAGATGTTTAGCCGCATCCCCAACCTCTAACCACTGGATGCCAGTAGCTCCTCCAGTCCCCAAGGCATGACAGTAAAAAAATGTCTCCAGGCATTGCCCAGCATCCTGGAGGGTAGGGGGAAAAGCAGCAATACCACCCTCGGTTGAAAACCACCACTTTAGAATGCAGAGACCTGTCTGTGTTTTAAACCACAAGGAAAGAAATACAGAAATAGTTTCAGTGTCTTGTCACGGCAAACTTTTCTGTTTCATATCAATATAGAGGGAAAAGTGCCAAAATTTCAAATGGTAAACAGAAGAAGAAAAATAGCAATGACTGTCAACTAAGGCGATGGAAATCAGCAGTTCTTTATTCTTGTTCTGTTCTGCAATAGTTCAAGTGAAGATAACTTTGGGAGAAAGTCTTGGACTGTAATTTTGTTTAATTTCAGGGAATGGATGTAGGGTAGGCAAGCATCAAATTTGGGGCTTAGATCAGGATGGTTGGTTCTTGGCTTCACCCAGGAAAGAATTCAAGGGTGAGTGGGAGGTGTTTGATGGCAACTTTTACTGAAGCAGCAGTGTCCAGCAGCAGCAGAGGTACTGCTGCCTGCAGAGTGGGGCTACCGTAGAGGCAGTGTGCCCAGAGTGGCGGCTCAGAGGCAGTTCTGCAATCATATTTATACCTACTTGTAATTACATGTAAATTAAAGGGTGGATTATACAGAAATTTCTAGCTAGGAAAAGGCGGGTAACTTCCAGGTTGTTAGGTTGTTGCCATGGAAAGGGGCTGTAACTTCTGGGTGTTGCCATGGCAATGGTAAACTGACGTGGCACACTGGTGGGTGTGTCTTATGGAAAGCTGCCTCCACCCCATCCCTATTTTAGCTAGTTCTCAATTTTTTCCAGTGTCCAAGCCCCGCCTCTTGAGTCAAGTCCTGCCTTCTAGGACCAAATTAAGAATATACATTCTCTATACAATAAAAAAATTCTAATAATTTGAGAACAAATGTCCAGCCAAGAGTTTTGAAAGAAATCAAATGCTTTACAGTACTCTAACTGTATAGATAGAAAGAAGAAATGAATACGACAAGAAATTTTTATAGCTTTGGCTTGTCTTTTGGCTTTTTTAGACATGATGCATTTGGAGTCTTTCAGTTGTTCCGACCTCCCAGCTTTCTTTCGAATTGAAAGCTTTAGTATTCAATCATGAAATACTGTACCCCAGCTGCTCCTATTTTTAAACAGATTCTGCAGAGTTGATATTAGTATAGTTTAATGTTTTAGGCAGAAGTTCAAGAAAGAAAGAATTCAATCCCATATATTTACTTAGTCACATATTAAAAGAAATATAATTTAAAATAAACATCTGCTTTCCAGTCATAGCATAACAGAAGGCAAAGAAAATTGGGTGTGAGCAGCGACATACACTCATGTGTATATGTAATTAAACCTTTAAAAAAAAAAGCTGATGAATTTTTTTCACACCAGTCCAAGAATAAATAATACCTAAGTTAAAGTCAGGTCTTATAAAAGTGCTTTCTTAAATATAATGGGCTAATTCAGAAGGACATGCCTGTTAAGGTCTCTCAGTTTAGAAAGAGCTGTCTGTGCCAGGTACAGTGGCTCATGCCTGTAATCCCAGCACTCTGGGAGGCCGAGGTGGGAGGATCACCTGAGGTCAGGAGTTTGAGGCCAGCCTGGCCAACATGGTGAAACCCCACCTCTAGAAAAATACAAAAATTAGCCGGGCATGATGGTGCATGCCTGTAATCCCAGCTACTCAGGAGGCTGAGGCAGGAGAATTGCTTGAACCCTGGAGGCAGAGGTTGCAGCGAGCCAAGATCGTGCCATTACACCACAGTGTGGGCAACAGAGCGAGACTCCATCTCAAACAAAAAAAAAGAAAGAAAGAAAGAAAGAGCTCTCTGTGATAGATGTAGGTGACACTGCTGGAAAGCAAAACAACTGGTCAGTTCTGAGGGGCGGAAATTCAATAAAATGGATTTTTTGGCATTGTGAACTCACTTCTCTAAGAAAGATGATCACATTTAATTCTCACTTTCCAATTGTTTGCCCTAAATTGCTTTGATAAGAACTTACAGGAAAATACTACAGAGATTGCTGTGGTAATTTATATACACCAAAATATCTAATGCTTATATTTTCTTCTGTTTCTTATAAAATACGTCCCTGAAGAAATAATGGATATTTGAAAAAGTAATTGCTGGATTTTCTGGAAAAGCCCCCAAAGATAAGGAACTTTAATTTTAAAAATAGCCATTAGGTTAATATCAGTGAACTCTGGTATAGAGCATGTTCCAAGTGAGGTCATACTCTTGAGTTAATTCTAAAATAAGCTGTTTATTTTTGTTTGTTCCATGACTATAGGTTGTAGCTTCATCTCAGGCCAATCAGATCAAAACTGCAGATGTTGATTCAATAGAGACTACTCTCTAGTGTAAATAGATAAACTCAAACTCATGGCTATTACTGGAAAATAACTCAAAGTATTATTTTTTGGCTGACAGACTCAGCCAAAAGATAACCTATTAATGTGGGGGAAAAAATCAACGAATATGTATTGTTTTGTGGTTAATCAACAACTCTACCTTCGTGTAAGGGAAACAAACAATACGTTTGCCATTCTGAATCACAATAAACAAAGAAAAATTCTACAATTGACTCAAACTTAACCTGAGTACCGGTTACAAAGTATCTGCACCTCTCTGTAAATCAGCAATGAAAATCAAATTCACAGTTAAATTACAGCCAGCCTCAGTTACTCTTTTAAAATTTTTGATAAACAGTATTTGAAATACTGTTTGTTTGAACCATGACTCAGATTATAGGGTTTCAACTGGAAAAAAAAAACAGTTACAGTAAAAAGGTAGCACATGCATCCTCTACAAAATAATGTTCCAAATGACCAACATAAGCTTTGGTTACAACAATGATAATCGACATTCTGTTCCATACCATAAACACTCTTACCCAAATATCTGGCACTGGAAAAGAGTCTTAAAGCTAACAAGGGAAGTTGAAGTGAGATATTGTGTTTTTCATGCTGAAACAATACATAATGTTTCGGATGCTGCAAAGGGATAATGATAAAAACAGAAAAGAAGCTCTTAGTGTTGTTTGGAAAACATCTTGCAGATGACTGCATCTGTTGTCGTTAATTAATTTTGCAAAAAAAGAAAAGGTAGCCATATTATCTTGCCTTTGAGGTCTTGCAGTTGCCCATTCTTCACACTCCTTTTACGAAAATGAGATTAAATAACAAGAACACAGCCTCATATTAGGGATTCCTTTTGAAAAGCAATCTTAGCATCCGTACAGTTTAACCCAATTCCCTAACTTACTACATTTACATCTTTAATGTTTACCATAATTGATGTTTAAAATATTCAACTCAAGGCGCTATAAGAATCTGAAAAGTCAATTTGTGTTTAATATGCCTTGTTTATTAAAGCATAAAATTAGAAAACGTATTTTCGAAAGATTATTCAAAAATTATGATTGAAGCAAAGAAATAGAAGTTGGGATGATTGATGGATAGTCAGATGGCTTATGTTCAGCCATGCCAGAAAACTGAGCTGTAACCAAATATTTATAGTTCTGTTACAGAGCTCTGTTTAGTCAAGCTGCCCAAATGCGCTCTCTGTCAGCAGGTCTCAACCTTTGTGTTGTGTGTGTGTGGTGGGGGTAGCGGGGAGAGCAGGGGCTAATGGAGAGAACATGTCAAAATGCCAAACGGCAGAGTTCTCCTCATACAGATTCTGACTCTGCAAGTCAGAGGGGGATCCAGGATTGACCTTTGAAATAGGTAACCTAGGTGATTCTGATGCAAGTGGTCCATGAACAATACAGAAATATTGTACAGAACAATTGAGAAATATTGTAGCCCCCTCCTTAACTCTTGAGAAACCTCGCTTTACACTCTTACTAGTCTCTTCCCAACCACTCTCAGGAATGCACACACCTCATAAAAGGATCCTCCTTGCTTCTCACTGTTTCCTGGGAGTCTCTTTCCAGTCTCTGCTCCCAAATGTTCTCCTTGCCTCTCTTCCTGAATCATTTTATTCCACTGGACTACTTGATGCTTTGGACTGTTCTTTGCTTCTTGATACTGAGCTTACCTGACACAGAGACTATAGTTCCCCTGCAAATGCAATTTTCTGCAGAGTACAGACAGTTCTGTTCTTCTTTCAGCATATATGCTATCAAAAGTGTGTGACATTATTATTTTCAAAATGGCATAGTGGTGTGATATAAAGAACCTGGGATCTGCAGTCAGACCTAAATTTGCATCTTGATGTTGCATAGTTCTAACTTTGGATAGTGAGAAAGCCATCTGAGGCTGTGACCCTCAGACTCTTCATCTATAAAGTTAATAAGATAATACCTCCCTCTTAGGGCTTTAGTTGGAATTCAATGAGATACTATCAGTGGAAAGTCCTTTGGAAACTAATTTCCTACAGGAGTATTAGACTATTAGGTAAAGTTTTGAACATTTTTGCCCAGCAAGAAGAAAACCCTGCTAATAGTCATCTTTACATCCCGCCTTCTATAAAATAAAATATAGAACTTCTAGCTTCTTTCTCATGAGGGGTTAAAAAATATAATCCCTTTATAGTAATTTTGTTATTTAGACACCAATAATGCTAACACTTCAGTGATCTAAAAACCAACTGTTCTGGATATTTTCCACTTTTCATCCCCTTCCCCACTTCATCTGCCCTACTTTCAAGCTCAGGAAGTACCTACTAAAAACTACACCTTATGGACTCTCTCACTGGCTGCCTTCTGGGTAGCGTCGGCCAACAGAGGCACCAGTGAGAGATGGATGACAGGAGGAGCAGTGACAGGGTATTTCATCTCCACTCATTCGGTTTTCACATCAAATCTCTGGCAGTAACTATGTCCACCCCACTAAGACAGCCTCATGTCCTGCACAGTCCCAGGGCTCACTGGGTTCCAGTACACTATTTCCTCTGCTCAGCCCTGGGTCCTAGGTGTAGTAACAGCTTTCTGCTTTCAGTCCCTGGGGTAGAGCACCCCACCATCCTCTGTTTGATTCCAGCCCATGTCCCTGTAACTCCTTTTATTAAAGTCTTATCTGAACCATCTGGAATGAATTCTGTTTCCTGCTGGGGCCCTGATTGATACACCAATACAGGAGGCCAATAACACGCCTGGGAGTTTTGAAGCAGGACGTGAATTTACGTTCACTTTTATGATCAGGGTTTTGTGTTATTGTAGATTATATTTCATTCTCTTATACTTTATCAAAAGCAGGCATTAATGCTAATATTGAATCTTTTGTCTGCGGCAACATGGTTAAAAAGATCATTGCCCTAAAGCTAAATAGGAAGAAACAAATTCTCTCTCCTGAAAAACCTCTCTGAAGATTTTTTTGTTACCATGGGGTACTTTGGCTTTGGGGTGTTTTTCTTTTTTCTATGCCTTATTTAAATGATACATAGAGGTTTTCCAGATGAGGAGTGGTATTGTTTCCTGTTGTTGAGTTGGGATGT
This sequence comes from Homo sapiens, assembly GCF_000001405.40. NCBI lineage: Eukaryota > Metazoa > Chordata > Mammalia > Primates > Hominidae > Homo > Homo sapiens. The sequence continues at coordinate 59,351,964 of NC_000013.11, forward strand.
AAAATATTTTTTAAATGTATGTTTATAAGTTTTTAATGTGAATTAAACTCCCTCAATATTTTTATGGAGAAAAAAATTAATGAAGAACTTATTAACATTGGAAAATAGGCTATCTCAATTACACTGTAACTTTTCCCCAATGGTTTTCTTAATATTTATATATTAACATCATAACAACTCAATACAATTTATACAATATGCAGCCATTTACTGTGAAAAACGATCCATTAAAATATCTCCATCCTACAGCCAGACTCAACAAGACATAATGGCTCAGAGGGAGCCAAATGCAGGATTACATGATAGGCCAGAACCTGGGCCATGGTCTACCAGGCCAGGTAAGTAATACACATGGCGTAAAAGAGCCAAGTAAATAGTTAGAGAAACATGAAAGTCTCTGTAGAGTAAATGTGCACTCAGGCAATTATTAAAATATGGATTATGGAAGATTCTCTTTTCTCCTTTTCTCTAGGCTTACCCTTTTAATAAGAACAAAAGTAAATCAAACGTGTGTGCACAAAGACACAGAATACATTCTAATAACTTCAGGGACTCTGTTTTAATCGACTAAAGGGATATATTTCAAGTAGAGAAATGATATCTTGAGACCCCTTCATTCTATCTGGGTGTTACAACTGATATGGGCCTGTGTCAGGCAAGTTAGGAACAATGCGTGCTATTCTGATGCCTAGATATTATAGATGCAGCAATAACTAGCTTGCAGAGCCTCAAAGAGCAGAAACGATTTCCACCTTAATAACCCCTGTGGCATTTTTCAATTTTCCAGGCTGCCAGTCAAATGAATGCATGTCTGGGAAGCAGAGGAGACAAGAAAGGTAAAAGATTAACCTCTGAGATCCATGATATAAACTCCATTGGCTAAAATTGGTCATGTGTTAGAAAACAAACATGGGTAGTGATAGCCCTGTCTAAACACAGAGCACAAATGTTAGAACAAAGATTCTAGGAGAGAAACTGGGATCTTAGGGTCACCTGGCTGAAATAATCTTGGAATGTTAATCATTCTTATTTTCTTCGCTCTCTAAGTTGAAAGTAACCCAGCAGTCTCCACCTGATGATTTTCACACTAATTAGCCCAAGAGATGGTTCTTAAAAACCAGCATTGTCTTTCCAAATGGGAAGGGCTTGCAGAAAACACAGACCTGCTACTGCCTAAACTGCTGCATCTCAACTGAACTAAACAAGCAGAACTTTTGGTACTGCCCTTTCCTCATCCTTACTCTGCAGCCTTTCCCCAGGCTTCCTTTATCCATCGGGAAATTAGAACACTTTCCCCCAGGAGGTGGAGAACCTCTAATTACAGATGCCTCTAAAAAAGCTAAGATTATTGCTATTGCCAAAAGGGCAAAATGCAAATGATATGCAGAATGAACTTGCTCTAAAGAAGAAGGCATGATGCAGATGGCTTGCCGCACTTTAACTTGCTTCTTCCATTTCCAGGTATTGAACACTTTCAAATTTTCTTTCAAAATGTCTTTTGAGCCTCTGTTTTCCACCCAGTGCTCCTTCCTGAACCTTTGTGCAAATAATGGGCACTCCAAAAATAAGACAAAGGATCACTCATTTCTGGAAAAAGCGTCCTTGGAAGCAGAGGGTAAAACTGAGGTAGTCTGTTGATTTCTATTTGAAATCACCAATCCTGGTTCTAGAGCCTGGGACAGAGCCACCATAATACTGCCAAGGGGCTGCTGTCTTCAGGGGCTGCTTAATCTGATCTAACCCTTTTTTAATTAATTCAAGTATTTATCTATTCATTTATTTATCCAAAGAACATGTATTATGTAGATATTATGTAAAGAATTCTATGATAGATACACAAGTGAAAGAAAAATGGGCTGGGGCACGGTGGCTCATGCCTGCAATCCCAACACTTTGGGAGGCCAAGTGGGGTGGATCATCTGAGGTCAGGAGTTCGAGACCAGCCTGGTCAACATGGTGAAACCCTGTCTCTACTAGAAATACAAAAATTAGCCAGGTGTGCTGGGGCATGCCTGTAATGTCAGCTACTTGGGAAGCTGAGGCAGGAGAATCGCTTGAACCCCGGAGGTGGAGGTTGCAGTGAGCCGAGATCGCACTACTGTACTCTAGCCTGGGTGACAGAGCGAGACACTGTCTCAAGAAAGAGAGAGAGAAAGAAAGAAAGAAAAGATAAATGCAGTTTGTAAACATATATCTTACTAAAGAGAGTCTGTCCCCACCTTAACTCAACTCATTTCTAGTCTGGAAACTGCGAGAGTGTCTGACCTGGCCTCCTTTACCCACCCACGTACCCCTCCAATCCACTCTGTACACTGCCCCCAGGGTAGTGATATTTTCAAATGTCATTCACGGCTCCCGCTGTGTCATTCACTATGTAAAACCATCACACCTTACTCCAAGATAAACGTCAACATTCTTAACATAGCGCTCAAAGCTCTGGAAGTCTTGGATTGGTCTTAATCTTCAACCTTACCTTGTACCATTCTTTTATGCAGTGAATTTCTTTCATTCTGACCTTATTTTTTACACATAAATTTGCATTTAGAAGAATTTTAGATTTACAGAAAAATTGCATAGATAGTTCCCGTATACCCCTCACCTGGGTTCAGTTTCTCTTATTATTTTCCATTACTGTGAAATGTTTGTGAAAACTTAGAAACCAACATTAGAACATTAATTAGTAACTAAACTCTGTACATTATTCAGATTTCATCAATGTTTCCATTAGTCTTTTTTCTGTTTCTGGATCTAAACACCCTGGCCTTCTTTTAAATCTTTATCCCACCACAGAGTCATTGCGCATGCCACTGCAATGCTTAAAACACTGTCTTTTACCCTCACTCCTTCCTCCTAGCCCTCTTTTCTGTGTGGTTTCTACTCATTGTTCAGATCTCAGTCCAAAGGTCACTTCCTCAGAGGAGCCTCTCTGAAGTCCAGGTCTAGGACTGCTTCCTTTATTACATGCCTTCATGCAACCATGTACTCTTCCTTCATAACACTTTTCTCAATCTGTAATTATACCCTCAGATATGGTTTGGCGGTGTCTCCACAAAATTCTCATCTCAAATTGTAATCCAAATTGTAATTCCTACATGTCGAGGGAGGGACCTGGTGGGAGGGGATTGGATCATGGGGGTGGTTTCCCCCATGCTATTCTCATGATAGTGAGTGAGCTCTCATAAGATCTGGTTTGATACATGTCTGGCACTTCCCCCTTCTCCTGCCACCATGTAAGATGTCCCTTGTTTCCTCTTTGCCTTCTTCCATTATTGTAAGTTTCCTGAGGCCTCCCCAGCCATGTGGAACTGTGAGTCAATTAAAACTTTTTTCTTTATAGATTACCCAGTCTCAGGTATTATCTTTACAGCAGTATGAGAATGGACTAATACACTCTTTTGATGTGATAATTTAATCATTGTCTCTGTTTACAAGTAGACTCCAAGGGCCATGAAAGCAGAAATCTTATCTGTGTTTGCCAAGCATTCTATTCTCCCAAGACCTAGCATAATCTGTGGCATAGAGTAGCCTATCAAGAAAGGTGTTGAATAAATGAATGAACAAATATATGAATGAATGAAAGATAAGAGAAGAATTAAGTGATAATAGGAGGAAGCATATTATAGAACATCAAAATAAGTGATGCAGACAATAAGTATCGCAGGACTTCAAACACAGAAAAGATCAAAGTGAGATGCAAAATTATGTTAAAACTTCATGGAAATGGGAGTGGGAATTTGCCTGGACATTTTATTCATGCAATTAACAATTACTGAGTACCTACTAAGGGTCAAGCTCTCAAAGTGTTTTGTTGTAAACAAAATTATACAATCAGTTTGACGTGTAAAAACAACAAAGGAGAAACAGGGAGGATAAAGCAGAAGGAACCCAGGAATTGAAAAAGTCGTTAAGATAACAATCCACCTAAGAAATACTGAGGCCTTGCACTAAGGCAGACGTGCTGAAGATATGTAAACACTGGGAAGGCTGGCTGAACAAGGACATGGAGATGCCAAATAATAGAATAAGAAATTCCCAGAAGGGGATACAGCAACAAGAAAAAGTTAAGAGTTAAACATTAGCATGGACTTTTGGAAAGCAGTGAGAATAGTTCCAGGTTAAAGTAAAGGGCTCCTGATGGAAGCAATGGAATAGAGACTTGAATAGATGAATTGTGCTTTTGAAAAGTCAAGGTGATTGGATTTTATTCTATTAGTGATGAGTCATTAAACAATAATGACATGATGAAAGTGAGATATAGCATAAGAGAATCTAGACAAAGGGAAAGTACATTGAGAAGCTCCTGCAGAAATCTAAGCACTTGCTTTAGAGTGTTAGCATTAGAAATATAGAGGAGGTGACATAGCTATGACACTTTTTAAAAGAACATTGACTTAAAATACCCAAGTTAGCATCCACTACAGTATCCTGTACATTATATTTTGTCCTTTATGCTTGCAGCTGACCTGCTTTTCTTTATGAAGAAAACAACTTGGAAGACTAGTAGATTTTTGAATATCCATAAATATTTGCTGAGAACCCTTTACACAATGAGCAAATGGAGCATACAAAAAGAAAGTACACATGATCCTCCTTTGAATTATCTTTTTCACTCTTATCAGCTTCATCTTATCAGGAGAAATTAATATATGCCATATACTTCTGTGGTCATCCTCCTCCAGGATGGCCTCCAGTGATCTCCACTTCCTGGCATTCGCACAGTGTGGCATTCCCTCCCACGTTGCACTGGGGTTGATCGGTGAGATGCATAACATACAGCAGAAGTGAGAGTTTATCATTTCCCAGAGTAGGCTGTAACACACTGCAGCTTCCATCTCGGCTTTCTCTCTTTTTCTCAGATAAGCCACTCTAGGGAAAGCAGCTGCTGCGTCATGAGCACGTTCAGCAGCCTGTAGAGAGGCACATGTGGCAGGAAGGGAGGCCTCTGGACATCAGCCAGCGAGGAACTGGGGCCTGCCAACAACCACATGAGCGAGTTTGGAAATGGATTCTCCAGCCCCAGTCAAGCCTTGATGGGACTGCAGCTGTTGCCAACAGCTTGACTGCTACCTTGTGAGAGACAGTGAGCCAGAGCCACCCAGCTAAGCTGCTCCCTGTTTTCTGCCCCTCAGAAACCGTGAGAGATAATAAATGTTTGTTGTTTCAAGCTGCTAAATTTGGGGGTAATTTGTTACACAGCAATAGATAACTAAAACAACTTTGTACTACTAAGGATTAAAAATTATCTAGGAAATTATGTTTCCATCTTTGTCCAAGCTGCTAAGAAGCACAAACTAAATATGATTCTTAATTTCAGTTGCCTCTCTCAGTCTGAAGTTGTTGGTTTTTCCTCTTCCCCACTCCCTTTATGTTTTGATTCTCATACTTCATTTTCTATCCACTGACTTTGGTTTTATCCTATTTACTCATTTATTGCAAAGCTCTTAAAAATCTCTTTTTTTTTTTTTTGAGACAGAGTTTCACTCTTGTTGCCCAGGCTGGAGTGCAATGGTGCGATCTCAGCTCACCACAACCTCTGTCTCCCGGGTTCAAGCAATTCTCCTGCCTCAGCCTCCCGAGTAGCTGGGATTACAGGCATGCACTACCACACCTGGCTAATTGTGTATTTTTAGTAGAGACGGGGTTTCTCCATGTTGGTCAGGCTGGTCTCAAACTCCTGGCCTCAGGTGATCCACCCACCTTGGCTTCCCAAAACGCTGGGATTACAGACCTGAGCCACCGCGCCCGGCCTTAAAGACCTTTTTTAAAATTAGATGAGAGATAAAACAACAAAATAAAAACAGTAAACATTAAATAGGATTCCAGCCATCGTCAGAGAGATCACAATCTCTGAGGGAAAAAAGAGCAAGCAATACGGCAGAGCCTATTACTAGTGTTCAACTAACTAGCAATTGCTCTTAGAATTCAAAGAAATGGTACAACAGAAAACTTGTGTTTTAGGTCAATTTCCTGTGAAACAGACCCTGAGGTAGGATGTGCATTATGAAAGTGCTTTAAAATAAACTGCTAAAGGAATGGGGAAAGCCAGACCAGAACGGGGAAGAAGTCAAGCCAGGGTAATATCTCAACATCTCACAGAAGATTGCTTCAGCCTGATCCTCCACAGGATGTTTGCAATATAAGTTAACACCTCAGAGATTGTCCTGGGGCAAAGGAAATGGGCTTCCAAGCTTCTGCACCAGTCACCCATTGGCCACGGTCCTCTCTGGGAAGCGAGCTCTTAGGCACTACAGCTCTCTGCGGGAGTCTCTGGACGTGTAGACAAAGAGGCTGCGGTAGCCTGGGCAGTCCTTCAAAGAAAGTTCCAGGTGCCTGTGGTCACAGGGAAGTGCATACTGAGCCCAAGAAAACACAGAGAAGTGCTAAAGGGAGCTGAGGGCATCTAAGCAAAGCATCAAGGTCTGCTCTGTTGGAGAAAGTTCCACTGAAGGAGCTGGCTCTTCACCTGTACTGAGCCTTAAAGGATAGGCAGAATTGGTATAGACATGGAGGAGAAAGTATTTTATAGAATCTACAATTCTAAGACTAATTCTAAAAGTAGCAGAATCCTCCAGGTGCTCTAGAATGATAGTAAGTTATAACCTAGGCTCTTAGTTCTATTTCCAGTCCCAAGGAGGAATCCTGAGTTCATCTCTTATTTAAGTTATTAAACACAATCATTTGTCTTTAGATAAGAGGTGATAGGAGGTTAAAAAAAACCATATGCTTCTTCCAAATTTTAGCAATGCTATTATTCATCCATTCTGGTTCTAAAATACAGATACTGCATAAAACCCTGGCCTCAATCCTAAATAAAAAGGAAGCCTGGTGGGAAGAGGATGAGACCTACCTAAGTGTTTTGTACTCCCTATTCTATTATCATCCTCCCTAAGTTGCAGAATTTGGAAACCATTTCAAATAAAAGCTATTTAGTACTGTGTCTCTTTTTCTCTTTTTTCAGTAGAATTTATCACCAACAAGCAAAGTGCAGTAATAGCTTTTTCTCCTATGCACGCTTTAGGATGTAGTCTAACTTTATCTGGAGTTGGGCATAAAGGCATAAATCATTAAGCCCCTGCTGGCCGGATCAAGAGCCTATCTTTCAGAAAAATCAAGTGTCTAGGGGCTGCCACTCAGAGAAACTCTATTTTCTGGCTCTCCATCAGGGTTACAGACACCTCTCCCCAAGGATTCATCAACCGCCAAACAAAGAGGAAGGCAGGTCAATGACACCAAAATCTGCAGCTTCAGCAGCTTCTGAAGTTCCTGACCAAAAAAAAAAAAAAAGAGCGAGAGAGAGAGAAAGAGAGACAGTGTGAAAAAAAAAAAATCTTAAAGGAACTTTAACAAACCATCTCAGAATTCATAGTTTACATTCTGGAAAGGAGGCTTTCAGAGTCCTACAGCATACAAGCTTCTCGTGATAAAATAATGGGCTACCAAGCAGGCACTGGTCTTTATTGTTTTATTAGCTAGTGCCTAGTTATGTGTGCTTAAAAAAAATCATTTTAACAAAAGGGTTTCTTCATGATTTTTTTTTTTTTTGAGCTGGAGTTTCGCTCTTGTTGCCCAGGCTGGAGTGCAATGGCGCGATCTCAGCTCACCGCAATCTCCACCTCCCAGGTTCAAGCGATTCTTCTGCCTCAGCCTCCTGAGTAGCTGGGATTGACAGGCATGTGCCACCACGCTCAGTTAATTTTGTATTTTTAGTAGAGACAGGGTTTCACCATGTTAGTCAGGCTGGTCGTGAACTCCAAACCTCAGGTGATCTGCCCACCTTGGCCTCCCAAAGTGCTGGGATCACAGGCGTGAGTCACCATACCCAGCCTCATATCTTTTATCATGTTAACATAACTTATATGTGGATAAACCAAACTAATAGATTCCCATTTATCGAATACAGGCACTGCCTTCCAGTTGAATAATCATGTTTCAGTTTGTCCTTGGGTGCTCTTATACTTTGGCACCAACAATTTATACTACAAAATTATGGAATTCCAATTCAGATCAGTAACCATTGCTTTTAGGATTGTTGTTTATTTTATAGGGAAGGAAGCTGATATTCAGAGAGGTTGAATAAACCTCTACCGGGCCACGCAAAGCCTATTGTAGAAGAAACCCAGTCACCTGTCTTCCTATCCAAAGCTTTTCTAGTTATACCACAGTTCAACTAAAAAGGTTAGAGACAAGTTTAAACTCTAAAGATTCTTTGGAGGGCAAAACAACACAATGAAACTCAGATAGATAGAAAGCAGAACTCTTTATTACTCACAGCTCCTAAAGAGAGAAGGCTGCCAGGCAGGGCCACACAGGAAGTTAGACAGAGGAAGCACAACAGCAAGCTGGAGCTGTGAGAGGCAGCTTAAGAGGGCTTCCTGTGAATGGACTAATTTGAACAATTCCTGGGACTCAGGCTCCAGGGCAGAGGACCTGCCCTAGTTGTTTGGTATTTGGCCCTGGGGTAATTAGGGCAGGTGCATAGTAGCCTATGCACATGAGAGCTCCAGGAAAGAAATGACTAGGTTATGGATGCAGCCTTGTCAGACAAGAACTAACTAGCCTTTAGCCATGGCCTTAAAACTGGGTATAAAACATCTTCCAAAATTTTTTTACAAATAGTTATTAATAAATAGTGTTAGCCCTATGCCTATAAATACTCAGAGAAAAGCTGTGAAAAGACAAAACAAAATAAAAACAATAAAGCAATATGGTTAATCAAAGACCGGGAGTTGAGTCCTTCTGCCACTCATTTGCTCTGTGATTTCAGCCAAGTTAGCCACCTTCCCTGTACTTCAGGTTCTTTAGCTGTGAATCAGGAATTCACATAATTTACAGGACTATTGTGGAAATTTAATGTAATAGTGCATATTAACAAACACACATATTTCATATGTTTATATAAAATATAAAGTTGTAAACAAAGGAATTTTCACCCCAATGATAGATTTCATACAAATATAATGATATCAAGGTATTTTTAAAGGACTGCATTCTTATCACTACAGATATACACAGCCTTCTAGCTCTCAGGGAGTATCTTTTTACTACCAAATAGAGCTATAAATTGTGGATTCTTGATATAATAGATCAAGATAGCTCCTTCCCATGTGTTATGTTCTACTGCCTTAAAATAATAAACTGCCAAGACAATATCATGCATCATATTAGAGGCAGATTATTCAGTGAAACTCCCAAGGAGAGGAACTTGCAGCTCACAGACACTAGGTTTCATCCTTTGTTATCTCATCCTCCTTCACAATATCCTAAGTTTTACAGAGTAAGAAAAACCTTAACTTATAATAATCAGAAAAAATATGATTCATAAAAATACTTCCAAATTCTTAGAAACACAAAACTTTAAAATTATCAGTGGTAAAAGTAATATAAAAATAAATCATTCTGGACTTAGAAGAACTATCTTTTGGGCAAAGATTTATAAGGGAGATCAAGACATGGGAGTCTGAATATAAAACATTCAGAATTCTCTTCCAGACACTCATAAGTTCTCATTTCTCAGTTCGTGTTTCTCAGGAAGCACAGTTCTTTTGATGTCAATAAAAGAGACTCAAATTGGTCTGGCTCTGTCGCCCAGGCTGGAGTGCTCACTGCAAGCTCTGCCTCCCGGGTTCACGCCATTCTCCTGCCTCGGCCTCCCAAGTAGCTGGGACTACAGGCACCCGCCACCACGCCCTGCTAATTTTTGTATTTTTAGTAGAGACGGGTTTCACCGTGGTCTCCATCTCCTGACCTCGTGATCCGCCCACCTCGGCCTCCCAGAGTGCTGGGATTACAGGCGTGAGCCACCACACCTGGATGATTTTTTATCATTAAAGTTTCTTCCCTCATCAGAAATGGGTGGTCTAGAGAAAACTCCCCAAGGAAGGAAGGGACCTATCAGTTACAGCCCTTACTAGATTCTCATATGTGTCCAAAAAGAGCTGTTTGGAAAGAACTCAAAAGTTTCCAAGAGACAGAACTCTTCTCTTGTAACCTTTCTCTATGGAAACAAGACACAGGTGAATTATTCAACTACATATTTTTCAAAGCATTATAGAGTGTGTGTGTATGTGTATTTCTTTTTCTTTCTTTCTTTCTTTTCTTTTTTTTTTTTGAGGCAGAATCTTGCTCTGTCTCTCAGGCTGGAGTGTGGTGCCACGTGAGCTCACTGCAACCTCTGTCTCCCAGGTTCAAGTGATTCTCCTACCTCAGCCTCCCCAGTAGCTGGGATTACAGACACCCATCCCCACGCCTGGCTAATTTTTATATTTTTAGTGGAGACAGGGTTTCGCCAAGTTGGCCAGGCTGGTCTTGAACTCCTGACCTCTAGTGATCCACCCACCTCGGCCTCCCAAAGTGCTGGGATTACTGGGGTGAGCCACTGTGCCCAGTCTCCTAGATTGTATATTTTTAAATGCTTTGTACTTTTGAAATGCTATAGCCTGCAGAGTCCACTTTCAGAAGAGTATCATATATAATGAAGCCCAGCCCAAACAGAAATTTCTTATCGTTACTCACAAATCTCAGATATTTAGAGGGTCCAATTGCAAGTGTATACAAACTCTCACAGTGTGTTTTCTTGGACACTCTGTTACCTTAACATTCCTAGGAGCCTCTTACTATCCTACTCCAAGTGCATCTGATTTCTTAGCACTATTCTGTGTACTAAGACCTCCCCTCGTATCTCAGTGGCCAAAACTAGGTTACATGTCCACCATAAATCAGTCACGAGTGAAGGGACTTAGACCACCACACTGGGCTTAGACAAGTTAGGATTTACTGCTGAATCATATGGAGAGTGCTGGACAATGAATGCATCCAATTCTAAAATAGCCATGATATAGGAACTCAACAGGGTATGTTAGCATTACCATTTCTTGAGTAGTGTACGTGCTTAGCATTTTGAATACATTATCTTAGTCAATCATTAAATACCCGTGAGGTAGTTATCACTGTGCTTACTCTACATACAAGAAAAAAATTGCAGAAAGAATCAGTCATATGCCAGAATGGATCAGTAATACAACTGATGTCGCACCTCTTTTCATGGTGGAACCAGACACCATGGCCAAGTTTGTCAGATTCTAAAACATTTGCCATCACCCAGTGTGCCGAACTTTGAAATGAAAACTCCAACAGCTATCCTATCTGTTGGATCATCATAATGAGTTGCTGTTGAATCATCCATTTTCCTTCTTTGGAAATTATTGGCAAATAACAAATGAAAGACACTGAGCTTAGACCTTTTCAGTTATTCCAAAACCAACTTCGTTAGATTTACCTATATTGGGATTGTTCAACAAAACAGCCATACGGAAAACCAGAAAGAATGGGAGGCTTGCCATGAAGTGCTGAGAACAATAGTTATTAGGAGGAGATACCAAAATATCACTGATACGTTGGAGAAAACGTTCCTGTTCTGATCCTCACATGTTAATACTACAGATGGACCCAGCTTAGCTGAGGCATGCTCTGTGCTTCAGCTGTTTACTTAAGCAGCATCAGGGTTCTCAGAAATAGTTGCTATGCCAACCAGCCCCAGGACTATATATACATTCATGACCAGGGCTTATTCTTAGGGCTTTGTTACCTCTCTTTCAAAAGTTTGAATCTCTCATTGCTAAACTGCTTGCATTCACACATTACAGCCTCTGATAGTTGGGCAGCTTCCTTTTCTCCAGCACGTGAAAAACCCAAGTGGAGATTTGCAGGCTATGCTGAGCAACCTTATGACATCAGGATTTTATAGTCAGGAAAAAGACTGTTCTGTTTGCCCACGTCTCTGAAGATCTGGTGTCCAGGTGATAAAGGGCAAGGATCTTTGTCACCTATTATTAACTGTCACATGTGCACATTACCACAGAAGTTCTCAGAGAAGGAAGTAAAGTGGGCTTCTGGGTGCCATGATTGTCACGCTTTTTAAATTTCTTTACCACCTTTTTAATGGGACACATTTCAGAATAGCATCAGCCAACAAATTTGGCCAATCAATCCACCTCTGGTCTCCTGCTAGAGCTGCATTTAAATAAACCTGCAATGTGGAAAGCTGAGGAGAGAAAGCTCTTTAATTACCTTTTCTCCTGTTTATGTTACTTTGATGGCTTTTGTTCAAATGCATCTGGATTTTCAGTGTGCTTATGTTATAATTATTGGATGACTACATGCTGCACTGCCATTTCAATTAGATTTTGATGGCTGATAAAACCATTGTTGACAGGGAGTACGCAAATGAATTTGGGGAAACCAGATTAGTGATGTTTGTGTTGTTGCATTTAAATAAAACGAAGTGTCCTGGCAGCAATGTGATCGAATCTGAAAAGTTTTTTTTTTATATAAAGAATAAGCAGCCCTGTGAGAAATCAGGTTTTCAACAGAGAAGCCGTTTCCTGTTGAGACATCATTTTAAATCCTCAAGTGTGCAGCCACTTCTTCAAACAGTTTATAAAACCAAAAAACAATCATATAATCTCTTCTAACAAGAGGTTTTCAGCTAGACAGATTGCTTTAAAGGAGAATGAAGTAGAAAGAAAATCAAGATCTAAATACCGATAATACATGCTAAATCCATTTGAATTGATAAGGTAGAGAAAGCATGGTGATAAAGCTTAAGGGGTTAAGGCTTACGTTCACCCAAAAGATCAATTCCTAGGGAAGAAGAAAACTTGGCAACATTTCCATCTCCAATTAGCAACTAAAATATGGCAGATGAGGCAGAGTGGAAACAGACAGGCTATTTCCCCAGGAACAGACCTTGCTCAAGCAGGGCTCAGGCTTGCTTTGTTATCGATGTAACAACTGTGTGAATGACAATGTTTAAGTGCTAAAATATTTGCAAAAGGGAATCGGAATCTGCTGTTTCTTCCAAGTCATTAAAGCAAAGCCGGATAGTTGAAACAAAACAGAATCATGCGTAGTTGGCAAACTGAACAGAAAATAACATCCACACAGCATGCCCTTCTGCCATGTACTGTGCTCATTGCTATTCATGCACTATCACATCGCAACCACAGTGCAGCCTCCCCGCCTGGGAGATGTAGTACATACAGCTGGCCACTGGCAAAGCTGGGATGAAGACCCAGAACTTACCCAATGCCTGTTCCCTTAACCATTTGGCGGTAGTGGACTTTCCAGTTTGATTTCCTCTCATCCAGCATTTGAATTAGTCTACCATTTGTTGCTCTTCACCCTCCTCAGCTGAATCTGAGGTCTTCACCAGGAAACCTCAGTCAGGGTTAGAAGTGAAGAACAACTTAATGTTAAATGCCTTAAAGAACAAAAATTGGCATGCCTGGCTATATTTCACATCTTCCTTTATTTTTTTAACTGACAAATAATGTCTGTACATAGCCACCACAGTGTTTTGATACATGTAATGTATAGTGATCAAATCAGAGTAATTAGCATATCCATCATCTCAAATTGTTATCATTTCTTTGTCTTGGGAAACTTTAATATCCTCCTTCTTGCTATTTGAAACTATATAATATGTTATTGCTAACTAGAGTCATCCTATAATGGTGTAGAACACTAGAACTTACTCCTATTTAGCTGTAATTTTGTATCCTTTAACAAATTTCTCCCTACGCTTTTCATCTTTAATTCAGATGTTTGTTGTACTAGAATAATTCCATCTAACAATTATGTGGTGTTTCAGTATGCTAAGCACTTTTGTGAGCACTTTATAGATGGTAAATCTAACTTACTTGTCACAACAACCCAAAAAAGTAAGTACTCTTATTTCCATCATCTCCATCTTACCGACAATGAACAAGAGGGAGGAGGGGTCCCTCAGCTGTTAGGAGAAAGGCCAGATTCAGACCTAGGCAATCTTCGTCCAGAGTCCACGCTCCAGCCTGACAGTATTTACTGAGTCTATGAGGGTAACTGCGTGTGCTTACAACTGTGCTTCATGTACCTCTAAGTGCTTGCATCTAATTGCATATTTCTGGTCTATGGAGCAATAAAACAACATTGCTTTTCTATTACCTGTTGTTTTTCATGATTATTGCTAGTGGTAGTTGCTCAGATAAAAATTTGTTTCTAATTGTTATTAAATGTTATAGAATTACTGGTATTTCTACATACACACCAAAGGTATGAATAATATATTTATACCATTTTCCAAGTAAATTACCTATATTCTCTACTTTCACTCTAAAGTAATCAGCTCTGTAAAAATCACATCTAGTTGTAAAAGTTTCCGCATTTACTTCCCAAATGTGCCCAGCATCTCATTTGGTCCTCACAGCAAGTTCATGAAGTCACGTAGATGTTGTTTTCTCAGAGTGAAAGACCAAGCAACTAGGCATGGGAACATCGAAGACAATAGACAATAGGATCAACTCTGAAAAATACAGGAGGAAGAAGGAAAATGATGGAACCAATGACTAAAGGAAGTCAAGCTGGCTTGCCCACACCAATGAGTGAGCAAGACAGACACACTGCTCAAGATCCTAGAGAGGCTTAGCAGAGGCCTATCAGCCAAGAAATCACAATTACTGGGTTATGAAGACCATACTATGGGTTATGAGGAGATGCCAAACCCTCTAATCTTAAAGAACTTAGCATCAGAAAAAGGGACAAATGGCTGGGGGTGGTGGCTCATGCCTATAATCCCAGCATTTTGGGAGGCCAAGGTGGGCAGATCAGGAGGTCAAGAGTTCAAGACCAGCCTGGCCAACATGGTGAAACCCTGTCTCTACTAAAAATACAAAAACTAGCCAGGCGTGGTGGAAGGCACCTATAGTCCCAGCTACTCAAGATGCTGCGGCAGGAGAATCGCTTGAACCCGGGAGGTGGAGGTTGCAGTGAGCCAAGATCACGCCATTGCACTCCAGCCTGGGTGACAGAGAGAGACTCCATCTCAAAAAAAAAAAGAAAAAAGAAAAAGGGAGAGATGTGCATAAGTCATTATAAATAAGAACAAGAGTTCTTGTTGGTCTACCTTATCTCCCAAAAAAGATCCTTGGAAAAAGTAACTGTCTTCTAATTTTTTTGTATCCCTCTACTCCAGAAGATGACTACTGGTAAAGAAGTTACAAAAAAAAAAAAAAAACAGTGATTACTGGTAAAGAAATTATCAATATTAAAATTATTTTTGAGAAAAAAATAAATAGCACAATGCAGTCATTAGATAAGATTCTTGAAATGAACCAGAGGACTTTGTTTTGATGAGTAGAACAATGCTGAGGTTTGAGGACTTGTAATCCAGTTGCTGCTGGAAGTTAGAAGTAATGTTAAAAGTTTCCATTATTTTAACTCAGGCCCAAGGTCTGAAATAGGAAAATTAGTTATGAAGTTTGAGAGTAGCATGTATAAAGTATAAAGGTTATAGAACGCAGATAGTATAAGAAGTTACCCAGAAAATATAAGAAGTTTTAGAACCCAGAAAGTATAAGAAGTTATCCAGAAAGTATAAGAAGTTATCCAGAAGGTATAAGAAGTTAGTAAGAGGAAAAGCTGTACTATTTTTGTTACTTGTTCTGTAGCAAGGCAGTTGGAGAAAAGGAGACTTTGATAATGGTAAAAATTCTATATTGTATTTTGAATATAAAGAAAACTGACTCTACCCGTTTTGTTCTTAGTCGCATGTTTTTATGTTGGTGATAGATATGGCTTATTAATCGACTCTCCGGCTTGACTCTTCCTCCACCCCACCCTAGTCCTGAATAAACATCCCATACTTACGATAACTGAACAATACAAGCCCAGATGGATTGGGTTAGTGTTTATGTGTGAGAGCTATTTGGGGAAAATAAGAAAGCTGGCTCTTATCAACATGTTACAATGGAACTAGGAGACATACCACCAAAAGTACCCAGAAGCCAGGCCAAGGAGTTATTTTGAGGGTGGGGCTAAAATAACTGCTTTCTCTACTTTTCATTTCAATTACAATCTACATAGCCTGTAGATAAATTATAATTCAGAACCTGAGAAAATGCAGTTACACATCTTACCAGAATTTTGTTTAGTAGAGATGAACTTTAAAGCTTTCCTATTAAGTAGGTGCATGGCCTGGAGACAGTACGCCAATTTCCCTGGATGTCAATTTCTTCATCTGTAAAGGATGGGGTTGAATTGAGAAGAGGTATGGCCTCCAAGGAGATCAGCTAAAACTGTGACTCTAGGCACTGTGTCATGCATAAGTGGTCTGCAACACACTGCAATACATTGATGTAATTCACTCACGCTGCTCTTTCATCGTGTGATAAAGGGAATCTGTCCAGGAAACAGTAGTACTCTTTAATAAAACCTGATTTTGCTGTGTTATTACTAACATTTTATTTTTTTATTTCTTTTTAAAAATGCATGTTTTTTTTCTTCTCACCAAATATAGTAATTTCTTCCTTTAAGAAGGAAGAAAGATGAATTTTCAGAAGGAAGAAACACAGCTTATATCCTACTTCAAGTCAGTTTCATTTTTTAAGACTTGCATTCGTTTGGTATGACATATTGATAATCAAACTGCAAAATTTCTAGGAAATATTCAATTCACTTCCTTACTCTCCTCTCCTATCTACCTCTTCTCTCAGAGGAGATGAGACAAGGGTGAAGAGGAGAAAAAAGAGGAAAGGAAAGAAGAGGAAAATCTTTTCCAGGTTTCAAATGATCACAATCAAAATAAAAGGCATGACAAACATTCTTCCCTTAAGCAGTCAGTCTGTAGTCTAGCCCTTCTTGAGTGCGTGTTTCTTGCCCCCTCCTCCTCTGCACTGATTGCTCTGTCCACAATTTCACCCCCTGCTCCCCTCTAATCTCCCCATTCAGTTATATTTTCTTAGTGCTCTCTCTGCCCTCAGCATCTCTTCTGCGATTGCTCTGGCCTCCTTGGCTTCTCCAAGCTACCTCTGCTCCTCTGTTATCCCTCTCTTCTATTTCCTAACCCTTTCTCTGCCCTCCTCTGCTCTCTCAGCCCTTGTGATCTCTCTGGCCTCTGTAGCTTTTCCCATGATCACTCTTCTCTGTTTTTCTCTGTGATTTCTCTGCCCTCTCTGGCTTTCTCAGCTTTCTTTAGAAGTCAGAAAACCTCAAAAGGTTCAGAGATTAATTTCGGTTTAGATAAGCACCCAAACTTGGGAGTGCTTACGCCAATTCTTTACTGAAACTCTTTGGATCTAAAATCTCACTGGGAAGGTCGGCCTTAGAAAAGTTCAAGTACTTGGAATTTTATCAAGAGAATAATTTCCTTTCAAACATTGGCCTTTCTACTCCTTATTTTCCGTAAGAGGAAAAGAAGATGGTCATTGTTTATTATGAATCATTTATCTTTTTTCACGTGATGTGAGCTATATGTGATTAGAGAGCCTGGTACACTTGGCACTGAGAAGGAAACTCAAGCATTCATTCATTCATTCAGTAATAATTTATTGATGACTACTATGTGCTGGAAATGCAGGAAGTTGGACTTTACTTCAATCTCCATAAAATAATTACATATTTGCTTTCCATAAATATGCCTTATAGACCACATATCTTTTGTGCAACCTTAAATTCGACAGAAAATGACAAAAATGTTACTGCATAAATCTTCCTACCACCCCTTGTTTCAACATCTAGAATTTAATTTAAATATTAGATATTGTTATTTACTTCCTGCAACTTTAACATATCTATTTCTATTATTCCTATTACAGAGCAGCTCAGGTGCTTTTAAGTAAAAAGCAACTTCCCCTTTCCAAGTCAAGCACAATCACCAGTGTTATGAGTTCATGCCATAAACAATAAAGTCAAATAAGATAACAAAGGGAATTATTTTTGTTCAGTTTCTCCACCCAATATTTGAGACATTTATTTGTTTAACTTTTGTTTTTACATTTCTTGGGGAAACTGGAAAGCTGAATCTGTATAGTCAACCTCAGGCATAATTCCATAATCTGAAAATACTTGAAATGTTGAGCCAAATCTTAAGCTCTATCTGCTTTCCTACAAATATTTGGTCATTTGCTTATCTATCTCTTTAATATAAGAGTCCTAAAATGGTGTTGCATGGGCCATGTCAAAAGATGTGTTTTATTTGCCTGCAAAATATTTTTCTCTGCTTTTACCTGAGATGGGGTCTCACTGTGTTGCCCAGGCTGGAGTGCAATGGCTATTCACAAGTGCAGTTATAATGCACTACAGCCCCTACCTCTTAGCCTCAAGCAATGCTTCCGCCTCAGCCTCCTGAATAGCAGGGATAATAGGCATGCACCACTGCACCTGGCTACCTGAAAAATATTTTAAAAGTCTAAATATGAATGTTCTGGCTGGGCGTGGTGGCTCTCGCCTGTAATCCCAGCACTTTGGGAGGCCAAGGCGGGTGGATCACAAGGTCAGGAGATCGAGAGCATCTTGGCTAACACGGTGAAATCCTGTCTCTACTAAAAATACAAAAAACAAATTAGCCAGGCATGGCAGCGGGCACCTGTAGTCCCAGCTACTCGGGAGGCTGAGGCAGGAGAATGGCATGAACCCGGGAGGCGGAGCTTGCAGTGAGCCAAGATAGCGCCACTGCACCCCAGCCTGGGCAACAGAGCAAGACTCTGTCTCAAAAAAAAAAAAAAAAAAAAATGAATATTCTAGGCAGGCTGGCAATCTACACCTTGCGACACTCTTCAGTAATATGAGTTGTCACATACTTGTACCACTGCAGACATTTATATTACTCACCTAGTTCCCAAAGTATTTCAGTGTCTGATTCCTAAGCTGAGCTTATCTCACCCAAGTGGGAGGTGAGATATGGAGAGATGTGAACTTTTGATGATAACTGAAAACACTGTAACAATAAGTTTGTTGGAAATGTAGTAAGAAAATGAGAACATTGATTAAATTTCACTCTGGCAAACCTTCTTCTTATGGATGGATGCATAAGGTAAACTAAAACAAAAAAGTCATTCTGTTTCTTAATAATTCCCAAGAAAGCCTTCTGTAGTTCTTAGGGATGAGAGAGCTTGCATATTTAGAGGAATTCACTCCTCTAATAGATACTAGCAAGAATATGCACTTTCTTTCAAGTGCATATTTCAAGTGAGGATGCTGTTATCCAGTGCTAAATGTGGTTCAAGAATCAGGAAAATAATACTTATAAACCATCCCTGAAACAAAATTACATAATTATTAGGCCATATTTTATGGTGTGGTGAGGTCAGGCCTGAGTACAAAAGGGCAGTGGCATGACAAGAATTTGTCCATTTCCTTAATTCTGGCAGAATCCTACCTACATACAGAGTCTCACCCATAATTGCAAGCTTCAGAAGATCAAGGGGCCAGGGATAAGTTGTACATAGACTTGATATGTGTGGCCACCTCACTTAAATCTGTATCAGGATCTTAAATTGCATATCTGTGTTGAAGAATGGCAGAGTGGAGTGCAGTAAAGGATTAACCTTGTCCATATTGAGGTTTGGTCTTTGCCCTCAGATCCTGAGAGGTAACCTTTAAGCCCTTGGAATGTTTTGTTGATAAGAGTGTCCTTGCTTACCTGGGGCACTTGGGCCATGCCAAATAGTCTAAGTTTACAATATGACCTAGAGTGGGGAGCCTAGGTCTGTGTGATATTAGCTCAACCTCTTGGAGCCTAAGCTAGGTCATGCAGGGGTCAACCATGTCTACATGACTAAGTTCCAGTAACCTCTGGACAGCAAGAATCAGGTATGCTTATATGGTTGGCAGTACTCCGTGTACATTGCCATACATGTTGTTGAAATAAATAGACACTATCCAACACAAATCCACTGGGAGAGCCAAAGTGGAAGCCCCATGCCTTATCCACTGGACCCTGCCCTATGCTCCTCTTTCCC
This sequence comes from Homo sapiens, assembly GCF_000001405.40. NCBI lineage: Eukaryota > Metazoa > Chordata > Mammalia > Primates > Hominidae > Homo > Homo sapiens. The sequence continues at coordinate 59,371,736 of NC_000013.11, forward strand.
TCCAATTTTAATCTGCATCCTTTTGTTGTAATAAACAGTAACTGATATGGTTTGGCTCTGTGTCCCCACCCAAATCTCATGTTGAATTGTAATCTCCATGTGTTGAGGGAGGGACCTGGTGGGATGTGATTGGATCATGGAGGTGGTTTCCCTCATGCTGTTTTTATGATAGTGAGGGAGTTCTCATGAGGTCGGATGGTTTAAAAGTGGCAGTTTCTGTCGGGTGTGGTGGCTAACCCCTGTAATCCTAGCACTTTGGGAAGCCAAGGTGGGTGGATCACTTGAAGTCAGGAATTTGAGACCAGCCTGGACAACATGGTGAAACCCTGTCTCTACTAAAAATACAAAAATTAGCTGGGCTTGCTGGCATGCACCTGGAATCCCAGCTACTCGGGAGGCTGAGGCTGGAGAATCACTTGAACCCAGGAGGTGGAGATTGCAGTGAGTCAAGATTACACCATTGCACTCTAGCCTGGGCGGCAAGAGTGAAACTCCGTCTCAAAAAAATAAAAATAAATAAAAGTGGCAGTTTCCCCTGTGCTCTTTCTTTATCTTGCCACCATGAGAAGAGATGCCTTGCTTCTCCTTTGCCTTTCATCATGATTATAAGTTTCCTGAGGCCTCCCCAGCCATGCAGAACTGTGAGTCAATTAAACCTCTTTCCTTTATAAATTACCTAGTCGCAGGTAGTATCTTTATAGAAGTGTGAAAACAGACTGACACAGTAACCAAGAATATAACAGCTTTTCTGGGTTCTAGTGAATTATCAAGCCTGAACAACAGGGATCTCTCAATAGGGGTCTCCGTACAGGTCTTGGGGAATCTCTGAATGTGCATTCGGTTTCAGAAGTGAGAGTGGTCTTGGTAACTCCTGAAATTGCAAGTGGAACTGCATGGAGGGATGGGGAAGAAACTGCAATTCTCCAGAAATTCTACAGTGACTTCCTGAGGTTCTATGCCTAAAGAAACCAACAGTTGTCTAAAAACAGAACCTCCTCAGACTTTAGCTCTTATGCAGTTCACAGAGAATGGTTTAGGGTATACAGAAAGGGTAGCCTGAGTTTTCAAGAAACACTTCATGGGTACATCCCCATCTCTTCAGCCTGGGCCCCACCAAGAGAAAGAAAGGAAAGCCAGCCAACGCATCTTTCTTTTATTCTCAGCATCTTATTCAGATTTTTTTTTTCTAAAGCTGCTGCTCAATATTATCTCATTAAGGAAAAAGATAATTATGATATTAACATCTTGCTTCCAAACACTTAGTGAAGTCACTAGCATTTAGCTTCACACTTAAACGAAATGGGGACCAAAGTATGTGACACCTATTTTTCAAATGCAAATCTCACAGTGATGCTGAAAACTCAGTTTCTTTTCATTTCCCACTACAAAGAACACATGGCATTTTCAGTGAACTGATCACAAATTGCCTGTGGGACTGGAGGAAAAACACAGGTATGAGTATAGATCCACCTTAGAAAGCAACAAATTATATTTGGAAAAATGTACATCTAGACTAATTCCACCCATGTTACTAAATACATGCTGCCAAATACTGGAGAAGCTTTTCCAGCTCCTATGACTTTCTGTATTTTTGTAAGGTTCCAAGCCCTGGAGCAGGAATATAGGCTGTCCGATGGAACACACCCAGGGTTTCCTCTGTCCCAGTATGTCTTCCATACAATAATCACAGGGCACCAAAAATGGGGAGCATCCACAGACTCCAGGGTAGCCTACTGCTCCTATTCCAACTGCTTGTTGAAGGACTGCCAAATCCCTGACACTGTGCTGAGCTCCCTACATAGTTTGCCTCCTTTAATCTTAACAACAGCCCTGGAGGGTGGAGGTTATTTTAGGTCTTTCCATTTTACAGAGATGAGGAATCAAGAATTTAGACAAGTTAAAGAGCCTGCCCAAGATGACAAAGCTAGCAACAGTCAAACCCACTTTTCAACCCAGCTCTGTCCATGTAAAAACCTATTTTATTGCTACACATTCAGCATTCTGGTTAATTATAGACTCTGATTATAACAATTTATCCCACATATTAATGAATTGCTAATTTTTAGAGAACTAAAGTATAGTAAAATACCCTTAAGATCAAAAGTACTAAAATTCCACAGAATATAATCAAATTTTTCTTGGATGCCTCAGATGATACTTTAAGCCCTTGTAATGTCTCAGGTACATCATCCTGTGGAAGAGTGATTGTGCTAATAAAGTGTAGGTCAGAAGAATAACAGATAAATCAGCTTCCACTTACATATAATCACTATCCTAATTCTCATAAATACTTTTGCAGAGTTCATGATGTAGTGATCTACTAACTTTTTTTCAATCCAAGTTAACAAATCTTTAGTGCCTTCTTTGCGCCAAACCCTGTGGTAAGCTCTGGGCAGTAGTAATAAGTGTGATATAACGCCTGTCCTTAAGGAGGACACATTTTGACTTTGGAAGAGTACATTATTTCCCTTGCAATAGAATTACCTTGTCAATATTTAATTGGCTGTAAGTGGAATATTAACAGCAGCAGATCTACATTTTAAAAAATTGCAATTGGTAGGTCCACTGATTTTGTAAAGTGACTACTATTTTTCTCTTCTCCTCTCTTTTATATTGTCTTTTAAAATGAGCAATGGCTACCTTCCATGTCACTTTTTTAAACTCTTCCCCATACACGTGCACATACACACAGTAACACACATGCACATGTGTGTGCAAACATACACACACATCCAGTGAATAAAAGGTTGTTGTGGTTGTAGTGTTATCCAGCATCCATCACTGTGCATATATTCACAGGGATCTTACAAAAAATCTCTCTGATGACTCTTGGGAGGGAAAGGAAGCAGGGAACAAAGGCGGAAGGAAGCAAGGAAAGGAGCGTAACCTTCCCTTTGGCAGATGTCTGGGAAAAGGGGACTCTTTATGAAATCACTGGATCAAAGGGAAGTAAGAAGTTTCCAGGCTGCCAGTCACAAAGCCACCAAAAACTCACTTTTAATGAAAAAAGAAACTGTTAACTCCTGCACTGTTGTAAAATACTTACCAAAGACACCTTCCCTGCTAAGTGCCATTCATTTCAAGAGTGAAATGCTGTAACAGAGAAAAATGCCCAGGGCAACTGGGAACCGGAGAAGGAGGGAAGTATGTGGTTCAACTGTCCCTGTAGGGGAGGGAAAGTGTCTCTTTCCTTGACAGCTTCCCCACTTAACTACTGTGCAGTCAGCCCTATTTGGCGCCAGTGAAAATTCAGCCTTCCAGCAGATTCCCTGCCATCTGCCTTATGACTAACAGTCTACAGTAACACACCTTGAATGCTGAAAAATCTGCAGTGCTCCCTGGGGCCGCCTTTTTGGGGCAATTAGAAGATCCATGGAAAGGAAATCTTTACTTTGTCACTTGGCTTAGGTTTCCACATTTGGTTGAAATTCTGGAAAGGGATATTTGGATAAATATGATTTCCTGATTTTTCCTCACCTTGGTGCTTTTTTAGTACCCATAGCCAGAAGCCATGGAAGCTGAGGGAATGACAAATGGCCATCACGAAGGCTTGAGTCTCCAAAAATCAGCAGAGATGTTATCCAACTGACAAGGAAGAAAAAGGAGAAAGGAAAACAGAAACAAAATAAGCTCAGTTTTTGGCCCTAGGGCTCCACCAGGTATCTGCCAATTTATTCACGCTGAAATATGAAGAGATTCCAGATGGAAACATATTCACTTTTTTGGTTATTTTTTAACTTTATTTGGATTTTAATGGTTACTACTGGAAAGTTTCCTTGTACAGGACTAAGAAAGAAGCTAAGACTATTGCTCAAAATCTATGGAGGGAAGTGGGGGAAGAGCATTTAATCATTTAGATCACTGGAGTACATGTTGCAAAAAGCCAAGACCAGCTCTTCCAAAATATATCCATCTTTCACAAGGGAAAAAAAGGTAAACAATTTGATATTTTTTCCCACAAAAATGTGTGACTAACATGGAGTACCAAAAGATGCCCTCCTTATCCACCTGGGTCCTAACGATGACCAAAGCTAAATTACTTAGTTACCAGTCTACTCCAGACCCTTCGGGAGTCTGAAAATTTAGGTAATCTCTTAACATCTTCATAGCCATAAAAATCTTATCAACAATAGTACAGACATTATAAATAGCATTTTTTTTCTTTCTTTCTTTTTTTTTTTTTGACAGGGTCTCACTCCATTACTCATGCTGGAGTGCAGTGGTGTGATCATAGCTCACTGCAGCCCTCAACCTCCCAGGCTTACTTGATCCTTGCACCTCAGTCTCCAGAGTAGCTGGGACTACAGATCATGTGCCATCATGCCAGGCTAGTTTTTGCTTGTTTTTTATTTTTAAAATTCTTTTTTTTTTTTTGAGACAGACTTTTGCTCTTGTTGCCCAGACAACAAGTGCAATGGCGCGATCTTGGCTCACTGCAACCTCTGCCTCCGGGTTCAAGTGATTCTCCTGCCTCAGTCTCCTGAGTAGCTGGGATTACAGGTGCCTGCCATGATGCTCAGCTGGTTTTTTTTTTGTGTGTATTTTTAGTACAGATGGGGTTTCACCATGTTGGCCAGGCTGGTCTCAAACTCCTGACCTCAGATGATCCACCAGCCTTGGCCTCCTAAAGTGCTGGGATTACAGGTATGAGGCAACGTGACCAGCCAGTTTTTAAATTTTTTATAGCAACAGGGTTTCATTATGTTCCCCAGGCTGGTCTTGAATGCCTGAACTCAAGCAATCCACCCACCTCAGCCTCCCAAAGTGCTGAGAATACAGGCCACTGTGCCTGGCCTAGAAATAGCTTTTTAAGGTCAAGAGAGTGTTGTCCTCCCCATGTAGCTGAGTACAAAGCTCATATCACTCAGTGCACAACAGCCAGTAAGGCGAGAGACAAGGTGTTGGGGCAATGAAGACGACTTTATTTCTGGGAGTCAGCAAACCAAGAAGATGGCAGACTAATGTCCTAAAGAACCATCTTATGCTAATATGGATGTGGGGCTCCTTTTATGTTAAGGAAAGTGGAAAGCAGAAGGGGGTTGAGGTCAAAAGGTGACTGAAGATTACAGACATCCAAGCAGCATCAAAGATAACATCTGGAGGGACCTGGGCAAGATGATTGAATAGAAACAGCTCTGGTCTGCAGCTCCCAGAGAGATCAACACAGAATTTCCAACTGAGGTACCCAGCTCATCTCATTGGAACAGGTTAGGTAGTGAGTGCAGCCCACAGAGGGCGAGCAGAAGCAGGGTGGTGTGTCCCCTCAACCAGGAAGCACAAGGGGTCAATGAACTCCCTCTCCTAGCCAAGGGAAGCTGTGAGGGACTGTGCCATGAGTAATGGGGCATTCCGGCCCAGATACTACATATTTCCCATGGTCTTTGCAACCCGCAGACCAGGAGATTCTCTCGGGTGCCTACACCACCAGGGTCCTGGGTTTCAAGCACAAAACTGGGCGGCTGTTTGGGCAGACACTGAGCTAGCTGCAGGAGTTTTTTTTATTTCATACCCCAGTGGTGCCTGGAATGCCAGCAAGATAGAACTGTTCACTCCCCTGGAAAGGGGGCTGAAGCCAGGGAGCCAAATGGTCTAGCTCAGCGGATCCCACCCCCACAGAGCCCAGCAAGCTAAGATCCACTGGCTCAAAATTCTCGTTGCCAGCACAGCAGTCTGAAGTTCACTTGGGACTCTTGAGCTTGGTGGGGGAAGGGGCATCCACCATTACTGAAGATTCAGTAGGCAGTTTTCCCCTCACAGTGTAAACAAAGTCACCGGTAAGTTCAAACTGGGCAGAGCCTACCGCAGCTTGGCAAAGCCGCTGGAGCCAGACTGCCTCTCTAGATTCCTTCTTTCTGGGCAGGGCATCTCTGAAAGAAAGATAGCAGCCCCAGTCAGGGGCTTACAGATCAAACTCCCATCTCCCTGGAATAGAACACCTGGGGGAAGGGGCAGCTGTAGATGGAGATTCAGCAGACTTAAACGTTCCTGCCTGCTGGCTTTGAAGACAGCAGTGGATCTCCCAGCACAGTGCTTGAGCTCTTCTAAGGGACAGACTGTCTCAAGTGGGTCACTGACCCCCATGCCTCCCGATTGAAAGAAAGGTCCCAGCAGGGGTTGACAGAAGCCTCATATAAGAGACCTCTGGCTGGCATCTGGTGGGTGACCCTCTGGAACGAAGCTTCCAGAAGAAGGAACAGGCAGCAATCTTTGCTGCTCTGCAGCCTCTATTGGTGATACCCAGGCAAACAGGATCTGGAGTGGACTTCCAGCAAACTCCAGCAGACCTGCAGAAGAGGGGCCTGATTGTTAGAAGGAAAACTAACAAACAGAAAGGATTAGCATCAATATCAACAAAAAGGACATCCATGCAAAAACTCCATCCAAAGGTCACTAACATCAAAGACCAAAATTAGATAAATCCATAAAGGTGAGGAAAAACTAGTGCAAAAAGACTGAAAATTCCAAAAATCAGAACACCTTTTCTCCTCAAAAGGGTCACAACTCCTCTCCAGCAAGGGAACACAACTGGTTTGAGAAGGAGTTTGACAAATTGACAGAAGTAGGCTTCAGAAGGTAGGTAATAACAAACCCCTCTGACTAAAAGAACATGTTCTAACCCAATGCAAAGAAGCTAAGAACCTTGAAAAAAGGTTTGAAGAATTGCTAACTAGAATAACCAGTTGAAAGAAGAACATAAATGACCTGATGGAGCTGAAAAACACAGCAAGAGAACTTCGTGAACTATACACAAGTGTCAATAGCCAAATCGATCAAGCAGAAGAAAGGATATCAGAGATTGAAGATCAACTTAATGAAATAAAGTGTGAAGTCAAGATTAGAGAAAAAAGGATGAAAAGGAATGAACAAAGCCTCCAAGAAATATGGGACTATGTGAAAAGACCAAACCTACATTTGATTGGTGTACCTGAAAGTGATGGGAAGAATGAAAACAAGTTGGAGAACCCCCTTCAGGAGAACTTCCCCAGCTTAGCAAGACAGGCCAACATTCAAATTCAGGAAATAAAGAGAACACCACAAAGATATTCCTCGAGAAGAGCAACCCCAAGACACATAATGATCAGATTCACCAAGGTTGAAATGAAGGAAAAAATGTTAAGGGCAGCCAGAGAGAAAGATCAGGTTACCCACAAAGGGAAGCCCATCAGACTAACAGCAGATCTCTCTGCAGAAACCCTACAAGCCAGAAGAGAATGGGGGCCAATATTCAACATTCTTAAAGAAGAGACTTTTCAACCTAGAATTTCATATCCAGCAAAACTAAGCTTCATAAGCAAAGGAGAAATAAAATCCTCTACAGATAAGCTAATGATGAGGGATTTTCTCACCAATAGGCCTGCCTTACAAGAGCTCCTGAAGGAGGCACTAAATATGGAAAGGATAAAGTAGTATGAGCCACTGCAAAAACATGCCAAATTGTAAAGACCATCAACACTATGAAGAAACTTCATCAACTAACAGGCAAAATCACTAGCTACCATCATAATGACCAGATCAAATTTACTCTTAACAATATTAACCTTAAATGTAAATGGGCTATATGCCCCAATTAAAAGACATTGACTGGCAAATTGGATAGAGAGTCAAGACCTACGGGTGTGCTATATTCAGGAGACCCATCTCACGTGCAAAGACACACATAGGCTCAAAATAAAGGGATGGAAGAATATTTACCAAGCAAATGCAAAGCAAAAAAAGCAGGATTTGCAATCCTACTCTCGGATAAAACAGACTTTAAACCAACAAAGATCAAAAAAGGCATTACATAATGGTAAAAGGATCAATGCAACAAGAAGAACTAACTATCCTAAATATATATGCACCCAAAACAGGAGCACCCAGATTCATAAAGCAAGTTCTTAGAGACCTACAAAGAGACTTAGACTCCCACACAATAATAGTGGGAGACTTTAACACCCCACTGTCAATATTAGACAGATCAACGAGACAGAAAATTAACAAGGATATTCAGGACTTGAACTCAGCTCTGGATGAAGCAAACCTAATAGACATCTACTGAACTCTCCACCCAGTGTCAACACAATATACATTCTTCTCAGCACCATGTCACACTTATTATAAAATTGACCAAATAATTGGAAGTAAAACACTCCTCAGCAAATGTAAAAGAATGGAAATCATAACGAACAGTCTCTTAGACCAAAGTGCAATCAAATTAGAACTGAGGATTAAGAAACTCACTCAAAACTGCACAACTACATGGAAACTGAACAACCTGCTCCTGTATGATTATTGGGTAAATAACAAAATTAAGGCAGAAATAAATAAGCTCTTTTAAACCAATGAGAACAAAGACACAACATACCAGTATCTCTGAGACACAGCTAAAGCAGTGTTTAGAAGGAAATTTACAGCATTAAATGCCCACAAGGGATATGAAGGACCTCTTCAAAGAGAACTACAAACCACTGCTCAAGGAAATAAGAGAGGACACAAACAAATGGAAAACATTTCATGTTCATGGATAGAAAGAATCAATATTGTGAAAATGTCCGTACTGCCCAAAGTAATTGATAGATTCAATGCTATCTCCATCAAGCTACCATTGACTTTCTTCACAGAATTAGAAAAAACTACTTTAAATTTCACATGGAACCAAAAGAGAGCCCGTATAACCAAGACAATCCTAAGCAAAAAGAACAAAGCTGAAGGCATCATGCTACCTGACTTCAAACTATACTACAAGGCTACAGTAACCACAACAGGATGGTACTTGTACCAAAACAGATATATAGACTAATGGAACAGAACAGAGGCCTTGGAAATAATGCCACACATCTACAACCATCTGATCTTTGACAGACCTGACAAAAACAAGAAATGAGGAAAGGATTCCCTATTTAATAAATGGTGTTGGCAAAACTGGCTAGCCATATGCAGAAAACTGAAACTGGACCCCTTCCCTACACCTTATACAAAAATTAACTGAAGATTAATTAAAGACTTAAACATAAGACCTAAAACCATAAAAACCCTAGAAGAAAACCTAGGCAATACCATTCAGGACATAGGTATGGGCAAAGACTTCATGACTAAAACACCAAAAGCAATGGCAACAAAAGCCAAAATTGACAAATAGGATCTAATTAAACTAAAGAGCTTCTGCACAGCAAAAGAAACTATCATCAGAGTGAATAGCCAACCTACAGAATGGGAGAAAATTTTGGCAACCTATTCATCTGACAAAGGGCTGATATCCAGAATCTACGAGGAACTCAAGCAAATTTACAAAAAAAAAAAAAAAAAACCTATCAAAAAGTGGGCGAAGGATATGAACAGACACTTCTCAAAAGAGGACATTTGGTTGGGCACAGTGGCTCACACCTGTAATCCTAGCACTTTGGGAGGCCAAGGGGGCAGATCACAAGGTCAGGAGATTGAGACCATCCTGGCTAACATGGTGAAACCCCATCTCTACTAAAAACACAAAAGTTAGCCAGGCGTGGTGGTGGGTACCTGTAGTCTCAGCTACTCAGAAGGCTGAGGCAGGAGAATGGTGTGAACCCAGGAGGCAGAGCTTGCAGTGAACCGAGATCACCCCACTGCACTACAGCCTGGGTGACACAGCAAGACTCCATCTCAAAAACAAAAACAAAAAAAATGCGGACATTTATGTGGCCAACAAACATATGAAAAAATGGTTATTATCACTGGTCATTAGAGAAATGGAAATCAAAACCAAAATGAGATACCATCTCACACCAGTTAGAATGGCAATCATTAAAAAGTCAGGAAACAATAGATGCTGGAGAGGATGTGGAGAAATAGGAAAGCTTTTATACTGTTGGTGGAAGTGTAAATTAGTTCAACCATTGTGGAAGACAGTGTGGCGACTCCTCAAGGATCTAGAACCAGAAATATCATTTGACCCAGCAATCCCATTACTGGGTATATACCCAAAGGATTATAAATCATCCTACTATAAAGACACATGCACATTATGTTTATCGCAGCACTAGTCACAATAGCAAAGACTTGGAACCAACCCAAATGCCCATCAATGATAGACTGGATAAAGAAAATGTGGCACATATACACCATGGAATACTATGCAGCAATAAAAAAGGATGAGTTCATGTCCTTTGCAGGGACACGGTGAAGCTGGAAACCATCATTGTCAGCAAACTAACACAGGAACAGAAAACCAAATACCGCATGTTCTCATTCGTAAGTGGGAGTTGAACAATGAGAACACATGGACACAGGGAGGGGAACATCACACACCAAAGCCTGTCGGGGGGGTGTGGAGCTAGGGGAGGGATAGCATTAGGAGAAATACCTAATGTAGATGACGGGTTGATGGGTGCAGCAAACCACCATGGCACGTGTATACCTATGTAACAAACCTGCATGTTCTGCACATGTATCCCAGAACTTAAAGTATTAAAAAAAAAAAAAAAAAAAAAGGTAAACATCATTGTCCTTGGTCACATCACCATGCTCTTATAAATTTTTAACAACATCGTTACTTGCGTGTACACCCTCCTTATATTCTTGGGGATTAGTTTTGGGAAGGGACTATTATCATTCCTGCTTTGAAGTTCAGAGATAAGCCAAAGCAGTTAACCTAAAAGATATCATGGCAGTGGGGGTTAGGAGCAAAATGGAGTTAGTCATGCTAGGCCTCCTTTTCACTGTTACACCCACAGGTTTCATTTTCTTCCTTATGCCCTGGTATTTTTTGTCTAGTTCCCCTTGTTGAATGATTCCTCTAGATGTGGATTAATAAGCTCTTTAAATCTCTTTAATTGAGATCCACATTAATTGGATTCAAAGCTCTGCCCATGTTCCTAGGTACACATTTAAAGAGGTCATCAGCTGAGATATAAATAATGTTTCTGAACAACTGTACTTTTTCAATATAATATTTAAAAATATACTAAAGCTAAAACAAAAGTTTCCTAGTGAGAATAGGAAGTGACCTACTTTCAACCAAAAACATTCTCACTGTATTACACCTATGTTCCGAAGGCAGTTTAAAATTTTCTTAAAGACATTTAAAAATGCAATATAAGTTAATTGTGTAATGTCGTAACATGGATTTCAAGCATTTCCATTCAAAGTTAAACTTAGATTGACTTTACAATCCATTACTCATCTTTCTTTTTTTCCTGAGTTTTTTGGAGACAAGAAGTATTTCTCTACGTTGCAAATGAGAATCTTAGTTATATTAAGAATTTCTACTCTGTCAGAAATCAGGACCAAAAAGGCTAAGTGCGGTAACTACTTTTTTTAAACTGAAAACTGAGTAAAAGATCTCAAGTGTATGTCTTATATGGATCATGTCTCCATTCAGAGTCCCACCCAGAATAGCAAAATGGTGTTTTCCTAGAGTCTAGTTCCCTGTTGCATTTGCTGGGATCCTCTCATCAGAAGCTGGAAGCGAGTTCTACAAACAGGACTGATGCTTTGAACTGAATAGATTTCTTCAGGGTAAAATTTTGCACCAGGGTTCCAATTAGAACCTAAGGCTGATTACTTGAATTTATAGACCTCCTGGTGGAATCCTAGCATTCCTCATCACTGGATCAATGCTTTTTTACTAGATGATTGATTGTGGGAGCATTTCAGTGGATCTTCCTCTGACATCTTCTTTCTATTGCTTTTGCGGAATCTCCAACAGCTTTGCTTTAGGAAATAGATCAAATGACTGTAAGCATGGGCTCTGGAGCTACCCTCCTTTGATTTATACCAACACCACCTCTTACCAATGTCACCTAAGCAAGTTGCTAATCCTCCCAAAGCCTCAGTTTCCTCATATATTCAATGTAAATACTTACAATACTATCTTTAAAGAGGTGGCTTGAGGATTAAATTAACCAGTATATAAAAAATATTATAACAGTGTAATTAGCACTCAGAATGTGGGATATTATAAGCTATTATTTTTACATATATAACACATATATAAATGCATAAAGGTAAATATAGATAGATGTGTGTGTATGTGTATGTATACATATATATATACTTTCTGGTTCACTGGTGTCTCATTAGGATTTTTTATTTAAGAGAAGCAGGATCATGCTATGTTGCCCAGGCTGGAGTGCTATGCCTATTTACAGACGTGATCATAGTAAGTGTACTATGATCGTGCACTACAGTGTAATCTGGCTTAGCACTTCTGTTGTCAAGTGATCTTGCTGCCTCAGCCTCTACCATGCTGGGACTACAGGCATGCACCATTGCACCTGGCTCATCAGGATTTAACACAAAAAATTATAGTATAAATAACATACTCTTGAAAATTCCCCTAAAGTGGTATGTCTTCTCTTGGGTACATAGCCTGGCAAAGACATAGCATGTGTAGCAAACACTGTGGATGGTCTGTTGATATTCTGTGTATTGTAGACCACTTACTGCATACAAACACCTCTCACTCTCTGCCTAAATGAGTTTTCATTTGGCTGTGGGAGTACCCTCAATCCATGGGGAGGGTCAGCTGGAAGTCTGGAGAGCTAATGCCCTCCAGAACCCCAACCAATGAAAACAAATAAATCAGTAGATAAATGTTATCACTACCTTAGCCACCAGCTGAAGGAAGTGAAATGTGTGCTCACTGTCTCCCGGAGTTCCTTTCAGGGGCAGAGCTCCAGAGGTTCTCACAGATAACTATCTCAGAACACACATTTTGTTGTCTTCCTTCCCTTTCCTGACTGAATTCTCTCTCTGTGGGTGTTTCCTGGGATGACCTCCCAAATAATACATTACCCACACTTGAATCCTTGTCCCAGAGCCAGCTTCTGGGGACTCCAAATCAAGACACTACCTCTCAATAAATCCATTATAGTCACATTTTCATTCAATAAATCTGGAAACGAATTGTTCCTTTTTTGTTAAGGATCTAGTAAAGTAACTGACTTAGTTTAGAGGCTGTAGAGTATGTATACATGTATGTCTGTATATGTATCTCCTTAGAATTGAAATCATAGGGGGACTCAAAATTGTGGTTCTGCCTTCCCACTTCTATTTGTAAAGTTTCATCATTCCTCTGAGAGATTTCTTTAGAATGCAGATACTAGATCTTCCTCTTCTCTTCCTTTCTCATGATTATTTTCAGGTTGTGTCTTCTGGAGGAATACCACAGCAGTAAAACTTCTTATTGCATCCTATCAAGTGATGCTGTACAATTTTGATCTGTCCCATTATTAATGACATCAAGTTTAATCATTTGAATAAGGTAGTATTGTCCATGCTTTTCCACAGTAATATTACTATAGCATGTGAAGGAGGTATTTCAAGATTTTTAAATACCCTGCTTCTCATCCTATTAATTAATATCTATATAAATAGGTATCTATATAAATTACCATTTCTGTTTTATTGCACTTTTATTAAAAATTTTTAAAAATTTTAAATTTATAAAAATTTTATTCAATTTTCATTTTTGAAAAATTTACCTGAAAATCCTGCAGCTAAGCTCAAGCAGGGTTGCCATCTTTGCAGGGGAGGAATGGAGGGTCATGGCAGCACGTGGCATGTTGGAGCCTAAGAAGGGTGAGGAGAGCTGAGGGCTTGAGCACCTAGAATGGTCTATCGGGACTTAAGTAGAACATATCCAGTGTGCAGATTGTGGTCGCTAAATACTATCTGTAAATCAAAGGAACCAGGGGCGATTTGCAAGTTGGGAACTAGAAAACTTCAAGATGGACCTGGAACAACTTGATGTGTCAAGATAAAAGAAAATGCTCAAAGAATGATGGGGATGAGTCAAAGATCATTTTGAAGTGGTTCCTACTCATCAAATCTGGACAATTTAAGCATCAAAATAAATAATAATAGAAACAAATGATAATCATTGAGTAAAATAGAAATGGCAATTAATATAGATATTTATATTGATATAGCTATTAATTAATTGGATGAAAAGCAGGGTATTTAAAAAATCTTGAAGTACCTCACACACAAACTATAGAAACTTTACTGTGGAAAAGCATAGACAATACCACCTTATTCAAGTGATTAAACTTGATGTCATTAATAATAGGACAAATCAAAATTGTACACCATCAGTTGGTAGGATGCAATAAGAAGTTTTACTGCTGTGATATTCCTTCAGAAGACACACAACCTGAAAATAATCATGAGAAAAAAATCTATAAAACATAAAACTGAGGGACCTTCAGAAATGTTAATTAAGGTCATAAAATTTTAGGAAGAACTAAGAAGCTTTTCTAGAGTGAAGAAGACTAACAGATATGACAGCAAAATGCAACATATGACTTTCTCCTGGATTCTTCTTATAAAAGACATTTTGGGGAAAATTAAATGAGGTCTGAAGATTTGATGGTAGCAATGCACATCAACATTAATTTCCTAATTTTCATGAATACAGTTTGGTTGTAAACGGGGAAGTACTTGTATACAGGAAATACACACAAAACTATCATATAAAAAGGTAAGCCACTTACTTTCAAACATTACAGAAAAATAGGTATATTTGTACTACCACTAAAATTTTTCTGTAAATTTGAATTTTTCAAATCAAAAAGTTTAAAATATGTATAGAAACTGGTATCAGAGAAAATGCCTACAGATACTGATAATTAGGAATTGCTCAGTTGGGTGCAGTGGCTCACGCCTGTAATCCCAGCACTTTGGGAGGCTGAGGCAGGTGGATCACTTGAGGTCAGGAGTTTGAGACCTGCCTGGTCAACATGGTGGAACCCTGTCTCTACTAAAAATACAAAAATTAGCCTGGCATGGTGGTATGCACCTGTAGTCCCAGCTACTTGGGAGGCTGAGGCAGGAGAATTGCTTGAACCCCAGGAGGTGGAGGTTGAAGTGAGCCAAGATCATGCCACTGTACTCCAGCCTGGATGACAGAGTAAGACCCCATTGCAAAAAAAAAAAAAAAAAAAAAAAAAAGGATTGCCCAAGGAAAAATCAGATAACCACCAGAACCCCAGTCAACAAACTCTTGCAGAAAACATAGGTTCCATCAAGTTTTTAGTGCCTCACACCAAGGTATGAATGGTCAACCAATGGTCATCAAATTCCTGAGCAAGGCTTTCAAGATGACAAAACAAACAAGGAAAGGACAAAATGATCCAGAACAAAAATATGCAGAAGAAAAAGACAGCGGTGCTTTATTTATACATATTTTAATTTTTTATTTATTTCAATAGGTTTTTTGGGAACAGGTGGTGTTTGGTTACATTAATAAGTTATTTAGAGGTGAATTCTGAGAATTTGGTGCACCCATCACCCAAGCAGCGTATGCTGATACTACATTTTCTTTACCCACTCATTGATTGATGGGCATTTGGGTTGGTTCCATATTTTTGCAATTGCAAATTGTGCTGCTATAAATGTGTGTGTAAGCATCTTTTTTGTATAATGACTTCTTTTCCTCTGAATAGATACCTAGTAGTGAAATTGCTGGATCAAATGGTAGATAAACTTTTCGTTACTTTGGGAATGTCTGCCGTTTTTTCCACAGTTGTTGTACTGGTTTACATTTCTACCAACAGTGTAAAAGCATTCCCTTTTCACTGCGCCCATGCCAATATCTTTTTTTTGGGGGGAGGGCGGTTATTGCCATTTTTGCAGGAGTGAGGTGGTATCATATTTTGGTTTAGATGTGGATTTCCCTGATAATTAGTGATGTTGAGCATTTTTCCATATGATTGTTGGCCATTTGCATATCTTCTTTTGAGAATTTCTGTTTATGTCCTTAGCCTAGTTTTTGATAGGATTGTTTGTTTTGTTCTTGCTGATTTGTTTGAGTTCTTTGTAGATTCTGGATATTCGTCCTTTGTTGGATGTATAGATTGTGAAGATTTTCTCCCACTCTGTGGGTTGTCTGTTTACTCTGCTGATTATTTCTTTTGCTGTGCCAGAACTTTTTAGTTTAATTATGTCCTGTCTACTCATCTTTGCTTTCGTTGCATTTGCTTTTGGGTTCTTGGTCATGAAGTCTTTGCTTAAGCCAATGTCTAGAAGGGTTTTTCCGATGTTATCTTCTAGAATCTTTATAGTTTCAGGTCCTAAATTTAAGTCTTTGATCCACCTTGAGTTGATTTTGTATAGGGTGAGAGATAAAGATCCAGTTTCATTCTTCTGCATGTGGATTGCCAATTATCCCAGCACCATTTGTTAAATAGGGTGTCCTTTCCCCAGCTTTGTTTTTGTTTGCTTTGTCAAAGATCAATTGGGTCTAAGTATCTGGCTTTATTTCTGGGTTCTCTATTCTGTTCCATTGGTCTATGTGCCTTTTTTATACCAGTACCATGCTGCTTTGGTGACTATGGCCTTATAGTATAGTTTGAAGTCGGGTAACATAATGCCTTCGAATTTGTGCTTTTTGCTTAGTCTTGTTTTGTCTATGTGGGCTCTTTTTTGATTCCATATGAATTTTAGGTTTGTTTTTTCTAGTTTTGTGAAGGATGATGGTGGTATTTTAATGGGAATCACATTGAACTTATAGATTGCTGTTGGCAGTGTGGTCATTTTCACAATATTGATTCTTCCCATCCATGAACATGGGATGTGTTTCCATTTGCTTGTGTCATCTATGATTTCTTTCAGCAGTGTTTTGTAGTTTTTCTTGTAGAGGTCTTTCACATCCTTGGTTAGGTATATTTCTTACTATTTTATTTTCTTTGCAGCTACTGTGAAAGGAGTTGAGTGCTTGATTTGATTCTCAGCTTGATGACTGTTGGTGTATAGCAGAGCTAATGATTTGTGTACATTAATTTTGTATCCTGAAACTTTGCTGAATTGATTTATGAGTTCTTGGAGCTTTTTGATGATGGATCTTTCTTTTCTTGGTTAATCTCACTAATGGTCTATCAGTTTTATATATCTTTTCAAAGAACCAGCTTCTCATTTCATTTGTCTTTTGTACTTTGTTTGTTTCCATTTACTTTTGTTGTGTTCTGATCTTTATTATTATTTTTCTTCTTTGGTTTGGGTTTGGATTGTTCTTGTTTCTCCATTTCTGTGAGGTATGACCTTAGATTGTCTAATGTTCTTTCAGACTTTTTGATGTAGGTATTTAATGCTATGAACTTTCCTCTTAGCACTGCTTTTGCTCTATCTCAGAGGTTTCCATAGGTTGTGTCACTATTATTGCTCAGTTCAAAGAATTTTAAAATTTCCGTCTTGATTTCCTCGTTGACACATTGATTATTCAGGAGCAGGTTACTTAATTTCCACGTATTTGCATCGTTTTGATTCCTTTTGGAGTTGATTTCCAATTTTATTCCACTGTGCTCTGAGAGAGTACTTAATAGAGTTTAATTTTCTTAAATTTACTGAGACTTGTTTTGTGGCCTATCATATGGTCTATCTTGGAGAATGTTCCATGTACTGGAATATATATTCTGTAATTGTTGGGTAGAATGTTCTGTAAATATCTGTTAAGTTCATTTGTTGTAGGGTATAGTTTAAGTCCACTGTTTCTTAGTTGACTTTGTCTTGATGATCTGTCTAGTGTTGTCAATGGACTATTAAAGTCACCCACTATTATTGTGTTACCATTTATAGCATGGCTCTTAAGATCCTTTCCTTTGTCTTGACTTTAGATAACCTGATGACTATGTGCATAGGCAATGATCTTTTTGCAATGAATTTTCCAGGTGTTCTTTGAGCTTCTTATATTTGGACATCTAGATCTCTAGCAAGGCTGGGGAAGTTTTCCTCTATTATTCCCTCAAATATGTTTTCTGAACTTTTAGATGTCTCTTCTTCCTCAGGAGCACCAATTATTCTTGGGTTTGGACATTTAACATAGTCCCAAACTTCTTGGAGGCTTTATTTTTTTAAATTCATCTTTATTTGTCTAATGAATTGGATTAATTTAAAAGCCTTGTCTTTGAGCTCTGAAGTTCTTTCTTCTTGTTGTTTGATTCTATTGTTGAGACTTTCCAGTGCATTTTGCATTTCTCTAAGTGTGTCCTTGATTTCCAGAAGTTGTGATTGTTTTTTATTCATGCCACCTAGTTCACTAAAGAATTTCCCATCTATATCCTGTATCATGTTTTTTATTTCCTTAAGTTAGACTTCACTTTTCTCTAGTGCCCCCTTGATTAGCATAATAATCAACCTTCTGAATTCTTTTTTTTTTGGCAATTCAGTTATTTTACCTTGGTTTTGATCCATTGCTGGTGGGCTAGTATGATTTTTGGGGGGTGTTGAGGAATCCTGTTTTGTCATATTAATAGATTTGTTTTTCTGCTTTCTTCTTATTTGGGTAGACTATGTCAGAGGGAAGACCTGAGATTCAAGAGCTGCTGTTCAGATTCTTTTGTCCCATGGGAGTGATCCCTTGATGTGGTGTTCTCACCCTTCCCCTAGGAATGGGGTTTCCTAAGAACCAAACTGTAGTGCTTGTTTTGCTCTTCTGGTTCTAGCCACTCAGCAGAGCTAACAGGCTCCAGGCTAGTACTGGGGAGTGTCTGCAAGGAGTCCTGTGATGTGAATCGTCTTCAGGTCTTGCAGCCATGGATATCAGCACTTGATCCAGTGAAGGTAGCAGGGAAGTGGAGTGGACTCTGTGAGGGTCCTTGGCTGTGTTTTTGTTTAGTGTGCTGGTTTTGTGTTGGTTGACCTCCAGCCAGGAGGTAGCACTTTCAAGATCACATCAGCTGTGGTCCCATAGGAAGGATGCAAACTTGCCCTAAGGACACCTGGTTAAGTATTCAGGCTTCTCAGGCGGTGGGCAGGGTCATAGAGCACCCAAGAGATTATGACCTTTGTCTTCAGCTACCAAGGTGGGTACAGAAAGACCATCAGGTCGGGGCAGGTTTAGCCATGTCTGAGCTCAGTCTCTCCTCGGGCAAGGCTTGCTGCGGCTGCTATGGGTGATGGAGGTGTGGTTCTCAGGCCAATGGAGTTATATTCTCAGGGCTATTATGGCTGCCTCTTCTGAGTCATACAGGTCACCAGAGAAAGCCAGCAGTCACAGGCCTCACCTCCTCCCCACGCAGCCCAAAAGCCTAAAGGCCAGTCTCACTCCCACTGTGCCCCCACAACAGCACCGAGTCTACTTCCTGGCAGCAGGTGACCATGTCTGAGAACTTGCTCCAGACCACCAGCCTTCTTGCTGAGAAAGCAAGCAGACTCACAGTTTTTCAGCATCTCAGGGAGTCTGAAGCAGTGATCTAGTTCCCTCAAAGGGTCTTTGGATTCTCTCTGCTTTACTGGTATGTTCCTATGGTAGTTATTGGAGCAAAAGTTCATGACGTGAGTCTCTACATGCTGCTCTGTCCATCCGAGCAGGAGCTACAAGCTAGTCCTGCCTCCTATCTGCCACCTTAACCTGTATCCAGCACTGGTATATTTATTACACAATATTTGTGGAGCATGCACAGGGTTGCTACAAAGTCCTCACATGTAATTGTAGATGTTTTTTGTATGGGCACTTCTATTCTCAACGCAAGTTTTAATTTTCCCCATGTTCTTCTATACGTACTCTCCCATGCTGATAGTTGAAATTTACTAAAGCAATCCCTGATAGTGATTTTTAAGCAATTTGATGAAGCTGAAAATCATGAGTCAAACCCAAGTAACACTTTTGTTCCTAGGCCATAGAATCAGAAAAACTTGGGTTTCAATCATGATCTATCAACCATACTAGATATTCTTCTGCCTGACTCCTGTTTCCACATCTGCAAAATGGGTAGAATAATATCTACCTACCATTTTAGTACTGTTGTGAAGATTAAATAAGATGGGCCGTAACTTTGTCTAGCTCATAGAAAGAACTCATGAAATAATGCTGTTGATAGCATTATTATTATTTATCACTAGCTTCTAGATTTTCTCAAGATATAAGTCTTCCTTTGGGAAGAGGCTCTGACCTCATTGTTTGTCTCAATTATGTTCTGTCCCAGAATGTCCATGACTGAGTGTCTTCTCGTCACTTCACTCTAGTCATGACACTCATCCTACCAACTAGTGAATATGCATGTCTGCCCCGTTATTAGACTATTGTCTCAGCATCAAACTCATTTTTCTATATTCCCTTTGGTAATGCTAGGGCTGAGACTCTTATTTTTCTTTTGCCAGAGGTTCTGTTAGGCATTGTCACTAGAGGGCACCAGAGGGAGACAGCTAGGCTAAAGGCAGGGACCACAAACACTTCCTGTTTGTGTCTTGCTCCTGTCTTGGTTTTCTGTTCTTATTTTAGTTTCCTGTTCCTATGTCACTCTAGCAACCCTTACACTGGTTTGTTCCAGTAGAATAGCTGATTCCAGTTTGCAATTTTTCCAACGCTTAAAGACCAGCCTCATCTCACCTCTCTGGTTCACCAGCTCTGCAGAGCCTCTCTTCCAAGTCACTAAGTGTTAATAATTTCAACTTCTTCCCTCATCCTCCAGGCCTAGGGTTATACTTAGTGTTCTCTTTTTGCCTTTTCATTTCTTTAATTCCTAGTTAAAAATCTTTATTTTAAACTCCTTCTATTAAAATAACAGGTGTGTATTTTATGTCCTGGCTGTACTCTGACGGACACAGATGAGCTGTATATCCTCCTTAGACTCTTCTTTAGACTCTATGCCAAGATCCCCTGGGGATAATCTTATATCCTAAGCTAAGTCAGTTCTTCACCATCCCATTATATATAGGCATTTCTCAAATATTTTCAGCCTCTGTGATTGTTAAGGCTAACTTAGCTCTCTAAGAAACTCTTGTCCCCACATCTAGCCACCACATTCATGTCTGCTGGCCCCTTAGAGAACAGACAGGTTTGCTCTACCTGATTGCCTCCAGTCATTTCCCTTTAAATCTTACCTCCCAGTGAGATCACCTATAAAAGGCTCCTGACTCAAGTTAGGAACATAGCCAATTGTTGAAACTGTTGAAGGTAGTAGAGAAAGGTAGACAAACCTGTGCTTCTCATGCCTATATCACTTATTTTACTTCTCTTCCATTTATCCCATCTCCAGGCCACTATAAAGAATCCATCAGTATTTTTCTCAAACATCATTTTCATCTTAGTTCTCCCTTCCTCAAGAATGTACAATGATTCCCTATTGCCCATCAGATCAAGTCTAACCACTGACAGACCCTGGGTATCATTAGGATGGCTTCAATCAATTAAACTGACAACATTCTATAGTCTTAGACTGATTTTTCCATTTTGTACTTCTTGCTTTAGTAACAAATTCAAATTCTTCCAGCTTTCTCTGTGTGTGTGTGTGTGTGTGTGTGTGTGCATCTGTGTGTAGAAGGAACTAGTGGAACTAGTAACAGCCTATAGGAATAGACCTACTAGGAGGATAAGATGCCTGGGAAGCTGGTCTACAGTTTAGCCAGGCTCACAGCTAACATGCAGGAGTACAGTACACTAGGGATAGGTGAATAGGGAGCCAGAGACTCCATAAAACTTGGCAAAAACCAAGAAGGAATCCCTTTAGAAATGAAAAAGCTTCTTGGGCAGGCTTGAAGCACTTCTTATCCCAGTTACATGCTGCCAGGGTCCACCAGGCATCCTCAGGGGGATCTGAAGTCCAGGAAATCATCATTCTTCAACCCTGAGGGTTGCTGTACCTCCACAATAAGAGGCCATCTGTGTACAATAAATACTATCTTTTACCTGCATTAAAGCTACTTGTGTACTTTGTCTATTTCCATCAGCCAAATATTATCACCCTTTGACAGCCACAAGTATCTGCCAGGTAAATTTCCACAGAAGGACTTCTTTAAAAATGTTTATTGTATAAAGAACTATCAACTAATCAATGATTATCTTTCATAATTAAACAGCTATCATCTTTAGTTGATTCTATGGTCGTTCCTCTGATTTTATTATATGTTGCCTACAAGGAAAATGGTCTGTGCCTAATTTATACGATTTGAAAAGATAGTTCATGCTGTGTGATTTTGTATGATTTATATGATTTATATGATTTTATAAGATATATGATTTTATATGATTCTATATGATTTATATGATTCTAAATAGCCGGGTGAAAATAGAAAATTGAGCCAAATGTCTGCAGTTTTTGTCTACATGGTATCAAACACCTAGATATTTAAAAATACCTGGATCATTGACATACCTTATAGATCAGCCTAAGAAGAAAAGTTAAAATGTGTAAAGCATATGTTTTTAGTGTTCTTACTGAATTTTTACTTGGCTAATAATGATTTTGCTTAAATGTTAAATTTTATGTTTGAGTTTTTTCCTTATAAAGATGACTTAGTACTAAATTATCCTTATTTTGATGTGCCTGTCATGACTTTTAAATATATTTACTGTCATTCATTTCATTTCAATGTTTCTTCTAAGTTACACTCTTGCCATTTACTCTATTTTAGCTCTATCATGATTAGGATATGGCATGATGCCATTTTTTTTTCATTCTTTCTTCAGGATTTATGCCAATATAGCTAGATTTCTCACTTAATGGTAAACTTCTCTGATTTCAGGAATCTAAAAAAAATACTGAGGGCAAAATGAGAGACATAATCAAAAGAAAGCTTATGTTACCTGATGTCACACACACAAAAAATGAAAATTTGATGAACCGGGTGTGGGGAAATTGTACTCTCTATTTGAATTCATCAGTGGCATACATTCTGAGCTTCACATGTGGCACATAGCAAGATATTTTAAAATTCTTCTTTCCATGAAATGAAATATGTTTACTATGCATATAGTACTGGAACAAGTACTGTATCCTTACTAGAATGTGAAGAATATACTTGGCTTGATAAATCATCTGGGGGCAATAAGCATGAGTAGCAAGGTACTTATTTTTGTGTAAATGTCCTTTAACTCACACCACTGGCCAAACCTTACATTCAGCCTCTTATTATACCCTGCCTTAAAAAAAAAACTTGTCTTAGTCAGTTCAGCTGCTATACATATTAAAAAACAATATCATAGACTGAGCAGCTTAAACAACAGAAATTTATTTCTCACAGTTTTGGAGTCTGGGAATTCCAAGATCAAGGTGCTGTCATTTCCGGTGCCTGGTGAGGGCTTGTTTCCTGGTTTGGAGATGGCTGTCTTCTCATTTTACACAACAGAGAGTAAAGAGAGAAAGCAAGCTCCCTTAGGTCTCTTATGCGCTAATTCCTTCCTGAGATCTTCATCCTCATAACCTAATTACCTCTCAAAGGCCCCATCTCCAAGTACCATTTTGCTGAAGATTAAAGTTCTAACATGAATTTTAGGTGAGGACAGAAACATTCAATCCATAGCATAACTCTTACTTAAATGAGTATATACAATCAATAGCAGTTATTTCTATTCCTGTCTCCTTAGAACTTATCATACCTCATAGAACTGAATTTAAATACATTTCCTGATGACTAAATTGCAACACATTCCAGAAATCCATCAAAACTTGCCTCCCCCAAGCATGCTCAGATGCACTTAGAATAAAGTCCAAACTGTTTTTTTGTTCTGAGACGGGAGTCTCACTGTTGTTGCCCAGGCTGGAGTGCAATGGCGCGATCTCTGCTCACTGCAACCTCTGCCTCCCAGGTTCAAGCAATTCTCCTGCCTCAGCCTCCTGAGTAGCTGGGATTACAGGCACCCACCACCATGCCCGGCAATTTTTTGTAATTTTAGTAGAGATGGGGTTTCACTATGCTAGCCAGGCTGGTCTCAAACTCCTACCTCGGGATTCGCCCGCCTCGGCCTCCCAAAGTGCTGGGATTACAGGTGTGAGACACCGCACCTGGCCCAAATTCTTTTACCTTAAACAAAGGCCCCGCCTGATCTGTGCCTTTGACCTCCTCTTTATCTATTCCAACTTTACCTATTCCAGCTTTACCAGACTTTATGTAACGTATTTTTCCAGCCTCATTTTCCCTTCAGGACTTGGCATTTGCTGTTTTCTTTGCCTAGAAGTTTCTTGCCCCCAGGTCTTTGGCCAACTCATTGTTCATATCTTACCTCAAAGGCCACCTTCTCAGAGAGGTCTTCCCTAAACATCCTAACTCCTCTCTATTCTACTGTGCTGGACCATAGCATTTATCTGTATCTGAAATGTTTATTTACTTCTTGTCTCTGTCATGGGAAAAGCTGACCCCCTAAGTCTGGTCCTAAGAGCCTCTCCAGGTTCCTGGTTTGTTTTCCAGTTCTCTGCTGGGACTGGAGCCTGCCCCAAATCCTAAATTGTTTACCTTGGTTTTGATTCCCTGTTTTCCTCCCAGCAGCCCACTCTGCCTTAGAACTGGATCCAACTCTCTGTACTCTCGTGCCTTGTTCCGAGAGAGGAGCCTTCCTAAAACTTTTTTTTTTTTTTTTTTTTTTATTGTGACGGAGTCTCGTTCTGTCACCCAGGCGGGTGTGCAGTGGTGCGATCTTGGCTCACTGCAAGCTCTGCCTCCTGGGTTCACGCCATTCTCCTGCCTCAGCCTCCTGAGTAGCTGGGACTACAGGCGCTCACCACCACGCCTAGCTAATTTTTTGTATTTTCAGTAGAGATGGGTTTCACCGTGTTAGCCAGGATGGTCTCAATATCCTGACCTCGTGATCCGCCCGCCTCAGCCTCCCAAAGTGCTGGGATTACAGGTGTAAGCCACCACACCTGGCCAACTTCTCCTCTTTCAAAGACTCTTGCTGTCATAGCTAAACCTACTAGGTTAGAATCTTTGGATGAGACCTAGGGACTTGGATTGAACACTCATCTCCTTAAGAAACAGCATGAACATGAAAGCTGTTCTCTTACTTCTCTGGCATTCCTTAAGTTAGTAAGTTCTTTTGATTCTCCAGAAGTCCTTGAGGTTTTCAGGAACATCATCTCTGGGAATAGGAAATTTCCTATTAATCCTATCCATACACCAAAAATATGATTCAAGAAAGTTAATGTAAGGAGTATATGGTACAGTGAGGTGGTTAGTTGCATGAGTCTGGAGTCAACATCTTGGTTCAAATCCTAGCTATGCCAGTTACTTACCATACAACCCTGGAGACATTACTGAAGATCTCTGAGCCTTAATCTCCCACGTATACATAAGGGTCACAAAACAAAGAAATAATGTCATAATAAGGAAAAGTTGTTGTGAGGATTCAGTGAGATAATGTAAAGTGTTCAGATTCATGCCAGATCCATTCACACATTGCTTGTGGAGGTGAAGAATGATACAACCCTATGGAGGGCAATTTGCAATATGTACTAAAATGATACATGCACTTACCTTTGGTATAGCATGGCACCCATACTCACAGTTGCACCTCCACAAGTACAGCATAGGCACAAGATTATTTGCTAAGGCTTTATTTGTAATAGCAAATATTGGGAAAAACCTAAATGCACAGCCACAGAAGATATATAGATTGATAGATAATATTTATATATGTTTCCCATAGGGCAGAAAATATATATGTATATATAGACACACATATATATATACACACATATATACCTATGCATATATATATACACCCATATATACCTATGTGTATATATAATTCATGTATAACTTTTTTGCTTATTTTTAAAAAATAAAATATAGGAAGAACAAATCAGAAACTAATGAAAATGGTTTATCATAAGGGGTGGATGGAAATTTGGAGAAAGAAGCAGGAATAAAACTTCTGAACAGACACTTTAAATGAAGTTTTGCCTTTTGAATCATGTAAATGTTTCATAATTCTAAATTTAAATTTATATTAAAAAGGACTTACCAAAAGCAAACTCTTAAAATTGAAATCAAACAGAAACAAATGAATCTAACTATATATCAACTTGATAATATAACCACACACAAAAAAAGAGAAATAATTAAGTAGGTTTTGAACACAGTTGCCTTAGTAGAATTGTATCAGACAAATTCAAATTGTGGAACTTTCTCTAGGACATCTGTCCTGGAGTCTTCGAAAATATTAATGTTGCAAACTACAAAATGGCAAGGGAGAGCTGTTCTAGATGGACACAGACTAAAGAAACAAGAGAAGCAAACACAATGTGTTATCCTTCCTTGGATCTTGGATTTAACAGAAGAATGACTATAAAAAAACATTATTGGGACAACTAGGGGAAATTTGAAATTGAACTGCATGTTACAATATACTATTGTATGCATGTTAAATACCTTGGATATGATAATGATAGGGTAATATCTTTGTTCTTAGGAGATGTATGTTAAAATATTTTGAGAGAAAGTATCATGATTCTGCATGAAACTTACTTTCAAACTTTCAGCCAAAAAAAAAAAGAGAAAAAGCGAGAGAGAAAGCAAATGTGAAAAATGCTTATTATACTGTACGTTTGAAAATTTTTTAAATAAAATGTTGGGGAGATAATTCCCAAAAACAAGCAAACTAAAAAAGATCAGTTCTTTTCAGCTATTACTATCTCTGACTCCCCCAATCCGGGAGCCTATGAGAAGAAAACCAGGAATAAATACATATGGTTGATAAACAAAAAGGAAATCATGTTCTGGGATCTATTTTCAGCCTCTGAAGCATGTCAGTTGATAACTTTACTTATTCATTTCCCATGGGATTTACCTAAACAAATAAAACTGCCTCCAACTTTAAAAAAAGGAAGTGATACTGTCTCCAAGCTTCCCTGGAAAGAAGCAGTTAAATCTTATCCTTATTTTACCTCCTTCTTATTTAGTGATGTGCCTTGGCAGAAACTCAAGGGGAGTACTGTGCCAGCCAGCCTCTGGAAAAAAGGCAGACAACACTACCTCCCACTTTTGTGAGTGATGCTGGGGAGCACGTCGCTGCTTCCAACCTGCCTATCTCAATTGTGGTGACAAAGCACCAGACCAAGAGGCAGATCCCTGGGTAGTCGAGTCTATATTATTTCAGATTTTAAGTACTGAAAGCAAGACAGAAAGCCCTTCTCTCAGATCAGGGAGTGGGAAGTATAATTTGAAATAGATTAAGCTCACTTATCTGGGGGACATTTAAAGATCTATAAGCCCTTCCTTTCACACTTCTGATACACAATTGACCTAACAAAACACCTTTAGACCCTCCTAAATTATATACTTTTAAAAAATATTTTTCCCAGATATATAATATTTGCTTCACAAAACGATGAAACGACAATTTGCCCCTGGCCTTCTATTTTCCTTTTTTTCAAGCCTTAAAAGCCTGTTTCATTTCTATTGCAGGATTGTGTCCAGGTATAGACAGACGTCCTTTGTAACTGGTTAAAAGCTACAGAAAAGCTCTATTGAAACAAAATGCTGCTCATATCCCCATCATCCATGCCAGGAGGAATAAATCACACAAAAGCACCTAAAGAAAACTGTTTTATAGTTACTACTATGCTACATTAGCTGACGAGGGAGAAATGGTTACATTTACAGATTTTTTTTCCTTTTATAGAGGCAGAATCTATATGCAGTTGAAGAATTGTGTATTATCACTACTGGAATTTGAGTTCAGCTAATGAGAGCTAACAGCAAAAGGAGGACTTCTTGCAAAGCTGCTTCATCTTGGTCCTTAGATAAGCCATAAAACTAGGTTGCTTTGCTTCCCTTTGGGCCCACAGCACTGATCTGCAAATTTATTTCAAGATTCCATTATTGCATCAATAAAAATATTAAAACATGCATCTCTTAAAACATGCATCCTAGGCTAATTATGGAATTGGAAGCTATTAATACAAAACAATTATTATAAAATAATACCTCATATTTGCCCTAGTATAGGTAGCTCTATGCTCAGAGCACAGTCGAATGCATAATCCCATTTACTCCTGGGAACTCTAGGAGGTAGACTGTGTGGTCAGTCTTTCCATTATGTAGCTAAAGCAACTAAACAAGACATAATCATTCTCGATGCTGAAATTTATGTCCACTATTGATCAGAACTGAAAACCCTGACTTGAGAAAGAGAGAGAGTGAGAGAGCACTATTCAATTCTGTCACTTACTAGCTGTGTGGTCCTGGGCAAGTGACTAAACTTCTCTGAGCTTCAGTTGCCTCAGCTGAAAAATAAAGAAAATAATACCTATCTCATAAGAATGATGTCATGGTTAAATAATTTTTTAACTTGGCACTAAAAATGATATATATTGATTGAATCACTCATTTAACAAATATTTTAGTGTTTTAGTAGTTGAGAAGAATGATAAATATCTTAAAACAGCAAGCAATATAACTGTACTATTTAAGTTATAGTTTGCTGGCCTTACAGACTAGAAGGATAGCAGACATTTAAGTAAACTATTACAATGTAATTTTATATTAAGGAAAGCAGGCCAAGGCAATCACATACAATTATGAAGATTTTACACTGTACAACCCAGGAGGCAATATTTATGTTACAGTATATGTGAAAACATGCTTGGAGTTGTATAATGCATGACCTTAGAAGCCATGGACACCAGCCCTTCTGGTAACAGAGAAAGGTGAATAAAGGTTTCACAGAGGTGACATTTAGTTTAGGTCATTCCAGAAAAGGGGATAAGTCCATAAGAATGAATGAAATAAATATGGAATTGCAAGATTACCATTGCCATATTGGATGGAATGTATATACGATAGAAAAATTATATTCAAAAGATAAAATGATGGGAGGCTGAGGTGGGCAGATTACTTCAGCTCAGGAATTCAAGAGCAACCTAAGCAACATGGCAAAACGCTGTCTCTACCAAAAAAAAAACAAAAAACAAAAAACAAGAATTAGCCAGGCATGGTGCCATGTGCTTGTGGTCCCAGCTACTCAGGAGGCTGAGGTGGAGGATCACTTGAGCCCAGGAGGTCGAGGTTGTGGTGAACCAAGATTGTGCCACTACACTCCAGCCCAGGTAACACGATGAGTCCCTGTCTCAAAAAAAAAAAAAAAAAAAAAAAAAAAAAAAGAAAAAGAAAAAGAAAAGAGAAGATAAAAAGAGACCACATGGTAAAGGGCCTTATAAATCATGCTAAATAATTTACACTTGATTCTCAAAACAATAAAGTGCTTCCGGGCAAGTATGTGGTTGCTCCCTCAGCACACCTCCTCTACTTCCCACCAGCCTCCATTTTCCACTGGGAGATTTACATGGTTCTAGGAATTCATAAACAGTATAAACCCAAACACCCCAAAATCAAGCCTTACCTTAAGTCCACCTATATTGAGATCTTCAATTATGTGAATTTATGAGCTGAATTGTATCTCAAAAAACTCATATGTTGAATCCTCAGCCCCTAATAGCTCAGAATGTGACTATATTTGGAGACAGGATTCTTAAATAAGTGATTAAGCTACAATGAGGCTGTTAGAGACGGCCCTAGTCCATTCCAACTGGTGACCAAGTGAGGGTACCACCATCCACAAGCCAAAGAGATCTCAGAAAAAAACAAACCTGCTGACTCCTTGACTTCCAGGCTCCAGGACTGTGAGAAAACAAATTTCTGTTGTTTAAACCACCCAATCTGTGGTATTTTGTTATGGCAGCCCTAACAAACTAGTAAGTAAGCCAGTAAAATTCTATTTATTATTTAAGCCAGTTTGGGATTTATTTTTTGTTACTTTCTATCAAAATATTTTTAGCTGATGCAAGTTTCAGTAAAAGACTCTAAGCAAAGGAATGACATAATTGTATGTACAATTTAGAAAAATATTACTGACAATGAATGGGAAAAGAACATGCTGGAAGAGGCCAGAAATCAGCAGAGTAGTCTTATTGCCAAAGTTCAGGCAAGAAGGGAAGACAATAGAATGAGCTATGTGTCCTGAAACAAAACAAAAGATCTCTCCTCTCTCTCAGTCTCTCTCTCTCTCTCTATACACACACACACACACACACACACACACACACACACACGTATATATGTGTGTGTGTGTGTGTGTACATATATATACAAACATACATACATACAGGGTCTCATTCTGTTGCCCAGGCTGGAGTGCACTGGCACAATCATAGCTCACTGCAGCCTCAACCTCCCAGGCTCAGCTGATTCTCCCACCTCAGCCTCCTGAGTAGGGACTACAGGTACACACCACCACACCTAGCTAATTTTTTTTTTTTTTGTATTCTTTGGAGAAGAGGTTTCACCATGTTTTCCATGTTTTCTAAGAGCTAGAAGAGGTTTCACCATGTTTTCCAGGCTGGTCTTGAACTCCTGAGCTCAAGCGATCCATCTGCCTCAGCCTCCTGAAGTGCTGGGATTGCAGGTCTGAGCCACTGCACTCAGCCTCAAGACATAATTTTAATGGGTAAAACCAAATCACAAAATAATTTATAATACATGATCCCATTTTTATTTTTTAAAATCCTCATAATTTATGTGTATGCATTTTACTTTTTACTATATATGTATTCTGTCTGAATTTTTTAAAATGAGAATTATATTTGTTGTGTAATTGTTTTAAATACAATTTAAGAAATAATGACCACGATATCTAACTCTGTGGCCTCGAGTGGAAAGAATGAGTTTGAAAGATGTTTGAAAGTCAGCCTATCTGAAGTCATTCTTTTAGGTAAGGTTTTAACCCACCTCATCATGACTCTTTTGTAGACTACCCTTCCCCAGAATGACCCTCCTTCCTTGAACTCCTCCTCACTCTCTGGATAAGCATTTCTTCTTCCCACTGTACTGAAGGTTAACTTTCCATGATTCTGTGTATTACCAACTGGTTGTAGGCTCCAGGAGTACCCATTTATTCTTTTTTTGTAGTCCCACCGCACCCAGTTTGTTATGTTATACATAGTAATTATTCAAATATCCCCTTGTTAGTTGATCATTTTTTTCAGTAAATGATACTTTCCCCCATTCCCCACTTCCCCTACCCTGTCCGCCCCTAACTTGAGGAATTAAGAGTGCTTTTGTCATACAGGGCTCCACTCTCTCGGGTTCCAGTTTTAGCTCTGCTTCTGCATCACCAAATGGCCTTGGGAATGTCTCTACTTCTCCGGGAAAGTCTCTGTCTCTCTGGGTCTGTTTCTATCACTGAAGGGGTCAAGATTAAAAGTCAAGATAGTCAGAACCTGTGAGGCACAAAAGGAAAAAGCAGGCTGGAACAGGAAGATAACATCAGGGAGGAAATAGTGTGTCAGAAGGAAGATAGTCAAAGTAACATTCGAGAAGGAGTGCATTTGATGAAGACATCCATTTAAGAAAAGCAATAGGGTGACACAGTTAATATGGCTTTACCACCAGAAACCCATGATTTAATCAAGTAAA
Source organism: Homo sapiens (assembly GCF_000001405.40). Lineage (NCBI taxonomy): Eukaryota > Metazoa > Chordata > Mammalia > Primates > Hominidae > Homo > Homo sapiens. The sequence continues at coordinate 59,402,816 of NC_000013.11, forward strand.
CTATCCTCAAGTGAAGAGAATAAGTGCCACAAACTGGTTTGATCTTGCTGAATTATACTTATCAAAATATGTATTGAGTTTACTCAATAAATATGCACTGTTTGTATTTCTGAAGCACTGTGGTCAGTACTAAGAAGACAATAATAAACAAGATAAGCATGTTTCCTGCCCTCATGAAGCTTAAGCTCTAATGAAAAATAAAGATAAGTAGTCTATGTAATTGACACCCCGAAGTACATTTTCACAAACTGTAATTGACACCCCTGAAGTACATTTTCACAATCTACAATGTGAATGGTGCCCTGGATAAGAAATATAATGGAGAAAACCCTCATACGTTGTTGGTGGGAATGCAAATTAGTACAACAACTATGGAGAACAGTTTGGAGGTTCCTCAAAAAACTAAAAATAGAGCTACCATATGATCCAGCAATCCCACTGCTGGGTATATACCCAAAAGAAAGGAAATCAGAATTTTGAAGAGATATTTGCCCTTCCATGATTGCTGCAGCACTGTTCACAATAGCTAAGATTTGGAAGCAACTTAAGTGTCCATCAACAGATGAATGGATCAAGAAAATGTGGTACATATACACAATGGAGTACTATTCAGCCATAAAAAAGAATGAGATCCTGCCATTTGCAACAACATGGATGAAACTGGAGATCATGACGTTGAGTGGAATAAGCCACACACAGAAAGACAAACATCACATGATCTCGCTTATTTGTGGGATCCAAAAATAAAAATAATTGAACTCAGACACAGAATGGTTACCAGAGGCTGGGAAAAATAGTGGGGGACTGGGGTGGGAGGTAAGGATGATTAATGAATAAAAAAAAGTTAGAAAGAATAAGACCTACTATTTGATAGCACAACAGGGTGACTATAGTCAATAATAAATTAATTGTACATTAAAAATAAACTAAAAGAGTATAATTGAATTATTTATAACACAAAGGATAAATGTACAAAGGGATGGATACTCCATCCTCCATGATGTGCTTATTTCACATTCCATGCCTGTATCAAACATATCAGGTACCCCATACATTTATACACCTACTATGTACCCCAAAAAATTAAAAATTTAAAAATTTAAAGAAATATATAATGGGTGTCATGAACTGAATGTTTGTCTGCTCTCAAAATTCATGTTTGGAACCCAGCCCTTAATGTAATTGTACTTAAAGATAGAGCCATTATGGAGGTAATTAAGGTTAAATGAGATCATAAGTGTGAGCCCTGATCTTACAGGGTTAGTATCTTTATAAGAAGAGGCACTAGAGAACTTACTCTGTTTCCACCATGTAAGAACACAGCAAGAAAGTGGCCATCTATAAGCCAGGAAGAAAATCTTCATCAGAAACCATCCCTGCTGAACCCTGATCTGGCATTTCTAGCCTTCAGAACTGTGAGAAAATAAATTTCTGTTCTGTAAGCCACCTGGTCTATGGTATTTTTTAATGGCAGCCCAGGCAGACTAACACAATGGGAAAATTGCAGTGTTGTAGGAGCACCTAACCCAATTTTAGGGGTTCATAGAAGGTGTCCTAAGAGAAAAATGAAATGTAATATTAGCTACAAAAATGAGTAAGTGTTATCAGGTCAAAGGGAGAATTGGTGAAGGGTGTAGGGAAAGTTGTTGAATGAAAATGGTTTCCCAGACAAAGAGAAGAGCTTGTGTGAAAGAGAGCAAGACACATTTACAGTCCATACTGAATGGGTCATAAAGTTGAGGGACACAGTCTATGAAAAGATTAGCAGAGGCAGAGTCACAAAGAGTCTTTTATAAACCTTGGTAGAGAGTTTGTACTTTACCCTGAGATCAATAAAAGTGTTAAAATATTCCTAAAATATTAAAATTAATAACTGAAATTATTTGTTCCCTGTAAAATAATTTGCAAACAGTCTGGAAGGAAATTTTCACTTTTGCAGCTTTTCAAACATTTGCTCAGCACCACATGGTTGGCACTCAGTGACATTTGTTTAATAAATGACTGGTTTAGGCCTTTTCTGAGGATATTTTGATTCACATCTAACCATCACAGTGGTTCCAAATCGGAGGGTTTTTTAATGATCTCTTATTGACATGTTAAGAGAGACTTTCTCTGTAGCAATCCCAGTAGTAATTCTACCCTAGAACCTAGGTTTCCATTTCAGTTGCCTAAGACTCAGTCCTTGCATCTGTTATCCTCTGATTAGCTAACAGTGCTGGACTTGTGAAGATTGAGTTTAAATCACCCACTCTGACTTAAGAACAATTCTGCATAGTCTGGTAGTTCCTACAAACTGCTGATCCTTGCATGGGTATCACCAGTGCAGTTTTACATTTTTCTTCCTTCTGGAAAACAATAGCTAAACATCAGAGCGTGAAATAATGTTTTGTTCAGGGGTCTGTCAAGCATGTCAGGTCAAAATCTCTCTGTTTGGCCTTCAAATTGTTTTGTGAGATCCCATAATAGCATTGCACCACATTTGGTCCTTAGGAAAACAGACTTGGAAAATATGAGTTGATGGACCCTGACAGCCAGTTTCTGAGGTTTGTCCTTCCAGCCAGCCAGTCATGGGAGATCGTTACACTTTGACCTCAAAATCTTTGCCTGCCTCCCAAGTTCTCCCACAGCACTATACATTCACATCTGTTTAGAGCCCGCTGCTTGCTGGACATACTTTAGTCTCAGCTTTGGAGGAAGATGGCTAGCTCTTGGAAATCTTTTAGATCTCTTAGAAACACTTTTGTATACTATTCATTTATTTTGTGTGTGTCTAGTGCACAGGAAAAAGCTCAGTGTAATAAAATTAACAACTGCAGCTGTAGAATGAGTAATACCGCAACCCAAGCCTAAGACTGGCAAGGTAAGCCTTTCCCCAACCCCAATCTGGCACCATTACTGATTGCAGCTGGCAGCAAGAAGTCATTTGGAGGAGAGATGCTTTTGTGATCAATAACCTTTGAACATCTTATACAGAAATACCAGGCTTGGAACTAAATAAGAGGCTTTCTGAGAAAGCAACCCTTCCAAATTGCTTCAGCCATAGAACTGTGTTTGCTATAGTTTGAATGTGTCCTCCCCAAAGCAGCAGTGTTGGAAGGTGTGTTACCAAAACACCAGGGGTTCAGTCTACATCCTACTGCTTGCTGCACAGAAAGCCAATCACTGAGAGAAGGAGTATTACCAGGGAAGAAGGTTTTAATTGGGTGCTGCACCCAAGGAGATAGGAGAGGAGTCTTAAATTCATCTCCTTACTAACTAAAATCAAGGGTTTATATAGCAGGAAATAAATGTAATTACATGCAGGAAAACAGGAATTAAGGAGGGGTAAGGAAGAAGAGTTTGTCAACAGGAAGCAAGTGGTTGGTTAGGCAATCATGATGGGTGAGAGGTCTGGTGTCTCATTGTTTAGATGCATAATTTGGTAAGTTTCAGTTCTTTGATACTCTCTGGGAGGACTGATGGTTGGTTTCCTGAGAAAGGAACTCAGATAAGACAAATATAACTTTCTCAAGTTTCAAGACTAGGAGGGTCAGTTCCTATGTTTATTCAAAAGAAACCATAAATATCAGTTCTATGGGAGTTCTAAGGGACAATTGGGCCAGTTTTACGTGGAGCCTAAAAGGGGGTGTTTAGATCATGAGGGCTCCAACTTCATGAATAATTTAATTCCAATTATAAAAATAGCTTGTGGCTGTGAGTTTGAGCTTTCTCTCTCTCTCATCCTCTTACCTTCTGCCATGGAATGACACAGCAAAAAAAAAAAAAAAAAAAACCCTTACCAGATGTTGGCACCTTAATATTGGACTTCCCAGCCTCCAAAACTGTAAGAGATAAATTTATTTTCTTTATAAATTATGCAGTCTGTGGTATTCTGTTATAGCAACGCAAAATGAATGAAGACAATGTTATTCAAGCTAAAACTCTGGAGGAAGATCAAGAGTTTAGGTCTTCCTGAGACTTGGCAGAGTTTTGGGTTTTTTTTTTTTTTTTTTTTTTTTTCTTCAAAGAGAGCATAGTCCTAAAGGACCAACTCAATTGAATTCTGTTTCCAACTTTTATTTTAGGTTCAGGGGTACATGTGCAGGTTTGTTATATAGGTTAACTTGTGCCACAGTGGTTTGTTGTGCAGATTATTTCATCACCCAGGTACTTATACCCAATAGTTATTTTTTCTGCTCCTCTCCCTCCTTCTACCCTCTGCCCTCAAGTAGGCCCCAGTGTTTGTTGCTCCCTTCTTTGTGTCCATGAGTTCTCATAATTTAGCTCCCATTTTTAAGTGAGAACATGAAGTATTTGGTTTTCTGTTTCTGTATTAGTTTGCTATGACCTCCAGCTCCAACCATGTTCCCACAAAAGACATAATCTCATTCTTTTCTATGGTTGCATAGTATTCCATGGTGTGTATGTACCACGTTTTCTTTATCCAGTCTATCATTGATGGGCTTTTGGGTTGTTTCCATGTCTGTGTTATTGTGAATAGTGCGGCAATGAACATTCACATGCATCTGTCTTTATGGTAGAATGATCTACAGTCCTCTGGGTATATACCCAGTAATGGGATTGCTGGGTTGAATGGTAGTTCTGTTTACAACTCTTTCAGGAATCGCCACACTGCTTTCCACAATGGTTGAACTAATTTACATTCCCATCAACAGTGTGTAAGCATTCCCTTTTCTTTGCAATCTTGCCAAGATCCACATTTTCTGCCTTTTTAATAATAGCCATTCTGAGTGGTGTGAGATGGTATCTCATTGTGGTTTTCATTTGCATTTCTCTAATGATCAGTGATGTTGAACTTATTTCATATGCTTGTTGGCCACATGTATGTCTTTTTTTGAACAATGTTCATTTATGTCCTTTGTCCGCTTTTTAATGGGGTTGTTTATTTCTTGTAAACTTAAGTTATTTATAGGTGCTGGATATTAGACCTTTGTCAAATGTATAGCTTGCAAATATTTTCTCCCATTCTGTAGGTTGTCTGTTTTCAGACCTCTATTTGCATAAGGATTGGACTGCTTTAGTTGCTTTGACTAAGTCATTGGATCTACTTCATATAGAAGTAATGTTGAATGCCTACCCTGCCAGAATAGCTCTTATCATTTCTAGTATTCTCTCCACTAGTCTCCTTACAGGTACTCCCCTTTCCTCTAGATCAGCTTTCAGCCCTCTGCTACCAACTAATAATAACAAAGTCTTTACTAATCGCCTCTCCATTCCTACCCTTAATTGTCTGCTTGTTTGTCTTGGGTCAGGTTCCTGGAGAAACCGATTCTGAGACAGATTTGCATGCAGAATTACTGGGGGAAGGTAGTTAGGACCCACACATCCAAGGGACTGAAGAAAACAGGTTTGGAGTAGAAGAAGAAATTGAACTGAGATGTAGTCACAACAGAGGCCAATTGTACAGGGCCTTCTGAAGCTAACATATTTATTCAGTGTTTCCAAATTAAGGCAATGTGGCCAGGGCTTTATATTCCCAAATCCACAGATTATTAGGCAAAGGCTGCTCTAGGAAAGGGTTATAACCTTGAGGACAAAGCAGCTCCAGCAGGCAGAGGGCAATTTCTGGAGAGAGGCTGTGAGCCCTCAGCAGCAATGCTCCCAGAATCTGGGGAATAGGGGTCTTGGACCGGAAGGTGAAAGTGAGCAGTGCCCCAGAGAACCTTTCATACCCTCTCACCCCAATAATGTCAGGAAGAGTTTAGGGTGATGTAACCACCTTTTCTTCCCTCTCCATTTGGTCCAACATCCTTCTGTCATTCCTCCTTGCTGGCAAATTCCAGCAATGCGTTAGGGTCATACCCCAAGGGGACTCCTGCTTCCACTCCTCCAAAAGTGTCATGCTAAGGCAAGCAGCTTAGGCCTAGGGTCTGGTGGTTTTAAATTTTGTGTGTTTTGATAGACTTAAATACATTTTGTGATATTTTTGAAGGGAATTTTTAATAATCATTTCTAATTTCTCTTGCTAGCTTTTAATTGCAAATGCACAGTATTTCAGCTACATTTGGGTGAGATCAATTTTTGTCCACCATCCAAGAAGGCTTACGGCCATTGTTTCTATGAGAAAATGTATATTGAGTTCCAAACACTAAGCTCAAAAGAAGTTCTGGAACAGTGCCCGGGTGAGGACTGCCACACAGGTAATGGCTAAAATGAGCACGTTACAATTGTCAAACTCTTCGAACGCATAGAGAGAGAGTAAAAGCCCATTAAGAGCTGAAGTTGCTTTTTAACTGTGCCTTGCTTAAACTGATGTCTTAAGGCCAAAATATTGTTCTCATCAATTTGTTCCCAACAAATAAATCCAGTACCACATACCCCAAAACAAGGTAGGCTGTTTCAAAAGATCACACATTTTAATGGAATCACACTTCATTTCTGGAACAAGCACATCTTGCCCAAGCAGCTCAGCTGTCATTACAAACAGGATCTAGTCACTGCTCCCTCTATCCCTAGCATTATCCCTGTTTTACTGAAAAGGAAGCTAGCACGAGGTGCTTAAGTAACTTTAGCCACAAACTAGGGATCAGGACTGCAGCAGCTGGTGAAAGCACAGCCTTCCACGGCCTTCACACAGGTTCCTGGCTTCTTGCCCCAGCCTGGATTTCCTCCCAGCTGCAGGGCCTGAAATGTCCCTTTAAGTCTCCTTGGCTCCTTTCACCTGTGAAACAAGCTGAAAACAGCCTTTCCCAGGAAGATTCAGTGTTCATTCACTAATCAAAGAAGAAAAACCCACCACCTCTCAAGGGGGACACAGAACTCAACACAGTTTTTGAGGAGGGCTTTATTTTCCTCCCCAAAGGGAGTCAGAATTTCTCAGGTTTGAGCCTCTCCTATTCTTTTGACAAGCAATATTAATAATCGCCCCAGCTCTCCCCTGGTATAGCTGTACCACCGAGTAAAGCCCAGTGTAGGGGATACGCCCAGTGCAATAATGCTGGCTAAATAAGTACAGTTCATTACCTCCCAACAGTCAAGGAGTTTAAGATCCGTCAATTCATCCCACGTGAGGGAGATTATGTGATTTACATGTTAAAGTGCCCCTGTGGTTTGATTTGCATAGCAAAGACTTTGGGGGCATGGAAACAAAGCATCAGTGTGCATGATGAGAGTACTATTAGCATAGTGCGTTCAGATTTTCAGACAGCCTGGCTAGGCAAACAATCCTGCACCTTCACCACAAGCGTAGAGTTTATACGATTTGACAATTTCTCATCCACAATCAGGAAAGAGGTTAGGGAGTTGGTGTATGGAATGAGGTTTACTAGAAAGGCTGTCTTCTTAAGTACAATAATCTTTCCTTAAAAGACTTCCCTCCTCCCATCACTTTTCTTTTACTTCTTCTTATATTCATTTCAAGGCAGAAATATTCTACCTGATAATTCTGGAAGAGCCCAGCCACAGCCATTTCTGAATGCTGGAAACTCAGGCAGTAGCTCCATCATTGTCAGCCCACCCTCTGTCTAACCACACACACAGATGCACACACACACCACTGTAACCTTACTAAAACCTCCTGGGACGCATTAAGATCTCCCAACTAGAACACTTTGGGCTCAAACTATTGGGCTGGCCTCTGGCAAAATTACAAAATTACTTGAACCCAGCCAGACGTGGTGGCTCACGCCTGTAATCCCAGCACTTTGGGAAGCCGAGGCAGGTGGATCACAAGGTCATGAGATCGAGACCATCCTGGCTAACACAGTGAAACCCCATCTCTACTAAAAATACAAAACAAAACAAAAAAAAAAATAGCAGGGCGTGGTGGTGGGCACCTGTAGTCCCAGCTACTTGGGAGGCTGAGGCAGGAGAATGGTGTGAACCTGGGAGGCGGAGCTTGTAGTGAACCGAGATCACACCACTGCACTCCAGCCTGGGTGACAGAGCAAGACTCCATCTCAAAAAAATAAAAATAAAAAACAAAACAACAACAACAAAAAATTAGTTGAGCCCTTCCAGCTTTCTGAATGGTTCTTCTGGCCATTTCTCTCACTCTTCTTGATTAACTTACAGTGGGAGATGAACCTAACATGAGCCACAAAGAGCTGATGATGTTGCAGGTCTTGCTTCCTATTGTGGGAAGTCCCTCAGGTGTCCAGGCTAGAGAAGGGAGGTTACTGGATGAGCACAGGGTCAGAGCAAATGGTGTCCTCGGGGGCCTATTAGTCTGTACTTGCAGCTTGAAAACCCAAGAGGTGGTTGGTGAGAGAAAAAGCAGGTTTGATCGGAGAGCCAGCAAACAGAGAAGATGGTGAACAAGTGTTCTCAAGTACCGTCTTAAATTTCTCAGTTTACCACAGGGGTTTTAAAGGAAAACTTGATACGGGAGACATGTGGGAGTGGTGCAGGGTGTGGGGTCTGTATGCCTTGTTCCAATGGCTATCTTGGGTAAGAGGTAGACCTAGTTGGCATTATGTTGACTTTGGCCCAGTGGTCACGGACTAACTGTTCGTGAGTCCCGTTAAGCGGGAGGATTCTGCAATCTGGACTCTGTGCCTGCTTTGTTTCAAGATTAGCCTCTGGAATTTCTTAAGCAATCTTAAGCAAGATTAGCCTCTGGAATTTCTAATGCAGGTAAAATAAGCCTGCATTGCCAGAGGGGAGTATCTAGAGAGAGAAGAAATGAAGGGATGAAAGTGGAGGGAGGAAAGACAAATAGTGGGTGATTAAAATATGGTTTTAAAACTGAGGCCCCTGTTTACAAATCAAGGGCACTGGGATGAGTTGCTCTTCCACCATCGTTAACTCCCTTGATTCCTCAAATGCCTATGATTGCTGAGGGTTTATGGTTATAAAAATGAATGAAACAATGTTCTTGCCATCAAGGAGCTCCCAGGCTAGTGGGGGAAACAAAAATGTAATGTAGTGTGTTTAGTGCTACAATGGTGATATGGTTTGGCTGTGTCCCCACCCAAATCTCACCTTCAATTGTAATAATCCCCATGTGTCAAGGGTGGGACCAGGTGGAGATAATTGAATCATGGGGCTGGTTTCCACCATACCAATAGTTCTCATGGCAATGAATAAGTCTCACAAGATCTGATGGTTTTATAAATGGGAGTTTCTCTGCACAAGCTCTCTTGCCTGCTGCCATGTAAGATGTCGCTTTGCTCTTCCTTTCTTCTCATCTTTCGCCATGACTGTGAGGCCTCCTCAGCCATGTTGAACTGTGAGTCCATTAAACCTCTTTCCTTTATAAATTACCCAATCTCAGGTATGTCTTTATTAGCAGCATGAGAACAGACTAATACAAACAGTGTGCTGGGAGAATAAAGAAGGAGCACTAAGCCAGCAACCAGCTGAATGGAGAGGGAGGGACAGCATCTCAGGGGAGGAGATGCCTAAGCCAGGACCAAAGGATCTATAGGGAAAAAAATGAAGTTGAACATCCTTGTGCTAAATAGGACAGGATAGGGCCACCTTAACCAACTCTTACACAGTGGTTTTGACTCTTGCAGACACTTATCATTTCCTCCTTCATCCCTACTGCTCCCCACAACCCTTAGCTACTTCAGTTAAGTTATAATTGACCAGGTAAAGGCTTTTTGAGGAACACAGTGGCTCTCAAACACATCCTGTTTTTCTCCTGATTATTTGGCCCCACTGATATTACTGACTATTCTGAGAGCACCTATTCCTCTCAATCCACTTTCCCCTAAATCTACTCTCTGCAACATACATACATACATACATACATACATACATACATACATACATACATACACACACACACATACCCCAAAATGTATTTAATTTGTACCCATTTTATCATTCATTCATGTAATGCTTATGTAACAGCACTGGTTAGGAAGCTTGGAGAGCTGGATTCAAGTCAAACAGAGTCTCTCCTTGACCAAACTAATCAGGCTCCTCTTAACTTTCTCTTCAATAGGACCTGACTTTCAGCCTTTGGTGTTAGTCTCTGCATTGTTCAACTTTAACAAGAATCTTGCTAAGTCACTTTAGCCAGAATCTCCCATCCTTAGTATCTGATCACCTTTGACGTCTGATCAGGTTCTTCCTCCTCCATCATCCCTCAGATGATGGATGATCACCCTGGCCTGCCTTCAGCAACAATCCTATCAGGTCAATTTTGGTAGAATTCCCTCTCCCTTACATCTGGTGTTTCCTCTTAGTAATTTTCCATCCATTGACCCCCACCTTACTCCTTCTTGGCTATAAATTCCCATTTTTCCTTGTGTTTAAAGTTGAGCCCAGTCTCTCTCCCTACTGGAAAATCTTATTTCAGTGGTCTCTATACCTGTCATGGTGGTCCTGAATAAAGTCTGCCTTAGCATTCTTTAACAAATGTTATGAATAATTTTTCTAAACCAATGTAGACTTGGTTATCTGGGCAAATCATTTAATTCCTCTGCAATCCAGTTTGTTCTAAGAAGGAAGAGAAAACCTCTAAGATTTCTTCCAGCCCTAATGTAAGAGAAATTAATAGGGTAGTCTAGTGCACAGTAATATCAGACAAACTGAACCACAGGAATGAGGAAGCTGAAGGCCAAAGTGAATGTCCCAGAAACCCCACTTTATGTGCTTAGTCACTTGTCACTTTAAGAGTTTGTCACTTAGAGAGCCAGTTTCTAAGTCTTTAGAAGAAGGATATCAACAAATGTATCTCAGGGCTGTTATGAGAGTTAAATATAGTGCTCTATGTGAAAAGCTCTTTGCAAATTATAAATGCAACACACTGTTACTAATGTGTTAACTAAGATGAGATTGAAATTCCAAGTACTAACAGCAGGACACTGCGGAACATTCCTTTAATCTATTGGTTTTCACTGTGGAGGTGGGAGATTTTGCCACCAGGAGTTATTTGGCAATGTCTGGGAACATTTTTAATTGTCACAACTGAGGGAAGGGGAGAGGTACTACTGGCATCTACTGGAAAACAGCCACGGATGCTGCTAAATGTCCTACAAGGCACAGGACAGCTCCTCACGACAACGAATTATCCTACTCAATAGTAAACCTAATACCGCAAAACCATCCTATGTCATGGCTATCTGTTTTCCTGGGGAAAAAGACAGTTCCAGACAGTATGGACCACCAATACTAAGACTCCATGAATACCTAGACTCCCAAAAAAAGTCCTATGGCCCTATGACAAAGCTCCAGCCGAAAACATTTCCTTCAGAGATTTTACCACCAAGCTCTTGGCTACAGGGATTTGGATGGAGGCTGTCCTGTGACCAAAAATTTCCATAAATGGATATGAAGAAAGATCACGGAGCATGCTAGTAACACTAGAAAATTTGTGCTTTTTTTTTTTTGTTAGGACTGGGGGAGGAAATCCAAATCACTGAAACATTCATTGTGTATAATTAGGCAATGGGAGTTATAGTGTATGAAGAATAACATGATGCATCATTCATACTGTGGGGATGAACTCATTGATTCTGTATGTATTCCACTCTCAAGCACACAGAAAGCATGTAGTTACAGAAATCATTCTTTCTGGAAATCTAGTAATCTAAAGGTCTGCTAGTTGGACTAGGCATGGTGACTCACCCCTACAACCCAGTGCTTTGGGAGGCTGAGGCAGGAGGATGGCTTGAGGCCAGGAGTTTGAGACCAGCCTGGGCAACATAGTGAGGTCCTGTCTCTACAAAAAATAACAAAAATTAGTTGGGCATGGTAGTGAACCCTGTAGTCCTAGCCACTCGGGAGGCTGAGGCAGGAGGATCGCTTGAGCCCAGGAGTTTGGGGTTGCAACTGGACCACTACCCTGTAGCCTGGGCTACAGAAAGAGACCCAAAGGTCAGCTAGTTCCCAATGTAAGGGGTTAAAATGTCTGCTATGTTGCTATATGTCCTTTAGTTTTTGCTTTTCTGGGTTTTGTTTGTCTGTTTGTTTTTTAGAGACAGAGTCTTGCTCTGTCACCCAGGCTGAAGGGCAGTGCACCATCATGGCTTACTGCAGCCTTGAACTCCTGGGCTCAAGTGATCCTCCCACCTCAGCCTCCCAAGTAGCTGAGAAGACAGGCATGTACCATCACACTCGATTTTTTGTTTGAATTTTTTTGTAGGGACAGGATCTTGCTATATTTCCCAGGCTGGTTTCAAACTCCTGGGCTCAAGTGATCCTGCTACCTTGGCCTCCCAAAATGTTGGAATTACAGATATGAGCCACACACCTGGCCTGTAGTAGAAATTCCTTTTAGTTACTGCTTTTAAAAATATTTGATCACTAGCTGAGTGTTACACAATTTGAAACCTGAGTATTTCTATTTGGCTATCAGTTCGGCATTAGCTCTGAATAGACAACCCACGTTGAAGGGTGAGTGTTATTTGGTTAGATCTTTAGTGGGTTGATAGTTTCAGTTTCCAACTTGTTCAACACCTCAGATGGAGAAAAATAATTTCTGAAATAAAGAATTATTGCCTTTTTTTTAAACAAATGGAAAGTGGAGAAAACCCCTTAAAACATACATTATTTATCACCATAATCCCATGAGGAGGATGTTACAATAAATGAGGGAACAAAATCACGAGGAATAAGAAAACTTTGAAGGTAGGATTAGAGTTCACAACCTTTAAATTGTTGAAATTTGTGCCAAAAATTCTGACAATGCAACAGTTGCCCCTTCTATACTTTCTCCTTAAACATGATGTTTTCCTGTTCAGTGTTACGCCAATTTGTTCTCTAAAGGGACTTTTGAATAGCAGTGACTTAGTAGGTGATTATATTCCAATGCTTCACCATTTTGTCTTGATTTGTCATGTTCGTATCAGATTTCCAGCCTTGAGCCTGGTGTTAAGGTCTGTGAATCCTGACATCTGTGACCTGAGCTGAGAGTTCTTTCCTTTACCCTCTTGAAATGTTAGTGGGGGCACTGGCACTGACTCTCTCCACTGAGATAAGAGCCTGGCAGTGAAATAGCTCAGTGGAGGTGAAACCCTTGTAAAACACAGAGCTGAGGCATAATAGTTTTAAGGTGAACAGAGGTCACCGCTCCTGAGAGCTCGGCGAGGTGGCGCTGATAACACCTACAGAAACCCTGGTTGTGTAGTGCACTGGTAATTGTAGTCTCTTTGTGAAGAAATCACTGATTAAGGTTTATGCAGATAACATTCCAGATTTTTCCTGTGTCTAAGTTTGGCACTTTTGAAAATGGCATGAAATCTGTCAAGTCACCAGGGTGCCATTTTTGAAATTACTACTACAATGAACTAAGTGGCACCTCACAGGATTTACCCAATGTTCAAAAATTGTTCTTCTAATTAAAGGATAAAACCATTTGATAAACTCCTAGGAATAATTTAAGTTCTAGGCGAACCCAACTATTTCAGGCCTGCTTTTGTCAAAGTCCTTCCCCCTAGGACCCTAAGTGAACTCTGAAATTTTTTAATTAACAGGTTTTTTTGTAAGAAGTCCTTAAAAGGTATTATTCTCCTTCCATCTCTGAAAATGCATGCACACATACACACTTTGTAGAGTTCACTTTAAAGGTTTCTGGTTAAGGACGATCCCAGCTTCAAAAAGAGCTTGAAAGGGGTTTGAGACAGTGAGAGAAAAAGAGAGGAGAGCAACACAGGAGGTGCCATCTCAAAACCTGTAGATCATTTGTATTTAGGATGTGATCTGTAAGTTTAGACAGGAGTGGCTAAAGGCAGAAGGAAGGAATATTTATTTTCTAAAGACTTGTATATGTTTAATATGGAGGACAGTTCTTTCAGTAGTTGCCTGGATTAGAGATTGTTAAGTAAATGGCCAAACTAAGTAGCCAAAATTGGGTCACCTAAATTGGGTGGCATTGCTTGCATGCTTGGCCTAGAAGAGCCTCAAAGCTTTCCAGGGTATCAATCCTCTAGAATAACAAAGGACTAAAGGGGAAAAAGTCATCTGACTGGCAACTATTTATTCAGAAATATTCCCAGGGGCTATGCATGCTTCAAGAAGTATAGACTAAACATTTTTTCTTTCACATAATGAGGAAATTGAGCCAGTCACACTGTCAGAGCAGCTGTGACCAAGGAAGCTCACCAAGACCTGGGCAAGCACTTACAAGATCCTCAGGCAATGTGCGTGCTGTCTGTTAGAAAGTGAGGAGTTTGGGAAGACAAATGCACGCATCTCCACAGTGTTTTTCTCAGGATGGAAAGGCAACAATGTCTCTGAGACAAAGGCAGCTCAGAATACATTGCCTCACTCTTGCTTGGGTTTTGTTGAAACTTATTGCCAATATGCCATTTGACACAAAAACTCTTTAAAATTGAATTAAGGCTAATAAACATAAAAAAGGCAAGGAGGTGTATAATTACTTCTGTTCTCTCTACTAGTATCTCATTCTACATAGTTCCGTTTGTTTCTGAAACCTAAAATTTTCATATGGATCAGAACACAGTGCTGTGGGGTTTTTTCTTTTTTTTTTTTTTTTGTTAACTAAAGAATCTGTTTAGGGGGGTAGGGGGGCAAGGGGAGGGAGAGCATTAGAACAAATCCCTAATGCATGTGGATATTAAAATCCAGATGACAGGTTGATAGGTGCAGCAAACCACCATGGCACATGTATACCTATGTAATAAACCTGCATGTTCTTCACATGTATCCCGGAACTTAAAGTAAAATTTAAAAAAATAAGAATCCATTTAAAGATAAATATTCTGAGATATGCTTATTTAGTTTCCCCAGTTTCCACCCTGAAATGAAGTCTACGTTACACTTGGAGTCTTCTGCTGAAATGTTTAAGGTCAAACAATGTTTAATAAATTGTCAGTCTTATCTGAGAAAAGTCACCCCTCTACCCCTGTCTTTCCATTTACTGCATTTTTCTATATGAGGAATGCCATATCTGAACAATCCATTTTAAAAATAAACAAAACTCTGTGGGTGGCTGATCTTAGATTGTGCCCAAGGTTCATCTTTGTATCTGCCCTAATCTGTGTTGTCTTCCAGTCACAATGCTTTGCCAGCCCTTGAATGGAAGTCACTCATGTGGGAAACAGAAAATCCATCTTTCAATTGTCCCAGAAGGTTCTTTCTCAACATGAATGTTTCTATAAGTTGTTTATATCCCGTTGACTGTAACGCTATTACCTCGATTGGGAACAGATGTTGGTATGTTGTGAAAAACTAATATTCATCTCAAAAATTTCATTTAGATCATTGTACATGAACACCCAGAGATAAATGCAGGGCTGAGGTAATAGGATATAAGACCATGAAAAAATTCAGAAATAGCTTACTTTTGCTATGTGCTTTATCTTCTGGAAGTAGAAGCAACACACATTGCCAAAAATTGATTGGGAATTAATTAGAAAATTCCATGACCTGAATCAAATGATAAATTATGAGAAAATAATTTTTTTCCATACCTTGCAAGATTGTACTTCCCTGGTAATATCTGTTTTATTATATAGTGTTGCTATGGTTTGCATGTGCCCCCCCAAAGTTTGAGAGGTGGAAACTTAATTTGCAGTGAAACAGTGTTGAGTGGTACAACTCGTAAGAGGTGATTAGGTCGTCAGGGCTCTGCCCGCACTGAATGGATTAACACCCTTAATCAACATCATTTATTTTATATGCAGTTTTAGTTCAAGTCTACTTATAAAGACACATACAGTCTTTGATATACTGCCCAATAGTAACTAACAAAACCAAATGCTTTGTGGAGTTAACCAAATAAAGGGTGGATTTTAAGGTTATGATTAAAATGAATAATAATGCCTACCACATTTTGACCAACATGGACAGATTGTCGAAGGGTTCCAGGACCAGTGCTGTGCTATCAGACTGTGATATTAGTTGTCCACCAGAGGCCATTCATTATTCAAGGCCAGGAAAGATTAATGAGGCCACAAAAGGAGTAGGGTATGACCTTATTCAAAAAAGATGTTTGAATC
Source organism: Homo sapiens (assembly GCF_000001405.40). Taxonomy (NCBI): domain Eukaryota; kingdom Metazoa; phylum Chordata; class Mammalia; order Primates; family Hominidae; genus Homo; species Homo sapiens. Next base: position 59,418,670 of record NC_000013.11, read on the forward strand.
TAGGTATCAAAAACGTGAATGGCATTAGTTGTAAGACATCTGACAAGAGGAATTTTAAAACAAGCTTTAGTATGAAAAGGGTCCTCAGGAGAGGCCAAAGATGAGCACTGGTTATCCTGGACAGGAGCCATTTGCTCCCAGAAACTCAGCAATATACCTCCAATCAACCACTGGTAAGACTCCAGCTGGTTTACTCCACCACCATCTTGATGTTTGAACTCTAAAAAAAAAAAAAAAAAAAAAAAGAGAGAGAGAGAGAAAGATTTTGAAGGCCAAGCATGGTAGCACATGCCTGTAATCCCAGCTACTAGGGAGGCTGAGGCAGGAAGATCATTTGAGGCTAGGAGTTTGAGACCAGCCTAGGCAACATAGCCAGACCCTGTCTCTAATAAATAAATAAATACGATTTTGAACTTAGAATAAGTATAAAATCATCAAAGAGAAACTCTATTTGTTACCAGGATTGCCCCAGTTTCACCATGCTGTAATCAGTATGAGGTAGTGATAATTCAAATAAAGATTGAAGGTATTTTTCTTCACCTGCTGTTTGTAGGGACTTTTCCAGTAAAAATACCCATGAAGAACATAGGTATCAGAGCCATACTTTTGTGGTAGAGAATTAAATCATAGAAGTTATTTTTTTAGAATTAAAAAGAGACCTAAGGTATCTGATACAACTTCCTTGTTTTACAGATAAAAAATAAATTTGGAGAAGCTGAATGTTTTCTCTAAGGACACACAGCAAGTTAGTGGGAGGCTGGTAAGTTTGAGGTGGGGAGCTCTGAAATTGTGTTATCTAAATATGTGTCCCATCTTCACTACTGGGTCACTGTGTTACCATAAGCATGTTCCTTACTTTATCTGGGTTTCAATTTCTTTACCTGAAAAATAGGTGTGATAATAAAAACAAATGTAGTAAAACATTAGTGTAAGAAGAGACTCATTAAAACATACAAACACTATATTAGTCCATTTTCACACTTCTATAAAGACATACCCAAGAATGGGTAATTTATAAAGAAAAGAGATTTAATTGACTCAAAGTTCCACATGGCTGGGGAGGCCTCAGGAAACTTACATTCATGGTGGAAGGGGAAGCAGACACATCTTACATGGCAGCAGGCAAGACAGCATGTGAAAGACGCAAAGGGGGAAAAGCCTCTTATAAAGCCTCAGATCTCACGAGAATTCATTCACTATCATGAGAACAGCAAGAGGGAACTGCCCCCATATCCAATCACTTCCCACCAGGTCACTCCCTAAACACCTGGGGATTACAATTCAACATGAGATTTGGGTGGGGACACAAAGCCTAACACTAAATTATTTATTTTTAACCTAAGACATATACAGTTGACCCTTGAACAATGTGAGGTTAGGGGCACTGATTCCCCCACTCAGTTGAAAATCTTCATATAACTTTTGACTCCCCAAAACATAACTATTAATAGCCTACTGTTGACTAGAAGTTTTGCTGATAACATAAACAATTAACATGTATTGTGTATACGTATTATATACTGTGTTCTTAAAATTAAGCTAGAGAAAATCAAATATTAAGAAAATCATAAGGAAGAGAAATATATTTACTATTTATTAAGTGGAAATGGATCATCATAAAGGACTTCATCATCGTCTTCACATTGAATAGAAATGAGAAGGAGGAGTAAGACGAAGGTTTGGTCTTGCTGTCTCAGGGGTGGCAGAGGCAGAGTTGACAGAGGTAGAAGGGGAAGCAAGAGAAGCAGGCATACTTGGTGTACAGCCCATGTATAAGTGAACCCTGTGCAGTTCAAACACATGTTGTTCAAGGGTTAGCTGTGTGTTGTTGTTTTGTGTGTGTGTGTTTGTGCACATAATGTACCCATTTTCATGTAGAGTCAAGGCTTTTTCTTTGAGTATGGGTCCTCTGATTTTGTTTCCATTCATCTTTCCTTTTTTTTTTTTTTTTTTTGAGACGGAGTTTCACTCTTGTTGCCCAGGCTGGAGTGCAATGGCATGATCTCGGCTCACCGCAACCTCCGCCTCCCAGTTTCAAGCAATTCTCCTGCCTCAGCCTCCCGAGTAGCTGGGATTACAGGCATGTGCCACCATGCCCAGCTAATTTTGTATTTTTTTAAATAGAGATGGGGTTTCTCCATGTCGGTCAGGCTGGTCTCGAACTCCCGACCTCAGGTGATCTACCTGCCTCGGCCTCCCAAAGTGCTGGGATTATAGGCATGAGCCACCATGCCCAGCCTGCATTCATCTTTCTTCATATAAACCATACCCATAAGCTTCCATCCCTTTAATTTTGAGAAGTAAATACAATGATGAGTCAGTCAAAATACAGCATTCTTTTAGAGTTTTATAATTTCCAATTTTGTAGTTTGTTGTTTCACATTGTCTATTGAGGCTACTATAATAAAATATCATAAACAAGGTAGCTTATAAATGACAGTGATTTATTTCTCATAGTTCTAGAAGCTGAGAAATCTGAGACCAAGAAGGCACTATCAGATTCTATGCCTAATGAGGGCCATTCCCTGGTTCATAGATGCTGCCTTCTAGCTTTGTCCTCATGTAGTGTGAGGGGCTGGGCTGCTCTCTGGGGCCTCTTTTATAAGGGTGCTAATCCCATTCATGAGGATTCTCTTCCATGACATAAACACATTCCAAAGGTCCCATATCCTAACACCAGCACATTGGTGATTAGGTTTCAACATATGAATTTTGAAGGGACACAAACATTTGGACCAAAGCACACCTCTACCTAATTCAACAGCATTAAAAACGTAAATTATATTAATTGAATCCTTCCAATATAGTTAACTTAGTTCTTACAAAAACAATCTTTATGCTATTAAAATTCTTATTTGATTGAATTTTGTTATATTTAATGAAAATACACAATTGCATTCATAAGTACAACTGATATAATCAAATTGGGTCCAAACACCCCCAACTCTCTTGACAACATCCATCTCAACTTGCAGGAGCAAAACTGATCAGCTTCCTGGAGGTGGGCCCACTCTCTGGAGCTGTCAGGGTACTGTAAGTATGTCAGTGTGCTTTACAGACGGAATGGAGAAAGCCAAGTAATCTTTTAAATTCAAGTGGTTAAGGAAATTTCTACTGAAAGCTTATAGAACAATGCCAACATATATAAAGCACTGAACAAATGTTAGCTATTAATATACAAGTTTAGAACTCATTTCTCCTGACTTGTCAGGAAATAAATAGACACTTGTAGATTGATACTGTTCTTTGTTCTATGTTCTTTTTGTGCATTGATATTCACAATTAACTTTTACCTCCTATTAACTACATTAATAAAAAATTATCAGTGATTACATTATATGCCCTGTGTTTGCTGCAACAGTAAAGACTGGGAATCAATTCTAGAATCTTGCTGGTCTCCATGATATGAGAAAAAATATCTTCATTTTTTAAATAGTTGATTTCTTTTTTCTCTAAATTAAAATGCATATGTTTAAAAGTAAAATACCATATTACACCAATTGTAAGATGCACATTTTTTCACATTAGTATCTTTGAAATCTGAATGCCTTCTTACTGTCTATGACATCTTATAATTGCAGTGGACCGGGTGGCAATCATAACACAGTGACACTGTCTGCACATTTACACTTCTAAAAAGTACCAACATCAAAATTCAGAAGTGACAGCAACTTGGAAAAAAAACACAGAATCAATAGTGTATCACTCTTTAGAGGAGTACTGCATCACCAATGATCTCAATAGCACAGAGAGCACTATTGCAGGGAAAAATACAAGCACCGACAACGCTGAGTTGAAGTAATTCAGGAGAATTTGACACTTTAGGAATACCTTACCCAATTTATTTCACTTATATTTTTAGTTTTCATTTATGCACAGGAATTATGCATGATTAAAAAATACTAATCTACTAATCCAAATAAATAGAAAAGAGCCCTTTCATTAATATTATATAAAGACTGCAATGATTTCTGATAATAGTGGAGTAACTGGTATCAAAGTAGTGCTTCTGTCATGAACAAGCAGTAGGTCAAATATATGAGGCAACTGTGTTGAGACAGTGGACCACAAGCAGTACAAGAGTGTGATCCCTGAGAAGAGGAACTCGGGATGTGAGCCTCACAACTGCCCAGCTGTCTGACTCGGGACAAATTCCTGACTAGAGGGCAATGAGTTGCTTTGCAAGCAGATCGTGTTAGTTCATCCCAACTGAGGAGGCAGAGATCACAGCAGGAGCAGATGAAGCGGCTGGAATCTACAGGGCAGGACTGCAGAGGAGGAAGCTGCAGAGAGAGGGGACTCCAAAAGTTTGGAGTGGGTCTTTTGCTAATGGTTGTGCTATGCATGGTCAGAGTAAGATTAAGAAGCTGCTTCAGGGTGCAACATTGGAAAGAGATTAGTGGTCAAGTTCTGCTTGTAAAAATGTTGTTAACACCTTGGATATCCTCCAGAGACGCCAAAAGGCCGCATCTTAGAAGTAAGCGCTGTGCCCTATTCCATACCCACCCAACAAAGCCAAAAACAAAACCCCAGCAAGATCTGTAGGAAGACAGAGTTCAGAGGCTTAGTCCCATCAGGTTAGAGAGATCTGGAAAACACCTTGGCTTTTCCAAATATCTGCCCTAACAAAGTATATCACTAAGGTTACAGTTACACAATGCAAGATGATCACACAATAATTGAACTGTAGACTAGCAGTTTAAAACAAAAGAAACCTTCTTCAGATTTAAGGAGTCCCCAATCCCCAGGCCACAGACGGGTACCAGGATCAGCTTGGACAACAGCTCACTGCACTCTAGTCAGGAATTTGTCCCCAGTCAGATAGCTGGGCTCACATTCCAAGTTCCTTTTTCAGGGCTTACATTCTTGCACTGCTTGTAGTACACAGTTTCATCCCAAAACCGCCCCCCACCACCCCTCGTCCATGGAAAAATTGTCTTCCATGAAACCAACCCCTGGTGCCAAAAAGCTTGGGGACCGCTGCCGATAACATGCAGCCAACACAATTTTGAAACCAAAAAACAAGCTAGAATAATTATACCATCTGATTTCAAGACTTACTACAAAGTGACAGTAATCACTTTCTGATACTGTGTCACACTGAGACAATGTGATAATGATGTAATGACAGACAAAATAGTCCAAAATACCTCCACACATATATAGTCAATTGATTTTTGACAAAAGCCCCAAGGTAATGTGATAAAGAAACACATTGATTTCGTCAAATGGTGCTGAAACCACTAGATATCTGGTGCGGAAGAAAATGAACTTTGATCTCTTTCTCACACCATACACAAAAATTAATTTTATATTCATCATATCTAAATTTAGAAATGAAAACAATAAAATTCCCAGGAGAAAATATAGGTGAAAACCTTCGTAAACTTGATATAGCCAAAGATTTCTTAAACAGGATTGAAGAGACACTAATCGCAAAAGAAAAAAATGAGAAATTGGACTTTATCCAAAGGAAAATTCTCAGACAAGGCTAGGATTAGGAGAAGGCAAACAAAGCCAAATTTGTGCAAGTGCAGAGTCAGTTTTTGTCTTTATTTTAACATTTGGTATTTTTTCCATTGTAACTTTTTACATTAAATTTGATTTTTAAAATATTGCATTAAAATATTATCTATATCTATCTCTATCCTAGAGTCAGTGAGACCTTCTGGCTCTGTTCTTTCTTCCTATGCTGTAGTCTGAAAGTGTTCTTCAATCAGTAAACTGGGGCAATCATAGGGCTCCCTTATTTGTGTTCCTTTTCTCAGGAATCACTGTTACATTCTACCTCTGGCACAGTAGCTAAACACCATTATTTCATAGGTGTTGTCCAGTTTTCCAGTTGTTTAAGGAAGGAGGGTACTTCTGGTCACTTAACTTTACTGTAGCTGGAAGCAGACGTACTTGCAAGAGTTTTGAAATGTATTTTTAACTCTAATATTTATATCTTTAAAGCTCAGTGACTACGGCACACTTTGCCATGTAGTCAATTTATACTGGTTTAAAATACATGACTATCAAAATTATTCTAACAATATTATCCTCTTTAATCTATATTAAACTTTTGCAAGTGGCCTAGTGACCATTTCTTTCATTATGCTGCTCTTTTTAAAAAAAAGGTCCAAAATATTTGGCAATGACTTGTAAGATTGCTATGTGAAACACATTGGAATGAAGTTATAAAATGTGCGAGCGTGTGACACATGACTATCTAGAACATGATTCATGATTAAACACACTGGAAATTGCTAGGTTCCTTGAATGATAAAGAAATTATTTCCATTCCATTGATTTGTGGAGGGAGGTATATTTTCTTTGCATGAAGGAGACTATAGAACTTTTGAGAGATTCAGTTTACTTTTTTCTGTTGCTACAGAAACCTTGAAAGATATTTTATCTGTACTTCTCAAGCCAGGAAAAAAGTGCAAGGTCAAAGAGCTTAACTCGGCTCAGAGGTGGGGGGACAGTTGCCCTCAGACTGCAGGTCACTTACCTAGGATCAGGAGAGGGGGTAAAAATGGGAAGGATGAATGCAGGTTCAAGTGCGTTTAACTATGGAGTGGAGACCAAAGAAATCAGCCACAGTAAAAGTGTAACCCAACACCTACTTCTCTCCCTTAGTGGGTACTTGGATACTCCATCAAGGGGAAGAGATTGTTTTCATTCTGTTGTGATCAGCAGCATGCATTTACTAAGAGAGAGCAATAATTGCATCATAAAAAATTATTTGTATTCATACTGTGTCCCTGGAGACTTAAGACATTATTTAGATTGGTTTAGATTAAGAAAATTATCTTCTTACTTCCCCTTACTGACCAAACATAGAACTATGTTAAGCATCCACTAGCACTGCTGCAACATGTGTTTATGCGGAAGAAACTGCCATTAGATGAGGTATAAAGAGGTCCACTCATTCTTAAAATGATTCTGTTCTCTTCTGCCTGCTGAAGCTGCCAGCCGCCTGCCAATTGTGATGTACTTTATGACATGGACACGGGGAGCTAGACAAAGATCACCAATTAATTTCCTTCCCAACAAATGACAAAACATATCATGAAACAGAATCACTTAAACCAGTGGCCACTGGGTCTTGGCTTCTACCCCAGAAGCAACAGTCTTTTTCCTTTTTGATGACCGATTTAAACTTGGAAGGAACTCAACTCCTGCACCCATGGCCACAGCTGTTTAAGCTTGGTCTTTACAATGGATTCCATGATAGAATGTGAATTTAGAAGAAAGGGTAGAGCTCATCTGATACAAACTTCCTAATTTACGGAAGAGCTCACCAACATCCATCGAGGATAAATGACTTGCACAAAATCACTACAATGAGTTAAAGCTCTATTACTCCCAAATTTTTCTAGTTATTTTAGTTAGTGAGAACTTTTTTTACTTGCCTTACCCAGACTATACAATATTACAGAAAACATATTTTTACCCAAATTATGAAACTAGTTTGCAAACATGTGCTTGGGTTTCTTTATAACCAGATTAAGGTATTAACAATCAAGAAAAGAGGACAGGCGCGGTGGCTCATGCCTGTAATCCCAGCACTTTGGGAGGCTGAGGCGGGCAGATCATGAGGTCAGGAGATTGAGACCATCCTGGCAAACATGGTGAAACCCTGTCTCTACTAAAAATACACAAAAATTAGTCCAGTGTGGTGGCAGGCATCTGTAGTCCCAGCTACTTGGGAGGCTGAGACAGGAGAATGGTGTAAACCCAGGAGGCGGAGCTTGCAGTGAGCCGAGATTGAGCCACTGCACTCCAGCCTGAGAGACAGAGCAAGACTCTGTCTCAAAAAAAAAAAAAAAAAAAAAAAAAAAAAAAAAAAAAAAAATCAAGAAAAGAGTGGGGAATAATTCTATTAAAATATTTGAATGTTTATAATGCACAAGGCTTTAATCTATGTTTTAAGGAGGATACAAAACCAATTTAGGAGAGCCTCAGGTATCAGCCATGTATTACTGCAGGAGCAAAATAAAACAAAAATGAAACTCAGCAGGAGAAACAACAAGTGATTTGATCTCAAAATTTTGTGGGCTGACTGGGCAGTTGTTCTGTTGGTCTCACCTGGACTCTGTGGCTTCAGTAAGCAGCTTGGTTGGTGCTGAATGCTCTAATGCTGGGGCTATCACATATCTCGGGTCTAAGATGGGGTGTCTAAAGTGACAGAGATGGCCAAGCCTCTGGCCATTTGGTCTTTTATCCCAGGTTTCTTAATGTTATGGCAGAAGCATTCCAAAAAAGCAAGAGCAAAGCCACGAGTCCCCCTTGAGAACCCACAGCATCCAATTTACTTTGATCTTTTTAAAATTGTTTCAGTAAATTTTGGGGGAACAGGTGGTGTTTAGTAACATGAATTAGTTCTTTAGTGGTGATTTCTGAGATTTTGGTGCACCCGTCACCCAAGCAATGTACACCATATCCAATGTGTAGTCTTTTTATCCCTCACTCCCCTCCCAACCTTTCCTCGAGTCCCCCAAGTCCATGATATAATTCTTATGCCTTTGCATCCTCATAGCTTAGCTCCCACTTATAAATGTGAACATACAATGTTTTCCATTCCTGAGTAACTTCACTTGAAATAATGGTCTCTACCAAACTGCCTAAAGCAATCTACAAATTCAATGCAATTTCCATCGAAATATCACCATCATTCTTCATAGAATTAGAAAAAACAACCCTAAAATACATATAGAGCCAAAAATAGCCTGCATAGCCAAAGCAAGGCTAAGCAAAAAGAATAAATCTGGAGGCTTCACACGACCTGATTTCAAACTATACTATAAGGCCATAATTACCAAAACAGCATGGTACTGGTATAAATAAAGGCACATAGACCAGTGGAACAGAATAGAGAACCCAGAAATAAACCCAAATACTTACAGCCAGCTGAACTTCAACAAAGCAAACAAAAACATAATGTAGAAAAAGGACACCCTTTTCAACAAGTGGTGCTGTGATAATTGGCTAGCCACATGTAGGAGAATGAAACTGGATCCTCATCTCTCACATTATGCAAAAATCAACTCAAGATGGAATGAGACTTAAATTTCAGACCTGAAGGTATAAAAATTCTGGAAGATAACACTGGAAAACCCTTCTAGACATTGGCTTAGGCAAGGATTTCATGACCAAGAACCCAAAAGCAAATGCAATAAAAACAAAGATAAATAGCTGGGACTTAATTAAACTAAAGAGCTTTTGCATGCAAAAGGAACAATCAGCAGAGTAAGCAAACAATCCACAGAGTGGGAGAAAATCTTCACAATCTGTACATCTGACCAAGGACTAATATCCAGAATCTACAACAAACTCAAACAAATTAGCAAGAAAAAAAAAAAGCAAACAATCCCATCAAAAAATGGGCTAAGGACATGAATAGACAATTCTCAAAAGAAGATATACAAATGGCCAAAAAACATATGAAAAAATGCTCAACATCACTAACGATCAGGGAAATGCAAATCAAAACCACCATGCAATACCACCTTACTCCTGCATGAATGGCCATAATCAAAAAAATCAAAAAACAGTGGATGTTGGCATGGATGCAGTGATCAGGGAACATTTCTATACTGCTGGTCGGAGTGTAAACTAGTACGGCCACTATGGAAAACAGTGTGAAGATTCCTTAAAGAATTAAAAGTAAATCTACCATTTGATAGAGCAATCCTACAGGGTATCTACCCAGAGGAAAAGAAGTCATTATACGAAAAAGATACTTGCACATGCATGTTTATAGCAGCACAATTCGCAACTGCAAAATTCTGGAACCAATCCAAATGCCCATCAATCAACTAGTGGATAAAGAAACTGTGACACACACACACACACAATGGAATACTACTCAGCCATAAAAAGGAATGAATTTCCAGCATTTGCAGCAACCTTGATGAGATTGGAGACTATTATTCTAAGTGAAGTAACTCAGGAACGAAAAATCAAACATCGTATATTCTCATTGATAATGTGGGAGCTAAGCTACGACGACTCAAAGGCATAGGAATAATACAATGGACTTTGGGGACTTGAGAGGAAGGGTGGGAGGGAGGCTAGGGATAAAAGACTACAAATAGGGTGCAGTGTATACTGCTCGGGTGATGGGTACACCAAAATCTCACAAATCACCACTAAACAACTTATTCATGTAATCAAGCAACACCTGTACTCCAATACCTATGGAAAAATAAAAAATAAAAGAATAAGGGTTTCCAATTCCATCCAGGATGTCTGTACATACCATTATTTTGTTCCTTTTTATGGCTGAGTAGTTTTATATGAGAGAGAGAGAGAAAGAGAGGAAGAGAGATACTATATTTTCTTTTTTTGAGATGTAATTTCACTCTGTCACCCAGGCTGGAGTGCAGTGGCACGATCTCATCTCGCTGCAGCCTCCACCTCCTGGGTTCAAGCAATTCTCCTGCCTCAACCTCCTGAGTAGCTGGGATTACAGGCAGCCGCCAGCACACCCAACTAATTTTTGTATTTTTAGTAGAGACGGGGTTTTGCCATGTTGGCCAGGCTGTTCTCAAACTCCTGACCTCAGGTGATGTGCCAGCCTCGGTCTCCCAAAGTGCGGGGATACAGGTGTGAGCCACTGCACCTGGCTAATATATTTTCTTTATCCACTCCTTGATTGATGGGCATTTGGACTAGTTCCATATTTTTGCAATTGCAAATTGTGCTTCTATAAATAGGCATGTGCAAGTATATTTTTCTTTAATGACGTCTTTTGCTCTCGGTAGATACCTAAGAGTGGGATTGCTGGATCAACTGGTAGATCTTTCAGTTCTTTAAGGAATCTCTACACTGTTTTCCATAATGGTTGTACTAGTTTACATTCCCATCAATAATGTAAAAGTGTGCCCTTTTCACCACATCCACACTAATATCTATTATTATTTTTTGATTAGGCCCATTCTTGCAAGAGCGAGGTGGTATTGCATTGTGGTTTTGATTTGTATTTCACTGACAATTAGTAATGTTGAGCTTTTTGTATATGTTTATTGGCCTTTTGTATGTCTTCTTTTGAGAGTTATCTATTCATATCCTTAGCCCACTTTTTGACGGGATTGTTTTGTTCTTGCTGATTTGAGTTCCTTGGAGATTCTAGATAGTAGTCCTTTGTTGGATGTATAGATTGTGAACATTTTCTCCCACTCTGTGGGTTGTCTGTTTATTCTACTGAATATTTCTTTTGCTGTGCAGCTTTTTAGTTTAATTAAATCCCATCTATTCATCTGTGTTTTTGTTGTGTTTGCTTTTGGATTCTTGGTCATAAAATCTTTGCCTAAGCCAATGTCTAGAAGGTTCCTTCCAATGTTATCTTCTAGAATCTTCATAGTTTCAAGTCTGTAAGTCTTTGATTCACCTTGAGTTGAATTTTGTATAGGGTGAGAGATGAAGATACAGTTTCATTCTTCTACATGTGGCTTGCCAGTTATCTCAGCACCATTTGTTGAACAGGGTGTCCTTTTTGCACTTTATGTTTTTGTTTGCTTTGTCAAAGACCAGTTGGCTGTAAGTATTGGCTTTATCTCCGAGTTCTCCATTCTGTTTCATTGCTCTATATTCCGATTTTTATACCAGTACCATGCTGTTTTGGTGACTATGGCCTTATAGTATAATTTGAAGTCAGGTAATGTGATGCCTATGAATTTGTTTTTTGGTCTTTTTTTTTTTTTTGAGACAGAGTCTCGCTCTGTAGCCCAGGCTGGGGTGCAGTGGCATGATCTCGGCTCATTCTAAGCTCCGCCTCCCGGGTTCATGCCATTCTCCTGCCTCAGCCTCCAGAGTAGCTGGGGCTACAGGTCCCCACCACCACGCCCAGCTAATTTTTTATACTTTTAGTAAAGACAGGGTTTCACCATGTTAGCCAGGATGGTCTCGATCTCTTGACCTCGTGATCCACCTGCCTTGGCCTCCCAAAGTGCTGAGATTACAGGCATGAGCCACTGCACCCGGCCTTTGTTTAGTCTTGATTTGGCTATGCGGGCTCTTTTTGGTTCCATATGAATTGTAGGGAGTTTTTTCTAGTTTTGTGAAGAACGATGGTGGTATTTTGATGCGAATTGCATTGAATTTATAGATTGCTTTTGGCAATATGGTCATTTTCACAATATTGATTCTACCCATCCATGAGCATGGGATGTGTTTACATTTGTTGGGTCGTCTATGATTTCTTTCAGCAGTGTTTTGTAGTTTTCCTTGTGGAAGCCTTTCACATCCTTGGTTACATATAATCCTAAGTTTGTTGTTGTTGTTGTTTTTGTTTGGTTTGGTATTGTGAAAGGGGTTGAGTTCTTGATTTGATTCTTGGCTTGGTCGCTATTGGTGTATAGCAGAGCTACTGATTTGTTTATATTAATTTTGTACCGTGTAACTTTGCTGAATTGATTTACCATTTCTAGGAGCTTTTTGGATGAGGCTTTAAGGGTTTTCTAGGTATACAATCATGTCATCAGCAAATAGCGACACTTTGACTTCCTCATTACCACTTTGGATGCCTTTTATTTCTTTCTCTTGTCTGATTGCTCTGGCTAGGACTCCCAGAGTACTATGTCGAACAGAAGTGATGAAAGTGGGCATCCTTGTCCTGCTCTGGTTCTCAGGGGGAATGCTTTCAAGTTTTCCCTGTTCAATATAATGTTGGCTGTGGGTTTGTCATAGATGGCTTTTATTGCCTTAAGATATGTCCCTTCTATGCCAATTTTGCTGAGGGTTTTAATCATAAAGGATCCTGAATTTTGTCAAATGCTTTTTCTGTGTCTATTAAGATGAATATGTGACTTTTATTTTTAAATCTGTTCATGTTGTGTATTACATTTATTGACTTACGTATGTTAAACCATCCCTGCATTCTTGATTTGAAACTCACTTGATCATGGTGGATTATCTTTTTGATATGCTGTGGGATTCTGTTAGCTAGTACTTAGCTAGTATTCTGTTAGCTAGTATTCCCTGTTTTGGTATTAGGGTGATACTGGCTTCACAGAATGATTTAGGGATGATTACCTCTTTCTCTATCTTGGAAGAGTGTCAATAGGATTGGTACCAATTCTTCTTTGAATATCTTATAGAATCAGCTGTGAATTCATCTGGTCCTGGACATTTTTTTTTGTTGGTAACTTTTGAATTACCATTTAAAATGCTGCTTGTTATTGCTCTGTTCAGAGTTCTTATTTCTTCCTGTTTTAATCTAGGAGGGTTATATTTTTCCAGGAAGTTATCCATCACCTCTAGATTTTCTCATTTATGTGTGTAAAGGTGTTCACAGTATCCTTGAATGATCATTTGTATTTTTATGGTATCAGTTGTAATATCTCCTGTGTCATTTCTAATTGAGCTTATCTGGATATTCTCTCTTCTTTTCTTGGTTAAATTCGCTAATGTTCTATCAATTTTATTTATCATTTAAATGTACCAGCTTTTTAATTCATTTATCTTTGTATTTTTTGTTTCAATTTCATTTAGTTCTGCTCTGATCTTGGTTCTTTCTTTTCTTCTTCTGGATTTGGCTTTGGTTTGTTCTTGTTTATCTAATTCCTTGAGGCATGACCCTAGGTGACTCTTTTTTCTTTGGCTTTGTTGGATTGGGTTAATTCAAAAGCACAAATTGTCTATTTGTGCTCTTTCAGGCTTTTTGATATAAGCATTTAATGCTATGAACTTTCCTCTTAGCACCACTTTTGCTGTATCCAGCAAAAGTTTTGATAAGTTGTGTCACTATTATTGTTCAGTTCAAAGAATATTTCATTGTTAACCCAACAATTGTTCAGGAGCAGGTTATTTAATTTTCATGTATTTTCATGGTTTTGAGGGTTCCTTTTGCAGTTCATTTCTAATTTTATTCCACTGTGGTCTGAGACTACAGGCTATAGTTTTGATTTTCGTAAATTTGTTGAGACTTGCTTTGTGGCCTATCATATGGCCTATCTTGGAGAACGTTCCATGTGCTGATGAATAAAATGTATATTCTGCAGTTTTGGGGCAGAATGTTTTGTAAATATCTGTTAAGTCCATTTGTTGTAGAATATAGTGTAAGTCCATTGTTTGTTGACTTTCTATCTTGATGACCTGTCTCATGCTATCAGTGGAGTATTGAAGTCCCCCACTATTATTGCATTGCTGTCTATCTCATTTCTTAAATCTAGTAAGCAATTGTTTCATATATTGGGGAGCTCCAGCATTAGGTGCATATATATTTGGGATTGTGATATTTTCCTGTTGGACTACTCCTTTTATCATTATATAATGTCCCTCTTTGTCTTTTTTAACTGCTGTTACTTTAAAGTGTGTTTTATCTGATATAAGAATAGCTACTCCTGCTTGCATTTGGTGTCCATTTGCATGGAATATCATTTTCCACCTCTTTACCTTAAGTTTATGCAAGTCCTTATGTGTTAGGTGACTCTCTTGAAGACAGCAGATACTTGGTTGGTGAATTTTTATCCATTCTGACATTCTGTATCTTTTAACTGGAGCATTTAGGCTATTTACATTCAACATTAGTATTGAGATGTTAGGTACTATTCTATTCATCATGCCATTTGTTGCCTGATTTTTTGTTTTTTGTTTTTTGTTTTTTCTTCATTGTGTTATTGTTTTATAGGTCCTGTGAGATTTATGCTTTAAGGAGATTCTATTTTTGCATATTTCAAGGATTTGTTTCAAGATTTAGAGCTTCTTTTAGCAGTTCTAGTAGTGCTGGCTTGGTAGTGCAAATTCTCTCAGCATTTGTTTGTTTGAAGATTGTTATCTTTCCTTCATTTATGAATCTTACTTTTGCTGGATACAGAATTCTTGGTTGATAATTGTTGTGTTTAAGGAGGCTAAAGATAGGACCCCAATCCCTTCTAGCTTGTAGGGTTTCTGCTGATAAATCTGCTGTTATTCTGATAGGTTTTCCTTTATAGGTTACCTGATGCTTTTGCCTCACAGTTCTCAAGATTCTTCCCTTTGTCTTGACTTCAGATAATCTGATGACTATATGCCTAGATGATGGTCTTTTTGCAATGAAGTTCCCAAGTGTTCTTTGAGCTTCTTGTATTTGAATGTCTAGATCTCTAGCAAAGCCAGGGATGTTTTCCTTGATTATTCCTTCAAATATGTGTTCCAAATTTTGGATTTCCCTTCTTCCTTGGTAACACCAATTATTCTTAGATTTGGTCACTTAACATGATCCCAAGCTTCTTAGAGGCTTTGTTCATTTTTTTAAAATTTTTTTCTTCAGCTTTGTTGGATTAATTTGAAAGCCTTGTTTTTGAGCTCTGAAGTACTTTCTTCTGCTTGTTCAATTTTATTGCTAAGACTTTCCAGTGCAGTTTTCATTTCTCTAAATGTGTCCTTGATTTCCGAAGTTGTGATTTTTTTAATGCTATTTCATTGGATATTTTTCCTTTCATGTCCTGTATCATTTTTGTTTGATTTCTCTAAGTTGGACTTCACCTTTCTTGGTTCCTTTTTGTTTGACTTAATAATCAACCTTACGAATTCTTTTCCTGGCAATTTAGAGATTTCATCTTAGCTTGAATCCATTGCTGGTGAGCTAGTGTGATCTTTTGTGGATGTTAAGAAAGCTTGTTTTCTCATATTATCAGAATTGTTTTTCTGGTTTATTCTCATTTGGGTGGATGATGTCAGAGGGACAATCTGGTACTCAAGGGCTGCTTTACAGATTCTTTTGTCCCATGGGAGTGCTACTTTGATGTGGTGCTCTCCCTTTTCCTCTAGGGATGGGGCTTCCTGAGAGCCGAACTATAGTGATTGATATTTTTCTTCCGGATCTAGCCACCCAGCAGAGCTACTGGGCTCTAGGCTGGTATTGGCGAGTGTCTATAAAGAGTCCTGTAATATGATCTGTCTTCAGTTCTCTCAGCTGTAGATATCAGCACCTACTCTGGTGGAGGTAGCAGGGGAATGAAATGGACTCTGTGATGGTTCTTGGTTGTATTTTTGTTAAGTGTGATGGTTTTGTGTTAACTGGCCTCCAGCCAAGAGGTGGTGCTTTCGAGAGCACATCAGCTGTGATTGTATAGGGAGGATACATGCTTGCCCTAGGGTTGCCTTTGGATGAGTATTCAGGTTTCTTGGGCATTGGGCAGGGTCACAGAGCTCCCAAGAGATTATGTCCTCTGTCTTTGGTTACCAGGGTAGGTAGAGAAAAACCATCAGGTGGGGGCAGGATTATGCATGTCTGAGCTCAGACTCTCCTTGGGCAGGGTTTGTTGTGGCCATTGTGGGATAAGGGGATGTGGTTCTCAGGCCAATGGAGTTATATTCCCAGGAGGATTATGGCTGTCTCTGCTGCGTCACACAGGTCGCCAAGGAAGGGGGTAAAGGCAGCAACCATAGGCCTTACCAGCTCCCACAGAGCCCATAGCCAGAAAGGCCAGTCTCACTCCCACTGTCTCCCCCCAACAGCACTGAGTTTATTTCCAGACAGCCCTTGAGCAGGACTGAGTACTTGCCCCAGGCTACAAGCCTCCCAGCTGAGAAAGCAAGCACACTCACAGTTCCTCTGCTGTCCCATGGAGCCTGCAGTGGCAATCCACCTCCTTCAAAGGTCTGTAGATTCTCTCAGCTTTCCTGGTATGTTCCTGTGGTAGTTCTTGGAGAAAAAGTTCACTATATGGGTCTCCACACACTGCTCTCTCCCTCCTAGTGGGAGCTGCAAGTTAGTCCTGCCTCTTATCCACCATTTTCCTCTTCTCTCCCAATCTACTGTGTTCTACGGGTCAATGAAAGTCAAAGTACACCCTAGGTGCAAGTGTTGGGAAAAAAAGTCATCATCTCCTCAAGGAAAGAGCTGTGAAGAGTTCATGATCATTTTTAATCCACCACTTGCATCATAAATACAAATCACCATAAAGCAAAGCATTATTGAATGCCAACATATGCCAGCTAATGCTTTATATGTAACATCTAAGCATTTATTATAATTCTATGAATGACCATGAATGAATATAAATGTCATTATTAGAGATGAGGAAACTGTACTACATAAAAGGTTAAGTAACTTGCCAAAGGTCATACAGTCTGTGATGCCGAAGCAGATTCAGGTCCAGTCAAACTACGAATCCCAGTCTCTTGATCACCATACTTCATAAAATGTACAGTAAGGTTATCATACAAGCTTTCTTTTGCTGCCATAACACTTTGCCACAAACTTAGTGACTTAAAACAATACAAATGTATTATCTCACAGTACTGTAGGTCAGAAGTTTGAAGTCACTTGGCTTGTTTCTCTGTTTCAGGTTTCACAAAGGCTAAATCAAGGCTGAGTTATTATCTTAGAGGCTTAGGAATAATATATGGCCAGGTTCATCCAGTTTGCTGGAAAAATTAAGTTCCTTGCAATCAAAGGCCTAAGGATTCATTCTCTTGTTGGCTGTCAGCTGGAGGCCACCCTTGGCTCCTAGAGGCCTACATAAGGAGATATATATATATATATCTCAAACCCAGTAACTGTGCCTCAAATTCTTCTCACACTTAGAATCTCTAACCTTCTTTTCTGCCGCACCTCTTCTGCCTCCTTTTCTGCCACATCTCTCTGACCGCAGCCAGAGAAGTTTCTCTGCTTTTAAGGGCTCATGTGATTAATTGGGAAAATCCAGATAATCCAGGATAACCTCTTTCTCTTAAAGTTTGTAACCCTTTCTCTTAAGGTTTGCAGGTTACACCTGCAAATTCCCTGTTACTCTGTAATGGAGTACATCATAGGATGTAGGGATTAGGGTGTGGACATTTTTATAGGCCGGGTGATTAGTAAGTATTCATGGAGGTAAAATTCAGTTGGATTTTAAGAGATACATAAGGTATTACAAGGTCCTCCTTGTGTTGGGGAGGAAGAAGTATAAGCCTATGGGAGAAGCTGCTAAGAAAAGCAACAAGAATCACACACGTAGAGACACAGGAAAGTGTAAGACATTTGTGATGAGTGATGATGATTAGAATGATGAATTTGTGGGAACAATTAGAGGAATGATATGTTAGAGTGCAGATAAGGTCAGCCAGTGGAGAACCATAAGTGCCACATAGAGGAATTTGGGTTTTATTCTACAGGCTACAGGAAATCATTAGGTTTTTGAGTGAAAGAGTGAAAAATTAAAATGATCCGCGGAAGTGAATCCAGTGAGTGTATGTGGAAAGATGGGAGTGAGGTGGGTGGAAGATAGCCAAGTAAATTATAATCAACCAGTTGTCCAATAATAAGGTTGATACAGAGGAAGGGAAACTGGTGAGAGATTCCAGGAAGAAAGAAACAGCTGGAGTATGGCTTGATTGAAGGTTGCACATGAAAGAGAATAACTGTGATCTTGGAAAAAGAGGGGTCGGGAGGAATGGGGTAAAATCTGCTACAAAGAGGAAGCCTGAGTCAGGTAAAGCAGTAAATGCAATTCCAGTCTAGAGAGAACAGCTCTGCCCTAAAAAGGAACAGCTGGGGTCTCCATCCTGCTCAGCCTTCATGTGCCACCATCTTTCCATTTAAAGGTAAGAAATGGACTCCTCCACAAAGCAGGCTCCCCACCGGAATCCCCCTGACTTCAAAAGCCACATCTCCAGGAAGAGAAAAGCAGAGGCATTTTTTCCTTCTGAAAAGTTCCTTTTAATATTTGGAGTTATTTTCCAAACAGTGGTTTAATTAGTGTTTTTAATTTCTAAACTTAATGAAAAATTAATAGCTCCATGGTTGCTCTGAAACTTCTGCGTGATTGTGTGTGTTATCTTCTTTTTCTTTCTTCCTATTTTTTAGTGCAAGTTTTTTATAGACTCAAATCTGAACTCTGGGGGCATCTCCACATCTCAGAATTGTTGTATATAATAATAATAATAAAGTCCCCAACTATACGAAAGTTTGGATTAAGAGATCACCCTTTAAGACATTTCTTAAACATTCTTTGGCAGGCCTGAGATTTACAGGGGGCCATCATCAAAGCAGCCATGTAAATGGGGACATATTGACAACTTTCCCCCTTAAAGGCAGACACAAACAGGATTTATATGCTTCAACCACAGCTCCCTTGGGAACTCAACAAGGGACTTATTTTGTTTCTCTTTTAATAGCTTCTCTTGGGTACTTTATGGACCAGTTCTCTCATCTCAAGTGTTTGATCCCAAGACATAAATTAATTTTAGATGCACCTTTTATCCATCTTGTCTGCTAAGGCAATATTCACTATTTGTTTTGGTTGCCATGGAGATAATTGACTTCCTGCAGTGGCAGGAGTCTTGTTTGGGGGTTTTAAAGGGGTTTGGGTCCAGGGATTCTTTAATTTTCACATCGTGAGGAAAGCCATTTCATCAATGGAACATTCGTATACATCTCCCACTTATAATTGGAATGATTTTTTTTATCACCTTGTGAAACTTCCCCTTTTATTTTTCATCACTTCCTTCTTTATGGTTTAACCTCTGCTCTCCAAGGTGTTGACTAAAACCACAGCAAAGGGCAAGCATTCTATTTATTACTATTTTGTAGAATGGTTGGACACAGCATCTCAGCAGAATACTATCTGAAAAAACAGCTGAAAAATCTGAAAAAAAAAAAAACAAAAAAAAAAAAACAAATGGTGGATTATAGAACCCTATTCAGATAGAGGAAGAAGCTACATTTTATCAAAGCAAGAAACACTTTGAATACCAGTTCATAAAATCAATCTCCCAGTTACCAACTCAGGCTGCTAAAGATTGGGTCCCTCTGGAGTTTAGGTACCAGTTCTGATATTTACAAAGGTGACTGTTGGATTCTGCTATAAACTGTTAGAACAGGCAACCTGAAAGTCTATCTCAAGTACAATGAGAAAAATTAAGAAAGAAATATCAGCTTTAAGAATATCTTCTTTGAGATATACAAATATACAAATAACAAAATGATAAATACGATATTTTACACACATTCCCGCCTACCTTCCACATTTTGACTACCATTACAGGTCATGAACATTTCCAAAACAAATTATCTAAAGACTTTTAATGGCATTTAAAAACCTAACTACCAGAAATACATCCTTTTTGTTGCATTCGATTTTTGAGAATCATATGAGTTATGGTATTTCTGTATATATATTTTACAACACCAAAAAAATCCTATGCCACTTATCCACAGGGCTAATATTTTTGCTAAAATAATTTTTTACTGTAGTTCAAAAAGCTATTACCAAATGAAAAAAATTAAATCAATGATCAGAATAAGAATTCTTAGGAGCAATAATAGTGAACAAAACTCTAAGAACCTACTTCAGTTCTTTTAAGTGCACAGCACAAAATCAATTTGCAATGACCCTGAGAATCAGCCTTCTTCACCACATGACAACAAAAGAAATGGAGGACGAAAACAAATTAAAGTTCTTAAAAGTCTTTTTTGCCTTCTAAAGATTTAAGGGTATCTTTGAGCTATGAAACTTTTAAAGGCAGCTCTTTGAATGCTTATCAATATTGTTGTATATTCTTACAGCAATGGCTTTTAGGCTGATCCTAGAAGCTCACGATTCACTTTCTGATTCATGTTTCATTCTTATTGTATTTGTTTATTTCATAATGTTTTTTTGAAGATGCATTATGAACATAGCACTGTGCTAGGCAATGGAGGGAGAGAAAAATACTTGATGCAGTCTAGACAGGCACCAACATCAGGATAACACAAAGCACATAATTGGATGTACATGTTCAGAAGACAACAAAATGCAAGGGAATACAAATCGGAGGGAACTGCTTCATTACAGGCCTCCCACACATTAGCTCATTTAACACTGACAATACCTCCACCTCACTGACAAGAAAGCTACACTTTAAAAAGGAGCCCGGATTTGACACTAGGTGTCTCTGATTCCTAACCTAAACACTAAACTACTAACCTGTAATACTTCCCTAGTTTAAGTATTATAGTTTACTTCAATGATGACATTTTAGCTGGACCAGGCAGGATTTTAAAGTGTTTAAGAGGGAGACAGGCATTCCAGAAGAAGAAAAGGATACATGGAGGCTACGGCATGAGTCCGAGACAGGGAAAATAACAGCTAAGTCTTACATCTCCAATGAGGAAAAGTCCTATTGAGAGGTGACAGCATGCTGGCAGCCCTCGCAGCCCTCGCTCGCTCTTGGTGCCTCCTCGGCCTCGGCGCCCACACTGGCTGTGCTTGAGGAGCCCTTCAACCTGCCACTGTGCTGTGGGGGCCCCTCTCTGGGCTGGTTGAGGCCGGAGCCACCTCCCTCAGCTTGCTGGGAGGTGCGGAGGGAGAGGCGCAGGTGGGAACTGGGGTTGTGCGTGGCACTTGCGGGCCAGCTAGAGTTCCGGATGGGCATGGGCTTGGCGGGTCCCACACTTGGAGTAGCCGGCCAGCCCTGCCGGCCTGGGCAGTGAGGGGCTTAGCACCCTGGCCAGCAGCTGTGGAGGGTGTGCCAGGTACCCCAGCAGTGCCGGCCCACAGGCGCTTCGCTTGATTTCTCGCCCGGCCTTAGCTGTCTCCCTGTGGGGCAGGGCTCCGGACCTGCAGCCCGCCATGTCTGAGCCTCCCCTCAACCCACCGTGGGCTCCTGCATGACCGGAGCCTCCCCGACGAGCACCGCCCCCTTCTCCACGGCGCCCGGTCCCATCAACCACCCAAGGGCTGAGGAGTGTGGGCACAGGGCGCGGGACTGGCAGGCAGCTCCACCTGCAGCCTGTGTGGGATCCACTGGGTGAAACCAGCTGGGCTCCTGAGTCTAGTAGGGACTTGGAGAACCTTTATGTCTAGCTAAGGGATTGTGAATACACCAATTGGCACTCTGTATCTAGTTCAAGGTTTGTAAATGCACCAATCAGCACTCTGTGTCTAGCTGATCTGGTGGGGACTTGGAGAACCTTTATGTCTAGCTAAGGGATTGTAATTACACCAATCAGCACTCTGTATCTAGCTCAAGGTTTGTAAATACACCAATCGGCACCGTGTGTCTAGCTCAAGGTTTGTGAATGCAAACCAATCGGCACTCTGCATCTAGCTAATCTGGTGGGGACTTGGAGAATCTTTATGTCTAGCTAAGGGATTGTGAATACACCAATCGGCACTCTGCATCTAGCTTAAGGTTTGTAAATGCACCAATCAGCACTCTGTGTCTAGCTCAAGGTTTGTAAATGCACCAATCAGCGCTCTGTGTCTAGCTGATCTGGTGGGGACTTGGAGAACCTTTATGTCTAGCTAAGGGATTGTGAATACACCAATCGGCACTCTGTATCTAGCTCAAGGTTTGTAAATGCACCAATCAGTACTCTGTATCTAGCTCAGGGTTTGTAAATACACCAATCAGCTCTCTGTATCTAACTAATCTAGTGGGGACATGGAGAACTTTCATGTCTAGCTCAAGGGCTGTAAACGCACCAATCAGCACCCTGTCAAAACGGACCAATCAGCTCTCTGTAAAACAGACCAATCGGCTCTTTGTAAAATGGACGAATCAGCAGGATGTGTGTGGGGCCAGATAAGAGAATAAAAGCAGGCTGCCCGAGCTTGCAGTGGCAACCCACTTGAATCCCTTTGCATGCTGTGGAAGCTTAGTTTTTTCTCTCTTTGCAATAACTCTTACTACTGCTCACTCTTTGCGTCCACACTGCCTTTATGAGCTGTAACACTCACCGTGAAGATCTGCGGCTATCGAAACCACGAACCCACCGGGAGGAACAAACAACTTCAGATGCGCCACCTTAAGAGCTGTAACACTCACTGCAAAGGTCTGCAGCTTCACTCCTGAGCCAGCGAGACCAAGAACCCACCAGAAGGAAGAAACTCCGAACACATCCGAACATCAGAAAGAACAAACTCCAGACACGCTGCCTTTAAGAACTGTAACACTCACCGCGAGGGTCTGCGGCTTCATTCTTGAAGTCAGTGAGACCAAGAACCCACCAATTCCAGACACACTATTATCATTCCCACTGTATAAATCAGGAAAACGAGGCTCAGAGAGATCAAGTAACCAGCCTAAATGCAAGCAACAGCTAGTAAATGGTAGAGCGAACCCAAGTGATCTGGCTCCGGAGCCTGTGTTCTTAACTTCTCCTGACCCCTGCAAGCGCCACCCTTGCAGAGACTGCATATGAAATTCAGGAGGGATGGGTGGGGCAGGGCCAGACAACCAACACCTGACAAAGGTATCTTGGGGTCAGGTTAACAAGTGCTGCCAATTGTCTTCTCAGGCTTTGAAGAGCCGTGTTTCGGGGTTTGTTTTTGTTTTGGAGCAGGGATAAGCTAAGCTCAGCTTTGTGTTTTAGAAAGATAAGCCTGGAGCAAAGAGGAGCATGGATTGGAAGGGATGAAAGCTGGAGCCACTTTTCTTTCAATAAAAATATATTTACAAGTAATCCACACACACACACAAAACTTACACACACACACTACACATAAACATATACCACGTGTACCCCAAATATACACATGTGAATACATACAACTTACACACATACACATCAAATATGCACTACATACATTCATATACCACACACATATACACACATACACCACACATACACATACCACATGCACTCACACTCCATACACATATACCACACACACATGTGCATGCATACTCAAACATGCCACACACATGCATACATACTACATATAAACCACCCACACATTGCCTACATATACGATACATACATACACACATACACATACTCACATACACATGCATTCCCTTGCCTGAATCATGAGGTAAATGAACTCAGAAACATAATGTTCACTAAGATTTCTTTATATCATATATTTTCTGCCTCCCTGAACACAGACTAGACATTATCCAGGAACTTGAGCCTGCAGGAAAGGAATGTTACACATCTTCATCTTCCACTTCTAATGACCCAACGTTAGAAAGACTTTTTCTTTTCCAGATTCATTTGGATATTTCTGAGCTCAATAAGCCTGCCAGGGGAGCTATCTTGAAAGCCTAAAAAGGGTCCTTAGGCAGCATTGTTCTCAATTCCGCAGATGCTATCCTCGTCATTTATGCCTTAAATTAAGAAAAACAATACATTTTGCTTTCCCTGGTTTCATCTGATTTTCTATTTAGAAATTGTATGTGTTAAGCCTGGACAATGTCAGTGTCCAGGCCGAGATAGTGACTCCCACCCAGTAAAGGATATCACACAGCTCTATGTGGGCTTAATTCTGCATTTGCCTTTATGCAAATGTCTAATTTTCTAGTTTTACTTTTTTTGTATCATAAATACACAACTATAATATTCTCTTTTTATAAGAAAAATATGCCTGTATCTAAACAAAATGAAAACATTTATTCTTTAGTGAAAATAACTGCTACCTGGATGGTAAATTATGTTCACATTATGGTTCATACTTGAAAATTATTTTTAAAGCGTCATGAAATTCTTGAAAGCAAAACAACATTTTTGAGCACACATAATTTAAGTTTCACTTAGGGACCATGAAAAAAATACATCCTTTAGAACACACATAGGGCATTTACAGGAAATGTGGTCCACGAGATACAGAGCCTCTGTTTGGTCTGAATGGAAGATCACATTTCATATTTTAAGGTCAAATTACATCAGTTTCTTTCCAGTAAAAAAAAAAAATAGCATCATACTAGAATGTTAATATCTTTAAAACCTCCAAGACTCGATATTGTGTTCTCTCGGGATAATTTACTGAAGATGAGACTGATGAGCTGCAGCAACCATTTAATACCCAGAGTTGCGCTTAGGAGAAAAGGATTTCCAGGATAAACCATTTGCAGGGAAAATTCAATCTAAGCTTCTTTATTTTCAGAACCTATGTTCAGGATGGAAGAAAAAAACCTCTAACATATACAAACACGGAGTTTTCAATCCTTATGATAACATTGGCTATTTTAAAGTGTTGGCATAATTTAGGACCTTGAATTTAGGACCTAATTCATGACTATATATTATAAAATCATTTCAGTAAAAAAAAAAAAAAAAAAAAAAAAAAACAACCAAAGTGATGTTTTTCCATTTCCTTTCCCTCATCTTTTATGCCACTCTCTCTGTTGGCTCTGTATTATTATGTTTACAGAATTGCATGCAAAATATATACACTAAGCATTTACTGAGCCCCCACTCTGCTAGGTGCACAGGGAGACATAAAATCGTAGGAGACTTCATGTTTGCCTTCAATGAGCCTGAAATCCAGCAGGAAAGGTAAGACAATTGTGGGGATACCTAAACACAGTTGTGAGGATGAACAGGATGGTGCAAACTACTTTAGGAACGCAGAGCTAGAGTGCAGAATCACCAGACTGCAGGCGAAAGAAGGCATGTGCGTAATTCCAACAGTGGGATATGAAATTCCCATTTCAGAGACATAAAGTTTAAGTGTGTTGAGGGACATTTTGGCTGCAGCAGCAGATGTTTGAGACCCTGTGTTAGAAATAGGAAGTGTTAACGACCACAGGTGGTTATCATACGAAAATGACAAACAGCAATAACAAAAAAAAAAAAAAAACATAAAAACCAGAGTGGCTTCTGCTAGGTTTGTTGGTATATTTTCAAACTGAAGAAAGTTGCTCATAAATTATCTTTCAGGTTGATTTTATTTTTCTCTCTATGCTCATGAAATGCTTTAACGAACATCTACACCTCCTCAGTGGAATTGGGAGTGAGTTATTTGTGAAAAACAGGTGAGGTTGTTGCTGAAGGACTTACTAAGTGTTTCTGCTTGAGTGATACAGCAGTGGACTCATAGATCTCCCAGAAGGTTTCGGACAATCATAGCAACTATCAAAGAAAGGAGGTTGTGGTCACTGGGAAGTTTTCCAAGTGGAATTTTAAAGAGGACTTTGTTAGAGAGTCCTCAAGGCTCTTTCTGAGCACTCACACACACCCCTCCTTTTCCCATTGGCACCCGCAACCTGAATTTTCTGCACAGAATCACATCCATATCTACAATGTGGAAGAATCAAAGTGGATCAGAGGCATCCCGCACTGCCCACACCTGTGGGGAAAGCGCCGCTGTTAATATTTCTGCTGAAATCTGAGCAGCCTGGAGTTCTTAGCTTAAGTAAATACTGAATCAAACATACCAGCCTACAAGGGAAAATAGCAGTCTCTGCCATTTGCAGAACATCTATCATGTTCAAGAGCCTTACATTCATTTTGTTCTCTAAATAATAATTATGTAGGGTTAGCTATTGTTATTTCTTTTTCATAGGCCTCAAAAGTCTAAATAATCTGCCCAGGGCCACAGGCATAGCAAGACGTTTTTTGATCCCAAAGCATCGCTCTACTTTGCTCTGGGATTGGAACTAGAACACACAAGTGAATTGTAAATTTTGATTTCAGCAACATAAAAACATGGCCATCAACTAGGTAGTAACTATATGTTGGGCTAATCCTAAATTAAATGAAAAACCTTTGGGAAGCCCAGAGCATACTATTCCAGGTTAGAAGAGACAAAGGAAGGGATCCAGCCTAGGACATCATAACCTCATACAAACAATAGGATGCCCAGCCCACAGGGGCCATTATTATGAAGTATTATTTATTCTCTCCAGGGACAGTAATTTCACAGGCATGAAAGCCATCTCAGAACCTTAACAGGGGGCTGATAATTCGTCCACTCATGCATAGTGCCTACCAAAGTGTACTGGATGAAAATCTGAACCTAAGCATATTATAAATTCATGGCTTTTCTCTATGAGTAGTTAATCTAAAATCAGAGATTTCAAGTAAAATATGGACATTCAAAATTACGGTGCTATCCTTTAGGAAATAAATGTTACTTACTCAAAAATTATTAAAATCGCATGGACTTGAAATGGGCTGATACCAAGGTATAGAGATCAATAGAAAGGAAAGATGAAAAGATCTATCCTAAAGAATAATAATCTTACTCTCCTACTACTTGCAACTTCGAATAAAATACATCTTAGATTAGGCAAATTTCCCAGGATCTTCTACAGAACCCCTTTTCATTCCTTTTTTTAGTGGCTGTGTTCAGAAGTAAGAGAGGTGTTGAGGTTTATGTGGAATAAAATATGATGACAAAAAAGATGAAGCAATTCATTCATTTCATGAATATCTGAGTATCAACGTTGTTTACTGCTGGGGAACATAAGCAAGAACGGTCAACAATCTGCCTCTGTGAAGCTCACATTTTGGTGAGAGGAAAAGCTGACAAAAAAGATAAATAAAATATAGAATGTGCACTAACAATGATAAGTAAGGAGAAAAATACAAAAGAGGGAGATAAAAAGTGTCTGGGGGTGCAATTTTAAATGAGGTGATCATTTAACATGGGAGCCCATGTCATCCATCCAAAGTCTTCAAATGAGTGGAAATACCCTAACCCTGGTAGAGCAGGCCTAATCAGTTGCTGCAGTGGTTTCCTGGGGCTGCTGTCACATAGTACCACAAGCTGGCTCCTTCAAAAAGCTATTTTATTGTCTCACAGCTCCGGAGACCAGAAGTTTGAAGTCAAAGTGTCAGTAGGGACTTCTGAGGACCTGTGGGAGATAATCAGTTGCGCATCCCTTTCTCCCAGCATCTGGTGGCCTCAGGCTTTCCTGTCTTCCCTCTGTGCATGTCTGTCTCTGCGTCCAAATTTCTCCTTTTTATAAGGTCACGAGACATACCGAATTACACCGCCCCCAACCCATAACCTCATCTTAACTTGATCATCGTAAAGACTCTATTTCCAAATAAAGTCACATTCACAGGTACTGGAGATTAGGACTTCAACATCTTTTGGTGGGGACATAATTCAATCCATAACAGTTGGTAAATAAGAAACGCCAAAAAAAAAAAAAAAAATTAAAGTCCTGACAATTCCACTTGGGGAGAGAAATCATTAAAGGGATTGATTGCTCTCATTAGGGAATGGCGGTGATGCCTGCTTCTATATTTAATAAAGGCTAATTTTGGCCCTATAAACATCCATAATGAATTATTTAATGCAAGCTGGCAAAAATATACCTACTGAACACAGATGTTGTCGTCCGTTACTATTGGCTTTGGCTATAAAATAAGAAAGGAATTAGTAATCTCTTGGGAACCAGAGCAAAAGAAAATTAGACAGGCCAAGGTGTCCTTAGCCCACCCAGAACAGCTCTGCATTCACTGGGCTGGTACCTGTGCTAGTAGCAGCCCAGAATGGGCTCGGCTCCCTGGTTTCTTAATAATCATATTTTCTTTTCACAAAGGGTAGAAAATATTATTGAGCTAAATTTTTCCCGTTGCCAACAAGTTAGGGATAATGTGCACCATGTGGATCAAGCTGATCACATAAATTAGGGCTTTAAAGCATAATATCTGAGCATTTCCCAACTGAACATTACTTTTCTGTATAAATTAAAAATGTCTAAAAGGGAGTTTATTAGAAGGAGACTATCAAAGCTTTTTATGAACATGCTTTCTCTTTTGATCTATATAATTTTCAAAAAGTGTTAGACATATCATGATTTCTAGCACAACTGGAATTTTAAATCTAAGAATCAGAAGAAAAAAATGCAAATAGGAAAGACATGATTTTGAAGCCATGTCTATTTTGCTGCAATTAGTCATTAAGCAGAGGAAATGAATTTCAGTAAAAAGCCTGCTTTATCTAGCACTTTATCAACCAGGAAGCTCTAGAAAAAAGCATTTCTGTTATCTCCCAACACAAATCCTCAATCTATTAACCACAGGACTATAAGAAGGTTGTTATTTGCTTCCTTACTGGTTTGGGGAGGAGAGAGAAAATTACATCTTTGCATCAGTGAGCTTTTTCAAACAATGGTGATTTACATGTCAATCTCTTGATTATTAAATATTATCTATGTGATTTTCAACTGCATCCAATAGAAAAAAAATTTCAATCGCAGATAATATCTTCGAAACACTAACTACTTTGAATTTCTATAAAGCCTTAGAGAAGACCAAAGTCCTTTCAAGGTATGCTTGTGGATCACTGAGCCAGAACAGATCTGAAGTGGTCATTTATTTCTGAGCACTCTCTTCAAGCATGTCAATATTAAAATATCAAATATTGGGAGACTTTTCAGGTTCTACTCTTAAAGAGTCTTAATCCACAAAGTGAATAGAGCCTCTGTGGACTTGAGAGATGACCGAATAGCAAAGAAAGTATTCATAAGGTGTCCAATTTGGTGGCCATGGAAAGTGGTAGCAGAATAATCCAAGCACCTTTCCTTGTCTGAATGTGAACTAGGAAAGGGTGAGGTTCTTCTCCTTTCGGAGGTTAGTCCATCAACTTACTAAGCCACAGAATATCTGAAAGATGCAAAGGCATATGTGTTGGTTTGCTTGTGTTGCCAAAACAAAATACCACAGACTGAATGGCTTAAACAGCAGAATCTTATTTCTCACAGTCCTGGAGGCCAGAAGTTCAATATCAAGGTGCTAGCAGAGTTGGTTTCCTCTGAAGGCCATAAAGAAATGATCTTTTCCAGGCCTCTCCTCCTGGCTTGCAGATGGCCACCGTCTTGCTGTGTCTTCACGTGGTCTTGCTCTGTGCATGAGCATCCCTTGTATCTCTGTTTCTAATGTGTATCAGTGTTTCCTGATCTCTTCTTATAACAAGGACACCAGTCAGATTGGATAGAGCTTACCCTAATGCCCTCATTTTAACTCAATGACTTCTTTAAAGTCCCTATCTCCAAAAACAGTCACATTCTGTGGATTAGGGTGTTGACATATGAATTGGAGGGGAGGGGAGGACAATTCTGCCCATACCAGCAAGCAATGTGGGAATCGTCTGTTGGGTTCAGTGGTAATGACTCTTCCATTCCTAAAGTTTTTCACATTCTTCCTGCTCAAAGGATGAATGGAGGCTTTGTCTTATTCAGCTGTAAAAGCTTGAATTCTGTTATTTGCCTGAATGGAGGAAAAATTAGCAAAACAATGTGGACTGCTAAGGTAGCCTAACCCCTCGTAAGGTTTCTGGTCTCGCCCTTCTACCCTGGGAATAGAGAAGAAATGACTACATACCTCAGTGCAGTGTGGATTATAAGTGTCAAAACTTTAGAAATCTCAAGCTAGAACATGGGATCTACTAGCAGATTTCAAAGCCCTGCCTAGTACAGGGTCTAGAACAATTAGGAGCTATCTGAGTAGTACATCTCTTAGAATATTGGCTGCCATCATACCCCTTTCTTGTTTGCACCTCTCATCAGTGACTCCTATAAGAGCAGGGATTTGCCACATGTACATGGTTTCCCCATTCCCAGCACGGTAGCAGACACACAGCAATCATTCAGTTAGAACCTGCTGAAGGAGCTTACCTTCTCCTTTAGAGAAGTTTTAGAGTGGCCAGGCATGGTGGCTCACACCTGTAATCCCAGCACTTTGGGCGGCTGAGGCAGGCAGATCATGAGGTCAGGAGATTGGGACCATCCTGGCTAATATGGTGAAACCCCGTCTCTACTAAAAATACAAAAAAATTAGCCGGGCATGGTGGCGGGCACCTTTAGTCGCAGCTACCCGGACGCTAAGGCAGAAGAATCGCTTGAACCGGGAGGTAGAGATTGCAGTGAGCCAAGATCGCGCCACTGCACTCCAATCTGGGTGACAGAGCGAGACTCTGTCTCAAAAAAAAAAAAAGAGAGAAGTTCTAGAGCAAGCACAGTCATAGGTGAGATAAGTCGTATGATTTCAAAAATCACTGCCTTTGGGTTTTCTGAGTAATTTGCTTCAGATTTTCTGCCCATTCTAGCTAAGAGAAAGGCAGTTTGATGTTATCATAAATCATGGGTATTGCACTTTTTTTCTACCACTCTATACAATCTAGTTACAATACTTTTTTACCTAGCTGAAGGAGATAACTCTGAATATGAATAACCTTCCCTTGATAGCATTTACTTTTGGTTTGATTCATGTGCGTCCCAATCAGGGAAGAGCCTTCACAAGATGGCATCTGTCAGCAAGGGCACATGTACTGAAATCTTGCTGCTTTTTATATTTTTACATAGTATGGAGTAATTTTTGTTTCCTCTAATCAAATATCTGACATTATTCATTGTATTACATTTCTCAATAGAGTGATCCAAACACAAAGTGTCCTCCTAGATGGTGAATGAACATGTGCTCATCTCCATCATGTGACTGAAAGGAGATTGTGTCCAGGTGTATCTTTATTGTGGTCTATGCAAATGTAAAGTCTGTCTACTTGCACGGTTCAATTTCCTAGTGCAAGGATTCCTCTATCCTCTCATTTGCCAAGATTCCCAGGAAGGAAGCATGTAACAGTCATTAGAGATAGCGCCCAACTACAAGTGGAATCTCCATATCAGCATCATCTAATATTGTTCTTTCTCTTCCTTCCCTCCCCAGCTTCCTGCAACTGAAGGTCATTCCTCTTTGTTAGAAGACTAAGGGTCCCTGACCTGATCTGTGGAGCACCAGGGTGGAGAGAGTGGAATAAGCAGCAAAACGAAAAATTGGATGCTGTTTTCAAAAGTTTTGTTCTCATTCTTGGATTATAGATTATCTAAAGGGAAAATTTAACTCAACCAAAAAATTCGTTCAGCTCCATGAAGCTAAAGATGCTATAAACTGACTCTTTCCTAAAGAGCACCAAACCTGAAATTTTTCCTGCTAGAGAGGAACTAATCTTCAAGGACACCTGTCTATTGCTAGACATTAAGAAGGAAGGTGAACTCCGTTCTGTCTTCATAAAACACATTTTTGTCTTTCCCCCTCACTCCTCCACTGAACCCACTATGTTTACAAGTACAAGCTATGACTGTGGAGGTGGAAAATCTGATACTGTCAGCACAAGTGGAACAAAATGAAAAGAGAAAAAAATCTACACACCCATCTGGACTTCCATATGCTCTGTAGCCCAGAGGCTAATATAATTCCTTGAATGTTGGTTATAAAGCAATGTGATATGGATGACTGCTATGCACTGAGCTTATTTAGACAAGTGTTCTTTCTACTCAATAAACCTTTGAAAGGATTAAAGTACAATCACTCCCAATTATCTGTTCTTCCCTTTCTATCTGAGTTTTCACCATATCCTCCAACTGATCCCTGTTTCTACCCCATTCTAATTCCCCATCCACAGGACCAAGTGATAGTGTAGTGAGAAGACATGACATTCAGGGAATATTGAGAAGTTTAATGTGACAAGGGTGCTGGGTGCATGGTCAGGCAGGGGCTGCTGAGAGATCTGCCTAAAGAGACAGGAGGCAGAGTGTGAACGGCCTTGCATGCTATGGTATGAATTTTATCTTCTGAGCATCAGGAAGCCTTGAGAATAATGTGATGAATTTTGTTTTAAAGAAATAATTCTGGTGATAGAATGAACAGTATGCACAAGAAGAAAAAAAAAAAAAAGGATGAGAGGGGGACTAATTGGGTGAGATTGCCATGGTCTGGCAGAGAGACAATGAAGGCCAGACTCTGAGAGGGGTGGAGAGCAAGGACCCAGTTCAATTTTGTGGTTAGATTTATACAATGGGAAAAATGACTCCCTTCACTTCAAGGAAACAATGCAAGAGTAAACTCCCTGAGAAACCCCTTTCTGGATTTTTGCAGCCCCTTATATATGAGGAACAATATTAAGGAGACTTGAAATATGCTTGTTGAAGATTGCTCTTTTAAAAGGTCTTAAAATTATACCCCTGACTTCTTTATCTTATAGGACAACAGTCTTTAATATTATAATTTCTCATCTTTACATGGAGGTTGCTTCCCTATTATTTTAAAAAGCCATAGTTTTCTGCATCCTAATGTATTCCTATATGCTGAACATAAAAATGCCCTAATTTTTGTTCCTTTTTTTTCCCCAATCATGACTCAGATTTCTGCCTCTGAAAGCTCCAGTAACAGACTTGACCACCAGCCCTTTAGTACATTTCATAATGAAATTAAAACTAAATGGATTTCAATGATTGGGTTTATATGTTTCCAAGTCCTCTTGTATAGACATCCTTTAAAGTTGGAGACTACACAATGGTCTTTGTGCCTGTTATGAAAAAAAAAAAAAAAAGGGGGAGGGAGATTTTGCAAGATACTTTTTTCCCTAAAAATGTAGCTCTAATGTTAAAATCCAGTCAAAACTATTGTCATGTGCAAGAACTTAAAGGATCCATGCAGCATGCAGGATTAACAAATGAACGCTATCATCATAATTTACAAAGATTGCACTGTGCTAACAAAAAATCTCCATTGATCCGTGCTCAAGATAATTGTGTGTTCCAAAGATTTTTACCTGTTAGAAAGGATGAGGTAGCTCAGTGGAGCACTGTTTTGTAGGTCAGCAGGTTCAAGGTCATCCTTTAGAAGTGGCTTCAGAAGAGCCCAGGGTGTGATGTGAATTAGATATATGTACTGACCTCAGCAGAGCTTGGTGCCCTGGTGCTCTGGGACCCAAAGCCAGGGATACAGGAGAGTCAAGATGTTACGTATCTGAGATAGGTAGGAAGAGGAAACTGTGAAACTGTGAGACATGTTTTGAAAGAATTAACAGTTTCCTAAAGAGTGAGGGAAATAATCTAATATTCTCACTGAAGCTTCTTGGGAAGCTTGGACACAAATTTCCTTCACCAGAGAAGCAGATATTCACGATTTCTGTTTTTTTCTTTGTTATGAAAATGATCACAGGTTAAAAGAGAACTGCATGTGTTGGGCCACAATTTTGAGCGTGCATGCCAGTGTAATGGGAGAGACGGCAGCAGAAGCCCTCACCTGTTTTCATGATGGGCGGCGCAGGCAGACAAGCTCTCGGGAAGCAAACAAGCTTGTCAGTTCACTAAGGAAGCGGCAGACCAGCTGTCACTCTATTGCACAACACTTAGTTTTTAATTTTATTCCAAAGACAGGAAAGCAGAAGTCCAATACCACCTCTCATTTCTCTTAAGTAGCGTAATAGAACTGAGATTCTCCCAGTCACAAAGAAAATGTAATCAGAGTAGCTAAAATAGGAGGAAAGAAAATATATCAGGGAGAAGTATACACCAGCCGCTCACTCAGGGGCCAGGTTTTCAATGGGCCTTCTTAATTGTGTCTGCAGTCTTTAACAGCAGCTTCCATTTTCACCAGTATAAGCCCACATTTCAAAAGCAAATTGGATACCTGCATGAACAAGCAGGCAGTTAGGCAGCTAATTACTGTGTGCAATTCAATTACCTAATTACTGTGGGCAAGTGTAGGGTGTTTGTGCAAGCAAACAGTCCCACCCACAAATATTGCAGATTTGATTAAGAAGGCTTAGGTGCAAAGATCCATGTTCATTGCTAATGCCTAATAGGTTCAATAATCTTCCCTCTGGGCCCAGGAAGGTCCTGGTTAAGCACTTTTCTAGGATTAGAGTGGGGAAAGCCCTGCCTAAGCGAACCTCACCAGCCTCCCCCGTGCCAGGCTGAAGGCTAATCTGGAACTTTGCCTTGCTACTCAAAGTGTGGCCTGTGGACCAGCAGCATGGGCTTCCTCTGGGAGTTTGTTTGGAAGGCAGAATCTTGGGCCCTACCCCAGACCTACTAAATTAGAATTTGTATCATGATAAGGTACCCAAGTGATTCATATGTACCTTTGTATTCAAATACAAGCCTGCTCAAGATAGAAGGCTACCCTTGGTGCCAACTTATGCTAAGTAAGCTAAGTCTGTGTGGGGACTGCCCTTCCAAGCTCTCCTTGAAAATGAGAACAAATCTGGTATCCAAAAGATGACCACCAGTTACTCAGCCATAATGAGCAAACTGGATGCTTTAAGAGAAATCCCAAGCAGTCAACCCTTCAGGAACGAATCCTAAAATGTTAATACTCAAAGTACCCAGCATGTGCCCTGGGAGACAGCAGAGATGATGTGGCTGGGTTCCTCCATAAACTCATCTTTCACACATCATTGCAGGAACATTCTCCATCCATTTAGGATCTGTTTGACTTGTGGTATTTATCTTCACCTGTGACTACATGTTCAGCATCAGATTATTCTGCGAATGTCCTCAACCAGAACTTTGAGTCCTATTAATCAGTCCAGTCTGCCTCCATGGAATAACAGTATGCGAGGACTCTATTTTGTGGTCTCTGCCAATCTCTGCAGAGACAGACCACATTGATCCATTTACTCAAACATTACCGAGAGGACGGCTATGCAGCCTTAGGAACAGGCATTGTCTACTCCCAAATAGACTGCTTCAAGCACTTCATCAATCTTGTTCACTTTGCATGGTGCCGGAACCGGAGAGCAGTGCCATTTTAGGCAAAATTTTGTCATTTGTCTTCATGATGTAGAGGAAAAGTACCGCACAGGAAATGGGGCTCTGACTCCACGACTAACCAGCTATGTGACCTGCGGCAAGGCACTTAAGCCTCAATCTCCTCATCCCTAAAATGAGGGGACTGAATTGGACTCTTTTCTAATTCCCTTCCAGTTCCTACAATAATTTGTCATCATCCTTCCACACTTGGGCTCTTGGCCTCTAAGTCCATGTCCAGCAGCGAGGTACCTCCATAAAGTATATTTTTAGACCTTCTGATTTCAGGCAGCTCCCCAGGGTGGGACTTCCCAGCTCTCTCCTACCTGCAGTTTTCTACCATGAATCTCATCAGATTCAGAGCCTGCTTCAGCGAGCCATCCCTTTGGCAACCTTCCAGAAAGAAGTGCCCTAAAGTACTAGCAACTAATTTAAATGCATTAACCTTCCCATGGAGTTTTTGGATTTGAATGGGAAAGTCTTTCCTTAGCACAGAGGACTCAGTTTCTTTTTTTCTTTCTTTCAAGATGGAGCCTCACTCTGTCACCCAGCCTGGAGTGCAGTGGCACGATCTTAGCTCACTGCAACCTCTGCTTCCTGGGTTCAAGTGATTCTCATGCTTCAGCCTCCCAAGTAGCTGGGACTACAGGTGCATGCCACCATGCCTGGCTAATTTTTGTATTTTTAGTAGAGATGGGGTTTCATCATGTTGCCCAGGATGGTCTCAAACTCCTGACCTCAGGTGATCCAACTGCCTCGGCCTCTTAAAATGTTGAGATTACAGGTATGAGTCACTATGCCCAGCCTCAATTTCTAACGATGAAATTTTAAGCTTGTTTTCCTAATAAGGGAACTGTGGCATTTCTATAAATAGCCCACAAAGCACAATCCCACTCTTTTCATTTCAGCAACTGAGGCCCAGAGAGATTAACTCACTTGCCCAAGAAGATGCCGCTAGAATTAGAACTAGTATTTCTCAAATCTCAACATTGCAAGCAGCTTCATCTTTCTTATTCTTCTTATTATGAAGGCTGCTGCGGTTTGAGGTAAGTGCTGACCAATCGACATGATGATTAACTTTGTCTCCCAAAAAGAGGCAAGGGCAGACCAGATCTCAGACAGCAGATGGACAGCACTTCAAGGTTTCTTCCATAAAGGAAAAGAGAAAGTATATTCCACAATAATGCTTTATTGCAGTTATCCAAGCTAAAGTTAATGGGCTTTTTTCTTCTTTTTTTCTGAGATAAGGTTGGGTTCTGTTGCCCAGGCTGGAGTGCAGTGGCGTCTTCATGGCTCACTGTAGCCTCAATCTCCTGGGCTCAAGCAATCCTCCCACCCCAGCCTCCCAAGTAGCTGGGACTACAGGCATGCACCACCATGCCCAGCTAATTTTTGTATTTTTTTGTAGAGATGGGGTTTCATCATGTGGCCTGGGCAGGTCTAGAATTCCTAAGCTTCAGTGATCTGCCCTCCTCATCCTCCCAAAGTGCTGGGATTACAGGCATGAGCCACCATGGCTGGCCGAAAGTAAATGGGCTCTTAAATTCAACAACCCAAAGGGGAAAGACAATATTGCTGAAAGCACAGAGTTTACTGCAAGGGAAGAAGAACCGAGAGATGCTATAAAGGAGATGCAGTAAAACCTCAGGAGATCTAACTCAGTTTCTCACTGGGGTCAACAATTCTATGCCTTTGACTCAGATTGAACTAGATGATCTCTAGTTTCTCTCATATTCTGAAAGTTATTTGAAAAATTGTGATAGGTGGGAATAATGAATCAAACCTAAAACAAAGGAATAAATGAAAGGTCCAACATGTGGATTCATATAAACCGAACAAGAACAGGATGGGGTGAAGATAAGACTTAGCAACTGTATGATTAAACAACAATCACTGACTCCAATTAAAGTCTTATATGACTTGAAAGGGTTAATTTGAGTTCAAGCAGTATTTATATACGTTGACTTTAACACAGAGCAAGGACAATTATAGTCCTGTCCTGTTTTGTTAGACCACACCTGGAGTGTTGCATTCAGTTTTGAAGCCACATTTAAGATGCATGTGGACAATGAGAAATATGCTCAGAAGAAAGTGACCAGAAGAGTGAAGGGGATTTTGAACCTCGCCATGTGAGGAATGATAGGACGTGGAATGTTTAACCTGAGAAAAAAGAAAAGCCCTCACATGACCCTATGACTGTGTCATTTTTGGGAGCAGTTGGCACTATTCTGTGTAGGTCCAGAGAGCAGAGCCAGGGCCAGTGTGAAGAAGACGCACAGAGGAGAGACTTCTGAGCAGTTAGGTGCATCCAAAGACAGAACAGGTGACCTCAGGAGGTCACTCACTAGAGCAGTTCAAGCCCTTCTGTTTGTTCTTCTTTGGAAAAGATCCAAGCATCAGATGAGTGGATGAACAAGGTGACATTTCCTGTTTCTTCCCAACTAAGAGTCTATGAAATGGAGAGAAAAGCTGGACAAAAAGAGAAGACAGAGATGAGCAAATGCCAGGTATTTATTACTGCTCTAAATGAAACCATTCCTGTCTCAGGAACAGCAATAAATCATTCATTTTCACAGGGGATATTTTTAGTGTACGTTGCTAACATGCATAGAAGGCACTTCTGCAGAATTACAACTATTAAGGCACTCTTGATGTCCCTGATACAACAAGGCTATCACCTATTCGATTTATTTTTTGCTAATGAGATACAAATATCTTATGTTTACAACCAGAAAATTCTTTTTTTTTCTATACTAATATGTAAATCCTTTCTCTGTGTCTTATTTAAGGCCATTGTATCTCATTAACAAATTTTATTTTTACCTGACCAGTAAACACACATCACATTAATGACAATTCTTATCACTGAACTTCATTAAGAAGTGTGGTATCTTCACTTTGTATACATTGCTGGTGTCTTCGCTGCTGCTGGTGTAACTATAATTTATTAAGATGTGATTGTCTTCAGTAGTGTGACCATCTGTGTTATTAATACAAAAGCAAAACAAAATCTGCTTTTATTCTTACTTCCACTGTCTTGCCCCTCCAAAATCTAGTCTTATCGTGACTTCTCTAAACAGTGTGAACTGTTTGCTGATTTTAAGAATCCCCATTTCGAGAGCTGTTGAAACTCACCTTTCCTTCATAGACATGGGGAAAATCACTAAAACTCTGACAATGCACATCATAATCAAATGTGCAGATGTCCACAACTATTACTTAGCAAAGGTGCTGAGTTTATCAGAGAAAAATGTCCCTCTGTAGTTTGTATCACTATATTCTGTTTTGAAATTGTACTATATTATCCCCAATAAACATCTGAAGACACAGGGAAGAAAGATATATCAATCTATAAAGGAAGAGCTCTTTTTTAATAATTAGAATGATAAGCTACTAAATCTTTTTCTACGTTTGGGGAAAGGCAAAAAGGAAGCAGTGATTTTTGGACAGCTAAGGGACAAAATGAGGCCCCTGCACCCTTAGAGGTAAGGAAAAGAGCTGGTTAGGAAGTCGGAGCGAGTACATAAGGGAGATGTGAAGACACCAGAGGCCATTTTTACTTGGCTTTTGGTTTTGCCCAGCTTATAGCGAACATAACTGCCAAAGAAAAGAGTTAGGCCAGCTCATACCTGAGGAGGAGGTAAAAACAGCCTCAAATAAGAGAAGCCCTGGTCCATCCCAGACCAATGAGAATCTCTTTCCTTGTAAAGATCTCTGAAAAATCTATAATGTCCCTCAATAGCTCTTTCCATAGCTGCCTAAGAAATATTTATTGATTGAATGACTGTTCCCAGGGAATTCAGCCCATTCACTAACTCGTGATTTCAAACTCGTGTCTTCCAAGTGGTCACTAGTATTTTTACTGTGTATATCACCTGTTAGGAGCCTGGGGAGGCAGGCAGAAAGCCCACAACAAACAAGCCACATAACAAAGTTCATTCACCTAAATCTCAGAAGCCAATGGCCTTCACTGGGACTCTTTCCACCAATCACAGGTCAGAGGAACAAGTCCTTAGTCCAGGTCAGCCTGTTCTAACAGCCCAGCATCAGAGAGAAGAGCCCCAGGTTACAAGGAGCCTGTCCATCCCTGAACCTCTGAAGATCTTATAAAAGCGTTAACGAAAATAACTGGCATTGCTCTATGCTCTATTGATGGGGGGAACAGGGACATTTTTATATTTTGTGTTTCATTTGATTCTTAAGACAAACCCATGAGTTAGCAAGGGTGATTATCATATCCACCAATTAGCAAATGAAGACATCAAGGCAAAAGAAATTGAGACTTGCTTCACTAGTCAGTGTCACTCAACCCTGACCAGCCATTTAAAACCCTTAAGGTCATATGGATAGTAACAGAATTGGGGATTACAATCCAG
Organism: Homo sapiens; assembly: GCF_000001405.40. NCBI lineage: Eukaryota > Metazoa > Chordata > Mammalia > Primates > Hominidae > Homo > Homo sapiens. Next base: position 59,458,194 of record NC_000013.11, read on the forward strand.
ATACTCAAAATGCTAATTTAATGTTCTTTAGCCAAGCCAATCACTCTCTTCTCAATATTATCCAATTCTCTTCAAAAAAGAAAAGCTATTAGTTCCACATTAGTTCCAGGAACTGTTCTAGGTTCTGATGAATCAGTCAAGTCCACAAGAAGTTTAGATACTAGACAGGTAAGTAAATAATTATGTGATTTGGACTGTGGATTATAATAAAGATTCTTAAAAGATGCTGGGAACACAGTAGAAAAAGTTCCGTTTCTCTGAAGATGTCAATGATAGAATGTTTCAGCTAGTTCTCAAAACATGAGCAGGAGTTCTTGAAGTACAGAAAAGGCAAGAAATATCCTTGCAGAAAGAATAGGGTAAATCAAGTCACAGAAATATGGCAACTTAGAGACATTGAGTTGGGGCTGGGTTGGGGGACAACTGGAGCTATGGAAGAGTCCTCTAAAAATGAATAAAGACCATTATCAATAACCTATTAAGAACAGAGTGCCAGGTTACAGACACCATTCTACTGGCATGCTGACTAGAAATGAGAACAGCAAGTCCCCTTTTTGCTTATTCTAACCTGTCTTCGTCCAAGCTGACATCACTGTTCACCTCCCCTTCTACGCTATCCAGGAGACATCAAATGTAATTGAACATCCATAGCAAGTTCTATGTTTGCAGTGAATGGAGTCATTCATTCTGGCTACAGGATCTTCATTACAATTGCATGAAGCTTTCACTGTGGGCCATATTATGAGAGTATACTTGGTGCTGGCACAAGGAGAACTGCCTGGTAGAGCCAGTTGCAAATGTCATGTCCAGCTTTTACGCACAAAGGAAATGAGAGCTTTAAAAAAAAAAAAAATCCAACGCCCATTGCATTGTGATTCATCTTCTTCCCATCAGCACCAGGATGTCTCAGATTACATTGTCTGGCTCTCGGGAAAGAGAACTACGACAAGGTTGAAGGGAAGGGTTGCCACTGTGGAGTCAGGGCCTCTCCTCTGAGGCTCCAGCTGCAGATAGCCACGGTTCCTGCTGACAGTCGAGCCAAGGTCTTCCCGAACGATGGCTGAAAAAGCCTTTGTAAAACAGAATGTGAACCCTGGAGCCTACTGCTCCTGGTGGGAGTCGAAGAAGGGAACAGTAGGAGCTGCCTGTAATTTTCTTTGTCTGTGGCAGCAGAGCAAGGGAAAGAAGTGTCACAAACATGAGGGAGAGGAAGTGAGAGATCTTTATGCTGAGCCACTAAATTCACTGGAGGCTGAAAACCACAAAAGTAAGTTCACATAAAACACCACTTGGCATTTCACCTGGTATGTTTGAGAACTTTGGGTGCAAGGATTTTTAAATTATAGCTGTCTCATCTGTAGACAGGGAGAAATGATCTTGTCTGAAAACTTAGGACCAAGCTATGGGGCCCTGAGTACCTACATCTGTGAGGGTCTAATTAGAGAAGCAATTTATTATAGAGATTTGACTTTAGAAAATTGAGGGAGCTGGTAAAACAGTGTCTGCAAGGCCATTGTCTTTGCATTTGATGCTGGAGCTTGATGTCTGCTGGGCAGGCAGTCTGGAAGGAATGGGTGGATGTAAATCAAGTAGAGAGAACAAGGAAAAGCTCAAACCATGTCAGTTTCTCACTGTCTCCTGCAGGAGAAGATGGACTCTTCTTCACTGAGGTAAATACACACCTGGGCCAGGAGTCAAAGAAGCTGAAAAAGGATGCAGGGGAAGGCACAGCAATTGCAGGTGAGGCTGCTGCCTTAAACACCAATGAGGTGAGCAGGCAGATGAGGAGCAAGGTATTTGAACCACAAAAGCACCCGGTGGCCCTACCTCAATATTCTAAGCATAAAAAAAATATGGCTGCTGTTAGAGTTTGTGCCCCCAAAGCTTGCACAAAAATGTATCTTGTGGCACAGCTTAATTAGAAACAGACAGAGAAGGGGGTTCTAGGAAATGCAGCACAGCCCTGTCAGTTCAACATGTTACAAAGCCACTACATGCCTTCAGAATTAAGTCATGACTTTAAATGGAAGGTAGATGGCGTATAGATGTTGTATTAGTTTCCAAGGGCTGCTATAACAAAGTAACAAAAACTGGGTAGCCTAAAAAAGAAATTTATTCTCTTATAGTATTAGAGGCTAGAAATCCAAAATCAAAGCATCAGCAAGGGCATGCTACCTCCAAAGGCCCTTCAGAGCCTAGGGAAGAGTCCTTCCTTGCCTCTTGAAGTTTCTGGTGGTTGTCAGCAATCCTTGGCATTCTGTGACTTGTGGCAGCCTGGGTCCTTTCTCTGCTACTCTCTTTAAATGGCCTTCTTCCCTGTGACCCTGTGTGTCTTCCCCTCTCTTATAAGGGCACAAGTCATACTAGATTTAGAGCCCACACTAATTCTGCATGACTTCATCTTAATATAATTAATTATATCTGCAAAGACGCTATTTCTAAAGTAAGTCATATTCTGAGGTTCTGTATGGACATGAATTTTGTAGGGGACAGAATTCAATCCAGTACAAGTGTTGTAAGGGAAAATCTAGAACAGAAAATGAACAAAAATCTTTGAACAGTGGGATCAAGCAAAGAATGTGGGCGCTTATAAAAGGAGCGGCTTTGTTCCAAATAATGTGTTCAGGAGTGTAATTATGATATCAGTTAGACCCTAAATTTGTTGACATTATGTACAGAAATATCTATAAGACTCAAAGGCATGTGTTTACTGTTTTCTCATTTATCTCATTTATTTTCTCATGGAGCATACCATGTTGTTATTCAAAAGAGAAAGTATAGGCTCAGAGAGAGATTAAATAGTATGCCCAAACTATGCCATCAGAAAGTCGGCCGAGCACGGTGTCTCACGCCTGTAATCTCAGCACTCTGGGAAGCTGAGGCAGGTGGATCACATGAGCTCAGGAGTTTGAGACCAGCCTGGCCAACTTGGTGAAACCCCGTCTCTACCGAAAAAATACAAAAATTAGCCAGACATGGTGGTGCGCGCCTGTAATCCCAGCTACGCTGCAGGCTGAGGCATGAGAATCGCTTGAACGCTGGAGGTGGTGGTTTCAGTGAGCCGAGATCATGCCACTGCACTCCAGCCTGGGCGACTGTCTCTCAAGGGAAAAAAAAAGAAGAAGAAGAAGAAAGTGGTGGAGCAAGGAACTGAACTCAGGAGTGTTAGATTCCACAGGGCATGTTCTTTTATTACCCTTATCATGTAACGGTAAATAACACTCGCTAAAGTGAATGCTAGCAAACTTCTTCAGGCCATCTCTTACTTATCCTTCGACGCTCATATTAAGTCTTCTCTGAAGATTCCCCTAACTGCCCAGGACAAAGTGAATTCCTCTGATCTCCCACATTGAGATCACAATTCCACTCTTGTCCTCATTCCATTGTATTATGTTATCTATTTGCACATCTGTTTCCTGTCTTATGTGTAGCTACCATATCTTGCCACTGCAGCAGTCCCAGTACCCACCCACCCAGTGCCTTGAACATAATAGGAACTCAAATCTTGACTGATTAAAGTCCTTCAAAGAAGGTGCTTCATTTTATAAAAATGTCTAGATATGTTATTCTGTAACCTTCCCCCATACACAATTCTCAGACTTTAGAGACTCCAAACTCTTCTTTATACCAAATAAAATACTGCTACTTCAATGCAAATTCTTATTTCTTTTCTCTTTTCTGAGGATGTATACAACTGGTTTTGAAAATTTCCAAAAAAATATCAGGTAATTGTATGTGTCCATTTTTCTTTTCCTGGTTAAATAACTCAATTGATAATCTAATTTTCTGGGGTTTTTTGTTTTTGTTTTTGTTTTTTTGTTTTTTTGAGACAGGGTTTTGCTCTGTCACCCAGGCTGGAGTGCAGTGGTGTGATCTCGGCTCACTGCAACCTCCACCTCCCAGGCACAAGTGATTCTTGTGCCTCTGCTTCCCGAGTAGCTGGAACTACAGGTGCCAGCCACCATGCCCAGCTAATTTTTGTATTTGTAGTAGAAACGGGGTTTTACCATGTTGGTCAGGCTGACCTCAAACTTTTTTTTTTTTTTTTTTTTTTGGGACAGAGTCTCACTCTGTCGCCCAGGCTGGAGTGCAGTGGTGCCATCTCAGCTCACTGCAAGCTCCACCTCCCAGGTTCACGCCATTCTCCTGCCTCAGCCTCCCGAGTAGCTGGGACCACAGGCACCCGCAACCACACCTGGCGGAATTTTTTGTATTTTTAGTACAGACGGGGTTTTCACCATGTTAGCCAGGATGGTCTCGATCTGACCTCGTGATCCGCCCGCCTGGGCCTCCCAAAGTGCTGGGATTACAGGCGTGAGCCACCACGCCTGGCAATTTTATGCTATTTTTAAAATAGCATAAACAATTTTAACTATATTTAAACTATAGTTAACTATGTTAACTATACTAATGAACACACTTAAATATTTACCATTTTATTTTTGGTTTTAGGTCATCTCATAAGCTAAAAAATCCACATGAACCCTAGCCATGCTTTTGATTCTATTTTCTCCTGTGCATCTTCTCCATTTCTTCCTACCTTGTCTATAACTCTAGGAACAAGCATTTGCCTTCATTAGACTATCTCAATAACTCCCCAAGGAAACAGATCACCGTGAAAACTATACCAAAGAGGAAAAACAGTCAAGGCAAGACTAATTTGAGACCACCACCTGATCTGGGTCTTACTTACTCCCATGGGACTTTCAACAGCTAAATTTTATTTTTATGTTTCTAATAGCCTTTCATCTGCTCAGTCCTGTGTTATCCACAGTAGAGGCTACAATGTCACAAAAGGCCAATGTATTTGAGTTCCATGGCCAGCTCTTGTTTCCTTAAATGTTTTAATCCATGCCCAGTGATGTCCTAGATTCTGGTTATTCAAAATGCAGTCCACAGACCAGCAGCAGCATTACCTAGGCGCCTGTTCGAAATGCAGAATCTCTGCCCTGTCCTTAGACTTACTGTCGCAGAATCCACATTATGACAAGTCTTATGGTTAATTCACATGTACATTAATTTGAGATGCACATCTCCAGATAATTGGAAACAGCTGTGAGATAGAGGAAATAGGCATGGATTGGCATCAAAAGACCTAGGCTGGCTCTGCTCTATTTCTACTTGGGTGACCTTTGGAAAATCACTTTGCATTTCTGACCCTCAATTCCCTCAACTGTATATGAAAAGTGTAAAGTGATCCAAGAGTCACTTGCATCACATTCTTAAGTCCTACCCTATAATTACTGAATCAGAATTTCTCAGAGGTTTACATTTTTAACAAGCTTCCCAGGTGATGCTTAGGTACATTTTCATTTGAATCACTGTCGTCAATAAATGTAAGGAACAGTCTTTTCTATGTCAACGTCAGTGCTAGTGATGTGTGCGTCAGTTCTAGCAATGCCAAAAAGAGGAGCAGTAATTGGAACAATCTCTAAGTTGACATTTGTGCTATATTTTGTCTTCTGTCTTTAACCTCCATCATAGATGAAGAAGTTATAGCCTTTCCTTAAACTGAATCATAACAAGAGGATTGCTTTATAGGAGAACTACCAAGACTGGCAATCATTTTAAACTATTCATCCAAGACAAAGGAGCATGGTGCCTAGTGGGTTATTGTACTATCAGTGGCTATTCATTGCTCTTCTGATTTGTCTAAGAATATCAAAAAGGTTTCCAAGGAGATGTGGCTTTCCACTTCTCCTTCACAAGATGTTTCTACACCTGGCAGTTAAATGAAATGCTGAAAACCAAATGCTTTTTTCTTACTGCTGTGCAAGCTTTCTAGATCAAAGAAATCCCTTCAGCAGTCCTATAAAATTAAGTTAAGGAGCAAAATGATGGAATTCAACACTTAGTGAGCCTCTCCTCATACTGGTCACTGTTCCAGTTATTCTATTGCTACTGATTCAGAAAGTTTCCACTGCAGTTCTAGCAGGCAAAGTTTATTTGTTGCATTTTCTAGATGATGATGAGAATTACTGTTGGACACATTACTTAATGTTTTTTGCATAGGTTTTATTCTGGGGTCCATTTCGCTCATTAGAATCTCAAAAAAAATAAAATAAAAACCCTAAAAATTAATACTCTAAGAGTACCTAAGTTACAATTCACTTAACATTGAATCTCATTTATTATTCTTAACCTTACAGTGTCATGCAACTTAATTCATGAAACATTATTTACTGTTTGTTTTGCTATTTGGGCTATTGATATGTAGGGTGAGGGAAGACTATACATCACTAAATGATAATAGCCTGGGAAGACTGTCTCACATTTTTCATAGGCTATTAATAATAAGATGAGTACAAATAAATGTGTTCATATCATGTGAGATGGAATAAAAAATATGCTGTTAGGAAAGAGCCTGGGGAGTTTCCAAAGAAGGAAGCACTGGTATCTGGCTGAGGGGACAGGCAAGGTATAGGAAAGGATCTCACTGTGCTGAGATGGAAAGTTGAGCACTGCAGGGAAAAGCTCACATAAGCAAAGGTAGGGAGGTCAGGAAGTTCAGGGTCTATTCAAACAAACAGTTAAGCTCCATTTGGTTGGTTTTGGTTCACTGTGGCCAAAGAAATATGCAGGAGAAACCTGCAAAGGGGAGATGATATTATGGTGAGCCTTGAATGTGAAGCCAAGAAGCATGTCATAGATTCAGAAGGTTTGGGAACTAAAGAGCATTTAGTTAGAGCTGCACTTTAAACTCACTCTGGCAGCACCATTTAGGGTGCTTGGAAGAGAAAAAAAGTCTGTGGACAGGGAAGAGGGCAATAGTCAAACCAAAGACCCTGAACAAGTGAAAGTGGAAAGGGGCAGTTGCCGTGAGAAACATCCCTGGAGCAGAACGTGTGCACCTTGCCAGGACACTGAGCAACAGCAGGAAGGAGGGAAGCACTCATATCAACAAGAGGGAATGCAGAGGGGAAGCCACCTGTGGCCCCTGATGTCACCCCAAACCGCATTTATACTCCAGCTTGGTTCCATTTCCTTAACCTCTTTAAATCTGTAAACTCATTTGTAACACAGGAAGAATAATCTTACAGGGCTGTTTTGAGATGTGACTGAGCAAACTTGTAAAATGCCTCATTCAGAGCGCTCCTGATACCTTGGCTTCCTCCTCCTCCTCCTAAGTCCTCTTACTCAAATCATGGTGGATGGAGCAGCAGTGGCATCATGACCTGGAAACATGTTGGAAACGTAGATTCCCAGGCCCCACCCCAGACCCACTGAATCTGAATGTGCATTTGGACATTATCCCCCCAAATTTCTGCACATTAAAATTTGGGAAGTATTACCCTATGCAATCCTTCTAGAATGCTCCCCATCCAGGTCCCCCGGCTTCTCCCTGACTTCTAGCCTTAACGCTACCTTTCCTTACCCCACTTCTCACCCTCAAGAAAAAAATGAAAGAAAGAGAAAAAATGAAGGGAAAAAATATAGTAGAGCCCAGAAGAATGCCTTATGAGTATAATATGAAAAAGTAATTTTTTTCTTTCAGTAAAATTGTCACAAGAAGGCATTTTTAAAATAGTTCTAAAATGTGAGTTACAGAAATGTTTGAAGAAAAATGATTTCCAAAGACACATTTAGTTGGCAGTTTCTCTGCTGTGTTTGTGGGGGGTGGGGACATCTCATTATTTTATCAGCACGCCCATAGTCAAGCTTTTAAAATGATGGATAAAAGGAAAATGCAGTGCTCTAGTGACAGTAGTAATCCAATTTTATAAGGCAACAATCAGGACCTGTGGCTGAGAGAGAAGAACCTTTGATTTCGTGGATTAAGGATCAAACTCGGTTCTGAATGCCTTTGCATTTGGCCACCATTCAAACCAAAGCTTTTAGGCTCTTGACATTATGAAGCAACAACATAGTCAAAGATCAAAGGATGGAGAATTCTCTGCATGTCGGGGTTAGCTTGGCCTCTGCCAACACAGGTATTCTCTGCATAACATCAGCAAGCACAGAGAAACTACTAAGCTGGTGAGCTGGCGGCTCAAGGCAGCAAAAACAGACATTCTGATTCCAAGCACAGAGAGGACAGCAGGATGATCTCTAAGGCCTATGCCTGCGAAGGGGCATTCATAATAAGAAAGCGAGAGCCACAAAATGAACAGCCCTGGATCAACACCTCAAAAGTCTATCCAACATGGACCTAGGTCTACCCACAACAGTCCTCAAAATATTTTTCAAAATCTTTCTGGGACTATCCTACTGAATCCACTAACCCTGATAAGAATCAGCAACTGACAGAATATCCTCTGATTTTATTTCAGTATAAGTAAGTGAGAAATATGTAGATTAAAAAGTATATGCAGTTGATTGAATACTATATTACAAGTAATGTAATTTTAGGTTATTAGTGATAGCACCACTGTAAAAGAGACTAAATAACAAGAATGGTGACAGTCTTAATAACTTCCCGGTGATACAGATAGGAAGCAAGGAAATACCGGGTAGAAGAGGGCAGTTCTCTGTTAAAGGCCCCAACCTTCAAGCCTGGAAACACACAACCCTAAATGGGAATAGGCATTCCTGGTTTCATGCCCAAATGTTGCCTTTTGGCTTGCCACGCTGCCCCCATCCTACACCCATACAAACCCCAAACTCCAGGCTCCACAAGCAGATAACCAGGCAAACGGAGGAGCAGAAGAGCAGCAGAGAAGGAGAGAAGAGGAGGAGCATCTGAATGTCAAGAGGAGTTTGGCTGGGGACAGTCGAAGAAGAGATTGGCCGCTGGATGGCCAAACTCCAGGGAAGATCATCTTCCCACTCCATCTGCCTTTCAGCTTTCCATCCATCCCACTGAGAGCCACTTCCACCACTCAAGAAAATCCTCATATTCATCCTTCGAGTCCATGTTTGACCTGATTCTTCCTGGACACCTGGACAAGGACCCAGGTACCAAGAGGGCATTGAGCTGGTTAACACTTAAGCTGTCCATGTATGGCAAGGCTAAAAGAGAACACTGTAACACATGCCCACTTGGGCTTCAGGAGTCTCAGGCTCCCACCCCTAGATACTCCTATGGGGCTGGAGCCCAGCGGTGCTCACTCCAGTTCCTGCACCTGCCCATCTACATGCTCCCCCTCCTGTAGAGGGTTTGAATGCCAATGGCAGCTGAATAGACGAGCCACACCCCTGTCTCACATCCTCTGCAAGGGGGGTAAGGGAACTCTCCCATTTTACCAGTGAGTTCTTGAGTGAGTTACAAGCTGCATTTTAAGTGCCCATAATGTTGTCAATGATGATAATCTAATAATTAATTTCCATTTATTGAGTAATTACTCTCTGTGGGAGACTGTTATTACAAAATGTTGCCATAAGGGTGGTATATAAAATTTCCACTTCTATAAAATTGATAGGTGATAAAAGATGAACCTAGCCATCATATTTACATCTTTCAAACCACAAAGTCCTTTTCACTAATTAACACTGCCTCTGCGAAGTCGTCCTGCCTAACTGCATTCTCAGCCTTCTCATTTGTAAAATAAAGACCTTATCTAGATCATCTCCCATGTCCTTTCTAGCCCTGACAATCTTTGATTCTCTGTGACCTTAGGTTAGTTGTATAGAGTAACGTGATGATAAATGTTATGGGTCAATTTGGCTAACCTAAGCTATGGTGCCCAGTTATTTAGTCAAATATTAGTCTAGATTATGTGATAAAGATAATTCTTAGATGTGATTCACATTTATATTCAGTTGACTTTAAGTAAAGGAGAATATCCTTGTTAATATGGGTGGGCCTCATTCAGTCAAAGGACTTAAGAGCAAAACCTGAGGTTTCACAGAGAAAAAGCAATTTTGCCTCAGCTCTTAACTGAGATTCCAATATGCCAACCCTACAGATGTTAGACTTGCCAGCAGCAATTCCTTTAAATGTAGATATATATACATACTATTTGTTCTGTTTCTCCAGAGAACCCTGACTAATGTAAGTATGAAGTAAAATCATTTATAGATTTTGAATATGGTGTTTTGCAATCATTAGGCCTATATTAGAGCACTAAACACAATCAAAAGTAGGTATATTGAAGCAACCTCATTAAGATGGTGGAACAGGAAGCCCCAGAGCCTCCTTTTTCCCATAAAAACACTTATTCAACAATACTTGACAAATTTTCTCTATGTAAAATCCAGAAATGAGCTAAGAGGCTCTTGAAACTCAGGTGAGTGTTAAACCAGCCCATATTGAAGGAAGAACTAAAAATGGTGGCATCATCTCACTATAGTTCCTTCCCCTTTGCACGGTGAAACTCCTATCTCCTGGCTTCTTCCTGGGTAGAGAAAGGAAAGACTGAACCATACATCCAATGTTCTGACTTTTGTCAGGGGACTGCAGAAGAGACCAGTTTTGGTTTCGCCTGTCTGGAAGTGCTGATGAAACCCAGCATATTCTAGATGCCTGGGAAACACTGATAACAAAAGAGCTGGGTAGTCAGCTGCTGCTCCAGAGAACCCACAGTATAGCAGACAGAGGTTGATACAGCTCTGTGACCTCTCCTTTAGGGAGAAAGAGAAGAGTAAAACATAGGTCTAATGTTCCAGCTTTTCAGGGGGCTACCTAAGGGACTGGTTTCTGTCTAGCCTGCCTTGGGGTACTTAGGGGACCCAACATAGTCTAGATGCCACTGAGGACAAGAAAGAGTGAGGAGGCATGTTTCAATTTCAAAGAACACATGCTACAGCAGACAGATACCAGAGGAAGCCAGAAAGTATGAGCTTCTGAAAAAAAAGAAGAAAGAAGAAGGAAGAAAGAAGAAGAAAAAGAAGGAGAAGGAAAAGAAGAAACAACAACCAGCTGATCTCTCTAATTGGGAATCTACATGCACAAGTTCAGAGAAGACAAAAACGCAAAAAAAGATTTGAGGGGGTCCCAAAATCTCTAGCCAGGCTGATTGGTGAAGGTTGTTCCCTTTATGAAGCCAGTCCATAAAGACTGGGAGAGCTGCTATTTTTCAAGTGTAGGATACCCACAAAAAGTTACAAAACCAATGAAGAAACAAGGTGAAAAGTCCCAATTAAAGGGACAAAATAAATCTCTAGACACCAACCCTAAAGAAATGGAGATACATAAATTACCTGACAGGTATTCAAAATAACTGTCAATAAAATGTTCAATAAGATAAAAAAGACACATAAACAAAATGAGAATTTCAACAAAAATATACATTTTTTTACAGAAAGAAGCAAATAAAAAATTTGGAGCAGAAGAATGCAGTTATTGAAGTGAAAAATTTATTTGAAGAGTTCAACAGCAGTCTTGATCAGGTACAAGAGAAAAATCAGTAAACTAAAAGACAGGTGATTTGAAATTATTCAGTCAGAGAAGCAAAAAGAAAAAAGAATGACAAAGATTAAAGAAAGCCTAAGGAACTTATGGGATACCACCAAGCAGACCAACAAATACATTATAGGAGTTCCATAAGAGGAGAGAGAGAGATAAAGGAGCAGAAAACTTATGTAAAGAAATAATGGTTGGGAACTTCCTGAATTTGGGGAAGAAAATGGACATCCAGGTTTAAAAATCCCAGTGAATTCCAAATAAGATGAATCCAAAGAAGTTAACACTGAGATACATTATAATCAAATTGTCGAAATTCAAAAACAAAGGGAGAATTTCAAAAGCAACAAGAGAATAACAACTCATCACATACAAAAAAACTCCATTAGACTATTAGCAGATTTCTTAGCAAAAACATCACAGGCCAGAAAGAAGTAGGGTTATGTATTCAAAGTGCTGAAAGAAAACAAACTGACAATAAAATACACTATATCCAGCAAAACTGTCCTTCAAAAATGGAGAGATGAAGACTTTCCCAGATAAGTGAAAGCTGTGGAAGTTCATCACCACTAGACTTGCCTAACAAGAAACACTAAAGGGAATCCTTCAAATTTAAACAAAAAGATGCTAAACAACAACACAAATGCATATGAAAATATAAAGCATGCTGGTAAAGGCCAATATATAAATAAATATTGAATTTTGTAATACTGTAATAGTGGTACATAAATGACTTTTGATTCTGGTGGAAGTTATAAGACAACAGTATAAAAAATAACTATACTAAAATATGCTAATGGATACACAATATAAAAAATAATATGTGATATCAATATCACAAGGTTGAGAGGAAGGAGTGAAGTGCAGAGTTTTTGTATGTGATTAAACTTAATTTGTTTCAGCTTTAACTAGACTGTTATAACTATAAGATGTTTTATGTAAGCCCTATGGTAACCACACAGAAAATACCTATAAAAAGGCAGAAAATAAAATGAAAAAGGAATGAAAAATTTATCACAAAAATATCAACAAAACGCAAAATATTGCAAGAGAGAAAAAAAGGACAAAAGAGCTATCAGACACATACAAAATAATAACATGTGGTAGTATGGCTTTCTTTATCATTAATTACTTCACATGTAAATGGATCAAATTCCCCAATCAGAAAACATAAGGTAGTTTAATGAATAAAAATCAAACAAACAAGATGCAACTATATGCTGTCTACAAAAGACTCACTTTATATTTAAAGACACAAATAGGCTGAAAGTAAAAGGATTTTTAAAAGATTTTTAAAAAGGACATTTCCTGCAAATAGTAACCAAAAGAGAGCACAGCTGGCCATATTTATCTAGGCAAAATATACTGCAAGTCAAAAACTGTCACAAGAGACAAAGAAAGACATTATATAATGGCAAAGTGTCAATTTACCAGGAAAATAAAAACATTGTAAATATATAATGCAGCCAACATTACAGCACCTAAACTATGAAGCAAACATTGACATAACTGAAGGGAGAAATATACAACAACACAATAATAGTAGGAGATGTCAATACCCCAATTTAAATAACAAATAGAACATCAAAACAGAAGATCAATAAAGAAACACAGGACTTGAATAACAGTAAGGAACAAATTGACCAAACATACATATACAGAACATTCCTCCCAACAGCAGCAGAATACACATCCTTCTCAAGCACACACAGAACATTCTCCAAGATAGATCACACATTAGGTCAAGAAAGAAGTCTTAACAAATGTAAGAACACTGAAATCATACCAAGTTTATTTTCCAGCCGCAATGTAATGAAGCTAGAAATCAAAAGCAGAAGTAAAACTGGAAAATTCACAAATATGTGGAAGTTAACACACTACTGAACAACCCATAGGTGGAAAAACAAAGTCAAAAGGGAAATTAGAAAATATCTTTAAACAAATGAAAATGGAAACATAGCATTCCCAAAACTTATGAGATGTAGCAAAAGCAAGACTAAGAGGAAAGTTTATCATAATAAATGCCTATACTAGAAATCAAGAAGTATTTCAAATGAACAACATAATTCTAGATCTGAAGGAAATAAAAAAAAGAAAAACAAACTAAGCACAAAGTTACCAGATGGAAGGAAACAATAAAGATTAGAGCAGAAATAAATAAAATAACAATAGAAACATAATAGAAAAAAATCAATGAAACTAAGAGTTGTTTTTTGAAAAGACCAACAAAATTGACAAAACTTTAGCTAGACAAACTAAAAAAAAGAGGTGACCTAAATAAATAAAATCAGAAACAAAAAAGGGGACATAACAACTGAGACCACAGACATCATTACAGACTATTACAATCAACTATAGTCCAACAAATGCATAAATTCCTGGACACATAAAACTTACCAAGAATGAATCATGAAGAAACAGAAAACCTCAATAAACCAATAATGAATAATGAGATTAAAGCTTTAATAAAAAGTTGCTCATCAGAGAAAAGCCCTGGTGGCTTTACTGTTGAATTCTCCCAAACACTTAAAGAACTAATACCAATTCTACTCACAGTCTTCAAAAACATTAAAGAGAAGGAACACTTTCAAACTCAATTTATGAGGCCAGCATTACTCAGATAAAGACATCACAAGAAAATAAAACTACAGGCCAATACTCTGATAAATGTATATGCAAAAATCCTCAACAAAACACCAGCAAACAGAATTAAACAGCACATTAAAGGCATCATATGCCATGACCAACTGGGATTTATTCCAAGGATGCAAGGATGATTCAACTTACACAGATCAATAAATGTGACACATCATAGCAACAGAATGAAGGACAAAAACCATGAAATCATCTCAATAGACTCAGAAAAAGCACTGATAAAATTCCACATTCCTTTATGATAAAAGCTCTCAACAAATTAGCCACAGAAGGAATATATTTCAACATAATGAAGACCATATATGACAAACTGTCAGTTAACATCATATTCAATGGTGAAAAACTGAAATTTTTCCCTCTAAGATTAAGAACACAGCCAGGATTCCTACTCTTGCCACTTCTTTTTAACATAGAATAATTTGGCTAGTACTGGAAGTCCTGGCCAAAGCAATTAGGCAAAAGAAAGAAGCAAAAGGCAACCAAATCCAAAAGGAAGAAGTAAAATTATCTCTGTTCACAGATGACATGATCTTATATGTAGAAAATGCTGAGGATCCCACAAAAATCTATTAAATAAATTAATTCAGTAAGATTACAAGATTCAAAATCAACGTATATAAATCAGCTGTGTTACTATACACTAACAATGTCCAACTCGAGAAGGAAATTAAGAAAACAATACCATTTATAAAAGCATCAAAGAGAATAAAATATTTAGAAACAAGCTTAATGAAGGAGAGGAAAAACCTATATACTGAAAACTATAAAACATTGCTGAAAGAACTTAAAAAGATACAAATAAATTGGAAGACATCCCGTGTTCATGGGTTAAAAGACAATATTGTTAAAATGTCCATACTACCCAAAGGTATCTACAGATTCAGTGCAATCTGTATCAAAATCCCACTGGCATTTTTTACGGAAGTAGAAACAATAATCCTAAGATTTATATGAAACCACAAAGAATCCTGAAGAGCCAAAACAATCTTGAGGAAAAAAGAAACATAGCTAAAGGCCTCACACTACCTTGATTTCAAAGCATTTTGTGAGTTACAGAAATTTAAATGATATAGTACTAGCACAGAGACAGACATATAGACCAATGGAACAGAATAGAGCACAGAAATAAATCCACACTCATATGGTCAACTGATCTTCAATAAGAACACAAAGAATACACAATGGGGAAAGGATTATTTCCTCAGCAAATGGTGTCAGGAAAACTGGATATCCCCATGCAAAAATAAATTGTACCTGTATCTTACACCATACACAAAACCAACTCAAAATGGTTTAAAGATTTAATGTAAGACCTGCAACTATAAACTCCTAAAAGAAAACACAGAGAGGAAGACTTATGACATTAGTCTTGGCAATGTTTCTCGCATGTGACACCAATAACACAGGCAACAAAAGCAAAAATTGACAAGTGAGACCACATCAAATTTACAAAGCTTCTGTACAGCAAAGGAAACAATCTAAATAGAGTGAAAAGGCAGCTTATGGAATGGGAGAAAATATTTGCAAACCATATATCTAACAAAGGGTTAATATCCAAAATATATAAGGAAGACCAACAACTCAATAGCAAAAACCAATCCTATTAAAAAATAAGAAAAAGAGTTGAATGGACATTTCTCCAAAGAAGACATACAAATAGCCAACAGGAATATGAAAAGGTGTTCAGCATCACCAATCATCAAAGAAATGCAAAACTACAATGACATATCATCTCACATCTGTAAAAAATAAATTTTAAAAAAGAATACAGGCCGAGGCGGGCAGATCACCTGAGGTGAGGAGTTCGATACCAGCCTGGCCAATGTGGTGAAACCCCGTCTCTACCAAAAATACAAAAATTGCTGGGCGCGGTGGTAGGCGCCTGTAATCCCAGCTATGCGGGAGGCTGAGGCAGAAGAATCACTTGAACTCAGGAGGTGGAGGTTGCAGTGAGCTGAGATCATGCCACTGCACTCCAGCCTGGGCGACACTCTGTCTCAAAAAAAAAAAAAAGGAATATAAGGGTAAACAAAGATGTGGAAAAATTAATTGGAACCCTAGTGCACTCTGAGGAATGTAAAATGGTGGAAGCCACTATGACGAAAATCTAAAAATAGAATTACTATATGATCCAGCTTTCTGAGTTTTAATCCAAAAGAACTGAAATCAGGATCTCAAAGAGATATTTGCCGTCCCATGTTCACTGCAGCATTGTTCACAATAGCCAAGATGTACAAACAACTAAATGTTCATCAATGAATAAATGGACAAAAAAGTGACATATACATATAACTGAATTTTATTTGGCCTTAAGGAAGGAAATCTTGTTATATACTACAACATGGATGAACCTTCAGGACACTATGCTAAGCAAAATAAGCCAGTCACAAAAGGACAAATACTGTATCATTCCACTTATATGAGGAGTCTAGCTCATCAAAGCAGAAAATAGAATGGTGGCTGTCAGGAGCTGAGCTGACAAGAAATGGGGAGCTGCTTTTTGATGAGCAAAGTTTCAATCATGCAAGATGAAAAAACTTCTAGAGGTCTGCTGAACAACATTGTGCTTATAATTAACAATATTGTCATGTATGCTTAAATATTTGCTAAGACAGATCTCGTGTTAAGTATTTTGTATCAAAATTAAGAGAAAGTAGATATGTTAAAATTGAAAGTAAGAACCAAATAAGTGGAAAGAATTACAGTAGTATAAATTTTGCTTCTAGACCTATGGCCAGCCACAGTCCAAAACTGCTTTTGGTTTTGTTTTTCAAAGTATATTCCACAATTTTCCATGGCAACTTCCTCCATTACCCTTAGGAAATTTTTCTTTAAATGTGTCCTAACTCTGTCATTAAATACAGCATTTGTTTAAGTTTAAATATTTTATTTAGTACTTGTCCATATCCCTGGGATTTGTGTGTGTGTGCTTTTCCTTCCTTATACCATAAATATTTTTTTTAAATGCCTCTGAGACTTTCCTTGGTATTGTCCAGCAGATTGATGATCCTTAAACTTCATTATGCACTTGAGGCCAGAAGTTCAAGACCAGCCTGAGCAACATGGCAAAACCCCATCTCTACTAAAAATACAAAAGTTAGCCCAGCATGGTGGCTTATGCCTATAATCCCAGCTACTCAGGATGCCGAGGCAGGAGGATCACTTGAACCCAGGAGGGGAAGTTCAGTGAGCCAAGATCATACCACTGCACTCCAGCCTGGAAAACAGAGGGAGACCCTGTCTAAAACAAACAAACAAGCAAACAAACAAAAACAAACTTCATTTTAAAATAACCAATGCAGCCAGCAAGGTAGTTATCTCATCTGATTTTATTTTCTTGGTTATACTTTTCACTTTGTTACGTAGGCCTTGCCTTTCAAATGCCAGGAATTATATTCAATTTACCTCTTCTCTTCACATGTAACTACACATATTTAAATTTAATTAGAATTATATAAAATCTAAATGTTAGTATCCTAGTCACATTAGCCACATTTAAAGCACTCAACAGCCACATGTGGCTACATTACTGTATTGGACAGGACAGATAGAGAACATTTTTATCATTGCAAAAAGTTCTATTGGATGGCTCTGTACTAGATCCTACCCTTACCCTCCAAAATCCCTACTCATAATTAGCATATTAGCAGAACACAGCCTCTAAAGAAATCTCACTTGTCTCATCTGAAAAAGTGAGGATAACACTTTTTTGACTCAGGAAAGAGGACTGACCCACATTTCCTTTGAGGTTCCTTACCAGTATGATAGCCTCATTTTTGTGAATCCACTAAAACTTAACCCTTGGTCAGGAAGACAACTCCATTATAATAATGTTTCTCTGGAAAAAATCAAACTTGAATGACATCATCTCAATTCACAGCTTCTTTGCCAAGAATATAACCTACTTAAGTGTAGGAACTGCATTCCAGCTCCACAAATTCCTTATTAGGTCCAATATGGCAGGTGGTACTTAAACCATATCAGTTTTTTCACACCCCAGCAGGCCTTGAAATCACTGTGATAAGAGAATCTGCCTCTCTAAGAAGGGTCACAGCATGCCTATAAGAAGACATCTGGGAAGCAGAACATTTATTTTAAAATGCAAACTACGTAGTCCTGTAAGTAATTAATTGGGGAACATAAGTTGTATTTGAACTAAAACGGAACCTTTGATTACACTTAATGTCAGCTGGATGATTAATGTATCAAGTGTTTGCTGTTTACTAAACAAAGGATTTGTCTTTTTTTACCATCTGAAAAATTTTGTCTAAAACACTTATTTTCAGAGATGTGATCATTTCTTTGGCACTTATTGGACTGTTAAATTGAATTCATGCTGTCCTTCCACGTTTCCCAGACTACTCAGGAAGTATGAAAATGGGAACTGATGAGCAAGGCCTGGACATGTTTCCACATCTACTGTGTTCATGTTTGTTAATGCAAGTCAGCCCTGCACAGAGATCTACCACCTGGACCAAGAGCAGTATACTTTGCTGCTTGGGCAGCTTTCCTTCCATGTCTAAAACAGAGTAACTTTCCTAAATTGGGATATTACTCATTTTTATCACAAACCTTGTGGAGATTAACGTATTATATCAGAAACCATCTAAAATGCACAGATACAATTAAATGACCATAATTCCCAATGCAAAATATAACAGGAAAGATTATCAAACCACTCTCCCTCTACCCTTCAAGTCTTAATCTTGGCTCTAGGTTTTCCTGAGCAGGAAAAATGAATTGGGGGAGAAGTGAGTGCTTCTCTCCATCCTTGCACTAACTTTCCTAATCTTTAATTGTGCCAATTCAACTTCGTTGTGTTATTCTTGGCTTCTCGCCTCATGAGGGACCAGAAGTTTGTAAGCACATAGAGGAAGCAGTGGTTTTTACCTTGGGGCTCATCAACCTCCAGAAAATAAAAGCAAAATTATATAAATACCTGCATTTCTTTTCTTGGGAGAAGGTTAATAGTTTTCATTAGATTTTGAAAGAAGTCCATGATCCAGAAAAGATTAAAAAGTCTCAATTTTGATGGATTTGGAATAGAATCAAGTCACTGATGAAGTTACTGCCTCTGCCACTAGTGGGGGCAGTGAGTGGGTACAACACAGCAGCCAGAACCTGTGTGTCAAGAGCCCTTCTCTCATCCCAGCTTTTAATAGTTGAGATGCGATCAACAAACACTGATGATAGACTTTAAGTCCCGTGATACTGTGATTTATAATGAGAAATACATATTTGGTCCGTATTCTCATTTCTGACACACAGCTCCTAAAATCCTAGTAATTTCCTAAGTGATAAGAGTTACGGAAGTATCTTTGGTTATAATATTTGGTCTTTTGTCCCAGGTTCCTAAAATAGCTCCAGAGTGTTTCTTGTTATGCATACCAAGCCCCTTTCAACCACACCCAAGTTTATATTAATGAGGTGATTTTTCAAAAGCCCCTAGAAAATCACTGGATGGGGGCTAGATGCCAGAGGAATTAATCATGTGATTAGAAGGTTGGAACTTTACCCCTAACCTCCGAGGGGCAAGGAGCTGAAGCCTGAATTGATCATCACTGGTCAATAATTTCATCAATCATGCCTACAGAATGAAATGTCTATGAAAACTCAAAAGGACAGGGTTTAGAGAACTTCTGGGTTGGTGATTAAGGAGGATGACATGCCCAGAGTGGGCATGGAAGCTCTGTGTTCCTTCCTTCATGCCTTGTCCTTTGCATCTCTTCCATTTAGCTGTTCTTGAGTTAACTGGTAAATGTAAATAAATGTTTTCCTGAGTTTTGTGAGCCATTCTAGCAAATTATCAAACCCAAGGAGGATGTCACAGGACCCTCTGATTTATAACCAGCCAGTCAGAAACACAGGTGACAACCTGGACCTGTCAGCGGCCTGAAGTAGAGGCCGTTTTTTTTGTTTTGTTTTGTTTTGTTTGTTTTTTTGAGACGGAGTTTCGCTCTGTCGCCCAGGCTGGAGCGCAGTGGCACAATCTCGGCTCACAGCAAGCTCCACCTCCCAGGTTCACGCCATTCTCCTGCCTCAGCCTCCCGAGTAGCTGGGACTACAGGCGCCCACCACCACGCCCAGGTAATTTTTTGTATTTTTAGTAGAGATGGGGTTTCACCGTGTTAGCCAGGATGGTCTCCATCTCCTGACCCTGTGATCTGTCCGCCTCGGCCTCCCAAACTGCTGGGATTACAGGCGTGAGCCACCACACCTGGCCAGTCTTATGGGACTGATCCCGTAACCTGTGGGATTTGATGCTATCTCCAAGTAGATCGTGTCAGAATTGACTTAAATTGTAGGACACACAGTTGGTGTCTACAGAGAATTGGAGAATTGCCTGGTGTGGAAAACCCACACATCTGGTGTCAGAAGTAAAGTATTGAGGGTAGTAGAGAGTAGAGGAAAAAAAAAAAACAGTTTTCCTTTAGTTGGTGGAGAGAAGGAAATAGTTTTCCCTTACAGCCCTGAAAGATTGGCTGGTGACATGCGAGAGCTCTGATTGCAATAACATTCACCATTATTTGTTGATACACATTCTTCCATTTAATCTTAATACTCCTTCAAAGCGGTATGATTACCCCATTAAAAGATGAGAAAACCGAGAATCAAACTGGCTAACTAATTTGTTCAAGATGACAAAGTTACCACATTGCAGCACTAAAATTAGAGCCCAGGTCACTCTGATTCAAAAAGCTTATTCATTAATACTGCCCAGCTAGGAATATCTGTCCAGCTTCTAGGAATGGACCTTCAATTCTATCATCCCACCTAAATCTGAAAAGGTAGCACATTTCATGATTCTTCCAGCAGGGCAAAGCAAGGCTAATTTTAGAAGTCTAATGAGAAAGGATTAAGGTACTTCCTGTTAGACAGTCAACACGAGTGGCTCTCATTAGCAACAATAAAAACCCAGCTTGTACGGTCGGTCGGCAAAAGTAGCAGCCTCCGCTTTCTTTTGTGATTCTCAGCTGGGTTGCCCCTTTAAGAAGCTTAGCCCACATAGTCACATTCACAGATCTTCTAAGTCAAAATCTCTTTTAAAAACACCCAGGAGCGATCCCTAACTACCAAGGAGTAAGACATCCTTTCAGGAAAGAACGTTGAAGAGATTTATCTGAATGTCAGCAAGTTTCACCCAGTCAAGAGAAATCCATCTAGAAAAGAGATTTTATACAATTTGTGAATTTTATTCAATTCAACTTTTATTTATAGTTGCTCTATGTAGGAATTGTGCAGAATGCGGCAGAAGAAGGTAAAATGTACAGAATGGGATGTTCTCCACCGGAGGTTCACAGTTCATTGGTAGAGACAGATACACATCCAATATGTACAGTCCAGCAGACAGTACTAAGTTGGAAAATTGATTTCCAACCAAAATGCAAGAGGAGAACAAGAGAGGGAGACAGTGTTTCTGATTGTTGGGCAGGGTAGAGACAAATCTGAGAAAAGCTTGTGGAGAGTATGGGCTCTGTGGATAGAGGCAAGTAAGATGTGGATGAATACTAGCATCCCAAAAGCATAGAAGCAGAGGTTGTGCAGGTATCTGGAAAAACAATAATGTCCTGGGAAGGCCAGAGAGTAGAGGGACAGGCCCATCCTGTAGACCCACGCCACTCAAAGTGAGGTCAAAGCCAGAGCATCCTCGGAAACACCTGGAAACTTCAACATACAAAAAGCCCAGGCGCCACCCTGGACCAAATGCATCAGAATCTGCATTTTTACAAGATCCCCAGGTGACTCATATGCACATGAATGTTTGAGAAACATTGCTGCAGACAATGGGGAGCCATTGGAGGTCCCTGGGTGAGAGGAGTAATCTCTTCTTAAATGTGCTTGGGAAATGCAACTTTAGGAAGCACAGTAGAGGGCACACAGAATGACCAAATGAATGAACAGTTATTCAACCAACAAAGTCTTTTGAAAATATGAATGTTAAGTGTTACAGCTCTTTTAGAATTGGTCTAGCAGGTTTTCTGGTTTGCACTAGAAAAACCATAGAAAGTGAAAATAGAAAATAATATGAATAGTCCTCTATTGGAAGGATGATTAATAAATGATACCCCTGTACTCATAGCTCCATCATATTTGACTGTAAGGTAATTAGGATATTAATTTTTAAATGCAATTTATTCATCAGATGGGAGGATAAGGAAGTAAAATCAGGTTGTGGCCAAAAATAACAGTTTTCACTTTAGTTCACTATCTGGAATCTATGTAACCATACTGTTTGATTTTAGATTGTTCAATTTTTTTAATACTCTCTGAAATCTGATGGCCAAGGACCCTGTAATCCAAGATAAGATTGATCAGGCTGGCCCAGCGCCCTAATTCCAAAATACTCTCTAGCAACTCATACACTCTCCCCCATTCCCCAAACACCCATTTTGAGATAGCCAGGATAATTTTCTTCATTTCCTGCCCAGACAGCTGTGGAATGTTGTAATTCATTGTTAGGCAGCTGCAGCAATCCTCCTTAGAAAAGGATACATCTTGTCAAGGATACGGTTATTCTCAAATTTTGAGTTTATTTTTTAAACAGTGATGTACCCACCAAATGTAGAAATAGTCAAGCCTGAGAAACCTCAAAGGGAGGCTGGATCTAACATACGCATCCCTGCTTAGAGGTCAGTGCTACAAATACCCTCACCAGGTTGCCTGTAATCTCACTGCTTCAGCAAACAGTCCAACCCACTCGTGTTGGAAAATCCTCTGGACTCCTGAAAATAACTCCTTCCTGGCTGAGTAAACCTTAACCCTCTCCTACAAGCCGATAGGAAAATGCAGCACATCTAGAAGGTGAAGAGTAGCAGATTTTCATCCTCAATTATCTCCTCCCTCCACATCCATAAAAACAGCCCTGCTATCTAATGATCTTTACTATAAAACTGGGGAGAGGAGAGCAAAACGAGATTAAAATCTCTCCACACTGTGTGAGTGTGTGTGCATGTAAGAGGGTGTGTGTGTATGTGTGTAGCTCTGTGGGAGGGAGACAGAGACAATCACATAAAAATTGAAAATTACCCCAGATGACAATAAAATAGAAGAGACAGAAGACTCCAGGGAGCAGCAATGATTAGAGTGAGTAGGAGTGTCGTGTGAAGGCTAAGAGGTTAGACTATTTGGGAAATGTGGGGTATTAGATCAAGGAAGGTCTGTTACTATACCATGTCCTATAATTTAGATATTGCAAATCACAAACAGGATAAATATGAAGGAAGCTTTCCTACTCTTAACATGGCTGCTTCTGCTTTCATAATAACCTCTCATTTGGTACAATTTTAATTTTTTAAGGCACCTTAGAGTTGGCAAAATGGATCCAGAGGCAATTAAAGTCCCTCTAGTTTCTTTTGTGAAATTGGTGTTTAATAGCTATTTGGGGAGTTTCTCCCAATAAAAATCCCATCTTTCCCCATTTCTATTTCAGAATTTCCAATAATCATTAAATTTTGTTGGACAAGTTCAAGTAAAGCTATTTTATCACTTCATAAAACCAGTCACAAAACTCTCTTCCAAGGTAGAGAGGAGACAGAGTCTTTGTCCATCAACACAGCCTGGAGATCTACAGAAAGTAGGCAGCAAAGGTCAACCGGCCTCACTCAATCAACAGACCTCTCTGACTACCTTTGCACAGCTACTACCTATCATGCACCTTGCTAGGTAGTGGCTACAAGAGGACAAATAAGGCATAAACTCTATCTCACACAGCTGATGTATTTACGAGGGAGACAATTAAAGAAAGAATAATCATAATACAGATTTATTAATATAACAGGGGCAGCTACCTACTGAGGGTCAGGAATGGCTTCCTGACCAACTAGGGGAAAATGTCCCTCCAAGAGTTCATTCTTAGAAGTTATTTCGGATGCAGGTTTTGGTAGACCTGGATATGCTTAGTCAGGGTTAACCAGCTTTAAGAGTTTATAGTTTGACTAAGGAATTTAAGTAGAATGATGAGGGACACACACAAAACAAGTTATTATGGAACCACATTACCAAATTCAAAGAAGCTTAAAATCTGACATGAAGACGAACTCATTGGCCCCCTTAGAAAATCCTCATGTACTAAGTACATTGTAGGCAATCTGTAGTTGGTTTATTGGGGAAGTCTTACTAGTCAGGAATGCATCACCATCAAGCAGCTTGGAACAAGCAAGGACTCCAGAGCTGGACTGACTAGGTTTGAAGCCTGGTTCTCCCATTTACTGGATATTTGACTTTCAGCTCAACCTCTCTATATCGCAGTTTCCTTATCTGAAAAATGGGGATAATAATCACATCTACCTCATAGGGTTGTTATGAGAAAGAAATAAGTTAATATTTTTATAGTATTTAGAATAGTGCTTGGCCCTTGGTAAGTGCTTTGAACGGGTTATGTTAGGTAAATGTCAGTGTCAGCAGGCCCCTAATTCAATGTCTCTCAAGACAGGGTGGCTGAAGCATTTATTCTAGGTAATACCTACTTTTTCTAAGGATGAGATGACCTCCCTATGGGGGTGAAAAAAATGTCTGATGTAGCCTCCGTCTCAACCAAAAAGACCTACTGTGACTGTTAGTTAATACTGAGCATCAACCTGATTGGATTGAAAGATGCAAAGTATTGATCCTGGGTGTGTCTGTGAGGGTATTGCCAAAGATAATTAACATTTGAGTCAGTGGGCTTGGAAAGGCAGACACACCTTTAATCTGGGTGGTCACAATCTAATCAGCTGTCAGTGCAGCTAGAAAGCAGGCAGAAAAATGTGAAAAGAGAGACCAGTTTAGCCTCCCAGCCTACATCTTTCCCTCATGCTGGATGCTTCCTGCCTTCAAACATCAGACTCCAAATTCTTCATCTTTGGGACTCGGACTGGTTTCCTTGCTCCTAAGCTTGCAGGTGACTTATTGTAGGACCTTGTGATTGTGTGAGTTAATACAACTTAATAAACTCCCCCCTCTCTCTCTATATATATATGTGTGTGTGTGTGTGTGTGTGTGTCCTATTAGTTCTGTCCCTCTATAGAACCCTAATACACTGACCATATTCAAATAAAAAATAGCTCTAGGGTCCCCTTCCCTCCAGATATGTCATAATGAATGGGACACGTTTTCCCAAAAGACTCTTGGCATGGTGGTACCTATCATCTCTTCTCCTGAATTAACAATAGATATTCAAGCAAAAGCAAGAGGCAGTCTCATATTAAAGGAGCAGAGATCCCAGGATGTGATAACAAATTAGCATTATAACTCTGACATATATCTTTTCATATGTCTCTTTTCGTAAATTCAGCATCAAATTTAATTACATTGATTGGATTTTTTGTCTTGTCTCAGATTATAAAATTAATTTTCATAAATCTTCAGCTTTCTCTATTGTCCACAAAAGTTAGCAAACAACCCTCCTTCTCTAGAACATTACAAAAAAATTTCACTTAAGCATACACATTACCCCTAGACTGATGGACTTCTACAAAACTAACTTCCCCATCCTCTTATCAGAGGTCTGTACTGGAGCAGCAACCACATGGAAACTATTTGTAAGCTGCACAAGGCAAGTAAATGCCAGGAAGCAAAATTGGCTGCCTTTAAGATTTTACACAGACATTCCAAGTCCCA
Organism: Homo sapiens; assembly: GCF_000001405.40. Taxonomy (NCBI): domain Eukaryota; kingdom Metazoa; phylum Chordata; class Mammalia; order Primates; family Hominidae; genus Homo; species Homo sapiens. Next base: position 59,483,728 of record NC_000013.11, read on the forward strand.
GAGCAATTTCTTTTCCAAACTTTTAATAATTAGTCATTTTCTTAAGCTTTAACAACAACAAAAAAAGAGGACAAAATCTTCCTTAGGAGGACATTAAATCGTATTACCCTACTTTGTCAGGCAGCTTCGTAAGTGTCCCACTGAGACGGTCAGGAGCTGCAGCCCCTCCCAGCCTCATTGCAGATAAAAACTCCACTGATAGGCACTTGAGTCCCTGACCTGCAAGTTAACACTCCCTGTTTTTCCAGATGGCCATTCTCCCAAGTGCAGGCTGACAATCATGTCAAATGGGGCTAGGACCTGACCACCAGCTTCATTTTCAATTGTGAGTAAAATCAGGATTTGAAGCCAGGTCTCTGAAGATCAGACACAATGACATGAACTTGGTCGCCTAATAAATCACAGCTGAAGTTAGCGTTCAGGAGAGCAAATGCTGTATGATACTGCTGGCAAGATGAATTCCATTGCAGTTTCACTTGTCCCCCTCTGCCTTGGCTTAAAACTTTCAAAGAAGTTTAATCAGAGTTTCCGGAACTCCATGTTTATGCCTTGTTTAAAAGCAATTTTTTGTTCTTTTAGGAAATCATCTTACAGATGGCCTCAGGGAAAAATTATATATTTTATATTTATTCTGAGGCCTGTGGGTTCTCAGAGGAGCAAAGTTTACAGCAAAAGCCATACGTGCATCTAGGAATTCTGAGTGAAGAAAGAACAAAAATTACATACCAAGTCATTTTTGAAAGAACAAGAATTACATATCAAGTCACTTTTGAAGTATTTTTAACATTTTATGTTTTCTACCTAGAAATGCTGAAAATAAACAATAATGTCTGAAAATTATGATTTACCTTCTGAATTCAGCTTCAGTGGAGCAGGTGGTATTTAAGAAACCATCACCAGTAAGAATCAAAACATCACAGAAATATTGATGTTTTACCTCTATGCTCTTCTTAGCAATTTTTTAATGGGCCAAATGGTATAAATTCAGCATTTAAACCTGCAAAGTACAATTTTTTTTTCTGATTCTTAATGCAAAGATGTATACTCACAAAGAAAAATCAATTTATCAACCTTGTGTGTACATGACATTTTTCATTTCCCCACTTGCTGAGGAGAAACACAATGTATATTGCTGAATGAAGTGACATTTAGAGAATTGTTGATTTTTTTCATTTATCACCTTATTCACATTTTAAATTTTTATTTCAAATATTACAAGAATAAGCCTTCTGTACATATTTAAAATCAAACTAGCAAAATTCTTTGCAAGGAAGCAAAATTGTCATAGACTCAAAACATCCTTTTATGCCTGTTGTCAAAATGATGCATATAATGGCATCAAATTTTCCACTATTCCTGAATAGTGGAAAATTTGGGCTCTCTGGGCAATATTTTACAAAGTTATTCAGGTTTTCACTTGCCATAAACTGATTTATTTTAACACAGAACTCATGCCTTCAGGACTTAGCCTATTCTTTGTTTCCTGACCATATTATTGTAACTGCAGAACTGGAAGTAGATAATTTACAGTTTCTTGTCAAAGAATCAGGTTTACTTCTAGAAAGGAATAGTTGGTCATTGATGGTTACATCTTCTATATTTAGAGTGTTCTCTTAGTCACATCCCGACAGGTGAAAAGTGGGTTTTGTGGAAACAGACTGTCTTCCCTACTATTTTGCAGGGTGAGCACTTTCTCCTAAAGTAGCTTCATTATACTGAGTAAACCCATTGCTCAGCTTCCCTGAAATGGGATGACAACCAACACTCAACCCATTCCGGCCTCAAGTGTTTTATGCTGTGGGAAAAATAACATCAGATCCATTTAGCATCAATGCCAGCCCCTGGCCGTTACTTAATTTTTTTTTTTTTTTTTTTGTGGAGACAGAGTCTCGCTCTGTCATCCAGGCTGGAGTGCAGTGGCGCGATATTGGCTCACTGCAAGCTCCGCCTCCTGGGTTCATGCCATTCTCCTGCCTCAGCCTCCCAAGTAGCTGGGACTACAGGCGTATGCCACCACGCCCAGCTAATTTTTGGGTTTTTTGTTTGTTTGTTTTGTTTTGTTTTTGGGACGGAGTCTCGCTCTGTCTCCCAGGCTGGAGTGCAGTGGCATGATCTCGGCTCACTGCAAGCTCCGCCTCCCGGGTTCACGCCATTCTCCCGCCTCTGCCTCCCGAGTAGCTGGGACTACAGGCACCCGCCACCACATCCAACTAATTTTTTGTATTTTTAGTAGAGACGGGGTTTCACTGTGTTAGCCAGGATGATCTCGATCTCCTGACCTCGTGATCTGCCCGCCTCGGCCTCCCAAAGTGCTGGCATTACAGGCGTGAGCCACCACGCCTGGCCAATTTTTTGTGTTTTTAGTAGAGACGGGGTTTCACCGTGTTAGCCAGGATGGTCTCGATCTCCTGACCTCATGATCCCAAAGTGCTGGGATTATAGGCGTAACCTACTGCACCGATCAATTTGTTTCTAAAAGAAGCTCTGTAGTATTGGTCATCCTCTTGCCATTTTCTAGTGGAAGAAACTAGAATCAGAGGTACAAAGGATTAAGTTCACTTAACATTCAGGAATTTGAATCTTAACGGTCTCCATCCAAAACATGGAATCTTGACACTGAGTCTTCCTCCTTCTGTTTCTGGCCACAAGCAAAATGTAGTGGGTAAGCTCTGAAGCCTGGGTTCACACCCCACCTCTGTTCCTTCCCAGCTGCAGAACTTTGGTAAAAGTGTTGAACCACTGAGCGAGATGAGTCTAGAGATGTATGTGCCTCATAAGGTGTTTGTGAATATTACAAAGTATGTGGCAAGTACTCCACTGCATCCCATGCTGTAAAGTGTTCAATAAATATTGGCTGCTGCCATTCCATTATGCTATTATGTTTTCAGGGAAACTTCTAATCATCTTGAGTTTTAGTATCCAACTTCTTACTTAGGGAGATGTCCTTACCCAGTTGGCCTTCATGTATGGAAACTTCTATTAGACTCTGGTAGTAAGTCAAAGCAAGATGGAAAACCTTTACATTAGAAACTTAGTGCAGATAGGTTTAAAACAGTATCATTCAGAACAACGAACACTCAAAGAGATAATGATAGTGTTCTTCGTAATTGTAATAATAATAACAAAATTCCCATACCACTGTAGGGATTCGCAGGCTAGTAATAGAAAAAAATGCCTTCCACTGAAGCAGTGGTAAATTTTTCTTCAAAGTGCTACTATTCTGGATATCAGCAGAAGCAGCTTTGGGAATTTATTTAAATACACCGTGCAAGGGAACTCATTAGCTATACAAGGCCCTTCCAGCCTATACCTCCAACGGCCACTAAGAACTTGCCTATACATAAGAGACGTTTCCAAACATCATAGGTGTTGTTCCAAATGGTTATTTTCTCATTTTCACTTGGATTCATGTTGTACAGTAAGAGAGACTGAGATATATTTGAGGCCAGATTCACTAAGCATTTATTGACTGCCTTCTCTGTGGAAGGTATTTTTTGGGCAAAGAACTTGGGACTTTCATGATTTTGAATTATAAATGGCTCCAAGGAAAACCCACAATGATGTCTCCAGTGTTGGCTCACTGAAATAGAATTGAATTTGTGAGGTGTGTTAGTCCGTTTTGCATTGCTATAAAGGAATACCTGAGGCTGGGTAATTTGTAAAGAAGAGAGATTTATTTGGTGCATGGTTCTACAGGCTGCACCAGAAGCATAGTGCTGGCATCTGCTTCTGGTGGGACCTCAGGAAGCTTACAATCCTGACAGAAGGCAAAGGGGGAGCAGATGTGTCACACAGTGAGAGAGGGAGCAAGAGGGAAGGGAGGAGGTGACAAGCCATTTAAACAACCAGTTCTCCCCTAATCTAATAGAGCAAGAACTCACTTGTTACCAGGAGGTGGCCACAAGCCATTCATGAGGGATCTACCCATCTACCCCCATGACTCAGATACCTCCCACTAGGCCCACCTCCAACATTGGGGATCATATTTTAACATAAGACCTGGAGGGGACAAACATCCAAACTATATCACAAGGGACATTGTATCAGTCGACTATTGCCATGTAATATGCCACTCCAAGCCAATATTCATGAATTCTCATACATGTGTCTCTGCTGGCCAGCTTGGAATCAGTTGATCTGGGTGGTGCTAAGCTGGACTTACCTCCATGAAGGCTGGTATGGGGCTAATCCTTGTGTATTTTATGCCTTAGAGCTGGCTCTTCTTTTGTTAAACAGCAGATGTGCAAGCAGTCAAGGCCAACATCTGAGCACAGTTCAAGCAATTGTGCCAAAATCCAATACAAACTACCTGGCTGAGACTGACATCAAGTAATCAAGTAGCATTCCCCACTAGGGGGACAGGCTACAAAGTCCCACAGCAAGCGATGTGGATACCAGACAGGATAAAGAATTGGAGCCCATAAGTCAATTTTCATATATACTTTCTAGAAAATGGTTAAATCCTCATAACCGTTTTGTGCCTAAAATTAGAGTGTCCATCATTAGGCATGTGCCGATCCCTTAGAAACTTTAGCTAAGTATGTTTCTCTAAGATTTCAAAAATTATCACACATAATTTAAGTACTACAAATTTCCTTATGAAAAAATGGCCATTACTTTTATATAACAATGAATCTTAACTGAAAATTAGACCTTTGTCTACATATTAGGCTTATGGAAAATCCCGTTTAAAGCAAGATTGGCAGAAACTAACTTGCCTGCTCTCTGAGGTTAGGGATTATTCTGAAATCTTTATCATCATGCTTTGTCCAGTGCTTGATGTAGAATAGATGCCCGAGAAAGATTTGTTTACTGAAAGACTGAAAACAGAATTACTGAACATCTCAGAGGCTGCCTCTTTGTTTATAATCCTTGCTTTTTATTAGTTACCACTTGATCTGTTCTTAGCTTGTAGGTTTGCTCTGACTCATAGGGTCAAGACTCCTACCCTGTGTGCTTGGTTATTGCCCATGTCTGGGAAGATATTTTATCTGTGAAATGAGAATTTGCCACTCTTCCCAATATAGTTGGTCAGATATGGAATTTGTGTCTGTATTGTTTTAAGGCCCTTTGGGCCAGCATTTATATGCCTTTGCCACTAACGTGTTTGTGTGTTTGCTTGTTTTGTGACTTTGTTTCAAAAAGAAAACAATGTACAGAGCATTACCTCCTCTCCTGTTCAGGACAGTCAACTCAGTTCCCTCTCTTTACCCTTTCTTCCTGTTACTATCTTACTTGAAAAGATGCACAACTAGAAACTGGGATGGTCTTTTGTCTGGCACCAAACCATGACCCTACTTTCAGATTTTGCTATTTTCAATCTAAATGGCTGAGTTGTTAATTCAGTTTATCAACCTCTCTTCTCCTCATTCCCCTTTCTACATATTTGACTCTTTATATATTTGACTTCTTGTATATTATCTTTTTTATTTTTTCTTTTTATTATTATTAATTTTTTTTTTGAGATGGAATCTCACTGTCACCCAGGCTAGAGTGCAATGGCATGATCTTGGCTCACTGCAACCTCTGCCTACTGAGTTCAAGCAATTCTCCTGCCTCAGCCTCCCGAGTAGCTGGGATTACAGGTGCCTGCCACCATGCCCGGCTAATTCTTTGTATTTTTAGTAGAGACGGGGTTTCACTATGTTGGCCAGGCTGGTCTTGAACTCCCGACCTCATGATCTGCCCGCCTTGGCCTCCCAAAGTTCTGGGATTACAGGCGTGAGCCACCATGCCCGGCCTTATATATTATCAATGAATTTTTAAAAATCTTACTTCTGGAAAATAATTCATTCTTTCTGAATCTTTTAAAAATACACTGAAAATAATATAATTGCTTTTGAATACAGCTTTATAAAAGTCTCCTCCCAGCCTCTCATAACAGATCTTGAGTGAAATCTGAAATTAGGTAAGGCCACCTTAACATGTTATAAAGAGCCATCAGAATATGGCAAGTCCCGCACTGATTTAAGATATTCCCAGTCACGGGGAGTGTTTTCCATGCATTTGCAGAGTTAAAATGCAATAACCTTAGCCAGTTCATTAGTCATCCAGAGCTTTAATAATTATCATCATCACAACTAATGAAAATATCTTTTGTTAAAAGCTTATAGCTACCAGGTATAGTGATGAGCACTTTCTACACACCATTTCCATTGATTCTGATAACCACTCAGTGAACTAGAAAGTAAAGCTGATTTACAGTGGACAAACCAAGGATTTGTACTGGTTATATATTGAGCCAGCTAGTTATGTAGAATGGAATAGTGGAGACATAAACCCAGGCTGACATCAGAGCCTAAGATGCTATGATAGTTTCGTGAACTACCCTTTTCAGCTGTTTTTTGCTTTGCTACATTAAAACGATGGAAGGCAAAAATTTCTACTCACCTCCTAGAACATTTGAGGATTGAGACTTCGCCCTTCAAGGAAGAAACACTAGCTGATGAGTTGCTGACAATTTGGATGCCAAGGGTTCTGAGTATAATGGGCCATCCACTCTGCAAGAACAAAGAAAAACACAATTTCAAGAGAGCTGAAGTTCCTCTAAGAGAAAAAGATTCCCCCAGAATGAAAGTAAGTCAGAAGAAAGCAACTGAGAAGGAGGAGGTGAACAGGGACAGAAGCCTTGTCCCAAAAAGTCAGCTTAGCAAAGGACAATTCTGAAGGGAATGGGTTAAAGGCAGTAAGTAAAAGTTTTAAACAGCAATGACTCTGAAGCCAGCCTCCCTTGGATCAGACCCCAATTTCACTATTTACGAGTTTTGTGACCCTTGACAAGTTACTTAATCTCTGTGCTACTCAACCACTACCTCAGTTTTCCCTTCTATAAAGTAGGAATAATATTAACATCTACCTTATATGGTTCTGAGGGTTAAATGAATTGATACCCATTAAGTTATTAGGATAGTGCCTGGTTCAGTGTGTTTAGTAGGTGTCAGTCCTTATTATTCATATGGTATTTGACCTCTTTGGAGTTGGGTGGGGCCATATCATTATCCGCCCAAAGCAGAAACATGTCCCATGATCTGCTCTCACATCTTGTGCTTGCCCCAGCAAATCATTCCAGTGAGGCTCAGAAAGGACTCATTCCAGAAGAATCCAACTGTGCACCTGTAGCCTCCCAGCAGGAACAGCTTCTGGCCATGCTACAAGAGCTCTGCTGTGCCCCTTTCATAATTCCAAGAACAGAAAGCCTGTTTAACTCAAAAGCCAAATGATCAACAACAGAAACCCCAGGGCCCCTTTCTTCTGGCCCCCACTTCTATTTCACTCAGTTCCCTCATCTGAAAAATAAAACCACTGCCCACCTCACAGTATCATGATGAGCTCCTTTTTATTAAATGACAGAACAAATAAAAAGGAGCTAGCACAGTGCCTGACATACAGTAGATAGTTTAAAAATACAGTCATCCCTTGATATCTGTATGGATTGGTTCCAGAACCTCCCTCAGATCCCAAAATCAGCGATGCTAGAGTCCCTGATGTAAAGGGGTGTAGGATTTGCATATAACCTATGCACATCCTCCTATATACTTCACATCATCTCTAGATTACTTATAATACCAAATACAATGTAAATGCTATATAAAGAGTTGTTGTATAGTGAATAATGACAAAAAATCTGTACATGTTCAATACTGATACATTTTTTTCAAATGTTTTTGATCTGCAGTTTGTTGAATCCGTGGTGTGGAACCCATGGGTACAGAGGGCCGACTGTATTCATTTCTTTCCTTCTTTCCTTAAGCTACAGACAGCCCTTACTAAACACTGTTAAGGGACTAATGGCTTAAGGTAAAAAGACTAGTGGGAAGTGGGGAATTAGTTCTGTCATTAAGCCACTGCTCCTATACCATATCTACTGATTTATTCTTTCCCCAAATGTGTGTTTTTCTAAATGTAGATAGGTCAGAAAAAATGGCTTCAATATAGGAATTAAATGAGTATAATAATAGTAATAATCACTAATAATATCTAGCTTCAGAAGTGTAAGAAAATTGGCTTGTTTCTTTAATAGAAAAGTCTACGGTTTTCTTTTTTGGTCCCTAGAAAACTGAATCATGATTTATTCCTGTGTGTTAGGAGGGGATCTGTTCTGCTAAAATCATTAGATTTATTTAAGTTCACACAACAGAAGGAGACATTCTGGAGGCTCTTTTTCATTGTTAAATGAGCACCTATGTGGTAGTGTCACAGATGAAGGAGATAAAGGCACTTTGAGGAATAAAAGAGAAAAGGCACTTTGAGGAATAAAAGAGAAAAGGCACTAGCATAAAAATTAATCAGATTAAGTGTATTAGTAGATAGAGATCTGCAATCTGTTTTCTACACCCCCTGTGTGACAACATGATGAAGGTAATCAGGAAAACTACTGGAGAGGGCCCACAGTTTAAAGACCAATATGCTAGAAACAAAGGCTTCCCTGAAGTACTCTTTATGATGCTACACCTAACTCTCAGCAGGACAGCTAATTTCTCACACCAATCAGTCCATTGCAAGAAATGCTGAGGTGGAAAAAAAAATCCCTGCTGCACACTTTCCTGTCTTTCCCCAGATTCTAAATCTTCACACTGAAAATAATTTGCAAGCACAGGCATCTCTGAGATTCAATGGATTTTCCCTACCACCCCTCTTTGTTCCTTCAATCCTAGAGGGATGCTCCAAGCAGACAGGAAATGTGACCCAGAAGTGTGGCGACATATTTTTGTCTTGTTTCAGGAAGATGAGTGTTTCTCAGTCTCCTCTAGTTGAACTCACACATTCCATCTTTGGAGAAAGTTTTAAACAGTTCCGGCTTATTCAGAGTCCTTCTTAGGACCAGTTTAGGAAGCTGCCTGCAGGGACACAATGGCTGTGGTGGGCACAGCACTTTGAATACATACCTTCAGGGATGGGAGTATGCTACTGATTTTGTTTTTCTTTTCTTTTTTTTTTTTTTTTGAGATGAAGTTTCACTCTTGTTGCCCAGGCTGGAGTGCAATGGCACGATCTCAGCTCACCACAACCTCCGCCTCCCGGGTGTCAAGGGATTCTCCGCCTCAGCCTCCTGAGTAACTGGGATTACAGGCACCCGCCACCACGCCTGGTTAATTATATATTTTTAGTAGAGACGGGTTTCTTCATGTTGGTCGGGCTGGTCTCGAACTCCCAACTTCAGGTGATCCGCCCGCCTTGGCCTCCCAAAGTGCTGGGATTACAGGCATGAGCCACTGCGCCCAGCCAACTACTGATATTTTCTTATCATGACTTCCTGGGCAAGATTTTTTGTTACCAATCAATATCCATCCTAACCCAGGTCACACTTCAAGAATCTATTTAAACGATCCTATACTGACTAACAGCTTGATAGAATATAATCACATAAACTTCAAATTAGTTATAATTTTTCCCTTTGAATATAAAATGTTATTTAAAGTCTTCCTAACAAAATAAATGAAAAATATGTGGATATTCCACAGAAATCTCTATATCTAGGCAGCCTTTACCTAAGTGAAACCAGTCACAGAAAATGTATCCATATTAACCAATAATTATTGATTTACTTTCATTTATCAATAATTCATTTATTTCCATATTGAAACAGGATTTAAGGGTAAGGAAATCAGGGATGATTAAAGTAAAATGTCTTGGGTTCAAACTGACACCAAGAAGCCTAAACATGCTCAGAGATGCCATTAGTCAATATGGAAAATGTGGGCAATCTAGGAAAAACCTGTTGTCTTCCCACTCCAACCCTGAGCAGCCCTGTGGGCCAAGAGTTTGTTGAACAGAAGTAGGGGGGTCTAAATTTCAGACCCCATGTTCTACCTCAGCCAGGTGCATTTTTACATTTCACAAACAATTCAGTCACCGAAAGCAGCCCAGGCCACATTCTACAGCAGAGTGAGAGCAGATCAGTAATGAGTCCTTGCTTAATAACAGAAACTGTCTTGCAGGTGAATCTTTGAAAAGGTGGCCTCTCCTTCATCCTTGTGGTTATTCAAGTGAAAGTGAAAGGTTTCCCTGTCATGACATAAAACTGAGCAAAAAACAATCACCATATCTCTTGCCAACTTTGTCTCCTTGACTCAGGAAGATTTTAAATATAGAACAAATACTGCTTGCATCAGTAGCAATCCAGCCTCTATGTCACTATTGGATTAATAATGCTTTAGGATACATATCTCCAATATGAAAGGCTCTATCTAGCACACCAAATACCCTGATACAAGAACACTTCCTACTGTAGGCATGGCTATAGTAGTATATACTCAGTGTAATAGATGAGCAGTTATATTCTTTAGATATATAGAATAAATTTTATCTTTTGAAATGAAAATTCTAACACATTACTCTTCACAAGAAAAAAAGTCATAATCAGTTAAGACATTAGAACCCACCCAAATAATTTCTTCTGAATCATCTCTCTATTTGCTCGACTTCTCCCTTGCCCCCATGCTCCCACTGTCTGTAGTTACCAGATAGTAAACATGAATGCTGAATCAAGAATGAAAGAAAAACAGAAACATATATTTATGTAAACTTGTATTGATTCAACTAGGGAGAAACCCCACAGCTTTCAAGGCCTGAGTCACAAATCATTGTGATCAGAAATGCTGATGTGCTAGGAATGCACAAGTATTTTTGCTTATTATCATGGCCCAGGCCTGTTGCAGAGCAAGAGTTAAGCTGAAAAACAGTAAATATGGTTTTAAGCTTCCATTTATCAGGCAATATTTTGGGAAAGGGAGGACACAGTGGTGATGAGTCCAGGCTTGTATATTGAGCTCTACACTCAGTCACCAAAAGATCCACATTTGGGAAAATCAGAGGGAGGTCACACCACCTTTCCAAACAAGAGAAAACTCTGTTCTTCCCAAGATGACCTGAAATGTTCTAATTATTGGTTATTCCCTCTGGTCGGTGATGCAGCCAACAAGCACGTAGAGTTCAGTGAACCCACAAGCGCACAGCTGTTATCTTTGACTTATGGCCAAAACAAAAATTGGAACAGAATTTACTCAGACAAGTGTAAAGGCTTCTGTTTAAAACAGCTATTTTCTAAGCCAGATAAACAGCTTTGAAATGGAGAAGAAATGAATCCTTTCCTAGAATGTCTGAACCAAAGTGAGGTCAGCATCTTGAAGACAAGATGTTAACATAGATTACCCACACGGCTGCACAAGTCTCCCAAAGCATGAGACAGCCTCCACACCTCTGAGTTATCTGTAACTTTTTTTTTTTTTGGGGGGTCAACTTTTTGTGTTTTGGAAACAACTTTCTGCATTTGGGAAAGGTGGCTATGTTTAGTTAGTTGGTGACATAAAACATTAAGAACAGAGAATTGCTGTCCTGGAAGCTTCTGTGAGCCAGCAATTGCATAGGCTAGTGGCCTCTTTGGCCAGTAGCATCAGAGGCTCTTATGTGGCAGTTTGAGGGCAGAAAGAAACAGAGTGGTATTACTGTGGGCTTGAGTTAGTGATTCCGGCCTTTGAATTTCCACTAAGAAACATTAGCAAATACCCAATTTTTTATAGGTGGCAAAGGGACTGGTAAGAAATAGCTGGTAGGAGAAGCAGGGAAAAATCACCCTCCCAGTTACCTACACAAATACTGTGTGTCTGTGCTAATCTGGCAATCCATCTTACAATCACCAAACAGTGCAGAGCAAGGAAGCAATTCGCACTGCAATAGTGCTCCTCAGAGCTTTTCATAGCTTGATGCCTATTGCAGCTGCTTATATTGTACCAGCAGGTGGGTATAAAATAGCAGATTCCGGAGCCTACAAAAGCCGTGTCCCAGGGTAGAAGAGGAGATGATTTTTTTTCCAGTAGAGTGAATATGCATATCAATGTACCTGAATGGAGAGCTGGGTCCTGGTGAGCTGTCATCAGCACCAAATCTGTCTGTACTTCCATCTCAAGTGGTCTATTTGAGCGATAACAAGGCTTATGTAGCAAGGGTTTAAAAAGCCTGCTTCTCTCTTGATTCTAGGGGGTTTACAGACTACGTCTGCAGTGCGGACAGCCTTGAGCCCACTATCAACATTCATTCATTCCCAAATTCTCTCTGCACTCATCATTTGCAGCAATAATAAAATCTCACCAGTTTGGAAGTCCTGGGTTTTCTAGAATAGTAAGCACCAAGTATCCAGACATTGTAAGAACAATTATAACTACATGGCATCGTGGCCTGTTCTAATATACTCTATCGTTAAGGCAGTCAGCTGCTTAATTAGTGTCAACTTCATACCCAGTGGGCAGGGATAGTTATCAGAAGCCCACTGAACAAATGGACGGGACGTTTCAAACCTTCGAGCATCAAGCTTCTCCAAAAATAACAAGAAGTGACAGCTGAAGTCATGCTTAACAGAATTGGTTTAAAAATGTGAAATGGTTTTTAAAAGCAGCACTGCCTTCATATTGGGTGTGAATGAGGCTTTGTATGAAATATTATAGGAGGGGAAATCCCTAATAAAGCTGAGACTCATGCTTTGTTCTCAGTGTCTGACAATTGGATCTCTCTAGATAATACTTGAAAGGACTGAGAGGTGTGGCAGCAGATGGGTGGGAGGCCAAGGCTGTGTAAAACAACCCTCTGAGAAAGAGTTTCAGCGAGCTGCATAAGCGGCACCATCAGGACCCATCTGTGTAACAATTCCAGGACTGTTGCTTATCTGGTCATTTGTTTTCATAAAATGAGCAAGGAGAATCATGCCTGCCACATTCCTTGCCTCCCTTAGACCGTATGTCTCCTGCTGGTAGTTGTCTGGTTATTTTATTTTACCCTTTCACCACCCGATTCATAGCTTTCTTAGAATCCTCTAACACTGGGGTCAGAAAAATTTTTCTGTAAGAGGACAGATAGTAAATAGATTAAAAGTTTGCAGACCATACAGTTTCCATCACAACTACTGAACGCTGAGGTTATAGCGTGACAGCAGCCACAGACAACACACAAATAAATGGGCATGGCTGAGTCCCAAGAAACGTTATCTACAAATATAGGTTGGGTGTCACATTTAGCCCACAGCCACAATTTGGGGATCTCTTCTCTAAGACACTGTATCTTAAATAAAGTCAGCTGTGGGAAATACTGTGGGTTTTATTTAGTTTTCTACACTTCCATAACTATCTGTGGTAGATTCTTAGAGCAGCAGCTCCCTCATTTGTTCATGCCTCCCACTCTCCAGGCCCCGGGGAGTTTTCTTCCATACTGACGGTTATGGGCTGAATTGCATCCTCCCAAAATTCATATGCTGAAGGCCTAACCCTTAGTACTTCAGAATGTAACCATATTTGCAGATAAGGTCTTTAGAGGGATGATTAAGTTAACAATGAGGCCATAACCCCTAATCCAACATAACCAGTGTCCTTATAAGAAGAGGAAGAGACACCAGAGATGCAAACATAGAGAAAAGACCATGTGAAGAGGCAGCAAGAGGGCAGCCATATGCAAGCCAACAAGATAGGCTTCAGAGGAAACAAGCCCCAGACACCTTGATCTTTGACTTTCAGATTCTAGAACCATGAGGAAACAAATTTCTGTTGTTTAAGCCACCTAACTTAGGGTATTTTGTTATGGCAGCCCAGGGAAACTAATATACTGACGCTGGGCCAATCATGTGACTTTGGCCAAGGGGCAGTAGCAAACACGATATAAGCAAAGACTTGGAAAATGTCTCTTGCTGCTCTTGAGAGTCCTGCCAGCAACTAAGTCTGGGCTAATCTGCTGGATGGGGCGATAACATGGCCAGTCAGCTCATCAAGTCAAACCCCAGAAGCAGCTGCCTAGCTGACTGCCAGCCACCACACATGCATGAGAGACTCCAACAGAGATCAGCAGAAGAGCCACACAGCTGAGACCAGTCCCAACTGTGGACCCACAGAATATTGCTATTGTTTTAAACCATGAAGTTTTAAGGTAGTTTGTTACATACATGAGGCAACTGGTATACCACCTACCCACTTCCCATGTTTTCTCTACCCTAATACTCAGACTATCTTCTTTGTCTCTTGCTTACTTGGGCTGCTTCAAAGCGGCACTCCTTTATTCAACTCTGGCCTACCCTCTCCAACCAGCTGGTAGTTCAGTCTGGTGCCTCATCCACTCAAGACACCACTCTCTGCTGGGTGAGCATATTCATTTTCTCTTGCTATGATAACAAATTACCATAAACTTTGCAACTTAAAACAGCATGCACATTTATTATCTCCAAGGTCTGTAGGTCAGAAGCTTGACACGGATCTCACCAGGTTAAAATCAAAGTGTCGGCAGGACTGTGTTCCTTCCTGTAGGCTCTGAATCAGTTTCCTTGCTATTCAGATTGTTGGTAGAATTTATTTTCTTGCTGCTGTAGGATGGAGAGCTCTGTTTTCTTGCTGGCTGTGAGCTAAGGGGTGTTCCCAGCCTCCAGGGAACACCCACATGTCTCAGCTGTTAGTTCCTTTCTTCCATCTTCAAAGCCAGCAAGGTAGGTCAAGTCCCTCTCATGTTTCAAATCTCTCCTGCCTCTTCATTTATCACATTTCTCCGACTCCAGTGAGCAAAATTTCTCTGCTTTTAAGGGTTTATGTGATTAGATGCGGCCCACCCTGATAATCCAGGATGATCTCCCTATCTCCAGATCCATAACCTTGATCCCATCTGTAAAAAGCCCCTTTTGCCACATAACATAGCACATTCATAGGATCTAGGGATGAGGATGTGGATATTTTGAAAAAAGAAGGGATACATTATTCTGACTACAATAGTTGGCAACTTGTGGCAATGAAATCAGAGACTGCCTGGCAGTGGTGGCTCATGTCTGTAATCCCAGCACACTTTGGGAGGCTGAGGCAAGAGGATCACTTGAGCTGAGGAATTTGAGACCAGCCTGGGCAACATAGTGAGACCCCTTGCTTTCAAAAGAATTTTTGAAAATAGCCAGGTGTGGTGACATGTACCCGTAGTCCCAGCTGCTCAGGTGGCTGAGGCAGGAAGCTCTCTTGAGCCCAAGAGGTCAAGGCAATAGTGAGTCGTGATCATGCCACTGTATTCCAGCCTGGGCAACAGAGCAAGACCCTGTCTCAAAAAAAAAAAAAAAAAAAAAAAAGAACAGAGAAAAAGGAAGAAATCACAGATTCTAGTTCTCACCAACTCTCCATTACAATGGGGATTTTTACAAAGCTAACTACAAACTCGATGTGGCCCAATCCCCTCCACAACCACCATAGAGCAGCCCCAATAGTCTAAAATTGCTGCTCTTATTTTCTGTGGAGTAGTCTTCACCCATGTGTCCTTGCATCTGTACAGCTCTTCTCCATACATAGTTGCAAATTAGGACATGTGGACTATGAGCACCTGAATATAAGGTTTTCAAGAATAGTGTCTAGAATCCTTTATGTCATTGTCTTAGGAAAATGAGTTTTAACAGGTAGTCATTTTTCTATCCCTGCTGCTTCAAGCTCTAAGATGCTGCTAGGCTAACATCTAATAGTGTGTACAAGGGAAGTGCCAGTGTTATAACGAGTATCATAAGTTTCTACTCCTATCTACATGGAATTTTGCAAACTGATTTATCGTAGCCTATTAAAGCTACCAAGACCCATTCTATATCAGTTAGGATGCCTTCAGCTGCAAGAAAAAGAAACCGATTTAAACTGGCACACACAATATGAAAAATTACTATTTCACATTACAAGAAGCATGGACACGGATCAGACTTCAGGGTTAGTTAACTCTGTGGCTCAGAAAAATAATCAAGGTCCCAGTTTCATTCTCTCTCTCCACCCTGACATTCTTGTGTCTCAAGTAGGGAGCAAGGTGTCTGCAGCTCTTTCTGGCATCACATCCAATTAAAATAACATCCAGAGGAAGAAGGGCGATTGTCTCTTCCTGTGCCTCTATCTTTGTTGTGAGGAAACGTTTTCCTACAAGTTCCCCCGGTAGACTTCCCTCTGGTTTCATTGGCAGAATTGACCTAATTTTAAAGCAAGGCAAGGGAATGAGAACATGTCACTTCATCAAGGCCTTTCCTTGATCCCTTGATCACCCTTTTAAAACGGCAAGCGCTCCCGACAACATCTCCCAGCATTCCCTTCTGCCCCTGCTAAGGCCAGGTTTTTCTCCTTAGTTTTTATCAGCACACGATTTGCTTTGTTATTTGTACTTTTTCTTCCACACACATGAGAATGTCAGTTTCATTGTGTTAGGGATCCAGGGTTGTTTTATTCGCATAAAACAGTATGTGTCACATAATAAGGGTCTCTTGATATTGTTACATAATTGAATGAGTTATAACCCTTAAACTAATCAAGCCCTTGGTGCAAAAAGTAAGATCCACTTCTCCTAAGTCATATGGCTGTGGTGGGGAGGGTGAATTACAGAACAAAATTGAGTTAATGTTATGAGAAGGTGTGGGGAGTAAATGCTACATAGGCAACCTACATCCTCACTCTTCATTTCCCACCACGACCATCACCAATATTGACAGACAGGCATGTCAAATCTTAGAGGGGCTTACAGGTCTCAGGTTGTCTTTTCTTCCAAGGAGTCCTGGTCCAAACTAGACAGATAGAAACTATTTTTCAGAGCTCTATTTATGCTATCATCATTTAGGGTAGAAGGAATGATTACTGATCAAGTCCAGTGGTTTTATTTAATCTTTGCTATTCCAATAGTTGTAATACTTTATATAACTTACTCTTAGAATTCTGAGGAAACAATTTACCTAAAGTTTGCATGCTAATAAGAAGGGGGTTTCTCAGCCAGACAAAGTGGCTCATGCCTGTAATCCCAACACTTTGGGAGGCTGAGGCTAGAGGATCACTTGAGGCCGGGAGTTCAAGACCAGACTGGGCAACATAGGGAGACCCCCATCTCTATGAAAAATTTTAAAAATTAGCTGGGCGTGGAGGCATATACTTGTAGTCCCAGCTACTCAGAGGCTGAGACAGGAGGATTACCTCAGCCTCTAAGTAGCTGGGAGGGGGGGAAGGTGGGGTTTTCCTGGAAATAACCTACTAAAGAAATTAATGGAAGCAGTAAAAGGGCCTAAGGAAAGCCATTAGGCTGATATCAGGCTATTCAAAGCACCCCAGCTGGAGGCACCTGAGCAACACTTGGGAAAGGCAGCAAGCTTCATAATGAACATCAGACATTTATGGCATAATCCATAATATTTCCCAGCATATTCTGCTCTGAAGGTTTTTGAGAGCCTGAAGGTAGGGGATCACCAGGTCTTTTAAGATCTCCTCCTACACCCCTCCCTCAGAGAAGAACCAATATGTTCACTGCAGAGAGATGTAGATCGGGTGCCCGGTTGATGTCAATCCTAGAAATCTCTTTCCATTCTCCTTCCGAAGACCTTTCTTTACCTTTGAGAAGAAAACAAGGGGAACATTTGGTCTGTTTATCCTGAATCATTAGCATGGGAGGGTCTTGCTACATACATATTAGGTAGCTGCAAAAGTAATTACAGTTTGGGGCATTACTTCAATGGCAAAAACCGCAATTACTTTTGCACCAACATAATATGACCCAACCTAACCCAGGCTCCAGGGTACTCTTCCCCTTGCAAGCCACTTTGCCTAAGTAAGGCTTGCTTCCTTCAGAATCCTCACTTCACTTCGTCATTGCCCTCACCATCTCCCACAGGCTTTGTTCCCCTGGGGAGCTGATTCCACTCCAACAAGCAACCAAAGGACAGCCTGAATGACTTCTGCCAGTTTCCATCCCTAGACCTCCAAACTTCTTCCTGGAATTCCTTATAGCCTCTGGGGCCAGCTCCTTTCAAAGAAGCTAACCCTCTTTAGGCACTCCCTGAGGAAACCCTCATTATCATCTAATATTTCTATCATTTATTTTCTTGCTCAAATTGTTCCAACTTTGGCCACTGTTAAGAGCTACTCTGAGTTGGGGCACAGTGGCTCACGCCTGTAATCCCAGCACTTTGGGAGGCCAAGGCGGGTGGATCATGAGGTCAGGAGATTGAGACCATCCTGGCCAACATGGTGAAACCCTGTCTCTACTAAAAATACAAAAATTAGCTGGGCGTGGTGGTGCATACCTGTAATCCCAGCTACTCGGGAGGCTGAGGCAGGAGAATCACTTGAACCAGGGAGTCGGAGGTTGCAGTGAGCCGAGATGGCGTCACTACACTCCAGCCTGGTGACAGAGGGAGACTCAGTCTCAACAACAACAACAACAACAAAAAGAGATACTCTAGGTTGACACCTGTGTCTTTCCAGAAAGAGCTCTTTCTTTTTTACACACTTCCTTACTCCACAAGATGATCCAGGTTAGTTTTGTATTTTCCCAGCCTACCCAGGAATTTATCATTTCTTTATGAAGCTCTGGTTTTCTTTATTGAAAAACAGTGTTTAGAAACCAAGATCTGGGCATCAGGTGTATTCATTGCTGTAGTAGTGTCATTGCTTGCAGACCCTTTCAGCAGAGAGAGGTGGGAATGCATATCTATAGACTAACCTATGCATACACACATATCTATATTTTTGTACCTATCTATCTGTATATAGATCAAAGTCCATGAGTTTATGCTGATACCTCTGATTCTAGTCCAACACCATAGGTTTCATTTTAGCCTTACCCCTTTCCTTATCTGTAACATCTGTCTTCAATAGTGAAAGATCTGGCTTATTATCTACTTTCTGATTTATTCTATTTATTACATAAGTAGATATATTTACTTGTTTATTCAACTCCAGTATACGCATAAAGTATTTCAGGATTTCTAACCCATGACCCTGTGAGAGACACACCTACTAACTAAAATACATTACTTATATACAGTTATTTTTGTCTTTACAATATTTAGTTAAAATACCTTTTTCCAGAGTTACCTAGGTAGTTCATTCTCAGGGCAGACACAGCTAAACATGCTTTTAAGATCACACTTTTAGGTCCTGCTTTTAAATTTGCAGTCTAATTGAGTGTCAATTATATATTGTACCAGATCTTTGTCTTCCTTATCAGATTAAAGTTCTTCATTAAATAAGAATAGACTTGACTCTTGTGCATATTGTATTTATGCTATATTATTTTTCTATGTACTACTTCGGATGCCTGAGATGATCATTATAAATTACTTTTTATTATTCTAAATTTGTATTATCCCCTTAAGTGGTATATTGAATTGCTATAGTTCACAACCTCCAGCCATAAAATACAAAGCAATAAAATCTTCTAATTAATGCACACATATGCAAAGTTTATAATTAAATGCAAAGCTATAATTGGACCCAGTGCCCCATCTAACACAAAACAGCAATAGCAATGAACTAGAAGGAAAAAATAATAGCTGGAATACTCAGTCATTGAAGTTGAAATGGTTATTTACAATAACTTAAAGAAAAAACATTATTCCAGATTGTACAGAGAAGAAATATCCATAAAACCAATAAGGAGAAAATCTCTCTCAATTTATCATTACACAGGCGGATAAGGTCTACTATGCTTGTAACACACTAAGGTAGGGGAAGACCATAGCAAATTTATGGATGTGGTAGCTAAGGAAATAAGCTCATCTGTTGACTATAATCTACCCACATATACCCCTACACAGAGCCAAAAAAAAAAAAAAAAATACACACACACATATCTCCATTGCTGGGAGCCTTAAATTCCCACTTCTACTTGATTTTTCTTTTACAAATTTCCATATAAATATTACGACTCTTGCTGCAAATGGAGTTATTCTATCTTTGACTACAAAGTATTTCTGATGATATCAACTGACCTGCAAATACACTTTTCATGAATAACTTGTTCTTAAATTTTAAGAAATTAATAAGTTAGTAGTTCTGAATTTCATATGGAATGGAAAAAATCTACATTATTGTGTTCTATCAGTTTTAGGACCTAATTAACCAAAGTTGCTCCTCCCCTAGTCTTCTAATTGAGCAGTAAATGTCACCACTATCCACACAGCATCCCCTCAAGGCAGAGCATAGCAATCATTCATCATTCCTTTATTTCTCTCTACCGTGGGGCATGTTCAATCCATCAATATATCCTATTAGTTCTAGCTCCAAAATGCAGCATGAGTTCATCTCCATCTTTCGGTCTCTACAGCCACAGCTATAATCCAACCCTCTATCCACTATTAGTGGACCACTGAGGTAGCCCCTTAACTCCTCTCCTAATATTCACTTTCCCCACCTTGCATCCATCCTCTGTGACTGCAGCCACTCAGTCATTTTTCACAAATATAAATTGAATCATCATACTGCTTTGTTTAAAGAATGTTCAAGGCTTCCCATTTTCTTGTGGGTAAAAGACCATGCTTGGTCTGGCCCCTTTTGGGAACTCATCTTGACCCACTCTTCACTCCTCTCTGAACTCAAGCCCACAGCCATCCTTCAGCTCCTGGATCATTTCCTTTCTCCTCAGGGACTTTGCCTATTCCTCCCTCTCTGCTACACTTGCTTAATTCCTAACCATTGTTCATAACTCAATGCAAAAGTCACCTCCGCTAAGAAATCCTCCCTAGTCCCCACGTAAAAAGTCAGAGTACCTCTCACATATTCTCAAAATACAATGGACTTTTTCTTCACAGCACTAATTATAGTTGAAATTCTATATGTGTCTGGAAAATTATTTAATTACTATTTTTCTACCTCCACTAGACTACATGTGGGTTCTCTATAATGTCCTTTGCCCCTAAGAGCGTCAGAGTTTGGCACTTAGTAGGTAATCAATATGTATTTATTGAATGAATACTGGATAGAGAAAAGAAATAGCCTAAATATATGGAATTTTCACTTTTGCCTTCTTTATCAACCATCAACAGCAGGTGGAATAAAAATCCTGTCAGGGCACGTGAATCTCCTATTGTGATCCCTGAAGTTCTGCTGTGCTCAAGACAGATGGAAACCCTGCAGCAGCCTCGCAGAATGGCTCTCAGATATGACCTGCATATAAAGCAGAGAGCAGGATGATGCTCCAGAGCCGAGTGCCGGCAGCCTGTTGACATCCATAAAATACAAGGTTAGCTCCGGCTTTGACCCTCTCAGGTCCAGTAAAACATGGCAAAAATGTAGAGAAGGGGTGAGCTGCTGTCTTGGAATTATTCCAGACAATTTGAATATATGACCAATGTTTAAATATATGACTGTTTTTCAGCCACTCTGAATTATCTGCAAATGTGCTATCATCTTTTTAACCTCCAAAAGCAAGAGACTAAATGCTTTGACAGTGATTTTTCTTCTTTCTGGCATTTCCAGGTGACATATTTTAGTGAGATAAAAATAAGGGTAATGCTTTCTGACCCTCTCTTTTGTAACTCCCACAAAGATATCATGTCTTGACCATATGAGATGTGGAAGGCAGAGAAGTGACCAACCTGGGGAGGAGAGATGGCCACCCCTAGGAAGGAGCCAAGAGGCCAAACACTGGGCCCAGTGTATGCAGTGAATGCTCACTTGCTCCAGGAAGGAGGCAGTATGCATGTTTCTAGGCCCCAGGTGCTGGCTGAGCACACAAGGGACTTATGGGTGGCAGGAGTTCTGGGCATCAGGTGGTGCCTGAGCCATGGGCTGTGAAAGATGATAGAAGCAGGATCCCACTCTCAGAAAGGGGCCAGTAGTAACCAGGCAAGAAGAACCACTGTCCCTGGCCAAGTAAACTTGGTTTATGGAAAGTGGCAGGGGTAATTGAGAAAGAGAGAGGACAAAAATCCAACCAGACTGACTCTCCCCCTCGCTCATCACACTCATCTTTGAATTTTATTGAGATTCCATAAGTGTGTATGCTTTTAATGGGCTCATTTTCTGATTTTTGTCCCTGTGATGAATCTGCCAGGAACACCCCCAACCCTGGATCAATTCAACCACCTACATGTCCATTCACATATCTGATCACTAATCAGGTAACTCAGGAGAAAATTCTCCTGAGTGGGATGGTCCAATTACTAAAATTAATGACCTAGCTCACCTCCATCTGAACGTGCCCAGTGTACCCAGTCATCTTCCTCAAGATTCCATTTAAAAATACTGACATCTCAGTGGGCTCTTTCAACTTCTCCACTCCCATTATGTCCCATTCTCACCACGGCTCTCTGCCAACTGGACCTTCCATTTTATGAAGAAAACAAAAATCTTAGGGTAAAAAATAACTCAATCTCCTGCCCCTGCCCTTTGACTTGAAAAGGTATCTGGACTTTTGCTTTCTTCCTTTTTTATTTTTATTTTATTTTGTTATTTTTTTAAGACGGAGTCTCGCTCTGTCTCCCAGGCTGGAGTGCAGTGGCGTGATCTCAGCTTACTGCAAGCTTCACCTCCCAGGTACATGCCATTCGCCTGCCTCAGCCTCCCGAGTAGCTGGGACCACAGGCGCCCGCCACCACATATGGCTAATTTTGTTTTTGTATTTTTAGTAGAGACAGGGTTTCACCATGTTAGCCAGGATGGTCTCGATCTCCTGACCTCGTGATCCGCCCGCCTCAGTCTCCCAAAGTGCTGGGATTACAGGTGTGAGCCACCACACCCAGCCTTCTTCCTTTGAACCTCAGAAAAAGAGGTGACTCTTCTCAAAGTTAAGCTCTTCACGTGCACTCTGAATTACACCCTGTCCAAGTCCTCAGCAAACTTGCTCCATCAATTACATCCTCCTTTCCTTTCCTCTATCTTCAGCTTCTCTCTTGCACCAACTCTTAGCTACTTTTCCACATTAAAAAAAGAAAAGAATTTATTCCTTTACCTCTTTCCTTCCCTATTTTCCCAAGTGACTTAAAAGGCTCTTCTATACTCAAAAATGTCTCCTTTGTCACCTCCTATTCACCTGGCACAACTGAAGCAGCCCTCACCAAGTCAACAACTGCCTGCTCATGATGGAAACCAATGGACTCTTTTCTATGTTTCACTCACTGCATTTAACACAGTTGTCCACTTTCCTTTGTTGCCTCTTGTGACACCAGTCTCTTCTATCTTATTCTTATTCTCTATCGCTTCATAGACTCTCTCACCGATATCTCTTCTTCTCCCTTTCTCTTCTCACAGTACCCTTACTACTTATAAAATCTCACCCAGACCAGCTGTCACCAACCACATATATACAGAGGACTTTCAAAGAGCCGACCCTGATCTCCTGAGCTCCAGGCTACTCTGTGCAAAGAGTCTATTAATTGTTTCTATTTGGAAATCCCAGAACGATCTCCAACTCATCACATCCCAAATTGAACTCATGTGCTTCCTCACAAAAATTCCTTATTTTATTGTTTTCAGTCTCTGATAACTACTCAGTTCGCCCTCAGTCACCCAAACCCAGAGCTTGAGAGTCAGTCTAGAATCTTGCCTATCATTTGCCCTTCACACACAGTTGTTCACCAAATACTATTGATTTTTCCTCTTAAATACGTCTTAACAGCTCTACTCAAGTCTATCTTCACTTTCATTGCTACAGTTAGGGCGCTCATCATTACTTTCCTGAATTGTAGTAAGGGATTCCACTCCTAATTTACCTCATCACCTCTGCTATACTCTTGTCTTAAATTTGTCCTCCAGAGTTCTCTGCTTTTATTTTGTAAAAGACAAACTTTGGGGAAAATAACAAAACTTCTAGCATATCACATAAATGATTCCCAATCTGAAGAACACCATTACTTCCCCTCATAATCAGTATATTATAGGTAAGTTGATAATACTTATTGCATAATGTTTTTGTGAGTTCGTTATATGTAAAAGGTTTAGAAGAGGGTTCCATACAAAAGAGTGCTCAAAAAATTATGTAATCTTCTACTAAAAACTCACTAATGTTCAGTAAATAAATAACTGAGATGCTCAGCAGAGGATTTGGTGATTTGCATCCCAGTGTTAAGAAGGTGCCCAGAAAACCAAGTGTGGGCCCAGCAGACTTCAGATTCCAGTTTACTTGGGAAGAAATGGTTGACATGATATCAGTTAAGGCCTTCAGTGGTTTAAAGATTGAATTTCTGATTTCTACAACCCACATGTAAGTAGGCAGAGCAATTTGGGATAAAGAGTACATTAACCATGAGATTTCTTTGTCTGTTTCTTATTTTTACCTCTATTGGGAATGATTTGTTAGCATTTCCTTCTTCGCTTTTTAATTTTTTTGAGATCTTTTAGAATAGACACATACAGGATAAGATGAACTGTATTTCACTCAGTGAATTAGAAACATGTTCTAACTCATGCTGCCTGGGTAATGGGTGATAAGATCTTTGCTTTTTCTGTCTGAAATCTTTGAGCATCAATACATATAGGATAAGAACTATATTGCACTTAGTGGAAACTCAAGTTATAACTGATGTTCCCCGGGTAATTAATGATGAAAAAATGATCAAATGATGACAATGAAGATGCTGATCAACAGTGTCTCTTCTCTAACCCACCTATATGACATAAGTTTGACGAGAGAAATTTCTAGAACCTGGTAACCTTAAGGAGGGTTTTACATGAAAATACAGTCATCTTGCAGAATCACAGGTGGCAGACCTTGTCTCTGTCAGAGGCACTGAAATTTATGCTGCAAAAGTACGTCTCTGTGCTCTTTCACATCAACCTCCAAGACATGCCTGAACTTCCATTAATGATCTGTCATTGTTATTTATCTAAACCAGGCTGACAAGCTATTTACGTTATTAGCTCCCTCTAACATTTGTGGAGAGTGAGTTTCTCACATTCCAAACTTATTTCTTTCAGCTCTAAAGGGGTCACTCTGGTATACCCAGATTTGGGGGAAAAAAACAATAAAGGGCTAAAGGAGAAAACGCTTGAGTAAAACCATGAGATAAAATGGCAAAATACCGTTTCCCCAAATCTTTCACTGGGGCAGGATACAGCCACTACTTTCATTCGACACAAAGACCACAAACCACTGCCAATAATGAAGAAACCTATTTTACTTCAATAATTATGGCCAGAAAAGCCCTTTTTTTTTTTTTTTTTTTTTTTTTTTTTGAGATGGAGTCTCGCTCTGTTGTCCAGGCTTCCAGGCTGGAGTGCAGTGGCGCGATCTCGGCTCACTGCAAGCTCTGCCTTCCGGGTTCACGCCATTCTCCTGCCTCAGCCTCCCGAGTAGCTGGGGCTACGGGCACTCGCCACCACGCCCGGCTAATTTTGTTTTTGTATTTTTAGTAGAGACGGAGTTTCACCATGTTAGCCAGGATGGTCTCCATCTCCTGACTTTGTGATCCGCCCACCTCGGCCTCCCAAAGTGCTGGGATTACAGGTGTGAGCCACCACGCCTGGCCAAAAGCACATTATTTTTTAAAAGAGAGACTAGCTATTACATTTTAGACATTTTTATTCTTCTTACTCCTTATTGTTCTAGGATTCAGAAAAGATGTTCATACAATTTACTTGTCTATATAAACATATGGTGCTAGTGCCTAGCCCGGGGTAAGTATGACAAATGATCATCATTACTGTTGTTATTATTGTCATTATGATTATCAGCTCCCATACTCCAGTGGGGATATGACCAGAGGACAGAGGCAACTCTTAGTATGTATTAGTATATCTTCTATTTAGGGAGATTAGGTAGATAGATAGATAGATAGATAGATAGATAGATATGTTCACATATACATATATAAACAAATGTATACATATACACGAACGACTTTTGCATTTATCACATCACCTTCATTTAGGATCCCTGTGACATGGGCAAGGCAATATAATTATCGTTTTTTTTTTTTTTTTTTTTTTTGGAGACGGAGTCTCACTCTGTTGCCCAGGCTGGAGTGCAGTGGCGTGATCTTGGCTCACTGCAACCTCCGCTTCCCAGGTTCAAGCAATTCTCCTGCCTCAGCCTCCCAAGTAGCTGGGATTACAGGCACCAGCCACCGTGCCTGGCTAATTTTTATGTTTTTAGTAGAGACGGGGTTTCACCATCTTGGCCAGGCTGGTCTTGAACTCCTGACCTCGCAATCCACGCACCTCGGCCTCCCAAAGTGGTGGGATTACAGGCGTGAGTCACCGTACCCAGCCTCTGTAATGTAATTATCTTAATTTTACATACAGAAAAACTACACCAAATGAAGCAGATCAACTTTGCCACAGCAATCAATGGAAGATTTGTTCCTGAATTTCTGCCTTTCAGTCTCCTAGCTTTTTGCTCTTTCCTTTTGAGGTTGAAGGATTGGGATGCAAGGGAGGTCGGAGATGAAAGACAATATTACAGGAAGCTCTTCTCGAGGTTATCTGTGTCCCACAACATATACAAGATATAGAGTTGTCGGCCGGGCGCAGTGGCTCACGACTGTAATCCCAGCACTTTGGGAGGCCAAGGTGGGCGGATCACGAGGTCAAGAGATCGAGACCATTCTGGCCAAATGGTGAAATCCCGTCTCTACTAAAGGTACAAAAATTAGCTGGGCATGGTGGTGCTTGCCTGTGGTCCCAGCTACTCGGGAGGCTGAGGCAGGAGAATTGCTTGAACCCAGGAGGCAGAGATTGCCGTGAGCTGAGATCACACCACTGCACTCCAGCCTGGTGACAGAGCAAGACTCTGTCTCAAAAAAAATATATATATATATATAGAGAGAGAGAGAGTTGTCAAGCAATTGATTTTGTTTGTGGCTGTGGCTTATAAAATTTGTCCCTTTAGTTTGTTATTATCTTTGAAAAATTAATTGTAAATAGGCATTAGCCTACATTCATGATTTATTGTTTGTTGCACCAGCGTGAAAAGTCAGAACACCGCACTACAAGGGCTCAAATTTTTCTTTGAATTTATAATACTTGTTCTAAAGGAGAAGAAGTGAGATTCTGACAAGCATGGGCTGATTTCCCATTATGTTTCCTAGCTTCTTGGCTCAATAAACTAGACCTTCAACAGTGCCAAACAGACGTTGACTGCCCTGGATCACCCAAGGTATGCTGGAGGCCTTAGGAGACCATATGTTAGGCATCTGACATATGTTAAAAAAGAGCTGGTCATATTTCTGAAGCGGATTTCCATAATGGAGCTTCAGCAGTGCTAGAATCAGCCCTGTAGCTCATCATGTTTAATTCATGCTTAATTACATTTGAATCCGTGAACTTTCCATGAAGTCTTTACAATTGCACTTCCATTGCAGTAGTCGTACTTGCTGAATTTTTCTGCTTTAAAGACAAATGTCAGTGCCTTGTGAAATTTCACAATTATGCTATTCACTGTCATTTTTCATCCAGCTATAAATCAACATAATTTGATGATAGCTGTACAATTATGAAAATACTATCAAGTAGACATCACCTATGTGAACCTAATGCTAACCATTATTGTAATGAAGTCAGTTAAAGTTAGGAAATTCCTAGCCAGCCTGAACTTAACAGAACATGAAGTCATTTAACTTAATTGAAAGCGTTGGTTGAGTTTTTCTACTTCGGCAATAGAAGTTCTACACAAATTAGAGCTGCTTAAGGAAGTATTGCCTCCATAGTTGTCTTTAACACAGAGCAGGCAAGATCACCAGATTCACAGTGGTATTCCATACTCAGTCAACCTTCCTTTCTAAGTACCATTTGATTATCTGCTACTGTCATGTTTACATCAAGTGCTATAAAGCCTGGTATCAGAAAGTCATAGAATCATAGCTGAAAATAATTTTACAGATTCTCTATTCTCTACGTTCATTTAACAAATGAGAAACTCAGACCCAGACTGTCCTAAAAATCACAGTTCTAGGGCAGTAGACTGGAACTGAAGCTCAAATTTCCTGACACCAAAGCCAGGGATAGTTTGGGTCATGCACATGTCAATAAGGGTCATTGAGAGTCACAAGTAAAGCCTGAAGCTTTGCTCCTGCGTGAGAAATGCAATACCAAAGAGTAGAACTTTGTTTCCTTCTCCACCCAAACAGATCATTGCCTCTAGTCTGGCTTTATGCCTGAAAACCTCACCATTGTATGTCTTTCTCTAAATTTACACCGTTGCATTCCTAGGAGAATATTGTTAAAATGGAAATCATGTATTATACAACAGGGGCTATCACCTGAAATTGTCCAAGGAATCCTTCAGCATGAATAACAAGTTGGAAATCAGGGCCTAAATGGGTGGGACAGGGGACAGATCATATTTGATGGAGGTAACTGACAGAATGCAATGACAAGAAGGGACATTGGACATGGTTGAGAACAATAGTGAGTACCTGGAATCTGAAGGTCTGGATAGGAAACAAGCTTTGGAGGGGCAGAAGTGAGTGCTTATAATAGACTGGGAAATAAGAGACAAGGCTCTGATGAAGAGCATTGGAGCAGATGACTAATACACACACACTAGAAACCATGAATGACCAATGACCAGTGTTACCATCTCTGGAGAAGAATTTTATCTCCATTGAGTGTTTTCCTTTTTTAACCCCTTCTCACTCAGAAAAGGCAAGAAAACTTCTGTGTCTATCTTAAATACTCTTGCCTAAGGTTTTCTCTGGGCATGTATGGCCAAAAGGTGGTTGATCCTTTAGCCAGAAAGTCCGTTTTAGAAAAGCTTCCCTGAGTTCAGACAGCAGCAGAAAAGCTCCCAAACAAGTCGTCATCATCCCATCATTTTGCTACAAAGCTTCCTCAAGAATGTTGTAGTAAGTTCTGAAGTCCACGAAGTACAGGAGAAGACATACAGTGAGCATCTGAGCATCTGGCAACACTTATGCCTCCCTCCCCTTTACCCCACCTTCAAACCTTGTGTGTGCTGTGCTGGACAAGGTGATTATGGTGGCACTTAGGGGTTCTAAGCTAAGCAGGTCCTGCTCTGCTTTAAACTGAGTAAATATATAATGGGGTGGGCAATTCCCATTGAGAGGTAACGCCCTCTTGGGATAAGAAGACGTTATAGTTACAAGACACTTTCTGGTGTGTTTAAGTCAATCCACAGCAAGCCCCTATGCTGCATAAATCAATAAGAGTAGAAAGAACACAGAAACACAAACCCTACTGTCACAAGCTTAGAGCCCCATGGAAGAGAGACAGCATCTCTGTAGAAAGATGGCCAAAAATATCAAGGTCAGAGGAAGGGAAGGCAAGAGAGAAATGGGTGGAAAAGGAAAATGTAAATGGGTGAAGGACAAAGGATACCACATATACCTTTAAGTAGACGATAACAACAGTTATGTGAGCACTGTGTTCTCACCACCATGCTATGATTGATATACCTTATCTTATTCGATGGTATTTATGACTTTAGATCTCCCAGAAGAAACTGTAATAATTAGTAGATTCATACCTGTCTCCAAATACTTACCTAAAGGAGAAGTAACTGAGCAAATGTACATCATTTATGGATGACAAAATTGGTGCCTGTGGTTTGATAACAGAAAGTCAATGGCAGAAGCTCTGCCTTATAAGCCTTCCTTGAGAAACACTATCTGCTATTTTATCAGCTTTGCTTTGAATGTCCCCTAATAACTGTCACAGCATCCTGGGTAGAGCAGATGCCCAATATTCACTTCTTGGTTTGCTTAGGGTTATAATTTTTTGTATCCTGAGGGACTCCCCAATTTTGTCATTAGTGAGTGTCCAAATCCTTACCCCTCAGTTTGTTAGCAATTCAGATTTCCAAAATGCTTGACCAAACATAGCCAGAGAAGACCCACTGTGAACCTTTGCCTGATGTATCCTCAACATGTACAATCGTGAACCTCTCCCTCCTTTACCTCCACGTACCCACAAGCTCTTCCAAGTGCAAAGTCACCCAGAAGTACAAAAGGCACAAATGCAATTGAGAGATTCATGATGCAAAGACAAAACGTGGCCCAGAAAGTGCTAGAGGCTGAGGGAACAATAGCGCTTGTCATGCTTGCAACTTAGCTCAGACCCGACCAATCAGGTAGGAAAGAGAGCTCACTAAAATGCTAATTAGGCAAAAACAGGAGGTAAAGAAATAGCCAATCATCTATTGCCTGAGAGCACCGCACGAGGGACAATGATCGGGATATACACCCAGGCATTCAAGCTGGCAATGGCCACCTTCTTTGGATCCCCTCCCTTGTATGGGAGCTCTGTTTTCACTCTATTAAATCTTGCAACAGCAATAAATAAATAAATTAATTAATTAATTAATAATAATAAACAAAGACATTTTCACCCAGAGCAGGCCAAACCTTGGTCTGCCAGCTTTGAAAATGCTGGCCACAATATGACTTCAGTTTGCCAGGATAAAAGAGATTCTTTTGTGGAACACCCTCTGGGTTCAGGGAAATAATTAACTGTGGCTTCCATAGGCTAGGATTATGCCAGGTGGAAAAAACTACGTGCTTTAATCTGCTTGATCTGAAATGTGAAATTGGGCCTAAACACTTACTAGTGCTCTAAATGCTGCTGGGAGAACTGAGGTCTTGTTGCCTTAGACCTTCTGTTCTAAGCCTAGGCTTTTCTTTTACATTTCCACATTAATTAGAATTCTTTATAAGGGAGAGAATAATTGTTCTGGCTATTATGTACTATCAACAGACCGTTTTTAAGCTTTTACCCAAAAATCAGTGATTAGACCTCAGTCAGCATGCCTTCTGGTTACCCTCGCTTAGCCCTTCACACTTGCTGAGCAGGCAATAGTCGATCCTGTGGTTCTGAGATTAGAAAAATATTAGGCCTCCTTCCACCTTTAATCTCTGTGCCTACAGAGCACTGAGGGGAGAAGACCAAAGATGAGTGCTCCTCCTGGGACCAAAGCAGAATATAACTCACTTTTAGAAAAGAGACAGAGAAAGCCCTTCAGAGGCATATGGGAGGCAGGCCTGAAGCAACACAAGGTCACATTCAAAAACTAGGGCACAACCAGGCTGGCAATGCGGACTCTCAAGAATGAGGTGGGTTGGTTTGCACAAAGCAATAAAATGAGACCAGAGCCAGAAGAGCGAGAGGGCATCGGCCTCTCCAGATGGAGACTCTGGATGGTGCTGGATGCTGCTGTGTGTGCCGGCTTGACGGTGGCTTGTCACTGCCATTTATTTGCCATCAGGAGCACAGCCATCATGCATGGGAGGTTACTAAACCAACAAGAAACACACATTCACTGCCTTAGTATGTCACTCTGCTCTGTCCAGTCTTTCTAAATTGTAAGGAATATTTTCCAAAAATAAAGAGGATCCGTGTAACTAAGCACTCAAGGAATAGCAAACACTGTTAATGAAGAGTCAGACTCCATTTTTGAGGATTGAATGCCGACAGCTTTTAAGCCCTACTAGTCCTCCTTCCTCTCTGCCCCACATCTGAGCACGCTCTTAAGACAGCCCAGGTGGTCTCCCTTTTGGCATCAAAAACAAGTCCAAATAACAGAAGCCACTGTCCATGCACAGAACCCTCACCCTGGCCACACCTCACTAATCACTATAAAAATCTCCTTTCTCTGCCTTCTCAAGCTGTTTTCAGACCAGCTTTGGAGCTTTCCTTGCTCTCCACAGAGAGTCTCATTCTATGAGTAATAAACCTTTGCACATTCTTGGTGCATGTATGATTTCATCTCAACCAAATTTGAGTTAGGGGTCCACCCCACCTCTGTGGGTTGACCACAACACATTGTTTAAAATGCATAATGGCAATACTTGGCCAGGAGACATCAAAGACTTTTTGTTTTGTTTTGTTTTGAGAAGCCTATATAGAAATAACCATTCTTGCTGCACTTTATGCAAATAATCAGGCCAAGTATAAAGTTTATTCATAATTAGTTTTTAACCAAAAATGAAAACTGGAGAGAAGAATTTTGCTCCAAAGCTTATCATATATTTGTCATTAATTCCTAGTTTCACGAATTGTTTTCAGGCTTTTCGCCTACATTTTAGACCAACCCTGCTTATCTCTGTGAATCAAGCGGTGATCTCCTGCAGCTTGGACAAAAGAAAAGGGGATGGGTGACGCAAAACTTTAAATCAATATGCTAGTTCTGGGCAATTAACCTGCAAATTATGTCAGGTAATGAAAGTAAGTAGGATGCCCATAACCCAGAAATTTGTTTGGGAAAATAAAACCAAGAAACTTCATAGACCCCCAAAGGGAAATTTTATATCTTAGCAAGTAAAATTTTAGATGGAAATTATCTACTATACCACACTTGTGGGAATCGCTATTCTCACTCTGCTATTTGCAATAGGGTTATACACGGTAGCACCTTCTAACTGAAATATTGGACACAGAGTGTTCATTGCTGTATATTTTGCTTAATTATTATCCTTATAGCAGGGATAATAGTCACTAACAAAAAGGAAGCATGAAAGTTTTGCTATCACTAAGTCTGCTGGAACTTTTTATTGGGTTTAGTAATGCACTTTTAAGTGAAACATGCTGCTTTTGGATCAACACATCTAGTAAAGAAAAATCTACAGGTACTTAAAACCCAAATCAAAATTATTAACAGGCTCTGGGAAAATGCCAGCTTCAGCCCTGGGTGGCTACAATCCCAAGACATATTCTTAAGTGTAGAAAGCAATTTGCAAAACGACATGGGCTGTAAGATTTCATTTATATTAAAATAAGTATTTTTTATATGTGTATATATATAATGATCTGAAACCTGTTAACCAGGGCAGTGCAGAATATGGAGGAGTTGAATATGTTTTAAACTAATTGAAAAAACAGTTTTTACTCATCAAACAGGCAAAGACTTTTTTTTTTTTAATTATACTTTAAGTTCTAGGGTACATGTGCACAACACGCAGGTTTGTTACATATGTATACATGTGACATGTTGGTTTGCTGCACCCATTCACTCATCATTTACATTAGGTATTTCTCCTAATGCTATCTATCCCCCTTCCCCTATCTCCCCACCCCATGACAGGCCTCAGTGTGTGATGTTCCCCGCCCTGTTTCCAAGTGTTCTCATTGTTCAATTCCCACCTATGAGTGAGAGCATGCAGTGTTTGGTCTTCCGTCCTTGCGATAGTTTGCTGAGAATGATGGTTTCCAGCTTCATCCATGTCCCTACAAAGGACATGAACTCATCATTTTTTATGGCTGCATAGTATTCCATGGTGTATAAGTGCCACATTTTCTTAATCCAGTCTATCACTGATGGACATTTGGGTTGGTTCCAAGTCTTTGCTATTGTGAATAGTGCCACAATAAACATACGTGTGCATGTGTCTTTATAGCAGCATGATTTATAATCCTTTGGTATATACCCAGTAATGGGATGGCTGGGTCAAATGGTGTTTCTAGTTCTAGATCCCTGAGGAATCTCCACACTGTCTTCCACAATGGTTGAACTAGTTTACAGTCCCACCAACAGTGTAAAAGTGTTCCTATTTCTCCACATCCTCTCCAGCACCTGTTGTTTCCTGACTTTTTAATGATTGCCATTCTAACTGGTGTGAGATGGTATCTCATTGTGGTTTTGATTTGCATTTCTCTGGTGGCCAGTGATGATGAGCATTTTTTCATGTGTCTGTTGGCTGCATGAATGTCTTCTTTTGAGAATTGTCTATTCATATCCTTTGCCCACTTTTTGATGGGGTTGTTTGATTTTTTTCTTGTAAATTTGTTTAAGTTCTTTGTAGATTCTGGATATTAGCCCTTTGTCAGATGTGTAGATTGCAAAAATTTTCTCCCATTCTGTAGGTTGCCCAAACAGGCAAAGACTTTTTAAAAGTGGATACCCCATATTGATGGGGATGTGAGGAAATGGGCATTCTCTGTACCACCAGTGAGCTTTGGAGAAAACTGAGTTATATATACACATAAATGGCTGCAAAAATGATCAAATCCTTTGACCCAGTAATTCCATTTCCAGTAATTAATCCTAAGGGAAAAAATCAGAGCTATGCTCAGCAATTTATATATAAGAATTACATTAATTTTTATTTCTATGAATGGAACACATGTGCATGTTTGAAACATAAAATAGGTTATAAGGCTTACAATACAGCATAAGCCTCTAGTGAACATAGCAGCCCTGACTCAAGGTTCCCCATTCCCATAAGCCCATTCATCAGATTCCACCTCCCTCCACTCTTTGATGTTTCTTCTAATATGTAACTCCATATTTTTAAATAATATGCTTACCTTGCTGCTTTTTGTTTTGCCAGTTTTAGACCCACTATCTTGATATTATTATTGGGGCCAAGATATCCACTCTCCCCTCATCATCAACCCCACTCATCTTTACTTTCTGTCCTTTCCTGCTCCCAATTTTGTTATATCACAACCTTCATTTAATATCATTATAGCTGTGTAAATATTGCATTAATCCAAGAACTGTGCTGTGATTACATGATTTCCTTTCCAGTACAATGTTTTAAGTTAATAGTTGTTATTTCTATGTAATTATCTCTAATATTTTCCTAATGTTTGCGGATGTTTAAATAGATCATATAGTCAGTCCTCCCTCCCAAGAACTTCCTAGGACTTCCCTTTCTTCCTTCTCTTGTGTTACATGAATATCCATTTTTCTTGGTCTTTATCTTTGTTTACTCCCTAGTTTGCTTAAGCACAACTTCCAGCAGCTTCCCAAAAAGAGGAACAAGGGAGATCCTTCTCTTTTTTTCTTTCACTATTTGTATGTCTGGAAAAACCTTTATTTCTTTTATAATTTCCTCATCTTTGTTTTTGATTTCTCTCTTATTAACCTGATGTTGAACTTTTTAGATTGCTCTAATATCCTTCTCTTTCCTCCGTATTCTGTTTTTGTTCTATTTTCTCAGAGTTCCTCAACTTCATCCTCCAATCCTTTTATTGAATTGTTTATGTTACTACCATATTTCTCATTCTTAAGGGCTCTTTCTAATCCCTTGATTATTTCTTTTTATAGCACCTGTGTTTGTTTTATAGATGTAGTATCTTTTATTGCTCTGAAGATATTAAATATAGATTTTTGTTTTCTTCTTCATCATCTCTGTTTTTTATGGGTCCTTTTTTATTTGTTTGTTTGTTTGTTTTTTCCTTTAATGGTGGATGACTTGCTGAAATATACAGTGTTCTTTGGCTGTACATTCACATTTAAGGCTGGCAATTCCAAAGCTGCTGATTGGAAGCTCAGTGTTCATGATTCTGACTCGTCTATCAGTGGAAGTGTGGCATGCATGGCCATGATTTGTCCACCGATGAGCGAATTTGGAAGATGTTTAGCTCTGAAGTAAACAAGGCTTGGTGAGAGAGCAAATGTTACAATCTGGGGATCCCAACTCTAGAAGTGTTATATTTCTCCAAAAATTATCTAATTCCCTGCTGGAGGCGAGGGAACTTTGTGAATACACATCATACTCCTGGCAGTGGGACAGTGGGAGATCACTGATGATTCTAAATATTGGTGGAGTTTCATTTAATGGCCTGCTTTCAGCTCTGTGCCCTCCCTACTCCCTGCCTTCTATAGTACCGTTGTAAGTACTATGATACCTAGTGTGACTAGGAGAAGGAAGACAGACAAATTGACAGCAGGGACAGATGAAGTGTAGAAACTAAAGAAACTGTTAGATTACTGGAATGAAGTGGCATACTCTTCAGAATAGATGGGGCTGGAGTCTTCTACAAGACCAGTATAGCTTATTGACACTTAAGGTTTCCTAAAGATGAATCCTACTCTTAGGACTAACTCTGGCCAACATAAGGAGATAAAATGTTGTAAGCCGGATAAAAAGTACCAGACAGCAGCCTCACATAGAGTGATATTGCTAAAATAAATCTTCCTGGTAGCTGGTCTGAAGCTCACTGTTTCTGTGTATTGGATTTTAGCCTATTTTTATAGTCATGCATTCCCATAAAGACACTTATTACAGACTGCAAAGACCTGATTATGAAGAGTAGTTACAGAAAATGAATTATGCAAAGGAAAGATCTTACATTCTTAATACAAATACTTGTTAACAAATATGCAGCAGAGAAACAATAGGCTAAAAACCAGCTACTATCTTAAAAATAAATGCTTACTATTCTAAGAAATGTATTGTTTACAAATAACCTGTATCATCTGGTAAATTTATGTGAATGACATCCCACAACTTCAAGCAGATGAAAAGGGTTTAGTCCATGAGGGCTTTACCTTGCGTCATCACTGGGAGGGAACGAAGAAATGTCTCTCCACATTCTTTCTAGACTCTCGGTTCAAGTTAGGCTCATGTCAGGATTAAGAAAATTTCACTTCTCAAGCTACTTTGGTATAATGCTGAAAGAAATAAAGCCAATTGTCCATAAGGTGAGTTCAGAGATGGCTTTGACATGACCTAAAGGATTTGGGGTCCCAACTCCCAGTTTAAGGATGGTGCTTTCTTGCTGCAGATAGCTGAAAAACTGTTCTACTGAACTTCTCTTGCATTAGTCATGGTTCTCCAGAGAATAGAACCAATAGGAGATACACAGACACACCCACACACATACACACACACACACACACACACACACACGGGAATGTATTGCAAGAATTCTCTCACACGATTATGGTGGCTGAGCACCCCATAACTTGCCATCTGGAGAACTAGCAAAGCTGGTGATGTAATTCAGTCCAAGTCTGGGGATGATGGTGCCAAGTCCCAGTCCAATTAGCTTAAACAGAGAGAGAAAATGCACTCTTATTCTTCCTTTTTATTCTGTTTAGGCCCTCAGTGGATTGGATTATGCCCATCCACATTGGTAGGGGCAATCTTTACTCAGTCTACTGATACAAATGCTTTCTTCTGAAAACATACTTATGGACATACCACAGACATTACGTTTTACTATCTGGGCATCTCTTAGCCCAATCAAGTTGACACATAAAATTAACCATCTGTGTACATGTGAGAAGTTCTATAGTGTACAACTCCAGGGAGGTAGACTTAGTACAAACTCCAATAGATACCACATAACAATTCAAATATTGATTAGATGTAATGCCACACATCTACTTATGCATATACCTACCCATATCTAACCATGCTTATATATTATAGTTAGAATAAGTGGTTAAATTATCTTATGGAATGCCTTTCAATCCTCAAGGTTATAAATAGGTACCCCTCCTGTGTGCAAACATGGAATCCTATACTTACTTTACACTGTTAGTAATTATTTACCTATTTACACTTCTGTCTGCTTAGTTCTGAAGGCAGGTATGAGTTGTGATAAATCATTATATACCCTATCTAATGCCTAGCACAGTGCTAGGTACATAGCAGATGCTCAATAAATATTTGCTGCATGAAGGAGTAGCTTACAATGTCTTTACGAAAAGCTCCTTAAAAATCTTGCCTCACTTCTGATTCCTGCTTCTAAATCACCTGGGGTAAATATAAAAGTGCAAAGGGAGTGAAAAAGTAGAGAAGGGTCAAATTGTCAAAATAAATGAACTCTTTTCATGTACCTAAACCTATTTTTGGAACTCAAAAATTGAAAACTACAACTCTATTTATTAAAATATTTTGAAAGAAGTTGATACAATCACTTAGCAAACAGTTTTTACTTTTTTTTTTTTTGAGACAGAGTCTCTCTCTTTCTCCCAGACTGGTGTGCAGTGGCGATCTTGGCTCACTGCAACCTCCACCTCCCGGGTTCAAGCGATTCTCCTGCCTCAGCCTCCTGAGTAGCTGGGACTAACAGGTGCACGTCACCACCCCTGGCTAATTTTTTCTATTTTTAGTAGAGACGGGGTTTCACCGTATTGCCCAGGCTGGTCAGGTTGGTGTCAAACTCCTGAGCTAAGGCAATCTGCCCACATCGGCCTACCAAAGTGCTGGGGTTACAGGCGTGAGCCACCATACCCAGCCTACACTCTTTTAAAGTTTAATTAACATAGCCGATGAACTAGCAATTCTAACATAGCCTATGAACTCTTGCATATGTGCACAAGGGACATGTACAAGAATATTTATTGCAGCTTGGTCCACAACACCTGATAAATGAAAACATCTGAGTGTCAACTGAGAAGAGAATGCTAAAATAATGGAATGGTGAGTGTTCTAAAATAAACTAGCGCTGCATACAACAATAAGGGTCACTCTTAGAAACATGGGGTGGTTCATTTTGTGTGTCATCATGGCTAAGCTATAAAGCCCAGATCTTTGGTCAAAACTTAGTCTAGATATTTCTGTGAAGCTATTTTTATATGAGATTAACATTTACAATCAGTAGACACTATGTAAAGCAGAGTCCCCCAACTCCATAATGTGGGTGGGCCTCATTTAATCAGTCGATGCTCTTAAGAGCAAAGATTGAGGTTTCTCACAAAAGAAGAAATTCTTCCTAAAGACTGCAACATAGAAATCCTGCCTGAATATGACTCCAAAAGCACAAACAACAAAAGTAAAACTAGACAAATGAGATTATATCAAGCTAAAAAAATCTCCTGAACTACAAAGGAAACATTCACCAGAGTAAAGAGACAACCTCTGCAATGGGAGAAATATTTGCAAAGTATGCATTAAATAAGGGGTTAATATCCAAAATACATAAGGAGCACAAACAACTAAATAGCATGAAGTCAGATAATGTGATTTTTTTAAATGGGCAAAATACCTGGATAAAAATTCCTCAAAAAAAGACACATGAATGGCCAATAGGTATATGAAAAATATTCAGTGGTATCTGTAATCATCAGGGAAATGCAAATTAAAACCACAACGAGATATAACCTTACACTTGTTAGAATAGCTGTTATCAAAAAGATGAAAGAAAAAAGGTGTTGGTGAGGATGTAGAGAAAAGGGAAACCTGTATACTGTTGGTGGGAAGGTAAATGAGTGTGGCCATTAAAGCAGTTTGGAGATTTCTCAAAAAATTGAAAATAGAGCTACCATATAATCCAGCAATCCCACTAATGGGTATGCATCCAAAGGAGATGAAATCAGTATATCAAAGAGATTATCTTCACTCCCATGTTCATTGCCCCATTATTCAAAATAGCTTAGATATTGAATCAACCTAATTATCCATCAACGGATGAATGAATAAAGAAAATGTGGTATATGAACACAATAGAATACTAGTCAGCCTTAAAAAAGAAGGAAATCTTGTCATTTGTGACAACATTGATGAAACTGGAGAACATTGGCTTGAGAGAAATAAGCCAGGCACAGAAAGACAAATATCACATGATCTCACTTATATATGGAATTTTAAAAAGTCAAATACATAGAAGCAGGGTGGAATGGTAGTTACTAGTGCCTGGTGGTGGGGGCAGTGAATTGTGTGGATGTTGGTTGAAGAACACAAAATTTCAGTTAGACAGGAGGAATAACTTCATGAGACCTATTGTACAACATGGTGACTATAAGTTCATAACAATATGTGAAAATTGCTGAGCAAGTAGATTTTGAGCTTTCTCATTACAAATAAGTATGTGTGGTGATATATATATATTAACTCAATTTAGCCATTTCACAATGTACACATTTTTCCAAACACTGTGTTGTATACCATGAATATATACAATATTTGTTAATTTAAAACAAATAAAAAAGAGGAAAAAAGAAATCCAACCCTGCCTGAGTCTTCATTTCCAGCCTGCTGGCCTGGCCTAGACATTTTAGACTTGCCAGTCCTCACAGTTGCATGAGTCAATTCCTTAAAATTTATCTTGCTCTCTTTCTCTTGGTCCCTCTCTCTTTCTCCTATTGACTCTGTCTCTGTGGAGAGTCTTGACAAATACAAAACATAAACGTTGGTGCAAAAAAGCATATAAAACTGAGTATAGTGGTACTGTTCTACCATAATTAGAAAGGTCAAATAGAGGGAAAACTAAACAATATAATGTTAGGAATATATACATATGTGGAAAAATTATCTTAGGAAAGGATAAGCACAAATGCATAAATGCATATTATTGCTGTGCATGGAGTCAGGGGAAGTGGCTTCCATTTTGCATGTGTTTGGTAAAGTTCTGCTTGTTAAGTAGGGTGATAGGTTCATGAGTAGTTTATTATTATGCTTTACATTTTACATGTATATTAAACATAGACTTTTTATAAAGCAAATATTTCTTTAATAAAAAATCTTATAGGCGCCTATAAAGGAACGTTGTACTGGGCTTTTTTTTTTTTTTTTTTTTTTTTTTGGCTTAGTGACAGCTTTTAACATAAAATATTTCTTCCTGAAAGTCTCTCTGTTCCTTTTTCTTTAGTAACACTCTTTCCTCTTTTATCCTTGTCCCACATGTATTTTTCACAGCTTCTAATCCATTAACCACTCTGACATATGGATTTAAATGCCCTTCTTATTACACTCTATAGGATCTAATTTCTCTGGGTCCAATTTTCCCAACTCTGTCTCATAACTGGTAGCTTTTTCTATAACCTTTATTTTCAGCCCCCTCATGTGGTTGTAATGCCATTCTCCTTTCTCTCATCTCGCCCTGACTCTGAACTATGTCCCGGGAGAGTGCGGTATCATCCCCTGTTGCCTCCTTCGGCTTTGATTACTTCTCCTCTTAACCTTGTTCTTTTGGTTAAGCAATTCTTCTTGCCCAATAGTTTGCATCTGTGCCCTTAAGTTTCTTTCCTTCAATTCTCTCTTTGACCTTCTCTAATCTGGCTTTTACCCACTTCACTCCATTGAAATACAGAGCTACCAATTACCTCCTCCTCGGGGGCTAAGCCTCCTGGCCTCTGTGCCAGCCTTAGCCTCCTTGACCTTACATCTGCCTTTGATCTTGTGAAACACTCTCTCTGGGTCAAT
Organism: Homo sapiens; assembly: GCF_000001405.40. NCBI lineage: Eukaryota > Metazoa > Chordata > Mammalia > Primates > Hominidae > Homo > Homo sapiens. The sequence goes on from NC_000013.11 coordinate 59,524,226, forward strand.
TGATGGCTCCCACAAGGGCCAGCTGAAGCAGCTGGCTGTCCAGGGCATGTTGCATGCAGCAAAGTAGCTCCCAGCTAAAGAGGGGAGCTTTGAGATGAGAATCAGTTTTTCATTTGAATGCTGAATGAAGGATTGATCGAGTACGCTGAAGTACCTTGAGGAAAGAAAGAGCTGCCAATGATTAGAAAATGAGACCTTCTTTCAAATAATTTTACAGCAATTTAACAAATAGGAGTATAAAATAAAAATTCTGAAGGAATTTGAATTGAGTCCAAAGTTCACTGTAATAACTTGTCCCTTTTTTTTCTGAGTAGCATATTTGAGTTTTAGTTTTATAAGTAAATATATGAGCAGCATATTTGGGGTTTCTGTTTGGTTGGTTTTTGCTTAGATTTAGAAAGAGCTAGAAATAATATTTTCTTCTCTAAAATCACACTTTAAAAAAATTTTCTCTCGACCCTTATGGTATGTTATCGCTTATTAAGACTGGATGTATTATTTATAGTACAGTCTGAGTATCCATTATCTAAAATGATTGGGACCAGAAGCATTTCAAATTTTGGGTTTTTTAAATTTTGGAATATTGCATATACATAATGAGATATTGTGGGGATGGAATATCAGTTTAAACATAAAATTCATTTAAATTTCATATATATATACCGGATACACATAGCCTGAAGGTAATTTTATACTTTTTTTCTTTTTTTTTTTTTTGAGACAGAGTCTCACTCTGTCACCCAGGCTGGAGTGCAGTGGCACAATCTCAGCTCACTACAACCTCTGCCGCCCCGGTTCAAGCGATTCTCCTGTCTCAGCCTCCCGAGTAGCTGGGATTACAGGCACCTGCCACCATGCCTGGCTAATTTTTGTATTTTTAGTAGAGATGGGGTTTCACCATATTGGTCAGATTGGTCAGGCTGGTCTTGAACTCCTGACCTCATGACCCACCTGCCTCGGCCTCCCAAAGTGCTGGGATTACAAGTGTGAGCCACTGCACCTGACATTTTTTTTTTTTTTTTTTTTTTTTGTAGAGATGGGGTTTTGCCAAGTTACCCAGGCAGGTCTCGAACTCCTGAGCTCAAGGGATCCACCTGCCTTGGCCTCCCAAAGTGCTGGGATTACAGGCGTGAGCCACTGCGGCCAGTCTATACAATATTTTTAATAATTTTGTGCATGAAACAAAATTTTGACTGCATTTTGTCTGTGACTCATCACATGAGGTCATGTGTGAAATTTTTCACTTGTGGCATCGAGTCAGTGTTCAAAAAGTTTTGGATTTTGGAGGATTTCAGATTTTAGATTTTTGGATTAGGGATGCTCAACCTAGGTGGTGGTTTGAATTTGCACGCGTTGATAATCTGCCCTTGGACGTTCAAGATAGCCTCTCACAACATATCTCCAAATCACAACTGTTGATTTATCTTTTTTTTTTTTTTTTTGAGATGGAGTCTTGCTCTGTTGCCAGGCTGGAGTGCAGTGGCACGATCTTGGCTCACTGCAACCTCGCCTTCAGGGTTCAAGTGATTCTCCTACCTCAGCCTCCGCAGTAGCTGGAACTATAGGCACATGACACTGCGCCCAGCTAATTTTTGTATTTTTAGTAGAGATGGGGTTTCACCATGTTGGCCAGGATGGTCTCGATCTCTTGACCTCGTGATCCGCCCGCCTCAGCCTCCTAAAGTGCTGGGATTACAGGCATGAGCCTCTGTGACCGGCCGATTTATCTTTCTAAATTTATGCAGTTTAGTTGAACAGGACCCTTTGCTCTCCCTTATGCCTTTGCTTTCCCTCTTTGGTAGCTCAGTTCCTACAGTTTTTGTCTGCATTTATTTTCCCCCCGACTGAAAGACTTCTTCGCCCTCTAATTTCCACTGGTCAAAATTCCTCTCATTATTTGACTAGCACTAGTGCTCAGTTTGTACCTTCCCTGACCTTATTTTGTTTTGTTTTATGTACTTGTCATGTTAGTTCTTTAACTCTGTATTTTGAAATACTTTCAAACTCACAGAAAAGTTACAAAAATTATACTGAACATACACCCTTTGCACAGATACACACTAACATTTGCAATATTTGTTGTACCTTTTCTTTTCTCTGTGTATGTGTGTTATGTATAATATTTCCTTCCTGAACTTCTTTTGAATAGGTTGCATATGTCATGCCCTTTTATTCCTTAATATTTCAGTGTGTATTTCCTAAGAATAAGGCTATTCATTTATGTAACTGTGGAGATTTAACAATGATATATACCTTTTAACAAAGCAGTCTATATTCCAACTTTGTTCATTGTTCTACTAAAGTCCTTTATGATATTTGCTTTTACTTTCAGTGCAGAATCCAGTCTAAGATCACATGTTGTATATAGATTGCATTTATTCTAAGTTATGCCATGTATCACTGCAACTAGTAAGCTATCTGGGAGTAGTCATATTAAGAACATATAAATATCCTGCTCTTCATCACACTCTTCTCCACAGATTTAGCATCCATTGATGATTCTTGCCTGAATCAATCTTTACTATAATAATTGTAAAATGGTTAATTTTCAACTTCACTATCCCATCCATATTTATCTGTCTAAATTAACCTGTAAGGAAGGGCCCTCTTCTTTCCCATTTTTATTTACTATCTAATTATTTTCAGTATAGACTCACAGATTTCTATTTTCTTTAATGAGTTATGCCCTTATTTACATCCATGGTTAAAATCCTTCTGTATTTGGCCAGTGAAAACCTCTTCAAGCTGGCTTGTGTATCCTTTCAATATGTCCATAAATGTTTTGATTACTTCCTTACTTTCTGGTATAACAGAATGGTCCAGGCTCATCTTGGACCTTCCCTGCCCCAGCCCTGAAAGAAGCCATTTATTTATTGGCATCACACACATTATTATAAAACCTGCCATATGCCAGGCACTCTGCTAGGCTCCACAGATATGGTGATGGGCCATACTAGACACTGTGTTTTTCCTAATGGAAGTAGATAAGACAGACATTAATTTTTTTCTTTCCCCATGCCTCACACTCATTTACCCTGTGTTTTGTGAAGTACACGAATTTCTTACCAATTGGATTAAAAGGTATTGGAATGAGTCTTAAGTTACCTTCTGATAACCTCTAAATTTCTCTCTTGTCTAAATCTAGGGCAATGTGTTCTTGCAGTCCTATAAGAAATAACTCTGACTCAAAGGCCATATTTGGCTAGCAGAGAAGGTTGTTGTAGAGAGCTTCTGTCCTAGGATTGGAGCCCATTTCAGTGTCTCCTGCTCACCTGGCTCCAGGGTCCAATGAAAGGCACGATGCTGGGGTAGAAGACACATCATGTTGGCTGTTAGGAACACAGGACATTGGATCGAAACTTTAAGGAGGAGAAAATAATGCCCAAGTCAGAGATCTGGGTTACTCAAGACCAGCATTGTTGAAAACCACAGCTTCCCCAGTCCCATATTGCATGATTTTCCATCTTGCCCCATGTGCTACAGTCACATAGGCTTTCTTTACATCCCTTGAAAAAGCCAAGCTCCACCCCACTCCACCCCACCATACCACACACAGCCAAGAGTCCCTGTGCTCTCGTGCACACTGTGCTCATCTTTCACATTTATAGCAGCCATTTCTGACCATTCCACCAAGACCCTTGTGCACCCTGTTCATTCCTTTAACATTACCTTTAGAGTCAGCAATACAGAACCTTGAAGAATATAACAGGGAGCTTGGATTTTTATTCAAGGGCAATAGACTTTGAAAAAGGGAACAATCATAACATTTAAGATAATTGACTACAGATGTACCCTCTCACTTGAGCTAAGAAACTTAACAACCTAGAAGAAAATGTTAGTACTCTCACCTCTATAATCTAGAAGGCTTGCTTGCAATCTGAAAAACTAGAAATGAACAAATCATTGCACACACATTCAAAATAAATGAAATGTCCCATGGTGAGGCTCTAAGCAGAACCTCCTGTCTTATCTAAGGATGCTACTTCCTGCTTTGGTCATGCTGTTTGAAAGTTATTAGTGTGACTGGTAGGTACACCTCAGGGACTTTTGAGAATGTAATTTACAACATTTAATATAGATGAAATGTGAATGCTTTTCATACCCAGTTGTGCATAGCTGAATGCTTAAGGGTGGAGTGCTGAAAAAGTGTATTTGTGCTAGCAATGCTAAATCATAAAGACCTTTCTTTATCTCCATAACCCTACCATCTTCTCTTATTATCTGGAAAGTAGTGGGGGACAGCAAAATGTTCCAAAAGAAATGGTATCTTTGGAGTCTTTTAATCATCTAAAATTTGGGAGTTTGGGATCTTTAAAAAATGTTATCAATTAATCTGGAAATTGAATAGTAAAATAATCAAATTTTGATTGCTTTAGTCACCTACAGATAAAAGCATCTATTGGTAAGATTTGAGGGATTTGCTCTTTAAAACATTAGATGAAAAAAAGACTTACATAGAATTTTGTATTATTATTTCAATTATAAAAGCAATACACAAAATAAGCTGGTATCTTAAATTGAAAAAATAATGAAATAAGATAAATTTGCTATAATCTCACCATCCAAATGTACTAGCAACTATTATCATTTTGATATGTGAATGAGAGAATTAGGGTCAGCCTGTAAAGAGAATTCTACAATCTGACTTTTTGTCCTTAATTTCTATTCTGAGCATTTCACCTTGTCATTAAATAATCTTCAAAGCCATATTTTTAGTTCCCACATGTAATTTCAGCCTGGGCATACACCTGACTTATTTAACAACTTCCTTGTCTTTGCAAATGTACGTTGTCCCCAATTTTTACTTATGATGAATAAGGTTGTAGATTTCTGGTTTTAAAAATGTCAGACTGATCACACACACTTTAGCCTTCTGCTTCCCCAAACCCTGCTAAAATACCAGAAAAGGGGCATTAATCCATAAGGAAAAAAAGATAGTGCAAGAGGAGATCTCAGCAAATTAAAGATTTCAGTGTATTTTTGGAAGATAAAAATAGAAGAGACCTCAGCAAGTTAGAGATTTTAATACATTTTTTGGAAGACAAAGAATAGAGAGGAGTAACTGACTCAGTAGAAGAAGGCTGCAGAGGGGTGCCAATGGGAAGCCAACAAATTGGTACTAATGAACACTGAGACGCACAGCTCTTTAAAATATTTTGCAATCTCTTTCCTATAAACAACACTTCTAAATATCTCTCTGCAATACCTAGTTAGGAGTGACAATGCGTTTCTAACCTTGATCAAATTATAAATCCATAAGCTCTCACAGGGCCATGTGTGAAAGGGACTGAGTGAAGTAGTCAGAAGAAGGAAGACAGTTGTTGGTCACTGGTGATTTGGGGAGGACGTTTATTTATAGTGCACAGTTGAAAACAGGGAGTAGGTGCATCTTGCACTTTCATCTTCACCCACTCCTTATCCTTCACTGTGCAATTTCTGATGAGTTCTCACTTTGATTTATAAAGCCACAATGTGCCTTTTCAGAATAAACACATATTCCAGTCTATAACTCTCTGGAATTTCATTCACTAGACCCCAGCTGTAAGCCCATTGACCTTTTTCTTGTGTGCAATGTAGATTCTATATATCTCGTGTTATTCTGTGCATATATTGAAAATGTTTGAACATATAATTTATTAAGTCATGGCAGGAACTATAAGTCTTTTTATATGACTTCCAAAGTAGCCCACCTTATACCAGCAAGTTTAATAAAAACTTCTGATGGACAAAATAAGTAGCTCTTATTATATTCAAATATGGGTGCTTTGTTTTTTTGACACTTTTCCCTGGTGTAGGTAACACCAGACTTGAAGACTTCTTACCTCCATGCTATCATAGCTCTTCTATTACTGCATTTATCACTTCACATTATAACAGTTCACAGAACTGTCTCATACACTATCCTGTGAGATCGCTGGGGTCAGAAACCATATTTGTATTCCTTCAATACACATTTTTTGCACCTGCTACATATCACACAGTGTAATAGGAATAAGAAATACAATGATGAACAAGATAAAGTAAACATGGCTTATTTAGGCAAATGCAATGTGGTCTGAGCCCCAGCCTCATGTATTAGTTAGCTGTTGCCACAGTAATGCTATATAACCATCCCAAATGTCAGTGGCTTACAAGCATTCATTCTCATGCCCATGGGTCTGCAGGTTCTCTATACTTTGCTTGATCTTGGCTAGGCTCCAGTGGGAGGTTCTACTTCAGACTGAAGTTTCTCTGGGCATAGTTCCTCACTGTGAGTTGGGTTCAGGTCAAAGACACTTGTGTGTTAATTCTGGGGCACAGGCTTCTCAGAGCATGCTCTCTGCCTGGTGGATCGCTAGAGCACAAAATGTCAAATACATTAGAAGCCTCTGCCCCATGATGTCCATTAACTTTCCATTGGCCAAAGCAAGTCCCATGACCAAGCTCAATGTCAATAGTGCAGGAAAGGCCTGTTGTAGGAAAGTACTGCAAAGTCACATGATAAAAGATATAGATGTATAATTCTAATATAGGGTTGGTGTCAAGAATTGCAAAAGATGGGCCAGGCACGGTGGTTGACACCTATAATCCCAGCACTTTGGGAGGCTGAGGTGGGCAGATTGCTTGAGTTCAGAAGTTCAAGACCAGCTTGGGCAACATGCTGAAACCTCATCTCTACTAAAAATACAAAAATTAGCCAAGCACGGTGTGCACGCCTGTGGTCCCAGCTACTCAGGAGGCTCAGAAGGTCAAGGCTGCAGTGAGCCAAGATCATACTACTGCACTTCAGCCTCGGCAACAGTGAGACCCTAAGGAAAAAAAAATTGCAAAAGATGACTCAACCTGCTGCAGTAGACTACCTTTTTTTGGTTACAGAATACAGAGTACATTGTACTCTGTAATGTTCCTCTTTAAATACTCATTGCATTTACAAAGAACTGGCTCAGTATTCACTGCGCTAGTCTTCTGTAAGCTTTATAAACATAGTGATCCTGTATGTTTTATTCACTAATTATTCACCAAGTTATCCTTTACACGTAGCAGATGCTCAATAAATTAATATTGCATTAAATTGAATTGGTAAGTGTTATGACCGGGAAATGCAGAGAGCTAATAGATAATGCAGAATAGAGGTTCTTAGTATCACCTGCTCCTTAGAATCAGCTGGGTCCAGTGTGCTGGCTCTGAAAAAAAAAAAGGAAAAAGAATCACCTGGGGAACTTTCACGACTATCTACGTCTGTGCCTCACCCAGAATAATTAAAGCAGAACTTCCTGGTCTAAATTACCAAAAGTGGAGCCTGGGCCTTGGTGTATTTCAAATGCATACAAGGTGATACTGATGTGCAGCCAGGCATGAGAATCACCGACCTGGGGACAACTTACTCAGATTTGGGAAGACTTCCTGAAGGAAGCAGTAGTTAAGCAGAGGCTACGTGTGAACTGTTAAGTAGATACTGGGCCCAGCAGGGGCTGAGGGTAGGTAGGAGGGGTTTGTAACTGAGGAAGTTGACTGTGCAGATGCACTGAGATAAGAGCGAGCTCCTTGCCCTGATGTCAAGATCACAGTATGCTAAGTGAGGTAGAACCTAATAACTGTTACTCTAGGCAGAATTCTTAGATAAAACGACCAGAAAAGCTTAGGATTTCAAGGGAAAACTTCCCGACCAGGAGGCAGAGGTTTCTCAGGAAAGGCTCTGCCCAGTTTGAGTAACTTCCCTTGGCGGCTTGCCAGGGTGAAGCTTTTGTTCAGCACAGCTTTTGCCCGAGTTTATTTTTGTAGCTGCTTTTGCTATGCTGAACTCTTTCCAGCTATTCTTTGTTTATGTAACTCTCTAGGCCGCCATCTAATTTCTAGGATATGACAATCTTTCCACGTAACATTTTTGTTCATGATGACTGCTGACTTATATTTTAATATTAAGCAGGCAGAGTTTTTTTTTCAAATATCAATATAAGAAATATTTATACCAAAAACATTTCCGCTTTTTAAAAATCTGGTCTTCAAGCTACACTTCATGTAGCTCAATATTCTCCTTCTACAGTTCCATATGAATTCATTTCACATTCTTTTATCAGTAAAAGCTTGTTGTTCTTGTCAAAATGACTTACTTTCTTACATTTGATAATGATAAATATTTATCCATCATGTTTTACTTCTTGTCTTATTTTCCAGGAAACTCAAAGCTAAAATTGCAGAATTCAATATTAGCCCAGGTTGGAGAATGTCATTCTCTTTCCTAAAAGATTTTAATTCTTTTCTTTTGTCTTTTGCAACTCTATGTGTGGCTTCTACAGTAATCTACCTTAAATACTTTTTTGAAGCAAGATTACAGATTACCAGGTAAATTACTCAGGCTTATTAGTTGCTACGGCAAATACCAAGACATATGACTCATTCACTGTCCAGGAATTTTCAATCCACTATATATTCAGAGACAAATTTTCTCTACAAATAAATGTGTTAATGAAAGGCTTACAATTTTTAGGCCTCAAATTATCTCTGCAATAGGCCTAAAACTAAACGTGTGTTTTCTTGTACTCTTAGATGTTATAACTATTTTTTATTAAAATTTCTCCAAGCATGTACTGAATATTCTTTTCTAGAAAGACATATGTACAGATATACACCCATGTACAAAGGTAGACCCAGTTGATATTACCACCGTAACATTGTGAAGGCTGACAAATATGAAATGTTTATTTGTAGCAGTTCCATTTGGAAGGTACATGACACTAACAATAAAATAGTAAATGCATAATTGCTGTCTGATGCCTTTTTGCAGCTTTCCAGAGACAATGGCATCAATTGAAATTAAGTAATTTTGAACCCTCTCATTTTGCAAGAGAGAAGAAAATCTAAGAAAACTGAGTACTGTAAGGAAGATATGAATACAGAATTAAGTAAAACAGGGACTTTCCAAAGATAATTAGGCCATTCCAGATCCCAACATAAGGAGTATCTTCCCATCCACCTCCTTCCAATAAAAATCACAATTTTTAAAAACCCTTTAAAAAGTATTTCTTGCCACAGTTCTACCTTCTGAATCCAATTAGCAATTTTATCACTTCATTTTATTAACATCTATTAATCTTGAAAAACATAGAACTGGCATTCTATCGACCTCTTTCTGGTCTGTATTTATAAGGGAGAAAGCTTCTTACTTCTATTTACTAGCATGAAAGAAAAAGAGATTTAAGGCAAGACACTTTGCATAGAAAACTCATAAACTTCCACCTAAATAAGCAGTTATAGAAGAGCAGATGCATCTAGATTGCATTGGTAAACAGTTCTCTGTTATAGACCAATCAATAAAGTTAATGCTAATTGTAATGTACTTTTGTCAAATTGCACTTCGTCTTAATTTCTGATTTATGGCATTTTCCATATAGTACTTCTGAAAATCTAGAGCTTATTGCAATCAGTCGCTGCTAATGGGAGACTGACAGAAGTGAAATAACATTCTAACCTGAGTATTCAGATATCACGTTCAATATTCCTGTTGATTCAGAAAGAACTAATGTTTACTAAGCCATCCCCCACCTGCCCCAGACTTCCTGTAACAGCATAAAATACCAGTGAGTCAAGACCAACAGGTCTTGACCCCAGCCACATTTATAGAAAATACCAGAAGCACTTGTCTCAAGAGATAATATCCTTTACAACTGCCTATAGAAATATTTACAATGCATTGTGGAGTGCATTGATCATTTTGTTCAATAAATTGTGCATTTATAAAATAGAACAAGAATTAAAATTCAATTTTACTATTACAAGTGAATGGTTCTGTGGTTGTTCCTTATATGTCAGGTCCTAGTCCTTGGGACAATAGAAGAACTATAGGATCTATCCCATGTTGTTCTAAAGAAATTGGAAAGTTTCAGAGCTTCCTGCTTCATCTACAGTAGAAGAATCTTATCCTGCCAGATCCTTCTACTACCCAGTATCATGTCAGACTACTGCAAGGCACCAGCTTGTGCTGGGCAGATTTTTCTTTCTCCAATCTTTTCCTCTCTCTCACTCCCTCTCACACTCTCCCTCTTCTTCCCCCTGATCCTTTCCCACTCCCCTCCCCTTCTTCCTTCCCTCCCTGGCTCCCTTTCTTATTCTATTTATAAACTATCTGGTTCTCATTTACCTCTATAAACATTTTTGCCTAGATAATTCACATCCTTTGGGGGGATTAAAAAAACTTAGCAAAATGCCAGGTTCTGTACTAAGACATTTATAGAGGAGAATCTAATAATTTTCTATAGCTGTTCTTCCCAGCATGGTATGAAAATGCATTCAGTAGTTTAATTTTCTTTTCCTTCTTGTTGCCAGAATTATTTATTGCTGAAAATTGAGGAGTTGTATTATAGTTATTATTTCTTTTGATTGGTTTAAAAATTTAGTTTGATAGAAATCTTAAAGAAAAAAAAAACTCACAAAGTTTAAATGTGGTTTGGAAAGGCAACAGAGGGATTTGAAGAGAACAGATCTGATGAAAAAGAAAAATGTTTTAGCATTTTCAACCATCCAGAGTAGAATCATTGAAAATCAGGAAGTCTCAGAAGGAAACTCAACAAAGTAAAAAGGTTTTATAAAAGAATACATAGCTATTTCGAGAGTTGTGTTGGAAAGGATAAGGTGATATTTTTTATCTGAGGCTATAATGAAAAGACCAGAATTACAGGTGCGATGCCTCTGTGGGAATCAAATTTTTTCCATGACAACAAACGAGATTTCCTTCTTGGCTAAACGCCTTGAAAAGATGTGGAAATACAGAACTGATCATACAGAGTTGATTCCATCACAATTTGTGGAAAAACAATATGTAACAAAGGACCAGTGTTACAATGTTAATTGAAAACAGTCCCCACAAAATAATCTGGATGACTAGAGCTGAAAGTTTCCCAGGCTATGGCTATAGACAAATGACAACTGCCATGAAATAAGCAGAATACAGCACAACCTTTTTTTTTTTTCCTCCGATACAGAGTCTCACTCTGGAGTGCAGTGGCATGATCTCGACTCACTGCAACCTCCACCTTCCAAGTTCAAGTGATTCTCCTCCCTTAACCTCCTTAGTAGCTGGGACTACAGGCGTGGGCAACCACTCCAAAATTTTTGCATATTTAGGAAAGATGGGGTTTCACCACTTTGGCCATGGTTGATTTCGAACTGCTGGTCTCAAATGATCCACCCGCCTCGGCCTCCCAAAGTGCTGGGATTACAGACATGAGTCACCACACCTGATCGATTATAGCACAATCTATTCATCCTTACTATCTGTGGAGATTGTTCTACCATCCATTCTGTAGCCATGATTATTGTCAACAGCCTAAGTGAATATGAACGGACAGTATCTTGTGTTGAGGGAAACACACAGGGACTGCAGGTGAGCTTTACCTCCTCTGCTCTTCCACTAACTAGTCAGTTGATGTTGAGGAAGCCCTATAAGCTCCCTGTCTCTTTGCTTCTTATTTTCAAGTAGGAATAACATTTCTGTCTTCTCTACTGCCTTACTGGATTGTTACTATCAAATGATATGAAAGAAGTAGAAGAAGTTTAGAAATATTGAAAACACTTATAAACATACAACATTATTAGTATTCGTTGATCAAAGTTGCCAGAGTTTATTCTCACATTTGCTCTGGGCTTAGCTTTTATAGCAAAATATGCCATTGATAGTAGGTTTATTGTCTTCCAAACTTTATATCAACACATTCTTACTTTAAAAAGAGCAAATTGAGATGGTTTTTGGAAAGGGGGACTTCTCTTTTGTTCTTGTCTTACTGAAAGTGCAAAAGTCCTATGTAGAGTTTAATTTTTAATTTTTGTGAGTACATAGTAAGTGTATATATTTGTGGGGTACATGAGATACTTTAATACAGCCATGCAACGCATAATAATCATATCAGAGGAAATGGGGTAAACACCCCATCAAGCATTTTTCCTTTCTGTTACAAACAATGCAATTATATTCTTTTAGCTACTTTAAAATGTACAATTAAATTATTATTCACAATAGTCACCCTGTTGTGCTATCAAATACTAGGTTTTACTCATTCTATGTTTTTGTACTCATTAACCATCCTCACTTCCCCCCAACCAACCGCCAACAACCCTTCCCAGCCTCTGGTAATCATTCTTCTACTCTATATCTCCATGAGTTCATTCAATCGCTTTGATTTTGATGTTTCCACAAATAAGTGGGAGTTTGATTATAAAATGCCTTTTTTTTTTTTTTTTTTTTTTTTGAGACAGAGTCTGGCTCTGTCGCCAGGCTGGAGTGCAATGACACAATCTCGGCTCACTGCAACCTCCACCTCCTGGGTTCAAGTGATTCTCCTGCCTCAGCCTCCCAAGTAGCTGGGACTACAGGTGTGTGCTACCACGCCTGGCTAATTTTTGTATTTTTAGTAGAGACAGGGTTTCACCATTTTGGCCAGGATGGTCTCAAACTCCTGACCTCGTGATCTGCCCACCTCGGCCTCCCAAAGTGCTGGGATTACAGGCATGAGCCACCATGCCTGGCCTATAAAATCCTTTCAGGTAGTCTTCTTTGGGTTTAATCTTCTTAGTGTTCTACAACCTTCTTGTACTTAAATATGGATACTTTCTCTAGGTTGGAAAGTCCTCTAATATTACCCCTTTGAATAAACTTTTGACCCCTATCTCTTTCTCTACCTCTTTTTAAAGGCCAATAACTCTTAGATTTGCCCTTTCAAGTCTATTTTCTAGACCCTGTAGGCATGCTTTATTGTTTTTTTCTTTTGCCGCCTCTGACTGTGTATTTTTAAATGGCCTGTCTTCAAGCTCGCTAGTTCTTTCTTCTGCTTGATCAATTTTGCTATTAAGAGACTGATACATTCTTCAGTATGTCAAATGCATTTTAGAAACTTTAGAATTTCTGCTTCTTTTTAATTATTTCAATCTATTTGTTAAAATTATCTGATAGAAATCTGAATTCTCTTTCTGCGTCATCTTGAATTTCTTTGAGTTTCCTCAATACAACTATTTTGAATTCTCTGTCTGAAAGGTCACATATTTCTGTTTCTCCGTAACTGGTCCCTGGTACCTTGTTTAGTTCTTTTGGTGAAGTCATGTTTTCCTGGATAGTCTGGATGCTTATAGATGTTCATATGTGTCTTAGCATGAAACAATTGGGTATTTATTGTAGTCTTTGCAGTCTGGGCTTGTTTGTGCCCATCCTTCTTGAGACTTTCTAGATATTCAAAGGAACTTTGGCCCCAAGCCCAGTAATGCTATCATTCCTGCAGACTTATATAGGTACTGTGTTGGTGGTCTTGGATAAGATTCAGAATAATTCTCTGGATTACTAGAGACTCTGGTTCTTTTCCCTTACTTTCTCCCAAACAAATGAAGTCTCTTTCTCTGTGCTAAGCCACCTGGAACTGAGAATGGGGGACACAAGCACCACTGTGGCCACCAACACTGGAACTGCACTGGTTCAGACCTGAAGCCAGCACAGCACTGGGTCTCGCCCAAGGCCTGCCGTAACCACTACCTGGCTACCACCTATGTCCACTCAAGTCCCTAGGGCTCTACGATCAGCAGGTGGTAAAGCCAACCAGGTTTGTGTCCCTTCATTCAGAGTGGTGAGTTCCCCTTGGCCCAGGGAAGGTCCAGAAATGCAGTTTGGAGCCAGGGATTGAAGTCAAAAACCTTAGAAATGCATTTGACATTCTATTCTACTGTGGCTAAGCTAGCACTCAGATCATAGTACAAAGTCCTTTCCCCTCTTCCCTCTCCTTGCTATAGGAAAAGAGGCCTCTCCTTGTGGCTACCACTGCCACTAGCCCACAGGAGAGGTTCACCAGGCCACCACTGATATTCACTTAAGGCCCAAGGGCTCTTCAGCTTGTAGTGAATGCTGCCAGAGCTGGCACTCACCCTTCAGAGCTGTGGGCTCCCCTCTGGTTGAGGGCGGGTCCAGAAATGCTGTCCAGGAGCCTAGACCTAGGCTTGGGAACCCCAACAGCCTGTTTGGTACCCTATCCAGCTGCGGTTGAGCTGGTACTTAAAGTGCAAGACAAAGTCTCCTTTATCTTTCCCTCTGCTTTTCTCAAACAGAAGGGGCCTTTCACCATAGCCACCATAGCTGGGAATGTGCTGGGTTACATCTGAAGCCACCGCATCTCAGAGTCTCACTTAAGGCCCATGGCACACTCCCTGGGTATTGCTGATTATTCAGGGCCCAAGAGCTCTTTAGGCAGCAGGCTCCCTTTTGGTCCAGGGAGTGTTTCAAAATGTTGTTCATGAGCTAGGGCCTGGAATGGGGACCTCATGACTCTGCCCCGTGCCCTACAGTGGCTGAGCTGGAATATAACATGCAAGACAAAGTCCTCTTTACTATTTGCTCTCCTCTCCTAAAGCAGAAGGGAAGAGTCACTTTCATTTGCTGCAAGCTGCACTACCTAGAGTTGGGGGAGGGGTGGCACAAGAACTTCCTTAGCCTCCTCATCTGGTATCTCCCTAGATCACGTGCCACATGGCTAGGTCACATGCCACTAGGAGTTGCCTAGGAATCAGTGTGTCCTAGGACTGCCTTTCAAGTTTACCTAGGACCCAAGGCCACTTTGGCCCATGGTAGTGACGCTTGCTAAGAAACTCAACTTCCAACCACTGGGATGGGTGATTTCCCTCTGGCTAGTTCTGGTCCAAATGCTCCCTCCGTGTTTGGGCACCAGCTGAGCACAGCAGGGCTCTGTTCTCCACTGTGACAGGGCAGCACTAAGTTCAATGCAAAGTGCCCCAGTCACTGCGCTTTCCCTCCCCCAAGTGCATAGACTCTCTCTCCACACCACATGGCCACTGCCAGAGGATGGGAGAGGGGTGGCATTATTGATTCAAGACTTTTCTACCCTCTTCAGTGCCTCTTTCAGCATGAAAAGTTAAAACCAGGTACTGTCATTGCTCACCTGATTTTTGGTTCTTGTGATGGTGCTTTTTTGTGTGTAGTTAGTTGTTAAAATTGAGTGTTCCTGCTGTGGGGGATGAAGAGCAAAGGCTTCTATTCAGCCATTATGCTCCACCGTCTCCTATTGGACAGATTTTTATTTTCAGTATTCAGCAGACTTTGGAAAGAAGTTCAAATTCAGAGGCAACTTTTAAGTCCCCTTCGCAAGTTTTCATTGGTGATGTTAACACAATATTATACCACCTGCATTGATAAAGTCTTGATATTCCCTTACATTCATGTCACATGCACATTGCAGTTAGAGAGAAAGCAATACTTCCTGGGAAAAGCGAGCTGGTGTGGCTTCCTGAAAAAAGCCACCTTGATGTAGTTACCAAGGGTATGGTCTTAAATATGGAGATTGGAGAGTCAATAGTCAGTACATCCAGAGTTAATCAAGCACAGGGAAATAACTCACACCAACCCAATTCACAAGTCTGACATTAAGGAATCCAGAATGCCAATGTATTCACTTATGATAAAAAATATAAGGCTCCATTGATGGATCTGGGCAGGCCAAGGCTCACTGGAAAGTTACCTGATGGATATAGAATTAGAAGCTTATTGCCTGAGCCAAACGGCTGCTGTGGTCAAGTCACCAGAGTACTGAGCAATATGTGTGCTGCACAGGCCAGGTCCTTGGGCCCACAGCTCAGGACAACCAGTCTTCTGGACATAGCTAGAGATGGAAAGTCTATATTTTTCCACTGTGCCCTGCCATACTGTTGATCAATCAGCTTTAAGACTTTTTAAATTTCCTTTTGCCATAAAAATACTTTTTCCTTCAAGTTTGGCCTAGATGGAAGATATTCTGCCTTTTTTAAGATAATCATATATCTTTGCTCTGATATGTTAAATGTTTGTTTTATAGAAACACTTGGTGGATAATCTGATTTTTATGTCCAGATTATTGGGCTGCACCTCATTGTTGTCCCAGGTAACATCGGCAACAATTCTTCTTCACATCTCCTGAGCTTTTCCTACACTCTTAAACTTCTAGGCCTTTGAGCATGGTTTGGGTTGGAGTGTCACCATAATCAATAAACTCCTGTGATACTTCAGTGCACCTTTAAAAGTTCATTTCTCTGTGCATACTGGGTAGGCAGAGGCTGGTGTTCACTGTAAAAGAGCTACTTCGCCAAACTCAGTTATATTGTAGGGCTTAAGTCACTTTGCTTGGGTAGCCTTTCTCTCCGATGGAGAAAAATAGAGTAGAGCATCCTGTTTATTTTGTAAGAGACACAACATTGATACAAATTTCCAAGGAACCATTCTAGTTCCCTGGTCAAATAGTAGCTGTGGGGCCTCCTCTTGGCTAGGAGGATTTAATTACACCAAATTTTAAAAGTTGCATTTTATCAAATAAAAATGTTATGTCACTGATTATTGTAACACTTTGAGATTCAAGGAGCTACTCCAACCCAGCCACAGTGAGCTACATTTGTAATTGCGGCTGGCATTTACTGAGAGCTTTCTATGTGCAAAGAAGTGTATTAAGCATTTTGCATGCATTTTTTCATTTATTCCTCACCGTGAACTTACGATGTGGGTGGTTTTAATTATTCCCATTTTATAGTTGAGGAGACTCATGATAAGAACAAACACATGCTAAGAGGCAAAGCCAGGACGTAAACCTACTGGTGAAATCTGAAACAGTATAGTGACAAAGGAGTCTTCCATTTCCAACAGGTTTTGTTTTTCACATGGTACTGGTCTCTATAGTATACCTAATCCTCATTGCAAAGATGGGTCTAGATGTTCTACAATTGCTAAGCATTTTGGCAAGATCTGTGCAAATAAAAGGTTAGGAAACGTAGAAACGTAGACTGTTGATATAGAAATTGTGCCAGGCACTCCCTGGATCTGCTATGGTTCCCAATAGATGACTTTCTTAGCTGCCACAGAGCCATAAATGAAGCGCTGGGATCTACCGTTCAATGCTTTGAGCCCTGTGAGGATAGTGTCACACAACTGGGAAGTAATAAGATTTGAACTGAAAAAGGAAAAAAGACATAATTTTTTAAAATGTCTTATGTTTTTAGAAAACTCATAGTTTCCTCATAATTTCCAGAATATTAGATGTTTGCTGGTTGTATATACAGTCATACATCACTTGACTAGGGGTGTAGGTTCTGAGAAATGAATCATTAGGTGATTTTGTCATTGTGTGAACATTACAGAGTGTACTTACACAAGCCTAAACGATATGGCCTACTATATACCTAGGCTATATGGCATAGCCTATTGTTCCTAGGCTACAAACCTGTACAGCATGTACTGTACTGAATACCGTAGGCAATTGTACACAATGGTATTTGCATATCTAAAGATATCTAAATATAAAAAACATACAATAAAATACAGTTATCTTATGGGACCATCACTATATATGTGGCCTGTCATTGACCAAAACGTCATTATGCAGTGTCTGACTATATTCACATTTTAGCCCATGTAGGGCTCATGTAGCAACACAGTTGTACCCCTGAGAGCCCCAAAGAGAGAAACTTCTACCTAACCCAATCTCATAGAGACAGCAAATTTTTTTTTCCTTCTAGAAAACAAATAGTTTCCATCATAAATGGACCATAATCCCTGGAAGTATTACCGTATCTTCATTCACACTATTTGATGAGCCAAAGGAAGGTATTGTGTAGGCTATCACCAGCTCCCACTGGGGGACTCAGCCAGCTGTAATATCTAAACACAACTACCGTTCACAGTGTCCTTCTGTCTATTCAAAAACATGTATCTGGCACCTACCATATGCTGGCTACTTTGCTATCAACCGTCAGTGTTTTATGTTTTACAAATATATCCAAGCACTAAAAATCATTTGGCCAGTGTAAAAATTTTAGACCTATGTTTTAATATGTATATGACTTGTCACTTAGTCAAATGAGTGCTCTGATGTGTAATTTGAACAGGGGAAGTATGCCTTTTAGAATCAGAGGACACTCAACCTTTGAAACCAGTTGTTTTTTTCTCTCTCTTCCTTGTCTGTCCTTCCCCCAAATCTATCTTCAGGTCACCTTCTCTCATCCCCTACACACAAGCACACACTTAATCATAAACAAATCTGTAGTGTAGCTACTCACATGGCTACTTCATCATTAAAATCTATTACTTCACAGCACCTTATGGTGATAATAGGATTTTCCCCCCTCACCCTTTGATTAATACTTGTTCAACATCTCTCACACATGCCTACCCAAGAAACTCTTTCCAGGGGAGGAAACAAAATTACACCCTCTTTAACAATGATCCAGCAGAGAAAATGAGATTGCCCAACACATTATAACTTCCATTCAGCAAAGCCACATGTTCCCTCTTGAGAAAGGATGTAAAATGAGCTGCCAGCTAAAAACTCCTAAAGAATGTCACAATTACAACTTTTCACTGGTGCTCCCAGTGACAGTACTTCTGACCTAAGACAACTGAGACACACAGATTTACTCCTAAGTCTGCTCATTAGCCTAATGAGGATGGAGTCAGGCAAAGAGTTAATTTGACTAATTTAATCAACATGCCCTTCAATGTATCTACTGGGAGAACACCAAAGTGATGGAGACAAACACAGAAACACACAGAGGAAAGGGGATTTACTGAGCTGTACTTGTGATTAGGCAGAGTCACAGTTTGAAAACATAATGGAATCAAAGCTGGAAAGAACCTTAATGATTGCTTAAGCCAATCACATCATTTTATAAGGTCTAGGGAGGTTAAAAAATCATTATAAATATAAGATGTATTGTAAAATGAGTAATAAATGAGAAAACATTTATAAATCGTAAACTGCTACTATGTATGCACATTAAATTGTTTCCCCAAAACAACATAGAATTTAAACAGTAGATACATTGTTATGTATTTTCATAAAACAAATATTATACATAAGTTTCTTCTCCTCCTCCCCCCAAACCTCTGATTCTTTAGCTATGTTAACACACTTCAGTAACTCACCTGATACAGATAAATTTAAAGTTATTATTTTAAAAAATTATTCAAACTTTTTCTGCACTTGTAGACTCTAGAAAAATAAAGCATTGATGGGTGTTATTTGAGGATGAATACAAATTTTAGTTTTACCAAAATTAAGGATTTTTAGTTAATACTTAGTGTGAATGATTTATGTTTTTGATAAATGGTTTTCGATTTCTTAGAAATTCCACCTTAAAAAGAGTAACATAAAATATCTATTTAATATTGGCAGTACTTCTGACAGCATGCCTTGATCTTACAATTAGAGATTACGGCACAATTACCCCTCAGATTCAGTAATTCTAAGAGAGTTGATTGAGGGTTTTTCTGGACAATGGTATGTCATTTGCATTGATTATTTCATTATATTAATTTTCTCATCACTTTTCCTTTTTTTTCATTTGAGCACTATTAAGGAAGTTTTTTTCAACTGGCTCAAGCCTAAGGGGATATAAAAGAAAATGAATGGGGTATTTCCTGTTAAAGACAAGCAAGCAAGCAAGGAAGGAAGGTAGGTAGGAAGCAAGGAAGGAAGGAAGGAAGGAAGGAAGGGAGGGAGGGAGGGAGGGCAGAAGGAAGGAAGGAAGAGAAAGAAAAAGGAAGAGAGAGAGAGAAAGAAAACAAAAGAAAAAAGAGAAAAGAAAGGCTTATGGGGATACTAAGCCTTATAGCTATAAATTGATCCTGTTATTTTTTCCTTGATGGTAGATTGTAGAATTAAAATAGTATGGGAAAATTTATAGTTTGAGATTGAGTCTTTTAAGAAATGGATCTTTTGTAATGTCCCTTCTATTTGAATGATACTGCCAGTATTGCAACACTCAGACCAGACAGGGCCTAATATTTCCTTTCTGTAAGTTTCCTTAAAAATAATTCTTCTCCATTTTCAATTATTAATAGAGATCTGATTATGTCTACTAGGTATAAAGTTTATGCTCTTGCAGCAGACAAACATTAAATAAATTAACACATAAATATGAGTATAAAATACAAGTATAATAAAGGAAAAGAATGGTGTTCTATGATAGAAAAAAAAGGATAACCCAATTTGTATGTGTCATCAGGGAAGGCCTCTCTGAGAACCGCGAAGAACAGAGACAAGTTAGGTGAGAAAAGGAGAGAGAGTGGACAAAAGTAACAGTATGCAAAAGATCCTGAAGCAGGAAAGACCTTGGTGAGTTCAAGGACTATCAGTCAAGGTCAGCATAGCTGGAATAAAGGAAAACATGGCCCAGGATGAGGCTGGAGAGGTGGCCGGTGTCCATATGGGAGAAGGTTGAAGAGTGAATGGGGAACTTGATATAGAATGGTAATGGATGGAATGCAGGATCGAATTCCTCTGCCCCCTTCCAAATACCCATTACAAAATGACAGAGAGTAATTTTTTTATGAAAGGCATAAATCCCCAAGAACAAAAAGATGCAGGTGAAACAATAGAATCCTTAGAGTTTGAAAAGCATGTCAAAAGTGGTTTTATCAAATCCGAGAAAACCACAGTGCAGAAAGCTGAGAAGTTACCCAGTTTACCAATTTACCTGGTGAAATGGGGGAAGGGAAGGCTAAAAACAAAAGGACTGGTTAAAAATGCCATTCAAGGAGCACTTAAACTGTACCGGTCAGGAAGGAAGGAATATAATATGGAGAATTACCACTTAATTGGAAAGACTGGAGAAGCACAAGTCAGGGAAAGCCATGGCTACTCCTGAGATTTGTCAGCTATCAGAGAGTCAGGAAGTTGCAAGAACTTCAGAAAATGTCAGAGATGACTATAGCTATCTGAAGCATCATAGCAGAGGATTTGCAAAGAAACACCCTGAGGCTGCTGGAAAATTTCATTTTTGCTGAAATCTGCAAAATTGCCTACTGCTGCTAAAGGCAATAATATAGTTTGTGCCTTTCTTATGCCTTCCAAATCTTGAGGTGTACCTCTCATTGTCAGACTTCAATCCAGAGCATGACCAGCAAATGACTCTGGGAACACAGTTCCTGGTCTTCCAGCCCCTGAAATATGAGAGGGGATAGAAGAGGCATGATGGCAGGGGGAACAGGGGGAGTAAAGGAGCTGTGCTGCCATCTGTCAGTCCAGCAGAGAACACTTCCTGGACCCCATTCCTCATTTGTCAGACTGGGTAATTGCCCCTCCCTGGTGCAGGATGATGAGGTATAAAACAGATGATCTCTAAAAACCAGAACAGTAAACTCAGTTGATGGCGGGGGTTACAGATCTTAAAACAGGGCAGTTAAGAGAAAATGAACATATTAAATGTTCGGACCTTGTAGCTCTCTTCCCCCATCAACTCCTGTAGGTGTTAGCCAGCTTTTTACCTTCCAGGCCAGATATTGGAAGAGCTTTCCCTAGAGAATCTGACCAACCCAAGAAAAAAGACCTAAGAAATACTGATATCTTTCTCCAAAAAAGACCATGTCAAATCACTATATAGAGAAGCTCACAGTGGCAAACCAACTCATGGGTATAAATCTTTAAACAACGATTTAATGCCCCACATTAGATATAAGCCAAATATCGCCAACATTTGAGAAAGGCAACAGATACAAATATCAGAGCCCAAAACAAACAAAACTCATGGAATACAGACATCATACGGGACAGAGGAAAAAATCAAAAAGGAAAACTATTATTAACTATCCTCAGGGAAGAAAAGGAATATTTTGATACACAAATAGGATGCTTTTTAGGGGCTGGTGTAGGGGGGAATTAAATATGACAGCAAAACTAGAAATCTTAATAGAAACTTTAGAAAATAGTTACAAAAATATTTCAGAAATTAGAGTAAAAAGACAAGTTAAAAAATTATTTTAAGAGAATAAAATAGAAGATGTCTTAAATAATAGAAACCATAAAAAGAAAGAAATGAGGAAATTATAAGAGGAGGAGGAGAAAGTATAGTGGAAATAATTCAAGATAATATACCAGAAATGAAGGATATTGCACTCAACACAATAAAAAAACATGGACCCACACCAAGCTACATTAAAACACTGGGACAAAAAGAAACTCTTACAAACTTCTAAGAAAGAAACAAACCCAGCACTTATAGAAGAGATTGAAAACCTTTTCTGTACAAAAACAACAACAACAACAGGTTATAACTATTTTAGGCTTTTGGGGCCATAGAGTCTGTCAGAACTACCCAGCTCTGCTCTTGTAGCATGAAAGACAACAATAGAAAACATGTAAATAAATGAGCATGGCTGTGTTCCAATAAAACTTTATTAAGAAAAATAGACATTGTGCTGCATTTGTCCTGTGGGCAGTAGTTTGCTAACCTCTGACTTACATAAAGAATCAAGAATCAGAATGGTGCCAGACTTGAAATAAACTGAAGACTAGATGACTTGTGCAACGTTGATAAAATTCTGAAGGAAACTTATCTTTATCATTCTATTCCCAGCCATATTATCAAACAAACATGAGGGGTGACTATCTCCCTTTATCTCCCATTGGCCTTTTCTCAGGAAGCTGACCAACAGTGGTCTTCATCAAAATCAGAAAATAAAATAAAGACAAGGGATCATAAAACTAGGAATTAGTTTCCATTTCTTGGATCTACAGACTATTTCAAAGCAAAAGACAAAGTCTATAAGTCACTCAGTATAGGCCGGGCGTGGTGGCTCATGCCTGTAATCCCAGCACTTTGGGAGGCCAGGGCGGGCGGATCACGAGGTCAGGAGATCGAGACCATCCTGGCTAACACAGTGAAACCCCATCTCTACTAAAAATACAAAAAACTAGCCGGGCGTGGTGGCATGCACCTGTAGTGCCAGCTACTCAGGAGGCTGAGGCAGGAGAATCACTTGAACCCGGGAGGCAGAGGTTGCAGTGAGCCAAGATTGCGTCACTGCACTCTAGCCTGGGCGAAAGAGCGAGACTCCACCTCAAACAAACAAAAAAACCCTAGGAATTAGGTTCCATTTCTTGGATCTACAGATTATGTCGAAGCAAAATACAAAGTCTACAAGTCACTCAGTATAGAGGACAAGTGCTCTAGATTGAAGCAGATCATTCAGCTCTGGTAGAAACTGCTTTAAGAAGATAAAATTATAGCAACATCAGCAAGATGGCCACGTAGAAGCCCTTAGAGCTTCTCTTTCCAGCAAAGACAGCCAAAACAACAAATAAACAACTAGATTTTAATGAAAATAGCAAAAGGAAAGTGCCACAGTACATCAAAGTAGTAACAGAAACTCTGATGAGCACAGAAACTCAGAATAACCATACAGAGAGCAAAAGAAAACAACTGGGCCTCCACCATCCCATCCCCCAGATGGGAACCAGAAGGAACTTCTCCCTTCAGGAAAAAGGTAAGCAAGAGAGTCCCAGCAGCCCCATCAATACCTGGAACACCTGCAGTCCTCTCCACTGGGGTCCCCTGCAGTCCTCTCCACTGGGGTCCCCTGCAGTCCTCACAGACACTAAGCCCAGCTAAGAGAGATACCTGGAGTCTACATAGCTGTGCTCCTTCAGAGAAGGAGCCAGCACTGTGCCCCACTCCCTGTGGCCACCTGGCTACTCTGCTATGCCATCTTGGAACTGAAACTGCCACTGGAGTATATCCTGCTCTGGGGGCAAGTGCTCATGGCACCCCTTAATCCCTGAGGCTAAAGCCCCACTCAATGGCCCAACAATTCCAAACTGAGCTACAACCAGCTGTTACACCCATCCCTGTGTGACAAACTAGGGGTGGAGCCACTCTACCTACCTCTCTCAGAGTGCCCAGGTGCAGCCTGCCTGCTCAGGCCAAAGCTGAAGCTGAACACTCCTTCCTAGGGAAATGGTGCCTTGGCAGAGCTACTTCATCTACCCATCTCAGTTGCTGCTGCACCTTGCACTTGGGAAATGGTGCTAAAGCTGCCCACTCTCTCTGAAAGAAAGGATGCCTTGGCAGAACAACTCCATCTACCTCTCCCAGTTGCTGTGGCACCCTGCCCCTAGGGGGCTAAGCTGAAGCTGCACACTGCCTCCTGGAGATATGGTGCCTTGGCAGAGCTGCTTCAAATACCTCTCCTAGTCACTGCTGCACCCTGTACCCCTGTGCTGGAAATGAAACAATATCAGTCATCCTGGGATGGTGCCTTGGCTACCCAGAGCACAGAAACTCAGAATAACCACACAGAGAATGCAAGGACCTTTCTGTGCCTGAGCTGAAGCAATACTCTGCCTCCTGAGAAAGCAGCGCCTTCACTGCCCAGAGCAGTCACACCTTCCCAGTGCCTAAATTGATGCAGTGCCTTAAATCCCAGGGAAACAGTGCCTGGGCCATTTAGAATAGTCATGCCTTCTGGGCCTGAGCTGAAGAGGCACATTTTCCCCTGGGGAGGGAGTACATGGGTCAAACTGAGCAGCTGCACATCCAGGGCTGAGCTGAGATAGTACTGTGTGTTCCAGGGAAACAGAAGAAGCTAAGCCAAGACACCCCACCCTACAGGCCAAACAACTCAAATATCCCGCTTCCCTGGAGTTGGACTAGTTCCCTAGAGTCTGAACTGCTGAGACACCCATCTCCCCAGAGAGTGGGCTCATCACTATGTTATTCCATGCCACCCAGCAACCAAACAACAGGTGGGTTCCACCATTCTGGGATACTTGTACCTGGATTCACAGTCTGAAATACAGCCAAGGCCTGCCATCCCAAGGGCTAAAGGCATGACTACACAGTGTCCGTCCTCTGGAACCCGAATTGCCACTGAGCCCTATTGGCTCAGGTTCCCAAATTGCAGCTATACTCTGGTCTCTGAGCTCAAACATCCAGAGAACCCCTTCTTTCTCAGAGTTAGAACAGTCCTGTGCCCTGTCTCCCAAGGGTAGAATCACAAATGGGCCCCTGGGCCCAAGCTGCTAGGGGGTGCCTCAGAGTCACAGGTCCTGGCTGTGGGCAACCTATGTCCAACACTGCCACAGAGAGAAAAGCTATGCCCTAAGACTCTGGTGCTGCAATATGTGAGACTTTAAGCCTAGGACTCCAGCCCCACAGATGCTCTGGGCATATGCACCTGGAACCCACAACCACTGCAGCCACCTGTAGGACATGTCAGACTTGACATCAAGAAGGAACCATTCAGCTTATTGTAGAGAAAATGAGAATAGGAAGACCCCAGAAGCCCTTGCTCCTGAGGACCTTAACAACCTATGCCACTCTACAGCTTCCAAAATTCTACAGCCTAGGCCACTGAAGTACCTACAGTTACTGCTGATGTCAAACACAACTAAAGAAGCTGCAGGGAGACTATACCACTGTATATATCTGGAAGCAGATTTACCACATCCTTTTCAAATAGCACACTAAGACTCATCTCCAGGTGAAAGTCTTTACTTATGAAAATCACTCTAGAAGTTTGAAAAAGGCAATTGTTCTTTTTGTTGTTGTTGTTCTTTTTTTTTTTGAGACGGAGTCTCACTCTGTCACCCAGGCAGGAGTCAGTAGCACGACCTCGGCTCACTGCAAGCTCCACCTCCCAGGTTCACGCCATTCCCCTGCCTCAGCCTCCCAAGCAGCTGGGACTACAGGCGCCTGCCACCACACCTGGCTAATTTTTTGGTATTTTTAGTAGAGACGGGGTTTCACCGTGTTAGCCAGGATGGTCTCGATTTCCTGACCTCATGATCTGCCTGCCTCAACCTCCCAAAGTGCTGGGATTACAGGTGTGAGCCACCGTGCCCAGCCGAAAAAGGCAGTTGTTCTACGAGATTCACAGGCATCAATGCAAGAACACAAAAAAATTGAAAAAGAAAAAAAAAAAAACTGACAGTACCAAAGGAACACCATAACTCTCTAGTAGCAGACCCTGATGAAAAGGAAATTTTTGAATTGCCAGAAGAGGAATTGAAAACAATAATCATAAGGAAATTTAGTGAGATAAAAGAAAATACAGATAAACAATTCAATGAAATAAAACACTTTATGATATGAATGAGAAATTTAACAGAGATAGGTTATCATTAAAAAGAAACAAACAGAAATCCTAAGCTGAAAAATGCAATAAATGAAACCAAAATAAAGAGCTTCAACAGCAGACTTGAACAAGCAGAAGAAAGAATCTCTGAATAT
The DNA here is from genome assembly GCF_000001405.40 of Homo sapiens. Lineage (NCBI taxonomy): Eukaryota > Metazoa > Chordata > Mammalia > Primates > Hominidae > Homo > Homo sapiens. The sequence goes on from NC_000013.11 coordinate 59,550,218, forward strand.
GAAGAAAGGTCATTTGAAATTATCTAGCCAGAGATTTTAAAAAAAAAGAAGAAGAATGAAAAGGAGAAAACAAGACTTATGGGACATTATTAAGTAAACAAATATTTAAATTTTGGTAGTCACTGGAAGAGAAGAGATAGAAATAGGCATAGAAAACCCATTAAATAAAAAAGTAGCTGAAAACTTTCCAAGTCTTGGGAGAGATAAGGACATCCTGATTCAGGAAGCTCAAAGTCCCCAGATAGAGTCAACCTAATAAGGTCCTTTCTGAGGCATGTTATAGTCAAACTGTCAAAATTAAAAGACATAGAGAAGGTTCTAAAAACAGCAAAGCAAAGCATCAAGTCACATATAAGGAAATCACAACTAAACTAACAGCAGATTTCTCAGCAGAAAACTTACATATCAGGAGAAAATGAGATGATATGATCAGAGTGCTGAAAGGAAAAAAATTGTCAATCAAGAATACTATGCCAAGCAAAGCTATCCTTCAAAAATGACAAAGAGATACAGTTTTTCCCAGACAATGAAAAACTGAGAGAATTCATAACCACTAGACCAACTTTACAAGAAATGTCCAAGAGAATCCTAAATCTGGAAGCCAAAAGATAATTATCACTATCATGAAACACACAGAAGTATAAAACTCGCTGGTACAGCAGATACATAAAGGAGAAAGAGAAAAGAACAAAACCTGATAACTACAGAAAATCACCAAACTGCAACCATAAACAATAAGATACGAAGAAAGAAACAAAGAATATATAAAACAACCAGAGTAACAATTAACAAATTGACAGAAGTAGACCCTCACCTGTCACTAACACCCTTTAATGTAAATTGATTAAATTCCCCACTTAAAAGATATAGACTGGCAAAATTGATATTTTAAAACATACTTTTTGGCTGGGCATGGTGACTCATGCCGGTAATTCCAGCACTTCAGGAGGCTGAGGTGGGCAGGTTACTTGAGCTTGGGCATTCAAGACCACCCTGGGCAATATGGTGAAACCCTGTCTTTACAAAAAATACAAAAATTAGCCAGTCATAATGGCATGCACCTGTGGTCCCAGCTACTTGGGAGACTGAGGTGGGAGGATCACTTGAGCCCTAGAGGTGGAGGTTGCAGTAAGTGGAGATTGTGCCACTGCACTCCAGCCTGGGTGACAGAGTGAAAGCCTGTTTCAAAAAAAAAAAAAAAAAATTCCCAATTGTACACGCCTATAAGAAACTTACTTCACCTATACATACATAGACTGAGAGTGAAGAAATAGGAGAAGATATTCCATGCAAATGGAAAGCAAAAGAAAGCAGAAGTACCTATACTTATATCAGATAAAAGACTTTAAGTTAAAAACTGTAAAAAGAGACAAAGAAGGTTATTATATAATGATAAAGGCATTAATCCAGCAAGAGCATATAACAATTGTAAATTTGTATGCACCCAACATCAAAGCACCCAGTTACATAAAGCAAATATTAGATCCATATAAAGGGAGAGATAGATTCTAATACAATAATTGTTGGAGACTTCAACACCCCCCTCTCAGCATTGAACAGATCATTTAGGCAAAAAAATCAACAACAACAAAAAAACATTGGATTTAAAATGGAAACATTGCATTTAAAATGTATTTAGACCAAATGGACATAATAGACATTTAGAGAACTTTTCATCCAAGGGTTACAGAATACATTATTTTCATCAGCTCATGGAAATTCTCCAGGATAGATCACATCTTAGGCCACAAAACAAGTCTCAACAAATTTAAAAGAACTGAAATCGTATCAAGTATCTTTTCAGACCACAATGGAATAAAACTGGAAATCAATAACAAGAGGAATTTTTGACATTGTACAAACACATGGAAACAAATGAAAATAGAAACACAAATTGCCAAACCTATGGGATACAGCAAAATAAATATTAAGAGGGAAGTATATAGCAATAAACTCCTAAATCAAAAAAGGGAAAGGTTTCAAATGAACACACACAGATGATGTAGCTTAAGGAACTAGAAAAGTGAGAACAAACCAAATCCAAAATTAATAGAATGAAATAAATAACAAATATCGGAGCAGAAACAAAATTGAGACTTAAAAAACAACACAGAAGATTTTTTTTGTTTTTTTCTGAAAAGATAAACAAAATTGATAAATCATTGGCTAGACTACCCCAAAATAAAAAAGACCCAAATAAATAAGAGAAATTAAAACTAATACTACAGATACATAAAGGATCATTAGATACCATTACAAGCAACTATACACCAACAAATTGGAAAACCTAGTAGAAATAAATAAGTTTCTGGATACATAGAACCTACCAAGATTGAACCATGAAGAAACAGAAAACCTGAAAAGATTGATTCTGAGTAACAAAGTTGAATTAATAATAAAAAGTCTTCTGTAAAAGAAAAGCCAAGGACCTAATGGCTTTACTGCTGAATTCTACCAAACTTTTAAGGAAGAACTAATACAAATTCTTCTCAAATTCTTCCAGAAAATTAAAGAGGAGAGAATTCTTCCTAACTCATTCTACAAGGCCTGCTTTATCCTGATTGCAGAACCAGACAAGGATACAACAACCAAAACCGAAAACTGCTGATGAACTGATATCCCTGATTAACATAGATGCCAAAATTCTCAACAAAATAGTAACAAACTGAACCCAACATCAATCAAAAAAATAAGATGCCATGACCAAGAAGAATTTATCTCAGGGATGCAAAGATAGCTCAACATATGCAGATCAATAAACATGATACATCGTATTAACAGAATCAAGGACAAAAATCATATAATCATCTCAACAGATGCAGAGAAAGCTTTTGATAAAATTCAACATCCCTTTATGATAAAAACTGTCAACAAGTTAGGTATACAAGGAATATACTTAAACACCATAAAGGCCATATATGACAAACCCACACTTAACATAATACTGAATAAGGAAAAGCTTTCAAGCTAAAACAAGACAAGGATCCCCATCTCACCACTCTTATTCAGTACAGTAATAGAAGTCCTAGCCAGAGTAATTAACAAAAAGGAAAGAAATAAATGGCATCCAAATTGGAAAAGTCAAATTTTCTCACTTTGCAGATGATATGATTTTATATATAGAAAACCCTAAAAACTTCAAAAAATTCCTAGAACTGATAAACAAATTCAGTAAGGTTGCAGGATACAAAATCAATATGTGAAAAAAAAAGTAGCATTTCTACACACTAACAAAAAACTGGCAGAAAAACAAAACAAACAACAAAAAAGAAATCTCATTTATAATACCTACAAAATACTAATAAAATACCTATGAATAAATTTAACCAAGGAGATGAACAATCACTGACTGGAAAACTATAAAACACTGATGAAGTTAATGGAAGAGGATGCACAAAAATGAAAGACATCTCATGTTCATGGATTAGAATAATTAATATTGTAAAAAATGGCCACACTGCCAAAAGCTATCTACACAATTAATACAATCTCTATCAAAATACCAATGATACTTGTCAAAGAAATATTTTAAGATTTTTTTTCTTTCTTTTTTTTTTTTGAGATGAAGTCTCACTCTATCACTCAGGCTGGAGTGTAATGGCACAATTTTGGCTCACTGCAACCTCCACCTCTCAGGTTCAAGCAATTCTCCTGCCTCAAGCCTTCCAAGTAGCTGGGATTACAGGCATGCACCACCACGCCCGGCTAATTTTTGTATTTTTAGTAGAGACAGGGTTTTGCCATGTTGGCCAGGCTGGTCATGAACTCCTGACCTCAGGTGAAGACTCCAAATAGCCAAAGCAATTCTGAGCAAAACTATAACAACAACAACAAAACCAAAGGCTTGCAGCATTACAATACTTGACTTCAAAATATACTACAAAGTTATAGTAATCAAAACAGCATGGTACTGGCATAAAAACAGACACATAGACCAATGAAACAGAATAGGGAGCCCAGAAATAAATCCATGTATTTACAGACAAATGATTTTTGACAAAGACACTAAAAACATTAACTGGAGAAAAGATAGTCTATTCAATAAATGGTGCTGGGAAAACTGGGTATCCACATGCAGAAAAATGAAACTAGACAACTATCTCTCATCATACACAAAAATCAACTCAAACAGATTAAAAACTTAATAGACACAAAATTATAAAACTACTAGAAGAAAACATAGGGAAAACACTTTACAGCATTGGTCTGGGCAAAGATTTTTTTGGATAAAATCTCAAAAACACAGGCAACAAAGGTAAAAATAGATAAATGAGATTATACCAAACTTTAGAGCTTCTGCACAGCAAAGGAAACAGTCAACAGAGTGAAGAGACAACCAGCAGAATGAGAGAAAATATTTGCAAACTATTCGTCCCACAAGGAATTAATGTCCAGAATATACAAGGAACTCAAACAACTCAACAGCAAAAAACGAACAAAAAACCCACCAATAATTAAATTTTAAAATGGGCAAATGAGCTAAATAGACACCTCTCAAAAGAAGTCATATAAATGGCCAACAGGTATATGAAAAAAAGGTTTAATATTACTAATCATCAAGGAAATGCAAATCAAAACCACAATGAGATAGCATCTGGCTCCAGTTAGAATGGCCATTATCAAAAAGACCAAAAAATAAATAAATAAATAACAAATGCAGGCAAGGATGTAGAGAAAGGAAAACTCTTATTTGCTGTTGGTGGGAATGTACATTAGTAACAGCCGTTAAGGAAAACAGCATGGAGATTCCTTCCTCAAGAACTGAAAATAGGACTATCATATGATCCAGCAATCCTACTATTAGGTATGCATCCAAAAGAAAGGAAATCTGTTTGTTGAAGAGATATCTGCACTCTCATGTTTACTGCAGCACTATTCATCATAGCCAAGATATGGAAATAACCTAAGTGTCCATCAAGAAAACGAGTGGATAAAGAAAATGTGGTATATTGTGTTAAGTGAAATAAGCCATGCATAGAAAGACAATACCACATATTCTCATTCATATGTGGATGCTAAAGAAAGTTGATCTCATAGAAAGAGAGTAGAATAGCAGTTACGAGAGGATGGGAAGGGTAATGAGGAGAGGAGATAGTCAGAGGTTAGTTAATAAATACAGAATTACAACTGGATAAGTTGTTTTTTGTTGTTGTTGTTGTTTGTTTTGAGACAGAATCTTACTCTGTCACCCAAGCTGGAGTGCAATGGTGCAATCTCAGCTCACTGCAACCTCCACCTTCTGGGTTCAAGCAATCCTCCTGCCTCAGCCTCCTGAGTACCTAGGATTAGAGGTGCCTGCCACCACACCCAGCTAGTTTTTGTATATTTAGTAGAGATAGGGTTTCACCATGTTGGCCAGGCTGATCTTGAACTCCTGACTTCAGGTGATCTGCCCGCCTCAGCCTCCAAAAGTGCTGGGATTACAGGCGTGAGCCACCATGCCTGGCCTACAGCTGGATAAGTTTTAGTATTCTATAGCACTGTAGAGTGACCCTAATGAACAACTTATTATATATTTTCAAATAGCTAGAAGAGTGGATTTTGAATGTTCTGAACACACAAAAAAATGATAAATGTTTGAGGTGATAGATATGGTAATTGCCCTGATTTTATCATTGCCCATTTTATACATGTATCAAAACATCACACTGTACCCCATAAACATCTATAATTATTATGTGTCATTTAAAGATAATCATAAAAGCTTTTTAAGTCTCTTAAAAAATAAAAAGATAAAAATGAGAGAATATCAATTGTGTTTATTTGGATCAGAGAGTACTTACACAACTAGGGAAGGTTCTGCATGTGCAGTAATTTTAAGCGTATAAAAAAACTATGGAAATTTTAAAAAGCAGCTATTATTAACTTCAGTGATAACAAAAAGTTGTGTATGAAAAAATAGGCCGGGCACGGTGGCTCACACCTGTAATCCCAGCACTTTGGGAGGCCGAGGCGGGCGGATCATGAAGTAGGGAGATCGAGACCATCCTGGCCAACATGGTGAAACCCCATCTCTACTAAAATATACAAAAAATTAGCCAGGGCGTGGTGGCGGGCGCCTGTAGTCCCAGCTACGGGTAAGGGGGCTGAGGCAGGAGAATGGCGTGAACCCGGGAGGAGGAGCTTGCAGTGAGCTGAGATCGTGCCACTGCACTCCAACCTGGGTGACAGAGTGAGACTCCGTCTCAAAAAAAAAAAAAAAAAAGAAAAAAGAATCATTGTATGACTCAGATCTGATAGTGTTCTCAGAGTCTTAATAAAACTGTATATTGATCTAATCAAAATTATAATAAACTTATATTGAAAATGTGGAAAGAAGAATGACAGTGCTGGCCTGTGGTGGAGGAAAATATTTGTGGGAAAGAGAGCTAAAGCTTTGTTTTCCATATGATAATAGCTAAAGCCTAAATGTAAAAATAAGTGATTGCTATATTTATTTAGAGCTTTGAAGGCAAATTGCAAAGTCAGCTACAAAAGTTGAATATGATTATTCTGGAGTTTGTGAGGGTGGTTTTAACAAGCCTTGTACAAAAGGCATGAACAGACACTTCTCAAAAGAAGACATACGGGTGGCCAACAAACATATGAAAAAATGGTCACCATCACTGGCCAGCAGGAGAAGCAAATCAAAACCACAATGAGACACCATCTCACACCAGTCAGAATGGCTATTATTAAAAAGTCAGAAAACAAGAGATGCTGGCAAGGTTGTGGAGTTAAGGGAGTGAACTCTTGGTGAGAATGCAAACTAGTTCAGCCACTGTGGAAAGCAGTTTGGGGATTTCTCAAATAACTAAAAATAGAACTATCATTTGACCCAGCAATCCCATTACTGGGTATGTACCCAAAAGAAAATAAATCATTTTACCAAAAAGACACATGCACTCATATGTTCATTGCCACATTATTCACAAAGCAAAGACACAGAATCAACCTATGTGCCCATCAATAGTGAATTGCATACAGAAAATGTCATACATATACACCATGGAACACTACACAGCCATAAAAAAAGAAAGAAATCACGTCCTTTGCAATAGCATGGATGCAGCTAGAGGCCATTAACCTAAGGGAACTAATGCAGAAACAGAAACTCAAATATTGCATGTTTTCACTTATAGTGAGAAATAAATCTTGGGTTCACATGGACATAAAGATGTGAATAATAGACACTGAGGACTCCAAAAGGAGGGAAGGAGGGAGGAAGACAAGGGCTGAAAAACTTTCTATTGGGTACTACGTTTACTATCTGGGTGACGGGATCAATAGAATCCAAAACCTCAGCACCATGCAATGTACCCTTGTTTTTTGTTTGTTTTTAATTCAGAGAATCTTTTATTTTTTCCATAAGTTATTGGGGTACAATTAGTATTTGGTTACATGAGTAAGTTCTTTAGTGGTGATTTGTGAGATCGTGGTGCACCATCACCCGAGCAATATACACTGCACCATATTTGTAGTCTTTTATCCCTCGCCCCACTCCCACTCTTCCCCGCAAGTCCCCAAAGTCCATTGTATCATTCTTGTGGCTTTGTGTCCTTATAGCTTAGCTCCCTTTGTGTCCTTATAGCTCAGTGAGAAATTACGATGTTTGGTTTTCCATTCCTGAATTACTTCATTTAGAATAATAGTCTCCAATCTCATCCAGGTCACTGCAAATGCTGTTAATTCATTTCGTTTTATGGCTAACCAGTATTCCATTGTATATATATGTGATACCACAGTTTCTTTATCCACTCATTGATTGATGGGCATTTGTGTTGGTTCCATGATTTTGCAATTATGAATTGTGCTGCTATAAAAATGCATGTGCAAATGTCTTTTTCAAATAATAACTTCTTTTCCTCTGGGTAGATACCCAGTAGTGGGATTGCTGGATCAAATGGTAGATCTACTTTTAGTTCTTTAAGGAATCTCCACACTGTTTTCCATAGTGGATATACTAGTTTACATTCCCACCAGCAGTGTAAAATTGTCCCTTGATCACCACATCCATGCCAACATCTACTGTTTTTTGATTTTTTGATTATGGCCATTCTTACAGGAGAAATGTGGTATCACATTGTGGTTTTGGTTTTGATTTGCATTTCCCTGATCATCAGTGATGTTGAGCATTTTTTCATACGTCTGTTGGCTATTTGTATATCTTTTTTTGAGAATTGTCTATTCATGTCCTTAGCCCACTTTTTGATGGGATTGTTTTTTCTTACTGATTTGTTCAAGTTTGTCATAGATTCTGGATATTAGTCAGATGTATAGATTATGAAGATTTTCTCACACTCTGTGGGTTGTCTGTTTACTCTGCTAACTGTTCCTTTTGCCATGCAAAAGCTTTTCCGTTTAATTCAGTCCCAGCTATTTATCTTTGTTTTTATTGCATTTGCTTTTGGGTTCTTGGTCATGAAATCCTTGCATAAGCCAATGTCTAGAAGGGTTTTTCCAGTGTTATCTTCCAGAATTTTTATAGTTTCAGTCCTTAAGGACTTTATGGTTTAAGTCCTTAATCTATCTTGAGTCGATTTTTGTATAAGGTGAGAGATGAGGATCCAGTTTCATTCTCCTACGTGTGGCTAGCCAATTATCCCAGCACCATTTGTTGAAAAGGGTGTCCTTTCCCCCACTTTATGTTTTTGTTTCCTTTGTCAAAGATCAGTTGGCTGTAAGTATTTGGGTTTATTTCTGGGTTGTCTATTCTGTTCCACTGGTCTATGTGTCTATTTTATGCCAGTCCCATGCTGTTTTGGTGACTACGGCCTTATAGTATAAGTTTGAAATCAGGTAGTGTGATGCCTTCAGATTTTTTCTTTTTGCTTAGTCTTGCTTTGGCTATGCTGGCTCTTTTTTGGTTCCATATAAATTTTAGAATTGTTTTTTCTAATTCTGTGAAGAATGATGGTGGTATATTGATGGGGATTGCATTGAATTTGTAGATTGCTTTTGCCAGTATGGTCATTTTCACAATATTGATTCTACCCATCCATGAGCATGGGATGTGTTTCCATTTGTTTGTGTCATCTATGATTTCTTCCAGCAGTGTTTTGTAGTTTTCCTTGTAGAGGTCTTTTGACTTATTGGTTAAGTATATTCCTAAGGGTTTGTGTGTGTGTGTGTGTGTGTGTGTGTGTGTGTGTGTTTTGCAGCTATTGTAAAAGAGGTTGAGTTCTTGATTTGATTCTCTGCTTTTTCACTGTTGGTGTATAGAAGAGCTACTGATTTGTGTACATTAATCTTGTATCCAGAAACCTCGCTGAATTCTTTTATTAGTTCTAGGACCTTTCTGGAGAAGTCTTTAAGGTTTTCAAGATAAACAATCATATCGTCAGCAAACAGTGAAAATTTGACTTCCTCTTTACCAGTTTGGATGCCCTTTATTTCTTTCTCTTGTCTGATTGCTCTGGCTGGGACTTCCAATACTATGTTGAAGAGGAGTGGTGAGAGTGGGCGTCCTTGTCTTGTTCCAGTTCTCAGAGGGAATGCTTTCAGCTTTTCCCCACTTAGTATTATGTTGGCTCTGAATTTGTCATAGATGGCTTTTATTACATTGAGGTATATCCCTTGTATGCTGATTTTGCTGAGAGTTTTAATCATAAATGAGGCTGGATTTTGTCAAATGCTTTTTCTGTATCTATTGAGATGATCATATGATTTTTGTTTTCAATTATGTTTATGTAGTGTATCACATTTATTGACTTGCATATGTTAAACCATCCCTGCATCCTTGGTTATAGTGTCAAAAGGATTGGTACCAATTCTTATTTGAGTGTCTGGTAGAATTCTGCTGTGAATCTATCTGGTCCTGGACTTTTTTTATTGGTAATTTTTAAATTACCATTTCAATCTCACTGCTTGTTATTGGTCTGTTCAGGTTATCTAATTCTTCCTTGATTTAAGCTAGGAGGATTGTACTTTTCCAGGAATTTATCCATGTCTTCTAGGTTTTCTAGTTTATTTGCATAAAGGTGTTCATAGTAGTGTTTAATGGTCTTTTGTATTTCAGTGGTGTCAGTTGTAATATCTTCTCTTTCTTTTCTTAGTGAGGTCATTTTGATTTTCTCTCTTTTCTTGGTTAATCTTGCTAATGGTCTATCAATTTTATCTTTTCAAGGAACCAGCTTTTTGTTTCATTTATCTTTTGTATATTTTTGTTTCAATTTTATTTAGTTCTGCTCTGATTTTGTTTTTCTTTCTTTCTTCTGCTGGGTTTGGGTTTGGTTTGTTCTTGTTTCTCTACTTCCTTGAGGTGTGACCTTAGAATGTGTTTGTGCTCTTTCAGTCTTTTTGATGTAGGCATTTAGGGCTATGAACTTTCCTCTTAGCACTGCCTCTGCTGTATCTCAGAGGTTTTGGTAGGTTGTATCATTATTGTTGTTCGGTTTGAAGAACTTTTTAATTTACATCTTGATTTCATTTTCGACTCAGTGTTCCTTCAGGAGCAGGTTACTTAATTTTTATGTTTTTGCATTGTTTTGAGGGTTCCTTTTGGAGTTGATTTCCAGTTTTATTCCAGTGGCCTGAGAGAGTGCCTGATATAATTTCAATTTTCTTAAATTTACTGAGGCTCATTTTATGACCTATCATATAGTCAATCTTGACACAGTTCCATGCATTGTTGAATAGAATGTGTGTTCTGTGGTTGTTGGATGAAATGTTCTCTATATATCTGTTAAGTCCATTTGATCCAAGGTACAGTTTAAAGTCATTGTTTCTTTGTTGACTTTCTGTCTTGATGACCTATCTAGTACTGTCGGTGGAATATTGAAGTCCTCCACTATTATTGTGTCACTGTCTACATCATTTCTTAGGTCTATTAGTAATTGTTTTATAAATTTAGGAGCTCCAGTGTTAGGTGCATATATGTTTAGGAGTGTTATATTTTCCTGTTGGACAAGGCCTTTTACCATTATATAATGTCCCTCTTTGTGTCTTTTAACTGCCGTTGCTTTAAAGTTTGTTTTGTCTGATATAAGAATAGCTTACCCTGCTCATGTTTGGTGTCCATTTGCATGAAATGTCTTTCTCTAGCCCTTTAAGTTTATGTGAGTCCTTATGTGCTAGGTATGTCTCCTGAAGGCAGCAGATAGTTGGTTGGTGAGTTCTCATCCATTCTGTGGTTCTGTATCTTTTAAGTGGAGCATTTAGGCCATTTACATTCAATGTTCATATTGAGATGTGAGATACTGTTGCATTCATCATGCTATTTGTTGCCTGTGTACTTTGGTTTTTTTGTTTTTTGTTTTTTTTTAACTTGTATTTTTGTTTTATAGGTCCTGTGTGATTTATGCTTTAAAAGAGGTTCTGTTTTGATGTGTTTCCAGGATTTGTTTCAAGATTTAGAGCTCCTTTTAGCAGTTCTTGTAGTGGTGGCTTGGTAGTGGCGACTTTTCTCAGCATTTGTTTATCTGAAAAAGACTGTATCTTTCCTTCATATATGATGCTTAGTTTTGCTGGATACAAAATTCTTGGCTGATAATTGCTTTCTTTGAGGAGGCTGAAGATAAGACCCCAACCGCTTCTAACTTGTAGGGTTTCTGCTGAGAAATCTGCTGTTAATCTGATAGGTTTTCCTTTATAGGTTACCTGGTGCTTCTGTTCCACAGCTTTTAAGATTCTTTCCTTTGTCTTAACTTTGGAAAACCTGATGACAATGTGCCTAGGTGATGATCTTCTTGTGATTAATTTTCCAGGTGTTCTTTGTGCTTCTTGTATCTGGATATCTAGGTCTATAGCAAGGCTGGAAATTTTTCCTCAATTATTTCCCCAAATATATTTTCCAAGATTTTAGAATTATCTTCTTCCTCTGGAACACTGATTATTCTTAGGTTTGGTTGTTTAATAATCCCAGACTTCTTGAAGACTTTGTTCGTATTTTCTTGTTCTTTTTTGTCTGTTGGATTGGGTTAATTAGAAGACTTTGTCTTCAAGATCTGAATTTCTTTCTTCTACTTGTTCAATTCTATTGCTGGGACTTCCCAGAGCATTTTGCATTTCTATAAGTATGTCCAATGTTTTCTGAATTTTTTTTTTTAAGATGTCTATTTCCTTGAATATTTCTCCCTTCACTTCTTGCATCATTTTTTTTGGATTTCCTGGCATTGGGCTTTGCCTCTCTCTAGTGCCTCCCTGATTAGCTTAATAACTACCCTCCTGAATTCTTTTTCAGGTAAATCAGGGATTTCTTGGTTTGGATCCGTTGCTGGTGAATTAGTGTAATTCTTTGGAGGGTGTTAAAGAATCCTGTTTTTTCATATTACCAGGGTTGGTTTTCTGGTTCCTTCTCATTTGGGTAGACTCTGTCAGAGGGAAGGTCTAGGGCTGAAGGTTGTTGCTCAGATTCTTTTGTCCCACGGGGTGTTCCCTTGATATAGTACTCTCTCTCTTTTCCTATGGATGTGGCCTCCAGTTAGCTAAACTGCAGTGATTGTTGTCTCTCTTCTGAGTCTAGCCACCCAGCAAGTCTACCCAGCTCCAGGCCGGTACTAGGGGTTGTCTGCACAGAGTCCTTGATGTGAACCACCTATGGGTCTCTCAGCCGTGGATGCCAGCACCCGTTCCAGCAGAAGCTGCAGGGGTGTGCAATGGACTCCATGAGGGTTCTTAGCTTTGATGGTTTAATGGTCCATTTTTGTGCTGGTTGGCCTCTTGCCAGGAGGTGGCACTTTCCAGAGAGCATCAGTTATGATAGTATGAAGAGAGACTACTGGTGGGCAGGGCCCTAGAACTCCCAAGATTATATGTCCTTTGTCTTCCACTGTGAGGGTGGGTAGGGAAGGACCATCAGCTGGGGGCAGGTCTAGGCGTGTCTGAGCTCAGACTCTCCTTGGGCAGGTCTTGCTGCAGCTGCTTTGGGGGATAGGGGTGAGATTCCCAGGTCACTGGAGTTGTGTATGTGGGAGGATTATGGCTGCCTCTGCTGAGTCATGCAGGCTGTCAGGGAAGTGGGGGAAAGTCAGCAGTCACAGGCCTCAGCCAGCTCCCATGCAAACTGAGGGGCCGCACTCACTTCCTCCGTACCCCTGCCCCCAACAGCCCTGAGTCTGTTTCCAGGCAGTGGGTGAGCGGGGCATGAAAACTTGCCACAGACTAGCCATCTCCCATCTGTGAAAGAAAAGATCTTGGGTTCTTCCCCTGCCTGTGAAGTCTGCACGCTGGATTTGCGCGCTCCCCCAAGTTCTGGCCAGGAGGCTTCTCACTCTGTTCAAATTGTTACAAAGTTCAACTAGAGATTTCCTTCTCCTTTGGATTTTTATCCCTCACTCCTCTGGTCACCCTCCCAATGGATCCCTGTGGTGCCAGGCAGGAATGGCCTCCTTGGGGACCCAGTGAGCTCCAAGGGCTTTTCTGTTGCTTCATCTACTCCTGTATTTTGCTCAGCTCTCTAAATTGACTCAGTTCCAGGTAAGGTCAGAAACTTCTGCAAACAGACCTTCGGTTTCTCCAGTGACGGTGTGTGTTTGGGAAAGGAGGCTCTCCCTTTCCCACTTCTAAGTTGGGGTACTCACAGTATTTGGGTTGTCTCCCGGGTCCTGCAGGAGCAGACCGCTTCCTTAAGAGGGTCTGTGAGTCCTCTCGGGATTGCTGGTTTGTTCTTGCAGTTGATCTGGAGCCAAAATTCACAATGCAAGCCTCCACACACTGCTCTGTCCAGAGCTGCAATCTAGTCCTGCCTCCTATCCACCATGATCCAATATATCCTTGTAACAAACAAACCTGCATATGTACCCCTTAAATATAATAAATTTTTTAAAGAAAACAAGCCTTGTAGGACAATTTGACTTTTTAAACTATGTGCATGTATAAAACTTTGATTTTTAAAAACATTTTAAGAGTAACAAATAGTTTTCCATCACCATAAAAGTAACCACTGGCATATTTAATCAATGGATTGCGTGTGTAGTTTTTTTTTTTTTTTTTTTTTTTTTTTTTTGAGACAGAGTCTTGCTCTGTCGCCCAGGCTGGAGTGCAGTGGCACGATCTCAGCTTACTGCAACCTTAACTCTGGGTTCAAGTGATTCTCCTGCCTCAGCCTCCTGAGTAGCTGGGATTACAGGTGTGTGCCACCACGCCCAGCTAATTTTTGTATTTTTAGTAGAGACAGGGTTCCACCATGTTGGTCAGGCTGGTCTCAAACTCCTGACCTCGTGATCTGCCCACCTCGGCCTCCCAAAGTGCTGGGATTACAGGTGTGAGCCACCGCGCCCGGCCGATTATGTAGCTCTTTAAGTAATAAAATGGAGCTTTCATGTTTCAAGGTGGAAAAATCTCAGTAACAATGCTGAACAAAACAACAAAACAAAGCAAACTGAAAAAGAGATGAAGAGTATGGTCAACTCTATTAAAAAAACATGAAATGCAATATTATATTTTATTTCTACATAAATATGTACTAAATAATAAAATCTTGCATGGGAAAAATGAACAACCAATTCAGAATGTGGTTGCCGTTTGGGGAGAGGACAATGAGTGGGCTATGAAGTGTTTCCATGATAGGATGTTTTATTTCTCTAAAAATGATTTCTCCTAAGCAAATGAGGTGAAGTGACACAGTTAGATAAAGCAGGAAGGAAAAGTTAAAGAGGCAAGAAAGAGAAAAGTAAACATGAAAAACAATAACAACTTTTAAATCAAAGGTCTTTTCCGGCTGGGCATGGTGGCTCACGCCTGTAATCCCAGCACTTTGGGAGGCCAAGGCAGGAGGATCATGAGGTCAGGAGACCCAGACCATCCTGGCTAACACGGTGAAACCCTGTCTCTACTAAAAATACAAAAACAAAATTAGCCAGGCGTAGTGGCATGCACCTGTAATTCCAGCTACTCAGAGGCTGAGGCAGGAGAATTTCTTGAATCCAGCAGGTGGAGGTTGCAGTGAACCAAGATCACGCCACTGCATTCCAGCCTGGGCGATAAAGCAAGACTCTGTCTCAAAAAAAAACAAAAAACAAAAAAACAAAAAAAAACTTTCCTCTTTCTGACAAAATTTAATCTCTCCATGTAGGCTCTTTTTTTCAATTCTCCTTCTCTGTTTTGATTTGTTTTTTTCCATCAGCATTCATGCTCTTACAGTGACTGTTTTCTACCTGCAGTTAAAGTCCTGTTCAGTCAAGCTGCCTGGAAGGGTTTGTTATACACGGGGCCTCCATTTTCTGGCCTCCCATCCACTTTTTCTTTTAAAGATTTTTTTTAAAACTAACAAAGCTTCAATAGGAGAAATTCAGAGTAAAATATGATGTTATCAATTATAATTGTTTCTTACCTCCACCCACCATGCAGTCACGTCTTTGGAGAGGCGAAGCTATAATTAACTGCACTGTGAGATATGAAGGACAATTTTCTTATTGAACATAATGAAAAGTCAGGAAGTAGCTATTTCCAAGATTGGTTTAGTCATGCAATGCAATGCCATCAGGAGCCAGGCTGCTTCTACACTAGCATCCTCAGATCATTGACTCGGTCTTCAGATTTGCCCCTGTGTAGTAGTCCCATGGGAGTTGCCACAGCCCCCAATATCTACGTGAAGAAAAGAGTTGTTTCCTGCCATGCATCTGTCTTTTATTACAGAGGAGCTTTCTTCTGGGTTGCAGACAACTGACTTCTTTTATCCTCATACGGCAGAGAGAGAGAGTGAGAGCTCTCTGGTTTCTCTTTTTTAAGGGCACCAATCCCATTCATAGGGCTCAGCCTTCATGACCTAATTCCCTCCCAAAGACCCATCTCTTAATGCCATTACACTGGGGGTTAGAATTGCAATATATGAGTTTGGAGTGGAGGTATGCACTCCTCCAGGTCACATTCACCAGAGTTGGGTCACGTACTCATGCTATCAATGCAAGGGAGAATAGAACAAGGAAAGCTGGGATTTTCCATCTCTAGAGTGGGAGGCAGGTTCTGCTAGTAAGTTTAAGTGGGGGTGTGGAATGGTTGTTGGGTAGGCAAACTTATTAACAGTACCTACTACTCACCTTGGATGCCACAGAATATCTACTACAATACCCAGAAGAGGGCAAAGTAGTGACCAGTGGACAGAGCAATACTCAGCAGAAGTGGCTGCAATGCCTACCAGAGGCAGCACTGCCCAGAAGGAAAGGCAGTACCAAACAGAAGCATCAGTGGTTCCTGGTAGACAAAGTGGTGCCCAAGAGATACAGCAGAGTCAAGCACAGGGAGGAGCTATAGCTGCACTGTCCAATACGGTAGCCATTGTCCACATGTGGCTATTTAAACTAAAATTAAACAAAATTTAACATTAAGTTCTTCTGTCACACTAACCACATTTCAAGTGAGCCACTTATGGCTAATGGCTACCCTCTTGGACAAGAACAGTTCCATTTTTACATAAAGTTTAGTAGACAGCACTGGGTTATAGAAAGAGAAGAACTTCTTAAATGACAAATCCACATGTGTAGAAATAATATTAAATTATAGCTTATCTTCAGGGATGCCTGGAGCTATGGTACAAACTCTGGGCCAAAATAGGGATGAAATGTACTAGCTAATGATTTACAATGTGCTGTTTAAAGCCTGGAATTCCCCCAGAGGCACTGGGTGCCAGCTTGTCTACATTGTTTAGTGAAATGTATAAATTGATGGTCCTCACCTGGTTTACCTGGTCACTCAGCCCAATGTTAGCAGTTTGATCAGAAGAATAAAAGACAACCCAGTAAAGTTGTTTCTCACATTGCCTGAGACAGATATCCCATTCTCATAGTGGTGGATTGTGATCCTGAGATAGAGCATAGTCTGCGCAACTGAGAGAGGACCAACACCGGGCTCAGGTGTTCCTGGCTGTCATAATGTTGTTGTATGCTTTCTTGCTCCTGGTTTTGTGTATACTTTGCCTGTAATAAATCTTTCATAAGTATACCTTGTTAGAGTCCTGTGAGTCCTTTCAATTACCTGACCCCAAGTAACTGCAGCACACCATGGTGGCCAATCAGGACTGGTCATTAACACATACGAAACAACCCCAGGCACTGCTAGAAATAACTAGGCTGAACTTGACAAAGCTCTGAAGGTCCTGCGCTATCAGGTATAAGCAAAAACACCATGATATATTTATGGGTTTGTTGTTCTTGTTCATTCTTACATGTTGAAAGAGAGTTTTAAATGAAGTGATATAGTTTGACATGAATATAAGAGAGATTATCTGTGTTCAATCCACGGAAAAATGAGATTATTGCTTAAACTTCAATTTTCTCTTTTGTAAAATGGAAAATATTACAGAGTTCACATTATAGGTCTGCTTAAGGGTAATTTAGTACATGCAAAACGCAATCAAGCAAGTATTAAGTTCTCCATAAATGTGAGCTCTTGTTATTACTCTCCCCAAATAAAGATTTCTGTTAAACATGAACACTTATAACAAAGCTTGGTACTGTATTGCCTTAAAGATCTTATTATCTGTCTTAGATTTTTAAAATTTTATTCATTAACAATGTCTCAATTACCTTCCAATTTTACATTTACTTTATTTTCCCTTAAATGGTATTTTATATAAATACATACTATATCTAAATAGAGTACCACATCTTCCAACCCTAAATATAGTAAATATTTTCATTTGCTCTATTGATGAGCTTAGTTTTATTGAAAATTCTATATTTTTATTCTATGCACGGCATTTGCTCAGTGGGAAAATTATGAATGTAATTGTTAGGGCACTAACTCAGATTTACTTCCTTGGTGGTTAATCACGATTTCCAATCCCAACAGAAAGAGATTTCCAGGAGTTTTCTGGTATAAACCTCTCTCTTTAGTGAGATCTCACAGCTTGTAAATGATAGAATTGGGCTCACGTCCAATCAGACCCATAGATAAATGTTGAAGTTGTGAGAATATATAGAATGAGGGGCTCCTTCTCTCGGCTTTGGAGCCCCCTCCCTCTGTCTCTGTACAAGGGAGCTTCTTCCTTCTCCCTTCCTTCATGCCCCTTCTTGCCTATTAAACTCTCCACTTCTTAAAACAAAAAACAAAACGGCAAAAGAATATATAGAATGATATAGTACATTTTTGGAGAACATATCCTTTGTGATAGAATAACAGATTGTGAAGAGACATAGAAAAAGTTTTTTTAATTACTTAAACTAATTTTTAGGACAATGCTTCAAGAGAGGCCAAAGAGTATAAGATATTCTTCTTACCATTAAAGAACTTAGACATTGTATTCAAGGTTCTTTTAAGTCACATGAACAAAAACCCATTCAAGATAACTCAAATGAATTGATGCTTTGTTATAAGGCTGTTTCAAAGAAAGAAAAGGAAGTATGCCTGAGCCATATAAACTAGAATTGTAAAGTGAAACAGCGTTAGGGATTGAGGCAGGCACTTAATCTTTCCTGCTCAGCACGAATTCTCTAATCTCGACCTTCCTTGGATTCTTTGCTCTGAATTCCTTTCTGCTTCACCCGGTTTCCTCTGCTGGCATATCTGAAAATAGCTCAATGCAGCCTGACTCTTAACTCTGGAGTCCATCACTTTATGCTACTAGCACATGTCTCTCTTCTCTGTCAGGCAGTGTCCCCCTCACCATTGCAGTCAGCTGCATTGTTTGCCCTTGGCCAAGAAATTTATCTGTTGTCAATTGGTTTGGCAGGAGGTTTGTGAGCACACGGAGTCTAGATTGACCCCTATAGAACTGTGATATTAGGAGGTAGAGACTTATGGGATGTAATCAGGTCATGAGGGTGGAACTCTCAAAAATGGAGATTAGTGCCCTTATAAAAGGGAGCCAGATAGCTCCTTTACCCTCTCTCTGCCATGTGAGCATGCAACGAGAAGCTGGCAGTCTGCAACTAGAAAGAGGGTTCTCACCAGAACCCACCATGCTGGCACTCTGATCTCAGACTTCTAGTCCCCAGAACAGTGATAAATACATTTCTGTTGTTTATGAGCCACCCAGTCGATGGCACTTTGTTATAGCCACTTGTATAGACTAAGACAATACATGTGTAAAAGTTCAAGAACCATGCAAAGGTAGTCATTCACGGCTATTCTAAGGTATCACATGAGATATATTGTATGTTGCCCAATGCACATAGTAAAAACAGGAGTCCTCAAACAGTTCCATGGTATCAGATATCTAAGTGAACTGTATGCACTGGCAAGTCTAAATAGAGAAAGTGACTGTTAAGAGGTATCTTTGAGAATGGTACAGTTTGACTATGTGACAAAAGCTTAAAAGGCATGAAGATAGGAAATGTTAAGGTATGGTTAAAAAGTAGAATAGGGTATTTGAACTGCAGCAGTGTTCATATACAGGTGTAATAAAAAATACAGTTGTGAAAGGTAAATTGTGGACTAATTAAGGAGGGCCCTGAAGTGCATATTAGAAAGGATAAATTTGATTATAGAAGCAAGTTTAGGTAAAATTTGATTTTAAAATATTTTCTTTTTGGAGTATATGTGGGAAAGTTTTGGTATTAGAGCTCTTTGAAGATGGGTCTTGGGTGGTCCAGGGTTAGAAAATAGAGTAAAGTGATACGGTTTATTCGCCATCTAAGATGCCATCCTTAGAAAAATATAAAAAGTGAAGACCAATATTTATGTAGCAAATATTTATGGTAGTGCTACAAATAAAATGAAAACCTGGAAGTGATTTAAATACCTCACAACATGAGATTTATTAATAAATTATGTATGCCCAGATATCGTACCATTAAAAAAATGTTTATAAAGAACATTCAGTGATGTGGGGAGAAAGGAAGGTGGAGCTGCTCATTATATTTTAAATGCAAAATTCAAGCATAAAGCTCTACGTTCACGTATATGGTACTGCCTAAAACTTAAACATCAAATCTTTCTTTTGAAACTTTTGGACTCAATCCTTACACTTCTTAAACAGAATATAATAACATTATTTATATTTTTGAGAAAGATTTATTATAACAAAGATTGGTATTTGTGTTATATGCTAAGGCAAATGCTAAGCTGCTGTAACAAAGAGACAATAAAAGGTAAGAGCTTAAATAAGACAAGATTTATTTCTCTCTCATTTAATCATTTGGCTAATCGAGGCTCACTGAGTAGCTCCATCTCACGAGGTCATTCAGGGAACCAAGTTTCTTTTATCTTGGTACCTGACCTTTCTCTGGGTTTTTGGTTTTGGTTTTTGGTTTTTTCATGCATGATCAAGCTAAGTTGGTGCCATGCCCCTGTTCTAGCCCACAGGAAGTGGAAAAGAGAGCAGCAAATTCAAGCACCTTTATTTTTAAGGATGTGTAGCAAACGTTGCTCACATCACTCTGCTCATATCTTATTAGCCAAAATTTGGTCACATGGTCATACAGCTGTATGGCAGGCTAAGAAAAATAATAGGCAGAGGGGCAGTGTGCTCTAAGACTTAAAGGAAGAAGGAGAGAAGGGATGGTTGGGGACAATAATCTTTTCCACACCTGCTGGAACACAATTGGTCCTCAAAGACCAACAGTTAATAAAGATTAACTGTTCCCAGAATACCTAAGTATGCTTTTTGTCCTTATGTCAGTATTGGAAACACTGTGGTGATTAGTAAACCAGTCACTGCTTTAGATTACTGGTAATTAAGCAACCAGATAGTCAAATTACAGCAAGAATAAATCTCAGACCACAAACTTAGGTGGGAATACGTAATTATATTCTTTTTTATCTTTAAATATTTTAAATCTGACCCCAAGCCCTGTGCCATCTGGATGGTAAGAAAGTCAATTTTTGGAATTACTGGACAATTTTATCCTAACGTTGCATTTTTTTTTTTAAAGAAAACTACTTTGAACACACAGTGAAAACATGACAAGAGGCAGCATGTAGCCAAGTCTCTGCTAACGAGGTGAGCTGTCTCTCAGAAGACACTTGTGAGGGCCTGAAAGTCAAACAAACAAGAAGAAGATCTCAATAGTTTAGATCAGGGAAAACTTTCTCTACATCTTTGTCATTTTCTTGAAGATGAAGAAGTGTTGTAGCAATTTTCTAAAATGCTCTAGTTGACATCTTTATTAATGATCTTGTGGAGGCAGCAAAGGGTACTTAAATGAAGTTTGCAGATGATGCTAAATTCAGAGCTGTTGCTAATACCAGTAAAGACAACAGAGTAATAAATAAACTCATGATGGTTAAAAATACAAGGAAGGAAAAAAGGGGGAAATACAGGAAATGTCTGAAAGTGATACAGAACATGCATATTTTGTGATGTTATATGAAAGCTACCATCCCACCTGAAACCCAGCCCCCCAAAAAAGAGACCTACGTTAGGGTAAATATGAAGATACTGCTTCATGGGAGAGAAGAAATTTTCCCTTCCTCCTGACTCTGTGGAGATGAACATAGAACAGCATGTCTAACTTGGCACCAAGTATTCAACCTGGAAAAGTCTGAGACTACAGAACAGATCTGAACTGAGAATCACCAAGGGTGATGCAAATAAAAAGGTTAATAGGGATAAATATTTATAATTTCAATACAAAAGAAACATCTGCAATTATTTGAAAGGTGCAAACACTATGAAGAAAAGCAATTATTTAGCTTCAGAAAAGGCTTGTACCTAGAAATAATGATGTTAAGTATGATTTTATTTCAAAAATATCAGGAAATTTTTTTCCAGCCACAAAAGCTATTAGATCTAAGCAGCAGATGCAAAGAACATTTTTCCAGAAACTTCCTTTCTGTGGGTAAGAGGAGAAGTAGTGAAAAGAATTCTAAAGTAATTTAAGAGAAAGCATTAGCCCACCAGGGAGCAAAAAGCCAGGGGAAGCAGAGACCTGGAGCTTAGTAGCACCAACAGAGTCCTCTGGGAGCCTTGAATTGAGGAGCTGTGTCTCCAAGCTTACAAAGCCAAGGAAACATTTATTAAAAGCAAAAAAGGGAGGGACTCTGAGTTCCTAAATATCAGTAGAGAAGCAAGCTGGCTTCACCCCACACACAGAAAATTAAAAACAAATATACAGTGCTGAGATTATCACCAGCAATATCTTAGAATTCAAATTATGAGGATTAGGCAGTTCATGGGGTCATAAAGAAGTAAAAATCGGACTTCCATATTTAAGATGCTCCTTCCCTTAATCTGCACAGCACCAAGTATTTGAAAATTTATCCCCAACTTATGGTTTGTATACTAGAAAAAGTGAGATTGAGGTGGACAACCAGCTTCCCTACCATCCTGGGTTCCCTGCCAGAAGCCCTGTCCCTGTCTCAACCCACAAGAAGCATCCAGAATGCGTGGAGAGAGATACCCCTGAAGACAGCCAGAGACTAAGGAGGGAGGGTGGAGTAACATTCCAAGTCCTAGAAACTCTACTCTGTAACTCAGCCAAAGGAGACACCAAATCAAAGTTGCTGTTCAGCAGCCGCACGCTGGAAGAGCTTTGTTCCACAGGTATCCTGGATGCAAACTCCTAAGCAGCCCTCTTATACTACCAAGGTATCCCCCTTTGGGATCTTCCTCACTCAGGACAGACAGCACTCTGATTGTTTGCTAGAATAGAGGCAAACCTGTGTTTAAGGTGCCATCTAGTACTGAAAAGGAGGCAGTGACATAGCAGGAAAAAAAAAAAAGAAAGAAAATCAGCAGGACCAACAGGTAGATTACAAAGAAGCTCTAGGCAAATATATCTAATTTAAAAACAAGCTAGACAGAGAAGACTGGAATAAATAACCAATCTTTCAATGCAAAGACATAGACATACATCCACAAGAAACAAAAACAAGCAGGGAACTATGACCATCCAAACGGACATAGAAAGGAACCTGTGACTGACCTCAATATGTGAGCTCTCCAACCAAAAATTCATAATAGTAGTTTTAAGGAAATTCAATGTTACCTGGAAAACCAATTCAGCAATTTATCAGAGAAATTTAAAAAAGATGTTGACATAATTTTTAAAAACCAAACAGAAATGTAAAAACTGAGAAACACATGTGCTGAACTAAATTCATTAGAGTCTCTCAATGACAGAATGCATCAAGCAGAGGAAAGAATCAGTGAGCTCAAAGACAGATTATTTGAAAATACGTAGTCATAGGAGTAACGGGAAAAAGGAATAAAAAGGAACAAAGATGACCTACAAGATATAGAAAATTACCTCAAAAGACCAAATCTAAGAATTATTAGTGTTTAAGAGATTTGAGCAAGAGCAAGGAGTAGAAAGTCTGTTCAAAGAAGTAGTAACAAAAAACTTTCCAAAAGTTGAGGATATAAATATTCAGATACAAAGAGGTCAGATTACACCAAACAAATTCAACCCAAATAAGACCGTCCCAAAGTACTTAATAATCAAACTCTTAAAGGCCAAGGACAAAGAGAGGATGCTAAAAGCAGCAAGAGAAAAGACATAAATAACATATAAAGAAGCTGCAATTTGTCTGGCAGACTTTTAAACAGAAACCATACAGTCCAGGAGAGAGCGGGACGACATTTTCAAAGTGCTGAAAGAAGAAAACTGTCATCCAAGCATACTATATTTAGCAAAGCTATTCTTCAAATCTGAAGGAGAAATAGTCTTTTCTAGACAAACAAAAACAGAGAATTCACCACCACCAGACTTGACTTACAAGAAATGCTAAAGAAAGTTCTTCAACCTGAAATAAGAAAACACTAATATGCACACACACAAACACACACATACACACACACACATTGAAGATATAAAACCCACTGGTAAAATTAAGTACATGGACAAACCTAGAATACTCAAATACTGTAATTATGAGGTGTAATCCACTCATAATTCTAGTATGAAGCTGCCAAAAGACAAATCTATCAAAAATAATAATAGCTACAGCAATCTGTTAAGAGATAAGCAACAAAAAATATATATAAAATGAGAAAAATATATATAAAATGAGAATCAATAGTCAAACTGTGGGGGGATAGATTTGAAATGTAGAATTTTTCTTTTTTTCATTTGTTTCTGTTCTTTGCTTTGTGGTCTAAGATAAGCTGTCATCTCTTTAAAATAACACATATGTATATATGTATATTATATATACACATACACATTTATATATGCACACATATATGTTGTTTGGGGGAAGCCTTGTGGTAACCACAATGCAAAAACCTATAATAGATTTGCTAAAAATAAAGGCAACAAATTGGAACTTACTACCAGAGAAAATCACTTAGCCACACAGAAAGAGAGTAAGAAAGGAAGGAGGAGTTACAAAACAACCAGAAAACAAGCAACAAAATGGCAATAGTAAATCATTACTTATCAGCAATAACACTGAATGTAAATGAACTCAGTTCTCCAATTAAAAAGACAGTGTCTGAATGGATAAAAATTAAGAGCCAACTACATGCTGCCTACAAGAAACCCACTTCACCTATAAAGACGCACATAAACTGAAAGGGAAGAGGTGGAAAAAGATATTTCATACAACTGGAAACCAAAAAAGAGCAGGAATAGCTATACTTATCAGATCAAATAGACTGAAAATCAAAGACCATAGAAACAGATAAAGAAGGTCACTATATAATGATAAAAAGGTCTATTTAGCAACAGGATGTAACAATTATAAACATCTAAGCACCCAACACCAAAGCTCCCAAGTGTAAAACACAAACATTAATAGATTTAAAGGGGGAGAGAGACTGCAATACAGTAATGGTAGGGGACTTCAATACCCCACTCTCAGTAATGGACAGATCATCCAGACAGAAGATCAACAAAGAAATATTCGAGTTAAGCTACACACTAGACCAAATAGTCCTAAATGACGTTTACAGAACATTTACCCAACTGCTGCAGAATACACATTCTTTTCAACAGCACATGGAGTATTTTCCAGAATAGACCATATCTTAGCCCACAAAACAAGTCTCAACAAATTCAAGAAAACAGAAATCTTATCAAGTATCTTTTCTGACCACAAAAGAATAACACTAGAAATCAATAACAAGAGGAACCTTGGAAGCTATACAGACACATGGAAATTAACATGTGTTAATTTCCCCTGAACAAACAATGGGTCATGAAGAAATTAAGAAGAAAATTTTGTCTTTTTTCCTTTTTTTAAAAAAGTAGAGACAAGGTCTCACATTGTTGCCCAGGTTATTCTTGAAATCCTGGGCTCAAGTTATCCTCCTGCCTTAGCCTCCCAAAGTGCTGGGATTACAGGAAAGAGCCACCATGCCCAACTGAGAAGAAAATTTAAAGTTTTCTTGAACAAATGAAAATGGAAATAAAATACATCAAAACATATGGGATACAACAAAAGCAGTACTAACAGGAAAGTTCATAGCAACAAATATCTCTATAAAAAAGTAGGAATATGCCAAATAAACAACCTAACAATGAATGCACCTCAAGGAACTAGAAAAGCAAGGAAAAAAAATTAGTAAAAGGAAAGAAATAATAAAGACCAGAGCAGAAATAAATGAATTTGAGACTAAAAACACAATAAACAATATCAACAAAACAAAAACTTGAGTTTTTGAAAAGATAAACAAAATGAACAAACCTGTAGCTAGCCTAAGGAAAAAAGACCCAACTAAACAAAATTAGAAATGAAAGGAGACATAACAACTGAGACCACAGAAATATGAAGAATTTTAAGAGACTACTATGAAAAAATATACACCAACAAATGGAAAATAAATGGATAAATTCCTGGACACATACATTGAAGATTGAACCTTGAAGAAATAGAAAAACTCAACAAACCAACAATGAGTAATGAGATCAAAGCAGTAATAAAAAGTCTCCCATTGAAGAAAACTCCAGGACCTGATGGCTTCACTGCTGAATTCTACTAAACATTTAAAGAAGAACTAATACCAATTGTACTCAAACTCTTCAAAAGAATTAAAGAGGAGAGAATACTTTTAAACTCATTCTATGAGGCCAGCATTACTCTTCTACCAAACCAAGGAAGGACATAACACAAAAAGAAAACTGCAAGAGAATATCATTGATGAAAATAGATGCAAAAAATCCTCAATAAAATACTAGCAAGTTGAATTCATAAACACATTAAAAAGACTATTCACCACAATCAAGTGGGATTCCTCCGAGGGATGCAAAGATGGTTCAATACATGAAAATCAATAAATGTGATACATCACATTAACAAAATCAAGAACAAAAACCATATGGTTATTTTAATAGATACTGAAAAAGTATTCAGTAAAATTTAACACCCTTTTATGGTTAAAAAAAAATACTCATCAAACTGGGTATAGAAAAAGCATACCTTAAAATAATAAAAGCCATATGTAACAAACCAAAAGCTAACATTGTCTGAATGGGGAAAAATGTAAAACCTTTTATCTAAGATCTGAACAAGACAAGGGTGCCTACTTTCACCACTTTTATTCAACATAATACTAGAAATCCTGGCCAGAGCAATTAGGCAAAAGAAAGAAAGAAAAGGTATCCAAAGTAGAAAAGAAGAAGTCAAATTAGCCTTGTTCATAGAAAACATAATCTTAGAAAAATCTAAAAACTCTATCCAAAAAATTGTTATAACTTTTAATCAAATTCAGTAAAGTTGCAGGATACAAAATCAACATACAAAAACCAGTAGCATTTATATATGCCAATAGTGAACAGTCTGAAGAGAAATCAAGAAAGCAATCCCATGTACAATAACTACACAGAAAATAAAATATCTAGGAATCAATTTAGCCAAAATATGAAAGATTTTATACAAAAAAAAGCTATGAAACACTTATGAAAGAAATTAAATAGGACACAAAAAATGGAAAGATAGTCCATGCTCCTGGACTGTTAAAATGGCAATACTACCCAAAGCAATTCACAGATTCAATACAACGCCTATCAAAATACAATTTCTTCACAGAAGTAGAAAAAAGAAAATCCTAACATTTATGTAGAACCACAAAAGATCCCAAATAGCCAAAGCCATCCTGAGCAAAAAGAACAAAGCTAGAGGTATCATAACATCTAATTTCAAAGTATATTACAACACTATAGTAACCAAATCAGCATGCTACTGGCATAAAAACAGACACACAGACCACTGCCAGCATAGAGAACCCAATATAAATCCATGCATTTACAGCCAACTCATTTTTGACAAAGGCTCGAAAAGCGTACATTAGGGGAAGTACTGTTTCTTCAATAAATGGTGCTGGAAAAACTGGATATCCATATGCAGAAGAATGAAACTACACATGTGTCTCTCACCATATACAAAAATTAAATCAAAATGGATTAAGGACATATCTAAGACCTGAAACTATGAAAGTACTAGAAGAAAACATTTGGAAATTGCTGCAAGACATTGATCTGGGCAAAGATTTTTTTGTGTGTAAAAGACCTCAAAAGCACAGGCAACCAAAGCAAAAATAGACAAGTAGGATTATATCAAGCTAAAAAGCTTCTGAAGAGCAAAGGAAAGAATAAAGAGGCAACCCATGGAATGGGAGAAAATATTTGTAAACTATTCATCTGACAAGAGATTAATAACCAGAATAAACAAGGAGTTTAAACTCAATAGCAAACACACACACACACACACACACACACACACACAAATATTCTGATTTTAAAATGGGTAAAAGACCTGAATAAACATTTCTTGAAAGAAGGCATACAAATGGCCAGCAGGTACATGGGGAAAAATAATGTTCAACATCAGTAATCATCAGAGAAATGTAAATCAAAACCACAATGAGATATTATCATCTCACTCCAGGCAATATGGCTTTTATTTTTAAAAAATAAAATAATTGATGCTGGCCAGGATGTAGAGAAAAGGGAATCCTTGTATACTGTTGGTAGGAATTTAAATTAGTACAGCCACTGTGGAAAACTGTATAGAGATTTTTCCAAAAACTGAAAGTAGAACTACTATGTGATTACTACTGAATATTTACTCAAAGAAAAAGAAATCAGTATATCAAAAGGGCATCTGCACTCACATGTTTATTGCAGCACTATTAATAATTGCAAAGATATAGAATTGACCTAAATGTCTAGCAATGGATGAAAAGATACAGAAAATGTGGTATATGTATGCAGTGGAATACTAACTGGTGACAGAAAGAAGGAAATCATGCCATTTGCGACAACATGGGTGGAACTAGAGGTCATTCTGTTAAGTGAAATAAGCCAGGCACAGAAAGACAAATGTCACATGTTCTCACTCATATGTGAGAACTAAAAAAAGGGAAAAAAAATGGATCTCACAAAAATAGAGAGTAAATTAGTGGTCACAACAGGCCAAGAAGAGTAGGAGGAGATGAAAAAGAAAGGAAATAAAGGTTTTTTTAATTAAATAAATTAAAGAAAAAGAAAGACAAAAGCAAGAAGGAGAACTAATGATTTTCAGAATTCCTCCCTCCAGTCTTGGAAAGGATGAGCAGGAAAGACTCCAGTCATATATTATAGGAAATACTTAGAAGAGATCTCTGATGTCCTCTAAGAATTAATGCTCCTGTGATGGTAAGTAGCTGATCCATCACAGTAGCAGGTGTACTGGGGATAAACCAATTTGTCTAGTGAATATTGATACATTCTGACAACAATGAACTTATGCGGTTGTAACATAATCTCAGTTGTGACAAGTTCTCCTCCCATCCCTTCTGGGTAGTTAAAATAATTACATAATAGAAGTGCTAAAGGAAAAAACTGCTTCTCTACTCACAAAACTTCTGACACCAAATGTGTGGGTTTTCTGCACCAAGAAATTCTCCGGTTGTCTGTGGACACAAGATGGTGTCCTATAATGTAATTCAATTCTGACATTAAAACCAACTTAGCACAGACGCCATACATCAAGAGCTCAGTCCCTTAAGATTGCTCCCCACCTTAAGATGTCAGCCACAAATAGTTGATCCACAGGTTACCCACACTTCTGTATGACTTGGTTACAAATCAGGGGTTCCCACATCCCGTTGTTAGGTTCAATAATTTGCTATAATGGTTCACAGAATTCACAGAAACACTTTGCTTACATTTACCAAGCATTACATTTGTATCCTTTATAAAGGATATTATAAAGGATACAAATGAGCAGCCAGATGAAGAGGTCCATTGGGCAAGGTCCAGAGGGATCCTCAGTTCATGAGCTTCTATCCTCTTGGAATGCAGGATGAGCAC
Source organism: Homo sapiens (assembly GCF_000001405.40). NCBI lineage: Eukaryota > Metazoa > Chordata > Mammalia > Primates > Hominidae > Homo > Homo sapiens. The sequence goes on from NC_000013.11 coordinate 59,579,248, forward strand.
CCCAACATCTACGTGTCCACCAACCCAGAGCTCTCTTAACCTTGTCGTTTAGGGCTTTCATGGAGGAGCTATTACTTAGGCATGATTAATTAAATTATTGGCCTTTGGTGATTAACTCAATCTCCCAGGAGGTTGCAGGGTGGGGCTGAAAGGTCCAGCCCTCTATTACATGGTTGGTGCCTCTAGCAACCAGCCCCCATCCTGAAGCTATCTAGGGGCCCATCCAGAGCCACTTGATTCAGGTAAACCCAGGTATGGGTGAGAGGGGCTTATTATGAATAACATGACAAATGTCCACTCGAGGACTTGACTGCCAAACACTCACATACACATACTTTTTCCATGCTTACAATTAAGCAGCAACAGATTTAGCAACTATGCAATGCAAAATACTGCCACCAAATATACCCCTTATAGAAGACATCAGTAAAAGGGAGATAAATCGTTAACTGCCACTGCCTCCAGGCCCAAATCCAAGAGCTCTGAAAGGTCTATTCTTCCTCTACATCTTTTGCAATTCCATCTGGACAGTCTTTCAGTTATGCACTATTTTGTAAACTTTGCTCACTGCAAATAAAGTATGAAAGGCAACAGGAAAGCAGGGAAAGTTAGAATAGGTAAATATATACATGAAACAGTAAGGAAGAAAATATGAGTAAGAACGATAGTACTTATCTCTGAATTAGTGACAAAGTTACAGTATTTTAAATTTTCTTTCTCCTCTATTCCATGTTCCCAATCTAATCAGCCAGTACCTCAGCTGGTCAAGGTTCTTTACGTGGTGGGATTCTCCAAATCTTACTCAGAATATACAAGTCATTGGTAATCTTGCCTGTAGACGTTTACTGTAGTTTTATCTTTATCACTGAATAAGGAAAAACTAGGAAACATCACTGAGATTTCCTGGGTTCCATGAAGAATTCTCCCTGTCTGCCTCCATTGTACAAAAGTAACCCTATTTTTCGTTGATAATAAGGATCCATCACCTTAGTTAACATGGAATTCTTATTTTTGCCTGTTTTCCAGAGGAATGCTAGATGGCATTCTCAACTCATCTCAATCTCAACTTCCATCATTGTTGCATTTATTGACAGAAATATTTTTCTCTTGGTTACTAACACACTTAAACAAGGAGATTCCAAAGACAGAGAAAACAAAGGCTATTGGAGTAATTTGGTTATAGAGAGAGCTCAAGCTTCTACCTCCATAGAAGATTTATTTTAAGTCAGCTGTTTACAACCTGGAAGTGGGCCTTCACCAGAACCGGACCATGCTGGCACCATGATCTCAGACTTCCAGCCCCCAGAACTGTGAGAAATAAATTTCTGTTCTTGATAAGCCACCCAGTTTCTAATATTTTGTTCTAGCTGCTGGAGCCAAGAGTTACGATAGTGAGATATACCACTCTCACTTCCACATCTGTTTCATAAACCCTGTGTTCTGGCTATGAAGGAAACAGCACCAGGTATTGGTCACTGGTTCACAGCAAACCTACATCTTAAACAGCACATGGGCCACACAAGGAGCTGTCCCCCAGCCAGAGCTGTAACTGAGTCTTAAATGGACCGTTCCACTGTGCTATTAGTCCAGCTGCTTCTGGATGGTAGAGTACACAGTAAGACCAGTGAATCCCATGGCATGGGTACATTGGCTCATGTATTTTGCTTTGAAATAAATCCTTTGCTCCATAAACTCTGGCCCTAGCTCAGACCTTATGAAAGGCAATCATCCTACATTTTTCAACTGAGTGGTATCCACTGGGATCTTGCCTCCATACAGTTCTTCTTTACCCTTTCCCAGACATGTTAGGGGTCAAAGGACATAATTCTTAAGTTTCTTCAGGATCACATAGCAATCACAAGCATGACATTGCATCCCACCAACTTTGGTTCTGAGAGGCCAAACTTATATAGCAGTCTCTCATTCATTCATTCATTCATTCACTCATTCATTCACTCATTCATTCGTTCTCCCTCTCTCCTTTTAGCCCTTTTTTTCTCATGTTCTTTTTTATTCTTCCTCTTTTCTTCTTTTTCTTCTAATTCTTTCTTCTCCTTCTTCACTTTGCACTTTTCATTTTTGTTAGTTCTAACCTCTATTTCCTTCTCCAAACAGAATGAAGCCCAATCCCTACTTAAGTTTCCCAAAGCAACGTTTTTCCTGGTTAACTTTCAGGCATACTATGTCATAAAAAACTTGGCACATGCAAGAAGAAAAACAACCTTGAGAATATTACATTAAGTTATTCTTTCTACCATAAAAAAAAATCAATCTTTGTCATTTGTCTTTATTTTAAGAGTTCAAGCTTTGATCTTCCACTGCAAAGATGTATGTATTTAAGCATCAGGGGAAGTGTTTGCAAATTCGCCCATACAATCTTCATAAACTTTCTCAGTTTCACCCTCTAAGATCATTTATCTTTCAAAATAAAAATCTTCTCTCAGAGCCATAGCCTTATTAGATAGTTGCATTTTAACCAAGCATTTGATAGACTTTTTGTCTGTCTACATACCTATTTGCTTTATTTTGTTAAAGTGTTTATTTTCAAGAACAGATTTAAGTGTACATTTTAACCCTTTTGTATATTTTCTTATATCTATTGGGATTATTATTCTTGTTTTACCCTTATTTAACTTCTGTTGACAACTCATATTTTATGACATTAAGCTTTAGTAATAGATTTGTGTTAAAAGTAATCATTTCTATAGTCTGACATGTTTCAAAAACTTTGAAGCTGAGGCTTAAATGTTTTCTATGGACTGTCAAAGATCTGTTTTTACTAACATGGTTTCATTGAAAAAATAAAGAATGGCTTTAAATATCAGCAAAGATTTTTTGAGTCATAAATGGAAATGCACAAAAGAAAAACAATTTATTGCAAATAGTATGTGATGAGAAATGATCAAAAATGGAAGAAAATTTTCTGAGAATAAAAAAAGAGTGTTTTGAATATACTTTCACACACACATACTTTTCTCTAAGGTAATGTTCTTAATATCTTTAGGGTCTTGGACTCCTTTGATAATCTAAATAAAGCTACAGACTTTCTTCCTAAAATGAAACATATTGGCATACAGAGTCCATAGGCCCCAAGGTAAGAACCCATCTCTAAGGAATATTAGACAATTAATCCAAGACAAAATGCCTTACTCCTTTTCTGCCCACAGTCCAAAATTCCACTTGTTGAAAGTCAGTATTTATCCTGAAGTAGAAGTAAGGCCAATATCCCCTGGGGTTTGACCTTCTATCCATTAAAACACAGCAGAGAAAGAAAGAATAAGTAAATGAATGAATGCATGGAAGCTCAATTCACCATTGGTGGGACTATATCAAATACTGTGTGGGCCTGATTAAAGTCATTCTGGGCAGAAGGGACAGCCTGAGCCGAGGGAAGAGGTGTGAAGTGCCATGCAGTCTATGGCAAATTACAAGTGTGAAAGGCCAGTACAAGAGACTGGACCCTTACATAGGTGGTGAGGCAGGGTGATGAATGTAATGATGACCTGACTGTGGAGAAAGGGTTTTTGAACAGTAACTGGCCAGCTTCAAATGCTAGATATCACCTTGGCCCTCCTAGAAGCAGAAACACCATCAGGAGATGGTTGCAGAAGTCCAAGACAAAGGTGATGAGAGACTGAAATGAGGTAGTGGGAGATGACATAGCAAAAAGAGAAACAAAACAAAAATTAAAAACCTCGAAAAACATTAGGACATAAAAAAGCAAATAGAAATGAAAAAGGCAATCTATCACCCTCGCTAGGAGTATTTACATTTCACAGAGGATTTAAATTGTAGATAAACGGCTTAAATATCCCAGGACCACCCCCACTGAGGGCCTTGGGTGGTTTTGTTGTGCTGCAGACACAGCACATAGCAGTGTGAGGGGAGAACATCTTTTCTTTCCACTAAGGAACTACAGCTCAGGTTGACATCCAAGACTGAAACTTAGAAGCAGGAATATTTGGGGAGTGGGATAAAGAAAGGGGATTGCAAAGAGGTGTTTTTTGGTTTTGTTTTGTTTTTTGATTTTTTTTTTTTTTTTTTTTGGTGTTTTGTTTTTGAGATGGAGAGTCTCGCTCTGTTGCTCAGGCTGGAGTGCAGTGGTGCGATCTCTGCTTACTGCAACCTCCGCCCCCCGGGTTCACGCTATTCTCCTGCCTCAGCCTCCCAAGTAGCTGGGAGTACAGGTGCCCACCACCGCACCCAGCTAAATTTTTTTTTTGTATTTTTAGTAGAGACAGGGTTTCACCATGTTAGCCAGGATGGTCTCGATCTCCTGACCTCGTGATCCACCTGCCTCGGCCTCCCAAAGTGCTGGGATTAAAGGCGTGAGCTACCACCCCCAGCCGCAAAAAGGTTTTTATACCAATAAACTTTCTTATAATCTAAATCATACACATACACACACACACACACACACACACACACACATACGTTGAGCCCCAGAAACAGAGAGTGGCTAGAGAAAGTCTCGTGAGTGGTCAAAGAATCTTATTCGTGCCATGCAGGTACCATCTGTTTGGATAGGATTCTTGCACTACATGGAATAGACATACTCTTGTATTGAGTGCTTAAAGTACATTTTCTTTGATTTTCAAAATACATCTTCTTATACTGAAAAAAGTACTCCTGTAAGTGCTTACACAAGTAAAATCACAGCTTATGATTCATATGCCTGATTCAGCTTCACTGAATTTTGACTCTATAGCTGATATATTTTGGGGGCATTTTCTAATTCTTGGTGAATTCTCTCTTCCCATCTTCTTCAGGTCACTGGCAAATAAAATAAAGAGCCAAAAAGAAAAAGGAAGAAAACAGACTGTGTATATAAAAGTAATCTAAACTGGTGTTAATTTTTGATGCTTATATCAGGGTCATTCCTTACTTTCCTCACTTGCCTGGCTTGCCTTTTCTCAGCAAGCCCAGAAGAGGTGATGTCAAGGAGTGTCTACAGACAGGGTTTTTGCTCCACCTCCACCCCCAACAATTTCAGTTTGTACTTCCCTCAAGTAATCCACATACAAGTACAATGTAAAAATGCAAGTAAAGTCACGTGATTTTTCTTTCTTTTTTTGTTTTTGTTTTTTGCAAGCCCAATTACAAGTCTCCCAGGTCCCCACCTCTGACTAGCTTCTATTCCTAAGCCCCTTCTACTAGGTTGAACCATATTAAATAACCCTTTTTATATGTCAAGCACAGTTGACTGTCCTCAATTTCACGTGGTTCAAGTTAATATGTAGAAATCCTGGATTCACCGTTGCACAGAATGTGTCCCTTCCTGAGACTGTAGGGAAGAAAGACATTCTAAGCCATTCTTTCTGCCTGTGCCACCTGTTATACACCTCTGAGAGTCCCCAATTTCTTCTACTCTGCTTGAGGATTCTCCCTCCTATAAAGTTTGTGTTGGCTTTGGTGAGAAATAACAAGGAATCCTGAAAAAGTTAGGGGCTTTCTTGGACAAAAAACAAAGGAAAGCCACCTATAGTCAGAATATATATCAGAATTAGTACAGGGATGCAGGCTCCTACGATAGCATCCCAGGACCCCCTACCAAGGGCCTCTGTGGTCTTGCTTTGCTGAGGACACAGCACCATCACATGTGAGTGTGAGAAGAGAACGCATTTTTCTCATACTAGTCCTTGGGTTGATATCCAAGACACTGTTCTGGCCCCTGGAGAAAGATTCCCTCCCTCCTGCATAGAGGAGAGGCAAGGAAGAATGTGGATTTTACAAAATGTGGCCAACAAGAGAAAACTAAAGAGTACAAACTCTGGAGACACTGCTGGAAAAATTCATGTCTGTCTTTAATAATCGATAGCTTATGCTGGCTATCATCACAAGCACCATACGCCTGCAGACTGTGATACAATCAAGCTTTCATTTATATTTATGTGGCCAGGAGGATTTTGTATTTGATGATTTTAAAAGATGCATGGACTCTGCGCCGTTTAATTCTGATATATTCGTCTATTATCTATAAGAGGCCATTGGCTAAATTGTACTATTCACATGAGGGTCCATGATGAAAATTTATCAGAATGATAGAGAAATATTCAGATTTAGTTTTTCCTCAATAGTAAAATTCGAAGACTATAAGCACATCGTGCTTCCAAATGACCATCAGAACTAGATCTAAGAAGACCTCATTCTACAAGGAATGCATTATTAAAATAGTTTGTTATGCTGAATTAAAAGGGAAGCAGCTTGACAACTGACAGAGCAGGAAAGACTGGATCCACAGAATTGCAGCCTATAAAACTGTTGTCTTGGGGAGTCAAATTCAGCAAGCCTGGAGGAAGCCTGTAACAGCGAAGGAAACTGCCATTTCTAGGTGGCCTGTCACTAGCAGAGTCATCTAAGGTTTTATTTTGTTTCAATAACAAAATGTTTATTTAACTTCTGTCACTGCTAACTCAATCTAGACAGGTCACCTCAGTTTCTAAGCCCTTTCATTTATTCAGCATCTATGGGTGAGTGTCGCAGTGTGATAGTTACTGTGATAGGTATGGATTGTCAGAAAGGATACTCACGGTCACTGCCCTGAGGAACCTGACAGTCTGGAGAGAAAACACATAGATACACTGATTGGTACAACACAATCGTTTAGTGATCCTCTTGAATGAGGCAAGGACAGGCAGGAAATTCCTGATTCTCAGTGGAAATTTCAATAGTATCGAACAAAGGTGTTCTATGGACTGTAAGTCATGCCCTCATCTCAACATCATCATTGTAATGGTGTTAAGGAGCAGGGTATGTATCTGCCATTATCTCAAGTAACAGCTTTGCAGTAAATCATTCTTGTGTGATCAGTGATATGGATTTTCAGGATGCTGGTCTTGGTGAGCAAAGATTATTGACTTATTGGAAGCAACATAGGGGGTTAAAATGCATTAGACTTGGGGTCAGAAGACCTGGGACCTAGTTCCAGCTCTGCCACTCTCTGCCAGTGGGATGCTGGAAAAATCACTCCACTTCCAAGGATCTCAGATATCCTTAGCTGTGAAATGTCAATAGAATATTAAAAATGACTAAAGGTGTACATTTCTATGTCTCAATGTGGAACTGAGCCTTTTCCCACTCCCTCTAACTAAATAACTTTAAATGAAGGCAGCTATGGAGCATGTTGACTTTGTCTCAGAGCCAGATTTAGAATTGTGCCCTTAAAAAACCACATGATAATGCTGATGGAGATTTGTTGTATTTGTATGTTGGTTTTGGAACTAAATATCCATCCATTCACTCGATATATATTGAGCACATATTTTGGGGCCTGAGAAACAATGGAAAAAAGAGTCCTTTCTTTCCCCTGCGGCAATAAGCATAAAGAAGTTCCTGGAATTTAGGTCAATAAGGTCAGGTATCTTCTAGCAGGATGCATAGCTTGCAGCTAGTGTCATAAAATACTATATCTGAAATGATCTTAGAGATCATTTACAAAAAACTCATTTTTCGCCAGGGGAAAGTGATACCTAGAGATATCTAGCTTCCCCAAGTCACTCAGGCTGCTAGTGATATTCTTCCTTTACTCAACAAATATTTGAGCTCTAGACATTTTCGCTAGGTAACAAAAAAACAGTAAACAAAGTACTAACAAATCTCGCAGTCTAATGCTTGCCACAGATAAACATGATTTGGTAGGTGTTATGATCTGGAAATCCATTTTAGAGGAATGTCACAGAAGGTTTTCTTGAAGGAATCAAATCTAGGCTAAGCTCTAAAGGATAAGTAGAAGGCATAGAGCTAGGACAGTGAAGCCTAATTTAGAGTTCAACCCTTTTCTACAAGCCAAGACTACAGGAACTAATTGAGGTTTGCTGCTCAGTAGAGAGTGGGGGAATATTCCTGGAGGAGACTTGTCCGCTCTCACCTTGTTTGACACAAACTGTTAGCTAGCTCCTGAGAACCTTTTGTCTCTGTTTGCTCCGCCCCTTTGATTTGATGGTTGGGGTGAGAATAATACAGTGGAAAGGGTGTGTCCTGCAGAGCCTAGTAGATCTGGGTCAATCTCAGCTTCAACAGTGACTACAGCTGTGGCCCATGGGCAGAGCACTTCCCTCTCTGAAACTCCCAGCTGCAAAGCTAGAGCGATACCTCCTTAATAAAGTTGTTGAGTCTTTAATCAAATAATGAATATAAAACAGCCACAGTCTCAGCAGCCAGGCCAGATAAAGATCCCACAGAGAGTAGCTATGAAGGGTCAGGAAACTGCAAACACCTGAAATTGCAGGCTTCTTGTCAGGGGTGACTAATAGACTTTGCAAAGGAAACAATAAATTCAAGGTCTCTAAACACTGAGAAACTATCTTCTGTTCTGCTCCTCTGCTTCCGCATTATCAATTAAAATTATTATAAATTTTCTTAGTGCTTTATCAAAAGTATATTAAAAGATACCTCTATAAAGCCTCCATCCCAAGCTCATCACTCCATTGGACTTAATGAGAAAAGATCCAGGAAATAAAATTCAAATGTACAGATTTACTGGTTAGAATCCATTCAGCCATAATCTGTGAAAAAAGGCACAATGTCTGCTGTTTTGCTCTTCTGGTATAAATTAATTATGGTTTATTCAAATACATTTTTAATAAAGAACCTAACAAAATTGTCAATATAGGCCCCAGGCATGTTTTAAACAAAAGCACAAGTATTCCATCCTACCTCCTGCTTCAAAGGGGTTCATCCAGAGTGTACAGACACAATGCTCCCCAAAGCGATCCTCTTTGACAACATACAGAACAAAGCAGGTAAAGATGATATCCAGGCACACAGATCATGCATACTCAATGCATAGTTTCTCTTCAAGAAGCAGAGACTTCCATCTGCCACAGTTTCCATCTTCAGTGATGACCACCAAAAGCTCTTGGTTGCCTGGTTTGTGCTGCATGTAACTTCCTTTTCACAGCTCCTTCAAATGTTTTGTTAACCTTCTCATAAAACTTTGCACAGGAGGGAAGTGTTAATTTGCAAACTAAACACACTGGACCTGACTGGCAATAGCAAGTGGGTATTTGTAAGTCTGGGAGGCTGATAAAATGCCTGTGATTTCTGACATATGAAATTATTTCCACTCTGGCTTTTCAGAAACACATATTAATGGTAATATCAACTCAGTCTTTCCTACTCAGGGATGTTGCATCATCAGCTTTCAGGCTCAAATTTTTACAATCTTAATGATTCCTAACCAATAGGTCTTAATTTCAATTGCAAAAATCCTGTAGGCTTTCTTTAGCTGCTAGAAAAGCAACCTGCAAGTTGTTTTGCCTCCTATCTTCACAAATGCTAATGTGATCAACAAAAGTTGAAGTAGTCACATGAGAAAGAGTATAATGCAGTATTTTTCACCCTGAGAAAGCTTCATTGTTTGATTTAATTAATCCGGTTAGTGACCCTTGTACCCTTCCAGCTACTTTAAAAACCTATATTGATGGGGGATTACCCCTATGTAACTTCAATGAAGAGAGTCACAATTTCAGAAATCAGCAAAAGTGCTGAAAGGGAATATTTGGTTATTCTAACAAATGTGGAAAAAAGCAACTCTAAGTTTTCAAACTCAGCTGGTATTCTGGTATCATTCACAACTTGTGTGTTAGTGCTATCACTGAGCACTTATCACCTCAGTGCTCCTAAGTGTTCTTTTGTTCCCTCTCACTGCTCTAGCATGTGGACCCCAAGGTCCACAAGTTAGAGCAATGATCTGTACAGTGATGATCAAAGTGGGGTACTCACAGCCCTGGCATTACAGAATGATTTCCCAAGGGGTAAAAGAATTCCTACAATTGTCAGAAAATCAATTTCCAGATTCCCAAATTCCATTTATATCCTCTCTTAAATAAGATTTACCTGAGTATACAATGTGTTCACCAATAGCCCTTTTTTTCAACTTTACCAAAAATGAATCATTGCTTCACCCTCAGTGAAAAATTACTAGGTGCCAAAAAAAAAAAAAAAATGGTGGCGTTTTCCTTTCATGACTACTCAAGACTATGTAAGGTCCTAGGGCTTCCCATCATTCCTTCTCTTTTATGTACACTTTCCTGATAAGGATGAAGCTGGGCATTAAAGAGAAATTTGCCGTTTGGGCAAAAACCAAAGAAATTTGGATCCCTGTCTGGATGTTCTAAATTCAGGTATACAATAAAGTGTGGTTAATGATAATAAAAATAAAAATGAAATAAAGTGGGAGAAATGATAATTTTTGTTTAATGACTTTACCTCTTCTATTCTCCTATTATTAAAGAATTCATTATTTACAAGGACAAATCTGTTGAGAGCAAGGTAAAAAGCATCTGTGGGAAATATTGAACACTAAAAAATGGTTCTTTTTCATGTACTTAAATGTAAGCACTTCTTTTAAAGCTATTCTCAATGCTCATTCCTAAGACATGTTATTAGCTGGGGGAAAAATCAGCTTCCATTATCCAAAGAAAAGCACCTTCCATTAGCCAAAACAGTATGGGTTAGTGATTCAGATCTTCTAAATGTAAGTGGAATGTTTTCTGGGACTCCAAATTGTTTTAGATTTAGTAAAACTCACAGATAAACTTCTATTTAATTACTTTTCAGATTTGGTGTGTATTATATGTTAAAGTGTTTATTTTAAACTTCATCTTACGAAAAGTTTAACATTTCCCCCTTATTAATAAAATATAAAATTATGCTAGCTGCCAGGCCAATTCATTTTTAGCAGTTTATATACCTTTCTGTTTTGTTTTTTCTGTAGGAACTTTGATTATAGTATCAAACTAAAATAATGGTGTTATGTATTCTGTTTATACCTGAATTTTTTTTAATTATATGTGAAAACCGAACACCAAAATATGATACACACATACCACATATGCACACATACACATACACACATTTACTAAGGATTATAATGACTTTTATTATAATCCCTGTATTATAATGCCTGTATTAGTCCTTTCACACACTGTGAAAGGACTACCTGAGACTGAGTAATTTATAAAGGAAAGAGGTTTAATTGGTCTTACCCAAGACTGGATAATTTATAAAGGAAAGAGGTCTAATTGACTCACAGTTCCACATGGCTGGGGAGGCCTCAGGAAACTTATAGTCATGGCAGAAGGGGAAACAAATACATCCTTCTTCACATGGCAGCAGGAAGAAGTGCCAAGCAAAAAGGGGAAAACCCCCTTATAAAACCATCAGATTTCTGTATTTTTAAGTAGAGACAGGGTTTCACCATATTGGCCAGGCTGGTCTTGAACTCCTTACCTCAAGTGATCCACTCACCTTGGCCTCCCAAATTGCTGGGATTACAGCCACACATCTGTAATCCCAGCTACTCAGGAGGCTGAAGCAGGAGAATCGCTTGAAACTGGGAGGCCAAGGTTGCAGTGAGCCGAGATTGCACCACTACACTCCAGCCTGGGCAACAGAGCAAGACTCTGACTCAAAGAAAAAAAAGAGAAGGGGCATTCCAAGATGGTCAATAGGAACAGCTCCAGTCTGCAGCTCCCAGAGTGATCGACGCAGAAGACGGGTGATTTCTGCATTTCCAACTGAGGTACCTGGTTCATCTCACTGGGACTGGTTGGACAGTGGATGCAGCCCACAGTGAGCGAGCTGAAGCAGGGCAGAGCATCACCTCACCCAGGAAGTGCAAGGAGTCAGGGGATTTCCCTTTCCTAACCAAGAGAAGCTGTGACAGACTACCTGGAAAAACGGGGCACTCCTGCCCAAATACTGTGCTTTTCCCAAGGTGATTCTCTCCCATGCCTGGCTCGGTGGGTCCCACACCCATGGAGTCTTGCTCACTGCTAGCACAGCAGTCTGAGTTGGATCTGTGAGGTGGTAGCCTGGCTGGGGGAGGGGCGTCCACCATTGCTGAGGCTTGAGTAGGTAAACAAAGCAGCCAGGAAGCTCAAACTGGGTGCAGCCCATCACAGGTCAACAAGGCCTTCTGCCTCTAGACTCCACCTCTGTGGGCAAGGCATACCAGAACAAAAGGCAGCAGACAACTTCTGCAGACTTAAATGTCCCTGTCTGACAGCTCTGAAGAGAGCAGTGGTTCTCCCAGCACAGCATTTGAGCTCTGAGAATGGACAGACTGCCTCCTCAAGTGGGTCCCTGAATCTTGTGTACCCTAACTGGGAGACACCTCCCAGCAGGGGCCAACAGACACCTCATATAGGCGGCTGCCCCTCTGGGACAAAGCTTCCAAAGGAAGGATCAGGCAGCAATATTTGCTGTTCTGCAATATTTGCTGTTCTGTAGCCTCCACTGGTGATACCCAGGCAAACGGAGTCTGGAGTGGAACTCCAGCAAACTCCAACAGACCTGCAGCTGAGGGACCTGACTGTCAGAAGGAAAACTAACAAAGAGAAAGGAATAGCATCAACATCAACAAAAAGTTCATCTACACAAAACCCCCTCTGTAGGACACCAACATCAGAGACCAAAGGTAGATAAAAATCACAAAGATGGGGAGAAACCAGAGAAGAAAAACCGAAAATTCTAAAAATCAGAGCGCCTCTTCTCCTCCAAAGGATCATAGCTCCTCGCCAGCAATGGAACAAAGCAGGATGGAGAATGACTTTGACGAGTTGACAGAAGTAGGCTTCAGAAGGTCGGTAATAACAAACTTCTCCAAGCTAAAGGAGGATGTTCAAACCCATCGCAAGGAAGAAGATTAGATGACTGGCTAACTAGCATAAACAGTGTAGAGAAGACCTGAAATGACCTGATGGAGCTGAAAACCATGGCATGAGAACTTCATGACACATGCACAAGCTTCAATAGCCAATTTGATCAACTGGAAGAAAGGGTATCAGTGATTGAAGATCAAGTTAATGAAATAAAGCGAGAAGAGAAGTTTAGAGAGACAAGAATGAAGATGAACAAACAAAGCCTCCAAGAAATATGGGACTATGTGAAAAGACCAAATCTACGTTTGATTGTTGTATGTGAAACTGATGGGGAGATGGAACCAAGTTGGAAAACACTTTGCAGGATATTATCCAGGAGAACTTCCCCAACCTAGCAAGGCAGGCCAACACTCAAATTCAGGAAATACAGAGGACACCACAAAGATACTCCTTGAGAAGAGCAGCCCAAGACACATAATGGTCAGATTCACCAAGGTTGAAATGAAGGAAAAAGTGTTAAGGGCAGCCAGAGAGAAAGGCTGAGTTACCCACAAAGGGAAGCCCATCAGACTAACAGCAGATCTCTCAGCAGAAACCCTACAAGCCAGAAGAGAGTGGGGACCAATATTCAACATTCTTAAAGAAAAGAATTTTCAACCCAGAATTTCATATCCAGCCAAACTAAGCTTCATAAGTGAAGGAGAAATAAAATCCTTTACAGACAAGCAAATGCTGAGAGGTTTTGTCACCACCAGGCCTGCCCTACAAGAGCTCCTGAAGGAAGCACTAAACATGGAAAGAAACAACCAGTACCAGCCACTGCAAAAACACGCCAAATTGTAAAGACCATCGACGTTATGAAGAAACTGCATCAATTAATGGGGAAAATTACCAGCAAACATCATAATGACAGGAACAAATTCACACATAATATTAACCTTAAATGTAAATGGGCTAAATGCCCCAATTAAAAGACACAGACTGACAAATTGGATAAAGAGTCAAGATCCATCAGTGTGCTGTATTCAGGAGACCCATCTCATATGCAAAGATGCACATAGGCTCAAAATAAAGGGAAGATCTACCAAGCAAATGGAAAACAAAAAAAGTCAGGCGTTGCAATCCTAGTCTCTGATAAAACAGACTTTAAACCAACAAAGATCAAAAGAGACAAAGAAGGTCATTACATAATGGTAAAGGGATCAATTCAACAAGAAGAGCTAACTATCCTAAATATATATGCACCCAATACAGGAGCACCCAGATTCATGAAGCAAGTCCATAGAGACCTACAAAGAGACTTAGACTCCCACAGAATAATGGGAGACTTTAACACCCCACTGTCAATATTAGACAGATCAGCAAGACAGAAGGTTAACAAGGATATCCAGGACCTGAACTCAGCTCTGCACCAAGCAGACCTAATAGACATCTACAGAACTCTCCACCCCAAATCAACAGAATATACATTCTTCTCAGCACGTCGCACTTATTCTACAATTGACCACATAATTGGAAGTAAAGCACTCCTCAGCCAATGGAAAAGAACAGAAATCACAACAAACGGTCTCTCAGACCACAGTGCAATCAAATTAGAACTCAGGATTAAGAAACTCACTCAAAACCTCACAACTACATGGAAACTGAACAACTTGCTCCTGAATGACTACTGGGTAAATGACGAAATGAAGGCAGAGTAAAGATGTTCTTTGAAACCAATGAGAACAAAGACACAATGTACCAGAATCTCTGGGACACATTTAAAGTAGTGTGTTGTGGGAAATTTATAGCACTAAATGCCCACAAAAGAAAGCAGGGAAGATCTAAAATCGACAGCCTAACATCACAATTAAAAGAACTAGAGAAGCAAAAGCAAACAAATTCAAAAGCTAGCAGAAGGCAAGCAATAACTAAGATCAGAGCAGAACTGAAAGAGATAGACACACAAAAAACCCTCCAAAAAAAAAAAAAATGAATCCAGTAGCTGGTTTTTTGAAAAACAAACAAACAAAAAATCAACAAAGTTGATAGACTGCTAGTAAGACTAATGAAGAAAAGAGAGAAGAATCAAATAGGTGCAATAAAAAAATGATAAAGGGGATATCACCACTGCTTCCACAGAAATACAAACTACCATCAGAGAATACTATAAACACCTCTATGCAAATAAACTAGAAAATCTAGAAGAAATGGATAAATTCCTCGACACATACACCCTCCCAAGACGAAACTAGGAAGAAGTTGAATCTCTGAACAGACCAATAACAAGTTCTGAAATTGAGGCAATAATTAATAGCCTACCAACCAAAAAAAAGTCCAGGACCAGATGGATTCACAGCCGAATTCTACCAGAGGTACAAAGAGGAGCTGGTACCATTCCTTCTGAAACTATTCCAATCAGTAGAGAAAGACGGAATCCTCCCTGATTTTATGAGGCCAACATCATCCTGATACCAAAGCCTGGCAGAGCACAACAAAAAAACAGAATTTTAGACCAATATCCCTGATGAACATCAATGCAAAAATTCTCAATAAAATACTGGCAAACCAAATCCAGCAGCACATCAAAAAGCTTATCCACCATGATCAAGTCGGCTTCATCCCTGTGATGCAAGGCTGGTTCAACATATGTAAATCAATAAACATAATCCATCACACAAACAGAACCACAACAAAAACCACATGATTATCTCAATAGATGCAGAAAAGGCCTTTGACAAAATTCAACAGCATTTCATGCTAAAAACTCTCAATAAACTAGGTATTGATGGAATGTATCTCAAAACAATAAGAGCTATTTATGACAAACCCACAGCCAGTATCATACTGAATGGGTGAAAACTGGAAGCATTCCCTTTGAAAACCATCACAACACAAAGATGCCCTCTCTCACCACTCCTATTCAACATAGTGTTGGAAGTTCTGGCCAGGGCAATCAGGAAAGAGAAAGAAATAAAGGGTATTCAATTAGGAAAAGAGGAAGTCAAATTGTCCCTGTTTGCAGATGATGTGATTGTATATTTAGAAAACCCCATCATCTCAGCCCCAAATCTCAAGCTGATGTACAACTTCAGCAAAGTCTCAGGATATAAAATGAATGTGCAAAAGTCACAAGCATTCCTATACACTATTAACAGACAAACAGAGCCAAATCATGAGTGAACTCCCATTCACAACTGCTACAAACAGAATAAAATACCTAGGAATCCAACTTACAAGGGATGTGAAGGACCTCTTCAAGGAGAACTACAAACCACTGCTCAATGAAATAAAAGGACACAAACAAATGGAAGAATATTCCATGCTCATGGATAGGAAGAATCAATATTGTGAAAATGGCCTTACTGCCCAAAGTAATTTATAGATTCAATGCCATCCCCATCAAGCTACCAATGACTTTCTTCACAGAAATGGAAAAAAACACTTTAAAGTTCATATGGAACCAAAAAAGAGTCCACATTGCCAAGACAATCCTAAGCAAAAAGAACAAAGCTGGAGGCGTCACGCTACCTGACTTCAAACTATACAAGGCTACAGTAAACAAAATACCATGGTACTGGTACCAAAACAGAGATATAGACCAATGGAACAAAACAGAGGCCTCAGAAATAACGCCATACATCTACAACCATCTGATCTTTGACAAACCTGACAAAAACAAGCAATGGGGAAAGGATTCCCTATTTAATAAACAGTACTGGGGAAACTGGCTAGCCATATGTAGAAAGCTGAAACTGGATCCCTTCCTTACTCCTTATACAAAAATTAATTCAGGATGGATTAAAGACTTAAATGTTAGACCTAAAACCATAAAAACCCTGAAAAAAACTTAGGCAATACCATTCAGTACATGGGCATGGGCAAGGACTTCGTGACTAAAACACCGAAAGCAATGGCAACAAAAGCCAAAATTGACAAATGGAATCTAATTAAACTAAAGAGCTTCTGCACAGCAAAAGAAACTACCATCAGAGTGAACAGGCAACCTACAGAATGGGAGAAAAATTTTGCAATCTACCCAGCTGACAAAGGGCTAATATCCAGAATCTACAAAGAACTCAAACAAATTTACAAGAAAAAAACAAACAACCCCATCAAAAAGTGGGCAAAGGATATCAACAGACAATTCTCAAAAGAAGACATTTATGCAGCCAAAAGACACATGAAAAAATACTCATCATCATTGGTCAGAGAAATGCACATCAAAACCACAGTGAGATACCATCTCACACCAGTTAGAATGGCGATCATTAAAAAGTCAGGAAACAACAGGTGCTGGAGAGGATGTGGAGAAAAAGGAACACTTTTACACTGTTGGTGGGACTGTAAATTAGTTCAACCATTGTGGAAGACAGTGTGGCGATTCCTCAAGGATCTAGAACTAGAATTACCATTTGACCCAGCCATCCCATTACTGGATATATACCCAAAGGATTATAAATCACGCTCCTATAAAGACACATGCACACGTATGTTTATTGCAGCACTATTCACAATAGCAAAGACTTGGGACCAACCCAAATGTCCATCAATGATAGACTGGATTAAGAAAACGTGGCACACATACACTATGGAATACTATGCAGCCACAAAAAAGGATGAGTTCACGTCCTTTGCAGGGACATGGATGAAGCTGGAAACCATCATTCTCAGCAAACTATCACAAGGACAGAAAACTAGACACCTCATGTTCTCACTCATAGGTGGGAATTGAACAATGAGATCACTTGGACACAGGGCAGGGAACATCACACACCAGGGCCTGTTGTCGTGGGGGGTGCTGGGGGAGGGATAGCATTAGGAGAAATACCTAATGTAAATGATGAATTGATGTGTGCAGCAAACCAATGTATACCTATGCAGCAAACGTGCACTTCGTGCACATGTATCCTAGAACTTAAAGTATAATAAAAAAAGAAAAAGAAAAAGAAAAAAAAAAGCCATCAGATTTCATGAGAACTCACTCACTATTACAAGAACACCAGCATGGGGATAACTGCCCCCATGATTCAATTACCTCCCACTGGGTCCCTCCCATGACGCATGGAGATTATGGAAACTACAATTCAAGATGAGATTTGGGTGGGGACATAGAGAAACCATATCAAACCCTATTTGGTAACATAATTTTACCTACATATTACATTACATTTTTAGAAAATTAAGTAATGAGAAACTACGTATTAAATTATCTTGTTTTATATCCTAGAACAAAAGGGATAAATTAGTTATATTAGATCTGAAGCATTTTAATCTTGATTTAAGTGTTTTGGTTACTTATTTATTTTGAGATGAAGTCTTGCTCTGTCGCCCAGGCTGGAGCGCAGTGGCATGATCTCAGCTCACTGCATCCTTCGATTCCCTGGTTCAAGCTATTGTCCTGCCTCAGCCTCCCGAGTAGCTGGGATTACAGGCAAACGCCACCATGCCCAGCTAATTTTTGTATTTTTTTAGTAGAGACAGAGTTTCACCATGTTGGCCAGGATGGTCTCGATCTCCTGACCTTGTGATCCGCCTGCCTTGGCCTCCCAAAGTGTTGGGATTAAGGCATGAGCCACCGCACCCAGCCTTGGTAATCATTTTTATAAAATGCACTCTATAATTTCTTTCTTCAGAGTTTCTATTGTATACCTTAAAACATGCTTATTGACATAAGTTTATTTAATTTAATTTAATTCAAAAATTAAGTCAATGATTTTCACTTCTAGGACAAGAGTAAACATACATATCTATCTTCCACCTGCTAAGTACAGCTGTAAACTCTGGACATTATATAATAATAAGCAAGAAGACTGAAAGGTGGAGAGAAGAGGGCAGGCTAGTGTGGGGCCTTGGGCTCTAAGAAACACATAGCAATGAGTTTCCTGGTTTTTCTGTTTGCCTTGTATACATACCCTATACGGGGTGATAGAGGAGCTAGTAATCCAGAAACACCAATGGTGGAGATTTAAGAAAATCTCCCTAATAGTCCGTTCTCTGTAGTCAAAAAACCAGGAAAGGGCTGCCCAGTAAGACAAAAACTTTTGGACAATGCCTTCCTTACTCTGGCCATACAACATGGAAAAAGCTAAGGCCATGCTTCCATCAGGTACAAAGGCCAAGTAGAAAGCTCAGACTTCCATCTCATCAGAAGTCTATAACAAAGTGTGCCCCTTTACTGCTGGGATGGTGTGAGAGAAGAGCGAGTGTGCAGCCAGAGCTTCCACCAACAACCGGTGGTAACTAGAGCTCCCTCTACCACCCATGGTGTCAGTGAAGGCCACATGGGGAGCCTGACCTCCCAGCCCTGCCCAGCAGTAATGAGGTACCCTCCCCCAGGGTATTAACGGAACTTGGACATCTGCCCCAACCTGACATTAACTGAGTGGCACCACCATCATGGTGTCAAAAGATATCTGCTAAAACACAAGATTTAAATAAAATTCAGAGTCCCATGATGCTTAAAATGTCCAGGAAAAATTTGAAAATCATACAAAGAGCTTAACTTGAATGAATTAATGAATTAAGATCATCGGCCGGGCGCGGTGGCTCACGCCTGTAATCCCAGCACTTTGGGAGGCCGAGGCGGGTGGATCATGAGGTCAGGAGATCGAGACCATCCTGGCTAACAAGGTGAAACCCCGTCTCTACTAAAAATACAAAAAATTAGCCGGGCGCGGTGGCGGGTGCCTGTAGTCCCAGCTACTCGGGAGGCTGAGGCAGGAGAATGGCGTGAACCCGGGAAGCGGAGCTTGCAGTGAGCCGAGATTGCGCCACTGCAGTCCGCAGTCCGGCCTGGGCAACAGAGCGAGACTCCGTCTCAAAAAAAATAAAAAATAAAAAAAACAAAACAAAAAAAAGATCATCAACACTCCTCCCACATAAGTGGTAGAGATGGTGACAGTATCTGACAAAAATTCCAAAGTAGCCATGAGAAAAAATGTTTCTATGAACATGGTTTAAACAAAGGGAAAAAAAAGTTTCAGCTAAGAAAAAGAAGATATAAAAAAAGAACAAAATGGAAATTTTAGGACTAAAAATACAGTAGCTGAAATAAAAAGCTCAGTTGGTGGGCTCAACAGCACAGTAGAGATGACAGTCAGTGAACTGTAAGAGCAATAGAAATTGCCCAATCAGAACAATAGATAGAAAAAATAAACTGAAAAGATAAAGAGAGCCTTAGGGGTTTATCAGACTATAATTAAAAATTTAACATTTATATATTAGTCCGTTTTCACACTACTGATAAAGACACATCCAAGACTGGGTAATTTATAAAGGAAAAGAGGTTTAATGGACTCATAGCTCCATGTGGCTGGGGAGGCCTCACAATCATGGTGGAAGGTGAAAGGCACATCTTACACAGTGGCAGACAAGAGAGAATGAAGCCAAACAAAAAGGGAAACCCATTAGAAAACCTATTCACTACCACAAGAACAGTATGTGGGAAACCACCCCCATGATTCAATTATCTTGCACCAGGTGCCTCCCAAAACATGTGGAAATTATGGGAACTACAATTCAAGATGAGATTTGTGTTGGAACACAGCCAAACCATATCAATTTATGTCATCAGGATCCCAAGAAGAGAGCAGTACTAAAAAGGTATTTAAAGAAAATAATGGCTGAAAATTTTCCAAATCTAGAAAATAATGTAAGCCTACAGACACAAAAAAACTGAGCAAATCCCAAACAGATTAAACCCAAAGACACCCATGCTAAGATACATTATAATTAAGCTTCTGAAAACTAATGAAAGAAAAAAATTTGAAAGCAGTGAGAAACATCTTACCTATAAAGGAAAAAATATTCTAATGATAGCACATTTACTATCAAAAAACCTAGAGGCAGAAAGAAATGATAAAACATTTTTCATGTGCATAAAGAAAATTGCTGTCAACCCAGAATCTTATATCCAGCAAAAATGTCATTCAGAATGAAAGGGAAATTAAGACATTCTTAAAAGAAGGGAAACTAAGAAGTTTTCACTAGTAGTTCTACCTTAAAAGAATAGCTAATGTAATTTCCTAAGAAAGAATGAAGAAAAAACAATGGACAGAATAAAAATATGAGTAAATACAGTGGATCGTGGCTCCTCTAAGTTTTCTAAATTAAGTTTGATGTTTAAAGCCAGACTTGTAACATTTTTAGTTTTCAATGTACATAGAGGAAATGTTTAAGATGATTATATTAGAAATGTGGAAGGATAAAAGGAAAGTTAAAAGGGAAGTAAGGTTTCTATACTTCATGCAAACTGGTAAAATGTCAATACCAGTAGACTGTGATAAGTTATGTAATATCTAGAGTAACCACACACACACACACAAATTACACAAAGATATATACTCAAAAGCACTTTAAATAAATCAAAAGAAAATTCTAAAATATGTTTCAGTAACCCACAGGGAGGCAATAAAGAGGCAAAAATGAGGAAAGGAAAAGAAAACAGGGAAGAATCAGAAAACAACAATAAAATGACAGACTTAAGCCAGAGATGATTGTTAGGGAGATGTTTAGGTGTGACCATAAAAGGATATCATGAGGAAGATCTTTGAGTCTTCTGTGCCCTCGATAACACTGTGGTGATAGAACAGTTCTGTATCTTGATTGTGGTGATGGTTACAGGAATATATACATATAATAAAAATGTGTGGAACTATACACCACATTATGCCAATGTCAATTTCCTGGTTTTGATATGTAAGGTGTAACCATTGGAGGAAACTCAGTGAGTGATGTGCGTACCAGACCTGCTATATTGCCTTTGCAGTTTTCTGTGAATCTATAATTATCTCAAAATAAGTTTTAAAATTTTTTTTCCAAAAAATGAAGTCAGACATTTGGTTGGTTGGTTTGACAATGTGTCCTTGCTTTCTAATTAGGCTCTCTGTTGATCATTAATGAGCTAAATTTTCTACTCTAGGTAAACTGTTTAAGCCACATGATAAAATGAAAGTATTATATCAAACATATTATCCTGGTTAAAGTGTAATAAAATTAACAATGTTTAATTTTCCCTGTCTTTTTTGAATGTATATAGGGCTTGGGTAAATAGGATGCCTCTAAATTTAAAAAATAATAGGTAAAATTGTTTATCATTTTATAAGTCTTGATAGCATCTTTTTAGTATACTATATTTTCCTGAAATTGGAAACTCAAGTCTAAGGAGACAAAAGTTATATAATTTTTCAAGTTTAATGAATAACTTAATTATATATTTTTAAATGATTTATAGTATTAAATTATTGTCATATTTGGATACCATTGGATACTTTAAGAAAAATGATGTAGCAGTTTTATATTTAAATGCCAGCATTTATAAAACACCAGAAACTACGTCTTTCCCAATTAAAGTTACGAAGAATGTTCGAGGTCAATTAAAATGTGTGGTTAGGCGAATTAAAAAAAAGTTTGAAGACCATATACATAAGCCCAGCATCTTTCAGAACTACCCCTCTTCCTCTTTCCAACTGGTCCCAAACCACTCTGCTCTGGGTCAGACCATCTATCAATCACACATGGCCACATAGCCACTCACACTAGGTGCCTAGATTCGGCTCCTCTCCTATTTGTACTTCTGTCATAGTCATTATGAACCCTCCCCAGAGCCAGTCTCAGGTATTCTGAGTGTGAGGAAAGTAGACTCTCTATGCTAATCTCAACAAAGACCGAATGAGTGGGGGTTAGCTCGGAGGTTTTGTGTCTGGAGCACGTTTATCTTGGACTGTTTCTGACTCATTTGATCTTTTCAATGCTGGCTTTGCCAGCTTCTGATCTCCTTTACATATTTTGTTTAGCTGACTTTGAGAAAGACTTATAAAAGTCTTTTTTACATACAGATACTGATTTGCACAAGATTATATCTGTCTATATCTATAGACAGACATATGATATCACCTGGCTTTTAAGAAGCTTACAGCTAATAGATTTCAAATAAATAAAATACTGAAGGAAAGATACAAAACAGAATATGCAGAAATACTGTATTTTATCAAATATAAGATACCACAGATGTTGCATAATTCTATGTACCATTAAGAAAGAAAAGCCACTGCTGCTTAAACACAATACATTTTTATAACAGGATCTTTATGTTATACTTACTGAAAGAACTTATAAACTTATTTAGATGTAGATTTGTATTATATATACATTAAAAAGGAAAATAAATTGGTTAACATGTTCCTGAAATTTCATATTCAGAGTTTCATTTTTTAATATCACTTTTTGAGTCAGAGCTCTTCATGTCTATGTCTTTCCACACAGTATAGTTTTCTGTGCCCTCAATAATATTGGTGATGCAACAATTCTTGAAAGAGTGCTTTACTCATGTCTCTAGGATTTACTTTCAAGTTGCTGATACTCTTTCTACAAGTATCTGCAAGTTTTGATGACAACTCTTTCTTGACTTTATGGAGAAGTTGTCAACAAAAGATTTTCAAACAATTAAGACTCATAATACTTCTTTGAATGGCTCTCTTAAAGTTTGTTGACAATGAGAGTTTTTCAGTCATGCTTCCATGAATAATAACCAGCTTTGAGTATGTGCATGAAACAACCACCATGTTATAACTGCTGCCTGGCTACCAGTGATCATAAAATATCAGTAATGATAAAGGCATCCTGATTTCAGAAATAAGATGTAGAGGAAAAAATAGTGTGTTTTAGATTTGATATAATATGACAGTATAAAGGAAAGAATGGCTATGTTTTTCTGGGATTGTTGGGGATGGTTTCTGAGAAAAAGTCATATCTGACCACATTTGGTTTTCTGTTTGTGTGTTTAATTGTTGAACAAGCAGTCAACAGGTATAAAAGGGGAGGGGAAGGGGAATACATGGAGACATAAAGCAACAGGGTAAGCTGGGCATTGAAGCAGTTGGTGAGAACTTAAGATGAGTCTGGTTATCTAGGCAAATGTCAAAAGTGTCTATATGGTAAAACAAGAAGCCTAGACTCTGTTGGGCAAGTTACTATTGAGCTACTAAGATGTTAAAGGAGTGTTAGGATTTGATTCAAGAGAGGCTTAAGATGGATGACCAGAAGCATTTCATACCCACCTCCTTCACTTAGAAAATACAAAAATAGTACATAGATAGCCATACTTCGAATACACTATCCAAGAGAGAATGCTAGAATTGAACAGAGCAGTGACAGGGAACACCAAAAGTGGGGAAGGAGAAGGAAGAGGCAATCTGCTGGGACAGGATTGGCTGGGGGCTGGGAATAACTTCCTCTCAATGCAGGGCAAGGATGAGTAATGGACTTCCAGTAGCCCACAGTCCCACTGTGGGATTGTGCAATCCATGCCACAGGAGAACTCCTTGACCCTCGCAAACCCTGAAACTAACATGGGAAGCTGCTGGAAGATGATGGGGGAGAACTGCTCTGAGACGGAGCTCATGCTGGGTCCTATACCCTTTCTGTGAGCTAAGTAGCTACAGCAAGGTGACACTTTCAAACCTCACAGACTGAATGCTGTCCTGGGCCCAGTGGCACTGGGACTGAAATGTTATGGAAGTCAGGCTGTCACTGCTGGGACTGGGAAGCCAGCTGGGAATACTGCCATGGCCAGGGCTAAGAAGCAAGCATGGCACAGGCTACAGCTGCCACTGCTAGAAAGGGAATACTTCCAGGACTGCTACTGGAATGCAAGCACAGAGTTGCTGCTGGGACTTAGTCACAAGCTGGGTGTTTGCTCCTGCAGCCAGGGCAGGGACATGAGCTAGGTGTGAGCTATGGCACCAGGGTGGCATATGGCAAAGGGTGAGCCTCACCAAAAATGGGGCATAGGAAGGACACATATTTCCCACCCACCAGCTTCTACTGTGGACAATGATGATGGCACAACCTACTCCAGTGGTAAAGCCTCACCGTAGTTGCTACTGCCCCTCACCTGAGCACTCCACCTGGAAACCAAGGATCACCCCACCTCTATCCACCATGGCTAGTGCTGGTTCTCACCATTGGGTAACCTGAACACTAGCCAACCTAGCCCAGCTTCACCCCCTAGCTGTGAGAAAGAGCACATAGCCCAGGGTCGTGGGGATTGCCCAACATAATCCACTACCTTAGGCAACTGAGCATGCAACCAAACCATAACAACAAACAATAAGAGAAAAATAAAGAAATAACAAATATATAAAACAACCAGAAAACAATTTACAGTATGACAGAAACAAAGCCTTACATATTAATAATAACCTTGAATGTAAACGGGTTAAATTCTCTACTTGAAAGATAATAGGATGGCTGAATGGATTTTAAAAAATGATCCAACTATGTACTGTTTACAAGAAACTCACCTTATGAGTAAAGTCATGTAAGTTGAAAGGAAAGAAATGGAAAAAGATATTCTACACTATCAGAAGCAAAAAGTGGGCAGGAGTCACTATACTTAGATAAAACAGACTTTAGGTCAAGAAAAGTAGGAAAAGAAAAAAGATCATTATGTAATAATTTTAAAAAATCAATCCAGCAAGAGGATACACAATTTTAAATATATATGCATCCAACACTGCAATACCCAGTTCATAAAGCAAATATTCTTAGATCTAAAGAGAGAGATGGATTGCAACACAATAATGGTGGAGGACTTCGTCTGGACACAGTGGCTCACGCCAGCAATCCCAGCCACTTGGAAAGCTGAAGTGTTCATCAGTATTGAATGGATAAAGAAAAGGTAGTAAAGGAATGAAATCACATCACTGCAGCAACATGGATGGAACTGGAGGTCATTATCTTAAGTGAAAGAAGCCGGACAGAAAAAGACAAATATCACATGTCTCACTTACATGTGGGAGCTAAAATATTTGATCATATGGAAGTAGAGAGGAGAAAGATACATAACACAAACTGGAAAGAGTGAGTGTGGGAGAAGAGGGAAGATGAAGAGAAGCAGACTAAAAGGTATAAACATGCAGTAATATTTAAGAAATAAATTCAATATTTGATAGTAGAGTGACTACCC
Source organism: Homo sapiens (assembly GCF_000001405.40). Classification (NCBI taxonomy): domain Eukaryota; kingdom Metazoa; phylum Chordata; class Mammalia; order Primates; family Hominidae; genus Homo; species Homo sapiens. The sequence continues at coordinate 59,604,802 of NC_000013.11, forward strand.
TTATCAAAAATATACTGTACTTGGCCAGGCGCGGTGGCTCATGCCTCTAATCCCAGTACTTTGGGAGGCTGAGTGGGGTGGATCAGGAGGTCAGGAGACAGAGACCATCCTGGCTAACATGATGAAACCCTGTCTCTACTAAAAATACAAAAAAATTAGCTGGGCATGGTGGCGGGCGCCTGTAGTCCCAGCTACTTGGGAGGCTGAGGCAGGATAATGGCGTAACCCCAGAGGCGGAGCTTGCAGTGACCCGAGATCATGCCACTGCACTCCTGCCTGGGTGACAGAGCAAGGCTCTGTCTCAAAAATTTAAAAAAAAAAAAAAAATATATATATATATATATATATATATCTATTACTCATATGATGGACACTCTAAATACCCTGACTTGATCACCACACATTATATACATGTAGCAAAATTACTCATGTACACTATAAGTTTGTACAAATAAATTTTATTCAAGAAAAATTACTCTCATCCAGCAAAAGAGAAGTTTAAGGAATGTAAACATGCAAAGAAGCTACTAGCAGCAATAGTACAGAGATTATGTAAGTAAATACTCTTGGAAGTCCTCAAGAGAATGAAAGCAGCATCTATAGCATCTACATCCATGGTGCCATGAAGACCAGGCTCCCATTGCAGTTCTGAGTAGATGATAGTTGTGGCCTTTTGCCTCTGACCTTTCATGCCTCAACCAAATCTGTAACACAGGGGAAAAAACTCCTGCGGAATCAGATTCCTTCAATTCACCCTAGGCACGCATTGAACCCTTTTAACCAAGTAGAGAGTTTTATCAGTAGTCTCCAGTGCGACTGTAACACAAAGGAACTAGATAAAGTAATTGTTCTTCACAAAATATAGTGGAGAGACATTAAGCAGAAGGAAAGGAAGGGAAAGGAAGAAAGAAAAAAGGAAAGGAAACGAGAAGAAGAGGGAGGGAGGGAGGAAAGAAGGAAGAAAGAAGAATGAGGAAGGAAGAATGAGGACGGAAGGAAGAATGAGGAAGGAAGGAAGGAGAATCATCACTTGAAATAGGAGAACCCATTTTCACTTTGAAAGTTTAGAAAGTATACACAATAGTATAGCAGTCAGCCATAAAAAAGAGTGAAATCATGTATTTTGCAACAACATGGATGGAATTGAAGGCCATTATCTTCAGTGAAACAACTCAGACACAGAAAGACAAGTACCACAAACTATCACTTATAAGTGGGAGCTAAATAATGTATACACATGGACATAGAGTGTGGAATGCTAGACAATGGAGACCTGGAGAGATGAGGGGGTGAGAGGTAGGTGGATGATGAAAAACTACTTAATGGGTACAATGTATGTTATTCTGTTGATAGATATACTAAAAACCCTGACTTCACCACTATGCAATCTATCCATGTAACAAAATTACATATGTACCTTGTAAATTTATATAAAAATAGATTTTTCTTTTTTTTAAAAAAAAAGAAAGCTTAAAAGGGCTTCCATAGATGAAACACGAAGACATCTAAAAGAACTTGTTCCCACAGGGTGAAGTTCTGTTAAATTTCTTATGGCTCCTCCTACCTCTTTACCCATCTTTATTCATATATTTGGATTAGAATTAAGATATACTGGCCGGGCATGGCGGCTCATGCCTGTAATCCCAGCACTTTGGGAGGTCGAGGTGGGTGGATTACGAGGTCAGGAGTTCGAGACCAGCCTGGCCAGCATGGTGAAACCCCATCTCTACTAAAAATACAAAAAATTAGTTGGGCTTGGTGGCGCATGCCTGTAGTCCCAGCTACTTGGGAGGCTGAGGCAGGAGAATTGCTTGAACCTAGCAGGCTGAGGTTGCAGTGAGCCGAGATCACGCCACTGCACTCCAGCCTGGGAAACAGAGTGAGACTCTGTGTCAATAAAAAAAAAAAAAGAATTAAGATTCATTTCATTATCTCTCCCACCTTTATGCTACAATTTTATATATGTTATACTCTTTTATATTATTTCATATGTCCCTGAGGTGCCATTCAATTTTTTCAATCTGTTTTCTCACTATTATTCTGATTGGATTATTCTGAATCTGTCTTCCAGGAAGTCTTACTTTCTACTGTCATCTACTTTCTGCTGTTAAGTTCATTCAGTGATTTTTACTTTCAGATATTTTATACATTTCAGTTCTAGAATGCCTAAATGTTTCTTCTTCATTGCTATTTTCTGCTGAATTTTTAAAAATATTTTCATTCGTTGCAAATATATTTTCCTTTGTGTCCTCGAGGATAGTTAAATAAGTTGCTTTAAATCTTTATTCACTATTTCTAACATCTCACTTATCTCAAAGTTTGTCTTTTCTCTTAAGAATGGATTTTTCTGGTTCTTTGAATGTCAAGTAATTTGGGATTTTTATCTCAGACATTGTGAATACTGTTTGAGAGACTGGGTTCTTTTACATTCTTCTGAAAATTGTACATTTGCTGTTTTTGCAAGCAATGATTTGGTTGGATTCAAACTGCAAACATAGACTCCTGGGAAGCACCTTCAAGTTCAGTTCAGTTCTTTAACCTTTAGCTGGAGTCTATCACACACGTTGATGGTTTGGCAGCTAGACAAAGATTTAGGCAGAGTTTGTAACAGAACTTGGGTGCTTTCTCTGTCTCTAGCTCTCCAGAATTTCCCTTTCACTTGCCCTAACTGTCCTTTGGGTCTTTATACAAGAAAAACTGAGAATTTCCTTTCAGAATTATAGTGACATCTTGGTGTCAACTTTGACCCACCCTCAGACAGAAAGCTGTTAAAAAACTGGTAACTCATATCCTTTTTTTAAGTGTCAACTCTTCTCCAGAATCAGTCTGCTTTTGTTCACTCCTCAGTGAGTTTAGGTCATTGGTGTTTTATTTTGTCCAGAATTTGCAGTTTTATCAGAAGGAGGGTGAGATTTAGTGGGAGCTACTCAGTCATACAGGAAGGGAAAATTCAATATTCCTGATTATGATTTATAATCACTTACTAAGTCTTTGCTCTGCACAGGAACTGTGCTTTTTCATACATTATCTCATTTTAGTCCTACAGGAGTCCGAGTGAGAAGTAACTGTTATTATTTACATTTTACAGATAAGGAAATAGAAGTGAAGAAAGGCCCCAGGTTACATTCCAATAACAAATTCAAACCTAGTGTTTTAAAGTCCAAAGTCCATACTCTTAACCTACTGCTTTAAGAAATAAAATTAGCTCTCACTTCCAAAAGGTGCCCTAAGGCACCAAAAACTGCCCTAGGCAGGCTTCTTAATCAGAAGCCAACTTTAAACTAGTCGATTGTAGGCTTAGAAATTCATTTCCTTATTCACTTACAGTAGTGTTTCCCCAACTTGCCTTATCATACAGATCACCTGAGGGGAATCTCAGGCTACAGATAACAGACTTTCTGAATCAGTCCCCAGGGGCAGGGGCTGAACATCTGAATATTTAACAGGTTCTCCAGATGACTCTAATGTTTCTCCAGTTTGAAAACACTTACCTTAAAAAAAAAAAAAAAAGAGCACCTGGCACCCACACACTTTATTTGCAACTCTGTTTCCTGGGATAAATAATGGCAGTAATAAGAAATGCTAATTATCACCTAGAGCTTACCTCAGGCCAGGCAGGCACTTTTCTAAGTATTTTGTATGTATTATCTTCTTTAATCCAACAAACCTACAAGTAGTTACTGTTTTTATAAGGCAACTAAGGTACCAGCTGCCTACAATCATACCAGTAAGTAGTGAACCACAGTTTAATTCTGCTCTTTGATTCCATGACCACTCTTTTTATCAAAACTATTCTATCTCCACTTGTCAAATCTGCCACAACCATACCTGAAGAGAAGTTTGGGCAAACACATGGCCATGATGTAACATTTCCAAAAGGCCCAAGAATAAAATTAACAGCCTGGAAAGAGCATCTCTTCACTGCCAGAACCCACTGAAGCTTTGGATTATGCTCTGGGCAGTTCAAAAGATCCTGCTACTTTGATTACTTTCAGCAGGAAGATTGGAGAAGAGTGGGAAAGAGCTCTGGAGAGCTCAGCCAACAGATTCACAACATGCACCTAATTATTTTCATATCTTTTCCATAGCCATCCATGTGCTAGCCTCCCATGTATAAACATGATGAGTTTATAGTCTAAGAAAGGAGGAAGACAATCAGCCATAATACCAACTATTCCAGACCGACCTATTGACCATATGCACAGCTCTTAAGGTCTTGTATAGATTATGGTGTCTACCAAAGAAGTTTGAAGGGCAGAGGGTCAGCTGGTTCCTTACAATAGGTTATACTAAAAGCAATCTCAGAGTTGCTTATTAATTAGATGTTTATCAATTAAAATTTTATCAGCAAAGACAGTATTAAAGAAACTATATGACTTCTGTAGACTGGAGAAGGCTTCTGTTGTCTTTCTTTTCAGATGATCTGACCACCAATTTTGTATGAAAGGCTCATTCTAGAACAATGCAAGATTCCAGAGGCAGGATTCTGCCACCTTTATCTGAAAGAATCTAGCGTTCTAGAAACCAGGCCTTTTAAGTGCGGTCCCTAAGGATGCATATAGTTACAGATCCCGTTGAATTCTTATATCGTATTCATGTTAATTTAAAAACAATCAATGTATATTAAATATCTTTATTTCACAATTGGCAGCTCATTTCTAATATTCCTCACATTTAGCAACAGGCTGTTTTTACACTAATAAAAGCCTATTTCTTACAGATAGTGTGCTAATTAGAAAGCATCTGTTATTGATGGAGATATGGATAACAGGAAGGCCTGTGATAGCTGCCTCTGGAGTGAGTAGTCCTTGCTGATAGAATGTTATTTGACACCCTGGGCTACACTTTCTTAATTAGTAGACTGACCACTTCTTGACTGTGCTTTCTAGATAATGCTAAAGAACTTTGAAAGTAATTACAGATACTGTAACAACAACAGCTAAGAAAGTAGCAACCATAAGTGCTATATAGGAAGTCCATGACAGGGTTTTTGATAGAGAGAAACAGTTTTCTGTTTCCAGAGACCCAAGACTGGTTGTGGGAGGGTCAAGAGTCAGGAATCACCTTTCCTACTTTTCCTTTTTTCCTGCAGTCCTCCTGCCTCAGTTGTCCAGAAGTACAGCTAGGGAAGAATGGAAAATATATAGGGAGGCATTAGCCAGGAGTAGAGAATTAGAATTGTCTAGTGCATTTGGGCTGCTACAAAATACCTTAGTCTAGTTAATTCATAAAGAGCAACATTTATTTCTTACAGTTTTAGAGAGTGAGAAGTCCAAGATGTAGTCACCAGCAGATTTAGGGTCCAGTGAGGGCTTGCTCTCCACTTCAAAGACGGCACCTTGTTGCTGCCTTTCACTTCACCAATGGTCTTTTAAGAATGGGTTTTATTTTAATAATTAAACGATGAAGTGAAAGGCAGCTCCCTTCAACCTCTTTTATAGGGGCACTAATACCATATATCTTAATTCTTCAGGACTTAACCTCCTCCTGAAGGCCCACCCCCGCCACTCTTCATACTATCACACTGGGGATTAAGTTTCAACATGAATTTTGCAGGACACCAACATTTCATAGCAGGAATCATGATAGTTAGAGGGGACAGATAGCATCAGTGCCAGAGAGTAACATGAAAGCGTCCTATGAACACTCAACTCGTAACTTCCCCAATCACCAGCAGAGCTGCTACAGTAGCCTCAGCAGTCCTTAGACACATGGATTAGTTCTTCACAGAATACACACCATTCTGAGCCCATTTCCCACCAACCAACTCTAAACTGTTGAAACTACTGTCTCCACCATTTCTCCTTAACAACTTCCTTTCTATTCAGCCTGATCTAACACTTTTCTAGAGACTGTTAGATCTCCGGAAAAGCAATAACTGGTCATTTATATTTTTCAACATACCCTTTCCTCTGCTTCCTAGTTCCTAAATGATGTCAGCTAGTGATTCTGTTCATTTTTATGTTTCTGCTATATTTTTCTTTTCTTTTTTTCAGATGGGGTCTCACTTTGTTGCCCAGGCTGGAGTACAGTGGCACAATCTTGGCCTCACTGCAACCTCAATCTCCCGGGCTCATGTGATCTCCCACCTCAGCCTCCTGAGTAGCTGGGACTACAGGCACACTACACCACACCTGGCTGGTTGTTGTTGTTTTTTCTTTAGTAGACAGGAGGTTTCACCATGTTGCCAGGCTGTTCTCAAATTCCTGAGCTCAAGCAATCCTCCCACCTCAGCCTTCCTAAGTGTCAGGATTACAGGCATGAGCCACTGCACTCAGCCTGTTTTTCTTTTTATAATTAAAAAAGCTATGCTTTACTCTACATGCCTATTATAAAAAGAACTCAAGTGACATATAAAAAAAAAGTAAAAATCACCTTAACTCCTACAATCCAGAGTGCCACTGTTAGCAAACTAACTTTAATATGTCTTAATACAAATACATATAAATTTGTATAATTTTACATAAATGGGACCATCTTATCCATGTTACTTTTATCATATCATGGTTCTTAAACACATTTTAAAATTTTTTAACATATTTAAAAATTTTTAAATCGTGGCTTAGACATTCTAGTAGAATCATAAACATATGTACACATATATGGGGGACTTGTCATTGTTTTGAATGAAAACTTGTATGTATTCTTCCCTTTATCTTGCTTTTATCACTTAATAATAAACATTGGAAATTTCTCCAAGCCAATGGTTTACATTTCATTCATTATTTTTAATGTCAGCATAATGTTCCATGATACAGATAGCTGGAGTTTATTCATTCTCTGCATAATGGGGATTCATATTTTTTTCTAGGTTTTTTTTTTTGTCCCTACAAACAAGGTATGAGTACTTATCTTCTTACATATATTCTCAATATGCCAGGCACTTTTATCCCTTTGACTATTTCTAGGAGTAGGATTGCTATGTTGAAGATTGTGTATATTTTTTATTCTAATGAATTTTGCCAAATTATGTGCCAAAAAACCTTTCAGAATTCACACATCTGTTTGCCAAGTGGAAGAGTGCTCTTTTCCTCAGCTCTTTACCCGTGGAGGTGTATGATCACTCTTTAATTTTTGTCATTCTAATGGGAGAAATCATCTCTCTCATTGCTAGTTTAATGAGTCTTTTCATGACCACTAGTAAAGTTTAATCCTTTTATATGTTTATTTTCCACTTGGATTTCCTTTTCTGTAAAACATCTATTTATATCTTTTGTCCATTTAACAAGATCTTCCTTTCTATTCTGCCCCCTTTTAGGTGGTTATTGCATAAGTTTAGTCTATCATATATGTGTTGCACTTATTTTTCCTAATAAATCATTTGTGTCTTGATTTTGTATTTGCTATCAACAATTGTTTAAATGTTTGATTTGTATATAGTCAAGCATGCCTATCTTTTTCTTTGTGGCTTCTGGGTTTCTTCTTTTGCTTTCAGAATGTTCACTATTACAATGAAACTGCAACAAACATTCTAGACTACACCTCCAATTGTTTCCTTGGACTGAATTCCTAAAAGTTATATTAGCAAATTAATGAGCTAGAACATTTTTAAGATTCTTAATGATGTTGCCAAATTTTTCTCGAGATAAACTGTGGTTGTGGCCTTTTAAATCCATCTAGCAGAGTGTATTAGTCCAATCTCACACTGCTGTAAAGATACTACCCGAGACTGGGTAATTTATAAAGGAGAGAGGTTTAATTGACTCACAGTTCCCCATGGCTGTGGAGGCCTCAGGAAAGTTACAATTGTGGCAGAAGGCGAAGGGGAAAGCAAGACACCTTCTTCACACGCTGGCAGGAGAAAGAAGAGTACGTGGAGGAATTTGCCAAACACTTATAAAACCATCAGATCTCGTGATAATTCACTCGCTATCACGAGAACAGCATGGGGGACCCGCCCCCATAATGCAATCGCTTCCCAACAGGTGACTTCCTAAACACCTGTGGATTACAATTCAAGATGAGATTTGGGTGGAGACACAAAGCCTAACCATATCACAGAGTATATGAGGGCTTATTGTACAGCACCCTCCCCAGTATTCAGCATTCTTATACTTATCTCTTCACTGACTCTACTTTATATCTCTAATCATAATCATCCCTCTGTGTGCTCACATCTCTTGCTATATCCTGAAAATCTTGACATCAGGCTGGTGGTTCACATTTTTTCTAAGGTAGCACTCTGTGGAACATCTTCAATAACTCCTGGAGCAAAAGGAATTTCATTTTCCTTTGGGGCAGTTTTTACTGCTATTGATTACAAACTATACCTTACTACAGCCACTAACTTTATCTTCCAAGAGAGACAGCTTTTTTCCCTTATAGTTTATAATACGGATGGACATAAACTACATTGATAAGGGTGTCTTGTTCACAAAAGACAGACAACAGTAAGCTGGAAGAAGCTTAAAGACTTCATTTCTTCTGGACCCCTGCTTTCCAAGGATATCTGAAAGCACAGGGTCCACAAGAGTTTATCTATCCCAGTGATTCTCAAACCTCACATCTATCAGAATCACCTGAGGGCTTGTTAAAAGACCTAGTGCTGAGTCCCAATCCCAGAGTATCTGATTCAGTAGGTCTGGGGCAGGGTTCAAGGATTTGCATTTCTAACAAGTTTCCAGGTGATATTAATGATGCTGGTTCATTAGCAACACTTGAGACCCTCTCATCTGCCCAAACCCCACCTATTTTGGTAATAGAGACAAGTATTAAATAGGCCTCACTATGAAGTTCTATTACTTCTCTATAAAATATCCCTCTTTTATTAGTTCTGACCTCTGTGACAGCAAAAAACAGCTGATCAGCACCTTCTTCATTATAACCTCTCATATCCTTGAAGACAGATGTTAAGTTTTCCTTATTCTCCTTTTCACCTATCTGAAGTCCTGAGTCCCTTAGCCTTTACTGATAATAACATATCCAACCTGCTCATCATTTTTTTGAGATGGAGTCTCTCTGTTGCCCAGGCTGGAGTACAGTGGCGCAATCATGGCTCACTGCAAGCTCCGCCTCCCAGGTTTAAGCAATTTTCCTGCCTCAGCCTCCTGAGTAGCTGGGACTACAGGCGCTTGCCACAACGCCCGGCTAATTTTTTGTATTTTTAGTAGAGAAGGGGTTTCACCTTGTTAGCCACGATGGTCTCAATCTCCTGACCTCGTGATCCGCCCACCTCTGCCTCCCAAAGTGTTGGGATTACAGGCATGAGCCACAGCGCCGGGCCCCTGCTTATCATTTTTATTGCTCTTCCCTAAAGCCAATTTTGAGTTTCTACCCCTCCCCTATCCCCATCTTTGTTCATTTGAACAGATATGAGGGAAGAGGAATATGCTTAGATAAATCTTGCATGCATAACTTTCTGGGCTACCCAGTGTCTCTGGCTAAGATATTTTAAGTTTCATGCAAGTTGGTGCTCTGTGTTTTTTTTTTAAGTGGTTATTTCAAGATTATAGTGTTCTTATTTCAAAGATTATAATGTTACACTAATGGGTGGAAAATATTGACCACTTTTTTCATATTTATTAAAACATAACAGCTGCATCTTTAGGTACAAGAAATAGCCATTCATTGACTTATTCCACAAATATGTATTAAACATCTGGAATGTACCAGGTGCTGTGAATACCATATCTAGTGGATTTGGCATTGACTTTAGGTCAAGTCAACTTACTTAGGTGCCTCTTAACAGTCTAAGAATATCAGGAATGTTTCCATAACTCCACCTACAGTATGGGTGAAGAAATACAGTTTAACAACCCAATCATGATTTTGGCCTCTTCCAAATCCACCGTGTTCACCTAGAAATGGACCTAGATTAGAGTCAACTTTACATTCTGCAAAGAAGCAATAATATTTTCTATAATTCAAGTTGGCACATTAAAGATAATCATTTCTGTTTGTCTTTGGGGATTTTCTAAAGCAGGCATATTCTGTTTAATGCTGTCATAAGTAGGACCAATTAGTCAAAAAAGTTTGTGTCTGAAGCATTTCCTCCCCACGAAAAAAAGTTACCTGATGATTTTCCCCATGCCCTAAACACCATTATGTACTCTGAGAGACAAAAATCTGCATGGTAGACTGCACGGTGCATTCTTGGTGCTATGTTAACAGTTGTTCCTGATGGTGAACACCCAGGTAGCACTCTACTCAGGTTACTCTGTGTTGTCATGCTCTGCCTATGTGTTGTTTAATCCTTTTTACTAGTTATTCTGTGATGAATTGGGCTTTAACTTCTAATGTCCAACAAAGTGTGTGCAAATAACAGTACTGGACCTATCTCAAATAAACAACAATAAAACCATCCCAAAAGATGGGAAAACGCAAATTTTATGATAGCTCAAGTCTCTTTCAAGGAAACAACAATGGAAAAGAGAATAAAAATCTTCAGGCAATTAGGGATTGGTGGAAGGGCTTTGGCTTAACAATAGGAATCAGACATCGCTAGTTAATGTCAGTCAGTGGTTTCAGAAGATTTGAAAGAAAAGAGGATTGATTTCCAAGTAGCCACTGTACCTTTCCAGCCCTGGGGGTCCATCTTCATTCCTCCAAGTCCACATGGGTGCCACAAACCTGGCTGCACAGAGCCTGGGTGCAGGATCAGCTAATTACCATAGAGGTTGTGCTAATACTATCCATTCTGGTATCAGTTCCATTCCTTTCAGAAACACATGGGATATACTCCATGGGGAAGTGAGGCAGGAAGTGAACTTAGTGGCATGTGGTTGAACTTCATACCCTCCAAGCTACTTTTGAAACTTGTTGCAAAAATTCCAAATAACGTACCATTGCATTTGATTCAACAGTATGTTAAAATAATAATCCACTATCTTCAAGCATAATTTGTTACAGGAAATTTGTTAAGGTACATAAAAAGGTTAAGGTACATAAAAACATAAAAAGTCAATTAAGTAGGAAATATTATAGGATAATCTCAGTATATGCTGAAGAAGAATTTGATAAAAATTTATTTCCATTCTTAATTTTAAGGTCTCTAAAAATTAGGAATAGAAGACTGTTTTTCTATAATGATGAATATCTATCGCAACCCAAAAGGTCATATCATACTTGTATTAGGCTGTTCTTGCATTGCTTTAAAGAAATACCTGAGACTGTAATTTATAAAGGTAATTTGTAAATAAAAGAGGTTTAATTGGCTCACAGTTCTGCAGGCTTTACAGGAAGCATGGTGCTGGCATCAGCTTGGCTTCTGGGGAGGCCTCAGGAAGCTTACAATCATGGCATAGGGTGGCAGGGGAGCAGGCATGTCACATGGCAAAAGAGGGGGCAAAGGGGGGAAGGGGGCCACACATTTTAAACAACCAGATCTCGTGTGAACTCAGAGCAAAACTCACTCATCACCAAGGAGATGGTCCCAAGCCACTCATGAGGGATCTACCCCCATGAACCAAACATCCCACCAGCCCCCATCTCCAATACTGGGGATTACAATTCAATGTGAGATCTGAATGGGAATAAATATACAATATCAACATTTAGTGGTAAAATGCCATAAGCATTTCTATTGAGCTCTAAATAAAAAGGATGCCTACTACAATAATTATACAAAGTCTATTTCTTCCTTCAAACATATATATTAAGATGACAGTGGCTAGACAGTTGACCAGAGGCACCTGGCACTCATCCTCCCTACAAGAAAGGATCAAGACAACACAAAAGCAGCTGAGATTTGACTAGAGTATTGAAGGGAGAGCACTGGAGTTCAGCAGGGGAATGAAGAGGAACCTGTGCTAACTGCAAGCCCATTGCAAGAACCTGACCTCTGTAGCCCTAGCTCTCATACCTAGGTTGACCTGGAGTCAGAAGGGACAACCCTTTGTGGGGAAAGTAAGCAGAAGAACCCTGTCGGTCCCCATTGCCACCACAAACACCTGTAGTCTTTACTATAGGAGAATCCCACAATCCTCACAAGCTCTGAGCCCAGTTTGGAGAGTTTCCAAGAATTTGAGCAGCTGTATTTTTCCACATTAGGAGTACAAGGTGTGCACTCTCCATCCCCTACCAAACCCCTGTGAGCCAAGCTGCCACAGCATGGGCCCATCTTGAGACCAGAGCCATTTCTGGAGTGCACCCTGCTCCAGGGGCCAGTAGCCACTGTACGTCTCCAGCACTGGGGTTCCATCTTCATTATACCAGGCTCACATGAGTGGCTGAACTCCACAATCCCAGCTGTGTGGAGCCTGGGCCCAGGATCAGCTGTGTCTTTGGTCCTGCACAATCGGGTTACCAACTCCCATTGCCTGCGCTTCCAGCCTAAGAAGCAGTCTGGCAGTCCTACCCAGAACAAATCTACCCTTGAGCTGGCCAAACTGCTGCACACCCTCCCCTAAGAGAGAGATCCACAACCACCAAGCAACTGACACCCTCCCAGGCCAGCATAATGGATATACTTCCACACCCAGGTCTGAGAAACAGACCTGGGGCACTCTCCTCTTGCAGACATACCTCTGACCTGACCAATGGCCTATGCCTGCCTTCCATGCCTGAGAAATAGCCCCACATCTTCCACTGCCATGAACATGTCCCTAGCTTACCCAACAGCCCTGTGCCTACGCTCGGGGCCTGAGAAACAGTCTTGTGGTACACCTCTGGCAAACACACCCCTAGGCTGCCAACGCAGGCTTGTGGATCTGAGAAACAGCCCAGCACGTCCACTCCTAGTGGAAACACCCCTAGCCGTGAAGGAGACACACACTTATATTCTGGGTCTGAGAAAAAACCTCAGGAGCCATCCCCATTGAAAACACCCCCAAGGCCAACCAAGCAGCCGCACACTGGCACTTACGTTCTGAGAAAAAGACATAATGGGCCCACCCCCAACAGACACAACTTTAGGTTGGCTGAGCAGATGAACACTAGCACCCAAGGCCAGAGAAACAGCCAGGCAGTCCCACCCCAGGCAGTCATGCCTCCAAGCTAGCTGAGCAGTGGCATGCCTGAGCCTCTGGCCAGAGTAACAGCCCTGTGACCCCAACCTAAGCAAGCCAGACTTCAAGTTGGCTGACCCATCATGTGTGAACAAATGCCTTTGACTTTAGAAACACTTTAGTAAACCAACCCCCAGCAAAGCTATGCCTCCACTGCCACAATACACTACCTATGCCACTGAGACACTCACAAACATTACTAGCATGGATTACAGCTAGAGAAATTGCACAAAGACTATATACTACTGCATCTACCTATAATGAAACCTACCCCGCCCAACTGACGTGCCAGAATCTACCCATAAAAATAAGTCTTTCCCTAGAAAACCTACCCCATAAAATTATTTATTTTTATTTTTATTTTTTTGAGAGAATATCACTCTGTCACCCAGGCTGGAGTGCAGTGAAAAAATCTAGGCTCACTGCAGCCTCCACCTCCTGGGTTTAAGTGATTCTTCTGCCTCAGCCTCTCAAGTAACTGGGATTACAGGTGTGCACCACCATGCCTGGCTAATTTTGTATTTTTAGTACAGATGGGGTTTCACCATGTTGCCCAGGCTAGTCTTGAACTCCTGAACTCAAGTGATCCATCTGCCTCAGCCTCCCAAAGTGCTGGGATTACAGGCATGAGCCACTGCACCTGGCCCTATCCCATAAAATTAGAAGAGGTGACTCTTCTAGCAGATGGATAGAAATCAACATAGGAACACATCAAACACTAAAAATCAAGAAAACATGACCCCTCTCCAAAGGAACACAATAATTCTTTAGTAATAGGTCTCAATCATAAGAAAATATATAAAATGTCAGAAAAAGAATTTAAAATAATGATCTTAAGGAGACTCAGGGAGATACAAGAGAATACAGACGGACAATTTAATGACATCAGAAAAATAACATTATTTGAGTGAGAAATTCAACAGAGATAGATATCATTAAAAAAGAATGAATCAGACATTTTACAACTGAGAATTCTATGAAGGAAATAAAAAATACAATCAACAGCTTCAACAACAGACCAGAACAAGCAGAACAAAGACTTTCTGAACTTGAAGGCATCCTTTGAAACAACAGGCAGACAAAGAAGAAGAAGAAGAGAAGACAAAGAGGAAGAAGAAGAATTATTTACAAAATTTAAAAAATAAAGCCTACAGGATTTATGGGATACCATTAAGTGAATAAATATTTGCATTATGGGTGTTCCAGAAGAAGAAGAAAAGGAAAATATGTAGAAAATATATTTAATTTTAAAATAGCTGAAAGCTTCCCAAGTCTTGGGAGAGAGATGGACATCCAGATTCGGGAAGCTCAAATGTCCCCACATAGATTTAACTCATAAAGGTCCTCTCCAAGACACACTTTAGTCAAATTGTCAAAAGTCAAAGACAAAGAATTCTAAAAACAACAAAAGAAAGGCGTCAAGTCACATATATGGGACTCTCCACCAGACCAACACCAGATTTTTCAGAAGAAACTTTACAGACCAGGAGAGAATAGAATGACATATTCAATGCACTGAAAGAAAAATACTGCTAGCCAAGAATATCATACCCAGCAAAGCTATTCTTCAGAGACGAAGAGAAACAAAGTCTTTCAGAGAAGCATAAACTAATCATTAGACTTCTGTTACAAAAATGCTCAAGGGATATCTTACATCTGGAGGTGAAAAGACAATAACTACCATCATGAAAACATGCAAAGTTATAAAAATCAATGGCAGAGCTGACACATAAAGGAGAAAGAGAAAGGAATCAAACCTTTTCACTACAGAAAAATACCCAACAGCAAAAATAAACAATAAGAAAGTAGATAAGGAACAAAGAGTATGCAAAACAACCAGAAAACAATCAATAAAATAAAATAGAAAAATCAATAAAATGAGTAAGCTCCCACCTATCAATAATTACCTTGGATGTATATGGGCTAAATTCTCCAATTAAAAGATAAAGACTGGCTGAATGAAATAAGTAAATAAATAAAATAAAATAAAAAACCTAACTATATACTGCCTAAGGAAACTCACCTCACCTGTAAAGATAGACATAGACTGAAAGTGAAAGGATGGAAAAAAAAATATTCCACAAAAACAGGAACCAAAAGCAAGCAGGAGTAGCTATACTTAGATAAAACAGATTTCAGGTCAAAGCTGCTAAAGGAGACAAAGAAGGATATTATGTAATAGTAAAGAGATCAATTCATCAAGAAGATATAACAACTGTAAATTCATGCATCTAACACTGGAACACAAAGATATATAAAGCAAATGTTAGATCTGAAGGGAGAGATAGGCCCCCAATGTAATAATAGTTGAGGACTTCAACACCCTACTGTCAGCATTAGAAAGAGATCATGTAGACAGAAAATGAACAAAGAAACATAAGTTTTAAACTGCACCATAGAACAAATGGACCTAACAGACATTTATAGAATATTTCACCCAACAGTTGCAGAACTTTTTATAAGCACCTGGAACATTCTCCAGGATTGGCCATATGTTAGTACACAAAACAAGTCTCAACAAATTTTAAAATCAAAATCATATTAGGTATCTTATCTGACCACAATGAAATAAAACTAGAAATAAATAATAGGGAAACTTTGGAAATTATACCAATAAAAAAAATTAAATGACATGCTCCTGAATAACCAGTGGGTAAAGGAAGAAATTAAGGAGAAAATTGCAAAATTCCTTGAAAAAAAAATTGAAACACAACATACCAAATGCTTTGGAAAAGAGAAAAAGTAGTTTTTTTTGTTTTTGTTTTTGTTTTTGAAACACAGTTTCGCTCTTGCCACCCAGGCTGGAGTGCAATGGCGCGATCTCATCTCACTGCAACCTCTGCCTCCTGGGTTCAAGCGATTCTCCTACCTCAGCCTCCCAAGTAGCTGGGATTACAGGCACGTGCCACCATGCCCAGCTAATTTTTGTATTTTTAGTAGAGACAGGGTTTTACCATGTTAGCCAGGATGGTCTCAGTCTCTTGACCTCATGATCCGCCTGCCTCGGCCTCCCGATATGCTGGGATTATAGGAGTGAGCCACCACGACCAGCCAAAAAAGCAGTTTTAAGAAGCAGGTTTATAGGAATAAATTCCTACACTAAAGAAGTAGAAAGATTTCAAATAAACAAACTAATGATCTATCTCAAGGAAATAAGAAAGCAGAAACAAACCAAACCCAAAATTAGTAACAGCAAAAGAATAATAAAGATTAAAGCAAAAATAAATGAATTTGAGACCCCCCCCAAAATACAAAAGATCAAGTAAATAAAAAGTTACCTTTTCAAAAGATAAACAAAATTGACAAACCACTCAGTGGACTATAAAAAAAGAAAGAAGACCCAAATACGTAAAATCAGAAGTCAAAAAGGAGACATCACAATGGATACTACATAAATACAAAGGATCATTAGAGATTATTGTGAACAACCATATGCCAATAAATAAACAGACTAGAGGAAAGGATACATCCCCCGAAACATATACACTACCAAGATTGATTCAAGAAGAAATAGAAAGCCTGAACAGACCAATAACAAGTAACCAGATTGAATCAGTAATAAGAGTCTACCACCAAAAAAAAAAAA
This sequence comes from Homo sapiens, assembly GCF_000001405.40. Classification (NCBI taxonomy): domain Eukaryota; kingdom Metazoa; phylum Chordata; class Mammalia; order Primates; family Hominidae; genus Homo; species Homo sapiens. Next base: position 59,621,332 of record NC_000013.11, read on the forward strand.
AAAAAAAAAAAAAAGGCCAGGACCAGATGACTTTACTGTTGAATTCTACCAAACTTTTAAAGAATAATTAATATCAATTCTTCTCAACCTATTTCAGAAAATTGAAGAGGATTAAATTCTTCCTAACTTATTCTATGAGGTCAGTATCACCATGGTACCAACACCAGACAAGGACACAACCAAAAACTATAGAACAATATCCCAGGTCAATATAGACACAAAAATTCTCAGCAAAATACCAGCAAAAAACACATCAAAAAGATTATTCACCATAATCAAATGGAATTTATTCCAGGGATGCAAAAATGATTCAATGTACACAAATCAATAAATGTGACACGTCACATGAAGAGAATCAAGGACAAAAGCCATAAAATCATCTCAATCGATGCTGAAAGCATTTCATAAAATTTAACCTTCCTTCATCATAAAATCTCTCAATAAGCTAGATATAGAAGGAAAGTACAGCAACACAATAAAGGCACAACTAATGTCAGAGCAAATGGGGGAAGGCTAAAAGCTTTTTCTCTAAGAATTGGAACAAGCAAGACAAAGATGCCCACTATGACAACTCTCAGTCAACATAGTACTAAAAGTCCTAACCAGACCAATTAGACAAGAGAAAGAAATAAAGAGCATCTGCATTGGAAAAGAGGAAGTCAAATCATCTCTGCTTGCTGGCAACATGATCATATATAGATAAACCTAAAGACTCTCCAAAAACTCTCAGAACTGCCAAATTAATTCAGTAAAGTTGCAGGATACAAAATCAACATGAAAAAATCAGTAGCAGTTCTACACATAATGAGCTAGCTGAAAATAAACCAGGAGGGCAATCCTATTTATAATCACTTAAAATAAAATACCCAGGAACAAATTTAACCAAGGAGATGAAAGACCTCTATAAGGAAAACTATAAAACATGGATGAAATAAATTGAGGGGATACAAACAAATGAAGAGACATCCTACGCTCATGGATCTGAAGAATTAATACTGTCAAAATGACTGGCCAGGCATGGTGGCTCATGCCTGTAATCCCAGCACTTTGGGAGGCTGAGGTGGGCAGATCATCTCAGGTCGGGAGTTCGAGACCAGTCTGACCAACTTGGAGAAGCCTCGTCTCTACTAAATACACAAAATTAGCCAGGTGTGGTGGTGCATGCCTGTAATCCCAGCTACTTGGGAGGCTGAGGCAGGAGAATCACTTGAACCCAGGAGGCAGAGGTTGCGGTGAGCCGAGATCGCGCCATTGCACTACAGCCTGGGCAACAAGAGTGAAACTCTGTCTCACAAAAAAAAAAAAAAAAAGACCATACTACCTGTATTAGTCTGTTTTAACGCTGCTAATAAAGACATACCCGAGACTAGGAAGAAAAGGAGGTTTAATTGAGATTTGGGTGAAGACACAGCCAAACCATATCACTACCCAAAGTAGTGATTACTCATGAAAGTAATCAGAGGAAAAGATGCATACAGTTGATGGATGAATTTATTTAAAATTTGGTGAGTCAAATTAAACAGGAAAACTATACTATATAGACATGATTCTCAAGAAATACAAGAGTTATTATGTTCCCTAGACTGCCCTTCACCATTCATAACTCTTTCCTGCTTCCCTAACCACTAGGGAAAAATCAGCACCTCTTGTTAGTCTGATCCAGAATACCAGCTTAAAGAATATCAGCCATATTTATAAAATTGCTGTTTCACACCTTACCAACAGCATGAAATAAACCTCAGTATAGGGTTTATGAAGACATGATTTATGCCCACAAAGTGTTAGATTTTTAAAAGGAGCAGATCGTAGCAAGATTTGTCCTAAATCTCAGTTTGGCTAAACTATAAACAGATTTTATTAGATATTTATTTAGATGCTCTGTACAGATTGCTTTGTTTAATTTTGAAATTAAGTTTCCAGGTTTGCAGTGGAGCTTTAAATACTTGAATTCTAGAAAGGCAGCAGTTTTGAACCTTTGTACTTCTCTTTAAAAAAGCTAATTAGGAAATTAAATCCAAAAGGACTGAATCCTTAAAATGTTGGCTTTGTAATGCTGATGGGAACAATTCAACTCACCTGCTATTTTGGTGCCATCTCCTGATTAGTCATTGGAATGAGATATTCAAAGAAATTAAAAAAGATTAAAAAAATAATTTAGAAGCTCCACCACCTTTGTTAATATTAGAAACTTTATTGCTTGGAAAATTAAATCTGAACAGAGAAGTATTTTAGATTTTCTTATCACTCCTGGCTAAACATTTTCTTAATTTATTATGCGCTTGATCAGTTGGTAAACTATTGGGATAATTCCTAGTCGTGGTGTCAGCTGGGGCTTGGGAGCCTGACCATTATCTCTGTGGGTGCCCTGGTGCCCTGTGGGCTCAAACCACAAACAGCTGGAGTCCACTGAGAAGAAAAGTACTAAAGCTTTTTCTACCTCCAAAGGTGTTTCCTGCTTACCAGGACTTGTAAGGCTCAGCGACATTCAGAATTCCTCTTTTCTTCAGCAGAAAGTTTCATTTACTGCTGTGACCCTCGACCTCTTCAAATGAGTTTAAAATACTTTCTTACACTGAGGTAATTTTTTGTCTTTTGCCTTAAATGTACCCAGGATCCTATGAAATCCTACCAATACACAGAGAGACCATGGTTTGTGTGGCCCAGATGACAGCTTCCTAAAACTCACCTGTCATCCTTTCCATTTAGACTTCCTTTTTTCAAATACCAATTGTGTGAAGCATGTTTCTGGCTAATTTAATCTTCAAAAACAAAGAAACTGATTTTTTTTTTCCTTCAACACATACTTTTACGGGCCTAACTTGTACCCGACCCTTTCATGGGCACAGATGAGAAAACACAGACTCAGATCCCGATGTGCTTACAGTTTAGCAGGAGAGACAGTTGTGTAAACAAGGAATTTAAATTATATATTGTAGATGCATAGGAGAGAATAGTATTTTTTTCCCCCTCATTTCTCTCTAGGTTTATGGCTGAGACACCAACAGCAAAAGACAGGTTAACGAGAGAAAAGCCTACAAATGTATTTAATACAAATTTTACGTGACACATGAGCCTTCAGAAATGAAGACCTAAAGACAGGAGATCAAGACCATCCTGGCTAACCAGTGAAACCCCGTCTCTACTAAAAATACAAAAAAATGAGCCGGGTGTGGTGGCGGGCATCTGTAGTCCCAGCTACTCGGGAGGCTGAGGCAGGAGAATGGTGTGAGCCCAGGAGGCGGAGCTTGCAGTGAGCTGAGATTGTGCCACTGCACTCCAGCCTGGGTGACAGAGCAAGACTCTGTCTCAAAAAAAAAAAAAAAAAAAAAAGAAAGAAAGAAATGAAGACCTAAAGAAAAGGGAAAATCTGTGTATTTTTATGCTAAGTTTGATGAAGAGTGGACAGTCATGGAAAAGTATGATTGAACACATTTGGTATGAGCTAATGGTAGTAAACTGGGGGGAACTTAGCAAAGCCTGTTTGTTCAGATTCTTCTTGGCATCTTTCTCTCTCTCTCTCTTTCTCTGAGGATAAGAATATTTCTTTCCTTGGGTCTACAGATAGCATTTCTCGAATAAGGGTCTCAAACCATGTCAGAGGAAAGTCAGAGAACTATTTCACTGCCTGCTTCAGGGGAGAAGGGTGGGAGAAGGGCAGAGAGACCTTCCTGCTTCTGCTGTTTTCTCAAATGCCAAGGTGTCATATTTTGGGATACTGTGTCCTGAACCCCATCAATGCCAAGAAAGAAGCAAACCAGGGGAAGAACAAGTAGGCCCATGAAGGAGGGAGGGCTGAATTCTGCCTCAAGGTTTGGGAGTCAGAGACAAGCCTGATCTTGAAATGTGAATGGCGTGTCTGCTAGTAGATGAAGATAGAGGAATAGAGGAGAAGAATGCACTCCTGACCACTGTTGCTAGTCTCCAAAGACTGTCACCATCAATTCCTGCCCTCTGTGTACGTGCATGACATTGTTCACATCAAGCGTCAGAGGATTTCCCCTGCCCCTGAATATGGGCTGATCTTACTGACTCACTTTTAATAGTAGAATGTGACAGAAATATGCCATGTGTCTTCCAAGGTTAGGTTAGAAAAGGCCATGCCACTTCTACCTAGTCTGCCTGGAATGCTTGCTCTGAGAATCTAGACTCCATGTTATGAGGAAGTCCAGGTTACATGGAGATGCCCTTGTGAGCCCCCAGCTCCCAGCCCATGTCCAGCAACAGTTGCCAGACATATGAATGAGGAAACCTTTGAGATGCCTCCAGTCCCAGCCACCAGCCGACAGCAACCTCATGAGAGAATACAAGCAAGAACGACCTAGATGCATTGAATCTCCACCACCATGAAGATAGGAGTCACAAAACATTGTGACTGTTGTTCTAAGCTGCAATGTTTTGGGGTGATTTTCCATACAGTAACAGATAACTAGAACACAGAAACAAGAGGAAGCCTATGTAACAGCACAGAGATGCTAAACAACAGCTAGACCTTGGATGTTGCAGGTTCACTGAGATTGAGGAAGGCAATAGAAGGAAGGAATGGCCAAGCAGCAGGATCAGGGGCAGGATGTGGCTGATCACTGAGGCCATACCCAAGGGTGAGGATCCTACCCTATGGGCAATACGGAAGCCATAGAAGACATCTTGTGGGGAGGGGAGGCTAAAATAATCAGATCTGAGGAAATCCCCCTGACAGCAGAGGGTAGAAGGTTTGGGAATGTAGAGAACACTGCCTTCATCCCAGCATCCTCATGGGGACACTGAACTAAGGCAAGCACAGTGAAGGTAAGGGGTGGAGAATAGAGAATAGATTTAAACATGCTAAGAAAAACAATCTATTGGATTTGGTGACTGTCTGGATTTGGGATTGAGAGGAAGGAGGAACCAAAGAAATCTCATTCACTCATAAACTCTGATGGAGGGCCTACTATTATTAAGTACCAATGTGCTTCTAGGCTTTGAGGATAAAGCCGTAAATAAGACATTCTGGGCCATCATGAGCTTATATTCTAGTGAGAAATAAAGATAATGAATGGATTTAAGGAAATTTAAGGCTTAATTAATTTCCAGTTTATACCCTTCCTATTAATCTGTCTCCTTATTTATCATGCAGTATAGAGGAGACATGAACAACTTTCCATAAGGTAAAACAAATGCCTTAGTTTTGTATTCTGAAAATGATGGACTGACGCAGATTATTTAGCCTGAGAGTTCAGTTTCCAAGGGCTCGCTTTTCAATACTGTTAGACTTAACATGGAAATGCAGACATATGGGGTCAAAGGAGCGCCTTGGGCTATGTATTGTGTCTTTGGTACCAGAGACTAGTGGCAGAGAGTAAAAAGAAGAATAAAAAATATATTTCAGTCAGGGAGGAAGTGGTTCTCATTCATTTTTCTACAAACATTTGTTAATTCAACAAATATCCACTGTACTGACCACTAGGAACGCTAACGGTGAAAAAGAGAAAGAAAACCCCTCAGTTTATGGGGCTTACATTGCACTAGTGAAAACAGATACTAAACAGGTAAAGAAATAAATTAACACCAGTGCATTAACTTCCTATTGCTGCTGTCACAGATGACAACAAGCTGAGTGACTTAAAATACCTTAAGAATATTTTCTTACAGTTCTGGAGGTCAGAAGTCTAAAAGAGCATCTTATGGGTTAAGTCAAGGTGTCAATGGCACAGTGTTCTGTCTGAGAATCCATTTCCTTGCCTCTTCCATTTTCCAGAAGCCACGTGCCTTCATGGGATCCTGGCTCCCTTCCTGCCATGGCCCCACTCTGACCTGTGCTTCTGTGGGCATAGCTCCTTCCAGGACTCTGATCTTCCTACCTTCCTCTTGCAAAGACTCCTGTTCCGCTCAGATAATCTAGGACAATCTTCATATCTCAATATCCTTAATTTAAACACATCTGCAAAGTCTCTTTTGCCATGATGGGTTCTGGAGATTAGAATATGGACATTTGGTGGTAGGGGTGGGGTGGGGCAGGCATTATCCAGCTGATGGCAATGAGGAAAGTAAAGCTGGGTAAGCAGATGGAAAGTGACCCTAGAGAGAGAAAAAAAAAATGATGTCAAGGAAGGGGTCTATAAGCCATGGTAGAGACTTGGGATTTTATTCTCAGTGTGTTGGGAAAACTTCAGAGAATCTACAACCCAAGTTGTAGCATGATTTAATTTACAGCTTTGAAGGTTCACTTCTGATGCAGTGTGGAGAATATTTTCAAAAAATTGTATTCCCAAGAGGAACAGAAAAAAGGGGCTGAAGGGCAATGTGTGGTCAAAGGAGGTGTTTTTGTTGCTGCTTTTTAATTTTTTTTTTTACATTGGAGATATTTCAGCAAGTCTGTCTGCTGATGGGAATATAGCATACAGCAAAGAGGGGAAAGTGGATAACACAGGAATAAAAGGGGTTAAAAGTAGAAGTATAGTCCTTGGCTAAGCCAGAGCACAACGGGATCCAGTGTACAAGTGGAGGGGTTGATCTTGGTAGGAACAGAAATCACTCTGCCTTTGTTAACAAGGGTGAAGGTGGAACAAGAGAGAACGGACATAGAGAGACCAGTGTATTCTACCTATTCCCCTGATGGAATATAAAATAAGGGTATTGCTGTGTGTGTGTTTGGTTGTGGGGTGTTGATGATTACAAGAGAGAGGAATAAGTGTGAAATATTTATTTAAGAGAGTGGGAGAATGTGTTGACATGGGAAATGTTGCAGATTTCCTGAGCAATGTGGAAATCACCTTGAGGATTGTAGTCATTAGTTTAAAACCAGCAGGGTTGTGTGCCTGTTTTTTCTCAGCCATGATCAGCTGCTTGGGAGCAGTAATGGAGAGTGTGAAATGTTAGATTTAATCAGGATCGGGATTTTAAATGTGAACATGATGGAGAGAGAAGGGGAGAAGTGATTCATGGGTCAATGCAAGGGAGCAATTATAAGTATGGACTACAGAGTCTAAGTTGGGTAAAGAATGGAAGTGAGAACATGGGCAGTGATAGAAAGTAAAAAGAGGTAGAGCCAATGGATAGAAAATCCCAATGCAGTAAAACCAAACCAAACCAAACCAAACCAAACCATTGGTATGAAAGTATTAGAGCAAGTGAGCTAGAAAAATAGGAGGTGGTGATCAAAGTGGGATGCCTTAAACTGAGATTTTTGGAGATGTTTGTGTTGGTAACAAAGCATACCATGGGTTTGGATAGCTAAGGTGCAATGGAAGATAAAGTCATTGAAGGCAAGGACAAGGTGGACAAATTATCTACATAGATATTAAAGACACAAAGAATGATAACAGGGTAGTGATAGGGAAATTTCCAGTAAGCCAAGTCTAAGTTCTTCAACTAATAAAGGTAGAAAACTGGAAGGATAGTAAGTGATTATTAAAAGGAGGAGTATCAAGTACTATAGTTAGAGACATTTGTAGGGGAGAGGAGCAGGGAGAATAATAGTCTAGAAGTGATGATGAACATGTGGTACATGGGATGGTGGGAGAAAAATAGGCATCATTTGATAGAGTTAAGATGGGAAGCACTGTCCCAAGGGAAAGTCAGATATCTGCAAGGGAAAAACGAAAGGAACATTGAGGTTGAGGATTTAGGAGATTTTGCTGATGACACTCTGTGAGTTCCAGAGAACCCAGCTGCAAGGTCTAGGTGCTCAGGGAGGAGTAGGGGCTTGGGTCAGAAGAGGGCTGCATGGAGCCATTATAGGGATAGCTCCTTGGGTGGGTTGTGGGGTTTTTTTTGTGGTGGAAACTGAGGTAGGAAGTAATGTAGGGCATCAGGGGATTAATCCTGATGTCCTGTTAGAGCACAGCCTACAAACATTTTCTGTAAAGAGCCTGATTATAAACACTTTAGCTTTGTGATCATACGGTCCCTGTTATGAACACTCAGTTCTGCCACCGTAGAGCAAAAGCAGCCATAGATAATACATAAATGAATGGGTGTGGCTGAGTCCCAATAAAACTTTATTTGGAAAATTAACCAGTTTGCGGACCCCACCTTAGATGAAACTGGCTAATCAGTTCTGGGGACTGTTATCTTAGGCAATTGCAGGGATAAAGCGAGTGAAGCAGTTTGGAGCAGGATGGCTAAAGTACTCATCAGGAGTACCTGTCATGCCAGGGCCCCTCATCCTGCAGTTGAGTGGGCCCTCAGTGCTGCTGTCAGTAGCATTTGGATCTCTATAGGCCGCTCAAATCCTGTTGTGGCCTCCTGGGTTTCAGCTGGAAAAACTGGTGAATGGTGGGGTCATTCTGCAAGACACAAATGATGAGGGAGGGCCATTGAGGGTCAGGAGATAGAGGATTAATTTCGTTTACAACATTGATTTTGAAGTGTCTGTGAGACATCCAAGTAGGAATGACCAGGAGCGAGTTGGATTGGGATTTTTTGCTGGGAAGATGTCTAGACATATCTAGGTATCTAGATGTCTCAGTGCCTAGATCTCTAGGTGGGACATAGGTCTGTGTCTAGATGTCTAGATGCCTAGGTGGGTGAAGGTGTTGTCCATGGATAGGGGAATAGAAGCTTCACTCTGGTTCCAGTTGGAGCTGATCTCCCTGGGAACAACATTTAATAGGTAGGCAGAGAGATTCAGATACAGAAATCTTCACTGAGTCTTTAGGTTTAAAATCAATCTTATGTTTTCCAAATTCCAGCCCCCTCTTGTGCTGGGTGAGTCCTGAGATTCTGGAAAGTATGAGACGGAAAGTTTCCAGCATGCACATATCAGATAAATATACGATTTGCTTGAGGTTGTATTACCACAAATTGAGTGCATGAAGAAAATCTTGAGTTTTCTGAAACTTTTCAGTAAAGCAAGACTGATTCATGAGTCATGCATTGATCCTCCTTCTTCTTTTTTGATGGTTCATTTTTCTGCCCATCTTCACCTCTGTAAAAGAACAAAAAGGTGAAATAAAGAGATGATATGTAAATTATTTGACATTACCACCAATTAACAGCTTCCATCCAGGGAAGGACTGGAAGCTGTTGTGTAAGTGGATGTTTTCAGGTTGTCTCTAAATGTGCCTTGGGAAGTCAGAAAGTCAATTAGGTAGTGGAAAAATGATTTGCTCTTGGAATCAGAAGACTTGCATTTGAGAGGTGGTTTTCGCCCAAACAGAAAGCATGACCTTGGGCACCTCACTTAACTTCTCTGCATCCCAGTAGTCTCACTTGTAAAACACCAACCATGAGCCAAGTGTAGGCCAGAGACCTTATATACTCCTTGTTTCACTTAATAATTCCTACCTAAAAAAGGATGCTGTGAGAGTCAAATGAGAAAATGGACATAAAAGCACTGCGAAAACCACAAAGCAATATATCAGCATAGGTCGTTGTATACCAGTAGTCATTGTTTTCAGTGGCCCTAATTGCCTTAAAAATAATGGACTAGATTTGCCCATGCCCAAAGGCCTAATTTTTGGCTCGGTTTTCTTTTTGTGCTGCTGTATTTTTGTAAGTTAAGAAACCAAATCAGCAACGTGTCCTTTGTATTTTATAGTAAAATTGCCAAACTCAGAAAAGGGAAGATAAAATTCCAAAATGCTTAGGTGACACAAGCCGCAATCCTCTTATAAAATTTCTGTGACTTTCTTAAACTCACAGTCTGCTGCTGTTTCTAAAGCTCCCCTAGCAAAGTAAAGGGTTTGAAAGAGGAATCCATGGGGGTGCTCTTTTCTGGATTGAGGAGGCACTGCCATTAGACGATGATGGCATTCTTGCATTATAATTTACACCTGCATTTCATGCACTTTATTCACTGCCAATAATTATTGAATAATTACTGTGTTCTCCTACTGAGGTCTCTCTTTGTACTCCCACTTCTTCCTAGGGTTTCAGCTAGATTGTTGCCTTTTGAAAGTTTCTTTCCTTCTGAAATGAAGGCAGGTGGTTTATAATTCTTATTTTTGAGCCAAGCATTTAAATCCGAAAGCTGTGTACCCAGTAGCCTGTCCTGTCTCCCTGGTTTCTGCATGCACTGTTTGCTGGAAGGAGAACAGGAAGTGGTTTGTCCTAGAAAGTCACTTTTGCTTAAAGACCTTAAAATTCATGTGTTTGTGACTCCCATGTTACCTATTTTCATGGAGCAGCTTCCAAATTTGCTAAGCTGATTTGAATTGAGATAAATTAGATCATTTGCAGCCCAACTTGCCTGCCAAATTCAAATTGGCACTTGAACCACTTTATCTATGTTTGGGGTTTGTTGGAAGACAAAATAATCAAGACTTAGCTACATTGAAGGAGTTTGTTTTATTTTCCTGTGTGAGAAAACAAGCTAATTCTTGCCTTTTTTTCCCCTTCTCTGCAAAAAAAAAAAAAAAATTCCTCAATTACCTAGTTAGTCTGTCTTAGTATCCATTCTCTAGGTCAGAAGAATAAACCTAAAGTACAAGACATAATCTGATTGCTTTACCTAGGTGATCTTCTGACTATAAGATCATTCTGGTGCCACGGCACCCAAGGAAAATTTTGTTAAGACTGGAATCTTTACTCATTATTGCTTTCCATTTAAAATGTATAATTAATCACAGAAGAAACTTAAATTTCTGTCACTCCTGGAAGAGTGCTTATTCTGAATCCCAAAGTGTTTATTTTGTCACATACTTTATAACCACAACAAACCTCAATAAATGGTTGAATAACAAAGCCTTCTTTAAGCCTGATTATTGGAATAGAGACAAAATCCATTCTGGAGCCCAAAACCTTGCAAACAGTATCAGGCTGCTTTCTGTTTTTACTCAACCTTAGAAGTTGCACCCAAAATGACCTAGCCCTAGTATTACAGAACAATTAAATACACAGTATTATTATAAGGCAAGCGTTATTGAATAAATGCAGATGTTGCTGAAATTGGCGGTATAATGTAACACACAGCACTGGCTTGAGAAAAGTGTTTTACACCCATTTCTTAGTCCTCAAATAAGTTCTCCATGAAGTTGGTGGGCAGAAGGCAGGGAATAATATGATCCTTTGCATTATAGCAAAGGAACTGAGCGACTTGAAATTGGTTTGGAGATCTAAACTAGACATTCAGAATATCATTTCGTTCCCAGGGGCCTCCTCAGTATGAGAAGTTTCCAAATGATTTTCTCATAAGAAAACGGATGATGATAGTCACAAGAATGTCTGAAACTTCATTTTGTTGTGTCGTAAATAACATATTCCTTGAATTATATCCCTTTATAGTACATATGTCACCTCACCCAGCTATCTCCATTGTGAAAAACTCAGATTTGGGAGAGGACAGACTGGCATTCCCTGATGTCCCTATTGTTATAAAATGTTTGATAAAGCTGAAGTCTGCCTCCAAGTATTTTTTAGACATTGGTCAATTTATTCATTTAATAAATTATTACTGAACATCTGCCACCTGCTAGACACTGCACTAGGTCCTGATAATAAAACAAGCAAAGCACAGTCTCTGCCCTCCTTTGACACCTCTGCAGCTGCTGAAAGTAAAATTAGAATCAAAAGCCAAGAGATGAGATTCATTAGACATAGAAATGACTGACCTCAAAAAATAATCTGTACAGGTTGGCTGAGAAAATGTTAAGACACATAACTGATAAACAATTATGCATGTGTTAAATTGGAGCTATTATCTAATCCAGATACAATGAATAGACATGTGGAAATAATGAACTGAATTCACTCCCTCATATATCACATATATTGTATGTGTACCTTTCCCTGCCCTCACAGAACTTATAGCACTGATTTACCAGTTTCTCTCTGTCTTTCCCAGCTGTGAAAATGTCACCACATCGATTCAATTGCCTAAACCTAATTGTAGGAGTCATCTTTCATTCTTCTTCTTCCCTCAACCTTAACCGCTTACCCTCACTCCTGGTCCTCTCAGCCCTAAACACACAATCCAGTAAGAAATTTTGCCCACTCCAAAACACACCGTGAATCTTCCCTTTTTTCACAGTCTCTACAACCACTTCTCTGGCCTAGCACTATCGTCTCTCACATGGCCCGCTGGGATAAAGTCCTGACTGGTCCCCCTGCTTCCGTCCTTCTCGTCCAAGCCCAACACACACACATCCCTTCCTGACTCAGCATCCGGAGTGAAATTCTCTTAAAAGATAAACCAGAGTGTGCCACTTACCAGCATCAAGCGGCTTCCCGTGCATATGGGATCAAATCCAAGCTCCTCTTCCTGACCTATGTGATGTAGCCCCTATTTTTCTCTCCCAGCTCAACTCCTGCTATTGTTGCCTTCATCCAGACACGCTGGCCTTTCTGTGCCTCCCATTCACTTACTTTCTTCCCAACTTTGGGCCTTTGTACAGGCTGGTCCTTCTGATCTTCACAGAGCTGGTTTCCTCATCATTCGGATCACAAAGAAGGGTCACCTCCTCAGACACCTTCTTTGACCTTCCACTCAATTTCACGTCACTACCACTGTAATTTTCCGCATACCACTTATCAAAGTCTGTGATTTACCCTCCTTTTTTGGCTTATTTGATTCTTGTTTGTCTACTACCACTAGAACAGAAACTCTGTGTCTATCTTGTCTGCTACTGTATCCCTGGGGCCTAGAATTTTGCCTGACATGCATTTGATGCTTAATAAATATATGTGGAATGAATGGATGAATGATGATAGTAGAAGAGGAGGGGGTAATGAGTACTGGAGGGAGAGGAGGTGAGGTGAAAAGGAGAGACTGGGGAATGAAAAGATATGGAGAAATGTTGGCAGAGTGAGAGACAGAGAGAGAAATTAACTGGCTTTGAGATTGAGACTCCAAGGACGGAAAAAGTTAAATGCAGCAGGAATATAAAGTGGGGTGAGGAAGGGAGTGGAAAGGTGAGAATGGAGAGGCCGGCAGCAGGCGGATCATCAGGAACTTCCAAATCCAAGAAAAACGGTTTGTGCTTTGTTCTGTGGAAACCAATTAAAGGTTTTAAGCAGGGGAGTGACAGGAACAGATTTGTGTTTTAGAAAGATCACTGTGGCTGAGATGTAAAGAATGAATTAGAAGAGAGAAGACAGAAGAAAAATTATGTTAACATAAAGGAATGGTCAATGTGGCAGCTTAAACAAAGGGGAGTCAGAAAGCAGGGATTTGGCAGAGTTTTTCCAACACTGTCAGGGAAGAGGCGGTAAATCTGAGAATCTGAGCACCCCAGTGACTACAGAGGAAGTATATAATGGCCGGTAAGAGTCTGGGTTTGGAGTCAGACAGACCTGGGTTTAACCTCAAATCTATCACTCTGTAGCTTATGTGATCTAGAACAAGCAATCAATTCTAAGCCACAATGTCCTCTTCTGTAAAATAGGAGTAATAATTGCCAGACTGTAAACTGCTTAGTTCTCTGCTTGCTATGTTTGAGTGCTAAATAAATATTAGTTTTATTGTGATACTACTAGGTATGCCCTGTGATGGGCTTAGAAAATTCTAACAGGTCACTCCATGACCTGGACAAACTAGACCTCATAGCCTCTACCTTCTTTCGATATATGTCTCTACAAATCAGGAAACTCTGATTATTAACTTGGCTTCCTAGAGCGCTGCTTTATGAGTATCTTGGCCACCAATAAAAGTATATTTCTCAATGAATAGTAAGAAGATAGCACTGTGTTTACATGTAGTTTCTGTTGAGTTAGGTTAGCTTGAGTCAGGCCCCTAAACTTATATTCATTTCTAAGAAGAACCAAACTCTGAGATGTGCTTTGCCCTGGATCAGTGGCTGCACCAAGAAGACCCACCCCTCAGAGAGTGAGCAATGGGTTATCCTGACAGTGGGATTTTGTCTCTTAACATCAGCCATTCCCAATTGTGCCACACAGAAGCACATGCCTTAAATCTGATCACTCTTCTACAGAACATTTTTGGTACTTGAAGATTTCCTGTTTTTCTTTTACTTTCCTCCTTCCAATCTTTCCTTAAGCACAGATATCCAGATGGAATAAGAAATAACTAGGGTTGTTTTTCAGTTCCCAGCTTCAAATGGATCAGGAGTGATGTCCGCTTATGCATTTGATGTGTTTTTCTTTGAATCTGTCTTTGGGGAAAAGGGTTGTATCTGTTACAGACTTAATATTTTTAGAAATTTAATAGGCTCATTTAGAGGTAAATATTTTAAACAGGCCACCCATGCGTTACATTAACTGCACCTTGCTGTGACATTGTCACAAAGGCTTCAAACCTCAGGGACTGAGAAACCTTTTAACACTCTGTTTAGTAAACGTTAAACCCTCGGTTGATGATCTGAGTTCACTCTCCCTTAGTATAGATCAGGCTGGTGAGGCGGGTGATATTTCAGTCATTTGAATGTCAGTCTAAAAGCATGCACATCACTGCTGCACATCATCAGAGCCTCGGGTCATTTACACTTGTGGTTGTTTTACTTCACAGCCCAGAGCCTTCCCCGAGCTGCTGTCATTCTGACCCTGAGGCCGCCCTTCACAGCCTCCTGACTCCACTCCCAACATCCCCTTTCAAGCTGACACAGAGCAAAGGCTGACCTTGTCCCATCAACCACTTACCCACACAGACCTAATTAATCTTTGGTTGCCAGTAAATCCAGCACACTTCCCTCCTTGCATACTACAGAATTTCGCAGAGGGGATGCTTTGGGCTTCGTTTGCTTCCCTATGAGATGAGCTGTGGCTGAAACACAGACAGCTGCCCTATAGAATGATCTGAGGGCCCTGTCAACAAAAGGCGTCCCCTTGTCAGAGTGTCAGGGTGTGGGAACTCACTCCTAGCCCCTTTCCATTACTCCTGAGGACTTCTTTCCAAGAATAAAGAATTCCTAGAAAAATTAACCAATTGCCTCTCACAAGGCAGTGGTGTCCTAAGACAGAGTTCATACAGGGATAAGGGGAAAGGAAAGGAAAAGGGTACTGAAGATGGGATTCTGGGTGTCTTGAGACATTTGAGGGCTTTGGGTACCTGCAAGTAGTGAGACTCTAAGTGAGGATGCAACATGACCCTAGAGTCAAACAAACCATCTGGGTTTGTTCAAGGTCATTAAACTATATGACCCACCATGCAGATGCATTATAATAAATACAAATACCACTCACTGCCAAATTTAGTTTTGGCCAGACTTGGCTTCAGTCAAGAACACAAAAATGCAAATCAGTGGCTACTTCAACAGATGGAGGTTGGGGGTCTAGAGTGAGACTCGTAGTCTCCACTTTGGGCATTCAGGATAATCAAGATGCATCCAGATCACTGTAGGAAGGTAACTGTTGTCTACATGAGATACTTGGATCAGCACTGGCCTCAGTTTGATGGGCTTCTTATCCGTGAATAGAGTGCAGACTGGAATTTGGATTGTGGGGTCTGATAAGGAAGAGGGCATTCACTGCCTGTGGAGTGAGAAACTTGAGGGGTGGGGAAGGTTGGTGGTCCTGCACACTTTCTGACACTGGTAACAGCTTCCTATTGCACCATCCCTGTAGCTCAGGGGATCCTGCTGTCCACTTTAGCAAGAGTTGGGAAATATATTTGGGTCCTGTGGTAGGCAGAATAATGCTCCCTCCATAGATGTCTGTGCCCTAATCCTATGAATATGTTAAGTTATGTGGTAAAGGAGAATAAAGGTTGCAGATAAAGTTGCTGATCAGCTCACCCGGAGATGGGTGAGGTTATCCTGGATCATCCCGGTTGGCCAAATATAATCACGAAGATCTTTAAAAGTAGAGGAGGGAAACAGTACAAAAGGCCGGTGTGATGACATAAGAAAGTCTTGACCCACTCTTGCTGACTCTGAAGATGGAGGAAGAGAGTTACCTCCCAGAAAGGGATGCAGGTGGCCTCGAGAAGCTGAAAAACCAAGGAAAGGGAGTGACCCCTGGAGACTATAGAGGGAACGCAGCCCCGTCGATACCTTGACTTCAGTCCAGTGAAACCCATGTTGGATTTGTAACCTACGGAACTGTCAGATAACAAATCTGTGTTGTTTTAAGCCACAAAGTTTGCGAGAATGTGTTATAGCAGCCATTGGAAACTAATACAGGACCCTTCTGAGAGGAGATGCAAGGATTCGTTCCACCAGCCGATTTGTCCAAAGCCACAAATCATATTCTCAGTCCCTGAAGAGAGCAACTTCTCATCTTTAACCACAACCTAAAAGCTTCCTAAGTTCCACTTCTTCCTGTGGCATAGAGAGTTTAAGCCAGATCCCCTGTGACCGCAGGCATTCAGAAGTTCTAGATGGGCAGAGTGCACAATGAAGGACATCCATTATTGGAAGTCAACGTGAAACTTACCTCAGAACTTTTCAGACTACTGCTTCAAAAGCAGAAATACACATTAAGGGGGTTGTTAAGGATCAGACTAGGCAGCTTTAGAAAAAAAAGATTCAGAGACAAAATGTGTCCTGTATCTCAAGTTTACCTTTATTGTTCCAAAGAATAGCAGGGATCGTAGAAGACTGTCATCTTAAAGCACAATGTGTCAAGTTAAAAATGGAGTGGCAATATTAATGGAATTGCCTTGCTTTAGTAGGTTTAAGGCAAATCCTTATTTTCCTGCCGTTTTCTAAATTAAATTTATAAGAAATATTATGTATCCTGCTGTGCAAAGTGAAAGCTGTATTCTTGTAAAGGGCTTATAATCATATTAAAAAGCTGGAGGGTGAAGTTTGTTCATGCCATCAAAGTCACAAAGTAAAAATGGAGTCTTATATTGTGCATTTTTATAATGGTAATACCTTTTGGGGTATATAACACCACAAAGTGCTTCACTGATATTGTTTCGTTAATCCTCAGAACATCCCCGGTGGGGAGGTATATTTTTATCTCCACTTTGCATACGGGAAAACTGAGGCACAGTGAGTGTCAGCAATTTGCCTTGGCCTGCCAGTGGGCGGGCAGCACAGCTTGCACAGAAACTCCAGGATCGTAGCCCGAAGACTATTCACACCATTCATCAGACGACAGTCATCTTTCTAATCTACCTTTCTGCAGGTACAGAAATAGCTCCAGGAGGACTTTGGCATCTCTCAAATTTTATCTTCAAGTTCCTCAAGAAAAATATCCTATAAATAGATTTTCTGTTAATTCCACTACATCTGCTTAAAATACTTATGAACAGTCGGTAGGAGGTAGCAGCACAAGGCTCAGAGTGGGGGCATTTTTGTGAAGTTAGAGGGAAATGTGGATGATCTGGGGAAAGCCAAGGGGGACAGTTTGGGGGGCTGGAGCAGGACTGTCTATTTGGCAAACCAGAAGCTCCTCACAGGAGCATGCTTACCAAAAGCACACAGTTCCCCTGTGACCAGGGAATTCCAGGACTTTCAGGAAGTTCTATTTCTGGGCACAGAGATTATTTCTCTTTGTCTGCAGACTGAGATTTTACTTTGGTGCTTAAGCTTCTGCTTTATGTGCTTTAAACCAGCTGGTGCATGCCAGGTTTGAGTATCTTGATAGGAACACTCAGTAACTGAACTTAGTGTTTAGTTCCCTTGCTCTGGGCCATGGAGAGCAGGTGGTCTAAATTCTCCTTCTCTCTGCTGTTTTCTTCAGTTATGTTTCCCTGAGTGACACAGAAACCAAAGGCTTGAGCACCTTGCAAACAATATAATTAAACACAGGGATGTATTGAGCACCTGCTAGGCGTAGGCATGAGACCCATGTCTAGGTCTCAATGTGTCACTCCTTGGGCCTCATTGGAATCATGCTGTCCCTTTTCACAACACAGGAGGAAAAGTCATTTGCTTAAGGTCATAGCATGAGTAAGTTGGTGTTGGTGCAGCTGGGATTCAGCCCCACGTCTGATGGGACTTGACCATCCGCTTTTAACCGCTACCCTAAGATCCCTCTAATATTCTGGGATGTATGATCTATCCTGCATCCTGTGACAAATGGACTTTGCCAACCAGAAACTACCCTTCCAGCACAGTGATGAGCTCAGGGTTGCTTGCTATTTGCATCTGTCTTTGGTATCCCGCTATGTAACCTGATAAGCACGTCCATATTCCTTAGTTTCAGGGCTTTTACCCTCAACACCTTTCAATAAAAATATTAGTGACAAAGTTTCTAATTTTTCTTCCTGGGAACTGATTTTAAAACAGACAGTAGGCCAGGTGCGGTGGCTTATGCCTGTAATCCCAGGACTTTGGGAGGCTGAAGCGGGAGGATCACCTGAGGTCAGGAGTTTGAGACCAGCCTGGTCAACATGGTGAAACCCCCTGTCTACTAAAAATATAAAAATTAGCCAGATGTGGTGGCATACACCTGTAATCCCAGCTACTCGGGAGGCTGAGGCAGGAGAATCACTTGAACCTGGGAGGCAGAGGTTGCAGTGAGCTGAGATCACGCCATTGCACTCCAGCCTGGGCAACAGAGTGACACTCTGTCTCAAAAAAAAAACAAACAAAAACCAGACTGTGAAGTTATTTGGATAGCTAATACTTTCTATTCCTTTCCTTCTTATACCTATATGTTGTATTAGTGTTATTAGCATGTTTCAAATGCTCAGTTGTTCAATGGTTTATTTACATAACTATTCAATTGACTAACGATATGGTTTGGATCTTTGTCCCCATAGAAATCTCATGTTCATTTGTAATACCCAGTGTTGGAGGTGGGGTGTGGTGGAAGGTAATTGAATCATGGGGCAGGTTTCTCCCTTTGGTGAGGCTATCATGATAACGGTTCTCGTGAGATCTGGTTGTTTAAAAGTGTATGGCACCTTCCCCCCACAACCCACCCCTGCTCTCTTCCTCCTGCTCTGGCCATATAAGATATGCCTGCTTCCTTTTCACATTCTTCCATGATTGTAAGTTTCCTGAGGTCTCCACAGAAGCCAAGCAGAAGCTGCTATGCTTCCTGTACAGCCTGCAGAACCATGAGCCAATTAAACCTCTTTATTAATTACCCAGTCTCAGGAATTTCTTTATAGTAGTATGAGGATGAACTAATACAACTAGCTGCACAAAAGCTCATCCTAAAGAAAAGATTCCATTCCCAGGTTAAGAGACACAATGGAGAGATAAGGGGCTTATTCTGTCTGTCCTCACCTGGACAGCATAGATGATCTTACATAGTGTTGGTATTACACAGAGTATCTGGAACCAACTTCTTTGATGTCTTCTCCATTTCCGGGTTGAGTTTTTTTCCCAGACCTGCCAGCATGCCCACTATGCAGAGCCCCAGCCATACCCCTCACTTCACTTGGATACTCTAGGGTAATATCATCTTGAGATTGTTAACCTAATTATATCTGCAAAAATAGTTTTCCCAGATAAGGCCACATTCACAAGTTCCTGGTGTTAGAACATGGTCATATCTTTTTGGGAGCCATCATTCTACATATTACATTAGCCATAGCCTCTCTGACCAACAGTGTATGATCACGGCTCAAATTTGTAATGACTGGCAATTTCTTCTCTCACATGACAGTTGATTCCATTTTTTGCTAAACTCTAATTTCATAAAAGATAATCTTCATGTTGTGCCCAAATCAGCATCTGTGTAATTTTCCCCCATCAGTGCTACTTCTGCCTATGGAAATACTGAGAGATAAATTCAGTTCTTTTGCAATAAGACTAATGAATAGAGCTGAAGCTAAAACATTAAGGGTCAGAGAAATGTGGAGGTTTGTGAAAGCAGGGCAATCTGGACAACTAATTCAACGTAATTCATCAATTCTTTATTATGTGTTTACTTTGTGCAATATACTGTGGTGGATGGTGCAGAAGATTTTCAGATGGAGAAGAGAGTTCAGGACCTCCACATAGCAGGGCAACAGGACATGTTCACATATAACTACAATGCACAATATTATGCAAATAACTATAATACAAGGTAGAAGGTGGTGGAGGTCATTAAAAAGGATTAACAAAGTGCAGTGAGAGTTAGATGAGAGGATATTCTTTGTCATCCCTTCTATTCTGTCTCCACACAGAAGCCAAAATGAGTTAAAAATAAACTGAACAGCCTCAAAGCAGGCTTTTCCAGGCTCGAAACTATACAAAAGCTCTATGTGGAAAAAGAAAAGAAAAGAAAAAATCCCACTCCTGGTATGGCCCTCAAAACCCCTACTCACCTTTCAGCCTTGCCTGGTCCGTACTCCTCCTTGCTCTCCACATAGGCACCAGCCACAGCGACCCCTGGGTTTAGGTTCTCAGACTTGCCATGCTCTGTTCTGCCCCAGGGCCTTCTCCCAGCCACTCCCTGAGCCTGGAATACTCTCACCCCAGTCCTTTGCTTTTAGCCTTAAGGAGGATTCTCTTGATTGCTTATTTAAATTAGATCCTCTGTCATATTATCCAATAGCACCTGGACTTTTTCTTCATACAACTGATCACAGTTTGCAATCACACACTCAGGTTTGTGATTACTCATTTGATGTGAATCTTTACCATTGGAAGGTAAGCTTCAGTAGGGCCGCTATTTCACACAACATCCACATGCTGTATCAGAGTACCTGGAAAATAGATGTACAATAAAGACAGTTGCCAAATGAGTGGTTCAGTGATGAATGAATGAGAGCTATTAGATAAAAGTTTTCCTGAAGGCGGTAGCATTTGAGAAGAATTTTAAAGAAATCACAGACATGGGGCTGGGGAAATGTTTTAGGAATGTGAAGAATGCATAAATGGGAAGTTCAGGGCATACTGTTTGGAAAGTGGCAAAAAATAAGGGTTTGGTTTTAATATAAGTGTGTGTCTAGGGCAAAGGTTGGCAAACTTTTTCCATAAAGGCCCAGTTAGCACATATTTAGGCCATATGGTCTCTGTTGCAGCAACTCAACTCTGCAACTGTATTGTGAGAGCAGCTGTAGATAATATGCAAATAAGAGGGTGTAGCTGGGTTCTAATAAAATCTCATTTGTAAGTACATGTGCTGGGCTGGATTTGGCTCTTGGGTTGTAGTTTGCTGACACCTTGTCTAGGGAATACTGAGAGGGCTACAAGTGGAGGCTGGTGTAGTACCCTTAATCCTAAACTGTGGAGTAAATAATTCAATAGATAGTTCATAGGAAGTCAAAGCAGATTGAAAGGTATGTGAGTAAAGACGTAAAAGAAAGTGTGTGAGTAAAATTTGTTTTAGCATTTGTATTAGTTCTTTTTCACACTGCTATAAAGAACTACCCAAGACTGGATAATTTATAAAGGAAAGAGGTTTAATTGACTCACAGTTACGCATGGCTGGGGAGGCCTCAGGAAATGTATAATTATGGCAGAAGGCGAAGGGGAACAAGTTTGGACCTCCTCACATGGTGGCAGGAGAGAGAAGAGCAAGCAGGGAAATGACTAGACCCTTATAAAACCATCATATCTCGTGAGGACTACTATTATGAGAACAGCATGGGGAAAATCACCCCCATGATCCAATCACCTCCTGCCAGGTTCCTCCCTCAACACGTGGGGAGTACGGGGATTACAACTCAAGACGAGATTTAGGTGGGGACACAGCCAAACCATACCAGTATTATTCATCTAGGAACACCTCTGATGAATGGAATCAGAAGCGATTACAGGCACAGAGAGGAGCAATTAGGAGCCTCTTCTGATACTCAAGATAAGAGTCGATGAATCTCACCTGAAAAGACTGAAAGTGGGCAGATGAGGAATATTGCAAAATTAGTTCCGAGGTTTTATCCTGGGTATTAGATAATGGCATAGGGCTAATAGGAAAGAAAGAAGGATGTTAGGAGAAAGATTGCTTTGGTATTGAGGGGAAATGGCCAACTGAGCTTGATGTGTCCAGTTTAAGGTGTTAGGAGGACATGCAGTAGGGTAACCAACAAACTAGAGAAAATGTGGGGCTTAAGCAAGGGACAGGTGGTGTAGATGCAGATTCGGGTGAAGGGCTGAGAGACAGGAGAGAGGGAAGGTGTGGTGCCCAAGGACAGACCCTGGTGATGATCTTCAGTTAGACACTGAGTGAAGAAAGGAAAAGGTACTAAATGACCCAGGACTGCAGAGAGCCAGAGGAGGCAGACGAGGAGGGTTTTAAGAAGGAAAAGTGAAATCAGCCCCAAGCAAATCCATCTCCAGAAAGCAAACAAAGTACATATCTGTTTCTGAAATTATCAAAATACATCCACAGCCTGCTGCACTAACCAGAAATTATGTAATAAAATTAGCCAGGGTGAGTCTAGCCTTAGGGTTGGTGCTGCCCCCTTGTATTCAAGAGCCTGCATCATGAAGAACGTGACACAGAAGAGACAGACCTATTTGCTTTCTTTATCCAAGGCAGGCTCGCATACTTCAAATGACCTGAACAAATTCAATAATCTGTTCATTTGCTAGAGTCTCTCCCCGAGACTCCATTGATGGGTGATTTATCAGAGCAGCTGGGGCAGGCGCAGGGGCATTCTCTGCGTTTGCTTTGAAGCCCCGATGCCAAAGCACATTATCAGGTCTGAAGGTCATTATTTCTACAGAAAACAATGGTTTGTGGTTAATACCACCCTGTTGCCATATAACAGGGGAGATGACTGGTGATAATGTGAGGACTGAGAGTTCACTGCAGCCCACATCTGTCCTTCAGCTACATACTACATCTGTCCTTCAACAGCATCCTGTCGGTTCGCCCTATATTCTCATGCTGCCCTTGCCTCCTGGGAAGGATGGGATGTGTCTGTTCTTTAGAATGAAGGCTCTGAATCCTCCTTGACCCTAGGTATAACCTAGAGGGAAAATGCCCACCCAGCAGAGGATGGAAAAAGGCTGATTTCACTGGGTTTTTACTTGCCACTCTTTGGGTCAAAGGCATTTGACCACAGCTGCCTGTGGTTAGGCTGCTGGAGAAATTAGCAGAAGGAGGAGAGCAATGATCCCAGACAACCTTTCCTGGAAAAAGCCCAGTTTGTTCTCACCTGCTGAGTTCTGCATTCCTGTCAGGTGCTCTGGAATTTAAACGACTGTTTATTAGTTTCTGTGGATTCTGTTTGTGAAAAGATTTATTGTTCTTGCATTTCTTGGGTGAAAAATGTCTATAAAAACTTCTGAGGCGTCTTTGGGGATTTTACAATCAGGAAGTAGAAAATTATATTTCAAAGCTGAAGCTAATGAGAGATCATCCTGTAATAGGTGAGATATAAGGCTCTGTGTCTGTGGAGGGAAGGGATGAAGGGAACAGGCAATTTGACGGCTGCTGTTCTCTGTCACCAGAAAAAAATTCAACTTTACAACCTGACAAGGAAAGTTTGCAGCCTAGAACACATCAAACCTCAAGTGAAAAACAAGTGTTACCCATGCAGGTAACTATGCATTTTCACAAAGTCATCTGGCTTCAGGATAATGAGTCTATTATTTCTCTAGGATTACTTTCAATAGAATTTCTCTGTGAATACATTTCAAATTTTAAGAGCACTCAGGGTTGCAAGTGGAAAAGCTACCAGGCTGTAAATGGAGCCATGCCAGTTATTCTCTGTTTGCACCTCAGGTCTGTTTTCTGGCCTTCTCTATGTGGCAGTAGGTTGCTCTCTAGAAAGGGCTTCACTAATCTCCCCGTTCTCTGGATTCTTGTTGGGATTGTGTATTGGGGGCACTAGTAGGAGACCACAGGGCAGGATGTAAAAGCACTCAGGGTACTAATTTCCTCAGTCCTCCTCCTAGTCCCTATCTGCCCTGCTGAGGTTCCTGCCAGATGGTCCCTCTGTGGCCTCCAGGAGTAGGGACTCTCCCTTTGCCCCCTTCAGGCTCAGGGGTGCTTAGGGCTTCCCCAACCCTTGTTGGTTCTGCCATACCTGCCCATACCCCTGTAAGTCATCCCTTTATTAGCCTTTTTTCAATGAAACCCTTTAAGGGTGTCATGTGTTTCCTGTCTCTGCTCTCTGATGGAGACAACAGTCATATTTTCATAGGGTACTTTTGTGAAATAATATAAATGTGAGTATGGAAACAACTGTGTCCAACGAGCAAACATTTTGATAACTGTATTAGGAAACTTGATAGAATAATTCTAAATTTCTTATAGAAGAAAAAATATCCATGAATATAGTCAGGAAAATTCTGGAAAAGTTTTTTAAAATTTTCTGAGGTGTTTTTTGTTTGGTTTGTTTGTTTTGAGACAGGATCTTTTTCTGTTTCCCAGCCTAGGGTGCAGTGGTGCACTCATAGATCACTGTAACTTCAAACTCCTGGGCTAAAACTTACTGTAACCTCAAACCCCTGCCTCAGCTTCCCCAGTGCTAGGAATACAAGCACACACCACCAAACTTGGCTAATTTTTTTTTTTTTTTGTAGAGACAGGATCTTGCTGTGTTGACCACGCTTGTCTTAAATTCCTGACCTCAAATGATCATCCTGCCTTGGCCTCCCAAAGTGCTGGGATTACAGGCTTGAGCCATCATGCCTAGCCTAAAGCTTTTAACTTATCAGATATTAAAATTGACTATAAAACTTCCCTAAGTGAAACAAAGTAACACTAGTACAAGAAGAGAAGACAGATCAGTTAAAGAAAATAGAGGGCTGATATGGTTTAGCTGTGTCCCCACCCAAATCTCAACTTGAATTGTATCTCCCAGAAATCCCACATGTTGTGGGAGGGACCCAGGGGGAGGTAATTGAATCATGGGGGCCAATCTTCCCTGTGCTATTCTCATGATAGTGAATAAGTCTCATGAGATCTGATGGGTTTATCAGGAGTTTCCACTTTTGCCTCCTCCTCATTCTCTCTTGCCGCTGCTATGTAAGAAGTGCCTTTCACCACCTGCCATGATTCTGAGGCCTCTCCAGCCATGTGGAAGGGTAAGTCCAATGAAATCTCTTTTTCTTCCCAGTCTTGGGTATGTCTTTATCAGCAGCATGAATATGGACTAATACAGTAAATTGGTACCAGTAGAGTGGGGCTTTGCTGAAAAGATACCCGAAAATGTGGGATTGCCTTTGGAACTGGGTAACAGGCAGACGTTGGAACAGTTTGGAGGGCTCAGAAGAAGAGAGGAAAATGTGGGAAAGTTTGGAACCTCCTAGAGACATGTTGAATGACAAAAATGCTGATAGTGATATGAACAATAAGGTCCAGGCTGAGGTGGTCTCAGATGGAGATGAGGAACTTGTTGGGAACTGGAACAAAGGTGACTCTTGTTATGCTTTTGCAAAGAGACTGGCAGCATTTCTCCCTGCCATAGAGATTTGTGGAACTTTGAACTTGAGAGAGATGATTTAGGGTATTTGGTAGAAGAAATTTCTAAGCAGCAAAGCATTCAAAAGGTGACTTGGGTGCTGTTAAAAGCATTCCATTTTAAAAGTGAAACAGTGCATGAAATTTCAGAAAATTTGCAGCCTGATGATGCAGTAAAAAAGAAAAACCCATTTTTTGAGGAGAAATTCAAGCCAGCTGCAGACATTTGTATAAGTAGCAAGGAGCCTAATGTTAATCCCCAAGACCATGGGGAAGATGTCTCCAGGCCATGTCAGAGACCTTCACAGCAGCCCCTCCCATTGCAGGCCCTGAGACCCAGGAGGAAACAGTAGTTTTGTGGGTCAGGCACAGGGTCCCCGTGCTGACAACAGCCTAGGGACTCGGTGCCCTGTGTCTCAGCTGCTTCAGTCATGGCTGAAAGGGGCCAACGTACAGTTTGGGCTGTGGCTTTAGAGGGTGTAAGCCCAAGCCTTGGCAGCTTCCACATAGTGTTGAGCCTGTGGGAGCACAAAAGTCAAGAATTGAGGTTTGGGAACCTCTGCTTAGATTTTAGGTGTATGGAAATGACTGGATGCCCAGGCAGAAGTTTGCTGCAGGGGTGGGACCCTCATGGAGACCCTCTGCTAGGGCAGTGCGGAAGTGAAATGTTGGGTTGCAGCCACCACACAGAGTCCCTAATGGGGCACTGCATAATGGAGCTGTGAGAAGAGGGCCACCGTACTCCAGACTCCCCAATGGTAGATTCACCGACAACTTGCATCATGCACCTAGAAAAGCTGCAGACACTCAACACCACTCCGTGAAAGCAGCTGGAAGGGAGGTTGTACCCTGCAAAGCAACAGGGATGGAGCTGCCCAAGACCATGGGAACCCACCTCTTTGATCAGCTAACCTGGATGTGAGACCTGGAGTCAAAGGAGACCATCTTGGAGCCCTAAAACTTGACTGCCCTGCTGGATTTCAGACTTGCATGGCCTTGTAGCCCCCCTTTTTTTAGCCGATTTCTCCCATTTGGAATGGCTATATTTACCTAATACCTGTACCCCCATTGTCTCTAGGAAGTAACTAGCTTGCTTTTGATTTTACAGGTTCATAGGCAGAAGAGACTTGCCTTGTCTCAGATGAGACTTTGGACTGTGGACTTTTAGGTTAATACTGAAATTAGTTACGACTTTGGGTGGGCATGATTGGTTTTGAAATGTGAGGACATGAGATTTGGAGGGGCCAGGGGCAGAATGATATGGTTTGGCTTTGTCCCCACCCAAATCTCAACCTGAATTGTATCTCCCAAAATTCCCACATGTTGTGGGAGGGACCCAGGGGGAGGTAATTGAATCATGGGGGCCAGTCTTTCCTGTGCTATTCTCATGATAGTGAATAAGACTCATGAGATCTGATGGGTTTATGAGGGGTTTCCACTTTTGCTTCCTCCTCATTCTCTGTTGCCACCACCAATCTTTTACTGTCCGCCATGATTCTGAGGCCTCCCCAGCCATATGGAACTGTAAGTCCAATGAAACCTCTTTTTCTTCCCAGTCTCAGGTATGTCTTTATCAGCAACATGAAGTGGACTAATACAAGGGCCTAGAAATCCACACCAGAATAGATGGGTGTACTATATAGGAATATAGTTCATAACAATTGTAGTATTTCTAATCATTAGGGAAAATAATTATCATTTAATAAAGTATGTTAGGCAACTGGCCAGCCATTTCTAAAAAATAAGAAGTTGGATCCACAACCTCATTACTTATATCACAATAAGTAGCCAAGGAATCAAATATTTTAACGGGAAAAAAGCCAAACTAGAAAAACACATACTTAAATATTTTTATAATTTTGGAATAAGTGTGTATAATTCTTTCTAAGTATATGAAAATATATAATACAGAACATTATTAATTTTTCTTTTAGAAAATACAAAATTCTATATATTTGTTAGAAGTTGACATTATGAGGAAAAAATTCTGACAAAACTTTAGTTATTGGTTTTATTGTGGAAAAAATAGCCTGAACAATTTTCCTGCTGAAAACAACTAAAAGTTTGGCTAAAAAACATTTTAAGTTATTTAAATACATTGCTAAGCTAGACAGAAATTAAGGAATCTGCAGAGGTCAAAAGAGAAACTAAAGCAGGACCCTGTGAGGTGAGTAAGCATGGAAACAGACTCCACTCTCAGGGTGTTGCCAACACACCTGCTCTTTATGGTGGTTGCGCAGGGAGAAGGGGACACAATGAAGCAAAGGCCTGGCCCTTTATTGTTGGGGCGAATGAGAAACACGCTGTGTTGGATAGAAGGGGAAAGCTAGGAAAAGTGTCTAGGACCGCTGTGGCACTGAGCAGACAGAGGGGAAAACTCCCCTGAGGATGTGCCAGGCCTCATGGGGTCAGAGTTCTCATTATCTGGTGCAGTTAGTCCAAGAAACTTCAAGCTAGCAGTGGCCCCAGGCAACCGGCAGAAGCAAGTGCAGATCTTCTCTGAGGACATGCAAATTCAACCCAGGCCTAAAGAACTCTCAGAAATAATGTGCCAAAGAAAATGAGCATGCAGTCAAAAAGGAAAGAAACAAGGTACCAGATGCAAGAGCCAGCAGATAAAAGCTGGCAACATCTTTAGATACTGGAGTTATCAGACACAAAGTATAAAATAACATATTTAATATGTGTAAGTAAATGTGTGTATGAGAAGCTTAGAAAGATGAGAAAGGAACGAGAGACTATCAGAAGCAACCAAGCAGATTTGGAAAAGAAGCAAGCAGAGTTCTAAAATTGAACCATATAATAATTAATATCAAATACTCAGTGGGTGGGTTAAATGGAAGATTAAACACAGATGGAAAGAAGTTAGCATCCTGAAAGATAGTTTGGAAGACTTTATTCAGGGTACCACATAGAACATCAAATATAATTTTTTTTTTTGAGATGGCATCTCATTCTGTTTCCCAGACTGGAGTGCAGTGGCACGACTTTGGCTAACTGCGACCTCCGAATCCCAGGTTCAGGCGATCCTTCTGCCTCAGCCAACTGGGTAGCTGGGATTATAAGCATGCACCACCACGCCTAGCTAATTTTTGTATTTTTAGTAGAGACGAGATTTCGTCATGTTGCCCAAGCTGGTCTCAAACTCCTGACCCCAAGTGATCTGCCCGCCTCGGCCTCCCAAAGTGCTGGGATTACAGACGTGAGCCACTACACCTGGCTCACATAGAAAATTTTAAAGCAGAATTAAGAGACATAGAAGATAGACAAACTCTTTTATGTATCTAATAGAAGTGCCAAAAGATTATAGAACAGAAAAGCAATATTTGATGAGATAATAGCCAGAATTTTTCAGAATTATGGAGAGACATCAGAGCTCAAATTCAGGAAATTCAATGAATCTTAGGGAGAATAAATAGAAACAAAACAATACCTAGATATGTCATGGTGAAACTGCAGAATCCCAAAGATAATGAAATTTAAAAGCAGTGAGAGAGAAAAGTGAGATTACTTTTAAAGAACAGCAGTTAGACTGACAACTGATGTCTCAACAGCCATAGTGCAACTCGTGGAATAATATCATCATTGTGCTGAAAGAAAATCTGCAAACATAAAGTCTTTCAAGAATGAGAGTGAAATAAAGAAAATCTCTCAGTCAAACAAAAACTGACAGAGTTTACCACCAATAGAGTCTTACTAAGGCAAATTTTGAAAGTAGGTGCAAGATGGTTCCAGAAGGGTTTGGGATGAAGAAAACATTGTCTGTGTAAAACAGCAGTAAGAATGTCAAATATATTAAGCTAAAGATAGATTGAAGTAAAATATCGGACAATTTAAGCATATAGTTTTGGAGGGCCTAATTGGTGTTATTTATTTAGAGCTTGCATTATTTAGAAGAAGAGTAATAAAAACAGTTAACTTTAGATTTTTAAAACTAATCCATCAAAATAGCTAGGGAAACCACTAAAAGAAAAATGCGTAATTTCCAAACTTATAGAGGAAAGTAATGCAGTGAGAATAGTTGGAAGAGAGACTAAAACACATTGTTTGAGAGTATATATATAGACAGACACACACACACACATACATATGTATACATACAAAAAAATATATATATATATGGAAATATCACAAAAGTAGGAGACAGCGAACACAAAATTGAGAAAGTCTGTAGAGGCTGAACACAAACCGTGGCACTCTACATGGTCTCCCTTAGTCTGGGGTCAGTGAAGTTGGCCACAGGATGGACTCAAGGATGCCTCTAAATGCCAAGAATGGAGTGCACAGAGGGAACCTGAGAACCGGTTCTCAGCAGCACCTTTGGTAGCTGATGGGTCTATGGTGAAGATGGAGAAAAACACGGATTAAGATCCCACAGCCCCTTCCTGATTTCTCTGGCATGATTTCAGCTTGGGAGAATTGTGCGATCCCATGAAGGAGAGGACGGGGTCCCAGATGTGATGAGGGGGATTTTCCACTGGCCAGTGAGGTGACAGCTGAGGTCACAACATCTGACTTACATGAATAAAGGAATCAGATATTTCATTGTCTGAGAAAAGAACAAAACAAAACACCTCACTCCCAAAATGTTAGTGGTGATGATCTTTGGTGGAATTTCAGGTGACTTTTAGTTTCTTTATATTTTCATTTATAATTTTAACATAAAATACCCCAGAAATGTATAAAACTAAACTCATCTGATTGCAGGATGTAACAAGGGGAATTTTCTATGTCTTGAAAAGACCAGTGTTTGAAATTCCCTAGAAGGTGCCCTGAAAACATTATTTTGGTTGTAGTTTTTAATGTTCTAATTGAATTTCCTAAGGTGGGCTGTGCTTTAGAAACTGTAAAGCCCCATATCTGCTCTCATTGTTATTATCTTTTCCCACATGAAAGTTAGTATTTTGGCAATCATTCTCCCCTCAAGAGATCATTTTATCAAAATGAAAATCTGTAACTCATGCTGTCGCATAAGACTAAGTCACCTTCTAACAGAGGATTTCCACATTGTGGGACTTCTATAATTATTAATATGTGTAAATAATATCTTTAAAAGCAGAAAATCAGATCAGAGAAAAGGCTGTGGTGGAGACTGTTGTTTTGCCCACTGGTGTCCCCTCCTTTGGGCACACAGCTAGATTACCATTCTCAGCCTTCCCTACCATGAGGTGACTAAGTTCTCTTCAATGGAATGTGAGCACAAGTGCTGTCTGCTACTCCCAGGCATGGCATCAAAAACTCCCACATCCCCTCCTCCACGCTCTTTTTTCCTTCAGGCTGCCTACCCCTCACCTAACTCACCTCCCCACCTACGGCTGAAATGGCAAAGCTAGCATCAGCCTGGGGCTCTGAATGACTGTGTGGAACATGCTAGTCCCACCCCCGCTCCCAACTCAATCCCACCTCAAACCTCTCTAGACCACGTGTGCTCAGGAGATTAGCTGCTGTCAGGCCTTGAGTCTTCCGGTCTACTTGTTTCCACCATCTTGCCTACCCTAAAGAAAACAGTGGCACATTCTCAAGAGTGGCTCATAAATGGCTTGAGAATGAAATTTTTATCTCTAATGACTTTATTTGTAATAGTCCTCTTCAGAGGAATCCTCAAACACTGTGTGGTGTTTCACCCATGAATGTCAGATTTACCTCATTAGTTAATTCGATCTCCTGGGTGCAAAACTGTTCATCTTTTCACTCAGTGTGAAACAGAGGCACACTCTGTGGGGTACATCTCAGGTGCCAAAAGTTACACAGAGCAGTATTTTCCACTACATCCATTCAGTTGGTTACAATTACGGGTGGGAACGTGATGTGGAAGCTGAAACTGCAGTTTTGAAAGTGGAAAAATAGCAGAAGTCTCCTATTTAGAGAAAAACCAAAGGTTTAAAGTGACAGTTATAACTAAAACTCAATACAGTAGTCCTCTCTATCCTGTTTCCTTTCTACTGTTCAGCTACCTGCAGTACAGCACAATAAGATATTTTGAGAGAAAGACCACATTCACATAATTTTATTACAGTTTGTTATATTCATTCTATTTTCTTAGTTATTGCTGTTACTCTTTTACTGTGCCTAATTTATAAACTAAACTTTATCACAGATGTGTATGTATAGGAAAAACATTTTATATATAGGGTTTGGAACCATCCTTGGTCTCAGGCATCCACTGGAGGTCTTGGAACGTATGCCTGCGGATAAGGGGGCTCCTGTAACATGTGCTGTTCTGGAAGAGGCTGCAGACATTTCAGGAGAATTGTCTCCTCCAGAACGAGACTGCTGTTTTGACTATTCTTCGTGAGCCTATCTCAGATGGCACTCAAATTTAGTGGAGCCATTTACACATATCCCACAAATCTGACTCCAGAAGCCTTGAGAAATTATATGAATATTGACTAAAGGTTTCTGCAAGGAGTGCTGCAAGGCTTTATACACAGGACACACAGAAAAATGTTTTAAAATTCCTCTTCACCCATCCATCTCTACCAATTCCCTACAGTGGTTGCTCAAACATCTCTCCCCGTGGCGATCTCTTTACGTTTTCCTCCTCTTTTGCTAGCTCCTCTCTGTTCTTTTTAAGGCAAATCCTGCTACAGTTCCTTCAGATACTTCATGCCTCACTCAATACACTGAGCTACAAGGAAAGGTCCAGGGAAAGGAACAGAGGTTGGAAAAAGTTGTGAATTCCTAAGTATGAATCTTTTTGTTTCTGTCATAATGGTATTGAAGTTTTATGAGATTGTATTAATCATAAGATTCTTTTCTATGCTCTTTCCACTTTTCAAGGAAAAGCTCTTAGTTCCCCCCACAGCACTGTAGCCTTTTACTGAATGAACTGCGTAAGTGTGCGAAAGGGCAAGTCCCAGAAATTGGGGGTGCAGCTTTGATCTCTACAGATACCAGTTGTAATTCTTGGTTACCAGTTTTGGGGAGCAAATGCTTCAGTCCACTGACAAACACTTGAGAAATGACCGAAGAGCCTTTAGGCATGCAAAGATTTACTCTTAAATGTTGTTTGTTTCCATTTTTATCCAGGATTCTAATGCTATGGAATTCATAAAAGAGCAGTTCTGGAAGGCTTGCTTGTCCTTCAGATAATCCTGGAGGACAAGTACTTCTTCAGGCTGTTTGCTTGGAGCTTTCCCCGAAGCAACCAAACTGGAGCACCTGCCCTGCGATGGCCGTAGCTGTGCCCTCAGCCTTGCTTCACGATGAGGAATGATGGTGACTACCTGGCACTGCTATTATGTCGTGCCACTGGACAGGGAGGCCTGTGTTGGGAGCTGCCAGGAGCCATTGTGAGCAGGCAAGTTTGAGATATCTGACCACAGTGAGGGCCCTAAGTTCTCCAAGAGGGTGGCTGAGACTCCTAGTCCTGGATGATCTGCTTCTTGTCTCTTACTGGGCATGAGAACCCTGAACCAGAACAGAGAATTCTAGGGACACGTGTTTCCTTTGGCCTGAACCCTCTGATAGCCAACACCCACCTGGCACCTCACTCCTGGGGCCTCTGCCGTACACTTCTGAGTACGGGGTCTCTGACAACTTCACATTACCTACCATCATTTCCTCTGTGACCTTTACAGTTGTCAAATGAGCTTATGGTCTTTTTTTTTTTCCCTCTAGTCCTTTGCCTCTGGAGTGAAATAAAGCTGCACATTAATCAACTTGGGTCCAGACATTTCGCTGTGAGAGTCTTTTGTAGTTCTTTGCTGTCTAATATAACATGCATTTAGAAGCATGGCCACCCTGCCCTTTTGGAATACATTGTATTCTGAAAGCCGGCATGACATAAGCTTGTTTAGATGAAAGGGCCAAGCCTGTTTTGGTAGCTTCTGTTTGTCTTGCTTGATTTTGGTGAGATCATATTAAAGTTTCATGCTTTCTGGGTGTGTAAAATTGATGTAGCATAAATTAGTTGGCTGATCTGTGCATTTTTCCTCTATTGTTTGAAAATTACTGTCTCCGGGAAGCTCCCTAGTGGATACAACCTTGCCTGCATGGATCTTAGACAAAACACCACTGTTCATAGTTGTCATAAAAGTATGTACCTATGGAGGAAGAAAGGGCTCTCTGAAAAATCAGACAAAATGGCTATTTTTACATATTCTTTTTTTTCTTCCCATCATTTCTAAAGAATGTACATCCCACGGTGATGTGGATGATCTAATGGCATTTTTTACCAGCAATGTTGAAAATTGGTGTGACAGACTTCATCTCAAACTGTACGGTTACTTTCTAAAATAACACATGAAAGCATATATTGAAATGTATACTTGAAAAAAATATACTTGTATCAAGTAGGAAGGTGATGTGCTTGCCTTAAATACCAAGATAATTTAGTGTAGAGAAATCCTTGGAATAATTAATATAACAGATGTTCACCTTGCAATACCTTAAAAATAGAAATCTTAATGCATTTAAAATTAATTAAAGGTTGAAGCCTTCTAACTTAATTATACATATTTTTATGAAGATGAAACAGAATTTAAGGAAGTTTGATACCATGAGTAATTATTAGTTGTTTTCATTTTGTAGTTGGCTTGGTAAAATTTATACAACCCTCTCTCTCAAAAATAAATTCCAATGGCTTTTTTAAAAAGTATGAATTTTTATGCTATAGAAGATGCAATATACTTAGCTTACCCTCAATCTCAGACCTATTTTGTGCCCCAAATGAAAATTTCATGCTGTTTCCCTCTTACAAACCTTCATACATGTTGTTCCTTCTACCTGGCACTGTTCCACTCCTTCCCGCCTGTCTAGTTCTGCCCATCTGCTTAACTTCAACTTAAGTCACTACCCAGGAGGGCTTCCCTGATCCCCCTTTCAGCTCGGTTAGCCTTCCATTATATTCTCCCCCTAAACCTGTACTTCTTATACCAAGCACAGTTATCCTATGTTTGTCTTCTCTGTTAGATTATGCACCCCTCTAGGGCAGGGACCATATAGTTAATCCTTGAACAATATGGGTTTGAACTATATGGGTCCGCTTATACACGTAGATTTTCTTCTGCCTTTGCTGCCCCTGAGACAGCAAGGCCAACCCCTCTTCTTCATCCTCCTCAGCCTACTCTAGGTGAAGACAATGAAGATGAAGACGTTTATGATGATCCACTTCCATTTAATGAATAGTAAATTTAGTTTCTCTTCCTCATGACTTTTTTGTCTTTTTCCTTTTTTCTTTCTTTCTTTTTTTTTTGAGATGGAGTATCGCTCTATCGCCCAGGCTGGTGTACAGTGGTGCGATCTCGGCTCACTGCAACCTCCACCTCCCAGGTTCACGCCATTCTCCTGCCTCAGCCTCCCGAGTAGCTAGGACTACTGATGCCCGCCACCACGCCCAGGTAATTTTTTTTATTTTTAGTAGAGGCAGGGTTTCACCATGTTGGCCAGGATGGTCTCGATCTCTTGACCTCATGATCCACTCGCCTCGGCCTCCCAAAGTGCTGGGATTACAGGCATGAGCCAACGCGCCTGGCCTCCTTATGATTTTCTTAATAGAGTTTTCTTTTCTCTAGCTTTCTTTAAGAATACACTATGTAGGCTGGGTGCAGTGGCTTACCTCTGTAACCCCAGCACTTTGGGAGGCTGAGGTGGGTGGATCACTTGAGGTCAGGAATTCGAGACCAGCCTGACCAACATGGTGAAACCTTGTCTCTACTAAAAATACAAAAATTAGCTGGGTGTGATGGTGCATGCTTGTAATCCCAGCTACTCGGGAGGCTGAGGCAGGAGAATTGCTTGAACCCAGGAGGCAGAGATTGCAGGGAGCTGAGATTGTGCCATTGCACTCCAGCCTGCACAACAAGAGTGAAACTCTGTCTCAAAAAAAAAAAAAAAGAATACAGTATGTAATACATGTAACACACAAAATACTGTTAATTGATTATTTATGTTACCAGTAAGCCTTCCAGTCAATAGTAGGCTATTAGTAGTTAAGTTTTTAGGGAGTCAAAAATTATCTGTGGATTTTTGACAGTATAGCGGATCAGTGGCCCTAACCCCTGCATTGTTCAAAGGTCAGCTGTATTTGCTTGTTGCACTTTACATTCCCAATATTTAGCACAGCCCCTGGCATTACTGAATGAATGGGTCTATGTTAGGGATCGACATCTGAACAGCTTATGACGGACTCTTGCATCTAATTGCTATTGAATGTACATACATGGGGTTTAACAAAAGGATGAATTTTTAAAGAATAAACCAAGAAAATTCTCTAATGAATCCCTTGGTCTTCTTTGATTAAACAAATAGTTCATTAGAATTTTTTTTTTTTTTTTTTTTTTTTACAGTTGAAGTAGATTTTATTGAGCTTTATGTCAGATATCATACAGGACAATGAATATTCTTGTGCTTAGTAAGCAAATCAGATAATGGGTACGTATGGTGCTAGATCAGTGTGCAAAGGATGTCAGGAACTTTTAACTTTGTTTCAATATAATTATAATGAAAATCTAATATAAGGATTAAACTGTGGAAACAAACAGGATGAACAGAAGACTTACGTGTGAATGCTTTAGTAATAAGAGGAGCAAATTTGCTTTTTAAGTTGTCTTTAAAGACTCAATTATTTGTTTGTCAGTATTGCTGGTTATGGACTAGAAAAAGCATTATCTATGGGAGGGCCACACCAACTTTAGTTCATCTACAATAAATCTCTTACCTTCAGTATGAATGGAATATAAATTGCCTGTTATCCAATGTTCAGTATGAACGGAACAAAAATTGCCTCTTATCCAAATGATGAAATTCAGAAATTTCTCAAAATATGGTATTCCAAAACACACAGCTTACTACTAATCAAAGGTGTGAGAAATACTGTCACGAGTGGATTTGTCTCCTTAGAACTTCACACATTCAGAATTTTAAAAACCCCACTTGAAAGTACTCTATTTTTTAGATACTATTAAAAGGCCTATCTTAAACAAAGTGATTGTTTTGGCAAAAAATAAGTCTTGTGAAAGTTACTGTTTATGTATTGTGCTTCTATTTCTCCCTAAATTCAGAAAAAAGGGAAGAAAAGGAAAAAGAAAGCAAAAAATTATGAGCACTGGTACTTTACAGAGAGGCTAACTGTTTGAGAAGCACTCACCTCCTGTACAAACCAGACTCGCAGAAATCTCAAGAGTCTTCCAAACGCAGAGGGTCTGACAAGCTGTTCATCTGTGCAGGAGAAGCACTCCTAGGGAGAGCAGTGCACGGGAAGGCGACCACTGTCAGAGGACCCGAAATTCCTGTCAACTGCCGGTCATTTGACCAACTCCGGCAGCAAACATCCATGTTTAAACTTACCTTAAGTTTATATATGTGATTACCTCACAACACTATACTAAAAGAGAAACAGAGATGACAGAAACTCAAATGAGAAATTTCTCCGTTGTCATCTTTGGCACATAGGTTTTCTGAAGATTCGTAGCACTCTGGAACAATGAAGCTGAGGGGAGAGTCATCCACAAGGGCAGCCGCACAACTGCGTGCAAGGCATGGCAGAGGTAGCGTGTTCGGTGCTAATTGTCAGTGTCGTTCCATGGGGCAGTTCAGAGCAGTGCAAGGAAACAGTGTGTTCTAAGATCACAGAGTCTAGAGTTTGGGAATGCTGACCTTTTTGCCCTGTTTGTTTCGTACTAGCTGTGTGACCATGGGTTACTTAACTTCTTTACACATGAGTTTCTTCATTGTTAAAATGCAGCCCCAATAGCGATTCCTTCCCATAAGGTTGTAATATACATAAAGTAAGATAATACGCATAGCATGTTTAGAACAGTGCCTGGCGTGTGAGTGCACAAGCCGCATCAGTGAGTGGTTTTATTCCTCACTGCATTTCGGCATGCTGGGGATGAGCTGCTTTACTGCTCAGACTGAGCCCCGCGGCAGCCCAGGTCCTCAGCAGGTGTTCTTCCCACGAGGCTTTTTGCCTGTCCAGGCCACTCCTTTCGAGGGCAGTGCTGATTTATTTCAGTTACAAGACCTGGCGCAGGCACATGAATAAACCAAGACAGTTATTATGTCCCTCAAGGAGATAAGCAAACAGAATATGTGATGGCATGAGGAAGGTGATAAGCCTCAAGGCTAGGGTGCCCACTTATGATTCCATAAAATCACAGAACACTGATTCTAAGCAAGATAAAGTTATTCAGAGCTCATATATGCCAGCCTCCTCCCTGAGTAATAGATTCCTTTATTATCTCCCAACCAAACCGAGACTAGCCTCTGCTTGCTGAGGTAGCTTGGTGAATGAGAGAGGCTGAGTGATGAGGGAGGGAGCGGGAAGAGCCAGGAGACAGGTGCTCCAGCTGGGGCAGGCCACTTCCCCCTCAGGAGAAGACCAAGGGGTTCCAATGAGATGACCTCCAATGTTCCTTCTAAGAACTTTCTCAAATTCTAAGACTCAATGATTCTATAACCTTGGAGGGCAGACTCTGTCATCACTGGGCAGCTCTACAGTTAAAACGCTTTCCCGTACACGCTATGCTCTATTTTTATCTGTTGGCTGTAGCTCTGGAGACACAGAAAGTCAGTTCATTATCTTCTCCATGTGAGTTCCTGAAGGAGTTGAAGGCAGCTGTCCTGTCTTCTTTGAGTCCTGCCTCCCTCTGAACTTGTGATGTGTATAGCATACAGCCCTCACTGCCGAGGACTCCTGCTTCATGCCCCCCTCAGCAAACTCCTCTCATCTCATGCTTCTTATTCGGCCCTTCTCTTCACTCTCCGTATGTGTGCATGGTCTCTGCCCTCCCCCACACCCTCCAGTCAGTGCACCTGTCAGCCAGTTGGTGAGTGTGGCTTCTGAAGGCAGTTGCTGTTTAGCATTATGCAGCTTATAGCAAAGGAACCACATGTCCACATCAACACAAACATCAAACCCAAGGTCCAACTCACCCTAGTAGAGCTGACAACACTGTACAGTTCAGGTAAGGTCTCTTGTCTCATTTCTGAGGTTTAGGAAAGGCCAAAATGCCCATGCAATCCTCCTAGGTGTGTGGGATATAATTCTAGGACTGAATCGATGGTTGCTATTCTGCAAGATACCTGAAGATGAAAGGTGGCTGCATTGTTCCTCAGGAATGAACCACTGGTCCCCTTCATCATCTGTTGTCCTACCAGAGGACACGCGCAACAGCTTTTTCTCAAAATGAGAGGCACATGGTTACTGTGGAGGATGAAAACTGTTGTCTGTTAGCTTGGGTGTCTTTCTATTTCTTGCTGCCTTTTTCTAACTCTCCACTTCTCTACTCAGAGCAAGCTTTTTGAAAGACCCATCTTGTCTGAACTCCACAAAGAAGAATGGAAGAACTTTTGCCTGTGCTTTGGCCTCAGCATTAAGGGGGAGTAACTTCCTTTGAAGACCAGGGTGGTGGTAACAAGGATATCCAGACTGAAAGAATGCCAAGAAGGAGGTGAGATTCAGGGCTCAGTTAAATAAGTGAGTATAGTTTCCCTTAGTTTGTTGCTTCCCAATTCTCCATTAGTAGACTTTTAACCCTTATAGGTCAGATGTAAGTTAAAATGCAAATATTCCCTTGGAAGGGTAACATTTTGCTGTTACCATTCACCTAAAGAACTGAAAGGAGGCTCAGTTAACAGAGAAAGAGAAGCCGTAAGGGTAGCAAAGGTGTAGCTTCCCAGGAAGATGGGAGCTGATCAAAATCTAACTTTGCTTTCCTTGTGCTGTATCTGGGCCAGGCCCAGAGAACGGTCACCCTGAGTGACTCTCTGTGAACAGGGCATTTGGTTTCTGCAGGCTTGCCGTCCCCATGTGCCTCTAACATCCTCATGCTTAATAGCGTCCTTGAAGTGTGCTGTTCTTCTTACATAAGTGTGCTTCCTTTGGCTAATCAGACAGAAGTTGTTAAGCATCTCTGGAGAGTATGAGAAAAGCTATTACAATATCAAAAAAAAAAAAAAACAAACTCCTTTTCCAGGCGGATTCACAAGGAAGTGCCTGAGAGGCAACTTTCCCCATTGACTGCCAGCATAAAAGAACTAATCATTGAAATGCTGGGTGGTGAATTGGTGGACTTGGTGAATGGATAATGTTTCCTCTAAGATCCCGGGCCCCAGAAGTTATTAAAGGATGAGGCTGGACACTTCTTGATGAGGTCCCTTAATCTCTAAGAGACCTTCAGTATTCACTTCATAACGGGAGACACAACATTTAATCTAATGGAGGCAGTAAATATTTTGCAGAAAACATATGGCATGATTTCCAGAACATTTTAACCAACTGTCTTATAAAGATTAAAAAAAACAAAACAAACGGGATTTGTTTTCTTCAGGTCAGCAATTCTTTATTTTGGGGAGAGGCTGTGGAAGGAGGAGAGGGTAACGGATACAAGCTATAACTCAGGAAGGTGATACAAGGAAGGTCGGGCAGGACAGAATGTGTGAGATCATGTTAGAAATATCACCAGATTCCTTAGGGAGTTGTAAAGGTGCCTTAATTCTTGTCCTTGCCAAACATCCTATAATAGTACGACAAGATTTTATTTATGATCACTGTCAAATTGGACTCTGGGTAGGCCACAGGTGTGGAATGTCAGTCATGGCTCTTACAATCATCAGAATGGCTCTCGTTAGGTCATTAAGGAAAGGAAAGGATTCAAGATGAGGCCCTCCAAAGAAATTGTCATTTTCTTCAGGCTGGAGAGGCATCTGTTTGCTTTTATTAGGCACTAGTTGGTTTTGCATTGAAAGAGCCATGTATTTGTGCCTGAAAGAAGGGAAGGAAAGAAATATCCCATTTTAAAATCAAGCTTCCCTGATGAATTGGGTACTTTACTTATGAAGTCTAAGCTTTTGTTGCCTAATTTTTTAGTCTTTTAATAGAGAATACTTCACACAGATTAAGCCTTGAAAGGAAATAATTACCAAATATGTAAATAGACATTTCTATACACTAATATCTGCACCTAACTATATTTGCCTTTATGGCTATTACGTGTATTAAACTAAATACACATTAAATATTTATAGTCAATCTTCTATTTTTTTGATGCATAAATGAACATTCTCCACCAGAACCAGTCATGTCTGTGAGAAAGCAGATACTTTAGGTAGAAATCCACTGGAATATACATATCTGAAGACTTAGTCCCACTCTCAAGAAACCAGAACATTTGTTTTAATCTGTTTAATCTAATTATTTTATTATAGCTTCCTACAATAGGCCTCATGTTTGACCATCAATCACATGAACTCACATTATACATAAAATATTAAGATTAGATAGATTCTGATTGGACATTCATCTTTAAAATAAATGCTAGTAACCCTTAGTTAGAAAATAAGGAGAAAAAATAAATTTTTACTAATGAGGTTACAGTCCAAATATAACATGAGATAAAAATGTCAAGATAAAAATGGGAAGTCTTAACCTTTAAATACTGCTAAAAAAAAGTTAAGTAACACAACAGAAACTTACTAAAATACTTTAAAAAGCTGTTGTAAATGAAAGTGAGTGATTTGTCCTGAAGAGATAATCCAGATAGTTGGTTTCCAATTCTGTCATTAGAATGCTTTTTCAACAATGAGATTTCAAATAAGAAACCTGTAATAATGTAGATCCATAGGAACACGATGAATGTTGATAATATCAATGTAAGAAGGCAATATCTGGAGCTTTTAAAACATCTTTTGTCCAATGGTTGGGGTTTCAAAATGGATAGAAGAATAACATCTATCATTTTAGAGGTTTTCTGAAAGAAACCAAGGTTCCTTTTAAGTTCTTGCTTCTTGGAGATGCCTAAAGGGAGACTATTGTTGAAGTAAAATACAACACTCAAATATAACTAGCTGAATAGGAGACAAAGAGGCCTCTATAGTTGAATCCTAATTAGAGGACATTTTGTTCTACTTCAAGCCCTATCCTCCATTCTAGCTTTAACCTTCTCCTTAGATCCACTTTAAAAGGCAAAGGTCTGCTTAGGAATAATGAACTTTCATGGATCAAGGTTCCGTTATTTTCATTTTATGGAAAGATCTGGATTCAATTCTGAAATGCCATCCGGTCTCTGTGGGTCTTTGGGAACTCCACGTGTTTTGCTAAACAGTAGCTTTTCGAGCAAAACGGTTGAACAATGTGGCCCTAGGACATATTTTAAGAACACTCATGCCTGGTTACCATTTAAGAATTCACCAGACAAAAATGATTACCAGGTCACTGCCAGCTACAATTCTTACATTTCAACATTTTAAATAATTTATATGAAAGGCAAAGAAAATAAATGTCACTTTTTTGGTTTTCAATCAAACTAGCAGTTCACATATTAGGACCTATTACTTTCCAAAAGTCACACAGTCCCTACAAAAGTTTGCCACACAACTTATCACCAAAAGTATTTCCAGTCTACATGTGTTTACATATCAAAGAAAGCTTAATTAATCAGAGGAAATCTAGCACAAATGTATGTTATAGCCTAAATAATTTAGTTTCTAGCTAAATGAAGATCTACTTCAGATTATGATATTTTAAAATAAAAATGAATCACCCAAGAAATAATCACTTTTGGGTAAACTATCATTTTAATGTCATTAATCGTTCCTGTTTTTGAGTAAATAGTATATTAACAACTAAAAGAGTTTCGGAGCAACTTGTTGTAAATTGTGTTTTTTAGATTTACCAGAAAATTTTGATATGAATTATTGAAATACCCACTTCCGCATATAAAAACTAGGTGTCTTTGATATATTGTTTAAATATGCAAATATGTTAACAATAAAGGAGATACAAGCTCATGTAATGAGATTACTTCCATTATTTTTAAGTTACTTTAAATATTTGTTGGGGAAAACTTGTTAGCAGTGGATCATTGCTCTAGGACAACTCAATGACCACCCAATTGTCTGTGTGTTCCAGCCAAATTCTCTACACTAACATGAGAAAGGGCACAATGATCTTTCTGGGATCAGGGGTGTATTAGTCTGTTCTCACTCTGCTAATAAAGATATAACCAAGACTGGGTAATTTATAAAGGAAAGAGGTTTAATGGACTCACAGTTCCACATGGCCTCACAATCATGGCAGAAGAGCAAGGGATGTCTTACATGGTGGCAGGCAAGAGAGAGCTTGTGCAGGGGAACTCCCCTTTATAAACCATCAGATCTCATGAGACTTATTCACTATCATGAGAACAGCACAAGAAAGACCTCCCACCAGGTCCCTCCCATGACACATGGGAATTATGGGAGCTACAATTCAAGATGAGATTTGGATGGGGACACTGCCAA
Organism: Homo sapiens; assembly: GCF_000001405.40. Lineage (NCBI taxonomy): Eukaryota > Metazoa > Chordata > Mammalia > Primates > Hominidae > Homo > Homo sapiens. Next base: position 59,663,614 of record NC_000013.11, read on the forward strand.
ACCATATCATGGGGTTTGTCACTGGCCTGGATGGAACATCCTTGTCAAGATGCACACACACACACACACACACACACACACACTTAGAGAGACAGACAAAAGAAAGAGAGAGAGGGAGAGTGCACGGTTTATAATGAGGGATTGGACCAGGTGATTTTTTGGAAGCTGAGAAGTCCCACCATCTGCCATCTGCCAGCTGAAGGTGTAATTCCAGTCCAACCTCAAAGGCCTGAGAAGCAGAAAAGCCCGTGATGTAAATCCTAGTCTGAGTTCAAAGGTCCACGAACCGGGAAGGCCGATGAGAAAGGGCAGGAGAGGACGATGTCGCAACTGAAGTAGAGTGTGCAGATTTACACTTTCTCCACTTTCTGTTCTATTCTGGCCCTCAGGAGACTGGATGATGCCCACCTACAGTGGGAGGGCTATCTTCCTTATTCAGTCTATGTATGCAAATGCAAATCTCTTCCAGAAACACCCTCACAGGCACAATAAGAAATAAAACCGTACCGCTTGTCTGGGGCATCCTTTAGCCCAGTCAAGTTGACACATAAAATTAATCATCTGCCGGGCACGGTGGCTCATGCCTGTAATCCCAGCACTTTGGGAGGCCTAGGCGGGCGGATCACGAGGTCAGGAGATCGAGACCATTCTGGCTAACACAGTGAAACCCCGTCTCTACTAAAAATTAGCCAGACGTGGTGGTGGGCGCCTATAGTCCTAGCTACTCGGGAGGCTGAGGCAGGAGAGTGGTGTGAACCTGGGAGGCAGAGCTTGCAGAGAGCAGAGATCGCACCAGTGCACTCCAGCCTGGGCGACAGACTCTGTCTCAAAAAAAAAAAAAAAATTAATCATTATACTGGCTCATTCAAATGAACAAACTGCTTATTCAAAAAAATAAAATTGTACCTCAACTCCTGCCCTCAAATTAAAGGTCAATGCTATGGTTTGGCTAAGGAAATATCATGCATTTTAAAACCCTAATCATACCTCTAGCCCATTGCTGAAAGGGCATCTACCAATAAAAGTATCTCCAAATGATCGTTCCTTGAGTTGGTACTCACCTTTATCAGACATTTAGAGGTTTCCTTTCCACAGCTATGGTCCTTTTTGGAGCCAGCTGCTGTCATCAAGGGAGAGAGAGTGCTGGCTGCTGACCTGTGGGTGGCCAGACGCTTCTGATACTCTGCTAGCCTTGGGCTCCTGGCCCTCTTGCTTGAAAGTTGTCCTCAGCCCCTGCAGACAGACGCTCTGGGGCTTGACTGCTCCATTTCTGGACTTCCTTGCCTTCCTCTGCCCCTCGGAGTCTCCGTCATCTTCACTTTCCTTTATTTGCCGGGCTTCTTCTCCCCCGTGGCTGCTCCCCGGTCCCAAGTTTCCAGAGTTTTTACCTGCTTCCTGGTGTGCCCAAACTATCTAGTTGAATTTAAGTTTTGTTTCTGAAAAACCCAAGTCTGCAAAATCACATTAAGAACTGATAGTGAGAGTTCTTTCATTTAAATTCTTTCCTAAACAAAACAATCCTGCCTTGTTGTTAGGGGTGCCGTCAGCTTAAATATGTAAATGTCCTTCACCTTTCTTGATTTTTAAGGTTTGTTTTCAGAAAAACAGGAATTGCAACTGGATGGCAAAATGCACATTTCAGCAATACATACAAATTCACATTTATTCCTACACTGGCTACAGAGAATACTCTGTTCTCCAATGTCTATAAACAGGGCCTGGCTCATAGTTCTAATTAATTAACTTTATTAACTTAGAGCTGAAAGGAGGTGGCAACTTAAGGAAATAAAAAGCAATAGACCTTGCCCGACTAGTTCCATATAACTGCTTTTTAACTGAAGGTAAAAGAACAGTCACTTACTTATTACATGTAATAAAGCAAAATAGATGCTTAGACAGACTGCATAGCACAGTCTATTCTCAGCTTATCCACAGAATGTTTTCAAAAAAAGAGAGACAAAAGAAAGCATTTTTTTTCATTTAGTGCAAGTAGCAAGTTTATTTCCTTTGATATAGAATTAACAGAGTAATGATGCCCAAATGAGGTAATATTACATTTGCTTAGGAAAACTTTCCTTGAAACACTTATTTAGATCTTTGTTAAAGTTATTGATTGTCAGATCAGAGAAATTGCAATCCCAAGTTTATTCATAAAATAAAAAAAGTTGTTACTTTGGAAATTTCAAAATGGCAATTTTATCTCAGAGTCATAATTACAAGGGGAAAAATACTCTCTTAGCCAAGATCAAGAATTTCGGCAGCACTGCAATTCTGTTTACATCCACGTTACACAAAAGCACATGCATTTGGCAAAGAGAGTGCATACATTCTTATTGCATCATTTTTCGTTATGTGCTCAATTGCCTTATGGTCCCCTAGAGGGTCTACTTAACATGAATTCAACAATGATGATAATGGGGTCACCAGTCATTTCCTTACATATATAGCTCTGATGTATTCAATTACATGTTTTTGATGTTGTGCTGGTAGTATATAGATCCCAATTAAGGAGAAACTTGGGCCTATATAAACAATATATATGGAATATACATGGATATGTAAAGACTTGAGGTTGATGACCTGACATCCATTAATGTTAAAAATAGTAAAGTAAAAATTCCAGTGGCTTAGAAAGATGGTATTTTCTTAAGGACACACTGCTGAACACATGGCCACCTACCTGCTCTCTAAAGCAATATGTATAATTTAACCACCAAATAAAGAACTGAGGAATACCAGGAGACAAAAAAAAAAAAAAAAGGATTAAAGCCCGGTACAATCTTGAATAAACCAAAACCTCCAGTACATAGAAAAAGCATTGCAATCATATATTTAGCTTTATTTTTCTAATATATATCATAATTTAAAACTATATAAAGTCACTTACATAAAAGCAATTTTTTCAAGTGTTATAGTTTAGAGCATGGCTTTATATTTGGCTTAATCATTTTTTTTAAAAACCAGTTTAACTTATAAAGCTCGTAATCTTGCCAGCAGGGCTTCAACTTCGGGAACTGATTCATTTTTAGAAAAAGAGCCAAGAAGTTCCGTTTCCTTTTTTCTGTTGCTTTCTACATTACACGCTTCCTTCTTCTCAGCTGCCTTGATCCTCCCAGTAGACGTATGAGTGTCTAGATTATAATTAAGCTCCTTGGCGACTGGAGTCCTTGTTGAGTTGCAATTGATATTGTAGTGTGAACGTGACCCTTCTGTCAACTGCACTTTCTGATTTTCTACAGTAAGGAAAAAAGAAACATAAAACTTATCACCATGATAACCAAGGACTGTGCACGTTATGAAACACATTTAAAATAATTATTCTCAATAAATAAGTAGTCTTCTTAGATAGACTAAACAAAGAAACAGTCAACAGAGTAAGACAGGTTTAAAATAATCACACAGGGGTTTAAGAATAAACTAAAATATAACAGCCAACCGTTTCATTAGCACTAATGCCCATTTCCTTCTTCCTTTATGCCTGACATGCCTGTCACGTGGTTATTATCAGGGCCTGGTCCCATATTTCTTTCAGGTCTCTGTTCAAACACCACCTAAAAAGAGAGGCCTTCCCTAGCCACCCATCTAAAATAGCATTTGCCCTTTGCACTGCTCTATCCTTCCCCGTCATGTTTTCCTTCACAGGGCACATGATGGCTGGACACACAATATATTTGCTCACTTGTCCATTGTCTGTCTTACTAGAATGTGTGCTCCAAGACAGTAGGGACATTATTTTAAATACTGCTGTAACTTCAGGGCCTAAAATGGCCCTGGTGCAAAGTAGGTCCTCAATAAATATTTGTTGGATAAATAAATAATTTCCACACTCTGTGACACAAGATTAAACATTAGCTTGAATAATAATGAGATTAATTTCCTTTTTGAATGAAATCAAGAAGGAAAGTTTCTAATAAGAATTTAAAAAGTCGATTATTTTCCTTTAAAGAAACAATGAACTTGGCAAGCAAATAATTAAAACTTCCTAGCAAACCAGAATGTTATATGTAATTGTCAAGTATATACACATCTATACATACATGCATGTACATATATACATACACACATACATTCTTTTATTGGTAAGTGATGGTAATGATGACTTTTAAAAAACAGACACCCTCAATATTCATGTAACCTTGAATGGGGCTTGAAAATGGCTTCAACAAACCTGACATGACATTTAAAGTTTTTTGGTTATTCTCTGAGAGATGTTCCATTGTCCCAATAGTAATGACTTTGGAGCACAAGCAGTCACTCATGACAGTGTGTTTTATGTGAGTGCTGAAAATTCCAACTGAAAACAGCTTGTACATTAAAAGGTGGCTGCTGAAGATATTTACTGCACTGTCATTTTCTGACCAGAGGCTTCCAGTGATGGATGAGGATTTTACACACTTTCTTGGACAATCTCAACAAATTTTAGAAGTATGATCACCTTTTAGCTGCTGGAAGAAAATAAATACACTTTGTCTTTCACCTTCTATATCAGGTGGGCAACTGTTACTCAAAAATCAAAATCTAATAGAGCAGTGATTTTCTCTTAAAGGAGTGTATGCTCTGTAGCTTATAATGTACATATTGTGTTTGCCGGAAAGAGCACGGTAGATGTGGTATTCCTGCAGTTCCTATGACCACATCCTTTTCTTTTCTAGCTCCCACACCTCTGTCCCAAAGAATGCTTGAAAACTGCATTTGCAGCTAAATGTAGAATGTTGGCCAGCTTACTGCTCCTTCCCCAAAATGTTCCTATCTTTGCTTATTTGATTTCCTGCAAACCACTACATCATGATGGTATCTCCAACAAACCAGTTTATTCTGCTATTGGACAACTCTAGTTAAAAGTCTAATGGCAAAGAAGAGATTAAATTAGCCAAAATATGGGTATAGAATATGAAATGTGTGTGTGCGTGTGTGCGCGTGTCCATGTATGCACTCCAAGAAAGTAGGGACATTGTTTTAAATATTGCTATAGCTTTAGTGCCTAGACCGTCCTTGGTGCAAAGTAGGTGCTCAATAAATATGTGTTGGGTAAAGAAATTATTTCCATACTCTGTGACACAAGATAAACTTTAGTTTGAATACTAATGACATTAATTTCTTTCTTGAACGAAACCAAGAAGGAAAGTTTCTAATCAGAATTTTTAGTCAGTGGTTTTCCTTCAGAGAAATAATGAACTTGGTAGGCAAATTATTAAAACTATATATATACACATATATATATATGTATGTATACACACACACACACACACACACAAAACACATACATACATACCATCTTATGAATAGCCTGTATTTTGTTGCACTTCAAACATTACCACCCTCAGCATATAGATTGAGGGGTAAAAGCAAAAGGAGGTTAAGTCATTTGCTTAGACTTAGTTACTGAGTAAATCGGTGGTAGACGCCAAATGCTGTCTCTAGAGATACTGAGGCTGTCTTCAAGAAATCTGAAAACCCTTTTGCCAAAGGAAAGTGCTAAGTAATTCAAAGCTAAGTTTCATAATAATGGTGTCCTGCACTTATACTTCAAAATGCCTTCTAACACACTGAATTCTCGCAACAGCTTTGTAAAGCAGATAGTACACCTATGTAAACTACCTTAACACAGTATATCCAAGGTCACACATATCCTCCATTTCTTTCCTGGTCTCACTTAGATTCATGACTATGAACTTCAAAAGCATGACCTTTAACCCACTACAATTCCCTAGTCCATTCACTCTTCCATTCTCCCAGACAACTGCTCCACACCTTCTCCACTCTTTGAAACTTCCAATATGTCCTCCCTCTCATTTAACTCACTCATAGAGGTGATCAGAAGAGAGCTCCTGCACGTGCCTCACCCCTTCCCCAACACCTATTATCTGCCTACTGCACACACATACATCCGCCCCTCCTGTTAGGATGAATCAACCTTCCGAGCTCCCCTCTGAGGACAGCCCTCAAGGTGAGTGACGGATGTGACTTTTGCTTGGATGTGACTTTTGCTTGTCTATTCAAGGACATCCCTCTGGCTGCTTTGCCCTCTCTCTGCTGCATTGTAAAGGTTTCTTTCTCCAGGTGCTCATTCCCCTCAGCAGAGAGGCTCTAATAATCATAAATTTATGAGGTGGGGGGAATCTCTGTTTGTCTCCACATCCTGCTCCAGCTATCTAAATTCTTGGCTCCCTTTATAGTAAAATACCTTGAAAGAATTGCCCATACTTACTCTCTTAATTCCTCGCTCCCTATTTTTCTCTTGAACCCACTCCAATCATGCTTTTGACCCTTTACTCTTCTGAAACAGTTCTTGTCAAGGTCGCTAATGAACATGCATGCTGCCAAAAACAAGGATTGCATATCTATTTTGAATGTCTTAGTACTCCTTGATCTATACCAGATCCAAGGATGAAATGCCTAGCATTTCCTGGGTTTTTCTTTTAGCGTTTGGTCTTTGAACTTCTTTGGAGACAAAGGTAAATAATAATGGATGGGCCAAGGCAGGCAAAAGCATTTCTATCCTTTTGAGAAAACTCAAAATAGCTGTGGGCTTGCTTTAGGGACAAAATGATAAGAGAAAAACTAAGATGGTATTTATCTCCTCTGTGGTTTCAGGTGAGGAATCTTTCATGAGAAGTAACAGACAAGACAGTGTAAAAAGGAAAGAGGCCATTCCTGAGACCACTGAAGAAATAAAAAAGAAAAGTGCACAAGAGTTTTTTAAAAGATGTTTATAGCTTTCTTAGAAATTCCTAGATAACAACTCTTCATTCCCAGCCCTCACATTAGCTCTCAGCACCCCAACAGCCCCCATTCTGGTCCTCACCTTCTTTTTGGTTTGTCTCCAGACATGGGAGACCAAAACTGTAGAAATGAGCAAGTCAGATCTTAAACTGCAAAGCAGATAAATGAAGCTGGACAGGAGGAGTTGCCTATCCCACTATAATTAGAGATAGTGCAGGTAGAGGAAGTGCTCAAGCTGGAAGTTCACTTTTTTTTTTTTTTTTTTTGAGACAGTCTTGCTCTGTCGCCCAGGCTGGAGTGCAGTGGCGGGATCTCGGCTCACTGCAAGCTCCACCTCCCGGGTTCACGCCATTGTCTTCCCTCAGCCTCCCGAGTAGCTGGGACTACAGGCGCCCGCCACCACGCCCGGCTAATTTTTTTGCATTTTTAGTAAAGACGGGGTTTCACTGTGTTAGCCAGGATGGTCTCGATCTCCTGACCTCGTGATCCGCCCGCCTTGGCCTCCCAAAAGTGCTGGGATTTCAGGTGTGAGCTACTGCACCCGGCCGGAAGTTCACTTTTTTAAAGCCTGGCAACAAAGCCAGGCTGGGGATAAGCTATCTACCCGCCTCAGCGTCACAAAGTGCTGGGATTACAGGTGTGAGCCACTGTGCCTGCTGACCCCAGAAGTTCACTCTTATATAGAAATCTTATTATAATGTGTCAAGGCCAGGTGTCTTTTGTTATCACCATTATTTTAAAGTTTGTTATTGGTGGCTTTGTGTGGGCTGGAGACCTAAATTCCATGCAAAAACATGCACTTAGTTTCTAAATGGTTGACTTTCAAACAACAGAGTGATCCCACAACCTTGTAAGTTGGAGAAAACTCTATACTCTACCAGGTGCTCAGAGGCATAAATAAATTGTAATTTGAGGCAGGTAGGCCAATTCTTTTCATATGAAGTTAGACAGTTACAAATGCAAGATGATACCTAGGACATATGGACTCAATGAAAGGTAAGGCTGGGGTATCAATAAAAAGACAAGCGTTTCTATTTCTCAACTCAACTCTTCACCATACACACTTTTAAATGGAAACTAAAAATATTAAGGCAAAGAGGGATGATTAATTCTTCAAGGTGAGGAGTTTGTTTTATTATTTTACAAATTGAATCCTAGGCCTTTTTTTTCTGTTTAAGATATTACAATTGATCTCTATGTGCAATATATCTAGGACTACTGCCAATATTCAGGGCCACTGTTGATTGTAGTACTGATAGGCAAAGAACCAGCTGCTATTCTTAGTACCAATTCAGTAAGAAAATGCAATCCACACATCTTGTATTTGTGTTTCTGTGGAAATAAACACGATGAGAATACATGCTATTTTCCTTTAAGATAGGAATACTTACTCATTTCAATTTAATTCTTCATAGGATTCTTACTATAAGAATTGAATCTAGAGACCCACCACAGCTTTTTCTTTGAAACTGAACTAAAAGTTGAACGTTGTTGGAGAGCTGAATGCCTCTTAAATACTGATACCCACTGGACTTAAAAATGAGAATAAAGGCCTTAAACTACATCTAGTGTTGGGTCCCACATGATCTTTGGCAGAGTATAGATTTGGATGACAAAGAAAGCTTAAAAAAACTCATTCATCCTGTGCTAATATTTCCACTGTTTCTTGAGAAACACAAAAGACACAGGAAACTGGGAAAGTTGCTGACAAAAGAATTATGTATATATATGTGAATATATGCAACTTGGCATCTAAATGAGGAAATATTTCAGCCAACAGTTGTTATGCTTCTTGAGCTAAGAAGGCAAGGCTAACTAAGGCCCTGGCGGACGGCCCTTGGGGAAGACTTCTCTGCTGCAGGAAGTATCAGTTATGGTTCAGAAAGAGGCATTATTCCTTTGAAGTTAGTATTGATCCCCCCTCACATTGTGGTTCTAATGGGCACTGGCTTCTTAGGAGTGCCAACTCTCAGATGAAGTATAAAATTGAGCTCCTGTCTTTTGTGGTCAATGGTGAGTTGTGGCAGCCTTGACAGGAGGAAGAATGTAGAACTCTGGTGTCCTAAATTGACTCCATCTATTCAGTGTTCCTGAAATTTGGTCTCTCCTCGCAATTCTTTACCTTTTGTTTTTAACTATTACTTTGACCTACTAAGTAGCTGTTTTGTTTCACCCCAGCAATGGCTTTACTTTGGTGAAAGAAAAAGAATCACTCATAAATATAATTTTAAAGCACCACTGGGTCTACATGATAGTAAAGTGTGTGACAAATATATGTTTTTAATCTATGCAATAACGGAAGTTAGTGGTGGCCGCCAGCAGCCCATATCCCTGTGGTTTTCCTTATTGCTGATTTACTGATGCTATTAATAATTGTCTTCCTTTGGTTTCATTTCGCTGTTTATCTTATGTATTGAAAATATATAAAAATAATTCAAAGAGCAAAAGGTCATTTTGCATATAGTTAAAATCTTTTAGGGGTGCCAGAAACTCTTATTAAAACAAATTATGTAAAAACAAACAACTAAACAAAACAATACTCCCCCTATCTAAACACAGTATGCAAAGCAGAATATAATGATATCTTTGAATAGAGGAAACAACTGATGAAGAACTTTATTTGCAGAAACTATTATATAAACTTCTATTCATTCTTGTTCTGTATCACTATCCTTTAAATAAAATTCAAAGACAGTACTGCCATTTCACAGTTTCCTATGCTGAGTTTTTCTAATTGAGTGTAGGGCTACAAGGAAGCTCAAGATGACGCAGGCTCTGTGCACACAACAACCAGGATAGGTTCAGCCTCTAAAGAGAACAGTAACGTAAACTCTTCTGTTTGACTGCTTATCTTCCTGATTTGTAATATGCTACCTGAGTTGGATACTCTTTTCCATATCTGCTTTCCTCTTTTTCATCTCTCCCCTCAATTCTTAGCAATTCTAATTTGGCTTTCATCCATACCTCTCTATTGAAATTGCTCCTTACAATATTACCCAAAGCATCGAAATTCCTAAACTCAATTGCATTTACTCATGCCTCTTTTTTCTCTCACATTTGCAACATTTTGGAATGTGTGTAATAAAGAATTCATCTGGTCTTTGTCCCAGTCCCTGGGAGGTGGCCTCTAAAGCCTTGGAATTTTGTATTCATGTTGGGCCCCTCAGATGAATAGTTTGAAACCCTAAACTGATAGTTTTTGCTAATGAGGTAACTCATGGTGGGCCCCTAGATAGTTTATAGTAATGAATGACTCAGGATGGGGGTTAACCAAGCCAGAAAGACCAATCATGTGATTAGAGGGTTGGGGTTTTGAGCCAAATGATTATCAGCCTGATTTCTGAGTGAGAGATGGGTACGGGAGCTTGAGCTCAATCATGTGGCTGATGATTCAACTAATTGTGCCTAAGTAACAAAGCCGCAGTGCAAACTCAAGACACTGATGTTCAGGTGAGTTTTCTGGTTGGTAATCCTCTGTGCATCCTTACACATCAATGTGCAGGGAGGCTGATGCGTCCCTAAGGACAATAGGGGCTTCAGGTGTCTCTCCTTTGGCTGTTTCTGATTTGTATTCTTTTGCTATAATAAAGCTGTAACAGGAAGTATAGTACTTTCCTGAATTCTGTCATTCTAGCAAATTATTGAATTTGAGAGGGTAGTAGGAAGCACTGAATTTGTAGCCAAGTGATCAAAAGTGAGGGTAACCTAGGGACCTCAAATTTGCAGCTGGTACTGAAGTGAAGGCAATCTTTTAGAGGACTGTGACCTGTGAAATCTGGCTTAACTTCAACTAGCTGGTGTTAGAAGTCAATGTAGAATGTTATTTGTGACTTTGAACATTATTATGGCATAATATCGATATGATCATATTACCTTTATATATGGCTATTCTATAGCTTGCAAACACTTTCCCCATATATCCACTCATGTGATTCTTATAACAGCCCTGTGAGATAGGTAATATGGGTATATTTAGTATATTTACCTTGTTTGACATAAAATTGAGAAAGCAGACATAACTTTCAGGCAGAGCCAGAGACAGAACTAAGTCCTCAGACTCCTGGTTAACATGCTCTATCATGATATTGCCCTTGACTGTGCTTACTCTTCTACTTTTCGATGATTCATTTTAAACCTTCTTTGGTAATTTGTGCTACCTTCCCAACCTCTACCAAACAATCATAACCTCAACGTGGCCATTTCTCACAGTTACATCTTTGGCCCTCTTTTCTGCCCTTTCTACCTTCTCTCCATCACGATCTCACAGCTTCAACTATTTCCTCTAGGAAGAAGACTCAAATCTGCATTTCCAGCCCTGACAACAGAGCTCCAATACCGTATCCACCATGGCCTCCCTAAACATTCCTACATATGCCCTACTACTACTTCAAATAACACATTCTCAAACCACACTTTCATGCTCTTCATACTAACAGACTGAAACCAACCATGGCATCTGTTTATCAGTCATGCTATCTGTTATTGACAGCTGTCTCAGACTACTAAGCACTTGTGGTCACCTGGAGGTGGCTTGGCAGATATTAAATAAATATTTCTAAAGTGTGTAATGGCTTGTCAGCTAATAGATACCAGGTCAGAAGTAATTTGATCAGTTGATCTGGTGGTTCATAAGGGAAAGGGTAGAGAAATAATACAGGGATATGGTTTGACAGTATACTTATTAAACACATACTACATACCTGATAAAACTTTTACATGCTATCTTTTTTCATTTTGTTTTTAGAGACAGGGTCTTGCTCTGTCGCTTGCTCAGGCTGGAATGCGATGGTGCCATGATGGCTCATTGTAGCCTTGAACTCCTGGGCTCAAGGTATCCTCTTGTCTTGGCCTTCGGAGTAGCTAGGTCTACAGGCACGTATCACCATGCCTGGCTAACTTAAACATTTTAAAAATCGAGACGGGGTCTTGCTATGTTGCTCAGGCTCACCTAGAACTCCTAGTCCCAAGTGATTTTCCTGCCTCAGTTTCCCAAAGTGCTGGAGTTACAGGTGTGAGCCACTGTGCCTAGCCTTTACATGCTATTTTTAATTTTTTTTTTTTTTTTTGAGACGGAGTCTCGCTCTGTCGCCCAGGCTGGAGTGCAGTGGCACGATCTCGGCTCACTGCAAGCTTCGCCTCCCGGGTTCATGCCATTCTCCTGCCTCAGCCTCCTGAGTAGCTGGGACTATAGGCGCCCGCCACCACGCCCGGCTAATTTTTTGTATTTTTAGTAGAGATGTGGTTTCACCGTGTTAGCCAGGATGGTCTCGATCTCCTGAGCTTGTGATCCACCCGCCTTGGTCTATTTTAAAATTTTTACAACAATCCCAAAGTGCAGGTATCAACAAGCCCATTTTGTAGATAAGGAAGTTGAGGTTTAGAGAAGTCCATGAACTGCCAAGGCCACACAGGCTTTGCTATTTGCCTCTGGCAAATTCAGTCCAAATCGTTGGCCCTCATGGTTCTGGGGGAACATGATTAGGCCATGGCAAATAGACATGTTGTGAAATGGAAAAAGCACTTCCCAAGGATGAAGAGGCTGGGGAGAGGTAGATTCCGAGTGCTAATAACTTGCGAGCTGTATTAGAAACTAACTAGCTAACTATTTTTAAATACTTTAGGACTAGAACATATTTCTGAAGCCATTTCTAAGTCTCATCACATAGTGTGCTTTTAAGTATATTTCCTTATTTCTTATACTTCTTCAACATTTATTAGACATTTCGAATGCACAGGTATTTCTTCTGAATAACTTATGCTATTTCTGTTTCATTTCATTTTGATTCACAGAATCATGTAATGTAGAATCAAATGGAAAGACCCCTTGTTACTTGGTGGAACCACCTAGCCAATGCTCGAATTACATTTAGTTAGCATCCTATCAAGTAGCTATCCAGACTCAGTTTGAAGACCTCGAGTCATTTCCTCACAATCTCATCAGGCAATATATTCTACCTTTGGTCAGCTCTAATAATTACATGTTTTACCTTAGATTTATCCAGTGTTTGTTTCCCTGAAATCTTAGTCACTGGCTCTGTTGATTTTTTCCATTAGGGCTGTATTAAATCCAATTCCTCTTCCACCCACCAGCCCTTCAAATATTTGAAGACAGATATTATATTCTCTCAATCTTTTCTTCTCCAAGCCAAACAGCTATAGTTTCTTCAACTGTTCCTTCAGTGATCATGAGTTGAAATTATGGTTAAGTCAGTTCATTAGTTAATTCAGTGAGGGTTTAGCCCACCATGCCAGGTGCTAAGTTTTTGAAACATTTAAGATCCTGTCATTTCTATAATGAACATGCAAAACAATATTCACTTAGTAGTTCAAAATTCTGGGGAAAAGCTAAAGCTAACTAGGGTGTGCAGTACTGTAAAACAATACAATTATATGTTCATAGACTCCTAAAAAATTTCCATGTAGACTTAATACTTCAGGTTGATTTTTGATATGCATTTAATAAGAATCTGCTTAAAATAATGTTTTTATTCATTAGAGAATTCAGTCCTGGGATACATTTGTGTTTATAACTGTTTTATAACAAAATAATTTTATGTATGACTATATACATAGAAATGTTCCTTTACTTCTCCCTGGCCTATTACTACATATATACTACATTAGCCATATCTAAACATAGCAATATGTTCAAGTAGTAAGAAATCTAATTCATATCCATCTAATTGTGACCTAACTTGATAGAACATAAGCTCTATGAAGGCAGGTATCTTGTTTTATTCACTGGTGTATTCCCAAGCCCTAGCACAGTGCCCACCTCATAACAAGTTCTTGATAATTTATTTCCTGAGTGACTAAACCCAAGCATGGCATGATTTTATTACCTTGCTTCACTTAATGTTTTAAACTAAACCTTAAAAAAAAAGGGAACACTTTGGAGTAATATTACCCAGATACAGCTGATGACATAACATTTTGCTTTATTGTACATTTTTTTGTGCTTTTGGGTCCCTTGAGGACTCAACATTGAGACTAGAACGGTACTGTCCAATAGAAATTTAATGAGAATCACAAAAATGGGCTATACATGCAAGGTAAAAATTTCTAGAAGCCACATTAAACATTGAAAAAAAAAGGTGAAATTAGTTTTAATAATATATTTTATTTAATCCAATGTCAAATATTATCACTTTGACATATATATAGCAAAAATATATTAATGATATCTTTGGCATTTTTTTGTACTAAGCCTTCAAAATCAAATGTGTATTTCATACTTACAGCAGATCTCTATTCAGACCAGCCACATTTCAGGAGCTTAAGAGCCACACCTGGCTATTGTCTACTGTACTGGACAGCACAGATCTAGAACCTGGAGTTTTTCACAGTGCTATTACCTATACATTATGTATTTAGAGTTGAATATGTATATATTATAAACAAGTGAAAATGAATTGTTCCAATATTTAGCATTTTATTGTGATTTTGTTTCATATAAAGAGGAAGGAGCAGTTATATATTTCTAGGTAAGTTGGATTTAGGTAGCTTCTGTGAATGGCAAAATAGACAAAGGCTAAAGATTAAAAATATACTCACAAAATCTGAATGCTAATAATGCAAGCCTACTGTTGCTACTGTCTATGTTTTGGCATCTGTTTATCCAGCCATCTAGGCATGGGGAGACTGGGTTACCGTTCAGAGACTCTTCTACTTTTGCTTACTAGTTCTGTACATGTTTTAGTAAATCCATGAAAATTAGGAGGATCTAACTTATTAAATCTAATTCTCCTTCCTTTCAAAATGAGAGTGACCTTTATGCTATTCTCCTATTCGTATTGGATCAGGACCTATGTGGGGGTTAGGTTCACAGTGTTGCCATTATTAGAAGCTGACGGACTGGCCTTTTTTTATTGTTCTATTCATAGCACAGCAGCATTATCTTGTACTAGATTGATGGTACCAAGCTTCATTATGAAATCTTAAACTATTTCTAAAATTTTAGTTTCATGTATTTCTAGAAAATGAGTGAAAAAAAGAAATCTGGCATAAGTCATAGGCATTACCTTAAAGAGAGTACTCAGGCTAGTACACTACTGCCTCCTACTGTCAGTTTGAGGAAAGTGAGAGAGCCCTACTCATCCTTATTTCTATTTACAGGTTTACAGACAAGTGGCTTTCTTCCTTCAAAGGACAATTTTGTGCAGATAACCTAGGAAGAAATATTGATGTTCTCTGAATTTCCCTGAATTCTTCCCTTGCTTAGACTGCTAGATCTGTGAAAAAAAATCCAGCAAACACCGTGAGCATGGATCTTTTTCCATTCCGAAAAAGAAATTGGTTTTAAAGGTAATTCAGAAAACATCTGTTCGTTTAAATTCTATTTCACATTATTTTGTTGTTAAATTTTTCATTTTTCTCTTCTTCCCACTTTCCCTACAGGACCTCACATCACATCTCTAAGAAAAAGAAAGAGAAACAAAACTCTATATTATTTTTAAATCTTTTAGCAGCCTTCTCCTAAATAAAAATATTAACAAGTATGACATGAGTTAATATAGCAGGAAACATAACAATTCATTAAATACAGATAAATGTTTAAAAGCTGTAAGTTATCTAAAATATGAAGGGAGTACATGACTACATGACAACTCAGGATAAATAGAAACTACTTATTTCTATAACTAGCATATTTGGATCAATGATTTGGGTGCTGGTTGTAGAGTCCTCTGCAATCAAACTGCAGTTTCAATTCTGATGGTTTTTGCCGAGTCAAAGAATATGAACCTTTATTTTAAAGATGAGATTTTTGATCAGCAAAATAAGTCAAGCAAAGAGGACCTTTCTCAGAAGCTGCTCCCTTTTAATGAGGAAAATAGTAAAAGGAATAGGTCAATGTCACTTCAGTTATTTTTTTGCAAATAAAACACCAAAGTTTGATTCCTATGAAACCCCAGGCTGCACTGAGGTCTCTGTAAAATTGGTTTCTGTAAACAACTCATTTTTAACACAGCATTGGCAGAGCTTGTGCTTCCTGAGACTGTGGACACACCATCAGATTGGGCCACACAATCCCCCTCTTTCCCTTTACTGCTGTAGATTCTTGCCTCAGGCTTCTCTTGTCAGCAGGGACTGTTTCCTCAAAGACCTGCTTCCAGTCTGTCTTCTCGGGGCTTTGGGCTTTGGAGCACCTCCTGTCTCTATGGTAACACAAAACACAAAGACTAGAAATGTACCATACAGAGGGCAGAAAAGAAAGAAATTAGAGTATAGTACTCCTGGTAAGCTAAAGAAGGTTCTGACAGCAGGAAAATGGACAAGGAGGACAAGATACAGTAACTGTTAGTTGTTCCATTTCACATACATCCTCTTAAAAGAGCTATAAGTGTTAGCACAGAAGCCTTAAAGTATGTGGAACTTTATAATCCATGTGGTATTTGAAATTAAAAAAATATTGGAGACCCATATTGGCCATAAATACTTGGCAATTCATTAAGTTACTGAGAGAAATAAGAATTCTCGGTGGAGACACAATGCACAAAAAGAATAAATTACATCAAGTATTACGGTATGGTTTATGTTAAAGACAAAGAAAAATATGTTACTATCAAATGGCAGAATGTTCTCTTTTTTATTTTTCAACTCTAAATACAAATTTTCCTACTTTATTTCAATCTGGGGCATCATAGTAAATGTAGCATCTGTTAGTTCAGTGGTTCAAAATAATCAGAAGGTTTATGTCCTCAAACTGTTGGTCAGTTCCATTTGGTTTCTTGGTCACAAGCAGCACCCTGAACTCAGAAGTGTTGTCTCAAAAACATGGTGGAGTATATGAGGAAGAGTAATGCTGTCAATTTAAACCCCAAAATATTTAAGAAACACACACACCTACACATTAGGAAAGATATATTATTCATATAGATATCTAATAAAAACATACATTGTCATACATATGTATCCTATCAGGATTTTAAAAATATTTCATGCAAGCCTATGACGTGTTGTTGAATATCAGTGTTGAGAGCTTGTTATGAACTTTAGAATGCCTATTAAAAAAATGCTGTAGAGATTGCTTGGCTGCTGGGCCTCAGGGCAGAATCTGCTGACACATTGCAAGCATTTAAACTCATAGATTAACGAAGTTGGTTCTGACCTCTGTTCCTTGAGGTAGTTAGTACCCCAACAATTAGACCAGCAGAACTTCAGGGATGCTAATCATACACTTACTTGCAGAACCCTGTTATTAGGATCTAAGAAGACTTCTTTCCTTAGTCTTTTTTTTTTTTTTAACTCAATCAATGAAAATGCAGCTATAAGCTATAGCCACTAGAGGTCAGACGGCTACACCTGTCACCAATCATTAAATTTGATGGGGCATTATAGTTCCCTGAATAACTTTTGGTGACTTAAAAAATATAGAACAGAGTACACTCATTTACAACTATTATGGTAAAATAATAATATGTTTATTAATTAATTATTCTATTTCTAAAGGTCTTAGATTTTGCAATGGTACTACTTTTCTCTATTGGCTTTCATTTTATTTGGAAGGGGAAGGAAAACATTGCAATAATGGAATCTAGAAACCTTTGCAATTGATGGAATCTCATGATACGAAAAGACCGCTGTCTGGAGTAGAACACGGAAGCAATGTGTTCTGTAGTTTTACCAAACACATTTGGTAATGCAACTCTTACGAACCTTCCGATCTGAATCATTTTATTTATCTAATCTAATCTCTTGCCTTTTTTCTCCTGGTATATACAAATCTTATTGTACCTAGTTATAGCTTTACTTATTAAAGATTATTATAATGGGAGGTGTTACTCCTTGTCTTTCCAATGAGGTTTATTATGTGGCATATCACACATACTTTGTTAAAAAAACAACAAAATGCCGGGCTCAGTGGCTCATGCCTGTAATCCCAACATTTTTTTGGGAGGCAGAGATGGTAGGATTGCTTGAGACCAGGACTTTAAGATCAGCCTGGGCAATATAGTAAGACTCCGTCTCTACAAAAAATTAAGAGAAATAATTAGCCAGGGCATGGTGGCACACACCTGTAGTCCTAGCTACTTGGAAGGCTGAGGTGGGAGGATCACTCAAGCCTGGGAGGTTGAGGCTGCAGTGAGCCATGACTGCACCACTGCACTCCAGTCTGGGCAACAGAGTGAGAGCCTCTCTCAAAAACAAAAAGATTAAAAAAAATTTTCAACTATAACACAATCCACAAATAAGGAACTCAAATTTAGTTATAACAAAATTATGTTCACTTTCTCACCAACTTATTAATAAAATAACTGTTTTAAGTGTTTTTTTTTTCCATTTCAGGCTATATTTTACAAGACTCATTATAAAAACAATACTAGTATGTTAGAGCACTTACTAAGTGCCAGGTTTGCACAAAGTGCTTTACAAAAATCATCATGTAGCCTAAGAAAGTATGATTTTTATACTCTCTAATTCACAATGAGGAAGGAGGCTTTGTGGGATTAAGAAACCTGTTCTAATTAAGAGGCAAGTTAGGGTGGAGCTCTGATGCAAGCTCAAGTAATCCAATTCAGCTCCTGGCTCCAAACTATAGCACTTTAATAACATTTTTAAACTGTAAATGCTGTAAAAGAAGCAGGAAGTATTTCTATATCAGTACAATGAACCAAAAAGAAACTATGAGACACTTCATTTTTACTGATATTGCTTCTGACAAATATCCTAAAAATATAGTTAGCTCTCTAGTTAAAGAGAACCAGGAATGTTAATTTCCAGGTTTTCTGCTTATATGGTACAGAGTACTGTCCATACTTATCTTTGCTGTATATCTACTGACAAGAGCAGCAAAATTTATGGCCCAGGTTCACTAGTACATTGGAAAATATTAGAAGCTAGTTATTTTGATGTTATTATACATAAATCCTCACATTTTAACAAATACTACCCAATTTGTACGAAGGGTCCAGAGTCATAAAATTATTTTTCAGTTGTTTTCTTTTTTAACAAAAATGAGCTAACCACAAAAATCTTGCTCTATTATTTATTTAATAATCATTTATTGACAGGGTCTTGTCTGTCGCCCAGGCTGGGGTGCAGTGGCACCATTATAGCTCACTGTAGCCTCAAAATCCTGGGCTCAAGTGATCCTCCCCCTTCACCCTCCTGAGTAGCTGGGATTACAGGTGTGAGCCTCCATGCCTGGCTTCAATCTATTTTAAAGGTTAAAGTTTTAGCATATAGTTTTCTCTCACTAGCAAGCTATGCTTTAGGACACTATTCTTCTATTAGGAAATAGTGCAGTTTCTTAAAATGCCTTTAAATTTTTTAGCTGTACTTATGCAGAAAACTCTATATAAAATACTGCATTAAACTCTATATATAATACTGCATAAAACTGTCTGTATAACAAGGAATACCCTATTCCCTAGTCTGAATCATTGTCTATAATAATCTTTCATCCCTCAAATCTCAATCAAATATGACCTCCTGATTTTCCAAAACATAGCGATGCCAACTTGTATTGTATTTCTCTCATATGTTTTGTATCCTAGTTAGCCTGGTGTTGTAGTTTTTTGTGCCCCTGCCTCATACTCAAGTCTAGTGATGACCATAAACTATTCAAAGTAGAGTCTATGTACTTCCCATTCTTTGTGTTAAAAGCGGTACTTTAATGCAGATGTGTCATATTTCATCATAAGATTCTACATTCAAGAGGACAATGTTTCATAATTCTTTGGTGTACTGCAAGGCACAAGATAAAGAATATGCTTTCATTCATTTAGTCAAAAGTATGAACAGTGGGCCATGCTGCTTTATGTTTCAGGGATATGGCAGAGAATAAACAGACACAGTCCCTGCCTTCAGGAAGCCTACAATCTAACCACATTCATATATCTATATCGACAGAGAGATTTGCTTATTACCTTCCCTATGTAACAAGTAGAAACAGTAAGAACAGCTTGGATTGTGTTGAGTAGTCAGTCAAACCTCTCATTTTTTTTCAAAGCCGTATTGAATCTGGAATCTTTTATGACTTTTAGCAAAATTAGGGTCCATTTTGTCTTAAATACTAAATACAAACATTTAAGTCCTGTGGTTGTGTTAGATTCTAAAAGAAAATACATAGAGCTGGGGGTGGGGTGTCATCTGTAGCAGCAGATGATGAATGAAGGGAACATAAGCAATGTGAAGGTAATAGACACTAATTAGAGGAAATCTTCTAATCCAGACTAATGAACTAGGATATTTAGGGGACTCATTGAAAGACAAGAGGCAGGAAATAAAAAGGAAGCTATGTAGAAATGCAGGCATGAAGTGATAAAATCTGGAAGAGTTTATAAAGGGTGCATTGGGCAGAATTTGAAGAGCAGCATACGAAAAAGGAAATGGATTTATAACCAGAAGTCCTGAGTTTGAGACACGTTTGTCCCAGATGTCATTACAAATGGTGGCTTCCTCTAACGTTCTTTCACTGAGGTTAACCTCTTTTTACTTTCCTTGTTGTCAATGCTATACTAAAGAGGAAGAATAAAATGAATTCATCATTCCACCTGGGCCTCTCCTAAGAGATTAGTGTTCCAGTTTTCCATTCTCTTCACAGTCAGTCTGAAAGTAGGTCTTAATCCAATGGTGATGATGGTAATGCTACCACTTATATAATGTGCCTGTGTGTCTGCCAGCCACGAGGAGGAACTTGAATAACATTTCTCCTGTTAATTCTGACATACTCAGTGAAGTTGTTGTTAATATTCCCATTCTGCAGGGGGAGGAAAAAAAAAAAAACAAGGCCAAGGAGCCAGCTGTTATCTGTGAGACTCTGACAACGTTCTTGGTTTGCTGCTGTGGCTTTCTTCTGGGCCTTCTTAAGAGAACTCTGAATATCTCAGGCAAATTAAAAACCCTTTTATGGGATGCAAGGTTGGGAAGCATCTGTTGTCTCCACAGATTTGGAGCTTTCTGCCTGAGCTTTCTGCCACGGAGCAACCTTTATGTTTATCAAGCTGTACGCTTATTGATTTGTTTGTTCTATGGATTTACAGAGAACCAAAACAATGTTCCCCGGCTCATCTGGTTAGTTGCAAACGGTACATTTGTGACAGCTTAGATCAGAGGGTGTTGTATTATGGGGTTAGTTTATATATAAAAGGAAAAATTGCAAAGGTTTCTTCTTGGCTTTATCATTTACTTTTTATATCTTGGAACAATGCTCTTCATCTGTTTAGACTTCAGCACCTTTCTTTGTTTACTGGGGATGATTAAACAAGCTAAGCCTACAAAGGATTTTTATGACAAAAACAACATATGCAAAAGCTCTTTGAAAAGTACAAATCATACTCATCACAAATCTTGAAAGTGGCTGGGTTTGGGCCTCTTTTCTGATGGTTACAGCAGATAGATCAGTAACAGACACTAACTAAAGATAGATAACTCCGGGTTAAAACAGAGTCATAGAAGCTTTGGGAATAATTGATCAACATATGTCTTTCAAGGTTGTACAAATAAAGAAAGAACTTTCATTTCTAAGACTTTCAATGTAATCTATCTCATCAGCAAACTGGTTTATGCTTACACATAGTATCGTTAAATTCCTGGTTACAATGATAAATCCTATGATGTGTATTTATGTGCTAATTTGCTGGGGATAAGGTGGGTGGATATCCAAATTCAGAATAATATGTCCTATGAGAATGGCAGCTGTAATACATATGAATTACAGCTCTTTGTCATTAAAATAACCTGACAGCTTTCTCTTACAGCATGGTAACAGCAATACACTTAATATGAAGTTTGAGGATTTCAGGGCACCTAGAGTTATCAAGGTAAGAAATAATTTATGGAAAGATTATTGGGGAGTGTAGGGGTGAAGGGTGGGAAGGAGATTTTCTTAGAGTCAGAGAAATATTTCACATTTTCTTAAATATTGGTGCTTTTTAAACTGACTTCCTTCTACTCTTACCTTCAAATATCTTGAAATATACCTTCAAATATATCGAAATATCTGTGACATTTGTTTTGAGTAGTAATGAATACATTATGCTCATGAATAAATGAGAATCAGAAACAGACAAAGAAGAACAATTGACATCTCTTGTTTAATTTCACTGAAGACCTCTTGTTCTTATATCCTTGCCTTTTCCAAGTTCTTGCTGGCTATCAAATATAGGTCTCAAAGAAGCAGGTATGTGGACACATTAGCGCACAGAGCATCCACTGAATCCTCCTTTGAGGTGGTTATTGTTTATCTCCATTTCCCAACAAAAACACTGAGCCCAGAAGTTAAGTGGATTACTTTAATGACAGAGCAAGGAAAAGACAGAACCAGAATGAAAACCTGTAAGTCTCAGTTTCAAGGGGTACTCTGTCATCGCCTAGATCATGGATTCCTTGTTCTGTTGAAAGGGGGGACTCTCTTGTAATACAAAGAGATGATAAATAGAGATGGAAAAGTGGTATCACTGTTGGTTGTGTAGAAGAAAATAATATACTGGAGCTGCAGGAGATCTAAGCAGCTACAGGCTTAAAGATTTTGTAGTAACAGTTGGAGTAAGAAAAAATAAAGTTCTATTGATCATAAATCTTGTTTTCATGTGGAAGATATGTGAGGACTGCTACAATTATTTTGAAATTCCTGTGTTTCTCTTTTATTTGGTTTTAATCTGAGATAAACTAAAATCTATAGTCCAAGTTAACATTGCAGTAGTTAAAAGTTGGCAATCCCCAAACTAAATGTGCCACTGCATGTGACTCTGTGTATTTAGACTCAGCTTCATCAGTCACAAAATACTTTGTGATCTATAAGATCCTTTTTGATTCAAAAGCTATTTGATTCTATAAGCAAATAAAATTACATTGAAAATAATGTTATAAATATTTGTTAGTGGAATCTGCTATAGGAGAAAGAAGTAGATAAACCCCAGAAAATGTGGCACTCAGTCATTCATCTTTTTTTCTGAAACAAAGGGAACCGGAAGAATTCTAACTTCAGATAATATGATTACAGGCTAGTTCTAAGCTGTAAATTTGCCAGTTACTACAGGCCTTATTTAGTACCTTAGAGATGTCACTTACACCTTTTATCTTACACTGTAAGAATAAAATCACAAAGGATATCTATTCACATCAATGTTCTACTCAAAAGAGGAAAAAAAATTCGGCTCACAGGTGACTGTCATGCAAGAGTACTCAGAGGTTCGAAAAGAACAAATAAGAAAGCACTTTGGGCTCTTCAGGAAAAAAAAAAAAGTACTGCTATTTAATAAACTCAAGGATCTTTTCCCATTGAGATAATGTATAAAATGTGTTCACGGACAAAACATGGTATTCATTTTTAACATACTTATGTTTTATACACATTTACTTTGTTGTAGCAAATATAATCTCTGAGTTATTTCGGGCTAGGGGTATAGAAAGTTTTGCGGGAGAATAGGAAGCCTTTTGCCTGGCTTGTGTCAGAGGTTTATCAATTTACACAACCAGGGTAAGAACATTCTAAAGCAGACCCTATCATCACACATCCTCAGGCAAAACCATGTGCACCAAAGCATTACAGAAATAGCCTTCTGAAGTAGAATAGAGCACTAGGACAACAATGAAAAACATTGCAAACACCAGAAGCTTTCATGGTCTTTGACAAGTCATGGTATATAAAACAGTAACGACTTCAGAGCCATGGAGGTGCTAGGGGTTCATGTAAAAGCACCAACCATTTCTCTTTGTCTGCTCTTAGTTGAGCTTCCCTGTAAAGACTGAGTCTAGACCAAGAGGCAATATTAAAAACAAAAGGTTAGAGATCATCATGGGACATTAATTATGCAAAAGAAGGCAAAATGAATTTAATCAGAAGCAGCAGACTCAGTGCAGGAAGAATTTTCTCTTTTTGACAGAAGCAGTTAGGAAAACATTTATGGTAATACCACAGCATCTGCTGATTACAGTCAAAGCTGCAGGACACCAGCGTTAAATCACTGAGCCATCCTGACAGTTCCTGGGTACTCCAGTCACATCCAACAGCAATTTACAATGAAATTCATCCAAGTCTAAAAATCAGCCAACATGCCTCAACCAGAGCAAAATAACTTAGTTTGGACTTTTAAAAACAATTATAAGAGGGAATTATAGCTGATAAAACTTTTGATGGAGTATAAGTATTTGTCTCCAACAAATACAGTTTTAAAGAAAACACACCCATTTTTAGATCTATTAATATGCTTTGTGATCAGTCATATTTTGGAATTTATAGGAAGAAAGGATTTTATGAGGCTAAGAATACAGGAAGTAGAGTTTTAACCCTTTTGATAAGACGTCAGGACAAAATCTGACATCTCCTCTTAGTGTCTTGAAATGATATATTGAAAAAACTCAGAGAATGTTAGGATAAATTTTAAACAATTATAACTTGGTTGCTAAGCAAATATGGATAAAATAAAAAGTTCAGAGAGACAATGAACCACAATGTAGTGTAACATAAGGATGATTATTCGATGAACTGCCCATAGAAGTACAGGCAGGACAACCACATGCCATTATTACCCACTGGGAATTGCTGAGATGGTAATTAAAATAATGAAATCCTATAGATATTAACAACTAAAACTTTAATACTTAGGTGTTTCAGAGGGCTTTCTTGTGGTCAAAAACATATTGGTGTCTAAATTTAAATCTTTGAATGACACAAGAACCCAGAGAACAAAAGATTGTATTGAAGCCTTCAGAGATTAGCATTCACAAAAGTAAATGTCTCATATTTTATCCAAAATCAATACCAAAGATTTTCTTCCCCCAGTTGCTTTGGGAGTTCAGCTAAATATTATTCATAACATGAGAGATTAAAAGAAGAAGGAAACAAAAACTTTAAAATGGCTATTTTTGAAGGAAGCCATAGAAATTGTGGTCATAAGGGATGGCTCTATTGTTGTCTTTTTCTCAGCTTGATAAATTGTTTCAAAGTATGTTGGCCAAGCTAATCACTAGCACAATATTCACCTGCAATTTTAAAATCTGAATTTCTTTATTCTTTCCCCAAACATATTAAAAATGTCTCTAGACTTCTATTTATAGATATGACCTATTGATGGTAAAAGTGCACCTGAATAATCAAAACCACTGACAAAAAAATAATAACTGAAAAGGTCAAAAAGTGGATCAATTGAACATTTCAACCTCACAAGTAAGTCCAAACATAAATGAATAATGAATCCATAAATGTTTATTGAGCACCTATATGCATAAGACACAGAGCTAGGAACCACCAAGAAGTTTAAGGTACTGTCATTGGTCTGAAAGGGACCAGGGACAAAAGAGGAGCTTATGTTGACTCATTTTTAGTGTCACTCAAGTGTCAAATGAATTGTGCACATAATAAATACAATAGAATTTTGGTGGAGTGAGGTCCACCTAGAGATAGTTTAAGTGAAATCATGCTTCATAAGGGCAGGGTCTCATTTCAGTTTTGAGTAACAATAGGATTAGATACATCAGAAACAACTTGCAGGGAACTTTACGTAAAGGAAAAATCTATTAAAAATGCTACCAAGTACCCATTTAGTGGATGGTTAGGATTCAAGACAGGCCACACTCATGCAGATGAATATATGAAGACAATGAAAAAAACTCACATAACATGGGTTAACTAATACTAACATTTTAGTATCAAATTATGTTGGAAATTTCACATAGAAGATGTTTATGTAATAGAGTTTCACCAAAAAGCAATCAACTACGTAGACTGGGTTTCATCTTTATTATGTACTAGTCAATCCCCAGGCACAGAAAGAAAGCAATGATTGAGGGAGAGATAATTGTGAATCTCTTGTTATAGAAAGTTAAAGATTGCAAGAATTTAGCACCTTCTTTCTTCTGCTGCAAGAAAGTCTCCTGAAAGGCCACAAGATTTCTGAGGAAGCTTAAATACAGGGGAGAAAGTAAAGAAGGCCTGGACTACCTGGGGAGAGAGGCATTCTAATCAGTCAGAGAGAAGAATTTGAGCCTCAAGTATTCTGTTAGGAGTACGGCGGCCTCCTGCTGTCCACACCCTGTCTCCTTCTTCACCCACACAAGAGGAAGGAAGGAATGAGCTGGGAAAATGGGAAGTGCAGGTGGTATGATAAAACCGATGAAGGATTGAAAATGGATTGCACTAAAATAAAAAACAAACAGAGTCGTCATCAGCAAACAGATGGCTCCTAATAGAGAATAAAATTTGATTAGACAGTTTCCCAAGTATATATCTGGTGCACCAGAATCAAGGAGAAATTTTTAGGCAAATCATGAAGGAAAACTTTCTTCTTCATGGAAGAAAGCAAAATTCTGAGTAAGAAACGAGAAGACTGCTATTCTGCAGGTTTGGATGGAGATATTATTTGACAGAAGTTGGTTTCCACGCTGATTTTGATGGCAGACGGTGGGGAACAAATTGGTTTTAGGGTGGAAAGATTTGGCAGATGTTGGGGGACAAGTTGGTTTTAGGGCGGACAGATTTGGCAGATTAAGAAAAAAAACTGTATTAAGCAGTGTGTGTGTGTGTGTGTGTATGTATGTTATGCAAGTGATGCTTTAAGTAAGCTGATCACAGAAAACTGAAGAAATTCAGACCATATAATTATGACCCTTCCAGGACATTTTTTTATGCTATGAAAGTTGCTACTCTATCCAAATAATGTTAAACACAGACATCCAGATTAAAAGAACTGGAAGGTCATCTAATTTGCACAATGTCACTTTACCCAAGAGGAAACCAAGGCCCAGAGATATTAACTCATGTGTTTTCGACTTGCTCATGGTGAAGAAAGGATAACATGATGGTTACCTAGCTTCCAGGTGATGGGGTTGGGCAACTGAAGTTGAAACATCAACTCTGCTCCTTTATTTTTCACTCCATTAAAAGTCCAAAATTCAGTCTAATTTCATTTGTCTGTGAGCACTTTATGCCATGATACACTGCATTTTTATAGGGCTTTATGTGTTTCAATGCATTCTTATATACATTACTTTACCTTTTCTTCAGCATGAGCAGGCAAGAATTACCAAGTTGGCTGGACAGATGCAGAAATTCAGGCATAGTAAAGTTAAACAATTTATAAAGCAAATTAGTGAAAGAGCTTGGCCTATGTTCAGCCATCCTGCTCTTGTCACTAGATCATATTACATTTGCTGGTTGGTATAATTTGCCCTAGACTGCATTTTCTATACAGAAGAGGAATTGTATTTACTTAATGTAATGAAAACATTGCACATTTGTAACAGTGTTGTTTTCTGCTATTTTTCATTACAACTGCATAGTGTTACAGCTACATTATGGGTTAAATAGACTCTTGAGGGCTAGCCTGGGAACCTAACCACCATTTATAACATTCTTTCTATGGGAAATTGCTTTGTGAATTCCAAAACAACTGATTTAAAAATTAACTTTGGGAATACACTGGTTTCAAAGTAGAAGATTGTTGGTCAGACATTTCATGTGATTGGTTGCTTAATTCATGCAATTGAAGCAAACAATAATGGATTGCCTACTATGCATCTACCAGCCATTGTGCTGAGGCCAGGGATGCAAGGATGAACAAGATCTTAGGCCTTGAGGCACTCATATCTATCAGAGAGAAACAAATTATTAAAACAAATAAATTATAAATAAGTGCTAAAATAGAGCTATGGGAAAAAATACTGCAGAAGCAAAGAGGACAGAGGAACTAGACCTCCAGGGGATTTACTATGAAAGTAACATTTGTGTTGGGTCTTGACATGTAAGTAGGAGTCTGTCAAATAAAGAAGAATAGTAGGGCATTGCGGGTAGAAAAAGAAGCAAATACAAAATGCTGGGAGGTAAAAGGGTCTGGTGTTTAGGGAGAATGATGGCAGCAACACACAGGAAGGCAGGATGGCTGTTAATTATCAGTTGCTTTTTAGTCATTAAAAATTTAAGTAATTTCTTATCTTATCTTTTTGGATTTTCCAAAGGAAAGGGGATGACTAGATTGAGAAAATTACACAGACCCTTGCCCTGCATGAGAGAGAAGAATTTCTGCTTACTCATATCATTAGTCTTGTTTTTTATCCCCATGGGTCATACTGTCAACCTTGAGCAATGTTTTGCTGAACTATGAGATCAGATCAAAGATTATAAAAGCTTACTTACTGATATCTAGGTGTTTAGGAAATATGGTAAAAGACCAGTAGTTAAAATAAAACCTGGCACATTTGAACCATTTCCATATGCTTGCTTCTGTTAAATTAATATGCTTTATATCAGCAAAATTATAATCTTTTTGACCACAAGAAAAGGTCTCACTGTGAACATATGATGATTAAGGAATATTCAGAATAAAACTCAACCTGAAATTTCAGTCTGTATATAGATCAATTTTAGTTAAAGCATGTAGAACGAATAAAATAAGCAAAAGACAGGAAGCAAAGCTAGAGAAAGGGAAAGAAGTAAACAAGGAGGAAAGAATGTTTTAGCTCAAGTGCATTTAAAATGTGTGAGAAACTTTTTTATATTCAAGTACATAATCCATTTGCAGAGGGCTGACTGAGGGTGTTTGTGACTATGTAAACTGTATTTCTTTCATGTATAACATAAACAAAAGGATACAGTCCACTGATCCTTTGTAAACATTAGTTAAAAATAATCCTGACTCTTCAGTGTGAAGCTTATGCAATGTTCATGTTAGGACTCAAATACTTCATTCAGCCTAAGACAAGTCAAAAAGGATTTTAAAAAGCTAAGTATAGAATTTAGAATGTAGAATACCCCATGTATAGTTCACAGTATTCTCTGTTCTATGGTTTTGATAAAAATACTAGAATAAAACTTATTTTTTTAATTACTTGGTACAGATTACTCATAGCTTTGAGAAATTCTTTTTTTTTTTTTTTTTTTTTTTTTTTAGAAAAGAATACAAACTTTTACTCTTGATAGCTTAGCTATTTTTCTGAGTACCTGAGAATATATCTATGAAATCTGATGAGGCAAAAGGAAGGTTGAGGTTTAACATTTGAGGGCTAATAAGAGGTATGAATGGTAAATAAATAATTATGAATTTTGAGCCAAAGAGGTCATTTAAATCATTTCTAGTTGTATCCCTTTTTTCAGACCTTTTACATCCCCCTACTTCCCTGACTGACACCCCCAACCCCCCCATCCCCCGACACCAAATAAGGTCTATATTATTGGCTGTGTCTGGAATTCTTGGTAAGGCTCACAACTATAATCCATCTTCTGGACACTAAAGAATGCTGAAGCCCAGCCTTACTCCATTCTCCTGTTTGAAGGTGACAATGTTATAGTCATAGAACCTTAGGTTTCCTTTTAATGACAAGGAAACAGGCCCAGAATGGTCAAAAGATATGCCTCAAATGACACAGTGAAATAGTCAGGGTACACTCTTTTGCCATGCAGAAATCGACCCACCACCACCACCTCCATCAACCATAACCTACTCTATTAGGCCTCTGAAAATTCAGCCTGGTGCTCCTCCTTTATTACACCAAACAGCCGCTCCTTGTTTCATGTTTTCCAGGCTGTGTATTGCTCCCTGGGAGTTATTTTGGGTCTAATTTACCTGTCAAAAGTGTGAAATACTGATTATAATAAAATCTTTCTTCTGACTCCAACTCTTTCTTTAATCACAGAGCTTACATTCTATTGGCAAAGGCAGGCATTAAACAAATAATCAAACAAATATGTAATTATAACTTGTAAGTACAATGAAGGAAAAGTAAAGGGTACAATTATGAATGTAACAAGGGACCTGATTTAAGTTTTAGAGGGAAGGCAGTCACAGGAAAATTACTATGAGAAAATTATATTTCAGAACAGAACAAGAAAGAGTTAGCAAGACAGGTTTAGTGGAAGAACGGCATTCCAGGTAGAGGGAACAGCGTGAAGGCCTCCGGTGGAAGGCGCTTATGACTGGAAAGTAGTGACCAAAGAGAAGAGTGACTGGACTGAGACGGAAGAGGTAGCCTGGGCCTGTGGGTGAGGGTGTTCTGGGACATTGTATGAACTGAGATTTTATTATTTTATTATTTTATTCAAAGAACTACAGGAAGCCACTAAAAGATGTTAGGTAGGAGTATGGGCTGGCCAGATGTCCTTTTATAAGCTCTTTGATATCATGAAACTCAGTTCTTTGTCTGATTCTGATTGTCAAAACTCAGGCTTAAAAGTGTATGACATTATTCCAAGGAATTAGGAAAATTATCAGTGCAAATCCCTCTCTCCTACTTGTAAAGACAATTTAAAGTAGATGCTCTTGGATGGTCTTTATATAGTATCGGAATTATTTGCAATCTCACATGGAAACTCATTGCGGAACAAAAACAGCGTATTTCCCAATCTTAGAAAAAAGTCACAAAGTTTATGCAAAATTCATGAAGCACGTGATGGGATATCTCAAAAACAGTAAAAATGATAATGTTTTTAATAAAAAGAGAAAGAAAATTATTGTAAAATGATATGATAAATTTGAGTTTCTTACTTGCAGAATAAACTTGAAGCTTTAATTTATATAGGGAATTATATTTTTAAATCTGAATTTTAAATGATCCTTATAATCCTCATTTAGAAAGCAAGGCCAAAAGTGAATTTTCAAGGAAATAGTTTCTGAAATAAATTATGAAATGATGACATGTTTAGTATACAACCTTCTAAATTCAACATAAAGAAAAATCTTAGTAATATCCTAAAATGTGATTCTTCAAATAAGTGACTTCATTCTTGTGATCCCTAATTGTTCTTGTGGTGCTATATATAAACCAAAGTCACCAAATACTCCACTTTCAATTTGTCTACCATTATAAGAAAGGACAGATATGAAAGATATTATATATTTTTGTCTTTGAAATATTAAGAACCAATAGTTAGCCTCAGTGACATCAAGAAAAATAATCGAAGAATGGACTTAGTCAAGGTAAAATGAAATAGGAGACTGGTAAAAACTCAGATAATTGTGTATGACTCCAACCATCACAGGATACTCAAGATTTATTTGCTATAGAATGAAAATCTCGTCTCAGGTCAGGGTTTATTCCGAGAATAAGTGTATGAGGTTGATACACTGATTTTGGTCTAGTTTACTATAAAGGAAGTTATTTTACTCTTCATTTGTTGCACAGTTCTTAGTTGAAAAATTTAAAGCTTTTCATCCAAAGGTTAGATAATACATTACAGGAAAGCATAATTTCATAGTTTCTGAAATTAAATTTGTGTCTTAGTTGGGTACTTCAACAACTTAAGAAGAAAAGTCACTGAAAACATTATAAACTAGCTAATTTTTATAGCTTCTAAAACGCTTGATTGTTAAAATAAACAATGCTCTTGGGATGCCTACATTTCTGCTTAATAAAGTAAATTAGCCTTTATAAAGTTTCTTAGTGAACATATGACTTTAGTAAATGCTTCCTTTGTTCCTGGTTCTTGGGAAAATATTATTGAAAACACAAACAAAGTAAAAAAAAAGTTACAGTTGTAGAATGAAACAAAGTTGTTCAGTCATTGGAAACATCTGGTACTGAAAGTGGATTTCTTAATTATTGAGAGGGCCCTAAAATATAAATATTCACAGGTTCAAAAGAGTGCTGCCAAATAGGTTATCAAGCAAAAAATACGCAACCACCTGGAGAACAAAATCCATCTGTCTGACTGAATCTAGTTGAAAATAATTTTTTAGACTTGTTAGTAAAACCCTCATGTAAAATTTATTTGATTGAATAATTTACTAAGAATATTTCCATAAGCATCATAAAGTGCTACAGTCGATAAAAATGAATATACTAATCATCTTTCTAACTTTGAACCACTGCCATAGCTTCTAGTGCATATATTTTGTAGGTTACTAGTTAGGCTTCATTTGTACCTGTGATCTCAACTTGAACACAGGATTCCCATCAATAAAGTGTGGCCATCCCATTAAAGGCCCACTTTACAGGGAAAAGGGAGACAGTCTAATATTCCTGGTTGTAGCTGATATTTACTTGAAGGCAAGCAGCATAAATGTCTTTAAAGATGTGCACCCTGGTGCTTTTGTCTTCCCCAATGCTGGAACTCAGGTGATGGCAAAAGTTAGAATGAGGAATGCCAGGAGGAATAATACTAAATCTATATTCTCTCTCTCCTGGAACTTTTGTGCTTGAAAAGAACTTGCTGTTACAATCCAGATGGTTCCTCCCTTCAAACAGAAATAAAAGGTAGAATGCATTAAATGAGATAATACAATGCACAAAGCACAGTAGAAAAGTCACTAGACAAATATTAGTTCTATTAAATGGCCATGGTCTCCTCTCCTAAGTATCAGAAAACTGTAAAAGCAACATTCTTAACAAAGAAGAGAGATCTCCAGTCAGGTAAATGATCTGCTAAAAAGTGAAATGTCAATATACAACCAAGCTGGATTAATGGTTTTAATACTGAAATGTACACTTTACCCTTTCTGAAGACTAAAACATGTACTTAAGAAGTTAGTACTAAAACTTTTACCAGCATAAGAGTATTCCAACAAAAAAATTAAGTACTAGAATAAAATGACCCTTATCTAAATAAGAATGACAATTTAAGCTGAGTCAACCAATTAAAAAGATATGCACTGGTACCCTTTCTTCTAATTTAATAATATAAAAGAGGTCTTTAAAAAATTATTTGTTCTACCACCAAAACCTCTTAATGTGGTCATCTTTAAAAATAAAACAGTAGAACTAGAACTAAGTTAACATACACCGTTATATTCCAAACAAAGGAAAACAACAACTTACTAAATCCTCAAATGAAAGGATTGAAAGGTTGAGAGGTAAGGATGCAGCTCTTATCTTTCATTAAAAAGGATTTCCATTTTACTGCACCCAATCCCATTCACTAGCTTCTATTCAGATGACATGGTTCCGTTGATCTTATGCTTTTAGGCAGAGATCCATCAAGATAATCCACTAAAAATCAAAATGGCATGTTACTGAAATTAACAATCACTTTTTAGAAATAGCTCAATGGATTTCATATTATCTGGATTGATTTTTGAACATTAAACAACAGATGGATTTTAATAGTACAATATTAGAATATAAAATTTAGAGCAATCTAAAAACCCATCAGTTGCTATGATTACAGTATAAGAACATGTGGAGTTATTTCTTGGAGACAATGCCATGTTCTCTTACATCACAAACCTGTTACCATGACAGGGAGGACAAATGCCTGCTATATAGTGCTATGCATCCCATTACGGTGGGTTCATTCATATTTATACAGTCTGTGATGTTGATGCAATCACTTTAGATCTCACTGTTATTTCAAACAAATCCATAACTGAGCAAAAGGCAGGATGTTGACAGGCATTAATGTGGGTTTTATGCTGTTTACAATTGCTTTCTAATCTACTAAATGGCTGTGAAAATTGATGCACTTTTAAAAGTATTTTTATATACTAGTACAGACAAAGAGTTGGTTTGCAGTAATTTCTGTAATGCTAAATTGAATTTTCTATGGTGTTTTTCTTATTTGTATGTGTTAAGTAGGTTCCCGATTTTATGTAAATCATTAATAAACCAAAAACATCTTCTCATTTTATTAATTGACATGTATTTGCTTCTGCTTGCAGAAAGAAAGTAAAAGTAAACTTGTAATTCTATCCTAGTTAGTTGCAAAATAAACTTTTAATTGTATTTCAAATGAATTAGGGAATCATATTCCCAAGAGATTTGGATTATCCTATTCTAAACCTCTGAATCATTTAACTTGAGTAGGAACTTGACTAACACATGGTATGTTGAGGGCTTTATAACCTAATGATAGTTGTAAAAATTCAGAAATTCCAGCCTGAAATATTAGGAATAATACCTCCTCAAACTACTCCACATGCTGACAATAGGATAGGTAAGACAGCAGAAAGGTTTTTAGAAGAGGGGATTCAGGGCCGGGCGCGGTGGCTCACTCCTGTAATCCCAGCACTTTGGGAGGCCGAGGCGGGCGGATCACGAGATCAGGAGATCGAGACCATCCTCGCTAACACGGTGAAACCCCGTCTCTACTAAAAATACAAAAAAATTAGCCGGGCGTGGTGGCAGGCGCCTGTAGTGCCAGCTGCTCAGGAGGCTGAGGCAAGGGAATGGCGTGAACTCGGGAGGCGGAGCTTGCAGTGAGCCGAGATTGCGCCACTGCACTCCAGCCTGGGCGACAGAGCGAGACACTGTCTCAAAAAAAAAAAAAAAAAAAAAAAAAAAAAAAAAAGAAGAGGGGATTCAACTCATATACCAATATCTGTGATTATTTCATGTAATTTATTTAAATATCACTACAAATAAATACACTCTATGTGGATGGTCATTAAGTCATCGCAGCTACCAGGAAACTGCACTGCCTCTTTAGCTCTGACAGAGTTATTATTAGAGATATGTGACAGATCTAAGAATCATTCTTCCCTGTGAGGCCCACCATTGGAACAGCCTGGAATCTGAGGATGGGAGGTTGGGTTTTCACTTCCACACAAGCTATGAGAAAAAGATTACCTATTGATAAAAGGAAAGGATAAATGTTCAGGATGTTTAAAAACAACTTTAAATCATTCAACTAATTATCAGCTACTTGATTATTGTGCCAATGTCTTGTATTTCCCAGAAAAGGGTTAGATACAGTGAATAATTATGCTTTCATTTTAAGATGTTAATCATGTTTGAAAATAATAGTTGCTTTTACATTCAATTTTGTTCAGAAGTAAATAACACTCCTGGCATTTTTTTTACATTATCTTAAATTATGGTAGTCAAAGAAAGTTATGTATTGGTAAAAAGAAAACAAGAAAGTCCAATAAAATGCATATGCCCAAATGTGCATAAACTAAAGAATGCTTATTGTTCAACCACTAAAATATGGACAGCATCCTTTCAATGATCTGTCTTCTCTCTCCTCATACTTACCAATACATTTCATGCTTTTGTCATTTTTCCCTCAACAAGTCATGTTGACATTTATGAAGTACACCATGAAGAAAATTAAATAATTGCTTGCCTGATTACAATTTCACTCTGAGCTTAATATGAGATTTTAAGTCTTTTCCTTGTGGTAAACTGATCTTCTCAAGGACTTAAAATAACTTAAAATGATGTCTTTTTAGTGAGGTAACACAAGCCTATTTTACTGCCTCAAACAACTAATAAAAGAAAAAAAATAAATGAAGTAACAACAGACCTTCCATGACAACCTGCTACATTTGAAAATCAGAGCTACCAAACACAACAGTTGCTGAAGCAACCTGAATATAAAAATCCTATTTAACAATACTTAACTAAGCAAAAATCCCTTTCATCTATCTTTTTAAAATCTCTCTTGCATAAATATTAGAACAAATGTGCAAAAAAGTTGCTAAATTAGTGCATGAAAAAGTATTACCAAAAGGAATAGCACAATAAGCCATATTCCTGCTTCCTTAAAAAATAGGAAGTAAGCAATATTCTTATTTCCTTAAATCAGCTTGAAGTAATCTATTTCCTATGAGTAACACAAATACTGGATGGCAAGGATTAACAGACCTAAAAGAATTAGGATGGCATGGTGCAGTGGTCCCCAACTGCAGCTTACATGTGTTCACTGAAGCAAAATGAGAAAAATAATGATTCGGGAAGTTAAATTTATACAAATTTAAAATTATGTCCTCTCTCCTTTTTGGTATTAAAACATGCTAAGAGTAAAATATTAGTGATTGCAAAGGATAATCTTTAATACCCAATTATTAATTCAACAGATACTGAACTTCTAATATGGGTCAAGCTCTGTTCTAGGAATAGTAGACAACAAAGTTGAAAAGGTCCCTGGCTCTCATGGAGCTTATATTCTAGGAGTAAGGCAGGAGGCAGCTCACAAGAGACACACAGGTAAACACATATGTTATAGGGTGGTCAGTACATTGGAGAAAAAGGCAGTGTCAACATGCTGAGGGTTGTGGTTGCTACTTTACAAAGAATGGTTGGAGTAGGCCTCTCTCACAAAGGGATAATGGAGCAGAGATCTGTAGGAATAGATGGAGTGAGTATACATATATTTTGAAGATGTTCCAGACAGAAGCAGCAAGTACAAAGACTGATGTGTTCTGGGAATAGCAAGATGGCTGGGACAGCTGAAGGGGAGTGAGCCAGGGCTGGAGTAGCAGAAATGAGGTCAGAGAGATGATGGGGACAGATGGTTTGGCCCTTGGTCTCTTACTTCACTGGAGGGTTTTGAGAAGAGTTATCTCATCCAATCTGACTTACTAATTTATTTCCCTGTGTCCCACCCTTTTCAGAAACACTTTGGGGCACAGAATGATCTTAAATCCAGGTTTTATCAGAAAGTGATTTCAGTAATTCACTCCATCTTAATTTATAGCTGGATTTTCTCCAGGGCTTCCTTACAGGACTTTGAACAGTTTGGAATCAGAGCCCACTGGGGAAAGTCCATGCAGTGACCTCCTATGGACTGTTGGAGCTAAATTAGAATGATAGGCTTACATGGATTTTCTAATCTTTAAATTAGGTGGAAAGAGCTATTATTTTTCTTCCAAACTTGAGTATGCAGCTCATTCACTTCTCTTACCCTGGTGACACCCACCCTTGCTGCTCCAACCGCACACACACTCTCCCTTGGTCAACCTTAAATGTGAACACTTCCCTGAGGGAGAGAGCTTGAGGTCATCTGTCTCCATGGCTTAAACACAGGCTTCGGCTTCAAACTTTACTCCTCTGTGCTAAATACATTTCTGAGTTGCAAATCTCGGTTTCTATTTGTATATGGTGTATCTCCTTCTTGTTCAAATTCCTCACGTCTGAATGGACATTGCTTTTCTTCTGAAAGAAAAAACTTGCTTCTCTTTACATTCCCCATTTTAGTTAGCGTTACCACCATTTTCCCATTTAGCCCATTATTTCTACCATGGGGAAAGATGAAGGGGGAGGAAAGAGCAATTCTAATAATGATGTATCTCCCCATAGTATAACACCTAATTGCCCCCTTCCCTTTTATCCAGCAATTACTCAGCTGGAAACCTTTGTAATAGTAGTCAAATATTTCTCTGGTGGGGACTTCCTGTTTGGAGGACTCTGGAATAGAGGGATGAATGTGTGCTTGCAGGGTGAATACACAGACACACACTAATTCCTTTATTAGGCCACAGTGATATTTTTTCTGACAAGTATCCCCAAGAATGTAACATTGGAGGATGTGGCAGAGAGAGAGAGCTCACCAAATATTCTACGTACTTTCTTTCATTTCCCATATCTTTCTGAAATTAGGTTTAAGCCATGTGAAAATCTCTGGTTCATGGGTATGACGTAACTTGTGGAATATTTAGGGTGAGGTAGTTAAGAGTCAAAGTATCTCCTCCATGCCTCTTTCCATGGTGCAAAGACCATGATCTTCCAGAGGATAAAGCCAGTTGATGGGGGGAAGTTGCCTGACCCACACTGGACTTCATATGGGAAAGAAATAAACCTTTATTGTGTTAAGCCCTTGAGATTCTAGAGTTCATCTGCTATAACGGTAAGTCTTTATGCTGAATAATAAAGATTGCTTGGTTATCCTTGTTAAATCAACCATAAATGTTAAAGAGTAGATTATTTTAGTACTTCTGGCATTCGGTAATTTATCAAAAATCATTTCCGTTAATAGTTCCTTTTATTATTTTAAGATAATTAGTTCAGTAGTTTATTTACTTAGTAAAAGAAGCTACTCAGATTAAGTTTCAAGGATATTCATTTTTTATTTTAGTATTAGAAGATTTGGTATATCAGTCTTTACTAACACCATTTCTCTTACTGTATGTATATATACATTGCATGTATGTATATTTTATAATGTTCTCTCCCAGCCTCTGCCTCCAAGTCTAAAAAATTACACATTTAGAAATTGATCTTATCCTTCTGTTAATTTTAGTTGCGTGCATTCCATTGTACCTACCTTGAGGTATATCAAACTCATAGATACTGAATGTTCGCAATATGATATAACAAAGATCTTGGCCTTTGACATTTTTGGTAATTTTGACTGAAGGTAATCATTATACATCAATTAGATGCTCTCTCGCAAGCCATCTCTGAAATCCTTAGTTCCCTCCACAGTCTGAATCCAGTGCCTCTCTAGAGACATACACAGCACTTTGGCATAGAGGTGGGAACAGTGATCACATTGCTGCAAAAATGCTTGCTTATCTAGCTCCTTCCAAATTGTAACCTAGGTCAGTTTGAGGTCAGAGGCCAAGTGTGTCTTTATCTCTCTGTATTCCCAGCACGTCATATAGGTCAGAGTTCATAGCTGAAGCTCAATAAATATTTGTTTGCTCACTGAATAAATGAACTGAAGAAAATTATTTCTGAAATGTTTAGCTCATTCAAGACCATGACTTCCTATTGTGGGGGTTATGAGCTTTCTTTCCTAGGGAAAAGTTTCTTAACTATGATTAGATTCTCAAATGAATGGGGAAATCTTTCAAAAAGGCTAAAAGCCATTGCTTGAAGATCACATACACACATACATAAACATACTAACTCAATGGCCATACATACATCACTGCATTCTTACCACCCTGTATTCATCTGCCCACCTGCACAGATCTGCAAGGTCTTCCCTGGGCAGCGCTCCAATTTATTGATTCTTTCCTACTAGAAAGTTTAGCGTTCCTTAAAACCTCTGATATTTGACTGAGTACTGCCTTTCTCCAGATTATTTGTAAAAGTGTTAAGTAAGCCTAGAGCTAATATCAATCCCTGAAGAAACCTATTCCTTAAACTTCTCAACCTTTTCTTCTTACTGTTTGTTTTCCTTTCCTAAGATAGTTCCTTTACTGTAAGTAAACCTCTCATCCAACCTCAACGAATAAAGATTTGTTATTATTTATTTTACCATCTTGGCCATAGTAATTGTATTTTTCTTACCTTTAATTAGGAAGATGATATACAACACCCAGGCATACTCAGCATTCAAATCTGCATTTGTGAGATGAAGAAATGCCCTAGCTTTCTAACTAGATGCCTTCTCATTACCTAACTTATAATGAAGACTGAGCCACTTGTCATAAAAGAAATTACGCTTAACTTACAAATTGAATGTGGTTATTTTCAGTCTTTAAAAAAAGAAAACAAAATGTGAGAAATCTGAAAATGAAGCGTTATATTGGTCTTGCTAGATATTATATTCACAGTGTGGAAAAGCTGTTTATTTAAAATATTTTATGCTGACAGAGCTTGATTAGGGGAAAAGGACTTCTGAAAATCAGCTTTAGAACACACGCACACAAACCTTCCCTGACCTTTCACACTGCACTTACAAAGGCATTACATGACTTTACCATTCAGTCTCTCTTAGGAAGTATTTTTATTTTCTTATTAACAGCAGTAGAAAAACCAAAGCTAATATTTAAGCCTTGAGATCCCCCTCCTTAAGATGAAGTGAGTACACAAAACATGAAAATATACAGTTATATTCTTTATCTCTAGATAAACTTCCAGAACTATATCAAGGCTTTATATGGTCTGGCCTCCTGTTGCTTCTCTGACCTAATCTCCTAGTTAATCCCTCTACAATATACCTACCTTCTTGCTGCATACAAGCACACTTCTGCATTGAGTCCCTATCCTTAAACTCCTTCCTGCACTCATGTGCAAGGCTCATTCACTTCCTCATCTCCTTTATGTCTGTCCTCAAACACTACCCTGTGGGGAAGCCTGCCTTCATCTCTCCATTTGAAACTGTATGCCCCTCATGCTCGCCACTACCAATGTCTGGCACTCTCTATCCCTTTTCCTAATCTTTAAAATAAATAAATAAATAAATATGGCTCTCCTTTCTTTTCTCTTTCTTTCTGGGATTCTCCTTATATACATGTAAAACTGAGCTGTCCAATATAGTAGCCATAGCCACATGTGATGATGGAGCACTTGAAATGGCTAGCTCAACTTGAGATGTGGTGAAGTGCAAAATGCACACTGATTTTGAAGACTTCGCATGAGTAAAAGAAAACAGAGTATCTGATTAAAATTTTCATATTAATTACATGTTGAAATAATACTTTGAATATATTGGGTAAAATAAATTATTAAAATTAACTTCATCTGTTTAAGTAACATACGTGTTCCACATTAGGAGTCTATCGGACAATGCAGTGTTAAACCTTTTTGTTGTATTGCATGTCCATTATACTTTTTTCTATATACAGCATCTTTTTTTGCTCTCTGCTTCTGCCTGGATATTTTCTGAGAGTCTTCCTGTTCACCTCTCCTGTTTTCTGCTTATCTAAACTGCTATTTTATCCAGCACTAAATTCTTAATTTTATAGTTTGTATTTTTCGGTTCTAGAATTTCCATTAGATTCTTTTGATAGATTCTTATTATTGGGTGAAGCACTCCCTCTTTTTATGTATTTTCTCTTCCTCTAGTTTCTGAAATATATTCATTTCAAAGTCCCTGTCTAGTAACTTCAGTATTTGGATCATCTAAATAACTATTTCTTGTATGCGTGTTTATGTGTGTGTGTCCAAATGTCCTATCTCTTAGCATGCCTAGCAGTGTTTTATTGAAATCTGGATATTCTATGTATATATTAAAAAAACAAAATATAAAAAGAAAACAAAAACCTAGGAGGCCCCAGATGATGTTGTCTTCTACCTGAGGATTCACTTTCTTCTGGAAAGAAAAGGTAAATGTCTTACTAATCTCCATCCAGTCAGGAACTGAGCTAACCCCAGGCTAAGTTGCAGTTTTAGCAAGATTGGGTCTATTTTGATTTGCTCTATTTCCTAGGGCACAGGCCTCCAGGGTTTTCGACTGATTGTCTGGCAGGTTATCATTTCCTCAGCAAAAATAGATCTTCTTCTTAGACTTCGTCTCTTTTGCAACCCCTCATCATCCACAGCTTCAGAATTCAGTAAATCTTATGAAGGGGAAATGGACTCTGTGCTGAGGCCCTTCAAGTTTCCCTTTTTGCCAGTCTGGCCCCACACAACTGCCGAAACGTGGCTGGCTTCTTGTCCCAAAGCGGTAGCCCTCTGCCTGGGGCCAAACCCAGATTGTCAATCTCTCGCCTTGGCAGCTGCAAGTATCTTCCTACAGACAGGTAGACTTTGCTCCAAAATTTAAGTTCCTCTGGTCCTCACTGTTTCCACAGCTCTTGGATGATCTTTGTTTCCTCTGGTATTCTAGTTGCTCTTGGCAGGAATGTTGATCTGCCACCCTCATACAGAAGCAGAAGCTTGCTGTGGTTATTTTTTTCTTAGCACTCTTTACCATCTAACATGCTATGTACAGTCATGTGCTGCAGAATGACACTTCAGTCAATGAAGGATTGCATGTATGATGGTGATCCCGTAAGACAAAACTGCATTTTTACTATACCTTTTTTATGTGTAGATATGTTTAGATACACAAATACTTACCATTGTGTTATAATCGGCTACAGTATTCAGCATAGTAACATGTTGTGCAGGTTTGCAGCCTAGGAGTAACAGGTTACACCAACAGTCTAGATGTGTAGTAGGCTATCCCATCTAGGTTTGTGTTAGGTATGCTCTATTATGTTCGCATGACAACGAAATCGCCTGACAACATATTTCATCGTTAAGTGCCGTCTGACTATATTTTATTTATTTAGTTTATCATCATCTTCCTTCAGCAGAATGTAACTTCCAGGAGGTCTAAGGGTTTGACTATTTTTTTCACAGCTGCACCCTCAAAAATGTGAAAAGAATTAGTTCCATAGCCATTACAATGGTAAGATAGGAGAAACCTGAATGAAAGTGATTATTAAATAAAAATGAACTGATTTGTCCTTCCAGTCTGACAGCCAAGAAAACAGAATTTTTTTTACCATAATTTACTAGGCTCTTCCTGTGTGCCAAACAGTGTGTGAGAGATTTGCATTCAAAAATGATTATAGCCTAGTCCTCACTCCAAAGAAACAGACCGGCAAAAAAAAATAGGGATTAAAAACAAAATAACCACCTACTTTCTTGACTCATGACAAGAGAGCCGCCATGAATTTTTAAACACATGGAGACCCTAATTAACCACAAACCCCTTCGAAAGTTTCTGTGGGAAGTTATACTCTTATTACTCCCACGGTGCCACTCAGATTCTACTCAGAACAATCTGCCAATTTTTCTATAATTGCCTTCAGGGTCTGTAGCATCTTTGTTTTCAATGGTGGCAAAAATTTTTCCCCCTGAAAGTAGATTTGACTTTAGAAACAGTCAGAAGCCCTTTGGAGTGAGGCCTGATAAAAAAGGAACCTCATAAAATCATTTCAGATCAATGAGAGAAAACCATAAAGTAAATGGGACTTCTTGTGTGTTTTGTAAACTGGCTCTGAAGGCAACTTCAAGAAACTTGAAAATACAGAAGCATGAAAATATTGTTGAAGTAAGTACGTTAGTGTTTTCTTTCATTATTTTAGTCTTATGGCTGAACATATAATTTTCAAAGTATACAATACACACTGAAAGTTAAGAATGAAAGAATATAGGGATCAACAACTAGTATATTGGGAATATAGGGAAATATATTACTAATTGTTATGGTAAATGAGATTATTGAGATTTCTCAAATCCTGTATTTCATGGTTTAAATGCACAACTTTCCTGTGCTGATATTACTAAGCAGGTTTTTAATAATGAAGAGTTCTATTTTGTGTTTCATGATAATTAACTATGTATATAATACTTTGGTTTTCCTCATTTACTGTTGTTATCTAGTAGGACTACGTAGACGTTTCTCAGTACCCATGGGGGATTGTTCTAGGACCTCCCAAGGATAACAAAATCCAAAGATGCTCTAGTCCTTGATATAAAATGGCACAGTATTTGCAAATAACTTATTCACATCCTCCTGTATACTTTAAATCACCTCTAGATTTACTTCTAACACCTAATACAATGTAAATGCTATATAAATAGTTGTTACACTGTATTGTTTAAGGAATAATAACAAGAAAAAAAGTCTGCACGTGTTTAGTACAGAGGCAATTTTTGAGTATTTCTTATCTGTGGTTGGTTGCGGCCACGGATGCTGAACCGCTGGATACAGACGGTCAACTGCACATCTTTTACATCATATAATTTTTGAATCACCCTCTAACATGAACTTGAGAACACATATAATACCAAACAATGGTGAAGAGAAAAGTAACTTGTTCCCATTTTCAGTTGAGGAGTTACTAGGTCAAATAGGGAAGAAGAAGGAAACGAGAAATATTAAGAATACAAATAAAATACAAACTAATATAAGCTACGAAACTGAAAGCTGGCTGCTCGTAAAGGTGATTAAGTTACTCTAATATATTGCTTAATGTATACTTTGTAAATGTTCTGACATTTTAATTTACAAACCCTACTATAGAACTCCAAATGATAAGACACTTTAAAGTGTCCATAACCCATACATAAGCTACCACTTTAAGAGACTATTTCTTTTATCTAGATCCTGAACAAAATAAGTTTTGACTGTGAATGGTCTGCTGTTAATAAGAGGAAATAAACTAGCCTCTGAGAGGTCAACTTTCTTTTGTCTCCTTTTTTTCTCTCCTGTTAGTCATTCTCAGATTACTATTAATAATTGTGATTGTCTATATTTGCATTTGTGGACAATCAAGATAGCCAAATTGATTTCTTCAAATGGAAAGTACTAACAAAAATATGTTGCTATTTTATAGTAATAACACATATTTTCCATGGGAATAGTTTGATTGGGTAGAATTGACACATGCATATAAATGCAAGGAATTAACTATGATTATATTATTAGCAGTTATTGTGGCAATAATTTCAGAAAATGGTTATATCCATCTGTCTGAGAAAACAGACTTTAACACAAAATGAAGTCATATTCATTACACGAAAAAAGTGATTAGAACCTAGTAGTAAAGCCAGCTAAATGCGTTTCTACTAAGCTCCAAGTTTAAGTTTTAATGCATTTTTAAATGTTTCTGGTCTCAAAACATTGAACAGCTGACAATTTCCCTCAAGAGAACAATACCTTGAGGGGAAAAGCAATTAGAATATGGATTGACCAGCAATCAGTAATCATTACTTGGTACATTAAATGTAGTACGCTGGCACCTGGTTAAGTAATTTAGAAACTGGTTAAGTATCTGGAAAACAGGTTTCTCAAGTTAAATGTGAAAGCTCACAGAAATAAAATGGACTTTCTCACAGTTACAACGTATCAAGAAGAAAACTGCAGAATAAGGTTTTAGAAAGTTAAAATTGGGTGAACATATTAAAGGGAATTGGAATCAAAGGGATTGAAGTAGAAAATCTGGTACTTCTGGGAGTTTAAATTCCCCAAAGTTTATAACTTAGAAGAGCTGATGATACATTTCATATCAAGGTTTAATATTTCTATGAAGG
The DNA here is from genome assembly GCF_000001405.40 of Homo sapiens. Taxonomy (NCBI): domain Eukaryota; kingdom Metazoa; phylum Chordata; class Mammalia; order Primates; family Hominidae; genus Homo; species Homo sapiens. The sequence goes on from NC_000013.11 coordinate 59,707,627, forward strand.
TGGTTTAAATATACTGTACGATTCGAAAAAAGCTTTTATTAAATTCTTAAACTGCAAGAGAAGAAATGAAAATAAATTACTAAGCCAGTGAAACAAGAACTTCTACAAACTCCCTTCACTGCTGACATCTTTCCACCTACATCACTTTGCCAGTAGACTCTACCTTTCTTCCCATTTCTACCGATGAACTGTCCATGCTCCAATAAGGCCAACTCCTCCTCTTGCAACCTAGACTTCATAATCTCTCATTCAAGGACAATGCTCCAACAATTTACTCATCTTTTTCTAACATACCAATTTCTCCCCACTTCATTTCATTATTCTCTCCAGCAAACAAACATACTATTTCTCTCATCTTTAAAAAAAAAAAAACAAAAAACCCTTCCCTTGATCCTAATTCCTCTTCAAACTACTAATTCATTTCTTTCCTTCCTTTCATTTTATTATTTTTTTAGAGACAGCATCTGGCTCTGTCACCCAAGCTGGTGTGCAGCAGCATCACCATAGCTCACTGTAGTCTTGAACTCAGGGGCTCAAGCGATCCTCCTGCCTCAGCCTCCCAAGTAGCTGAGACAACAGGTGAGAGCCACCATGCCAGGCTAATTAAAAAAAAAACGTTTTAGAGATGGAGTCTCACTATATTGCCCAGGCTAGTCTTGAACCTCCAGCCTCATCCTCTCTTTCCTTTTATAGCAAACTCCCTTGAAAGAGTTACCTACAATCGCAGTTTCTAATTTCTCTTACTCTCTCTTGAACTCATTCCAATCAGATATTTGTCCCTACCACTGCACTAAAATTCCCCTTCTTCTTGAAGTCACAGTAGCCTCCACATTACCAAATCCAATGGTCGTTTTACAACTCTGACCTTACTTGATTTCTCAGCAGACGGGACACAGTTGTCACTCTCTGCTACCTGAAATTCTTTCTTCCTTTGGCTTCCAGGACTTCACCCTTGCTTGGTTTTCCATCTCAGTGTTTTGTGTTTCCGCCCTTCCTCCTGAGCCCCAAATGTCCGTATGTTCCAGGGCTGTCCTTGAATACATTAACTCTCATATCTACACTTAATTTCAAAGCAATCTACTCCAGTCATATTGTTTAAATACCATTTACCTACTGGCAATCCCCCAATTTATATTTTCACAGCTCTGACCTGTCTCTGGAATGCATTTTCTGAATGCTTTAAATAAGACATATTGCTTTTATAATAATAATAAATATATTTTAAAAACATGCTATTTATTCTGGATTTTAAAAAGACCTTATAGACTAAAAATCCTTTACCAAAAGACCTTTATTCCCATGTATAATTTTTTAAAAAGTTACCAGGTATCAGGACTATAAAGATGAATAAAGAAACTTAAAAATCACCTGTCCTCTCAACACGTAGAGATAACTACTTTCAGACACATATAAACTCTTTAAAATCTGTAAAAAATGCAGATCTATGCCCATTTGGAACAAAATCATACCTGAGAAAAAGTTTTTAAATGAATACATAATCTTTTGTATTCTTTCAGATGAATAACTTTTATTTCTGGGTGAGCCTGTAATTTTATAGAATCATTAGTTTAACATGATTTACTTTTATTAAGTTGGTCTTTTTTCAAAACAACAGATTGGCTACAGCTAAGATAGAAAAGGGCTAAAAAGTAAAAGACACTACCATCAGAGCGAACAGGCAACCTACAAAATGGGAGAAAATTTTCGCAACCTACTCATCTGACAAAGGGCTAATATCCAGAATCTACAATGAACTCAAACAAATTTACAAGAAAAAAACAAACAACCCCATCAAAAAGGTGGCGAAGGACATGAACAGACACTTCTCAAAAGAAGACATTTATGCAGCCAAAAAACACATGAAAAAATGCTCACCATCACTGGCCATCAGAGAAATGCAAATCAAAATCACAATGAGATACCATCTCACACCAGTTAGAATGGCAATCATTAAAAAGTCAGCAAACAACAGGTGCTGGAGAGGATGTGGAGAAATAGGAACACTTTTACACTGTTAGTGGGACTGTAAACTAGTTCAACCGTTGTGGAAGGCAGTGTGGCGATTCCTCAGGGATCTAGAACTAGAAATACCATTTGACCCAGCCATCCCATTACTGGGTATATACCCAAAGGACTATAAATCATGCTGCTATAAAGACACATGCACGTGTATGTTTACTGTGGCATTATTCACAATAGCAAAGACTTGGAACCAACCCAAATGTCCAACAATGATAGACTGGATTAAGAAAATGTGGCACATATACACCATGGAATACTATGCAGCCATAAAAAATGATGAGTTCATGTCCTTTGTAGGGACATGGATGAAATTGGAAATCATCATTCTCAGTAAACTATCGCAAGAACAAAAAACGAAACACTGCATATTCTCACTCATAGGTGGGAATTGAACAATGAGAACACATGGACACAGGAAGGGGAACATCACACTCTGGGGACTGTTGTGGGGTGGGGGTAAGGGGGAGGGATAGCATTGGGAGATATACCTAATGCTAGATGACGAGTTAGTGGGTGCAGCGCACCAGCATGGCACATGTATACATATGTAACTAACCTGCACATTGTGCACATGTACCCTAAAACTTAAAGTATAATAATAATAAATAACAAAAAATAAAAATTTATTTTGGAAAAAAAAAAAAGAAAAGTGCTAAAAAGTAATACCATGGTATATCTGCAAAGATCTTAAAAAAAAACCCCAACAACTTCATTTTGATTATTTCAAATGTACTCTCTACATTTAAAGTTAGTTAAAAAATGGCACAACAAATTATAAAGCTGAAAAAGACATGCCATTTAAAATATGGGAGTAGATTAGGGATATTTTAATAAAATGGTGACTCATCTCTCTTATTGTTAAACAATCAAGGGAGAAGGAATAATAAAGAACTTGCTCAATTAACAATCTGGTTAAAAATGGCTCTGGCAACAGACTGGGTTGCCAGTTGTGTGAGCCTGGGAAAATCTGAGTCTTCATTTATTTGTAAACAGAAGATAATGCTGTGCTGGCTCTCATCTTAACATTGTTGTGATTAAGTGAGATAATATACGTAAATATCCTAGCAGAGTATCAGGCCTTTTCAACAAATGTTGGCTATTACTGCCTTTGTATTAATTTCTTAAACTGTTTTACTACCTCCTTTTTCAGAACAGGTTTATTCACAAAAGCTATTCAAATAAACAAGTTAAAAAAAATTCACAGAGCTCTGAGTTCAGCTTGAAAGTTTTTAAGCAACACAATTTATTATACAGAACAAAACAATACTTTGAGATGAGTTTCTTCTGTCAAAAAGACAAAAACACTCAGAGGATGTAACTGAATGACTATAATGCACCCTGGCCAAGAAGCGAGGCTTTACCTTGCTCTTTAAAGTACATGCAAGTGAGCACTGTTCTTGTCATTTTAATATAGACTTTCCACCCTTAAATTGACTTTATGAAATAGTTAGATAATTGTTGTGTACTTTTAAGTCACTTTGCCAGTGTTCTTGAACCGTGAAAGTAATTAAGTACTGAACTCATAAAATACACTCCCCAAGGTCCAAGTTTAAGTGAGCATAGTGATTTGTTTCCTAACAATGGAGCCCAACCACATTTAAAAACTCCTTTGTACTGGACAGTCCTTGAAGCTTGGAGTGGCTTTCTTATCCACAGCCCTTCTGAGCATCCTGCAGCTAACAGCAGGTTTTTTTTTCCCTATAATCTACTACCACCATCCCCACAACTGTCATGATCAAGAACTATTTATCTCCATTTCTACCACACCATTCTCACTGACTCAATGACTTCTTTTGTTATTACCACAATGATGCTATTGCTCTTGCTACCATCACCATTACCACACCACCACCACCTCTCTTACTACCACTATCAGTACCATCGTTGCCACCACCACCATCACCACCACTACCCCCTCTCTTACCAACACCACTAATGATGAGCTAGAAGTAAACTAAGTCTTTTACTTGAATTACTTCATTTAGTCCTCAGAACAATTCAAGATATGCTATATCCATTATATCGATGAGGAAATCAAGGCCCAGAGAACTTAATAATTTTTGGCCTATGTTCCTATATTAGGTGAATGGGAAAGCCAGAATTCAGATCAAAGTTTGAATAACTCCAAGGCACATGTTTCCATGGCTTAGCATATCATTTGGCACAGAGTTAACACTAAAAAAAAATTGTTGCACGAATAAATAAAAGTTGTCATCCTTTGGGTAACATGGCTCAATGGACAAAGGATGGTATCTGATCCACAGGCAGTGTGAACTTGGCATGAGGCAACCTGGCAGAAGAATGCCTTATGAGACATTCTATACTAGACATTATCCAACTCACCCTATAAGCTCCTCTCTTGGGACAATAAAACACAAAGAGAAGGTTACAAATAGAATAGGACCACTGAAATCAAGGACCAGAGAGAAGACAATATGTTAGAACAACAAAGTCAAGAAAAGCATGTAAATATTAGCCAAAAAGGTAACAGCATTATATCCAGCTGGTAATGACAAGAGAAACAGAGAGGCAGAAAGAGGCAGAAGATACATCATTAGGATGACACTGCACTCTTGGGGCAATGGCAATATCCTGAACAACCTTCTAGTTCTCCAAGTGGTTGGCTAGGTAGCTGCAGACATGGTCTTTCAAACTTTTTGTCTGGCTTCTCTTTCTCAAATAAAGCAGTGGTCCTTTTCTCAGGAAACAAGAGACTCATCTGTCTGTTCAAGTCAGTAACTCAAGAGCCATATGTTTTATTCCCCATAAACAATCACATACCATGTTCTGTATTTTCTCTCTATTCCCACTGGTTGAACTTTGGCCTAAGCTACCACTATCTCTTATCTGGATTACAGCAATTCCCTCTGACCTAGTCTCCAGCCATCGACTCGGGCCCCCTCAATCCATTCTCCATATAGCTGGCTCCCACACATATCTTATGCACCTAGCTCAGATTTATTCAGCTCTCACTTAAATACCACTTCTTTGGGGGAGGCTCACCTTCAGAGTAGGTTGATCTTCCTGTTATTGACTTGTCATCCCCCATTTTACTTTCTTAAAACTACCACACTTACAGTTACTTGTTCACTTTAATAAGTCTTCCCTTGTAGATGGCAGTCTCCATGAAAACAATCCTGTGTCTGTTTTGTTTAATACTATGCACCAGAGGCAACCTTTTTGGCACCAGGGACTGGTTTCATGGAAGACAATTTTTCCACAGGGGTGAGGGGGAAGGATAGTTTCAGGATGAAACCATTCCACTTCATATCATCAGGCATTAGTTAGATTTTCATAAAGAATACACAACTATATATCTCGCATGCGCAGTTCACAATAGAGTTCGTGCTCCTATGAGAATCTAATGCTGCCGCTGATCTGACAGGAGGCGGAGCTCAGTGGGTAATGCTTGCTTGCCTGCTGCTCACCTCCTGATGTGCCACCCAGTTCCTAACATGCTGCTAACCAGTACCTATCTGTGGCCTGGGGGTTGTGGACCCCTGTACACCAAGTACAGTGCTACAGTGCCTGGCACATAAGAAGTGAAACATATTTGCTCAACAAATACATCATCTGTAGTAATCTGAAGGTTTTTTTTTTTTTTTATGAGATGGTGTTTCACTATTTTCCCCAGGCCCGTCTTAAGCAATCCTCCCACTTCAGCCTCTGGAGTAGCTGGGACTAAAAGCATGTGCTGCCACATCTGGCACAGTCTGTTTTTTGAAACCTAAAAAACTCTCAATAAATGATCTCAAATGTGTCTGTAAACATCTTACAATTAAAAGAACTAAAATTTAGTCCACCTCCACTGAGGACTGACATTATGCAGGCACCGTGCAGAGTGATCTGGGATGGGGAAGTAGTATTCAAAGGGAAGTTCTGAACAATTTAAGCAGTGGAATGACTGGATAAGATCTGTTTTAGGAAGAAAAATTTGGCAGCAGTGTGGGGGACTAAAGTGAGTTAATATTTGAGGAAGGGGAGCTATTAAATTACTATAGGTAAGAAGCTTTTTTGATGGCAGAGACAGCCACCTACATGGCCACGTAACCTAGTTCTGGCTACTAAAGCTTAAAAAAGAAAGTCTGTTAAAGGACTTCCAAGAAAAATTCCCCTTCATAAAAACAGGCACTGAAAAGAAGAGGGCCTGTCCCAAGATCCATATGTCTTTGGACATAGCTGTGTGTGGATGTGATGCCAGTTATTCTGTAAGCATGAGTTGCTGAGCCATGGATAACAGCCATGGAGAGCAAAAAGGAAAATTAAGAGTCTGAATCAGGCCTGGCATCATGGCTCATGGCTCATGCCTGTAATTCCAGTGTTTTGGGAGGCTGAGGCAGGAGGGTCCCTTGATGATAGGAGTTAGAGACCAGCCTGAGTAACACAGTGAGGTCCCATATTCCAAAAACTGTTTTAAAAAATTTAGCTAGGGCCGGGCGCGGTGGCTCACGCCTGTAATCCCAGGACTTTGGGAGGCCGAGGCGGGCGGATCACGAGGTCAGGAGATCGAGACCATCCCGGCTAACACGGTGAAACCCCGTCTCTACTAAAAATACAAAAAATTAGCCGGGCGTAGTGGCGGGCGCCTGTAGTCCCAGCTACTTGGGAGGCTGAGGCAGGAGAATGGCGTGAACCCGGGAGGCGGAGCTTGCAGTGAGCCGAGATCCCGCCACTGCACTCCAGCCTGGGCGACAGAGCGAGACTCCGTCTCAAAAAAAAAAAAAAAAAAAAAAAAAATTAGCTAGGCATGGTGGTACACACCTGTAGTCCCAGCTACTTGGGAGGTGAAGGTGGAAGGATTGTATGAGCTCAGGAGTTTGAGGCTGCAATGGGCTATGAACACACCACTGCCTGCTAGCCTGGGCAACACAGTGAGACCATGTCTAAGTTAGAAATAAGTTTTAATGATCAGAAAACAAATTTCAGGATGTTAAACCTCAGTTTATAACTTTACCTTTTTTTTGTCCCCCCTTCCTCTAATAAGATGCCACATCCTCAACTTTACCTTCACAATGCTTCTTCCATCCATCCTGTCTATATCAGTTAGGATGTTCCCAAAAGTGGCAGATTGCTTATTACAAGGTGTATTTATTGTCTCACTTAACAAGAAATCCTAAGTTTTGGCTTTTTGATATGGCTAACTGGGCCCTGAGGGAGCTGGCTGGGGGTGTGGAGAGTGTGCAACTTCATTTTCTAGTGTGAATCATACAGCTCAATTTTATAAGAAAATTGTTTTTGAGAACAAAAATAAGTATTCTACCTGTCCAAAAAAACCAAAAAAGTCACCAGTCCATATTCTCCCTCTCCCAAGAACAATAAGGGAGCAGGGAGAAGAATGAAAAGGGGCAGTACTGACGTAGTTTTTCTCTTTTAACCAGCTTCTCATGAATTGAGATGCTTATTATAAGCTAGCAAGTAGGATAGACCGTATTTTCCCCATTTATCTATCTAGATGCAGCATATGGTTGTACTCCTCTCTTTCGTTCATCTAATATTTGTTACCATTTATGATGTAACCATCTATTATCTTGATGGTAATGAGAGCACATCATTATCTCTGCCCTCCAAGAATAATTCAGAATTCACCTCAAGAAGACAGCACAAATTATCTGCTTTGCAAAGTTCCCAGCACATGGTAGACGATCAAATATTTGTTTAATGCATCTGTTCTGTAGCAGTACATTTTTTAGAGGGTTCTAAAGAAAACTTGTGAAGATAAAAGCTTCAGGATATGGCATCTGATTAGAGGAGGGGATGAGGAAAGAGATGACTAGAAGGCATAATTTTAAGCTTTGAAAGTTCCTTATAGACACATAACACGCAAGCCTCTATTTCTTCCATAACATCCTTGACAAGCAACAATCCTTTTGCTTCAATATTAGAACTTGTAAGGAAGTCATGCTGTCCTAAGAGAGGTCAGTCTATCACTGTACAGTCCTGACCATTATAATGTTCTTTAGAGTAAAAAAAAAAAATCTGTTCCCCTGTTCAGAGGGGAGAGGAAATTTCCATAGTTTGTCCCAATTATAGCACTTGAAGAAAGTGGTTGTGGTTTAATGGAATTAACAGTGACCTGGTGACACAAGACCAGGTGTAACTTTGAACAGGGCACACAATCTTGCTGAGATTCATTTTTTTCTTTCTCTAAGATAAGGATAATCTTCACTTGCCACATTTATTGTGAGATTACGTAAGTGAAAGTACACAGTGCCTGCTTGCAGATAAAACATTTTTTTTAAGGTATGCAAGAAGATAATGATACTACTGAGCACTTCTAAGGATAATCCTTTACAGAAAGATGAAAGTTAAAAAAATTTTAAAGTGGGCATACCACATTAATGTTAAATACATTTAAAGTCTTAATGCACAAAAATGTCACTTAACAGACAACTGCAGCTACATATTACAAGCAGTTGGTTATGGACATGCTCATCTTTTGATGACTATTTTTAAGTTAAAATGCATTAATATTCATGATTCTGCCTTTCTTACATTTACAGGAATAATGCTGCGCTTGTATATCCAAGAAACTTATTTTTTTTTTGAGAAAGACTCTTGCTTTTTCCGCCCAGGCCAGAGTGCACTGGGGCAATCTCGGCTCACTGCAAGCTCCGCCTCCCGGGTTCACGCCATTCTCCTGCCTCAGCCTCCCCAGTAGCTGGGAATACAGGCGCCCGCCACCACGCCCGGCTAATTTTTTGTATTTTTAGTAGAGACGGGGTTTCACCATGTTAGCCAGGATGGTCTCGATCTCCTGATCTTGTGATCTGCCCGCCTTTGCCTCCCAAAGTGCTGGGATTACAGGCATGAGCCACCGTGCCCGGCCCCAGGAAACATTTTTAAAAAAAGAGATAACAAAGAAGAAGTATCAGCAACAAAAATACAGGTACCTCTCATGGAGACATGCTCTGTGCCAGGCAATACACTAAACCCTTCATATGCTGAATAGCTCCTAGTGCTTGGAAACCCTTTTGAAGTAGACATTATTATCACCTCCATTTTACAAATATGAAACTGAATGTAAGACGGCTTAAATAACTCAAAAAAAGATCACATTATAAGCAGCTGAGGCTGGATTTGAAATCTGTTCTTTGATGTTAGACTCCCTTTATTTGCTCCCTTAATACATATAATGGGTGGGTCTGACACAATTACTGTGTTTAAAATATATCACTCATTAAATTCTGCTTTAAATGAGATTATCTATCAACAAGGGAATACCTGACTCTGGTAGCATACATTATTACGTCAGCACTCTTTTGTGATGATTCTGTAACTACAATGACAGATGGACCTATTAAAAAAAAAAGTAGTAAGAATAAAAAAATCTCACTTAATTTTTTAAAAATTTCATGTACTGTGTTAACTATCATAAAATGCAACAGAAACAAAGAACAGTATAGTGTCAAGCGTGTACATACTGTCTTAAAAACAGTGACAAAATATATTCAAAAGATCTGCAATGCAGCAGTCCAGGAGGGTTGACATTAGAAAAAAATTATTAAACCCAGTAAGTTAACGAAACCTTAGAACTACTCCGAGTTTGGGAAGGAATTAAAAAATCATTAAAATGTTAAGAATTTATAAAACAGCAGTTAAATTTTTAAATAAGAATAGTATCTATACATACCGATTAAGCTTTAAGTACTTTTTCCGTACTTTAAGTATTTTGAAGTATCTTCTCAGGGGCCTACTTGACAGTGTGCAGATGGGGTGGCCATCAGCCAACTAGTCACCTTCAGTGCCATCCAGTGATCCATGGTGGCAGGAACTTCTGGTCTCTGTTGCTTCCTCTACTTTCAAGTCTTGCATTAATTTGCCACCCAACAGCCCACTCTTCCTGGTCCAACCAAGGCCAGTGTGTACAGTCTGACCACTCACTCAGACCATTTGGGATAAGTCTTACTTTCTAGCCACATGTCTCCTATTCGGTTACAAATGATTATACAATACAAATATTGTATTTAAAGAACTTTTAAAAGCTCCATAAATGATTAGGTTTTGTTTTCAGTTATCTATGCAAAATACTGGTTGGCTTTCCCATATAACTGGAAATCCACCTCAACATTGTTAGGTGGCAACCAAGAAAATTATAGGTATAGGAGGATAAATCTTCTGAAATGCTACCCTTGGAGTTCCATTCTACCCCACTCAAAAAACAAACAAAAAAACCACAAGCCAAACCAAACCAAAACCAAACCAAACAAAAAAAAACAAAGAAAAAGAAAAAAGAGACAGAGAGACTATTAAAATGGACAATCTTATTTGTCATTAGTTGTACTGAACTTATTTCTAATCACCTATACAGAAATCACTAAACATACAACCTGTAATTTTAACAATACAATGACAGAAAAATTAACAATGACTGAGCTGCTACTGTATATATTAGGCACTAGCCAGGTCCTTTTACATTATTTATTCCGTTTCAGACTTATCACAACCTCTCATGGTTGGAATTGTTATTCCAGTTTTACAGGTGAGGAAAAACAGTCTTAAAGGCACAAGGTCAGATCCTTGGCCACCTCCCTGATGCCACGCTGCTGGTGGTGAGGAAAAAGCTCAGACTTAACTTTCCTTCCTTTAAAAAGAATATCACAGAACATAAACCACCCTAATAAGGTCCTAAACATTTAGAGGAATTACTATGGAAAGTTCTTGTCATTACAAAGCTAAATTCTTCTTGTTCTGAAGTCTCCCTGAATAGCTCAGAAAGAAAATCAGATGTTTAGCATTTGAGAATCCATTCAAATTTTCAGAAACAGCAATAGTGTTTTAATCAAGGCAAATCATTATAAATTATAAACACCAGAATGTTACCGGTCTAAATGAAACACACTCCCTGATCCTACTCATAGCTACTAAATATAAAGAACTTAATGAATTAGGTTAATGTGCCTGTTAAGATGATACAAGGTAGAAAGGGGACCCCCAAAAGCAAGTTTCCAAAGTCAAATTGTTATGTCTTCTAATAATAGACCTTATAAAGAAACATTAATATTAACACATGTACTATACAACATATATAATTGAGACATTTTCAATAGTGGAATGTTGAAAAAGGAAAAATGTAATATTTCTTTTTTTTAAGGAACTGTCATTTGTTAAATCCTTTTGGTAGGCTGTATTCCAAGAAGGTAATATTTTGAACTGGTTTTCAATCATCACAAAGGTTGGAGAATATCTTTCTGTATATTTTATTAAGGCTTTTGAGAGATGTACTAGATACTTCAAATTCATATATTTTAGTGACAATGCCACCTCAAAATGTAGCCCCCCCCACCTAACTGATAACTTAAAGAAAATGTATTCATAATATAACCTGAAAATAAACACAATATAATGATGACTGATAGTCCATTTCTTTCCCTGAGATTTAGCTCATGGTATGCCTCTGATAAGGAACTGCATTTTTCTAAATAGCACTCAATTTTCTTTAGCAAAAAAACAAAACAAAACAAAACAGTAGGCTGCTCTTTTTCTTCTGACATACCATATAAAGCCTTCCTTCCAGAATATTTTTTCCTTTGAAAGTAAGCCATAAAATAAAATGTCGTGCTTGAAAATCAATATATTAGTGAATGGAGACAAACGTATTTGTGTGATTTGAGTTCAATTGTAGCACATATAATGAAGAGAGCCACATTTTTACTTAGTGAAGATATCTATCAAATACAATACTAACATTAGTTCTGTTTCCTATTTCTAGGTAAAATTTTAGTTAACAAATAAAACACTGTGATTTAATGAAGAATGGATTAATTTGAAAGCTATGACACTTAAAACTTATGGAGAGAGGTTGGCTCTAAGCAAAAAGGTGAATTAAATGAAGCCTGCCTTTGGATGTTGTTTTCCTTGGTGGTGACATTCCATTAGGCCATGAGCAGCTATTGGAGAACACATTCCAGGCAATGGGTTCTCTCACGCTGCTCATGGCCTATCTACTAAAGATATTCCTTCATGTGAAGTACCCTGCAACCTGAATTTGTGTCTATACCTCTCCTTCTTGGTGTTGGAGAAAGCTCTTTAAAGAGCCATGCTTTCTGGCTGTTACTGTCTTCTTTTTCCTCTCTGAATAAAGAAATGACAGATGGCACTCTAGCGGTGAAATTGGACTGAGAGGCAGACTTGGGAATTACAAGCTAAAGGATAAAGAGGGTAAGCATTAAGACAGAGGGAACCCAAGTCTGTGATGACATTGTGGAACCTCCATACAAGCATCAGACTAGCTTTGAATTTCTCCATTTAAATGAAGTATAAAAGTCAATGATAACTTGAGGGTTCTCTCCTATGCACTTGAACTTAATCCTAAACAATTGAGGAGGAGAAACTGGATAGTTGGGAAGGGGAAAGTGTATAGCTGGAGGACAATGGGCTATGTTCTGAGAAATGCGTCACTGTGATTTTGCTGTCATGGGAACATTATAGACTATACTTACATAATCGATATAGCCTATATACACCTAGGCTATACCGTAACACGATTGTAAATATTTGTGTATCTAAGTGTATCTAAACACAGAAAAGGTATAGTAAAAATACAATATAAAGATAAAAATTGTACACCTGTATAGGGCAGCTCCATTATAATCTTATTGGGCCACCACTGTATATTGGGTCTGTCATTGACCTAAATATCATTATGTGGTACATGACTATATTTTTTCAAAATCTGAATTTTGAACCATATATATTTATTACTTAGTCCAAAACTAAATTCTAAAAACTGTAAAAACACTATGCTCAAAATATTAGAAATTGTTATTAAATGAAAATTTTTTTATTTTGTAAAAAAAGTTCTTAAAAATTGAACATAAAATATTTATTTTAATAAACATGGGCAATGTGATATGTCATAATCATTTCTTCTGTAAAACCGAGAATTTTATCAGGACAGGAAACATTGTGATCACCTTTGCAACTAGAACATCCAGTCAGTATTCTGCATGTGGCTGGTGCTTGTAAATGATGGTCGAACAAATAAAATGCTGTAAAATATATCCCCATTCCAAAGAGCTGTCCTCTGTATGTGCCTGACAGTTATCTATAAAACTGAATATATGAGGAAGATTTTAGGCAAACACAGAAGAAAAAAAATTAGAATTTTTGAGAAGAAGCTTAGCAGAACACAGTTATTGGTAGTTATGTAAGCTAGTAAGCAAACATTATAAGTCCATTTATTTATCTGCCCCAATAACTCATTTTCCTCTGCAAGTATTCACTGACTATCTGGCATATGTAATAATCCCCAAGTGAAAGTTTAAAAGTATATATGTAGGGTGGGGTGGAGGCTGCTGTTAAAGGAGCACTGTAGGAATTTAGCCTAATTTCCATGATTTTTATTTTTCTAATATTTGTATTCTATTAAAACAATCCAAAAGAATACAACTGACTAAATGCACACTTGGCTAAATTTTCATACTGTAAAATTCCACAAATAACTTGCTAACCATTACACAAATCAAGAATTTTGATTTATAGTTTACATATATAACACATATTTTTTGGGTAGTTCTATTATAAAAATCACCCATCTTCCCAAAATGGATTGTTAACAATTATAACCAGCTGATATGAAAATTTGATTAGAACAGCTCAAATGGAATTGGCAAGTAAGGGCTTTTTACCGAGCAAATGCATAAAACTTTCAGAAGATTGATAGGGATATGTAACTTAATTTGTCGGTTTCATTTTTCATGTCTTGGTAATAAATGTTATTTTGATAAATAAAGATGATTTTATTGCATTTATTGCACTGGGATTTTTATACAACCATGGTTCTTCAAGTAATATAAGAGGAAGAACCGTATTTCAGTACTCAAGCTGTTAACTCATGTTTTTTTTAAAGTTATTTGTCAATGTCTCTTCATCTGCATAAGAACTAGGTGAATTGACGGTGTGAGTTTCTCTATGTTCTAAATCATAAAAAATCCCAAGGAAAAGAAATGAGTGTAATAGCCCTATAAATATTTGTGGATTGTCACTAATTCTACTTTATTTGCCTTTCACCAGTGACTTAGGATACTTTTCATTTTATGTTCATCTGACAAAATAATGGCAACGACAGTGGGCAAGAGGTTGTACCATACAACCTCTTGGAACAAAATGTGGGTGGATCTGAGTTTGTCCCATTTGGCACCAATCCAGCCATGACAGTAGGTAAAAGAGGGAAGGAATTCCAGTCCCACTGGGTTGCTTGTGTCCAGAAGAACAAGAGCAAAACTAATCAAGGCAGATAGAGGGAGTTTTGAAAGCAGCTTCTGGGCACCACCAAAATAATGGTCAGAGTGGTACTGGCTGCTTGTGCTCTTTCAGAAGCTGGGCTTTACCTGCCAGCAAAAGCAAGATAAAAGCTTTTGAATAAAGATATAACCATATGAAGCAGCTTTTACACTTTATATAAAACTGCTGTCAAAACATTGTCCATAAAACATCTAATTATCCCTGTCAAAGGTTCTGCATTCAAAGCCCTTAGGAATTCAAAGCCACAAAAAAAGCTTGCCACTCTTCAAGAATCGGTATACGTCCTCATAGAAGGAAATAATAATGATTTAACCTACAGAGGTCCTTAGGAAACATTTTTCAAAAAGAGTCTGAGAGCCTTATGACATGGCCTTTATTGATTTTTCCCTTTGGTAGGGTTCAAAGGAATTAATAAAATATGATTATTACTTGTGAACAGGTAATGTATCCTGGTTATGGTGGACTGACATTCAACATCCATTTTTAACCATCTACTAGAGTGTCTTCCTGTACTGCAGTGGCTAGAAGCTAAAAACCACATCAGAGACCCCATGCAGTTTGGATGTGATTTGGTTTGGCCAATCTTCAAATTGCTCACGGTTAGGATGTTGGAAGTAAGGTGGAGGCCACGTTTTTGTGGGGTTTCTTGCAAGTGTGACTGTGGAAGCATTTGGTTTTCTCTCATAGCACCAGCAACCATCCTTGTATCTAGTCACTAGCTGTGTAGTACTAAAAGGCAGAAAGATAGCTCTCTGTTATGCTGGTGTGGATTGTAACAGGCACTGCAAGGTTCTGTGTCTGGCAGTAACAGTGGTGGCTTCCTGATCATGGGGACTTCCTGTTAGGGAGTGGCAGTGAGGTTCTGGAGCCAGCAGCTTCCCAATTCAGCAGGCAGTTTCTGTATCATAGAGCGGGGAGCAAATGCCATGGTAGCCTGTGTTAGGGCTTCACATGTAGCTCATCAAAGCTTGATCTAAATTGTTTCTTCAGTCCTCCTAATGACCCCGAATCCACTTACAATGTCATGATTAAATACTTCACTGCTTAAACTGGATTCTAGTCTCTGAGCCAGAACCCTGACCTATACAGCATGCCAGCACATACATACCCCTTCCAAGAAATGGATTTCCTATTTGGTAGTGATGAGGAAGAGGTTCTAAAACTCTATAGGAAAAATAACTCTTCAGAATAATGTTCAGGGACTAATGGGTGTGAACTCTTTCCCCCACTCTGAATGCAGATGTGTTCTTGGTGACACTGAGATATATTCCAGGACCAGGAGAGCTCAATGTTTAAAATATTCACTTGAGCCAAGGTGTCCAGATTGTTAGTGTACTTCTAGAATGTAAACCCTAAGACAGTAGTACAGTAAGAACTAAGCTTCTTAGAGTCAGTGAGACCCTATTTTCCAGCAACAGTGTGTCCTGGTAGCTGCAGGTGCCCATTCATTTCTAGAGGCAATGGATTCTGAGACATGCTACATCTGCTCCTGCTACGCATCCATCCAACTTTCCATAAGATGTTATACCCCTGGCTAATTAAAGTGGAAACCTAATTTAACTATATATTGTGTGTGTGTGTGTATGTGTGTGCGTGTGTGGTCTTTCCCCACCAATCTATAGCTCACTTGAAGTATTCAAGTCTCCTGGTAAAAGTCTGTTTTGTCGTACACTGTCTAAAGATTCTTTGTTAAGTGACACTGATCGAAAATGATGGTCTTTTTTTTTTTTCCTTTTTGAGATGAAGTCTCACACTGTCACCTGGGCTGGTGTGCAGTGGCGCAATCTCGGCTCGCTGCAATCTCCGCCTCCTGGGTTCAAGCAATTCTCCTGCCTCTGCCTCCCAAGTAGCTGGGACTACAGGTGTGTGCCACCGCACCCAGCTAATTTTTTTTTGTATTTTTAGTAGAGATGGGGTTTCACTATGTTGGCCAGGCTGGTCTCGAACTCCTGACCTCGTGATCCGCCCGCCTCGGCCTCCCAAAGTGCTGGGATTACAGGCATGAGCCACCGCACCCAGCCAGAAAATGATAGTCTATCTATCTGTTCACCTCAATGTGTTAAAAGTTAAAAAAAAAAAAAAAAAAAAAGAATATGATTGGCTGTCACTATGGGCCCTCAGTTTTTGTGATAAAGGGATAGTTCTCTATTATACACTGTGAGGGGCTTTACCAGCAAGTATGGGTAGGGTTGCAAGACTTGGCAAAATAAAATAATATAAAAAATGAGTACATTTAGTGAAGTATGAATTTTAGATAAACAATGAACAACTTTTTAGTATATGTATACCCTACACAACATTTAGGACATATTTATATTAAGTATTCATTGTTTACTTGAAATTTAAATTTAACTGACATTTCTATGTTTTATTTGGCAACCCTAGTAGTAGAAAAAACTCGTGTGTGAACTATCACTGCAGAGTGATCTTATTCCAAACCAGCTTAGGAGCCTGAGACTGTCTAAAGAATTTAAGACACCTGTTTTCAGATAGAAAGAATGAGCTCAGTATGGGTAATCCACGGCCTTATAAATAATGGGGAATAAATGGTACACAAAACTCTTGGTTGGCCTTACTCTCGGTATTTCTTGGGTTTTATTTCCTTGAGCCTAAATTCAAGTATGAATTTGCCTAGAAGATGCAGCCCAAGTTTTGGCACTCTAAAAGCTCTATTTCCTCTTTTTCCCCTGGCTGTTAGGAAGCTCAAAAATAAATCACAGTATTAACTTTTCACTTCTTCATCCTTAAAAAGATAAGCTACCTTAAATCCTTTCAAAAGGGGATGGGCCATAAATTGCCGATTGCGTCAAATGAGCTGGCTTTCCTTTATGGTAGTCACAGATAGTGAAAGAAATCGTTGTGAAAATTACACATAATAGAAATCACCTTCCTAATTTTTACACCTTTGGGGAATAGAAAGTACTTTGTTTACTTTAATTCTTCTATAAGTTCAAAATTTGGCTATATGAGTTGAAAATAAGATAGCATCTTGCACTATTGTTGCTGTGAGGAATATATGCCCCAGAAAAGAAAAGCTATTCTAGAGTTTCAACTTTTATTTATCAAGGACTGTATTCTATAATACATAGAAGAGAGCTGTATCAAGCAATTTACTGTTTTTAGTTGTTAAAAGTGTTCTACTGCTAAAATCTGAGAAGTGAAAATGTGGCTAAATTTTGAAATGTAATATATGTCTGGGAAATACAATAATTTGCAGCATAGCTAAGTTTTGCTCAAGTCTGGTGAGAGAACATGAAAAATTTTCAGACTAGCAATTTGCTGACTAGAAAATGACTATATTTTCAATCAGCCTAATATGGCAGTTGTTTTTCATAGGCAAAGAAAAGCTAAGGAAGACTTAGTCTGTAGATATTCAGCATAGCTTGGCAAAATTTAGCTGCTAGTTTCTTCTTATCCTTGTTATATGTTTCCATATGGGACTTCTTATTATCAAGAAGAAATAATAGAAGTAAACAGAAGCAAGAGGAAAGGTCCAGACTGGCATGAATTAACCGCTTGTCAACTACGGTTTTCCTAATGAATTGTCCTGTTGCTCTATATCTCAATGATTATAGTACAACAGCTTTCATTAGTCACTGCAAATAAGACTTACTGCCACCTTATTTACATTCTATTGCAAATAATTAGCATTTCATATTAGATTCGTCCAAGGCACTTCTGAACTTGCAGCAAGACTATTTGACATCATCCAATACTTGATTCCATCCTGAACAGGCTTGAAAACAGATTCTGTGCTTTTTAGTTACAACAGTGTCACCAATGAATTCTACCATAGCTTAAATTCCTGCCAATATTGTAGCTAGGGATATCAAAATGCTGCAGTAATTAGACCTTGCAAGCCTGACTTCCCTAGTGGTAGAACTGTCACAGAAGGGGAGGAATTGATATTCAAAGTTTATAATAACCCAAACCTCTACAATTATTGCTAGAACACGAATGCCACCATTTTAAACAGCAGAAAGCAACTTAAGAAAAAAGCCTTATTACAAAGGTAAAAGAGAGAGGGGAAAAATAGCATCATATGCTTTGATGACCAATGTCTTTCCTCTGCTAAAAATTTATAATTACTTATTAAAATTCCAACCTGATTATTAACTTGGTGGGGAAATATTTCTCTTGAAAACATAGCTGCCATATTTAACAGAATATAAAAAGCCTATTCCATTCTATGAATTAAAATTTCACTTTACAAGTATATTATTCTAGAACTGTATAGATTTGCATGTATTATTTCATATAGCCAAATTTATAGAAAGCATTTTATATAAAACCACTTATTTCTATTTCCATATAATTCATATGTTCATATGTCTGTGTGTCCATGTGTGTTTTTGTGTGTCTGGACCTACATATGTCATCTTTTATATGTAACTCATGTATTCTCTGGAATGCACATACAATAAAACAAGGATCACTGAATCAAATAATGCTGAATTTGTGTGAATGTGTTATTCACAGATAGAACCAGTTAATCTGAGTATAACACTTTGGGAAAGGGCAGCCATCGGTCCCAGACAATGGCTAGGTCTATTTGCCTGCTCTTATCTGACTTTCCTATCCTATGTTCCATACAATGTACACCTCCTTATATCTACCTCAGGACCTTATTTTCATGGGATAATTGAGCACCCTGGTCCAGTTAACCAACTCAAGAATCCCCCAATCCTTTACATATTTCTTCCATTTGTACTTAGCCATAGATCCAGCCTGAGAGTCTCACTCCTCAATGCCTGGCCAAGAGGGGCTCAGATGGCTGATGTAGTGACCCTTCCCTCATAAGGGAAGTGATCTGTGGGGCTATTCCGTCTCAACATTTTAGTTTTCAACTGATGGTTTAACTGTCCTAACTAGACATTTAAGAAAAATGAGTAATTGAGTGTTAAAATGCAATATAATAAAACATTAGCCTTAGGAACAAAGATGTAAATACAAACACATTAAAAATAAAAGTGTATAAGATTGTTGATGAAGAGGTCCTGGTGAATGGAGTAGAAATTAGATGTTAGAAATCAAGAATAATAATAAAATATACTCATCTATAAAGCCTTTTCATATAAATTATCTTTTCTCTTTATAGATATTAAAAAACTTCAAAGAAATAGAAATGGGTCTCTTTTTACATTAATGTTTTTTTCCTTATCATGTCTTTCAATGGGGCAGTGAATTACTTCTATCTGAAGAAACCTCTTCAAAAACAAAGCAACCCTCTGAGGATTTCTTGCAAGGTTACTGTGACCTACAGTTAACAAAGTAGGTGTTTACTCTCCCCTGACAACAGCTGGTGGTCAAATCCAGGCTACAGTTCCTTAGTGGTACAGGTGGTTGTTTAGGAAACTGGTAAATGATAATTAGGTCCAATATCCCTGAGGTCACATAGAGCAAAAAAAAAACAATTGTTTGTTATTCAGGGAAGAAGACTTAGAACTTCTCTGGGCTGATCCACAATCTGTCTTCTTCCCAAATGTCTGCCTAAAATGAAACTGGGAATTTGGAAACATTTCCATAGGAGTCATTATCAACATCCATCCTTCTTTCTCAAAAAATATGGATAAATGTGTGGGTTTGAATCCCACCTCTGCCATTTACTAGCTATTTAACTTTGAGCAAGTTACTTAACCTCTCTGTGTCTAAAGTTCCTCGCCTATGTGTGCGGTATGTGTATACATATATATAAGCCCTGTGCATTATGGGATTTTGGAGATGAAGTAAGTTGGTACATATAAGGGCAAAACACTGCCTATCTAGAGTAGGAGCTATATAAGCATTGGCTCTTATTTCTATGGTTAGGAAGACGTGATGTAGAGAAAATAAATAAACCATCATGAACTTGTGAACTTGAAAAGGGAATTTCTTGTCTAGTCTGTTATTAAAAAGGCCTGGCTGCGGCTTCATACAGAGGGTCTACCACCATACACAATTTGACATGCAGCCCTAATACCCGTATTTTGGTCTCAGACACTCTCTTCCATTAAAGAAGGTGAGTGTGGACAGTAATTGATTCTAAGTCCTGCAGCAGGGTTTAACAACAACAACAAAAAGTCAAAATGGGCCTGGGATACCTTGTTGTCAACTTTTAAAGATAAATTTAAAAATGCCTAGAGTAGTACATGGAAACTTAAAGAAAGTCCTTACTAGACCAGTCTGACAGGGCATCAAAAAAAAAAACAGGGCATCAAAAAAAACAAATAAATAAAAATAAAGGAGAAAGTCCTACATGAGTTGAAATATATTCTCCTAGTTTCTTGTTTGTTGCTTCATGTTGTAGTATCTGGTAAGGCTAGACACCCCCACTGGTTACTCTTTTTATTTTTAATTGTTACTTTATCTAGTTTTTGCTTATTTGCTTTTCCATTTTAAGAATTAGCTTATCTGTTCCTAAGAAAACTTCTATAGATAATTTTTATTATAAATGACTTAATGTTGACTGACATCTTTATGAATTAATACATAAAGAATTCCTGGAAATAATTAGGAAAAAGAACTAATAACCCAATAAAAATGGGAAAAGAGATTTAAGGTATAAAGATATAAAGAGATTTAAGTTACATAAAAAAGAAAAGATAGAAGAGATAGTGGTAACATTAATTGACACTGTAGAAAGAAATTGTGTGTATAAGGGACATAGGTAGGAGTAAAATTTTTGTAAATTTTCCATTTTTAGGTATAATAATGTATTACCTATTAAAAATAAAGTTATAAAATGAATATAATCATGGTTAATTGGAACAAGTTGACTTATATATAAACATCAATCATGGCATGTAGAAAAGGAAAATTAATATGTAGACTGTGAAGTAATATAAAAACAGGTGACTATAATAGGATATATTTAACTTTTACCAACACACAGGAAAGTATTGATATTTAATGGAAAAAAGTACTTATGTAGATGAATTTTTCTCTATGTATGGAAGTAGAAAATTGTATACATGGGGAACTCTAAGTAAGAAACATGGTTTTACAAAGGTAGGATATATTATAAGAAGAAGTAGAAAGCTCCAAAGAAGGGCTGTGGGAGGATAAATCAGTCTCTTGAGAGGACAGCTGACTGTGCACCACGAAGCCTCCTAGCTACTGGGAGCTGAAATCTCTGAATAACTTCACTAATCACAATGAGATGCTCAGAAGGCACAAGAATGTTTCTGGTGAAGTACACTGGAACTGCCTGTGACCAAGACATTCATGTGGCAAAGAAGAGAGGCATCAGAATTCCTGGCAAGGTGTGAAAATGTCCACCAATGTAATATAAAAAGCTTGACTATAGTCAGTGGACTGGGTCAAAAAACCACAGAGCCAGCACTCATCTTGGCAGAAGCATGATCCTAGGTACGTATCAGTCAGGCAATTACTTATGACATTTCCCCTTGGCTGGTCTGAAATCATATTGTCTCTTTTTTAGTCTAGTAAGATTACAGTAGCTGTGAGCAGGCACAGAGATAAGAGTTGGAATAATGACCAGAAAGAACTCTAATACAGAAGCAAACAGTAATTAAATAGATTAGAAAGATACCATTCAATAATTTGTACTACAGCTGCTCCTGGCAGTTGTGTGTGGGGTGAGGAGGAGGTGGGGGTGGAGCATGGGGTAGGGAGGAGAACAAAAAACAATTTACCATAACGTGGTAGCATGAGATCTTTGTGGTACTGAAATCTGTATCTTGATTGTGATGTTAGTTATTTATACGTGTGATAAATTGCAAAGACCTATATACAAATACATAACCCACATACAAAAAAAAATGCATGTAAAACTTGTAAAGTCTGAATAAGACCTGTAGAATGTACCAACATCAATTTGCCAATTTCCTGGTTATGTACTAGATATTACTATTGGGGGAAAACTGGGTCCAAGGAATCTTTCTCTACTATTTTTGTGACTTCCGGTGAATACATTAATATTTTTTTTTTTTTTTTTTTGAGATAGGGTCTTGCTCTGTTGACCAGGCTGGAGTGCAGTGGTGTGATCTTGGCTCACTGTAGCCTTGACTTCCTGGGCTCAAGTGATCTTTCCACTTCAGCAAATTGAAATTTATACAAAATACTCTGAATAAAAATAAAATTCAGATGGATCACAGAATTAAGTATAGGTCTAAAAAAATGAGAGGACAACAGTTTAGTTAGGCTCTTGAGTTGAAAGCTATTACAGTATTTGGTTTTATCTGGTCAGCATACTTAAAAAAACAGCGAGCCCTAAATTTTAAATGTGACATTTCACATAAAAATGTAGATTTGTGATTTTTCTATGAGAAATAGCAAAACTAGTCTTAGACATCACGTGGCTGAACTAGGCAGCAACTGGCTTCTTCAGATAGGACACATTCTTCAATTCCCCTCAGGCCTCTGCCTGGCACGCCAATTTCTATTATGTGCCTGGTTTCTGGCAATATTTTTTAGCTTTTATTTCTACTCTACCAGTAGAATAATTTTACACCTTTATGTTTCATAAATCTGGAAGTGCTTGAAAAATTATAAAGGAAAAGTGTAGCATTTGACTACACAAGGGCAAACAAAACAAAAGGAAATACAATAAACTGAGAAGAGTCCATAGCTTTTATTTTTATTATAAAAGGAGAGATTGTAGGGTGGAATGCATCACAGAAAAGTAAGTCTGCTATTTTTTTGCTTGTACATTTAGCTATTCCAAGGAAATAACTTAAAAAACAACAACAGGAAAGTAAATATAGACTTAGTTAAAGGTAAAATGAAATTGGTATAAAAAGTATAGTAGTAGTTGAGAATGTGAGTTCTGGAACCTGACTTTTGAGATTTGAGGCCATTCTGCCTTGCACTTAAAACACTCTGCTTTTGTTACATTGGCAAGTTAATTCCCTTCCTTGAATCTTCCATTTGCCATCTATAAAGCAGAGACAGTATTACTGTCTACTTCAAAGGATGTTGAGATGATCACATGAATGTGCATGTGAAATATTTAACACAGTTCCCAGCACCTATCAGTGCTCAATAAAAATGAGATGGTATTATTGCTGTCAGCATATAATCCCAAATCCTTACCTTACCTGTCTGGTCCCAGCCTACCCTGCTAATTTCTCTAACTGCTTGCCATTCCCCATTATTCCCTTCTTGTCAACATCACTCTTCTACTGGTTCTTCTAAAAAGCTCAGATCTTTCCTGCCTCCTTGCATTCACTGTTGCTTACCTGCAAACTTCTGGGACCTCCCTTCACTGTAGCTTGAATGTGACTAAGAAAGGCTTCTGCTGCTTATCATATCTTCTCATTTGTTTCATTGACAGCATAATAAGCTGCTACTTTATTTATTTACTTGCTGTTGCAGAAGAAGGTGGACATGTAAAGTCTACAAGGGCATGAACAGCTAGAGCAACCCAGCATCTAAAACAGGTGCTCCCTGGAGCAACACAATGAACCTCTATGGAATGAATTTCTTAGCATTAAACTACAAGACATTGGGGAAAAAACTGTCGATTTTATGTCCAACAGCAAATAAAACTTTAAGCTTAAATGTTTAATTCTGATTAATGTTCTATAAAGTTCACAGAAAATCCAATTATATAATTATATTAAGAAAGAATATTTGGGACCCAGAGTCAAGCAATAGCACAACAAAAAAGAATGCCATTCTGATAAATATTAAGCAATCTAATTAGACAGACACCATATCTACTTCTGTATGACATTTTGACCTGTAAATTGTGCCTTCTCACCGTAAAGGCAGCTCTGTAATTACACTGATCACCACAGTTAAAAAGCTTAGAAACAGAATGAGTGAGTAAATCAACGTTGAGACATAATTGCCATATTCAAAGATCATACGAGTTTGCTTGTTATCTATAGTCCTATATAGTTATTAAAAAATGAAAAAGGAAAATGGTAAGAAGAACCAAAAAGTAAAGTTGCTTAGCTTTTCACAGCTGAAAAATGTTTGTACCTAAAGTTAGAAAGATTTCTTGCTTATTTTCTGCTGGTTTCACTTGAATTTGAAGATTTTTAACATCTAGATGTCTTTACTGATCATCTTTCTCAATCCTGGTGTCTTATGTCACTGAAAACACTTAAAAGCCTAGTATTATGAGAACTGATTCACTGTGCTAAACTATGCTGAATCTTTGTGGGGTATTAGTTTACGGATTAGATTAGAACAACATCAGCATAATATTCTTAATATAGCCAAAGCGAGTTAATCTCTTATTCTGACCCTCATTGTTCCATAAGATTTGGTTTGTCATGTTTTCTTATTTGTACAAAATGCTATTTTTTAACATCTTCCTAAAAAAGTCCTCTTGTGAAAAAAAAAGTTTATTGTTTTCCATTCCTTCAAAATTTAGCTCAAATTATATTCAGTATCTCAAGTATTTTTTTGAGTCTATCTATATTCTTCTCACTAGTGTTACAACCAACCCCCTTAATACCAACTTAAAACAAATAGATTGCAAATAACAAATATAATTTACAGACTGAATTATAAATAGGACAAAACAATTAAATATGCTTAATTGTTTTGTCCTATTTATAATTCAGTCTGTAAATTCCTTGAGGGCCTGGAGCTTAATTTTTGGTACTTTTTTTTTTTGAGACAGAGTCTCACTCCCATCACCCAGGCTGGAGTGCAGTGGCAATCACAGCTCACTGCAGCCTCAAATTCCTGGGCTAAGGTGATCCTCCCACCTCAGCCTCTCATGTAGCTGGGACTACAGGCGCACTCCAACCCGGCCTGCTAGTTTTTTGTATTTTTAGTAGATACAGGGTTTCACCACATTGCCCAAGCCAATCTCAAACTGCTAGACTCAAGCAATCTGCCCACCTAAGCCTCCCAAAGTGCTGGGATTATGGGATTACGGGTGTGAGTCACTGTGCTGGCCTGATAGATATATATATATCTGATGAAAGGTACCTCTCAAGTTTTAGGTTTACTTAATCAGTGAAATCAGAAAATTAGAACATTATTTTTAAACTTCAGTTCTCCATCCACCAAAACTGGCATTATGTGTTCCATTTTTTAGTGGAAAAAGTAGAAAAGAATAGATTAGAAAAGAAAATAGAATACATCACCTGTAGTACAGGTAGAAGTCGTGAAATTTTTGTTTTCAATTTTTGGTAGAGGTGTGTGTGTGTATGTGTATGTAGTGGGTCTTAGTATATTATGTTTTTCTAAATGTGAGTTGCAGTTAAAAAAGTTCGAAAGCCACTAGGATAGACAATCTTTAGGTTCCTTCATTATCTACATTCTTTAATTTCTAAGGCACTCACTTAGAAATGATGTTAACTTTTCTTCTTACATCATAGCTAAGAACTATTACTGAATTATAGGCAATTTTATCCAAAGGAGACTATTAAAAAGTGTTTAACAGATAAGCACATTAATGAATATGAAAATGTTCACTATTGAGTAAAACTTGCAAGAAATATATATCTAACCATTTCTTTTCCTCAAAACAAATAACAAAGCCAGAACTTAATTTCCGTAAAATCTTTCAATCTAAAACACCCATAATCTGAGTATAAAGATTGAAAAGAAAATGAAAGGTGCTATTGAAAAACTAGTGTGTAACTTGTGTCTTATCGTCTTATCCTGAAGTTTAAAATAAAACTACCAAAGTTCAGATTTCTGAAAAAAAGTCCTTATAAAAGAAAAATATATAACTTTGAAGAATTCTCTACAAGTAAAATTTGAAGAATAATATCTAAGATAGGAAGGTTTAGTTGTATTAAAGTCTTCTGTACCACCAGTGCCATCGCCCTTTAGGTTTCTGATATATATTTGTGTAGGAAACAAAAATCCCAAGCAAATAGTCACCCCCAATCTCTTTTCATTATCAACCTCGACAGTTCAAGCACTGTTCAGTGAGGACAGACATGTGGTATGGAATACGACACTTCCCTCTTCAGCACCCATCACCACAGTCATCACTAAATGAGCACCATGTTCTTTCCAATTCAGCATTTTCCAACCCAGTGCTCAAAGAAGTGAATACCAACCAATGAGTTGTTGGGAGGAGACAGTTTCTTATTTGGCCCAGGCCAGAATCTATGGCATGATTAGTATGGAAACCAGCTTGTCATCACATATACACACCCTACGCATTCCCAGTATGCATGCCCAATTGGCTAATACATACATGCCTTCAGAAATCTGGTTGATTTAAGATTATAATTAGGCATGATATCATCAGGAATTCTAACCTTTCATTGTGTTTAGTTCCTAAAGTTACCTGACTTGATAAAACTATTTATTTATATTCTTCAAACTGAGGAGTTAGGTCATATATAAAAGGTAGATATTTGGTTCTTATTATCTTCCTTTTTTGGCTCCCCTTTTAAACTCATGTTCCCATCAAACAGCTTAGTAGGAATGATACATAATACGTGACATTCTGCATTAAAACATATAAGTATCATTTATGGATAACAGAGTACTGAGGGTGAAAAAAGAAGATATGAAAAGTGGGTCTAATCCAACAAAAACCACCTAAAGCCCAATTATGAAAAATAAAAGCTTATTTTTTCCTTTTTTCTCATCAATATCATCTCATATCAAAAGTTAAAGTTTATGAATTATTGAATTGATGAGTAGATTTACCCCTTTAAATCATCTAACTTTGCCTCTGAGGAGTCATGTCACTTCCTCTTCATGTCAATGTCATGCATGGCTGAGTTGCTACAATCCGCTTTGGCCACTAAAGCTCAAGTCATTCGGAGCCATCAAATCAATTATAACAGCCGCTGCTGTCTTACACCGACAACCAGTGATTGATAACAAAACCTGTCTGCTTTCAGTTCTCATCTGATAGCAACGACCCAGTCCCTGCCTTCTCTTACTGGCATTTGTCATAAACCAATAGCAATTCCACCATGCAGAAAGGTGCAGGCGGCTCTCTTCAGTCCATCTGGTCTCATTTTATTTTCAAATTTTAAAAAATATAACTATTAAGCAAGATTAATGCCAAAAGTTTATTTCTTGAAGTATCTAACATTACCTGTAAGTAATCCCATAATACAGAATCTCTAAACAAAAATTTAACACCACAGAAGACTCCTATTATTTAACTCAATTTCTAAAGTGAGTCACTAAAACTTTGAAAGAGAAAATTTTACATTCTGAAATCTGTGACTTTTATATTTAGTAAGAAAAATCATATTTTCTTTCAGGTTATTCCAGATATGATGTCATGTTTTAAATAGAATGTTTACAAAATATTATAATAAGACTTCTTGAAAAACAGAATTTTTTTTTACTATTAAGCAATGTCATTACAAAAATGAAATAAAAACAATGCAATATTATAAGCAAATATTAGTAGCACTGAATATTAATTGCATATAGAAGACTGGTTTTACAGATATGAAAATATAAAATTATTGGCAAAGCTATTAGTTGCAGACTAAAACCAGTACACTTTAGATATTTTGTGACGTTAAATAAACACCTGGTCATTTGAAGGAAAAGAAAACAACACTGATCTAATTTGCAGAATTTGAAGAACATTTTGAAAGTCCGTAACACCTTACTATGCAATCTTCAATGGCAAAAAATATTTAATAAAAAATCTGGATACATTTGACATCGTGTTAGGTGGTGTGCTAAAATAAATGGGAAAGAATGATCTTGCAGGTATCTTTCACAGTACAAACAAAACAAAGGCAATTCAAAAGACCATAAGGCATTTATATGAGAGGGAGAAGAGAAGGGAATGAAAGTAACATATATCAGGTGTCTATTTTCTATAAGATGGTAACTGATGCTTTACAGACATGATTTCATTGGCTGCTCAAACCCATGAGGTAGATTTTTTTTTTCCCCAACTTATAAAAATAAAGGCACGGGATCCTGTCAAAGAGACTGAATTTGAATTCAGTTCTGCCTAATTTCTTTTTTTTGTTGTTATTGTTGTTTGTTTTAACTTCTATTTTAAGTTCAGGGGTACATGTGCAGGATGTGCAGGTTTGTTACATAGGTAAGTATGTGTGATGGGGATTTGTTGCACAGATTATTTCATCACTCAGGCATTAACCCTAGTCTCCATTAGTTATTTTTACTGATCCTCTCTCCTACCACCCTGAACCCTCTGACAGGCCCCAGTGTGTGTTGTTCCCCTCTATGTGTCCATGTGTTATCATCATTTAGCTCCTACTTATAAGTAAGAACATGCAGCATTGGGTTTTCTGTTACTATGTTAGTTTGCTAAGGATAATGGCATCAAGCTCCATTCATGTCCCTGCAAAGGACATGCTTGCATTCTTTTTTATGGCTATATAGTATTTCATGGTGTACATGTACCACATTTTGTTTATCCAATCTATCATTGATGGCCACTTGGGTTAATTCCATGTCTTTGTTATTGTGAAAGAGTGCTGCAATGAACATACGTGTGTATGTCTTTACAACAGACTGATTTATATTCCTTTGGATATATACCCAGTAATGGGATTGCTGGATTGAATGGTATTTCTGTTTTTAGGTCTTTGAGGAATCACCACACTGTCTTCTATATAGCTGAGCTAATTTACACTTCCACCAGCTGTGTAAGTGTTCCTTTTTCTCCACAACCTCACCAGGATCTGTTATTTTTTTGGCTTTTTAATAATAGCTATTCTGACTGGCGTGAGGTAGTACCTCACTGTCGTTTTGAGACTTACATGTTCGTTGGCTGCATGTATGTCTTCTTTTGAGAAGTGTCATTAAAATGGCCATATTACCCAAAGCAAAAAATAGATTCAATGCTATTCCCATTACTACCATTGACATTCTTCACAGAACTAGAAACAAAAATTTAAAATTCATGTGGAACTCAAAAAGAGCCCAAATAGTCAAGGCAATCCTAAGCAAAAAAGAACAAAGCTTGGAAGCATCACGCTAGCCAACTTCAAACTATACAACAGGGCCACAGTAACCAAAACTGCATAGTACTGGTACAAAACAGAGACACGGACTGAAGCAACAGGATAGAGAAATAAGACTGCACACCTACAACTATCTGATCTTTGATAAACCTGACAAAAACAAGCAACGGGAAAAGAATTCCCTATTCAATAAATGGTGATGGGATAAGTAGCTAGCCATATGCAGAAAATTGAAACTGGACCCCTTCCTTAAACTATATATAAAAATTAACACGAGATGGACTAAGGAGTTAAATGTAAAAACGAAAACCATAAAAACCCTGGAAGACAACCTAGGCAATACCATTCAGGACATAAGCACAGGCAAAGATTTCATGACGAAGGTGCCAAAAGCAACTGCAACAAAAACAATTGACAAATGGAATCTAATTAAACTAAAGAGCTTCTGCACAGCCAAAGAAACTATCAACAGAGTAAACAGACAACCTACAAAATGGGAGAAAACATTTGCAAACTATGCATTTGAAAAAGGTCTAATATCCAGCATCTATAAGGAAATTAAATTTACAAAAGAAAAAATAAACAACGCCATTAAAAAGTGGGCAAAGGATATGAACAGTTCTGCCTAATTTTAATGCCTATATTCTTTGCATACTCATTATCATTTATTCACCATTTATTGAGAATCTACTATGTATTCTATGTTAAGCTAAGCATCAGACATAGAAATATGAACAAAACTTAGGCATTGGGACTATTGTTAAACAAAATCAGCATAAAACCAGGGAAGTTTTATGTCAGCCTCAGAGTATAAAAAAGATAGTATCATAGTGAGTAAGGCAGCAATAATTTTACTAGCTCCAAACCCCAACATACGTGGACTTATAAAGCTTGATGTAAATCTTGATTTAGGTAAAGAGCTGTAAGGCCTGGAGTAACTTACTCTCTTAACCTCACCTTTTGCTCATCTGTAAAAGTGGATTTACCTCAAAAAGGTTATTCTGAATTCCAAATGAATTAACCTATACAACAAAACACTGGCCATTATAGTAGTTGCTCATTCTACGCAAACTCTTATCTTCAAATACATTCTAAGTTTAGTTGCCATCCTCAGAAATATACAAGGCCTATCTTCTTCATTTAAAATATAAAATTAGGCCGGGCACAGTGGCTCATGGCTATAATCCCAGCACTTTGGGAGGCCGAGGTGGGTGCATCAGTTGAAGTCAGGAGTTCGAGACCAGCCTGGCCAAGATGATGAAAATCTGTCTTTACTAAAAATACAAAAATTAGCCTGGCATGGTGGTGGGCACCTGTAATCCTAGCTACTTGAGAGGCTGAGGCAGGAGAATTGCGTGAACCTGGTGAAGGGAGGCTGCAGTGAGCTGAGATCACGCCACTGCACTCCAGCCTGGGCGACAGAGAGAGAATCCATCTCAAAAAATAAAAAACAAAATAAATTAAAATAAACAATTACCTGATATCTAGAATTCTTTGACCAGAACTGGTGCCCATGACAACAACGGCCTGGGGTCATCTTAGTAGAGATCCTGCTCAAGAAGGTGGCCTGCCAAAGCAAGGGGACCACAGAGGCAAGAGGGTGGGGGTGAATGGGGAATGAGTGGGATCAGGAGTGGCTGGCTGTAGGAGTAGAAAAAGCTCAGCAGAGGAGCCTCCAGGGAAACAGCGAGCTCTGTGGACTGGCCAGACCCAAGGCATGCCAACTTGCTAAAGCAGTACCTAAATTGCTTAAGAACTGTCTTACTCCTTTAGCTTTCTTCTCCCTCCTTGTACTGGAGAAGGGAGGGGCTGTTATGACAGGCAGGCCCCCACCAAGACGGATTTACCCTACTGTCAAATACTAAGACTACTAAAAAGAGGATATGCACAAGGGAATATATTCCTCAACTGATGAAAACCTATAATCCCACTAATCCATGAAGGTATCTTTAAGTGGCACCACTTTAAAAATCTACTCCTTCACATAACAGCTTGCAACACCCATAAGGGAATTCTTTAGATCAAGTCACTTCTGCATCTGTTCCAGTAACAGTTACAGACTGACTTGAAATGTATCTTTTCAAATTTTGAAAAGTCAGTTTGACCACTGTACATATTTACCTATATGCCTCCTTGTATACTGAGATATTTTCCCTAACACATCATCTGTCCATAAAAACTTGACTATGTTTACAACCAATGGCTTTCTCACTTTTGGAAGCTTTGCTTCCTTTTTTTCCCCCTTTTTGAATTTTTCTTTTTACAGAATAGAAGCAATACAATTATATGTATTAAGAACATTTCAGGGCTGACATTTAAACGCTCTCCTTACTGGCCTCCCATCTCTCCTGATCATGTTTCTTAAGAACTATCCCTCGTGCTTAGGTCCAAAGTATCAAAATTAACAACTGTTAGTAGAGGGATTAGTAAAGGGATTTGAAGGTTTGAATTTGCGTTTTGTTAAGAATGTGATCCTTTAGAATAATGTGCTGTATAAAATAAACTGACTACGTTTCATCTACTGAATTGCAGTTCGAATCTTGAATGTATTTGGCATCCTAATACTGAACTGTTGGAGGCTGCATGGTATAATACAAAAACCACATCAAATACAAGAGTCAGAAATTTTTTACTCCATATGTAACACTGTGAGCTGATGCCTTAACTCCTCTAAGTATTCATTTGTTAATTGGGAATACTAATACCAACATGTGCCCTCACAATACCCTTTTGAGTATTAATGATTACAGCACCGGTGCTAGTAGCATCAGAAGTACAATGGTCACTGTGGTATTCAGGTCTACTTCAGTATTACTCTGGAACAGGCATTTTGTGAACTGCTTTTACATATAGAACTTATTTAGTAACCACAGACATCTACTAAATATGTTTATTTTATTGATTTTAAATAGAGAAAACTGAGACATAGAGAGATTAAACATAAAGTAAATATCAAAACTGAGATTTGAATCCAAATCTGCTTATCCCAATGTACATCCTCTTTATCACAGCGCTACAGAGACTCCTGCAAAGCACTACTCAAACATAATGGAGGACCCTGAAAAATACACAAGAGTATAAAGTCAACCCTCTGAATCCACAAATTCAACTAACTGTGATTCAAATATATTCAGAAAAAAAAGTTCTAGAAAGTTCCAACAAACAAAACTTGGATTTGCTGTGCACCGACAACTTGAATCCACATGAATGAAGTGATGTGTAGGCACTGTATTTGGTATGATCAATAATCTAGAGGATGTGCCTAGGTTACATGCAGACACTATGCCATGTTTGTAGGAGATTTGAACCAATCTCCTACAAATACTAAAGGATGACTCTACTTACATGCCAATAATGAAACTTCAGCAGATATACACCATTCACATTTTTGATAATGTGTATACACTCATTTATCTACTTATTCGAGGTTATGGTACAGAATTGTTTCAGACTATTCTTTGTTTCCTTAAAAATATACCCCATGTAAGAACCATTACGGAATATTTTAAGCACCGCATTTAAGAAATACCTATTTTTGAGTCAGAAAGATCTGAGTTCCAATTCACCTCTACCATATTATACCTATGAGACTGTACACTAATGATTTCATCTCTTTCTCTTTACCTTGGAGATGAGAATAATCTGACTTGTTTCCTAGAACTGTTGTAAGAGTTAAATAAGATAATAGATAGTACCTGTCACATACAGAGTGCTCAGTAAGTGATGTCTGAGAATATTAATTACAGTGATAGCACTGGTGACATTTAATTAGCCTGTTTGCTGGGATTTCCCAGATGCTAAGTCTAACACCAAGCACGAAGTTCTTCTACAGTTTGTAAAATTAGCAAACAATGGAAATTTAAGCAATAAATAAAAAATGCCACAGAAGGAAGTAAAAGCAAACTTAATTTTAACTTAGGTATCCTGAGAAAAATTTCATCAAGTTGTATATAAAGGGTCAAGAAACGTACCGCAAGCTGGAATTAGGTAACTTATCTACCTTTATTTAACAAGTTAGAATCACTTGATCTATATTAGAGAAAAAATATATTTACTTCCCCCTTCATATTTTTCACACTATTATAAAGGAATAGAGGTCAGGAAATGAGGAAATAAATAAGAAGAGATGAACAAAGAAGGTGTAGCCCCAAAGCATGAAGGCCATTTTCTCAAAGATTGTTGGTGAACAGCTCAAGGAATCTATGCCCAAGGCTGGGAAGAGAAAAGAAACAATAAGGATGATGAGCAGATAGGGGTAAGGGTAAGTGGTGACCTGGAATTGTAGGAAACCAAGGTGACTAGTTATTTGTTCTGCCTCACTCTAGCTGTTAACGGATCATTTTTACAGCTTGACCCACTGTTACTCCTGACAAGACAAACATGATCAACTTAAAGAAGACTTTAAAATGAAGCAGGTGCTTTCTGAAAGAAAATGAATGAGTATAAGGGCTGGGGTAGTTAGGAAAGAAGAAATACAAAGGGAAGCTTTTTTCTTGAGTTTTCTTTCTTTATAGGCATACTTTGAAAAGTGTATCTATAGAGAACAAACACATAAACAAAAAATCTGAGTGAATATCTATAGAGGGGAAAGAAAAAAATTATACTCTTGCAGCATTTATGCTATTGTACTACATAGGTGAGTTTCTCATATTCCACCTAATGAAAGTATTACAGATTTACGTGTATCTCAGAGAGACAAAAACAGAAGACAAAACTGTAAGTATTGCTAGCAGTAAGAAAGTGGGGGGCCAGGCGCAGTGGCTCATGCCTGTGATCCTAGCACTTTGGGAGGCTGAGAAGGGGGAATCACTTGAGCCCAGGAGTTCATGACCAGCTGGCAACATAGTGAGATCCTGTTTCAAAAAATAAAAATTGGTCAGGCAGGAGCTGAGGTGGAAGGATTGCTTGAGCCCAGGAGGTTGAGGCTGCAGTAAGCCGTGATTGCACCACTGCCTTCCAGCCTGGGCAACAAAGCAAAAAAAAAAAAGAAAGAAAGAAAAGAGAAAAAAGAGGGTTACAAAATACAACTTTTAATGAGATATTCCACTCTATAATTCTAAACAACTGTATCATCTTAAATAAATTCAAAATGACATAGGGGGTAAAATATTTCCTACCTATTGCATGGTTCATGACTGAGACCCCTATAACGAAAGACATATTAACAACAGAAAAGCATATTGTATTAGTCTTTTCTCATGCTGCTAATAAAGACATACCCAAGACTGGGTAATTCATAAAGGAAAGAGGTTTAATGGACTCACAGTTCCACACGGCTGGGGAGGCCTCCCAATCATGGCAGAAGGAGAAGGAAGAGCAAAGAGACTTCTTACATGGAAGTCAGCAAGAGAGCTTGTGCAGGGGAACTCCCATTTATAAAACCATCAGATCTCATGAGACTTATTCACTATCATGAAAACAGTATGAGAGAAACCACCCCCATGATTTAATTATCTCTACCTGGCCCCACCCTAGACACGTGGGGATTATTACAATTCAAGGTGATATTTGGGAGGGGACACAGCCAAATCACATACATATTTATTTAATGTAAGTTTTACATGACAGGTGAAACTTCAGAAATGAAGACCCAAAGAAACAGGAAAATTTGCATATTTTTATGCTTAGGTTTGATGAAAAGTGGATAGTCAAGCAGATAAACTGTGGAGAATTTATGAAGGCCTGTTTGTTCAGATTCTTCCTAATGTCTCTGTGCATCCTTCTGGGTAACAGGGAGGACTTTTCTGGTTCTTATGACTTACCTTAGATCAATCCACAGATGAGTAGTAATCTAAAAGGGCTGGCTTCTGATGTAAGCATGGATGCTGCTAAAAGAAGAAAAGAAAAGAAAGAAAAGGAAAGAGAAAAGAAAAGAAAGAAAAGAAGAAAAGAGAAAAAAGAGAAAGGAAAGAAGGAAGGAAGGAAAAAGGAAAGGAAAGGAAAGGAAGAAAGGAAGGAAGAAAGGGAGAAAGGGAGAAAGAAAAGAAAAGAAAGAAAAGAAAGAAGCAGATCAAGACATGTCTCTTCTACACAGTAGGTCCTGTTTTTACTTTTTATGCTTATATTTGATGTTGATATTTAAGTAGCTTTGACAATTCATCCTTCATAAGTTGACATGACTCAACAGAAATAAAGAAATGATAGATTTTGGGGTACGCATTTTCAAAGAGAACACCACATTTTGAATCTTAATGAAATGTTGGAATGTGAAATAAAGAGGCAACATTCCTAGAAGGTGAAAGAATTGTACAGAGTTGAAAAGTGTGGATCACACTGGGAACTGCCAGTGGCTCAATTATAGCCAGGCAGTGGAATCTGGTGATGGAGTGGGATGAAATAAGCCTAGGAGGCACAAACAAAATCATGTGGGGAATTCACATTCTAAACTACTGGAACTTACACAGACAGCCCAAGAAAAGATTTGTATTTTTTGATGATCTCTTTGGCAGTGATAGTATGAAGGAATGAAATGGACAGGAGGACAACTGGAGGAAGGGAGAATGATTGGGATGTTACTGCAACAAAGCAGTCTGGAAATGAAGTTGGCCTGAGATAAAGCAGTGGCACTCAAAGAGACGGAAGACCAGACTTGAGCAACCTTAAGGAGATAGAATAAATCATGCTTGGTGACAAATGTGGTATGTATGTAGTAGTGGTCGTGAGTAAGGCAAAGGAGGAAGTTTCCAACATGGGGGAGCAAGTTGGGTTGGTGTTTGGGAGGTGAGATAAGAGGACAGAGATGTACCTTGTTGGGGGTGGATGACAACACCCAAGGAGAGAATGCTCTCACCCTGGCCTCACCCCTTAAAGGTCTGTGTGAGAGCCCAAACTAAGAACGGCCAAGAAAAGTGCAAATATTCCTTTTCTGAACATTTTAAAGAAAAAGTGGCATATTATCTTTCTCTAATGGCCCTTCACAGATCTACTGAAGGGTCTCTTCTAGCCCTTTTGATTCTATGACAACTGCCTTTTTCAGAGTTATATGGGATGCTTGGGGAATTAATGGGATATTTGTAAAGCATTTTCATTTCCTTTAAAGTTTTTATTTACAATCCATTTACATACATTTAAATGCAGCTGGAAAAGCATATTTAAATTCAATTTCCTTTGAAATTGCCAAGGGACTGCAACAGGGAGAATAAAAAAAGCACTTTAATAGAGGAAAAAAGTCTACACCCCACAGGCATCACTGTCCCTTTCTTGTCTCAAAATACACACATATACACACATAATCAAGTAAAATGGTGGCAAATCATGCTATTCTTACATTAAATTTGTTAGGATCGACTTTTTATTTTGGGGGTTAAGTTTCTATATTTCTAAACAACTATACGGGTCCTGGTCACATATGTTCATTTTGAGAAAAATACATTGAACTGTGCCCTATGACTTGTACATTTTCTGCATGTATATAACTTTTCAGTAAAATAATAATAACCACCACCAAAAATAAAACCCCACATTTTAATGATGGTTATGAATTAATCTGATACCAGATGATGACATGATATCCAATTATTGCACAGATTATATTGGTCAATTATCTGAAAACTATGACTCAGGGACAGGTGACATTATGAGTAGAAATAATATCCACCAAGTTCAGTTAATACATACTATGTGCTGGGTATTCTGTTAGGCATTAGGGAATCAACGATGAAGAAGATGGTCTCTGCCCTCCAAGAGGGCACACTCCATTACAAGCTTGTCCAACTTGTGGCCCAGGATGGCTTTGAATGTGGCCCAACACAAATTTGTAAACTTTCTTAAACCATTATGAGATTTTGTGTGTAATTTTTTTTTTAGCTCATCAGCTATCATTAGTGTTAGTATATTTTATGTGTGGCCCAAGACAATTCTTCTTCTTCCAATGTGGCCCAGGGAAGCCAAAAGATTGGAGACTCCTTCTCTATTAGGAAAGACAACTATAACCACCACTGACCACGTTTACAGAGAGGTATAACTTATTATCACAGCACAGAGCAGCCCTGATTAGCTTTCTTTGGCCAGGAGTGGGGCAAGAGTGGGCCTTGAAGGTGACATCTGAAAGAGTTTTGGAACCAACAGTGCACCTGGACAAAGCAGAAAAAAATTGCAATCAGGGCGACTGACCAAAGATGTGAAGGCAAAAGCACTTTAAGAGGATAGAGATGCACCATGTTGGGGATGCCTGAGGGAAGAGCCATCGAGTAGATGAGAACACTCAGGGAGAGAATGCTCTCACCCTGGCCTCACCCCTTATAGGTCTGCATGACAGTACAAATAGCTAGAGTTTATGGATAACCTTAAGACTTGGAACCTTTTTTGTTCCAAGAAGGTTTCTTGCTATAGTTGCTTTCATGAGAACAACTTTAGCCTGCTAGAAAGGAAGAATTTAAAAACTTGGTTATTTGTTTGCTTTGCTTTTTCCTCTA
Source organism: Homo sapiens (assembly GCF_000001405.40). Lineage (NCBI taxonomy): Eukaryota > Metazoa > Chordata > Mammalia > Primates > Hominidae > Homo > Homo sapiens. The sequence continues at coordinate 59,745,143 of NC_000013.11, forward strand.
GCTTTAACACACAGCCTGAGGTTTGTCAGCATGTTTAACAAGAGCCAAGCAAGAAAGTGAAAGAGAAGGCAAAAGAGAAGGGAGATGGACTAAAAAACAACACAGCAGGGGCCAGTACTATTTCAAGTGTGAATACTGAATTGTTTAACCTAGAGGTTAATTATCTTTTAAAAACAGAATACCAAAGTTTTAGCAATTTCTTCTGGTATATCTGGAGAATGATATTTCCAATAGGGGATCAGCAAAATATCTTGGAAGAGGTATTTCAGACAAGTGTACCTAGGGTGTTGAGTTTTCTCATGATTTTAGTGGGTAGAGAAAGGAAATTGACTCACAAAAAAAAATGACTAGTGTTTGTAATAGAGATATTCCTTGCACAACTGAGAATTACGTGCAAGCCAATGGTTGCCAGTTCTCAAGAATATGTAACATATGAGGTAAGGCTGCACATACAAACACAGATTAAGTTAAACAGTCATTCATAATGCTCTGGTTAATCAGAAGCCCAGACTTCACTGAAACAATGTATTATACTAGCTAGGGAAGGCAGACTGGAGAGGAGCAGCCTACCCAGCACTGTTCTCAGCTCCAGTGAACTGTCACTAGCAAACTGATTTAAAAAAGAAATGAATGCATACAATCAATGCATACCTTAGGGATATGTAAAAATTATTTTTTAAACAAAGAAATATTCTAATAGTTTCACCCAACTACTCTGCTCTGCTTGTTTGGCAGTTTTCACTAATATTGAAAATATGTTTCAAGCTGAGTAAATATTCTGGAATGATATGAATTGAAAGTGAATATTTCTAATCACTAGTTCATACACTAATTTTCTTTTTGCACTCTCAGGGTGTTCTTTTTAAACAATGTTTACATCTTAAAAACAGCAATTCTGTCCATGTTGTATATTACATTTATTTCATGTTTATTTTTGGTCAGTAATAATATTACCTATTTAGCATGATTTTATTGTATATATCTTTTATATTCAGGCAGCTTTAAAAATATTTTATTTTTTAGTGAAAAACAAAACATCAAACAAGTACCAACAAGAAAAATATAAGCCAGCTGGGTTTTTGTTTGTTTGTTTATTTTGAGACAGAGTCTTGCTCTGTGGCCCAGGCTAGAATGTAGTGATAACAATCTTAGCTCACTGCAACCTCTGCCTCCCAGGTTCAAGCGATTCTTGTGTCTCAGCCTCCCGAGTAGCTGAGATTACAGCTGTGCGCCACCATACCCAGCTAATTTTTTTTTTTTTTAGTAGATTGGGTTTCACCATGTTGGCCAGGTTGGTCTTGAAACTCCTGACCTCAAGTGATCTGCCAGCCTTGGCCTCCGAAAGTGCTGACATTACAGGTGTGAGCCACTGCAACCAGCACCAGCTGGGTTTTGAATAGTCACCCTCAAGACTTTAACCCTGTTTTCACATTGGAACTTGATATTAAAAGGTGAGAGTTATTCCAGATCATTATCTCCAAAATTCTCCTTTTCTGATCAGAGACATTTCAGCTACACAATAAGTTTTGGAGGAATTTGTTTAAAAACAGTTCCTAGGCACCTACACCCAGAAATTCTGATTCAGTAAGTCTGGAATGAAGTTCATAAAAGTATTTTTTACAGAAGCTGCCCACTTGCTTATGACACATAGCAAGGTTTGGAACCACTGACAGCGTATTTCTCATTATGTATAATTTATAATTTAAATAGTGATAGTTTCTGGCTTGACTCATCATTTTCCTACAATGACTGACAAAGAGAAAAATGAATTTATGTTTTAAAAAGTAAAAACTTGAACTACCATCACCCACAAGTTATAAAATCATAATGAGATGCAAAAAATTATGAATATATAATTACTTGGAAACATTCATTTTTGACTCGTTTTCTTAGGAGCAAATTGCTTAATGCTGCATACAATAAAAATAATTCAGATAACATCACTAAGCTGCAAAGAAGTCATATTTGGCTGAAAATGACTGAGAAAATAACCACAATAGCAAACCAAACTATAAACAAATATACTAAAAAATAACTGATTGCCAAGTACCAATATGAAAAAAAAATTCAGTATTATTCGGGATGATCACTGAAACATGTGCACTTAGGGAAGGATTTTCCAGACAATGTCCTGGTAAGACTTGACTCTGGCATAAATCAAGAGGGAATGAATCTTTCAATAAATATTTATGTGACTTACAGATTTTGCATCTAGGTATTTTAAATCAGCCTGTTTACACCCGTATGTTGCTAGAATGGCTCATCAGCCTTCCTGGGAGAAAGGTGAATGGATCATCATGAGATGTAACTCCTTCAAGGTTCCTTTATTTAAAAGGAGGGACAAGGCATGAGTGGTTTAAGTAAGGGTTAAAAAATGAATTTTAAAATTCAGGTCACTCATTGCCCCATTCTCCCACTGGAGTGTATTTTCAAGCCATCAGGTCCTGCCTTGGCCACTGGGACCTGAGAAATATCAAGCTGGAAGGAGAGGGCCATATAACCTCATGAGCACCCAGACAAGATTTCCTCTTGGGCTTCAGTTACATCCTACTATAGAGGCACTCTCTCCTCAAGGGGGCAATGTGTCAAATTTGAATGACATCTATGACTGCATTCTTCTCACTTCAGGAAGTGACTGTCCTGCTGTCCACACAAGAATGACAGGAGAGCCATTTTGGTTCCTAGATTTCTTTTCCGCATAGTCAACTCTTCCTTCCTAGGTAATAGTTCTTATAAATGCCACTACAATCAAGTGGACTGATTCTAAATGCCTGCAGGCTCTATGCCTTCCACTATAAATTATTTGAGAATGCTATGTCTTGGCCCAAATGAGGTTAGCTAGCCAGAGCATGCTGCACCACTAAAAGCAAAGGTCTACAAATCATGCAATAAGATAAGTGGTTGCAGGTTTTTACACTGGAAGACTATGGAACAGAGACAGCAGTGGCTCTGATTCTGCCCCTGGAACAACGTTGGTAGAGTTCCGGGTACCAAAAGAGCTGCTTTCCTGCTAAGTTTGAATATTATGTACTTGTAGAAAGCTTCTTGATATTAGAGCACTCCTCAACCTACATTCCAGTTTTAGGCCCTTCAGATCTTTGGTCATTAGGGAAAAGAACTTTGGCAGAGTGACGGCGGAATATCTACTCTAGTTCTCTAGAGGGCTGCTGTGGCTTGATCATTACGGAAATCTATCCTACCAGTTCTCATGCAATACATTGCAAGGTTTTGTGAAAACACAAATACTCTCTGCCAAGAAAAAAATGGATGTGCAGCCTCATTGTAAAGACATTTTAGACTTCACCTGTGCTCAGAACCCTATGGGAGACCCAACCATGTTTCTGGTTGTTAATAGTCTGAAACAAAATATCATTATTGATCCATTTGTTTAAAATTCCAGTAAAATAATTAGTCATTAAATTAGAATCCTCCTAACTTGATTTTTCTATTTGTAAACACCTTAAGAGGCAGCCTTTACTTTCATTGCTACAAGTGTTATTTACAAATCCATTTTTCTTCAATCAGCTGCTGTGATATAAATGTATGCAACCTGTAAAAACTTAAATTGCTTCCTTACACCTGGATATTCAACCAACCTCTAGATGTCTGTAATTGTATGAAGGAAGGTGTAACCATATCTAAGCATTTTATATTAGAGGGGGCCAGAAGCCACGGTTGGTGGTAATCTGACAGCATCTCAATCTCTGTTGACTGAGGAATTAAGAGTATTTCTGACATTTTAGAGCTCTTTCATCATGCTGAGCACACAGTGTTTCAAAAGTAAAGCCAGGTCAGGTGCGGTGGCTCATGCCTATAATCCCAGCACTTTAGGAGGCCGAGGTGTGTGGATTACTTGAGGTCAGGAGTTCGAGACCAGCCTGGCCAACATGGTGAAGCCCCGTCTCTACTGAGAGTGAGATAGTTAGCCAGGTGTGGTGGCATGAACCTATAGTCCCAGCTACTTGGGAGGCTGAGGCAGGAGAATCGCTTGTGCCCGGGAGGCAGAGGTTGCAGTGAGCTGAGATAGTGCCACTGCACTCCAGCCTAGGTGACTGAGACTCTGTCTCAAAAAAAAAAAAAAAAAAAAAAAAAGTACGGCCGGGTGCAGTGGCTCACGCCTGTAATCCCAGCACTTTGGGAGGCAGAGGCAGGTGGATCATGAGGTCAGGAGATCGAGACCATCCTGGCTAACACAGTGAAACCCCGTCTCTACTAAAAATACAAAAAATTAGCCAGGCGTGGTGGTGGGCACCTGTAGTCCCAGCTACTTGGGAGGCTGAGGCAGGAGAATGGCCTGAACCCGGGAGGTGGAGCTTGCAGTGAGCCGAGATTGTGCCACTGCACTCCAGCCTGGGTGACAGAGCGAGACTCCATCTCAAAAAAAAAAAAAAAAAAAAAGCCAAATATTTTAAAGTAGATGACTTAATAAAATAATCTTTTATTATATCCAATAGGGCTTATGAAAGAATATCTCAGATATATAATTCACAATTTTATATGCAAGATACCTTGCATATAAAATTCACAAATAAGAAGTATATAATATTTTAAAAATAGTATTATACAGTTCATAGGTATTTCTTAAAAGAAAAAACAACAGGTCTTAGAAAATTTCAAAAAATAAATTTCAAGTTTTTTCTCCTTAGAATTTATGGAATGGTATCTGTTTTAATGAATGAAACTAATTTGTTTAGTGTTTGAGGCACACAAGTGATGTATTAGGATCACCATCATCAGAAACTAATTTATTTCAGGGCCCTTCATGATACTCTGTTAGCTATCTCCCTGGAAAGAGCAGGACAAGTGATACAAACATTAAATATACATGGAGTTCTTTCAAGGAAAACAAAATCACATTGAGTTGAAACCTTCCTTCCCTCTTGGTCAATAAAAAGAGGAATCTGTGGTAATGACTGGGTCATTGTTATTACTGATTTTGACTCTCTCAATACAAAAAAACATAAAGCAATAGTGAGAAATAGCTTGATATAACAAGCCTACAATATTAGTTCTCCTGAATTTTAAGAACATTTCAGCCAGGATGCACTATCAGTCTACTCAATTAGAAGGCACATACGTTAAATTTATACCTAAAAAACTACCTTGAAATTTATTGCTATGTTTACACAATAGCTGGTTTTAAAAACCTCATGAACTTGACCATTTTTATGGGCCAATACACTTTCAAAGGGAGGATATAATAGTATAAATAGTACCTCACATGTTTCTTCTTACCATGATAATAAGTTTTTTCATCTCTAAATACCTACAGCAATTAGGTTTTACAAGAATTACTACTTTCCAGGTTTAAGAACATTTTATCAAATTAAACTAGCATGAAAGATCATGCAATTGGTAGGTATCACTTTGCCTTTTATTTTTCAAAAGGGTCTGCTCTCGTTTATGTTGAGTTTATTTTCAGCTTCAAGTCACTTTTGGCAGTTAAATCATAAGTCTTTAAAAATAAGAGATTATAAGGAGAGGAGGGAGTTACCAGTACAAACTGAATCTAATACCTGTGTGAATTACAATTGGTTGGTTCCAACCAAATGAATATTTTTACCGTAGGCCACGGTAATGCAGTTTTAGATGGAAATAAAAGGAATAACCGTTGATCTGTCTCCTATAGCCTCTGGGCATTCCAATATTGAGTTCAGGCCTGGATAAACAGTTGCTACGATATGCCTAGCACCTACCTCTGAGGGACTGGTGTCAAATTAATCTCCATGTCATCAGTACCTTCTCAACAGGTTTTAAACAGTCTTCTCTTTCCCTCTCCCAGATCAACAGTTGTCAGGGTCTGAGTCAAGCTGTGCTTCTGCCCACATAGTGGCACTGTCAGCACTGTCGGCTGCTCAAATGATTTTTTAAGCAGAGCAGCCGGTTGCCTTCAGCAGCAATGCTTTTGGGGGCACTGCGTGCTGTTCACCCAGAGTCTCTGGCTGCTCTACAACTGTGCTAGTTAAGGGATCGACAGAAGGAACAACAAATGGCTACAATTAGCATTCGCCCTGCTCCTGCAAAAGAATTTCATTGCTATGGCAACGGGAGTTGCCCAGACAACATAGGGCTTTGGCTGAGAAGAGTGTACTGCGTTATACCAAGTATGGAACAAAATAGCCATAGATCAGGCTCTCGCTTCATGGCACAAAGATCTCTGCCATCATCTTTAAGTTTAATTAACAAGAACTGATTTCTTAATTCTGGGAGCCAAGGTTCTGGCTGTTAATAGCCTGAAACAAATATCATTATGGATCCATTCCTTTAAAATTCCAGCAAAACAATTAATCATTAAATTAGAATCCTCCTAACTTGATTTTTCTATTTGTAAACACCTTAAGAGGCAGCCTTTACTTTCATTGCTACGAGTGTTATTTACAAATCCATTTTTTCTTCAATCAACTGCTATGACATAAATGTATACAACCTGTAAAAAGTTAAGTTGCTTCATTACACCTGGATATTCAATCAACCTCTGGATGTCTGTAATTGTATGAAAGAAGGTGTAACCATATCTAAGCATTTTATATTAGGAGCTACAATCTTGCAGGTCTTCTAAATAATTTTACATCAAACAGGAGAATATCTATTATACTGTTTTTGAAGTAAACTTTTAAAGCAGGAAACTGAAAACATCTTGAAATTGGTGTGGTAACAGTACTACAAGTAAAATGGAAAAATTAATCAAATGACATAAAAATGGGTTACCTCAGCCACCATTCAATACCTCTGCAGTCAAGCTTCATAAATTGGTCCAGTGCCACTCATAGTCATGTAAAACATTCTATGGATCTGATCCAGTAACACTTCTTAATGAGCCAAGAAGCAGGATATATTCACAGGCAACACAGGACAATGGGGCTAGCAGGTATAACCTGGCAGATGACAGTGGTCTAAAATTTTCAAAACTTGAAACATTTCCAGAGTACAGTCTCTTTCCCAGCCAATATCCTTGTTAGTATAGAACTAAATATTATCATCAGTAATAACAGTTAACATTTTATTGAGTGCATAGTGCTTTGCATGGCTTGTTTAATTTAGTTTTCACAAATACTCTATAAGGTAGGTATAATTTAAATAAGGAAACCGAGGTGCAAAGAGATTCAGTAACTGCCAGCATATAAACAGCAAAGCTGGGATTCAAAACTAAGTAGACCCCTATAGGGTTTTCTTTACTTCAGCTACATTATTAGTATTGTACCACAATAAGCAATAATGTAGTCAATTTTTTTTTTTTTTTTTTGAGACACAGTCTCGCTCTGTCACCTAGGCTGGAGAGCAGTGGTACTATCATGGCTCACTGCAATCTCGACCTCCTAGGCTCAAGCAATCCTCCCATCTCAGCCTTTCCAGTAGCTGGGACTACAGGTGCACACCAGCACACCCAGTTAATTTTTGTATTTTTGTTAGAGATGGGGTTTCGTCATGTTGTGCAGGGCTGGTCTCGAACTCCTGGGCTCAAGCATCCCCATGTCTTGGACTTCCAAAGTGCTGGGATTACAGACGTGAGCCACTGCACCCAGCTAATGTAGTCATTTTAAAGCTTCAGTCTCTTTTAAAACAAGGGTAAGTACAAATTCTATAATGGGAAAGGTCTAAACAAAAAACTCTTAGCATGTAAGAATAATATTTAATTTAATCATTCAAATTTCTTAAATAATTATCTGGGGATGTGGGTAAGTGGGGAATGAAGAGAGAATGAAACACATTAGCTAGTTCTGGTTTTGGTATAAAATGTCTGAATATATACATGTAAAGTGTCTGAACAGAAATTATCTCTCTTAAGAACACATGTAGACATCCATTTTCATTTTATAAAAGATTATTTTTAAAAGTAAACTCTTTATTAGTGGTAAGTAGCTACTAATGAAAATTACAAATATTTTACTCTCTGGCAGAAATGATTCTGCTTTCCAGCTTTTTAAATACTATCTGGATAGCTCAGATCATACTGTATTTTTAGCTCTGAGGCTAATACCAAACAAATTGGGTTAAAGAACAAAAGCAGAAATAATTTCAGGGTTAAAAATGATTTTTATAAATAGATAAACTTGATGAAGCCTAACTTTTGTCAAATCTATTAGTAAAGGGCAAATATTAGAAAACTTTTCAAGAAATTCGATATCTGAGGCTTCTACTCTGATGAATCACAGATATTTATGTAATTCTAATTTATGAGATCAAGAGTGTTTATAAATCACTAAACTTCAGACAAAATGTAGCTGGAAGATTTTCATGACTCCAAATAATATAGTAATACAAATCTGAAAAATATGTTTTTGTTATACTGAGTTTTTTGGGACTCAAAAGTGTACTGCATGGGGGAAAACTGCTTTGAACATGTTTGAGCAGTAGCAGTATTGAGATTTTTGAGATAGAAAAGCAGATATCCTCTCGTGACACTGCCTAATGGCTGGTATTTTCTGAGTAATATCTATATTTTAATTTTTGATCATAATTATACTTGTCACTTACAGTGAAATAAACACATTGAAACAGGTATATACAAAGAAACTCCAGAATAGTTGTGCCTTCCATCCAATTTGTTATAAATATATTTCTTATGCTTATGGATGTTTTAGGATAATAGAAGCAGAATTGTAAAAGTGCCAGCAATATATTAAGATCAAACAAAATATGGTACCTGAAAGCACTCTGAAAACTGTAAAGTGCTATAAAAATGTGTGTTTCACAAAAACAGCGTTAGCTTTTATGGGCTCAAAGAGATCACCCTTGACATTTACTTATTTTAAGTAAATCAAAGAACAAAAGAAGATAAAGTATATAAATTCCATACCCTTCTAACCCACCCCTTCTAAAACCCTCATCTAGGCCATCTCCAGCCTCCTCCTACTGGGACACCTTCACTTTTTAGCTATTCAACCAATTTAAATACATGCTAAACTGAAGAGAAATCCCTCAGCTGATTGTTCCCATCTAATCTGTCACAAAACAGCCAGGGAGTAAACACAACTCCTGTATCCAACTTATCTTTCTGCTCTCTACTTCTGATATTTTTGAGGGCATCTTCTGTTCCAGAAAAAGTAATCTCCTGATTCCATTCAAAGAAAGGCAATTTACTGAAGTGACTTAGAAAATGGAATTTGCTGTCACAGATCTGGGTTTAATTCTTGCCTCTGTCATTTATCAGCTTTACGATTTTGGGCAAGTTACTTAACTTTTCTAAGCCTCAGTTTGAGACAATGCAAATAATACACTCAACAGCGTCTGACACGTAGTAAGTGGTCAAATACTAGCTACTTTATTCTTTTTGGCATCTTATCTTTCTAAAATAGACTCCCACTCCTCTCACCTCTTATGTCTGGGGCAATCTATTCCCTCCGCTCTACCATTTAGCAGTAACCAACTTGTAGACAGAAGTTCTGAGTTTGTATCCTGACTCTGCCACTTAATAGCTATAATGATCTGCAAAAGCACCCTTTCCAATTACAAATATAGCAAATTGAGAATGAAAATCGAAACTGTTTACTTACAGAAAAATAAGCTCTAGTTTGTAAAAATGGAAGGTTCCACATTAGCTTAATTAGTCACTGAAGAAGGTAGATCTGAGACTAATCATCCTTTTGTCACTTGGATTATTATCAGTCTTGTCAAACCAAACCTAAAATACTTCCTACTATCAATTTCTCATTTGACTCTTAATTTACTTGAACTCTTGCTATGTGCTAGGTTGTACTGATAAGTTTTCATGCATTACTGGATTTTAAGCCTCACAAAGAACCAAGGCTGGAATGATTATGGTCCCATTTTACTGACCAAAAAACCTGAGGCACAAGAAGGAAGTGACTTGCTAAAGGTTACACAGCTAGTAAAGTGGCAACCTACATCATTAACTTCTTTTCTATACAGGTATAGTAAAGATCATTACAGACCTATGAACTATACGTTCAATGTTTAGTTTTTCTGTTTAAATGCTTATATGTTCTGTATTGCTCATACAGCTTATGTTATATACATATTCTCCTTAGAGTTCAAACTACATGGTGTCAGATTCAGTACTTATTTTCAATTATTTAGAAGTCACAGAACTTGTTTCAATACCACACAACTTCTAAGCACTAAATAAATGTTCATTGATAATGAAGAAAATGTGCACAGCCAGGGCAAGGTCAAGGTAGAATCACCCACATGGTGGAAATAATTTGCAATAAAATTATAAAATATTAAAACTTAATGAGCACAGTCTCAATTAGGAAATTGAAAATCTGCTCATTAAACTTGCAGATGATACTTAGTTGGGCAGGGGTTAAATGCTTTAGAAGAAATAGAATTTAAAATGACCTTGATAGATTAGAGAAACGGTTCATCAAAAACAGGATGAAGTTCAATTAAGAGAAGAACAAAATGGTATACTCAAGAACCAAAAACATACCACACTGATTAAAAAAAGAGAATGAGTGGCTAGGCACATGGATGGAAAAAAAGCCACAGATGAAACAATCTGTTACTTGTTGGCAAAAGGGGCTATTTTTTATCTTTACCTATCAGTGGCTTACAATTTTGTTTTGCACACTGAAATCACAAAGAGAGTTTCAAAAAAATACAGTGCCCAGACCCCATCTTAGACCAATTAAATCAGAATGTGTGGAGCTAAGGCTCCATATTGGAGCCATTAGAAAAACTCTCTAGGTATTTCTAATGTGGCCAAGGTTCAGAATACATATGAATATAGAGGATAATATACAGGATATGACATAGAATTAATCATATCCTGTACAGCCATATAATGAGCCTTATAAAAATAATAGCTATTATTATGATCAGACACTGAAATATATGGCTCACAAAGACTAATAAAAAATATGATATTAATCAATGATGATTCCAAATACTCAAAACAGATAAAGGTGATCCAGATCTTGTGGTTCTCAAAGTGTGGTTCTTGTATGAGTAGCACTTGGGAATTGAGAAATGCAAATTCTCATGCCTACCATAAACCTACTGAATTAGTAACTCTGGGTTGAGCCCAGAAACCTGTATTTTGACAAGACCACAGGTAATTCTGGTGCATGCTGAAATTTGAGAACCAAGGCTATAAGCTAAGAAGCCAACTTTCTTTTCTTATAGCATCTGTTTTCTCTTATAATTACATAATTATTATGTGTCTCCTTTTGTAAGCCATTTCAAATTCTTCCTAGAAATAAGTAGGGTATATAAACATAAACTTTAAAAAAGTTATAATCTACTAATACCTTCACTATTGAAATACCTTTTCTTAAATAGATACATGTGGTAAATTTAGTAAAAAGGAAGGAAGGAAGGAAGGAAGGAAGGAAGGAAAGAAGGAAGGAAGGAAGGAAGGAAAGAAGGAAGGAAGGAAGGAGGGAAGGAAGGCAGGCAGGCAGGCAGGTAGTCAGGCAGGCAGGGAGGGAGGGAGGGAGGGAGGGAGGAAGGGAGAGAGGGAGGGAAATCTGCTAAAGTTGCTGTTAAAATAGCCTGGAAGAGAACTTAATTCATTGGATGGCATCATGTAGACTAAGGTTAGTCACAGTTAGTTTTACAGATCCATTAAGCTGCTACCTCATTACCCAAAAACCTTGGGGAAGGAGGTGTGAACCCATCTGAGGTTCCAGCTATTTCTTGCCACTGGGATTTAGGTCTGTCTCTGATTTTCATTCACCTATTTCCAACCCATTACTCCAGTACATCAGAGTTAATAGTATTTATTATCAGTAATGATAAAAACATACAAATAAAACCTACTCAATGGCAGCATTGAAAAATCATCACAAACAGTAATAATAATTTATCCTAATAGAGAAAAAAGAAAGAGGAAATAATAATATTGAAGTTTCTGATTTTTCCTTAAGGATGACATAGTTTGCTAAGAAATACTGAGAAGGTTCTCCCTCCTACTCCGTTTCTGGTTCCTTTGCCCCCTTAATTTTATCAGTTACAAATAAAGGATGAAAATATATGCAATTTCACAGCTAAAGAAAAATGCAAAACAATAAGACACCATTTTGTCGATAGTAAAAATTCTGAGACACATCCAGTGTTATTGAGAATTAGATGAACGGACATGTCCATAGGCTGCTGGTAGGAGTATAATTTAGTATAATCTCTTCACTCCACCCAGACCAGTGAGGCAATATGTATAAAAAGATTCAAAATTGTTCATATCTGTTGCATTATCCTGAAGAAACAGTGCTATATATAATGGTAAAAAAAAATTGAAAAACATAAAAGCCAAACCCTACCTAGGAAAGCTAGTTATTATGGGTCATCCTTTTTTTTTTTTTTTTTTTTTTTTTTGAGATGGAGTCTTGCTCTGTCACCCAGGCTGGAGTGCAATGGCGCAATCTCGGCTCACTGCAAGCTCCGCCTCCCAGGTTCACGCCATTCTCCTGCCTCAGCCTCCCGAGTAGCTGGGACTACAGGCGCCCGCCACCACGCCCGGCTAATTTTTTGTATTTTTAGTAGAGATGGGGTTTCACCGTGTTAGCTAGGTTGGTCTCGATCTCCTGACCTCGTGATCCGCCCACCTCGGCCTCCCAAAGTGCTGGGATTACAGGCGTGAGCCACCGCGCCCGGCCTATTATGGGTCATCTTTACTACACAGCCATGTCATGCAGCCACTGAAACACTGTTAAAAGAGTACATGCTACAAGGACAATATTCATAACACAAGTGGCAGTTTGACATGTGTTGTGATAAAATTGCATCAAAATCTATTCATTCTCAATATGAAAAATGATGGTGAGCTAATGGAAAAATGGGCAAATAAAACCTACTCAATGGCAGCATTGAAAAATCATCACAAACAGTAAATTGATCCTAATAGAGAAATAACACACAGGACAGACTTGAATAAGCACTTCACATAATAGGATACCCACAAAAGCAAATAAGCCTATGAAAAGGTACTCATATTATCCATAGAAGAAATGCAAATCAAAACTACACTGAGATACCCTACTTGAATTACTAAAACTCTAATACCTGGCTTTTGGAAGTATAAACTGGTACAACTATTTTGGAAAACTGCTGGACAGTATTTACTAAAGCTGAATATATGCATATCCAACAAAACAGCAATTACACTCCTAGGTGTATGTCTGATAGAAGCAAAAGACATACATAATAAAAACATTCTTAGCCATGTTATTTGTAATGGTTCAAATCTAGATACAACATAAATATCCACTGATAACAGGAAAAAAATGTGTGATATGCCCTTATAGTGGAATACTAAACAATAGTAAGAATAAATGAATTACAGCTTCATACAACAACATGGATACAAAGTGTACAATCCTATTTTTGGAAAGAACAAGGTAAAGCTAGTTTATGCTCAGAGTCAGGACATGTGTGGAATGTGAGGTAATGACTGGCCACGGGGCTACTGTGTTTCTAATTAAATTCTGTTTCTTGATCTGGTTATACAGGCAAGCTCATTTAATCAACATTCATCAAGCCATATACTTAGGATGGTTTACTTTTCCATATGTATGTGATTCTATCATATAAAGTTTACATTTAAAATGAAGGAAGAAGCTAGGGAGTATATGGGAAGTTTAAATAAAATAAAACAAAACGTCCTAAATCAATGCAATACACAATGCCAAGCAATTTAGTGAAGAGGGGGCTTCACAGAGGCAAGAATTTTCTCTCTCTTTTTTTTTTTTTTTTAAGAGACAGGGTCTTGCTCTGTCCCTTAGGCTGTAGTGCAATGGTGGGATCATGGCTTACTGCAGCCTTAACCTGTTGGGCTTGAGTGATCTTCCTATCTCAGCCTCCTGAGTAGGTGGGACCATGGGCGCACACCACCAGAACTGGCTAATTTTGAATTTTTTTTTTTTTTTTTTTGTAGAAACAGCATCTCACTATATTGCCCAGGCTGGTCTCGAACTCCTGGGCTCAAGCTATCCTCCTGCCTCAGCCTCCCAAAGTGCTGGGGTTACAGGCATGAGACACCACATCCAGACCAGTGATAGTCTTTTATTTCTGATTTTGAAATAGTGCTTGGCATTTTTTGAAAGAAAAATACCTTTTTCACATGATTAAAGAAGACCTTAGTGCAAAAATACAAAGAGGTTATAGATAGAACTGGAGATCTGTTTAGAAGAGCATGTGATGAACCATATGGGCCTACAACACAAAAAAGCAAACTTTGAAAAATACATAAGGATGGGCCCGGGGGCACAGAAACTACCACAAGGAGAGTGGTATCAGCAGGATATGAAAACTAATCACAAATAACTTAAAAAATTATTCTCAGAACCCCTTTTCTGGTTATTAAAACAATATGCAGAAGACACAGAGTTAATTTCTAGGAAATATCACATTTCTACAACATAGTACCTAGAGTTACTGACTTGTATTACTTCATCCCATCACTAAATACATTTCTTTCTCATCCTCAGCAGATCAAGACTGCTTATATTTAGGCAAGGAAAGGGAACGGGGATCAGTAAATGAAGAGAAAGTAGGTTAACAGAATGAAGAGTAATAGGCGGTGTTCAGCTTCCAGTAAGTGAGCAGCAAACAGAGACACCAGTGTTTAAAAAGTGATGAAAGTGGCTGGGCACAGTGGCTTTGGGAGGCAGAGGTGGGTGGATCATGAGGTCAGGAGTTCGAGACCAGCCTGGCCAACATGGTGACACCCCATCTCTACTAAAAATACAAAAACATTAGCCAGGTGTGGTGGTGTGTGCCTGTAATCCCAACTACTGGGGAGGCTGAGGCAAGGAGAATTGCTTGAACCTGGGAGGCGGAGGTTGCAGTGAGCCGAGATCGCGCCCACTGCACTCCAGTCTGGGAGACAGTGTGAGACTCCATCTCAAAACAAACAAACAAACAAACAAACAAACAAACAAAAAGTGATGAAAGCCTTGAGACTTATTAGAGAGGCTGCTATTGTCAAAGGCTGCAAGTGTAGAAACAGGTCCTAGGCGCTGTCTCAGGCAGGACTTTTCTCTGCCCTAATAAGACTGTCAGAGATTTTCCTTAATGCACTATGCCCTTCACTTTTTTCTTCTGGCATATTAAAAAATAGAGCATACATCATCACTCTCATTTGAGAAGCTGCCTGATAACAGATAACAAAGAATTTTAAAAGATCTTTTTCTTTATATTTTCTCCTCCTTTCGTACATGGGGAAAACTAAGAAAAAGTTATGAAATATGCTTTCCATCCAGTGATAAAATAGCACTTTGGATTTAATAAAACTCTGTTCATGGTTTATCAAATATCAACTTAACAACTCTTCAGAGTAACTATATTAATAAGATGTGAGTAATAAAAGAACTGATAATAAAAGTTTCTTAGTTGTCTCTTATATTTGTAGCCTTGAAGTTACACAGATTTTGAGTTACTGGCTTGTCAGAGCTAAAATACAACAAGATGTTTTAACATTTTAAAATCCTAAACCCTAACGGTATTTACTAGTTCATCTTTCCATGTGAATATGTTGGTAAATGTGGACTTCGTTGTTATTTGCATATCATATTAGCATTGTTCTGCTGCATACATGCTTTAATGGAGGAAGGTATGCAAATATAATAGGCCTAATTATCTTATCTCAAAAGAAAAAATGTTGTCAGACTTTTTTAACCTTAAGGTGGCAATACAAACTAGGTGAGGGTACATACAGTAATATATGAGGTAAATGAGTGATGCGCTATTGTTTTCTTTGGTATATTTCAGTGTTCCTTTGTTTCATTATTCTTCTAGAAATTGTAATAAGACAGCTCCTGTGACTAATTAACCCAAAGAGGTTTGACTAATAGAAGGAGATTGCAAGCATGATTACTTAAATGATCATGTACATAGCACTTAATGATCATTATCATTTATTCTAATATTAGTGCTAATAAATGGTAAAACTGTTTAAGCCAAATGCTGTCACATCACAATAAAGTACATCATGGCTAACACTAATAATTTCTAATTTACTTGGGAATCAATGAGACATTATAGCATTCTTAATGCATGTCAATTCTTGCTTCAAAAAATTTATAAACCCTTTAAAAGCATAAAAATATTTAGTATTTATCTCTTTACCTAGACGAAATAACAAACTGTCTAACCATCATTTCCCCTCCAAACCACAGTTCCAGCTATGCTAACTACATCCCTGGCTTTCATGAGATCAGTGTAATACACGAAAAGTCACTTCTTTATAAAAAAAGTCAACGATTATAACTAACATCAGTGTTTCAAAATGCGAATTTCATCCTACCCTCTTGCTTACTAAGGAGTCAGTGGATACACATTATCTACCAGAGTTTTACACACTACCAGAAGGGTACCTTTGCTCTAAAAAGTAAAAAAAAAATGTAGAGTGGTACTTGATTTTTCTCTATTGCTCATTTCTATCATTTTTTTTCGCACATTAAGAATGACAAGGGAAGAAAATAATTCAGAAATGTGCTGCAAAATCACTGGTCAATATTATCTATACAACACAAAAGAAAAGGTTGGAAGGGTGTTCATTTTATATGCAAAAGCACATTTATTATCCTGAGCTAGTGACACTACCATTATTGACTCCTATCATCCCTATCACTCCTTAGGAGTGTACACTGAAGAGCATTTTAGTTTCTGGATCACATAAAAATGATAAGCTGAGAGGTAGAACAGAGAAAATTCCTCTTTAGGTTTATATATAGCATTGGAAGACAGAAAGTAAAGAGAAATAATGCAAAATAAAAGTACAACCAGTGTATTTTAGGAGAAAAGGAGATAGATAACTAAATGAAAGAAGAGATTTCGGCTTCTGGTTATATCTTAATACAGATAAACTTAGAAGCTCAGACAGCTGCTAGATGGAAGCTCCAGTTCCTTACAACTTGGGTTTCTCCAAAGGGCTGCTCAAAACATAGTGTCCCCCATAGCCAAAGAAGAGGGAGAGAGAACAGAGCACCCAAGATGAAAGCGTCAGCATCTTTTTTTTTTTTTTTTTTTTTTTTTTTTAGACAGTCTTGCTCTGTTGCCAGGCTGAAGTGCAGTGGCGCGATCTCAACTCACTGCAACCTCTTCCTCCTGAGTTCAAGCGATTCCCCTGCCTCAGCCTCCGGACGAGTAGCTGGGACTACAGGTGTGCACCACCACACCCAGCTAATTTTTTGTATTTTAGTAGAGACGGGGTTTCACCATGTTGGCCAGGATGGTCTCGATCTCCTGACATTGTGATCTGCCCGCCTCAGCCTCCCAAAGTGCTGGGATTACAGGCGTGAGCCACCGCGCCCGGCTGCTTCAGCATCTTTTATAATCTAAGCTTGTTAGTGAGATACATTTCTGCCATATTTAATTGGAACAATGTTTGAGGTGGGAGTGGATTATATAAAGGTGTGAAAAAGAGGCAGAGATCATTGGGCACCATTTTAAAGTCTGGTTACAATGTTTCTATTATTATGGCAAAGTAAAATAGTATCTAGGACTATGCCAAGTAGTGTACCATAATCATATATCACTTGTCTTTTTTTCTAAAATTAATAATTGCCTATTGCCTCTTTTTTTTTTAGTGTCTATCATTATGGTGGTCTAAAATCGTCCCGGAAGCCTTTTAATACAATTGTACAAATGATCATTCAGATTAATTGTAAGATTCACATTTTCCCCTGATCTTCCCTGCTATGGTTTGAATGGCTGTCCCCTCCCAAACTCATGTGGAAATTTAATTGCCATCATAATAGTATTGTGACATGAGAACTTTACAAGGTAATTAGGCCTTGAGGCGTCTGTCTTAGTTAATGGGTTGATGCCATTATTGTGAGAATAGTTTCCTTACAAAGGATGATGAGTCCAGCCCTGTTTTGTCTCCCTTAGCCCATCACCATGGGAAGATGCAGTAAGAAGGCCCTCACTAGATGCCAGAGCCTCAATCTTGAACTTCCCAGCCTCCAGAGTTGTGAGCCAATAAACTTCTGTTCATAAGTTACCCAGTCTGTGTAATCTGTTAAAACAGCAAAAAATAGACAAAACAATCTCCAAGAACCCTCTATCTTTATGCTTTTTCAAATATTGTACTATTTTTTTCTGCTACCTTGTTTTCCATATCCAAGGGATCCTTGTTTCCTAATTCTTTTTCATACATATATCTTTATATATGTGTATACATGTGTGTATATATATACACATATAAGTGTATATACATATGTACACATATATACATATATTCACATATATGTATATACATGTGTATATATGTATATACATATATGTGTGTACACACACACATATGTGTATGCATGTATCCTGTTCCTTTCATCATTGAAATAGTCTTTTAGGCTGTGCATGGTGGCTCATACCTGAATCCCAGCACTTTGGGAGGCTCAGGCGGGAGAATCATTTGAACTCAGGAGTTTAAGACCAAGCTGGCCAACACAGTGAGACTCTGTCTTCACAAAAAATAAAAAATAAAAAAATTAGCTAGGCATGGTGGTACGTGCCTGTAGTCCCAGCTACTCGCAAGGCTGACGTGGATGGATGGCTTGAGTCTGGGAGATCAAGGCTGCAGTGAGTTATGATCATACCACTGCACTTCCGCCTAGGCAACAGAGAGAAACCCTGTCACAAAAAAAAAATTGTCTTTGATATCCCTGAAATTATAATTGTGGTGTTTTGCTTGAAATTTTTCTTTTGTTCTTCATATTTTCTCTTTTTATTAAGAGGTCCTTTGTTTTTCCTTTTTTCTCCATATTAAATGTTTTCCTCAAATGTTAGCTAATGAATCTGTGGCCCAAATCAATATTTAAGAGTAAACATTTTGTGTGAATAAGTAAGTTGGTTAACTAATGGGTTTCTCTGTGTAATTCTCTTGCTCCGAGCTAGTACTGTGGGGAGGAGCAGAGTAGTACCAGAAAGCCTGTTCTCTAGACTGTTCATTATATCCAGAGATGTATTCTGTCATCTGCTTGGAGCATAAACTTTGCTTCTGTATGCTAAGAACTAAGTGGCAAAAGGGAGTTAGAAGAGGCTTTTTCAATTCATTTCCACTTTTTTCTCCTTAGGTCATCTTCTGTGTTTACATAATCCCTGTTTGCAGTAGAACACCTTGCTCCTGCTTCATATTCCCATTCTAGATTCTTGAGCGCAATTGTTCCTAACAATAAATCTCTGATCTCCTGGAAGGGTGGGAGAAAGGGAAGTGAGGTGAGGCAGTATAGCATAATGGTTAAAATTCTGGACTTCGGAGTCAGACTGTCTAGATGGTGGCTGAACTGCTCCTTTTCCAGTCCCATTTTCAGCTCTATGGCTCACTAGTTCTGTCAGCGGTTCCTGGCACCAATAATTCCTGAGCCCTCAGAGTCCTGGGAGGGATGGATCAGTCCATTTGCCACTGGGGCCCTGTGGTGTTGTGGATTGAACTGTGTCCCCTCAAAAAAGATATGTTAAAGCCCTTACCCCTAGTACCTGTGAATGTCAACCGTATTTGGAAATAGGATCTTTGCAGATGTTATCAGGTAAACTCAGGGTCATACTAGATTAGGTTGAGTCCTCATCCAATGACTGATGTCCCTATAAGGCAGCCATGTGACAAGTTAAAGGACACATGGGGAGAACACCATGTGATGATGGAGACATACACTGGAGTGATGCAGCTACAAACCAAGGAACACCAAGGACCACCAGCAATGACTAGAGCTAGGAGAGAGGCATGGAATAGATTCTCCCACAGAGCTGCCAGAAGGAACCAGCATTGCCAACATCTTATTTCAGACTTCTAGCCTCCAGAATTGTGAGAGAATAAATTTTTGTTGTTTTCAGCCTTCCAATTTGTGATAATTTGCTATGGTAGCCCTAGGAAAATAATACATCTGGATTCCAGCTTTCCACTCACATCATCGTTTTCTCCATCCTTCCCATGTCTACATATTGTTGTTCCAGATTAAAGATATCTTGATGTCACAGGTGCTGGGAATTGTTTTTGTAACTCTTTCTCTTGGTGGCTCTGTGGTGATTGACTCCCAGGGACAAAAGGAGGTAAAAACATCTTTATTATTCTATTTTAAAAACAAAATTCTCCATAGTCTTAATTTTCAACTTTTTTCTGCTAAACTAGTTTATATTACTTCCGGTATTTTAAGTACAGTCCAAGAACTATTCATAGCAAGAAAATTAATTTCCATGTCTCCAATTACTAAATCCATTCTATGTGCCATTCTTGTTGAAGGATTTGCAATAACTTTCTATTGGCAAATGTATCATGGAAGGAAAGTGAAGAAGGGGAAGGAATGAGAAAGTGCCAGCGTATTTTGAATTTATTGAGTAGCTACTCAATTCTAGGCACTACATCACAAATCTGGGCACCTTCATACACTTTCATTTAGTCTTCCTAACAGCCTATGAAACACATAGTGTAATTCCTCTTCTTATAGCTGAGGAAAAGAAAACTTAAAGACAAATAACCACAGTCACCCTGATAGTAAGTAAAGAATTTAAACCAGACCTGTTTGACCTCAAAGCCCAAACCTGACTCCGAACTGTTTTTCAAGGTCAAACTGCTCTGCCAGACCATTCACTTGTAGAAAGAGTATTTGAAAATCTGGCTAGTTTTATGCTTTCACAAATAGTCACTGAATAAAAACAACTACTGCTATTTTTTTTTAAATACCTACTATGTGTAAGGTATTTTGCAAATTATTTATTTTTAATACTGACAGGTGGTTTCCATATCTGTGGCTACTTGGAACTGACCTTTAAGGAGGGCAAATAAAGTAAAATATAAATCCAATGGTATCTTATAAATAAATACCAAGTGTTGTTTTCTTAGAAAAGATTTCAGACACATAATGCAGTTGGCACATGCCTGGAAGAAACTCAGCTGCAGTAGGGTCCCCCATCCCTGCCATAATGCCTACTACAGATGGAATACAACAGCAGAAACACTGGTGAACCACACATTGTTATGTTCCAAAAGAGTTTTCATTATTTTCCTGTAACTACTACAGTTTTCAAAACACAAAATATCTTATCCTATCAGAAAATTTGATGACTCTGCTTGGCTGGTGCTCTATAGCACACCCAGTCTGCCTACTGCCTGAGCATTGTGGTCACACGTGGTGATTACTTTTTAGAACCTTTAGGCTGCTGGGGATCATTTGCCCTTTTTCACAGGGCCCGGGAGGCACCTTGGCTACTTTTCTTACCATGGATTTCACACACTATACTATCACTACATAAGTAATCATCTCCCTCTGCAACTGGGCCATTAATGTAAAAATTATTTTGTGTCTCCCTGATCACTTTCTTCTGACATTCCCTAGAGATCTGTCAGCCCCAATGACCTTGCCTCCTTCCCCCAGCCAGAGACTATGACTTTAAGGAAGAGATCTTATCTCCTAATTCTCAGAGAAAACAGGTGTTATCAGATGGGAGCTCAGAATTTTCCCTCAATTACTGTCTGCATCCACTTCTGTTCAAACATCCTTCCTTTGTAACTGTCCAGGTGCTCTGCACCTATGCTTTCATATCCCATTCCCCGGGAACCTAACCTAAGCTACTGCTCCCCTAAGTCTTAGCCCCACACCTCCAGAACTATTAATACTTCCTTTCAGAATACAAAGACAGTAAAGCCTTTGTCATATGAATGGCAAAGAAACATAATATGCTCATTAAATCACAAACCATTTGGTTCAGCTATTTTCCTACTTTTTCTTTTCTTCATATCTAGGCTTTCAAAAAAAAAAAAAGAAAGAAAGAAAGAAAAAAAGCTCCACTCCTCCTCCAGCCAAGGCTACCTGGCTTCAGTTTCTACCAATACTGCGTTTCTCAAGGTAAGCAGTGATACCCGAGTCCTTCAGTCCAATCTGTGCTCGGGTGCTTATCCATCCTTTTTGTACCTGGCCTTTCTGAACATGTGGCTTTGGTGACTATTCTTTCCCAACTTCTTTGTCACTGGTGGCTCCTAGGGGAGAACGCTCCTCCTCTGGCTTCTCTTTCTCTTTCTTGCTCCTTCCAAGTTGTATGACCCAGATGAGCCCTGCACTCCTTCCAGCTTGAGAGATCCAGTAAGACCAAAGACTATCCCAGGTACACATGACGTCATTTCCTCTGTATGCTCAGTGAACCTCCACAGTAGCACCACCTCGTTGGATTGTAACTGTTTAGGTTAAACAATTTATTTGTCTCTAAAACTGTAGATTCACCAAGAATTTGACATGCCCATGAAAGTTTAGTTCTCAAATGGCAAACAATTATTAATATCATAGAAATGGCTTCCCTTTTAAGTAATGCAAAATTACACAACACATAGAAACAGAGACAATGTGTAACAAATCAGTAATCAAACGACAAAATAAGTAATTCTTTAATCCTCTTTTAAAAGGGATTTTTATTTTGGGAGAAATTTGAGGAAACCAACATATCCTTTTACCAGTTTTTTTTTTTAAGTCCAAACACAAAATTTAAAACAAAAGTACAGAGTTCAAGGAGCTTCTAAAGTCTGTCCATTGATTCCTTATAAACTTAGACTCTGAACTTTTGCCATAAGAAAAGGGAGAGATTCAGAATGGGCAAACGATTTAAAAAGATCATAATAATTATAGTCCACTATGGAACACAAGCAGAACAAGAGATATTAATCATAACAACCATTTCAGGGAAGTCAAGGACATTACTTTCCTTATACAATACAGTTCTTTATCTCCTTCTCACTAAATTTATTCCAGCCTTCAGCATACATTTGTGAATGCTCATTAAATGAAAGACATTTGCTATTTCTTGCATAAATGTCCTTTTAAAACAACTTGAAGTCTTCACTACTTGAGACTTTTCTAACCTGTTCATGCTTAAGAGTCTGTTTGATAATGACTATGCCAAAAGGTTGTCCTGCCCTGACTATAAATTAGATAAGAAAAGCCTTTCCTGTCTACCCACAGGGCATCCTTACCTAGGCAGGAGCCCTGCTGAGTCCATTCTGCCTTTTGCTTGACTACATGGTAAATATAAGAGACTGATGTTTGAATAAACTGTGAAATCATCCAAATTATTTTACATTCCTAGCCTAAAAAAATCTCCTTAAAAAATATTTAAGTCTTTTGACAGCTACAGGTAGCATTTGATTCTGCTTGAAAGCCCAAGTGTAAGGGTGTCAAAAACCATTAGTATTTTAATAGCTCCCTTTCTTAGGTTATTTGTCAGGCATGAGTTCATCAGGAAAAGAACAAAAAATACTCTCAAAAAATAGGCCAATGACATTTAGAAAATCAAGTTATTTTAATATATTGTTCCTTATGCTCTTTCTACTTTAAAATAAGATACAGTTAAAATAAATGAAAATGGTAGTTGTCAACATTTACTACTTCAATAGAGTTGTCTTCATTGTTTCCAAAGAAGACTTAAGGCAGTTAGTGCTCAGTAGACACCAATGGAAACCTTAGAAATTTCCTAATTCTGCCTAAAGACAAACTCTTGCTGTTTGAGAAAAGGCAGGTCAAGAAACAAGGTGTCCCAAGATCGAGTGGATTGGGGATGGGGGAGGGGTGGCTATATATGAAGTTTTGATATATCAACAACAAAGCCCATCTTGTGTGCCTCCCTTAGAAAAATATGCTAATTCAAAGATATCTAACCAGCTTCACATTTAACTCTGACTTCAAATCAGAGTGGCAGAGCAGCTGTGCCTGGAGGCAATACAATCTTATTTCTATAAAAATCTCTCAAAGTGCCATATATAAGTGGAAGAGTAAAAATAGATAATCAAATCCAAATTAAGGCTATTAAGAATTGATTTAGTGTAAAGATAATATAGCAAGATTTTGTTTAGGTTATGGATGCTCTCTAAAAATGCATAATACTTGTTTGCCTAAAATTTTGATTATGTTTTATCTTATTTTGTCACAGTTAAATAGTTTTATCTTTAGGGGTTTTAATTGCATATAGTTTATAGAATTCTTTCTGATTACTCTCTATCCATTTAACTGGAAAAAAAATCCCACTGTACCACTTATGAAAAGAGAACCACCTAATAAGGATGCAAACAAACTGCAGGCAGATGCAGCATAAGGTGTGGTTCAACAATTCATATCTGTGGAGCCTTTATCACAAAAGTTTTACAGACAGTTCACAGAGTGTACAGTGGAAGAGAAGTCCCTAGGAGAGTAGGAATTAATGTATCCTGAAAAACACCAGTCACTCAGTGGTATACCAGAGGTTACAAAGAAAACAATCAAGAAAAGAAAAAGAAATGAGAAAACCAAAGTCTTCTTTCAACCTTCGTTGTATAGGCTCCACTACTGTGTAATTCCTCCCAACTTCTTGATCTCTTTTCTGCTTCTCCTTCACTTCATTACTCACCTGACTCCATTCCTAAGGTTCAGTCCTTAACTTGCCATTCTCTTGTTTTAAAGATTCTCCTTTAGATAACTCACTTGCTTATGAATTATTAGCAATTCTCTGTGGGGGTGTCTTAACCTAGAGCTCTAGGCTGGGCCTCTTTCCTTTTTGACTTTTTTTTTTCTTCCCCTCTTTGACTTTTCCCCATCCATAGCAGCCGATTCATACTGGCATATAGGTTGCCATGAAGTCCTTTCAATCCCTCCCTCTCACTTACACTTTAGTTCCATACTAACTATGGGGACCTGTCATTTTCATGCTCAAAAACCTCAACAATCCAAATTCCTTGGCCTGGTGTCAGACCCGCAATATACTTCTTCCCCATCTGGTACCTTAAACTGGGCCAGCTGATTTCTTAACACTCAAACACCATACTATGATATTTATTAAAATGCATTAATAAATATTTTAATTATCTTGATTTAAAAGAGGAGATTTTACTATTTTCTGTAGACTACAGAAAATCTTTAGGTTTGGACTGTGTTGAATAAAGAAAATAGATAATGCCCTGTACTCATCAACAAATACATTCTTTTGTTTTAATGTTGCCACACTTTGCTTGACTAAGGGAAAGATATTTAATAAGTAGCCCTCCACTTCTAAGAAGTGAGTAACCAAATCGAAATTGAATCTCCCCTCCCCTACATCTGATCCGACAACTCTTTGAAGCTATGCATAGACCAAACAATCAAATATCTCCTTTTGATGATAGATAACTTCAAGGGAGGAGATGGGAAGCGGTTAACTGTGTTCACAGCTGGAACTTTAGCAACTGGCATATCAAATTATTTGGGTGACATTAAGAGATTTGATTTTACTCCTTAATATGTATTAACAGTTCCATTCAAGTATAAACATAAACATGTCTGTTCATTCAACACATTCTTATAAACACTTACATGCCTGATACCAATCCAACTAAGTATTGGGGTTACAGCAGTCAACAAGACAGATATGCTCCTTTATGCCTTGTCTCCACTCTGATGAAACTCATGAGTACTGTGACAGACACTGAATAAAAACATCTTCAGGGCAGTGTGTATTATAAAATGGGAAGACTAGGGTGTTACTAGAATGTACAGTTCTACAAGGTTCAGACTGGGGTTCAGAAAGGACCTCCTGAAAAATTGCATACATGCTACTACTGCTGCTGCTGCTAGGCTCACTCTTGCCCTTGGGTTTTGGCCTCATTTCTACTCATCTTTCAAGTCTCAGCTTGCATTTCAGATCCTTTCTGGAAGCCAGCTCTAAACTGTCCTCATGAAGTCTGGATCAGTCTTTCTGACTTCCTGGTCTTGCCAAAATTTTTTGTTGCCTCTAACCTGGCATTTACCAAAAGTAGGGCAATTATTACTAGTCTGTCTTTCAACTAGATGGTGCATTCTTGGAAGATATCTATAAATCTTAAGTGCCTAGCAACAGCTTAATAAATTTTGCTGAATAAATAAAGATTTAGCACATACTTCATTTCTGCCTGTGCCTTTACAGCCAAAGCAAAAGATAACAGGTACAACTTGTAACCAAAGTGTTTTTGGTAGAGGTTTGGACCACAGCACAAAGGCTGGATAATTCAGTGCATGAGATGTCTGCTTCTGAAGTCCACTGAAGTTAGAATGCTTGAGGTCAGTTTGCTAAAATACATATAGGGACATTTTAGCCCCAACGTCCAGGAGGATACTTTACCAGAATTTTTTTCTATTCTGAGAGAAAAGATGCTCTCTCTATATATAAAAAGAAACCTAAGAAGTCTGAGACTATAGCTATGATTTAAGAAGGCACAGACAACACACAGACAGCAAAAGATATACAGACAATAAAAAATTAAAATTGCAGCTAATAAACTCAAATTTAGGCTTTGGATATATATTTTTTACCCAAGCTTTCTATAATATTTCTAACACAGCATAGGTTTATTAAAATTAACAAAAATGTTTTAATACTGAGTTTATTAAAATAAATAAAAAGTGGTCATAATTAATTCCAGATTATTTTCATAATCCAAACCTCAGACTAGGAAAACAGTGCTATCTAGTGGCTAAATTTGGGAAGAAGAGATGAGGCACACCAGAGGCTGGAGAACCTCTGAGAGGCTGTGTCTCAATTGTTTAACTTTATGTTACAAGCTAAAAAAATGTATGCATATAAGTCACCAGCTCATGGATGGGAAAGGAATTAGACATGGATTCAAGCAGTTATATTAAGAGTATGGCATGGCAAAGAAAGTAACAACTTGGACTCTGAAGTCGGATAGGCATGCATTCAAAATTTGACTACGTGCCCTTAAACAAGTTATCAGACCTCTTTAATACTTGACTAGTTTCGACTATGAAATGGAGATAAAAATATTGACTCTCTGATAGAAATATTTGAGAAGGTTAAATGGGTAATATGCATAAAATATTCATCATAGTGCTTGGCATTTAGTAAGCCAAATATCTCAGTAAACATTAGCTTATTATTATTAATATTATCATTATTTTACATAGGCTATAAATGAATTTCACATAGCTGTAGAAAATCTTTTAAATCTTTAAAAATAAGTTATGAGATCAATAACAATATATACTTGTAGAAAATATAAATATTAGACATCAATTTTAAGTATATAAAAGCAAATTAAAAAATAAGTTCAATCTTACATTTCAATCACATAGTTCAGTCGTAGGGTTAGTATTTTCAATGAAAAAAAGTAGTTTTTAGAAATAGAAAGATTTCCAATGAACTCCAAAATGTCATCCTATACTAAAAATAATCACTACCCTTTTTGCAATGAAGACATTTTCCTTAACCAAATCCTGCATTTTTGAACATCTAGTCCAATAAATCTACATACACACAATTCTTAAGATAAATTTGGTCATTTGGATTTCTTTCTACTTGGTTAGAAATATGAAGGGAAAACACAACAGAAATATGAATAGAAAATACTTTCTAAAAATGTAGGAATTCATCACATTTATATTAGAACAGAGAATTTGAACTTTGTGATATATCTTGTTCGGCTTGCTGTATAATCTACTAGCTTAATTATCATAACAGCCTTAGAACTTAAGCCAGTACACATTAGCTTTATAAAAATGCAATGCTCATCTGCTATATATATAATAAACAGAAACATTATGATTTATACGTAATTGTATCTGAGCCATTATATCCCAGACACTTTACTAATATTATAGTCACAAGGCTGAGTTCTCCAAGACCAGTGTACAAAGTTATCTGAACTAATTTTCCCCCACATAGTATCTAAAAATATATATTTTAAATTAACTGTAGGATGGTATATGCATATCATTAATCATATCACAATCATTGTGTTTGGCTGTGGCTCTTTTTTAATGACTTAAAGTGGGGGCTGAGTTCATTATGCTGTTACTATTAATAATAAAAAATAACTGAAGTACATATACGAAATCAAAAAAGAAATACAATAGGAATTGGAACCATATTCTTGTCACAGCTGTGTCACTAACCAGCTCTGTACTCTGGAAGTTTTCAGCCTCTCTGGGTTTCTATTTATTCATGGATAATACAAAATCATCCTTAAGATCAGGATAGATCTACTCTCTACAGGTTTTGCCATTGTAAAATATGTCACAATGGCTCTAAATCATAACCCTAAATTTAGGAATTACTTAATTATTCACAGTGAACTTCTCTTATTCCAACTCTTTTTATTTGTATTGTTATACAAGAGAAAGGCAAGACAAAAACAACAAAAAAGACCTATTTAAGAGACTGCAGTATATTTTTACCTTTACTGTCATTTGTTAAGCACCTACTATATATACTTTACCTTCGGCAGTAAGGATCCCCACACCTATTAAAAGATAATTACATCCATGTCTTTTTCTTATTTACCTAATAATTATTTTAGCTTCCCTAGAAATTGGCACAGGTTTTTCTCTCAGTCACATGTTAATAATTCCAGAACTTAAGTCATCTGCACCCAAAAAACTCATACAAAATCTGTCAAGTTGTTTTACATTTATAAATCTGGCAAACATTAGTGACAATCTCACTTTGAAAAACAGCACCCACAATCAACGAATGTGTTTTGACTGTGGAAGGTAGGCAGAACCCAAGGACATAACACAGAGGGAAAAAAACAAAAGCAAATAAAAGCCAATCAACATGAAATGGTACCCTGAACAGAGCAGAGAGTTCTATGCGGTTGGGCATGGAGGACTGGTTAGAGATTTTTGACAGGAGTCCATCTTAGATAAATATCAGAGACTAAGTTAATTCATCTTCTTAGTGATTTTATCACATCCTTCCACAATAATACCACATGAAGCTCATCTACACTTACCATTTTGCCAAAATGCCAGTTAAGGTATTTCTAACTGCACTGGCAAATGTGGGAGATTAAAACAAGATGACAGATTTAATACTTCAAATTGTATCTTGACATATAGTAAGTCCACTACTTTAAAAAGTGTTATGAGAAAGAGTGCCTTGGATAACACTGATCAGCAATGATTGAATGTTAACTTCAGATAATTATAATAATAAAAAATTCACTAGAGACCTGATAGAAGAACCTAAGACACAACCTCAAGGCAATAATATAAGGATGAAAAATACGAGTACGCAATCTCATAGCAAATATGTACATGCACACATTTTTACTATTTTAGTTATATTGGAACTTGAGAATTTCACAGCAGTCTACTAAAATCACAGATCAATAGGATAAAAGTAGATAAGAAGAATGTGCAATTTATAAATACGGTTTATTACCATGGTTACAAACTTTCAGAACAGGCCTCTGAGACATTGGACTGAGACTCTGCCGAACATCTGTTAAAAAAAAAAATAAAATAAACTTAATATAGAGGTCTGGGCATCTCAAGAAGGAAAACAGTATTAGACATACTTTTTTCCAAGGTTATGTATTTCTGGCAGCAAAGTAATGCTTCAATATCCTGAAATACTTGAAGCAGTAATGTTATGACTTTTACTTCCCATTTAATTATGCTACTGTAAACTCCACTGGGATAAGGTACATATGGTTCTTTAGATGAGACTTGTCACACTAATTAGGATTTTCTAGGTTCAGTGCATTGATTTGTTAATGTGCTACTGACATCGGCCAACTGGAATGCATATCTCTCTGACATTTGTCTGTGCAAGGGATTAAGCAAACTTATGAAACTTCTGAACAGTTGTTGCCCACGGCACTGCATTCTTGACACACAACTTCAAAAGAATGAGAAAAACAGGATTCTTTCTCTGTGATAGCTCCCTAGAAAGTAACATGAAACAAGTATAGGGTTCACCTTTTGGCATCGGTGTCCTTTTTCTTCTGTCGCGGAAGGCAGCCCCGGACTGCAAGGCCTCCAGCAGATTATCCATCACTCCTGTCTCATCACCCTCTGTGAAAAGAGATGCAGGGAATTCCATCAGCCCTCAGGGTTACCATAGCAATGTCAAAGCATATACAAAAACTGGTGATGGTGATGGTAGGGAGAAAAAAGATCAGATGCCAGGACTAAGCTAGCAATTTCAAAATAGGACAGGACTTTAACTCTCTCATTAAATCAACTATCTTTTAATGAAAACTGCCTCATTAGTGCCTATGTTACTGTGCACTAAAGGGACCGAGTTCCACGGATTCACTTCAGAGCACTGCTTTTATAGTCCAACAGCACAATTACCTTAAATGGAATGTGGTTCTAGTCATGTTTGAGTCTTGAGTTATAAATCACATTTCCTTTGTAGAGATGAGCTATTTTCAAGGCATCATCTTCTATTCTAAAGTCAACCAGGTATGGGAGAGAGTAGTTTTTGTTTTTTGTTTTTTGTTTTTTTTGAGACAGAATCTCGCTCTGTCGCCCAGGCTGGAGTGCAGTGGTGAGATCTCTACTCACTGCAAGCCCTGCCTTCCAGGTTTACGCCATCCTCCTGCCTCAGCCTCCCGGGTAGCTGGGACTACAGGCGCCTGCCACCACGCCCGGCTAATTTTTTGTATTTTTAGTAGAGATGGGCTTTCACCATATTAGCCAGAACGGTCTCCATCTCCTGACCTCATGATCTGCCCGCCTCAGACTACCAAAGTGTTGGGATTACAGGCGTGAGCCACTGCACACGGCCCGGGAGAGTGTTTTTGTTGTTACTGAGATTCTGCTGTCTAAACTTAGCAGACAAATTATATTTCCATGCTAACTTTTAAATATAACAGATTATATTTCCATGCTTCCAACAATTGATTTTTCATATCAGAAGATAATCATCCCCTGACTTGAGGTGACACAGAACAATCACTACAAAATTTTACAGAACGTATAGTTTATCTTCTATAATGAGAAATAAATCAAAAGAGGCTCTCTGAAATCAAAAGGACTGCACTCCATTAAGATTACTTTAAATTGATATCCTGTATATAATTAAGGAAATACGTGGATATAGAGCCAATTATCTCTACAAAGAACAGATTATGCCTGTAATACTTATAAGTATTTATAGTTATCAATGTTAAATATTGTTCAAAGAGAACAGGAGAAAAAGCTTCAAAGGAACTACTGGCCCAAACCAAATTCAAGAAAACCGTAAGGACTTTTTGCCCGTCCAGACAAGGTAACTTGCAGGCATTCTTTATGAAATTGTATGGCTGGTATACTGCTACATTTAAAATAATGGAAAGCTATTTTCCTTCGAACTTTTATTTTTTCCTTTTTGATACACAATCCCTTTACAGAGATAAGATGAAAAGTGAATGCAGTAGAATACAAATAACATACTCATTTACAGTTTATAAACAGATATATAAATATAAATATGTATCAGCCCCTTTTCCATCTGCTGCTATTTCATATTTTTAGAAGAGTACTAAACCTTGTAGGTGTTATCAAAAAAGGTGGGTGAGAAATAGAATATTTGGAAGTTGTGAATTTACAATAAATGTAATTCTAAGTGATTTGATGGCTATTTTAACTAAAATACATTAAATATTTCAGACAAATAGCTATTTGAAAATTTATTTTCAAATTCAACTATATTTTTCCTTAAAAAACTGCAGGTAATGTCAAATATTTAAGATAGTAAAAGAAAAAGAAAACATTTCAAAATCTAAAATTACAATTTTAAATCTTTTTCAAGCAGTCATGAGATTGAAAAAAAATCCTAGTACTGAAATCAAATAGAAACAAATAAACATGTTTTCATATTGATAGATTATAAAGGAGGGGGAAAAAAGAATCCAAGTAACTTTTGAATACTTTAATGGCATAAAGTTTAAGGGAAAAAAACTATAAAGAAAATGTGAACTTTCTTCTTAGTAAATTTATTGTTGGTAGTGGTATTGATGTAGTGATTCTCAGACTATTGTGTGTGTATAAAAGCTGGAGCAGATGTGTAAATGTGCCGATGTGCTCACTGTGGGAAAGAAAATGGAAATATGGAATTGGAGAAAAAGAAAAAGAACCAAGAAGGGTTGGATTGGATGTATAGGTATTAATGTAAGCTCAAGGCTTAACAAAACAAAACAAACAAACAAACAAACAAAAAAACCCTTTTCCTATAACACTATAGTAGCATCAATGAGCATTTGGATCTTGGTTTCTAGCTACCGTTACTAGTCCTAAAATCTTCGTTTCTAATGACCTCTCTCGCCCTCAGATCTTGGTTTCTACATACCATTACTCCCTAAAAGGAATGACAATGCTTACAGAAATGGCTGATTCTAGAACTGAGGCCAAGAAAGTGTGAAATGAGTCAGAAACATATTGTTGTGCCAGAAAATAAGAAAGTGCTCAAAAATAGATAGTGATATGTTGAAAAGACAAAGAAGCCAGATTGAAACATTGCCTTGGCCAAATTTAGGACAACTGAGTATCAAATAAATAATCATGGGAATGGGATTATTGCACACTGAGGAAAAAAGAATCATGCATCCATAGTGATACTAAAAAATACATAGTAATAAAAATGTAGGAAGGAGAGTTCCTCTTTAAAGAACAGTGTCAACTAATAGATGTCAAAGATATGAGGGAACTACAAAATTCACCACATTACAATTCACATAGTAAGAAATGATTCAGGCAGGAGTCATCAACGGTTGCAAAAACTATTGTGCATAAGGGATGTAGAGGAACAGGATATAGAGAAATCTGGTAGATACCACCTTATCCAAATAATCAAATTTGACATTACCAACAATGTGGAATATGCTGATATCAATTGCCTCCTGAAGTGATGCACAACTTAACCTGTGTAGCACTTCGCACAAAAATATTTAACTTGAATCTGAATGCAAGGCAACAATCATAGAAGTCCAAAGTAAGGGACATTCTGTGACACAACTGGCCTAGGATCTAAAAATGTATCAATATCATGAAAGATAAAGAGAGGAAGAAATAGAGAAAGAGAGAAGAAAAGGCTAGAGAACTGTTCTAGATTAAAAGAGACTAAAGAGGAACGACAATGAAGTATAGAGGAGTCCCTGATTAACCCCTGAATTGAAAGAAGTTATATATGACGTTATTGGGATAACTGGAGAAATTTGAATATGGACTGGGTATCAGATAATTACATTGTACCAATGTTAAGTTATCAGAGTGTGATAACTGTATTATGGTTCACTAGAATAATCTCATTGTTCTTAGGCAATAAATGCTGACAGTTTTAGGCTCACAAAACAACTTACACAGTCTCATGTTTATTACTTCATGCCTTTGAACATGCTATTATATCTACACAGAACATCTGTCTCACTTTCTTCACCAAGCTAGCTCTTACCCTTCCTTCAAAACGGAGAACTGAGAATCCTTTCCTGACCCATGTGGCATAAACTAGGTGCCCCTCTGTGTCCCAGTGGTCTGTAATACATATACCAATAAATTCTTTACAATGTTATATTGTTTATGTGACTCTTTCTACCACTAAACCACGAGCCCACTGAGGGCAGGGATTATAGATTTCATTTATCTTCAACACCTGGCAAAATGCGACTATTATATAGAGAGTGTTCAATAAATATATGCTGGCTAAATTAGCTAAATATATGTTGACTAAATTAGCTAAATATATGTTGACTAAATTAGCTAAGATGGTCAGCTGGAAGGGTTGATTATGCATGAGAATAAAGCTCATAGATGGACAGGGGTCCAGGGAAGAGATGGGAATACATTCCCGCCACCATTCTAAACAACACAGCTTTCTTTCTTCCTTTTCCCTTGTCTCATACATCTATTTAGTTGTCAAATACTATAGACTGAAACTCCCCATTATCTCCTGAACTAATCTGCTGTTCCTTTTCTAACTACACTTTATGTTGGTATTACAGAACTGAATTATTTTTTATCTGGAATACTGCATGAGTTGCCTAGTCACATTGCTTCCAGTTTCTCCCTAATTCTGCCCATGCATTACTGATAAGTAAGTCCTACAGCAGAAATGATCTTCAGTTCCCCCGGTCACAAAGTTTCAATATATCTCAGTTCTTACAATATAAAGTTCCAACTCTTTTTTTCATTTTTATTTTTAATTTTCTTTTTTTTGCTCAAATGGATTTTGACAGATAAAGTCCAAACTCTTATTCCTACCCCAACAATGATTTCAATTGTATTTCCAATTGTATCTCTTACTTCCAACCATCCCAACCTGTTCTTTAGCTAAAGGCAACTGCCTGTGATTCTCTACAAACATTCTTTCTCTCGTCCATCACTGTCCACCTGGAACCTCTACCCCTGCTCTCATCCTCCAGAGCAGATGGCTATTTTTGGCCTTCACTCTCACATGCATAATGGGAAGAATACAATAATGAAGTAAAACAACTTGCATTCTAGTCTGAGCTTTCAACTAACTACCTGTGAGACACTAGACTATTATATACATAATCATTCCTGACATATGCAATACAGACAATACCTGTCTAGGGTTAATGAGGGAATCAAATGAGATAATACAAATGAAAGCACTTGATAAATTGCTAAGTGATATACAAATATAGGGAAAGAAATTCACAGATAAAATCCATGGTAAATTACAGGACATGTATGAAATGCCTGCTTATTATTAAATGTTTCAAGCACTGTTTTAGATATGTTACAAATGAAGGAAGTCTTTTTCTTTTTTTTTTTTTGAGATGGAGTCTTGCTCTGTCGCCCAGACTGGAGTGCAGTGGCATGATCTCAGCTCACAGCAACCTCTGCCTCCCGGGTCCAAGCGATTCTCCTGTCTCAGCCTCCCAAGTAGCTGGGATTACAGGCGTGCCCCACCATGCCCACCTAATTTTTGCATTTTTACTAGAGACAGGGTTTCACCATGTTGGCCAGGCTGGTCTCGAACTCCTGACCTCAGGTTATCTGCCAGCCTAGGCTTCCCAAAGTGCTGGGATTACAGGCATGAGAGTCACCGCGCACGGCCGAGGGAAGTCTTTTATAGTGTATTCTATTACGCTCTTCATTAGGTATAACATCATTTCTAAGAAAAACTCTGACTTGAAGTACAAATAGACTCTTGAAATAAACCAAAGTGTAAGATGGGGACATATAAAGAAGATGTTCTTCCAAATGTTAAAAATGCATTTAGAACATTCAACCAACACATGTTCACCTGGCATATGGTACGGTGTGCCAGGATGTTACTAGGCACTAAAGATACCTAAGACCCATGCATATGGTACTGTGTGCCAGGATGTTACTAGGCACCAAGATACCTAAGACCCATGCATATGGTACTGTGTGCCAGGATGTTACTAGGCACCAAGATACCTAGGCCCCAAAGGTAAACACAAAAGCATTTCTGCTCTCACAAGCAGAAAAGTGTAT
Organism: Homo sapiens; assembly: GCF_000001405.40. Taxonomy (NCBI): domain Eukaryota; kingdom Metazoa; phylum Chordata; class Mammalia; order Primates; family Hominidae; genus Homo; species Homo sapiens. The sequence continues at coordinate 59,780,218 of NC_000013.11, forward strand.
ATATGAGTTACTGGAGATGTACAGCTTCCTAGTGAATGATGACTCGAAGAATAAGCAGGAGTTACTCATGTTAGGGACTGTAGAGGGAATAGCATTCTTGGCAAAAGGAATAACAGGTACGAAGGCAAAAAGTATGAATAAAAACAAAAAATGAGGTGTAATAAGATGTTTAGATGATTTATATTTACAGTATTCTAACATAGACCAGAGAAGTTAAAATTAGTCAGTTTTTCTTAGAGTAGAATTCAATTTCTCCAGCTATAATTTATATTAAAAATATTTATAGTTTCTCCCCTGCTGTGAAAACTCTTAAATAACTAGACTAACTGCAAAAGTCAAAGATTTCCTATATGTGAAAAACATATCATCTTAATTTGTAAATGGTATTTTAAAAAATTGCACTGTGTCAAAGGAAATGGAGAAGGGAGAGTTAAGGACATTTCTAAAGTGGAATCAATAGGTCTTAGGAACCGAAAGAAGGCGGAACTGCTAAGGACATGTCTGAGATCTCTGCGGCCCATTGCTGGAGAAAAGAAAATATGAAATTTAAATATTATTGATTTTGATGGGGAACAAAGATTGGAAAATATAATGAGTTTCCTTTTGGACATGTTAATGGAAGGTGCTAGCAGGGACCTCCAGTAACTTCTGGAAGACAGCTGGAAATTCGGGCCTCAAATTCAGACAAAAATGTGGGTAATATTTTTGGAAGTCATTTCCATATTGTAAAAAATACTCATTCAGCACTCTGGAAAAGTATATGCCTGAATCAGAAGAGGTGGCATCTTGGAAACCACCTAAGTTTAAAGGACAGGAGAAAAAAGATAAGTCAGTGATCCAGTAGGAACTCTCTTTCCTTATTCCATTTTCTTCAGCCACGGTACAACCTGAAATTTTAAATAACTAAGCATACAAAGAAGATCCTAAAAGGTTCTAGAATGCTGCAAGCAAGTAAACAAATGAAAACAGGTCAAATATGTAGGAAGGAAATAAGACTAGGACTGGATTTCTCAGTGGCAACACTGAATTCCAAAAGATAGGCAAGAAATGGTTTCCAAATTCTGAAGCGAAATTATTTCCAGTGAAGAAATGATTATGTTGCTAATCAGACAAGGATAGAAAATGGACATTTTTCAAACATGCAAGTGTCTATACATGCCATCTTAGAAAGAGACTGCAAGATGTGCTTTTGCAAAACCAAAACAAGAGGGGTAGAATAGTAAGAAAGAGGAAAACATGGCATCCAGAAAAGGAGAAGGGACAAGAGAGCAAAGTGGCAAAAGGAATTCCCAGGATGTCCCAGTCTCAGAGCAGCCAGTTTAGATCACATGGATCACATGGGAGGAAACTGGGCAGTGGGACAGAGTAGTGGCCACAGAACCGGTAGCAAATCTATTGTGTCGGACCATTTGCAAAATGATTGCTGATTATTTCCCAGATCCATTGAAGACTTTGGATAATACAGTAACAGGTATGTATGTACAAATACTAAACAAACTTTTTGAGAAGTCTCTATTAATCTAGAAACAACAAGATTGTCCCATAGGAAATGCTGTAGTCTGAATGTTAGACTTGATCTCCAATGTAATGGTATTAAAAGGTAGGGTCTTTATGAGGTGATTAGGTCAGGAGGGCAGAAATCTCATGAATGGGATTAGTGGCCTTATAAAAGAGGTTCAAGGAAGCTGTTAGTCCCTTCCACCACATGAGGACACAGCAGCAAGACACCATATATGGAGCAGACAGTGAACCATCACCAGGCATAAAATTTGCTGGCATCATGATCTTGTATTTCCCAGCCTTCAGAACTGCAAGAAATAAATTTCTGTTGTTTATAAATTACCCAGTCTAAGGTGTTTTTGTTATAGCAGCAGGAAAAAACCAGGACAGAAACAAGGAATACTGAAATTTGGGGTAAAGAAAAAAAAACTTAAAAATTAAAAGAAGAAAAATAAAGAAAACAAAGTATATTTACATAGTGCCAATATTATAAACACTGGCCATTCTGTTGGCCATCAACTGTGATATAATTATAATGAAAGACAATGGGGTAAAGGAAGAGGGGTAATCCACACAAGGTGGATTAGTGGTGAGAGGGCATTAGGGAACTAAATCAGGAACTCAGTAATGTCTAAAATAAAAAATTGATATGCAACAGTCTATGCTATTATCTAGAAATAAGGAACACATAAATATCAGAAGAAATATCTAAGAATTAAAAGTGATTGCCTCTGGGAAGTGGGAGGAGGTTGAGAGGAGTGAGGGAGAAGATATTTTATCATGCTATGAGCCTATTATATTTAATTTAGGAATTTGTAGACATTGATAAATACAAGATAGTTAAAAATTTTATTGAAAGAGAAAGAAGATGGCTGAGGAAGAGAATTTGAAGGAAGAGGTTGATTCTTGACCTAAAGATGCTTACCTCTGAGAAGGGGAGGAAGACAGGTAAAAATCGTAAAACACAACAGGTTGAATATTATGACAGAGATATTCAGAATGTGGTACAGGGTGGTGGGCATGTAGTATGGGGCAGAGGGAGAAGGAACAGCAGTTACAGAAGGCTCAGAATATCTGAGACTTAAAGAACCGATTTAAGAGTGCCAGAGCTGTCAAAAGAGACAAGACCCAGCTAAAGCTGTCAGGAAAGCTGTACAAGGCAGGGATTCTTGAAGAATGTGCAGTGGATATGAGTAGGAAGAGATAACAGGGGTAACGCTGCGAGGTGAAGGTGAAGAGAGAGCCGGGGCCAACTCACCAAGGGCTGAATATACCATGCTATGGAGTTTAGACTTTAAAGGAGCCATGAAGTCATTTTAAGCTAGGAAGTAACATGGTCAAATTTCTACTTTAGAAAGAATATTTTGAGAAGAGAAAAGACTAAAGGCAAAAAACAAACAAACAAAAAACAAACCCAAGAGGCATGTTTAATGATTTAAATCTAGACAAAATGTGATTTCAGGGCCCAAGTAAGTTACAGAAGTGGTGAAAATAGAAAAAAGAAAGGAGGAGACATAGAGAAATCTTGGTATCCGTGGTTGTGAATATTATAAAGAAATAGTTAAGGCTGATTTCCAGGCATTTGGCTCAGCCAATTGTATATATATTGATATCATTTGCCAAGTACAGAACCGTCTTTGTTTGATGATAGAATGAGTTGGATCTAGACAGGAGCTCAATTTTGGATATGTTAAGTTGAAATGTTCATGAGATATACAAATACAAAGTGATTCAAGGCTTCTAGAGGGCTGATAGAGTCACAGGTTTAAAACTTGGGAAAGAGGAATTGGTTACACTAATACATTCAACTTAGAAGCATAGGTCGTACCTGAAACTATGGAAAAGAGTACAAGCATAGTAAAGTGGTAGAGAACACAAGTTCTGAATTCATCCATTTAGATTCAAACCAATGGCTCCCCAACTAACAATCAGTGTTATTGGGCATATTACTTAGTCTCTAAAACCCTCATTTATTCCCCCTAAACGTTGAAAGGGCAAGAAGAACAGCACCTATTTCACAAAATATTGAGAGGATTAAAACAGATAAATCACGTACAATGCTCAGTAGGGTGCCTGGCTCATATTAAGAGCTTACTAACAGTGAATCTTTGTTATTTTGCTTATTGATATTATGGTAGAGCTTGAGCTCTCTTAGGGAGACATTGTGTAGTGACAAGAAAAGAGAGCTGAGGGTAATGCACAAGGCAAACTAATAGGAAAAGGTGCTTTTAAGAGGAAATGACTATTATCAACCTGTGACCATTTTCCATTGTGTTTACTTTGTGTGTGCTTTTATAGCTCCTTCTTTTACTTTCCACTGTCTCCTGACATACTTTCCTAAAGTCAAACAACTATATATTACTATTATTTATTTATTTATTTAGAGGCGAAGTCTTGCTCTGTCGCCCAGGCTGGAGTGCAGTGGCGCGATCTCGGCTCACTACAAACTCCGCCTCCCAGGTTCAAGTGATTCTCCTGTCTCAACCTCCTGAGTAGCTGGGACTACAGGTGCACGCCACCACACCAGCTAATTTTTTGTATTTTTAGTAGAGACAGGGTTTCACCATATTAGCTAGGATGGTCTCAATCTCCTGACCTCGTGATCCACCCGCTTTGGCCTCCCAAAGTGCTGGGATTACAGGTGTGAGCCACTATGCCCAGCCTATATTATTATTATTTTTTGAAGACAGCTCTGTCACCCAGGCTGGAGTGAAGTGGTGTAATCTCAGCTCATGGCAACCTCTGCCTCCCAGGTTCAAGTGATTCTCATGCTTCAGCCTTCAGAGTAGCTGGGATTATAGGCATGTGCCACAATGCCTGACTAATTTTTTGTATTTTTAGTAGAGATGGGGTTTCACCACGTTGCCCAGGCTGGTCTTGAACTCCTGAGCTCAGGCAATCTGCCTGCTTCGGCCTCCCAAAGTGTTGGGATTACAGGTGTGAGCCACCACGCCCAGTGACATTTTCTAATATTTCAGTAGTAGTAAGTGACGTGAAGATTACAATCTGGAATTTGGAATGGGACTAGGGAAGGAAAGCACAGTTTCCCCAAAGGTTGAAAGTGTGCAGTTGATATACAAAATTCATAGGCTTATAGTTTAACCCAATTCTAGAAGAAAAACCACACACGCGCGCACACACACACACACACACAGTTGCCCTAACATAATTACATGAATTATTCCTCTATGATTCTGGTTATAGAGATTTTTGGGAAAAAGATTATACAGCTTCTCTTGGTAACCCAGTTCAGTCTTTAACTAGCTAGAACAAAGCTCAAAATGCTACTTAAACCAGACAGCAAAAAGACAGGAATAACTTCAAACAAAGTCTTTGAACTTGTCTTAATCCAGATGTGAAACTGAAAATTTATTTGAGTCAAGGGAGTTAGAAAGCCGATTTTCATTGGGATTTAACTGATAAAATGATAATCAGAACAGTTCTCTTTCATACTGTAATTAAGTGACTGGCTCAACCACAAGAAGTGGAATTTTATGGGGAAAAAACTCCAATAGGTTAATATTTCTGTTTTTTTCTCCCTTATTCGTCATGATTTGTACAAATTTCATTAAATATATTTCTGTTACAAGTTAGGAGAAAAAATTAGAATATTTTACAAGAAAGGAAGTTTTATTTATTTTTTCCTTAAAATAGAGCACCCAAGAGCAAAGTTAAAGAGTGAAACTCCTGGACTTGAATCTTGCTTCTTACTCTTATCAGCTGTGTGCTCCTTAAAGACCACCCCTGTCTCCTTGTGCCTCCTCATACCTATAAGATGAGGATAATAATAGTATTTATCCTCAAAGACTATTGTGAAGATTAAGCAAGGTATAAAGAGCTTAGCACAGTGCCCCCCATATGTAAGGCTTAAAAAATATTAGCTATTCATATTTTTAATATTTTGATGACTATTCTTGTTCACTAATATAGCAAATATTGCTGATTAGTCAATGCAACACATTCATTCTCTACCTTCTCCTTCCTTCCACAGAGGCTAGGAAAGCTAAAATTTCTCTCTGTGGCTCCCCTGCAGCTAAGCTAGAAGTGGCCGTGTGATGCATTTCTGTCTAATAAGGCATATATGTACATAAAGTATGGTATTTCTAGACATAAAAGATGTATATGTTGATAACCACTCTTCCTCTTCCTATCTTAAATATGGCCTGGAATTACGGCAGCTATGACTGCTATCATATGTTACCACCTCCTTCTTCCTATCTTGAATAGGCCTGGATCTGTAGCATCCATCTTATACTTAGGAGTACAGACCACAAGGTCATTCTTTTAGTTGCTCTGGATAAAACATACGGCTTGCTGGAGCCCAGGAGGCAGAGGTTGCAGTGAGCTGAGATCACGCCTCAGCACTATAGCCTGGGTGACATAGCAAGACCCTGTCTCAAAAAAATCCCATGACCAACAACAAAAAATAAGGCTACATTTTCAAAGTTTAAGTGAAAAATATTTTGCAGCTACATTAGAATGTGTAAACCATAATTAGCATACAATTTATTACATTGTATCCAAATTTGAATCTAAATAATTTCATGTCTTACACTAAATAGGATTATAGAGATGATATTTATGAAATAAAGGATTATTATTCTACAAACTCTCCAGCTTAAAAAAAGAAACCTATTCTTGGATGTCATGAATAAACTATGATTGAATTTTAACTATATACACAACCAGGAAAAATGGTAATATAAATATACTATAACAAATTGTATCATATTGTTATTAATTCTTAATTTTCACATTTCTTATGATTTAGGTTCTGTTGTAAGAAAATAATTCCGGATAAAAAAGCTATTTATCTGCTCACTTAATTGTCTACTCAAATAAAAAAGTTACAATCATTTTTGGAATATAAACATATTAAGGCACAAGATGTAAGAGTAACCATATAATGGATGAATTTGTCATTACAAAAATAAGGAGATATATCACATTTAAAAAGAAAAAAAACTTCAGTACATAAGACAGCATTTCCTAAAGTGTGCACCACAGAACACTAGTCCTATAAGAAGCTCTGTGTGTATGTGTTTAGGGAGAGGGGGTAGAGAAGGTGGCTCTGTGGTCAAATAAGTTTGGATAATAATGAGCAACAGAGGCTGGGTGTTGTGGCTTACGCCTGTAATCCCAGCAACTTGGGAGACTGAGGCAGGAGGATCACTTGAACCCAAGAGTTCAAGACTAGCCTGGGCAACATAGTGAGACCTTGTCTCTTAAAAAAAAAATAGCCAGTATGGTGGTGCATGCCTGTAGTCCCAGCTACTCAAGGGGTGACGTGGGGGGATCACTCGAGCCCAGGAAGTTGAGGCTGCAGTGACCCGTAGCTGAGCCACTGCACTGCAGCCTGGGTGACAAAGTGAGACCTTGTCTCAATAACAATAATAATAATGTGTAACATGTACTACACTTGGTGATTCATATCAAATACACATGACAAGTCAATTCATGATAAAGGTGGCATTTCAAATCAGTAGAAGATTAAAAAAATGTGTTCAATAACTACTGTGGTAGCATTAGCCTATTTGGATCTCACCTTGTTATTTATACCAAAATAAATTCCAAGTGGATCAAACATTTCAACATTAAAAGATTAAAGTGTAAAACTATAGCAGAGAATATGGAAAAGTATATTTTCAGTAGTTCTGGAATGGGAAGATATTCCTAAGAAAATCCAAAAGTAATATAAATATCTAAAAATCAAATAGGACAGGTACAGTGGCTCATGCCTGTACCCTCAGGACTTTGTGAGGCCAAGGAGAGAGAATCACTTGAGCCTAGGAATTTGAAACCAGCCTAGACAACATAGTGAGACTTTGTTTCTATTAAAAATAATAAAAAATCAAATAATAACAAACTGTACACATAAACAATGAAAGGATAAGCTGGAAAAAATATTTGAAACATTGGCATTCCCTCGGTCTGATTTTCTTAAAATAAAGAATGCTTGTAACTCAGTAAGAAACACCAAGAAATGGGCAATTGCTATTCAGGGAACCCATCTTCTATGATCTGAATCTTTGTGTTCCCCCCCAACCCCAAATTTATATGTTGAAATCCTAATTCCAAGGTGATGATATTAGGAGAAAGGGCTTTGGGAGGTGATGAGATCATAAGGGCAGAGCCTTTGTTAATGAGATTAGTGCTTTTATAAAAGGGATTCTAGAGAGCTGCCTTTGTCCCTTCCACAATGTGAGGACACAGCTAGAAGGTTACAGGCCCTCAGTGAACACTGAATCTGCTGGCATCTTGATTTTGGATTTTCCAGCCTCCATAACTGTGATAAATAAACTTCTGTTCTTCATAAGCTACTCAGTTTATGATATTTTTTATAGCAGACTGAATGGACTAAGACACCATAACAAAAATAAATAAACCATGCTTTAGATGTGATATAATCCTCAACCTCATTCATAATTAAAGATATTCTAAATACATCAATGAGAGATCATTTTCATCTAACAGCATAGCAACAATGAAAAATTATGATAAATCAGTATTGGTGAAGGGTTGGGGAAGAGGTCACTTCACACATTTGTTGCTGAAAAATATAAAACTAATGCAATCACTTCGGAATATAATTTAGTAATTTTTATTAGAAATAAAATTGTGGCCATCTGTGGTGGCTCATGCCTATAATCCTAGCACTTTGGAAGGCCAACGTGGGTGAATCGCTTGAGGCCAGGAGTTTCAGACTAGCCTGGGCAACACAGTGAGACCTCTCCTCTAAAAAATAGCTTTTTTAAAAAGAAAAAAGATTGCACATATCACATAATAATTTTTCTCTGAGAAAATTATTCTACATGTATAACTTACATGTGTGGAAAAACATGTAAAAGGGTGTCTGTTATATTGTTGTTCATTGTAACAGGAGACTAGAAACAAACTAAATGTCCATCTACAAGAGATTGACTAAATAAACTATGACATCCATATACCAGAATATTTTGTACTGTCAAAAAATGAGGCATATTTAAATTATTGATATGGACCATCTCCAAAATATAGTAAGTGAAATAAACCAAGTCCTTATTTTATCAATGAGGACATCGAATGAAGACCTTTCTATGACCACTTATGGCTATTAACTACAGAGCCAGCAATGGGTTTTACGACTTCCAGCAGCTTAGCAATTATTCCACCACATGGTGCTGAAAAAAGGAACTACTTAATCATTTTTCCAGTGGTAAATGATTGTTAAAATGTCTTGCATGTAAGTATTCAAGTAACCCACTCTGATGAGCTTGTTCACTCTGACCTATTCTAAAATTACTAAAGAAAGCAAAATTTAGAAACTGGCATTGACTCCCTGGCAAAAAGAATGCTACCACAGTCGACCTTGTGTGTTATGTAGGGTCTAGGGTGCTGAACAGATGCCTTCAGTTGCAAAAGCACAGAATGTCGGCGGGTGGGGGGGAATGTATCTATTTAAATACATATGTAGATGTGAAGTGATAATGACATTTAACAAAATGTGACTATCACACAGAGCGAACACCCACGATCCTTTAATCACAGAGTAACCCAGGGAGGAAAAGGTTAATTACATGGCACAGCACCTCCACTTCTGGGTAGAAGTTTCACTTGTCACCCACAAGAGCTTCACTTTATTCTGAGTGAAGTTTAACAAGCTTAAGCTTGACAAATGCTTACTTCGCATTGAAAATATATTAGGATTTGTTTTAGATTTGTTTTAGTATTTTATTAGTGAAGAATTGACTTTTCAATGGCTTTTTTCCTTATGAAGTTTTTGAATAAAGAATGAAATGGTTTCAGATAATGAAAATGCTTAATTCAATAAGAATTAAAAAAAGAAGGGGAAGGAGCTAGAGAATAATATCGGTAATTTCACAGGAATTTTCTTTCAGGAGAAGCCAGGATAAATGGACTTGAGGCCACGAGGAGCCAGTGAGTGGTGCCTGGAACACCGTATGATGCCCAGAGGAGCCCAGCAGTCATGCTCTGACAGCAGCATATGGTGCGCACTGGAAGAAGGGGAAAATAAGGTCAGGAAGGCAGACTGGGAGCTTGGATTCGAGGCTGAAGAACTGCCATCAAATGTTTTTGAAAGGTGTGAAATAATCAAAACTGTACTCCATGATGATTAAAGCTGGCATAGTGTGAAGGTGTCAAGCCTGGGTGACTGGGAAAATGGTGGTATCATTAACCCAAAATGAGAACATGAAAATCAGGTTTTATGTGGAACACGACAAGTTAGGTTTTAGATGAATTGATTTTGAGGTACTGGCAGAATATTCTGTTTTGTTCAGGAAGTAGTTGGAAATATAAAACTATAAAGTCTATTGTTTAATTCAATTCTACAAAGATACACTAAGGACTACGTGTCAGGCACTGAACTAGCCCCAGCCCTTGTTCCCATGGGACTTAAATGTAAGAGCAAGTTCAACACATAATTAATGACTACCTGTATGACGAATGTTACACAAAATAAATCAGGGTGCTATGAAATTGCTTAATACTGAGGCAATAGAGGTGAAGAGCTATAGCTATGGTTGCCTAGTGATGATTCCAGGGGTTATTCTTTGATACCTGGATTTTTACTTAAATTTCTGAAGATATGTTTTATTTGTACCTTAAACACAGAACCATATAGATATCACAGTAAACTGTGGAAACCTGTGTATTCTCATTTTGAGCTTTAAGGGTTAAAGCCCATCTCACTGCTGCCAACCTTGCACAAAGTAATTTTTACCAGGCTCAAGTTCTTTGTTCATTTCTAACATAAACTTTGTGTTCAAAGTACTATAAGTATTCATTACCTTTGTTTCATTTTAAAGGAGAAATGCAGATTTATTCTGCCCAAATATAATGTCCTTCCTTATTCCTTCCACAGTGAGATGTAGCATCCCATTAGTATTAAACACAGAGGAAATTTTAAAATCCTATTCAGAATAACAGCAACATTGTTTTGAAAAGGAGGAAGTCAGCAAGGAGAATAAGGCAAATCTGAATGAGTGAAAATTGGTGAAGAAAAAGAATTGACATATGCTTTCAGAAGAAAGCAAGTATGAGAAAAATGAAAGAGGAGACAACTGAACTTTCAATGAACTCATTAACAATTGTAAAAAAACTGGAGGCAAAAATGTGCTACAGTCTCAAGAGAACAATGAAAGACTCCCTCCCCCCGCTCCACAACTATAAAAAGCTGACAAAATGAATACACGAGCCCCACAGTAAAAGCTGATATTAGGTAACTTTGAGAACAACTTTATTTTATTTTTATTTATTTATTTTTTTGAAAGAGATGAGTCTGTCTCTGTTGCCCTAGGCTGGAGAGTGCAGTGGCACAATCATAGCTCGCTATAATAATCTCAAACTCCTGGGCTCAAAGGATCCTCCTGCTAAAGCCTCCTGAGTACCTGAGACTATACCATGCCCAAGTAATTAAAAAAAATTTTGTTTTATAAAGACAGGATCTCACTATATTGCTCAGGATGGTCTCAAACTCCTGGCCTCATGCAATCCTCCCACCTCAGCCTACCAAAGTGTTGGGATTACGGGTGTGAGCCATCATTCCTGGTCAAGAACAGTTTTATTTAGGAAACAAGAGATACATAAAATAAAGAATAAAAAATTTAAATATGAATTAAGACACACTAGGAACTATCACTTTGATTGAATGCCTATGTGCTAGAGTCTGTATGGAACATTTTACCTAGATTTTCTAATTTAATTCTCACTCCCCTCTTTCAAAGTAGCTATTATCTAATCCATTTTAAAGTTAGGGAACTTGGAGCTCAAAAAGGTAAAGTAAGGTGCCCAAAGCCCTGCCATAGGGTGGTAGCAGAGGGGAGATTTGATATCTTTCTGATTCTAAAGCTCATTCTTTCCACTATAGACTTTTATTGAGAGAGGTGTTACATGAAAATTGATAACTATTCAGATCCTTAGGTTTGCTGACTTATATTTAAAGGTGTTTTAGGAAATGCTTTAAGGCACAAAGAGGTAGTAGCTTTCAGAGCAGGAAACAGGAGCAGGCAAGCACAAGCTCGTTTCCCCAAATTCGACGGGAGCTTTCTCCCAGAATCTGACAATAAGAGAGATGCAGGTCATTCACAGATGCTCCTTCCTCAGAGAGAAAGACCAGAAACACTCCTCCTCCTGAGACCAGGAGTATCTGAAAATATTAGAATTACTTCAATCTGCCATGGCCTCCTGACTCCTCCTTTCAACCTAGCCACTGGGGATTGCTGTAGTTGGGCTAAAACTTTGAAGGCAGCTAAACCACCATCACCATCATTCTTAGACAACAGTGTCCTTCTGATCTTTATTTCCTCCAGCATTATTAGCATGAACAATCTCTCTACTACCTCAATTTCTTCACCATACACTCCTTTCACCTCGTTCTCTTAATTGAAAATGGGCTCTACTTGGAAACTGGACAGATGATCTCTGCTCACCCCTTCTGGTAGATGTTGCTTGTTCCCCTCCTATCTCACGTGCTTAAAGTCTGCAGGGCACAGGTGGAGGACATGGGAATGTCTGCTTTCTCCTTGATCAAAGCTGCTATGTCAGGCTGTCACTTTTTTTTCCTCATGTAAAAAGCACCCGCCTTTGAGACACATGTCATTCAGTTACACTGCTGCCATCCCTCTGGGTCACTGTCATCTAATCACGCACAAGTCTACCCTCTCATTCAGAATAAACTGTCAATTGAGTCAGTCTTCCTCATCAGGCCAGGCTCTGCCATCATCTTGTGAGAATTCAGTTTAATGTTAATATCTAATCCAACACCAGGTCCTAAGAGTTCCTTGACCTCCTCCTCTCCAGGGAGCAATCCCTTCTACTTCCCATCACCGACTTCCTTGGCCATAATCGAAATCTTGTCACTACCCAGAGCTGTTTTACTTCCAATAACTTGAATTCATACAACCATTTTCTGACCCATGTCCTTTTCCTCTCTCTCTTTTCCTGTCATCTACCCATGAAAATCTCCAATGCCCTGGCACCACTGTTTTCATATCCTTGACTATCTAGTTTAGACTCTGTGGTGCATCACTTTGACCATGGTTCACACGCTGGTATCTTACTTCCCTCCTTCATTCTCCTACTTTTTCAGACTCCCACTAAAATGTAAATAAGCCCCAAACTCCATCTTCTTGGCATTACTCCAGATGCTGAGTAGTGCCGGTAAGAAACAATACCACAGGATCTGAACTAGTACATATGTGCAACTGCTACCTCAATTGGATTCTTAATGCTATTCAGCACTCCTCTGTGTTTCATCAGGAGGCTCTCCCACTCCCTGAGAGGGTTTACATGCTTACACACTTCACTCAAGCCTCCCAACCAACCATGGCCCTTCCTCTGCAAAGGCCTTCCTTTTAGATAGAAAACAGGAACCACTTGATGAAAGCTTCCTTAACTTCCCACCATCAAACCTACAAATGTATCTGCACTTAGGCCCAACATTTCCTCCTTTCAATCTATCACAATGGCAGAGCATGTGGATTTCCAAGACAATTTCCTCTACCTGTGCTAGTATCTTGTTGTTCTCCACCCCTCCTGCCGCCCTCAGAAGTTTACTCCATTGATTGTCATTCTCTTCCAATTGCCCTCCTTTCTCATTCCTCCCAGTCTGCATTTAAACAAATTAAAACACCTGCTTTGTCCTCCCCTTTGACTTCTAAATCCCCTGTAGTTACTACCCTTTCTTACTCATATCTCAGTCTCATCTCCCATATTCATTCATTAACTCTTTACGCTATTCTTTGAGCTAAAGTCAATGGGATGGCTGTTAGTTCATTACATGATTCTTTAGCAGTATTTGATTGTGTTGACTACCCATTCCTTTTTGAAATGGTCTCTTCCTTGGGCTTCATGATACCAGACTTTCTTGGTCTTCCTACTACTTTCATGTGACTCCCTTGTCAAGGTCCTCTTCTGGGATCTTCTTACTCTGCTCATTCTTACACCATTCCTTGAATTTTCCATTGGTGTTTTATTCATTCCATGGCTTCATTTACTGAAAACTCCCAAGTTTTTATCACCAGCAACAAGCGCTATTCCTGAGTTCCAACTAGGGTGACCAACCATCCTGACTTGCAAGACTAAGGGGTTTCCTGGAACACAGGACTTTCAGTGATAAAACTGGGAGAATTAGGCAATCTGGGATGTGTTGGTCATACTAGCCCCTTCCTACTCACTAGACATGGTAACCTGGATGTCCTAGAGATACCTCAAATATAATACAGACTGTTCCCAACTTACAATTTTTTGACTTTACAATCAAGCAAAGCAATACACATTCAACAGAAACTGTACTTGACTACCCATACAACCATTGTCTGTATTCAATAAATTACATGAGATATTCAATACTTGATTACAAAATAGGTTCTGTGTTATATGATTTTGCCCAGCTGTAGGCTACTATAAGTGTTCTGGAATGTTTTAGGTAGGCTAGGCTAAGCTATGATGTTTGGTAGGTTTAGGTATATTAAATGCAGCTTTGACTTAAAATATTTCCAAATTATGATGGGTTTATCTGGACATAACCCCATCAAAAGTTGAGGTGCATCTGTATATACAAACTTGAATTACCATTTTCCCCAAACCTCTACCTCTTATTGTGTCCCTTATCTCAGTGAATGGCACCACCTACTCATGTCAAAACACTATGAGTCCTTTTTAACAACTGTTGAAGGTAAATATAATAGAAGGATTTCTGTATCCCTAAGCACTGAGTTTCCAGTTACATTTCCTATTAGGGGAATATTCAATAGGATTCTTATATAGCCTGTCAGCAATTTCAAATCTTCTTTAGTGAAAAAAAAAAAATTAAAAAATGTATCATTCATTTGAAAAGTTACAGATCTGTTGGATAGTGCCAGTGGTGCAAGATTTTTTTCTTCAATGCCACATCCTTCTACTGTCCAAGTTCTGATGCGAATTTTGATCACTATCTAATCCACTATAAATATCATTTATTTATTTATTTTTATCGAGGCAGGGTCTCATTGTGTGGCCCAGACTGGTCTCAAACTCCTGGCCTCAAGAGATCCTCCCACCTCAGCCTCCCAAAGTGCTGGGATTACAGGAACCAGCTACCATGCCCAGCCTAGTATAAATATTCTTCTTTAAACATTTTGGAATATTTCTAACATGCTGTTTAGGAATGATTAATTTTCCTTCCCAATAAGCTGAAAGAAAGACATGTTCCTCAAGCAATGAAACTCTGGAAAACAATTTGTATTAACTTGTGAATGCCTCAGTCTGCAAGACATAGTACATGCTTTGTAGGTCATTAGGAAACAAAATGGTTGTCTTTCATAGTTCATTCTGTAAATGGCCTGTGGGCCGCAGTTAGCTCCACACATCTCCTCACTCTGTGTGGGCTCCATCAAATATTGCCTTTAAATTTGCCTGGACAACTGCACAAAGGAGAATGAACGAAAGCTTCAGATTAAGAATGTACGAGAAGCACAAGACGCAAGACTCTTCAGGCCAAAGGAAGTAAGACAAAAAAGTGACTTCATGGTGCTCTGGGTTATTATATTTATATTTCTTCATCTTCATTCAGCATGAGACAGTAGATAGGCTGATAATATAATGAAAAATTAAGACTAAATTTCAGGAAGAACTATCTGAAAAGAAATCATTATTACTATAGGGCCTGGCCACCAAGGAAAATGGCATCCTTTCCCTTCTCTTGAATTTAAGGAGATGCTTCTGTCCCAGGGAATTTAGGTATATCATTCTCTCTCTCTTTTTTTTTTTTTTTTTGAGATGGAGTCTCGCTCTCCCGCCCAGGCTGGAGTGCAGTGGCGTGATCTCAGCTCACTGCGAGCTCCGCCTCCGGGTTCACACCATTCTCCTGCCTCAGCCTCCTGAGTAGCTGGGACTACAGGTGGCCGCCACCATTCCAGGCTATTTTTTTTTATTTTTAATAGACACAGGGTTTCACTGTGCGTGCTAAGATGGTCTCGATCTCCTGACCTCGTGATCCACCTGCCTCAGCCTCCCAAAGTGCTGGGATTACAGGCGTGAAACACTGCGCCTGGCCAGGTATGTCATTCTTGAACTGGGTGGCTTGCTATGGTTTCACAACTTAAAGTTTGTTACTAGACAAACAGTTACAGACATATTCTCCATTGCTCAATGTATTTTTCTAAGCTCATGCTTACCATTTCCACCCGCTTGCCAGCCATCTTGTGACCACATTTGTACATATTAGTGCTTTCATCAGGGGGTAAGTGCATCAATAAGAGGAGAAGTTGAAATTAGATTAGTTAATTTGCTACTTCATTAACAGCTGTGGTAAAAAGTCCAAGGAGAAAAAAGATTGAAACTAGCTAAAATGAGGGGTTTGTATTGTAAGTGAATCTAAATTATCTATGTCCCCTATTCCTGCGGATAACTGAGAGTCAGCTGTGCACACATCTGTGGGTGTTTATAAACATTTACCATCTGTGAGAAGCTTATGGGGCGTAAATGGTGGGCTAATTAGTGAAATGCTAGTCATTTCTAATGACAGTTGTTATGGATAAAGATTTTATCCAGGTTAAATTGATCTCAGAACCTCGATCACGGGAGGCCACTCTACCTTTTATGACAAGACTAAGTAGTTACACTATGCTGAACATGTCACACATTAAGGATGCACCATAACTAGATTAGACTGCTAGTTTATGCATGTTAATGAGCTCTGTTCTTAATAGACTGAAGTGTGGATTGAGTATTTGTCAGGGAAAATGAGAAGTTGTCAGTCTGTTGAAAGGTCAACCATTTCTATAGTAAGACATTTTCATTTCTGTTCTACAAATATATTAAGTACCTTCCATTCAGAAAATTAAGAGCATAGACAGAAAACTATGAGATTCATAAATGAAAAGAGTTGTCCATATACATACACACATATGTGCATACAGATATATTTCCCTAACTTCACCATATCAGTAACTTTTTCTAAACATATCTTTTACTGATCCATATTGTGGGCAAACATTCTAAACAGGTAATTTTAAACTAAATTCATCCTATAACCAAAGGGGGGAAAAAAACCATACTGTATAAGAAGAGAGTCATATTTACTGTGTAATAAAAAGTATCTTAAAGTAGAGATTATGTTGTAAAAGAGGACAGTGTCATAGAACAAGTGAGTGGAAGAGTAGGCAAAACTTCATTCCTTGGGTTCTAATAAAGTTTGTTATTAATTTACAGAATACAAATGGAATTTTCCAAATTAGAAGGAATCTTATTGTGTAGATAAGGAGAATTATGGTCTGAAGCTAACTGGCCTGCTATTACTTAGCTACTGGTGGAGCAGGGACTGGAATACTGATAACCCAACTCCTAAACCTTAGCACCAAACATTTCATGACACCACTATTAACAGAGAATAGCAATATTGTATATAATGTCAATAGTTTTAGTAAATGAAAAAAAAACACCCTATGTAAAATGTCACTCCTTCCCACACTTTCTATCCCCCCATCCCTACTTTATTTTGTTCTCCTTATAAGTTGTGGACTTCTAATGCTGTTTATTTATCTTAAATGTTGTCTGTCTCCTGCCAGAATATATGCCCATGAGGGCCGGGACACTCGCTTGTTTTATTTTCTGCTGTACCCCTAGTGCCTAGGATAGTATCATGACATAATATGCGATAAATAAATATTTGCTGAAAGAAAGTTTTGATAGAAATACTTTTTTTCACCATCACACTAATAATTCTGCTAATGAAGGAAGTATTTCAATGCCCATTTTTATAATTTCTTTTGTCAGAAATTTAATGGTCACAAAAGCAAATCACACAGGAGCCTTGGGAATGTCTTTCAGAATGTTAGATAAGGTGTAATTAGTACCTAATGAAAAAACAATAACCAAATACTGACTACAACAATATCACCTGCCAGCAAAATAAACGAATGCAGACTTCAATAATGAGAATCCTAGAGCCTTGGAACTGAATGTTTGGGCTAGTTTTAGATGAAGAGGAAGGAGTGGGACTGACCTGTTTTCCTTCAAGGGGATAATGGGACACATTCTCTCCATTGCCCTACCTGAACCCCATGCCTCAGATTCTCCAGGAAAGGGCCACCTCCAGCTTATCCTCATGAGCTAAACATGGTTTATTTTCAGAGGTTCTCGGTTAATCTAGCTACAAAAACTTGCAAAGTTGTCTTTATTAACAAATTTGTTTTTATTTTCCTCTATGAAAGAAGTTAATAGTTACTGTGCAGATGTTGTGTTTCTTACCCTATGCCAGGCCCATTCAGGTAAAAAACACTCCCAAGATTAAAAAGCCTTTAAATTGGAGATGTAAAATCTATGTGTTCTAAAGCTGGTAGGAGCAGCATCACCTACCTGTTCATGAAGTATTCTCCCTGTCTCCCCACACCCAATCCACTAGAAAGCCCCATTGATTCTGCCTCTAAACTGCCTTTCAAATCCATCCTGTCTTCTCTTTTCAGTGCATCCTAGTTCAGGTCTTCTACATTTATCTCTTGCAAAATTGCAAGTGTCCTAATTAGTCTCATTCCTCCTAGTCCCAACACCCTCTGATCCATCTGCGTTTTTGCTACAGAGCCATTTCTCTAAAAGCAAATCATATCACTGCTCTGTTTAATGCCCTTGAAATGTGCCTACAAAATAAAGCAAAAAAAAAATTCAAAGCATAGCATGGTTTCTTGACTTCCAATTTAGCATCATTTCTGCCCATAGTTCTACCCAAAGATCAATCAGGCCTGCTACATTACTGGTTAGTCCATATATAAATGTCACACCTCTGTATCTGAATTTACTTAGCCCATTGGATGCCCAGGCACAGAAACTCTGGCCCTTCATTTCACTGTGTTCATTTGGTATCCACCTAATTCAAGATTCCACATTTCAAAGGAACAACAAAGGTAGTCTTTTCCACATTTACTGCTCAGATGTCAATCCATCCTCCTCTCTCCCACCCCAATGTGAGAGCCAAAGGATCATTCTTAGTACAGGAACCACCCATGTAGCAGAAAATGCACACCACATTCTTAGGCTCTGAACAGAAAAGATGCCCCCATCTGGTGGAAGAGAAATTGGAAGTGAGATTACATGCAGTGCAGTAGCCCTGCGCATTCATCCCAGGAGGAAGTGGCGCATATTGGGTAGACTTTCCTAGGAAGTTACAGAGAGTTGAGTCCAAGAGTGGAGGTGTCTTGTGTCCAACATGCAGAATTGTTGAGAATGGGCTAAGGAAACAAGATTAGGGTACAAGAAGGCTGCAGAAGCACCACAAGAAGCTGAGTGCTGTGGTTGAAGCACAGTAATTTCCTATGCATCCTGCCTGGGGAAGAAAAAAAAAGTTCACTAAGAAAGAGCACGAGTGCAAGAGAAGAATGTTTCCAAGAATCATTAACATAAGGAAGCCAAGGAGGGAACTAAGAGAAATCCAATTGTTCTATTTGGTTACCATTCAAAGGCAAACCAGTGATCACCTTTACCACAAGCAGACAGGAGGAATGATGCCAAAGCAGGGAGGCTGTTATGGACGTAGATGCCAACTGAACCAGAAAGAGGGCATATGCACAGAAGGGTGGCCGAAGCTGGCTTCCTTCATCGAAGGAAGAAGGGAGATAAGAAGAGATCATGGAAGGGAATTTCAAACACAAATAACAACTCTCTACTGAAATTACTGGAAATATGCACACACACACACACACACACACACACACACACACACACACACACAGAAGGAGAATTGACTACATTGTTAACCATCAGGTAGGCTGATGACTCAGTCATAAATTAAACTGCATTTATAGAAATAGTTATATCTCTGCATATCTGAACTTGCTGTCCTAACTATGAAATTCCCCGTTTGTTACCAAAAGTATAAGAGCACATAAAACAAACTTGACATATGTCATATCTTGTCCTAGGATTGTGCCAATCTATTTTATGGGGTCTGCATAAATAGAACATGTACAGTTGAGGAGTTTTTGTCCCACAAATGTGAATTCCATAAATATTTTTAAAGTGCTTATTAAACACCTGCTATGGAAAGAAATTAGAAGCAACAGCTCACTGTAAAAGATATTTTTTTGAACATGGTTAATTTTGATTAAAGGTTTTATTTTTGTAAGATTTATTATTGAGAAATAATGGCATGTTTGATCTTTATGAAAAGCAAATTTTTCATAGCAAAATCAAAATATTAACTGAAGTATCATTTAAAATGACTATAGTAAATGTTTCATATCATGTCCCTCCTTTCTTGTACTTTATTAAAGATTAATATTGAGTATCTAATTAATGAAATGAGATAAACACTTACTTCAAAAAGACTTCTTTTTGAAGTTTCTAGGAGGAATACACCAAATTGTCAAAACTTCTGTTTCAGAATCAGCTGACCTCAAATTGGAGCAGGCTAAAAACATGCACACAAGTGCGTGTGTACACGTACACATGCATCCTCCCCCATATAGAAACCCTCATTACTCATTAGTTAAGTTGTAATATATTCAGATGGAAAATTTTATCTCTAAGCGTTCCTCAGTTTCTAAGAATGGTAAACACCATGAGATATATTTTCCCCTTCTTTTCTTACCTTTCCCTTTTTAGAACTGATAAAAGATGACTGAGTTCATATCCTACTTATATCAAAGTGCAATGCTTTAGGAATAGGACAGTATCAAGCATAAAATGGGAATTATCTCATAGGGAAGAGGAAGATGTGAAAAACAACACTCCTTCCGAAGATTTCCCCATCACATGAGTGTAGCAATTCTGAACAAAGCTTGACATCATTTGGGTTCTTCTAATATTTTCTGGGCAGAGAAGAACGTTTCTTTAATTTCCCACAATGCCTCCAAATATAACATTAAGACATTTTATGCTCAATCTCGGCAGATATCATGATTTAGGAAACAGCATTTCCTCAGACTGCAATGCTATTTACCTTAATGATAGAATCAATTAGAATACAGTATAATCCAAACGACATGTTTCCTCAGACCAAATTCCTTCAGAATCCCATGGAACGGGTCTCTGAAAGTTTGTCTATGGGTAGTGGGAGCAGAACTAGCATCTTTGCTCAAGTGTGAACGGTATTTCCAACGATCATAAACAATATTTTCATCTACCAAAGCCAAAATCACAGAGTACAATTAACAGAGTCACAGCAAAATGGTAAAATAATCTGTTAAAATAGTTAATACATTTATTTTTTATCTAATAAAAGTATCCCATGCGTTCAAGAAATAATGAGTGACTACTATCAAAAGGCACTGTCCTTTTTTTGAGAGAAGAGCATTAGTGTTCCATATCAAACCATAAAATAAATAATAAAGGATAAAGGTTTTAAAAAAGTACTTTTATTCACACGTGAATCCAGCAGAAAGTACAATCTAATTAGCCTTGAAAACATCCACTGAAAATCAGAGATCATAATTGCAATTCAGCACTAATAGAATCATTACTTCTGAAATATATCTGAAATGCAGCAAAAAGACTTTTTCTTAGTTCTTGGCCTTTGAATTAAAATAATCTTTTGTTCCCCAAGCAAACAATCTTCTTGACTTTGTAACACTTGAAGGCTACTTTGCAGTTAAGTTAAAAAGAGGAACTGTCACACATTTAGAATCTTCAAACTAATTGCCACAGAATCAGTGTTGGAATGACTTTGGAGGGAATCTATCCAGTTTCCTAAAGCAGTGATCCTTTACACAACACTCATGAAAGCTAGTAATAGAACCTCAGATTCAGCACTAATTTTACAAGAGTTCCTGCCTGAATAGCACTAATAGTTTAAAAATAAACATTCAAAGGATTCTATTGAACTGAAATTACTGTCACTTATACCCATTAATGATAATTATTATTGGAAGTTCTATGATGGCAATTCACTCTAGTCAGGCAATGGTCTCCAAGAATTGCTTGCTCTAAAGACAGTCAGTCATCTATTTTCTGTTACTATGCTAGTCTGTCATATTCTTCCTGCCTTGGGGCATTCTAGCCTGTGTTAAGGCTGCCCTCATTGTTAACTCTGTTACTATCATATTGCTTATAATTCTCTTGAAAAACATTGGATATCTGAGGAAGGAAGCTATCCAGGAAACAATATTTTAAAATCCTATTACAAAATAATGTCTAATTTCATCTAAACACTAATGCCTATTTATACCATTTACATGTAACATATAAATATTCAATTTCTTTGCTTAATTTCCCCAGTCTGCCCTAGGGTATATTTATTCATCATCAAATGCCAAATACTACTGAGTTGTTTTTTTTCCCCCTCTTTGAGATAATCACTTTAGACTTTGAGCAACCTTCACGACCAAGTTCAACACCAATGAATAGATTTCCTTCAACTTTAAGGATTTAATGTCAGAATGACCCAAAATACAAAGAAAAGAGAGAACCTATTAATAAAAAAAGAAAAACCTGGCTCCACCTATGACCTTTTGACACACTGATATTTCCATCTTGAAAGATATACAAACAATACTATAGAAATACTGGGGTCTATAAGCTGGGCTAAAAGGATAAGAAGCACAATGGTTGTGCTAGATCGGTTGCTGAAACAATCAGCAGCCCAGATGCTTGCTAGCATTTCAAAAGTTCAACTGCATGACTTTCCATTTCAAATTAATAGATCTAAAAATCACACAATTCTCTGTAGCAAGAAATATGCCTAAAGATTAAGTTTTCTCTGACAATTATCATTAATTTTATCAATATATCAATTTTAATTAATTTACTTATCAATTATTATTTATTTATCAATTTATAAATATATCAATTTTATCAAAATAACAATAACTCATTATTTTTCAACACAGACTGGTCATTTTGCAAATGCATACTTTTGGCTATAGGAAGACAAGGAAAAGTTTTTTTTTTTTACTTCATGGTTTTTTTTTAATCTGTCTCTTAAAATCAAAGAACAGAGTCTATGACTTATTGATCTATATTATTATTATTATTATTATTATTTTTTTTTTTTTTTTTTTTTTTTTGAGACAGAGTCTCGCTCTGTCGCCCAGGCCGGACTGCGGACTGCAGTGGCGCAATCTCGGCTCACTGCAAGCTCCGCTTCGCGGGTTCACGCCATTCTCCTGCCTCAGCCTCCCGAGTAGCTGGGACTACAGGCGCCCGCCACCGCGCCCGGCTAATTTTTTTTTGTATTTTTAGTAGAGACGGGGTTTCACCTTGTTAGCCAGGATGGTCTCGATCTCCTGACCTCATGATCCACCCGCCTCGGCCTCCCAAAGTGCTGGGATTACAGGCGTGAGCCACCGCGCCCAGCCGATCTATATTATGAATCAGCAAAATTTTTCTGTGAAGGCCAGCTAACAAATATTTTAGGCTTTGTGGGATATATGGTTTATGTTGATTAGTGGAGACAGCTAAGGAGTATTGAATGTTACAGACAAAGAAGATGCAATGCTGTGATTGAGTTCTCAATTATAATACAATAAATGTGGCTGACATTATCAAAGTTACAGAGTTTTCCACATTGTGATAAGATCAAAAGAACTGATTGGTATGATTTTTTTGCCCTAGAATATGAACAGGGTGAAATTATGAATAAGTGATGTTAATATAAAGATTTCTTTGGTAAAATTCTTAGAGGTAGACCATGCTACACCTTAAAAATTTAAATTATTTTGCCTCAAATAAAGTTTATGAAAATTGGCATTTAATCTTTTATTCCCAGAGAAGTTAAACAACAAAAAGTGAAGTTCAGAATATAGTAAATACCATATTATAATAATATGAAAAACATTTTGAAAATGATTTTAAAATATTGGATGAGCAATAAACTAATTAGCATGAGGATATGCCACAAAAATGCTTAACAAGAGTGGCACTGATAACCCTCAAGAAAGTTTAAAAAGAAAGAAAGAAAAAGACAAAAGAAAAAAATAATCACTTTCAAATTAAGTTATGTTGGAAGTCTGAGAACCTCCTCTTTTCTGGGGCTTGTTGGAAGGGGACAAAGGATGGTGTGTGAGCCTTGTATAGCTGCATGGAGAAGACGCAAATTAGTGCACAAAGTGGTTGAACTCTGAATGAGTTTTCATAATTTAAGCTATGTTATTCCAGTGAAAGAGATGCCTGCACATAAGTGAAAAGCTGCCTAGTTAACTGACAGAGAGACTCTTGGAAAAATTTCCCACCAGACATTGCTTGCTACTATTTATGGAACAGAATTTCAGTTTCTTAATACCATCAGAAGGAAAAAATTGTTACATGGTACAGTTGGTGGACGTGGAAGAATGTCTCAGGGCACACATTACAAGTAAAGCACACAAAATGTTTGTGCCACTCCTAAAACCTACTATATTGCAAATTCTCTGGTTCCTTAACTTCTATTCTGAGTCAAACAATGAAAGTACTGAACACATTTCTACCTCCCTCAGAAAAGTTGACCTCTGGCAACTATGTTGGGTCAGAACTATTCAGAACATTGAAGAATCCCTCCTTTGACTGTGACAATCGCCCCAGAAGTTCCAAACACAAAGGGAAGACCACATGGCTTAAAACCACTGATTATGTTACCAAAGACATGACTGACCCTCTCACACATTTCCAGGGAAAATAATTCTCAATCTTCCTATATAGGTATAGTCTAGTGACAGTTACCACAATCATTTTGGTCCCTTTTTCCTGTACCATGGTTAAATCATCAGTGGTAAAATATAATAGCACAATAGTTAAAAATATGACCTCGTGAGAAGACTTGAGTACTGGCTTCATGGCTTGTTAAATCTGTGATCATGTGCAAGTAAATTAAACTTTTCGACATATAAAATAGTCTCATGAGTTTGTTATAAGTATTACATGTAATAATAAATATAGGCTGGCAAATAATATGTGATCAATAAATGCCAGCAGTAGTAGTAGCAGTTGTTGTTGTTGTTGTTGTTGTTACAATGTCTGTTCTATAAATGATGGAGTAAAGAAAAGAGAAATATATCCAAGCCAATGCAATTCCATTTGTTCTACCCTTCTATATCGAGAAATTACTAAAACTATTGGCTTATTTATATGCACCAATTGCCAATAACACTAAAAAACTGAAAGCATTACTGCACAAAACTAGAATATGGGCAATTATGGAAAGTAATCTAAGTTTTATGATATCTGTAGAAGACAGGGTAATTGTTAAAGCTTTTATGAAAGCAAGTACAAACGTTAATTGCATATCTGTTGAGATTGGCAGAGACATTCCGAAGTAGAATTTATGTAATATGCATTTCCTCTAAAATGGAGGCCTAATTGCTTAGTTATTCTAAATTGCAGAATGGAAAACAAAGGAGCAGTTTTGGCCATGTGGGTAAACAACAGATTTCTAAAAGCTAATTATCTCTTTATTTAATAGACTGAAGTTGCACCAAATGAGACATTTAAGTCTAATAAATAATAGACAAATTGTAACCTAAAGACTAAAATATAGGAGCTGCTCATACAGTTTTTATTGCTCCATTAAATAAGCTCTTATTTACTTCCCCCACAAAACATAATTACACAACACTGGGTCCATTTCAAGGCCATTTTGATCTGCTATTTAAAAATGATGTGAATCAACCTACATACTCAGGAAGTCTTAAAGCATAATATTGAATTCTGTTAGCAAATGCCCTATTTGTGTCCATGATTAAGAAACAGAAATGGAATTAAGAAAAAGTTGTGCATAATCACATAAAATTATTACTACTACTTGCCTTACTAGAAATGATTACACTTAAGAAGAGTTATGCATTTTAAATTAATAACCACTAGGGTCTATGCTTAGTAGTTTTCATGTCAGATGAATAGGTACTTTTTAAATTAAAATAGTTCAAACTCAAGCATCAACCTTAGACATTTACTCAAAATTTATATGTTGATTAAATAAAGACATCATGAAAATGTAACTTGCTTGTTTATGTAATACCAAAACATTCAACAGAAATAACCAAAACTGTGTATGTGAATATTTAAGAGACCTTCAGGTTCATCATTTAAAAAAAAATGAGAAAACAAAAACGAAAAACATCATGTTTTAACACTATAACATGAAAATAGGAGACTGCTTTCTTAGTTTGGTTGCTCAGAAGGATTTTTAATGCTTCATTTTTCTTCTTGGAGAAATTTAGTCCACTATTTTTATCTTTATTTTCATTCTATTAACAAAAATCACATTCTGAAATGATAGTGATAGTAAATAATAGTAGATTTGGAAATAGTTGCCTGTTCTCTTGCTGAGGGCAAGTAATGATTTACTATGGGTAAGAAAGAACAGGAATTTAATTTACTGTGCTACCTCAGATAGTGATACAAGAATTTCTACACCTGTGAAAAAATTCAGTTCTTATTTGCATGGAGAAAATACTAAAGCCATGAAAATATATGGAAGGAAGCTCCCTGTGGGTTTATGGCAGAGTTATGTGAAGATTTCTCTCTTCCTCCATCATCCAGGGGTATGTGCCTTACATATGAAAATAAGCTAAAACAAAAAGTTCCTGGCCCAGTGAGGTAACAAAACACTAATGTAAATTCAATAATTCACCCTTCCACATTCTTTTAAGGCTGAGAAAGTCGGGCTAAAAATTTCTACGAAGATTTGAGCAGTACCATGTTCTGTACTAAAATATAACACCTGCGAAGAAAAATTACATAAAGTTTCAACTGATCCTCACAGTGTTTAAAAAACACACCATATTAGCACATATAGTACAGCTTATAAGCCTGGTTATCCAAAAACCACATACACTAATTATATAAATCTTACCAACTTCTGAGGATTTTTATTAAACAATATTTAAACTAGAAAGTTTGATACATACTAATAGTCTCCTTAGTTCTCTGAGACCAAATTTTGTTACTACCACCAGCCTAAGCAGTCTCCATCTCATTATCCTATCTTATTTTAGTTCCTGTAAATTATTATCTGACATTATTTTATATATTTGGTTATTTGAAGCACTCATTAGAATTTTAAACTTCATTACAGCAGGAACCTTTTTATTCTTATTTATCACTGTAATCTCAACATATAGAAAAAAACTTGATGAATAAAAGAACAATAAAAAGTGGCCTTGCTATATTTCGTTTTTTACCAATAAAATAATAATAGAAATGATAACACATATTTTTATAATAGTACAATGTCTTTATTGAAGATCATATTTGTCAAATATCATATGCATAAAATTCAATGTATCAATTTAAAAGTATAAAAAACTGATATTTAACATATTTTCAGTAATTAAGTGCTAAATTAGATACACTAGTAACCTCTATTTCATAAAACCTTCAAATGTTATAAAAATCATGACTTGACAAAAAGCATATTCTACATATAATATGGAAAAAAGTTGACTGTATTATTTGTGATTTTTTTAAAAATGAAAAAAGTTATCAATAAATAAGCATGTAGTAATATATTTGTTATATGGTTATATGACTCACTTGGTAATAAGAGTTACTGTAAGAAATCAAATGCTTTGTTCTTCTACATTAATAATTGTGTTGATTTTAAAGGAAAACTAAGGACCATCATCATCATTTATTGGGGTTTTAGAAGAGGTCTTTCACTTTGGTGAGAAAAATATGTGTTTACAAATATTATGAAATTTGGGCTATTATCCCTAGATTATTTTAAATCCCACAGTCTGAAAAAAAAATTCAAAGTTGACTTGCAAAAATTTCAAACGTTTTTAAAAGACAAAGTCTCACAGTAGCTTCTTAAATCATAGCTGTTTCAGCATGTTGTATCAAATGAGTTCGATTACATCTATAGCAAATTCATATGTATGATATAGACATAGCACATATCTGTATTTATTTTACAGATATATTACTTTAAACTTACCTATTTTAATATCATTTATATAAATCTAAGTTACTCAGACTATGCTCTGCAGAGGG
The DNA here is from genome assembly GCF_000001405.40 of Homo sapiens. Classification (NCBI taxonomy): domain Eukaryota; kingdom Metazoa; phylum Chordata; class Mammalia; order Primates; family Hominidae; genus Homo; species Homo sapiens. The sequence continues at coordinate 59,807,593 of NC_000013.11, forward strand.
CACCCCTGAAAAATGTTAAAATGTATGATGCATATGTACCTCAGCAAATTACAGGTTTGGAAAGTCCTATTGGGTGAAGATTTTACATTTACTTGAGGCCCACCGATGTTAATTTGCAGACCATGTTTAGGAAGAGATAGTACAGAAAAAGTCTAATAAAATAATCCAATAGGTCAAATAAGATGAGCTCTATGATTAACGAAAGATATAATAAAACGTTTCTTTAAATCTATTGTTAAAATTAAAAACATTCAAGCTTTTTTTAAAATTAAGAAAAGAAGGTAATGTCATCAACATAAAATTACCTATTTTAAAGAAACATAAACCAGCTATTAAACACAATTGATGGCTAAATATTAGAATGCTTTTGGTAAAATTTAGAAACAGATCCTTTTATATTAAAACCTATATATCAAATATATGATTAAGGGAAGATTATAAATAAGTAGAGTACAGTCATATTATAAATAATCAAAACTAGAAAAGAAATGAAGTTGATATGAAATCAGTGAAAGGATGATTTTCTAAACTTAAAGGTGACAGAAAAAAATCACAAAGGCAAATATTAAAACATCATAGAATGAAAATAAAAGTTTTATATATATCAAGATATAGAAATAAAAAAGCCACATTAGAAGGAGGTATTTAAAATGTAAATATGAATACATACTGAGCTAACTTGTACAAATCAATAAGAAAAAGATAACAATTCACAACAGAGGAACTAAAAATGAACTTATAAACGCTTTTTAAAAGTCCAACTTTAGTAATACTCAAAGAAATGCAAATTAAGATAATAAAACATAATTTTAAAATCTATAAAATTAGCAAAAATCTTAAAAAATAAGAATATTCAACCAAGGCACAATCATAACCCAATGTTGAAAGTTGAGAAAATTAAAGTTATGCTTCTGAAAATCAGTTTGTAAGTATGCATCAAAAGTCTTAAAAATATCCTTTTCTATTCCATGTCCAATAAAATAATTACAAACATTTTCTATTTATGGACAAAAAGATTAATCACATTGAAAAGTCAGCAATAACTATTGTTCCATGACTTCATTACTGACTAATGCAAGTTAAATTGTATATGGCACAACCAGTGGAATCAATCATATATATATTAAAAATTATAAGAATTACAAGCTATGAATAACATGAAACATTCAAAAGTTCAGCAACATAAAGTGAGACACTGAATTGCATATTTACTAGGATCATAGCTACTATTAGAAGGCAGAAAAATTTAAAACTGAAAGAACAGTGTGCAGAAATGTTTACAGTGATTTTTTGGATAGGAAGATTATGGGTAACAGCCTTTTGATCTACTATTTTTTAGGTGTTTTCGATAATGTAAATAAATTTGAGAAATAAACTTATTCTTAAAAGTGAAAGCTTCCTTAGGGAGACATAAATTTAAATTAAAACATCACTGACATTACATTGGAAGTTTTATTAGAATTTCTTTGCCCTATCAAGTTTCAATCTTTCAAATTGGTATAAGAGAGAATTACTGAGACACTCTGTGTGATCAGACCCTGGGCAAAACCCACAAACAATACATCCAATCTGCCATCTAGCAACTCATCTAGATAACTATAGACAACGCTAAAAGAGCTAATGTTCAGGCTGGGAGCAGTGGCTCACGCCTGTAATCCCAGCACTTTGGGAGGCTGAGGTGGGTGGGTCACCTGAGGTCAGGAGTTAAAGACCAGCCTGGCCAACACGGCGAAACTCGGTCTCTACTAAAAATACAAAATTAGCCGGGCATGGTGGCGGGCCCCTGTAATCCCAGCCACTCGGGAGGCTTGAGGCAGGAGAATCCCTCGAACCCAGGAGGCAGAAGTTGCAGTGAGCCGAGATCGCGCCATTGCACTCCAGCCTGGGCAAGAAGAGCGAAACTCCATCTCAAAAAAAAAAAAAAAAGCTAATGTTCAAACACCAGAATCTTCTGTAAATTAGGAAGTAATATATTAATTTAAAATTCTTTCCAGAAGCATATTTTAAAAATAAATACTAAATCTTTCTGATCTCCATTTTTATTCATACTTAAAAATAATTCTGAGAATATTCCCTGAATTTCAAATATAAACAAGAAATTGTGCTTAGATGATTTTTCTTCCCAGGAAGAAACAAGTGCAATACATTAAGGTACTCGTTTCGCTTTAGTAAGCATAAAAATATACCTGTAAAGTGAAAGTAAAGAAGGCAAAGTAGGCATCTCTGTCTATTCCTGGGGAAACCTTAGGTGAATTTGCAACCCTGAATTGTAAACTATGGTGATTTAGCAGTGAAGCGGATGGATTTTAATTAAAGCCTTGTTCAATCCTTACTGACTTGGAAGTAGAAAAGCCAAATTTTTCAGGGAATGAAAATATAACTATATTTTACATAATTCTTTTGCTTCTAAATAAGTGGTATCTTTTAGCTTCTTGAAATACATATATACATATGTTTCTGTAAAATTTCAGTACCAGTCTCTAAAAGATACTTTGAAACATATTGACAACAATTTTGTCATGTTTACAAGAAAAAAAAAAGTATCCAAAATGTTCAGACTGCTTTTTTCTTTTTGTTGTTTTTTTGAAACAAAATCTCACTCTGTCTCCCAGGCTGGAGTGCAGTGTCAAGATCAAGGCATACTGCAGCCTCAACCTTCCAGGCTCAGGCGATCCTCCCACCTCAACCTCCCGAGTAGCTGGGACCACAGATTGGAATACACATAAATTCCATACATTACAATTGGCTGATATGTCGCTTAAGTCTCTTTCTTTTAAACAATGTTTATCCTCCATCACTTTTTTTCCCTCCCTTGGGATATTTTGTTGAAGAAACCGGGTTACATGTCCTATAGAATTTTCCACAGTCCATTTCTGACAGTTACTTTATTAACTGACATACATTATTAAAGATTGATTATTGAGGTAGTAATTAAAGAAACGTGAATACGCTGGAACGAAAACAGCATAACAGAGGACCAAATCACCTATGACCAACACTGGAATGAAGACACTACACTACTCGTTAGTAAATGGAAGGGAAAGAAGACCATAAAGAAAGAATTGTTCTATGGTTTAATTACAGAAACAAGTGGTTGTATTTTCCTTTTTCACTAAGTTCATTAATATACTAATAAAGCAGCCCATATAAATCTTAAGTATACATAGAATAAATAACAAATTTGATAGTACTCACCAGTCTTCATTTCTAATAAACGCTTTTTCTTTTGTTGGCGTTCGAGTCTTTCTCGCTCTGCTAATTCTTTAGCTATTCTGACACGTTTTTCTTTTTCCTCTGCTTCTCTTTTTTTGATATTCTCCTTTATTGCTTGCTAAAAAAATTTTGAAAAATGATCAATTTTAACCAGTGATTCATCCCGCAAAATGGAAAGTTATCTATTTGAAAATATGCTTAAGGTAGAAACATGATTATCTTTTAGATAATGGTGAGTTATGTTAGTAATACAGTCTTCTAAAAGGTATGCACAGAAACCCTTGTTAACTATGTTATGTATCTATAAATACGACTGTTATTAAACTTAAACCTGCATCTTTAAAACATCCACATCTTGATGGAATTAACTACCTAAAAGGGAGATGGGAGACAGAAACTGAAAATAAAAAAAAAACTAATTCACAAATCAAAACTGTTTTCTCATATACATTTCCAAAAGTGTCTAGCAACTGAATTAGGGTTTTCCACATCTTCTTTGCAAAGCAAATTATCAAGTACAAGAAAAATTATCAAATTAAAGACATAATAAAAGAAGTGAAATCTTGTAGTGGCTACTTTTTATTACAATCATATATGAATTTTTCTAATATAGAGAGAAATGTCGTAAAGGTAACTAAAGAAATATTTCTTGGCCGGGCACAGTGGCTCACGCCTGTAATCCCAGCACTTTGGGAGGCCGAGGTGGGCGGATCATAAGGTCAGTAGATCGAGACCATCCTGGCTAACGTGGTGCAACTCTGTCTCTACTAAAAATACAAAAATTAGCTGGGTGTGGTGGCGGGTGCCTGTAATCCCAGCTACTAGGGAGGCTGAGGCAGGAGAATGGTGTGAACCCAGGAGGCAGAGCTTGCAGTGAGCCGAGATCGCACCACTGCACTCCAGCCTGGGCGACAGAGCAAGACTCTGTCTCAAAAAAAAAAAAAAAAAAAAAGAAATGTTTGTCATTTCAAAGCCAGGTCCTCTGGCTTTGATCAAAACTAATAATAACATGCTAATCATAAGAAGATCTCAATAGATATGTGATTATTTGTTTAATTTCTTATTTCTTAAGTGTTATACACATCAAGAAATACCTCTCATGTGGCATTAAGGGGAATTAGCAGGTAAACATGGGATTTTTAAGTGCCAACAAAGAGAGTAACATTATATTAAACACCAATGAAACCAAACAGGTTAACACATTGGACGTTTATCACCACTGGTATTAAATAGAAAAGTGTGTAATTAAACTATAACAAGTAGGTGGCTTATGTTGTTTCGGGAGAAGGCTTTTATATCTTTACTGTGGTATTCTTTATTTTAACCCTAGAGTTAGTACAAGTTCTTCATTAAAAATCAAATAATAAAGTTTAATATTTTTGACCAACAACAAAAAGAAACAAAAAGCACAGAGTAGAGGGGACAGTAACTCATGCATGCATGCATCCATCCATCCATCCATCCATCCATCCATCCATCCATCCATCCATCCATCCATCTATCCATCGATCCATCCATCCTTCCATCTATCCAATTAATACTTACTCTGGGACTACTAAATAGTATTGTTGTAAAGTAGGGGAGAAAAAAAAAGAGAGAGAGGAAAGGAAGGCGGAGAGGGGAGAAGGAAGAGTGCATAAGAGAGCACACTAAAACAAGTTTACATTCTATATGGTAGGGTGCGGCAGGAGGCAGAGATAAATAATAAATAACAACAACAAAATAAGAGTGCCGTGATAGCATTCCTGAGGGGTTACTTTACATTAGGTAGTTAGATAAGGTCTCACTCTGACTTGATTCAAGCTGAATCTTAAATGTCAAGGAGCTAGGTAAGTGATGATCTAGAACACATCAGGCAGAGGGAAGTGCTAATGCAAAGGTTGCTGTTGGGTTTAGGAGACAGAAGGCCAGTATAAAGGTATAAGATGAGGTCAGGGAGGTATGCTGAGGCCTGATCCCTCAGGATCTTCTAGGCCAAGACAGGGAGGTTAGATTTTCTTTTAAGCGTTCTGGAAAATGACTAGAGATTTTCAAGCAAGTGCAAAACTACGTACACTGAGATACAAGAACCAACCAAGCACCTTTGTTTCGAACTATCTTTTCAAAGATATTTGCATAATGAACAGAAGATAGAGGTAGTATCTCCCTCCTAAGCTAAGGGGTTTGTTACTGCCCAGAATGATAAACTGGAGCAAAGGCTGGACAGTCTTACTACCTATTATAAAAGACTGCATTCCCTAAATTCAGGATTTCCCTCCGATGACACAAACCACTGTGTATATAAGTGTCACCTGTCCCTTTCCTATAGCCCTGTGGGAGTACGGGCGCAGAAACCTAAAAAAAAAAAAAAGTTTAATCTGGCTATTGCTATTGTGTGAGTAGCAAAGGATTCTTTGTCTCTGACCCCACATCCATGAAATGGTGTCAAGTTAACTTGTTAGCCTGTTAGTAGGTAAACTCTCAAACTCTTCACAGTTCTTGACATATATAAACGCTAGTTATTATTGCTAAGCTATAAAATACCAGCTGCAATACTAGATACTTTAATGTGCAATCCCTTTAATTCTCAAATTGGATTCTGCATTCTCTAATCTGGCCCAGAGTGGTTAAGTACTTGTTTACTGTAATAAAAGTAGTAAGAGGCAGTAAGTTGCAAGATTTGAAAGCTAGCTACAGTCAGTGGTTTTCCACCATATTGCTTCATATTATGGTCATGTATATTAAGAGGCAGCTATGAGACAAAAGTTGTAATAAAAATCAACATAAGAGGCTGGGCACGGTGGCTCATGCCTGTAATCCCAGCACTTTCGGAGGCCAAGGCGGGTGGATCATGAGGTCAGGAGATTGAGACCATCCTGGCCAACATGGTGAAACCCCGTCTCTACTAAAAATACAAAAATTAGCTGGGTGTGGTGGCACACACCTGTAGTCCTAGCTACTCAGAGGCTGAAACAGGAGAATCACTTGAACCTGGGATGCAGGCGGCAGAGGTTTCAGTGAGCCGAGATCACACCACTGTACTCCAGCCTGGCAACAGAGCAAGACTTTGTCTCAAAAAAAAAAAAAAAAAAATTCAACATAAGAAAGGTAGGAGAAGATAATCATGGGTTCAAAGACAAGTGAGTATATCTGTATGTGTGTGTGCATGTATACTCATGTATGTATCTATAAGGGAGATGGGGTAAGAAGATAGGTTGTGATAGAGAAAGGAAAAGCAAATATTCAGGAATGAAAATTCTATTTCTTGCTTGAGAGAAATGAACAAGATGAACCTACAATAAATAAATAATATATCATGTAGCTTATTTATGAGTCTAATTAAGGTATAACATTTTCTGATGTGAATTTTCTACTCTAATGACTGAATACATTTAAATGTGAGTACATAATAGGCAATCTGCTATCAGATATAATTGCCACACCCTTTTAGCATTCCCATGGGTAATAAAAAGTGAAAATTACTTTTCCAAGACCTATAAAACAATGTTTACATTTAGAAATAAGGTCTAAAGGAGTTCTTAAACCTATTTTGTTTCATGAAAAATGCACTATTGATTTTCATTTAAAAGCCTACTTCATTTAAAACATACCATATTCTCATATTGTAACTATTAGGAGAAGAATTTTAGCTGAAAAAATACCAATAGAGAGCACAGAAATAGGTGAGTCTGAGACTAATATCCGAGTTCAAACAGTAATTTGAGATTTTCTTTTATTCTAAATGTTAAGAAGTAAAAGTAGCTTAAAACAGAAAAACTGAATAATTAAATGAGAACAACATTTTTCTGGATATGACTGCCTCTTAGTGACTTCCATCCTAAATTTGAATTAAGAAAGAAAAGTTAAGGGTTAGCCAGATATAAAGACAATTGGCTATAAGACATTGATTTTTTAAAACCATCATCTTTTCTTGACCTTGTTTTATATTTAGTCAGCTGGCAAATAAACCGCACTGCCTCCAACTACTTTCAGCTACACTTTGCCTAAAGAAATTCTTTGAGTGTTACTTGCCAGACAGAGTTTGGTGCAACCCCCTTACCCTCCAAGTGGAATGATAACCACCATTCTATTCTCCATTTCTATAAGTCTGACTTTTTTATATACCACACGTAAGTGAGATCATATTATGGTATTTGTCTCTCAGTGAATGGCTTATTTCACTTAATATAATGTCTTCTGGTTTCATCTATGTTGTTGCAAATGACAGAATTTCCATTTTTTCATTTAAGTCTGAATAGTATTCCATTGTGTATATGAACCACATTTTAAAAATCCATTCATTCATTGTTGGAATCAACATTTTTGAACAGTATGAGTTGGAGATCCAATTCACTTTTGCCCATCCTTTCTCCAATAATATGCAAAGTCACTTCTTTTGGATTTCAATTAGCACATGTGTGTTGCTTCATTTTATGGCTGTTTTAGTCCATTTGATCAATATAACCATGTCTCTAAGAATAATACTCTATTTTAATTATTAAGGCTTACATCTTATTTTTCTTACTTAGGAATGCCTTCTGTATCCTTGGGCCTTTGCTCTTCCATCTGTATTTTAGAATAGACTTGTTAAGTTTCATTGAAAAGGACTATAAGCATTTTTAATTGATATCTTCACAATTTTGAGTCTTCTGTGAACAGCATGTGGCTTTTTATTAACTTGGATCTTTAAAAAAAGCTTTAGAAAAAAACTCATTTTCTCCATTCAGGTCTTGGACATTTTTGTTAGATTTACTCTCTATACATTTCTTTTGCTATTGTAAATGGTGCCTTCTTCAAAAACAATGATTTCTATTGTTTTGTAACATATAAAAATGTAATTTTTACTTTTTGTAGAGATGGGGGTCTTGATAATATTGTCTAAGCTGGTCTTGAAATCCTGGGTTCAAGTGATCCTCTCACCGTAGCCTCCCAATGCGCTGGGATTACAGGGATGAGCCACCACACCCAGCCTAAAAAATGTAATTTTTATATATGCTACTGATAATTTTTCTTATTATTTCTGATAGTTTTCCTATAGGATTTGTTTTTGCTATTCATAGAGTGCTATAATGTCAGCTTGATTTTCTCCCTTTTCAATCTTTACATTTTCAACTCCTACTTGTCTTATCTTGCTATACTGACTAGGAGTTAGATTCTAAGTATTAGGTTAAAGGGTTTCCTTTGACTCCTTTCCTACTTTGGAGTAGGGTGGAGGGTTAAATTAGTTCATGGTTCTTGTTTTGAAATCTGAATAGGATTTTCTGACTTGACTGAGAGAAATTTCACAATTTTTTTTCCCATTAGACTCAATATAGTGAATTATATTTATGAATATTCTAATATTAAGCCATACTTTCACTTCTAGGATAAACTCAATTTGGACAGGAAGAATTTATCTTTTTGAACATTTAGTCATAAAATACATTTTTGTATTCCATTTGTTTGAGATAATCATTTCATTAAAATTTGGTAAAATGTATCTGAAAAACTTCTAGGCCAAGTATTTATTTCAAAGATTAAAAGTCATTAAAATCAAAATTAGTTATAGAACTATTCATGCTTTCTATTTCTTTTAAAGTAATTTCAGTAAGTTATTTTTGTCTAGGAACTTATCCATTTCATTTACCTTTTCCAATACTATCCTACAAATTTTTACAGAAAGCTCCTCTCTTTTTACTATTTTCTGTATCTTTAGTTATGTTCCTTTTTATATCCTCAATATTATTTATCTTCTCTTTTTCTTGATTAATCTTTTTAGCAATATATCTAATTAACTTGTCTTTTCAGAATAACCTCATTTTTGCCTTTTATGTCACTTTTTCTTTCATTTAATCTTTCATATCCCTCCTTCTGGTTTCTCTAGGATCATATAAATCCTTTTTAAATTTCTGAAGTCAGATGTTTTTAAGTCTTTCTGATAAAAGTTATTTTATTGATACATAATACATGTACATATTTTGGGGGTACATATGATAATCTGATACTTTTATATAATGTGTAAAGATCAAATCACGGTAATTGGAATATCCATAACCTTAAATATTTATCTTTTATATATGTAGGAACATTTGACTTATTCTCTTAAGCACATATGGTATAAATTTATACCATTTTTACTGCATCCAGCAAAGTCTAATGTGGGGTATTTTCAATATTGTTCAGGTATAACTGTTTTCTATGATTTCATCTTTGACATATGACTTTTTAAATGTGTTTTTAGAATTTTCAAACTAGAGGTTTTAAAATTTCATCCTTTTAATTTTATTTCTAATTTCATGTCATTGTGGTCAATAAATAAATAAAACTGGCACTGAAAAATGTATTGAGATTTCATGGTCTCTAGTATGTAACCAATTTTATAAAAGTTCAACTTGTGCATGAAAAAATGTGTATTCTTTAATTATCGAGTTTGAATTCTATATACACTAATCAAATCAAGTCTGTTAATTGTTTAACGCTTGTCTTTAATGATATTTTTCTGCTTATCAGTAAGTTAAAGAACTTTGTTGACATTTCCTAACATAATCCTAAATCTGTCAACTTATCGATATAGTTTATTAATTTTTACAATGTCATTTTGGGGCTATGTTATTAGGCACATACCATTTTTAAATTGTTGTATCTTTCACGTGAATTAAGCTTTTTGTTGTCATGAAGTAATTAATGTCTTGAGTCAATTGTACCTATTAACATAGTTTCCCTTTCTTCTGATTAATAGTTGCCTTGTATTTCATTAACTGTCCTGTTACTTCAAACATTTCTATATCCATAGGGTAAAGGGAGGTCTCTTATAAACAGCATAAAACCAGATTTTATTTTTTATACGATATTACAGTCCTTTAAAAAATTTATTGTGATTTATAAAATGTTTGTTTCCATCTATTTGTCTAGCTTTAGTTATGCCTTTATTTTTCCTGATTTTTTTTGGTGTATCCTTCTTAGTCTATTTCTCTCACTACAGTTTAGAATTTATACTTGATATTTCTATCCTTTCACTGGTTATCCTTGTATTTTTATTACACAAATAAATTTTTAGCAACTTAACAAGACCTAAAGTTAATTAATATCTGTATCTCCCTTTCTCCCTTGACTAAAATAAAGAAAACCCAAATTCTAAATCTCTCTCACTCAATTTATAAATTTATGTAACATTGTTTTATTGTGTACTTTCTTTACATTTGTTTTCATAGTACCTATGGCTTCCTGTCTCTCAATCTGTTTTTTGTTGCTTCTTTAAATACAACCTTTAGAGCAGAGGCTATCGAACTATAATCCTTAGATTGACCACGTATTTTGTAAACAAAGTTTTACTGGTACATAGCCACAGCCGTTTATTTACATATTGGATATGGCTGCTTTTGCACTGTTACACGAGAGTTGCCACAGAGACTGTATTGCCTGCAAACCTGAAATATTTACTATCTGGCTATTTAAGAAAAAGTTTTCCAGTCTCTGAAAAAAAATCTTTTAACATAAGGATGTTGATGAAAAACACTTTTGTTTCCTGTTTATCTACAAATAGTAGATAATTCCACCTGTGCTCTATAAAGATCTTTTGCTGGATACCCCAAATTAGAAGAACATTTATGTTTGTGCATCACTTAAAGATCTCACTCTCTTCAGCCTTCCATTTTTGCAATAAGTAATCTGTATCTAATTGTTGTTGCTTTGGGGGTCATATCTTTTCTCTCTGGCTGCAATTTTTTTTTTGGCTTTAGTGTTCTGCAGCTTCATTATTTATTTGAAGTGAGTCTCATTTTATTTATCTGGCTTTGTATAAGTTGTATTTCCTATTCTATGGATTGCTGATCTGGAAAATTCTAAGCCACCATTTTGAATATTGTCTTTCATTCTTTTTGAGTCTATTCTTCTGGGACTTTATACAAGTGGTAGGCCTTGTCATCCTGTTCTCCATGTTTCTTAAGAAGTATTTTACACTTCTAATTATACTGTCCCCCTGGTTTGCATTCTGGACAATTTATTTAGATGTATTGTGCAAATTCACCATTTCTTTCCTTAAGTGAGCATAACCTGCTCTTTAATCCATTGAATGTTAAATTTCAACCACCACACTTCCATTTCCATACATTCTATTTGCTTTTTTCAAAACTGCTCCTTTTTAGTATTCTCCTGTTACTTTTTCTCTTTTTAAAAATTTCATGTTCTATTTCCTTAAATATTTCATATATTGTTACTAAATATCTGGGGTCTTGGAGGCCTATATGTATTACTTTTTCTGATCATTTCACCAAACAATCCCTTGTTTCTTTGTGTGTTTGGTGGTTAGGATTGAGTGTTCTTACTTAATTGAACTTAATTTGTGAGAATCTTGAGGACCTAAATTGTAACTGTCCTCTGGCACAGATTTGAATTTGCTTCTGTAAATAGCCAGGGATCATTTCTAACCTGAATAACTTTAATTTGCTTTTGTCACAGGTTTATTGTAAACATTTTATTCATTGTATTCACCAAGTTGTAGTCTTGGTTTTCATTCCCAGGGCAGGCCTAACTTTCCCCTTTGCTCACCTGTGCTTATTGTTCAGGTTTCAACTTCATTCTTTCTCTTTAACCACTTTTGCCTTGGAGATTTCCCTAATTTTCTCACAGGACAGCCACGTTTTTAAAATAGTTTGTTGTATTTTGGTGGGATGGATTTTTAAGAGTCCCTAGTAAATCGTATTGTGATAAGCAAAGTCCTCAAAAGTATATTGTTTTATAGGGTTGAACAACACAGATATCTTATTTCTAAAAAACGTTCATATAATGTAGCAGTTCTCATACAGTATGTATTTCGGGGGATACTTTATACATGTGTGTTTCATGACCCAAAGGTTGCAAACAAACAAACAAAAAAAGGGTAATTGGACAGCCATATCAAATGAGTCCTGAACAAGCACTCAAAAAAATACTGTGGAACTGAAGATCAAGAATGCCTTCAAGAATACATTAAGTATGACATTTCATCACTTTTAGAAGTTGTAAAAAAAAAAAAATCAATCTGAGCTTATTGCTGCATATTATAAAGACAGTATAATAAGAGGGTAGAAATTGAAATCATATTGTTTGGTTTAAATAACCACCTAGCACTAAATAGCTGTGTGACTATGCCTCAGTTTCCTCTACTGTAACATGGACAAAATAGTGCCTGCAATACAAGGATATTTTAAGAAATAAATGAAATAATGCATGTAAATAGCTTATATCATTGCCTCACACATAAATTTTAGCCCTATATAAATGTTAACAAGTATTATTATTTCTTTACAATAACATCAACAATTTTTTATTATTACAGTACCATTAATGAAGTGCCTCAAACACATTTATCCAGCAACAATTCAAGAAAAAAACATATGCTGGCTTATATCAATTATATATGCTTCCATCAAACATATGGGGGAGTGCCAATTTTCATAGTTCCTATAAGAATATGAATGCTTTCTATTCAGAGATATTGGAATACGATGGTACACTGAGCTGATCAGGAGTAAAATGGTTGCATCCAATACAAGCTGCATCACTTGGCAGGAAAGCTATAGTGGTAAATTAAATATGGAAGGCAAGATGTAGTTCTCAACCTCAAGTCTAGCTATTATACCTCTGAAGATTTAATTTACATATATATGCACATTGTTTTTAATATTCTAAATCTAATGTTCATTATGAGATTTCATTCTGGAAAAAAAGAGTTAGCTTTCCTGTGTTTTCTCCACGAAAGTACTACTTTCACTTGAAATTAGATATTCCTAAAAAATTAACTTAAAACACTGCCCAATAATGCAATTAACATTTGTTTTATATTTTTCCCTAAAAGTGCAATTTAAAAAATCAATGTGCATTTTCCCCTCCTTCTAAAAAAAGCATTATAAACAGCCTATATTCCAAATAGGCCTTTACTTGACAGGTATATCAGTCTTATTTTATGTTATAAAATAAAATTTTAATAAAACAAAATATAAAAATGATAGCATTAAATACTATTTAGTGTTATAATAGTATTAAATACTATTTAATGTTATAATAGTATTAAATACTATTTAATACTATTTATTTAACTATTAAAGTAGGCTGCCATAGATTCTGACTTTTTGATCGTACTTCATCTCTATTTCAGTCTCAGCCCATTTAAACAGATTCGCCCACCCAACTCAACATTTTTCAACATATTATAATATCCTGTATATTTTTGCGACATAGAAAACTAGGAGATTTAATCATTTGAAAAAAAGTTGAAAAGCTTATGAATGTCTTCTTGTTCAGAGTTCTATTTCATTCAACATTAATGGATACTCAAGCAATACAAGTCAGGGATCTCTTTAACACAGGTTTCACTAAACTCAAAAATCTTTACTTTTTCCTAAGTATTCAACTTTGTCTCAAGTCCCTAAAATGAGATTAGATTAGACAAACCTAACTTAAGTCTCCATGTTTTCCAGGGGAATGACAGTTAGGTACTATGAAAACAAGACTAATTTTCTCAGAGTAAACAAGCTCATGCAGGTCTCACACATTCCCACTAAACACCTTGCTTAGGGTTGTTTAACCTTAATAAAAGGCAATGCTTCACCATACTTAATTACTACTTTCTAGAAACTCCTGATGACTTCAGCTTTAGGAATAATTGGAAAACATTTTAATTTGGAAAAAATCCTTAAAAATACATTTCTGTATTCTCATACATATTCCTGTAGTGGAACAGGAAAAAAAATTTAAAAAATTAATACTAGTCACCAAAGTCTGTCAGAATATAGAAATTACGTGATCTACTTTTCAGTTTTCCATTAAAATTATTTTCTTTGGTAACTAAATGTAAAAATGTAAAAATTTTCCCCAAGTGCCAAAAACAAACTTATTATAGCTACTTTGTGGAAAGTAAGTTTATTGTAATAATTACAAGACAGATGTTTTAGAAAGAAATCTAGAATGACAGTAAAATTAATCAAAATAATTTTTCTAGTATTACCAAATCCAATTAAAAAACTGTTATCAATGAAAATAGGAGAACATGATATACTGTGCTCTGGCACAAACAATTCATCATCTTAACATTCAATATGCGTTGCTATTAGTTGAACTTTTTATGACCGTGAAACTTATGAAAATGGGAAACTATCCTTTGAGGAACAAACTAGAATATCCCAAAGGATGTGCAGGTGCTGATTATTAAACTATTTCAGCTTAAGTTGCTATTTGTTGTAAAATCGGTCTCAGGTAAAACAACAAATTACTTATTAACCCATCAGGGATGTAACATTACTGGCCCTTCTTAACTTTGCTATGAGTTTCTTTGCAATCTCTTCCACAATTCGTAAAATTTTCAAGTAAATGAGATACTTCAACCTATTCACATTTCTTTAATAGATAAAGTATAAGATGTTTGTAATAAAGTTTTTCCCAAAGTATAATTTGATTTCCCATTGTGTGTTCTCTTCCCTTTTGTTCAGAAGTGATATATAATAAAAATATTATTTTTATCTCCCAATTACAAAGCTAAATACAAGCACAAGTCGCTATGCACAAGATGGCAGCCATAGTGTGCTTAAAGGTAGGCTTGCTGATAAGGCAGCAGTTTTTTGAGTTGCTGCTAAACACATATTCAAGGGAAACATCCAACTAAAGTCCCACTAGTCTCATATGAACCTAATTTATTTATTTATTTATTTATTTTTTTTTGTGAGACGGAGTCTCGCTCTGTCACCAGGCTAGAGTGCAGTGGTGCGATCTCGGCTCACTGCAACCTCCGCCTCCTGGGTTCAAGCGATTCCCCTGCCTCAGCCTCCCAAGTAGCTGGGACTACAGGTGTGCACCAACATGCCTGGCTAATTTTTTTTTGTATTTTAGTAGAGGCAGGGTTTCACCATGTTGTGCAGGATGGTCTCAATCTCCTGACCTCGTGATCCACCCACTCGGCCTCCCAAAGTGCTGGGATTACAGGCCTGAGCCACCAGGCCTAGCCATATGAACCTAATTATGTTTAAAATGTAACATAAAAAATAGCCTTAAGTTAACATGTATCCTCTCCTTCTATCTCTCTGTTTCCTCTTGTCTCTATGTGAGGGTGTATGAGAATAATCTAGAAAAGGCCACTGCATTTGATGTACAAAGAACATACCATTTTATTCATTTTTTTTTGTGGTATTCTAGGTTGTCACCTTTTTAATTACATGAGTTAATATATCTTATTATTATGTATTAGTTATTAAGTTGATTTCTTTTCCCTATATTATCAATCTATTTTTATTCTCACTACCGTATTAGAATAATCTAGGCATTACCTTTTGCTACGTTATTTCAGGGAACAAACAAAATACTGAAAATGTGGAAAAGAAATAAAAATTAGCAGTTATTAGCAGTCATACAGAACCTGGCAGTCAAATCCAGTTATTATCCCATTTAGCAATGCATAGTACGAATAAATCTTACCAAGAAAGAAAAGTAAGCCAATTAGTAAAGGTCTGTTTTTACTGTGAAGAACTTAAAGAGTAAAGACTAGGAGAACCTATCAGAATTAAATTATTTTTCAAAGTTGCAAACTCAAAATATTCAGCACCTGAAATTGATCTAATTCCTTAAATAAACAAATACTAAAGGATAATAAGAAAAACAGTCTTATAGTTAGCATATTTATTTTGTTCTAGGTTTGTGGCATTTAGCTCCAAGTTTGATCTCAGAATAACAAATGTGCTAATGAAGACATAAGTCTTATGTGAAAAGACTCCAAATACAATTTTCAAGTTGTAAGCCCACCAAATTAAGCAAGGATAGAAGATGCTTCCTATTAAAATTGCAAAAGCTGGCTCAACACTCGACCATAGGACTTGTACATGATTTTCCTTCCTCTAACACATATAATGAGTCAATCTACAAGATTTAGGAGCACACAGGAAATGCTTAGTGTTTTGACATTCCTTTTGATGATCTAGTTGGTCCACACAGTAGTCAGCACAAATGGCATTTAGAGTTGACAAGGATCAAATTTGTGTAATCTAAATGATTTGGCAAAATGAGTTTTGTTCTGGCTGTCCTCCCTATCAAAAACAATTTTACACTAAAAATACCCTCTGACTGGATGATTTCATTTTTGTTTGGCACTTCACTACTTTAGTCGGAGAATTCAGTAGAATAATAAATTATATTTGATCAACAGATGCAGCAAGATTAACTGAGTTAAAATTGATTTTATATTTGTTCACAACATAGATTTCAATTTTATAAACCAAAAATTGACTTAAAGTCGGCAAACAGCACAAATGACAAATCTTTATCTAGATGAAACATAAATTTAACAAAATTGTAGAAATACTCTAAAGCCAGAGCTATACATGTGAAACAGGTAGCTATTTATTTATTTCACAGTATTCTATATGGGAGCATAAAAATAAAAAAGGATAAAATACAGTATCAATCCTATTATAATGAGATTGAAAATGTAAAATTACTGTACTTCTATTATTTGTACATGGCTAACTTGTTTTGAGGGTATATGTATGTTATGTAATTTGATTTTCAAAAAGTAACATCCCTAAGAGATGCAGGCTGTTATTATCAGAAAACTGAGGCTCAGTAAGGTTAAGTAATTTGCCTATACACGTATCACTAATAATCTACAGAGACCGGACTCAACTCCAAGATGCTCTGATGCCAGAACTTGCATCTCAACTACTGCTGTCTTCCCACTAGAACGGCAAACAGCAAAACATCACTATTAATAACAAATGAATTGGCTGAGGCCTATCATAGGCAGGTTTCATCAATCACTTAAGATTTGAAGAAATCAGGACTAATCATGTCTCTCTTTGAGGGTCATCACAGGCAATTAAGATGGGAGATATATATAGGAAATTAAGTTACGGGAGAAAGAGACTGGATTTTATGAACTAGAAAATAATAACTACAAAGTTTGGCACATATGTCTATACCCATCTACAAAAAAGAGAACACCAATATAATGCTTCTCCACTTTTTGTGTGCAATAATAATCTTTTTTAAGGCAGGGATTTTTTTGTTGCCCTCTAAATCTTAACCTCAAAGTGGGATTTCCAGATATTCAAGGTCTTAGAAACTATGAGTAAGAAAGAAGTGTAGTGGCCTTTTTCAGTACTTTAAAATCCCATCGGGAAATGTTCGTGTGCTCAAAAATAAGTCACAGAAATAAAAATGTATTCTATATGAGAACAGGTGATATTGCAAACTCAGAGAGTCCACATAACAGCTACATATGTCTAACTAAAACAGAAAAATGACACATTTATTTTATTTATTATTATTATACTTTAAGTTTTAGGGTACATGTGCACAATGTGCAGGTTAGTTACATATGTATACATGTGCCATGCTGGTGTGCTGCACCCATTAACTCGTCATTTAGCATTAGGTATATCTCCTAATGCTATCCCTCCCCTCTCCCCCTACCCCACAACAGTCCCCAGAGTGTGATGCTCCCCTTCCTGTGTCCATGTGTTCTCATTGTTCAATTCCCACCTACGAGTGAGAACATATGGTGTTTGGTTTTTTGTCCTTGCGATAGTTTACTGAGAATATGATTTCCAATTTCATCCATGTCCCTACAAAGGATATGAACTCATCATTTTTTATGGCTGCATAGTATTCCATGGTGTATATGTGCCACATTTTCTTAATCCAGTCTATCATTGTTGGACATTTGGGTTGGTTCCAAGTCTTTGCTATTGTGAATAGTGTACAATAAACATATGGGTGCATGTGTCTTTACAGCAGCATGATTTATAGTCCTTTGGGTATATACCCAGTAATGGGATGGCTGGGTCAAATGGTATTTCTAGTTCTAGATCCCTGAGGAATCGCCACACTGACTTCCACAATGGTTGAACTAGTTTACAGTCCTACCAACAGTGTAAAAGTGTTCTTATTTCTCCACATCCTCCCCAGCACCTTTTGTTTCCTGACTTTTTAATAATTGCCATTCTAACTGGTGTGAGATGGTATCTCATTGTGGTTTTGATTTGCATTTCTCTGATGGCCAGTGATGATGAGCATTTTTTCATGTGTCTTTTGGCTGCATAAATGTCTTCTTTTCAGAAGTGTCTGTTCATATCCTTCAAGGCTGGTTCAATATATGCAAATCAATAAATGTAATCCAGCATATAAACAAAACCAAAGACAAAAACCACATGATTATCTCAATAGATGCAGAAAAGGCCTTTGACAAAATTCAACAACCTTCATGCTAAAAACTCTCAATAAATTAGGTATTGATGGGACATATCTCAAAATAATAAGAGTTATCTAGGACAAACCCACAGCCAATATCATACTGAATGGGAATAAACTGGAAGCATTCCCTTTGAAAACTGGCACAAGACAGGGATGCCCTCTCTCACCGCTCCTATTCAACATAGTGTTGGAAGTTCTGGCCAGGGCAATTAGGCAGGAGAAGGAAATAAAGGGTATTCAATTAGGAAAAGAGGAAGTCAAATTGTCCCTGTTTGCAGATGACATGATTGTATATCTAGAAAACCCCATCGTCTCAACCCAAAATCTCCTTAAGCTGATAAGCAACTTCAGCAAAGTCTCAGGATACAAAATCAATGTACAAAAATCACAAGCATTCTTATACACCAATAACAGACAAACAGAGAGCCAAATCATGAGTGAACTCCCATTCACAATTGCTTCAAAGAGAATAAAATGCCTAGGAATCCAGCTTACAAGGGATGTGAAGGACCTCTTCAAGGAGAACTACAAACCACTGCTCAAGGAAATAAAAGAGGATACAAACAAATGGAAGAACATTCCATGCTCATGGGTAGGAAGAATCAATATCGTGAAAATGGCCATACTGCCCAAGGTAATTTATAGATTCAATGCCATCCCCATCAAGCTACCAATGACTTTCTTCACAAAATTGGAAAAAACTACTTTAAAGTTCATATGGAACCAAAAAAGAGCCCGCATCGCCAAGTCAATCCTAAGCCAAAAGAACAAAGCTGGAGGCATCACGCTACCTGACTTCAAACTACACTACAAGGCTACAGTAACCAAAACAGCATGGTACTGGTACCAAAACAGAGATATAGATCAATGGAACAGAACACAGCCCTCAGAAATAACGCCGCATATCTACAACTATCTGATCTTTGACAAACCTGACAAAAACAAGCAATGGGGAAAGGATTCCCTATTTAATAAATGGTGCTGGGAAAACTGGCTAGCCATATGGAGAAAGCTGAAACTGGATCCCTTCCTTACACCTTATACAAAAATTAATTCAAGATGGAATAAAGACTTAAACGTTAGACCTAAAACCATAAAAACCCTAGAAGAAAACCTAGGCATTACCATTCACGACATAGGCATGGGCAAGGACTTCATGTCTAAAACACCAAAAGCAATGGCAACAAAAGCCAAAATTGACAAATGGGATCTAATTAAACTAAAGAGCTTCTGCACAGCAAAAGAAACTACCATCAGAGTGAACAGGCAACCTACAAAATGAGAGAAAATTTTCGCAACCTACTCATCTGACAAAGGGCTAATATCCAGAATCTACAATGAACTCAAACAAATTTACAAGGAAAAAACAAACAACCCCATCAAAAACTGGGCGAAGGATAAAAATGACACATTTTTAATAAGTATAATTTGGTAGAAAAATTATTTTGAAATAGATTACCCGTAAGGAGTTCTGCAACAAAGGGGTGTGAAGAGGATGAAAGCATTAGGAAGAATTTCTTTAAGATGAAATGTTAAGCAAAACAAGTAAGATGTCAGATGAAATTTGCTTAAGGAGATAAGAGTGTTGTACTTTGCTAATAATTTTGGATAAGGAAAGAGAATAGTAAAAGAACTTTCAGCAAAGTTGGGCTAATGGATTAATTAGTACAGGCTTCCACCCGTACCAATTAGGAGAAGCATCACCTGGATAACAGAGCATTAAAGAAGAGACCATGTAGTTTGGGTTATGTGAGAAAAAGCAATTAGATCAAAATCCTCTAATATGAATGGAAAGTGGGAACCGTACATACATTATGCTTCAAAGCCACAGTGACCAATGAAAGGCAGAAAAATTAGGTTTAAACTCAATGGACAAACATGAACACGCTACAGCTGTTGGATAGATTAAGGAGGATGAGGTTGCTCACAAGATCCAACAAAAATTCCATGAGCTCAATTAATCCTGTAGAAGCATGATATCATTTGCTAATAACAAATAGATTGGTTAATAGCATGCAGTGAATCTAAAACCAGTCACAAATAGAAAACAATGATTAATGCTATACAACACTACATGAATAAAGGTATGAACTTCACTTGGTATAAAGCTTGATGCCCGATACGCCACCGATTTACTCAGCATATAGTATGAGGTCAGATATTTCCACCTAGTACCTCCAATCTGAACTTTTGTCTTCACTCAAGTCTTACAGTAAGTAAAAATCTATTACGAAAAGATGCTGACCCTCTATCCTTCACCTTATCCTTCACCCCAGCAACCAGGCTTTACATTAATAGTCCTCTAATTTTAAAAGAACACATTTCATGTTTTGAAATAGAAGCAGATCTGAAAACATTCTTCTATCATGAACCCATCAATGTAAATAGACAATTATTATACCCAAGGAGTATGAAAAGAAAGTATGCCCTGTGCTGATTCTCTCTAGTAAGTTATCAAAAACACTCTTAAAAATTACAACCTTGGCTTTTCTTGCAAACTCTCTGAGCAGCAATGTACCTGAAGCTGTTAAAGAACAGGCCTTGGAGTCAGGCAGGCTTCCATTCAGTCTTAGCCCTACCAACTCTGAAGCTTCTCTGCAAAGACATGGAGCTTCTCTACCCTGCAGTTATCTCACCTGTCACATTCTGGACCTCAAAAAAAAAAAAAAAACACTGAAAGACGAGGTGGGACACTCCATGCAAAGCACTGGGCACTGGATCTAGTAAGAAGTAACTTCAAACCATGACAGTTGTTTTGGTTTTGTTCTGTTGATCATGGTAACAAAAATAAAGCTAAAGAAAATTACAATGCAAACTTACTCCCTATTTCTTGGGAAACTGATCAGTAGTTCAAAATAGAACCATTCCCAATGAGCACATTATCTACAGTCGATTGTTTAAAAAAAAAATTAATTCCCAGTTGAGAATTCTCAAGTAGAAGAGAAGTGAGTTAAACTGCTGTCAAAATAAACAGCTGTTCCTCAGAGAAGCTACAAGATTTTGAAACTTTTCCCCCTTGTTCTACATGGCTTGAGGCAGCAGTCTGGAACAGATATTCCTTCTTTAGCTATTGTAACAAGGCTCTCATAGAGCAAACAAAAAAATGAACTCGAAGGGCTGTATCTATACATATTAGTCGTGAGATTCTAGAAACACTGAGGAGAGACTGTATGAGTTAGTCAAAGGTATAGCAAAAAGCTTTTAAACCCAGCCTTTAACTACTTAAGTTTAAATCCCAAGACAATCTTAAACTATACATATTTTAGATCAATTATTTACAAACCAAACGATTGTTCCAAAAAAATGGCCACTTTTTCTTTTCTTCTATTGGGAGAGGGGTTAGGTTTCAAGCTAGTCCCGTTTGACACAGCAATAGCAGTTATGCATTTAATAGATGTTAACGCAGGTCAGCCACATATGGTATAGACTGTGGAGCCAGACAGCCTGGAAAGAATCTTAGCTCCTTGGCAGCTATGTAATGATAGGCAAGTCAGGATCTCTCTATACCTGTTTCCTCATCTGAAAAATGGGAATAATAACAGTACACATACCACATTTAGTTGCTACTATAAGGATTAAATGGGTAAATATAGCTCCAGACGCATGGTTAGCTCTATATATGTTAGCTATTAAATCACCCATTGATCATCTGTTACTCAACAAATTTATCTATTATATGCCATGAATTGCACTAGAGACAGAAAGATAAATATGACAGACACAGATCTTACTAAAGGAAGAAATGTCTGAACAGAGATTAGAGGGATGAGTATGATAATTTAGCCAGGCAGAGTATGGAGAAAGTGCTCCAAACATAGGAAACAGTAAGTACAGTGGTCTGAACTTGAGAGAAAACATTGCATGGAAAACTGCCAATGGGGGAGTAGGTATGGAGTGAAGACAGTGGTTCCAACCCCTGATATGTAATACAAAAATTAGCCTTCACTTTATGATAAAAGCTCATTCATGACCAGAAGTATACCTAAATGCCAGTGGATGAATAAACAATGGAAACATTTTAACAGTACTTTTTAAGAAGAAAATTTTTGTCTATTAATGGGGATTTCCAGAACAAGATCTTCAACAAATAAAACTCTACATCTTTCTTTAGCTACATATCTAAGATTTCCGTAGTGACTCATTCACATTAACCTGATTTTCAAAGTTGAATAATACGGAATTAAAGAGCAACCTAAGAGATCAGAAGACCCTGACAAAACGAGACATTTATTTGTCAGGAGTTTTTGCCAATATTGCTACTCTGGACTTCAAAGCGATATATTTTGTCTAAAATTTAAACAATATAACCATATTTACCCCCCAAAAAGAAAGAAAAATAGAAGAGAATAAAGTACCTGTATAAAATCTCACAACCTTGTTACAATCACTTCCCTTCCAGCCTTCATGCTTATTTTTCTCCTAAATAAAATTTCTTCTATATACTATTCTTTAGATTTAATACATTTTAATATTTAATGTTAACAATTTTAATTTAGTGCAGTGTACACATGAATGTGTGTGTGGTGGTAGTGACTTCTAGGACCCCATGAGAACTCTGAAACAAAGTAGAGCTGTCACTCTGTTACCCACTTTTTGGAACCCTTTTCCCATTCAAACACTTTCTCTCTCTGCCCACTATTTGCCCACATGAAATGCCAAGTTACCCACAGAATGCCAAAACCCTCTAATCCTTTTAGATCTATTTACCTCTATTATATGCATAACTGCTACTGCTGTGTCCAACAGGACTAGCTTGAAACCTAACCCCTCTCCCAATAGAAAAAAAGAAAAAGTGGTCATTTTTTGGAACAATAATTTGGTTTGTAAATAATTGATCTAAAATATGTATACTTTACATAGTTGGGATCTGGATTCAAATCCCAACTGGATCACTTACAAACAATATGGCATTGATCTCATTTGGAAACCCTCCAAACGTCAGTATTCTAATTTGTGAAATGGAACACAAACTGTAGAATACAAGAGGCAGCATGACATAATGTTTAAGAGTTAGGGCCCTTAAAGAAGGCTTTAGAGAAGATTATATGGGTTTAAATTCTAGTTCGACCATTTTATAGCAGTATAACACTGAGCTGGATATGTTCCTTCTCTGTGCCTCAGCTTCTTTATCTGCCATAGAAGAACTGTGTGGCTTGTCTGACATACTATATGTAAGGCATTTAGAAGAATGCCTGGCTTATAGAAAATACTTAGAATAGAAGGATATTATTACTTCATATATCCATTTTATACTTGATGCATAATTGTGTCAGAGGTCCCCAAGACACCCTCATGTTTGATAATTTGCCGGAAGGGCTCATAGAACTCAGAAAAGCCATTATATTCACTGTGATGGTTTATTACAAACACTATTAAAAGGAAAAATGTGCAAAGGGCAGTCTTCAGGAGAAACCAGATCCAAGTTTCCCATTGCCCTCTCTCAGTGGAGTCCAACAGACAATGCTTCATCATCCCCAAAACAATATGTGACAACATGTACAAAGTATTGCAAACCTGGGAAGCTTCTGTGAGTCTTGGTGTCAAAGATTTTATTGAGAGTCAGTCACTTTAGCATAGACTGCCTGGAAGACTAATTTTAGCTATTCTATCTCCAGCTCAGTAAGAGGTCAAATGGAGACAGTGTGGCCCAGGGCCCCAGGTAGACAAAACAGGTGTTCAACATAAATCACATCATTAGCATATCTATATAGGTTGGCCCAAGGCCCCAGGTATATAAAACGCCCTTATCAGGCAGGATATTTCTAGGTCTCTTAGTAGCCAGTCAGGGGCCAGTGTTCTTTGGAATATGAAGGTTTTGAGCACCCCAAGCCTGCTGAATTAACCCTTTACTGTATAATAATTTATTGAGCAACTACCATGTGCCAGGAGCTATGATAAACATTAAATATATATTATCTCATTTAATACTGAAAACATTTTTATGGGGAAGGAATTCACATTACTTTTTTAAAACCAATGTGGAAACTGAGGCTCAAGGTTAAACAAGTCTTCAGACACATAACTCGTATGAAATTCAAATCTAGCTCTCTCAGACTGCAAAGTCTTTACTATTTCCACTAAGCCATATTGCTTTACAAAACATTACAAAATTTAAAATAATATATTGCAAAGTATGTGACACATACAGGTATATCATATTTATTAACCAAATTCATTTCTGGCAATGAAAAATAATTTACAGAATTGCTTTGAATTTGTGGAGAAAATAAATTAGAACTGTGACCAAATGTGTATTTTTCCTGTAAATTAGTTTTCCTTTAAAAATAGTGTTTTTATTAAAAGGCTATCTAATCCTAACTAAATAATTATAACCAAGTCCAACAACCTCAGCAATAAAGTTTTCCTGAGATTAAAAAGAACCAGTTCTTTAAATTCAACCTTCTTTTTCTTCACACCTCAAAACTTTTTAATCGCCACAAACAATTGCTAAAATACAGAAATGACTTACCCATCTATTAAGAATAACAATTTTTCATTGTAGAAATATGTCACCAGTTTCCCTAGGGAGGCAACAATGCCTTCTCACTTTAATATGTGTGTAGTTCTTTTCTTCCCCCCACCTAATCAGCTAATATGTTTGAAAAGATATTTTTAATGCCTAAATGAAAGGATTCCACATCAAAGACCTGACCTCCCTATTAAAGTATCCTAAAGGAAACCCTACGAATGTAAAACCTATTCAAAGGCAAATTGCGTGTAGCTTATTGTACAATGCATTAAGGAAAAAAAGCCTTACAAAAGCTGCAAGGAATTTGGTAAAATTATATCACAAAAATATAAACTGATCTTGAAGTATAAAGAAACAAATTCATAGCCAAAAACTTATTACAGAAGTGCTCTGTAATTAGCCAGCAAGGGAGTCTTTATGAAGAACTTCAGAATTTGTCACTTTTTCAATCAAAATGTCTGATTACAGCTTAATGTTG
The DNA here is from genome assembly GCF_000001405.40 of Homo sapiens. Classification (NCBI taxonomy): domain Eukaryota; kingdom Metazoa; phylum Chordata; class Mammalia; order Primates; family Hominidae; genus Homo; species Homo sapiens. Next base: position 59,832,924 of record NC_000013.11, read on the forward strand.
GAAAGGCCAAAAGGAGAACAAACCATACATTTTTCAATAGATTTTTAAATCTGAAATTTTATAGCTTTCAAAATCAGAAAAGATAGGTTTTCCTACAGCAACAAGAGTAGAACGATGTAATGAGATAATAGATAAGATAGTATAAATAAAAAAACTTTTTAAAAAACAATTTTTTTACCATACCATGAATGTGGTTCTGAAGTTATTCAGGTCAGTAAGAAAGTCTTCCACAGACACCTTCTTCACATCAATGGCATAGTATCCTATTATACTCTGGTATAACTTTTCCATGTTTTCGTGTAACTTCGAAAGTGTCTCATATTGTTCTTTTGCACTGATAACAAATCTGTATACTATAGTTAAGGTATTCTGAAATTTACAAAGTAATGCTTTGGGGGCAGGGGGAACTCTGTAAATCCAATGTTTTAGTCTAATAGCCACCATTACTATATTTCCAAAATTCTAAAATTACTTCTAATAGTTGACCATTCTTAAAGTCAGTCTATACTACATAGCAACAAAATCTTAAATTCAATTTCCAATTAACTTTGGGAAATCATTAGAAAAGATTTATATATTTAATATTTCTCTTTAACAAGTTTAAAAAATCTTTCTTCCAACTTACTATAATAATATAATATGCAGATCATACAATATGATTTAAAATTATAGTTCAGTAGTTGCAGCTGAATAATTGCAATGATATTGAAATCAACAGTACAAGCATTAAACACAACAGTTAAATTGGACATCTTGGGATCAATTTCTAGCTCCTATACTTGGTAATAGTGTGCCTGTGGGCAAGTGCCTTCATGTCTCTGTGCTTCAATTTCCTCATCTGTAAAATGGGAACAATAATATCACCAACTCACAGGGCTATTGAGAGGACTAAATGAGCTAACACATGCAAAGTTCTCAGAAAAGTGGGCATTTAGTAGCACACAAAAATACTTGTTATCATCATCCCTCACTTATTTTAAACTTTAAGGTTCTAAAAGCAAACAAAATTTTAAGAGTTAAACTGAAAACTTCTCCCATTATCTAACCAAATTAGTGTTCCAACTTCTCTTAGAAAACTGGTATATAATTTCTTTATGCATTAGATTATTAAAAATTATGATTACACACACAGGCACACACATATAGAAACGTTCTTCTCTCACTCATGACAATATATTTCAAAACACACTGAAATTAAGAAGATGAATTTAATGTGAATGTGACAGCCACTGACATTAGAAAACATTTTCTAAATAAACAATGAAATTTTTTTTCTTGTGTGGCAAATTGCTAATGCAGTCAGATATAACATCACTATACCATATCCAGAAAAAATGATTCTTTTAGAGCATCACTCATAATTGCCTATGGCTCCTTTAAATTAACATTTAACGAAATGGAACATAGTTAAATTTGCAGAAGTCCTTTTACTAACTTTGACTAGCCATTAGCAAAATTTAAAACAAATAAAAAACAGTATTCAGGCAGGCCAAGAGAAAGAAGCTAAAAATGGAATTTTTATATCTAAAATTTTTTTGGCCCACAATTTCAAAAAGATATGGTTCTTCTGGCCAGAACTTACATCAGTAGAGGATGAAATAAGGAAACTGATGCAGGTCCTTTTCTTTGAGAAAAATAATGAAAGACCAAGGAAAAAAGAGACAGCACTACTGCCAGGTAGGGAGTAAATGTAGGCTAGCATATGAAAGAATTCTAATTCTTCATCATCATCTTCATCTAAAAGAAAATGCAAATGTAGTTAGCTGTCCTTGTGCAAACTGTTAAACTCCAACTTCTGTATTCGTCAAGAGCTTTGGAAAAATACGTGAGATACTCAACAAAATAAACATTTCATAAAATTCATTATAAAAATATTGATATAAGCCCAATTACTTGATGTTTTGGGAAATCTATTTTGTTTTCCTTTACCAACACTGAGGCCAAATTCTCATGAATTTCTACTAGAATCACTGTCATCTTCCCATTTGAGAGGTAGATAACAACCAGATCTGTGTTTACATGCATTGAACCACAAGTGTTAAGTGTTGGCCAGCTATGACTTGGAATTCTACTCCTGGTATGCCAGTATTGCTCATTACCAAACCACCTACCACAAATATATCCCACATTTATTTTTAGGTCATACTGCCTTTATTACAGTTCTGTCACTGAGGATGCCCATAACTTCCATTAACATACTTTATAAGGATCAGCATCATTCAGTCCTATGTGTCTAATATATTTCATAGACTTTCTTAAGTACACAGGATCCAGCAAGCCATTCAGTAAGTATTATCTGAGTTCCACTGTATTCTAGGCACTAGGAAAAACAGTAGCTAACAAGTCAGGCAAAGTCCTTGCTGTCAAGAAACATTTTAGAGTATGGAGACAGATAATAAACAAATGAATCAGATTTTTAACATAGTAATAAGTATGATGTAGAAAAAAAATATGATATTACGTAGAGTGACAGAGGTTAGGTAGTTAAAATCTTGGCTAAGAAAGTGAGATTGACTAAAACAACAGAGGCTTGACTGTTAAAGAGCAGTGAGCTGTCCATTGGGTAGTACTCCCTTGTAGGTATAAGACTTCAGAAAATGAAAAGATTATTATAAATTTGGGGACTCAGAGAGAATTAAGAACAGCACATTTAATGCTAGTTTTAAAAGTCTGCTAAGAAGGAATTAAGTGGAACACAGGCAAGAAAGAAAGAACAGAAGAAGAAAAGGAGAAGAAAGTGAGAAGACTAATTCAAGAGAAGAAAAATCTGCTACAATAAATCACCCAATTGCCCCACTTCCCACTCTTACAACTGGGCCGTGTATTATACAAGTTTACATTTCATCCATTCCAATCTTCTATTTTACTTCCTAGTCGCCACAGTTCAAAGTTCAACATACTAAATTCCTTTATCTGAAAAATGCTGTACATTATGCAGTGTAGAATATAGATATAAGTAAATCTTTCTCTCAATGAATTTACTGGGCTGGCTTTAGCATCTACCCAGTGATTTCAGAAGTTTCTAAAGCATTGCTATATAGAATAACACACAAAAAAAGTGTGAAAATAAAGTGGGATTTCAATGAACAAATTTAAAGAATATAACATGGAAAGGAGTCAAGTAACTTGTCACATAAGTTGTAATAAATACAGAAATATATAAATGTCTAGCAAAATAAGTTTTTCTGAAAGACTCAGGAGAGGGAGTAGGAAGAAAATAGAAAGGCAAGTGCTCAGGCAAGAAGAATTTCAAGTGCAATGCTCCAAATTCTATTTGTTCTTCTCCTTAAAATAAGACATATCACAGAATTTAAAGATCATGAGAAAGGAACAAGCACTACATGACACAAATCCTGGCATATTCTTAATTTTCTCACCGATAAAAATTTAGTAAGTACGTACACCTCACATATAATAGCTTGCATGTAACAATACTGATATACATTGAATTTGGTTTCACATTTTTCAAGCAAGTAGTTACTGTGGAAATATTCAATTCTAATTAAGGCTCTGACTAGACTTAGCAAGTGGGAGGTAATAATTATTACTAAAATGTCAATGATATTTGAAATAATAGTGCATCCTTTTTAAAGGATGCACTAAATTCAATTTTTTAATATTAAGCAGTATATGTAAAGAGTAAGCATACACAGAAAGAATAAAAATACAACATACTATCATCGAGTGCTATTAGTAAAATTTCACATTACAATAAAATTGTATCTTAATAATTTAAAACAATTCAATTAATTGATTTAACAGTTCACTAAATTATAATTATTTAAGTACGTACTTGTAAGATACATTGTTAACAAATTTAAAAATACACATATTCTTCCAGAATTGGTGAATGAACCAAACATTTGATATGTACCTCGATGAATAAGCATTTCAATGAAAAACATGAACAAAGTTTAAGTGGTTAATAACAAACTTTAAGTATATTTTATTCATTGTGCATTTTAGCTTCCAAATTCTTCAATTTTTTAACATCTAAGAAGCTCACAATTTGCCATTTTAATAAGATCTGTATAAATGCATTTAATATGCAAAATCTGACATGTCAGTCCTAATTAATGTAAACAAAGACTCGCAATGAATGAATTTAATTACTTCGAAACTAGTATGTCTAACTAAGATGAAAAGCAAACGAGTGCAATCTAATCTCAGCAAAGAATATTTATGATTATAAGCTTTGTCAATAGCAAAGTGCACCAACTGTTCATATATCTGACTTCCAAGAGATACATGAATGCTAATCAGTTCATTAGAGGCTTCTAGGTTGTGATATTTAATGACAGGATGTAGTAGCTTTCTTGTCCATGGAGTATAATTGTACTCAGAATGAAAAATTGTTTCCAACAAAGCATCATCCTTCCTGTTTCTGATTTCCTGCTGGTTGCTTTTTATGAGCCGCATACCTTTCAAGAAGCCGACATCATTCAGTTTCTTGTGTCATATAAATCCAAGTATAGATATGTCCTGAGATCGTGTGCTAAGCAAGATTCTACAACCTTTACTCCAAGCTCAGGAATTCATCTTGGTTCTATAAACCTGAGCTTCATAATTAGTGCATTCACAGTGTACTACCAGAAGCTACATGCAAGCAAAATCTTTTCTGAACTGCTTTATATCTATAGGGAACAATAATAAGTAGTTCAATTAACAGTACTTAGTTATTAACAAACTGTCACATATGAATATTTTAACATGATAAAATTAAGAAAAAAGCTAAGAATGATGAAACATATAACTGCAATAATATATTTATTTTAGAAAGCACACTTTGTCATATGAGAAGGTAGTACAAAAAAATTTTTGATGAATACAGATTTCACCTTTACTTAAAAAGAAAAAAAAAAAAAAAGCCTTACTCAGTAGGGTGATAAAGGCATCCTCCCTAATGAAATAAGAAACTGGATGGGTGGCAAGATACAAAAGGAAACAAACACGTTAGCCTGAATTGATTGTTGCTGGAGTATATTTTTATGATATTTCCCGACAGAGACAGTGAAGGAAGCTAAAACTCAACTAGTTCACAATTAAGCTGAAAGCATATACAATAAAATCTATGACAAGCCAAATATTAATTTTGTGATTCACTAAATCTCAGGAGAGAAGAGGTAGAAAGAGGAAAAATAGTCATTTTATTTCAAGTACCTCAGTTTAAGATATTAGGAGTGTCTATTTATAAGAGCTCATTTTAGAAGTGAGTTATCTTTCATACAGAATTCATTTGTCCATATGGGATTTTAATAATGCATTGTAGTAATATTTTATTACAACACAAAAGATATCAGTCTGTAATTTCATAAAATGGTTTGCAAAGCAACTCAACATTACTTTCAGGAAATAAAAGTTTATTACTTCAGTTACTCATTAGAGATTAAGCTACAAAGTTAGTGATAATAAAGATAATTGAATACAAAAGAAACCTTAAACAGGACACAAGCCTCATGCTATTAATTATATATGTGTGTGTGTGTGTGTGTGTATGTATATACACACATACATACCGATTTATTTGGGTTAGGAAAATATCAATACAAGTAGTGACTATAATAAACTCCATTTTGATTTTATAACCATCTAGTATTTCTAAAGGAAATATTAAATTTTATGGAGCACAAACTAATTTATAATATATGCCAATTCTTGAAGTTAAGCTGACTAGTTAAACACGTTTATGAAGTCTTGTATCTGCTTCCTCAGACATTTCAAAGGTATCTAAATCACATCATGAGTTTAGAGTCAAACTTCCTCAACCTGAGTTTTAATATCCTTTCAATTCATCATGTACATCAGAAGGAAATAAGGTATATGACAGGGAAAAGATGAGAGAACATACTATTATCTAAGCTGATAAAAAGGAAAAAAATAGAAATTAATGATCATACATTTGTGGGTGGGCGTGGTGGCTCACGCCTATAATCCCAGCACTTTGGGAGGCTGAGGCTGGCAGATCACTTGAGGTCAGGAGGTCGATACCAGTCTGGCGAATATGGTGAAACCCTGTCTCTACTAAAAATACAAAAAAATTAGCTGGGCATGGTGGTGCGTGCCTGTAGGCCCAGCTACTTGAGAGACTGAGGCAGGAGAATTGCTTGAACTTGGGAAGCAGAGGTTGCAGTGAGCCAAGATCATGCCACCGCACTCCAGCCTGGGTTTCAAAAAATAAATAAATAAATAAATAAACAAACAGACAGACAGACAGACATTTGTGTATTATTCATGATTGACAGACACTTTGATAAATTTCCCTGCAAGAAGGCAAAGGTTAAACTTTCTGTAATTTGGCACTACAGAATGATCTCTGGTTACACAAAGACATCTAAAATATTAAATAAATTGTATCTCTAGTTGACTAGTGACTTAAGTTATTTAGCTATCAAAAGGATATGGACATCTTTGTCACAAACTTGTCATGCAAGTCCTCAGGAGGGGGAAAGGTTTCCAATTCCTTCTCAAGCTGTTGAAGCTGCCTTCCCATCTGCCTCAAATTCTTTTCCAGCGTTTCTACAGAGACTAAAAGAGAGTATATTAAATGCCCGGAAAGGACAAAATTATAATATATAAAAGGTAAGACACCCTAGAAACAAAACATTCATGAAAACAACTCACAATAATGTAAGAAAATTCATTATAAAATAAAAATAAATTTCACTTTTAACCTTTCAATTTAAAATCTAGTTATAAAAGAAATTCAGTAAGACAGTCTTTAAAACGTAAGACAAAATTTAAGAAATGCTCACACACACAAATAAACCACACTTCAGAAATAAGTTTCATTAGAATTCTTGACCATTGGAAATACTACAAAATCATCAGTCTATTCAGAGACAAAAAGAAAACATTTTTTAAAATTGGACTGATTTAAATATAATTTGAACATTTTTCAAAATCATCTCTTGACAGGGAACAGTGAGTAGATGGGAAAGATGGGGAAAAGTGTTTTTTATTGTCCAAGCTTATCTACAATGGGAAAGAAAAGGTATCAGAGGCTACTTATAATGACAAATGTCAAGCTTTCTTTGCTGATATCCTGAACACAATTTGTGTTTATTATCTAATAATATTTTTCCTTCTTTGACTTAAAGTGGCTCTCACGGTACACATGAAGAAGAAATGGTAAACCAGGGCACTGTGTCACTATGAGAATATACTAGCCACCCAGCAGAACAGACATTAAGGATCATTTCTGAAAATCTTTTCATAGTCAATTTTATATGACACCAGGAAAAAGATTTAATAGTGCAAAAAGAAGATAGAGTGACCTAAACCAACTTTTAAAATATTTGCTTTAGGTACAAATGAATTCTAGGTTAAAAAAAAATCTATTGTTTTTGTTCAATGTGAACTATATAAAATGATGTTTAAAGAATGAATACAGTAATTCAAGGTAATCTGCCATTCTTAGGATTTGAATTAATCCTGAAGGATTTGAATTAATCCTGAAGAATGGGTGCAATTCAAGTTTTATCTATAAGGATAGGAATATCCTTGGAAGCAATCTAAATGCCCAACAAAATGAAACTGAGTTGTTTTTTTTTTAATTTTAGCTTGGTTCAAAAGAATAAAATAGTAAGGAGACATTAAAAATAATGTGTAAGAATATGAAATGGTGTTTTATTGTTTTTTTAACCTGGTTGTACAGAAAATAACATTTGGTATTCTGACATTAACAGCTTTTAATAAAACCTAAATGTATTTTCTTATTTTAAAAAATTAGCAATCTAATTCTCAGATGCAACGTTTAAGGAGTCCAATGATTGAACTCTTCCGAGAACCACATATAATACTTGTTTGTGCTTGAAGAGTGATGGTACTTTAACTGTTTGCTCCCACTATGATGAAGCTAGTCTGGATTTACACTCATGCATATTTTCTCAGTAGGTTTTTTTTTTCCTTCTCACGTATTCCCTTTCTGTGATACTTTGAATTTACACACTAAATGCTATAATAATACACACTATTATCTGAGTCATTGTCTCAAATTTAAGAATCACATATTCTTACCTTTTTAACTATTTAAATTATTCCAATACCTTGCTGTGCATTGCTCATAGTGGTAACATATATTTCCTATGTTATACTCTTTCATTTTTATGTCTGCTTGTCAATTATCCACAACCAAGATTCTATTTGATTAGGCCAATGGTGTTTCATTTACTCTTCCCGTTTCCAACTTTTTTCTTTGCTTCTTTCAAAGTTCTCTATCTGCATTACATAAGAGATTCCTTTTGCTCTCCTAGTCTATTTGATCTCTCCCTTAAAGTCTCATTAGCATTTCCTCTATCATTTTTCAAGAACTCTTACAGGTGGTTCAGTCACTTTTTATACTTCCTAAAACTCTGCAACTTCTGACTAAATAAAGGTTCAAAAGCAAGCTGGGCATGGTGATGCACATCTGTAATCCTAGCACTTTAGGAGCTGAGGTAGGAGGATCAACTTGAAGCCAGGAGTTCAAGACCAGCCTGGACAACAACAAGACTCTGTGCCTCCAAAAATTAAAAAAAAAAAATTAGCCAGCCATGGTGGCATGTGCCTGTAGTCCCAGCTAATATGGAGGCTGAGGTGGGAAAATTGCTTGATCCCAGAAGTTTGAAGCTACAGTGACCAGTCATGGCACCAATGCACCACAGCCTGAGTGACAGAGCAAGACCCTGTCTCTTTTATTAAGTAAATACATGCTCAGAAATGTTTATAAGCCATACATCTACTTTGTGCTATAAATTAGGTTCAAAAAAGTAGTGTATTAGTAGTATAATGGTAGCAGTAATTGTTATATTAGTAGCAGTGACAATAAAAATAATAGTAATGGTAATAACAACATCTAAAATGTGGTAAGTGTTTATGTATGTCAGGTACCGTCTTAAGTGTTTTCTATTAATTAACTCATGCAATCCTCACCAGAACATCATGAAGTAGGCATTATTATTATTCCTATTTTACAGATGAGGAAACTGGAGCTCAGTAGGTAAGTAAAAAGGTCAAATTAAAAATTGGTGAAGCTAGAATTTGAATTCAAGCAGTTTCATTCCAGACCTTATTTTTAACCACTGTGTTATATATAAATTATTATAGAAATTACCATTTTGTTTTCATAACCCCTGTCAGTAACATTTAAATAAACAGATATAATTTTCACATAATAAGGGGTTTCTTGTACATTCTTGCCCATTGCAATCACAAGCAATCCATATTCCCTGCCTAAACCCAGGGAATATATGCCTAAGCATTCTGGATGGACGGGTGAGTGTGCAGTTATATATATATAACTTTTTATATATGTATTTATTTTTAAGTACTATATATATTAAAGTGGTATCTCACCTTGAACAAAACCACATACTTAAAATACTTAGTCTGCTCAACCAATTTTATTATGCACACATGTCAAATTAGCAAAAGATCTAGAGAACAGACCAATAGGTCTGAGGGACTCCCATATGAGAAAAAGCACAGGGCAAATGTTGGGAGGGAACATAGATTGTTTGATTTTTTCTCTGACACCAAATACATTGTTCCAACACCAATCAATTGTCTAATTCTCCAATACCAACTGGGTGTCCTACAATTGGAGTTAGTGCAGACTCCATAAGTTAAGGAGAAAATCCTTCAATTCCGATACTAACTACCCAGATTTAGTGTCAGGCTGTACAGGTAGAAGGGCTCACTCCCACAAAACTACCCTCATTTCAGATGCCAGTTGCCAGTCTAGAGGACCACTCTAGACTGACTCGCTATAAATCTGGGGATTCCCAAAACTCCCTTCCCTGAAGTTCCACAATTCACTAGAATGACTCACAGAAATCAGGAAAGCACTATACTTATGATTGTAGCTTTATTATGAAGGACACAACCCATGAACAACCAAACGGAAGAGAGGTACAGGACAAGGAATGGTGGGACGGGGGTGGTGCACAGTTTCACTGCCCTTCCAGCACTTCCACCCTCCAAGCACATCCATGTGTTACCAACCCAGAAGCTCCCCCAACCTCTTTCAGTCTTTATTGAAGCCTCATTACAAAGGCACTATTGATTAAATCACTGGCATTTGTGATTGAGCTCAATCTTCAGCCCCTCTCGCACCCATACATTGGGTATAAGCCCACAGTTCTAACCCTTTAATCGTATGTTTACTACTTCTAGAAACCAGTCTTCATCCTGAAGCTATACCCCTACCTGTCTTTAGTCACTACATTAACATACAAAATATGTGTCACTCAGGAAATTCCAAAACTTCTAGGAGCTTCGTGTCAGGAACCAGGGGGCAAAGACCAAATATTTACTTTTCATTGTACCGTATGGATATAGAAGTACATGTCTGGTCAGAGGGCAGAATTCCAGTAGGGAGGTGTAAGAGAAGCACATTTTTGGCTCATTCTCAGAGGTGCCTAAAGTCTAGGCTGCCCTCAGAGGAAGCCAGCTACTGGTAACTGAAGATAGAGCTACCCCAATGAGTGAGTGCTTCTCAGCTAGGTGGGAGAGGGACTTAGTCCACTGGATAAAAGGCCTGTGACTTTTCCAATTCTGTGGTTGTCAGTGGGTCAGGAACTATGCTCTTTATGATTGGAAGCAATTTCTCCTGGGCTTGATTTCCACATTAGTGAAATGAGAAGGATCTCACCGCGTATTTTTACCTCACAGACATTTCATAAAGAGTAAGCAAGCTATCTTCAAAAAAATAAAATGGTTCTTGAGGCTACTCTACAGATGCAAATCTCACTAAGCCATTTCTTGTGCTTCACCAGAAGTCTCTGATTATTTGCACATTATTTGCACATTATGGTTAAGCAGATTTAAATGTAATTGACCAACCTCTCACTTGGTTTTTAAATAAGGACCAACACACACTTGGAAGAAAGAAAGCAGCGTGAGAATTCTGGGCTAAGAAAATGTATGCCATCTGATGGGTAAAACTAAAGAGCATTTTAAGAATTCCCTTGCTGTATTTATAAGTCGGATCTGAATAATGGGAACACATGGACACAGGGAGGGGAACAACACACAGTGGAGCCTGTATGAGTGGCGGGCAGGAGGAGGGAGAGAATCAGGAAAAATAGCTAATGCATGGCAGGCTTAATACCTAGGTAATGGGTTTATAGATGCAGCAAACCACCATGGCATACGTTTACCTATGTAACAAACCTGCACATCCTACACATATATCCCAGAACTTAAAAAAAAAAAAAAAGAATTCCCTTGGTGTTTTTATTTTTTCAGCAATTATTCTATTTCTATAGACAATTCTTGTATGTATCTTCAAACATAATTTTAGCCACATTTTTCACATGTATCAGGTTCTTTGAGGTCAGGAACTATATTTTATGTCTTAAAAATCTTAACTATATCCAGATCACGAGGTCAGGACATCGAGACCATCCTAGCTAACACGGGGAAACCCCGTCTCTACTAAAAATATAAAAAATTAGCCAGGCGTGGTGGCGAGCGCCTGTAGTCCCACCTACTCAGGAGGTTGAGGCAGGAGAATGGCATGAACCCGGGAGGCAAAGCTTGCAGTGAGCTGAGATCGCGCCACTGCACTCCAGCCTGGGTGACGGAGCGAGACTCCATCCCAAAAAAAAAAAAAAGGAAAAAACAAAACAAAACAAAAACTATATCAGGGAGTATTAAATTGTACACTCTTAAAGAATTTTTAATTTACTGGTGTCTCTGTATGTGACCTATGTGTGAATTTTATCTTTCAATCTTCTCACCAAGAAATTAATCATATTTTTTGTATTCCTGTTCATTCTTTGGAAGAAAACTAACAAAACAGAGCCATCATCAAACAGAGCTAGCTAGACAATTTTGACTTTTGCATTTTCCTCAGTTAACATTCCACCAGATGACATCTCTCAGTCACTTCAGACATCATGTGTCTCTATCTCCAACCTGCTCCCTATGTGTAATCTCCATACCACAGAAGGCAAAAGGACCATAAATCCCATTTCTTGTGCTAGAAACCTGCTGGTCTTGACCCTTTCCTCTCTTGCAATTCTCAGATTCAAACAATCATGACACTCAGGCATTTTACTTGACAAATAGTACTTAATTCCTTCCTGACTTAACACCTTTTTTTCTTTCTCTTTTTTTTTGAGACACCATTTTTTTCCTTTTTCCTTTTTTTTCTTTTTGAGATGGAGTCTCACTCTGTTGCCCAGGCTGGAGTGCACTGGTGTGATCTCGGCTCACTGCAAACTCCGCCTCCTGGGTTCAAGCAATTCTCCTGCCTCAGTCTCCTGAGTAGCTAGGATTATAGGCATAAACCACCACCTGGCTTATTTTTGTATTTTTAGTAGAGACGGGGTTTCACCATGTTAGTCAGGCTGGTCTTGAACTCCTGACCTCATGATCTGCCTGCCTTGGACTCCCAAAGTGTTGGAATTACAGGTGTGAGCCACCGCGCCTGGCTGACTTAACACTTTTAAAGTCATAGGGAACCCTTTTGTCTTCTCTGATCTCTGGTCTCCTACAGTTTTTCTCCAGCGTCATTTTCACACTGTGCATAGGGGTTTCCAGACAATCAGTAAAGCTGCCCCTTTCCTGTTCAATGCATGTCAGTAAACTGGTTACATAACATCTGAGTTCCTAAACAAAGCCCCACCTACAACCTGGGGTGCTCTACTTCATATCCTGCCAAATATTCATCTCCAAAATACATACTGCTTATAGTTCCCCTGCCCATATCCCTCTTCATCTAATCTGTACCTGATCCTGGAAATAATGTGTGTCTATCTGCCTTGTGCACTTCACCCCTGGGTCATAACCATTCATAATTTACAAGGAATCAAAAACTACAGCAAGTACACAGGTAAAGTGCCCTTTCTCCCAATCACAACTAGTAATTATCTCTATCTTTGCAATTACTACTCTCTATTTACATTTATCTTTTTATCTGTCTTCCTCTCCCAAATGGCTGGGAATTCCTTAAGATAAGACACCATTCATCTTTGTATTTTCGTTACAAAACATATTGCAGATACCCAAATGTTTGCTGAAGGAATGGGTTTTGGATTTAACTTTAACCTCGCCAGATAAGAGCGTTAAAAATGAAACAGGAAAATATAACAGATTAAATATCCCAGACATTAAAATCAAAGACACAGGCTTTCCTCCAAGTGTCTTATTATTATGATAATTATACACCAGAGGTGTTAAAGAAGCTTTAGAGTAAAAGTTAAAATCGAAACTATAAATATTTAAGTTTAAAGCAGTCATGAATACATGCTTTTTATAACACCATGGCCTCTATGATTTACTAGATTAAGATTTCAAGTAAGAAAGGAGAGGTTACATAATCTTTGTAATTAAAAAAAAAAATCCTCTATGAATATCTCCTGGAGGTGTTGGTCATTATTTCATAATAAGCTTACTAAAAAATGCCACACTCACTCTTACACATCATGATACAATCCAGGGAAATTGATTTCTTTAAGGAAAGCTTAAAGAACAACTTATTACCATAGACAATTTAAACATGCAAACTAAATCAAACCTTCCTACACTCATAGAATCAATTGTTTCATGTGCAAAATTATTTAGTTTCAGGCTCCAAGCAATATATTTCTTCCTAGACAACTGTAATAATAAAAGCATTTTATAAAGCTATAGCAACATTTTATAAATGCAAGTTAAAATAATAAAATTGTATGGACAAGGTGGTCCAAAACAAACCTCAGTAGTATAAAAAAAAATCTTGACTATTAAGTAGGTCTACAACAAAACCTAAATTCTAGAATACCATTATAAAATCCATTACATGACAAAAAGATACAAAACTAAAACAATACTGAAAAAAAATCAAAGTAAAAATAAATTGTAGCTTAGTTCGTAACAGGCAAAGATAAATTGAAAGAAACTGTGCTGCCGGGTGCAGTGGTTCACTCCTGTAATCTCAGCACTTTGGGAGGCTGAGGTGAGAGGATCACTTGAGGCCAGGGGTTTGAGACCAGACTGGGCAACACAGTGAAACCCCATCTCTATAAATTTTTTTAAAAAGATTAGCCAGGGGTAGTGGTGCCTGCCTATACTCCTAGTTACCCAGGAGGCTGAGGCAGGAAGATAGCTTGAGCCCAGGAATTTGAAGTTACAGTAAGCAATGATTGCATCACTGCACTCCAACCTGGGCGACAGAGGGAGATCTTGTCTCAAAAAAAAGAAAGACAAAGGAGCAATGCTAAGTGAACAGCCAGTCATCCTCATCAAGTAGTTGTACCTTCCTTGACTTACCTGACTCAGATCTTCTTTCTTCCCATTGTTCTGATTCTTGATGGAACCCCAGGTAATAACAAATGGAATTTGCATTCCTTAATTAATTTACTATACTGTATGCAATGATGGTTTAATTTTTGTTGTTTTTACATAATACTGCAAGAGAAATGCCTTCATCTGCTATGGAACATGGAAAGAAGAAAGGGAGAAGGCAAGTAGAGGAAATGAATACAACCAATTAAAGGCCCCCAGTCAATTCTGTTGAGCTATTTCATCCCCTGAAAGAAAGAGCCAGCCCTGTCCTTTACAAGTACAAAGAGGGTATTAAAGGCGGCAGCCTTTTAGAAGAGAAAGTGTATTAGTGGGAGAAGCCCATCTCAAAGGAAATCATGTTTACCTATAAGATTTCAGAATTCCCTTAGATAAGATGTTCAAAACCATGGTATAAATATTACATAAGAGGTGCATAACAGAAATGTTTAATAACAATATTCAAAATGTTCCCTTAGTATAATGGTTCTGTGTACATGTACATGGGAGGGCAATTTTACTGCTTTTTACTTTGTCACAGGGGAAATGTTAAGCACAGACTGACTGACTTTCAAGTAAGACTAGTTTTCACTTGCTGCTATTGGAGACCAGGTCAGCCTCACAATTCCAAGATTGTGTATTAGCTGGACTTCAAAAAAGTCCAAATTTTTTCTCAAGCCTAGATCCTTCCCCTGAACTCCAATGGCCTATTTGGACATGTTTCCTTAATATTTAGCTGGCACCTTAAACTCACTTTTCCAATTAGAATTTATCTTCCTCCTTGACTTGCCCCTACATCGCAGTAAATCATTAGTTTTTATAACTCTTTTCTCTTTCATGCCGCACACATCTAACCATAGAGCGCATCTTGCTGGTTCTAACCTCAAAATGCATTCGTTTTCCAAATACTTCTTACCACCCTCACTACTCTTCCCGATCCAAGCCAACATTATTCCTCCTCTAGATTATTTTAACAGCATCAGAGTGGTTTTACTCATTCTACCATTATTCATCTACACTTTTTCCTCAACAGAGCAGCCAAAGCAATCCTTTGAAAATTTAAGTCAGATGTCACTCTTTTGCTCAAAACCTTCCGTGGCTTTTGAGTGGCTCCTCATCTCAGAGTAAAGTCAAATCTTTTTTTTTTTTTTTTTAATTATTATACTTTAAGTTTTAGGGTACATGTGCACATTGTGCAGGTTAGTTACATATGCATACATGTGCCATGCTGGTGCGCTGCACCCACTAACTCGTCATCTAGCCTTAGGTATATCTCCCAGTGCTATCCCTCCCCGCTCCCCCCACCCCACCACAGTCCCCAGAGTGTGATATTCCCCTTCATGTGTCCATGTGATCTCATTGTTCAATTCCCACCTATGAGTGAGAATATGCGGTGTTTGGTTTTTTGTTCTTGCGATAGTTTACTGAGAATGATGATTTCCAATTTCATCCATGTCCCTACAAAGGATATGAACTCATCATTTTTTATGGCTGCATAGTATTCCATGGTGTATATGTGCCACATTTTCTTAATCCAGTCTATCATTGTTGGACATTTGGGTTGGTTCCAAGTCTTTGCTATTGTGAATAATGCCGCAATAAACATACGTGTGCATGTGTCTTTATAGCAGCATGATTTATAGTCCTTTGGGTATATACCCAGTAATGGGATGGCTGGGTCAAATGGTATTTCTAGTTCTAGATCCCTGAGGAATCGCCACACTGACTTCCACAATGGTTGAACTAGTTTACAGTCCCACCAACAGTGTAAAAGTGTTCCTATTTCTCCACATCCTCTCCAGCACCTGTTGTTTCCTGACTTTTTAATGATTGCCATTCTAACTGGTGTGAGATGATATCTCATAGTGGTTTTGATTTGCATTTCTCTGATGGCCAGTGATGATGAGCATTTTTTCATGTGTTTTTTGGCTGCATAAATGTCTTCTTTTGAGAAGTGTCTGTTCATGTCCTTCGCCCACTTTTTGATGGGGTTGTTTGTTTTTTTCTTGTAAATTTGTTTGAGTTCATTGTAGATTCTGGATATTAGCCCTTTGTCAGATGAGTAGGTTGCGAAAATTTTCTCCCATTTTGTAGGTTGCCTGTTCACTCTGATGGTAGTTTCTTTTGCTGTGCAGAAGCTCTTTAGTTTAATTAGATCCCATTTGTCAATTTTGGCTTTTGTTGCCATTGCTTTTGGTGTTTTGGACATGAAGTCCTTGCCCATGCCTATGTCCTGAATGGTAATGCCTAGGTTTTCTTCTAGGGTTTTTATGGTTTTAGGTCTAACGTTTAAATCTTTAATCCATCTTGAATTGATTTTTGTATAAGGTGTAAGGAAGGGATCCAGTTTCAGCTTTCTCCATATGGCTAGCCAGTTTTCCCAGCACCATTTATTAAATAGGGAATCCTTTCCCCATTGCTTGTTTTTCTCAGGTTTGTCAAAGATCAGATAGTTGTAGGTATGCGGCGTTATTTCTGAGGGCTCTGTTCTGTTCCATTGATCTATATCTCTGTTTTGGTACCAGTACCATGCTGTTTTGGTTACTGTAGCCTTGTAGTATAGTTTGAAGTCAGGTAGTGTGATGCCTCCAGCTTTGTTCTTTTGGCTTAGGATTGACTTGGCGATGCGGGCTCTTTTTTGGTTCCATATGAACTTTAAAGTAGTTTTTTCCAATTATGTGAAGAAAGTCATTGGTAGCTTGATGGGGATGGCATTGAATCTGTAAATTACCTTGGGCAGTATGGCCATTTTCACGATATTGAGTCTTCCTACCCATGAGCATGGAATGTTCTTCCATTTGTTTGTATCCTCTTTTATTTCCTTGAGCAGTGGTTTGTAGTTCTCCTTGAAGAGGTCCTTCACATCCCTTGTAAGTTGGATTCCTAGGTATTTTATTCTCTTTGAAGCAATTGTGAATGGGAGTTCACTCATGATTTGGCTCTCTGTTTGTCTGTTGTTGGTGTATAAGAATGCTTATTGATTTTTGTACATTGATTTTGTATCCTGAGACTTTGCTGAAGTTGCTTCTCAGCTTAAGGAGATTTTGGGCTGAGACGATGGGGTTTTCTAGATAAACAATCATGTCGTCTGCAAACAGGGACAATTTGACTTCCTCTTTTCCTAATTGAATACCCTTTATTTCCTTCTCCTGCCTGATTGGCCTGGCCAGAACTTCCAACACTATGTTGAATAGGAGCGGTGAGAGAGGGCATCCCTGTCTTGTGCCAGTTTTCAAAGGGAATGCTTCCAGTTTTTGCCCATTCAGTATGATATTGGCTGTGGGTCTGTCATAGACAGCTCTTATTATTTTGAAATACGTCCCATCAATACCTAATTTATTGAGAGTTTTTAGCATGAAGGGTTGTTGAATTTTGTCAAAGGCTTTTTCTGCATCTATTGAGATAATCATGTGGTTTTTGTCTTTGGCTCTGTTTATATGCTGGATTACATTTATTGATTTGCGTATATTGAACCAGCCTTGCATCCCAGGGATGAAGCCCACTTGATCATGATAAAGGGGATATCACCACTGATCCCACAGAAATACAAACTACCATCAGAGAATACTACAAACACCTCTACGCAAATAAACTAGAAAATCTAGAAGAAATGGATACATTCCTCGACACATACACTCTCCCAAGACTAAACCAGGAAGAAGTTCAATCTCTGAATAGACCAATAACAGGAGCTGAAATTGGGGCAATAATCAATAGTTTACCAACCAAAAAGAGTCCAGGACCAGATGGATTCACAGCCGAATTCTACCAGAGGTACAAGGAGGAACTGGTACCATTCCTTCTGAAACTATTCCAATCAATAGAAAAAGAGGGAACCCTCCCTAACTCATTTTATGAGGCCAGCATCATTCTGATACCAAAGCCGGGCAGAGACACAACCAAAAAAGAGAATTTTAGACCAATATCCTTGATGAACATTGATGCAAAACTCCTCAATAAAATACTGGCAAACCGAATCCAGTAGCACATCAAAAAGCTTATCCACCATGATCAAGTCAAATCTTTACAATGGACAGTAATGCCCTACAGGATCTATTACCTTTCTGACCTTATCTCCTATTATGCTCCCCCTCTCTCCCTCTGCTCCAGTCTCACTTCCATACCTTGAGGCCTTTACACTTGCTTTTCCCTTTGCCTGGAATAGTCTTCTCTCAAATACCAACATAAATGGCCTCTCTACGACTCTTTTATGTTTTTCTCAAAGACCACTTTCTCTACAGGACCTTTTCTGACCACTCAATCTAAAACTGCAAAAAACCCTGCCCTGGCATGCCAGAGTCAGACATAAGACATACATTGACTTCTTTCATTGGCTTGGTTCTATATCTGCCACCTAAAATGTAAACTTCAAGAAAGCAGAGGCTTTTGTTTTTACAGCTCTTTGGTGCCTTGGAATGGATGAGGTATTCAGTAAATGACTGATTCAACAATGAATAGATGAATCTTTTTTTTTTTTTTTTTTTTTTGAGACAGCGTTTCGCTCTTTGCCCAGGTTGGAGCGCAATGGCGCAACCTCCGCCTCCCGGGTCCAAGTGATTCTCCTATCTCAGCCTCCCCAGTAGCTGATATTACACACATGCACCACCACGCCCAGTTTTTTGTATTTTTAGTAGAGACGGGGTTTCACCATGTTGGCCAGGATGGTCTCAATCTCTTGACCTCATGATCCGCACGCCTCGGCCTCCCAAAGTGCTGGGATTACAGGCGTGAGCCATGGCGCCCAGCCAAATAGATGAATCTTATTTAAACTAACTTTATTTTTTTTTTTCTGTCACTCACAGTCAAGCCTAATCCTTGCTAATACAAGTGCCTAGCACAATGCCTACCAAACAGGAGTTCAATAAGCTGTTTTGAGAGTCCTTTCCTTATAGAGTCAAAACATATCAAAAACTACTAATTAACACTAGCTCTTTTTTCCATAAAATATGGTTTGAAAGATAGCTGCCAAGAAGCCACCATCACAGTGGTAGACACTTATATGACAAAAGGGTCTCACTGCTGATCAATTTTAAATCTATACTTAAAGGTGATCTCTTCTGAGGGGAGAAAGGACGATTACCCAATATCTTATTTTCTTTAGGTTTTCCTATGAGCGTGAATAAATATTATTTTAGATTTTCCTAGCACTTATATCATTTCTCATAAAGTAGTTCATATTTCCATATGGCATTCCTTCATAATTCTTGGCTGAAATGAAAAAATTTCTTTTTTAAATTCATGCATCACCTCCAGAAAAATAAACTCAGAGTTGAAGAGTTGCTGGAGACCAGTTGTTTTCAAAGGTTGTTTAGTACTAGAACTCCGTTTTCAAAAGAAATCTTATGTCAAAGTTCAAAATACAAAATAACGTGTTGCAGGCTGAAGCAGAGGCAGAAAAATAGAACTCATTTTCCAAATTCCATTCCCTATGTTAGTATGTCCAACTCGTAAAAATGCATTGAGCTGTACACTTATGATCCTGTACACTTATGTAACTGCATGTGTATTATTCTTTAATTTTTAGAAAAGTACCAACATTTTTAGAAAACTACTAACATAAGCCTACAAAATTTGCAGTCGTTATGTTCTAAAGTTTGAATAAGCTTCAGGCAACACACAGTTGGAATCTGTTCAAATTTCTGACAATACATATTAAAATTCTATACTAACACATTATTCACATAGACTCATGTTTACCTGCACTGTTAATGACAGGCAGATGTGTGCCAACAATAAATAATCACGGAAAAATAACACCCACACTATAAGAAACATGGAGAATATTTATATAATGATTAATAGGTACTTTTCAAACTTGATAAACATTTGTACATATTAACCTATTTAATCCTCACAACAAACATCTGGGTTAAGTACTAATATTGCACCCATTTTATAGGTAGGAAAAGGGAAGCTCAGACAGAATAAGAAACTTGTCTAAGATTATACCTATAACAAGCTGGGGTTTCAACTCCAGGTGAACCAGTTACCTAACCTCAGAGTCCATGGTCCAGATAACAGTTTCTCCTATCATATAATGTTTCTATAATCTAATTGCAAACACATTTTTAATTTTGCCCACTAAAATCACTTATTACAGTTATTGCTGTTATCATGGCCTATCAATAAAAAAATTCCTTAAATTCACAGGCTGATATGGTTTGGATTTGTGTCCCCTCCCAAATCTCACGTTGAATTGTGATCCCCAGTGTTAAAGAAGGGCACTGATAGGAGGTGATTGGATCATGGTGGTGAGTTTTCCTCTTGCTGTTCTCATGATAGTGAGTGAGTTTTCACGAGATCTGGTTGTTTAAAAGTGTGCAGCACCTCTCCCTGCACTCTCTTCCTCCTTCTCCAGCCATGTAAGATGTGCGTGCTGCTCCTTTGCCGTCTGCCATGATTGTAAGTTTTCTGAGTCCTCCCCAGCCATTCTTCCTGTATAGCCTGTGTAACTGCGAGCCACTTAAACCACTTTTCTTTATAAATTACTCGGTCTCAGGTAGCTCTTTGTAACTATGCAAAAACGGACTAATACAAAGGCATACAATAATTTCAGTTTTAACTGGTTTAGTATTTTCACACAATGACAAAGAAAAGGGTATTTCTGAAGCATATTAACAATAACTTTAAAAACCAAACTATTTCACAATTTAATGATACATGCTTTCCAGATATGCTTATTAGTATAATTTCCATGCACTGTTTCATAATACTCAAAGATGACAGTGCTATCTCCATGCAGTTATAGGACTTATGCCAAAGATGACTGTAGTGGGTGAGTAGTGCCCCCCAAAAATGCATATCCACCCAGAACCTCAGAATGTGACTTATTTGGAAATAGGAACTTTGCAGATGAAATTAGTTAAGGATCTTGAGATGAAATCATCCTGTGACTGACATCATCCAATGACTAGTGTCCATAAGCAGAGGTGAGGACCCCGAGAGACATGGAGAAGATGGTGAGAAGATGCAGGCAGAGAGTGGAGTGATGCATCTACAAGCCAAGGAACACGAAGGACTCTGAGTAGCCACTAGAAGCTGGAAGAGAAGCATGGATGCTTCCTCCCCTGGAGTCTTCTGAAGATGCCAACCCTACTAATACTATGATTTCAGAGACTTTAGTGAGAGACTTAATTTCTGTTGTTTACAGGCACTCAGTTTGTGGTAATTGGTTATGGCAGCCCTAACAAACCAATACAACTACTAATTCAAGATTCTGTAAGATGCATAAATACATTCTGGTTTCTGGAGAGCAGCTGACAATTCTACCTGCAGCATTTGATTATCTCCATACCTCTTCCCCCAATTGGTTACATGTCAACCTTGTCTCCAACAAGATTCATAAGATTGCCATTAATGTGTTTGCTCTATCTACTGCTTAGGTTTCTTTGTAGTACACAGATTTGTTATGTTAAACTGTCCTTCAGAATATACTATTCTGAAATTTTCTTTCACCTACTTCATATTGCAAAACTAAGGTGCAGTAAATATTGCTTTACAGCCACAAGTGTAAGAGAGTTCTAAAACCTTGGTCATCACTGGTGATACTGTCCTGTTACTTGATGTTCGCTATAGTTCATAGGTGACACTGACAGAACTGCTCAAGTAGCTACTTCAAATCCGTAGCTGGCCCAAAATCTGCAAACACTGTAAACTGTTAGTTTCTCGAAAAGATTAATGATGTATTGATGACACTTTCAGCCTGTTAACCTCCAAAAAGATATAGAGGTCTTCCTGATGTGGTTTTCTTCTTCATCATCATCTATTAGCCCAAGCCACAGCAGATTCAGGAAATGTTCCTAGCTCAGTATCTCAAAAAGCAATCTTTAGCTGCAAGTAGTTCCTCTGTGCCCAGTGTTCTTTAATGTCAATCTACAGAATCCTTAATCCTTCTAGTGATTTTTGGGACATTCTCTTTCTATTCCACTCTGCTGCTTTCCAACACAGTTTATATTTGCACTGCAAAATGATTACTCTTACAATCTCATATCCAAGTCTACAACTTAAACTTTTCATGCCAACTCTATACAGATAATCCCTGGAAATAAACTGGCAGGATTTAAATATGTGGTCTCTTACCACTATACCACACTTGCAATACACTACAAATATTTTTCACAAATCCTGTAATTACCTTGGGAATGGCCCAGTTATATCTCATCATACCTTTTTGTGAAAAAAGTATTAATTTATTGAACATAAAATTGTACATATTCTAACATTTTGGTAAGTATATGCAAACATATATAAATTATATTTTAAAAATAAATTTAACTTTTATTATATTTGGCTTATATTAACATTAAAATTATTTTAGAATTCCTAAGTATACTTACTAAATATAAATGTAAAGTATACTAATGTATGCTTTAGAATTCCTAAGTAAATTCCTAAGTATACTTACTAGATGACTGCAGATAGTCAAATTAGTTCCCTGAGACATAAAACCATTAGGAGTCATAAGCTGGCTTTACGAACATAGGTTTTACTCCACAGTCTATCTGTAGAACCAGCACTACACAACTTGGATATACTAAATACTTTCATTATTCCCACAGGAAAATGAAAAAAAAAAAGTAACATCATCCACCTATGCCTTACTTTTGGAAAGGTGTCAAGAGATAACTCAGAGTGTTACTAATGTTTATCAGTTACCTGCTTATATGAAAATTACAACTATTATAGTAGCAAAACAGGGAGAAATGGAAAAGAAACATATATATATTTATGGATATATATATATATGGATATAGTGAGTAAAAGAAAAAGACAAAACAAAAACTTGGTATAGTATGATTAACTGTATTCTAAAACAAAATCTAGGAAATGCCGTAGATCTAATCCTGAAATTAAATGAGAATTTTCATGAATATATTTATTTAAAATGCCTTAATATATCCTTATACATGTACTACTTTATGTTTCATGTCTACTCAAAAGAGGAATTGAAGCATACTTGCAATTATTTCAAAACATCTGATAATTCAGTTTGTAGAAGAATCTTTGATATTTCTAAATTGATTACTAGTGCACATCCAACACAGCAGCTCTACAACTGCTACTTCAACTGATTTGATAAAGTGAAAAACCATTCAGTATAGGCTACTGTATTCTATAGCCAAAGACCACTAAGCAAATGAGAAAAATGTCTTAAGTTAGTATATTAGTTTGCTAGGGCTGCCTTCATAAAATACCCCAGGCTGAGTGGCTTAAACAACAGAAATTCATTTCCTCAATTCTGGAGGCCAGAAGTCCAAGATCAAGGTGTTGGCAGAGTTGGTTTCCTCTGAGGGGCATAAGGAAATGATTTGCTCCAGGCCCCTCCCCATGGCTTGCAGATGGCCACCTCCTCACTGTGTCTTCACATGGTCTATCCTCTGTACATGTACATTCCTGAATGGCTGTGACTCTAAATTTCCTCTTCTTATAAGGACACAGGTCAGATTGGATTAGGGATATCCTAATGATCTCATTTTAACTCTCCTCTCTTTAAAGGCCCTATCTCCAAACATAGTCAAGTTCTGACATACTGAGGTTTAGGGCTTTAACATAGGAATTTATGAGGGAACAGTACAGCTTGTAACAGTTAGAAAACATTTTTGTTCCCTTGACCAGTCAATAAAAGCAACATCCCACATGGTTGTCTTCTATAACTAAATTATTTTATCATAAATATTTCCACCACCAACAATGTAACCTATTAACTACATCATATAGGCAGATATTGGTAAAAAAAAAAAAAAAGTGTCTTTTCATAACATTCTAATATTCTACTCCTGATTTGAAAGACCAAATAATATATCGTACACAAATTATGAGGCCCCAACCTACAACCTCCACGACATAATGATTCCAACCAATATAATGTTAGCTGTGTTGTTGACTCTGCTGCAGGGGATATAAAATGCAATTAAACTAATAACTAATACTGATTATTCAAAATATGTATCAAACTCACTAACAAATTGTAACTGGCATTTTTAGAAGGCTATAGCAACAAAGAGGTTAACGTGTCTTTTGGTTATAGCAGATAAATTTGAAATTTTCAAACACTATAAATTTTCCAGGTGGTTGCCACCTGGAAATTAAGTGTTCTAAGTGCTCACAGTAGGTGAATAAAAGATAAACATTTGGTATTTAGTAAGACATTTATCATAAAATGATGGAAACGCATGAGAAACTGGAAACCAGGAGACGTATTTGAGCAGACAAATATTAGGGTCAAATCAAGGAATTGCTAGCTAAAAACATATAAACAGAGTCTTAGAAGCAGAAAGCATAGTATTAAATGGAAAGGATTTAAAAATCAAATATATCAGTGAATGCTCTTAATGGTAAAATATGGAAACAGAGAAATATGGCAAAAATTAAAAATGAGTTAACATTGAATCCACTCTGATAATACACTGAATATTGATCTCTTCTAGAAGCTTAAATCTATTCACAGCTGTCCCAGGAATAATCCCTGGTCTAGAGCAGCAGTTCCTAAAGTATAAGAATTCCTGGAAAACGTATGAATTTATCCTTAAATAAAGAGTAGAATACACAAATTTAGGTGAGGTTCCCAGCAAAAAGCACCAAAGGGAAGGTGACATTTACTTTTAAGTTTCTTGATGAAGGAGAAAACTAGACAACATTCTTGCCACAGCTGCCACTTCCCATGGATTTAACTTAGGCAAAAGCCACCATGCAGCTCTGCATTGAGATGCTGAAGGCTATATAGAGATATGACAAATGAGAGAAAAGATATCCAAAGAAGGGGAGCCAAGCAGGATTTTTTCAAGTAAACAAAATTTGGAAGGAGAGGTTAAGGGTGTAGGAATCAAAAGTCCCATTTTGTGGCATAATATGATTCTGACACCTTTTTGAGATGCTATGGAAATAGCAAAAGCTGTTGTCTATAGAAGTGTGGATCTTAGAAGGAAAGTCTGGGATATAAATTTGTAAGTCTTTAACATAATGGTGGTATTATGGGAATTGAAAACATCACCTAAAGAGAAGATCTAGGGAGAAAAGAAGAGAAGGGTTCACCATTAGGCTAGTGAAAAGCACTTTTAAAAAAGCAATGCATAGACACTGCACAGAGGAAGAGGAGAAAGTAAAGGAAATTGACCATAGGAGGGAAGAGCCAGCTGGGGAAGAGCTAGATGGGAGTGAGACAGATTGGGTTTCACTAAGACACAGACACTACACCTGAACCAAGAGTAAGACAAGAGCACAGTTTCTGACACAGTGTAATCACTCAATAAAGGCTTGTTAAGTTAGTGATTGGATGAATGAGTTACAGACTGAACTAGCACGGTATTTCTAGAATTAAGAGTTGACTAGGAAAGGATGGAAATACATGGTGGAATTATAACTCTAAAAAGGTCAGACCAAGGTGATGTTGTAAACTTACCTTAGTTTTATTTTAATATACTCACCAACAAAAAAAAGTAAGTTTTGTCATATTTTTTACTCTTTAATAAAATTTAATAATGAAATAGATTATTGGGAAGTAATCAATAAAACCTTTATAGATTAATTTTAACTGCTTAGACAAGGAAAAATGTATTGAACCTTAGAAGTCCAAAAAGAGAGAAATATTACAATGGTATACAGAAATACAATAATGACTAAAAATATTTCCACTGAAATGCAACAGAAAAGTTGTAAGCCATTATATCTTAGAAAAGAAGCAGTCCTAATGAAGTAGATTTTTGAAAATTGTCATACAGGTAAGCTCATTAGTTGCAATGAAAGTTCTCCCTGCTGATCTAGGAGTACTTAATGACCAGGATTTGTTATGCCTCAAAAACAAAGGTACTTTTTAATTCATGTGATAGCTCACTGAGGAGGTTTCAAATCTGGAAACTTTTAAATGATGATATATAACACGTGTATAAGAGCATTAAAATACTCCAAAGCAAACACACTTACCTCATTCAAAATATTACATTTTCTCCTCAAATCTCATTAATAAAGTAATATAATAATAAAAAAGTTATGCTTAACAATCACCTATACTATAAAAAGTACTTCAGTGATGGCTTTTCTATGTTAAAGATGAAGTTGGCTGCTCCCTGTGAAACATACTAACGGTGTCTGCTGACCCATACACAGACACTAGACTCCACTCTTAACAGATGGAAACTAAAAAGTCCCAAAACCCCAGAACGCCCTGCTGAAACACAAAAACAACAAAAAGAAAAATACCCAGAAGAACCAAACCAAGTTACAGTTCTGCAAGTCCTTATCAAAGGTAAATATTTTTAAAGAACAAATTATAATATCAATAAAGAATTTTAAGTATGAGTCAACATAAATATTTCAAAAACTTCATTTACAGCAAAACCTGCTAAACAATAAATTCTACAATAAAAAATACATCTACTCAACCATGTTTTTCCCCAGGAAAAAAACTCCCGGTGTATTTCAAGGCACTTTGTACCTACCATGTTTTCATCCACTACTCCGTTATCTATCAAACTGATTAATGTCCATCAAGAATACTCATTTCCAATTTTTTTTTATCCCATTTGGTCAAAAAATCCAAAATATCAGAATTCTCTCTTTAGGAGAGTTGATTTCCCTGAGGTAAAAGTTATTTTGAATATCACTGAGTGATTCTGAATGTTTACAACCCATTCAGTTCAATGCCCTTTTGCCCTATCTCAGGTGATTTAACACAAGAAAATAATTTCAATTATTTTCCCTTCTTGAATCCTATTAAAACATCTATAACTATATATATGGGAAGATTCTTCTTATAGCAAGGACATTTTCAGGTTGCAGAGGGGTAAAGTGAGTAATTCAATAATTCATTGGAACACTAGGATTTATTAGTGAAAATTTAAGTAAAAGGCTTATTTTTTGTCTTACAAATCAAGACAGGCCATATGAAATATTTACTTCAAGGAAACATACATCTCAGAACAAAGTTTCAAAGAACATCTCATCCAATCACATGCTTCTTTGTCAATAAAGTTCTATAATCCTCATTTTATAGAAGAAGAACAATTTAAAGGGAGCAGGAAAAGATAAAATTAATTTTTTTTAAAGAAGAAATATTCACTCTAATATGGAAAACAATAAAATATCCTTCAAGTTGATGAATTCCAATATTAAAAAGAAAATAAAGAGGTTATAAAGACAATTTCATATTACTAATGACTAGTAGTCAACAAAAAAAGAATACAGATATTCCAGCATTCCAGATGAGTTGTTTTCCAAAATGTATTCATAAATTGGTTGTTTGACACCAAGTAAAGTTGAAAGAATCAATGTGAAATATAAATGAAAATTGAGGCCGGGCGCGGTGGCTCATGCCTGTAATCCCAGCACTTTGGGAGGCTGAGGCAGGCGGATCAGGAGGTCAGGAGATCGAGACTATCCTGGCTAACATGGTGAAACCCCGTCTCTACTAAAAATATAATAAATTATCCAGGCATGGAGGCGGGTGCCTGTAGTCCCAGCTACTCAGGAGGCTGAGGCAGGAGAATGGCATGAACCTGGGAGGCGGAGCTTGCAGTGAGCCAAGATCACGCCACTGCACTCCAGCCTGGGCAACAGAGCGAGACTCCATCTCAAAAAAAGGAAAAAAAAGAAAAAGAAAAAGAAAATTGAATTATTAAGGTAGTCAAAAAATTATATTTAAATCATATTATAACCAAGTATTAATAATAGCTCTATCCGTTCTATGACCCTTTATGACCTGATCTAAGCCCACAATTGAGACTAGAATCAGGTTAGAAATTTGGGCATTAGGAAAGAGTGAAATGAAACTCTGGCAGTATGGTGTCTTCTATAACAAAAAAAGAGAGCACCAACAAGTTGGGCAGAGATAGATTTGGTACTCAGGTAAGTAGGGAGGGACACTGATTGCTGGTTCTGGTATCAGGTATGTAATAGGCTATCAGTGCCTATGAATGACATTGAATCAAGAGAGCATCACCCTGGCCAAAAAGTGCAGGAGATTTAGCAGTAGAAGGTAGGGCTAGCAGGTATCTACAAGGTTTAAACTGTAAAACAAAGTATTTTATAATATAAGGCCTCATCATCTAACTAAACAAATTAAACTCATAGCTCCAATCATGACAACTCATAATATCCTACAACTCTCTTTATTTTTAAAATGAGATATTGGGTATGAAAACACTGTGAGAAAGTGGAAAGTACATACAAATAAAAGGTATAATTTTCAGTCTTTTAGCACTGAAGATCAGAGCCATGAAATGTTTCTTAAAAAGGCACAAACCTTTACTAGCTTTGTCTAAAGGTTCCAAATCATCCACAAAATTCAGTATATCAGGGTACTTCTCTTCACATATTTCTACCAGGAAATGAAGTAGCGTTGTTTTCTGATCTGCTGATTTTGTGTCCTTTAGCTAAATAGAACAGGAGGGAGAAAAAACACAGAGTCATAAGTATGTTGATATTCTGTCTACTTAAATAATATTAATACTGTATTTTGTAGATAAGGACTAAAAGTTGTAAAATTAGTTGATTTCGTTTTTGAAAAACAAATATTTAAATACTCGAAAAACTACTTTTGACTTGCTGCTTGGTGAAAATCATTATTTGTCGCAAAAAAGGAATAAGTTTAATCGAGCATGCAATGTTTTATAGAAAAAAATATGGAAAATGCCTAGGAAAACAGAGTAACCTATGAGTCTATTTAATAGTAGTATTTAAACATCCTTGGCATTCATCCATTTATCACTTGGCACATATCCATAGAATGCCTACTAGCTACTGTAGTAGTTGGAGACCTAACAACAAATAAAACATAGACTTTCCTCAAGAAGCTGTTTAGTTAAAAAATATACGTATTTGCCTTGGTGTGACAAATAGTATAGTAAAAATAATCACAACTTTCATTTAGGAGGACATGACAATGGAACTGAGACTTCAAAGACAGGAAGTTGTATGGGCTTAGGGAAAAGAAAGAAAAAATACAAAAGTGCATTAACACAGGCTCATGGAGCAGCATTTACAAGGGCTATAGATGAGGAAGGATATGACACCTCTGAGGCAGCTGAGTGACTCCAGAATTAAAGTGTATCTGTATTAGGGAAGGCATGTAGGGACATGGCAAAGATATAAATCTGAAAAGACCAAAAAATAAAAGGAAAGATAATGGCATGCAATGGAAGTAGGATTTTGATTTTGAAGCAATATAAGTTTTCCAACTAGATGAGAGATGATCAGATATACATTTTAGAAAGCTCCCTCCAGTGAGTGTGGCTAAAAAGATTAGGGCAAGAGTACTAAGAGAAGCATGAAGAGTGAGTTAAAAACCCATGGCAATAATCAGGCAGGGAAAGAGGGCAGTCTGAATGGAGGTTGTGCCTGGGAAATGGGGACAATGAGACCATGTGGGTGTGGAAACCCAGGTGATGCTGTTAACTACCATGTCAGAAATGATGAGAAACAGATTTGTGTGAGGTGGCCAAAGAAGAAAATTGTTTTGGACAAGGTAAATTTGAAGCTTTTCAGTAGTACCCAGGTGGAAATGTCTTGAAAGAATATACATTTATCTATCTATGTATAGAACAGTGCTTTCATTATTTTTTTTCATGATTGCCCCCTAAGAAGTTTTTAGGCATTTTTTTCCTAACTGCACCTATAAAATTTTAAAATCACAAAGGTGATGCATTTATGTTTATATACTGTATGCATATCTGTGTTTTACACCTAAAAACTGGTTAAACAAGTAAGACATTTTTGCTCTCCAAGAACCAACTTTTTATCCCTGAAAGATACCTATTGAAAATACATGGTTAAACCTCAGAGGAATAAACTGGGGCACCAACTTGTGACCCCTTTCCTCCCAAAGCTAATTAGTTGATCAAATTAACATAAACAGGTATGTAGAATGAATGAAAAGAGGTTACGGGCTTGAGACGACCAGGGTGGACCAATCCTAATCTGAAATGGCCAAGGAGTGCAATCACAGGGAGAGGTAGTTAAGCTAAAACTTCAACAATGATAAAAGTTAGCTTGGGTTTTGTGTAGTGTTGGGATAGAAAGTATTGGCAAGGAGGAGTGGTATGAACACAGGACTAATAGGTAATCTGGTAGCATTCCCTACCATTAAGTAATCATTTAGAGCAGAGATACAAATAAAGGGTTAAAAAAAAAATCAGTCTTTTCTACCAGAATTTAATTTACAGCTGGAAATTCAAGGCATACCTAATTGGGCACAGTACTACTTACTTGCTTCCTTTCCAAGAATTTCCAACTTTAAAATTGGCTCCTAAATAAATTCCCATAAGTAATATTTTAAAAAATCCAACCTCACTAAATATTCTATCACTATCAGAAAAATACCAAATAACTGTTAAAGTCCAGTAGTGGAAGAATGGGAGATTTCCGTACCATCAGACATATTAACATACTGACTACTTATTGATTCAAAAACTATCATAGAGCCGGGAACAGTGAGCTACCCACCTAGACAGCTTTACTTTCACATCATGACACATGTAATAGGTTCAAATGCTATGCTGACCTACACAACATGCAACTTATACAGTGGTTCCCAGTACTTTAAAAACAGACTGAATATGAACACTTAGTCCATGATTTGGTACCTTGTTTAAAAGAAATACAGATTTCACAACATAGAGCTGAGTGTTTTACAAGAGGATGCCTCAAAAACATGACTCCATTGACTACCTAGACAAATAGTCACTAACATACGTGGATGATTTGGCAATGTTAAAACATGTCCTTGACTAATTAATAGTCTTGAGCACATTACTGGACCTTAGCTTTCACACAGGTAAAATAAGAAAATGAAACAACATAGAAACTCTAAATTCACTTTTTACTCTAAAAATGTTAAGTATACATTATAGTGGAACTAAGAGTTAGTAGACACAGTACAATTTAATTTTTAAAAACTGGAAGAGTGGAGAAATGTAGTAATAATCTCATTTCAGAGTTATTTCTGTGTGTTTGGGTCAGTTGGAATCATTCTATGGGCTTCTGTTTTTACATATAGACTCATGAATGTCAAATACAATCTTTAAGTTTCGTTACAATCCTATAATTTCATTCATACTATCATCTTAAATAGGTAAGGCCAGATTAAAAGCAGCAAACTTTTACAAACAGTTTTCTCTTTGCACAGCCACCAAAAGTTAACATGAAAGTTGTATTCTGTTTTGTTAAAAAGCACCCTAGTAGCAAAGATCCTTTATCTCACCCACCCTCATTTACAGCAATGACTACTTGGGGAACACTGTTCCTACTCTGAATTCTCGGCAACCCATTTTTACTAGTCTACACCCTTGTAGACTGTTTGGAACGTTAAGACAATCACCATCTACCTTCACAATTTGTAAAGCCTAGAAAGAGTATTCCAATAGTATCTGTGATATAGCTAAACAGCCAGCAACTGCTAGGATTAACGTATCAAGAAATCTCAATGACGGAAGAACAACCAACTGGATTGCTCTTGGTCTTTATTTGTAAGCAATGAGAATTCAGAATTTAGAATCATGGAAAACAATGTAGTTTGTAGCAACTTAGTTTAATAAATGTTAAATACTCAAGTCAAACACAGATTCGAGTTATTCAGAGACCATTATAAAGCTAAACACTGATTTAGGAGGAGGGTGCTACCATGGGTTGTCTTGTTGAAAACATCAACTGAGTAGCAAGCAGCATAATGGGAACAATCTAGTATTAAAAAGTACACTCACTGAATAGTAAAGGGAAGCACAATATTCCTATCATTTCAAAATGGGTATTTAACAATTGAAAGACACCACTCAAACTTTCATGTAAATAAATTTGAAACTAAGCCTAATAAATAAGAGGTTCAGAAAAGAAGCATGTTGTTGATCATGCATGGTGTCTCATTTATAAACTACTATGCAGCTCTAAACTCCAGGGCAGAGATTCTTCATTTATGCTCTAACATTCTCTAGAAAAATTTCACAATGCTGCCAAGATACTCTTCCTGCCTCAACTACTCTATTCTCTCCCTCCCCTCTCTCTAACCATCTTTTAAAAAGTCTTCCAAAAGCATCAAAGCATAAAATGTATTAGGTCCTTATCCATTTGCTCAATATTTTTTTCATTTCATTAATGAAAATTACCAACTAAAAAGGCACATTCTACTCCTACTCATATCATACTCACTCATATCATAATCAGTTTCTGAGCTAGAACAAGTAAAGCTTGGAATACAGTGTTAATTTTGTTGAAGATGAGTAACAACTTATGTAAACTTTGTAACGCTAAATCTTGGAAAGAAAATAAAATATTTGCTTTAAAAATATCTTCAGGTTAAAAGTATGCTTTATTTAAACTTTAACAGTCAGTGCTTGACAGGATTTCTTTTGTATTACTGTCAAGAGATTTATCTTACTGATGAGTAATCATCACCGTTAAACAGAATTTCCTATTTATGTATTGTTTCTTTAAGGTACATTTAACGTGGCATAAATGTCAAATAAACAAAAGATGGATGGAGTTTCTCCAACCACTCTGTTCATTCCAGACAAAATAATGTTAAAAGTGGATCCTGTAATAAATCATGGCCTAGTTGTCAGTCTGCAGTAAAACTCCCTTGCAGTTACAGTGCAAGGTTTGGGGATATTTTTGAGGTATTCAGCACAAATCTGGATGACATTTAAAGAATATTCCATTTATTTAGTCACATGGTAATAATTTAAATTTAAACCCTAAAATAAAAACTAAGCATCTTCGTGATCTTCAGAAGTCAAGGAACTGGAATCCCTTCCTGTTTGAAATAATGAAACTTACATCTTAAGAATATTATCACATTAATAACTCTACTCCGCATCATTATGTTCCTATAATCTAGGTATGTATCAAAGCAGCATTGAATATTTAGATGTTTAGATGCTGTGGACATTAGTGAACACCAGAAACAAGACAAAATTCTGAAAAATCTTGTAATGGCACCATTACCATTTTAGAAGAATACAACCTGTGAATAATATTAATGCTGAGGATGACAGTAGCATCCTCAGCATTAATGTTTGGTACTTACCATGAGACAGACATTAGCCAAATAATATAACACATGTTAAGTGCTTAAAACATTACAACCCCAAACTAGTATTATATCCATTATTTAAAAAGGAAAATGGAAATTTAGAGAGATCATATAGCTTACACTGGATCACATGGAGCCAATGATTGGAACACATGTCTGTGTGAATACAAAGCTCTTATCCACTATAAAATATAGTTCCTTTACAGCAATCTTTAGTCTAGCTTATTATTAACAAAATAAACCAAATTCTCAAAAAATGGCAGTAAAACAACAAAAGAGCACTAATGCAATGTAAAATACTAGCACCCTTTAACCTGTTAATTCTAGCCTGGAAAGCATCTAAAAACAGACACCACACTCCCTTGAGGTCATTTCTAGTTCTAAGAGCACAACATTCTATTGTTTTATCTGTAAAATAAATAAAATGCCATCTGAATCTTATCAATCAAATAGCAACTCTTTATATATTTCTAATGGATTACTGCTGACAAAATATCATATGATTGAAGAAAAAGGTATCTATAAAGTTTAACCTTCAATGGATTTATACCACTATATTTTAATAGCATCATATCCCATCTCAAATCTTTTGCAGAATAAAGTGGATTGTGTATGCATAAAATAGCATCCCTAAAAATAAAGGTATCTACGTGAAAATGAATGTATGAAGACATACTAACAAAGACTATAACACAATTGCTCAGACAGAAAGCTCAAAAAGTCAATGTGGTAGTACAAATTCACTAATAAAACCAACCACCATTATAGAATGGATTTTGTTTTCTGGTATGTACGTGTGCTTGTGTGTGTGCCTGGTGTGTGTTTGTGTGTGTATTTGAGATGGGCTCTTGCTTTATTTACATATATATTTATTTATTTATATATATAAATATTTTTAAATATATATTTTAAATAATCATTGTGCTAACAAAATTTTTCAAAACAAAACTGAGTATCACTCCAATACAAATGGCAATGAAAATCTTGAAGTAAATAAAACAAGATGGTTGAGGCAGGAGAACTGCATGAGCCTGGGAGTTCAAGACTGCAGTGAGCTATATAATCTCTCCACTGCGCTCCGGCATAGATGACAGAGTGAGACCTGGCTCTTAAAAAAAACAACAAAACAAAACAAGCCTAAGGTGCTTATGCCACTGCCATAACCACAACCATTAATATTAAAATATAACTTTCTTAATAATTCTAAAGATAGAAACCAATTGATATTATATAAATTAGATACTAAGGCATATAAATACTAAATTACTTATGGCACCCATATATAAAAACAATTTATATTAATTACTTAATATTCATTTTAAAATGATAATGAAAATTAAAACATTAAGTGACCAAGAAAGTGCATTAAATAATGTGGACTTCCGTAATTATAATATGCTACCATATCCCCACACACTTTCTCTGAATTATATTTTTAACACATTTCTCTTGAATTACAGTGAGTGTAGAAACTTCTATATAGAAAGCATTTGTGCATTTTAGTAAAAGTTTAGCATACTACATTATCTACTGCGTTGCACTGTTCTGTTCATACTGCCCCCTTTTTCCTGCAAAAGATATAAAACAGCTCAATGTTCCTTACAAAAAAGGACTATTTTCAGTTCTTTTAGTACTGAGAGATCAGAAAACAGACATTCATAACAGGCAAATGGGAAAAAGTACTAGAATAAACAATCTGCAAGGGAACAAATATGATTAGAATACAAATATATTTTTTAAATGCTAAACTCGGATGATCAAAGACATAAAAAAGATACAAGATACTGCTTCAGCAACTATATCAGCACTCTCCACCTAACAAAAACACTCTCACCAAGAACAAGAAGTCATGGCAGGGTCGCAGTGAGACTGGCACTTTCATAGTGCCAGTCTATGAAAGCCACTGCAGGCATGCGCAAATCAGTAAAACCTCCAGGAAAATGATTTAGTAACATACGTCAAAAATTTTAAAAATATTCTTGTTTGGAGTAGTTTCAGAAAACTCACTGGAGTCCAACATTGTCCAGCCAAAGCTATGTAACTAAACTGCTATTTTAGAGCACGGATTTCTTAATCTAATAATAAGAATTTCTCATGGGAACAATTAACAAAAATTGGAGTAAGTGCTTAGAAAGTGAACATGTTTAGATTGTTTATACAAATGGACCAAATACATTAATTTTAAAGGTTTTTTAACCCTTATTAATAATTAACTTTATATTTTAGACTTTATATTTTAGAGCAATTTTAGCTTTACAGGAAAAACTAACAGAAAACAGAGTTCCTGTATACCCTTCCCTACACACACACAAATTATCCTGTTGTAAACATTTTACATTAGTGTGGTACATTTGTGACAAGTAATGTACCAGTATTGACACGTTATTGTTAACTAGTTTCCACGTTAAGGTTCTTTCTTTGTGTTCTGCAGTTCTATGTGTCTTGATAAACTCAGTGTTATTCATCCATCACTACAATGTTATACAGAATAGTTTTACCACCCTAAAAAATTCTGTGTCTCACCTATTCATTCCTTCCTTCTTCCCTCTCCTCAGAACCCCTGGCAACCACTGATGTTTTATTGTCTCTAGACTTTTGCCACTTACAGAACATCACATAGTTGGAATCATACAGTAGATAGCCCTTCCAGTCTGGTTTCTATCACTTAGCAATACGAATTTAATGTTCTTCCATGTCTTCCATTGGCTTAAAGAGATCATTTATTTTTAATATTGAATAATATTCCAAATGAATATACCACAGTTTATCCATTCACCTATTGAAGGACATATTGCTTGCTTCCAAGTTCAGGTAATTATTAATAAAATGGCTGTAAACATTTGTATGCAGGTTTTTGTGTGGACTTAAGTTTTCAATTCATTTGGGTAAACACTTAGGAGTGTGATTACTGGATGGTTTGTTCTACGTGTAGCTTTGTAATTGCCAGTTATCCAAAGTTGATGTGCCACATTTTGCTTTCCCACTAGCAATGAATGAAGGTTGTACTATATACTTACCAGCACTTGGTGCTGTCAGTGTTTAGTATTTTAGCAATGCCAGTACATATGCAGTGGTGTCTTATTGTTTGAGTTTGCAATTCCTTAATGACATCTGCTGCTGACTATTATAGGGACAGAAAAATTACAACTCCATCCTCTTAGGGTCCTTGCTGGTCTGATAATTTAATTTGACATGAGAGAGATTAACAGGAGAAACGTGTAATGCAAGTTTTCCGTAGCACAAAGGCCATCAAAGGAATGAAGACTGAAAGAAATAGAGTCAGTTACCCATATACCGGATTGTGAAAAGAACAGTTGTTAAGGAGCAACTACATTAGGTGGGAAATTACTTTTAACAAGGCCTCTAAAAAATTCTCTTTGTTTCGACTTTTTGTTGTTGACGATTAAGGATGTTGCATCTTTCCAGTACGGAAAGGCCATCTTTTGCATGAAAATGTTAACTTCTGCTTTTAAGAAATAGCAAGGAGGTCAAAGCAATCTTTCTACACCTGCTGTTTTTCAAGTATCTTTAAATAGTCAATATACCAGAATAGCATATTTTAATCCCTTCAATATCTTTTCATACATTTACCTGACACCTATACGTTTTGATGGGTATCTCTTCACATCTTTTGATCATTTCTTTAAACTGGGTTGTTTATTTCTTAGTTTTAAGAGTTTTTGTACATTTTAGATAAAAGTCCTTTATCAGGTATGTGTTTTGGAAAGATTTTCTTCCAGCCTGTTTTCTTTTCATTGTCTTAACTGTTTGCCACAGAAGTTTTAAATTTTAATAAAGTTCAATTTATCAATTTTCTTTCATAGATTATACTTTTAGTGTTATATCTAAAACGTCATAATAAAACCAAAGGTCACATAGATTTTCTCTTATCTTCTATAAAATGTATAGTCTTGCAATTTATATTTAGGTCCATGATAAATTTTTAGTTAATTTTTGTGAAAGATATTAGGTCTGGCAACTTTTTTTTTTTTTAAATGTAGATGTTCTCGTACCTTTTCTTTAAAAGAAAGACTATTCTTTCACTATTGAATTACCTTTGTTCCTTTGTCAAAATCAACTGACTATATTTATACGAATCTATTTCTGGGGTCTCTATTCCAGTCCATTATTTTAAAATTATTTTTATTTTTTTTCCCTTTGGCCAATACCACAATATTTTCCTTATTGCAGCTTTATACTAAGTCTGGAAGTCAGGGAGTGTCAGATTTCCAACTTAGTTCTTCTTCTTCAGTATTGTGTTAGCTATTCTGGGTCTTTTGCCTCCCCATACAAACTTTGAAATCATTTTGTCAATATCCATAAAATAACTTGCTGGAACTCTCACTGGGGCTCTATTGAACCCATAGATCAAGTTGGGAAGAAACGACACCTTAATAGTACTGAGACATGCTTTCTATGAACATGAAATGTCTATTACTTTATTAGATCTTCTTTGATTTTTTTCAAAGTTTTGTAGGTGTTTTTTTTTTTTTTTTAAATTTGAGATGGAGTTTCACTCTTGTTGCTTAGGCTAGAGTGCAATGGCACGATCTCGGCTCACCACAACCTCCGCTTCCCAGGTTCAAGCGACTCTCCTGTCTCAGCCTCCCTAGTAGCTGGGATTACAAGCATGTGCCACCACGCCTGGCTAATTTTGTATTTTTAGTAGAGACGGGGTTTCTCCATGTTGGTCAAGCTGGTCTTGAACTCCCGACCTCAGGTGATCTGCCCGCCTCAGCCTCCCAAAGTGCTTGGATTACAGGCATGAGCCACCACGCCTGGCCTTGTAGTTTTCCTCATACAGATCTTATATGTATTTTGTTAGATTAATACCTATGTATGGTTTTTGTTACTAAGAAAATGATACACTATTTTAAATTTCCAATTCCAATTGTTCATTGCTGGCATACAGGAAACCACTGGCTTTTTAAATTAGGTGACCTCATAATCTAAAACTTTGATATAATTGCTTAACAGTTCCAGGAGGTTTATTTTTTGTCCATTTTTTTTGGGGGGGGGGGTGGCGGGCATTCTACACAGACAATCATTTCATCTATGAAGAAAGAGTTTTGTTTATTCTGCCCCAATCTTTATAGCTTTTATTTTTCTTGTCTTACTGTACTAGCCAGGACTTCCAACACAATGTTCAAGAGGAGTAGTGAGAGAAGACACACCTGCATTGCTTCCAGTTTTAGGGAAAAAGCATCTTGTTCCTTACCATTAAGTATGATGCTAGCTGTCGATTTTATGTAGATGTTCTTTATCAACTTGAGGAAGTTCCCCTCTACCCCTATTTGGTGAGAATTTTTCTCATTAATGAATGTTACATTTTTTCAAATGCATTTTCTGCATCTATTGGTGAGTTTTCTTCTTTAGCTCATTGATGATGATAGATTACATTAATGGATTTTCAAATGTCGCACCCAGCCAGGATGCATAGAATTAAAAATTATTCCCTCTCCTTCTATTTACTTGAACAGATTTAGAGAATTGAAATTATTTCTTCCTTACATGTTTGATAGAATTTACTGGTGAAACCATCTGAGCCTTGTTCTTTCTGTTTTTGAAGGTTATTCATTATTGATTCAAGTATTTTAATAGATTCAGATTATCCATTTCCTCTAGTGTGACTTTTGGTAGATGGCATCTATCAAGGTCCATTTCATCTAGGTTATCACATTTGTAGGCTTGGTTGTGTTAATAATATTCTTCCGTTATCTTTTTAACATCCATAGGATCAGTAACGATAGTCCCTCTTTCGTTTTTGATATGGGCAATTTGTATCTTCTCTCTTTTTCTCTTGGTTAGCTTGGCTATTGATCTTTTTAAAGACTCAATCAGATATTGGTGGGTTTGATTTTCTCTATTAATTTTCTGTATCAATTTCATTGATATCTGCTCTAGTATATATTAGTTCTTTGTCTTACCTACTCCAGAGTCCATTTGCTCTTCTTTTTCTTGTTTCCTAAGGTTAAAGATTATTCTTTTTAGATCTTTCTTATTTTCTAATATAGGCACTTGATGCTATAAATTTCCCTGTGAGCACTGCTTTTATTGCATCGAACAAAACTTTATAAGTTGTATTTTCATTTTGCTGTTTCATATAAGTGGATCAAACAGAATAATTTTAAATGAGATGGTTTTGTTTTTTTAAAAAAATACAGAAACTTCTGAACTTTACATTAAAGGACTTAACAAAACACACGCCTGGTATATCTCAGGTGATATTTTTCAGTTTGTTCTGGTGGTGGTGGATTCTGTACCTCCCAATGCTGGAACCATAGTTCAAAGCCACTTATGACACATTTCTTCATCATCCTCTCCCCTGTCCCCCAAGAACAAATGTTCATAAGTACCAATGGCTAAGTATTACTATGTGGATAATAATGTTGCATGTTTTGTCTCTGATTCCAAAAATGTAGAAACAATGCAGACCCTTGATAAAG
The DNA here is from genome assembly GCF_000001405.40 of Homo sapiens. Classification (NCBI taxonomy): domain Eukaryota; kingdom Metazoa; phylum Chordata; class Mammalia; order Primates; family Hominidae; genus Homo; species Homo sapiens. Next base: position 59,872,632 of record NC_000013.11, read on the forward strand.
GAGAGGTAAGACACTTCTTAGAGTATCAGGAATGGAGTGTCTTGTTTCTGGTTTTTATTTTTCATTTATAAAATATATAAAAGTGAAGTCTGAATTAAACCAGGGATGGTAATATTCACCTTCGGTGCTATCTCTGATGGGGTAGTTGTCTATAAGCCTGACGCCGAGGAGGATTCAGAGGCTGGGTGTTTGGGGGAAAGGGTAGTTTGATAGAGAAGCTATGCTTGCTATGAGAGCAGGAAGATGAAGGCACACAAGCAGCCTATTTGCTGAGCCTGAGCAAAGTCACTCCATCTTTTATAATTCTATTAGAAGAATCATTCTCATTTACAACATTTAACAGCAATTGAATAACAAAGGTGACATGAAAATAATTTACCAAAAACGCTATTTAGAAAAGCCAATTAAATATTTCTTAGAAAATGTCATAGATTAAATGTGTTAATGAATGAGTCAAAGGGGGTTAAGCATTCTAAATAGTTTCACATTGCTTTGGAAATCAGTATTTCTGTGATTTAACTGGCTGCATGTAAAATAAGAATGGCATTTGTTATTTGCAAGTCTTTGGCCCATAACTGCTTTACTTTCAAAGGTTGCCAAAATTTACTGGTATAATTTTGCCAACCTAATAAAGAATAAAAATCCCTCTCAAAATACCCTGAATGCAAATGGAACAATGGATTTGTTCGGCAGAGATCTTTCTTAAAAATAAATTCATAGAGTAAAGGAAAAAGTGATACATAGGGATCAAAACTTCACAAAAACGACTCACAGTGTTAACTTGTGTGAGTGTGACAGGTATGCAAAATACAAACTGCCTGAAATAGGCAAAGGTATCCTGTCTCATGCTTTTGTAGTCACTGAAACTCTACCTGTACAAGCTAGAGACTTGTAAAATGGCTCGAGAAACAGGCCTTCAACTTATTTCAGTTCCACTATGTGCCTGAAATTCACACTCCTTTTCAAAGTTTTCATTTTCAGAGTAATGTTTAGCTTGGCATGAGAGGAAAAGCAGCAATTTTTGAAAATATTTTCACCACTTTTTCTTTTTTTTTTTTTTTTTTCACTCTTTTTACCCAGGCTGGAGTGCAGTGGCATGATCTCGGCTCACTGCAACCTCCGCCTCCCGGGTTCAAGCGATTCTCCTGCCTCAGCCTCACGAATAGAGTAGCTGGGATTACAGGCGCCTGCCACTATGCCCAGATAAGTTTTGTAGTTTTAGTAGAGACAGGGTTTCTCTATGTTGGCCAGGCTGGTCTCAAACTCCTGACCTCAGGTGATAGGCCCGCCTCAGCCTCGCAAAGTGCTGGGATTACAGGCATGAGCCACTGCGCCTGGCCTCACCACTCATTCTTAAGTGAAGAAGTAAAGTTGTTTCGTTTTTGTCGTGGCTTTGGTGTTGGTTAATTTTCATTTTTTCATGTTTGCTTTTGGTTCCAGATCACCAGTCAGGGATTTTCCATTCTGGGATATGAAAGTAGGGCAGAAGACCAAGCGATTCACATTTCAAGTTGAGTATGAAAATCACCTAGGAAGTAGCTTTAAAAATGCCACCAATCAGGATCCACATCCATTCTTTCTAAGTTAATTGAACTGGTGTGGGGACTGCGGCATCAGTATTTCTTAAAGGGTACTCCAGGTTGCTAATCAATGTCATCCAAAAGCCATTTGTCACAATTTTGGAAAGTGTCTCATTAGGGTTGGTGGAAACATTAAAGAATATGAGAATTTAATGTTTGTTGCTGTTTCTATTGTTTTAATTATCTCCATCACAGCTCTGATGAAGTTATTCTACTTTTTCTACTTTTTGCTTATAAAAGGAATATCCAGAATCAGATAAAAAATTCATGCATTAGAAAAGAGAATTTAGGAAAAATTAATTTTGCCTGCCACCCCCTCACCGTCTTAGCACCTACTCCTCAACGCCCATAGCCCCATTACCATGTATTCATCAATGACTTCAACTCTGAGACGAACTCATTAGATATTCTACTGCCATAGAAAACAGAAGGCTTCCTACAAAGTGACAGTATGGATAAATTTAAAGTGGGATCAATAGTTATTTGTTTCTGCAATTTTCCCAAAGAATAACAGCATAAATACCAATAAAAATTAGTTATTACACGTGGTAAAACTCCTTCAAAACTTATATCTATTACCCCAATATAGGAAGTCAGTTGATTCAATCAATCACCTGGAACAAAGAGCTGCATCATCCTGTTGTATTGATCAGAATGATCTGTTACTCAGAAATTATACATCTTATTAGACATTAGTAAACATTATTAAACACATGTTATGGTTATTATATGTGGATTAGTAACATCTTCTTAAATTTACAAGTCAAAATTATCTCATATATTTTAATATGGTGTTGAACTTTGATGGTTGGGTCAATTCACTCTTTACCTAAAATCCTTTGAAAAAAATGAACTTGGCCCTATCAACGTGTCTCTTGGAGAAACATCTTTGATACTAACCAGATACAAACTTTTCTAGGTCAGCATTTTGGTCAGATAAGCATCTACCATCTGCCGATTTAATTTCTAAAGATATGTTTTCCACTTAATCAACAGCAGTCTCCCCACTCTCAAAATTAATATGATGTCAAAATGATATCCATTTTTTATCTGAAGTTCAGTACTACATTTGGAGGATTTTTTAATGACAAGCAGTCCTCCATTATTTCTGCAAGGTTTATCCTTTTAAAAAGTCAAGCCATCAGAAAGCAAGGTACTTACACCATTTTAACTAAACTAGAAGTAGCATTACTGTGACTGAAACGTACATTTTTTTTCACATCATAAGGGTTCGCATGGGGTGCCAGGTCCTTAAGAGGCCCAGAATACATATTTTGGGGGAGAGGGGAAGAGAGGAGGAGAAAGAGAGATTGTTCTAAAAAAAAAATCCTGACGAAACTGACTCATTTGTTGTTTATAACACTATTCAACACGTTTTCCTTTTGTAAAGATACATATGCAAAATTTCTTATGAAGGTTTAATCAGGGAAAACACTATTTTTGCTCATGAAGTGAAGTTTGCACATCACTTTGACCACCAAAAAGTCAAGCACCTATATAGCAACTTTAATTTTTATTTAGATCTTAATCATAAATTCAGTTATGTTTACCTTATATGTCATATTTTACTTTTTTGTCATATGTCACATGAAATCTTTGGGATATAAGAAAGCAAATCCTTTTCTCTCGAATCCAGAGATATTATAGTTACTCATTGCCATCCTGACTACAAATGTCTACAAAGCTATGATACAGCTCCCCAAACTAAACTATAATGGGCATGAAACTCAAGTATTCATGCTCTTATTTCTAAACAATGCAAAGTTAATTTAATATGAATTTTCATGAATTTTTCATACTTGAGTTAAATTCGTAAAGGGCATTTAAAAGTAAGGATTTTGGATATAAAATGTTAAATGTCATATAATTACCCAGCATGTTTTAACAGATTAAAATACTTCCTTGTCTTTCTACTGTCAAATATATATGGAATTCCTTGTGTAGAAGCTTATCATCAAACCAAATGCTTTATACTCAGTGTGAAAATTCAATCACAATTGTCAAAGATCAAGCTGCTACTTCTGATAACAAATATGATGAGATATCATCTTGTTCAATATATGCTTTCAACTTGACATGTAGGCTAATAAAAAACATGAAGTTGTAGTATTTATTTTGTTTCTTCCACAACAGAAGGCTCCTAAGAGGGATGATCAAAATACTCAGTATCATTGCAAGAAAATAAAGTCAACTCTTTATCTGCAGACAGATTAACTGGTTTGCCGACTAACTGTAGTAAAAGAATAACAGCTACATTGCATTTGTAAAAGATTTAAAAATTACTATGCATCAGTGATTGTATCTCAATGAGAGGATGTCTATTTATTTTCAACAACAAAATAAACATAAGACACTACTTTTTGTCTTATGACAAGTTTCATTCATTCAACAGCTATTTATTGAGTACTTACTATATACCAACCACTGCAGTAGGCTATCCTACCTCATTAATCACACCTAGTCTCCCTGTCAACAGCTCTCCTTAGAGGAAGGCATAAGGACATGAGGAAGAGCATGCAGCCAGTTTTTTTGTGTCAACTATAATTCTGAGATGTAAAACCTAAAGAGGATCACAGACACTTTTGCACGAGGAAACAGACTGTAGTACATGTGTGGCTGTGGATTAACTTTCCCCTATCTTGCCCCTCACCCTGTTTTTCTTACTTTGCCTTCCTTCTCAGGGAAAGCCTGAATCTGCCATTCTTGCTTGCCTCCTTCTCCTTCAGCTTCCAAGTTCATAACCAGCACACCTTGACAACTCCTCAGATGTCCCTGAATTTGTGTACTTCCCTACATCCCCACTACATTCTACCTCAAACCCTTCTGCCGTTACCTTAGCTTGGAACTCCATCATCTCAAAACACAGTGATAGCTACTTAGTGGACACTCAAACCTTTGCTAAATAATTGAATAAGGTAGCTTCAATCATATGCCCTTTAAGATACTGAGGTAAACAAGAGTAGAATAACAACAAAAAACCCCTGATCTCATTCTCTTTTGAGCAACCACTTCAAACATGCCAGTAGCAATATCTCCCATTAGTTGCCTAAGGTAGATACTTAGGAATTATTTTTGACCTTTCTCTCTTCTCTGCCACCCCCATACCATCTTTCCTATTACCTTCTCAGTTTGGTTTCCTCTGTTGCTCTCTTAGGTCTCACACTACATGTCAACCAAACACCAAATACCTCCTCAATGTAACCCTCTAACCCAGCGCTGTCCAATAACTTTATGCAATGATGGTAATGTGCCATATATATGCTGCCAACGGGTATGGACACTGAGCACTTGGCATGTGGCGAGTGTGACTGAGGAACTATGTTTTTAATTTTATTTAAATTTCAACTAATTTGAATTAAGTAGCCATATATGTTTCATGGCAACAGTACTAAACAGTGCAGCTTAACCTTCTTCCATACTGCTGATAGACATATCTTGCTACGAAACATCTGATCATATTACTTGCCTTACAGAGTGTGACTCCATAAAATCTCCATCATTAGGCAGGATATTCAAAGCTCTTTACAATCTAGACCAATTTATCACCTCAGTCTCATTAGCCCCACTCCTTTCCCATCTAGTTTGCAAAGGTAGTAGGCCACTCACTGTACTCACACATGCCATGCTATAACCCTTTTGGAAGCTGCTGACTCCTGCTTAGAACGCCTTTTCCTCTCACAGAACATCTGCTCATCCTTCAAGATCCAGCTTAAATTCCCATTTCTCTCTGAATATCTAACTGCCCTCTCATAGCTGAGCTAGGCTCTCTGTCTTAACTCTGCTGCCATAACTTTTAGTATGTGGCTTCATTAAAGCATTTCATCATAATTAATGGTTTACATGTGGAAAATATGAGTCTCATGTATGCCAGGTAAATATTAATCACATACATTAAAGATAGAATCTAAAGATAGAATCTGGCAAAGCATCTGGCACAGGACTTCACTCTGAGTAAGCCCACGAGAGATGTGCCAAGTCTTCAGGATGTGTTTTAGGAATTGCATCGCCCATGCTAGGGATCTTCACCAAATACAGCTGCCTAAGAAAACAGAGAGGAAAATAAAAGAATGGAGATGGGGCAAAGGAAACACTCACAAGGCATTGATAGCAATGAGAGGCTTAGGCCAGGGAAATTGTATAAGAAAATTCATGAAAGCCCCAATAGAATAAGCATGCAGTAAACCTATAGGTAAAGCAGAACTTGTTTTTCACCTTCCCTAACTAGCTGGCAATAGCAATAATCAAATTCCTTAATCAGGGAGTGTGGTTGTTACGAGGTCAAGAACAAGAAAAAGGTTTTCTTCTGATGTGTAACTGAGAAGAATTTGTTGTAAGCAGATCAATAAAGCCCTATTACTATGGCCCACTCCTCAGGAAAGAGCTCTGTTTTATAAAACATTGAATATATTTGCTGTAAGGAAATTCAACCTATGAAAGACACAGGAGAAAAAAAAGGCTCTAAACTTACTCCATTTTCATGTCCTCTAGAATTATATTTAGATAGAAACACTTCAAAATCAATAATATCCGAGTTGCATATATTTCCAATATAATAATTTCCCCTTTATATAAAGGGGTCCCATTTTTCTCTCCTTTCAGTCTGCTTATGAAAGCAATGCAGAGAAATATTTAAATAGTTAAAGGTAAAAATGTTAATGGCAATCCTAAGCAATATTCAATATATATACAGGTATCTGAACTGAGTAAGTACGAGTCAGTATTAATAATATTTTGACGTTCCATTTCATTGGTTTGAGAAAGCATAGGTTTATGATATAATTTTGTTATTAAATAAAATCCTTGAATTGGATTTGCAGATTGAAGAAAATTAATATTTGGATTTAGTTCAGAGGTTGAGTAAATTAGCTCAGTTCACTCTGGGTTTGAGTTCATGGTTCAGTTCAAGTTCTTGATAATGAGCACATCAAAATAAAAAAATATTTAAATAATGCAATCAGGGCTGACATTTAAGAGCAAGTGTTCAGGCAAATATGTGTTTTTAAAAAAACAAACTCACTTTACAGAGAGAGCTAAGGTTAAATCCGAAGGTTTGAGCATTCCGGGAGCCAGCATTCATGTAGTTTCCCATTAGCAATACAAGTTCCAGCAACTTGCTAAAGCTTTTGCTCTTCTTTATCTCTTCGCAGGCAGTACTGACAGCCATGATGTCAGGTTTGATGTTGTTCACCTGCTCTTCAAACTGAAGCTTAAAGAGAATAGCACTGAGCCGTGGCCGTAGTCTCTTCACATTGCTCATCTGATTGAAAAGAAAACAGCAGATTTCCTTTAAAATGCATGGTATAGTTTAGTACTGTACGACTGCAAGTAATCTGGGATGATTTATTGGTATGACAGTACCAAAGAAGAAATATGTCTCCTAAAACTGATAGCAGGAAGAGAGAAAAGCCCTGCTTGTTTTTGTAAGGAATCCAGAGTCATCCCTCAAAACCCAAATTAACAATTTAGATGCTCAATGAAAAGAAAGCTTTAATTAAATGATAATGTTTAATTAAGCAATAAAGTAAGCATTTTTTAAACTAAATTCTAAAAAGGTAACAAGATACATAGGCCACAAATTACAAGGCATTCATGTCATTATTTTGAATAATTTTTGTTCAATACTGCAATATACTGGGTCATGTTTAAAACACATTCAGAAAAGTCTAAAGAGGGTTTGTTTTCTTCAAATAGCAATTGCTGTCCTCAGAAACCCTGCTGACTAACAGTATGTGTTAGATAGAGGGAGAGTAAATAGGTCCCAATTTGTACTAAATTGACTTTCTTCAGAAACACAGGAAAGTAGAATGACTCCTGACACATACTAAATTAGCAGAATCAGAGTTAGGAAACATGGGAGTAGTAGCAGGCAGAAGCGGTGCAAACCCACAAATCTATCACATGCCAAGTTAACCCTGTCTGGGACTCTAGGTTTCTCTACTGGGAATGTGGGGGACTGGAGGTGTCTAAAAGAACAAAGGGGCAAGTTCCTGCCTTTATCCTTACTCCTGTGTTATATCAACACACATGCAGGAAATAATCACTTAGCTGTAGGCTGAAGACATACCACATATGAAGCTAGATATGAATTCCTTGACCAAACACACTAGGGATTTGGGACTTAAAACGCACTGAAGGGGCGGTAATAGTAAAATTGTTGAACTTCAACAACTATTGTAAATATCAAAAGCAGGTTAAGGCAAGGTCAGAAAAAAAGCAGTGACAGATTAAAATAGGGACTGTTTCTCCCTTAGTCACAGACTGTAAAGGAAAGGCTAAAAAACAATGCTATATGAAGCCTGTAGGATGCCAAATATAATGAAAATCATGATTGTTTGGGATACAGAAAGCTATCAGCTCATAATATAATAATGACCGTTACTTAAAATATACTAGACAAAGGCTTATAAGACTCCAATATATTATAGACACTGCCTTAATGACTAAACATAACTCAGCTTACTCATCTGACAAAAATTGAGCAATAAAGAATTAGTTCTTTGTACACAACTCTGAGAGAATATTTTCATATAGACCAAAGCCCTATAGTGAATGAAAAGTTCCATTTTCAAATAATATAAATATCTAATTTATACTTAGCTTTCTCCCCAGACCCTTGCCAAATTAAATGGTTATTCATATACAATCAAGATTCTAAGGGCTCAATTAATGTAGTTATTAATAAGAAGTCTACTTTACAAGGCACTTTAAGGAACGTCTTCATATTCCACTGTCTAGGAAAAACAAAGAATGTAAGTTCAACAAGGACCAAAAAAAAAAAAAAAAAAAGAAGAAGAAGAAATATCATTAAGTTTATAGAGTAAGTTTAAGCGATATGAAATTATAAAGAGACAAAGATGTACTATTATAATGTTGATTCTTATTGGGCATGAATTGTTCTTTTTAAGCAGTGATCACTTATCACAAAGACATTTGTCTTAAAATATATTATATTTTAAGACAGATGGGTTCACTTACCTGGATTTTTTTTATCCTTAACCATTGCAAAAGGAAGATGTTCATATGACACTGGTAACATGAATAATGCTCTATTACACTTAATATGTCCTTTAGAGCAGTCAGACATACAAAAGAGCACTCACATGTAGTACCTGTAGTTATGGCCATTCTGAAGGTGTATAATGGGCTCATAGCATCGCTGTTTTCAGTAAGTGCCATTATTCATGATTATGAAGCCAGGTACTTGCAATACATATGAGAAGAAATTCTCCAGTATTCTATGCAAAACATTTGTATTACGAAATATATTAATTCTAACATATATTAATGTACTACTACATTCATGCACAGAAGAAAAAAGAGACTGCTTAAATGCCTACATTATACCACCCCAAAATATGTTAAAGCTTTCCTGCTGACAAGCTAACCATATGTAGCCAGCATAGAGTAATTAATTCTCCTAGAAAAATATAACCTAGATTTGTATGAATAATGAGTGTATCTGGCACTAGGGACAGGTACCTTGAAAAGATAGAGTAAGTCTATGATGTAATGCAGAACAAAGTGCTACAAGTTCATGAAAATCCCTGACAAGGCAAAGTCAGGAAATGTAACCTAAAAACAAAGCTTTGAACAACACTTAAAAAAAAAATTAGATGTCCTTTTCCTATTGTTCTTTCTTCCAAGTTTAGATAAATCAGTATTTGACTATTATTGAGTAAATGTGTTTTAATAAATAAAATTATTGAGTGGGAAAAGAACTTGAAAGGTCACCTGGAGAAGGTGCCTGTCTTTAGTTCACTATTTAGTCATATGATGACCCCTAGGCCAAATGGTTGCCCTTTTTATTTAACAACAAAATATCATTTAAGGTTAATGTTCCAAGATCTAAATCATGGAATCTATGATAATAACAGAAGGGTTACTTTTCTTTTTTTGAGGCAGAGTCTCACTCTGTCACCCAGGCTGGAGTGCAGTGGCACAATCTCAGCTCACTGCAACCTCTACCTCCTGGGTTCAAGCAATTCTCCTGCCTCGGCCTCTTGAGTGGCTGGGATTACAGCCATGAGCCACCACGCCCGGCTAATTTTTTGTATTTTTAGTAGAGACAGTGTTTCACCATGTTGTTCAGGCTGGTCTCTAACTTCTGACCTCAAGTGATCCACCCACTTGGGCTTCCCAAAGTGCTGGGATTACAAGCATGAGCCACTGCGCCCAGCCCTTTTCCTCATTATTTGAATCAAACTTTATTTCTTCAGGTGGAATCAAATAAAAAGGGTTAAGAAGGGGGAAAATATATGTATATGTAAAAAGCCCGACCAATGTTTCCGCATCCTCACCACTTCTCATATTCTATCAACACTGGGGATTTGCATTCTGTTTTCCTGCTAAGAAAACTAAACTTCTGACTTGTCTAAGACTAAGTGGAAGGCAGAAATGAACTATGGTGCTCAAATAATACTCTGAATGGCAACAGAAAGTCATTTTTAAAAATGAGAAAAAGGAAAGGGTAAATGAACAATAAACATAAAATGTAAGCTAGTTAATAATTAGAATGCTAGAAGAAATTAGAATTTCATTTTTACAGTTATCCTTTAAATCTATTGTTACAAAGTCTTGGCAATATAAATTCACGAAACCCAAATCTGACAATAATGAGATGTAATCTGAAGATCAATCCAAAAAAGGAAAAATACATTGATTTCACTCCTGTTTTTCCTGAAGGCAGGGAGCAGTACTCCTGTAACCCCCCCACACACAGATGTCATATGTCAGAATGAAGAGATGTTAAAAGCAGTGACTGGTAAAAATCAAGAAGCAATATCCAGAACCCTAAGGGTAATTTTATTTCAAAATTTTGTTTGTTGGCAATATATGTTGTTAGAGAGGGAACAACGTAAAAAGACCTTTAGAAAAATCAATGAACTAACAAGTATTGACTGGGCCCCATTCAGTGCTGTGAGGGGCACAGGAGCCATAGCAGCTGCCCCTGTAGCCCTTATCGTTGAATTCTTTCTGCCTGTCTTAAGGAGTATAAAGTCAGAAAGGTCCCCAGGAAGATGTAATCTCTCAAAATCTCATTATGGTTCTATTTTTCACATATAATTTTATCCATTATTCTATAAGGAAAAAAATCATTTTTTACATCAACTTTGTTTAACACCATATCTACTTCTCTTTATACATTTTCTTTTATAAATACAGGTTGTCAGATGTTTTTTTCCCCCGTCCTACTATGCAGACTTAACATGGCACACCTCAGAAGGATTTATTTTTTATTCTTTTTTATTCTTCCCTGAAGTTATTATGAAACTTCACTGTTCACTTAACTCTCTAACAGTATAGTAACCTGCTGACTGGGAAGTTACTGGCCTCGGTCTTAATTTATAATACTCTAAAAGCATTAGTTCATCTACTTTGTAGATATCACATTATAAGAAATAACAGAAAAGCATTTCAGGAAGGTGAAATGACTCTTTCAAGTCACCTGGCTAGTAGGACCCAGGCCTAGAGCTAACTTGCTGCTAATCAACTGTCCTTACCACTCAGAGCATCGCAATGTGGAAATTAAGAACCACAATTTACAAACCATCTGGAACTCAAGCTTCCTCTGCTATGTTTTCTAGTAGGTAAGAATGAACTTTAATTTCTTCACAGTAGTTATCAAGTAACACCCTGCAATGAGCTCTGCCTGCCACCTGTACTATCTCAATATTTCTTACCTTCCTCCTTAATATACCCAACTACCTCCTATTGTGCTGAATCTTTAATACTTTTTCAGATCTACTTTTGTTGTCTCTCCACATCAGGGATCCCACACCAGTAACTGTTAGAAAACAGGCTGCATAGTAGGAGGTGAGCAGCGGGCCTGAGCGAGCAGGTGAAGCTTCATCTGTATTTATAGCTGCTCCCTATTGCTTGCATTACCACCTGAGCTTGACCTCCTGTGAGATCAGTAGTGACATTAGATTCTCATAGGAGCGAGAACCCTGTTGTGAACTATGCACGCAAAAGATCTAGGTTGCATGCTCCTTATGAGAATCTAATGCCTGGATGATCTGTCGCTGTCTCCTATCACCCTCAGATGGGTCCATTTAGTTGCAGGAAAACAAGCTCAGGGCTCCCACTGATTCTACATTATGGTGAGTTGTATAATTATTTCATTATATAGTACAATGTAATAATAGAAATAAATGCACAATAAATGTAATATGGTTGAATCATCCCAAAACCATCCCCCTGCCATCTATGAAAAAAGTGTCTTCCATGAAACCATTCACTGGTGCTAAAAAGGTTGAGGACTGCTGCTCCACACTACACTCTCCACTCATACTCTCCTATTAGCTAATTCTTCAGTTCTCTATGGGAGAGGTATGATAAGCAAGAAGAATGTGAAAAAACAAATGCAGTTTTATGAAAGACAAGAGAAAATACTTTGAGAAAGTAATGTGATCTAATACATCACAGAATTAAGACACTAGAGAAAAAATTTTTGAGCTTGATTTTTCTAATGATATAAAAAATATCTTTCATTGTTAACAGACCAATATGTTCATGATCTCCAGAATTCTCAGAAAAAAACACAAGTTCATTTCACTTGGAGAAAGGCTTCAAAAAAAAAAAAAAAGCTATTCAAGTGACTTATGCCTGAGGTAATACTCAGAATATCAAAACTGTTTTTAAAATAAATGTACTCTTACGATATTAAAGCTGCTATGCTAAAGTTATTTAAGAAAACTATACAAAAACAAAGTACATATGGTATAATTTTTACATATTTCATAGGAGAAAGGTAAAGCCAAGGCTTGTACAAAAATATTAAAAGGCTAAAATGTATATTCCTCCACTTAGTCAAGAAATAAACAATTGGCTATAGACATTAGAGACTGCTGCACCTTTGTTTATAAATCCTTATCAATTCTGGATCACTAAGGATTTCACAGGAGGTCCAAATGAGTTCTGAAGATACTCAGGATCATCAAGTGGTAAAGCTATGATTGGTAAAGCTAAAGAACAAAGAGACTTCCTATTTAATTTGGCAGTCTCAGCACACAGTCTTAACACATAAGTTTCATATCTCTTGAATTAAAAAGCTGGCATAAACCCCAGAATCATATTAGTGTCTTAAATTCATTCATGCCCGCTTCCAGACAATCCCCATCCCATCGTAGAAAACCAGTGTTTTGATTTCAATCACTATAGCTTAGTTTTGCCTGTTCTTGAAATTTATATTAATGAAACTATACGGTAAACAGTTTATATAGCTGGCTTCTTTCACTAAAAAAAAAAAAAAAAAAAAAAGACTGAGATTTATACACACGTTGTATAATTCAGTACTTTGTTCCTTTTTATTAATAGATTTCCATGCAAGAATATACCAAAATTTGTGTATCTACTTTCCTGCTGATGGACTTTCCCCCCAACCCACCCCAGTTTGGAGCTATGTAGTGAGTTGAATTGAACAGAGACCCACAAAAGGTATGTCTAAATCCTAACCTCTGCTACCTTGAATGTGATCATATTTGGAAACAGTTTTAGCATACGTAATTAAATTAAGAATCTCAAGATGAAATCATCCTGGATTTAGGGTGAGCCCTAGACTGGAGTGATACATCTACCCAGAAACGCCAAGGATCGTGAGTAGATTAATGAAGCTAGCAGAGTGGTATGGATCAGATTCTCACTCAGAGACTCTGGAAGAAAGGAACCCTACCAATGCCTTCATTTATGACTTCTGGACCCCAGAAATGTGATAGCATAAATCTCTGTTGTTTTAAGCCACCAAGATCGTAGACATTTGTGGCGGCAACCCTAAGAAACTAATACAGGCTATTTTAATACTTTCGTATGAGTGTTTTCATTTCTATTAAATTAGTAAAAAATATAGTACAAATGTATACCTAACCTAAAACATTGCCAAAGTGTTTTTGCAAAGTAGGTTATATGATTTTATATTCCTTTTACCAACTTATGTTTTATTCTAGTTATCTTTTATCTTTTCATGTTTAGGTCCGTACTCCATTCCTCTAATTATTCAGTAAGGTGTGATGCAGGAGTTGAGATTCATTTTAGTCCCTAAGATGTATAGACTTTACAAAACTATTTGATACAAAGAACATCATTGAATATCAAATGATGGTATTTTTGTGGGTCTATTTCTAACCTTCTAGAAAGCTTAGTTGTATATCCTTAAGCCAAAACTTTTGCCTTGATGTTAAATCAGTAGTTTAGGTCCACCAAGTTTGTTGTTCTTTAAAATTGGTTTTCTATATTCTATGTCCTTTGCATACCATATGAATTTTAGAAATCATTTGTCAATTTCTATAATAAAACCTGCTGAGATTTTGATTGGGAATGTGTGAAATTCCTAGGTCATGTGAGGGAGAAATGAAATCTTAACAATACCAACTCTTCCAGTCTATAAGCATAATAAATACCATTTCTTTACAACTTCTTTCATTTCTCTCAGCAATATCTTACAGTTTTCAGTAGAAAATCTGCACATATTTAGTGAAATGTATCCCAAAGTATTTTTAGTTTTTTTTATGACATTGTAAATAATACTATTTTAATTACATTTAAATTTTTGCTGTTTGTAGAAAAAAATAACTATTTTTGGTACACTGACTGTATTCTATGACCTTTTTCAATTCACATAGACAATTAGGTCAGCTGAAAAAAAGAAAAAGATGGTATACTTTCTTTCCTCTAATGTATTCATCTTTTATGTTTTCTTGTTACACAGACTAGTACATTATAATGCTGAAAGGAAGTAATGCAAATAGACACCTTTACCAGGTTCTCAACCATAAAAGACAAGTCATCTAATCATTCACCCTTAAGTTGAGTATAACTCCAGGTTTCTCATGGATGTCCTTTATCAAAATGAGGAAGTTTCCTTCTATTTCTAGTTTGTTGAGTTTTTTCATAAAAAATGACTGAATTCTGTCAAATGCGTCTTATTTCGCATGTATTTAGGTAATTATGATTTTTCTCATAATTACCTTGTATTTTTTTATCTGATAATATGGCTAACTAATTAATTTTGAAATGTAAAACCAACCCTGCATTCCTGGGATCAATTCCATGTGGTCATAACATACTCTCCTTATTAAGTTCAGCAATATTTGATGCAAAAATATTTTGTTGACAACTTTTGCATCTATGTTCATATATGATATTAGTTTCTAGTTTTGCTGTAGTAGATTCCCTTCTTTGATTCCTGATACCAGTAGTTTGAGAATTTGGTTGTCTTTTTCAGCGCTTCATTTTCATTTGGCTCAAAATAATTCCTTCTTTGGCCCACCGGTAATTTTAAATTAGGTTATGCAATTTTTAGACTGTGGTAGATGTTCTATTATTGTTGTTGTCTAACTTAATTCTGTTATAGACAGAAAACATACCCTGCAAGATATCTATATTTTGAAAATTACTGAGGCTTATTTTATATTCCCATATGGTCTACCTTGGTAAACATTTGATATGCGTTTAAAAATAATGTGTATTTTGCAGTTGTTGTAGATAGTGTTCTATAAATATCAGAACAAGTTGGATGATAGAAGTATCTTGATTTTCTAAGAATTTACTGATTTTTTTTGTACACTTTTTCTAGAATTTATTCAAAGAGGAGTGTTAAAGTCTCATTATGATTGAGAATTTGTATATTTTTCCATTTTTTTCTGCCAGGTTTTGCTTCATAAATTTTGATGCTCAATTTTTAGGCATACATATTTAAAATGATTATCTCTTCCTGGCAAGTTATTATTTTTGTTATTGTATACTGATACTTCATTTCTTATAATATAGTTTGCCTTGAAAGATACCTTCTTGGAAATACACATACCCATGATATTTTTCATGTGCTATTTTATTACTATTTGTTTTCCATATGTCCTTTCTGCCTTTTTCCCCACTGCTATGTTTGAGTGTTTGTGTCCCACCAAACATAAATGTTGAGAACTTACTCACCAGTGTGATAGGATTATGACATGGGGCCTTTGGGGGTGATTGGATCATGAGGGCAGAGTCCTCATGAATGGGATTAGCACCCTCATAAAAGAGGGTCCAGAGAGCTGCCTTGTCCCTCCACCATCTCAGAACACAGATAGAAGGCAACATATATGAATCAGAAATAAGTGGGCCCTCACCAGAAATGGAGTCGGCCAGCACCCTGATCATGGAAGTCCCGGCTTCCAGAACTGTGAAAAATAAATTTCAGTTGTTTATAATCCATTCAGTTTACAGTATTTTGTTACAGCAGCCAAAATAGACCAAGACAACCTCTTTTATCCCTTTTCTGCTTTGTGTTAGTCAAGCAATTTTTAGTATTCTATTTCGTCTACTGGCTTAACTATGCCTCTTTTTATATTTTCTCTGGTTTGTCTAGGATTAATACATCTTAATGTATCAATCTAATTGGAATTATAAACCCTGTTACGCAATGTTTTTTATTACAAATTTTCTTTCAAAAAATCATAAGAAAAAAGGTTTTATTTACTATTTCAGGTACTCTTCATTACTTTTTGTAGATCTGAGTTTCCATCTGGCATATTTCCCTTTTGCCTGAAGGACAACTTTTAGCATTTCTTGTAGGGTAGGAATTACTGTCACAAACTCTTTCAGCTTTTATAATACTAAAAATGTCTTCATGTCACCTTATTTTTTTTTAAGACATCCATTAGATAGAGAATTCTGAGTTTACAGGGTATTTTTTTAACACCTTTCTGTTGAGCTTCTTGCATTTTAAACTCTTCTGTTGACTTCTGCTGTCTATTACTTCTATGAAGCCAGCAAAATCTTTTATCTTTGTTTTCCTACATGTACTGTGCCTTTTATCTTTTTCCTCCCCTCAAGATACTTTTATCATTTTCTCTTTTTCTTTGGTTTTCCACAGTTTTACTAGGCTGTGCCATGATATCTTTTTCTCTTTATATTTTTCCTAGTTGGGATCTGCTGAGCCTCTTAAACCCTAAGTTTATGTTTTTCACTGAATGAGACTTTTTTGTCCATTATTTCTTCAAATATTTTGTCAGCCACAATCTTACTCTCTTATCCTTTGGGGACTCCAGTTACAGGTATTTTAGACTGAATGATATCTACCCAATAATACCTGCTGTTTATTACTTTATTCAGTCTTTCTTCCTACATAACTAAGAGAAAATAATCACTATAAAACTGCCTTCGAATTTCACTGACTCCTCTGCCATCTCCAATATACTATTAAACCCACATACTAAAATTTTTAATTTAGTTATTGAACTTTTCAATAATTTCTATATAGCAATTTTTTTTATAGTTTTCATTTCCCTGCAAATATTCCTTAATTATGACCATGTTTTTCTTTAATTCTTTGAAGATCATTTGCTTTAGTTCTTTGAACATATTTGTAGTATCCTTATTTTGTCTTTGCAAGTGAAATCCAAAACCTGGGCCATTTTGGACTTCTTTTTTTCTTGATAATACATCCCATTTTATTATTCTTTAATTTTTAATTCAATATTGCATTCAATATTGAATACTTACTTACATATAACCACTCTCAGTTCTGTAATATCCCATTGAAAACTATTTGTTCTTATTTGAGCAGTCAAATCAATCACTGGGTGATCATCTTAAGTTGTATAGTTCACTATAAACTTTGTTAGTGTAGCTCTCTGGAAAGTAAGATTTGTTTTCTTAGACCCTCTAACTTAGTGAAACTCAATCTCCAACCTGTTTTCCCTGGGGAGTTCATCAAGACGTGCTATAGGTTTTATTAGGGTGGGTCTAGACTAGGTCTTTAGGGTGTGGCCCTACTTCCTAAAGCACCAGCTTTTCCTTATTTGATTGAATGTCAAATATGCTAATGAAGTGTTAAGATGATCTCTGTAATTTGGCAGAGCCAGAAGTACAAAGCTGAACCTCTAGTATCTCTGTTCCACTCTCACCCTGTAGCAGCTGCTATCTGGCTAGTCTTGCTCAGTGTATGAACACTCCAGCTCCCAGGCACAGACACAAGGGAGATACCCACGTGGACTACTGGAGTTCCTTTCTGCACAATTCCTTCCCCATTAGTGCTCTGCCCTGTAGATACCAGCTGTTTCACTGCCATAAATTCTGATCTTTGCCTCCTCAGCTCAGAGAACTATATTCTCTGCTAGAACTCAAATCTCTGTAATTTAAGTGGAAAACTGTCACCAAGCCAAAGGCTGAGTATTCATGAAACTTTTAAGTTTCTGTTCTCTCAAGAACTGCAGCTTTTCTCTACTGGCTGCTCACTGTCTGAAAACAGTTGACCTGGATATTTTGTCCAGTTTTATCACCGTTAGCAGTTTATATATGTTTTGTTATATGTATTCCTAAGCATTTTTTAAGTTTTCTGATGTTGATGTCAACGTAATTTTTACAACTTTTTACTATAATTTCCGTTTTTAAAATACAAAAAAAAAAATCCTGTACCCAAATTAAACATGCTGTCCACATACTGCTTCACTTAATTCATCATATTCTTTCTCTCTTCTTCTCCACATATATACATATATGTATGTATATATGTATGTATGTATAAGGTGCTCTCCACAAGTTTTTCCAATGTTAAATTACTGTTTCTTTCCTTTATAATTAATAGTTTATGGGGAGCTGTTTCGAGGCTATGTAAATAGTATGTATATAACCTATTTTCACCAAATTTTCACATTTGTATCAACAGAGATAGCACACTAACTAGAAAAATACAGAATCTACTCAACTTTATTAAAACTGAACTTTACGGACCCTTTCAGAAACAGCAGTACCTTCAAGAGCATGACATAAAAGTGCAAATGAACCAGAATATATCTACAATAATTTCACTTTAAGCCACAACTGCAACAAAATTGTCTAACTTCAGTGATTTAGTTCCATAAGTCCAGCCTCCTCTTTTCCATTATGTTTCCAAAATAGTCTTACAAGAGTATAGGTAAAGCAAATCTCAAACCTCATAATGAGATTTGAAGAGTACAGAAAAATGATTCCTAGGCACTAGATGAAAGTCAGATCTAAAAGCAACCTTAAAACAATGTTGTTTGCAAAGTGATGAATCACAAGAGACCTTTTTGCTTATAACTACAAAATGCTTTAGGCTGTATTTCAAATGAATGATGCATGGCTGGTAATTAGTATGTGACTATAATGATGTTTTGTTTTGTTTTTCCAAATGAAAGAAATTAAGCAGATTGTGCCATAAAATTTCAACACTACATAGATGGTCTAACTAGAAAGCATCATGTTTCCATACCAAAAAAACCCCAAAAATTATCATCAAAAAAAAAAAACAATCTACAATTCTATGATAAAATAAAATGCCCCCACTTTTTAGCAGGAATTTAGTGGGGAAGTGGGGATTTTAGATTTTAAATCCCATATAAGAAAAAGCAGAAACTAAGAAAATTTTGAAAAACGTACTTTGAATTAGCCATCAATTCAAGTTCCTGCTTAAATATTCTAGGTAATTTTTTACCTCGAAGTTAATCTTCAGCTATTAAAAATAAATTGCAGAAGCATTTAAACAGGGAAACCACTGCTAAAAGCAACTTTAAGTACAGTAGGTACCTATAGCAAACAGAAACACAAGAGTGATTGCCACCATAAGAAATGAAGTATGGCCTTAGTGTCAAAAAAGCATGGTTCATAGCTGAGCTGTAATAGTTACCGGTTGAGTAAACAGGTCAAAAAGTTGCCTAATCTATGTGATGGTAATGCCTATTTCTGCAGTTATATGAAAATGAGACTTAACTTTACTCATTCATTGTGTATCAAATATTTATTGAACCCTTATTTATGTGTCAAACACTGATTTAGGACCTGAAGATTCATATTAAACAAACAAACAAACAAGCAACAACAACAACAACAAAACAAGAACCTGGTGCACATGGAATATACCATAAGTAAGCAGAGGGAGAAGGGGAGAAAAAGAGATAGAAAAACAACAAACAAATCAGATCATTTTAAACAAAAATAAACGCTATAAATAAATGAAAAAGAGGGTAACATAGATAGAGAATGATGGGGGGCAGCATCATTATAATGAAAACTTCTATAAGGAAGTGGCATTTGGGCCCAAGAGGAAACAGCAAGAGGAAAACCTAAAATGAGAACAAGAAAATGTATATAGCTCAAACAGTGGAAAAGGACAAGGGTAGTAAAAGTTGGGATTAAAGAAACAGAGACTACATTATCTTATAAATTATCATGAAACTGGAAACCATTAGAAGGGTCAAAGAAAAAACTGAAAGAATTCATTGGCACTAAAAGAAATGTTAAAAGCATTTCTTCAGGAAGAAAGGAAGTGATTTCAGATAGAAGTCTAGATTTATAAAATGATGTGAATAACACTGGAAATGGTATATAGGTAAGTAGATATAAAAGACTCTTTTTAAAAAATAAAAAGACTTAAAATTTCTTTCAAAAAGAAATACTCCAAGTCCTAAAGCACCAATAATATAGCAAAACAAAGAATAAGAGTGAATAAGTCAAAAAAGATAACACAGACTCATTAAAAATACTCAATCCAAAAGAAGGTAGAAAAAGAGTAGCAAAGAATAGATGAGATAAATAGAAAATAAATAGTAAGATGCTAGATTTAAACCCTGCCATATGAATAACCAGATTAAATTAAAATGGTCTAAACACTTCAATTAAAAGGCAGAAATGGTCAGACTGGATTAAAAAGCAAAACTCAATAGACTGCCTATAAAAACTGTAGGTTAAAAGATAAAGGATAGAAAAAGGCATAGCATGCAATCACTAATCAAAATAAAGCTGAAGTGGCTATATTAAGATAACACAAAGTAAGTTTCAGAAACCATTAGAGTATTTGAAGTTTGTGAACGACATAAAATCTCATTTAATAACAAGAGTCAGTAGCTGCTATGTGAAAATAGTATATTCAAAACATGAAGCACAGGTCCTGAAACAGTAAATAACAAATGGCAAATACAAAAATACATATGGTATGATGAACCGCCATAGCATCAGCATCTCTAACATTACATCTTTTCTCAACAATATTGTTCTAAGATTAATAACCATATTTTATTCTACTTTAAATGTGGCTTTCCATTGCCATTTCATTAACATTTATGAAACAAACACACTATAAGCATGGCAACCCCTGCCGTACTTTCAGAATTTTATTTAACAAAAGAGGGATTATGAGAATTCATTAAAATACTATAAATGTGATACTTACATTCTAGAGTCACTTGGCTAAATCCTCTGAACTTGCAAGTGGTTAATTAACTACATGTTCAAGATTGATCAGTGGACCAGGTAAAGGTCAGTTAGTCACAGAGTAAAAGGGAAAGCTGGAGCTGGGGAGGTAGGATCCAAACAAAACACAATGCAGTCAGATCCCTGAATGCAATTCCAGCCAGCTAATGGTTTTATATCTATCTTTAAAAGCAGACATAACCAGTAGACATTAAAGTTCTTGGTGGTCTTCTAGGGAGGCAGGGTCAGGGGTAGAGATACAGACAGTGTGACACAGGAAAAAGCCCTCTATGTTGCAGATTAGTTTATTCAAAAATAATGAACAAGAGAACCTTTTTCTATGATATTTGCTAACCAGCTCATATTTCGAACAATAACTCTGCCCACATACTCTTAAATGACTAATTCCTTGCCTTAAGTTTAATCTATGCGATTTTACAATTCTTGTTTTTTGCTGATGCCAGGATATTAATGACAAAAGTGTTTCTCTATATTCCAAACATAAACCCATTAAGAACGACAGCTTGCTGTGTTTCTTAGTATTGATTGTATGCAATTTTTATTCTTTGTTTCTACGTTAGGACAAGTAAAATTCATTCAGGGACTTCTAAAAATAAATTGGTAGCCTTTCAATAATTCATCTGGTATTTGGGTTATGCTTTATTTCAAGCCATTGATTTGGTGGGTGCATTTTGGGAGCATTCAGATCAAATCACTGTGATACATTTTTTTTCAGGCAACTCCTCTGCCCTTCAGTAATAAAGTATACCCGTTGCTATTGTCTGAGGATATCAGAAGGGCCAGGTCTGTGATCTGCAATTTAAGCAGAATGGGAGATACTAAAATGTGGGAAGACAAAGGAAAACCTACTGAAGATGGGACATCAGGTGGCATTCAGGTAACGGACATAATAAAGGATGAGGCTATAATTAAGGCTCGTGGGCATAAAAAAAATAGGCAGAAACCTGCGTTTTAGGAAGTACAGGTTGAGGAAACAGTGGTCTCTAACTGCTAAGAGAGATCATTAATGAGGCCAGCAGTCAAAATCATGGATAATTCCAAAGGAAGTGGTAATAAGAATTCAGTAAGAAGTAGCTAAGACCACAGCAGACATAGTCCTTCCCAGGAGAAAAAAAAAAGAAAGAGAGAAGAAAAGGAAAGAAGTCTCCCCTGCCCCCCCACCCCTCAAAAGCACATAAATAGAATGAGAATAGAACAGACAATTGAGCAGTAAAGAAAAAGATTGTCATGAAGCTAATTGAACTAGTTTTCTCTTAATTACATTAAAAATATGAAATGTTTTTGGAAATTCTGGGTCAGAACTTAGGAAAAACAAATACAGTGTCAAGGAAACTTATAACAATATTAAGCTGCTGGAACCTTAAATCTTTTCAGAAAATACTAGCATTCAAGTGATCAGAATGATTTAGGCACTTTACTGTGGCTAGTGATTCCAAGGAGAGCTACTTAAAAAGGAAACATTGATAAAATAGGGTAGAAAGACTCCATTTGTCCAAAACATAAAACTTCAGTAATGCCACATAGCTTACCATAAGAAGATGACACATAATGCTACAACAAGGAACAAAATATTGACAGAATAAAAACTGACCTAATGACAGTTTCAGCATAAAGCCACAAACTGAGAACCCTTAAACAAATTAAAATTTATATTACTAAGTTTTGACTATTTAATGCATAAATGTAAGTCAATATACTGTAAGTGGGACAGTATAAACACAAAAAAAGGAATTTCCTAACATATAACAATTTGAACAAATTCCTAGATTTTCCTTGGACAAATATAGTAAATCAAATTATTTGGTAGTGGTGATGCTGGTGGCATATAAGTTAGTGCTAGTGTTTCACTAAACGGGAAAAAATCACTTTGGCTATTCGGTATCCGCTCTTCTAAATAACTGTAATATCTAGACTTGGATATAAAATTGGCATCCTTGGAAAAGAAAGAAAAATAGCAGTAATGGAAAATAGCAGACTTGCAGGATAGGAAACTTGATCCAATGTTAAAGGAAAAAAAAAAAAACAAAAAAAAAACACATTTATCTTGTGAAAAGAGCCAAGTCTGGTATGGAAGACAAGGATGTTTAATGACGCATATAATTTAATACAAAATAAAAATATAAGAAAAGCGAAAAAGGGAAGAAAAATCAACTCAGACAAAGACTATAATTAACCAAATACATATGGGGCCAAAACACTACCACCCTTTGTCTCAGGAGCCACAACGTGAATGAAGTTAAATAAAACTGTTTAAAAGTTGATTCTGAGTATCTCAGAGAAATTTTCAAGTGCTTGGCCTCAGATTGCCAGTTTCCCTGTTAAGCTGAGGACAGAAAATGGAGAAAGGCCTACTCAAGAGAAGTCAGTGGTCAGGCCACAAGAATAATGAGCCAGACGAGGTAGTCGACATTCTAGAAGTGTACACATTCACTGGGCTCTTTAAGGATGGACAGGGGAATCCTCTCCCATTTGGGTCTTTTATTTCTGAAGACAGAAAATAGGGACAAGATTGATCCTAAACAAAAACGTAAGGTAAACTCTATTTTTAAAAACCTTTCCCTTTGCATTCATTTACCTTTTTCCCACCTCCTGTGTGCATCTAATTCTTTGCCAATATATCAAGAACTCTGTGCCTAAAAACAACACAGTGTGGTGGAAACAAAATGAAATATGGAAATGTAAGTTTAGAAATCCGCAGTTTCAATCTTTCTCTTTTGCTTATGGCATGTGGAGGAGGTCTTGGTTAAGTAGTCTATTCTATATGAGTTTCTGTTCTTATAACCCTGAGGAGCTATTATAAACAATATGTCATATACATGTATATAAACATACTTTGTGAACTGTAAGTCACTAAATAAACTTCATATAACTGCTATGTAATTACTTGTCTGCTCTATAGTGGCTCATTTGATGCGATATTATGCCATTAACCTGAAACTCCAAAATTCACCTCTCTCCCCGCTCCCTTTATCCAAACCATCATCTTTTGAGTATCACAAGTCACAGATACCATATTTTAAAAGTTAATCAGACTAAAGGAATGCAGAGTAAGATTTTAATCTCCTCTAGGTATCCTAAAGCATTATATGATTTACAAACAGAAGGCTGACCTGATGTTTTATAATATCTCAGGTAGTTACATGAACTGCAGTATTTTTGGTGGGGGAGGCGGGGGTGGAGGCAGGGGGGTCGGTCCTTGAACATACTTCCGTAACAACTATTAGGCTGTTATTATACACAACTCGTTGATTTTAATTTCAGGGGATTCCGAGAAATCCGGGATACCTAGTCAGAGAGTTAGAGGTAGAAAGCTTTTAAAGGCTCATATTTCTAGCCCCAACATGTGCAACTAATATCAGAAGAGAAGCTTATTCTAATTACTTTTTTAGTAATTTAGATTATACTCTTGAAACCCACTGTGTTGAAAAGAAAATAAATAACCCAGCACTGTGTCTCAATATGAGATCTGGAAGTCACAATAATTGATCACACTGAAATGCTCATCAGTTAGTATCTACCTTTATGTCAACCCCTATATGGCATCCCCTTTGCTACTTTTCACTGCAATCAATTGTGTCTACTTGAAAGCCAAAGTATAGAAAGTCTGGAAGGTAAAAATTGCTCAAAAAGAGTTATTAAAAAAATTATATGTGTTTTATAAAATCATTGAGAAAGAAGAGGGTATCAAAAGAAGAGAGTAGAGGAGAGCATCTGAGTAAGATTCTTATTCAAGTGTTAGAAGATATGGGAAAAGAGTCAGGGAGGAGTCAGACATTAGAAGCACAAGGGAGCCAGGAAAGAGAACAAAAAGTAGATATAATTAATAGGGTGAAATGCTGACCAGAGGTCAAGACCACACAAAATGAGAAATGAAAGGACCTAAGCTGAATCTGGAATTATGAGGTTGTCTATATCACAAAGAGAATAACTCTACGACAGTGATGGGAACAAAAGCATATACATAAAACATGCTAAAGAATCGTAGAATAGTGAGAGAGAAAATTCTTAATGTAAAGTGGAATATAGTTCTTAAGGAAAGTGGGTGCTGGCCGGGCACGGTGGCTCACGCCTGTAATCCCAGCACTTTGGGAGGCCGAGGGGGGCGGATCACAAGGTCAGGAGTTCGAGACCAGCCTGGCTAACATGGTAAAACCCCGTCTCTACTAAAAATCCAAAAATTAGCTAGGCATGGTGGCGTGCACCTGTAATTGCAGCTACTCGTGAGGCTGAGGCAAGAGAATCGTTTGAACCCAGGGGGCGGAGGTTACAGTGAGCCAAGATCACGCCATTGCACTCCAGCCTGGGCAACAGGGTAAGACTCCATCTCAAAAAAAACAAAAAAAGAATAAGAAAAAAAAAGAAAGTGGGTGCTGAACTGGATCACAATAGATGAGAAGAAAAAAGTGTAAAATAAAAATAAGAGAATGAAGGCTGGGCGTGGTGGCTCACGCCTGTAATTCCAGCACTTTGGGAAACCGAGGCAGGTAGATCACTTGAAGTCAGGAGTTCGAGACCAGCCTGGCCAACATGTTGAAACTCCATCTCTACTAAAAATAGAAAAAAATTAGCCAGGCATGGTGGCACATGCCTGTAATCCTAGTTACTCGGGAGGCTGAGGCAGGAGAATCATTTGAACCTGGGGAGGCAGAGGCTGCAGTGAGCTGAGATTGCACCACTGAACTCCAGCCTGGGTGACAGAGTGAGACTCTGCCTCAAAAAAAAAAAAAAAAAAAAAAGAAAAAGAAAAAAGAAAAAAAAAGAGAATGATAACAGCAGCTAACATAATTGGGCATTTGCTATCCACTATACACTACACACATGCATGCTCTCCTAATCTCACCACAGCTCTGTGAGACAGGTTCTATATTCACGTATATTTTAACAAACAAAGGAAATGAAATTGAAAGATAGTAAGAAACTCATACAACGTTTCATAACTAGATGTGGTAAATTCAGAATTCAAACCCAGGTCTTCACAATCAGATTAGAAACACAAGGAAGGACAGTTGAAGGTTTCTGGAATACTAAGACAAAGTTTTTTTTAACCCAGATTCAAGTCTCAGTACTAAGAACATATTGCCAGGCAAGCCTCAATAAGCCAAGAGCTAAATGATTTTAGTTTTTCATATTTAAAATAAATAAAGCATCTGAGAGAAATTTACTTATTCATTCATCAATATTTATTGTATAATACCATATATTGTTTGAGGCATTAGGAATTCACAAGTGAGTACCTGACAGAATGATTCCTGCCACCATAGATACTTATGGCAGGCTAACTAGGTTAGTGGACAGAGCGTAATACAGTAAATGAGAAGCCGATGAGTACTAGGGAGAAAAATAATGCAGTGAAGAGGTGTAATGGTTAATATTGAGTGTCAACTTGTTTGGATTGAAGGATGCAAAGTATTGTTCCTGGGTATGTCTTGAGGGTGTTGCCAAAGGAGAAGATTAACATTTGAGTAGGTGGACTAGGAGAGGCAGACCCACCTTCAATCTGGGTGGGCACAATCTGATCAGCTGCTAGCATGGCTAGGATAAAAGTAGGCAGAGGAACATGGAAGGACTAGACTGACTTAAGTCTCCTGGCCTCCATCTTTCTCCCATGCTGGATGCTTCCTGCCCTCGAACATCAGACTCCAAGTTCTTCAGCTTTTGGACTCTTGGACTGCACCAGAGGTTTGCCAGGGGCTCTCAGGCTTCGGTCACAGACTAAAGGCTGCAGTGCCAGCTTCCCTACTTTCGAGGCTTTGGGACTCCTACTGGCTTCCTTGCTCTTCAGCTTGCAGATAGCCTATTGTGGGACCTCACCTTGTGATCCTGTGAGTCAAAACTGCTTAATAAACTCCCTTTCATATATACATCTATCCTATCACTCCTGTGCCTCTAGAGAACCCTGACTAATACAAGAGGAAAAGAAGTATTTTGAGCAACTGATTATGCAATTTCAAAGAAGGTGCATTGAGAAGACTTCCACAAAGGACCTGTGAAAAAAGACCAGAAAGAAATGAGAGAACAAGCCATTTGAATAACTGGACAAGGCAAGGTACAAGTGAGAAATTCTCAAGAATGTGACTGGCATGTTTAGGAAACAGTATAGAAGCCATATGATTAAAGTTGCCTTAGCCAGGGGGAATGGTAGAAGATGAGGTAAGAAATACCAAGGCAGGGACAAATTATGTAGAGCCTTGTAGACTACTACAAGAATTCTGGACTTTCCTCTGAGGTGGGAAGTCATTGTAGGGTTATAGGTAAAACAGAACATTATGTGACTGAAGTCGTTGGCTGTTGTGTTAAGAATAGACTGTGTTAAATATAACTTGAGATGCTATATCAAATTCTTTCACAAATTTTACATGCACGTGATATAAAACACAAGCAAAATTTTGTACCTTTTGCCATCAATTAAAAAGAAGAGAGATCAATATAAGTCACAGTTGAAATTTCAAACTTTTTGAGAAACTCACAAGTTATTAGCAGCTCAAGGAAATAGCATATTATTCTGATCATGCTGGGTTTTTATTAGTTCTAATAAATTAAAGAATTGCAGAGTTATTTAATATAGCTGACATTCTACTAATTTCAAGGGAAAAAGAGTAACAAAAGCTCATAAGAGAATTCATTCAGAGCTCAATTCCACTTATCCTCCCACTCTACAGAGAACACAATTGGCAGCATGTGAGTGATTTTTTCCCTGTAATGGCAGGATTTGATATTACTATTTTGATGGAGATTTGAACTAAATAAGCTCAATCCCTTGATTAAATGAGAGTTATTTTATAAAGGAATATGCCTGCACACTTCTGGCATTTTAACTTTATCTTAGTTCATAATACAGGAACTATATATTTATTATCATGATGTATTAGAGATTATTCCATTTTCTTCCATATGAGAGCAAGGTCTGGAGGCAAAAAGTTTTTTTTCTTTCACTGCACAGACACACGTTGTCATGGCCACTAGCTTCTTTCTAAATGTCCCTGATGAATTATATACCCTACAAATGCCAAATATCCCTCTCACCCCAACTCATGGTTAGTTTTTGAAACAAACTGCAATAGTGTTATATATAAAATCACCTTGTACAATTCCCTAGGTAAGGGATTGCAATTGTCCTTTGAGAGGTGATAACCAGCAGCAAAAACAAACAAAACCTTGCTGATGATGTGCCCCTCTCCAGGGAGAAGACTGAGAAAAACAGTAAGGTTTGCATATTTCACCTTGCCCTTCACTGCCTCTTGTGTTACATTTCTAATTCACTCCCTCAGTGATTTCATCCACTCCTATAGCTTTGTATGTGACCTGTATGCTATTGGCTTCCAAATTTATAACTCCATCCCTGAACTCCCAGCTTATACCCCCAAATGCATGCTTCATATGTCCACTAAGAGGTCAACAGACCCTTAGTTATCTTCCCTTCCATAATCTGCTTCTCTTGCAGACTTTCCCTCATCTCTATAAATGGGAACTCTTATCTAATTTTACAGCCTAAGAACCTGGAGTTATTCATGATTCCTCCTATGCCCCAAATCCAATCTGTCAGAAACTCTAATTCACTATTTTCAAAATCATCCAGAATCTACTTCTCACCAATGACACTGCTGCTAAGCCTGTCAAACTACCACTAATTCACACATTAATAATGAGATCATTGAAATAGCTTGTTAACCAGTCACTGGCTTTAATTATATTCCTCACCTCACCCTACTATCTGTTTCTCCATATAGCTGCCAGCATAACACTTCTATGGCATCAGTCTGATCATTTCACCCCTTTGTTAATAACTCACTAACGGCTTTCTTAAAATAAAATCCATAATTCTCACACTATGGCTGCAAGGCCATGCATGATCAAGGCCCTGGTGGCCTCTTTACACCGTCTCCCACCTTCACTCTGCCACAGCCACTGGCCTCACATAGCCAAACTCACTTATCCCTCAAGGCCTTGCTGTTTGTGGTCTCTTCTGTCTATAACATGCTTCCTTGAGATATCCACACCTCTAACTAAAGTCACTCCGGCTTCTGCTCAACTCTTACCTCTTCAGAAAGTCCTTCCTAACCACACAAATTGCACACACAAACACACTCATCCTACCACTTCCTGCAGAGCATTCACTACTATCTGATATTACATTATTATTTATGCATATATTGCTACCATCCCCAATAAAAATATATGACAAATAGGGACTAAGAGAAGGATCATCACATTTAACTCAGAGTCTGCAGCAATACCTAGCACACAGTAGGTGTTCAATAAATATTTGTCAAAAAATGAATAAATTATTGCTGAATCAAGGAGACAAAGTATTTGAAGAAAATTTATCAGACAATGGTACAGTCTACCAATACAAACTCAAAGTCTAAGTTTCTCCAACAAAATCCAAGTCCCTGAAACATCCAAAGACTGAAACATACACTACTGGAATAGTTGCTACCAGGAGGCATTCCCCAGGCTGAAGTGCAGTGGCACGATCTTGGCTCACTGCACCCTCTGCCTCCCCAGTTCATGCGATTCTCATGCCTCAGCCACCCGAATCATCTAATGAGAGTGCAAATAAAAATGTACAAAGTTCTTAAGTATACCCAACCTATCAGCAGTAAAAGCAATGTTAAGTTTCACCATTAAAAAGCCTCTAATTTTCCATGAATGTCACTATATTTGGTTAAATCAATGAATCAGTTACACATTATTTTGACTGTTAAACATGTAAAGAAAAACTGTGTATGGTTGATATGGTTTGGATTTGAGCCCCCATCCAAATCTCAAGTCAAATTGCAATCCCCAGTGTTAGAGGTGAGGCCTGGTGGGAGATGACTGGATCATGGGGGTGGATTTCCCCCTTTGGTGCTGTTCTTGTGATAAGAGTTCTCAGGAGATCTGGCTGTTTAAAAGTGTGTTGCACCCCCCTCCCACCTTACTCCTTCTCTGGCCATGTAAGACGTGCCTGTTTCCCCTACACCTTCCACCATGATCATAAGTCTCCTGAGGCTTTCCCAGAGGCTGATGTTGCCATGCTTCCTGTAAGGCTCGCAGAACTGTCAGCCAATTAAACTTGTTTTCTTCATAAATTACCCAGTGTCAGGTGTTTCTTTATAGTCCTAGCACTTTGGGAGGCCAAGGCAGGCAGATCCCTTGAGGTCAGGAGTTCAAGACAAGCCTGGCCAACATGGTGAAACCCCATCTCTACTAAAAATTCAATAAATTTAGCCAAGCATGGTGGCGCACACCTGTAATCCTAGCTACTCGGGTGGCTGAGGCATGAGAATCGCATGAACTGGGGAGGCACATGGTGCAGTGAGCCAAGATTGTGCCACTGTACTTCAGCCTGGGCAATGAAGTGAAACTGTCTCCAAAAAATAAAAGTAAAAATAAAGTGACAAGAAAAACAATGACTGAATGCTTATCTTAAAAGATGCATACCTCTAAGATTTAAAATAGCTAGAAATATAGTTATGAAATAATAGTTTATTATTTCAAACCAATGTTCTCACTGTGTAATGAAAGATTTCCAGACAAGATTACCAAATGGCCATCTAAAGCACCATAGAACTTGAGGGACCTTGGACAACTGGACAAAGCAGTAGCAGTGGATGAATGGAACTTCTCTTTTCCAGGAAGAGAAGACAGTAGATTCTGCCAACTTCAGACTGACACAACTTATGTAATTGACAGACGAGATCAAAGATGAATTATTAAACAGAAAAGGAAGTAGTAATTACAAGAAACCAAAATGGGTTCTTGAAAAAAATTATATCAGAGTAACTGTATGTCTTTGTTAGGAGACTGAACTCTGGGAAACATGATTGATTTTGTATCTGGACATTTGCAAAGCTTTGAAATATTCAACACCTAAGGAATGCAAGAAAGACTTGGAGATATTTAGTCTGGGAAAGTGTTGGTTTGGTGGAGATATCCTTTCAGTTTCCTCACCTATCTTGGTCAATGTTTTTTATAAGTGTTTCAGTAAGCCATGATTCTTATACCAAATCACAATTTCCTCAACATCTTTTATGAAATAAAACCACTAAGTACTAAAACAAGTATTGTATAGAGTACCATGAGTAGTCACACTCAAAACAACATGGCCTTCTGAGTTAAAAATCAGGAAAACGTTCAATCTAAGATGTTGTACTAGACAAACCTAGAAGTTAAATGGCAAGATCACTTAGGGTTTAAGTTCTATTCTTTAAAAAAAAAAAAAAAGTGTGAATTATGCACCAAGTTATTGATTTCTTGGTCTACTTTTGAATTAACCCATTTTCACTCATAGAGAAATCATCTACAGATTCATTTTTAACAAAAAAATCAAAAATACTCAAAATGATTTTTAAAAACACTGTTTTCATTTTATTGTTCTTGCTATACTTTTTCCATCCTTTCTGTTCATCTATTCTTTATTTCATACATTCACTTAACATACATGTATATGTTATGTGGCACTATGTGTCAGTAGATGTGCCATGTGCTGGGAATAGAAAGATGAGCACAATACACTCTAGCCTGTCAAAAAGTTCAGAGCATAAATGAAGACTGTGACTTGTAAAATAACACTTATATTCCAGTATAATACAAGCCATTTAGAGATATGCACAGAGTTCTCTGGTAACAAAGAGGAAAGATACTGAATTTTGTATAGAATGAAGTGTTAGGGAAAGCTCCCCAAAGAGGCTTCCTCAAAGGGGAAAGAAGGGAAAGGCAGAATATTGACAGGCTTGAGCATGATGCTTTCAGAGCTCAACAAATTGTCTAGCAATGATGAGGCAGAGAGAAAAAAAGTAAGATAGGAGGTAGAAGGGGAATGTTAGGAACTGCTTCATTTAAAGACGTAATGCTGGGTGGGAAGGACGGGATTACAGATGAGCCTGAGGAAACATTTAGGGGTAATGGGTATCTTCATTATCTTCATTGTTGTAATCATTTCATGGATGTTTTCATATGTCAAAATTAATCAACTGCTGTACTTTAAATATATGCCATTTATTGTGTCAGTTTACCGAAATGATACTTTTTTTAAAAAGTTTTAATGCTATTCTAAGAATTTTGGGTAACCGTGTGAAAGGCTCGGGGAGCAACTGAAGGAATTTAGAGTCAGTGAAACATATTTAGGGGCATTTCATTCTCCATTTTACATCTTTACAAGATCCTCTATTTAATCAAATTAAAGAATTAACCAACTGCTATTTTCCATGCACCTGTCATGTACAAAGGACCAATGCGTCCCTAAAAAAAAATCACATCTCTATCGTTAAGTGAGTTATGCAGATCTTCATTTTAATTCACTTTTAAAACCAAACTTCAAAGATGCAAGATACAGCAGACGTCATAAATAAAAATAAAAAGACAAGTAAGAGGCAGTGAGAAAAATTGCAAATATTTACAAGAGTAGCGCTATAGAACATATAAGGAGCTCTTACAAGCTACAAGGCAATAAAATAGGAAAATAAACAATATTAATAGGCAATTCTAAGAAAAAATATAAACAACCAATAAATACATAATAACTGCTTCGATCTCATTTAATAACCAAGAAATATGAAATAAGTAAAATAAAAGTCACCAACTAAAAAAGAAAAACAATATTAATGATTATGCAAGGAAAAGAATCCTCACTTATATTATTCATAAAAGTGTAAGTTTGGCCAGGCACGGTGGCTCATGCCTGTAATCCCAGCAGTTTGGGAGGCCGAGACGGGCAGATCACGAGGTCAGGAGATCGAGATCATCCTGGCTAAAATGGTGAAACCCCGTCTCTACTAAAAACACAAAAAAATTAGCCGGGCGTGGTGGCGGGCGCCTATAGTCCCAGCTACTCGGGAGGCTGAGGCAGGAGAATGGCGTGAACCCGGGAGCCGGAGCTTGCAGTGAGTTGAGATCGCGCCACTGCACTCCAGCCTGGGCGACAGAGCGAGACTCTGTCTCAAAAAAAAAAAAAAAAAAAAAAAAAAAAGTGTAAGTTCACATGCCTTCTGGAAGGACAATTTGACAGTAACTAGCAAGATTAAAAAGGCCTTTCAATTTAGCAATTCAAAGACTAAGTATGATTGTGAGATGATTTACATCTCTTCACTCTCAATTTATTTAATCCTCAGAACAATACAATGTAGGTAGGCACTATTACTGTCCCTGTTATAGGCAAAATAACGGTCCCTCAAAGATATCCATGTCCTAATACCCAAAACTTTTGAATGTGTTGCTTTACATAGCAAAAGAGACTTTGCAGATGTCATTAAGGATCTTGAGATGGGGAAGATTATCTTGGATTATCTGGGAAGGCCCAATATAATCACAGGGTCCTTATAAGAGGGAAGCAGGAGGGTCAGAGAAGGGGTTGTGATGCCAAAAATAGAAGTCAGAGCAATGCTGAACCATGAGCCAAGAAATGCTAGCAGCTTCTCAAAGCTGGAAAAGGCAAGGAAATAAATTTTTCCCCTAGAGCCCTCAGAAGGAATGCACCCAAGCTAAACCATTTTGGACTATTGATCTCCAGAATTGTAAGATCATAAACTTGTGTTGTTTTAAGCCACCAAGTTTGTGGTAATTTGTTATAGCAGCAACAGGAAACTAATATAGTCCTACTTCATAAATAAGAAAATGGAGGTATCAAAAAATGAGTAACTTCCAAAGATCATATAGCTAGGAAGAGGTACAGCTAGAATTTAAACCCAGACAATGTGCAATACTAATGCACTGCCTTCAAATACAAAGATGTATACAGAATTATTTTTTAAAAAACCTGAGGCACGGAGAGAAACTACAACTAAGTGTCCTTCATTAAGAGAATGATTAAAAGGAAAAATCATAATATGGGCT
This sequence comes from Homo sapiens, assembly GCF_000001405.40. Taxonomy (NCBI): domain Eukaryota; kingdom Metazoa; phylum Chordata; class Mammalia; order Primates; family Hominidae; genus Homo; species Homo sapiens. Next base: position 59,906,234 of record NC_000013.11, read on the forward strand.
ATGAAATAAAATGCACGAATTTAAAAACAGTACAACATGAAAAACATATTCAAAATATATGACACAGCCAAAAAGTTTCAGAACAATGGATTTTTTAAAATGTTCACGTGAACATGCATACATTGGTAAATACACAGAAATGGAATTAGAAGTACAACAGATTGTTAAAAATGATCATTTGTGTGGAATGAAAAGAGGTAGTGGGATACGGGGGACATCTACATTGTATTCAATATTTCTATGTTATTTGAATGTTTTACAACAAGAATATATGATGTATTTTAAAGCGAGGGATTTTTAATGCAGGGAGATATGCACGAATTTCCTACAACATTTTTCATTAAAAAGGCCTCAGCTGCACAAAGTTTAAAAGCCCTGCCCTACAGTGACACCAAATGGTGGTAGATCAAAATACAGCACACAAACAGGACATTTGTTCGATTCAATCTTCCTATAAATGTTTGATTTCTTTGAAGAACAGGAAGCTTAACAGAATTAAATAACGTGGAGACAAATACTCAAAAACCTAGAATTTTTAATCAAAGAAAGTCTAGTACACCAAGCTTCAACTGCAAATTTTTAGGCCTCTTTCCAAACTTCAGCTAATCTTCTGATCCCACTGAATATTTACATAAATCATTTCTCACAGTTAAAGCATGCCACTGTGAACACAGTGATTTTACCTAATAGCTTATTGATCAAAGAAAGCCTACAAATACAAGAAATGCAGTCATAAAACTAAAGTCAGGCTCTACTCCATCGGAATCAACCCTTGGTAAGTAGGTAATATTTTGGAAAGATGGACGAGAAGGTGTTGGGGATAAACAGGGATGGAAAGAATCCAAGAAGAGACACAAGCAATGACTCCAATTAATGACAAAGTATATTTTCATTTGTTAATCTAGTGATAGAAAATTAAGCTGAGTAAAAGAGGAGGCTATTGCCTCTCAAATATACACCAATTTCTCCACAAGAAAATTTTGTCCTGGACTGTCCAGGGAAAAGAATATTTCAAATTAAGCACATCAGTCAGTATTCAGTGTCCTCTGCCCAGAACCTAAACCAACAAAAACAGCATGTAAATGGCCTTATTCATTACAAGCCACTATAAAAAGATACAGAGATAGACCACCTCTCAGGGCACTCCTCTAAAACACCATTTGGCCAGGATCCTTAGTCTTTTAGCATTAAATGAGAGTTTATTGGATTTTTGATGTGTTACTTTTCATATACCAAAATCTCCTAGAAAACACAGGACATATAAATATATGATCATCTACAAAAAAAAGTCAATAATATAATTAAGCTCTAAGGCCTTGAAATCATATAACTGGATTTCAATCCTAATAGGTACAAGCCAACTTACGACCACATGTTACCAGCACTACTTTACCCCACTCATGGATAATCAGCTCTAGAACACCTTGAGAGCTATCCTGATCAAATGAGTGCATGTCCAGTGACAAGAACCACAAGGAGATCAGTTCAAGAAGGTAACTTAAGTTTCTGAATTACTATATAAGTGACAGATGAACAACTAAGAACTGAGTACCACAAAAAGTATCCATGTCTACTACATATACATTTATGACTTAATTAGAAAGAGAGGTAATATCAGCATTAAATAATTTTGCTTCCAATTTCAACAGAGACATAAATATGAACATGAAAGTCTATATTACAGAAAATGTGAAAAATTAGGCACATCACATGGTTTAGTGGTTAGAAGTTTCAAGGATATACAATTTAATAGAAATTGACATAATTCCCACAGTAAATTTGTATACCATACTCTACAGGATATAGAGCCCTAGAAAACTGTATCTAAGTGATACATGATAAAAGTAAGACATATGGCCGGGTGCAGTGGCTCACACCTGTAATCCCAGCACTTTGGGAGATCGAGGTGGGCAGATCACAAGGTCAAGAGATCAAGACCATCCTGGCCAACATAGTGAAACCCCATGTCTACTAAAAATACAAAAAGTTGGCTGGGCTTGGTGTTGTGCACCAAGCTGTAGTTCCAGCTACTAAGGTAGCTGAGGCAGGGGAATCGCTTGAACCCAGGAGGCGGTTGCAGTGAGCCGAGATCGTGCCACTGTACTCCAGCCTGGTGACAGAGCTAGACTCTGTCTCAAAAAAAAAAAAAAAAAAAAAAAAAGTAAGACATTTCCAGTATACAAACTATTTCTGATATATGCTAATTGACCTTAATTGACATTGGTTACTAATATTTTAGATGTCTTACTTTTACACCCTGCCTTTCTATCAAAGAGGAAAATAACATAAACATCAATATCCTGGTGGAGCTACATCTTATGTTTTTTAACTAATTCTTATGGAGAATTAAAGTTGATTATATAATGCAAGCAACTTGACTGAATTTAATCTACTGTCTCAAGTTAGGGTATCAGTTTAAATAAAACACAACCTTTCAGAAAAAATTGTAATTAATATGAATCAAATTAATGAATTCACATAACTGGATAAAAGAAAACTTAAACTTAGTGGCAAGTAAAAACTGTAGAATTTTAACTAATTTTTGTTCAAATGAAAATGCTAGAAATCATAACATCAGTCTACGGAACCTAAAGATGAAAGAGTTAAGAGCTAATTTTTCTACAGTGAAAAACAAATGAAAAGTCAAGCTTTGGTCCTATTTGGAGCTGGGAAAGCACTAACACTACCCCAAACTCTTGACTTTTTCTTATATCTAACTGTGTGATGATTTTTCAGGTAAAGATGATTAGCACATTTCTAATGTACTTTAAATCTAGGCTAAATCAAGAAGTAAACATGTTTTTAAGGCAAGGATGTCTTGTAGAAATCTGGAGTTTAATTCACTTCAAGTTAATTGCCCATTTTTGATACAAACACTTCAAAAAGTTTATTACTTTAAAAATGAAACATTATTATGGAAGTCTTACAGAAATACACTTGGCAATTATAACCAATTTCTTAAAATCATCAAATTACTGTATTATTGATAATGTTGATAAACTGAAAACACATCATTCTTTAGTAAGTTAGCAAAGGTTTTTAATCTAGAAAGGAGTACAGAAAATTTCAGACATTCCAGACTGTCTAACACTCTTTGTCCAGTATTTTGTTTTTTTTTTTTTTGGTTAATTATCAAGGATTGTTTGGAGCTTTAAGCAGGTTTCCCACTTCTCTTTGGAGAGCAAAAGTTGAGAAGTAGTAGCAGCCAGATTGGAAATGGTGAAAAATAGAAATGGAAAAAGGTAAAATCTAAGAACATTACTATTTGACAAAAAATAAAATAAAAATATTTCATTTTGTTCCTCAACTTTCATTCTGATTTTTCCACCAATACAATTACCTTTTAAAATATTAGTACCACAGAAACCAGAACCGAAAACAATTTGTTCAAGAGTATATTGTCATAATCAATAGATGACTAAGGCATTGTTCATATTGTCTGTAGAGGATGTTTTTCAACAACGTTATTCCTTCCAAATTATATTCCACTGGCACTCAGGTATGACCCAGCATGGAATGTGTACATTCCAGATTAAGTTTGAGTTGACATGTCCTGAAAGGGAAGTGGTCCATCACCATCTTAAAATCAAAACTATTACCTCTAGCATTGGTATCTGGGAATCCAGTTGTTTTAACTGCTGATCCCTAAAAGTACACTTTTTGTAAATCAAAGCTCTTTGATGTGAATTCTTAATTTTTAACAAGGCATAACTTGGCTATTTTAAGTAAATTGAAAATATCTGCAAATTTGAGCAGTCTTCTTGAATCACTAGAACACAGAAATAGTTTTAAATCTTTACTATAATGGTAGGCAACATAAAAAGCTACTTGTTAGATAGACATTTTCATATAACCTTGCATGGTATCAGATTTAATGTACATGGAAAATATTTCAAAATTGTAATTTTATATATTATTTTAATTCAAGTGTCAAAACATAGGTAAAAAAAAAACACTCTAAATAGTCTGTGGTTAAAAATGTAATGCAAATTCTCCCTTATTCACCTATTCTCTTATGGAAGACATGGCAAATAGAGTATCAAATAGACAAACTAACCAAATAATAGAAAAGCAAGCAAGCAGGGAAATAAAGAAAAAAGAAAGGAGACAGAAAAGGGGCAGGCGGGGAAGAGAATACCCTGAAGAATTGGAGTAAAAAGTAAAAACTTTTTTTGTTTTCTTAAAGACAACGAATTTAAAAGTTTTAGAAAAGGCCGGGTGGGGTGGCTCACACCTGTAATCCCAGAACTTTGGGAGGCGGAGGCAGGCGGATCACCTGAGGTCAGGAGTTCGAGACCAGCCTGGCCAACATGGTGAAACCCCATCTCTATTAAAAATACAAAAAAATAGCTGAGTGTAGTGTTGGCCACCTATAATCCCAGCTACTCAGGAGGCTGAGGCAGGGGAATCGCTTGAACCTGGGAGGCGCAGGTTTTGGTGAGTCGAGATTGCACCACTTGCACTCCAGCCTGGGCGACAGAGCAAGATTCTGTCTCAAGTATTTAAAAAAAAAAAAAAAAAAGTTTTAGAATAAGAATTATAAGACTGTGAACAAGGAAAATCATGCTTTTTCCTTTTGTGTTCTATTTGGAGTTTTTTTTTTTTTAACTTTGGTGGTAGCAAGGAGTAGAATGCGTTTATGAAGAGATAGGAAGGAATGTAAAAGCAAATGTCTACAACATGCCAAAATATGAGGTGCAGGCACAGCTATTAAGTAAATCAACCTGAATTTTTAAAATTCTGTCAAACAAATTTCATCCTGGCCCTGGAGATTATTAATATAACTGAAGATGAAAGGGAAAAAATAAACAATCTTATTAGAGAAACAACACTATAGTATTGTTATAATGACAAAGTGTAACCGACCTAAAAATAATAATTTAATGGTAGGAGAAAAGAGCACAGAAAAGAAATCTTGATAAAAATCTTAAAATTTTAAGTTGTAATACATTTAATATATGGCATTGGAAATTCTTTTCACCTCTTTAGACCCCAGCTTCTATAAAATAAAAGGCTGGAGCAAGATGATTATCAAAGATTTTCTAAAATGAATTCATTTTTCATCCTCATTGCCAAGAAAGATACTATATTTATAATTTCGGTCTAAACTACGAGATGAATTCAAGTAAGTGATCAGAACAAGAAACCAAAGCTACTCTTGCAATATGTTGGAATACACAGCTCTAGAATAAATCACAAATATACCTCTCTATTCTTAAGAAGTACAGTTTTTACTTTACATTTTAACATTAAATAGAGAGCAAAAAAATTATACATACAATTTTCAAAAGCCCCTTGGACTTCACTTAATGCCAGAGTTTCAATATATATTTTAAATCAAGGTAATTTCACATGAATATCCTTAAGTTAAAAAAAAGTAAGATGGATATTAAATGTATGTGATTACTCACATGCTTTTTTACATTTAGCGATATAAAAACAGTTGACAGGTTCTCTTGTTTGGCACAGTATAAAAATCCTCTCTGAGACTCGGTACTTACCACAACCACAAACTGCTCAGGTTCACATAAGTTGCTATATTCACTCTTGAACTGAGACAATGAATTTAATTGCTCTTGATCAGGAAGATGCTTTATTAAGTTCTAAAAATTAAAACCAGAAAGAAAGATCTTCACTAAATGTACTTCTTGAATTTTAAAAATATAATTTAAAAACTACTGAAAGAAAACCAGTGAAGTTAATCTTCAGTTTTATTTCTAGGTAACCTCCCTCCTAATAAGCCTTAAGCAAAATTCCCTGCATCTTGAAAACAGTCAATTTTCCATTTCTCTATCCCAGAGTTATTATATATTCAAATCAAGCACTACTGAAACTGAATGTTTATTTGATTAGCTATATAATTGAGAAAGAGAACTCAACCTATACCAAAGGAACAGCTTTCTCACCTGGATGAATGTGATCCATTACATTTCAGCTTTAGGGAATTAAATGTCAGAAATTTCAGGCAAAGCCAAACATATTTTAACACTTCACTCAGGGGGATAAAAGAAATCATCATATTGCTACAAAAAGGCATGGGAAGGGACAGAATAGAAATCAAGGGAATTTTAATGGCAGTGCTTGCAAGATTTACCAATAGGATTACAGTTTTAATAATAAAAACTGAAGATATCTCTAAAACAAACTAACTTTTCTGATGTGAAAGAAAATTTTAAAAGGTGTTGAAGACACATGATGATTGATATACCTTGCAGATAAAAGGCATGTAGAGGTCCTTTAGAAACTTAAGTAAGCCACACACTTAAACAACAGAACTACTTGAATAAAGATTAAAGGAATACACAAGACTATGTCTTCCTGATACAACTTAAATGATTAAACAATCCCTTGGACAAAGTCTATATCGATCCTCTGTATCAAAATACAATCAACTATAATAGCGTTACAAGAAGTTAGTGCATTGATATTAAAATTAAGATAAAAAAGAGTGGTTGGTGCTCACAATTCCAAATTACAGCATGAGTAAATTCTGTACAAGCCCAAAGTTGAATACAAACTATAATTAAGCCTAGATCATGCTATATATATTTATGGGGGGAAATTCCCCAAAGGTGTTATTAGTTAAAAATACTGTTAGAGAATGTTATACATCAAAATCAATTAGATCAAAGAATAAGTTATTGACTCACTGTGTACCTTTGGACAAAAACTTGGTTAACTGGCCAAAAACAAAACAAAAAAAAAGTGGCATTTTAAGATCATCCCTAGACAAAGTATTCACTATTAATACTATCAAATTGAATAAAAATAAAAGTATATGATTTCCCCACATAAATAGAAATTTCTCTTAGTGGAATTGCTTGAGACCAAAAGACATGATTATTTATATTTTTACCCATTCTAGTTGACAGCTGGATTGTTAGATTTTATTACTTCAGGCCTCTGAATTTCTTTAGCATCCTTTTAGACAAATCCCCCTGAATATCTCATATATAATCAGATTTTCATCTTTCACCTGAATTTTTTAATTTTTTCACTCCATTAATTTTACATTCTAACATAAAAATACTATTGTGATTTTTAAGTGCGTGGTTCCAACCTCCCTTTGTCTCTCCCCTTACAAATTCCCCACACCCTTCGCAAATCTTAAGCTACTGTTCAGCTAAATTCTGCACAGACAGGCACGCATGCCCAGCTTCCCTCACAGCCCACAGTATTATTACTGCCAAAACAATTGCCCTTCACTACATTTTTCATGCAACTCCTCTGCTCTATTCTACATCTATACCTATTCAACATTTACATACCCTTGCCTCCACACATACACTCACAAAGCATACTCCCTCAACATATTCTATAGGTCTAAACCAATCTTAAAACTTTGCTTACCTTGCTTTACAATTATGTATGTAAATGTCATTTCCCTTGTCAAATTATAAATTCCAAGAAGGTCAAGTCTAATTCTTATTGAGCCTAATATACAGCCGGGCATGGTGGCTCACGCCTTTAATCCAGCACTTTGAGAGACCGAGGTGGGCAAATCACTTGAGGTCAAGAGTTCAAGACCAGCCTGGCCAACATGGTGAAACCCCATTTCTACTAAAAATACAAAAATTAGCTGGGAGTGGTGGCGGGTGCCTGAAATCCCAGCTACTCAGGAGGCTGAGGCAGAAGAATAGCTTGAACCCAGGAGGCAGAGGTTGCAGTAAGCCGAGATCGCACCATTGCACTCCAGCCTGGTTGACAGTCTCACTCTGTCTCAAAAAAAAAACAAAAGTAATAAAACATAAAAATTATTGAGCCTAATACAATGCCCTGGACATGTTGCATAAAATAAAGTATATGAAAAATGAATTAATAAATGACTGATGTGACAAACAAAGGTAAATGGGTAAAAAATGATGCAGAAAAGTGGCATGAAAAATGGCAAAACAATGACATACTGCTGACCTGTACATATATATGAATAAGTAACTAAATATGTCAAAATATAACCATCACAGTGAACACAGAGAACCAAAATCATGATTATTACAACATAAAGCTCTGTTTCCATGCCCTGGTCAAAATAGGAATTCTTCGCATTAAAATGAGGAATATACTTTTAAAATTAAGAGTTCAAATAGCAAGAAATTCTTACTTTTTAATGAATATATTAAAACCTTATATATGTTCAAAATAAATTTTTACATTTTAGAAATACCCAAGGCTGGTTTTATATTTAGAAAGTATGATAGGCACAATAATGACATCCATTCCTAAAGATGTACATGACTAATCCCCAAAACCTATGAAAATATTAAGTTACATGGCAAAGGGAATTTAGGTTATAGATGGAATTAAAGTTGCTATCAGCTGACCTTAGAGTGGTTATCCTGAATTATTTGGATGTACTCAATGTAATCAAAAAGTTCTTATAAGTGGAAGAAAAAAACAATAGAGTTGGACGGAGATGTGACTATGAGACAAAGGAATTGAGGAATGCAAGATTGCTGGCTTGGAAGATGAAGGAATGGTTCTACAAGCCATAGAGTATGAGCAACCATGAGAAGCTGGAAATACAAACAGATTCTTCCCTAGAGCCTACGAAAAGAAACACAGGTCATTCTGCCAATACTTTGATGTTAGCATAGTAAGACCAATATCAGACTTATGTTTTACAGGAATGTAAGATAATAAATTTGTATTATTTTAAGCAAATAAGTTCTTGGTGAATGGGTATAGTACAAATAAAAAACTAATACATTACAAAATATATGGAGCTGAATGTACTTTGGACATGAATTTTAAAAAGCAAATCATCTCTTTTCTATTATATAACAAAACCACATGTTCATTTAAAACATTCATGTAATCAAGCTAAAAGCTACTCTGTAAATATTTAACTAATTCATTATAAGAAATACAAACAAGTATTAAGTAGAAAAATTTTATTTAAGGAAGTTGGCATCTATTCCTAGCAAGAAGGCACACATATAATCAACATGAACGAAGATGAAAATCCAGTAAAAAACAAACTGAAAGAGAAAAAAAATGCTTAAATAAGAGTAGCTGAATCAGGTAGTTTATGAGTCTCAGCGACTCACAGCACAAATCACTAGTGAAATTATATGACCACTACATTTAGAAGACAAGATAGGAAAGGCAAAACTTAGAACAACTTCCAAAGATATCATTTATTGATTAGTTAAAATATTCAGAATAATTTTAATTGCTTGTTGGCACTAATAAATATTTGGTTTCTTTTTATTGCTAAGTAATCATTTTCCTAAATATATCCGCTATCAGAACAAAAGATGGTAAGCTGAAGATAATCTCTCACTATATAATTTGTGTTTTGATTCTCCAACTTTAAATTTTATCAAGATATACATTATTGATTTCTTATGTGGAACTCAGCAATAACTTCGACATGATGCTAGTATTCATTTGAAAATACTATGAATAAAAGCCATTAACAAAAATCTTCTAGCTTTCTGAATAAATTCAGAATACTATGTAAACAATCTCTAATACTCATAGGAGCCCAAATGACTCTAAGAAGAATTGTTAGTAAAGGTAACTGTAATTGAAAACTCCCTCAATCTTCTAAACCATATAATAATATCTTCATAAGCCAAAGAAAAACACATTCTAAAAGGGCTATAGAAACAAATTTTAAGTAACACATTAATAAAGTATAACAAAAACAAAAATGTAAAATTAAACAATTTGCTTTTCAGAAACAATAACTTAAAATACTTAAAATGTAATCATTTGATAGCATTCTATTTCATGTGCAGTTAAGAGAAGATGCAGCTTTCTCTCCTGGCAATGCAGAAGTTATGCTAAAACTAATTATGCAGCAATGATTTTCCAGTTGAATGATTTGGGTGAAGAATTTTGCTTCACTTACAGATTTCTATTTAATGAGAAGCTTGCAATGAAATATTGAAATTTAAGCTGTGCCTGTTTGTTTACCTGAATCATAGACTCTGCCAACCGTGTTTCATCTACTTCCAATATCATCATTCTGATTTCCTCATATGGCACCCGAAAAGAGCTCAGGAAGATTGCTAAGAAGGAGAAAGAGAGAAAGGTTTATAATGAATAAGGTTTAAAAAAGTATTTCAGATGTAGTTCTATTTATAAAATCAAAAATAAATTCATAAAACAAGAGAATTCAAACATTTAATATTATGTTTGGGGGAAACATATTATGGGGGAAACTTTCATTACTACATTTTATACTCTTCTCTAGTTTTAGAACTAGTGTTTAAACAACAGTCCTGTGTTATTGCACTGGATCCAAGGTTGATTTTTAAATGCTCAGTTATTTATCTACCATAGGAATGATGTCAATTTTCATGTGATAACAAAAAATGAAATAAGGTACACTATAAAAACATCACATTGTAATGAAAATAATAAGAAAACCACAGTATGTGCATGTAATATTTGTCTAAGCATATGTATTATTTGCTTGTATCTCTTCTAGCCTTAGGAAAGAGTTCAGGAAAAAGTATTTTAAGAAAACTGCTAAGCAGTACATTAACACTTTTACAAGTAATAGTAGCACTTCACTATTCAGAAACATTGTAAACAGTATGCTAGGGAAACCTTCACATGTAACCAAAGCTTAAAATATCCAGTTTTAGAAAACAAATTCTCACTGAAAATTATCCAAATGTACTAGATAGTATAATATGTTATTACTGAGAATTCTAAACATCTTTCTTGATGGCTCTTATATCAACTATTATAATGATTTTTTCAAAAGTTACTGAAGTAGAAGGATATTTTCACAGCAACAGATACAACGCTTTTGCTAGTTCAACCCTTATTGTACTATTATGTTTTTACATTCAAGATGTCACTTCTTAACCATACTCAGCACCTGCAAATCAATAGCCTATTATTTTTCTTTTTATTTAATGAATTTCTATGTCATCTGGTATGTGTATTTCTAGATAAAGAAACTATGTTCAGCACCTCATATCTGTGGGTTCCATATTCACAAATCTGACCAACTGTGGATCAAATTCAATCCACAGTAGGTTGAATCTAAAGATACAGAAACCATGGATATAAAAGCAGAATATAAGGAACTTGAGCATCTGTGGATTTTGGTATTCATCAGGGGTCCTGGAACCAATCCCTCTGATATCAAAGGATGACTATTTTTTATAAAACTCAGGAAACAGGATCTACTTCTTTTCTGTATTGAGGTTGTATTCCTGATTTGTGAGAATATCATGTATCACCTACAGATTAACAAGGGCATCATCTGTATTCATATCACCAACACACACAGTTCTGAACCCAAGAAGTCTTAAATATGAAATCATTACAATAAAACTCACAGATGTCTATAATCCTTAATATCCCAAGAACAAGATGAAATATGTAAATGGTATAAGAGTAAATAGAGATTTGGCCAGGCACGGTGGCTCACGCCTGTAATCCCAGCACTTTGGGAGGCAGAGGCAGGCGGATCACGAGGTCAGCAGATCGAGATCATCTTAACTAACATGGGGAAACTCCACCTCTACTAAAAATACAAAAAATTAGCCAGGTATGGTGGCATGTGCCTGTAGTCCCAGCTACTCGGGAGGCTGAAGCAGAAGTATTGCTTGAAACTAAGAGGCAGAGGTTGCAGTGAGCCAAGATTGCACCACTGCACTCCAGCCTGGGCGACAGAGTAAGACTCTGTCTCAAAAAAAAAAAAAAAAAAAAAAAAAAAAGTAAGTAGAAATTTATAAAATTACAAAAGACAACTCCGTAGTAGACAATAGAACATGCAAAAAATATAATCACTGAAGATGGTGAAGTAGGGCTCTCCAGTAATTCTCCACCCTCACAGAAACATGAATTTGAACTAGCCACATGTGAAAGAAAATACCTTCAAAAGAGAGAAAACAAGTGAAAAATCACAGTACCTGGTATAGACTAATACTAAAAAAGATACATTGATTATGTAAAGAATGTTTTACATCACCCGTATCAATCCATCCACCAACGTCAGGCAGCACAGGAAAAAAAAAAAAAAAAGAGAGAGAGAGAGAGATACTGTCCACTTGAAAAAAAAGAGAAGTGAACATAGAAATTTCCCTTTGTCGCTAACAACAAATCTACCAGTATAAAATGCTCATGGACTCTGATTCCTGACAGGTATCTGCAGTCTAAGCATCTAGACTGACACTGGTACCAGACAGGAATCTAACGGTCCTTTGAGAAAAGACTCGAGTTCTGGCCTATATCACTGACGGATGACTGCAGCGACCTTCGTTTACAGAAAATACTCAGTGGCAAACAGGCAACAGAAGCCATGGGCTTCAGGAACCACCCAGGACTGCAACAACATTAAGAACCACGAAAGTAAGCCTGATGCAGGGCCAGCTGTGGGAGCCAAAAATTTCCAGCCTGGGCTGCACCACCCAAAGCACTTCTAGGCTTAGGGCACTCCCTAACACTGCACCAACAACAGCAACCCATACCAGATGGTCTACTCAAAAACCCTAGACAGACTTACTGTTGAAAGATGACCTAAAATAAAGTCACACTGAGAAGAATGGAATAAATATCTACTTCTTCAACATGCAGACAGCAACACTTGACCACAATGCAAAAAGACAATCAGGGAAACATGACATCACCAAAGGGACAAAATCAGCTGCCAGTGATGTACACTAGAGATGGACATGTATGAACTATCTGGCAAGGAATTCAAAGCTGTGGTTTAAGAAAGTTCAGTGAACTTCAAGAAAATACAAAAAAAAAAAAAAAAAATCAGTATTTTTTAACAAAGAAAACAGTTTTTAAAAATTAAACAGAAATACTAAAATATACAAGGTACAAAATGAGAAATTCAGTAGAGAGCATCAACTGTACAAGTGATCAAGCAGAAGAAAAAAATCTGTAAACTTAAAGACAGTTTATTTAAAAATATACTGTAAGAGAATAAGAAAAATGAATGAAAAGGAATGAAGAAAACGTGAAATTTATTGGACAGCATTAAAGAGCAAAAACGTGTCATTGAGGTTTGAGAGAGTAGATAACATTGTAGAAAACTTATTTTAAAAAGTAATAGCAGAAAACTTTCCAAACCTGCAAAAAGATATAAATATCCAGATACGGGAAGGTAAAAGGTGTCTAGTATGATTGAATCCAATACTACACCATGACATTATAATCAAACTGTCAAAGATCAAAGACAAAGAGGGGATCCAGAAAGCAACAAGAGAAAATAATAAAATAGCATACAAGAGAGTTCCAGTATACCTAACAGCAGACTTCTCAACAGAAACCTTACATGCCAGGAGAAAATATGATGACATATTCAAAGTGCTGAAGAAAAACAACTTCTAAGAATACTTTACCGTCAAAATTTATTTTTCAGAAATCAAGGAGAGATAGAGTTTCCCAGACAAACAGAAGCTAAGGAAGTTCACAATCAACAGCCCTGTCTTATAAAAATTGCTAAATGAAATTCTGCCAGTTGAAAGAAAAGGATGATAATGAGAAACATAAAAATATCTGAAAGTATAACTCACCAGTAAAAGTAAGTACATAGTCAAATTCCGAATATTCTAATAATGTAATAGTGGTATGTAAATCACTTGTATCTTTAAAAGGGAGAATAGAGGACAAAACTATTAAAATTAATAGTAACTACAATAAATTGTTAAGGAATATTCAATATGGAAAGATGTGAGTTGTGACATCAAAAATTCAAAATTCAAGGAAAGAGTAAAATTAATATGTAGTTTTATTTTTTATAAGTGATCAAGTTTATCAGTTTCAAATAAATTGTTGTAACTGTAAAAAATCTTTTAGTTAGCCTCATAACCACAAAGCAAAAATCTATACTAAATGTACTACAAATTAAAAGCAAAAAAATCAAAACATACTATTAGAGAATAATCACTTATCCAGAAAGGAAAACTGTAATAGAGGAAGAAAGTAAAAAGGATCTACAAAACAACTAGAAAACAATCAACAAAACGGTAGTTATAAGTCCTTCACTATCAATAATTATCTAGCATCTAAATGGACTGAATTCTCAAATTAAAAGACAGAGTGGCTGAATGAAAACAAAACAAAACTACAACTATATGCTGACTATTGAAGACTAACTTCACCCGTAAAGACACATATAAACCAAGTGTAAAGATAGAAAAAGATATGCCATGCACATGAAAACCGAAAAAGAACAGGAGTAGCTATATTTACATCAGATAAAATATACTTTAAACCAAAAACTGTAAAAGGAGACAAAGGATATTACATAATAAAGTGATCAATTCAGCAAAAGGATGTAACACTTGTAAACATATATATGTGTATATGCATGTGTGTGCGTGTATATACATATATATGTATATATATATATAATTTGTATCCAACACCAAAGCATCTAAATATACAAAGAAAATAGATCTACAGGGAGACATACATTGCAATACAATATTAGGAGACTTCAATGCCTCATTTTCAGCAATAAAACAGTCATCTAGACAGAAAATCAACAAACATGAACTAGAAAATGAACTCTAGGCCAAAAGGACCTAACAGATATTTACAGAACATTTCATATAACAAAATCAGAATAAACATCCTTCTCTCAACTGCACATGGAACATTCTCCAGGACAGATCATATGTTATGCCACAAAACATGTCTTAACAAATTTAAGGAGACTAGAATCATATCAAGTATATTTTCTGACCACAATGGAATAAAACTAGAAATCAGTACAGAAGAAAATTCAAAAACTTTTCAAATGCATGAAAACTAAACAACATGCTTCTAAATAACCAATGGGTCAATGAAGAAATTAAAAGTCTTCAATATAAAAATGTATTTAGAAAATTGAAAAGGGAAACACAACATACCAAAATATATGGGATATAGCAAAAGCAGATCTAAGTGAGAAGTTTACAGAAATAAATGTCTACACTAAAAAAAAAAAAATCTCAAACAACCTAACATTGCACCTGGAGGAATTAGAAAAACAAGACAAACTCAACCCAAAATTAGTAGAAGCAAGAAAATATTAAAGATCCAAGCAGAAATAAATGAAATGGAGACCAGAAAATACCAAAAAAAAAAAAGAAAGAAAAAACAACCAAAAATTTCATTTTTGGAAAAAATAAAATAATCAAATGTTTATTTAGACTAAGAAAACTCAAATAAATATAGTCATAAATGAAAAGATATTACAACTGACACCACAAAAATAAAAAAAGAATTATATGAGACTATTTTGAATAATTTCTTATACATCAATAAATTGGATAACCTAGAAAAAAAATGGATAAAATCCTAGAAACTTATAACTTACCAAGATTGAATTATAAAACAATACAATACCTGAATAAACCAATAACCAGTAAGGAAACTGAAATTAGTAATAAGTAGTTTCCCACCAAAGAAAAGCTGAGGATCTAATACATTTGCTGCTTAATTCTATCAAACATGTAAGTAAAAACTATTACCAATTCTTATCACACTATTCAAAAAAAATCAAAGAGTAGAGAATACTGCCAAACTCACTCCACAAGGCTGGCATTCCCCTGAAACCAAAACCTGCAAGAATGCAACAAAGGAAAGCTACTTGTCAATAACCCTGAAGCAAAAATTCTCAACAAAATGAATTCAATACATGAAAAAGATCATTCACCATGATTAAATGGGATTCATTCCAGAGATGCAAGGATGGTTCAAAACATGCAAATCAGTAAATGTGACACACCCTATTAACAGCATGGAAGACAAAACCATATAATCATTTCAATAGATAGAAAAATAATTTGACAGAATTCATCATTCTTTTATGATAAAGAATTTTAACAAATTAGGTATAGAAGAAATGTGTCACAACACAATAAATATATGCGTTATATATGACAAACATACAGCTATCATCATAACAAACAGAAAAGTTGAAAGCTTTTCCTATAAAATCTGGAAGAAGATAAGGATCTCCACTTTCACCACTTCTATTCAACATATTACTTGAAGTCCTAGCCAGGGCAATTAGGTAAGAGAAAAAAAATAGGCAGAAATAAGTTAAGCTGTACTTGCTTGCAGAAAACAACCTTAAATATAAAAAATCATAAACAAATGAAACTTATAAAACTCCTAAGCCTTCTCTTGATCCTAGTGTCTGGAAACCTTTATGAACTCAAAAATATAGGAAACCAAAACCACTTTTAAATAGACAAGTAGATAAATGAATGACTTTTAGATTCTTTCTCCAAAGTTCTAATCTAGTACATACCCATAATATTCTCTTCAATGAACTTTAGAAATGAACCTTTCCATTTTAGTATCAGTATTCTACTACTGACCACTGTTTTATTTCAATTTATCTCATTCCAAAACAGTTCTAAGACTCATCTCAGAATTCAGACTCTCAAAACTCTAAATTTCATGACAAAAAACTATAATTACAATGAAGATCATAGGCTGCTAAAGCTTCTTAAAGCTTAAATCATAATGCCTGCTACCATCAGAGAGGAGAAGAATAATCTTAAAATGGATTACATCATAATATGACATGGTATAAATTCTGTATCTTTTCATCTTACACTTTAAAACATGTTTCTCAATTAAATGAATAGGATATATATACTCTAGCTAAATTAAACAAGGCAAACAGGATCTTTCTCCATAAAAATGTTATTCTGTTTTCTGTAAAAAGGAACAGATATACATTAAACTATATAAACATTAAAATATTTTCAAAATGAGCAATCTTATTGAAATCACTTAACTGCTACACCCACCAGATTCCCTACCTATACTGTTAATGCTAATACCCACCTGGTGGGGTTGTAGTGAAGATTAAAGGGCCAAATACAGAACTAGTAAACAAAGGTAATCAGTATTTATTAGCTGTTTTAATTAAATTTGAAATCCCATGTAGAACATGTTCTGTAATACATAAATAAATAACCGTGTTCAAAAAGTTATTTAACTATGAGATGGACATTTAGGCTAACTTACCACAGCTGACCCATTCAGAAAGAATTCTATTAAACATTATATTTCTTCGGGAACTATTACAAGACTATTTAGAATCAACACTAGTAATTTGTAATGCAGGTCATGAACATTTTTCAAAATAAAATCATCTCTTTTAGATCACAGATACGGAACTTTCTGACATTATCTGACATAGTTCAAAACACAGTGCTTTGAACCTAGACAAAGTTCTTTTGGGAGGGAAATTCCCTAAAATATGTACATCATGCAAAAAACAAAAAACACAAAATCTCTGTGGTCTAAGCAAACACACACAAATTATTTCTCATGAAGACCATATGTTCATCACACCAGTTTCTGTTAATTATTAATTATGATCCCTATATCAGGATGATGGACACCACTCTGAATGCCATTCTGGGTGCCAGGGGGAGCTTCTTCAACCACCAATGAAATGCTTCCACCCCAAAAAGTGACATTAACTCCACTCCCATCTTCACTGGTCCAAGCATGTCACTTGGTGACTCCTAACTTGACAGGGGCAGAGATGTGCAATCAGCAGTGCCCAGAAATAGAGAATTGAATACTAGACAATACACCAATGCCGCCATACTATCCATGGGGATCTTGGCAGGCCTGCATTGTAGAAAAGAGATGGGTTTAGATCAAAGTGATTACGAAGGAGAGGAGGTTCTGAAATTTTCATAAAAGGAATGCCAACTCTACCATTTGAATATATTGCCTCTAACATAACTCTCTCTTTAATCAGTAGCATGGATCTTTATCCTCTCGCTGAAGAACTGTTTTATTCCAATACTTGCTAAAAGCTCAGTTGAGGCATGTAATAATTGAGGGAGACTAAAAACCATGTTAATTCTTCATCACTCTAGATTCTCCCCATTATTCATATCCCTCTTGCACCATCAGAAAGTGATATATACAGACCATAGTATATCATCTCTAAGCATAACTACCTTTGATGCATTTAGAGTAGTTAGAAATGAGTTAAGAGCAAAACTATTTGCCTTCTTCTCTCACAGTAATTTGGTCAAGAAGATAATTTAATACTGAGTATTTAGCTCCTGTAACAGTAATTAAATCTAAAATATTTCTACTCAGAACTTTTGAGGAAAGGCTTTGAACTGCTCAGATGGGATAACTGAATTCACTTTACTCACCATCCTTATTTCCGTTAATATTATAACCTCCTTTATGTGTGATCAAGTATCACAAATATTAGAGATTCAGAGTTATAAAAGAAGCAATACACTACCAATTTTTTTCAAAATATGATGTCATTACCTAAATTCCTTAAGTCTTTATTTTTATACTTTAAAAAAAGGGACTTTAAAGAGTAGCTGTTTTTTTTTTTCAGTTATGAAAGGTAGAATTTCATTTTAAAACCTCTTCTTATTTGTATTTTCTAATATGCACTTATCTTTTGAAGCATTTAATCCCATAATTTACCTAAAGGAGAGTTATCTGTGAATTTATCATGCATATAATAACAAAATGAAAATAGCAAATAATGAATAATCGGTCTTAAAGAAAATGAAATCATTTAAAGAAATATTTCCACTGTCTTTGAATGGTATTGGAATATGATACTTACAAAGGTTCTGGGCAATTTTAGAATCTAAAAACTTAAGTTCTTTAATTTTTTTCTTAATCGATTTCTTCTCTTCAATATCTTCCTCTTCTCTTCTCTCTGTAAAACCAAGATAGATCCATGTTAGGGGCAGCAATTCATTCAAATACAAAAGTGGAAAAAGTGAACTTTTTATCATTAAATAAGCTAAAAAGGATGTAACTCTTCTAAATAAAAGTTATAAAAACAAATAAAACGATAGATATCCCAAGACCTGAACTGTTGAAGATAGAAACTGGGAGCTTTTATGCCAGAGAAACTATGGAAAGTAAATATTTGAAGGTCTAACAGGAAAAACAAAAATAAAACTTATGTATACTATGGAAACCAATACCAATGGGTATAAGAATAACTACAATTAGCTCATTTGAATAGCATACAGGATACAGTTATAAAAATTAAAACACCTGCACTCAAGTTGCAAGTATATTAATTGGATTATGAAGCTAGCTCTAAGAATGCTAACTAAAACAGTCATTTTATGTCTAATATACAATACCATTCTTATTTAAAAACATACCTTATGAAAAATTAACAGAATAAATTTTATTGATCGTGAATGTTGAATCATCTATGCATCCTTGAAATAAATCCCATTTGATCATACTGTATTATCTTCGTGATGTACTATTGGATTTGTTTTGCTACTATTTTGTTGAGGATTTCTGCATCTAAATTCATCAGGAATATTGGTCTAAGTTTTCTTTTTATGTTGGGTCCTCGTCTTGTCTTGGTATTAGTGTAAAGCTGGCCTTGTAGCATGAGTTAGGAAGAATTCTCTCCTCTTCATATTTTTGGAATAGTTTGAAAGGAATTGGTGTTAGTTCTTCCTTAAAACCTTGGTAGAATTCAACAGTGAAGCCATCCAGTCTTGTTGGAAGACTGATCAACTTCCTTACTCATTATTGGTCTGCTCAGGTTTCCTATTCTTTCTGATTTAATCTTGGTAGCTACGTGTCCAGAAATTTCTTCATTTCTTCTAGGTTTTCCAATGTGTTGGCAAACATTTGTTCATAATTAGACTCTAACAATCCTTTTTATTTCTGTGGTATCAGTTGTAATATCTCCTTTTTTGATTTTGATTTTATTCATTTGGGTTTTCTCTTTTTCTTCTAATGGTTTATCAATTTAATTTAAAAATAAAACAACTTTTCATTTGTTTAATCTCATATTGTTTGTTTTTTGTTTGTTTTGAGACAGGGTCTCACTCTGTCACCCAGGCTGGAGTGCAGCAGCATAATCACAGCTCACTGCAACCTTGACTTCTCAGGCTCAATTGATCCTCCCACCTCAGCCTCCCGTGTAACTGGGACTACAGATGTGTGCCACCACATTCAGCTAATTTCTTTTTATTTTTCATAGAGACAGAGCCCCACTATATTGCCCAGGCTCGTCTTGAACTCCTGCCCTCAAGTGATCCTCCCACCTCAGCCTCCCAAAGTGCTAAGATTACAGGTGTGAGCCACCTCACCCAGCAATGTGTCTTCTTTTTTTATCTGTTTCATTTAGTTCTGCTCTGAACTTTATTATTTCTTTCCTTCTACTAACTTTGGGTTTGGTTTGTTGTTTTCCTAGTTCCTTGAAATACATCACTAAGTTCTTGATTTGAAATCTATTTTTTATGTAGGCATTTTTTGCTACAAACTTCCCTCCTAGTACTGTTTGTGCTATATTCTAAAGGTTTTGGTATATTTTGTTTCTACTTTAACTCATTTCAGAAATATTTTTTATTTTCTTAATTTCTTCATAACATATTGGACATTGAGACTAATTGTCTAACTGGACATTAGAGAAGCAAGCTGTATAATTTCCATATTATTTGTAAAGTTCCCAAAGTTCCTGTTGTTGATTTCTAGTGTTACTCCATTGTGAGCTACAAAGATACTTAATATAATTTTGATTTTTTACAAGTTGTTGAGACTTGTTTTCTGGCCTAACATATGGTCTATTCTGGAGAGTGTTCCATGAGCTGAAGAGAAGATGTGTGTTGTGCACCTACTGGATGCTATGTTCTGTAAATGTCTATTAGATTCATTTGGTCTACAGTGCAGTTTCAGATTGATAGTTCTTTGACAATTTTCTCCCTAGATGGTCTGACAAATGCTGAAAGTTAAATTCTCCAACTACAACTATATTGGAGTGTCTCTCTCCTTGTAGATATAATAATATCTGCTTTAAAAATCTGGGTGTTCTGGCGCTGGGCATTCACACATTTAAAACTGTTATATTCTCATGCTGAATTGGTCCCTTTATCATTATATAATGATCTTGTCTCTTTTTATCTCTTTTTGACAAAGTCTGTTTTGACTGATACAAGTATAGCTTATCCCTGCACACTTTGACTTTTCATTTACATACATTACATTTTTTCAATCCCTTTGCTTTCAGTCACTGTTTATCTTTACAGGTGAAGTGAGTTATTGTAGACAGCATATATTTGCATCCCATTTTTTTAATCCATTCAGCCAGTACATAACTTTCAATTAGAGAATTTACACTACTTATAATCAAGGTCATTAATGGGTTAGCACTTACTTCTGTCATTTTGTTGATCATTTTCTAATTGTTTTGTATATCCTTTGTTTCTCTCTTCCTCTCTGTTTATCTTTGTAGTTTGGTGGTTTTCTGTAATAACAATATTTGCATCCTTTCTCATTTGTGTGTCTGCTCTATAGGGAGCTTTTTACTTTTATGTGTTTTAACAGTGGTAGATACAGCTTTCTTTTGCTTCCAGATATATGACTCCCTTAAGCAGGGAGTCTAGCAGTGATGAATTCCCTCAGTGTTTGATTGGCTGGGAAAGACTATTTCTCCCTCACCTGTGAAGAACAGCTATACTGAGTAAAGCATTCTTACCTGACAGTTATTTTCTTTAAGCATTTTGTAGGTATCATCCAATTCTCTCCTAGTCTGTAAATTTTCTGCTAAAAAAAATTGATGTTGGTCTGATGGGCATTCTCTTATATGTGACTTGACACTTTTCTCTTGCTATTTTTATAAATCACTCTTTGCCTTTGCCTTTTGAAAATATGAATATAATATGTCTCACAGAAGAGTTTTTGAGTTGAATCTATTTGGGAATCTTTGAGCTTCGTGTATCTGGATGTCTATTTCTTTCCCAAGACTTAGAGAGTTTTCAGCTATTATTTCATTAAATAGGTTGTCTATGCCTTTTCCCATCTCTTCTCCTTCCAGTAATCCCAAAACACAAATATATATTTGCTTAATTTTATCCCACATGTCACGCAGACTTTTTAAATCTTTTTCTCTATTTTTCTTTTTTTGGTTTGTCTGGGTTATTTCAAGAAACCTATCTTCAAACTCAGAAATTATTTCTTGTCCTTGTCTAGTCTACTGATGAAGGTCTTGATTATATTTTTTATTTCCTTTATTGAATTATTTGATTCAAGAATTTCTATTTGGCTCTTTTTTTATATCTATCTCTTTGTTGAATTTCTCATTCTAATCAATTGTTTTCCTGATTTCTTTATATTGTCTACTTGTGTTCTCTGCGCTTCACTGAGTTTCCTTACAATCATTATTTTGAATTCCCTTTCAGGTCTTTTATAAATTTCTTTTTATTTGGGGTGTGTTATGGGAGAATTACTATGTTCCTTTGAGGTATCATGTTTCCTTTCTTTTTCAGATTTTTTTGTGTGTCCCTAAAGTGATATCTGTGCACCTCCTCTAATAATCACTTCTAATTTTATAGAGTAGCTTTAATAAGCTAAGACTTTTTCCTGCAGATGTATTTACAGCATCGATTAAGTAGAGTGTTTGGAGTTTTGGGTGGGAGCAGCCACATAGTCTCTGTGTGATTTCTTCAGCTATAATCATCAGCAGTGTCTGAGATTTCCTCAGTGGCTTAGGCTGCAGTTGTTTGTGGAGGCTTTGGTATGACTTTCATAGTGATGAAGATGAAGAGCCAAACCCAAGGTGGGTCTGTCCTTGAGCCCAAGTGGCATGTATATGGATACCAGCAGGCCCTAGTCACATCAGTCCTTCATCCCCGGGGCAGCAAACATAGGTTCTGGGAAGACTAGTCCTTGGGCCCCTGGGGGTTGTACTTGGGGAATGGCAGTAACAGTCAGGTGGCACATGTGATCGTATGGCAGTCCCACACTGGAGGTGGCGAGGTCGCTATTGGACAAAATTGGGAACTTGATAAGAAAGAAGAGTGTAGCAATGTGTTTTGGTAGATATGTAAATCACTAAAGGTAAAGTTCAAAATCTGAAATGCTCCAAAATCTGAAACTTTGAGTATCAAGATGACACTCAAAGGTTATGTTCAAAGGAAATGTTCATTGGAGCATTTCAGATTAGAGAGATTTGGATTAGAGGTGCTCAACCCGTAAGTATTATGCAAACATTCCAAAATCTAAAATACAAAACACTTCTGGTCCAAAGCATTTCAGATAAGGGATATTCAACCTGTATATTACAATTATATATTTTGGTACATAGCATGAGGTAAGAATCAAATTTTCCATTTTTCAAAACATTTGATATTTCTGTGTCATTTTATATAATTAACCATCTTTCTCAACTGATTTTAAGTTACACTTTGATCATATAATTAGTGTCTAGATAAGTTATTTCTATTTTTCTGGGCTACTAGTTCTGCTACATTATTCTCTGTGCTACTGTTAACACTGCTATCACCCTGTCTTAAGTACTATAGATTTATGATACGTTTTATTCATTGGCTGTTCAAATTATTTTTCTCCATATCTAAATTTTGTTCTTTTTTTTTTTTTTTTTTTTTTTTTTGAGATAGAGTCTTGCTCTGTCGCCCAGGCCAGAGTGCAGCGGTGTGATCTCGGCTCACTGCAACCTCCGCCTCCCAGGTTCAAGCAATTCTCCTGCCTCGGCCTCCTGAGTAGCTGGGATTTACAGGCTCATGCCATTATGCCCAGCTAATTTTTGTATTTTTTTTTTTTAGTAGAGACAGGGTTTCACCATGTTGACCAGGTTAGTCTCAAACTCCTGACCTCAAGTGATCCACCGGCCTCAGCCTCCCAAAGTGTTGGGATTACAGGTGTGAGCCACCATGCCCGGCCCTCATTTATTTCTCCACATGAACTTTAGAGCAATCCAAAAGGTCTAAAAATAAAATCCATTTGAACTGTATTTGAATTGCAAGGTAATTGCAAATAGATTCTGAGAGATTTAATATCTTGACAATTTCTGAACTTCCTTATCATAAACATGGCATGTGTTTATAATTATTCAACTTAGCACAGTGTTCTTCATACATGACCTGTATATTTTATGTTAAGTGTTAGGTATCCAAAGGACATTTGTACTCCTAGGTATTGTGTAGAAACTTTGCCTAATTTTGTATACATGTTTTATAATCAGGATTTTACTTATTTTGTCTTTCATTCAGATAAAAAAAATTATTAAGCAACTAAAAAGAGACTGTGTTAGGCAACAAAGATACAATGCTAGACAAGATAGAGAAATTCCTTGCCTCAAAGAATTTAAGGTCTAATAGAAGTGACTATAAAATAAATGACAATTATAATACATGGATGTATTAGTGATGTTATAGTGAAAACTACACAAGAATAAAGAAGAGCACCCTAACTATGCTTGTCAAAAATAATCCTTTTGGGATAAATACCTAAGCAAAGCTTGAAAGGAAAAATGAGTCAGCCAGGTAAGAAGGTGGGGGTATGTGGGAAAGACACAACAATAGAAGAATAGTATTTGAAGGTGTAAAGGTGCAAAAACTCTAAAGGCACTGAAAGACTTGAAGATAATAAGAACAGAAAATATTAAACAGAAATAAATGACACCAGAAATGAGTCAGGTACCAGATCACATAAGATATTTTAAGCCAGGCTAAGACATTTGGATTTTATTCTCACACTAATGAGGAGCCACTGAAGATTTAAGCACATGAGACATCAGGATAACTATATTTTAGGAAAAACTCAGGCTAAAGAAGGTGGATTAGAAGAATGGCAAAAATTACAATAGAAGGGCAAGACTGAAGGAAGTTACAGTAATCCAAACGAAAGTCAATGGTACCTTCACCAAGGGCAATAACAACAGGGAAGGAGAGTGTGGATGAGTTCCAAAAGTTGATTCTGTAGTGGGAAATAGACTAATTATTGATCCAGCCCAAATTTGTCTCTTGAACTCCAGACTTGAATAACCAACTGCTCCCTCTCAACATCTTTATTTGGATGTCTAATGAGCACCTGTACTTAACATGCCCAAAAGCAAACTCCTGACATATACGTGCCTACCTCCATATCTGCTCTCCCAACTATTTTCTTCAGCTTAAAAAATGGGAATGTTCTTTTTGCTATTTTCAAGTCAAACGCTTGAATTTTGCTACTATTCCCCTCACGATAATATCCTATCCATCAGTGAATCTAGTCGATTCTAACTCCAAAATATTCACTAAAGTAATCACTCCTCACCATTGCCCTGGCTACAATTTCTCTTTTTGTGGCCAACATATTTTTTCACCTGGACCACAGCCGGTTTCTAACTAGTCTCCTTGCTTTCAGGCTTGACTAGCTGTAGTCTCTCCACTACAGTGCAGCAAATGAATCCTGTTAAAAACTTAGTGGCAAAGCCTTCCCTTACTGCCTTATATAGAAAGCAAACTCTTCACCTGGTGTTCTCTATCACCATTGTTCTGACTTTTTTCTCCTTCAAAGCACTTACTCCTTACATATCATAAATTTGATATTGTCCCTCTTCCTCCATTAGAAGATAAGATCCTTAGAGGCAGAAACTTTGATTGTCACTATATTCTTAGCACCAGGATTAAAGCCTGGAACACATCAGGTGCTCAACAAATATCTTTTGGATGGACATACATGTGGTCACTTGTGTGTATGTATGTATGAATTGGCAGAGTAAAAGAGAATAAAGAGGATACTCAGGCTTAAGCAATCAGATAGATGATAATGATGATGTTTATTTAGATAAACGATGGTGATGTTTATTTAATTCAGCAACAGTTGAGGAACAGGTTTGGACTAGTCCAGTTTAAAACATGTTCAGTTACAGAAGCTCTTGTATATCCACATTAGTCATGTACAAGAGGCAGCTGGACATACAGATGTGGAGAAGAGAAAATGGGAATGATGATACAGGTATCAATCCTAGTAACTACTCCACTAACTGTCACAGGTTTTCCAGATACCATATAACAACACTTTCATCTCCTTATTCCCAGAATTTAAAACTTGTTTCTGGTCTTGTTGTATTAGTTAAAATTTTCAGATGAAGGCTAATAAAAAAGTTAGTAGGATTCCCTTCCTTAACCTGACCAAATAGCAATCCTCAACTTCTCAGAAAATGTATACATTTTATTTTCTTGTCTTTATTCTTAAGAGCAGACTGTAACTTTTTAAAATGTTTACTTTTCTCATCATTATCAGTATCCTTTTACATTCTGAAACATTTCGTAGTCTACCTAAAGAAAAACGTCAAAGACACAAGTAACCGTAAATTTTAAATCACATTTACTGAACCCCTATTAAGTACTGCACTGAAGGCTTTCTGTTTCCGTTTCTTATATAATTCTCATTATAGTCATCCTAATACTACTACTAGTATCATTGTCATCATCATCATCACAATAAGGAAAAATAACGCTTAGGGTAATTTTAAGCAATAAATCTGATAAAAGAATGATGACCACCTGACTTGGACTCCAATATTCTTTTCACTATCTATGAAGTATGTTAGGTGTCACAGTTTAAAAAAAAACAAATACAAGCAACCTTCACCACTTCAACCTCCAAATAAGACACTGATATAATTTAACCAATTCTACCTTTTGAAAATAAAAATGACAAATTAGACTCACTTAATTTAATGTATCAGCATACTCAGGATGGTGAGTATATACCCAGTAAGGTAATCCTCTTCTACCATCTTCACTGCTATCATATAGTCATAGGATTGTTGGGACAAAGGATCAATGGAACTTAGATAGTGAGAATATGGACAAAGGGATACAAAGAAGCAGAACTGCCTAAGAGAGAAAACAACAGAAATTTTAAAACCAAAAGAGAAATACTTTTTTGTTGATATGAAGCCAGATAATGAGTCTATTATACAAAAAGATTGATTTGGAAAAATCTTTCATATTGAGAGATAACAAAAGTTTTGTTTGTTTTTTATTTTTTAATGCAATCAGGGCTGCATCAGTGGAAAACCAGCAAAAATGTTTTATGCAAAGACCACTGATAAAGCCGCACATAAATGTTGGCAACAATAAGGATGAATTAAAAACAAATGAGAATAAAGGAGGACATTTAGTGAGAATGAAGTTTTTGTACAAAATACTATTTCTGCTAGCCATGCTGGCAATACCTCTGGTAAAATACTAGCATGCCTGGAGGAAGGGCAGGGTCCTCTGTCTGGGAACTCAGGCCTGGAATCCTGACAACAGGTTCTACATCCCAGCCTGCCACATGCTAGTAGCTAAACCTCATTATGGCTGTGATTGCTCACCTATGATATAGGGATACTGGCCCTCTATGAGTAGTTGTGAAAATGAAATGAGATGATAAATACCTTCATGTAACCCTCCCCCTGTGGTGACAAAGAAGAGTACGATCAGAGTCCATAAACACAATTTAGCATTCAAGAGTAAAGCACACTTCAGGCTCAAACCCATGAATCGGTGGAGCTACTCTTCTAAAGCCAGTACAAAATACACTTACTCTGAAAGACTAGATTTTCTCAAATATAACATGAAACTCTGAATCATAAAGTCAGATTATTAGTGCCATCTATACTTGTGATCTAGCTTTGTTGCCATTAGAGTTTTGTGTTTAATCTTACTTCCTAGAGATGCTGTGTAAGGCTCCATTTTTCCAAGAGAAGATTAATACCGTTCAAAAACTGTTCTGATCACTAACACAGCATATGCAGCATTTTATAAGGGTTTTATGTCAGAATGAAGTCAAAGATGACAAAAGTTCCTATGTTGCCAAGAGCCATGAACTGAAAAAGTCTCTTTTAATTACATTTTCTCTTCATTCTTTTTCTATTTTCAAAGTTTCAAAAATAGTAGCAAAATTATGTAAAGAATATCATTTCAAAATCCTTTCTTTCATACTAAATTTTCCATTTAAAAATCATAATTCCATGTCACATGGTTATACATATTATTCCAGTTCATTTTCCATTATGTACTAATCAGATTGATTAAAAATATAGCTTTTTAGGAGTAAGATTTCATATAAATGTTATCATACATTATTTCACCATTGCAAAAGAAAAAACACCTCAGAATATGCAGTCTTAAATGTTTTAGTAGTCAGTATAGGCATAAAAGGTAATAAAAACCAGTTTTCTCTTTCTATAACTGAGTATTTTAAATCAGTAAATGTTACTAATAAGTGTTTACTCTGCTTTTGTTGGTGCTCCCTGGTTAAATGTATCTTATGACAATAGGCACTTAAAATATTAAGCCTTTTAAGTTTTTTTCTGGTATGCCTTTAGCATAGATATTATTAAATTTTACATGTTAATGTTTATAATAAATTACCTTTCTAAATAGACTGTAATTACACTAGCCTTAAGAGTATGAAAATAAGTATATCTGAATAAATAAGCAAGCATTCTTCTCTATGACACAGAGAGAAGATAATAAATTCAACTCAACTAAAAAAATAAAGTAAGCAAAATAATTTACCTAGAAAATGAAAAACACCAGTCCCTGACAGTCTTCAAATGGGGAGATATCTATGAATTACTTGCATAATGGCTGTTATTTTTCTTTGCCTTCTAACTCATGAGATTCTAAGAGGCTGATAAAGAGTATCAAAATTTGAAAGATACAAATTTTTGAACCAGAACGGCCCTTCAGTATGGACTTTAACCACCTCATTCTATAAATCAGGAAACCTAAGCAGAGAATATAAGCTACATGCTGAAGGTGGCACAAGGCTTGGCTATGAGCAGACCTGAGACCAGGAACTGACCACCACACAGCAAGCCTAGAGCATCCTCTGGGACATGGAATTTGCATGAGGAAAGCAGTCTGCAACCAAGCACATTAGAAAGGATAACTCCCCACACTTTGCATTTACACTTGATCCAAATTTTCCCTTGCTGTACATGTTCACCAGGACAGTTAGTGGAAACTGAATAGGCCTGAGGGAGGGAAGAGAAATGTTTAGTCTCCAGAACACAATAAACAGGATTTAAAGCTTTGGGAAATAACTACACAGTTGACTCTTGAACAACACGTGCTTGCACTGCACAGGTACACTTATATGCAGGTATTTTTCAATAAATGTAGTCAGTTTTCCATATTGACAGACTCCCATTTGCAACCAAACACAGACTGAAACTACAGTATTCTCAAGAAGCAAAGCCTGTGGATATGCAAGGTCAACTGCAGGCTGGGCAGAACCAACTTTAGGACTTGAGTATGTGTGGATTTTAGTATCTGTTGGGTTCCTGGAAATAATCCCCTGCAAATACAGAAGGATGACTCTGGTTCCAAAGGAAAAGTCAAGAATGCGCCTATCACTACCTCTCAAGTAGTGGGTAACTTTGCTTTGGATAGGGTTCAGTTATTCAGCAATATAGTAGAATGGAATACACTTGATAAACTTAAAGGTCAGAAATGGAGAATAGGCAAACGACTGAGAAAAAAACTAAATTTCTGAGAGTTAACAATATAGGTGGTTGATAGGACAATATGGTTTCAAAGAAGGTTTAGGTAGCTCAAAAGCAAATGATACAGAATACATAGGAAAAAAAGTCAAAAAATTTGGAATGTTTTTATGAGATGGCAATAGACCGTTGGGAAAATATCGAAGTAAATGCTTTGGTATTGAAAATCACATTGTATAAATCACTTTAGTCATATCTGGCTTCCCAAACCAAGTTTTAATATTTCTAGGCACATAAATAAATGGGTGTGTACCTAACTACATAGAAAATAATCAGTGGAGAAACAGATAGGCTATTTTTCTATTCAAATACTAATATATGACTGCCATAACTAATCAGGATATTTTACTAGCAAAAAGAAGTCTGTTTGACAATTCAAGGCTAAGAATTATATAATATATAGGAAGAGTAGCTGAAGCCCTAAATAAAATTTTGTGAAACAGATTATTTCAACTGTAGCAATCATAAAAAATGTAGCAGATAAATGCGTATTTCTCTTTCTGTGACATTCTGTTTTAGCAGACAATGTCACAAAACAAACAGTCTTGAAGGTCTTTTTTCTGCAAGTCAAGTCCTACATGGACAGGAATAAGAATCTCACTACTTAATAAACCCTTCATTATGGGTATATCTAGATTTTTTTTAGCCATAGTCATATGTACAAAAGAACTGTTAAAGTATCGGGAAATACCTTGTTAAAAAACTTAAAGTACATACCTCAAAACAATAAAGATTTTTACAAAGGCTACCTAAAGAATGCTTCCCCTACCTCTTTAATCCTATATGAAATTAAAAATCAAAATATTTCATAAAAACTGCTTAATATCCAAGGACCTTCTAAATTATAATAATTAGCAACTTTGCTCATCTCAAAAGTACGACCCCTACAAAAAGAACCATTTTATTGAGGTCTCCTTGGGTATAATCACCCCCTCATAACCAAAGATTTAACTAGCAGAAAAACAAGAGTTCAAATCAAATAAAATATTAACACCATTCAAAATAACAGATGAAACAACTTTTTAAATTCACAAGCTGTGGATTAGGGAGAAAAATAATCCTGAAAAGTTAAGCCTATCTATCACATATATCTTAGTGTTAACTGGGTTCATTACAATTTGAGATGAGCTCTGACTGAATAGATCTAAGGACTGAGAGAAGAAAGTAAAAGATATCAGGAAAGAGAGTTCAAAACCCGACTGAAGGAAAACTGAATCCTGTTCTAACATCATCTATCTTGGCTCATCACAACTTCTCCAGAAAACATCCATAAATTTTTATGTGCCCTCAAAATCTCACCACCATAAGAAATACTTCTAGTATCTGGCCCCTGTGAATTCTTCTTGAATGTTGGTGTTTCCCAGTCATGGAATCATACATGTATATTCATAAAAATTAATTTGTCCAGCTGGGCACGGTGGCTCACGCCTATAATCCCAGCACTTTGGGAGGCTGAGGTGGGCGGATCATGAGGTCAGGAGATCGAGACCATCCTGGCTAACATGGTGAAACCCCATCTCTACTAAAAATACAAAAAATTAGCTGGGCGTGGTGGCGGGTTCCTGTTGTCGCAGCTACTCGGGAGGCTGAGGCAGGAGAATGGCTTGAAACCGGGAGGCAGAGCTTGCAGTGAGCTGAGATTGCACCACTGCACTCCAGCCTGGGCAACAGAGCAAGACTCCATCTCAAAAAAAAAAAAACATAATAATAATAATTTTTCCACTATTTTTACGTATAACATTCTCTCATATGTTCTCTGATGGTAGAAATATATCTCTGCTAGAATAAATTACAAAACCAACTCTGAAAGTTAATGTATGACATACGAAGACATATACAAAAGAAAGTACAAGAGAGGAGAAAAGTCATGAGTGAGAACTCAGTGTACATTCCTAATTTAGAAGAACTAAATCCAAATGATAACACAGGTAATTCAGGATCTCTAGCATGGTGTCGAATGGAAAGAGTTGATAAACCAGCTTACTAGTATTTGTACACACAATGCTAAGCAACTTGAGACTAGAAGAAGTAACAATACATTATATTAACAAACAGATAAAAAGCAATGCCACATTAAATCATAGGCAGACCATCCTGGCATATTCCTGGGGAAAACAGAACACAATCATCAAAACAGCCAGAGTGATTATCCAAAACTTGATAGAAGAGAAGTGATCTGACACAAAAATGACCATTATTCCAAAATACTGAAAAAGAATTGACTGACAGCAAAATGGTCAAGCTTAAGTAGTAGAATTTTACAATAAACTTACTTCTATATTTGATGACAGCATGCCTATAATTTTGTGATCTTGTTTTGGGAGGTGGGGAGGCAGGGGAGGGGACGGGAAGCAAAAAAAGAAAGAAAATGCTTTATTGTGTGGGGAATGGAGTGTGGGTGTGCCAGGGTAGAAAAGAGGAGGAGAAGGTAGAGACAATACCTAGGTATTTGTTCAACTGAACTCAACTTTTATTATCTGGACTTTCTGATACGTAGTTATCCTGTCTCTCTCTCTCTGCTTTTACGTTCTTGTTTTTGATAGCTCAGTTGGGAATTCAAGTCACTTGCCCAGTTTCTCAGTTATTAAATCTTTATTTCTCTGTGCTCTAAGAATAATGCCCCAGTTAGCATTCCAGATCATTCTGGTCTCCAATTGGTCTAGCTAATTGGAGTTCCATTATTTGCCTGATCTGTGTTCTAGAATAAACTATTCTGTGCTAGTTTCTGTCCCCACAATCTCCTGAATTTGGAATTTTTATTAATCTGGGCTGTTAAAATTTGTAGTTCTATGTTATCTTACCTTCTGGCTGGAGCTTGTGTTGTGTACATCCTATATAGCTATTTATAACACCCGGCTTGCAGTGGCACAGGCCTGTAATCTCAGCACTTTGGGAGGCCAAGGCTGGAGTATTGCTTGAGGCCAGGATTTCAAGACCAGCCTGGGCAACAAAATGAGTACTCATCTCCACAAAAAACGTAAAAATTAGCTGGGCATAGTGGTATGTACCTGTAGTGCTAGCTACTCAGGAGGATGAAGTGGGAGGATCACTTGTGCCCAGGAGTTTGAGGCTGCAGTGAGCTAAGATCATGCCACTGCATTCTAGCCTGGGCAACAGAGGCAGACCTTGTTTGGAAAAAAAAAAAAAATTAATAAAATGCCCAGCTCACATACAGACCTCTTTTCCACTGTACCATCTAACTGCAACCCAAATGTTCCATATACACTTCCCTAGTAGTATAAGGAGGTGAGGTTAAAGGAAGACTAGCAGGATTCATTTTATATTGTGATTAGAAAATGATATTTTTAAAAATAATCTTCCTGAGAGAGTAGAGAATGGGGAGTTAGTGTTTAATGGGTACAGAGTATCAGCTGGAGAAGATAAGTTCTAAAGACGGATGGTACTGATGGATGCACAACGTTAGTGTTGCTAATGCCACAGAACTGTACAGTTAAACATGGTTAAAACGGTAAAATTTTGTTATGTATTCTTAACCACAACATTTAAAAATAGAAAAAAATTTCTTTATGAGGCTTGATTTCAAATCACTCATTTTAATTTGACCTCTTGATTTGAAAATTTATGTAGGAATCATGTAGTTAAAATTTTGCTTTGTCAAATGAAGAACAAAAATCTAAGTGGCTGTAAAATTAATCAGACCAAACTGGGATCATTTAAAATGTATACGTTCTTTCCCAAGAGGTGTTCAAAGGCAGAGTTGGTCCTTATTCACTGCACACCTCAAACTTATACATTGGTTTGACTATTTATATAATGATATAGATAATGCTGTTACAAAATAACGATTTCTCTTCTACCTCTCACCCAGATTACCTCTCCAAATTGTACAAAGAATTTCATTCTTGGGCAATTCAGTGTTTCAAGAACCTAATCGCATTTCTATTTCCTTGAATACCCAGCTCTCAGATTTCTAAGCTTATAGTAGCCCATATCAATTACTCCGTCATTAAAGGTGCATAGTGATAAAGCCAGGGCAGACTTTTACATGAAAGGAAGATCTTCATCTTTTCCTACACAGAAACTGACTCTCTTCAGCTTCTTGTTCTTTGTCGCATAAAGACAGGTGGCACATGGATAATGTATAGAATTAGATTCTGGAAAGGAAACCCAAGCCATCCTTATGCTTAAAAGCCTCAAACCATTTACCCAGGACCAGAGACCAGGGAGATGTATTTGGAATATTCAGACAAAAGCCAAGTTAACAATGAAATGGCTCTTTATCTAGGTTTGTTGTGGATCCCTGTATATACATATTGACTTATATTGACTAAGGCAAAGTCACCTTTTATTTTCTAGTTAAACAATACATATGTATATGTATCTACAGGGAGAATGAGGCGTGTGTGTGTGTGTGTGTGTGTGTGTGTGTGTGTGTATCACTAAGGAATCCCACAGGAAAAATGGAGAGCTAAGCCAAGTCAGGATTCAGAAATCCCTGGATGGTTTATAATCCTTCAAGCCCCAACAAAAACTCCAAAGAATATAAAATAAGCAATACTTTCATCCCCTTGCCAATGTCCATATTTAAAGTTAGGCTACTTATAAAATGAAAATCTCCCAATGTTTTCGAGCCTGCCCCCACTCCCCTAAACAATCTTACCTTCAGTGTAACAACCAAATCTGCTATTAAAAAGAACGTACTTAACAGAGCTGTATTGTGAAATGGGGAGCGAGGTAACCTTTCGTTAATGGGAATGCAGTGGCTTAAATTGTATTAGAAATCTCACTTTAAACTCAATTACTTTACAATTATGTTTGGCCACCTGACACTTGGGCAGAGAAGAATTAACATCTTAGTGAAGAAGAATCTTTACAAGAACTGAAATATCCCTTACTGTAAACTCCCCAACCTAACTAATTAAAAACTATCTTTAAATGCTTCATGAAAATGTCAGAAAGTAAAAGTTTTTGTTCAAAAGACATACACCAACAAGCCAACGCAGAACAGAACAATACTAAACAGAATACCTCTGACATCCAGGAACACCTATTAATTGGGACTCTGGCTCATGTCAAAATTTCTAATCTCTAAAATGTTTGAATAAATCATATTCATATGCTTAAGACTATTTTACTTCATGTTGGAAACATCAAATCTGTATTTCATATAATTTCTTGAATTTCTGTAAGACTCAAATCCTTTTTTTCCCAATTAAAATGGACAGTGGGATATTATCTAATGGACAGTGGAATATCATCTAATTAAAAAAAATCTCCAATAAGAAACCATTATTTCCAATAAGAAAACTAACCCATAAGAGGCTAAGGGCCTGGCAAATGAAAATGAGGACTCTGGACTCTCATTCTTGTGCTGATGCCATCCTGGCCATTCAAAGCCTATCTAGCCCATCAGTAGAAACTGCAAATGTGATGACAGAAGAACTAAATGAAATTAAAAGCAGAATGACTAAGATTCATTCTACCCTGCAGAGAAAGTAGAGCCAGATAATAATTGGAGATGATAACTGGAGATTAATATTTTTCTTTCCTGAAATTTGTCCAATAGCCTTGCCATTTCAGGATCAATGGCATTTATTTCCTCTGGGGAGAAAAGATAAACCCTAGAATAAGAGGTCATTCCTGAGCACTGAGTATAAAATTAGATTTCTGTTAATATCTACAGTGAGACAATAGTCTTGAAAGCTATGTGGTTCAATTGCAAAAGCTGGTTACTTACAGGAAAAAAAATTAATGCAGTCACAAAACATTCCTTTAACTATATAAAACTGAGAATAGGGCCCTACTATAAGGAGTGGCTAGGAAGGATGCAGCACATGAGAAAAGGACAGAGTGTCAGACATAGGGAAGACACAAAAGCCCTTCCTGGGCCAAGAGAGAACTCGCAGGGGATCAGAAGGACAAGATCAGAATTCATATACACCTCTGGAGGGTGTGCTCTCTTCCTCCTCCCTCATGGTGCAAGGCTGAAGGAGAGCCACCTGGGGAGTAACTCCAAAGAATAACTAAATAACTAAAGAGATATTAGAGACCCCCAGAGCAGAGGGTATTTGTGGCCAGCTTCCTGTCTGGACCTCCACAGGAAGACCGCCTCACAGAAGCCTCTACCAATATGGGGCAAGCGCTAGAGACAAAAATAGTGCATAGTATGTTTAGACAAGTGTGCTTGTGACAATATCTTGCTTTGTAAGTGGTTAATGGGAGATGTAAAAGCACTAAAAGAGTCAGCGGACATATTTTCAAAAAATATTTACTACGTTGCACTAGATTTTTCAAGTAACAACTGAAAAATTCTCATTGGATATAAAATCCCCTGCAACTCAATTAGGAAAAAAAATGTATACTAGCAGCAAATATCATATTTCATATTTCAAAGAATAAGGCAGCAAAGAAGGATGGCAAAAAAAATCTATTTCTTCCCAATATGTACATGCAAAGGCCCAAAGGCATTATAACATATAAAACACGTATTTCTATTGACCTATGTAATACCTTATCTCAAATTATCAAATTTAACATCTTATCCCCATACTTAGCTCTTTTGGCTTAGTTTCCCAAATACTCATAATGATTTCTCAGCTTTTCACAAGCTGCTCCTTCTAAGCCTGAAGAAGATATATATGATTTTTCACTTCATCAATTACTTCCATCCTCAAATTTGAGCAAATATTCTTCAGGATAACCATTATACAGATTTCCTTCATTACAAATGAGTGTCCCTTTTGATCACAGGCACCATTTGGAATAATTAACTATCAAATATATTGCTTTCTGAATGGAGTTTATTGAATTAATGTAACCCTGTGTATGTAATATACTTGACAAAAATTTCTTTCACTTTGAAAAGCTAAGGTCATTTCTAAGCTGTAACTTTAAAAATAAAACAAATGACTCACAGATCTTGCAACAATTTTTTTAGATTCATTTATATTGACTAAGGCAAAGTTGCCTTTTTATTTTCTAGTTAATACACATCAAAATATATAAGGATTTCAAAAAAATCTAAACATGCTATTCCAGCTAATTGCCATATTATTCTAGATTTGTCCCCCAGGAAAAGATATTGACTTTTTAAAGTTCATTGTGAAACAATTCAAACAATATAGAAGTACAATTTTTAAAAAGTAAAGTTTCCCCACACATTAATACAAATATTCCCCAAAGGAAACTATTGAAATGATAGTTATTGTTAACAAAAGCTACTGCTGGTAGCCTTCTGAAAGGCTACACATATAAGTGTATAAGGGTGTACATAAACAAAAAAGATGTATACACATGTATACAAATATACAATTGAAGGGTTTTTTTCCTTAATTAAATGAGCTCATACCATATACATTATTTTGCATTTTACTTGTTTCACAAAGCAATAAACCCAGTGTAATTTTCCATGTTCATATGTCTAGATCAACAACATTTGTTTTAACAGCTTCATAGCATATCACCTGGTACCATAATTTGGCTACATATAATAATTTAGCTATTTTCCTTATTAATGAGCATTTAAGTTGTTTATAAATCTTTGCTATCAATATTACTAAAATATTCTTGCATATTTTTCCATATATATATAAGCATTTGTTGCATCTACTTTTAACTGTGCCGATGTAATAATCTCGTTCTCTTATGAGAAAAGACATATGATCAATTTAACACCGTTAGCACATTTCCTCTTCTATCGAGTCTGAACAAAATGGGCTTTCTGGTTTTTAAAAAAAGTTTATTTTGGCAGTTTATTTCTTAATGTCAACGAAGATCAGCAGTTTCAAAGAATTGTAGAATGTTAAGCTACCAAGAACTCTTATTTTATAGATATGTAACTAAGGCCTGGAGAATTGATTTCTCCAAGGCACACAGCTACCTAGTGGTAGATTCAAGACAAGAAATCGGCTTCCTGCTTCTAGACCACTGTTACTGTACCACACTCCATTTCCTGGGGAAGGACGAACACAGACACACAGGACCAAGAAAGCCCTGTTAGAACAATAATAGCAACTGGAAATGTAATAGCTCTCAATATGGAGCTCCTCTGAGGGCTTCCCTGTCATGATAAAGAAAATCTTAATCTATTTCGTTCATTCATTCACTCACTCACTCCCTCCCAAATCACTGAGTTAGGCTCTCTATAGAAGAATACAGAAAAGTCAAATGTTAAGGCTTGCTCATAAAGAATCTCGGTTGAAATTGGAACAATAAGATGTGAAGATGTGAAGATCTATTGGAACAATAAGATGTGAAGATATAAAATTATACAATAACATAATCATTTATATAAAGTGAAAAGCATTACAGAGTTCAAGCAAATTCTGATATTTATTCTATCAGAAGCCCAGTAAAAGTTTATTAAAAGGATAGTAAATTTTTCAATGACCAAAGGCTTTGATTGGCCTCAATTATTTGAGGTCTCACTAATACTTATTAATAATAACAATTACTACTATTTCCTTGAGGCCAACCAAGGGAAAAGATGATGGAGGCTGGGCACGGTAGCTCATGCCTGCAAACCCAGCACTTTGAGAGGTCAAGGTGGAAGGATCACTTGAGGCCAGGAGTTCAAGACCAGCCTGGGCAACATGGCAAGACCATGTCTCTACAAGAAAAATTTTAAAATTAGCTGGGCATACTAACTCATACTTGTAGTCCCAGCTACTTGAGAGGCTGAGGCAGGAGGATCCCTTGAGCCCAGGAATTCAAGGTTGCAGTGTGTGATAATCATGTCACTGCACTCCAGCCTGGGTGACTGAGCATGACACTGTCTCAAAAAAAAAAATGATGGAGGACTTAGAAAGTTAAAAGAGGCAATAACATCTCAGTAGATGGACCAGGAAAATCTTCACAAAGTAAATGGTATTACATGTAGGCCATGAATGATTAACAGGGGACAAAACTGGAATGCATTCCTTTCCTCTCTTCTCTATGAAGAGCTATTTTCCAAATATAAATATATGCATTTGTATACATACAGAGAAAGAAGCAAACTATGGCTCTGAATAAGTTTTCCATACAGTGTAGAAGAAAATTTGACTAAAATATAGATGAATCCAAAAGCTTTAGGCATTTGCAGTTTTATTTTCTGGAAGACAACTGGAGAATAGGAACACTTGTTTCAAAAATTATCACACATAACCAATCTTCACAAGGAAGCAGAATCGTAAGGACTCAAATTTGGAAAGAAAAATTGATAGATTTGACTTCTACTGCTACCCATACCTTGTGTACAATGGGATTTTTGATAGTTTGTTTAAATATATACATTTATTATTAATGCATAGTTGAATTAAAAACTACTATGTTTAACACTAACTTGTTTCTAGCAACTTTTCTGTGTGTTAGAAAAAAAGGGGGGGGGCTATTATCCTTTATACCTCCTTTTAGAACCTTTTAGAAAGGAGAGAGGCAAAACATGTGGAAAGAACTTGCCCTTAGTAATCAATCTTTCCAGGCTCATAACTGGCCACTAACTAACTTGTAACACCACCACTCCCTCTTGCGGGCCAGCAACACCATCATCAACATCTACATAACTATGCCCTAAGCTAGGGGTATTTCAATATTGTACCAATGCTTCCTTTGCCCCTACCACTCCTACTGCTGGATTGGCCCTCACCTTCCTCCCTGCTTTCAAAAATCATATACTCATGCTTCAAAACAACTCAAATGTTTCTTTGAAGATTTTCCAAAAAATCCACACCTCAAATCTCATCTCCTGCCCTTGTCTCCAGTCACACTAAACTTCTGATGGATCCTAGATCACAGATTCTTTCCAATCTGAGGACCTTCCATGACTATCCTCTCTAAACACACCCCTCATCATACCTTGCTCATTTACTTTCATAGCACATTCAAAAACTACAGTCATTTTTGTTGGCCTATTTATTTTCTGTCTTCTCCATTAGATTATATACTATAGGAAAGCAAGAAGTTATCTGCTCAGCACTGTATCCCAGGAGCTAGGACAGTACCTTTCATGGGAGAGGCATCCAATGTTATTTGCTGCTTGGCTGAATAACTGTTCAGCTGGCTGCATGATTTGCCATGATGGACCCAGTAACCAAAACGAGAGCCCTGCTTACTGATAGCAGATAGCTGCAATCCTAGGCATAGTACTAAGTAGCAGCTAGCCTTGAGGGAATATGACTTGTATATCCAATTTCACTTGCTGACAGAAAAAAAAAAAAAGCCACACTAGCACTAAGACTTAAGCACTTAATACAATAGGAATCACAGAGCTCTGAGAAGAAATAGTCCTTAAGCACAAAGCTGCTGGGCTAGGAAATAGGGAGGCCCTCTTCCACAGAGGAATATTGACATGAGAACCAGGGTCAAGAGGTACAGGTGAGTATTTCTGTCCTGTTTCCTTCATGACTCAAGGTTAATTTACAAGTATTTTCCATAACAATTATAATTTTACCAAAAAAAGATTAAAAATCTATGAATTAAAATTTAAATGAAAGCTTCACATATTAAAAATATGCTTACGAAGAAAAAATGAAGACGAACACTCTGGCTTATTACTGAAAGCTTATACATTAAGTAGGCAGTGAGTTACAGAGAGCTGTCTCCATAGTGGACATAAAAAATAAGAAAATATTTCTCAATGATCAACAAATAACCCAAATATGTCAAATGATATCTCTACTGGCAACACTTTTATGGCTTCCATACTTAGCGCTCAGATTTTTTTCATCTATTAAATGAGAAAATGATAGCTATGATCTAGTAACTTTACAATCCTATGATGATTGAACAATCTTCCACTTTTTTGTACTTCTGTTACATGTTGCAAAGCATTGTGTTCCTATTATATTGTCCTTTCAGCTAAAATGGTTAAGTAAAAACAAATATTTGCACAACATTTTACAGTTTACAAAGCACAGAATCCAGTTTGGATACAATGCACCAAGTTCAAGATTATTAATGATGGGGAAAGTGATGAGAGAAAAAAACCTCCCGAACACTACCTGATACCATTCTTTACATTGTTCATTTCTTCCAAAAAAAGAGAAGTATTTGAAGTTTATGCTCAATAGATAGCATATGAAACACAATGTTCACAACAATAAATTTTAAAAGTTCCTAAAGAGTATATAGACAGCTAATTTGAAGTAGCACACAAATAAACAAATGCTAAAAAAGCACTTGAGTCATTTAAAATACATGCAAACACACAAAGAGAAACAAACATGTTGCTGATGAGTACTGGCCCATGCTTACCTACTTAGACAGCTATTGTGTACAATATTTTAATTCAATCATACTTAAAATTGCAAAGTTATTCTTCTAAAAATGTAAGTACATAACGGATATGTTATTTTTTTTAACTATACCACCACTGCCAGGCACAACTTTAAAATAAAATGTAATACAAAAATGAGAACATTTGAAAATCTGGTACGATAAGGGAAAAAAACTCTTAAGATAAAATGGATGCTGAAGTGTTGAGTTGCACCCAGGGGTCAACAACATTGTGTCTATTATTCAGCTGAAACACAGAATTTGCCTTTAGATACCATTTTAATGTTAAATCAAGAACTGTCAATCAGCACCATTTGTTTGTAATCCCTCATCAGAACCCATTGCCTCAGTCTGAACATTCATAGGAAAGAATGCAGAGGGCATATCTGCAACCACTTAACCTTCATCAACCAACATTCATGCATGCTCATTAACATTTTTTTCATCCCACTTTCGAGCATGACACAGCTCATACCGGAATAATAACTCGCTGATAATTGTTCTAGACAACAGCTGGACAGGCAGAGTGCAGAGGTGAACATTCTCATAGATTATGGGGTACTGTAATGCATTACAATTAGTAAAAGAGTCACATGTTCGTGTTGAATAGCTTTCAACAGAAGTGAAGGAAATGTCATTATCACAAACAGCAATCTCCTCTAACTTTAACTCTGCATGGTCCACCGCCTGATTCTCTTAACGCTTTCCTATTTTGAAATAAACCAATGAAAAACATTGACCCTGTTACTGTACTATTTCATGAAAAGAAGTAATATTTTTGATGTGTTACAATCAGACACGATCTAAATTTGTGATTTAATTTAAAGACAGAAAAGCAGGAGGAGGGAGAGGAGGAGGAAGAGAAGAGTTTCACATCTTACTAATAACAATTGTTTTGAGCATGATGGTGTACACCTGTAGACCCAGCTACTCAGGAGGCTGAGGTGGGAGGATCATCACTTGAGCCCCGGATGCGGAGGATGCAGTGAACTGAGATCATGCCACTGCACTCCAGCCTGGGCAACAGAGCAAGACTCTGTATTTAAAAAAAAAAAACAAACAAACCACAATCGTTTTGCATGAAGTCCCATAAAATCATTATTTATTATTTTTGCTTTAAACTGTCAATTCAGAAAAATAAATTAATATCACTGAAGAAATCTGGAATATCAATAAAAAAGGAGTCCTACATAGGGAAGGGAATTTAGAATCCAGTCCAACATCCTATTCATAACAGCTTTGATAGCTACTTCTTTGCCATAATGCAATAAAAATAAAATGGAATTAATATGATAATGATAATACTAGTTGCCATTTTTAGAGTAATGTGAGTCAGGTATCATACCAGGCACTCAACAGACACAGTCTCTTAATAATCCTAAAAGTAGTATTAACTCTCTTTTTCAGATGAGAAAATTAAAGCTAATCTGAAAGAGACTGAAAATTCATCCCAAGTCAAAACATTATGGAGACAGGATTCCAACCAGGTAGTCTGATTCCAAAGCCGATGCTTTTCACCTGGCTTCATGGTTAATTTCCACATTAGAATCTTGTTTATTTTCCATTATTTCATCCCAATTCCTTGGCTGTACAATTCTTTGACTCTGTAGAATTAGACCTATTTCTAGAAGGTCTTTATTCCAAGACATAGCATTTATACTTCCACATTTTCTACTCTCCTTGTGTCCAAGAAACCTGCTCTTAACACTCAGATAATCTCTAGTCCCTGTACGTCTACCTAGTTTCCATTACACTTAGTTTTTGTTGTTGTTGTTTTTAGAGATGGGGTCTCACTTGGTCACCAAGGCTGAAGTGCAGTGGTGTGATCATAGCTTACTGCAGCTTCAAAACTCCTGGCCTCAAGTGATCTTCCTGCCTTGGCCTCCCATGTAGCTAGAGCTACAGGCATGGGTTTATCAGGCCCAGTGTGTTTTTTCGTATATATGTTGGGTGTTTGTTTTTGTTTTTGCTATATTGCCCAAGCTGGTCTTAAACTCCTGGTCTCAAGCAATCCTCCCACCTTGGCCTCCCAAAGCACTGGGGTTGTAGGTGTGAGCTACCTCACCAGCCCATGCTTTAGATTTTCTAATCAAACTTCTTAATGTGGTTCTTTCTACACCCTTTCTCTGCCTTGCTTGACATAAAAAGAAAGAAGGAAGGAAGGAAGGAAGGAAGGAAGGAAGGAAGGAAGGAAGGAAGGAAGGAAGGAAGGAAGGAAACTTCAACAAATTTCATTTAAAGATCTAATTTAAAGATCTTATACATGATTCATTAATCAGGTAGCATCTCATCTAAAAATGTAGAAAAGTGCCACAATAAACTGAGCAGAGATGGTTGATTTTATAGCTAGAGAAGGGGTAAAGAAAGCAGGAAGAAGGAACAAAAAACAGACTGGTCATTTTTGAGTTACTTTCTTTATAGGGTTAAAACAGGGGACTTCCTTATCATATAGGCTCAGGTAAAATAGGCCCCTTCTGATTGGCTGCTGCGAATCTCCTATTTTTCAGAAAACTGGCACATGTTAAAGTTCAATTTGATTAAATGGCACCTAGCACAAGTGACTCCATTCTGGTTTGATCTGGCATGTTAAGGCCAAGTGCAACAGCTTAGTAAAAGACAATGGCCTCCCATGAATTTTGTTTAGCAACATTTAGTCACAAATATCTGGGAGAGGGGAATCAAGAAACCTAATAGATATAACAGTCTATATCTCTAGTCCTACTTGTGATTGGTGCTCCTTGTTGAAGGAAATCACATCACCTGCAATGGGATCTACTATAATTTAATAATATAATCTGAAATAAAACCTCAGTAATATAACCAGGGTCAGCAAACTATAGCCCCATGGGCCAAGACCAGTTTGCTACCTGTTTTAATAAATGAAGTATAAGAGGAACACATATATGACCATTAGTTTATATAGAGTCTGTGGCTGCTTTCACACTGCAATAGCACAGCTGAGTAGCTGTGACAGAGACCATATGACCTACAAAAACAAAAATATTTACTATTCAGTCTTGTATAGAAAAATGTGGCCAACTTATAATCTGTAGTGGAGATCCATAACAGTATCTTGAGTCAAGCAGATAACAATAAAACCTATTTATCTTTAGCCTAAAATCTACAGACACCAGCTTGATTCACTCTATAATCCTAAATCATCCCATGCTCTGCTTTCTTCCCAAAATCTACCAGCTAATGATTGTCTAAACCTCGTGGATCACACTTCCTCAAAGAGCTTTTATAGCTAATGTACTCCCATGGAAGTAACCTAGATTCATAAATTCATCACCAATGCCCTTGGTAATAAAAGTAGTCTCTTAATTGACATTCCAGTTTCTGGACTTTACCTACTGCAACACAGAGCTGTGTGATACTAAGGTGTCATGCTAAAACATAGATTATAATATGTTATGTCTCCATTTAAAACTTTGTGACAATATAATATTTTAATTTATTTATAAACGTGACAGAAGAAAATATAAATGCCTAGATTTTGCATATAAACCTCCCTAATGTAAACACAACTCTTTCTAGGTTCATCTTCCAGTGACATTGTCCCATATATATCTTCTCATTCTCAAACACAGAGCAGTATATTTCACTGCTGATCTTTAGCTCCCAAGCCTACGTGTTTCCCCAAACACCCCAGCAGCACATGTTTCAGTGCCTTTGTTCACACTCTTGACTTCCTCTCCTTATTTGTACGTTCACTCATCCATCCAACAAGCTTATTAAGCAATGATAAACATCAGACACTGCCCTGAGTAAAAGGAGTAGAGTAGGCAGAAGACATAGTTCCTAACCACTCACACAACTAAGAATTTTAGTAGAATTACAAACCAGAGCTATGAATGAAAAATAAAGGGCACTGTGGGGTTGAATCACAAAACCTATGCCAATCTGAGAAGTCATAGAAATCATTTCCCAAAGGAGATGACACATAAGCCAA
Organism: Homo sapiens; assembly: GCF_000001405.40. Classification (NCBI taxonomy): domain Eukaryota; kingdom Metazoa; phylum Chordata; class Mammalia; order Primates; family Hominidae; genus Homo; species Homo sapiens. Next base: position 59,950,642 of record NC_000013.11, read on the forward strand.
GAAATGAAGTATATGAGGTGGGCAAAGTGAAGCTATCTCCTTCATGATACTTTTCTAATTATCCCAATTAAAATCAACAGGTTTTTAAATATACTTAATAGCTGTGATATAATGACTAAATGTAATACTATACGATCAGTCAAGATATGAAGGCTATTTAATAGCATGAGAAATATGTGGAAATAACTATATATATATATTGTTATTTACTCTAGCAGTATAAACACTGCTAGAAAACAAAAGTTTTGAAAAGCTTAAAGGAAATTTAAATTCTACGATGAAATTGAATAGTGTAGTGGAGTTTAGGGTGGTATTTTTTTCTTTCATCAATTTTCTAAATTTTCTGTAACATAATTATTCTATAATGAATAAATTATGGCAGCTTAGGTAAACAAGCTTTATATAATCTTAATGAAATACATAAGTAATGTTTTATGTGTACTTAACTATTAAGACACTGATGAGGTTTGGTTGCATCCCCAACCAAATCTCCTATTGTAGTTCCCATAATCCTCATATGTTGTGGTTGGGACCCAGTGGGAGGTAACTGAATCATGGGGGCAGTTACCCTCATGCTGTTCTTGTGATAGTGAGTGAATTCTCACAAGGTCTGATGGTTTTATAAAAGGCATTTTCCCCACTTCGCTCAGCACTTCTTCCTGACATCATGTGAAGGACGTGTTTGCTTCCCCTTCTGCTATGATTGTAAGTTTCCTGAGACCTCCCAGGCCATGCTGAACTGTGAGTCAATTAAACCACTTTCCTTTGTAAATTACCCTGTCTCAGGTATGTCTTTATTAGCAGCGTGAGAATGAACTAATACAGACATACATAATACTGTATACTGTATTACCTATAACACATATATCTTTCATGTAAAATTGCAAGCTTCTCAGTCATATTTATGAATCTTCTGCCATCATTCACTCAATAAACTTCATAATTAAATACTATTTTGATCTTCATATTTCCCTACTTAAAGACTTTATTAGTTTCTATAATAGGCATTAATATACTTGATTTTCTGTTATGTCCCATCAAACTTTTATAAAAGCATCACTTTCAGTAAAATTTTGAGGTTTTTAAAGCTTAAAATCAACACCTATAAAAAATTAAAAATAACAAGTGTGGGCAAGGATGTGGAGAAATTACAACTCTTATACATTGCTAATAGGAATGTAAAATGATTCAGCTACTGTGGAAACAGCTTAGCAGTTCCTCAAATAGCTAAACATAGAATTACCAAATAATACAGCAATTCCAATCCAAAGTATTTATCCAAAAGAATTGAAAACAGGTATTCAAATACATGTACACCAATGTTCACAGCAACACTATCCACAATAGCCAAAAGGCAGAATCACCCTAAATATCCACCAGTGAATGAATGGATAAATCATGGTATAAAACTACAATGGAATATTATTCAACCATTAAAAGAAACATAGCACTGACACATGCTACAATGCATACTCAAAAATATTATGTAAAGTGAAAGCCAGATACGGTAAGTCACATATTGTGTGATTCCACTGATATGAAACATCCAGAACACATAAATTTATAGGCAGAAAACAGATTGGTGATTGCCAGGGGCTAGGGGAAGTGAATAATGGGGAGAGACTGCTTAAGGGGTCCAGGGTTTTACTTTGGAATGATGAAAATGTTTTAGAACTAGATAGAGGCCGTACTAAAAGCCACAATTATTCATAGTTAATTTTATGTGATATTAAGTTTTATCACAATTTAACAAAAATCAACACCAAACAAAGGAGCAATTTTCAGGAAAAATACCTACAAAATGTGTTAGAGTATGTTTGCTATTAATTGCTCCTGGTTTGTAGACACCAATCAGGGTGCATCCAACAACAACACAGAATTTACCTATAATTTTTACTTTCCTCCTTCTTACTTTTTGCTGCTAAAACAGAAGGAAAAAAAAGGTGAATCATTTTAGCATCTAGGTCCTGAACCTATTCCACTCCCAACCACCTTCATTATTCTCTGAATTTTTTTAACCTAATTTACAAGAGTCTGCTATTCACTCAGAGCTAAAGTCATCAGAGGCAGAGTTAATTGGAATCTAGATCATTTAAATATTTCTACTCCCCTTCCAAAATTTCCATTTGCTTAAAATGAAAAAAGACAGTTTGCTTGAGGAGGCTGAAATTATTGCATTTCTGCTTTAAAGAAATGAAAAAGCATTCATTTATCCAGCAAACATTCAATGCCCATATGTGCCAAGCATTCTTCTAGGTGCTTGTGATACATCAGTAAATGAAACAAAGAGCTCTTTAGTAAAGGAGCTTAAATTCCAGTGGGAGTAGGGAGAGAATAAGACAACATACCGAATATATAAGTAGCTAACAGTATGTTAGAAGGAGATAAATGACATGAAAACTACAACACAGTAGAGAAAATGGGGATGGCGTGAGGACAAAGGAAAACATGGCAGGATTAATTTGGGAGTTGAGCATGGGAACCTCATTGAGAAAGCGACATTTGAGTTAAGACTTGAAGGTGGTAAGGGGCTCATGGAGCACATATCTGGAGCATGAATGTTCCTGGCAGGGAAAAGCCCATGGCAGGAGTATACCTGGCATATCTGGGGTACATCATGAAGGTTGCCCAGTATGGTAGAAGTGAAAGAATTGAAAGAGAGGTAATAGGAAATGAAGTTGGCAAGCCAAGGAGTGGGAGAATAAAATGTTTCCAGAAGCTTCAGCATTTTCCAGATACTGAGAAAAAAGGGCTCAACTGTTTGAAGGTAGAAAGAGAACTACATGGAATGTGGAGGACAGGGGCAGAATCCAGGTGGGCTCTCCAATGCCTGGTGAAAGACGTACTCTAAGTCAGTCAGCCACAGCTCCCAGAAGGAACCAATAGGAATTTTGGTAGGAGATAAAGAATGGGTAAGGATTACAAATTAAAACACTCAAGGATAAATGATGAGGACAAAAGGAAGGGGCAATGAAATGCAAAGCCAAATTTAGAGAAAAAGGAGACCAATGTTACTGGAGTAAACGATGTGTAGAGCAGAAAAGTAACAAGGAGAAAATAGCTAGATACACAAGTTAGACCTGATTGCAGAAGGCTACAAATGCCAGACTGAGAAGTCCCTTTTCTTTTTAATCTTTTCGTATGTGTGCATACAAAGTATATGATAAATGGGATATTCCTCAGGACCATAAATCTGAAGATAGTTTGCATTATTGTCTTTAAAAAAGAATATGAATAGAAAGAGCAATTTGGAAGCTATTTTTTTAAAGAGGTATTTGAAGAAAGTATGTAATAAATGAAAGGCTATCGCTGTTTCTAAGTGTCAAGAAACAAAATAAGGCAAAATAGGAGATGTAACTGTGCTGTATAAGTAGTCAGGGTTCCTGACACCAAGGTCCATTCCATACCAATGCATAAGGTCCTTCAAGATGCACCTAGTATGCTCTCATGCCTTTCCCTCCCTCCTGTTCTCTAATGTCTGTGAACAGGATAGAGAGGAAAGAACAAAAGTTATGAAGTCAAAAAGTAAATTCTTGATTTTCAACTCCTTTCTAATAATGCAACCTTGACAGACAGAGTTTTAACTTTTGAGTCTCACCCTCTTACATTAAAATAAGGCAAAAGCCTAAATTACAAATGTGAGGACTGGGCACCATCCCTGGGGTTATTATGCAAGGCACTCATTTTTCCTTTAACTTGTAAGTTACTTCCTTTATCTCATTCCCTTTTGCTTCTAACAGCTGCTCTGGCCTTATAACCCCAATATAATCAAAAATAATGATAAAATTTGGGTTATTATGGTTGTAGGACATGCTTATTCATCAAGAACACATTCACAAAACAACCGTCTTAATAACGGATACCTCAGAGATACAAAAGTGGACAGGGGATGACCATGTCAGGTGGTTAGTTGACTTCTCTGGATTCAACTCTCTTATTAAATAATATAGGTGTGTATTAGTCCATTCTCACACTGCTATAAAGAACTACCTGAGACTGGGTAATTTATAAAGGAAAGGGGTTTAATTGACTCATAGTTCCATAGGCTGTAGAGAGGGCATGACTGGGGAGGCCTGAGGAAATTTATAGTCACAGCAGAAGGACAAAGGGGAAGCCAGTACATCCTATATGACTGAAGCAGGAGGAAAAGGGAGTGAAGGGGAAGTAGCTACACACTTTTAAACAACCAGATCTCATGAGAACTCAATCATGAGGCAGCACTAAGGGGATGGTGCTGAACCATTAGAAACCACCCACATGATCCAATCACCTCCCACTAGGTCCCATCTCCAACACCAGAAATTACAATTCAACATGAGATTTGGGTGGGGACATGGAGACAAACCATATCAAGGTAATAACAAATGAAATAATCCAACGATTACTCAACTTTAGATTTTCTGGTTTATGGAATATTCTTTCATATATATATATACATGTATATATATATATACATGTATATATACACACACACTTTTATATATATTTGTATTTGTATTTGTACATATGTATTTTTATATATGAAAAATTCTATTATAAAACTATTACTACTGATATGCTTTGGCTGTGTCCCCACCAAAATCTCATCTTGAATTCTAGCTCCCATAATCCCATCATGGGAGGGACCCAGTGGGAGGTAATCGAATCATGGGGGCGGGTTTCTCCTGTGCTGTTGTCATGATAGTGAATAAGTTTCATGAGAGCTGATATTTTTATAAAGGGCAGTTCCCCTGCACACGGTCTCCTGTCTGCCACCATGTAAGACGTGCCTTTACTCCTCCTTCACATTCCTACATGATTGTGAGGCCTTCCCAGCCATGTGGAACTGTAAGTTAATTAAACTTCTTTTTCTTTATGAATTACCCAGTCTCGGGTATATCTTTATTAGCAGCATGAGAAGCGACTAATACAGTAAATTGGCACTGCAGAGTGGGCGCTGCTGTAAAGATACCCAAAAATGTGGAAGCGACTTTGGAACTGGATAACAGGCAGAGGTTGGAACAGTTTGGAGGGCTCAGAAGAAGACAGAAAAATGTGGGAAAGTTTGGACCTTCCTAGAGACTTGGAGGGCTCAGAAGACAGGAAGATGTGGGAAAGTTCGGAACTTCCTAGAGACTTGTTGAATGGTTTTAACCAAAATGCTGACAGTAATATTGACAATAAACTCCAGGCTGAGGTGGTCTCACATGGAAATGAGGAACTTGTTGAGAACTAGAATAAAGGTGACTCCTGCTATGTTTTATCAAAGAGACTGGCAGCATTTTGCCCTTGCCCTAGAGTTCTGTGGAACTTTGAAAATGAGAGAGATGATTTAGAGTATCTGGTGGAAGAAATTTCCAAGCAGCAAAGCATTCAAGATGTGACTTGGGTGCTGTTAAAAGCATTCAGTTTTATTCATTCAGAAGATATGGTTTCAAATTGGAACTTATGTTTAAAAGGGAAGTAGAGCATAGAAGTTCAAAAAATTTGCAGCCTGATGATACAATAGAAAAGAAAACTCATTTTCTGAGGAGAAATTCAAATCAGCTGCAGAAATTTGCATAAGTAATGAGGAGCCAAATGTTAATCACCAAGCCAATGGGGAAAATGTCTCCAAGGCATGTCAGAGGTCTTCATAGCAGCCACTCCCATCATAGGCCCGGAGACCTAGAAGGGAAAAATGATTTCGTAGGCGGGCCAGGGCCTTGCTGCTTTATGCAGTCTCGGGACTTGGTGCCCTGTGTCCCAGCTGTAGCTAAAGGGGCAAAGGTACAGCTCAGGCTGTTGCATCAGAGGGTGCAAGCCCCAAGCCTTGGCGGCTTACACATGGTGTCAGGACTGTGGGTGCAAATAAGTCAAGAACTGAGGTTTGGGAACCTCCACCTAGATTTCAGAGGATGTATGGAAATGCCAGGATGCCCAGGCAGAGGCATGCTGCAGGGGCAAAGCCCTCATGGAGAGCCTCTGCTAGGGCAGTGTGGAAGGGAAATGTGGAGTGGGAGCCCCCACACAAAGTCCCCACTAGGGCACTGCTGGGTGGAGCTGTGAGAAGGCAGCCACTGTCCTCCAGTCCCCAGAATGGTAGATCCACTGACAGCTTGCACCATGCACCAGGAAAACCCACAGACACTCGACACCACCCCATGAAAGCAGCCAGGAGTAGAGATGTACCCTGCAAGACCACAGAGGCAGAGCTGCCCAAGACCATGGGAACACACCTCTTGCATTAGTGTGACCTAGATGTGAGACATGGAGTCAAAGGAGATAATTTTGGAGCTTTAAGATTTGACTGCCCAGCTGGATTTCAGATTTGCACGGGGCCTGTAGACCCTTTGATTTGGCCAATTTCTCCCATTTGGAATGGGTGTATTTACCCGATGCATGTACCCCCATTGTATCTAGGAAGTAACTAACTTGCTTTTGATTTTACAGGCTCATAGGTGGAAGGAACTTGCCTTGTCTCAGATGAGATTTTGGACTGTGAACTTTTGAGTTAATGCTGAAATGAGTTAAGACTTTGGGAGACTGTTGGGAAGACATGATTGGTTTTGAAATGTGAGGACGTGATATTTGGGAGGGACCAGGGGTGGAATGATATGGTTTGGCTGTATCTCCACCCAAATCTTATCTTGAATTGTAACTCTCATAATCCCCACGTGTTGTGGGAGGGACCCAGTGAGAGGTAATTTAATCATGGGGGTGGGTTTTTCCCATGCTGTTCTCATAATAGTGAATAAGTCTCACAAGATCTGATGGTTTTATAAAGATCAGTTCCCCTTCACATGCTCTCTTGCCTGCCACCATGTAAGATGGGCTTTTGCTCCTCCTTTGCCTGTGCCATGATTGTGGGTCCTCCCCAGCCATGTGGAACTCTGAGGCCATTAAACCTCTTTTTCTTTATAAATACCCAGTCTCAGGTATGTCTTTATTAGCAGCATGAGAACAGACAATTATAGTTACCATGCAGAAGCTGACACAAACTGCCGTTTTTCTTGCTATTAGTACTGAAAAACTGCCGAATCTGCAAAAGTATTTAATGAAAACACAAACAACTGGTCAATTTTAAAATGTATTTATGTATATACAGATACAGAAGATACAAAATGAAGTAAAATAAAACTTGGGAAAGTAAAATATTCAGAAAAAGCCTAACTTTAAAATAGAAAAACATAAAATCTCTAAAGACTAATACCCCTCATTTAAAAACAAACACAATTATCCCATTGGCTATTTTAGCTCTCCTGGGTTGAATCTTATGCTAGGGAAACAGAAAGCCAAACTGTCCCACTGTGACCTGTGAAACCCTGAAAAATAATTGGTTCTCTAATCAAAAAGAAAAGAAGATTAAAGGAGAAAGAAGAGCCCTGCTTCAGGAAGAATGAGTCTAAGGTAATATGATGATAGAAGAGTGGACTGGAAAATGACTAAGCCAACAATTAAATTAAAATAAATTGCTTATTTTGTGTGAAATGTCGCTGCAATAGATCTTTTGATAAATGTGATTTCCCTCAGTGATAAAATTTTTCCAATTAAAATAAACTTTATATACTGTATTTTTAATTATCCATTTAAATATGCAATTATAATAACATATATTTTCCATGTTGTGATAAAATTATATATATTCATATCCATTATTAGGTCTGCGTAACATTTGAACTAGGAAAAGGTCTCTATTGCCAGAGTCTCTATCACATGAACAGAAATATTCAAGTAAAAATATGTTGTGAAACATCATAAAACAAGAGTAACAATCTGTGTTTTAAAATAAAAACTTTAAGATAAGGAAACTTAGTTTATCAACAGGCAATGTAGACATTGTTATCTTTTAAAAGTTAATAATGTATAAATCTTTTCTCTAGATTAGAACTAGTTTCTCTTTCAATCTTAAATAGTAGTGAGAGTCACAAAAAATGTTTTTAAATGCCAATGGCTCTTTAGGTTTATAGAAAGTATTTCCAGGTTTAAAAACATATATGAAATAAAAACATATATAATTTAATTATTTCCCAGAAAAAAATGAAGTTAGTAGTATATATTGTAAACTGCAAAATATATAATACACTATGATACTTGATGCACATTAATTAAATATAATATTTTGAAAAGGAAGGGGAAAAAATCTTTCCTGGTACTTAAGAAAACACAATATAAGAATTTTTCCTAAAAATCTAGAAAGGCATTTTTGGCTGTGGTGACAAAAACATATGTTAATGTGACTTGATATAGATCTAAACTTCAATAAACTTTTTTTTTTTTTTTTTTTTTTTTTGAGATAGAGTCTCGCTCCTGTTGCCCAGGCTGGAGAGCAATGGCACGATCTCGGCTCACTGCAACCTCCGCCTCCCGGGTTCAAGCGATTATCCTGCCTCAGCCTCCCAAATACTTGGGATTACAGGCATCCGCCATCATACCCTGCTAATTTTTGTATTTTTGGTAGAGATGGGGTTTTACCATGTTGACCAGGCTGGTTTCAAATTCCTGACCTCAGGTGCTCCACCCACCTCAGCCTCACAAAGTGCGGAGATTACAGGTGTGAGCCACTGCACCCAGTCTTCAATAAACCTTTTGTGAATAGAATAAATGATTTAAGAAGTTGAGTCAAAATGCCCCAGGACTCCTAAAATGGCCTTCCTATAAAAGGAATGCAAGCTAAAAGAAAGTGACATAACACAAATATGTTCATTTAACTGTGAAATAAGAAATTTTATGGCATAGAGTTGTTCCACAGCCTCTGCTGCCAAAGATATCAATGCCCTAATTTCTGGACCCAGTGGATATTTTACCCCACATGGAAAAAAGGAACTTTGCACATGTGATCAAGGTTAAGGATTCTGAGATGGGGAAGAGCAGAATGGATTACCCAGGTGGGCCCAATTTAAGCCCGTGTGAGTCTTTAAAAGAACCTTTTGTAACTTAGGTCAGAGTTAGAGAAGGAGATGGAATCATGGAAGCCAGGCGAGAGAGATCTAACAAAATGACTTGCTCGGCTATTGCTGGCTTTGATGATACAGGAAGGAGGCCACAAGCTGAGGAATGTGGGTGGCCTCTAGCGACTGGAAAAGGCAAGGAAACACATTCTTCTCCAGAGCATCAAGAACATGGTCCTGTTGATTTTAGATTAGTGAGACCCATACTGGACTTATATAGAATTAGAAGATGATAAATTTGCATTTCTAAAGCTGCTAAATCTGTAGTAATGTGTTATAGCAGCAATAGAAAACTAATACAAAGGCCATTTGTGAGCATAATGATTCTTCCTGTCTCTAGCTAAGCTAAGCTGAAATTGAAGGGAAAACTAGGAAAAATAGATGAGAAGCTAACCTAGAGTTCTCACATCACTGGGATATTGAATTAACCAATTCTAGGACCACCAACCACCAGACTTCTTGTTTTAATCATTCCCTGCAGGCAAATTTCCTCAATGATTCACAAGACAAGACTGATTTATATACACTAATACAGAATGTAAAATTCTAAGGTTTTTTTCCAATCACAGATTTGGGGGGCTATAAGTCATATTCTGAGTTGAATAATTTTCACTTCAAGAGTTCTGTCCTCCTCATCTATTACCTGTGAAGCTAGTAGGGAAGTATAAATATTCACTTTCATTTAAGCTAAAAACTAAAGACATTTCTTTATGTGTTTCCTTAATAATTTGTCACCAGTTTAGGAAACAAGTATTTAGTTGAACCGTGTGAAGGCTGCGATTGTCAAAATGGTATAATGGCATATAGTTCACTCAACTAATTTCTATTAGCTTGCACCACACAAATGGAGGAGAAAAAAAGGAGTAATCCATTCCTAAAAAATTATCACTCTTCCAAACCTTCTGCTAGCAATCTATGAAACTAAAAACATTAAGAGTTATCACGCCTCCTGCAAACCCTTGGGAGAATTTAGCCATACGCTTTATCTGGCACTCTTATTTGCCTATCAAATAAAGGCTCTCTATGCCTTAATTCAACCCAGTTCCATAATTATATTGAGCCATCTCTACCATCCTCACTAATCTCTGAAAATGTAAATAACTGTCAAAAATAATGAATTATTAGCAAAAACAAGTAATATTTTATGAGACTGAATGAGCTTTTCAAGATCACCCCCAAAGTCACCAGTTCTATGCTCTAAAACTGAATCACAACAAGAAAAGCAGTTTAGAATCTCAGCTTTCAAATCTCAAAATTACAAATATTATTAGGCCCCAGTCCCATAAATGAGTCATCAACTGAAAGGAAAAAAGTCATGGAAAAAAAAAATCAGCAAATAAAAACGAGCTTTATATTTATTCCTGATTCAACAAATCCCTGTCTCGAGAAACTTAATGAAGCACTTGACATTTAAGACATACATAAAAATGAAACTAGATATACAGAATAATCTATTATTATTTTCTAAAGTTAATGGTATGAACTAGTGTTACAGTAGTCTCCATAAGTGGCTATTAACATAGGTCAGTTAACACAGTAGTTTCATGATTTAGAAAGTTTCACTTGAAAGCAAGGCTACAGTGAACATAGGCCATTTAACTTGTTACATTGTGGAAGATTCAGAGATGATACACAAAACTTTACAAGTTGAAATGAGTTCTGTATTCTCAACATTTAAGTTCAGCTAACATTTCCTGAGCAACTACAATGAGCTGGGCACTGCAAAAGATGCTTTACAATATGCATTATATAATCCTCACAATAACCTCATGATATGGGTATTATGTCCCCCATTTTATAGAGGAAAGAAACTACGCTGTAAAAGCCAGGGTCACACACTTGTAGGGTGGACTCCACAACATCCCTCACTTCGCGTGTATATTACACAGCATGGTGTTAGTATTTACAGCTCAAATACTTACAGAAGTGAATAGAGGTACGAAATGATGAAAGATGGTTTTAATAAAAAATGGCAAGTTTTTAAAGCCTTTAATATACATTGTGGAATGAGGGTGAACTGCTGTGGGGCAGTGGTAAGGTGGCAGAAGATGAGAGGAAAATTATTTTAAATCAATGCAGAGCACTTTAAATAAAACATAATAGGATTTCTTTTAATCAGAGAAGCAGCATGGCATAGCACAAAGAGCAATGGCTTTAGACTCGGATCTGTATTCCATTCAGAGGGGCTGCTTCTTTTAGCTGAAATTCACCGAAGAATGTAACTTTCTTATATATAAATGTATACAATATCTGCCTTGATTCTTTCACATAAATGTTTCTGGGAGCAAATAAAGTAACATAAGCAAACATTTGACTAGTAAAAAATACATCAATAATATGTTGTTTTATTATTATCTAATTAATGAGTTTCATATTTTGTCCAGATTTGACCTAAGTATACTTTTATTAATAAATGCATCAGAGTAGTCTGCTAAAGTGAGATTCAAAAATGGACAGTCTGATGTTGAAACTGCCTTAAAACATTATTCTAAGTTGGATGAAATATTTCATTACATGTATTGGTTCTTTGAATTAAAAAAAAGAAAAAAAGGCAATATAAATTTAAATAGGCAGCAGTTAAGCTGAGGCTCAGGCCCAGGTCTTTGATGTTACTTCACTCTCACCACTGCACAAATTAGAGAGTCTAAATTAATTCTTAACCTTTTTTGCCAAAGACCCCATTGACAGTCAAAGAAGTGGACCCTTTCTCAAAATAGTATTTTTAAATGCATAAACAAAAATACATAGGATTTCAAAGGAAGTAAATTATACTTGAATGCAGCTATCAAAATGCATTAAACAGCAGTTTATGAAATAGTAATACACATGTGAGGAAGCAATGTAGATGTGCTGCTCAGATCTCCATTTAGGAAGAACTTTCCATTCAGCCGCAAGGAGTGCATTTAGCTGACAGGCTTCAAGTTGTTAGCACCTTTAGAATCCTCCTTAGCTTTTGAGTCCAGGCCACACTCCTCCTGGGCAGCCCCCAGCCAATGGCTGAGCCTGGCACAAGTAGTAAGGACTGCCATTAGGACCCAACGAGGGACTCCCCTCACAGGCATCATTTGTTCCAGAGCTCCTTCCTGGCTAGACTGGCTGAGAATTTATCAGGTTTACACCATGGTCTAAGGTTTTTCCCGCCCGGTCTTGCATCCTGACCCTTAAAAAAAAACACATTTACACTCCAGCATCTCTGTGTCTGCTTCCAGGTGGAAGCAATCAACAAAATCTGCTTCTTTATTAATGAATTAAATAACAAGATCTAGTTGCAAGTCTAATAACTACCTTAATTTTGAAATACTGATCATTTTAAATGATATTTCAACTTAACTAAAATAATTCTAATGTATTTTGAAAGTATATGTGAATTGTACTCATGGAAACTTAATAGGTACTGCTATGTTTGTTACCTATAATTGAAGAAAAAGCTAAATTTCAATTAGAGGTTAAAGTATGTGGGTTTTTTTTCCTATTCAAGTTCAGACCCCAGAATTCTATTTGCAGACCCCAAGTTAAGAATCCTGGGATAAAGTGTCTGATTTTGAAACATCCATTCTTTTAAGATACAGAGATGCACTTAGACAAGTGAAAGCTGTGGTTAACAAAAGGTCTCTAACCTGGCTTACCTACTCAGATGCCAACGCACATGTGAAAGCTTCTATTAAATGCACAGAATACATTATAAGATCATATGCCCAAATGATTTAACCTTGAGGGACAAGAACAGCTTATCTAAACACATGAATGCATAATCACCTAAAAATCTAAACTGTGAAATTCAAGATTCTAAAATATATAATAAAGTTATTTTTATACAGATTTTTCTAAGAATATACTATACTGTTTAACATCAAAATGCTACATAGAATTTACTACTTACTATATTATACCATTTATTTGCTATACTATTTATTTAATACCAAATTGCTATATAGCATTTAATCTAGCAAGAAGTCCTCTGTATCTACTTCTGACTCTCCTATCTTGACCCTATTCTCTTCCTGTGTTCCAAGGATGGTATCAGGTTACCATTCTAACTCTAGGTGATTCCATCTCTTCTAGCCAGGCAAACAGTGTATGTAATGGGGGGGAGGGGAAGGGGGAGAACAGGTAAATGAATAGCTAGATTTACAAATTTTTCTTCTTAAATAGAGACAGGGTCTCACTCTATCACCCAATCTCTACTTTTGTAGAGACAGGTCTCAATACATTGCCCAGGCTGGTCATGAACTCCTGGCCTCAAGCAATCCTCCTGTCTTGGCCTCCCAAAGCACTGAGATTAGAGGCATGAGCCATTGTGCCCAGCCTCAAAATATTATTAATGCCCTAAGATTACAATAGTGCATTCAGAAGGATAAGCCTCATTTAAATTTCCAGGTGAATAATAACAAGCACTAATTTGAGCCAGAGTCTTGAATGACAGAACATGATGCAGACAAGGCAAAGAACTGCCTAAAATAGGGAAGTGAACTTTAAGCAATCGGAGGGCAACTGGAATTGCCCTGGTGAAATGGAGAGTAAGGCAGAAGACAGAGAAAATGGAAGATAAATTCTGAGACAAAAGGTGTGAGATAACAACAATGAAATGTAACAACTTTATAATTTTGTTAAGGGATGATAGCTACGGACACACCACTAAGAACTTACTACCAAGATTAAAATATCAAGGTCAACTTGTAATATGGAAAAGCAACAGTATCCTCCAATCTACCATTCGTCAAGTGACTCCAGTCAAATCCATTACCCTAGTATCTTTCCTTTCTCCAGTAGAAGTAGGAAAGGAGAAAAAAGAAGGAAAAAGCTATGTGTATGTACATACACACACCAATACACATACACCCTAGTTTCCTCTCTTTCTGTTTGTAACATCTGTACAGTATGCAAGAAACATGTCTATTTATAGGGATTCAAAACAGACATGTTTTTTGTATACTGTACAGATGTTACAATGCATAAATTTCTACCACACTATACCAAAGATATGCTGTAACTAAGCATTTAACCAAAGCATTAGGTGGACTTGCAAGTCTTCCTTGGCTCCAAGCTAAATAAATCCACTTTCTTTAGCCTCTGTCTTTAGTTCCCATTTCGCTAAAGCTTTCAAAATAAATTTCCATTTCTTCCGCACCCCAACAGAGAATATACTATAACTGGTAACAATAAGATCCTTTAATGGGAAGATAAGATATTCTTGACCCATTTCATAATTTCTTTAAGTCTTTACTACTTTTGAGATTCAGCCACAGACAAGAACCAAATGATATGTCCCTAGAGAAATATTTCATTCTCTACTGACTTTCTCCCCAATCTTTCCAAATCAGTATTTGTGAAATATTCTGTTCTTTTCAGGAAACTTTACTATCTATAAAACATGTTGCATTTATTTTGGCATCATCTCTTTATTAGCATGCATTACAAAAAAACATATTTCTATGTGTTCACCTTAATGTAGCCTTGTGAGGTAGTTTAAAAAATTTTATACACATTTGTTTGTATAGAGGAATAAATTATGTTTCAAACACAATGCAACATCTTGAACACCGCCAAGTTGCTGGGATAATCCACGTTTATCACCTACTTCCTCAATTCTTTGTCCACTGAACTATGATGTCAGAAATCTAAGCTTGATTTGTTTTTAAGTGGATAATCCATTAACTGTTTCCATATGCCATAACTATTCAGTTGAGAAATAATTTATAAACCAATTTATGGGCCCTATCTGGCAAAAATGACACACCTGTTATAAAATATGATTACTTCAGAAAGCTAACAATTGTGGAACCACATTTTCATAATAAATTAGTCTAAGTGAATTAGACTATTCATATACTTTCAGAAAGCCCTTTAATCCCTATTAACAGTTTGTGAATAATGAAAGTAGTTAATATTAATTTTACTTGACAAATCCAACACCAATAACCTGTTAGTATACTCTAATCCATTTTCCAACAGCCTGTAAAAATTAACCAACAGATGCTTCCAATCTGGTAAAAAAAAAAAAAAAAATACATAGGTCATTAGCATTATTTTGATGATACCAAATGTTCAATATATGAATATTATGATTAAATTTCAGAGAGATAGATAAACAATCTTTTTTTATAACCTTGTTAAGTCTTAACAGAAGCTGAATTTAGTAAAATGTCAGTCTTTTCTAAAATCAAAATCAGCATTTGTTATTCCACTCCTTGTTATTATGCTTCAACTAAGTACTTGACTGAGTTTCATCAGGAATGTAAAAGCAACATGAGTATGGGAAGCACACCTGCCTTATTCATGCTGGTATCCCCAATGTCAAGCATGAGGCACAACATGCAATATGCACCCAATAAATAGTTATTGAGTGGAACAGTGGTAGCCAATAAGAAAAAGTGGAAGGTATGAAAGAGGAGGTATGAGAAAAAGAAAAAACATAATCTGGAAAAGTGCTTATATACATTTCCAGAATAATTTAAAATACAGAAAGCTAAGATGTCTCCCAAAAACTTACAACAGAGAGAATCAAGAAAACTGAAGTGAGCTACTTAACAGCAAAATAAAGTGTAAAAGAAAATGATGTAAGTGAATCAGGAAAAAATTACTGATTTTTCACAGGAAAAGGATTAGAGAGGATTCCTATTCCTCTACAGATATGGCACAAGGTACTTTCCCACAGAAGCGTTGTTGTAAATGGTCACAAAGATTAGTTTAAAAAGCAGAATAGGTAAGATCTAATTGGAAAAAAAAAAGTAGGAATGTAATAAAAGGCAACAGGAATTAAGAGGAAAGAGCCAAGCCCTTACCAAGAATATCTTGGTAATATGTAAATGTAGGTAGGGTTGGATAGTATCACAAGAAGCCAGAATTGTTTTGCCATCAGGAGACCAGGAGAAAAGATCTCAGCTGAGATACACTAAAGATTAAACAAGATAATATGAAGAGAACCCAGCTGAGGCACTGATATATCACGTATGCACAATATCTGATATAGATATTAGCTCCTTTTCCAACTCTAAGTGTATTAGACCTGTAAATCCCAGTAGTCTAAACATTAGAAGTCCTGAAAACCTAAAGTAGTGTCTACCATAAGAAAAAAGCCCCACTTACTTGACAACAAATAAAGTCTACATGACAGAAAACTTCAAGGATCTCTTTAAATGATTGGATTCAGTTCCTTTGTTCTTACTACCCAATTTGAATGCTTGGGAAGCACAAAGGATTGGCATCTATCATTTAAATGCCTGGGATGGAATGTCCATCTTTGTAATCAAAGAAATAGCCTCGGTTCTCAGTCCAAACAGTTACTACTGCAATGAAAAACAGAGATACACCATTTCTCTAAAAAACCCACTATTCTTCAGTAATTACCATCCTTCCCTACCTAGTTGTGATGAAAATCAGCCAGCAGCCAATGCCTCTACCTCCTGCACTGGCTTGCGAAAGGGTGGAAAGACAAATGGATTTTCACCTTGGAGTGAACAATACATAAGTGACCAGGTTTACTTTTGTTTGGGGGTTTGCCTGTTTTTGTTTTTTTGTTTTTTTGTGTTTTTTTGAGACATAGTCTTACTCTGTTGCCCAGACTGGAGTGCAGTGGCGTGATCCTGGCTCGCTGCAACCTCTGCCTCCCAGGTTCAAGCGATTCTCATGCCTCAGCCTCCGGAGTAGCTGGGACTACAGGTGTGCACCACCATGCCTGGCTATTTTTTTTTTTAATTTTTTTTAGTAGAAATGAGGGTCTCATCATGTTGGCCAGGCTGGTCTCAAACTCCTGGCCTCAAGTGATCAACCCACCTCGACCTCCCAAAATGCTGAGATTACAGGCGGGAGCCATTGCACCCGGCCATAGTTTTGAATTCTGCAGCAATTACAAAATTGATTCAAACAAAGTATGTTGGACTCAGGGAGATACGTGAATGTAACATTTGGACCCAATGCCTCAGCAGCCAGGCCATGAATAAAAGACCACAAGTAGACCTGTCTACTTGACCAGTCCTGTCTAAGCTCTCTGGACATCTTTCTCTTTCCTTCCTTTCTGATCTTTCCTATTAAATGTCTATATAAAATCCTGTTTCTCTGAACGTAGCAATGACTGGCCTTTCCTATAAAATACTCTGAAGTGTTTTACATGTAAATACACATTTTAATTGTCATATATTCTCCTTGATTGCCAGATGACCAGTAATGCCAAAAAGCACTCTTAGGACTCCTCAAATAATGCTTTCTAGGAATTATTCTTTAAAATGAAGTCCCAAAAAAATAGTCACCTTTACAGCTCATCTCTGCTTACCACTGAGAAATGTTAGCAGGGCTCGGAGTCACAACCCTGGGCTTCCCCACTCTTTGTGTTCCCCCTGGAAATGTCATCTACTGTCACAGAAAAAAAAGAAAGCAGCATTTGAGTTGAATTGAGACAGAAGGTATCATAGTCCTCTGCCAGCCTCTAAGTCAAGTAAAGAGATTCCAGGCCAAAGGACCAGCAGTACAAAGGCAGAGAGAGATGGAAATATGGAGTATGCAAAAAATGATCACCTTTTCACCTTAATCTTTCTAACTAGTATTAGATAGAGCAAATACATCATTTTTTTATTCAACCTTGAATCTCAAGGCTAAAGTTAGATGACTTAAGAATTTTTTAAAGGTCCAATTATTTCATTTAGGGCTAACATTGCAGCTAAATTAAAGACATGCTAACAAGTTTCCCTTTTGAGCCTCATTAATTAAGAAAGTAATCAGAGTAAGGAGAAAAAGAGAGTAGCTGTATGGCAGAATTACTTAAATAGTTTTTAGGTACCACCATTTGTACCTACTAGGAAAGCAAAAGGAAAACTAATCAACTCCAGATTATGAAATCTGAAATTCTGAAGTGTTTTACATGTAAACACAAATTTTAACTGCCATGTATTTTCCTTGATTGCCAGAAGAGTACACTAATCTTATTTGAAGAAAATTTTGATCCTCCATAATCAAAAGGTAAAATTAAAATCTTATTCACAAATTTACTAGGGTGAGCTTGCTGAGAAAATTCTCCCTGTGTTCAAAGACCAAAAATATACCATTTTTAATACTTTAGTCAGGATAAATGGTACTCAAAAATATCTGTTAACTGTTTTTATCAAATTCTAGAAAACTACCTTAATTTACAATTACCTTTTGGAGAGAGTTTCTAATTTACATTAATAATTTCTTAATTTACAATTACCTTTTAGAAAGAGATTCTAATCTTTCAGAAACTCATTCAAAGGAATACTAATACATTTTTAAAATATCTGCCAGCATTCTTTGGCTGCTGTGCTCAAGTTAAACAGATACATAAAGCATCTAGCATGGTGCCTGGCTAACAGTCAACATTTAGGAAGTCAACTCAACCCTCTACACAAAGGTCTCTGACCTGTATCCATCCAGTACAATCTCTCCCTGCCACCTCTTCCTTTGTTCTATGAGCCCAGGGATATAGGTGGCATAAGTCTATAGTGAAAAATTTCTTTTTGAAAATTAAAAGGTAATGATTGATCTAAGTGTTTTGCACTACAGACCTAAAATGTAAGTTTTATATAATACTTAAAAATTCTGTGTGGATATCAGCCTTGAAATGTAAGTAGCAGGCCCACGAAATTGGATGAAATAAGTTCAATTTTCACTTATGTAATACCTAAACAATTTTTTAAAAATCACACTGCACAGGTAAAACCTATCACAAAACATTTTGGAAAATGAATGCCATTGCTTTTAATGAAAAGATCATATAACCTACTCAGATACTTCTCTTTCAAGCTAACTTTGAAGACATTATAAATCTGATATTTTTATCCCATGTGACTCATAGCAATTAATTAAATTATGTGATAGTCACTGTAATTTTTTTTGGATTATACTTTAAGTTCTGGGATACATGTGCAGAACATGCAGGTTTGTTACATAGGTATACACATGCCATGGTGGTTTGCTGCACCCATCAACCCGTCATCTACGTTGGGTATTTCTCCTAATGCTATATGCTATCCCTCTCCTAGCTCCCCTAGTCACTGTAATATTAAAGGGTAGTAAAATTCTAACTACAAGAAAGCACACATTTTGTTTTTCTATTTTTCAAACTGAAGGACCTTCTCATGCCAAAACTGTCACAGAAAATATCCTCTTTTACAAAAGTCTAATTTATCCCAATGGAATATCTTCAAAAATAATATCATATAGAAAATTTAATAATCAAAATTTTATATTAACCTTTTGCATTTTTAAAACAGAATTTACTTTTTAAGCACTTTATTTCATTATACCATTTATTTGCCCATTAGGAATGTAAAAATAACATGTACAGGATTCATAAAATAATGTTTTCTGAAAATTGATACATAAAAAGTATATGTTAAAATTCTAAAATCAAATTAATAAATAATCAAGATGTTAAACTTACCTTTTTGTTGGCAACAAAATGTATTCTCAAGTTTACAAAGCAAATCCACGTTTTCATACTTATTTTCATTTACTTTTATCCAGAAACAGTTTTCAGTCATTTCATGAGGTCTGATCTACAATCAGAGAGAAGACTGATTCATCAATAGGTGAGTGTTTCACCTGTCCCAAGTCAAGCACTATGCATACACTGAGTATCATAGCTGTCAGCAGATATTTATAAAGTCGTATCTGTAAGATTTTTCCCTGAAGTGTGTTCAATAAGATACAAGTTCTGCAGGATGTTAAGGTCTTATTAGGAAGAAAAGGCTTCCATGATCCAATAGTTGAGGATTTGAAATACGATTTAATTAGCTTCTTCTCAATTGCATTTCTCATAGTCTCTAATAATCTTCACCTGCACTATACATTTTGGTGGGCAGGACACATTATACAGCATTTTCCATGTTTCTGTTACCATGAAACCATTTTTCTGCAGGATTCTGAATTCTTAAGATCTGACTAGATATTAGCTTCTGACAACTAGTTAACACTTTCCCAACATCTATCAATAGAGAAAATTTCCTAAGAACACCATCATTTTTTTTTGAGAAACACTTCATAAACATAGGATTCACTGCAATAATGTTTAATTATCAATTTAATTACAAATCGGATTCCACTGGAACAACATCAACTCTCACTGTATTTATAAAGCAGAAAGTCTTAGTCAATATGAAAGGGATTTGTCCCAATACTTTAAAAAAAAAGCTATTTTATTGTCACTTTGATTAGTGACATTAGAAATTATGTATATATAAATTAAATTATGTAGGCATAAATTAAATCTCATTAGAAATTATGTATATATAAATCCAAAATTAGATTTAGATCTAAGTAAAAGTATTTTCCTCTATTAATTTCTTTTACCTTTAACCAATTCAATCTTCTCATGCTGATTTCAGGTTTAAATTCTTTCTTTGGTTTCAACCCAAATGGCAGGATTGGTAGAGGAGGAGAATTTTGTCCTCCAAGGAATCCCAGGGGAGGTGGTGGAGGCACAGGACCACTGAATGGCATCCGCATTCCTGGAAGTGGAGGAGGTGGTGGGGGAGGAGGTGGAGGCGGCACCCCTCCACCAGAAGGCAGTGGAGGCGGAGGAGGAAGTGCTGAGTGGCCAGTTCCACCTTCTTTAGAGGGAGGCAAAGGAATATTACAATCAGCTGGCAAGGCACCAAACTGGAGAAAAAAACAATAAGAGACATAACTAAGAACATATCTACAAAACATGTAAATATGCACTTTACTCAAAAATAAGGCATTCATTTAAACCAAAAATAATTACATATCAGTAATTTCATAAGGTTTAACCAAAAATCAAAATTCCAACAATTTTTCTTCTAATTTAAGAATATAATTATAGCTTTTTTTCCCTCATAAAAACATAATTGCCAGAAGTATAATTCCCTGTTTTGAGGTAGTTATGACCATCTAGGTAGAAATGTCCAGGAGGGAAATGGGTATGTGGATCTAGAAGATTTGAAAATCAGTAGTCTCTGGAGAACAGTTGAAGCCAGGGAAGCAGAGAAGTTCACTCATAGTATGGAGAGAATATGTAGCATGACAAAGGGTCTATGCACAGAGTTCTATGGAGTGCAAGCATTTAAGTGATAAGTAAGAAATAAGATTTCAACAAAAGAACTTAAATGGTATTGCCACATCATGACTTTGCTCAAATCTTCTCAATGGTGTCCTAATGCACTTGAGAAAACAACAACAACAACAAACTAAAATTCTTCGTAGGACCTATATAAGTATATCATGATCTAGTCCCTGCTATCTGGTCTTGTAGGGGACTTTCTTCTAATTCTGTGTATGTGCCAACCTCATGCTAATTTCAGGGCCCTTGTACATGCTGGTCCCTCTGCCTGGAACATTCTCTTCACCTGACCATCTCCTACTAGCCTCTTCAGTCTGAGCTAACAGGTCCCTTCCTTGGGAAAGCCTTATCTGACCACTCATTTTACACTGATAGCACCTTGTACTTTTCAATAGCTCTTATCAAAAGTGAGAATTTATTTAAGGAATCATTAGCATTTATCTCTTTGACAGATCATAAGCTGATGAGGTAAGTGACTATCTTGTATTATTTACTGCTCTTTCCCCAGCACCTAAAGCAGTGACTGGTGCATGACAGCTATGGAAGAAATGCGTAGGATAAATGCATGAAAGACAAGAAGAGAAAAAGCCAACTGGGCACAGGGTCAAAAACTATGAATGAAGAGAGCACCACCTAAAAGACTGCTTTGCAGAATCAAATGCCACAGAGAAGCAAGGTAAAATCAGGGGTGAAAAAAGAACCGCCTGTGTCCACTGGTCACTTTTGTCCTCATGTTTCCATGGCATAATAAGAATTTAACAGATGCATTTCGATGGATACAAAGAAGACATTCTGGGTTAATAAATAACTTTTGTAATATGAGTAGCTTCTTGAAATTACAAACTTCAATTCTAACTACCTTTAACATTTAATAAATGTTACATAATTTTGAATTTTCATGGCACAATTATGAAAAATAGACCATGTATAAAAGCTCGAAATCAATGACGTCTGAAATCATGACAAAGAAAACAGTGTTATAAAAGAAGTTGAGGCCACAAATCAAAAGCATGCCTTATCAAAACCATTAAGTATAAAGAAGAACCAGTTCAGTGTTACTCTGGGTTGCTGTGATCAAAGATGATACTTCCTTTTGAACGTATTTAATAATTAACTATCAATGTCTTAAAGATATGGCTGAATTTCTGCTCTAGAATAGTTCATTTGATAAAGTGTGAAGACTGACTTAAAGATATGGTTTGGGAGGCCAGACACTGTGACTATCTTGCTCATCACTATGTCTCTCCAGCACCTAAACTACCTGGTTGTGAAGAGACTACGGGAGCAAAGGAATTAAATCACAGATAACAGAACATATTTTATTCATACTCTTCATAGTCAGCATAGCTTTGAACAAAAAGAAGGATCTTAAGATAAATGCCCACATTTCATAAGAAATAAACCAGAATCCAAAGAAAGAATTTGCCAGTTGTTCAAACATGAATATGGTGGCCAATATTAAGTATCTAATTCTAGGTTTTCTTCTCATAGCCATAAACATGGGTCATCACTGTATACAATTTAAAACAATTTAGGAGATTCCTTGATTTAATTTCACTTTCAAAACATACACTTATTCCCATTTTATGTAAAAGCACTATGCAGCAATAACTTATTCAAAAATGGTGGATACGTTTTTTATAAACTGGAATTTTCTGGAGATTTACAAACAAACCTTCAACTGAACATAATTAAAAAGAAAAGAAAGTTCTTAAATTTACGTTACCCCAGACCAAGAAAAACTTGTTATAAATATTTCAGCCACTGTCTGTAACTCAGTCTGAAGTACAGACACAATCAAATGTTTCTTTCAATATGAGAGACAAGGAACCATATGGGAAAGATAAAAAAAAAAATTCAATAAAATGTGATACTTCCCTCTTGCAGCACTAAAGAAAGAAGATGAATGAGAATAATTTTCTTGTAGATAGGAGATTTTAATTTTTTTCTAAAATTGAATACTAACAGATAGCTATCTCTTAAGGTATCTCCAGACAGCCTCAGCAACAAAACTATCCACTAAGCATTTAAAAGAAAACAAAATTGCCAGTAAGATAGGATATAGTATACCTGAGACTATTTCAACATAACTGTAAATTAAGATGAAAGGAAAATAGCAAAACTATACTTATTGCTCATCATCCTGTACGTAAATCTACATGAAGAAATTTAGCTATGAATATTCTACCTCCTTACTTACATCCACATAAAGCATGCAGATGACGTATTTCTTGCTATCTAAATGTTTTATGTGTAGAGGGTGCATGGGAGCTATCTGCTTCATAATCCAGATTTACTCTCTTTTTTGTCATGTTTTAAATCTGTTTACTTTGGAAATTGAAAAATTATCAGAAAATGTTCTCATTCAGCTAGAGGTTATCTTTTACTGCAAGGGACCCCTAGGCTGAAGGTTTTAAAAAATAAATAGCTTGAGCAATAATTTCTTGTAGTGGGATAAAGATCAGTGATGAATAACAAATCTGAGAGTAAAAGATTTTCTTACTCTTTATGCTGAATTACTTAGGAAACATGTGACATTAGGAACAAAACCCTAACAAAACATAAGAAAGCAGATTAATTAGTAAAAGCTTAGATATACATACATATAGAAAAAAATGACAAAAAAATAGCAAAACACAGTACAAATAATGCTATAAAAATATACAAGCAAAATTAAAGTTTAAACATTTTGATGCTATGAAGATATAACATAACCTTTGCTCCCTCACTGTGTTTTTAATACCCAAATTCACTCAGAGTGGAATTTTACCTGAGACTTAAAAGCTTGTAGCTCTGCTTGAAGCTCATTAATCTTTGCCTCTTTTTTCTGCAATTCAGCCTGAGTTTCTTGGTGGTCGGTAAACTCTTTTTCAAACTGAAACAAATTAAAAATAATAACAAAAACAGGAAGATGAAAATGAAAAGCACTATTCTTCTTATAGAAATGTGACTCGAATGATCTGCCGGTAGAACACAAATTCCTGAATTGGTTTTATGAAAGGAGTGATAGAGTTTTGAAAAGTCACTTACAGTCTTTCTCTAGGCCCCTCCAGGTCCCAACCAAAATCGTTCATTCACAAGGGGGCAGAAAAAAGCCATAGACAAGTCTGTGACCTTCTCTCTGCAGAGCAAACTGGCCACAGTTATCTGCAGCATTGGCATTTTTCTTCAAAGTCTCTAAATATTATTGTGACTTTGTGTAAAATAATAGAGAGCAAAGCATTGTACAAATTCCTTGCATCTTCCACCTGCAAAAACTTATTCTTGAAACTTATCTGAAGTATATCAACATGATTTAGAGGATTTCATTTTAATATTTTTTATTACTAAACAACTCCATTCTATTCAGTTTCTAACTTTTTTTCTTGTAACAACATAATATCTCCTGATATCTTTGGGAAAGTAATGATAAATTAATTTTTCAAAGTCCCTAGTGAAATACCTTCTGGAAAAAAAAGGAAACAATAAAATTTGGTGAATCCAGTGAATTTTCTATAATAATTTATATATCCACTCATCACCAGTTCTCATCTTGCATTCAAACACATTCAACTTTGCCATTATTATGACTAAAAACCTCCTTTTTGCTCACAAACACAAGCATTTGACTTTCTTAAGAAAAATGAAAAAAAAAATCAATCAAAAAAATGCAACTATCTCACAAATGTGGCCTCCACATTTTAAATACACTCAAACCTTAATTAGGAAAATAACAACAATGTAGAACTCCACCGTTTACAAAGGGATTTTATTTTTACTTAGTTTATAAAGGGAATCTTACTTTGTCCTTAATAACACTAAGAGGCAGTTGCTAGTCCCTCATAGCTAGTAAAAGATGTGAGATTAAAAAGCCAGATTCCCCGCCTTCAGAGTCTAAGTTCAAATGAAACTATGCCACCTCCCTGCAATTAACGTTTAGATAATGCTTTACGGTTTTACTTAACAGACTATTTTTTGGAGCAGTTTTAGGTTCACGGCAAAACTGAGCAGAAAATAGAGATTTTCCACATACCCCCAACCCTACACATGCATTCTCTCTCCCCATACTTTATAGCTTTTGAAGCATAAAAAGAAGCATTCTTAAATTTCATTACAAAAACTCTGTGAAATAAGAAATACTGCTTTAATTCCCATTTTACAGGGAAGGAAGGTAAATTTCAGACTACTGATTCTCTCAGTCTCAACCTGTGTTCCTTTATTAAAATAACAAAAACTAATAGGTAAAAACTGTCCAAATGTCCTTCAGTTGACGTAAGCCACAGCAACACTACCATTCCCCACAACTACTACGGCTCCTACAAACCCCTCTTACCGTTAAATAATTAAAAAGATTCTAAGCCTATATCTAATCAAATTACTAACTACAAAACAAGCCATGCATGAGTCTCAGAGGTCCGCCCACCTTCTCCTGTCACCCAGTGCTTCCCCCTAAGGACTTGCTAAATCAATTGCCTTCACACCTCCCTTGCATAGTTTACCTCTCTGTACTTTCATCCCTCATTTTACTCCTTATAACCCCTTACCATAATCCCTCTTTAGCTTAAAAGTCAACTTTTTCAAAGGGTATTCTTAAACCACACTCACTTTTCTGACCTGTTGAACTCTGTTCATTTCATTATCTATCACACTTAGCTATAATTCATTCTAAAAACGCTGACTTACCAAATTCCAATTCCAGAAGTCCAAATTCCCTGGACTGCTCTCAGCCTCATCTTAGGTGATCTCTCTAGGGCCATGCTATTTCAATATCATAGCCACTGACCACAAATGATTATGTAAATGTAAACTTAAATTATCAAAAATAAATAAAGTTTAAAAATTCAGTTCCTCGGTCACACCAGCCATTTTAAAAAGTACACTATGGGCACATATGGCTGATGACTACCATGCAGAACAATATAGATTATAAAACATTTCCACCATCCCATATTAGACAGGCCAGTTCTATAGCATAAATACCTACAAATAGGCCTCCATATTCAACCTCTTTTCCTGTATGTTCCATTACAACACACACTTCTGGTTCTCCTGCTACTCCTTGAGTGCTCCTACCAATTCCTGTTATGGGTTTCTACAAAATCCAACCCACTAATGATGGCATTCTATAGGACTCTTTCCTCACCCTCCTCCTGCTTGTCTCATCTTCCACAGCCATGTTTAAATCACCATGCATACACTGATGGCTTACAAATCCCTATCAACATCTCAGCTTCTCATCTGAATTCCAGACTACAAATCAGTCCATGAATATATTTCCAACCACTTAATGAAAACTTTTCAAGACAGACGAAAAAACATATTTTCAAAACCAAACATGTTTCCCCCTACAAGATTTGTTTTTTGAATGTTGCTATTCTTTGTAAAGGGCAGCTCAACTAACATGACTTCTTTGTTCTTAAACTATCAGTGACTTCATTATAATCATTACTATCTAAGAACCCTGTAGGATCTGGCCCTAATCTACCTATTTCCCATTACGCAATAAATATTTAACAACACACCCGAGATATGCCCCCTCAGAGTGGTAGGTTCTGAAGACACAGTTAAACAGAATATGGTCAGTGTACTTTTAGTCAGCACAGTGGCTGATGGAGAAGTAAAAGCAAACTAACAACCCTAAATCAATTAAAAATACCAGCAATAAAGAGAGAGACAGAGAGAGACTGAAAGCTGGGGAATGATTCCTGGAGGAATGATGTTTGACCTCAAAGTCTGAAAAACTTACTAGCATTTCAGCGTGTGGATGAATGACAAGCAATACTTTGTAAGGGGCACAAAAAGAGGTATGAGAACAAACTGAAGGGGATAAAGCCAGAGATGAACACAGAAATAAAACTGCTGAAAGGAATTTTGCAATAAGCCAAAGAGTTAATCCTCTTTTCCTAAAAATCCTGGAGCATTATTAGGTATGTATAATAAGTAAACAACATAATCAAATTTTTACTTTCAAAAACTCAACCAGCAGCAGTGTGAAAGATGGGCTGAAAAAGACATACTAGAGGCATGGAAATTGGTTTGGAGGCTATTGTAGTTATCCAAGCGAGAACTGAAGGCCTTCCTGAATTGAGGTGGAGGAGAGGGTAATGACAAAGAAATGAAAAAAGACTACAGAATCCAAAAATGTTAGTATCTGACCGAATGAAGGAAATGAGCGAGAGGAGTGTATCTAAGATGACTACAGGGTTTTGTTGTTTTACAAGCTAGAAAAAAAGTGTTGTTATTTGGGGAAAATAAATAAGGTTATAAAATGCAGGGGGAAAAGATATTTTTAGGGAGAAGAAAGATAAATTTGGTTTGGATATGCTCAGCTTGAGATAGGTATAGGAAATTCAAAAGAAATTTAGATATGCATCCTTCTTGGCTATCTCGCGTTGTTCTTCATACTGATTCCTCAAGGCTCAGATTAGACATCACTTCCTTGGAGAAGGCTTCCCTGGCCACCCATGACTAGGTGAGGGACCTTTCCTCTAGGTTTACATACCACATAGGGTTTGTCTACCATACCAATTGCACACTGTAATATAAAATTGTCAAAATAACACTCACCAACCTGAAAGCTCATAAATGTGAGAAACTTTTCTATTTTATTCATCACCTTTCCAGTGTCTTACATCTATAATTAAAGTCAAATAAATATTTGTTGAACGAAGTGATGAGCCAACCTCGTCAAATCTTCCTTTATATGTTGAATGACTATGTCAACATAGTCACTCTCCCAGCATCAGAAATCTTTGAGAGGTCATTTTCTCTTTTTGACAACTAAGACAAAGTTCACTGTTACACAGCAAGAAAAAAAATTACGTTCTTATGAGAGTAAGAATGAAAAAGCCTTTCTACAATATCAATATGTGAATTATGAAATATCTATTTCATAAATCCTAGACTAAAATTCATAAGGAAAAAGAATTATTTCGGGACTTAAGATAAAAATTATAAAAACAACCACAGTCATAATGAGTACATTCTAAGAACATTTATTAAATTAACTTGCTAATACTAAAGTAACTGTATTACTTATGAAAAAATAAGTTTCCACATCCTCGCCTATAAAAAGATAGCTGAAATATAAACTTTGTTTTAGCATTTTTGTAATATCTATAGTCAAATCACTGTAGCCTTGGGGAAAAAATGAATCTCCATTAAAAGCACACCTTATAAAAACTGATATGATAGCCTTCTCCAAAAAGAGTTACTAGAGCGATATTACACTTACAAAATTACATGCAAAAAAATGTTGAAAGACACAGTTAAGGTTGAGGCTCTGCTTAATTTCATTCTCTAGGGTGAATGTATTAGTGCATCTGTACAAGAAGGTTGATAATTCAATATTCTCTATATACTTTCTGACATTTCTGGTCTTCATTTTTCAAATTTATGCACCAAAATAAAGAATGTGTCTAGCAACCATGATAGCTTCCTGCCTAAAGCAAAGTATTTACATGTGTCCTTATAAAACTATCAGAACAAAGTTTTTGCTGATATATACAAAATGATATGGCAATAGAAATATTTTATGGAGCAAATAGTATTTTCTGAATCTAACTAACACATATAATTTCTGACTAAAAGGAGACAAGTAACCTTGAACAAGGTCTTTCTTCTATTTATATATTTAAAACCTACAATTTGTTTAAAAATCTGTTGAGAAACTTTAACTCCATTCATGTTTGACTCCATTCATATATACTATATACCTAAAAATGATAACAAAATCAAATTTATACTATCTGGGATGTATCCAAATCAAGTACTTGAAAGTCTACTACTACTTTCCTATGAAGAGTTAAAGTGCTTATCCAGCTTAGAATACAATGTTGGCTGGGGGAAGGGTCACCCCACAACATGAACATCTATCCACTGTAACACTATGAGACTAAATTTAAATGATCCATTAATTTGTTTCCCCCACTAAACTAAGTCACTTCAGAGCAACAACAATATTATATTCACAACTGTAATCCTAACCTGCAGCCGAAGGCGTGGGAAATAACAACCTCTCATTTAGCGTTTGGTAAAGTCAGAACCTTAAGGCCCCTTAGGACATTTATAATGTTTTACCTAAGTTACTCTTAACTTACAAAACAGTGCCTATAATTTGTAAGTTATGTTTTATCTTCAAAGCTATAGAAATGTGCAACTGCCTCAAGATACATTTAGTATCTGCTACATCAAAAACCTATACTCCTTGGCATGATGCCTAACACACAGGAAATATTCACTTCGTAAATGTTTGCTGTGGGTTCATCATGGTGACAACAGTAGTAAGAATTATCGTCACTCCTTCAATGTGAAAAACCACCTGAATAATTCAAATCAGATTGACTATTTAAAATGCAAAGAATTGGAATAACAAATTAAAAGTCTAATAGGTACTTGCTAAGCCAGAGATAAAAGGACAAAACAATACCTTAAATTTATGCCTACTGTTCCATTATTGGAACGCTGAGCATGTGGAAGTTATTTATATCCTACTGCTTAAGGTCACTGCCAATGTCTGATTTTTCAAAACTCAAAAAAATTGCAATCTCAGGCATAAATGGGTTAAAGAAAAGTAAGGAATTGGCTGGATGGTTAGAAATACTACTGAGTTGAAACAAAACTGGTTTTGTTTGTGTAATATCCAACAGCTATGACCTATGAAAATGGCAATTTTATAAAGTTCAACTTAATATAATGAAGCAACTTTAATCAAAACTAAAAGCAAGTTAACTTTTCTCTTAAAATTTTTATATATGATTTCATTCTTAAGGGCTTAATATCATTTCTTGAGAATTACCACAACCTTAAAATTTTGATTACATACATTTTGCTCCATCATCCACTCATTCAAAAAGGATCTTTTTAGTTCTTACAAAGGGCCAGGAATTGTTCCTGGTGCAGGGATAGTGAATAAAACAAACAAAATGCCTCAAAGTTTACTGTTAGGGTGAAATAGATAAGTCATTCACATATAAATACATAAACTATGTAGCATGTGAGATGATGATAAATACATTCAAAGAAAAATAAGGAAAGAAGAATAGGGAAGGTCAAGGTTGGGAGTGGGGAGTTAAGACTTTTTAGATACAGTAGTCCTCCTTGGTGGAGGGCATCTATGCACACACCTGAAGCAGATAAAGAAGAAAGAACGAATAACAAGCAAATTCCCTGAGGCAGAAGCATGCCTGCAGTGGTTCCCCACAGAATACTATAAAGTTAGTGAAAACTACTTACTTTCTTGTAAAGTTCTGATGCTTTCTCTTCAAACTCTTCTAGTTTTGCTTGATCTATGCAAATGTCTAAAATTGCAATGACAGGAAATTTTTAATGTGAAACTTCTTAAACTCATTATGACTTCAAAAGTTTAGAAAGAAAAAAGATCATAGAAAATAATTAAATACTGATACTACCAGTAATAAACAAAATGGAAAAAATATTATAATGTTGGAATGAAAAAGGCTTTTCTAAGCATGATACCAGAAAACAGAAAACACAGGAAAAGCCAAACTCAATAACAATTTTAAACTTCTAGCAGGCAAAAGGAGATGTTCAATTGTAATAACACTCAAATGTTTCTATCACCAACTCGTACATATTTTAAAGAAAAAAGATGATGTCTATAAACAAGCTTAAAAAAAACAGCCAACAGTAATAAACAGAAAATTAGAAAAATTGATACTAAAAAATCACCAAAACAGATGAATAAATGTTTATTATTCCCTAACAATATGAAAATTAGCAATATGAATGTGAAGATTAAATGACTGATAATGCCAAGTGTTGGAGTTGACATGAGGAAACCAATAGTGAAAGCTAAGAACTTTGCTGATGAAAAACTAGGCAATATATACTAAAATTGTAAATATGGATTTTCTTTTAACCTAGCAATTCCATTTCTGAGACTTGGCCATTAGGCCTGAAAACTCATTAAAATATTTTTTGATGTTAGACAAAAAAAAAAAAAACTGAAAATAACTTAAATGCCCATCAATAATGAACTGCTTAAATAAGTTATGATATATATACATGATAGAATACAATGTAGAAGTAATTCATATGGATTTCCCATATGTTATCCCTTCTTTTTTATTAAATGAAAGCGATACATGAACAAAGTTTATAAAAATATATTACAGAAGAATTTATAATAAAAAATAAGTCAACAAAGTTACTGTATCCAAATCTTAATCACACTTCCTAAATGCAACCTCTTATTACCATTTCTATACTAGATTATTTTGGTGGTTAGTTTCTTAACTGTAAATAAAATGTACATAAGTATTATTTCTTGATTTATCTATTTAAGACATTATAGATAACTTTCTATTATAAAAGATTAAGACAGTATTTGTTCTCTAATCCTAATTTTTGATATTTTATTTACTAAACTGGATTGCTCCAGAGCATGAAATATTTAATTTTGATTCCCATTACATTAAGAATAACTTAAAATTCTTGCCACAGTATGTCAAATTATCTGTGCCTCATGCTTTCCAATACCTTTTCTCCCCTATTGCCCACCTTTGGTTCTTCTCTCACCTATTCATAGAAATACAATGACATTCTCTTCTGTATTTAAATCTTTTGTATTTACTTATGAGATTATTCTAAATATTTAAAAATCAGTAAATACAATTAATTTATTAAAACTACATAAGCACGCATCACTTATACAACCAAATGGTGTTCAAATATTTTATTTCCTTCTCAAGAGCTCAGTGAAAAAAACCTCTCAGCTGCCATTCCTAAATGACCCAGTGGAATACATTTTTTCAGATACTATTCAAAATCATTCCACATTTTAGTTTGCTGCATATTTACAGCACCATTTTCTTAATTTCTGCTTCCTCTTCCCACTCCCCCCACCCCAGGAACTTCTAATTGCTTATCTCTTATAGAGAGAAACAAGCATTTTCATTAATATTATCTAGTTCTTCACTAATTATATTTCATTCTTCTCCCAGGACTCAGATAATATACGAAAAGAAACATAACCCTGCACAGATACATAGCTGAAAATGAGAGGTGTATTTTAATAGCCTTTTCAAATCATTGTGGGTAATCTTCTTTGATGTTATATCGAAATCTGACAAATGGTGACTTCTTAAACAGTAGTTACAATGTGGAATCACATATCATATCAATTAACTTGTACTCTGTTACCCTAAAATCTCTTGATAAATGTTGCACTTTTAATAGATCTTTTGCCTATGCAGAATTTGTAATATCAGGCACTGGTCATATGGAAAGAATGGTGTGCTGAGTCATGCAAATGTTCCGAACGTTAACAGGTCTTTATACAATATCACAATGAATAATCAGATAGGTTAATAACACCAGTGACATCAGGAAATAATTTTAGTATTGAGAACCTGTCAGCCTAAAAGCAGCAGATACAAGTTTTCCAAAATTCAAATTTCCACTTAAAAACTCAAATTTTCTCATTGGCAGCCTATTTATCGGCCATTTTCTTTGAAGTTATAGGCTCACTTTATTTCATTTTTAAGAAAGCAAGTGCCTGACGAAAACTTTAATAAAAACTCAAATGTTACAACACTAAATAATAATGCTTTATCTTTAAAAAAAAAAAAAAAAAAAACTCTCAAGTTATAGAAGCCATCGTCTGTATGAGTCATTCCAAGTTTAAAAAAAAAAAAAAAAAGGCTTCGGGGGGGACAGGCAATTCTGCTTGCAACTCAATTACACAAATATTTTCTTATTGAACTCTTTTAATAGATCTTTGCCTATGGAGAATTTGTAACATCAGGCACTGGTCATATGCAGCAGAAGTACTGTATGTATAAATCCCATTTGTTAACACAGAATATTAAAACAGTGTGTATACAAGGGTCAGGCTTTAATAAAGTTAACATTTTTAGGACCTTATCAAAGGCATTCTTAAGTAAAAAATGGCAGTTTTTGTTGTTTTATTGACAGTAAAGATGATAATGACTACTCCCACAGTTTAGTGCCACTGCCTTGATTCATAACAAAGTGCCAGGAGTTTTACTCACCATTGTTCTGCACCACCAGTGCAAAATACCAACCCAATAAAAAAGGCGAATAATGTTTTTGTGCTATTATGAAAACAGTTTTGACAATTAGGGCCCTCAGGAGTCCAGAGACACAACCCGAGAACCAATGCCCTAGAGCTCATTCATAGAATAAGAGACAATAAGATATTTCTATTTAAATAATAAATACTCACCTACAAACTGGGTTAAATCTAAATCTAGTCTTTTTCGATATGTGAAGTCTGGATCCATTCCATCTCTATGCAATACAATCTGGGATACACACTCATCAATTAATTTGAAGTATTGTTGCCTAAAACCAAAGAAAAGAGTAAATGTACAATTGATAATTAGTGTAACTTTACATCAAAACAAAACTTTTTGGCTAAGATTGATTTCAAGTTCAACAATTTATTAGTAATATAATTTCAATAGTTGACACAACAGATTTTACCTGGGAGTGAGAGTAAATACAATTGTCATCACTTTGCTTTTAATGAATTCAAAACATCATTTTTATAGTCTTTTAGGAAATACAGTATCCCTTAATTTTCTTATAAAAGTCAAAACCTTGAATTAAGTAAATTAGCTGAAAGTGAAGTGATAAGTGCTTAAAATTTGTGCTCAGAGGTCATCAACTTTCCACTGTACCACACTGAAATAGCTATCATTAATTCACTTCATTAATACAACCAAAATAAACAAAAATTTTCTCTAAAAAGTTTTATGGGAGTATGTGGTATACTGTTTTCCAAGTGTTTGTGAAATCAAATTTAAAACTGGTACTGTAAGTTATATATAATATCAAATTCATATTTCTTACTCAAAGGGAAATAGAAAAATTCAGTATAATAATATTTGTCCAAAAATCGAAGTTTAACTAAAACCTCCAAGTAGATTTCATGTTGTCATTACAGTTAAGTCTAGTCCATCTACACTGGTCATAGGTGAAACATCCCTTAAGATTTTGAAAGGATCAACAAAATTGATAGATCGCTAGCAAGACTAATAAAGAAAAAAAGAGAGAAGAATCAAATAGACACAATAAAAAATGATAAAGGGGATATCACCACTGATCCCACAGAAATACAAACTACCATCAGAGAATACTACAAACACCTCTACGCAAATAAACTAGAAAATCTAGAAGAAATGGATACATTCCTCGACACATACACTCTCCCAAGACTAAACCAGGAAGAAGTTCAATCTCTGAATAGACCAATAACAGGAGCTGAAATTGGGGCAATAATCAATAGTTTACCAACCAAAAAGAGTCCAGGACCAGATGGATTCACAGCCGAATTCTACCAGAGGTACAAGGAGGAACTGGTACCATTCCTTCTGAAACTATTCCAATCAATAGAAAAAGAGGGAACCCTCCCTAACTCATTTTATGAGGCCAGCATCATTCTGATACCAAAGCCGGGCAGAGACACAACCAAAAAAGAGAATTTTAGACCAATATCCTTGATGAACATTGATGCAAAACTCCTCAATAAAATACTGGCAAACCGAATCCAGCAGCACATCAAAAAGCTTATCCACCATGATCAAGTGGGCTTCATCCCTGGGATGCAAGGCTGGCTCAATATACGCAAATCAATAAATGTAATCCAGCATATAAACAGAGCCAAAGACAAAAACCACATGATTATCTCAATAGATGCAGAAAAAGCCTTTGACAAAATTCAACAACCCTTCATGCTAAAAACTCTCAATAAATTAGGTATTGATGGGACGTATTTCAAAATAATAAGAGCTATCTATGACAAACCCACAGCCAATATCATACTGAATGGGCAAAAACTGGAAGCATTCCCTTTGAAAACTGGCACAAGACAGGGATGCCCTCTCTCACCGCTCCTATTCAACATAGTATTGGAAGTTCTGGCCAGGGCAATCAGGCAGGAGAAGGAAATAAAGGGTATTCAATTAGGAAAAGAGGAAGTCAAATTGTCCCTGTGTGCAGACGACATGATTGTTTATCTAGAAAACCCCATCGTCTCAGCCCAAAATCTCCTTAAGCTGATAAGCAACTTCAGCAAAGTCTCAGGATACAAAATCAATGTACAAAAATCACAAGCATTCTTATACACCAGCAACAGACAAACAGAGAGCCAAATCATGAGTGAACTCCCATTCACAATTGCTTCAAAAAGAATAAAATACCTAGGAATCCAACTTACAAGGGATGTGAAGGACCTCTTCAAGGAGAACTACAAACCACTGCTCAAGGAAATAAAAGAGGATACAAACAACTGGAAGAACATTCCATGCTCATGGGTAGGAAGAATCAATATCGTGAAAATGGCCATACTGCCCAAGGTAATTTACAGATTCAATGCCATCCCCATCAAGCTACCAATGACTTTCTTCACAGAATTGGAAAAAACTACTTTAAAGTTCATATGGAACCAAAAAAGAGCCCGCATCGCCAAGTCAATCCTAAGCCAAAAGAACAAAGCTGGAGGCATCACACTACCTGACTTCAAACTATACTACAAGGCTACAGTAACCAAAACAGCATGGTACTGGTACCAAAACAGAGATATAGATCAATGGAACAGAACAGAGCCCTCAGAAATAACGCCGCATACCTACAACTATCTGATCTTTGACAAACCTGAGAAAAACAAGCAATGGGGAAAGGATTCCCTATTTAATAAATGGTGCTGGGAAAACTGGCTAGCCATATGGAGAAAGCTGAAACTGGATCCCTTCCTTACACCTTATACAAAAATCAATTCAAGATGGATTAAAGATTTAAACGTTAGACCTAAAACCATAAAAACCCTAGAAGAAAACCTAGGCATTACCATTCAGGACATAGGCATGGGCAAGGACTTCATGTCCAAAACACCAAAAGCAATGGCAACAAAAGCCAAAATTGACAAATGGGATCTAATTAAACTAAAGAGCTTCTGCACAGCAAAAGAAACTACCATCAGAGTGAACAGGCAACCTACAACATGGGAGAAAATTTTCGCAACCTACTCATCTGACAAATGGCTAATATCCAGAATCTACAATGAACTCAAACAAATTTACAAGAAAAAAACAAACAACCCCATCAAAAAGTGGGTGAAGGACATGAACAGACACTTCTCAAAAGAAGATATTTATGCAGCCAAAAAACACATGAAAAAATGCTCATCATCACTGGCCATCAGAGAAATGCAAATCAAAACCACTATGAGATATCATCTCACACCAGTTAGAATGGCAATCATTAAAAAGTCAGGAAACAACAGGTGTTGGAGAGGATGTGGAGAAATAGGAACACTTTTACACTGTTGGTGGGACTATAAACTAGTTCAACCATTGTGGAAGTCAGTGTGGCGATTCCTCAGGGATCTAGAACTAGAAATACCATTTGACCCAGCCATCCCATTACTGGGTATATACCCAAATGACTATAAATCATGCTGCTATAAAGACACATGCACGTGTATGTTTATTGCGGCATTATTCACGATAGCAAAGACTTGGAACCAACCCAAATGTCCAACAATGATAGACTGGATTAAGAAAATGTGGCACATATACACCATGGAATACTATGCAGCCATAAAAAATGATGAGTTCAAGTCCTTTGTAGGGACATGGATGAAATTGGAAATCATCATTCTCAGTAAACTATCGCAAGAACGAAAAACCAAACACCGCATATTCTCACTCATAGGTGGGAACTGAACAATGAGATCACATGGACACATGAAGGGGAATATCACACTCTGGGGACTGTGGTGGGGTGGGGGGAGTGGGGAGGGATAGCATTTGGAGATATACCTAAGGCTAGATGACGAGTTAGTGGGTGCAGCGCACCAGCATGGCACATGTATACATATGTAACTAACCTGCACAATGTGCACATGTACCCTAAAACTTAAAGTATAATAAAAAAAAAAAAAAGAAAAAAAAAAAAGACCAAACCAAAAAAAAAAAAAGTTATTTGAGATTAGTTGAGCATGAGTAGGTATTTATTGCTTTCTTTTTGGCCAGAAACTTGTTAGTGAAATAAGGCTAATGGTAGAAATATTTCCTCTTGTAAAGCATAATCATCTCTTCTTGAGAAGACTGGTTTTAAAATATCCTAGTGCTTTTAGATATTGTACCTTTTTGGTTATGCCAAATATTAGTTCACTTTGGAAAGCCGGTAATATGAAAAATGATGTCACTCATCATTAGTACAGAGGATTAAAGAGAAAACTGGAACAAGAAAGATGTCTCAGAAAGGGACAAAAAAAAAAAGATTTAATAAATGTAAATAAAACAGATAAAAGATTTTATAAGCAAAACCAAACTAAAGTGATAAACAGGTTGGGTACTATTCTAATGAAGCACAGTCCTCCATCTCAGATCATCCCCTAGAACTTCTTTCCTTAATGACTTTTAACATACTTTTCCTCTCTAAATTCTAAAGTGTGGGTCCCTCAAGCCATTTAGACTTTCCTTTCCATAAACTATGACCCACTGCTCTTGACCTACTTACCTTACACCTAATAAACCATCTATTACAGTGAAGAAAATCCACTACAGCTTAACACTAGCAAAGATGACTAATGATCATTAACTGTCATAGAGTGAAAATGTTTAAGAAACGGTTCCTGGGTACAAATCAAAAGTGTTAATCTATGCTTGCCTCTATTTGTTCAAGTTCTTTCAAGACATTATCTCCCATCCCCAAATATTTCTGCCATAATAACCACATTTACACGTGGTACATACATTTAAACACATTTACATCTATTACATTTAAAAATCTAGATGATGTATTTCTTTTCTACTCAACATTATTCTAATGTTTTTAAAATGAAAATGTTTTAAATTAACAACACAAGCTATTTCATGTCATCTTTTTAAGAAATCATAATTTTAGTAAGTTTTTCCTCAACTCCACAATGTCCAATTATGAGTTCATCTATAATGTGGCTGAAATTTCATGCAAAAACTCACTGGGGAGGCAATACTATCAAAGAATAATACACAACATTTCTGGATTCCAGAAATGTCAATCTAGAAAATAATCTCCATGAGCAATATTGGTGAGGTAGTAAATGTGTCTGAGGAATATGTGAATAACTTAATTAAGGGATGAACATTAAGTTGTCATTACTGACAAAATGCTATTTTTGTTGGAGGAGTTTTTGAAATCTTCACTTTTCTCTGTGGTATTGTTAACAAATATCAGAAATTATCTCCCATGCGCATTTAACTAGCGTGGTATTTTACACATGGTAAGCCTTAATTATTTGGTGTAAAACTGAATTTGATCTTCTCCACCCAATTATCTTGCTGTATTTCAGCCCCCTCCCTTTTTCCCAGGGAAAAGGGGCTGCCTTTGACATATATTCTCCAATCGAATTCCATTTCTGTCAAACTTTCTTTTGTCCCAAAAGTGGAAATGAAAAAAGATTCTAATTTTTCCATCCACCAATTCTTTCAAATGAGAACATTTAACATTCTGCAATAGAACAATCTACTGTTTGTAAAAAGAAAAAGAAAAATTATGTGTGTTCGTATCAAAAGTAGTTTAAAGAGCTCATTAAACAAAAAATGTTACAGGTTATCTAAGATTGCTGAAAAGGTAAAATAGAGGTCCTTCTGAGGTAGATGAAACCAAAAAATGAAGGTAAAAACCAAAAAAACAACACTCATAGACGTGTACACCAACAAGAGTAAGTTTTACTGTATGTAAATAAATAAAATTTTAAAAAATAAATGCATGACAAAAATATATGTAAATTATCACAATTCTGACACAATCTTGGAATAAAAGCATATTTTAAGAAATATTTTTAAGAATTTTTTTAAGAAATTTTTTTAAAGAAATATTAACAACAACAATAATAAATAGGAGAGTTTGGAAACATGAGGAAAAAACTGATGGAGTTGTCTTGAGTCTAGCAGTCACAGGAAGAACACTGCCTTTGTGGCAACCATATCTGGAATCAAGATACCCGGGGTTTAAAGAGCCAAAGAAGGAATTAACATAGGTGAACATCAAATGTAAAAGTTCATACTCAAAAGATGGCCAAATATCTAAATTTCTATGCCTTAATGTCATTTTGGTAATGCCACAATTTAATCTTTCTCCAAGACTCTTGATTTAACTCAAATGATAGTATCACCTGAACATAACCCAAAACAGTTGTGTTTTTTAATCTGTTTTGAAGCTAGATACAACCACATGCTCTCTTGGGGCACAGATGAAGGGATCAAAGTCATAAGTATGATAAAACCCCTGCAGGACTACAGGCATGTTCAAACCATTGAAAACAAACAACAGTCTTAAATTCTTGGGTACTCAAACAGCATCAAACTTCCAGAAGACGACAGGACTGACCACACACAGATCAAAAAATGTATGGAGTTTACTTTAGAGTAAATAGAAGTTTCAATGTCATTTTTAAGTAAATTTGGAGTAGAAATATAGTATCATAAACAGCATGGTACAAATGATATTTTAAAAATCTAAATTAGCAATTCTTAATCTAGCATTTATAATATAAATATTTAAACTGGTTTATTTTTAATAAAATATCAGAAAGGAGCAAATTAAAAAAATCAGTTACTAAACTCATATTTTAGAATATCAGTGGGATTTCTGGCTACAAAGAGAGTAATTTTGATGCATGTCCTATCCTCATCCTGAAAAACCTAAAGTTTTAACATTTTGGGTCTCCTCCTTGCTTGTTAGGTACATCAAAAAATCACTGAGTCATACCCTCTGATGTTACCCCGAGGACACAGCCTGAATGAAGCTTGTCTAAAAAACTCTTCTACTTGAAATTAAGTAGAAAAGAAAAAAACACCCAAAGTATAAGAGAATGAAATTTCAGCAAACCTAAATTGGTGGCAACAAAATGATTTTATATTCAAAGAGCTCAGCTTCCACCATAAAACAGTAATAGAAATGGAAAGTAGATATAGAGAACATTTACTAAGCATACACCATATGCCAAGGGTTTGGCTAGAACTTTTACCCACATTCCCATATTTCATCTGCCTAACAACCCAGTGAGTTAGGCACTAATCTCCATATTTAGTCACATTATAATGTAGATGAGGTTAAAAGAAAGATAAATAATTTGTTAACCTCAGATGGCTAGGATATAATCAATCTTTAAAAGCCATTTGTCTGGCTTTTTGATATATTAGCAACATTAAACGCAACTGTATTATTAAGACTTGCCAGCTACTTAAACACTAATAAAAGCAATGTTTAGTGCCCTTCATGTAACTTATAAGAAGAAACTTATCAACATCATTCCTACTGCCTAAGAAATAACTAGAAAATATTATCTGTCACATGATAAACTAGTAATTTGTTGCTAGTTTGCATTTTTATTCAGATGAAAGGTTGTAACCAGGAATCCACAGGAGCTTAAAAAGTAATAGTAATATCATTTTACCATCGTCTACCTAAATATATGCCCAGAGAAAACAACACATTCTATGAATCAGTGTTATGACAAAAATAAAAATCATTTGCTTGTCAAAGGCAAATATGATGTGAATTTCACAATTAATAGATTTTTATTAGTGAAAGAAAACATTAGAATACAACTTCCTCTTACCTTATAAAATAATCATTTCGAATCAGCAAAAGATGCTGAAGAATAGAAATAAAATATCCCTCTGCTCTAGTTTCTTTAACTGTGCTCCACACCATGTTGTAAACATCATATGCTTCAGTGAGTTGATTAAGGAATATATGGATTTATTTATACTCTACACCAAACAACTATAATAATATGACAGAATTTGTCCTGTAAGGTTTTGGAACTGTAATACAGGCATCTTATATATTCAACATAAAATACAGATATTTAGGATTGAGGGTAGTGGAAAAACTCTGGAAATGGTGACTTAACCTGACACTTCCTGACTTCCCTTCTACAATCAGTTCCAACTAATCTGTCTCCCCTAAGCACAGATGCTGTTGGGAACAAAGGTAGTAGGGAAGCTGGCTATGAATACTGTGTTGAATTCTAAAGGTTGCCTGACCAACAGAGCTGGTGGTCAGGTTAATTATCTACCATGAAGAAGCCCCAGGTGAGGATAGGAACCTGTTGGGTCTCATGAGGAGCACAGACGTCTGCAGACCCACAGATTAACATGCGACCCATGAGTATGCACCCAAGATGCAGGGAAAGAGCAGCCAGTGACTAAGGCTGCCCTATTCCTAATGCTAAAAAGCCCTAAGTAGAAGGAAAAGTGTCAAATATAAAAAGAAAACAAAATAGATTGCACACATACATATAAGAAACCAATCTACAGAATCCATTTGTTAGTTGCAGCATACGCTTACATATATGTGTATTCATAAAAACACACAAATTAATAAAATAATAACATTCTTCTGATGCATGAAGGTTTGATTTCATGTTGTTTATATAGAAATGAGCTAAATATTTGTGGCTGAGTATTTTGGATTTAGCAATAATTTTATATATGATTTGACTAGACTTCAGAACAAAAGGATATTCAAGTTCAGCTCTAATATCTTCAAGGCGATGGGATAACTCAAACAAATCTTCTTCTTTATGCTCATCAAAGACTTTAAGTTGGATATCCAGGCCATCATTCTTAATGCATTTTAAATTCTAGAGATATGAAATAGAAATTATGATGAATGATTTTGTTTTTAATTATGCAAAAGAATAAAAAACATATAAACAATAAACCAACCATTCAACTTGATTTATAGCATTCGAACATTTAAAGTGTTAAATAACACTCGAATCTTATCATCTATATTTCAAAAATAGATTTTTTAACTCAAGCCTTTTCCCACAGATAAATTATTCTTCAAGGTAATTTATCTAAATTTCCCCCTACTCAAGTACTCTTTTAATTTAAATATTAATAAGGAGACTGCAGGGCACTTACTGGCAATATCTCTTTCAATCCACAACGCATAAATTCATTTCTGATGTGAAGCCTGAAATCCAAATCATCAGGAGATGTAACCAGGGCATTGATGAGCTGCATACAAGCTACCTACAAGAGATCAAACAGTGAGACAGACTGGGTTTCCAACATTAAAGAAAGAGTAACAAACGTAAACTTCAAGGTTTTGTTCCAGCATTATTAAATATCTTTCCTATTAAAACAATTTGTAAGCAAAATATTTCAGTCAGTTATAAACTACAGAAGAAATAAAGTTTCAGTGGCGTTTTTTATTTCTCATTTATTTGAGGGTTACTGAGGTGAAAGGAAGATGGAAAAATATTAGCCGTTACTACTGCTCCAT
This sequence comes from Homo sapiens, assembly GCF_000001405.40. Taxonomy (NCBI): domain Eukaryota; kingdom Metazoa; phylum Chordata; class Mammalia; order Primates; family Hominidae; genus Homo; species Homo sapiens. The sequence continues at coordinate 59,992,837 of NC_000013.11, forward strand.
AAAAAAATAGAAAAAAAAAAAAAAAAACACTTGTAACCAAAAGCTAAGTTCTTGTCCAATAATATCACTCTACACACATACAACAGAAATTGAACATATCCAATATACCTATTGGATAGATAACACTTACCTAAAATAGGATAATAAAATAGTTTTCCATTCATCAAGAGAGACTCAAAGTCCCAAAGACTTCAAGGTCAACAAGGGTCTTAACTCTAGTTAACAAGGTTATAAATAAACACTGTATAATTAATTTCTAGAAGTTAATTTATCAGGCAATGGTTCTCATACTTTGGCAAAAATTCAAAATTACCCTATGTTTTAACCAGAAATAAATAACAGAGCTCACTAAATCCTTTAATATATAGCTTAAATGATAAAAATTTTTAAATCACAAAATTTTCAGCTCATGTTTAACACTTCAACTTTCAACTTCTCCACTTTTTTCATCCCTGGCTAAAATATATCTTTCATCCTCCAAAATCCATAAAATGGAAACAAAAGACAGTCTTTCTAGAGAAGCATTCTTTGTTGTTGTTGATAATACTATTTTTCTAAAGTCTACATTCTATCCAAGTCTAGCAAGAACTACTGGACTACTGATCAATATGTTTAACCTCATGCTGTTCCCTAAATTGTCTTTTCTCCATCCCTTAAGGCAAGGTTTATATGAATTTAAAATGCTGTTTTGGAGTAAGACACCAACAGAATTCTCAATTCCTGCTGTTTGAAATATATAGTAATTGTTATATTTGATATCTAAGCATTAAAATCTGACCAGCATGCCTCTACTGTCGAAACTTAAGGTTGTTTAAAGTGGGAATGGGAAATATGTCAGAAGAGAGAGGAAGAAGAGAAACATACTTAAAAAAAAAAAAAAAAAAAACTTAACAGAATCTACCTTTCCAGTACATGTTCATTCAGCTGTAACCAGTTCATGTCAAAAAGTCAAGTTTAAAATGTTTTCCTTCCACCCCCTTGCCAGTCATTACCCAGGACCCACAAATGTTTTCTTCAGCAATGCCATATAATTTTTAAAGATCTCAAAGAGCAAATAATGCTTCTCTACATTCAGAGAAACTAAATCAAACTCAGTCACCTGGCTTCTAGAAAAACACAAATTACAGATAACTCACAGAAAGTAGCAAAAACAAGGAACACAAAAACTAGCAGCAAATATTACCTAAATGGAAAATACATATATGTAGACAACAGTAGCATGAAATTTAGAAATAAGGGAAAGGATAATCCAAATTATTTCCGGGAACTATTCAAAAAGGTGATTCTCCATAGAAGAAAAAAAATAGGAAATTAAATTGAAATAATGAATTCAAGTTAAATTTATAAAATTGCTTCCCAATTCTAATCATAATTTGCCATTAGCATGGCTTACAATCTATTTAATTTAAATCATGCAAACATGTCTGTGAATACACATAGGTATGCACTAAAATGCATTGTTTCTTTATGGATAAATAATTCTATAATCAAGGTAAAGACCAAGGAGTTCCTTGTAGGTTTTATACATAATGAGATACATACCTGCGGTATCACACAATTTCACAATAATTTAGCATACCAGCAGAAGGGAGTGTCAATCAGCATTTATGCCATATCAATCAACGCCTAGAGATATCGAGAAACGTTAAAAAACTACAAAGGTTAACAGGACATTTTGCCTGTCCAATGAAGATATATCAGTAAAATGATAAAAATATACTATATACTGTAAGAAATATGTTTGGTAAATAATGGGAATATGGAGATGCTAAATGAGAACTAAGACAGCTGAATAAAGTACTAACTAAAGGATTAATAAAATGGCCTGATGAAGAAGTGAAGAAGGAAGATCTAAGCCGAGGAATTAACATGTTCAAAGACATGGAACCTTTAAATTACAAGCAATTCAAATTTTATGAGCGGTTTGTCAAGGTAGAAAGGGGAGTAACGGGAAGAAGTCAAGAAATGAGGTTGAACAAGGAGACAGGAGAGAGGGCATAGCCTTGTGTGTCAAGTCACAAAATTCAGATTCAACCAGAAATAGTGAAAATCATAAGGAATTTTATGCAACAGGGGCACAATAACAGAGGCAATAGATTCAAGTTCAGAAGCTGTTGTAGAAGTAAATTTTTGAGCAAGGAGGAAGGTTCAAACATTTGAAATATGAAGAAAAATTGATAGAATGAGGTAGAAGAAAAGCATTTACAAGAGGCCTCCCACTTTTGTTATTTAACTAGATAGAAAGTGGTACCATTAGCAGACATACAAAATGTAAGAAGAGCAACAGGTTTTAGAGAATAGGATAAATCCTACTTTCAAAATTCTGATTGAGATGTATATTAGAATCATTCATTCATTAAAAAAACAATTACTGACTACCTACAACTTCTGTCAACTGGAGATACTCATACTCAAAAAATGAGAACCAAAAGTGAGATGTTCGTCATAAGGAAGTAATCTCTGTGCTCTAGTTGATGTTCCAAAAATGTAGCATATGATCTCTCTTAATTTGCATGTTACAGAAATCGTTATGATACATTACAAAACCAACCTCCCTCTGCGCTAATAAGGGTAAGAAAACAAGGAACTTCCATCTTCTTGAGAGCATCTAGTTAACTAAAGGTTCCATCTTAGGGCATCAGAAGCAGTTTACCCCGATATTGGCTCACATACTTCATTCCTTCAAAGCCTATTTATTGATGCCTACTATATACCAGGCACTGTTCTTGGTGCTAGACATACAGCTGTGAAAAAAGATGGAAATTTCTTTGAGAGAAAGAGGAGTCAAGACTGACTCCAAGGTTTTGGGCCTGAGCAACTTAAAGGATGAAATTGTAATTTATTGAAACAGAAATGACCACGGGAGAAAACAGGCTTGGGAAGAGAGAGGAAATCAGTTTTGGAGATGATAAGTTGGAAATGCCTATTAGTGATCTAAATCTTAAAAGCTGCGAAGGAAATTGAAGATAGAAGACTCCAGTTCAAAATAAAGCAATTGCCATAGCAATAATACGTAAAAACCAAGACCTCAGATGGAATCACGACAGTATAGAGGAAAAAGGAGGTGTCAGAACTGTTTAGGGCATTTTCAACCGTAGGTTTCAACATGGAGATTAGAGAAATAAGTTAAAGAAAAAGAAAAGTTAAAAACCATAAGTGAGGTAGAAGGAAAACAAGGAGATTGTGGTGTCCTGGAAGTATGGAAAGTGGTCTCAACAGTGAGAGAGTGATCAACTGTGTCAACTGGTCAAATAAAACAAGGACTAATCAATTACCACTGCATTTGGCAAAATGAAAACACTGGTGACTTGACAAGAATAGTTTCTACAAAGGGATAGAGTTACTGTTCCAAGCAGAAACTACTTGCCTCCCCACAGATGCCATATGCAGCCAGTAAACAAACAATTGCTGTAAAATATTCTCCTCTTTGCCCTAAATGCATCTTTATATGTTAGAAGTAACTGCTCCTTTATCTTTGTTTTTAAAAAGTCTATGTAAAGACACTTATCTCTAGGTGTTATGGATTACAAATTCAATTCTAATGGTTTGGAAAGCCAATACTGTAAGCTCACTTTATTACTCTTGTGTCAATTATCAAAAAGGGTCTTCTGTGAGAAAAGGTATTTTAAACGTAACTTCTAGCTGGAGGGGTGTGTGTCCATCTATGATTCAGGATAGTTGAGGATTTCCTTAGGGCAGCAGTAAACTAAAAGTATAGTACAAGGACTGACATCAGCAAACTCCAGACAGCCTAAGACTGGAAAGCGAGCGGCCAAAAAGGTAATGACAAAGAGTGGGACAAAAGTCAGCAATACCATAAAGTAGGAAGGTAAAGACATAACAGGGGCCAATAAAGTAGATAAGCTGTAAATAGAAATCTCAAAGATATTCAATATGTGGGGCAGAGCGAGTCAAAGGCCATCTTAAGAACAGGGCAAACGATCAAAGGAAAATCATTAGAAGCCGAAAGAGGTTAACAACAAGATAGAGGAACATGCCACTACATCTACATCACTGAATCAGCAAAGTGGCTTTCTGCCCTTGAAAATAAAGTGAGAAGTTTTCTTCATATGTGAATATATAGTACCTAAATTTCCTTTGGTACATAATTTACTGCAATTACTATGTTCAACACAAATATGAGAAAAGACAAATGTGTTTATTTGTACAAATTTATTGTACATGAGAAATCTTGTTACATGCATATAAGGTGCAGTGATCAAGTCAAGGTATTTAGGGTGTCTATTCCCCAAGTACAACATATTTATTTGGTCAGATACAGTCACTCTATTCTGCTATCAAACATTAAACTTATCCCTTCTACCATATGTTTGCACCCTTTACACACTTCTCTTCATCCTTCCTCCTCTGCCCCCACTCACTCTTCCCAGACTGTTATCTTTCCACTTTCTACATCCATGTGATCACAATTTTTAGCTCCAACATATAAGTGAGAACATGTGATATTTGTCTCTCTGTGCTTAGCTGATTTTTCTTAATAGCCTCCAGTTCCATCTATGTTGCTGCAAATGACAGGAGTTCGTTCCTTTTTATGGCTGAATAGTATTCCACAGTGAATATGTACCACATTTTCTTTATCCATTCATCCACTGATAAACACTTAGGTTTATTCCATATCTTTGCTATTGTGAATAGTGCTGTAATAAACACATGAGTGCCAGCATCCCTTTGAAATATTTATTTATTTTCTTTTGGGTGGATACTCGGTAATGAGACTGTTTTTTTCTAACCTTTGGTTCCCTGACCCTTTTTTGGACAACAAACTTAAGCACAAAATTCAAGGTTCACTAACAGGTACTATCCCTGAGCCCCATCCACGAGGACCATCCAGTTTTTCCAAAGGCCGACAGAGCAGAAGCTTTCAACCTGATTGCGCTGATGAGATTTAGAAAGTTGTCTAATAGCAAAAGTAAGTAGTTCTTAGAAAGTTTACTCTTGAGTCAACATGTTCATCCTGGGTATAAGTAGATGTTTTTACAATTAAATCGTGGCTCTACAATGCAACAACATATCAGCTTCAGGAGCTAAATCCAGATTGAAAACAAGAACCAGTAAAATACTTAAATAAAAATTCTATCAGAGGCTGCAAAAGCTTATTATCTGGGCCTGGAAGATACAGTTTAGACTGCTATTCATCTTTCCTACCCCATAGCAGAAATCATCTGTCTCTCTTTGCACAATTAAATTTCACATTTATCAAGTTAAAATGAGTAAATGATGCTTATGGAGAAATATTTTGCCTCTAGTGTAAATAGAGAAATTCCAAAGATTTTAAAATTTTATACACATGCATTGAAGTAACTGCATATACCCCACATTGACTCAGAGAAATAAAATGCAGGACTCAAGAAGCTATAATTTATACCAGGGATACTAAAGAACAAACTTGAATTCTTAAAATATTTATTTGAAAACTCCCCCAAGACATCATTAATTTCTTCTATGTCCTCCCATGCCTTTTTCTAAAACTGCCTTTATTGCAATTTTCGTATGAAATGTTAGATGGCTTTAAATTCTTGAGTATAAGCTTCTTAAGGGCAGAGGTGTATTTCACTCAACTTTGTAGTTCCAATACCCAGCATAGCCCAGTACCTAGCAGTCACTGAATAACTAAGTAATTGATCGGTTAATTATGAAACTTTTTAGTTACCTTCAAGACATTAATTATCTTTCTAGTTGTCCACTGTAGAATAAATGAAGAAATGTATTATATAGACTTATTAGGTAGATTCAGAAAACTGCCAGTAAACTCTAGATAATGATAACCATTAGTTTATACTTGGGTATGCTCCATATGATAATATGAGTTCACATTAGAATATTATCTGTTCCTTTAATGTCTACTAGCATACTGGCTTATTATTTACTGATCCATTTTAATATGGTTGATGTTTTAATTGATTGGTACTTATATATCAACCCTATTCATGCAAACCTCAATAAAAGTAGTAGTCAGAAGAGAAAGGAATTAAAACAAATTAACATTTGCATCCTTCCGGGATAGCTCAACAATGATCCTAAAAATAAGCCTTTTACTAATAGTCTGTATTCTTCATTTAGTCCTTCACTAAATGTGAGAAAAGTTTATTTAAAATAGAAAATTAATTAATAATTATTTGATGGAACAGAAGAGACACTTAAAACAAAAAATAGTAAATCAAGATATAACTGTTTATTATAAGACCTTTACTTGGTCTTGGGCATAATAAAACCTGGGTAAACTTTGAAGATTAAAGTGGTAGGTGGAACAAAATCAACCAAAGCAAATATACTTGGCTAAATCCAGAAAGGCATTTAACCTCTAATTTGTTTTAATGTGAGTATTCAATGGCATATTTGTCTGATTATTGCCCATTGACAAATTTCAAAATATAGTGATTATCCCTCACTTAAGAAAGGTTTTTGGTACTATTTTTGATACTTTAATGAAACTATTTATATAATGATAAAAAGTTATCCTTTTTAATTTATAAAAATATTGCTTTTTCTACTTTTTCAGACATGGAAAAATGCAATCCCATCAAACTTTCAAAGATCTATCTTCTAATTAAACTTAATGAAATCCACAGATTGAAGAGTTTTTTTTTAAGTTAAGGAAAAATTTAACTATCTTTGCAGCAGCCATAACAATGCAACTCTCAGTCTTTGACTGCAGGAAACATAAATGGCCTACAGCCCCAGCTGCTACCTTCTGAAAGCTATCACAGCATTTGAATTGAAGTCACAGTTCCCTGCTCCCAGCCAAGGCTTGAGCACAGCAAGTATACTAAAATAGACCTGTTCCTGGGACACATGGGACTTTGGCTCAAGGATTCCCCAACAGGCTTGTCAAGCTCTCTTAGAATTTCAGGGCAGCCTGAGACACTTTCACCCCATCTCCACTCCTTCCCACTCTCCTTCACCTAGAGTCAGATCTGCATTGAGTTTGACAGTTCTCCCAGCCTCCCCCAGCTCCTCCTCCAGGGTCTCTCACAGGCATTTCCTCTAGTCCCTTACACATCAAACCTCTTGCTTCTCATAGAACCAAGACTAACAGCCTCATTTCACAATGCAAGTTTCAACAAGGGTTATCATTTTCAAATTGTCAGACTCATAAGTATTATAACTGAAGCTTAATCAAATTTCTTATTTTTTAGGTATTTAACAGAACACTTTTGCTTTTTCTTCTTGTTCTTTATATATGACCAGCTTCTGTATTTTCATATGTTACTATGAGATACGGGTTAAGACCATGTGTATGCCAGACACTGAAATACATTTGGAACACAGATTTTCTCTAGTAATATTTCCAGAGACACCAATAGCCTGGATTATATTCCTTGCTTTTGCTTCCTTGAAAAATATATTCTAGGGTAGAGAAATATCTACCACAGGAATCCTAGAAAGACATACCAACCATCAATCACCCCTGTCCAGTACTGCATCACTGTTATCACCATAGCTTAAGAAGCCTGAAGATATAAGGGTTGCACAACAATGTGAATGTGTTTAATGTCACTGAACTATACTCTCAAAGATGGTTAAAATGGTAAATTTCATGTTATATATATCCTACCACAATAGGAAAAAAAAAAACCTAAAGCAAACAATGGCTATGTATTTCAACAGTGGGTAAAGAAATGACAAGATCTGGGTCATCTTTACTAGATAATCATAACAAGTAGAGATCCACAGAAGGACAACATAAACCCAGCTATTGGTATTATATCTAAAGAGTATACTAAAATCAGATATTTAGAACCCTGAATGAAATTAAGTAAAAGGATTTAAGTATATATTTTAAGTGAGCAAGCTCAGAACTAAAGATGCTACAGATTCACATCAAACCATCAAAGACAACCAAACAATTTTTTCTCTCTGAAACAAGCTTCCCATCTTTTCCTTTATTTGCTCTCTGACATAATTATTTCTCCTCTCTGGACTCAGAAACTTTGGAAATCATGTTTTCCCTTTATTCAGTAACTAACATAGGGAAAATATTCTTGAGGTATTTCCAAGAATCAAAATTAATGAGGGTTTCATTCCATTCAATCTACATCCAAGATAAAACCAATGTATAGGAACAACATTAGAAGAACCGGGCTAAAGGAAAAGTAGCCAAGGTGACACTAGGAGATTTGTGGTCTTCTGTCTGTTGCAAGACAATTCTCCCTGGGTCTCTCATATTTCATTTCCACTTGTATTGCAAGTAAAGACATTGATGGTCTTTGATCTAGATGCTCTTCAAGGATGTGTGTATACAAAACAATCTTGGAAAACAGCATATCTCTCCAGAGCAAAGAGCAGGCTCACTTCATGTCTAGTATAATAAAGATAATGTCTTTTAGAGCAAAGTGCAGGCAAGTTCAAAGTTCCTCTCCTACAGCACATCCTGCCATTTACCACCAGAAAGTTCTGACCATGATTTGATTACCATTACCTACACTTTACTAAGAGGTCAATCAGAATAGATCCAGCTCCTGCATCTCCCATGCAAAACATCTTCCCTTCTCTCTGGATGTCAACCCCATTCCAACTCCCATAACTGTAGCTCAGTCATTCTGTGGAGTGGGTGAATGGCACTGACAAAAAGGAATAAGTTGGACTGACTGTCTTCAGACAGTCCCTCCAAAAATTGTTAGACTTAATTATTTCCTGAACCAAGAACTGTAAAATTTATCAGCCACCTGGAAGCCAAGTTGAAAGCTCTGCCACCCTGTAGTCCCTTAACTAATAAAGTTCCTATTTGGGTAGTCCCAACAACTACAAACAACACTTTCCTTCCAGGAGCACCATGTACACCTTTCAAGACTATTTATCTTATGTGAAAGACAGGCATTAACTTGCCTCTCTCTTCAAAAACACCATGACTTGAACCCTACAGGTATGATCATAAGAAATGTTCAAGTGTTTAAAGAAATGCCACCAGTATGTCATGCAACTCTTAGGCAACTATGGAGTTCTCTCCAAATGGAAGCTATGCTTAGTTACTCTGGGGAGCTTCCTGGAGAAAAAAACTGACTTACTATGTGTACTCTGCAGGCAGTTATCCCTACAATGGGAAGTGGTAAAAAATCTGTGCCTGATTTCAGCTAAAGTGATCAGTGACACCACATCAGCCCTGGGAGGCAATCAGGTCAGCTTCAACTCACTGACCAGGATTGTTATGAAGAAAGAATTGTCCTAGACTTCTTTGCTGAACAAGGGGAAGTTTGCGCAATCACTAACACATCATACTGTATCTGAATTAACACCTCGGGCCAAGTGGAAAGATGAATCAAAAAATTTAAAAAGAAAGCCACCTGGTGTTCTAAGGTAGACTCTGATGATTTACTGGATTATGGGATTTGTTCAGCTGACTAGATCTGGGACCTGGAAGGCAGGACTGAGGCAAATACTTCAGACAGGACTCATTCTGCTGCCCACAGTCTCTCCTGAACTTAATTAAGTATGCTATGAAACAAACTGAACAGATTTCATCATAGCCTGTATCAATCAGATCAATTACAGTCATTGCTGCCCATAATATAAAAGTAATATTCCCTATGCTCAAGGTTTCTCTCCTAAAACACAACCCACTGCAACTGGCAGTATTCACATTACACTATGAGTGTCACAATATGGGCTTTGGGACTGACACAAAGCTGATACTCAGCCTACTGCTATTGCTGTGAGCAATAAAATCCTTTGTTTTTAACCTAGGAGTTCACGTCTTTTGACAGCACCAATAGAACTATGACAGACTAACATGTCAGTTTACAAGTGGCAGATCGTCTAAGACCATTCATGTTCCTGACCCTCCCATCAGCAACTTCATGGGTACTGGATCAGGGAGAAACCACAGGAAAAGGAAGTTACAGCATTCTATCACTGCAGACCTGAGGACATATACACAGAAGAAGAACCAAATATCCACCCAAAATGCTCTAGGATTCCCATGTTTTGGTTCCCTTCCAAAAATATATCACAATTCAATCAGTCGTATGACCAACAGCAAGGGTTTCAACAAACTCTTTGAAATCTAGAAAATGCTCTTGATACTCCAGGAAAGTATGACCCTGACAAGAGTAGACAGAAGACACAGAAAGGAAAAGAAAAAGAGGAGAGAAATAAAAATAACAGAAGATTAAAGGACGGCAGAAACTAGAGATTGGTTAACCAATACTTATCCCAGTCCTTTTCTACTAAGGAAAAACTGGCCAACATGAGGGACAAGCACACACATGAACAATGGACACTACGATGGAGGGTTTGGTTCTCCTGGGGCAACTGTGGCAGAAGGCTGTCTGTCCCTGGTGTCACAAGTGCTGACCACAGCAGAGAGTTGGGAGTGGCACTTCCATTAGAGCATTGCTGTGATACAGTGCAGCGTATCTTCTGTATTACTTCTAGCTACAGACCACCCACATGATTCCCTGGGCCTACCAGAAATTTTGTAAGGTAGGTACAAAATTTGTGAAGTAATTAATTGATATAGGCTATGATGAAATCTGTTCAATTTGTTTCATAGCATATTTAATTTTGTAATAACATTTTCTGCTTAAATTACCCAGAGTGATTATGTTGCTTGCAGCTGAGAAACCCTGTCTGATGTTTGAAAAAAAAGTAATGTATGCTTATTTTAAGTCCTAGATTTATATTTGTACTTTCTTTCCTGATAATATATATGTATGTGTGTATACATATATATATAGATATATCTATCTATCTATATATAGATAGATAGATAGATATAGATATATATATATTTTTTATGAGATGGAGTCTTGCTCTGTCAGCCAGGCTGGAGTGCAGTGGCGCGATCTCGGCTCACTGCAAGCACCGCCTCCTGGGTTCACGCCATTCTCCTGCCTCAGCCTCCCGAGTAGCTGGGACTATAGGCACCCACCAACACGCAAGGCAATTTTTTTTTTCTTTGTATTTTTAGTAGAGACGGGGTTTCACCAGGTTAGCCAGGATGGTCTCAATCTCCTGACCTTGTGATTCGTCTGTCTCGGCCTCCCAAAGTGCTGGGATTACAGACGTGGGCCACCACGCACGGCCCCTGATAATATTCTTCAAGGCCTGAGAATAAAGTTATTCCAAGTACAAAGTTTAACATTTTCTTACTATATAATATCAAATGGGGGAAGTGTGCACAATTCTATCATAATCATAAACAAATTATCATTATTAGGATCAGAATAACAAAAAAGTAACAATTCTCCTTATTCTCCTTTAAAAAAAATACTTTGTCATAAATATACTTTGCAGTAAAAGAATAATGAAGAATGTGTTTATTTTGCTATCTCATTTTCTCCAATTTAAAAGTAAACAATTGGTTCCTATTTTATTCACCAATAAACAAGTTTTATTTTTAATTGGCGATTTGCTAATGTCATCTAGTTTAGCACATTTTAATAATGCAATTTATTAAAATGGAATAAAATGGGTACAAATAGTTTTATAGGAAAATTGATAGCCAGCCACCTCAAAATTTACTTTATTTGTGGAAAATTCAGAAAGACAGAGAAATAGGTATTTTTAGATATTACTACAATTTTTAGAAAGAGCATAACCTGCAATATGCAGAAAAGAGTATCTATGTTACCTTTTTTTGTTTGTTTGGCCTAAGTTAGCACTATAGAAAATGGTATCTTTTACTCTGAAGCCTGCTACCTGCTAGCTATTTCACACATTAGGCTTAAAAACAATGAGAAACCTTTATTAAGGAGTAAAAGCCTTCAACAAAATATTTGAATAGAAAAAATAAGAATGTAAAACAATTCTTTCCATTTTCTATTCCCAATTAAGAGCATGGAAATTTAACCTGAACATATCAGAAAAATGAGAAAGAAATAAATTTGAATGATGCTAAAATAATCTTTCACTTCTTAAAAATTAAGCTCTAAGAACTATATCAAGAAATTTATTTTAGTGTTTACAGGATATCAAATAATTAACACTACTACTAACTGTAACAGAAAATATAATTACAACTAAAGCAATTAGTTTCATAAAAGCAAATATAATCAGCTACTTATATATTGGCAAAAATTTTTCAAAAATTGAATCATCACCTACTATGTCCCACAAAAATTAAAAATTAAAAAGAAACTGTATCATTCCCGTGACTTCCATAACTACGGAAGGAAAACATTGCTCTAAGCTCTCCTCCTCCCTACCTCTATTCACTCAACACTAAATATGGCAAATAAGCAGTAGTTTAAAAAGAAATCAACTCCACAAATGTTCACAGCAGCATTTTTCATAACAGCCAAAGAGTAGAAACAACCTGAATGTCTGTCGACTGACAGCTGATAAAATGTGGTACACTCATGACAGACGATTATGTGGCGATTTTTTAAAATGCAGTACTCCAACATGAACGAACCTCTAAAATATTTTGCTATTAATAAGTAAAAAAAGCCAATCACAAAGATCCACATAATGCATGATTACATTTACGTGAAATGTCTGGAATATGCAACTCTATAAAGACAGAAAGTAGATCAATAGTTGTCTCAGGCTAGAGAGAATCAAAGATTGTGGAGTTATAGCTAAGGGATGGGGACTTTCTTTTGGGTGGCAATGAAAATCTTCTAAAATTGACTGTGGTAAAGATTCCACAAAGCTGTTAATATACAAAAAATATTGAATCACACTTTTTTTCTTTTTTTTGAGACAGAGAGTCTTGCTCTGTTGCCCAGGCTGGAGTGCAGTGGCATGTTCTCAACTCACTGAAAGCTCCGCCTCCTGGGTTCACACCATTCTCCTGCCTCAGCTTCCCGAGTAGCTGGGACTACAGGCACCCACCACCATGCCCGGCTAATTTTTTTGTATTTTTAGTAGAGACGGGGTTTCACCATGTTAGCCAGGATGGTCTCGATCTCCTGACCTCATGATCTGCCCGCCTTGGCCTCCCAAAGTGCTAGGATTACAGGCATGAGCCACCACAACCTGACCTGAAACGCACATTTTAAATGGGTAAATTTTATGATACGTTAATTTAGTCTGACTAGAGCTGTTAATAAAAGAAATTAAACCTGTATCAAAACTTTATATAAACAGAATTCTTAATATTTATTTAAGTCTTAATATCTTCTATAGAATAGTAACCTATAAAATCCCAAACTTTTAACTGATAGTTCTCTTTCTAGATATTTACTGACTAAATATAAGTTTATCATGACTATAGAAATGTTATTTTTCCACAGAAGAGCACCTTCAATAAAAGCAGAACTACCTATAAAAGAAATTACTTAATTTACCCCCTAAATTTTTTAAATCAACGTAGTTTGCCTTCAAGTTCATACTCATCAATTTAATTTGTAGTTAATTAAAATAAAGGTCAGATATATTTACCTTTATGTCTAACAGCCAAAACAAATATTCCAAATAACCAAGAATTAGACTGCAATAGTCGAAACTTTCCAATAAATGAGGAGATCATGTCATTTACCAGGACAAAACAGGGCTTTGTCTTTAACAAGCCATTATTTATCTCTTCCCTTACAGTTTAAAACCTCATGTAATGTAATACTGTTGTAAACAAAAGGATGGGACCCCAGTTTTACCAATATTTTCATAAAACTTTTACTCTCAAATAATTATAGATTCATAGATAGTTGCAAAAAAAAATCAGATAAAGTAATGGTTCAACTTTCCTCTACAAAGTTTTCTTTAGGGCTACTCTTCATTAATCTTCAGATGAATAAAAAGCCTGGGACCAGATGACAAAGAAACTTGTTCAAAGCACCAGATGACAGCAGATCAACCTGACAAGGAAAGACATAAAAAATAGAAAGGAAAAAGAAAAGCAATAGGAAGGAAAAGGAGAGCAGGGAAGGGGGAGCTCAGAGATGAGGTGGGAGAGAAGAGACAAGAAAGCAAGAGAAAAGAAAAGAGGAGGAGACTGGAAATGAGGCTAGCAGTACATGAATTAAAAGACTCTAGTCTCTCAAGCAACTAAATGGGCAAGGTCGATGTCACAGATGGGGAACACATCCCAGACCTCGAAGCCAATGTCATCTAACAAGCCCAGAATGCATGAAAAGGGGCTCTCTTACAGAGGTTCCTGCAGGACCCATGCCATAGAGACCCTCTGGTCAGATCTTCAATCCTGCCTATTCGAAGAGAACCAAATCACAACATAGGGTTCCTCACTGGCTATTCACTAACACTGTCATCTGAAATGTCATACTAAATTATTAGTTTCACAGCTCCTATCATATTCTCATTTTTTTTTTTTCTTGAGTCAGAGTCTCGCTCAGTCACCCAGGCTGGAGTGCAGTGGCACGATCTTGGCTCACTGCAACCACTGTCTCCGGGGTTCAAGTGATTCTCCTGTTTTAGCCTCCTGAGTAGCTGGGATTACAGGCACCTGCCATCATGCCCGGCTAATTTTTGTATTTTAGTAGAGATGGGGTTTCACCATGTTGGCCAGGCTGGTCTTGAACTCCTGACATCAGGTGATCTGCCTGCCTCAGCCTCCCAAAGTGCTAGGATTACAGGCATGAGCCACCGCGCCCAGCCTATTATTTTTAAAATACCATTTGTTTACTTTTAATTTTTCACTTTATTTTTTTATTTCAGATTTAGCTTTTCTATTCCTAATATACCAAGAAACAATAAAATGGCCAAGCACCCAGAACCTTTAAAAAAAAACTATAACTTTTTACTTTTATTAAGTGTGAAAGAGATTTACTTCATATCTATTAACACATTGGCTTTGAAACTTTGCTGCACGTTAGGATCACCTGAGGATCATTTTAAATTTCCCAATGTCCAGGTCACACCATGCCAATTAAGTTTTAGAAGTACGGAGGTGAGAATCAGGTATTAGTATTTTTTAAGATGACCACTTTTGAACAATTATACCAATAAAAGCCTCTTTTCCTTTTTTTAAAAAAAGAAAGAGAAATTAAATGAATATTATTCAGCTTGAATACTTAAATGTTTAAGTCTAAATGTGTCTTTTTAGCAGTATTTTTGGAAACATCTATAACCTTGGGTTTCCTTATTATTCACGTAAGCTCAACTTTTCAGTTATTAAAACAATGAAAAGCCCTAATCGACCTAATTGGCAAAACATCTCAAAAGTTAAAGTAATTTAAGAGACTAACATAGAATAAACAGTTCATAGAACTATGATAATATCTCATACAGGGAAATCTAATAATTCTACTACACGAAAAGCAACCTAGGAAATAACCATTGTTGTGTGCCAAGATGTATCTATAAGATAAATTATGACACAGTACAAATAGGAATTCTATATTCTAAAAATAATGCTAGGCCGGACGCAGTGGCTCATGCCTGTAATCCCAGCACTTTGGGAGGCCGACGCGGGTAGATCACGAGATCAGGAGATCGAGACCATCCTGGCTAACACAATGAAACCCCGTCTCTACTAAAAATACAAAAAAAAATTAGCTGGGCATGGTGGCAGGCGCCTGTAGTCCCAGCTACTCGGGAGGCTGAGGCAGAAGAATGGTGTGAACCCAGGAGGCAGAGCTTTCAGTGAGCTGAGAACGCGCCACTGCACTCCAGCCTGGGCGACAAAGCAAGACTCCGTCTCAAATAAATAAATAAATAAATAATGCTATAAAAGAATATTAAAAGGCATGCAGAGCTTCATAACAATGTTTTCATATAAACCAATCATAAAACCGTTAAAAGTAATATATGCCATTTAAAAACAGATTTTATATACACACAAAACTTACTTGCAGTTGAACTGAATTGTGCCGGAGGCCTTCCACAATACAAAAAAATCTGTCAATTTTTTTTTCTTCACCAGCTGAAGTTAAAGCTTCTAAAACTTCTTCAAGGCTATTGGAAAATTTGAGTCAATTAAATTGCAAGTAGCAAACACAAATGCCATAATACAATTGCTTTATCCTACTAAAGAAGTCAATACCCTAAGCAGCCAATATATTTTAGAAGTAGATTACTGAGTACATACCATGTATCAAGCACAGTTCTAAGCATGTTACATTTTAATCATTTATCCCTGACAATAACCCTGTGAAGATGTTTATCAAGCATTTATATAATGCTTACTACACATCAGGCACCATTTAAGCCACTTTACAAACATCAACTCATTTTAAAGTATATAACAATTGTTTGAGGTAGGTACTATAATTAACCCGTATTATAGATTAGGAGACTAAGGCAGAAAAAGGTTAAGCAATCTGTCCAAGGTCTCATATCTGTGAAATGGTGGAGCAAGAATCTGAAACCAGACAGTTTATGTGGTGGGCACCATATAAATGCTCTCAACCACTGCACTCTTATGCCTCACAAGTTTAAGTAAATGAAGCTGAGTGATAGTCGAAAATATATAATAGTATGGTATTATAAATATTCAAATATAAAATATAATAATTATGCAAAAACTATACTTCCTCTTCTTTTAAGTAATAGTTAACAGCATCCAGCACACTGGAGAAGCTCACAGTTCGTGGACATGGGCATGCAGTCCTAAATGTTACTTACAGGATCTTGATACCCATTCTGAAGTCAAGAAACAAGGAAAAGGGAAGGATAACAGAATAGGGAAGGGAAAAGAAAAGCAAGGAAGAGTCCAAGAGGAAAGAGGAGGAAGAAAAGGGAAAAAGAGGAGGTTAAAAGACAGAATTAAAAAATGATGGGGGAAAGGGGAAAGGAAGAAAGTGGGAAGGGAAGCTCAGAAAGTATCATATGTCCACATAAATTTCACTCTTAGATTTGTACACCAACATTTATATGGCCTTAAATACTGAAGCTGTATGCCTGGCTTTGCACGCTTGGGACTGCTGCTGGGTGTGGCAACACCTCTTCTATAGATAAACACTGTAGGCACACTTTGCGGGCAGACTGCCAGGCTGAGGCCGAGTGGTGTCTTTGACTATCCAACCATCAAGCCGAACCTGCTCAATCCCACCAACTCCAGCAGGACCTCCACAAGGCTGATTTTCAAACGAACACAGGAGGCTCCCCTTACAGGACTCTGCCAACCCCTACATATGGGGGATATTTCTGTTAGTTCTTTTGCCTGTTTAGTTTTTACATTTTTATCTTTTTTAAAAGGCATTTTAAATAATTTTTAAATGCTTCCTGATAATTAGAACCCTAATTTTTAAAAATCTTTATCTTTATAATTATCTTTAATATGTATGTAATGGTATTTAATTATACTCCTAACAAATGTGGTTAAGTTCTTTACAGCTCTAGTGTGTGCTTTATGCTCAAGGACTTTGTACCCTCAACCAGTAAACTACTATTACATAAATCACTTTCTAATCTGCCTTATATATAGATTTCCAAATCGTAATATGTTTGCTTTTACAAGGGGATAGAGAAGACCTACAGTTTGAAATAATTCTATGTGGGGAAAAAAAATCACATAAGAAATAGAACCATTTGTATATTTTCAAAGCCTCCATTTAGAATTTTTTTTAATTTAGGGTTTCAGTTAAAAAAACAGTTTAAATATGATAAGGAAATCAGTTTTTCATAGAAGTATGTTAGACCATAACTAATAAATCAATTAAGAGAAATAATTACTCAAAAATTTCCAGCCAATAAGAAACTATATTAGCTGCTTAAATATACCTCAACATTTATTTAAATTCTAGTAAATTCTAGCCTAGAGTAGATAATGAAACATTAAATGAATCAATCTGTATTAAATTATTATATAATTAGGGGAATATGTTGATAACACTTACATGCTTTCTTCCCCTACAATGCATACCGCAGAGAGAAGTTTAACCACATCTGTCATCATATTGGGGTGTCTGGGATCCACGGCTTTGGCCAATAAGGAAAGGCTCCTCTCCTCACTCATAATTCTTTCCAAGCCATACTATAATATTTTGAAAATAAGAGGTCAAATGTTAGAAATTAGTTAGAAAAATAATACCCTGAAGGAAATGTAGTTATTAAAAAAAATTTATAGGACATTTTTACACTTACTAAAGCTAAAAAATATAGACTGTGTAACACTCTAAAAAGTTCATGGCTGGGCACGGTGGTTCACGCCTGTAATCCCAGAACTTTGGGAGGCAGAGGCGGGCAGATTACCTGAGGTCGGGAGTTTGAGACCAGCCTGAGCAACATGGAGAAACCCCCTCTCTACTAAAAATACAAAATTAGCCAGGCATGGTGGTGCATGCCTGTAATCTCAGCTACTCGGTAGGCTGAGGCAGGAGAATCACTTGGACCCGAGAGGTGGACATTGCAGTAAGCCAAGATCACGCCATTGCACTCCAGCCTGGGCAACAAGAGCAAAACTCCGTCTCAAAAAAAAAATAAAATAAAAAGTTCATAAGGGTATTCACTTTATGTCAAGAACCACAAAACTAAACCAAATAAAGATAACTCAAGGTGATCTTACAACAATACAGCTGACAATTATTAAGACAGGTTAAGTAGCCAAATTGAGAAAGTGGGAAGCAGTCAGAAACATGGGATTTGCCAACAGAAGCATATGAAACAAACAGCCAGATACGGAACCAGACACTGAGGCCATGAAAATCTTTTTCCTGGGAAGGAAGGTTGGTAAGAGATATATTATCATAAGCAAACACACAGATCAACACTGTCCAAGAGAAATATAATGTAAACCACATGAGTAATTTAAAAATTTCAAGCAAGCAAAACTATTTTCAATAAAATTAATCCAATATACCCCAAATATTACCATTTCAACATATAACCAATATAAAACATTTATTGATGACATTTCACTTCTTTTTCTTCCTAAATAGTTGAAATCCAGTGTGTATTTTATACTGTAGCACATCTCAATTCAGACTAGCCACACTTCAAATGCTCAGAAGCCACATGTAGCTACCATATTACAAAATACAGGCCTAGATATTAGCACTTAGTTCATAAATAAGCAAAAACTGAAGGATGATTTGAGCAGATACCATGTAGAAACTGCCACAATGGGCACAGGTATTCTAATCACAATGGTATTTATTATAAGGAAAACAATGCAGTTGTAAACTCATTCTATAAATGAGACGATTGGGATTAGGATAAAGTTTATTTACTACTGCCAGGAAGTCAAATCCAATTAGAAGATAAGTTATGTTAATGATGTATCTATGAAAGATAACTGTCAAAATACAGAAGATGAATAGAAACAATAAAACAGTACTATTTATCTAGCATGCATCTCAGAGGATCCTACTAAAGCATGAGAACTGACTAATCAGAGTTACTACCAAACACTAAAAAAGGGCCTTATTCCCAATTACAAGCCTATGAACTAAACTCAAAATCAGCACTACATGTAAGCATTGAAGTTGAATCTATAACCAGCTTAGACCCAAGTACTTTGATTGTGATAAAATCCTATTTATAACTTTCCTATCTTGTATATGGCCATTTATGCAAAGAAACCTTGTACTGGGCTGAAATACTCCATTTACTTTAAACCACTATCTGAGAAACACAGGAACAATGGAGAAAGTATGAGGAAAGGCCAAGGGCCCAAGAATATGAATTTTGGAGAGATTACTCTGTCTTGTTAGTAATAGGGAAAAGTTTACAACAAGACAGCTAAACAGTCAGGAAATACTTACTTTTATGATAGCCTGGGCTATTACCTAACTGGAAAAAGAATGAAAAGGCAGGCACAGGACCAGAAACTACAATATGCCTTGCTAATCATTCCAGGGAATTGTCAGGTTTATAAAGTACCACTTAGATTCAATTCAGAAAGTCAGTCAATGATTACCAAGTACACAAGAGCTGGCTCTGTCCTAATAAATCTGGGAATTGAGTAAAGCTTGCCTCTAGCATTTCCCCTTCTTTTCCCACCTACCTGGTTGTCCTTAGCTAACACCTGCCCTTCTAGAATCAGAATCCTGTGACTCCTCCAGCCACCCAAGGTGACTCATGCTGACTTCCTCCAAGTGATACTACCTGCCTTCTCTGCCAAACCCTCTGGCCCTAACCTATCATGTATGAAAGGTGAAATAGGAGCATACTCTGATTTCACAGTTTTAACCATCATCCTGTGACCCCAAAAGTCCATCACAGGTAACGTTCTCTGATTTTGGTAATGCAAAAATGTGTCACACTCATTTTAAGACTGGAATGAGGCCAATTACTACTACTCAGTATCTATAAATACAGAATTGCTACTTGTATAAATTACTCTCAATTATTTAAAAAACATAGCAAAACAAAACAAAAACTGTTGACTCTGTGTGAGAAGTTGTCAACTTACCAGTGCTCGGATTAAAGTGCATTTAATGAGGGCTGTTTTAGGTTAGAGAGGCATGACAAATTTTGAAAGGTCTAAGGATGTATCTTTCCTGAATGTCAAGGACCCACTCCGGACAATATGGTAACTGGCCTGTTCTAAACTGAGGATCAATGCCAGGTTCCGCCTGCATTCCACATGAGGCCTATTATTAGCTAATAGATGGAATTTCAGGCACTGAAGATGATGTTTTAGGTAGAGGAAAGTTAATGCTCTAAATCCTCGTGTAGGACGCCCAACATCTGGACGCACACAGCATGACTACTAGTGCTGAGCAGCCACCCACAGTGAGTTAATCCCAGTAGCAGAAATAATGTGGTTAAAGTTGCTGGCTTCAGAAGCAAAGCACCCGCACCTTGGGTGCACTCTTCAAAGCAACACACACAGTTAACTGACCAAACTGAAGTCTCTGTTCTAATTACCTTTCAATTTGAATATACTAACTTTTCATCCTTATTATCTTTTCTTTCCCCTACGCAATTAAAATTCTCTTCCATTTAAAAAATACTCTTAGTCCAATTTAATGTTATAAGAAATTCACTTTCATGTAATGTTATCAAATTTGCCCATTAATTGTATAATTAATTACTAGTACCAAATAAGGTACCACATTTTTTTCCTCTTAAAACTTATATTTTCACCATTCAATGAATGCTAATAAAGACTGTATAAGTGAGGTTTAACAAATTTTGTACTTATAGATGTGATCAAATAAAGATTAAGACAACCATTAACCAATCTTGAAGGGAAAAAAAACTTCACCAAAAATTTCACATATTGCTAGGTTTAGAGTTCAGACACTATAATACTAAGTAACAATAACTTAAATTAACTTTTTATTCTTAATAACACAGATAAAAGCACCAAATAAAATGGCAATATTTTATAGCTCCATGTATATA
Source organism: Homo sapiens (assembly GCF_000001405.40). Classification (NCBI taxonomy): domain Eukaryota; kingdom Metazoa; phylum Chordata; class Mammalia; order Primates; family Hominidae; genus Homo; species Homo sapiens. The sequence goes on from NC_000013.11 coordinate 60,013,987, forward strand.
AACTACAAGCAACAAAAATCTCTTAAGAGAAAAATAGTATATTAATTAGAAAATAAAGTTCAATCTTCCTCAGATTCATTATGAAACAAAGTAAGAATATTATCTTCTATTTACCACCTTAATTTAACCATGATATTCTTCTTAAATTCAAATTATGATCCAAATGTCCCTTTGGTTTAAAAAAAGTTCCTAGATTTTTTCTACTTTTGGCTTTTCCATCACCAATGAAATTTCCAATTTCTATATTCTCACTTTAAAAAGGGCTTCCTAAACCAGTTCTATGTACTTAGTGGGCAAAGACCTCTCCCTATCAGCAATTTGATTCTTTCATTCATTTACTCTTAAAACAGATATGTAAAAAGCTACCTTATATATCTAATATCTGATTTTCAAAGAACCGTGAATTCAGCATAGAAAGGAGTTGTGATTCCTACATCACATATTTTCTTTGAAAATAATATCTGTTTAGAGGAGGCAAGGAAGAAAAAATATTTCATTGGTTAAAAATAGAAAGCTTAGCTCCAGAAAATGCTTAAAAATACACAGTTTAACAAGACAAAAATAATTAGAAAATATAAATATTTGCTAATACATGTAGTAAAATAAATATAAAATAAATCAATAATTTACGTACTAGTACTTAAGTGTGTAGCCCTATAAAAGTTTGTTTTTAAATTAGAATAAGGCAAAATATTATAATTAAAATTAATCAGAAATATACAGATGCTTTTGCTATAAAACAAAAATAATCGTACCACCACAGGTAAAATTTCCCCCCCTGCTGTCTAACAGCAACTTAAACACCTATCATCACTTCACACATCATGAGGTAAATGTGTTTAGATGCTGGAGCTTAAAGAAACAGCATAGGATAATGCTAATTTCTACAGTTAACAGTATAAAAGCAAAAAAGAAACATTGCTAGATAAACCTAAAATCTAACTTCAGTAAAGAGCTTAAGAATTCCTCTTTTTTTCTAGTTTTTTTGTTTTGTTTTGTTTTGTTTTGTTTTGTTTTGTTTTGTTTAAGGACAGGGATTCACTTTGTCTCCCAGGCTGGAGTGCAGTGATTCGATCACAGTTCACTATAACCTCAAACTCCTGGGCTCAAGCCACCCTTTCATCTCAGCCTCCTGAGTAGCTGGGACTGCAGGCATGTGCCGCCATGCCCAGCTATTTGTTTTACTTTTTGTAGAGATGGCGTCTCACTATGTTGCCCAGGCTGGTCTCAAACTCCTAGCCTCAAGCAATCCCTCCTGCCTCGGCATCCCAAAGCGGTAAGATTATAGGTGAGAGCCACAAGCAGGTTTCTCCCTTCTAATGTAACCTCTTTAACTATGCAAATTCCTCCATATTACGTTTATTCTCAATATTACTTGGGTTAAGCCTCATTGCTCTATTTCTGAGACCTGCTTATATCTGTTTACATTAATTTCATTGTAGATTTTAAATTCCTAGAATATAAGAAATCTTCCTAACTTGAACCTTTGGTAATAAGTATTATTGCAGCTCACATTTAATAATCATGATCTTAAAGCTGACTCACGCCGTACTTTTGAGAGTTAGGAGAGGGAGGAAATGAAGGAAGGAAGAAAAGAGGAAGAGTAGGACAAAAAAGCAGAGAAAGGGTGGTGGGTGGAGAGAAAAAAAGAAAGAAGATGGGGTTGGGGTGGGCAGGGTTGAGAGGGAGGAAAGGGTGGGGAGAGATAATTAACCTATACATGAGGAGTTCAGCACCAGAAGAGGTTTATTCATTATCAAGTTTCTCCTATTGCAAGACAGTTGAAACTAGAATTCAATAAAATTCAATATTTTTCCATCATGTACTAAAAAACACATCAGAACAATTTACCATCACTTTACTGCAACTGAAAATCATATATTACAAAATTGGTGACGGACAAATACTAATTACGTATGTACATACCTGCGTATTCATCAGGGCTTTTAGACACTGTATGACTTTATGTTGATTTTTCTTTACAACTTTTTCTTGGCTGTATTGACATAAAAAATAGCAGTGTTGGAATTATAATTGGACATATGAATGATGCTTACTTGAAAATAATTATTAGCAATACTTACATTTTTCCACTAATCAGTTTTTCCAAAATGTCTAATAATAATCCAAGCCCTTCATGTCCAAAGCTTTCCACCCAACTGAAAAACAGAAAAAAGACAGTTACACATTGTCAGTAACGCAGCTTGTGTTATCATATTATATACCTACAAGTATTTTATATTTGCTATATTCCTAATCGTAACTAAAACATAAGAATAACACCATATATAAAAATTATTCATGACTCATCTTAGTTGTGAAAGAAGCAAAGATGGATATGCCAATAGTGTGCTAAACTCCGCTTGCACAGGCTTGTAAGAGCAGACTGTGCCCATCTCTTCCATGGTTCATGTTTAGGGACATCACGTGGGTAGCTTGAAATCAGCCACAGTGAAAGTATTCACACCAAAGAAACTGGCAAACCAATCAGAGCCTCCCCCACCCACGCACCCAGAGCTGGCTCTAAACATTTACCAGCATACCACTAATTACAGCCCATTTGGGGCTATGCCAAAGAAGACAAATTGTACAAGTGAGTAAAGATCTATGGAGGAAAGATGTAGATCAACATAAAGAAAAAGATTACTGGCAAAAATTAATTAAAAAAAAGAGATGCTTTAGCAGAATTCCCCAAACCACTGAAATACATTCCTACAAATGTTAAGAATTTCCTAAGTTTCAAAGTTCAGTTGCTTTAAAAACAAACAAACAAACAAACAAACTGCATCACTGGGTTTTAAATGAGTTATCTCCATGTTCACCAAACCAAACCTGTCCCATAAACCCACTGACCCAATCACAGGCCTTTACATAACTAGAACATTACTGTCACTAGACAACAGCTTGCCTGGATTACATGAAAACTACCTCGCTAGAAATGAATACCTTTTCTCAGTGGAGATTAGTAAACCTAGGCCAATAAATAATAACAATGATAATAATCTGTCACCAAAAGAATGAAGGAAAGAAAAGATATATGTGTGTATATTTATTTGTATGCCTGTACTTATATATGTGATTTTATATATGTGTATGTGTACTGTTTGAACAGTAAGATGTTAAAAACAAAATTTCGGCCAGGCGTGGTGGCTCCTGCCTGTAATCCCAGCACTTTGGGAGGCAGAGGCGGGTAGATCACCTGAGGTCAGGAGTTCGAGACCAGCCTGACCAACATGGTGAAACCCCATCTCTACTAAAAATACGAAATTAGCCAGGGGTGGTGGTGCATGCCTATAATCCCAGCTACTCGGAGAGGCTAAGGCAGGAGAATCACTTCAACCCAGGAGGCAGAGGTTGCAGTGAGCCGAGATCGCGCCATCGTACTCCAGCCTGGGCAACAAGAGCAAAACTCCATCACAAAAAAAAAAAAAAATTCAAGGAATGAAAAACAGAACACTATAAAGAATAAAAACAAGCTTAAGTCATATATCAGAAAATACCAAAATATCATTTTTTCTTAAGATACAACATTTCCAGTGAAAAGAGAATAAAAACCAAATGCAACATATTTATATAAAAAATACAAATATTGAGTAAAATCCAGCTTCTTCATTTGCATATTTCTGTAAATACAACTTGACACCTATCAATGTTGAGGATTTCTGATTTTACAAAAAAGAAAAAGAAATTTGCCATTTAGACTGGCAATCTCTTGTCAGACAATATTTTACTCATCTCTTGCCAGTGAAAGCCATGAAATAACTAATTTTTAAAATGCACTTAAACAGGAAAGATACTCTCTTGTAAAAGACTGAAGATTGCTATTATAGTTAAGGTAAGGAAAAAAGTTAAACAGAGGTTGTTTTCAAACCAGGCTGCTACTTCAAAAGTGAAGGGTTTACTCTTCACTATCAGCGACACACAGATTATCTGTAGGCATTTTGAATCTTGTTTTTATGTTTCATGAAAACAACTACAGCATCTCACTTAACTGTTTGCCTTGTTGACATCCTATTCTGAATTTATTCCTATTTCACATGCAGCAGGGAAGTGAGGAGAAATCTGAGAGTTTTACTTGGGCTGACATTGAGATGCATGGAGAGAGACTGTTCATAAGGCACTCCTCTTTAATACTTCACAGAGGGCCTTCAATATTTTGTTTGAAGTAAGTTTTCAACAATATCCATATTCAAAAGTATAGCCACAAAGATATTCTAAAGCCAATATAAATGGTTTCAGATTATTCATACTGCTATCACCTTTAATCATTGTGAAGAATAAAATCACTGTTCATCAAACTGCCTCACACCAAAATAGGCAAAGTAATTTTAAATTATGTTAATATAACAAAAAGACTTTGTTACACTTAATATGCTTATATTATGACCCACTATAAAATTTAAGAAACACAAATCCATGTAAATCAGTAAGTTCTCTGATCTACATAATTAATAATAAAAAATAGCTATTTAAAATGTATTACCTTTAACATAATTATAACTAGAATAGTGTGACTCATAGATGGTCTAAAGTCAACTATTTCTAGACCCACTATATAACTCTCTTCTAAACTACAGAATATGAACTATTCAAATAGAATTTATGCCTACTCATGTATTTTATATATAAACTAATTCTCTATAAAACAAAACTTATTAAAGTTCCGTGTAAAGAGGCATTAAACCAAATCACTTCATCTATTACAATCTTTTAAGTCACTGTGGGAATTTCTCAACAACAATAAAATGAGAGTTGGGCAATGGCCTTCTGAAAACCAGATTATACATTATATCTCATAAAACATGTCAAAAACAAGAAAAGTGGGACAGGGTACAGGGAAAGAAAACTGAGACACCTGACAACCAAAGAAACAATATAAGAATTAAAAGAAAGCTAACAAAAGTACTTACTAAAAAGATTAAAAATTAAATATGCATAAAACATCTCCCTGTTTTCTTAAAAATTTGCAAACTCAACATACTGTTGTATTAACAGGTGTCACTCACAAAGCAATAATCTCAAGTGTTTCACCCTCACCCCTACTATTTTCAGCAATATTATTTTTAAAGATAGGGGTATGAATATCACTTCCTATTTCCACTGGAAAAGATGTTCAAGATAAAAAGTGATATTGAGTAGGCAGGTCTGTAGTCTTGACAGAGGTTTATTGAGATCCATAGCTTTCTACAAAAATGAAAAAATTTCTCATCATCAGTGTAAGAAGCAACCTAGAAAAAAATTATCAACTGATCTATAAATGATTAATTTCCACGAACTAAAATCTGCACTATTTGTTCTATGCCTGTCAGCACAGTACCATCAGGCATTATGTGGTTTAACTATAAACTGCATTCATGGATAAATATGCACGTTTCTTCTTCATGAATAGAAATGACATAGAGATCAGTATGACATTTGTATCAGAAAAAAACTGCTTTAAAACAGCAACCGTAGTGTGCTAAATACTAAATCTACCTCTTAAAATTCTGTAACAGGAAATATTAAACTCTTCTAATTGCTTCAAGGAAAACTTCTAAGTATATTACCCTTCAGCATTTCCTAGTAGGGGTCTCAATATAGGAGAAAAGAAGAGATGAAGAGGTAATAAAACTTAATAAAAATTAAAAAAAAAAAAAACAGAGGGAGAGGGAGAACAGGTTCCCAGAATTACAATGTTTAACCCGCCTTTAAATGTTCAAAAGCAGCTTAGACTTTGAAATTCAGTTACTACTTCCAGAAACACAGGATGAAACTGAAAGTGTGTAAAGTGGTTTCTGACATGTTGTTGGCTTTAATACAGAAGTAAATACAGTCAGTCACCTCATTGAGCAATAGAGGCAACAATCAGGTCTCAGATTTACCTCCTGGCCAAAAGGAACAAAGCGCTCTCAAGTATTTTTCCCAAAGACTGATCTCCTACTCTTCCTTTGTTTTGTTTAAAGTTATTACCTTTCTTCCCAGATGTGCTCGTAGAAAGGGAAAGACAAATGCATCATGAATTATAATGGAATTAATCTTGGAATTATTACCCTTATGATCTGGAATAAACATACCAGATCATAAGAGCAATCTTACCTGATGCATACTCCTTGAGTATAGGGACCGTTTCTTATATATCATATTTATTCCAGCATGGGATAGACTGAGCACTCAATAAATCATTTTAGAATGAAACTAAGTCCCCTTCTATTGTTACATATAAGAGGTTATAGTCACTTAGAAATAATATTTAGGTCTGCTGATAACCAGGCTTGTGGCCTTTATATATGCAGAAATAAACACAAAGAGATGACAGATCTCCACACCATTACTGAACCTGTCTCAACCTTCAAGCTAGAAACTTCAATTGCAATTTCAGAACTGTTATTTGCCCATACTGAATCAAAGATAATAAAACCAAAGACAGGGTCTTACTCTGTCGCCCAGGCTGGAGTACAGTGACACAATCATGTCTCACTGCCACCTCAACCTCTTGGGCTCAAGCAATCCTCCTGCCTCAGCCTTCCTAGTAACTGGGACTACAAGCATGTGTCACCACATTCAGCTAATTTTAACTTTTGTAGAGATCGGGTCTCACTACGTTGCCCAGGCCAGTCCAAACTCCTGGCCTCAAGCAAATCCTCTCACCTTAGCTTCCAAAAGTGCTGGGATTACAGGTGTAAGCCACTATGCCTGGCCAAGTCAGCCTTTATTAAAGGGCACACTGTATTCTTGATACTGCACTAGGTATGAGAAATACAAAACTGAATAAAATATGTTCTCTGCCCTTGAAAAGATCACAGACCAGTGGTTGAAACAAATGTCGAACAAAATTATTTCCATAATGCAATAAATGCTATACTCATGGTGCTCTGGGAACAGAAGGTACAATATCTACCTCTCTTGGGAACTTCAAAGCATCTGCTGTCTGACCTGAGTCTTTCTTTCTAAGCAGGAGGGCATATGCACAAAGACATTAAATGTAAAAGAAATGGCCTGTGCTGAGCAACAGAGAAAGCTGTATCAGAGATAAAACCAAACAGGTAAGAAAGGGCTTGATCTTGAAAAACCACATATGTAATGCCATGGGCAATGGGAGGGCATAAAAGGACTAAGCATGTGTAGTAAAGAGAGTAATCCTACCCTTGCCCACCAAAAGATCTGCACATCTTAAACTCAGAACATATGAATATATTACCTCATGTAGCAAAGGAGAAATTCAGATTGCAGATGGAATTAAGGTTGCTAATCAGATGATTTTAAGATAGGAAAATTACCCTAGTTTATCCAGGTGGTTCCAATCTAATCATGTAATTCTTAATTTCCCAGCTTGGTTAGAGAGATGAGATGAAAGAAAGAGAGTCAAAGCATAAAAAGGGATGGGCACCCTGGCTCACGCCTGTAATCCCAACACTTTGGGAGGCTGAGGTGGGTGGATCACTTGAGGCCAGGAGTTTGAGATCAGCCTGGCCAACACGGAGAAACCCCGTTTCTACTAAAAATACAAAAATAGCCGGGTGTGGTGGTGAGTGCCTGTAATCCCAGCTACTTGGGAGGCTGAGGCAGGAGAATCCCTTGAACCCAGGAGGCAGAGAATGCAGTGAGCCAAGATGGTGCCTGGGCTCCATCTTGCCCAGACAACAAGTGCAAGATGGTTGCCCACTGCACTCCAGCCTGGGCAACAGAGCAAGGCTCTGTCTCAAAAAAAAAAAAAAAAAAGAGCATAAAAGGGACTCATCTTGCCTTTACTGGTTTTGAAAATGAAGGAGGCCAAAGAAGAGCCAAAAAATGTAGGTGGACTGAAAAACCTGGGAATGGCCGTCAACTGAACAGCTAGAAAAGAAGTAAGAATCTTAATCCCACAACCACAAGAAATTGGGTTCTGCCAATAACCCAAATGGACAAGCAAATTGAGTTGAGTCTCTTATTCATAAACACTAGATGTCTCCATTTATTTGGATCTTCTTTAACTCCTTTCATCGTTATTTTGTAGTTTTCAGCATAAAAGTCCTATGGGTAATTCATTAGAATTACAATTATTTTTTGAGCAATTATGAATGGTATTGTGTTTTTAATTTCATTTTCTACAAGTACATTGCTAGTACATAGAAATACAATTTTATATTTTTATCTTGAATGCTGCAACCTTGCTGAACTCAGTGATAAGTTCTAGGAGTTTTTGATAGATTTCTTGAGATTCTCTATGTAAACAATCATGTCATCTGCAAATAGGGACAGTTTTATTTCTACCTTTCTGACCTGCATGCCTTTATTTCCTTTTCTTGCTTCAGTGTTCTACCTAGAACTTCCCTATGGTGTAAAACAAGCGTCCTGAAAGCAGGCATCCTTGCCTTGTTCTCAATCTATCTTAGAGGGAAAGCATTTAGTCTTTCATCAGTAAATAGAATATTAACTATAGGATTTTTGTAGATCTCTTTACCAAGTTAAGAAAGTTCCCCTCTGTATTAGTTTCCTGGGGCTGCAGGAAACTGAGGAGTTTAAAACCACAAATATATTATCTTGTAGTTCTGGAAGCAAGGTGTTCAAAATCAAAGTGTCAGCAGGGCTGCTGCCTGGGACTCTGGGTAGAATCCTTCACTGCCTGTTCCTAGCTTCTGATGGAAGCTGCCAATCCTTCCAGTCATCAGATGGGACTCTTCCTGTATCTCTGCCTTTTTCTTTTAAGGACACAAGTCATACTGGATCAAGACTTTACCCTACTCCTTTATGACCTCATCTTAATTAATTACACTGCAATGACTCTGTTTCCAAAAAGGGCCACATTCTGCAGAGTGTTAAGAATGTAAATACATCTTTCTAGGGACACAACTGAATTCACCCTCTATTCCTACTTTTCTGAGAGTTTTCATTATGAACAAGTGTTGAATTTTGTCAAATGCTATTTCTGCATTGATTCAAATGATCAAGTGACTTTTCCTCTTTTGCTTGTCAATATAATGCACTATATAAGGATTTTTGTATCTATACTCATGATGAACATTGGTTTGTAAGTTTGAGGGTTTTGGTTTTGTTTTGTTCTATCTTGGTACTGTATTGGTCTGGTTTTGCTATCAGGTAATTCAAGCCTCATTTTAAAAAAAAATTAATTGCTGTCTGCTCTGCTATTTTCTGGAACAGACTATGGAAAATTGGCATTAATTCTTCTTTAAGTTTGTGGTAAAATTCTCCAGTGAAATCACCTGCACCTGAAGATCTTTTGGTGGGGAGAAGGAACTTAATTATCTTAATAGTCAGAGGGCCATCCAAATTATCTATTTCATATTGGGTGTGTTGTAGTTTTTCAAAGAACTGATCTAGTTCATCTAAGTTGTTGAGTTGTATATTTAAAGTTGTTCAAAGTATTCCCTTATTATCCTGTTGATGTCTTGGTAATATATCTTGTTTAGTTCATGAAATTCGCAATTTGGGCACTGCTTTCAAGATGTTTTTATCTATCTTTGGTTTTCAGAACTTTTTTTTTTTTTTGAGACACAGTCTTACCCTGTCTCCCAAACTGGAGGGCAGTGGTGCAATCTCAGCTCACTGCAACCTCTGCCTCCTGGATTCAAGCAATTATCCTGCCTTAGCCTCCTGAGTAGCTGGGACTACAGGCACGCACCACCATGCCTGGCTAATTTTTGTATTTTTAGTAGAGACAGGGTTTCACCATTTTGGCCAGGCTAGTCTCGAAGTCCTGACCTCAAGACACCCAACCGCCTCAGCCTCCCAAAGTGCTGGGATTACAGGCGTGAGCCACCGTGCCCAGCCTAGTTCTCAGGAATTTGACTATGATATGTCTGTGTGTGAATTTCTTTGAGTTTATCCTGTTTGTGATTCAGTTTAGGTAGGTTTATGTCTTTTGCCAAATTTGGGGACTATTCAGCCTTTTTTTTTTTTTTTTTTTTTTTGAGACAGAGTCTCGCTCTGTCGCCCAGGCTGGAGTGCAATGGCACAATCTCAGCTCATTGCAACCTCCGCCTCCCGGGTTCACACCATTCTCCTGCCTCAGCCTCCCAAGTAGCTGGGACTACAGGCACGTGCCACCACGCCCAGCTAATTTTGTATTTTTAGTAGAGATGGGGTTTCACCATGTTGGCCAGGCTGGTCTCAAACTCCTGACTTCAGGTGGTCCAGCCGCCTCAGCCTCCCAAAGTGCTGGGATTACAGGCATGAGCCACCGTGCCCACCCTATTCAGCCATTATTTCTTCATGTACTTTTTTATCCTGTCCTCTTTCTCCTCTCAAGTCTCCAATGACAAGAATGTTAGATCTTTGGTTATAGACCCATAATTCCCTGAGACTCTGTATGTATTTTTTCCCAATCTATTTTTTCCTGGTGGTCCAGACTATATACTTTCTATCATTCTATAGTCCAGTTCACTAATTCTCTCCTTTCAGCCTCATGTTTCGCTTTTGAGGCCCTCCAGTAAGCTTTTTACTTCAGTTATTGTATTTTTCACTTCTAAGATTTACATTTGGTTCTTTAAAAGAAGAAATAGTTTCCTGTATTTCTTTGCTGAGACTTTCTATTTTTTTTCTTTTGTCAGCACATTCCTATTTGCCTATTGTAACACTTTTATGATGACTGCTTTTTAAAAGATTCTTGTCAGATAATTCTACCATCTCTGTCATATCAGTGTGTCATCTATTGTCTTTTTTCATTCAGTTTGTGATTTTCCTGCTTCTTGGTATGACCATATTTTTTATACTGAAGGCTGAAAATTTGGGATATCGTGTTATAAGATTCTAAATCTTATATAAACCTCTTATTTCAGTAAGCTTCCTATGACACAGCTCCAGTGGAAGAAGAGAAAGCACCACCTCATTACTGCAAGGTGGAAACAGAAGTCCAAGAGAGATTCTTTGTTACCACTTGACATGGATGGGAATCTAGGTACTCCCTGATGGAGAGAAGGAGGACTGCCTCATTATGCTCACCATGTAACCTACAATAGCACCATGGAAGGGGGATGTGGACGTCTGTTATCACTGGGTGGTTGTGAAAGCCCTGACTCTATTGGCTTCTTTGGACATAATGCCAGTGGGGAGGGGGAAGAATGCCTCATTAATGCCATCTGTGGGTAGAAATCCAGGCTACCCACTTTGCTTTTTGATAGTGTGGTGGGGGATGGGGCCACATATTTTTTTCTGCGATATTTAGCAGAAATACAAAGCAGTTATTGCCAACATTTTCTGTCTTGTTTGCTGCCATTTTTGTGGTCCTTTGGTTTCAGAGAGAAGGCTTTTGTTGGGACTTCTTTGTTCTGTGCCCACTGTCACTTCTGGGTTACTGACTTCTTCACCTCCAAATCTGACAAAAAGGCAGAAAGACAACCCAGCAAACTCACCGCCATATTGTTTCTTAAATCTCAAGGTTCCTAGCCTGTCTTCTTATATTTGTTTCACATATAATGTCCAGTATTTCTAGTTGTGCTTAGCAAAAAAAAAAAAAAAAAGGAAATAGTAGATTTAGTCTATCTTTCAAACACAAGTCTGAAACATCCACTGTTAGAGTGTGAGAACAGGCAGAAGCTCCCACCAAGAAAATGAGAAAAAGGCAGTGACAGTGGTAAGAGGAGAACCAAGTAAACCTGACATAACAAATCCAAAGGAAAGAAGAAGTTTCAAAAAGAGAAGAGTCAAGAGTCAAGTGCTAAAATGAGGTCAAAGAAAATAAGGGCTAAAAAGAACTATAAAGAAATGAATTCAACAACAATTTATAAATAATTCTGTAGAAGTGAAATCCTGATTGCAAAAGAATTAAAACAGAAAAGGGGTAGTAAGAACAAAGAAAAAAACATAATTTGGGATTAAAGAGTTGATGGAAGAAATTTGTAGGAGGACTGAGATGAGGACAATTTAAAAAAAAACTGTGTGCCATAAACACTATTACAAAAATAAACAGAGAATATTAGAGGAGCAATGAAGATGGCTACCACACTTAGCTAGGGCCTAGGAACAAAACCAAACTTAAAGAAAAAACTATGCCTACAATCTTGAAGTGGAATGATGCTCATATATCTTAAGTTTAAAAAGCAGAAATGGTATATAAGGCATTTTCTATTATTATTCTTAAATGTTTTTGTTCACATATAAGAAATGTATGTACATATGTGTAGCTATACAAACATTCTTAATCATCCTCCACCTAGTCAGCTAATTCAAGGCTTGAGTTCTACTCTCTTATACATCCCCACACACTGCTCCCACCAGAACCAGTTGGGTTTCTTTCCAAATCCATTCCTGACAGTTGTACCTACTATTGTATTTATATAATTAATATTATATAAACAGATAACACATAATTGGGGAAAGGGGTACTTTTTCTATGAAAACTAAGCGTAATGATTTGGAAAGCTAAAAATAGATTACTTTTTAAATTGCTGTAGAAGTAAATGTGGGCACAACTATATATTAAAGGGAAATCGTAGTACCAAAAAAAATTTTTTTAGCAGAAGAATACTTCTGCATTCAGATTGCTCTGCCAGAGCCTTTATGATCCTGTTCTTCTTTAAAGCACCAATATCAGGAAGACAACGCATTATGAGTATGCTTTATGCAATCAGCCTTTGCCCACTCCAAGAAAAGGTCTGGGCTCCATATGAAATGTCTACAGAAAAAAATGTTTATGCTTTAGATTGAAAAAAAAAATGTTTGGGGTATATTTGAATCATTTATTTGATTATTACATGCTTTAAGCAACTTTTTTAACCAACCAACCAACGGTATTAGACAGGAAGACTTCCTCTGTAGACAAAGTGTCTCTCTCTCTCTCTCCTCCAAGAAGTTAGTGTCTATTTAAGTAGATAATATTATACATTTTTCTTGATTTTGCTTTTGCATATTTTCTTATTGTCCTATAATGATCTTATCTTTTTTGTAATAAGAAAAATATTTTTAATTACCCAAAAGAATAATCTTACATGAATGCCTAGGGAAACACAAATCTAGATGGTTTAAAATCAATACACAAAGCTTCTTAAAAGGAGAAAAAATACATTACTGCTCACATGTGACAAACTAACAAATTTTGTACCTTAAACTTGGAAGGTCAGCTTTAATACTGTATAATATCTAGATCCAATTTACATTCTTCTGTCAGAGTAATATATCACCAATGCTGAATATAATTATAGCTTATTTTAAGCTTTCATTTTCACCTACCTTTACCAAGGTGACTAAATACTTAAAATGAACAGTTCTAGGAGGGAGTACAAAGCACTTAGCATGCCCTGTGGGGCAAGACAAACATACACCTACATGCCATTCAATGGCCCATCCACCCAAATTACACTAAATTACAGAGCAAGGCTGGGAATTCAGGAACTATTATAAATAATGTTCAGATTGTAAAATCTACTAACCTTCAAAATACAACCACTAATATGTATATTTTCTTGAAATATACTTCTTAAAGAAACTGTATATTTAAAAACAATCATTTATTCCCACTTTTCATATCAGATAAGATAACACAGTAATAAATGTAGTATTCTCCTAGTTTCTTTTTGGCTATAACATACTGAAAGGCATAAAATATCTAGAGAAAGCATTCCAAATAAAATGAAAATAAAACCAGGTTAACAGGAATGATAAAAAAACAAAGCACAAGAAACAAGAGTTCTTGACCTTTAGATGAAAAAACAGTAAAACAAGTATGGATTTTAAAACATAGATACTGGTATGTGCTCTAATCAAAACTTAAGTCCACTATTAAAAGGAACATATTATAAAAAAGGAAATATCTTATTTGGAATGTGTTAAATATTAGTACACTAATATTTAACTAAAGGGCACTACCAGTACCAGTAAGTAGTTTCTTAGTATCAAATTAAACATCATTAGTTCAAGAAAGCACTAAATTATTCATTTTAAATATAGACTAATTTGCCAACAATATATGTGGAAAAGACGTTATGGTCACATTTCAGGCTTTTCACCGCTTGTCCCCACCCTAAATACTTGTCACTACTACCCAATGCTGGTCAGAGCAGTCCTAATTATTAAAACCCATGATCTTCCCTTGATTCTATAAATTTCATTGCTACTTTTGTGTGGCAATGCACTCATAATGCTCCCCTCCACAGAACTGCCTTTGTAACAACTGAAACAATTTCAGCTTTCAAGGCCAATTCACATTTCCTTCTTCTTTGAACTCTCGCTGATTTGATTTCTCCATGTGTTCACCAAGTTCCATTCACTTGACCTCAGATACCCCTCAAGTTAGTTCCCATTTCTCTCCTTTCTTTTATAGCAAAAGGTCTCAAAAAATTTCATCACAAGCATGGTCAGCACTTCTTGCCATCCATTCACTCAATCTCATTTCAGTCTGGCTTCTACCACCAAGACTCCAAAAAAATCTATTTTCTAAAAGGACGCCAACAACCTTCCTCTTGCCAGTTCCAATAATATCATCTTGCCCCACCTCATAGCAGCACGCTATGCAGTTTGTCACTCCCTTATTTTGAAACACTCTTCCTTTAGGTCCAGAAACCAGCATTTGGGGTTCTCCTCCCCACTGGCTACTCCTCAGTCTGTGTTTCTGCCTCCTCTTCCCTTTCTGGATCACCTATTTCTGGACACTTTCTGAACCCGGAGTCCTTCAGAACTTGTTCTGACCGCTCACCTGTATCTTTAGCTTCCTTCTCCATACAACCTGCCCACACTGGGATTGCATCCATTCTCAGGACTTAAATATCTCCACTCCACATATGTAAGCTCCAGACTCACACATCTAGGGGTTTGCTTGATGTCTCAAATTGTGATACTCTTTTAAACATGTCAAACTTAACATGTTAAAAAGGGATATTTTTGGCCGGGCACGGTGCCTCACACCTGTAATTCCAGCACTTTGGGAGGCCGAGGTGGGCGGATCACAAGGTCAGGAGATCGAGACCATCCTGGCCAACATGGTGAAACCCCATCTCTACTAAAAATACAAAAATTAGCCAGGTGTGGTGGCATGCGCCTGTAGTCCCAGCTACTCAGGAGCCTGAGGCAGAAGAATCACTTGAACCCAGGAGGCGGAGGTTGCAGTGAGCTGAGATCGTGCCACTGCACTCCAGTCTGGTGACAGAGCAAGACTCCGTCTCAAAAAAAAAAGGGGGGATTTTTTTTCTTCTCCAAAATTCACGGAACAAGTAACAACCTCCTCCACCCCAATTAACAGCACTACTATCTGCCTATTTGCTCAAGTAAAAAAAAAAACTGTTATTCTCGATTCCTCCTTTTCATTCACATCCTACATCCAATCCACCAACAGGTCCTACAGTTTCCACCTCCAATTTATCTGCAACATTCACCCACCCCTTGGCCCACCACTGCTACAATCCTTATACAAGCCACCCTCCTAATTCATGTGACTACTGCCAGAGCCTCCTATCTCACACCTTCTTGTCCACTCTCTCCTCCCTTCAATCAATTCTCCCTAATATGATTTGGGTCTCTGTCACCACCCAAATCTCACCTCAAATTATAATCCCCATAATCCCCACATGTCAAGGGCAGTACCAGGTGGAGGTAATGGGATCATGGGTGTGGTTTCCCCTATGCTAGTCTCTTGAAAGTGAGTGAGTTCTCACAAGATCTGATGGCTTTATAAGGGGAATTTGGCATTTGCCCTGCTTCCACTCACTCCATCCTGCCACCCTGTGAAGAAGGTGCCTGCTTCTCCTTTGCCTTCTGCCATGATTGTAAGTTTCCTGAGGCCTCCCCAGTAAAGCAGAACTGTGGGTCAATTAAACCTCTTTCCTTTATAAATTACCCGGTCTCAGGCAGTTCTTTATAGCAGCCTGAGAACACACTAATACACTTCCTGTGGCAGTTAAAGTGATCCTTTTAGAAAGTTAAGCCAGAATAGCTCATCTCCTGCTTGAAACTCTTCAACAGACTCCACTTCCACAGAATGAAAATCCAATAACCCTACCACGAGCTTTATGGCCATGACCTTCCGCATGGCCTGGCCACTGCCCACCTTCTCTGACAGCCTTTTGGATTCCACCATCCTCTCCTCTCTCCATCCCTCTGCCACACGGTTTTTCCACCTCATGTTC
Organism: Homo sapiens; assembly: GCF_000001405.40. Taxonomy (NCBI): domain Eukaryota; kingdom Metazoa; phylum Chordata; class Mammalia; order Primates; family Hominidae; genus Homo; species Homo sapiens. The sequence goes on from NC_000013.11 coordinate 60,030,018, forward strand.
AGTACTACTGCCCACTCTTCTCTAAACTAGTTCCTTGTCCTTTGGTGTCAAACTCCACCACCTCAGAAAGACTTTCTATAATCAGCTAAATCAAAAAACCTCTCCATTAATTACTCTCAGTCCTCATTTTTTCTTCACTGAACTGATTATACCTTTTTGTTTTATTTATTTGTGTTCTAGGTTTCTCTCTCCTATATGCTTCTCTTTTACTGTGGTACCTAGCATAGCCCTTGGAATACTTGTTGCATATATAGATTACAAAATCCTGTGCTATATTTTAGTGGCATGTTATCCATGTCACATACTTAGGAACTTAAGAGCTTTATTCTTTCACATGTTAGATGTTTCTCTCTAAAAGGAATCGCAACAATTTAAGAAAAGAAATCCTTGCACCTCATCTAGTATTCCAAACAGAGAATACATAAAAACACTTGAAATACCTGCTCTCCTGTCTTGCAAATGAGCAGTACAGGCTCATGTATTTTACTTTATTTCAAGCATTAATCTCCTTATTCTGTTTTTACTATTCAAATCCATTTAACATGTACTCTGATCTTCTCTCCTGAGTCCCATATTAAGGCTTCACAATGATACAATACCGGGTCCCCTCCTCAGAAATTCATAGCACAGTGGAGAGAGCAGCCACACATATAGACTCAAGAGTACAAAGGCTCAAAACAAGTGCACAAGAAATGTTTTTCTGATCTCTAAAGATGTGTTGTCCAATAGGGTAGCCTCTAGACACATGTGGCTATTTAAATTCTGAATTTAAATCCTAATCACACTAGCAATATTTCAAGTGCTCAACAGCCACATGTGGTAAGTAGCTTCTGTAATGAACAAGACAGACATAGACCATTTTTGTCATTGTAGAAAGTTCTATCAGGCTTCTGTTCAAATGCGCTAAACTTCTACTTAGCCCTGCAGAGGGACTGCAGGTGATATCAGTGGCTCTAACATTCTTTTGGGTGTTTCTTTCATATTATTGTATTAGGCCATTCTTGCATTGCTATAAAGAAATGCCTGAGGCTTGATGATTTATAAAGAAAAGAGGTTAATTGGCTCGCAGTTCTGCAGGTTGTACAGGAGGTATGGCGCCAGCATCTCCTCTGCTTCTGGGAAGGCCTTAAGAAGCTTCTAATCATGGCAGAAGGTGAAGGGGTAGCAGGCATGTCACATGGCCAGAGCCAGAGTGTGTGTGTTGGCTGGAGAGGGGGTGGGGAGGCAAACTTGTAAATGATGAGATCTTACAAGAACTCACTCACTATCACAAAGACAGCACCAAGCCATGAGGGATCTGACCCATGATCCAAACACCTCCCCCAGGCCCCACCTCCAGCACTAGAGATTACAATTCACCATGAGATTTGGGTGGGGACAAATATCCAATCTGTATCAGTCTGCCCCAAGCCCCTCCCAAATATCATATCCTTTTCAAATTGCAAAATGTGATCATGCCTTCCTAATAGTCCCCCAAAGTCTTAATTCATTCCAGCATTAACTCTAAAGTCCAAAGTGCAAAGTCTCATCTGAGACAAGGTGAGTCCCTTTTACTTACAAGCCTGTAAAATCAAAAACAAGTCATTTACTTCCAAGATACAACGGGGGTACAGATATTAGGTAAACATTCCCATTCCAAATGGGAGAAATCAGCCAAAACAAAGGGGCTACAGGCCCTAAGCAAGTTTGAAACCCAGTAGGGCAGTCATTAAATCTTTTTTTTTTTTTTTTTTTTTTTTTTTTGAGATGGGGTCTTTCGCTTTGTCACCAGGCTGGAGTGCAGTGGCACGATCTTGGCTCACTGCAACCTCCGTCTCCCAGGTTCAAGCAATTCTCCTGCCTCAGCCTCCTGAGTAGCTGGGACTATAGGCACAGGCCACCATGCCCAGCTAATTTTTGTATTTTTAGTAGAGGCGGGGTTTCACCACGTTGGCCAAGATGGTCTCAATCTCTTGACCTCATGATCCACCGCCTTGGCCTTCCAGGCGTGAGTCACCGCACCTGGCCTGCAGTCATTAAATGTTAAAGCTCCAAAATAATCTTCTTGACTCTGTGTCCCACATCCAGGCCACATTGGTACAAGGGGTGGGCTCCCAAGGCCTTAGGTAGCTCTGCCCCTGTGGCTTTGCAGCGTGCACCACCCACAGCTGCTCTCAGATGCCAGCATTGAGTGTCTATAGCTTTTCCAGGTGTAGGGTGCAAGCTGCTGGTCAATCTACCATTCTTGGGTCTGAAGAGCACTGACCCTCTTCTCACAGCTCAACTAGGTAGTGCCCCACTGGGGACTCTGTAAGTGGTCCAACCCCACATTTCCCCTTGGTACTACCTTAGCAGAGGTTCTATGTGAGGATTCTGCCAGCCCCTACAGCAGTGTTCTACCTGGACACCCAGGCTTTCTCCATATATCCTCTAAAATCTAGGCGGAGGCTACCAAACCTCAACTCTTGCATTCTGTGCACCCACAGGCTTAACACCACATGGAAGTCACCAAGACTTACAGCTTGCACTCTCTGGAGCTGTGGCCCAAGCTGTACCAGGGCCACTTTGAGCTAAAGCTGGAGCCGGAGTGGCAGGGAAGCAGGGAGCAGTGTCTCAAGGTTGCACAGAGCAGCAGGGTCCCAGGCCTGGCCCTCAAAACTATTCTTCCCCAGGAGGCCTCTGGGCCAGTGATGGGAGGGGCTGCCAAAGGTCTCTGAAATGTCTTCAAGGTTTTTCCCTCATCGTCTTAGACATTAACTCTTGGCTCCTTTTTAGTTATGCAAATTTGTCTAGCAAGTAGTTGCTCCACAGCCTTCTTGAGTTCCTCTCTGAAAAAACCTTTTTCTTTGCCACATGGGCAGGCTGCAAATTTTCCAAACCTTTATGCTCTTCTTCCTGTTCAAATATAAATTTCTTTGCTCCAACATTGGAACATAGGCAATTACAAGAAACCAGGCCACATCTTGAATGCTTTGGTGCTTAGAAATTTCTTCCACCAGATACCCTAAATCACTCTGAAGTTCAACCTTCCACAAATCCCAAGGGCAGAAGCAAAATGCAGCCAAATTCTTTGCTAAGGCATACCATGCATGACCTTTGCTCTGGTTCCCAATAAGTTCCTCATTTGCATCTGAGACCTCTTCAGCATGGATTTCACTGTCCATATTACTATCAGCATTTTGGTCACAATCATTTAATGAGTCGCAAGGAAGTTTCAAACTTTCCCTTATTTCCCATATTCTTCTGAGCTCTCCAAATTCTTCCAACCTCTGCCCATCACCCAGTACCAAAGTTCCTTCCACATTTTCAGATATTTTTACAGCAAATGCCCCACTCTTTTTTTTACCAATTTTCTGCATTAAGCAATTCTTGCATTTCTATAAAAAAAAATCTGCATCTGGGTAATTTCTAAGGAAAAGAGGTTTAATTGGCTCATGGTTCTGCAGGCTGCACAGGAAGCATGACACCAGCATCTGCTTGCCTTCTGGGTCGGCCTTAGGAAGCTTGGTGGAAGGTGAAGGGGGAACAGGCACATCACATGGTGAGACCAGGAGCAAGAAAGAGAGTGTGGGCAGAGGTGACATACACTTTTAAATGACCAGATCTCATGAAAATTCACTCACTATTGCAAAGACAGCACCAAGCTCATTGGGATCTACTCCCGTGAGCCTAACGCCTCCCACCAGGCCCCACCTTCAGCACTGGGGATTACAATTCAACAGGAGATCTGAGCAAGAATAAATATCCAAACTATATCAATTATTATTTATGAAATTTAATATACAAGAAGCTGAAATAAACTGTACCTGTTCCTTTCAGACATATACTGCCCCTCTAATAAAAGAACTATTAATCCATCATCAATCTAATTGACGGAGTTTTACTCTTAAAAAGTTTTCTGAATGATAAAAATTAAAACTTCTTCTATTGTCAATGTGATGCCTTCCTTTGTATTAAGGCCTTTCTTCATGTATAGATATGTAAGGGAATACCAAGATAAACATCATCATTTTAAAAATCTTTTACTTAACCGACTTGGCAATACTCTAAGACATAATAACAAGCCCAGAAAATTAATCTAAGGAATAAACTATACTGATTCTTTGTATGTAGAGTACTAATAACTAGAGGCTTTAGTATCTGCAGTTTAATAATTTCTCTCATTGAAAATATTTATCTTTCAACAGAAACCAAAGAAACCAAAATATTCAGTTAATAACTTCATACTGATAGCTGTAAAGCCATAAACACATAAGGTTTACATTCTCAGAAAACAGGCATTAACAATTAAAAAGAAAGAAAGTTTATTATATTCTACCTTTATATCCATAAGAAACTGTAAAGTTTAATGAGTTTTTTTTTCCAAATTGTTTTGGTTTAACACTCTACCTTCTGTTGTTGTCTTTTAAACAGTAAACTGATAGTTTCAAATAATTAGGTTTGTTTTGTTTTGTTTTGCTTTGCTTTAAGAGGCAGGGACTCACTGTGTTGCCCATGCTAGAGTACAGTGGCTATTCACAAGCACAATCCCACTACTGTTCAGCATGGGAGTTTAATCTACTCTGTTTCTGACCTGGGCCAGTTCACCTCTCCTTGGGCAATTTGGTGATCTGCCGTGCTCAGGAGGTCACCATATTGATGCTGAACTTAGTGTGGACACCTGATTGGCACAGTGTACCACAGCCCAGAATTCCTGGACTCAAGAGATCCTCCTGCCTCAGCCTCCCAAGTAACCGGGACTACAGGCATGTGCCACCATGCCCAGCTCAAATAATTAGGTTTTAGTTACATTTTCTCCCCGTTATACTTAAGTATCAGTAATATAGGGTACAAAATCTATTTTTTAATAGAGTAGTTGAATTTAACTAATCTAGACATACATGAGCTCTCGTAGTTATATGAAACTGCGTTAAAAATGAAGATTTTGGATTCTGTGTCACATTGTGACTCACTTTACATGTTAACAGAATTTTTTTTAAAAAGTCAATCTTGGCCATTTAAACAGCTATATTTTAAATAAACTGGGAGATATATATGGCAGATATATATACCATATATATGTATATACGCCATGTATATATGTACAGCATATATAGATATAGATATAACTTTAAAAAATAGATTTGGAGCACTTTACAATTCCAGGCCCTCTCAGGTCAACTATAAATTGAGCTGAGTAGCTCTTATTTACCATCTATAGAATACACGTGTCTGTTAAAAGCAATTAATAAATTTTCCATGTGCTCTTTGTTTACTGTTAACCCTGTATTCAAAGCCAAAGCTTTTAAGATACAGATACACTTTGAAACCAAATATTTATACAACATTTTGCTACATCTATAAACCAAAAAAAAGCTATAGAATGAATGACGGTATACAAAAGAAGCAGCCTCCTACCCCTAGGGAACATTCAGTCTTCTAGAGGTCTCTTAGAGAAATGGTGCTAGGTTTGGAAGGACTGTGAAAGCATGAGAAAGTAATGGCTTGTCCTTTGAAAATGTAAAGTTAGTACTTATTTGAAAACATTAATAGTTACTTTCTTCCACGACATTTTTTCATTAATATTTCATCAATTTGACATGCTTTTAGAAAGGACAGCCACATGACTTAAAATTAGAAGGTATTTTCAACAAATATTTATTTAATAAGCAATGCTACTTGTCATAAACATTACAAACTCTGAATGGCAATTAAGAAATAATAGAAGGCATATTTGAAGATAGATGGCAGTGTCAAAACAATAAAGAACAATATTAATAACCTACCTAATACTTTTTGACTTCTTATTGGAAAGTAATCTTGAAAAAATGCCTTTAAGAGGTACAAGTAGGCACATCTCTCTAATGAAAACTCTGTTTAAAAAATGCATCCCGCTAATATTTTTAATTTACCAGAGATGTTTCTACAACTTCTATGATGTACTATATTGCTGATTCCCTCATTCCAGCTACAGGCTGTTACACCGATGACTGCCAGGGACCATAACTATAGCACTTCCTGTCAGACATACTTCACCTCTCCTTTTCTATTCCTTAATACCTGGTATAAAGCCCACTCCCTCCCTTAGCCTCATCCTGCTAAGCCAGCACTCTCTGCTGAAGGGAAACCTCCTTAGATCACTCTTCTATTCCCTTGGGACTCTCTTGAGATTAATGTCCAATCATCCTTGCAGATTTTAAAAAACAATCTTCAATCTGTCAGTGTTTATTTTCTTTATAATAGTCTCACCATCTGGAATATAACATTGAGAATGTAATAATAATGTAGTTAATATATCAAAGAAGTGGATATGCAGAACCAAGGCCCCTTAGGCAGCACTGTCTAATAGAATTGCTTACAATGACAGAAATGGCCTATATATATATATTGTCCAAAATGGTAGCCACTAACTACATGTGGCTCTCAAGCAATTAATATGTTGTTGTGTTTTTTTTTCATTCATTTTTAGTTAACTAAATTTAAATAGCCACAGGCAGCTAGTGGCTACCATATTGAATAACAGGAAAGAAAACAGAGCTGCCTGCATTACTTACCTCCGTGGTATCAATATCAAAGAGAAAGGAAGAAAAGAGAGAAAGAAAAACAAAGGAAAGGAAAAAGAGAAAAGAAATACACCCAATAAAACCTTTACTCCACCTGCCCCTTTCAGAAATTATCACTACTAGTATCAAAATGAATCTGAATATATCGTTAATTATCAAACACTTTTTAACCTAAGGTGAATTTTTAATAAGTTTTTATAACTTGTTAATCTAAAATTCTAAAACATGCCATGCAAATCTAAAAAACATATCCAGAATGGAGTAGAGAGAGACAAATAAATGCAAAGTATTAATGATAGAATAGGAAATAATAAAGTATAGAGCAAGATGGTCTAACATATACAAAATTAGAGGGGAAAAGGCAATACTTGACAAAACAATGGCAAAATTTTCACAGAAAGATACCCATCATATTCAAAAAGCCAAAGAAAATTCCCTATCAGAATAAAAAAGAAAGAAATCTCACCCAGACACGTAAAAGAAACTCTACAACACCTTAAGCATAGATATCTAAAACCCTCAATTGCATCTCAATTGCATGCCCTAGGAAGGCTATCCTTCCAAAGCAAAGGCAAATAGATATTTTGAGACGTTAAGTATAATAACAAAAAAAAAATTGTGGGTCAACCTGATTAAATATCATTTTTAAAAAAGATATTTTCAAACAGAATTTTGCCATCACACTCTCACTAAGGAATCTTAATAATATACTTAAAGCAAAAGTAAAATAATCTGGGGGGCGGGGACAAAAATCAAAAAGAATGATGTGTGTAGAAACATATATACATATACACACAGTTATAATATGACTCAATAATAGTAAAATCTAACTTATTAAAAGAAAACAGATACACTGAAATTTCACTCAAAACTAGCATACAAGTGAAAAAAGATTTTAAAGTATTCTTTGGTTCAAGAGAAGAGATATTGCTTACTTTTGTACCTTTGAAGTACATGCAAGTTAAATTTCTTTTTAAAGTGTGTTCATGTTAAATTTCTTTTCTAAGATTAGAATTAGATTAGTAAATGAGGAAAAATAAAATAAGAAATTAAATATCAATCCAAAAGAAGTTAAGGAGAATAAAGAGGAAGGATGAATATAGAAAAGGAAGAAGCAGAAAGAAGAAATGAGGAGGAGCAGGAGCAGTTTGGATGATGAACCTGGAAAAAGTAGCATAAATTAAAAATTCAAAATGAAACATCAGATATAAATTCCAACATATTTTCACAATTGATACAAAAAGTTAAAACTACCAGATAAAGACAAAGATTATCAGACGGGATAAAAAAATTATTCATATGCTATTTATAATAGATATTCCTAAAATACAAGGTATGAAAATGATTAGTTGGGAAAAATGTAAACAGCTGCACACATCAAGATGGATAAATCTATGAAACAATATTGAGAGGAAATACAACTCTCAGAAGAATGCATGGAAGATGACTGGTTAACATACAGTTCAAAAACATATAAAACCAAACAGTAGGTTAATTAGGAATATGTATATACTAAAACTATAATAGAAAGGAATGATAAACCCAAAACTCAGGATAGTGGTTACCACAGAATAGTAGGGGGAAGGGGTGTTTAGGAATGAATGAGGGTATAGGATTAAAAAGGGATGAAAGGAAGCTTCAAAGCTATAGGCAATATTATATGTCTCAGCCTCATTAGTAGGCAAGGAGATGCATGTTATATTGTTATGACAAATTGTCTTTTGGAAATGTTTAATATCTAATTTAAAAATTTAAAGTAAGTCAAAGTATTAGCAACTTCAAATTTCTGATCTTGAAAGACTTCCTCAGATCATGTTGATAAAAATGAGTACACTGATCTCACTGCTTGTCACAAGTTTTTCTGTCTTTACACATGTGACTTATGGTATGAACTAGATCAACTCCGAAATCAAGATGTTCCACCTGCTTTGTGTTTTTAATCCCAGAAATGAAGAAAAAATGGATTCCAAAAACGACACTTATTAAATGGAATAATGACATTCAAAGGCTGTTTACTTGTTTTCACGTAAACACATACATTTCTGCAAAATTTTCCAAAATGATTTTCTCAAAATTATAGTTATCAACTTAAGAATCTCTTTAGAAATCTAACAAAAAGATAACTTTATGAGAAAATTATTCTTGTTAATTTGAAAATGAAAATTTTAACTATGATTAATGGAAAATAATGCCTAAAATTTCAAAACACAAAAACCTGATAAGCCTAGATTTTGAGACAAAAAATCTTACCCTTGACAGGCACGTCAAATTAAGAAAATAAAGATACCTTCTATCACTAATTTGCTATATGCATAGATGAGTATGATCTATAAATGCTGATATCAATCAAAATGATGTTGCTGTCTACCTTTTTATGTTTCTACCCAAATGTATTCCATAATTCAAACATAATTATTGACTATGTCAAGATCCACTAAAAATAATATTTGATAATTTGAAGAAATTGGTCTTTTCCCTGGTGTTCAGAACTAGCTCAAAACTGTCACCGAGAATACTAGATAATCAATAAATAACAAATAGAAGATGTTTGTGATCTCTACATCAAATCTTCATAAAGCAAGGCAAATAATCTAGTATTTAGCATACTGATTTTCACATAATTCATAGAGAGTAAAAGGCTGACATGGCTCACAATTGCTAGGCAGTTTCAGAAGTTGAAGAGTGGCTCTAAAAATATTACATATCCAGAGCCAAGAGGGGAGAGCTAATTGGGAGTACAGAGGAGTCTACTTTTTCCTTGATTTCTTTCTCTTTTTTTTTTTGAGATAGAGTCTCACTCTATTGTCCAGGCTGGAGTGCAGTGGCATGATCTCAGGTCACTGCAACCTCTGCCTCCCAGGTTCAAGGGATTCTCGTGCTTCAGCTTCCCAAGTGGCAGGGAGTACAGGCATGCATCACCATGCCCAGATAATTTTTGTATTTTTAGTAGAGACGGGGTTTCACCATGTTGGCCAGACTGGTCTCAAACTCCTGGCCTCAAGTGATCCGCTCGTCTCAGCCTCCCAAAGTGCCAGGACTACAGGTATGAGCCACCGTACTCAGCCTTCCTTCATTTTTTATTTAAATAAATCCTGAACCTACACCAGCATTGGAAAACCATCAATCAGTTCAATTTTCTTTTTTGTTCTATTCAGACATTTTAAAAACTTTAACTCTAATTTACTTAATGATATTACAGGTCTAACAATGATCTCAAACTTAAGAAAAATTAGAAATTCTTTTTAGTCACATACTGTATAAAAATTAAAAACTGATTCAAAGAGCAGGCATATCATAACTAACAGGAAAGTCCAAAAATTTGATCACAGGCATAACTTCCAAGTTTTACATGTCCAGCTAAGTCATTTCTCTAATTGGAACACTGGACAAAGAAATATTCAAAAGTATCTTCTTGAGCCTGGCACAGTGGCTTACACCTGGAATCCCAGCACTTTGGGAGGCCAAGGCACGTGGATCATTAGAGGTCAGGAATTCAAGACCAGCCTGGCCAATATGGTGAGGCCTGTCTCTACTAAAAATACAAAAATTAGCCAGGTGCGCACCTGTAATCCCAGCTACTCGGGAGGCTGAGGCAGGAGAATCGCTTGAACTCGGGAGATGGAGGCTGCAGTGATCTGAGATTGCACCACTGCCCTCCAGCCTGGGCAAAAGAGTGAGACTCCATCTCAAAAAAAAAAAAAAAAAAAAAAAAAGGATCTTCTCAATTTTCTCTCTAAATAAAGTGGCATGATTTCAGAAAAAATTCTCCAATGATATTTTCTATTCTTTTCAATTAAAAAAAACTACTTCATGGATAACATCATGGATTCCTAATAACATATTCTAGAATTGTCCATCCTTAGAGAAAGAATTCCACCAGTTTCTAGTTTTTCTTCTTTAAATAAGGTTCAAATGAACAAGACACAGCATAATTTCCCAGTGTTTTTAGGTAAAATCACAATAATAACCCATTGTAAGATGCATGAATTCATATATAAAAACCTTCTATTTTGTTTTCTTTTGTTAGCACAGACATCTACTTTTGAGTAGATGAAGAGGAGAATAATAGTAGTAGTAAATAAAGGGTCTACTCCTCATTATATTGAAAAACTATGAATATTTCCAGTGCCCACTAGCTGACAGATAAACTGAGAAATGAGTGTGAATTGTCTCCCCAGTCAACACCCCCAATACCCTTTCTATGTTTAAACTCCATAGAAATACGATGTGAATCTGCTTTGTTTATTCAAGCCCCACACCCAACATACTACTGGAAAACAGCAGGTGCTCAATAATTTTTTTTTTCGCTCTCGCACTCAAGCTGGAATGCAGTGGCACGATGCCAGCTCACTGCAATCTCCACCTCCTAGGTTCAAGCGATTCTCCTGCCTCAGCCTCCTGAATAGCTGGGATTACAGGCGTCTGCCACCATGCCTGGCTAATTTTTGTAATTTTAGTAGAGACGGGGTTTCGCCATGTTAGCCAGGCTGGTCTGGAATGCCCGACCTCAAGTGATCCACCTGCCCCGACCTCCCAAAGTGCTGGGATTACAGGCTTGAGCCTGTAATATATATTTTTAAATGAACCTGGACAAATATATTTTTAAATGAACATATTCTACAGGCAAAGATTAAGCTGGACACCAAAGCTCTTCATTTATGAATATATCTGTCAAATAAATTCCCCAATCCATTCTCAGTTTCTAACACTAGCCAAGGTAAGACTAAAGAAGGCTAAAATTAAAACCTCATTGTTTCAATCAACAAATCTTTATGGAGCATTTCCTACATGCTAAACAGCGTGTCTGGTAACGCGAGGTAAATTACACATATGAAGCCCTAGTCTCATGCCAACCATTAGTCTGCAGTCTAGAGGACAGACTGGAAATGGCAAAATATGGAAAAATAAAGTTGAAATATACTAAAGTTTCTTTGTTGACTCATCATACTCCTTAGATAAATCTCACTCAGTCTCACATCTCAGCAGGTAAGGTTGTTTTCTTTTAAATACATGTACGGTCAAAGATTTCTGCATACTATATCCTAGCCACAGAAATGTCCAAAAAAGTAATAATCAGAGCAAATTCTTCTCCATATCATGAACCTCCAATTATAGTATGCAATTCTAGCCTTCAGAACACACACACACACGTATAGATACATGACTACATATACATATATTCTTATGCAGAAATAATCATTCATTTCTTACACAATAAAAACCCAAAACTGATCTACAATCCTTGTAGCTCTGAAATTCTCTGTTTCTGACTGTTTAGGTATTTCATAACAACTTCTGCTTGAATTTTTTCAAGAATACTCTTGTTTAGCCACCTACCTAATTCAGAGTTAGCAAATGGCCTCTGAATAGACTGAAATCTCTCTTTTTAAGCACCACAATTAACATACATGATATATTTCAGGTACATCTTCCTGATTTTTGTTTTTTTAACAAGTCTGTCTCCTACCATGCAATAATCTGACAAGTTTAAATATGTCCAGTTTATCAAAATATATTTACACTGATTGTTCAATTTTGTTCACAACTATTTCTTAGAGGCACCAAAAATTAGCCCCATTCCAAAACTGACTTATGGAAACACCTATGGTATTGTTTTCAGATAAAATACAGGATACAAACTTAAATTTGGACGTCAGATAAACAGTGTGTGTGTGTCTAGAATTGAATATTTCTGGTCATTCTGTACTTTTATTTGGTAAATATAGCAATACTAACCTATAGGCCCCTACAACGACATCATTTCCAACAACAGAAAAAATTAATTAGTGGTATTTCTTACTGTGTCAAATAAGATCAGCAAGTAAATATACAATGACAAAATTCAGGGTGAAACTCAGTCATATTAAATTAATAGTTTCTCACATGACAATTGTCTTTTAGAAAACACCTTAAGTTTCTAAAAATTCTATGTGGGCAAAAGGCTTTTTTACAGTCCCTGAGCAATGTACCACTCAGTAATAAATGCAAAAGGTACTATTGAGACTATATTTCTTCCTGCATATAAATATTAGGTATTCAGTTTGTACTTTGAGAAACTGTTGAGGTTTACCAGGCAAAATGAAAAAAAGTATTAAACTAAAAGAACACATTAATGACATCTGCCCTGTTGGTGTTCAAATAGATGAATTACCTCACAGGATTGCTGGTCAAAGACACTCGGAGAGACTCCAGGCATGTGACAAGTCTCTCATCTGCAGACCCCATTTTCAGCTCATGAATGAATTCCTGAGGTGAGATCTGTCGGCTTCTCTTAAGACTTCCCTATAAAATAAGTCAAAAAATGTTTTGATTAATACTGCATGGAGATTACCCATTAAAAAATAACAAGTTAATCTCCCTAACAGCAGCACATAACTACTATAATTAACACTATTTGGGCAAGGGTGGTAAATAATTTCCTTACTTCTGCCCAAAAATCTATGAATTCATAATGTGTGGTATCCACAAAAGATAGTAATATAACATCAGAAGGTGTGCAAATTGAAATAACTGCCTTCTCAAATGTAAAATGACATGGAGAACAATTGTATACTATAGAAAATATCTTAAAATACAGTAATATTTTTAGGCACACACAAAATAAAATTCAAAACTCAATACAAGAACTACCCTATTAAAATTAGTATTCTGAGCAGTGTAGAAAAGGCTATTAGGTATTAATTCATTCAACTATCACTATAAGCCTAGTTCTAGGCACTGTAGACACATGGATTAACAAAAAGCGAAGTCTGGAAGAAATGCAAGCAAGAAAATAATAATTTTCTTTACAGTCTAGTTCCTGTAACACAGCACCAAGAGACTCAAAGAAAGAACATCTAACTTGGCAGAACAGATCAGGGAAGCTTGCAAAACAGGGCTACATCTTCCTGGTTTTTCTTTTGTAAGTAAGCATTAGGGAGGCAAAGAATGAGAAAGGAATTAACTTCCAGACCAAAACATAACACACACGTACACATGCAGAGAAAAACAAAAACATATGCAACTGAAGACAGAGGCCAGATCATGGAGTGATAGAGCACTACTATGCAATTAGCTCTCCTGGGGAGTTTTGGAAGGATCACTCCAGTGTGAAATATGAATTAGAAGAGTTAGAGTTCACTCATTATTCAACAAACATTAAGTACCTACTAAATACTGGGCACTGTTTTAAGTACTGAGAATAGAGCAGAGATGAAAGAAGAATAAGAGATTGAACTTCCTACCTACATGTAGCTTTACTACATATGGGGAGAAACAGGCAATACATAAAATAACGAAAATGCATTGCACTGTAAATAATAAATGCTGTAGAGAAGAATAAAAGCAGGAAAGAGAATAAGTAGCTTCATATGAGACATGCAATTTTAAACAGGATGGTCAAAGAAAGCCTCACAGAGAAGACTTCAAAGGCCTCAAACTTGAGTGTTTAAATAAAAAGTCTGAAGGAGATAAGACAGCTAACCATGCATATACAGGAAAAAAAAATGCTGTGATGGAGGGAACTGTAGGTTTTACAGTCCACTGAAAGAACTTGGACTTTTACTCTGAGATCAGAAGCAGAGAGATCTGTTGAGAAGGTATCTATATAGCCTAGATAGGAAATGATGAGGATGGTGAACTAACAATAAAGTTCTGAATTATATTATTTGAATTACAGATTCACCATCCAACGGCAGGAAATGAATTGTGTAAGTTCAAAAGAAGATCAGGTGAAGTGGTACGAAATTCGGTGTTTTTCATGTTTTTTGTTTTTATTAATTTACTATAATGTTATTCAAAACAACATTCCCAATAAAGCAAAACAAATTAGCACTGTAAAGACGGGTTATTTTTATTCATGTCATTATCAAAGTAGTAATTTAATAAAGAAGAATTCAATGGTACAATCTCCGAAAATAAAAGGGGAAATGGTGAAAGCTATGAAAATGAACATCCGATTATTTTTACCGCAGTCACTGATATCATTCAAAGAACATATTCAACTTGTACCAACAGAGCACTTATTGATGTCTCTTTTTGCTCTGAATTACCAAAGGACTGATTGTTCAACAGAGAAAATTTAGAAAACACAGAAAAGCAACAGGAACAAAGGTGCCTCAAAATAACTACTGTTAATATATTTCTACATAAAGCATTTTTCTCATATATAGAGAGAATATTAATATATTTGCATATATTTATATTTTAAAACATATATGATATGGTTTGGCTGTGTCCCCACCCAAATCCATCTTGAATAGTAGTTTCTATAATCCTATGTTTTGGGAGGGATCCAGTAGGAGGTAACTGAATCATGAGGACGGTTACCTCCATGCTGTCCTCATGATAGTCAGTGAGTTCTCACGAGATCTGATGGTTTTAAAAGGGGCTTTTCCCCCACCTTCGCTTGGCACTTCTTGCCTGCTGCCATGTAAGATGTGACTTTGCTCTTCCTTTGCCTTCTGCCATGATTGTGAGGCCTCCCCAGCCATGTGAAACTGTGAGTACATTAAACCTTTTTATTTATAAATTACCCAGTCTTAGCTGGGTGCAGTGGCTCATGCCTGTAATCCCAGCACTTTGGGAGGCTGAGGCGGGCGGATCACCTGAGGGCGGGAGTTCGAGACCAGCGTGACCAACATGGAGAAACCCATCTCTACTAAAAGTACAAAATTAGCTGAGCATGGTGGCACATGCCTATAATCCCAGCTATTCAGGAGGCTGAGGCAGGAGAATCGCTTGAACCCGGGAGGTGAAGGTTGAGGTGAGCAGAGATCATGCCATTTTACTCCAGCCTGGGCAACAAGATTGAAACTCCGTCTCAAAAAAAAAATAAAAATAAAAATAAATAAATTACCCAGTCTCAGGTACATCTTATTAGCAGCGCGAGAAAAAACTAATACAATACACTTTACTTATTTAAAACATCGTTTGATACCTATTGTTCTATAGGCTATTATCTTTAAGCAATATTTCATGAACATATTCCAATTCAAAACATAAGCCATAAAGAATATGACCTCTTCCTGCCTACAGACTATTGCATTACTTACTTAATTAGTCCCTGGCTCTTGGGCAAGTAGGTTGTTTACAATTTCTTGATATCATAAATTTTTCAAGTTTCCTGTGTGTGCTGTCAGGCCAATATTTTTATCCAAAAATACAGCAGTGGAGGTTAACTAGATGATCTCTTGCAGCCCATTCTAAATTTATTACCGAAAAACTTGCAATTTGGGTAGGATCAAAATAAACCACAACTGAATAAATAGATTTTTTTCTTCAACAATAAGTAAGCTCCATGTAGCAAATACTTTTTAAGTATGAGAATAACCAGTAAGTGCATGTGGATAAGAACAAAAGTGATATTAAAAGATAAAAAACAAAAACCACCTATCCTACATCTTAGCCCTGTCTCACAAAGACAATAATTCTTAATTCCTTTAACAGTTTCTTCTGATAGTTGCTTAATATGTCTAATGTACCTGATATTTTTAGATTTCTAAATATTCATTATTACCTTTGATTTGTATTATGAAAAATAAGGATTTAATTATCTTCAAACATTGGAACCTCTTCTCTTCCAACTCCTGAATAGCAATAGGTAAACTCAATTGAACCAAAAGATGCCATTCCATGAAATGAGAGCTAACTGAATCCACATTTTATAAAGTCCTTACAGCTACATCCCTAAAGAGATGAGTTCAGGCATCCAAAAATCTTAATGCTTTAGTTCATTTTATTATCACTGAATAGGATATTATATGTCCCAATCATAAAATGCTCAATTACTGTAAGGATATAAACAGACACTTTTCAACGGAAGACATTTATGTGGCCAAAAGACATATTAAAAAAAGCTCATCATCACTGGTCATTAGAGAAATGCAAATCAAAACCAAAATGAGATACCATCTCACGCCAGTTACAATGGCGATCATTAAAAAGTCAGGAAACAACAGATGCTGGAGAGGATGTGTAGAAATAGGAACACTTTTACACTGTTGGTGAGAGTGTAAATAGTTCAACCATTGTGGAAGACAGTATGGTGATTCCTCAGGGATCTAGAACTAGAAATACCATTTGACCGAGCAATCCCATTACTAGGTATACACCCAAAGGATTATAAATCATGCTGCTATAAAGACACATGCACACGTATGTTTATTGCAGCACTGTTCACAATAGCAAAGACTTGGAACCAACCCAAATGCCCATCAATGATAGACTGGATAAAGAAAATGTGGCACATATACACCATGGAATACTATGCAGCCATAAAAAAAGAATGAGTTCATGTCCTTTGCAGGGACACAGATGAAGCTGGAAACCATCATTCTCAGCAAACTAACAACAAGAACAGAAAACCAAACACCACATGTTCTCACTCATAAGTTGGAGTTGAACAACGAGAACACATGGACATAGGGAGGGGAACTTCACATACCGGGGCTTTTCGGGGGGTTGGGGGGCTAAGAGAGGGATAGCATTAGGACAAATACCTAATGTAAATGATGGGTTGATAGGTGCAGCAAATCACCATGGCACGTGTATACCTATGTAACAAACTTGCACGTTCTGCACTTGTATCCCAGAAATTAAAGTATTATTTTAAAAAAAGAAAAAGGAAATACCTATAGATAAAACTACAACACATTTGTGGAAACTGAGGACAACCTACAAAAATAAACGTTATACCATACTCACAGAACAGAAGAATTAATTTTATTAAGAAATCCATTAAGTACATTTTCTGAAAAAAAAAATCCATAGATGCAATCAATGATTACCGTCAAAATCCCATCAAGTGTTTTGTAGAAATTGAAAACTACATTCTAAAATTTATATGAAAATAAAGGAGACCTAAAATAGGAAAAACAATTGTGATAAAGAACAAAGTTGGGGAGCTTACACTATCTGATTTCAAGATTAACTATAAATCTATAGTAATCAAATTAGAGTGATACAGGCATCAGTGGAATAGAGAGTCCAGAAATATAACTTATATCATCAATGATTTTCACGAAAGTTGTCAATATGATTCAATGGGGGGAAGAAGAATCTCTTCAACAAATGGTGCTAGAACAATTGGACTTTCATATGAAAGAAAGTGAACCTGGATCCTAGACCTAAAAGTAAAAGCTAAAACTATAAAACATCTAGAAGAAAACAGGTAAAAATCCTCCTTGCCTTGGAGAAGGCAAAGATTTCTTAAATAGGACACAAAGAGTACTAGCTATAAAACTAAAATATTGTACCTCATTAAATTCAAAAGTCTCTTATTAAATTAGTTTCAGTAAGGAAATGAAAGGTAAGCACAAACCAGGAGAAAATATTTGCAATACAGTTAAGAACTGTATAGTGTCTGAGATTTCAACTGTATAGAGTCTGAGATTTCAACTTACAAGCTAAGTTAGCCTGTTACTATTTCACAGATGCTGGCAGAAAACACAAGACTCCTGGATTAGAGCCAAAGGACTTCATTATGCATGTGTTGGGTCCCTAACCCACCCAGTCGCACGGGGACAATGCAGGGCCCATGGTGAATGCCTGCACATGCAGTGGATTGCATCATAAGAGAAGAACACAAAGCTTGGGGGATTCACCATTTTTATAGTGAGCAGTAATAGGCATGCTCATTGTGCAGAGAGAGGCAAAACCTCGCCTCTCCAGGCTACTCACTGCAAATGCAACTCAGAAAAATGGGATGGGTAAAGAGCAATCAAACCTTGCATTCTTGGCATAGCCAGCAAGTAGATGTAGGGAAACTCAGGACCCATGGAAGACTGCCTCTCCCAATGATACATTTCATAAAGGACTAGTATTCAGAATAAAGAACTCCTATAACTCAATAGTAATAAGACAAATTAATAAACAGATTAAAAACTTCATAACAGAAGATATGTGAATGGCCAATAATCACATGAGGACATGTTCAAGATCACCTGTCAGCAGAGGAATTCAAATTGGAACAACAAATGAGGGAGTGCTACACAGTCCCTATAGTAGTCTCCTAGAGTAGTGAGAATTTGATACTCCTGGAACTCTTCTACACTACTGGTGGCATATAAAATGATACTATCACCCTGGAAGATGTTTGTTTCTTTTAAGTTAAATATACATTGCCCATATTACTCAGCAATTGCAGTTACTAGAGTAGTGAGAATTTGATACTCCTGGAACTCTTCTACACTACTGGTGGACATATAAAATGATACTATCACCCTGGAAGATGTTTGTTTCTTTTAAGTTAAATATACATTGCCCATATTACTCAGCAATTGCAGTTACTAGAGTAGTGAGAATTTGATACTCCTGGAACTCTTCTACACTACTGGTGGACATATAAAATGATACTATCACCCTGGAAGATGTTTGTTTCTTTTAAGTTAAATATACATTGCCCATATTACTCAGCAATTGCAGTTAAGTGTTAAGCAGGAGGAAAAAAATGAAAAAAATCTACGATGTATGGAATACCTTTATTCTTAATAGTTAAAATCTGAGAACAACCCAAGTATTCATCAACAAATTATAGTATAACCACACAATGAAATACTATGCAGCAATAAAAAGAATTCACTACTGATAAATGCAACAAGACAAAGGAATCAAAAAATTATGCTAGGTTGAAGTAGCCCAAACAAAAAGTACACAGTGGATGGTTCTATTTATATGAAAAACCAAAACTAACCTGTCAATCTTTTCTCTAGGACCATTACAATTCAGGCACAGAAGCAGAGCTATTAAATTTGGTGTGTTTGGCTGGAGGATAGGATTAAAAGGAGGCAACATTTTAAATAGGGCAGCAAGTAGATTTAACCAATAAACACTGGGAAAGACAGACTAAATCCACTAGCTAACGATAATTACTTCAGCCATATTGAACTGTCCAACTTGAACAATTTGTTGCCTCAAGGATTCTGCATTCCCACCTGAGAATCCTGCCTCTGACACCCTCCGCCCTTATCCAAACCCTCACCACCACTACTACAACCCTTACCCAGGCCTACTCCTAAACATTGGTTAGACCTGGGCTGAGAGTGGCTTCCCACAAAAGGCCTCTCGTGAGCCACGCAATGGGTCCCTTCCCCCAGTCTATGGATTCATTTTTCATAACTCTTACTCTGTATTAAAATAACTTTCATTACTACTTATTATTTAAAGGATATATTGAACACCTATTGTGTGCCAAGTACTGTTTACATGATGCAGACACAGGAGTGACGTAAAAGTCAAAGATGAGTCCTAGGACTTCAGTCTATGCCAAAACATGGTACCATCTACTTAGATGGGGGAGATAGAATAAAGAGAGTGAGTGATAGGGGAAATAGCTATTTAAGAGCCTCTAGAGAAAATAATATCTTTTGTTCTAAGAAAATAACGCTTGTGCGGCTAAGCATGGTAGCTCATGCCTGTAATTCCGGCAACTTGGGAGGCTGGGGCAGGAAGATTGCTAGAGGCCAGGAGTTTGAAAACATACTGGGCAACACAGTGAGACCCCATCTCTACAAAAAACATTTTTCTTAATTAACCCAGCATGGTGGTGCATGCCAGTAGATCTAGATACTCAGGAGACTGAGGTTGGAAGATCACTTGAGCCCAGGAGTTTGAGGTTGCCATGAGCCATGATCGTGCCACTGCACTCCAGCCTAGGCAACAGAGCAAAACTGTGTCTCAAAAAAAGAAAAGACAGAAGGAAAGAAAATATCACTTGTGCAGAGACCAGAATGAAGAGGAGAGGACATGGGAAAGCTGAGAAAAAGAACTTCTAGCAAACAGAAGAGAAAATACAAAGCCTTGTGGCAGGAATGAACTTGGCATATTTAGAGGACAGTAAGAAGACTCAGTGAACACGACAAGAGTTACAGATGACAAGGACAGACAGAAAAGGCAGGGCTCCGATCCTCTAGGCAGGCAGCTGAAAAACTACAGCCTGAGTGTCAAATGTTTTTGTATGATCTTGGGGCTGAGAATAATTTTCACATTTTCAAATGCTTGTTAAAAAGAAGAGGAAGAGAATGAAGAGGAGGAGGAGGAGGAAGAAGTGAAGAAATCAGAAGCAGCAGCAGCAGCAGATGCAACTGAGACCATATGTGACAAAGTCTAAAATATTTACTGTGTGGACATTTAAGAAAAAGTATGCCATCCCCTGATAGGATCTTATAAACCATGGTAAGGACTTTAGGTTTTATTCTGAGTGGGATGGATAAGTATTGGAGAGTTCTGAGCATAGAAAGTATAAGATGAAATAAACATTTTTTAAGGATTTTTCTATCTACTGTGTGGCAACAGACAGAAACAACGTGAAACAAGGAGGTCAGTTAGAAGACTACTGCATTGTCTGGTCAAGAGTTGTTGGTAGCCTGGCATAAGATGCAGTGATGGAAAACATTAGATGTCCTCAATATGAAAATAAATTTTCAATGTACAGCAGACAGGAGGCTGGTAGTTTAGATATAAGAATGAAAAAAGTAAACTGTGAAGATGATGTCCAGGTTTTTGTTCTCAGCAAGTAAATGAATACTGTCTACTGATCACTGTGACCTTGAAAAGACCCGTTTTAGTGGTGGATTAGGGATAAGCCTGATCACAAATTCAAGAAGAAAAGCAAGAAGAATGGACAACTCTTAGGAGATTTTCTGTAAAGGGGAAAAAAGAACTGGGGCAGTGGCTAGAGGGAATCCTGGGGTATAATTTGGGGGGAGTGGGAAAAAAATATATATATATGGTAATGTTTGCATGCTGATGAGAATGACCAAGAAAAGGAAACAAAACTGATGACGCAGGGAGGTAGGTACAGGCTCAGAAAAACAAACAAGCAGCCAAACAAGGTGGCTCACGCCTGTAATCCCAACACTTTGGGAGGCTAAGACGGGTGGATCATCTGAGGTCAGGAGTTCGAGACCAGCCTGGCCAACATGTCAAAACCCTGTCTCTATTAAAAATACAAAAATTAGCCAGGCGTGGTGGCACATGCCTGTAATCCAAGCTACTTGGGAGGCTGAGGCAGGACAATTGCTTGAACCTGGGAAGCAGAGGTTGCAGTAAGCTAAGATCACACCATTGCACTCCAGCCTGGGCAACAAGAAACTCCGTCTCAAAAAAAAACAAGAAAACAAAAACCACTTGAGTAGATGACAGAGGATGTGCCCTACTATACAAGGGGAGAGACTGACCTTATACAGCTGCAAGGAAAGTTTATCACTGTAAAAAGAGCAAAAGCAGAGTTTAAGGGAACAGATTCTGGTACCTTGTCAGATCTGATGATTAGAAAGTGAGGTATGGCAGTTCTATTCTGATTACATCAACATTCTCAGTGAAAAAAGCAGCCATATAATCAACTAAAAGTGAGAACACCGAGCTGAAGGTAGGAAATTGTTTTCAGGAAGTAAAGAATTGCAATAAAAATGGTCATGTGGTAGGATATCGGAGCACTGTTAAGGGCTTGCTTATTAACTGTGGTCATTCAAAAAACACTAGTCAGTGTAGCAGCTACCTGCTTCCTCCCAGATGCATGCTGTGCTGAGGTGCAGATGCAGAGGAGGGGGCAATTTAGTTTAACCAAGGGCAGGGTTTATATGAACGATGAGGCAAACAAACTGATGGTATGTGTGAGAGTGAAGATCTGAGGGTGTTAAGTATATAAGGAGAGAAGTAAGGGCATGGCAGGAACAGGGAGGTGAGGAACATGAAACATGTAAAGTCAATGGGTCAGAATTGCCAATGGGATTGCAAAATTCTTAAAGTGAGGGCACTAAGTAAATAGGAAAGATAGACAGTGCACAGGAAAGGAAGTCTGTAAATCATATTTAGAAGTGGTATTTTACTGTCCCAGGTGACTGAGATTGGGTGAAAAAACAAAGTTCACTAGGAGTGATAAAGTCAAGTAAATGAGAAAGTGGGATGTTGGACAGATCACATATGTGAATAATGAAATCATTAGGGATGATGGAGGTGGTAGTAGCATAAGGAAAAGCAATCAACTAGGTAGCCCAGTCTTCAAGGTATAAGAAGTCTGTCATACATGCCAGCATCTCTGTGTGATGCCATCTTCTCCACTAGAATACACCCTACAGGGCAGTGTCTGCATCTGCCTAATTCATCACTGTAACACCAATTCTTTGCAAAGTGAATGGCTTTCAGTGAATGAATGAAGTTATAATAAAATGGAAGGTATACATAGACTAAGGTTAAAATAAGAAAAGAGCAAAGGCGGGCGGATCACCTGAGGTCAGGAGTTCAAGACCAGCCTGGCCAACATAGTGAAACCCCGTCTCTACTAAAAATACAAAAATTAGCCAGGTTTGGTAGGATCCATCTGTAGTCCCAGCTACTTGGGAGGCTGAGGCAGGAGAATCACTTGAACCCGGGAGGCAGAGATTGTAGTGAGCTGAGATCGCGCCACTGCACTCCAGCCTGGTGACAGAGCCAGACTCCCTCTTAAAAAAAAAAAAAAAAAAAAAGAAATAATAATAAGAAAGAAGAAAAGTCACACACACCTCTTAAATTAAAGAAATAGGAAATAGACCAGAGAGACTATTTTTCAACACAATTAACTACCTTTTATTATATTACTATCCAAACACAGGTATAGAAAAAAAGGAAATTGAGGGGGAAAATATTATATTACAAGAATAATCAGAAATACTCCTTTTAAGAACAGCTCTTGTATTTCATTTTACATAACTTCAAAGGAAGAGGGAAGTACGGGGAGGAAGGAAAGGATACTCACGGCTGCATATCTTTAAGTCCATTAGCCATGAAGATGAAAATACTTAGAAAGCCTTATCCCCTGTGGTATCAAAACATATTAGTGAGATAAGGATGTCTGCCTGACATCACAAAAATTAGAAGGATATTTATCCAACATAATTTTTAAATCTTTTTAAATCCTTTAGCAAATTTTATTCTAAAATACCAAATGCAGCATAGAAAGAAAAGTACATAGATTCCTCTTATCATATTCTTTATTAAATGTATTCTAAGGTACAAAAAGTAATATACCCTTTCCCATACCATTTCTGTTCGTCTAAAACTAAATGCTCTTTCTTTTGCTAGGTAACTATTACAGGTAATAGTAACCCTCCCCTTTGACCTGTCTTGAAAAGATTACTTTGCCCCTACCTAAATGACTACATTTCATCTCAGTTCAGGTGTAACACTTATTCAGTGTATGTTCACTCACTATTCTATCTCATTGTTTGCTTTATTCAATGTATAAGAATACATTGAATTTCTAGTTACCAGTTGATTTTTGAAATAACTGAATGGTTTTTATACAACCATAAAGAATCTACCATTTATTAATGACCAGATTTTTAAAATAATAAATGTAAAAAAAAACTAAATCTGATATATCTACACACTCTGAAAGAAGATGATACAGCATAATGCCAATATCAATCAGGACAATGACCTTCTTTATCTGCCTAATGAAGTATCTAACATATGGTAGTTGCTTAAAGCAAAAGTTTGCCTAGAATACCTGTGATATCAAAGGAGTCAGAAATTATATTCTTAAACACTACTCCAATCACTGTAGACTGTTTTCCAACTCACTAAATGATACCTTATTTCTCCCAGATAGTAGCCTATACCAAAATTCCCCATGCAACATCTTCAACTGCTGGTGATAGCTTAATCTTTAAATCACACTTAAACCTGTAGAGAAAACCAGTATTTTTTTTAACATGAAGGCCCATAATATATAGCCTCTAGAGATTAAAATATTAAGATATCAGAGAACTGTAAGAATAGTTTGAACTTTAATTTTTAAGTGAAGTTAGTTACTAGATTCTAGATCCTTCTCCATAACATTTACTTTGTAATTTTAAGCAAGTAAATTACAGAAAACAGAAAACTGTTATCTACATAAAGCCTAAATAGTGAAAAAGCTTACGTTCTCATAGTGATAAGAGAGTTAAATGCACTCTTGCCTGGGTATATGTATCTATCTCTATGCCTGTAGGTTTCTATTTAAGTCAATAACCATTAATTAACTGCCTCAGTTTTTCTTTGATTTTGCAATTGCTGAATTCCCAGTACCTACTCAGGTGATGAGACTTGTGAAGAAGAATGAGATGATATGAAATGTCAAGACTATTTAAAGAAATAGTTTGCACTGGTAGGGACAATATTTTAAGAGCAGAGCAGAGTCAGTGCAGTACAAAACAAGGGTAAGCACAGTTGCTGCCAAGAGGGTAATTATAATCTAAATTACTATCATGCATATTACTATTAAAATGCATTGCGACTATTTCCTTGCATTTTTCAAATGATTTCAAGCATCTCTAATGTCAATGATCAACAGAAACACTAAGCTGTCACTGCTGTATGAATAACTCATTTTCAGAACATATACAAACAGATCTCCAGTGCCAATAAAATCTGTTATTCACAGATAATTTTATGCAAACACATAGTAGAAACTATGAAAGCTGAAGAATATTGCAGAAAGGTGCATTCACCAACAAAATAAAGTTTAGCAAGGGATTCCCTTAAAGAGTTACTTGGCTTTTTAAAAAAACATTTAATGAGTATCATTACGTGCCAAAAACTCTGCCTATAATTTGGAAGCTGGTTTTAGAGTACATTAAAAAGCTTAAAATTACCAACTATATTTTACCCAAAAAAAAGATAAAGTACAGAAAATATGCTACTTCCCCCCTTTTCACTTCTAAAATATCTCTATAAAGAACAATTATAGTGATCTAATACTAATTTTAGACAATTAGAAATTAACTTGACATAGCAGAAGAAATTTGACACACAACATTCTCTTATTATCCATCAATATTTAACCAGCACGACCTCCAATCTAATGGAAAAGCTGTCCTGCATTGGCCCAGTGCCTTCAATAAGAGAGTTGATTATTTAGACTATTTTACATATTTAAGAAGTGTTGCTTCAACTGCTGAATGCAATACTCCAGTGTTATAACACTTCTACCTGCTTACCATGACCAGAACTGAAGTATTCTTTTAGCTCTTAAGCCTCAAAAAGGATATACTATACAGATAACAGTCTAATGTTTCTCCCATAGCCAGAGAATACTAAACAAACCATGATGGACCACATAATGGAGTAGCATGCAATTATAAGAAAAAAAGACAATATCTCTATGAGCTGATAAAATCATATCCTAGAAAGCATGTGTAACTAGAAAACATGCCAAAGAATATCTACAGTATATTACCTTATGTTTATGAAAGAAAGAAATGAAAAAATACACATATCTCTTCATTTGTGCAAAAAGACACAGGAAGGAATAAGGAACTAATACAATCGCATACCTTCGGGGTGGATGGGAATATGGTAGAAAAGATGAGGAGAGAAAATTTCCAGAGAAGAAAGGGGGATGAGAGACTAAGTGACAATTTTTTGCATAGTTATTTTTTGTAAAGTTCTGACTTTTTTAGTATAGTCCTCCTTGTATAGTTCTGACTTTTGGAAATATGTTAATGTTTCATACACTTGAAATGAGAAATATTAATATCAGAAAGAGTGGAAGGAAATCCTAAAAATCCAAACACAAGAAACCTAATTGTATTTCAAATGAACAATAATGTCAGAGAAATAAGAGTATGAAAATATGGAAGGCTAGAATGAACCCTGTAATGTTAGACTCTAACTAAAGATTATCAACATGAACTTGAGGTTTTTGAATATATATAAAATACATATATTATCTATTATCTATTTTATATGTTATATATAATCTGCTATAATATATTATCTAGCTATATATATAGAAAAGAGAGAGAGGAGAGAGAACGAGCAATAGAGACAGAGAAAGGAGAGTTGGAGGGATACAGATACATAGACATAGATAGATGAAAAGAAGAATAAAGATGGGTATGTGTATACAAATATGTGTTTTCTATACATGGATCTACATGTATTTCATATACACACATACTCATGTACATATACACATATCACATACATGTAAATATACACCCATATGTACTTGTGTATTTTTATTTTATTTTATTTTTCCTAGCTCTGTCTATAAGGGCCTAGAAGATATACCATTAAAAGACCTAGCATCCAGATCTTGAATTCTAAATAACATTCTCCACTAAAAGGAACTACAAGGAACTTGGGGTCCTTGGAGAAATGTCTGACTCCAAGGCTGGGTGTAGAATAGTACCAGATGATCCTGGAAGACAGTGTACAAGACAATAGGAAGTATTCAAAGAATGATAGGGACAAAAAAGGACAAAGGAACTAGCTTGAAGAGACTTCTATTGGCCAAATCTATCTGGGGGAGTGGGAAGAGATAGGGAGTTACTACTTAAACCATATGAAGTTTCCTTTTGGGTTGACAACAATGTGCTGGAACTAGATGGTAGTGCTAGTTGCATAACACTGTAAAGATATTAAATGCCACTGAATTGTGCAATTTAAAATGATAAATTTTATATTATATAAATTTTGCCCAATTAAAACAAGTTTTTCATTCCTCCTAAGAACTTGAACAAGGCAAGGATGCTCACTTTCACCACTTCCATTCAACACCGTACTGGAAGTCCTAGCCAGAGCAATCAGGCAAGAGAAAGAAATAAAGGGCATTAAGAGGAAGTCAAACTATCTCCGTTTGTTGATGATGTGATCTTATAGCTAGAAAACCCTAAAGACTTCTCCAAAAGACTCCTAGATCTAATCAATGAATTCAGTAAAGCCTCAGGTTACAAAATCAATGTACACAAATCAGTAGTACTGCTAAATGCCAACAACAACCAAGCTGAGAATCAAATCAAGAACTCAATCCCTTTTAAAACAGCTACAAAAAAATAAAATACCAAGGAATATACTTAACCAAGGAGATGAAAGATCTCTACAGGGAGAACAAGAAAACACTGCTTAAAGAAATCACAGATGACACAAATGGAAATAACATCTCATGTTCCAGAATTGGAAGAATCAATATCATGAAAATGACCATACTACCTAAAGCAATCTACAGATTCAATGCAATTCCTATCGAGATAACAATCCCATTCTTCACAGAATTAGAAAAAGCATTCCTAAAATTTATATGGAACCAAAAAAGAGCCTGAATACCCAAAGCAATACTGAGCAAAAACAACAAATCTGCAGGCATCACGTTATCTGACTTCCAATTATACGACAGGGATATAGTAACCAAAACAGCATGGTATTGGTATAAAAGGAGATACACAGACCAAGGGAACAGCATAGAGAACGCAGGAATAAAGCCAAATACTTACAACCACTGATCATCAACAAAGCATACAAAAACATAAATTGGAGAAAGGACACCTTAT
Source organism: Homo sapiens (assembly GCF_000001405.40). Lineage (NCBI taxonomy): Eukaryota > Metazoa > Chordata > Mammalia > Primates > Hominidae > Homo > Homo sapiens. The sequence continues at coordinate 60,057,808 of NC_000013.11, forward strand.
TCAATAAATAGTGCTGAGAAAATTTGATAGCCACATGTAGAAGAATAAAACTGGATCCCTATCACTCACAATATATAAAAATTAACTTAAAATAGACTAAAGAATTAATCTAAGACCTGAAATCATTAAAATTCTAAATGAAAACCTAGGAAAAACTCTTCTGGACATTGGCCCTGGCAAATAATTTATGAGTGAGACCCCAAAAGCAAATGCAACAAAAAACAAAAAATAAATGGAACCTAATTAAACTTAAAAGCTTCTGCATAACAAAAGAAATCATCAGTGTAAACAGACAACCTACAAAATGGGAGAAAATATATGCAAATTATGCATCTGACAAAGAATTAATATCCAGAATCTAAAAGTAACTCAAATCAGCAAAAAAAAAAACCAGATAATTCCTTTAAAAAGTGGGCAAATGACATGAATAGACATTTCTGACACTTCTCAAAAGAAGATATAAATGGACAAAAAAAATGAAAAATTGCTCATCACCAATCATCATGGAAATGCAAATTAAAACCATAATGAGATACTGCATTACTCAGCTAGAATGATCGTTATTAAAAAGCCAAAAAATAACAGATGTTGGCATGGATGTGGTGAAAAGGGAACATTTATACACTGCTGGTGGGGATTTAAATTAGTACAACCTTCATGGAAAACAGTAGGGAGATTTCTCAAAGAACTAAAAGCAGATGTACCATTCGATCCAGCAGTTCCACAAATCACTTTATCAGAAAGACACCTGGACACGTATGTTTATCACAGCACAATCTGCAATTGCAAAGACATGGAATCAACCTAACTGCCCACCAACTGGTGAGTGGATAAAGAAAATGTGGTGTGTTGGTGTGTACACATGTGTATGTATATATATACACACATACACATACACTGTAATACTACTTGGCTATAAAAAAAGAACAAAATCATATCTTGCAGCAACTTGGATGGATCTGGAGGCCATGATTCTATGTAAGTAACTCAGGAATTGAAAATCAAATATTGCATGTTCTCATTTATAAGTTGGAGCTATGCTATGTGTACACAAGGCATACAGCGTGGTATAATAAATACTGGAGGATGAAAAATTACCTTTTGGGTACAATGTACACTACCCAAGTGACAAGTGCATCAAATCCCAGACTTCACCACTATCCAATTCATACATGTAACCAAAAACCACTTGTACCCCTAAAGCTGTTGAAATAAAATTAAAATTAAAAATATTAATTAGATTAAAAACTGTTAATATGTATAAAAAGTATGACTTACATGTTCTATATATGTATTAGATGTCCAGTAAAAATTTTTTAATGGTTAAAAAACTAAAAAATACAATGTTTTAAAAAAATTTATAAAATAGAAAAAAAAAACTAATTTGTAGTGTTAGAAGCCAGGAGAGAAGCAGTCTTGAAGAGGAGAAAGGGTAGTGACTGAAACATTTGAGTTTATGGGCATTATTCTATTTCCACAGCTAGATACTGATTACATGGGTGTGTCTACTCATTGATAATTTATCAAGTGGTATCCTTAAGATTTATGGATTTTACTGTATGAACGTAATCTTAAAAGTACTAAACAACTATTTTTAAATTTACAAATGTTTCATGCTTTATGCTATTTATAAGGTACATTCAAATCAAATTCTTCTGAAATCCTTAATTCAGGTTTTTAAACATACCACTTAAAATACTTTACATAGATTATCATTATATGCTTCCTTTCTGAACAATAAAATTAAATAAAAAGGTCATATGGTGTCACACAGGACCACTTGTTTTTATTTTGGATCTTCAGTATACCTCTAGTATTGGAAAATGTTTACTCTCACCTAAAAAACAAATTGTGATTTAAAGATTTAAAGGCAGCTCAAAGTTGGGGGGTGGGGGAGCTGATTAAACAAACATGGATGTTCTAATTTGCCAGCCTCTATTTGATGGTTCATTGAAGGATGAAGATGTGTTCAGCACATCTGAACGGATAGAAAAAATCCACTGATATTCTTAGTCATTGGTTCATTATCGTCTTTACTGTGTTGATTATGTTTATGTAAAAAGAAAAGCCACAACAAAACTTCATTGGGCATTTACCAACAAAAGGGGAGGAGGGACAAGAAAACACCAGCTGTTCCAGTCTTTAAAATTAGGCAATTTGTTTTCCAATCCCTCCAGGTAATCGCACAATTATTTGCCTCCACAGTTCAGAGTACTACTTTCAAGTGTCACTGTTACATTTACACTTTAAGTCTGTCTTCCTTTTTTTTCTTTTCTTGATTTTTGGAAGAACACCACCTTGCCTCTTCATATGTACAAGCTAGCCTATAAATGTAATCTGTTTATATTAGTAAAAAGCTCAAAAACATAAACAGAACAAAATCTAATTCACTTTCTAGATTATTCTTCATATTAATAATAGTACCAGCTAAATACAGGCAAAAAATAAATAGTAGAGAGGATAAAACAAAATCTTTGGATCATTGGATCACACCCCACTACAATCCATTATGGGAGTTTGGTCTCCGATTTCCTCAGTATAAAATGCTCACAGTGGTTATGGAGTGGAAGAAGCTGCAAAATTGAAATATACTGGGAAAATGCCTGCATTGTTGTCACAATAAGCAAATATTCTCTTTTATGATTAACAGTTTTTAAAGCTGTGCAGTTTATAGAGTAAAGCAAAAGAAGAAAGTACTCACCCATAGTTTGCAGGGTAGGGTAAGGGAACAACTTGATCAAATGAATAGATCAAAATGAGAAGCAACTAAAGTCCAACCAAAAGAGTTGTGTTGTTCATTTGCTTATACTTCATCCTCTTTGTAACTAACTGGATAGATTGTCTCATACGCCTTTTATATTTCCCAGAATCCTGGGCACTATTATGTTCTAAACAGAAAATGTATAAATACTTCTTAAATAAAAGAGAGGGTAAAAAGGATAATAGACCTAAATTTACTCAACTACCATGCTCCTAAGAAAATTCACAAACATGAAAATTTAAAATTTTAATAATATACAAAATTATATCTAGTGATTTTATAAATTCATAATTTCTAGGATGTTCTGTAAAAACCCAGCTATCCACCTAAAAGATACATTCAAATAACCATGTAAGTATCTATTATATACTGTTATAATAACCACTGAAACTCAGAAATAAGAAAATTCTGCCCATGAGGTGCTCATCATTAGCTGAGTAAGAACATCTAAACAGTTAAAAAGTAAGGGATCCTGTATATGAACCTAGTCTCTGGGAGCAGAAGGGAAGATGTCCCAATTGTTGCCTAGAAGGTCAGGAAAGCTTCCCAGCAGAGATCCTACAAGAACCAGGTCTTAAAAGACCAGGATTGGAAAGCAGAATAACAAAAGCACTATGGGCCACGGCAGAGTCAGGTGGAAGAGCTGGTGTGTTTTAGGAGCTAGATGTCCACATTTACAGGTTTTATAGGAAGGGAGAGAATAGAAGCACAAAACACACAGAAACAAGAAAGTGAAATGTGCCTACCTCATACTAAGGAAAGGAGACCTTAACCCATGGACAATAGGATGGAACTGCAAAACTGATTGGAAATGAAGTTACAAAAAGCTGTATGTTAGAAATACATTCAAGCAACAGTGAGGAAGACTGAGACATGAGCCTCTCCAGAGGCTTAGAAGGTTACAGAGACAAAGAGGCACGTTCAGGTGGACATGAATAAATACATCTTCTCAGTTCTACCATAACATTTAAAAAAAAAAAAATCAAGAAAGAAACAGCTGGAAAAAATTGCTACATTTGATCACAAAACATGCCCCTCCCCCCACACACACCTCCCACCCCCACATGTAAGAAGGAAACTAAACACATCTGACTTCAAGGAACTTAAAAGACAAAATACAGGGAGAATTGTTTTTCCTCTTAATAGACGCTAAGCAAAGGAGCGTCTCTCAAACAATCTAACTCTTCTCAAAAATATTCAATTTTCTACTATCTAAAAAAAGTAAAAATTTTCCAAAACCTACCTTTCCAACCTCATATCCCACTATTCTCTTTCGTAAGAGCCTTAACTCCGGGGGGTGAGGGGGAGAACAACTTTCCAATCCAGCTATGCACACCATGGTTTTCCCTATACAAACATCTTTACTGCCTACAGCCTCCTACACAACCCCACCTCCAAATGTTCAAATCCTATCTGCTCCTTCCCAACAAAACCTCTTCTAACCCCCTCGGCAGGAGATAGTGCTGACCCTCAAATTCCCACCTTAGGTTTATTTCCCCTATTTTATCTTAATTACTTCTACCTTGTTTCAGTGACATATTTAGACATTTTATGACTACAAGATTAAAGACTCCTTGAGAGAAAGATAAATGTTGGGTTTATCTTTACCTGCATCTCAGAAAACAGGAACTCAAAAAACATTTTAAAAAATTTTTGTAATCCTTGATTAAAACCATATTGGGGCTACTGGTTAAAACAAGATACTTACATCCATTTATCCATTCTACATTTGCTGGACATCTATTATATACAAGCAGTGTTTTACATGTTAAAAATACAAAAATGAACAAAACCTGCAAAATTCCTGTTGAGCTCTGGAAATACATGCTTGGGAATTTTACCAATTTACTGGGTAATTCTTTCCAGAGTAGTTTTTTTACGATTACTACTTAAACCAGTGTTTCTGTATACTATTTCCTTCCAATTACCTTTAAACCTTTACATTCTGACATCTACCAAGCACAACCCCTCATGAACATCATGAATGAATAAGGATATCTGTGCCAGTAGAAAAGGTGAACATGTCAGATTCTTAAGTTCTGTGGTACTGTGAAGGAACTTGAACAAAAATACAGGCATACCTCAGAGATATTGCAGGATCAGTTACAGACCATGATAATAAAGCAGATAGATATTACAAAAAGTGAGTCACGTGAACTTTTTGGTTTCCCAGTACACAGAAAAGTTATGTTTACACTATATTGCAGTCTATCAAGTGAGCAACAGCATTAGGTCTTAAAACAACATACATAATTTTAAAATATTTTGCTGCCTAAAAATGGTAACGATCATCTGAGCCTTCAGCAAGTCCTATTTTTGCTGGTGAAGGGTCTTGCCCTCAATGTTGATGGCAGCTGAGTGATCAGCGTGGTTGTTGCTGATGATTAAGGTAGCTGTGGCAATTTCTTAAAATCAGACAACAATGAAGTCTACTGCATCAATTGACTCTTCCTTTCATGAAAGATTTTTCTGTAGCATGCAATGCTACTTGATAGCATTTTACTTTCAAACTTCTTTCAAAATTGGAGTCAATCATCACAAATGCTACTTTATCAACTAAGCTTATGGAAGATTCTGAATCATTTATTGTCATTTGAACAATGTTTATAACATCTTCACCAGAAGTAGTTTCCGTTTCAATAAACCATTTTCTTTGCCCATCCATAAGAAGTAACTCCTCATTTGTTGAGCTTTATCATAACATTGCAGAAATTGTCACATCTTCAGGCTCCACCTCTAATTCTAGATCTCTTGCTGTTTACACCACATCTGCAGTTATTCCTCCACTAAAGTGTTGAACCCCTCAAAGTCATCAATGAGGGTTGAAGTCAACTTCTTCAAAACTCATGTTAATGTTCATAGATAGACCTCCCCCCATGAATCACAAATGTTCTTGATGGCATCTAGAATGGTGAATCCTATCCAGAAGGTTTTCCATGAGAGGAGTCACTATCTATGGCAGCTCCAGCCTTGAGAAATGTATTTCTTTCTTAAGACTTGAAAGTTGAAATGACTCCTTGATCCATGGGATGCAGAATGGATGTTGTGTTCACATGCATAAAAACATTACTCTCCTGGCCAGGCACAGTGGCTAACGCCTGTAATCACAGCACTTTGGGAGGCCGAGACAAGTGGATCACCTGAGGTCAGGAGTTCGAGACCAGCCTGGCCAACAAGGTGAAACCCTGTCTCTACTAAAAAATACACAAAATTAGCCAGGCATGGTGGCACGCACCTGTGATCCCAGCTACTCGAGAGGCTGAGGCAGGATAATCACTTGAACCCAGGAGGCGGAGGTTGCAGTGAGCCAAGATCGCACCATTGCACTCCAGCCTGAGCAATAAGAGCAAACCCCCAACTCAAAAAAAAAAGACATTACTCTCCTTATACCTCTTCATCAGAACTCTTGGATGACTAAATGCACTGTCAATGAACAGAAATATTTTTTTAAAGAATATTTTTTCTGAATAGTAGGTCTCAACAAGCGGGCTTAAAATGTTCAGTAAACCATGCTATAAACAGATGCACTGCCATCCAGCATTTGTTGTTCCATTTCTGGAGTGCAGGCAGAGAAGATTTAGCATCATTCCTAAGGGCCCTAGGATTTTTGGAATGGTAATTGAGCATTGGTTTCAACTTTAAGTTATCAGCTGCATTAGCCCCAACAAAGGAGTCAGCCTGTCTTTTGAAGCATTAAAGAAAGACATTGACTTATCTGTAGCTGTGAAACTCCTAGATGGCATCTTTTTCAAATATAAGGCTTTTTCATCTATATTGAAAATCTGTTGTTTAGTGTAGCCACCCTCATCAATGATCTTAGTTACACCTTCTGGATAACTTGCTGCAGCTGCTACATCAGCATTTGCTGCTTGTGTCACCTTGCACTTTTATACTATGAAGGTAGTTTCTTTCCTTAAATCTCATGAACCAACCTCTGCTAGGTTCCAACTTTTCTTCTGCAGCTTCCTCACCTCTCTCAGCCTTCATAAAACTGAAGAGAGTTAGGGCCTTGCTCTGGAATAGGCTCTGGATTAAGAGAATGTTGTAGCTAGTTTGATCTTCCATCTGAACCACTCAAAACTTTCTCTATGTCAACAATAAGATTGTTTTGCTTTCTTATCATTCACATGTTCACTGGAGTAGCACTTTTAATTCCCTTTAGAATTTTTCCTTTGCATTCACAACTTGGCTGTTTGGCATAAGAGGCTTTTGGCCTATCTCAGCGAGTTGACACACCTTCCTCACTAAGCTTAATCATTTTTAGCTTTTGATTTAAAATGAGAGACTTGGGATTCTTCCTTTCACTGAACACTTAGAAGTCATTGTAGGGTTATTAACTTCCTTAATTTTAACATTGCTGTGCTTCAGGGAATAGGGAGGCCCAAGGAGAGGAAGAGAAACAGAAAAGAGCTGGTCAATGGAGCAGTCACAACACTTATTAACTTCACTTTCTAACATGGGTGTGGTTTGTGGCACCTTAAAACAATTACAAAAGTAACATCAAAGATCACTGATCACAGATCAGCATAACAGATATACAAACAAATAATGGAAAAGTTTGAAATATTGCAAGAACTACCAAATACCAAAATGTGACACAGAAATATGAAGTAAACACATGCTGTTGGAAAAATGGCATCAATAGGTTTGCTCAATGCAGGGTTTCCACAGTCCTTTAATTTATTAAAAAAAAAAAAAAAAAAAAAAGCAGCATCTGCAAAGACCAATAAAGCAAGGCATAATAAAACAAGGTACACCTATATTAATAATAGTAAAACTACAACTATTATAATACAACTATTATAATTTCTTCTGTTCCCAAATCTGATCTTATGTTGCACTTACTGATTGTTTGACTCCCCTAATAAAATGTAAGCTACATTAGGGTAGGGACATGATCAACTTTGCTCATCATAGTATTCCTACTGCCTAGTAACAGTGCCTGAAACACAGCAATATTTGTCAAAAGAAAAATGAATGAACAAGGGAGAGAGAGATGAAACAATTCCACTAATTTAAGAGATACACTGCTGTTACAGTATCTCAAACTAAAGTTCATGACTTGGAGACATGACCCATGTCAACTCATCAACAAATTTCCATTTCTGGAGTTGATCTTTAAAAAATTTTCCCAAGTTCCCAGAATAGTTTATAAATATGCTATCTTCCAGGCCAACTACTAAAATAACTACTAACAGGAGAGAAAAGCACACCAATCACAGCTTTGAGCAACAAAAAACTGGTGGGGGTGGGTAGGTAATTAAGTATGTTTCTAATTTTGAATGGAAAATCAAGGAGAAAATACAGTGGCCCTGAAAAGCCATTATTTAATCATTGTTTTGGATGATATATTTCAGAATGATTAATATTCATGATGATCTGCAGAAACCTACACATTTCCTACAAATCATATATATCAAAATAAAATGTCATTTTTAATAAATCATTTCTTCAGAAACAAGACAAGAAAATTCAAGAAAATAGTATAACTTTCATAGAAGTATAATTTTTAAGTGTCATTTGCACTCAATAACATGAATCATAAGCAATAAGCCATTCATTAAACATGAAAGTAAATTGGTTTATCCTTGAAATACTACCACCCTCAAATCTAGTAGTGGAAGTGCAGTAATTCACACTTGCATTAATGGATTAATTTTTTTAATAATAATCAATACAACAATAAAATTTTTAAGTGAGAAAAATATCCTATATATTATAAATGTTATATCTAATTTCTGATGAAACAATTACATCACAAATTACAGAATGTAACACTCACCTTCATGAATTAATTTGTATAGTCACCATATCACAGGTCATGATTCATACTTAAATACAGTGGTGTTGCTGGTAAATGTTTAACAACCATTTCTCAGTAACGCAAAAACAGTCTAATATTGTTTGCCAATCTATGTGATGTAAATACTCCCAGATGGCTGATTACAAGCAACCAGTGCAATGTCACTGAATGCAAAGGAGAAAGTGAATCTAGACCACCACTGAAGGATATATTGTGCTAGACTAATTTGTGTTTGAGATATACTGTAGTTATAAATCACTTTTATTCATCAATAACTTATTGTTCATATGCTACATTCCAGGCTGAGATTAAAAATTACATAATCCCTGCCCTCAATGAAATTAGAATTCTTGTGAAAATCAGAAATGGCACATGCCATATGAATTTTAAACTGCTTAAAAATCTAAAACAGATATTTATTTTTTCCATCTTAAATTGGCAACAGCTTACATTCATTTTAGATTGCTCAATCATCAATCTGATTTCATACATATCTCAATATCATCAAGTTAACCAAAATGTATCAAAGTGACACTGAATTACAGATCTTTCCTAAAAGGAACTATATGTTTATGGAAGTATATAATTGGTATTCGAAATTATATTTTTCAAAAATTATTTTCTTGCCTGGGTGAGGTGGCTCACGCCTATAATCCCAGCACTTTGGGAGGCTGAGACCAGAGGATTGCTTGACTCCAGGAGTTCAAGACCAGCCTGGGCAACAAAATGAGACCCCCATCTCTACAAAAAATAAAAATGAAACATTAGGCAGGCATGGTGGCATATGCCTGTAGTCCCAGCTACTCTGGAGGCTAAGGTGAAAGGATTGCTTGAGCATGAGGAATTGAGGCTGCAGTAAGCCATGATCACGCCACTGCACTCCAGCCTGAGCGACAGTGTGAGACCCTATATCAAAAAAAAAAAAGAAAGAAAATTATTTTCTCACTGAAAGTCACTCTATTTACATCTTCCAATGCATTTACTCAACCAACATTTATTAAGTCAAATATATACAGGCCTGGTATATATACATATTGGATAAATAGGCATAAACATATCTCTTTATCCAACCAACATCTATTAAATGCCAGATACAGCCATGGATATATACAGATAGCCGACCCCTTGCTAGGATGAGGAGATACAATTAGACTTAGATATGCCATTACCTCAAGCTAATTTCCTTCACAGTAAGTCTATCTGCCATCTTCAAACTATGCCTGGAGATTTATTTTAATGTTTCTCCACTTCTTTAGTTTGAAAAGTGGACTGTAAATATGGCATTCTGAAATCCTTTAGTCATAATTCCTGAGAGTAACCAAATCTATATTACCCTTTTAATATGGTTTTCTAAACAATTTTTTAACTCTTCTTTAATTTGATTGTGTATATTTATCTGATTTTTTTCATAAATCCATAGCAACACACTTTTTTGCCTAGCTTTTCTATCTCCTTCCCGTAATAAAGTAATCCATGTAAAAAGCCTGGTATATATACGCTTCTGTATTTTAATCCCTACAGATAAAATCCTATATAGGTGTGTGCATGCACCCACACACATATACACATAGAGAATAATTCCATTATTTCTTAATAGAATCATCTTATATGATTTTCTGCAGATTTGCTTTTCTCATTGTTCACCTCATGGAAATTCCTCAAGTTATCTGGTATTATTCAAATTCATTCTTTTTAATATGGGCATATTGCTTCATAACATGAATAGTCTTAATTCACTTCACCATCTCCTTTTGTTTCCAATTGTTTAACAGCAGTGAATAAAACTGTAGAAAACACATCTTTGTGCATATGTGCTCATCTATTGGTGCTTTCATTTCTACACCATAGAGTTCCAGGAGTGGATTCTTGGGTCAATGAGAATGCATATTTTCTTTTTTCATAGACATTTCAGATAACTTAACCAAAAATGCTATATTACATCACAGTTCCACCAGCCATGTATGAAGGTATTTTTTCTCCACTAGAAAAGTAAAGATACTGGTAGGTATAAAGTTACTTTAATTTGGATATCCATACTGTCAGTCTTTACAGATGTACTTACTTATTTGAATTTGTTCTTCCATTGACTTTTCAGATCCTTAGCCCATTTTTCTTTGTCTTTTTTTTTATTCCAACATTTATTTTAGGTTCAAGGGATACATGTGCAGGTTTGTTACTTGGATAAACTGCATATCATGGGGTTTGATGTACAGATTATTTTGCCACCCAGGCAATGAGCATACTACCTGATAGTCTTTCAATCCTCACCCTCCTCCCACCCTCCACCCTCAAGTAGGCTCCAGTGTCTATTGTTCCCTTCTTCATGTCCATGTGTATTCAATGTTTAGCTTCTGCTTATAAATGCAGTATTTAGTTTTCTGTTCCTGCATCACTTTGCTTAGGATAATGGCCTCTGGTTCCATCCACGTTGCTGCAAAGATCATGATTTCATTCTTTTTTATGCCTGTGTAGTATTCCATGGTGTATACGTACCACATTTGCTTTATGCAGTTCACTGTGGATGGGTATTTAGGTTAATTCCATGTCTTTGATATTGTGAAAAGTGCTGCAATGAACATGTGCGTGCATGTGTCTTTATGGGAGATTTATATTCCTTTGGGTATATACTCAGTAATGGGATTGCTGGACTGAATGGTGGTTGTTTTTAGGTCTTTAAGGAAACACCATACTGTTTTCAACAATGGTTGAACTAATTCACACTCTAACCAACAGTGTATAAGCATTCATTTTTCTTCACAACCTCGCCAGCACCAGTTATTTTTTGACTTTTTAATAACAGCCATTCCGACTGGTGTGAGATGGTATCTCATTGTGGTTTAGCTTTGTATTTCTCTAATGATTAGTGATATTGAGCACTTTTCATATGCTTGTTGATTATTTGTATGCCTTCTTTTGAAAAGGGTCTGCTCGTGTCCTTTGCCCATTTTTTAATGGGGTTGTTTTTTGCTTGTTGATTCAAGTTCCTTATAGATTCTGGATATCAGACCTTTGTTGGATGCATAGTTTGCAAATATTTTCTCTCATTCTGTAGGTTGTCTGTTTACTCTCTTGATGGTTTCTTTTGCTGTGAGGGTGCTCTTTAGTTTAAGTAGGTCCCAAATGTCAATTTTTGGTTTTGTTGCAATTGCTTTTGGAGTCTCCATCGTAAAATATTTGCCAGGTCCTATGTCCAAAATAGTGTTTCCTAGGTTTTCTTCTAAGGGTTTTTGTAGTTTTAGGTTTTACATTTAAGTCTTTAACCATCTTGAGTTGATTTTTGTATATGGTGTAAGGAAGGGGTCAGTTTCAATCTTCTGCATATGGCTAGCCAGTCATCCCAGCACCATTAATTAAATAGGGAGTCCTTTCCCTACGGCTCGTTATTGTCAACTTTGTCAAAGATCAGATGGTTACAGGTGTATGGCTTTATTTCTCATTTCTCTAACTTGTTCCATTGGTCTATATGTCTGTTTTTGTACAAATACCATGCTGTTTTGGTTACTGTAGCCTTGTAGTATAGTTTGAAGTCGGGTAGTGAAATGCCTCTGGCTTTGTTCTTTTTGCTTAGGATTGTCTTGGCTATTCAAGCTCTTTTTTGGCTCACAGAATTTATAGAATACATTTTTTTTTCTAATTCTGTGAAAAATATTCTTGGTAGCTTGATAGGAATAGCACTGAATCTTCAAATTGCTTTGGGCAGTATGGCCATTTTAACAATATTGATTCTTCCTATTCACGAGCATGGGATATGTTTCCATTTGTTTGTGTTGTCTCTAATTTATCTCAGCAATGTTTTGTAATTTTCTTTGTAGAGTTTGTTCATGTCTCAGTTAGCTGCATTCCTAAGTATTTTATTCCTTTTGTGGCTACTGTAAATGGGATTGCATTCTTGATTTGGCTTTTCTGTTGGATTTTTTTTTTTTTTTTGCTCTTTTTTTCTAGCCAAGTCCTAAAAGCCCACTGCAGGGTATTGCTAGCAGCTCTTTGTAAAAATCATTAGAAATATTTCTTACCAGATCTATTATTTGTCTTTTGCCTGTGCTTAATTTGACATAAAAACAGTTTTAGGGTTTAAAAAAAAAAGTTGATCATGTCTATGTTTTATTTTAGTTTCAAGTTTTCAGTTTTTGGAGAAAACTGTTCTGCAGTCTGCAAAAAGGACATCAACATCCAGAAAGAGGCCAAGGGAAGAAGGGAGAAAATGCCCTGGCATCGGACTTCATTCTGGTGTCATTCCAACCTTACCCCTTCCCTTCCAGATATTCAAGCCAATAAAATTTCCCTTTTTGCTCAAATTATCTCAAGTTAGGCTTCTGTCACTGACAACAAAAAGAAATCTGACTAACACTGCCATATACTTACCCAACTGAATTGTTGAGTTTGATACACTGCGGCTTTATGTCAGTACTAGAAAATTGGTATTATATAAATTATTTTCCATTTTCACTACCCATGTCAGTATTCCTAAGTCTCCACATGTTTATACAAAGAACATATCATTACATGGTTTATTTTGAGAGAAATGGAATTGAATTATTTCTTCATGTACAATAGCTAAAGCTTTTGAAATTGATGTATAATTGACATTATTATTTAAATTATTCCTAAGAACCACAGTAATAATACATTTAGAATTTCCATTTGACAAATGTTTCTTTTTCTTAAACATGCAAAATTTTTATTCTCACTTCCACTCACCCAAAAGTTATGGATACAATGGCTAATACTTAATTTCAGAAAATACTTCCCATTTTACGTGTTTATTCTCTAGCCTTAACCTTAACCTCAGAGTCATTATTGTGTTATTTACAGATTGAGATTGTTCTGACCTATTTGTAGCCAAGGAGAAGTTGACCCCAAAGTTTCCATTTCTCTTTTATCATCTTCCTTTTCTGATTGCTGTACTCCTCTCCCATCAGGACAGACAATAGCAGTCTGCATTGCATTCCTCAGAGTTCTAGGATTCAGAACTGACTGTAAGAGAGTTGACCGTGGCTTCTAAGTCCCACTATCCTTTTTCAAACAGAATAGCTTCATATTTATCCTTCAGATATAGTGGGGAGGGAGGACTGTGTAAGACTCCATTTTTACAGAAAGGTTTCCTGCACTAAACAGAATTTAAGAACCATTATTCTGCATTATTATTTGTTTATATTTTCCAATCTCAAATGGGCCCTCAAGGTAGCTTTCAGATATTTTTATCATATCCCATTTCCTTCAATGCTTCTTCCAAACCTATGAGCCCTTCTCAAAACTATCCTGAAATCTGCTCCACTCTGAACACATAACTTTGCCCCTTACTTCACTGAGAATAGTGAAGCTACATAGTATGAACTGGTTCAAACTTCTTCTTTGTCAAGGAAACAAGTTTTCTTCTATCTATACTTGATCCCTCTGCCCAGAGAAATATGTGTGATTCCTTATTTTTAAAACTTTTAACCCTAAATCTAATCTAATCAATCTAATCTAATCAATCTAATCCCAATACCTATTTGCCTCTTTTATCTTCAATCTCTTTCTCCCTAGTGACTCCTTTTCTACAAACCTTTCAACCACTCACCCTCTCACCCAAACCTCCCCCAATTCTGCTTCCCATCAGGCTACTAATTCATCCCTCACTGCTAATCACCAAACATCTGAGCAGTGTGGGGCACATTCGCCAACCCCCTTCCTCACTAGACACTCAATTCAGAAGGCTCCATAGATTTGGTTACCTTCCACATGGGCCCTCTCCCACGGTAGCTCTTACAAATGACCATCAGGAACCTCATAATCTACAAGTCTCTTCTCGATGCGCATCTGCCAATCTCCTGAAGCAAGATACTTTGTGTTTTCCTACCTGAACTGCCCTCTTCCTAGACTATCTCATCTAATTCTTCTCTACCTCTCTCCACTGTACCTATAGATGTAGATATGCTTGTAGCAGCTGGTCGTTGTCCTTTCATGAGTTTCTCCTCCTCTACCCACTTAACAGACATTTTCACTATCACTCCATCTTTTCTCTCTTCTTGCTAAGTTAACTTCATTGATAAGCTTTCATACATGCCTTTACACACATGCACAAGAAAACCAATCTATAGCAGGCCATAACTAATTTTATTAATTTCAGGGGAAAATGTGTATTCCTTGCTCTTCTCTATCAGACTTAAACTTTCATATATATGAACATTAAAATTTTCCTTGAAATGGAAAATTGGATAGTACCAAGAAACACTAGATTACAAATGTATCTTTATCAAAATATACCTCATACTGCTTACTATAAGTTATAGTTACTAAAGGTCTCTAACAAATCTCAGAATAAAAAGTTGAAACACAATCCAGACATTATTGAAAAAAAGGAGAAATAATATCAGAAATAAGGCTGACACTTAAAAGATAACTAAAGAATGCACCTATGTTTAGTACTGCTAGATGCTTTAACAAATATATCTGCCAGCCTACACACATAAAGTAATATTCATTTATTCTTCACAACAACCATTTGAGGTTGGTGTCTTCAATCTCATTTTCAAGGACTAAAAATAAAGTAACCAAAAATATTAACAATAGTTACCTCTGGGGGAGAAATTATGGATGGCTTGCATTTTGTTTTGTGTATTTTCTACAATGATAATATATTACTTTTGAAAAGTTGTGTTATGATGAAAATATAGGCCGGGCACAGTGGCTCACACCTGTAATCCCAACGCTTTGGGAGGGTGAGGCAGGCAGATCACCTGAAGTCAGGAGTTCAAGACCAGGCTGGTAGACATGGCAAAACCCCATCTCTACTATAAATACAAAAATTAGCCGGGCGTGGTGGCAGGTGCCTGTAATCTCAGCTACTCAGGAGGCCGAGGCAGAAGAATCACTTGAACCCAGCAGGTGGAGGTTGCAGTGAGCCGAGGCGGCGCCACTGCACTCCAGCCTGGGCAACAGAGCGGGATGTTGTCTCAAAAAAAAAAAAAAGATGAAAATACCAAGTTTTCAACTGAATCCTTTTGGAAGCAAGAATTATAACTGGGTGGCATTTCCTAGTAAATGAAGGAATGAAAGAACTTTGCAAAATGGAAAGTAACTTAGATGTTATCAAATCTAGTCCTCTAATTTTTTAGATTAAAAGCAATCCGTTTATGTAACATTAAATAAACTCTCAGATGGACAATACATAAATTCTTCAAATATAAAATCATACTTTTCATATATTTTAATGTAGTAACATACCTCCTTTATGAGGTAAATATCCCAGCTGCCTCTATTTTTCATTTATGGTGATATTTATGGCATCCAGCATTGTAACACATAGGTAAATGCTTAATAAACACTATTTGACAATGATCACAAACTGAACACTTAAATTATTCACAGATTTACCCAGATGTTTCCAAGACTTTAAGTTCTGTAAATAAAAGTTACTAAATGAGTGCCAATTTACTACAAGAATATAAAATGAATTTTTGTGCTATTCCAAGTCACATTTAAAAGCTTTGCAAACAGCATGCTATTAGCTCTGCTGATTTGTTTTTATTTTTCCTAATTGAAATGTGGTCCATGTTATCAGGCCATCTGCACTGTGGCAAAATGACCTGGTAAACAAGACAAAAATGGTGTTCTCTGTTAGGAACAATATCAGATTCTGTTTCTGCTAAGAAAACATTATTCTAAAGGGATATTTTCTGGTACTAATGCTGAAAACTTTGATAAAGGAGGCCACAGTAGGAGATGCTTGTTGCAGTGCTTAGGTTGCCTGCTAAGATGCTGACGACAATCCAGGGTCTCTCCCATTAACTCCAATAAGTCAGAGTACTGCATTTTCAACACTGTCCTGGCAATAATTCAGCACTTTAGCACATACTTAGGGCCCATATATCACATTGTACTCCTCTTACCTGCTTATACATTTTGTCTCTACTAAACTGTGAGCTCTCTGAAGTGCTATAGACCTTATCTTATTCACATTAACTACCCCAAGTTTCTTGCATTTAACAGAAGAAAGACTGGATTATTTTAGGCTAAAATCAAGGAGCAGTCATTTATGCAATGGTTTACATCTCACCACTCCAGAAGATTGACGTGATCCGAGGGATGGCTGCCCTTCCTATTCCTCTAGCTCTTTATACCACATTATCCTTTGTGTGTGTGTGTCAAAAAATACTATCCTGAGATATGCAAAAATACCACAATAAAAAGTCACCCATAATCTCACTACTCTTTTTTAAGTACACAAGGAAATGAAAGTTCTTGCCCCAGTTTCTCCAGCCCTAGTGCAAGATAATCACTGCAAATGCTTTTACAAGTTTGGTTAGAATCCATCAAGGGTTTTCCTTTACATGGGCAGATATGCACAGACACCCACTCATTCACAGTATAAACTCACAATGTCTTTAAACAAAAATTGGTTCATACTATACATATGCTTTTTTTTTTAAATATTGGGTAACTTTCTAAGTCAGATCTAAGTCATTGGTTTTAACAGCTGTATTATCCATCAACTGCATGACTGTACTATAAATTACTTAATCATGTCTCTATTGATAAATATTTTGGTTTTAAATTTCCTGACATTTCACACAGTGCTGCAAGAACATGCTGGTACACAGATCTTTATATGTTCAAGCTATTCTTATAAAATAGGTTCAAAATAGTGGAACCATTACATCAGTAGGGTATACAAGTTTTTATTTTGATAGATACTGACAAATTATACTAGCAATAGTTTGCATTGATATATATTTCTATACTCTCACCAAACATTTACTGTCAAAAATCTTTAGTTTTTCTATTATGACAGACAAAAAATGCTCTCCATACCTATTTTAATTTACATATTGAAATTGAACGTCTTTTCATGTGGATGTATGACATTCATTATTTTTCTTGGGCAAATTGCCTATTGACATGAAATAAACTTCTTCCTATTGGGTTGTTCATCTTTTTCTTAATGATTTGTAGGTGTTCTTTACACATTATTGATACATAGCAAACGTTTTCTTCCAGCTTTTTATTTCTTCTAACTTTGCTTGCTCCCTCTCTCTCTCTCCTTCGCTACCCATACAAAAGTTTTTAGTTGTATTAGCAAATGTAGCCATCTTTTTTCCCTTATGACTTCTGGATTTTAACCTGCTCAATAGCACTCTCTCACTTGAAGATTAATTTTGGTAATATCATCTCAGGATGATAGTGTAATTTTCAGATAACTTATCTAGCCTCATAAAGTAAGTTTTTCTTTCTCAAGAGACAGAAAATATTAAAACCTCAGTCTTAATTATGTTAAAGTTTCTCCCCTTTCTCAGTGTGAACCTCACTCAAAGAAATCTATAGTGATGAACGGGGCTGCAGATCTTCACCATTTTCCCACCTTGTACTTCCATTCCACCATGCCAACTTTTCAGGTTTCCTCCATTACCTTCAGGGCTGGAGACAGTGGGGAGGAAAGAGAAACAGATGCAGAAAACTGCTATAATCAAGCATCACTGTTATACTCTGGTGCCACGGTCCTCCAGATGTAGCTGATATCCAAGTGTTGACCGTATCTTCCATGGAATGCATATGTGCATTACTCAGACAGTAAAGAAATACTACTAAAGAAATAGCAGTCCACCCTGCATAAACTGTCCCTATTGGGGGTCACTGCACATGCAGGGGGTCCCCTTGGGACAAAATTCCTCCTAAGACAAGTCACAGTCAATGCCTTCTGAAAGATCCACATCTGACCAATGTTTTGGCACAAGTCCAGCTTGTTCCAACCATAAGTCTAATCCTTTTTCTTTGCTCTGCCACCAAAGCAGCTCGAATAGCCTCTTGCCTTTAGAACCTAGCAGAGTGAACACAGTAAGTTTCCAATCTGGGTCTCCAAACTGGAAGGGATACACATCAACCTCTGAGTGCTTCTCTCAAATGCCCACTCATTTGGCTCCAGTCCCTCACAAGGGGTCAGAAATAATATCACAGCATTCCGACACCTCTCTCTCCGAAGAAACCCCCTCTGTCGATCTTCCATTTCTTAAATTACTGTGAACCTTATCTTGTATAGTTTCAAAGTAGATGACAGGCTAATGGTAGCACAATAGGCTCTGCAGTCTCTTTTCATGGCTGTGTTGTTTCAGCACCTGATATCCTCAGCCCCTGGGCTTCTGTCAAAACGTTGACATAACAGGAAAGTCATATTTAATTTTTCTGTTATAGAAATCTTAGTTTTACTGTTATTAAATTCCTATATAGGCTGTTCAAAAATCAAAACAACCTTAATATTAGAGATAAATGCCTCATCTTTGGTAGGATTTTTATTTCTTTCCTCATAATGTCTTATACTTTCTAAATTTTCTGCAACAATGAATCACTTCTGAAAGAAGAAAAAAAGACTGTTAAAACTGTTGTATTTTAAATACCTTTATTTGGCACATTACCCACTGGTCACAATCTTAACTTGGATTTTGCCACTAATCTTAAATAAGCATTATACAAAAGTAATTATTTAAAGACATTTTATTCACTCATTTATCTTGTTACTTATTTATTGGGCATTAAAATGATATCTGAATTCTGATCATATATCAGAAGTATTACTTCTATAGCACTGTTAATGTGAGAAGTATATATAAATCATACACCTTTTTCACATAAGTAGACAAAACAAAGCAATAAAATAGTAACAAATTATTTCACACTAAAGACTGCTTCATTAAGAGATACTCTATTCTTTTAAGTTGTATCTTTGATTTTAATAATTTTAAATTTGAGTATATGAATAAATGAATGATACTTGGAATGTTACTTGATTACTAAACAAGTTATCTTAGAATTTCTAATCATTTTATTTTGATTACTGAAACAACCTTTGTGTCCTAAAAAAAAAATCCTCAAAAATGACAGGGGGAAATGCGTAAAGATCACGAGCTATAAAATCTAAATAGTGCAAAAATAAAATGAGAACACTAGTTCTCATCTAACTTCTCTAAAACATAACCAGACAAGAAGTATACTTTAGGAGAGATACATTTTGCCAACTATAAGATATTCCCAAATCTTAAATTATAATTAACTTCAGATTAAATTAAGGAAAATCAAAATATGAGATAATATGAGCCTCCCAGTAAAATGACCCAGGAGATTACACGCACACACAGTTGCACCAATATCAGAATAAAATTAATTTATGACCTCAAAATAAAACAAATTTATTTTAGTTGCCATAAGAAAGTATGACTTTATCAATTTCAGAGTACTCTAAGAGAAGTGAATATGTGTTACAGGAGGAGGCAGTCTGCATGGTACCTGCAAACATGTCCAGAGACCTAAAGTGCTGCAAAATACCACTGCAACTCCCCAGGAAAGGGAGTATTCAGACACATAAACACAATTATCTAGTTTTTGCTGCAGCAAGATTTCTCTGCCTTCGTGGAGCTTCTAGTTTATCACATTAAAGAAAGCACATGATGCTGGGTGCACGCACAGTGGCAGGATCTTAGTCTAAATATACGCCCCATTATCTCCACAGTGGATCATCCAACAAACCAAGTAAGCAACTCTCTATCATTTGGCTTCCTGTGTAGACTAGCCTATAAGGAGAGAAGAGACTACAAGAGTCTTCTTAAGAATAATATTTCTGATTGTAAATTACTAAAGTGACATTTGGATTTTTAAACATCAGTCTCCATTAAAACAGATTGTATACCTGCTCATGAAATGAAAACTGAGTCTTTGTATGTTGACCAATCAAGTTTGTGAGCCTCCAAGATCCCCATCAATGTGAATAATGAAGAATTCACAAAAGTAATACTCTTTTAAGGATTTATTTTGCCTAAATGACACATTACCTCAGTACATGTCTTTTCCTCCAAGTGCAACACAAAAAGGGAGAACCAAAGCATATTATATCTCACTCAGTGCCCTCAACTACTAACTCAATAGGCAAAAAGGGTGGCAATGCTGAAGTCAAAACAGCAAATTCAAACTGAATAGTTAAATGTGACTAAAGAGAGAACAGGAGCTGGTTTGTGGTATAAGAAGGGCGGAACTAGTACAGGCAAGGCAAGAACAAAAAAAGACTTGAAGTGGGCAAGGTGGAGGTCAGAATGAACTTTGGAGAAGTATAATGGTTACTGCATGTTTGCACATGATCCCAGAACATCCCTGAGGGAATATGGTTAAGTTCAGTTATACAGGAAAGAATAGAATGGGTCATTCAAAGTTAAAATTCAGGAGTAGAAATGGAGATAATTTTTAGAAGAAAACTAATAAAAGGAATTATGTCATGAATCTAACATACCTAAAATATGATAAAAATTAAAGAGAGACCAAACTGATTTAAGAGGCAAAATTTTCAGATGAAATATTAATACATTATTTTATTTATATTTTCAATTCATATATATTTGAAATAAAATCTATATTACATATAAAATAACAAATATGAGGTATAGACAAATACATATATATTAGCTTAGTAACATATAATCAACTTTTTAAAAATCAATGGGGTGAGAGACCTAAAATTTTTGGATACTACTAGACCTAAAATACAGGTGTTAAACTGGGAGGTTCTACTAACCTTCTAGATATAGAAAGAACTTACATGAATGAAGCCAGGATTAGAAAAGCAGGGCTAAGAGATACAGAAAGAACCGATCCTTAGGTCATTTGAGAACCCAGATCTATGCGTGCTGGAAGCCAATACCAGGCTTCTCAGATGCACGAGCCAATATGCTCTGTTTTTGATTCAGTTTGAATTCAGTAGGTCATTTCTGACAGAAAAAAGGGCAGAAAAGTTAACTGAGGGAAAAATAAAACAAGTTATAGAAAAATATATTTCTATGACCCCATTGGGGAAAGGGCAGAAAACAAAGTTCACCAGAAAAAATAAAGCATGATTTATTTAAGATTCCAGAGATAGATGTTCAATATTAGGCTTTCCATTATTTTATAATACATAGTAAGCAATAGATGCTCAAAGCATACTGAAGGCTACACATCTACTTCCATAAATTGAATTCTGTGAATACCAAGAGTTGACTTTTTGTACCCCTGTTTATGAACTGTTCTGTGTTCATTAATGTAATCATATATGAGAATTAAAAGAAAGAATATTATTAGGGCTTAAGAAAGACAAGGTTAGGGTAAGTTGCTTAAAAAAACTTATCTTAAAAATTAGGTATAGGTTTAAGATAACAAAAAAATCACATTATAAATACCATATACATCTCCTATAAGTCTAAACTTAGATTGCTTTACGAGTATAAATTATTGGTCTACTCAAAACATACACAAAAATGGTTATCACAGATGATGTCTTATGGGCATGTCTTATGTGGGAAAAAAAAAGTAAGAGCCACTCCTACTCAAAGAAAAGGGTTTGGCTCAATATCTAAAGACAGGTTGTGAATACATACTTGTATATTTCATGTGCGGGAAAAATATTATATGTGTTATTTTTTCTTATACCCAGTTTTATTAACTTTTTATTCAACTTTTTATTACAAATATGAATCAGATTTAAGAAGCCTTCAACTGTAACATTTATTTTCTCAGGCTCATTTTACACTTTACTTGAACTTGGATTAGAAGACTTGAACTGTTAAGACTTTAAACCTAGCCCCTATTCCAAACTTTCCCACACAAAAACCCCTAAATTTTATAATTTAGTTAACCGAGTCCTAGAGAAAAATAATGAATTTTCTGAAACCACAAAGTTAGAAGCAACAAAGCTAGATTCTTAACTCCAGGAAACAAAGTATAGTTTTAAGGGCTAAATAAGTTATTATAAAATATTGAAGAACACAGCTTTAATTTTTACCATCTAGAAAAAATATATTGTATTTTGTTCCTATTTAAAAATCATTAATGTTGTTACCCTTCAAACAATATTTCAGTGATTTTCTTAGTATTTAAAAACAGTAGCAAAATACAATTACTCACCATTTTTCTACTTTATTTTACTACTCTATATATAATAAAGCCCTAATGTCCGTAACATTCTACAATGTGTTATAGAAATTGATGAGTTTAATTACTTAATGTGCACAGATCAATTAGAAATAAATTGAAAATGAACATACTGTACACTCTACTTAATCTCGTTATAGTTTGGTTTCAGAATTCACTTTCTAATTTGAAACCCAGTATGTTACATTTTAAAATAATAATTAGAAAACTTTTACATTTCAGCTAAAATAAAGCAAAAGAAATTAAGGTAGGTAAAGTTTGATTAGTCAAGAAATCTGAACTCAAGGGTAAAAAAGATCCTATGCTCCTATAATCTAAGCCAATACGTTTGACTTGTCATACTCATTTTTTTTCTTAAAAATGGAATGAAATAACATTACATTTTCTGTCTATAGGATAATTTTTAAATGAATTATAGGCACAAAAGGTAGACAAACTAATCAGCAGACAAATGAATTAACAAAGGAAATAATCATTCAGTGTCAACTCTATATACTTAAGACAAATAATACACATTTATCCAAAGTAATACAAGTATCTGCACAAGGGGTCACACATCACTTTTCACATTACTGAGCCATTTTAAAACAGAAGGTGATAAAAACTCTTAGATGCCTATGAACTCAATTTACATGGAGTACATCACTATGCTTTTTTAAAATGCGCTCATATTCAAATCTGAGAAACATGATTCTGAGCTCATCAGGCCTGCTTAATTGCACTAACATCTGCAATCAATTTAAATTCTTTAAGATAGTCTTTCACAGTGCTTGAAGTGATTTCCTGCTGTGATAGATTTAACACACTCACTAATTTATAGACATATACAAGCAGATGAGACCTATTTTTCCAGGGGTGGGGTATAGTACTGAAGGGCAGTCTGAATTTCCCAACTATCAATGGGATTCAGAAAGGGATGCATCCTGCATAACTTTGAAACTACATAAGGAAATGATAACACTGCATAAGCATAGCATAGAAATTAAACTTAAAACTATTTGTAGGTCATGGACCATTAAGAGGTTTAATGAAAGTTTATGGATGAAATAACAGCAAAACCAAGAGCTAACAGCTAAAAGTTACATAGAAAAATGTCATTATTTTCTACCCTAATAGTTAGGGCAGCGGGGGTGCTAATAACCCTGAATTGTTTTTTAACCAAAGACATAAATTGGCATAGAATAAAGAAAAGAATATGAGATTCAAAATCAGAGACTAGAGGAGCTAGGCAGATGGCAGCAGCAATACAGTTTTGAAAACTCCCTGATCTCCCACAAAAAAAGACAAAATAACTAAGTAGCAAAATCAAACACCCAACAATATTGAGTGACAAAGTACCTTCTCAACAATCCTCAAACTACAGGAGGTTGAAGACAAACCACCAACAGCCACAAATCCGCACAGTAGCAATACGTGTATGGGAAGAACCAAAGGAAGGCAACAGAGTAGCTAATGAACATGAAAACAAGATAACTCCAAAATGGCCCAGAGATATCCATTGGACATCTCAGTAGACCAATTTGAAAGCAGCAGTTGGAACTGGAAGGAGTATGAGTGACTACAAGAGGCCCAGAAAAGATCTGAAGGGGCTGGAGCACTCAATGTCCCATGAGTTGCCAGAGCTCCTTCCAGAACAGGATCCTACATTGAAGAGAAAGTGCTGAAAGTGAAATCAAAATTGAGCAGAAAATTCCTGTAAAAGATGAAAGACACCTCAAAGACAAACCTATAAATCAAATTGTAACTTACAATTTCAAAGTGAGCTAACAGACATTAAGAGAATATATAAGACATGAAAAAAATATTTAAAGTGGACTAAGACACACTCAAAAATGCAGTGAGGGAATTCAAGAAAAAAATAGAAATAAAAAAATCATTTCAGAAATAAAAACTAACAAGGAACACAAGAATAAACATAATGTCATAAGAGAATGCAGACATGAAAAAAATAAAATGTTTAAAACCTAAATAGAAATAAAGAATAAGATAAAAAGCATTTGGGAGAAGACGGCATATTAAAGATAGACAAAAATCCAACATACAGATAACAGAATCCATGAAAAAGAAAACCAAAGCAAAAAATTAGAACACATCAGTGAAAAAAAAAGAAATTTAAGAAAAAAAGAAAAAGAGCATACTGCATACTTGATAATCCTAACTCAGATATCCCAGAGAAAGAAAGACATTAATTTATAACTAAAAGTTAGTTATCAGCTGACCTTTTGACAACAATGCCATTAAGCTTTTTGCTAGAAAAAAAAATAGTATTATTCAAGATCCTATAGTATTATTCAAGATCCTAAGCAAAAAAACGTGTGAGCCAAGCATTTTATATCCAACAAAGCTGACTAAACAATAAAGGGCATATACTATTACCAACATGCAAAACTCAGGAAATACTGTTTCCATGAGTCCTTCAGAGGAATCTACTAAAGAAGAAACTTCAGACAAACAAAAAGTCTGCAGAAATAACATAAGGACCATGGTGAGCATTCAAATATAGTTACTAAATGAGGTTAAAACTAAATGAGAACTAAAAGGAAGAGTGTGAAATGTAATGGCTATATGCTTAGTCAATGTCGACATAGTAGGACAAAAATAGCAGTTGGAGACAGAACATATGCAAAATAAAAACTTTTTACATACACATCCACACACGCTTTTTTAGTTTTCTATTTCTCCACTAAAAACAGTAATTAAACAAAAAGAACAGTAAGTATCCTTGGCCCTCAGCTTGTAAACTTTGAAATATCGTTCCCCACCCTAAAGGAAAGAGTCAACTGATACCAGGTCTAGCGGGCTAAATATTCTAGAGGAGGAGCTTGATCATCAGATCAAAATGACTAGGAGCCAACTAGACAAGTCCCAATGGCCAAAGATGGGACAATTTGATCTTCACTAAAAATAATTGTAACACATCAATTTTTAATGATATTAAAAATGATTGATCATCTTCAGAGAATGATAGAGAATGAAATCAATATATTGAAAGCTGGCAAATAAAGGAAAAGAATCAAGCATTTATCCTAAATTTCCTATATCACTGGCTAACCAAACAGTATTTGAGAGATGTCTCTTTGTAAAAGTATCCCAATAAATGAAAATGAAATTATAGAATTCTAACTGCAAACTAGATATTAATGAAAGAATATAATACTTCTTATGATCTTGGTAAAGAGATGAAACCTGAGTCTGATCATGCCTCTAGATCTAGCTGTCTCTGTGCAGGAAATACAGAGGATAGGAAAACACGTTAACTTTACCACAAATACACACATCAGCAAAATTCAGAATGTCCTGGATAAAATAACTGAAGATTAAACAAGACATAGAGATAATCCAAATTTTAAAATATAAGCAACAGTAGTGCATTTGTGGCCCCCATGGATCTATCACTTGCTTCAACAGTGATTGGACAGAATAGACCAAGGGACTCCCTCTCAAAAAAAAATTTTAAATAAAGACCAAGCACGGTGGTGCATGCCTATAATCCCAGCACTCTGGAAAGCTGAGGTTGGAGGATCACTTGAGCCCAGGAGTTCAGTATTACAGTAAGCTATCATCACTACTGCACTCCAGCCTGGGTGACAGAGCAAGACCCTATGGATGGACAGATGGATGGATGGATGGATGGATGGATGGATGGATGGATGGATGGATGGATGAATAAACTATAGTCTGAGGATGCACTTTTGAGTGATAGATAGATAGACAGATAGATAGATAGATAGATAGATAGATAGATAGATAGATAGATAGATAGATAGAAAGAATAAACTATAGTCCGCAGAGGCACTTTTGAGTGATAAAACTAGAAAGAAACTCGAGGAAATGATTCCCATAAAAGTCAAGATGGTGATTACTTTTAGGCTAAAATATACACAAAACTGAAGAAAGGTTTAGCATGGGACGGGGCAGATGGAGGGCTTTCCAGGATGACTGGCAAGGTTCTATTTACTTATCTGTGTGGTATTCTCCTTATGATAATTCATTAAGCTACACATCTTTTTTTGATGTTTTCTGTAACTATTTTTATTCGACAAACGGTTTTTTTCTTTTCTAAAACCCTAGTTTCTAGTCCTAGCTATGGCATTAATGTGGGAAAGTCACACATTCCCTTGGACCATTCCCTCATGTGCAAAATTTAAAGATGCTGTAAGATATCTTCCAGACCTAAATAAAAATAAAAAAAAGAACTACTACTAAATATATCTACTAAATACGAGAGTATAACAAAGTCATCCTTAACAAAAATGCAGAAAAAAGGTTTTAAACTCACCAAAGTAGCACAAAGCAGTTTCCCAAGGAAAAAAAAAATCCACAAATAAAATCTACCATAACAGTAATATACAAGGAATAGTCAAAACCTAAGATTAAAGTTACTGTTGGACTATTTGGTTTCCACATCTCAACAAATCCTAAGGACAGATCCTTAATTTACTTAATCTACTCTGGAAGGCCTTCTGGTAATAAAAGCATTTGAAAAATTTTTGCAGCATATTGATAGTAAGAGGCTATACCAACCATATTTATTGTCTTGAGGGTTGTGGGGGAAACCACTACACTGAGCCGGTTAGGAAATGGTAATAAGTCAGGAAACCATTAAATTGGGAACAAATGCCTTTTGGGCATCAAGGTGATTGATTAGCCTATTAAGGATTTTTTTTTAAGTATGTATAGAATTTATGCCCTTTAGGAATAACTAAGAAATCAAAGGATATCTCTTAAGTACAAAAGAGCTTAGGAGTTTAAGTTTAATGCCACCAACTAGGAAGGTGAGTAAATTCACGGAAGCTTTAAAACCAGGCATACTCTTCTCCTTACTAATATCTGTTCTATTGGGCATCTTTTTCCAAAAGAAAGCAGGTTCTTCTCTGTTACAATAGTTAACCTTCTCCTTTGATTATTTCTACTAGTGACCAAATGTCATAGAGAATTTCTTAGCAGCTACTAGTATGTATGGTACTTGAACACTCATTTTGATGTTATGCATATGGCAAACTATCCTTGAAGCCACCATGACTAGATAATAGTTTTAATAGTAAATGGTCCATGCTTAGCCTTTAAATTCTGTCAATTCCTGGTCTCTTGTTAAATTAATGTTATACTAAGAGACATCTGGTGATAAGGCTCATCTTCTGCAGCCCAGTAATTCTCATTCTCGGCTGTATCCTAGAATCACCAGGAGGGCTTTACTCAATATTGATACCTGGGTCCCATCCACAGGAACTGTTTTATGGAAGTGTTAAGTGGTAAGGCCTGGACATTAAAATACTTAAAGTTCCCAGATCATTCTACTGGATATCAAGATCAAGAGTTATTGCTCCTGGATACTTTTTCCTCATTTCATCAATTACTTAGCCCCTTTGTTCACTGAAAGACACCTGCACATACATAGCATTTATTTTCTTAAATTTTCACTTTTTCCTTCAGAAGTGTTCCTTCTTTTAAAAGCTTCTTTATATTTGTATATACAGATGTCACATGCCTCTTGTGGCACTTTCAAACTTATCACTACATTCATGGTTATCTGACATGGTAAGTTTTTAATTATATTCACAAAAATCTAAAAAGTAAGTACGAGCATAGCAAAATGTCTTAGGCCAAGAAACAACTCAGTGACAAGATGAAAACAACTCAGTGACAGGGTGAAAATGACCTTGGATGACCTCTAATGCCAACAAGCGGTATAAACATCATTAACCAACTCAGGATCTAATAAAATTCAACTAGTAAATAGCAGTTTTTCCATATCTGATGAAGCCTTTTTTAAAAAACGCTATAATAAAAGAAAAGCTGTCTTAACTACCTATACGATTTTTAAAAGACCAAAAGTATACAATTCTAATGTGAGCCTAATATAATTTACTCCTATAAAAAAAGAAAAGATGATCAGTTTCTTCATTATCATCTCCTACCTAAACAAAAACACAATGCAGTAATACTAGAGAACATGAAACACCACTGGTGCTGCCCAGAAATAACTCATAAGGAATCTGGATGAATTTTAGCTGTTGGAAGATCATTTTAATTGTGCATACATAAAACCTACCCTATATAGGAATAAATGAAAACTGAAGTGCCAGCTAGATTATTAGAAAATACTCTTAACAAGAAATCGGTTCATTGTGCTGAGGCTCTGAAATTTTCTGCTAGTCAGCAAGTAAGACCTGGAAACAAGCAGGCAAAGCATCATAAGCAAGGGCATTGTGTTTATTAGATACATCTAATGTCAATCACAAATTTTTTACTAAGCTTTTGTGTTATAGGGGCATTTTTATCAAATCCCTAATCGGAAATAGAAGCAAAAAAAAAAAAATTCACGTTAATGTTAACAAGAATGTGTGAAACTTTGGTTCTTCTAAGTTTCTAGTGGTTAAAATATAAGCCTCCTTTAAGTAAGAACAACCAAAAAGTGAGAGAAAATAAAAAGAACTTAATTTACTTGTAACTGACAATGTTTTCCAAAATTAACATTGGAAACTGTAACTGAAAGCAAGAAAAACTGACACTGAAATGTATTAAAACTCCCTACTAATATTACAATATTAACAAATCAATGCTAAAACTAACAAATCAATTCCAGATTTTCCATGTAGAGAAAATACAGTCACCCCTTGGTATCCATGGGAGATTGGTTCCAGGACTTCCCACAGACACCAGAATCCAGAGATGCTCCAGTCTCTGATAAAAAATGGCATAGTATTTGCATATAACATTCACATCCTCCCATATACTTTAAATCATCTCTAGATGACTTATGATACCCAATACAACGTAAATGCTATGTAAATAGTCATTATATTGTTTAGGGAATAACAAGAAAAGAAAGCTGTGCATGTTCAGTGTAGACACAATTGTTTTTCCAAATATTTTCAACCTACGGTTAGTTGAATTCATGGATGCAAAACCAACCCATGGATACAGAGGTTCGACTGTATACATAAATCTAAATATATGACTGATTTTTCTCAAAACATAGTTCTTTTCTGATCAAGATACGCCTAGAAGAGTAATACTGCAGAATACAATGTCTTCCATCCTTGAGAACATAATGGCCTATTGAGCTAGAGCAGTACTATGACAAGACCTTTCAAAATACTTTTAAACACTATATTATACATATATCCATACACACAAATATATACATACACACAAGAAACTATAATTCTACACTTATGAACTCAATTTAGACTCAGTTGTTTCATTGTGTTGCTTAAAAAACTTTTGTTAGTCTTTATGCCTCGTAAAGTTATGATCATTAATACTTGATATTTAACTTTCACATTTAAAAAGTCTGAGGAAGAACTACTACAGTAATACTTAAGGAAGCGTTCAAAGAATAAAAACTTTATCCAAAACTTTTCTAATAAATTCCTCAGAATAGCCCTTACATTCAGTTGGAAACCAGCTTGACAGGGAAAAAGAAGGAGCTAGCAAACTTTCAGGAGCATTTATAAAAGAGGAATTCTGCTTCTTGATCCAAAATATCAAAAAAAAAAAACATAAATAGAAAATAAAGAATGGATGTTCTAATTAAGAATCTTAGAAATGTGGGATGGGCTATCCTTCGATATCAGCTCACCTAAACTGGGCATGTTAATGCAGCTGTAATACAGATGCCAATGATACGTGGATAAGGGAGGTGAGGAGTCTATCACAACTTCTGACTCCAAGCTAGTGCATTCAGAAGGGCTTTTAATTAGAAGTACAAAGTTCAAAGAGAAATGTTTAAAGCATTTTATCTAAACCTAATGGTACAGCCAAAAAGTAAGGGGTGGGGCACGGGGGAGTGCAACATGCTAAGAGGTAGCAGTCCAGTTGTAATCTGTAGGTAGTTAAACTGTCTGGACAGTTTAATCATCTTGACCTACGAAAATTAATTGGGGAAAAAGACAACTCGCAAAGCACTGATAAGCAAATGTTCATCTCTACTAAGTATTCTTGGAGACACAATAAACACACTGCACTACATAACATAAACCAAAATTCCCCCGAAAATCTCTTTAAATATCTCTCCAAATCTCTCCCAGAAACCCCACCTCCCCACAAAGGACCAGACATCTTTTTGGTTCTCCTTTCCTATCTATCTCTCAAACTTGTCCTCCTTCCCTCTATCCTTACTCCCTCTCTGCCCCTCTGCTTCCTTCAAGAATCTGCTGCTCCTTTCAAGGGTCTGCTTTCACTTGTCTGGAATATAGGTTTTGGCCTCTCAGGACTTCCCTAGTTTCATATTGCCGCAGATTACCCGGACAAACCTGAAAGTAGAACGGCAAATAGAAGACTCCTTCCTCTCAACAGATAGGAAAGGTATAATGTATGTTTATTTTTGAGGGGCGGGGAGGGGGACAGGGTCTCACTCTGTCACCCAGACTGTACTGCAGTGGCATGATCTCAGCTCACCGCAACCTCCACCTCCTGGGTTCAAGCGATTCTCCTGCCTCAGCCTCCTGAATAGCTGGGATTACAGGCCTGTGCCACTACACCCAGCTAATTTTTGTATTTTTAGGAGAGACAGGGTTTCACCATGTTAGCCAGGCTGGTCTGGAACTCCTGACCTCAAATGATCCACCCGCCTCGGCCTCCCAAAGTGCCAGGATTACAGGAGTAAGCCACCAAGCGCAGCCATATATTTTATTTTTACTAACCCTCTGTAATTGATAGAGAAAAAATATATAAATCTTGTTCAGAATAGATTTAGATCAATAAGAATCCTTTTTAACACATACTTTAATTGTATATAAATTAATCCATAGTCTCCCATGACCCCCATCATGAGATTTTTCTCACATTATCCAGAAATAATACATCCAGAAACAGCTCACCTTTAACACAACTCAAGCACCTACAAGAAAATAAGCATTAATAAACACTTCTATCACAGACATAGGTATGATGCACCATCCCAAAGAGAAAAGAGGAAAAAGAAAACTAAGTGAAGGCAGCAACTCTATTAGGATATATCTTCCATGCTTGGTTTGTCCACTCAAACATAAGAAGCTTGACTACAGAAATCATCTTTTAACAGTATCTGATGGAGTACTTTAAGCATTCTAAGGGAAGATAAGATTAAAAATAATCAAACCCTAATAAAGAATGAGAACTATACTCAAGGTTAAGCATTACTATTAAATACATCTATATTTATATAATAGATTTGTATATTAATTTCTAATTCTTTTTTATTTTTAAAAATAATGAAAATCCTCAGGCAGTTGTGGTTTACAAGAGCATTCTCTGTTCTGGTCCAGAATTTTCTTGTTCTTACATTTATTGGAAACCATGGATCCTCTTCCATTTGGCCTATCACATCACATCCTGCTATCAAGGCCTTTACCACTAACTGCATCACAGTCTTACCTTCCAGCTACGTGATCTAACAAGTCAAGTCTATATTCTTCTTAAAAGACATTTTCTCCAATAAACTTGCTGTTAAACATCTGAGTTGAGTCATTTACCATAGAATGGGCACAGCGCCTTGTAGTACCTCTCTCATCTATGCTATGAGTGAGCCCACACTAAGTGAGGGGAGCGTCTTAAGGATGCTCCTTTGAATGGAAACAGTAATTTCCAGATTGAATTAGAATTAAAGATCCAGCACAGGCAAAAATGCATGTGGATGGTATATCAGGACTCTTTAACAGCGGCAAAGAAAAAACCCGGAGTAGCTTCCATGAGAACCTGCATCACTTCACATAATGAAGAGTCTAGGGGCAGGAATGCATTAAGCCAGAGAAGCAGCTCTGTGACATCAAGCACCGTACAACCTCTCACAATCACATCCAATGGCGGAACAAAGTGGCTCTCCAACTCTGGATCCTTTCATGAGGGAGGGAAACCTTTCTCAAAAACCCCAAAGTGGAACTGCCCACCAGAGTGTACCGGACAAACCTGGATCACGTTCCCATGCCCTGAAAGTTAGAAAAATGTAAATCTGGTATTTTCTGCTTCTAAATACGACACTTCCTTAATAAAATTGTAATCATTCTTCCTAACTGCACAAATTCAGTTTTATTCTTGTGCCACCTAAATTCAAACTTAATAACGTCTTAGAAATAACCTAGTTTGATTGGTGGCTTTTTTTTTTAATTCTAAAAACCAACCTTATCTACGTTAGGCCTACTTTGAGGGTTAATACTTTGAGGGTTAAGTATTTTCAAACCATGCACTGTTAGACATCAGTACTATTTTCAAAAAAATAATATTAATGCTTACCCAAAAAGGAGAATCTCAAAGCAATTCTAAGCCTAAAACCATAACAAAAGTATATCTTTTTTATCCTGTGTCCTTTTCATATCCTGTGTAGAACAATGTATCCATAAACTTTGATTCTGTTCTTTTCAGAGTAGCTTTTTCAATAGTCATTAATGTAAATAAAGTGGCATGACAAAGTCTGTACCCTAGAGTTAATAAAATGTGTTTCTACTTCCAGAGCAAAAACAAATGACTGGTCAGCTTGAACTTTCTAGAATGTTAACCATCTGCCAAATTATTCAGAACCTTCCTAGGAAGAGCCATGATCCTCCACACACTAATTAAATGAGTCAATGCTGTAATCACACTTTAGATAACTAATCTATTTCAATCCTGATAATTTAATTACCTAATTCTGGTAAACAAATTTCAACCTTAGTCCAAAATGATTAGAGGATTAAAGTTGAAAATCAGTGAATGCAAACTGAAATAGATCCACATAACAAAGTTCAAAACAGTTTGTTTCTTAAAATTATGTTTATTATCTCAAATTCAAGAATTAATATGAACTATCATGCCAAGGTTTTCTAAACCAGTTCTAACTGATGTCGTATCTCTTATAATAAATGAATTCCTACTTGTTAGATTTACAATTCCCTAACAGGGTAGTCTTCACTGACTACACAAAACATAAACACTATCTACACTCACCAGTCTGTTATTTTTTTTCCACATCACATTTCACCTCCTATTACATATATGTTTATGTGTTTCTGTTATGTACATCCAGTGCTGCTTCACAGGACACAGTGATAGACTATCGTCACACACCATCTCTAGTGCCTAAAATGCTGCCTGACCTGCAGTGGCACGATCTCGGCTCACTGCAACCTCTGCCTTATGGGCTCAAGCAATCCTCCCACCTCAGCCTCCTGAGTAGCTGGGACTACAGGCATATGCCACCACACCCAGCTAATTTTTATATCTTTTGTCAAGACAGGGTCTTACTATGTTGCCCAGGCTGGTCTCGAACTCCTGGGCTCAAGAGATCTGCCTCCCAAGGTGCTGGAATTACATGCGTGAGCCACCACACCTGGCCTTATAGACACTTAAAAAACAACAACTAAAAAAAAGCCTTAGAAATGTGAACTTACAAATAGTAAATCTGTATTTTTACTGATGTACTTTTCTCTATATTTTAAATTATGGTATAATGATTACAATAACAAGAACAAAAAACAAATTACAAAGAAAAACAAACTATTGCTACCACCACTGCTACCACAAGAGGCAGTCACCAGTCATAAAATATGTTGTGTTCTAATCATGAAATAAACAATTTAATTTTGTTTTTATTATTATTATTATTTTAGAGACAGGGTCTCACTCTGTCACCCAGGCTGGAGTACAGTGATGTGATCGAAGTTCACTGCAGCCTCGAACTCCTGGGTTCAAGCAATCCTCCCACCTCAGCCACCCAAGTAGCCAGGACTATAGTCTCTCATCACCACATCCAGCTAATTTCTTTTTCTGGTTGAGACAAAGTCTCACTATGTTCTCCAGGCTGCTCTCAAACTCCTGGCCTCAAGAGGTCCTCCCACCTTGACTTCTCAAACCACCATACCTGCCCATTTAACTCTGATAATGAGTCCACTATGTAGGTATTCCCATTTTATAGTAAGGAAATTGAGAATCAAAGAGGTAAAATAAGATTTCCAAGGTCAAGCAGAGACACATAAGCAGATCCAAAACACCAGAGCTCTGATTCTTAAACCCCCAATACCAATTTGTGATATATAAGTATCATTAAAGGACAAAGGCAATTAGTATCAGTATCATAGTAGCAGGATACAGAGCCCATCTATATAGAGAGCTAAAAAAAGGCCGGGCGCAGTGGCTCACGCCTGTAATCCCAGCACTTTGGGAGGCCAAGGCGGGCGGATCACGAGGTCAGGAGATCGAGACCATCCTGGCTAACACGGTGAAACCCCGTCTCTAATAAAAATACAAAAAATTTCCAGGCGTGGTGGCAGGCGCCTGTAGTCCCAGCTACTCCGGAGGCTGAGACAGGAGAATGGCGTGAACCCGGGAGGCGGAGCTTGCAGTGAGCCGAGATGGCGCCACTGCACCCCAGCCTGGGCGACAGAGTGAGACTCCGTCTCAAAAGAAAAAAAAAAAGTGCCGCTAAAAAAAGCACAGTACTCACAGTGATTTCTATACCTGAAGAGCAAGCTGCCAAAACATGAGACACGTTTAAAAATTAAACATCACTTGTGTCTTTCTTCCAAAAGAAAGGCCTCAGAGTCAATGACTGGTCTAGCAGTTAAGTGGAGTTAAAGTATAAATAACTTATGTTCTTGTAACCTGAACTTAGGTTAAAATACCCAAGGAAAACTAGTGTGTTAAGCTACTTTTTCCTAATCCAATTCTGTTGTAAATTGAGCCAAAATCATTTTCCACTGTCTTTCTACTGATTGCTTCTTCATTGGCTTCCATTTTATATTTTCATCCAATCCATTTATTCACAATTTGTATGTGACTAGTCAAGCTCATTTGTTTTCCATGAAATAAATGCAATTGATTCTGTGTGCCAGTCATGGTTTCTTAGACATTTAGTCATTACTTCCACCCACATATTTCATGTTTCTCTAGAAAATTGGCAGCCATGTAGAGGCCTAATGCTCCTTTCAATACCAACATTTATAATTTGTTACAAGATAATTTTATTCATAGGGAGACTCACATTAAAGACATTTCTAAGCCACTATTATGTACCTTGATGTAGACAGAGTAAAATCGGTCTCACTTTTCTATAATGCAGATATCACTGTGATTTATAAGTGACATTAAAAATCAATGACTATATTAATTCACTAACAAGGAAAGGTGACAGAGTAGACCCCCTCCCAGTGTTTCTTAGCAATGTAACTAGCTAAAAAACAGAAGCAGCTTAAAAGTTTTAAGATGAGAAATATTTTTAATTTAAACAAATGTATAATATACTTGTGCCCTTAATTATACATTCAGAAGCCCTCTGATTACAGTTGCCCACAAACTTAAGTACTTCATTAGATAAATGTGCTGTTTTCCATGTTAAAACATGTTCGGCAGTATTTTTCAACTTGACAGTTTTACTTACTGTCTTAGAAGCAGTATTAATGTACTGCATCACCATTTCTTTTTTGATACTGAAGTCCTTTTCCCGCAATGGTGCCTTTTTATCTTCATTTAAATTCATATCTTCCTGGAAAACACAATTAAAATGCCTCATTTTAGAATCTAAGTAGAGCAGCAATTCTACATGCACTACAAATGGAAAAATCAATAATTTGTGACTAAAGCAGCATTAATTGTTTTGGAATGATTTACGTGTAGTTCTGCCTGAAGGAAGGAGAGAGAAAAGAGGTGGAGAGGGAGAGAAGAAAGTATTCTAGATCATTTTAACAGGTAAAACACTTACTAAAAGAACTTTTAAAATTCACAGCAGGCAAATAAAATTATATTCACATAACTATAGATAATTAGACAGTTGCAGATTTCTGCCATTCATAAGGTCACACAATTTCAATATATTTATTTATTTTTACAACAGCTGCACCTGAAGCTATCTTCCACTGCTTTGAAAGAGCTGCTCTGTGTGTCATAAAAATTAAAAGGTAAATAAACCAACCAATTTTCAGATTCTGATAGCCACATCAAATATCCAGTACTGGTTCCAGCAAAAGACAAAGCACTTTATAGTTTTGTCTTTTCCCTACTCTTATCAAAAATGTTAACTAATTTATTGAATGTTCTAAATTACATAAAAGTTGTACTTATAAAAACAGCTACCACCTAAAATCGAACATTTCTCAACAGCACCAACCAAAATAAGGGTTTAAGTAACTAAGATCTTGCTACAAGCTTAATTTTGACTAAAAATTCAAGTCAGGTATATATCCACATAAATATATGAATTGCTCTTAATTAAGCTCCTGAAGTAAGAGGCTATTCTGGCAAAGGAAAGGGCGCCTGAGGTAAGACAGAAATGGCTAAAGGAGAAGGGCAGCTCAAATGAATTTCCTCGTGAACTTAGCCCTGAGTCATTTGTGATATGCAATGTAAAATATCTGAATGTATATAAACTTCGTATCTACTCAGAATGGATCCATAAAATTCAGGACTTTGGATCACCTATGGAGCCTAGCAAGTTAAATTTCTTACAGATTTTATAAGGGTGCTACATTCATCAAACGCTGTAGTTTATGCCTTTAGCTGACTCAATTCTTGGCTACCAAACCCTTCGAGCACTTAAAAGTCAAAATTCCCTTCATTTTACCTTGATAGAAATATTTAAGATCTTAGAAGCTGTTCCATTTGACACTACGATAAAAGGTAGTAATTGGCAATGTCACTTTTGCTGCTCTAGTTAGAAACACAAACATCCTGTTACGTGAATAAGTGTTTGTTTTGTTTCGTTTTTTTCTCTAAGCTAGTGAGAGAAGGCTCAATAGGCCTTAATATGACATAGGAAGCATTTTGGAAATTTTGGAAACTTCTGGAGGCATGTTAGTTGTCACAATAATTGAGGTGATGCTACCAGCATTTACAGGGGGTAGCATCACAGTTTGACCTGTACAGTAAAAACTACCTTGTGCCCCACAGAGAGATTCACACACCTAAAAAAGAGAGAGAGAAAGAATCATCCTTAACTAAGCCTAGACTCGAATTCAATGGAACTGTTGCAGGACAGGTGAGCCCCAAATTTGGGGCTCATGGCTTCATCATAGAAAGAATTCAAAGGCAAGATGGTCGTGTTACACAGCAACCTTTTATCGAATGGTGCTGCTCCTTGCAGAGCAGGGCTAACTCATAGGCAGTGTGCTCAGAGTCAGCAATGTATGGGCTCTTGGCAATTGTAATTATACTCACTTAAACTCACTTAGCTATATGCAAATTAGGGGGTGGGTCAATGTAAATTAAGGGGTGGGTTATTTAGAATTTTCTAGGAAAGGGGTGGTAACTTCTGGGCCATTGCCATGGCATTTGTAAATTGTCATGGCGCTAGTGAGAGTGTCTTATGCTAATTAATGAGGGCAGCTAGGGATTGCTTTTGTCCCATTTGCCAGTTATTGCTGTTTTTTGTGTTTTTTTTTTTTAATATTTTAGTCTGTCTGGACCAGTTTCTGTTTTGATCAGCAGGGTTGTGACTAGAAAACATGTTCTGCCAGTCTCCTATTCCAGAAATAGATGTAAAATGTAAAATTATTACATATTAAATACTTTGTATTGCATAGTTTTACTTTACTGAATTTTCCAAGAATCAAACTATTCTGTAAATTATAGTTACACTCTGCTTTTTTTAAGCTTTACCAACAGTTGTGCTTCATTTCTGAAATGTAGGTATCCCAGGGAAATACTGTCTGTGGTATCTGAATCCCCAAAATAGCACAACTATATCAATCTACCAATCTACAATGCCACTGCTGTACTCACAGAGGTATGAAGCAGAGATTCAAGAGTATGAATTTACTATACCTTCTTGAGTAGTCATGGCCAATTGTTTAAATTGAAATACATATTTTATTATATAGTAGAGTAAGACATATTGATTTTCTTAATTTATGAACATAGGTAACATTATCCACAAAGAATTTCACTGGAAGAAAGTAATGAGATAGTTAGGGGATAATTGTTATAAAACGTGGGGCAATCTGAGAGCACTGGAAAATTCTGTTTTAAATTATTCACTTTATTTTTATTTTCAGGCTAATGGCCAAACATTACCCAGTCTCTTTAGTAAATTAAAATACTTAATATACACAGAATACCAAAAAACAGAAAGCCCTTTAGTTGTGGCTGAAATTGAAATAAAATTTCAAGGTGAGTAGTAGAAAGAATTTTTTAAAAAGGCCTCTGCTTTCTTTTTGGAAAGACATCTTCATGATAACACCAGTTCATACAAAAAAGTGGTTGTGATTGTTATTTTTGGGGGTTGGTTAATTTTAGGTGTGATGGTTAATTTTAGGTTAGACTTCTGGCTTAAAGTATACCCACATAGCTGGTAAAGCATTATCTCTAGGTACGTCTTTCAGAAGAGATTGGCACTTGAATCATTGGACTGTAAGTCAGTAAGGACGATCCGCCCTCAGTATGGGCAGGCACCATCTAATCAGCTGAAAGCCTGGATAGAACAAAAAGGCAGAAGAAAGGCTAAGTCTCCCTCTCTCTTCTGGAGCTGAGACAAACTTCTTCTGCCCTTGGACATCAGAACTCCAGGTTCTTCAAGCTTTGGGCCCTGGGACTTCCCCCAGTGACACTCTCCCTGGAGTTCTCAGGCCTTAAAGCCACCTCAGCCTCCAACTGAGTTTCACCAACAACTTCCCTGGTTTTGAAAACTTGGGGCCTTAACTGAGCCACGCTGCTGACTTCCCTGGTTCTCCAGCTTGCAGATAGCATACTGTAGGACTTCTTGCCCTTTATAATCATGTGAGCCAGTTCTCCTAATAAATCCCCTCTCATATAGACAGGCAGGCATCCTATTGGTTCTGTTTCTCTGGAGAACTCTGACTAGTAGTGATACATCTGGAATTAAGGGAGAAACCCAAAATTCTCCCAGCTGCTTCCTCTGGTTTATCCCACCTCTTTTGCCTAAATATGGCACTCGCCTTCCTGACAAAAGTATGATGACAGTCCTAGTATAAAAAACCAAAAGGAAACAAATAATACTTGCTCTAATTTGGATGTTATCCCATGCAAATCTCATATTTAAATTTGATCCCCAATGTTGGAAGTAGGGCCTAGTGGGACGTGTCTGGGTCATGGGTGCAGCTCCCTCATGAATAGATTAATGACCTTCCTGGGGTGGGGGCGATTGAGTTCTTGCCCTATTAATTCCCATGAGAGCAGGCTGTTTATAAGAGTTTGGAACCTCCCCACCACCTTCTCCCTTGCCTCCTCTCTCACCATGTGATCTCTGCACACACCAGCTTTTTCTTGTCTTTCATCATGAGTGGAAGCTCCCTGAGGCCCTCACCAAAAGCAGATGCTGGTCCCATGCTTCTTGTACAGCTTGCAGAACTGACAGCCAAATAAACCTCTTTTTTAAATTATTCAGCCTCAGGTATTCCTTTATGGCAACATAAAAATGGACTAAGACAACAATACAAAAGTTTGGAATCAACTACATAACACCCTAAACTTTTGTGGGATACCCACTAGGCATGTAACTTCATCTAACAGGTCATCCTCCATATTTCCAGGAGGAAATGGCATTTGAAAGCGTAAGAAAAGCTCTGCCCTTTAAAAAAGAAAAAAAAAAAGAGAGAGAGAGAGAGAAATAAGGGGGCAGTAGAGAGAAAATATGCATGAAAGCATGAGGGGTATGGTATTATTAGAATATATTTTGAATTTCTATTTATGGAAAACAAGGCTGAAAGAAGAAAACTCCATGAGGCAGTGGCACTTAACTTCTGGGGGTCACGAAGTCCTTAGAAAATTTATTGGGAGCTTTTTTTCCTAAAAAATGCATATCCATATTTTATGTTGCAATTCCAGAAGGGTGAAGCATCTCCCAAGGCTATCTAAGAAACTGGACTTGGTGAAGGTCAGTGGGGGAGAAGTGAGCAAGTTATCATTTTTTATGTTTCTTAGTTTATATTTCCTCAAAATTATCATGTTGTATCTCCATTATCTAAGGTCAGTTTCCCTTAAAAGCAGAGCCTGAAACAGGGATTCAGGTGCAGGTGGGGCTGCTCTCAGGATAAGAAAGTAAAGGAGGTAAGACAAAAGAGGAAAAAAGACATACTAAAGGTGGCCTCTGGTGGATTCTCACTTCACCCTGAGATGCACCACAGTCAGGATAGCCTGGTAGCAGAAACCAGCCTCAACAACCTCAAGTTAGTCATCAGCTGCAGAATCCTAGTTCTGATGAGGGCAAATCTCTGGAGAAAGGGGCATCTATAAGCTATTAGAAGCCAACACTCATCACCTGGGGCATGGGTGCACCAGCCTGGTAAAAAGGAGCTGGGAGGGGGTACTAAAAGTACCTACTATACCATCTGAAAATAATTTACTTGATATTAAAATAAGACTTCTTTCAAATTGAAAGAATAAATATAGAAACAAATTGAACAGAATAAATTGAACAGAATAAATATAGAAACACATATAGCTGACCTTAAAAAAAAAGGCAATATAAACTATTGTGTATTAACTCCTCCTTCCATTCAAACACAGGTCAGTAAAACATGCTGCTTTACTGTGCTACCACACTACATAGGTACAAAATGACACTGCAGACACAGATTGTAAAACGGCTCTAAAATGGCTGTTTACCTCAATATATCAGTATGCTGATATATGTACGTATCTCATTAAATATCTATTATAGGTAAAATACTGAACAGGAAATACAAAGTAAACATAAATACATAAGGCTCAGTGAGTAATCTGAATGAGGTTAAAATTTCCATGGATATATGAAATAAATCTCTACCCTTTAAATGGAAAAATCTTATCAACTGGCTATTGGGCTGAATATATCACACTCAAAAACATCATTTGCCAAGTCACCTATTCAAAATTTTAATCTCTCTGAAGAGCATATTATTGTTTTTGATGTTAAAGTTCTATTAAAAAGTTCTATTAATATGTTAGTAATATACATTATGAATTATCTCATTCATAGTACTCCTTAATATACAGATGCTCAACTTACAATGGGGTTATGTCCCAAAAAAGCCATTAAAAATTGAAATGCAGAAATGCATTTAATACACCTAACCTACTGCATGTCACAGCTCAGCCTAGCCTCCCTTAAACATCCTCAGAACACTTACATTGGCCTACAGTTGGACAAAATAATCTAACACAAATGCTATTTTATAATAACATTTTGAATACACAGATGCACATTTTGTAGACATGGTGGGATGCGAAAACACAAAGCACAATATCCAAAAAATGCTGGGGACACAGTACAGTCAGTTGTTCAGCCTAATGATTGCATGGCTGACAGGGGAGCTGCAGCTCTCAGTTGCTGCCCCACGTCACAAGAGAGTGTCAAACTGCATATAGCTAGCCCAGGAAAAAGATCAAAATTCAAAGTACAGTCTCTACCGAATGCATGTTGCTTTCACCACTGTAAAGTCGAAAAATCGTTAAATCGAACCACTATATGTTGGGGACCACTCTCGGCTTGCCAGGGGAAACCGAGTTGCAACAGCAAAAAAAATAGTTTCCCTTTGGCCAATTACTTTCTAATTAAAATCTATATCTAAACAGAATCACTGTGCTGATCTGACTAGCACTAGGAACAGATTTCAGAAGTACAATACTTGGAAAGCTTTTTTTTTCATTCAATACGTGGGAACACAGCTATGTCATCCAAAAAGACTAGAATTAAAAAGACCAAATTAATGTGGTACCAGAAAGTAAGAGAAGGAAGGAAGGAAGGAAGGAAGGAAGGAAGGAAGGAAGGAAGGAAGGAAGGAAGGAAGGAAGGAAAGTCAAAAGGACATGAGCCAAACTGAAAGAGCTGTTAAGTGGCCAAAACTAGAACAATTTGAAAAATAAAATGATAGTATTAGATTATAACCTAAAAAGCAAAATAAATTGAGGAGATACTTTAAGACTGTGCAGATATCCTTTTTCTCCTTAATTATAGAGGGGAAATACTAACTTTACAAGGGAAGAAGCTGGCAGATGCCACCTTAACAAAGTTGTCCAGGCTAACACCACAAATAATAGGACATATTGATATTTCAAACCTCCAGCTATGATATAATGAGAAGGCTGATCACCTCTGTGGTATTTATCCCAAAATAGATCTCAATCTAATCACAAGGAAAAAAAAAGTCAGGCAAACCCAAATTGAGAGCACCCTACAAAATAACTAACCATAACTTTTCAAAAGTATCAAGCTCATAAAAGATAAGGAACTGTCATTGACTGGAAGAGACATGACAAATAAATGCAAGATGTGATCCTGGATTAGATCCTGGAAGAAAAAAAAGACATGGGTGGGAAAGCTGGCAAAATCTGAAGCAAGTCTGTAGTTTAGTTAGCAATATCGTCTCAGTATTCAATTCTTAGTTTTAATAATTGTACTAATGTTATATAAGATGTAAACATTAGAGGTAGTTTGGTGAAAGGTATACAAGAATTCTCTATACTATTTTTGCAATTCTTCTATAAGTCTAAAATTATTTCAAAATAAAGAGTTATTTTAAAAGACTAAATTGAAATATTTTAATAGAACTTTTTATAAATAACTTGGGGTAAAAAAAGAAAAACAGAACATCATTATTAAAAAAAAAAAGAAGTTTTTTTATATCCCCTAAATAAAAAGAAGAGGTTTGTAGAATATTCGGCTATAGTAAATACACACTGAATTGAGGGAGGAAAGGAGACTAAGGAAACCACAATCAAGACAAATCCAAGGGTCCTGAGAGGAAGGGTTAAGTAGGTCAGACACAGGTAACAGAATTCCATTCAAAACACAAACTTCTCCAACTGTTTACATTTCCTCCTATTTTCATTCCAAACCTGCTCTATGCACTGACCTTCTCACCCATTCTCCCAGAACCATTTTACAAAGACCTCTAGTACTCCTGTAATCTTAAACTATGGTCAAATTCTTGAGCCAGGCACTGTGCTAAACATTCATAAGCATTACTTAATTAATCCTCAGTAACTTGAGGTATGTCCTCTTTATTGAGGAGAGAGCTGAGGTTTAGGAAAATTCTGTAAGTTGACCATGGTTCTTTAACTTAGATTTAAACTCTGTTCTATCTCATCTCCCTCATTCTTATTTCCATATTATTTATCTATGTTATCATCTAAAGTCCGATTTCCTTGG
This sequence comes from Homo sapiens, assembly GCF_000001405.40. Classification (NCBI taxonomy): domain Eukaryota; kingdom Metazoa; phylum Chordata; class Mammalia; order Primates; family Hominidae; genus Homo; species Homo sapiens. The sequence goes on from NC_000013.11 coordinate 60,101,329, forward strand.
GGCTAGTAACATCTGACTGAACACTTCCACTGCCATCAACTTGGGTTGATTCCTCTGACACTCCACACCTTGCTATCACCCACAATGGCCCTAAAGCAAGCTTGTCCAGATTGCACCCAGGACGGTTCTGAATGTGGCCCAACATAAATTCAAACCACTTTCTTAAACCACCATGAGATATTTTTGCGATTTCTTTTTTTTTTTTTTAGCTCATCAGCTATCAAAAGTGTTAGTGTATTTTAGTTGCGGTCCAAGACAAGTCTTCTTCCAATGTGGCCCAGGGAAGCCAAAAGATTGGGCACCCCTGCCCTAGAGTGTCCTTGGCTTCCTTGCCAATGCAAGCTTCACTTCCACTGTCCTCAGCTACAGTCCTAATGACCACACCTGGACCTTTTCATTATCTAAAACCTGTCCACCACAGGCATCATCAGAATCTCCATAATCCTTATCTCTGACCTCAATCTTCCATCTTGCCACTTCTCCCACTCCCAAACCATCTTTTTCTTGGCCCCAGTAAAAACCTCCAGTTTCTTGACCCTTCCATTTTCTTCCAATGCAGGCCACTGTTGATTCATCAATTCTTACAACATTTATGGCAAATCTTACTAGTCTCTCTCTTTTCACATTTCATATGGTACTTATTTCAAACCTTAGCTATTTTCAGGAACTGTGAAACTACTACTTCTGCCTATCACCCTCAGTAAATAAATTTCAATTCCCTATATGAAAAGAAAGCTATAATTCCATTTTCTGCTGTTTTACCATTTTATTTGCACACTACTATCTTTCCCTACCCAACCAATGCATTTATCCAAAGACATTCCTATTCATTTATGCTCGAGATCCCTTTTCCTCCCACCTCAAGAAAGGGCATTACACATCGATTATCCTCTTCTATTTTATTTCACTAAATTCTCTCAGTTGGTTGAGTATCAATATGTAAGCAAGTTAATCTTTAATGGATTAAAATTAAACAAAAAAACTTCCCTCAACTCTGGCTCTTTATATGTAACTCTTTTCTCCCTCACCGATAACATTTAATAGAAATATTTCTATACTTGCTGCCTCTTTCACCGTGCATGGAACATAATGGTCACTTTTTAAATATTTGCTAAATAAAGAAGATGTCAGAAAAGTTCTCAAATAGAATTTGCTCATCCTATTTTAGGACAAACATGAGATGCAGGTAAGCTTCTGGGAGATGGAACTGAAGCTGGAGATGATACAGCCCCAGACTAGAACACTGAGCAATTGCTGCTCCTAAGAAGATTCTCAAGAATCTTCAGATAACAGTTACGGGAATAAGTTCCAACTCTGGAGGTAGAAATCTTCAGGTCGTGGCACTGACACAAAGATGGCCAAGCTAAAATCCATCACTTTTTCAGAGAACACTAGCAGACCCACACTAAACCTCAGTGACCTAGAACAGAGTCAATATAACGACTGACCCCTGCCAAGTAGTACCTGGTTGAGGAATGAATGGGGTCAAGGTCCCTTCCAGACTCACTTCATCATCTATTCCAAACTTCCAAACTTGTGACCTTGTGTGGTGCTGTGTCCATCCAGAATGAAAGCATACACCTATTCTGTAACTTGCACAAGGACACCAAATTAGTCAGCGGCAGCCCTTACCTGGAAACCAGGTCAATCAAGCAACTTTTAAGATATTCCCAAAGAGTCTTCCTACAAGTTGCATGGGGCCAGAAGTTCCCACACACCAGCAAATTGCCAGTTTGCTACTGTTTTTAGGGACCCTAACTCCCTACTAGACTGATTTTTTAAAAATAGTACCAAATAAATATTTTTCACATTTTATTAGCAAAACCGAGGTGGGGGGGAAATATGTAACTTAGTACCTGTGCACACACATGCAACTCGTTGGAGCACTAAGGCACAATCAAGCAGAGAACAGCAATGAGAGAGTGGACATTTTTCCAACTGAATTACACACGTTAGACTCAATATTTTCATTCATGGCTGTGGATTTTGCAAGACAGCATGCTCATTAAATTTACATACATCAAGTTGAGCGGGACAGTTAACACCACAGAGAGTCAGATTAAATTTAAAATGATTGACTATTTGCAGAATTAAGTGAATATATACAAGCAGCAAGTTGCTGAAGATGGTCAGGTGGAAGGATATTCAACCAAAAAGGAAAAACACTACAGACAGGCAGAGCATGACTAGCATTACAAAATGGATATGGGAAATACAGTATTATAATGGACCAATAAGCATAATATTGGAAAATAAAAATTAGAAGCACTGCAATAGCAAAACCAAACATTTATTCCTATTAAGTCAACAGCAATCATCTAATTTCAATAACATTATGTTTTGTTTTAGGGGTTAAAGCCAACATAATTATTCTTGGTAGCAGTCTCTGTTTTGCCAGCATTATATTATTAAAGCCACAAATTGGTTAAGCATCTTAAGAGGTCCACAAAGATCCCCTAATTCCCTCTCTTGTGACAGAGCTCAACATCATATAAGCACAATTTTATCCAGAGTTCTGCTAAAAGTGTAATTCTGTTCTTAACTACATTTGAATTCATCTTTGACATCACACAATATCAAACGGTCAAGCTTTTCATTACACTAAGGTTTTTACTACCATGAATGGCTTAGTGCCAAATAAAAAAAAACAGAAGATTTCATGACCTCATTCAAGGTCATTATACACTGTTGAACAGGGCAGACTAAATGAATCTTATCTAGTTCTGCAATTTAATAAATTTTATTGGGTTTAGACATAATTAGAAAACTAAAAGATAAATACTACCAAGAACCTGGAACTTAGAATTAACTTTATTACTACTTTTCTATATTCAAGATGTCTATAAATACATTGAAGCTATAAAATAGCTTAAAACAGCTATAAAATATTTTGCCTATCAGCTTTACTATGTCCTTATATAAACCTTTAAATAATCATTTTTAACAGAAATATGATTATTTAAAAGTTATATTTTTTGGTTTTACCAATAGTGGGGTTGAATTTCCACTGTACTATCCAGTAGACACTGGATTACTCAATTCCCATTAAAATTAAAAGAAAGTCAGATGGCTAGCTCATTAATAGAACAGCAGCCAAAGAATGACATTTACCCAGAGACTGATAATGAACTCATAAACACTATTTTTTGGCCAAATATTCTAACTGGAGAATATGGGAAGAGTGTAAACTATCTTAATTGAAAAACAAATTTCAGTTTATCCTAATGCAGTATCAAGGCACACACACACACACACACACACACACACGATGAGAAAAAAAGAAATTTAAATATCACTTTTCTTTCATATACTGTAAATTTTAGCAGAACAGACAAGAAGAGAGCTGAATATTCAGAAAGCTGCACAACTCTAATTTATTCTGGAATGTAACCTTGCCAGAATTGTTCAAGTGTATGCATAAGCACCTACAATCACAAACAACTGCTGTGTAATCCTGCAGATAAGAACACTGCCAGTGATTGGCCAGGCGCGGTGGCTCACGCCAGTAATCCCAGCACTTTGGGAGGCCGAGGCAGGCGGTTCGTTCACGAGGTCAGGAGATCGAGACCATCCTGGCTAACACGGTGAAACCCCGTCTCTGCTAAAAATACAAAAAAATTAGCTGGGAGTGGTGGCGGGCACCTGTAGTCCCAGCTACTCGGGAGGCTGAGGCAGGAGAACGGCGTGAACCCAGGAGGCAGAGCTTGCAGTGAGCTGAGATTGCGCCACTATACTCCATCCAGCCTGGGCGACAAAGTGAGACACGATCTCAAAAAAAAAAAAAAAAAAAAAAAAAACTGCCAGTGATGAAAAAGGATTTTCATTCATATATTTGTTTTTCAACTTTTCTAAGTAAATGACAATTTCTTCATACATTTACATAAAGGATAAAATGGTCATTTGACTTAAGATACAACTTTTTTCTTAAGGCCACCTTTTCTACAGAAGAAAATATGACTGAGAAAAGGCCTTCACAGGTATACACAAATAATTGCCTGCACAGCTCCTAACTGGCAAAACAGCATGCTGAAATATTACCATAACATTTACCCCTTTAAAATTCCTCCCTCTAACCATTTTATTGGTGCTACAAAATCCCACCAGGCAAAATCCAGTACACCTAAATCATTTATTTTCTCATTTATCTGGATCTAGAAGAAACAACTAAACACTGACATTATCCCCCTGACAAACACAACCCATGAATCAACTTGATAATTGCCTTGAACTACTATACTCTCTCCCTCTTCCTCTTCATTATTTGGATTGCTTTTAAACCACCTTTCCCTGAATTTTTCAATTTCTACCCAATGGAGAGGGAAAAGAGTGACAAGTAATAAATCAGAACAAAGCATTCCCACAGAACCTCTCTCATTTTATCTAGTCAAGCCTTAATACACTTTTTTAGATTGTAAGAAATAGAAAATGTTCACGATATAGGAAAGTAGATTTGTAAAGAATACTAATACTTGAAATAAGCTGCTGGTAGGAATCTATAGCAGTCAATAAACACTTAAGAGAATTAACACAAAGGGGTCTTTGTTGGTTTTTCTTTTCATTCAGACTCTTGGTTGACCCTTAAGATATTCCTTGCACACTCAACACAAAATTCATTTATTTGACCAAAGTAATAGCTATGCATAAATCTTTAACACCAAGAATTAAAGAGAATAAAGAAAGAAAAATTGTCATTAGTATGTACCCTAAGAGTGGCAATATGGAATAAGCTTAGCAAGATGAACCCTCCCCACCTCTATACCAAAAATATCAAAAGAACATGGTCACATCTGATTTTTATCGGTTCACCTGAGCCCTTCTTTTCTCCTCTGGAAAAACAGCTCTTAGATATTAAGGTTTATTATACAGTTGTGGTGACTAAGACAACAGACGTAAATGCAGAACTAGACAAACGAACTGATGGACAAAAATCAAACCTCAGAAACAAACCCACATGTGCACAAACTTGATCTATAACATTAGAGATATTACAAATCATAAAAAAGAATGAACTATTCAAATAAATGCTGCTGGAAAAACTATGTGGAAAAAAATTGGATCCACATCTCACATCAGGCATAGAGATATATATTTCTAATAATTTTAAATGAAAATATAGGAGAATAGATTTATGATGTCAGGATAGATTTCTTCAATAATATACAAAAAGGACAAACCATAAAAAGTTTGATAAATCTGACCACAATTTTACATTTTTGTACTTCAGCTCCCCTTTCCCGCTAACAAAAGTAAAAAGACAAGACTCGGTCTAGGACAAGATATTTGCAACACATATAAACTGAACACATGAGTATTATTCTGGCTATATGGGAAATTCTACAAATCAATATGAAAAAGACGGAAATCTCAAACAACAAAATGGGCAAAAATATAAACAGAAAATTCACAGAAGAGTAAAGCAAAGGGCCAATAAGCATGTGAAAAGATGTTCGGACACATTTATAATCAGAAAAATATAAATCCTTTAGTATGAGATATGCTGTTTACATTTGTTTACTTGCAAAACTTAAAAAGTCTAATACTAATGCAAACAGGGATGTTCTACAAATTAACCAGCCTGCAATCTTCAAAACTTTCAAATTCATAAAATACAAGGAAACATACGAACTATTCCAGACTGAAGAAGATTTTAAAAACATAACTGAATGCAACATATGATTCTGAACTAGATTCTTTTGCTATAAAGAGGATATTGGTACTATTGGTAAAACTTTAATAGTGTGTGAGGTAGAAATTGATCAGTGTTAACTTTCTGATTTTGGTGGCTATATTGTGGTCATATAGAAGGAAGTCCTTACTTGTGGAAAACATACACTGAAGTATTACAGGATTATGGGGCATTGAATCAGCAATTTACCATCAAATATCTCAGAAGAAAAAAGGTTTTGTTCCGTATAACTGTATTCTTATACAGACAGAAAAAAAAAAGGAAAGTTTCTTCAGTGTATGGGAGCAAAACTATTGGATTCAGGGTACTGTTAACCTCAGGGAAAAAAAGAAGATAAAAGCGGGAATTAGAAGAATTACACAAGGGATTTCACTTATATCCGTGGTGGTATTTTTTATATTATGTTCTATACTTTTTGTATGCCTGAAATACTGTATAATTTAAAAAAAACACTGCAGGACAAAATTAGATTCCACTCTATGTTATACACAGAAAATTGTTTCAAAGTCAAATATTAATGCCTTTGGTATTATCTAAACCAGGTTTCCCACACTGAAAAGCCAATGTATGTATTAAATAGTAGGTCATCTAAGTTCTTACTACCAGGACATACTTCAAACATACGCTTAAGAGATGACGATGGCATTTTATAAATGTGCTTTCTCCTACATTACAAAAAAGCCTGATAAACATCTTCCCAGTAAAAGAATAGAACATCACTATTCATACTTAAGTACTTCGTGCAATTTTATCAGGTCATTTTTTCTACACTTACAACAATTCTAGACAGGAAGTCCAGAATTTAAATAATTTTTGTCAGAATGATTTTGGTATCATTGGAACTCATTTAATGCCTGTTAATGATAGCATTCTGATAGATGAGCTTTCTTGCATAGCTTTCATTCTCTCAACCGATAGTGAAAATAAGAAAAGGTATGAATGCATGAAAAAAGCTATCTTCCATTCATTATTTTAATGTTTTTGTGTTATTGGGCTGACTAGCAATTAAAGCTAATCTCCATCTAAGTATAGTGTCTAAGGTGAAGAGAAATATAGTATCCTAGAAATCTTAAGTTAGGAAGCTGCACTTAACAGACATTTGTTTGGAATGATAAACCAATGGATGATACTGCATGGATATAATCTAATGGGAAGACAGATATCTAAAAAGTGAAAAGTAAAAAAAAAGAATGAATTTCACAATAGACTCATAAGCAGTTTTGAGAGGCAGGTTTAAGGAATCCTTAACTCAGCACATGTGAAGATAATTAAAGAAAACTAATGTTTAAACTAAGATTTAAAGTATGTATAAGGCCAGGCACGGTGGCTCACATCTGTAATCCCAGCACTTTGGGAGGCTGAAGCGGGTGGATCACTTGAGGTCAGGAATTCGAGACCAGCCTGGCCAACATGGTGAAACCACATCTCTACCAAAAATACAAAAATTAGCTGGCATGGTGGTATGTGCCTGTAGTCCCTGCTACTCAGGAGGCTGAAGCAGGGATTGCTTGAACCCGGGAGACAGAAGTTGCAATAAGCCAAGATCATGCCACTGCACTCCAGCCTGGGTGACACAGCAAGACTCCGTCTCGAAAAAAAAATAAAAATTAAAAAATGAAGTATAAGAAGTCTCTAACAGAGGCATGGAGGGAGATAAATGGCAGAGAACACTGCAGTATCCTAGATAAGAGGTCATGAAAGCTTGAACTAAAGCAGGGGGGAAATAAACTTAAGAGCTAATGAAGATAGAGAAGTAAATGGATGTGACTGATGCCTTAATGAGATCAACTATGACTCCCAAGTATGACTTCAGTGGGGACTTCTGAGATAAGAAATTAAGAGTGAAGCAGAAATTTTGGTGAGTGGGTGTGTGTGTTGGGGGGAGGTGTGTGTGTATTTAGGAAATATGATGAGTTCACTTTCTGATGTGTTGAGGTTCAGCATCTTTTAGAGAGCTGGATTATAACTGCTCTTCTGTAGAAGACATACCAAGGTGTCACAATATAAAAGATATTCTCCATGAAAGGGCTCAAGTCTCCCAAAAGGAGTACGCAGAAAACTCAAGTGTATAAAGATAAGACTGACAGGCAGAGGCAACACTGAGAGGAAGTAAAAGAACACATAGAAGGATATGGAGAGTAAACTGGAAAAAACTGGCCAGAGAGAAGGAAAATTAGGAAAAGTGAAGTGTGTGTCACAGAGACACACACTTCTTTCACACGGTGTGTGACTGCCACAGAACCAGTCAAGCCGACCAGGATTTCTCACTTACAGAACTATAATAAATGTGTGTTGCTTTAAATCACAAAGTCCGTGGTAATTTGTTACGGCAGCAATAGGAAACTAATACAACACTCTAGGAAACCAATAGATACCTTAGGCCAGCAAGTGCTCATTCCTTCCCTCCCCCGACCCCAATCTAGTCTTGGAAGAGACAAATTCAGTCCAGAGAATAGGGAAGAATGGAAAAGCAAGATGGAGGAAAAGAGGCCAACCACATCCCCAACAACTGCCCCTACTGGAGACTAGAAATGGAACAAGCTTGAACAAGGGAAAAGGAGCAGCTTTCTTTGGGTGAAAATTAATTTATATTAAGCTAGGGTTTGTATTATCTGAAACCAACAGGAAATCTCTGGAACCTACCTGGGACTTTTAACCAGGATCAGAAGAAAAATAAGCTCAGAGGGCTGATTTAAAGGTGCAACAGCTGGAATAAACTAGCCACTTCCAACTTACACCTATCATGTTCACCTTGTTCAAAAAACACTACTTACAGGTATCTAAGAGTTCAGGAGTAATCACTGAAATTGACTTCAGAAACGTAAGTTGTAAATGTAGTGATGAACACAACTATTTCACGTATCTAATAGTCATACAGAAACCAATATGGGCTTTCAGCTAGAATTTCAGCTTTCACCAAAAGACAAACGGGGGGAAAAGTCTTTAAGTATAACTAAAAATTCAACACCACTTTTAAGAATGCACACAGAAACTAGACTATTACCCAGAGACCAAGTAAATCAATTTCCCAAGTGAAATGAGTATGAATGTTGAAGTTATTACACTGTACTTCACATTCATTAAGTAATCAAGTCAGCACAGTCTTTCAAAGGACTGTCTTGAGGAGGGAAAAGAGGTGTTCTTCAAAACAAAGTTGTTACTTCATGTAAAAATTACTAAATACCTTTGATAATGATAAATAAGAACAATCATTGTAAAAATTGCACAATGCCAAAGCAAAGAACCTAGATGCAAACTTTAAATAGTATAAAGCCTCTGTAGGTACAAATGCCAAAAGGTTACCATGGCTGATTATTCAATGTTGCTTTCTCAAGAGAATTCTTATTAATAAAAATGTAACAGATACGTACAAGCCAAAAATCAAGCCAGTTTAAATCTAGCATTCTCCACAGACATAGAAATAGCTCTAAATTTGTCAAAAATATGGTACCCTGAGAAGTTTGAAAAATATCCTAATCCACATTTAAAGAAGGCAACAACACCCTTCAAAAGCCTTTCAGCTTCAGAATCAATAGCAGTTTTTCCCTACAGAGTACTGTAGTATACTCAAGGAATCAGTAAGGGAAAGAAAGAATCTGTTTCTTATTTTTTAAAAAGGGCTTAGTTGTAATTGTCTCATCCCTTAGCAAATTGGACAGCCCTGAGAAGGCAACAATTTCATTTTATTTCTGCTGAGTTACTCCAGTGAGGGTTTGATCACCAAAATCTAATGCCAATAGGTAGACCTGCTTAAGGGTGAAAAAGTGATCTGGCCCAGTTATTTTAAAAGTATTCTGTAAATATTTCAAAAATGCTGATATTCATCTGACCTCTAAATAATATTAAAATATATAGTATTAGCCCCCTCCCAGCTACGAGTAACAGAAAACTAACATAAACTATATTCAGTACTTTCTAGGTAGTTGTACTTTTAACTTGTGGAAATAAAATGTGGCCTCCATAAATGTTTAACATCAATGGGCTACTTAGTCCACTTACTCAGATGGCACCCTCAATTATGATGAAATTTTTTAACTTAGTAGCCACAAGTGAACCATAAAAGTGTCATCCTGAAATCTCATGGATGGATAACCTAGGTGAGTGGTTCGATATATAGTGCACGGATGGGAGAAAAGTGCACTTTACGATCTTGAGTCCTCAAAGATAGTACTGAAGAGAGTTACCTTCATATAGGCCTCATTAACAGAGGCAAAGGCTAACCAGAAAAAGGTTAGGCATCCAGAAAAAGACGTAGAAAGTGAGTTCAAGTCTCCACAGATCTAAGTGTTGCAAAAAGAACCTGTTTATCCTAAAAACTAAGAAAAGAATAAAACAAGTTAGGTCTAAGATCCAGCCCATAACAATGCAAACAGTAGAGCACAGTGACTGTCATTTTAACATGGACTGGACTCAGACCACTTAGATCAGGGGTCCCCAACCCCGTTAGCAACTGGGCCACACAGCAGGAGATGAGTGGCAGGCCAGCCAGCATTACCAGCTGAGCTCCGCCTCTTGTCAGATCAGCAGTGGCATTACATTCTCAAAGGAGCACAAACTCCATGGTGAACTGTGCACGCTTCTTATGAGCATCTAACTAATGCCTGATGATGTGAGGTGGAACAGTTTCATTCCAAAATCATCTCCACCACCCCCCAAACGCTCATGGAAAAATTGTCTTCCATAAAATCAGTCCCTGGTGCCAAAAAGGTTGGGGACCGCTGACTTAAATATCTACTCAAGACAAAAATATACCGTTCGATACTTTGGAGTATTTGTTTTCACATACTCTTTACAAAACCAAAACCTGGTATGTTGTTTTTCTTCAGATTTCATATTTTTGTAATCCAAAAACTCTTTGTGGCTGAAGTGCTATCTTAAGTGACATCAGAAATTAGCCTATGGAGTATGACTACCAAAAATGCTTAGAGTTCCATTAACATGAGCAAAAGCTAAGGCTTTTTCCTCAAACATTTCCTAAAGAATCAAAATTCTTACCATCATTTTTTCAAAAAGTTCTAAGAGTTCATTCTCTGACAGTGGCTTTGGAAAGTTCTCCATCATCTCTAAAGGTGCTGCTGAGCAATCACTGCTTGCAAATGCAGTCTTCAGGTTGGGAAGTGGAGGTCTCTCTTTCTTGCTCCCTGGAATTCTTATGCTGGCAAATTTGTCCAGCTACAAAGAAAGACAGAATGACACACGTGTAAGTATTTCCTTTCCCAACATTTATCTCATCTCAAAAATGAGAAAAACAAAGAGGGCCAATCGTGTTATCATTGTGATTTCATCAAGAGGCATTCAGCATTGGAATATTTAAAATTAATAATAATAAAGAGTGGTGAAAATTTTTCAGCAACCATTCTATCTAAAGATTGAAGAGAGCTCAGACAACATTGAAAGATTCCTTCTAATCTTAAAACCACACATAGATTTGAGCTTCTAATGACAGGTGACCTTTGCTTTATATATTAGCAAATTAAGCAGTTTAGAAAGATTACTTAGATAATTTAGTGTTGGTCCCAAACTAGTACTCACTGTCCCATCTCCCACCCCCTCCTGGCCCCTCTGCCTATTGCCCTTTCCATAATGCATCCTGTCTCTCGGAGTGGGGGTGGGAGGGGAACATGATTTAGGAATTTTTAGGAATTGAATTCTACTTATATCTTCATAGCTTAGTGGCCTGATAAACTATTTATCTTTGTTCAGGCTGGTCTGTATGTGAACTTCTTGAATATCTACAGGGCAAAATGGTTAAGGCCTTAAGAAATAAACCTAGATTTTTGTTGCAATGAAATTTCTTCTACAACTAGATAATCAAATAGCTTGCTGACATTCAAAAAAGCATAGATATTAGTTTACAAAGCTAATTATTCATTTATTCAAAATTGTTTGAATTTCACAAGTTATATTGCTCACAAAGAACCCAGACTCATACATTTCATGACTAATACAATGTTTCAACAATCAAAAATGCAAAAAGTCTTAAGCTGAACCAGGCATCAAGAATAGAAGTATACTCAAACAGCACAGTGATTCCATGAGTTTTTTTTTATCATTGTTGTATACATTTTTAAGCTACTGTTCTCACCACGTATACTGTATATAAACCTGTACTATTCATTATGGTAGCCACTAGCTATGTATGATTATTAAATTAAATTGAATGATATTAAAAATTCAGTTCCTTCATTGGACTAGCCTACATTTCAAGTGCTCAAGAGCCACATGTGGCCAGCATACTAATACATATAGAACATTTCCATCATTGCAAAAAGTTTTAATGGACAGAGCTGGTATAGCCATTAAAAACGTCTGATACCTCAAAGGTTCAATTCAAAAGGACAATTAAGTCACAGTATTGTTTATTCAATTCACTAAAGAAATAGGATTTCTTCAAATAATGAGATGTAAAGATAAGTATTATCTTTCAAAATAGGTTTCTAAATTTACTATGAAGATAATGTCTAGGAAAAATACTATGTACTGCACTCACCCATGGTCCACCTAACATCACTTAAACATTAAAGTACTAAGAATACGACAGCTTTCTGTAGGATTTAGAAAGTTGTCATAAAACACCACTGCTCTCATTCTAACCACCAAAACAAACCAGAAAACGTATAAAGTTATACTTGCTGTTGTCGTCAACCCAACAGAAAACTGAAGACCCAAAGAAATCTACAAGAATCAAATACCAGAAAATGACAAGCTGCTCTTATCCCTGACAAACAGTTGAGGAAGAAGAATAAGTTAAACAAGGGTAAAGAAAAGCCAGCCAAATATTTAAGGAAATATTGATAGCTGCATGGGTGCTGGCATTAGAATTTCAAGGAGCCCCACATGAAGCCCCAGCCATTTGGCAAGTCTACACCCACCTACCAACTCTTTCCCTAGTCTTCACCAACTGAATGCGGTAGTAAGCCAATGGCTCGGAGCAGAACAGGAAAGCTGTATGAATACTCCGTGAGGCATATGCAAACAACTGCCCTCCAAAGGCCATAGACTAGGCAAAAGACTGGAGAGAAATCCCCATGACACATTCTGGACTTTGAAAGAGCATGTCATAATGCCATCTAAAGGCTGGGGCAGGGTACCTGGTCAAAGAGATTTCCTGAAGAAACAGCCAGAAGTAGAACTGAAAACAGAAAGAGAACTCTACATTAACCCTAAAATGGGCATTTTTTTTTTCCTGAAACGATATAATGAAGAGTGGACATTACACATGAGATGAATAATTTCAGCAGCAAAGTCACAGATTAAGAAAAAAAAAAACACGGATGAATTAGAAATAAAGAATAGATCGGAAATGAAGATTTTCTTAGATGAGCTTAACAGTAACCTGGACATAGCTGAGGAAGAATCAGTGAACCTAAACCCAGATCAATAGAAAGTTCCAAACTCAAACACAAACAAAATAATGAGATAGAAAAAAAATTGAGTATGATCTGTGATACACATCAAATGTTGTAACACAAGTGTAACTGGGGTCCAGAAGCAGAAGAGAGAGTGGAAATGGTACAGAAGAAATATTTCAGAAGATAATGACTAAGAATTTTCCAAAATTGATTACATATATATAACTCAATTCACAGATCCAAGAAGCTCAGCAAAACCCAAAAAGAATACAAAAGACACACACACACACACACACACACACACACAAACACACACACACACCTACCTACCCCTAAGCACTTCATGGTCAAACTGCTGAAAGTTAAAAATAAACAGCAAACCATAAAACTACAGCCAGAGAAATAAAAATACATTATATACACGAGAAAAAAATGATATGACAGCTAATTTCTCACCAGAAACAATGGTGGCAAAAGACAATGGAATGGCATCTTTAAAGTGCTGAAAGAAAGGTAGGGTTGACTCTTGAACAACACAGGGATTAGGGCAGTCAAAGTCCACATATAAATTTTGACTCCCCAGAAACTTAACTACTTATAGCCTCCTGTTAATGGGAAACCTTACCAATAACATAAACAGTCAATTAATACATTGCTGTATGTTAAATGTATTTACTGTATTCTTACAATAAGTTAGAGAAAAGAAAATCTTATTAAAATCATAAGAAAGAAAAAATACATTTACAATACTGTACTATATTTATCAATACTGTAAGTTTACATCATATAACAAGATGAATTGTCTGCTGAAATGGTGACCAACACAGCTACAGACCTCAATCTATACAATTCACGTATCAAGCAATTCACCTTTTTCTTGTAATGTCATGAGTTTTCTCTGATTCTTGGGATCACTTCAAGCATCACTAGTGGCACTTTGTATGGGTCCCATGGTGTTACTCAGGGTTTACGGTATTGCACTAAACACGATGAAAAATACTCAAGAACTGCAAGAGATCAGTTTTTACTGAAATACGCAATTTACTGGAGAGATTAACTGCTCAAGTGGAGATGATTAGTGTCAGGTGACATTTTAAGTAGATACTCAACACACCTGAGCTCACCGGAATAGCAACCAGAGGTGACTACAACATTAATAGAGTAATATAGTGTGCGGTACAGTTAATTTTATAAAGTTATAGTTTAATACTGCATCTTTACATTTGTTCACATTTCTCTTGACTGCAAACGGCACCATCTTTAGTTCATGTTTGTATGAACTAAAGTCAATAAATTTTGATTAATTTTAACTTTTTTTATAATAGATTTGTAAATGTTTTATGGTATTAAGTGAGAAAACAGACTATTATTTAAATATATTCAAGATATATATAACTTTTTCTTTTTTCGAGATTTCTAACCAGTTTGTCTGCAAGTTTTTTCAAATTATTGCAAATCTACAAAAATCTCCAATATATTTCTTTGAAAAAAACCTGTGTGTAAGGGGATCTGGGCAGTTCAAATCAATGTTGTTCCAGGATCAGCTGTACTGTTATCCTGGGATTCTATATACAGTGAAACTACCCTTCATAAGTAGAAGCAAAAGAAACACACTTTCAGACAAAAACTGAGATAATCTGTCTCCAGCAGACCTGTACTACAAAAAGTATAAAAGAATTTTTTCAGGCTGTAGGGAAGTGATACATATATAACTTTTTCTTAACTTGTTCTGGGATGAAATCCTAGATCTACAAAAAGAAATGAAGAGCAATCAACAGTTGTCTATTAGATGTTGGTGATACAAAGATAAATGAGCTATAAGACTTACCTTAAATAATTATCAAGTGGAAGAGACAAGCACATAGGTAATTATATAGCTACACAGAAAATGTAGGAGGTATGTGAAATGTATTATAATAGCAAAAAAGAGTGGCATATAACTCACCACCATAAGCGTTTCCTACTCTGGAATAACTCAGAAACATAAAACTGTCTCCACATGAATATATGTCCAGAAGTTACTATCCCTATGTACATTTGTACCCTCATTACTGATGTTTGTTTAAAACAAAAACAAAAACTGAGAGAAACCAAAAAAACTGTTTTAGGAAATGGGACTGGTTACCTATCTCCCAAGTCACTACTTCATTGCCATCATTTCTGTACGGATAATATCAATTCCTAAGCACAGAAACTATTCTGGTTCTTTACATACACACACATCCAAAAAAAAAACCCAGTGTAACTTAATTAATATGCCAAACTTATAATGAAGTGAAATTAAGCAAAACTTCATTAATGCAACATCAATATTATAAATGTAAACATGTCAATAAATGGGAATAATAAGCTTAAGCACTTCACAAGCTAATTTGTAAATGCATAACCTAATGGTTCTAACAGTAATAGAAGACATAAAATCTTAATTTTCACCAAAAACCAAAACTTTTTTTAAAAAGAATCTCTAAAGTCATAAAAATTAACAATATTTTTACTAATATTTACTGAGCCTTTTCTATATGTCAAGCACCAGGCTAAGAGCTTGAAATGCAGCATCAGGTTGAATACGTTGGTTTAATCCTTAAAGTGAGGAAACTGTATGTCTAAAAAATAAAAGAACAAGCTCCAAAACACTTTTGTACCTAACGATTTCATAGTATTGAGCTCAAAAATAGGACAAAGGAAAAAAATCAGCCATTAATGCTTTCAGGAGTAAAACTAGTAAAACTGTACTTGTATCAATAACATAATTTGTAAAAGTAATAACGTTAATAATAAAATATAATTATCACACCTACCCCATATGCTTAGCACCTAAAACTCTGGGGAAAAGATAAATTTTACCCAAATGGAAAAATAAATTTGTACATTACCACTAGTATAGACGGATGAAGGCAAGATAGGAAAAATTAGCATTCCCCTCTTCTAGCTTATAAATCCACAATGGTCAAAATAGTAATATGAGATACAAAAGGATCAATCAGTATTTCATATTTTCAATATAATGCTTTTATTTCTTTTCCCAGATAAGAAAGAATAAAAGAAAAAAATAAGGAAAGAACCATAAAAGAAAAATAAGCACAATCCTTCCTCCTATACTGGAATAGCAACTCGAATCTAATGAATACCTGAGGCTAAAAGTAAAAGCATTCCGTGCCCTATTGAGCACTCCAGGTAGATTCTACAAAATCTGGGCACTATAACAAAGCTAGGCACAAAGTGAGCTTTACTATCAAATCATTTTACATGTTATAAAAGAAGTTTCATTTTTTAAAAGAGAGGTTACTATGATTCCATTCACACATGGAAAAATCACTCCTAATCTATCTTTGATGAAATTGCACACACGATTTGCTTAAACCAAGGTACAATAGAACACTTGAGCAAACTTTAAAAATACTTTTTACATAAAAATATGACAGGAATCCCCCTAATATTGACCATAAGTTGGTTATCTTGTATTTGGCAATTTGGCTGGGGGTTGTTTATGTGTGTGTATTACAATTTGTGCACTTTCTATTTCATGTAAAATTTCCATAATTTTATATGAAATTCTCCTCTTAAAGTTGAGCAAGAAACACAACCCAGAGAGGTGAAGTATACAAACAATTTGCCTTTGTTGAAGAATTAGTTAAACATATGCAAGACTGAGAAGATTCTGTTATAATGCCATTTGGAGATGGTACACCACACTTCATTAATATGGCTTTGACTGTGTCTGGGGTACACTAAGTTTTATAAATTAATATCACGTATCTTCAGGGGAAGCTAAATGAGCACCCTACTGAGTATTATCTCATACTGAGTAATTACACTAATAATCAGTAATGACAGTTTAAATAAAATTAATTAAACAAAAAAAGGTTCAAAAAAAACTATCTGAATTTTTAGCTATAGTATATCACTGTAAAAGTGAAAACTCAGTGTTTAAGGTTTTCAGTATTACAACATTTTAAACACCAAAAGGCAAGTGATTCTTTAATTTAAAATGAAAGGAAAATATAATTAGTCATCTTACAATTTCACAAGTATGAAAAACTACATATGATCATAAACATACTTCATTAGAACCCAGAAGGGAGTAGAAATTTTCACGAAATCCAGGAGAATTATTAAGCAAACAAAAATTCCTTCTCATTATAGAATCAATTCTATCCAAATACATACCTGAAATACAGAATAAAATCTACTGCTTGAAATTCTCTATTTTCAGGCAATCTTACACGACGCTTAAGAGGGGGTAAAAACCTAACAGCTAACATAGCTTGGCTCTTTAGTTAACTTTATTACTAATCTGGGAACTTTGTGATTAAAAACAAGCAAGGCTCTGGAGTCTTGACTTCACAATCCTGTCCAGCCACTTGCTTAGTGTGTTACCACAACTAAGCTACTTAAACCTTCCATGATGGTACCCATCACAGAGAAGTGTTAACAGGAAATAAAAGTACTATTCACTCTCATCTTTGGATTTAAAAGGCTGAAATGCCTTCCCTGACCACTTTATCTAAAGTAGCACGTGTACCCACCCCTTATCCGTCACAGCACACAGTACAGTCTCTTCCTATGTCCTTTCACATGACTTACGAAAATCTGTAATTATCTCATTTATTTTGTAATTGTTAACTCTGTCTCTTTCCAACTAAAATGTAAGTGCCATGCTAGACAAACCATCAACTGTTTTAATCACTGTGGCAGCCCGTCTCTAAGATGGCCCCAGTGATCCTGATTTATGTAACCAACAGATATTTTGGAAATTATGAAGTGCAATTTTCAAGACTAGATCATAAAAGATTTTACAGCTTTTGTTTTGCTCCTTCTTGGGAGTATGCCAGCTGCCAGATCATGAGAACACTCAAGAACTCCTAAGGGGAGGCAAAGAACATGACAAAGAATTGAGGGCTTCCACTAAAAGATAAACAGGTTTCTTGCCAACAGCCATGTGAGTGAGCCATCTTGAAAGTCCTGGTCAAGCCTTCACATGACTGTAGCTCCAGCCAACATTTTTACCGCAAACTCAAGGCAGAACCCAACCCAGAACCACCCAGCTAAGCAACTACCAAATTCCTGACACACAGAAGTGGTATGAAATGATAAATCTTGGCCGGGCGCGGTGGCTCACGCCTGTAATCCCAGCACTTTGGGAGGCCGAGGCGGGTGGATCACGAGGTCAGGAGATCGAGACCATCCCGGCTAAAACGGTGAAACCCCGTCTCTACTAAAAATACAAAAAATTAGCCGGGCGTAGTGGCGGGCGCCTGTAGTCCCAGCTACTTGGGAGGCTGAGGTAGGAGAATGGCGTGAACCCGGGAGGCGGAGCTTGCAGTGAGCCGAGATCCCGCCACTGCACTCCAGCCTGGGCGACAGAGCGAGACTCCGTCTCAAAAAAAAAAAAAAAAAAAAAAAAAGAAATGATAAATCTTTGCTATTTTAAGTCACTAAGTTTTGGGGCAACTCGTTATATACCAACAGATAACGATTATAGTCATGTTGTGTATGCAGCCTATAGCACAGTACCTGATAGTTAGCAGTCAGTCAAGTAATACTTGTTGAAGGTATGAATGAATGAGCAATTACTAGATGATAAAATATATAAAACATAGTTACCATCCCTACAGATGCTTACCATTTGAGAGAAAAATATACAATAAAGGATCATAATTTAAGGTAGAATATTGTAAATGCCCCCAAGAAAATAAGCCAAGTGAACTAGCAACAGGAATGAATGATTAATTCTAGAGTGGGGAAAAGTACCTTGAGAGGGGCTTTGGAATGTAAGTACAACAGGGAACTTGTGATGCTGATATGAAAATTATAGAACATGTTAACTGCTAAGCAGTATGTCTGCCTGTTCCATGGTCTTTACATTTAAGCACTAGTGACATCACTGGTTTTACAAAGATGTATCACTGTGGAGAGAAAAACCAACCATTCAATCTTTCAGGTATGATAAGCTGAGGCCAGTTTTAGGCCATAGACTTAACCACCCAGGAACAATTCCTACCATCCGATCAACTGCATTCTGACTTCGATATTCCTCAATGTTACAAATGGGCTTCTTCACCTCTTAATTTGTATTTTACTGGAATTTATAAGAAGTTCTTTAGCCAGAGGCTTCTTTGAAAAGACGAAAACTTACTGTTCCCTCCCTACCAAAAAATACTTGATTATCTACTTATAATATTTTGTCCACATTTAGGTTTCACATAGTATTTTAATATTATTAAATGAAAAACAAATTTATGCTCTTAAAATTTCTTCAATTGCTTGAAAATAAGTTACAACATGCAATACGTGTTCTAAAGCCAGCTGTCATGCCATGGAGCAGTGTTTGGAGATGCCTGCACAGGGAAGAACCGAGGCCTCCCCGCACCAATTAGCACCCACTTGCCAGTCATGAGTGAGCCACTTTGGAAATAGATACTCCAGCCCCATCAAGGCTGCAGATGATTATAATCTCATGAAAGACCTCAAAACAGAACCATACTGTAAGCTGTTTCCAAATTTTTGATGCAAGAAACTGAAATATCAAGTGTTTATTATTGTTTGAAGCCACCAAGTTTTGAGAAATGTTATATAGCAATAGATAATTACAGAGCTCCTCATAGAATACTTTTAAATGCCTAAAATATATACGAACTAAAGTAAAATGAGGTTATAAAATTATTAAATTTTAATATATCAATAAATGTTCTTCACTATTGCATTAAATAACAAAGGTAATGACAAGTCTAATTTCAACATATTGTCAAATGTAAACCATATTTTGAAATGTCTTCAGTAACTACTGTGCTTTGAAAATATCTGATTTCTGTTGGTGATAAAGTCGCAGGCCAAATACTACTGTGGGTTTTTCTGGCATGCTGATAGGTTTTTTTTTTCCTATATGCATAACTGAAAGAAATACTAAATTTCATTTACAGATTAAAGAAAATAAAGATTTAATTTTTTCTTCAAGGACACCACGAATTCCACCAAGACCCCTTGGTGGTCCATGGACCACAAGCTAAGAACACCTGGTAGGTGGGTACAGAACGATAGCAGAAATTGTGGTGGAAAAGGAGAAAGTAACTCAAGTTCCAATGCCTTCAGTGAATCAGTGGGAGGGACTAGAAGACCTACAGTTGAGACCACCAACAAGGAGGAACCAACAGGTTGTATACTCTGATGGTTTATGCTTCAAAGAGAGCTGGAAGCTTTTGAAGTAAGAAGCCACCAGGAAAATAAAGCCATCAAAGAACATCCAGGTTTCAACTACAGCAAGGAGGAAAGAGAACATTCAAAGAAGACGACAGACTTCGAGTTCCAAAGGGCAAAGTAGGAGGGTTTGGGAAGCCTGGAGGACTTGATAGATATCAGATTAGAAGAATGAATGGACCTGAATAGTGAGAGAAGCAAAGGGGTGATTACTGATGATATGAATTGATTATGACTCAGCTCTGCCGAAAGGTGATTTGAATTGTGATAACTGTAATGAAAATTAATAAAGACATAAACCAAAGCATGTGGACTACACCTCCTTTATTCATCTTCTCTCTGTCTCTACTGTCGCTAGCTCAGGCCACTTCTAACCTGCCTCCTAGCCTTCTAACCTGCCTCCATCTCTTCACTGCCCTCTCCCCCTACCATGCTATAGCAATTCTCTACCCCAACATCATTCAACCACCTGAAAATGCAAATCCAGTCATGCCCCTCACTCCTGTGGTTAAACTCTTTCAATAGCCCCTCATTACTCAAAGGATGACATTCTTGGCTCAAAGGTTCATCTTGATCTGAACATATTTCCTCTCTAGACAATCTTTTCACCACTCCACCACCTTACACTGTATGATCTAGAGATAATGAACAACCTAGAATCTCCTAAACATGTACAGGTTGTTCCTTGTGCCTAAAACCTACCCACACCTCATACCCCATCCCCTTACCTGGCTAATTTCAACTCAATCTTCAGCTCCCAACTTAAACTACAGCTCATGTAAGAGCCCATTTTGATTCCTCAAGACTGAGTTAGATGCTCAAAGACTTAGTGCTTGCATCATATAATATGTATACAATTCTTTAAATGCCTGTGAACTAGGCTTTAAGTCCTTGAGAACAGATACTGTTATTTTATTCACTAAACCCCCTCTGAACTTACCACAGTTCTAAACATGTAGTGGATGTTATATTAATATTTGTTAAGTGAATAAATTAATAATTAGCTTCCTATCTTCCAGGCCTGGAACACCCTAGCCATTGCTTCTTGCCATGCTAAATTTTTCTCAACAATATTTTAAATAAAAAATAATTAACACAGCATATGAAGGGAGAATGCCAGGTGTTATGCCTTTTATATATTCAATAGGAAAACCCAGACTCTTCCTAACACTGATAATTTAGAGTAGGCCCCTACACTAAAAACAAGGATAACTTATGTTATTTAATATCATGATATAAGGTAATAAGAAAAATATCCATTCAAAAAGGAGCACACATATCATTGAAAAAAAATTTAACATTCAAGAAACCCCAAAGTTCTATCTACCCATCTACTCAAAGTACAATTCTAATTGCATATATTTAAATATTAATAATATATACTTGAGAAGTAATATAAATTAGCCCTGTATATATTACATTTTATTTTAAAAAGCATAGACCTATATTACCCATAAACAAAAAGTCATGTGAAGACATCAATAATCGCTTTCTACTTGCCAACCTGACATGCTTCCACTACGAATCCATTTCATTGGTATGCCAGAAGTAAAATTAATAAGGAGTAAAAATTACACCAACTCCTGCCAGCCCAGATTCCAACCTGTCCTTCAAAACTCAGCTGAAAAGTCACCTTCACATGAAGTCTTCTAAGATCAAGTGACCTTCCAGCCCCTATCATATCACACTAAAACTACTGATTGTCTATACATCCATTTCTCTACTGCACCCAGACGACAGAGACCTTCTTTTTCCATATTTGTATTTCTAAAAGAGTACTAGGCACTCAACAAATTATTAATGAATGAGTGGACAAAACAATGAATATACAAGTCTGTACACCCTACTACATATTAGTATATTCAACTCTGAGAGCTCTTGATCTTATTCCCAAGTTTGTGCTGATTTGAGGAGGAGCTCTCTAAACTATCCTATAAATATTTAAAGATTCTAAGATAGTACTTAAGTATTACTACTGAAAATTTAAGTACAGGAAGTCCTAATTAACTCATTAATGGGCTAAGAAAGGCCCACCTGACTAAATGAACAGTTTAAGTTATTTAAAACAGAACTTGTTTGGATGTATTTTACATTCAGTCGCCCCAATCCATGCTGGTATTTCTACTTTACACAGAAGAGTATAATATGAATATATAGTTTTACTGAAAAACTGTGGTTGGGCAGATGGTACATCACACTTTTTATCACTCATTGTTATTAACTTACCAAGGAAAATATAAAAAGTTAATGAAAATAGAAAGTAAATTATAGTACAGAGAGCCTTATATCCTACTAGAATAATAAGATAAAACTATCTTAAATAATTCTAGGTTGAGCCTTTATTTTTAAAAGCTACTGACTTATGTTCTATTACTTGACTTTAAAGTTAGGCACAAATTCAGGTAATTAAAGTCATTTTCCTTTCTTTCATAAATATGATGTATAATTTAGCATATATCCCACAAGACACATCACATCTAGGTAGGTACAGGTAAACAAAGCTCAGTCCTATTAGGCCGCATTCATCTTTGAGTGAAGTCTCACAGAAATCACATCGGAATGTACTAGAGTTGTCTGGTAACAGTTATACCGAGGAAGAAGGCCCAGAGAACAGTTAGGAGGTGAGAGAAGAGTGAGGTGAAAGCTTCCACTCACTCACTAGAACCTACATCCACAGCAGGTGATTTCTGCAGTGGCTCTATGACCCCATTACCCCGGGAACTTTGAGGAGAACAAGGAAAGCCTGTATCTATATCTGGGCGCAGGCAGCAGTTGTTCTGAGATATGTGAAGTGCTTTCTATACAGAGAAATTTTTCCATGTCCTTTGTAATTAAAAGAATCTCATATCCTTTAACAGATGACCTCTCAGTCCAACACCTCACTATTTTTTGGGGTGGATTTTTTTCAGTTTTGTTTACTTGAGATATTCAAAATAGTTCATTTCTCATCTTAGAAAACATCTTAGATATAGTATGTCTTTATAATTATAATGATTTTCTCCGGATTAAGGTCAATGGCTATGATACAATTTCTCTTTTCCAATTAGAAGTCTCATATCGATGGCATCAAGGGAAAAGCGGACAATATTAAGATACGGTCTTGGTAACATGGAGAAACCCCATCGCTACAAAAAAATACAAAAATTAGCCAAGCAAGGTGGTGTATGTCTGTAGTCCCAGCTACTTGGGGGTCTGAGCTGGAGCCCAGGAGGTTGGGGCTACAGTGAGCTGTGTTTGCACCACTGCCCTGGGTGACAAAGCGAGACCCTGTCTCAAAAAAAAAAAGGGGAAAGAATGAGATATACTTCTAGATTTTACATTTGGTGCTCTCAGCGGAGAAAAGGATAGTACTTAAATGGCATTATAATGCTTTTGATAAAGATCATGTTACTTGGAGCCAATCTGCCAGAGTTTTCCTGGCTGCCCTCTATGACTCTGAATAAGTTACTTAAGCTCTCTCTTCCCCCAGTTTCCCCATCTTTAAAGATGGGAACAGTAACAGTGCTTACTCAGAGGTTTGGTGTTACAATTAAATGTGTTTATATAGTAAACATTTGGAACACTCTTTAGCACATAGCTAACAATTACATAGTCCTTACTGTTACTTAACACACCGCTCTTCTAATTAGCAACCACAATTCCCTAGTTATGTTGTTTTGTTTTGTTTTTTTAAGACAAGGTTTCCCTCTGTCACTCAGACTGCAGTACAGTGGCACAATCATGGCTCACTGTAGCCTCAAACTCCAGGGTTCAAGTGATTCTCCTGCCTCAGTCTCCCAAGTAGCTAGGACTAGGACTACAGGTTCACATCTGCATACCATCACACCCAGCTAATTTTTTTTTTTTTTTTTTTTTTTTTTGGTAGAGACAGGGTCTCCCTATCTTGCCCAGGCTAATCTCGAAGTTCTGGGCTCATGCAGTCCTCCCACTTCAGCCTCCCAAACAAAGTGCCGTGATTACAGACATGAGCCACTACACTCAGCCCCCTAATTATGTTTTTATACTCCCTAAGTAAATTCTCCAGCATCTTATATCTTTGTATTCCCTAGAAGGTTTCTGCACGCTAATGAGAGATGCATTATCAAGTTAGAGAGGCAGGGTCCTGTCATGAAGGCCTTATCTGCCATGTTAGACTTGACCTATATAAAACAGTTGCAATTAAGCAGTTTCAAACAGCATAAAACATTATCAGATAGGCAATGTAGATAGATCACTCTGATAGCTGTGTGGGAAGGTGGCATTTTGGGTAGCAATAGGAAGCTGCCAGAGTCCAGAGAAGAAAAAATGAGAAGACTAGGACTGATAGAAGAAACGAGAGAAGAAGAGATTCAAGAAATAATCAGAAAGAAACATTGGAAAGGTGAAGCTACTTTCTAAGAGAATATAAGGAATAAAACAAGTTTATGAGGAAAGTAAAGGGTTTAACTTAGAGCACACAGAGCTTCTAGAATAGATGAGACATCCATTGAGGTTATTCAGTAGGCCAATGAATTATTTCTCAATTGGAGGAAAAGGTCCTAAACAGAGATATACATGGTTAGTTGAAAACTTCAGAGGTGATTACCCAAGTAAAACACTACATACCGAGGGAAAGAATAGTAGAATCAGGAAAAACAACTGAGAAAAAACAATAATTTAAGGCAAAAAGGAAAAATTATGCAACCAGATAGATAATGAAAAGTCAAAGGGGTATGAAATTGAGAAAATTTGATGTCACAGAAGTCAAGAAATCTTTGTTCTCCAAAGAAGCAGCATATGATTATATCAAGTAGAGTAGGTAAATCCAATAAATTTCCAAGAACTAAAAACTAATAAAAATTATTTGTGATTTTAAAACGTCATTTATTAAAGATAAAGAAGTCACAACAATCTTATATATGCACTTTACTGCAAAGCTTCAAAATACGTGAAGCAAAAACCAATCGAACGGGAAAAATAAAATCTAAAATCACAGTGGGAGACTTCGATACTTCTCTCAATAATTGTTAGAACACACAGAAAATTAACAAGAATACAGAAGATGTGAACAGCACTACCAACCATTCAGAATATACACGAATACTGACCAAGATAGACCATGTTCTGGGACATAAAGTAAGACTTAAAAAATCAGAAAGGACAGAATTCATGCAAACTACAGGTCTCTGACCACGAGGGAACTAAATTACAAATCAGACACAGTCAAATATCAGGAAAACCCCTAAATATTTGGAAGTTAAATAACATATACCAAAATAACCCATGGGTCAAAGAAAATAAGAAATTTAAAAATATTCAATTCAATAAAATTTTGTGGGATGCAGCTAAAGCAGATGTCAGAGGAAAATTTATAGCATAAAAAATCTAACATGTTAGCAAACAAAGGTATTAAATCAATGACTTAGAGTTCTACCTTAAGAAATCAGAGAAAAAAATAATAAAACAAAAGAAAGTAAATAATAAAGGTAAAACAAACAAAAACAAAAGAACTATAAAGAAAATTAGTGAAAACAAAAGCTAGTTTTTCAAAAGATCAATAAAACTGGCAAACCTCTAGCCAGACTAGTCACAGAGAAAAACACAGAAAACACAAATTATCAATATGAGGATTGCAAAGGGGGTAATTAATACAGATCCTGCATTAAAGGGATAAGAAAATATCACAAACAACTTTATACCCATAAATTCAACAACATAGATAAAATTTAAAATATAGGTAAAAATTTAGATTTAACAATATAGGTAAAATGTATGTCCTTGAAAGACATAAACTACCAAGGCTCACTTAGGAAAAAATAGATTACTTGAATAGTCCTATATCTAGTAACAGACATTTAAACAAGAAAATGTTAAATAAGCACATAAAAAAAAGTTCAACATTAGTAATTGTGGGAAACAATTTGTCAGTTTCTTATCAAGTTAAAGACACACTTACTATATGACTCCCACAAAAAACAAAAACATATACACAAAAAAAAACAATGCTGTACTCAAATGCTCATAGCAACTGTACTAATAATAGCCGAAAACTGGAAACAACCCAAACTGCTGAAGTTAAACCAATTGTAGTATTACCAAACAATGAGCCAGACACAAAGGCAACACACTTTGTGACTCCATTTATATGAAATTCTAAAAACTGAACTATAGTTCAGAATGCTGATAAGTGTTTGTCAAAAGCCAGGATGGGAGAAGAGAATTGACTGTAAGCGGGTACAGAGGGAACCTTTTGGGGTGATGGAAATATTTCATATCACGACTAGTGCACTCATTATTGTATATATTTCTCAAAATTCATCAGATTATACTCAATACTGGTACAATATAATGCACGTAAATTATATTGTAAGTAAATCATACCTCAACTTTTTTTTTAACTTTTAGGTTCAGAGGTACATGTGCAGGTTTGTTATATAGATAAACTCATGTCACATAGGTTTGTTGTACAGATTATTTCAGCCAGGTACTGGTCCTAGTACTAGTACTTAATAGATATTTTTTCTGATATTCTCCCTCCTCCCACCCATCACCCTCAAGTATGCCCCAGTGTCTGTTTTTCCCCTCTTTGTGTCCATGTGTTCTCATCATTTAGCTCCCACTTACAAGTGAGAACATGCAGTATTTGGTTTTCTGTTCCTGTGTTAGTTTGCTAAGGATAATGGCCTCCAGCTCCATCCATGTTCCTGCAAAGGACATGATCTTGTTCTTTTTTATGGCTGCATAGTATTGCATGGTGTATTAGTACCATACTTTCTTTATCCAATCTGCCATTGATGGGCATTTAGATTGATTCCATGTCTTTGCTATTGTAAATAGTGCTGCAATGACCATACGTGTACATGTGTCTTTATGGTAGAAAATTTTATATTCCTTTGGGTATATACCCAGCAATGAGATTGCTGGATCATACCTCATTTTTTGAAAGTGTGTATTACTAAACATAGCACTAAATTATAAATGCACGGTTTACCAAGCATCTTACTTAATTTGTCCCTTAAACTATCTCTATACCAAGGCTCAAAAGCTACATAACTAACACAAAGTCACACAGCTAGTAAATGGCAGAGGTGGCATTCTAACCTGGCTTTCCTACATGCAACTACATATAATAAAGAATAGACACTAATGCAAAGACCTCATGACTTCCTCTAGTTTCTGTGCAGGCCAATGTTTGGTTTTCTAGCTATAGCTGTTAACCATTTGTGGGTCATGAAATCAATTTAGTGGATTCAATTACCTTTTTTTTTTTTTTAAGGAATGGAGAGGAGTGAAGAAAATTAGAAAGGAATGGAAATAAAAAGATCAGAATTCATTTTGCTTAGAAATGTTAAATACTGGTTTTTAAACTTTTGTTTCAACTGAGAAGCAGAGAGTTTAGGAGTTTATGCATGCCAGGCTACAAAATAAAATATATTTCTTAATGCAGTATCTAGTCAAAAAGATTTGAAAACCATTGCTGCAGGCCAAACAGTAAAGCAGGCTGCAGTCAGATGAACAAAGAGATGAGGATCATAGAAGTACTATACTGTAGACAAATGGTTATGAAGGACAGGAGAGAAAACAGCAAGTCAAAAACAACTCCTATACTCCAAAAACACTCAGTGGACACACTGATGGATAATTTAGCATTGTCACATCCACATTCAATGTCTTCCAACTTACCTTTTCAAACCTGTCTCCCCTCACTCCCCCCTCCTCCCAACCTTTTTGCCTCTATGAGGAAAACCTTCTTCAAAACCCAGGTATAAGCAATGGAAGTTATAAGCTAAACATTTATTCACCTTTATTTATTACCCTAGCACCTAAGCTGCACTTTATACAAAGAGAATGCTCATATTTATAGAACAAACACTGCTTATAGTCTATTAACTCTGCCTAGGGAACCCAACAATATAGCAATCCTTTATTCCTTTAACAAGACAGTGAAATTCAATTCTGATAGTAACTCAAGAAATAACCTTAAAACATGAAGTACTTTTGCAGACCTTTAACAAAACAACTTAAAGGGATAGGTTTTTAACATTAATGCTTCCCGTGATGTTTTAATGTTTCTAAAATACTGTTATTCAAATGTATGACTACAGCACATTGCTATTCTTATATGCCTCTCTCAAGTTCTGACCAAAAAAAAGGCTATTCACATTAAGAATTTCTACGTTGAAAGCATACATGCAATGTGTATGTTGTAAGGGGGCAAACTTCAATCAGAAAACATATTGCCAGTACATATCAAAGCATCATTGGCAAATGCTGCCCTGAGCTCTAACACACCAGAAATAGTTTAAAGAGCCCTCAAAATATCCAGCTACCCTTTCCCTTCTCACAACTCTGCATTGATCTATAACATATACCCTGGAAGGCTCAGCTGCAAATGTGTCACACCACTTCTCTGTCTGTACATCAAGAAATATTTTTTAAAGGGGTAAAAACGGACAGAACTGAATGCAGCAGGTCAACATACTTAAACTTAAGAAACTCACCAAAACTATGAGAAAGGAAGAAACTGTATAATTAGTCCCAATTTAAATAAGTGAACAATCAAATAATTGATTTGCCAAGGTAACAGAGCTAATAAGAGGTAAAATTCTGTCTTTCACCAAGAATCTTCTGATTCCAAATCCAACAATGCTCTTTCTACACTGTATCAGTCAACAATGAATAAGAAAGAATTTACTCTTTGGTGTCTCCTGTTGAAGATAGCCATGCTTATTCTCAAATCTCTACAGCAACAGATACAGATGCCTAAACTAGGCTACCTGCCTGATCCTTCCCTGGACTAAATTCTGGGCCTACCCAAGAGACAAGCTAAAGCACAAGATCAGAAGAGAACAGTGAGAGTGAGGAGACAG
Organism: Homo sapiens; assembly: GCF_000001405.40. NCBI lineage: Eukaryota > Metazoa > Chordata > Mammalia > Primates > Hominidae > Homo > Homo sapiens. Next base: position 60,130,389 of record NC_000013.11, read on the forward strand.
TAGTTCAGTCAGCAAGTCCATGTGAAGAGGGTCAATGAGGAATCCAGGAGAGACAGACGTGTACAATTAAGAAGAAAGCAGGGGCAAGGCAATCCAGGCAAGCGGTCAGAAAGACTGACAGAAGGTCCTCATTACAGCTCCCTTACCTTGTGCAAAAAAGGCAAGACTCTGTCTCTGGGAAGCCTGACTAGCGCCAAGCCAGGCTGAGATCCAATACCAGGCAGGTTATCAGAACAGTGACTCTTTCACTTGTTCAACAAAAAAATTTATTAAAATACTCACTATGTGCCAGAAAGCATGCTAGGTACTGGAAGTATTCATTACACATCGTCCCTGCCTTCAAAAGGTTTAAACCATTGAGAAAGGCAGATAATAAATGATGTATTGTTGAAGATATGCACTAGGCATTATGGTAACAACTCAAAAGTTTTTACCTTACCAAGGCCAGTTGCAAGGATAAAGGGAGAGGTGAGGAATGGGGGAAGGTCAGAGAAAGAACTAAGAAAGTCCTCAATGAGGAACTCAATTATTAATATAAGATAGAGCAACATGGCTTCTGGAATGGCATGCCGAAGCCACCCTATGACTCTAGTTTCTAAAACTTAAGGTAAAGATCGTGGGTTGGCAGTGTGCAAGGACTGTCATATAATGAAAATAAGGGCAGTGTTTGAAAGAGAAAAAAATGCAATGTCCATAAAATATGAATAAACCTCAAAAATGTCATCATACAGAATACTATCCAGCAATAAAAGTGAATGAGGCTGGTGCAGTGGCCCACATCTACAATCCCAAAACTTTTGGAGGCCACGGCAGAAGGATCACTTGAGCCCAGGAGTTTAAACCCAGCCTGGGCAACATAGGGAGATCTTGTCTCTCCAAAAAATTAAAAACTTCAAAATTAGCTAGGTGAGGTGGTGCATGCCTGTAATCCCCGCTACTCAGGAGGCTGATGTGGGAGGATTGCCTGAGCCCAGGAGGTCAAGACTGCAGTGAGTCATGATCATGTCACTGCACTTCAGCCTGGACAACAGAGCGAGACCCTGTCTCAAAAAAAAAAAAAAAAAAAAAAAAACAAATGAAGTACTGATACATGCAACAATGTGGATGAACCTTGAACACATTATGGTAAGCGAAATAAGTGAATCACGAAAGACCACATACGATATGAGTCAATTTATATGAAATGTCCAGAACAGGCAAATCTATACAGTCAGAAAGTAGATTGGTGGTTGCCTAGAACTGAGGGAGTTGAGGGAAAACAGAGAGGGATTATTTATGAACATGACGTTTCTTTTAAGGTTGACGAAAATGTTCTAAAAATGACTGTAGTAATGGTTGTACAATTCTTCTGAACAGATCAAAGCTGTTACAAATATATCATTGTATATCATAAAACTTCAAACATAAAAATTGCAGATGGTTTATCAGCCTTAAGAAGCCATTTGCAAGCTGGGTTAAGTTAGCACACTAAGTATATGAGACTTAAAGCAATGTGGAACAAAATTCAAGCTATAACTGTATCACTTGCCAGCTGGGCACACTTGAGCAAGCTACTTAATCTGTCTGAGCCTCAATATTGTCAACTGTAAAATAAAGACATCTACCTTGCAAGGTGAGAAATCTGTATTGTTACCAATTTCTATATGTTAGTATATGAAAATGTCATCCAGAAAATTATATGTAAATATGCTTTTCTTAGGTACTATTCAAAGGAATAAAACATACCAACATTCTAATACAATTTTTAAGTCATTCATGTCAAGATCTACGTTTCATTCGTCTTTGTATTCTGCCTTACCCAGGTGCATAAGACAGTACTTTGGATATTAGAAGTACTATTTTCTAAGTGCTTACTATGGTCTAGGCATTCTCCTTCATGCTTCATATATGGTGAAGTTTAATGCAAAGCCTGGTCAATGGGGGGCCATGCTTTTTCCTCTATAACACACTTACATATTTTTGGTGTCATTGTTTGTGTTTTGTTGTTGTTCTTCTTGTTATTCCTTTACTATTAACCACAAGTTACATTTAAAAATATATTTCTCAGAAAAACTTACTTGACTATGCAAGAATCTACAATGGTGCTATAAAGTGTTACTATGAGAAGCCCTATTATTTTCAACATAAAAAACGTAGTAAGGCATACCCGGTTCTCTCATTTTTAAGCAAAATTTTAAAAATATATATGCATAATATTTTAGTCTGACTTACTTTAATTAGCAACTACATATTTCTGAAAAGCTGACATGTCTTTGCTATTTTTACTTCTTTTTTGAAGTGTGCAACTCATTCCTAAAGAATGAGAGTTGATTTGAATGATTCAAAGTTGACTAACAATTTGTAATTAAACAAATTTTTTTAATTAACATATCCACCATTCACTTTACAACTTAAAACCAACAATTTAGTGTATTTTACCAGTTCTGCCTCTTATTTCAGCACTATAAGAATAGTACGTTTCCAATATATGTGACTTTTAGCCATTTCAAAGATGTTAGCAGAGCACACCATCAACGTTATATGGTTAGTTACAATTCATAACAAAGGAAAAGTTGAGGATAATCTTACCATATCATCCGTCAGTGTCCTAATATTTAAATGCTGCAAATTAAAAAAAAGCAATCATATTAGTAATTTATAACAGCTTCTTTATTTTAGTTAATAGGGTACATTCAAAATTCTACAATCCTAACTTGAATATAATTAAATTTCTGACAGTCCAATAAAAACACATTATATATAATCGTTTTAATCTCTTTCTCAAAAAGATGGACAAAAGTTACCCTGCGTGTGATAGTTCCAAACACTTACTAAAATTTTTTTACTTTGTAAAACTCACAAACTAAAAAATTAACTATGGTACAATAAATATATTATCCCAATTAACAGTATTAATTACCATTAAGTATATTAACTTAGAACACAATGTATCTGTCTGAGAATGAGGGCACATAGAAAAAATAAAATGAAAAAGAACACTGGATATAAAAGATTTTAATGTGATGATTTTTCAGAAAATTTTTCATATTATAGAACAGTGAAACTTTAAATTTACCATTAGTATGCAGCATAATAGATAATGAAGTACTTTGCTGGCTTAATTAACTTAAACAATTCTAGTAACAGAGAAGAATGTACTAAAATGACTATTTGCATCTTTAACATCAGTTTGATTTATCATGAGTGGTGACAGTAGACACTTTTCAATTTCATTGCTAGCTTCAAGGACCCTTTTGCTGATTTCCTTGCTAGACAAACATAAGACCATTCTAGAGAGTGAATAGTTTCCTGCAAAATACAATTCAAAAGAAAAAAATAATTATTTAGAGAAAAAACACAGAAATCTAAGTTTTATAAGTCCCAGTGTCGGGAAAGATATTGTATTCAAGTAACTGGAATCAATTACCAATTCTCCTTTCTCTTATTCACTGGAGCATTCAATTTTTAAAGGGGCAGGGAAAGGGTCAAACACATTTTCTAAATAGGAAACAAGGTCTACTCTTTTATAAGGACAGATGTTAATAACCATTATCTAACAGACTAAGTGGTACACAGTTAAATTCAACATTTACTTAATAGAATGAAATTTATCATTCATGTTTGTATACTCAAGTACACCTTCATGCTCATGAATCTACCTCAGTGATGATCCAGATTAAAAATCTGTACAATGTAAATCACCATCCCAGATTCTCTTCTCCCTTTCTTTCACCAAGATGTTCCTTCTTCTAGTGCAAAGGAAAGAAGGTAACTTGTATCTAAAATGAATTTTGTGTATACCAAAGAAAATGTAGCCAAATGAAAGACCATTAGCCACACCACTAGGCTCCAGATTAAACTGCCTTGTTGAATTAGAATCACCTACTTTGACTTGGGAATAAGGAAGTAATAATAGTGGATTAACTAAGGGTTAGTATCTAATACCAGGCTATAGAATTTGCTTTTTTATCAATACTATCTTCAGCCTTTGAAATTAACAAGTACGCACGGTGGTCCTTAAAAGTGGTTGGGATCCTGAGCGGGATGTAAAGTATGTAAGGAACTTAGGGCCACAGTGTCACCCCAGAGACCATTACTAAAATTAAACCCAAACGTAGAGGGCTCTTGAGTTTGCAGAGAAAGGAGCTGGGGCAATGCCTGTGTGAGGCGCCCTTCCTCTAACAGCCTGTTGTATGTGTGCCTTCCTGCCAGTAGAGGCTTCCAGCCTATTGCATTTGGTTAACCACATTTCACTCTTGTTATTCCACAATCAGAGGTATCACTCCAATCACATCTCATTTCACTCTCAAAAGGGTTCATTTCAAGTTCCTGTGAAAAAGAAAAAAAAAAGTGGCAGGTAATGAACTTCTGGCACAATGGCATGCCAAGTGGCCTAATGCTTAAAAAGTAAAGCCAAAGAAATAAACTATAAAGCTGAAATCCTATTTAGGATGGTATGCCACAATAAAGAGAAAAACATCTACTTAAACAAATAAAATATTCCCAAAACCAGCTTGAATTGCCTCAGGAAAATGCCATAAAAGTGATATTTTAAAAAGTAAGAGTAAAAGACAATAAAAATAGATAAATAATTTTAAAATAAAGACGACTAGGGTCCAGGCAAGATTTATGATCTAAAAACTACATAAAAGATACAGAAAGTAAAAGGAAAATAAAACTAGACAGGAAAATAGGAAATGTAAGTTACATGATGCAAAATCCAGTTGTAAACATTCAAGAGAAACACTTATATACTGTCAAAGGTCTAAAATTAGACCATCTTTTTAAAATTTCAGTTGGGCTCACAACGTTCAGGAAAAAGAACAGCCACTCTTATGTAAAAACAAGGCAACCCAGGGATCCATTTTTGGTCATGGTTTTCTTTTTTTTTTTTTTTTAATATATACATTCTGAAACTATCTCATTGAGGGTATAGCTTTTTAAAAGATTTAATTTCCTAAAGGCTTGATCTGTTTTCAAACTATATAGGTATGTACATAAGCCCAGTTATAACCTATGTTATTATATTTCCCAAAGAACATGTGATGAATCACAACAGAATTAAGATGCAGGTGTATCCTGCATGGAGAAGAAAACTCAAAGGGATGTAGATGTGGAGAGTATAACAGAGTCTGAGAGAAAAGAAGGTCAAATTCATCATTCCTTCTCTTCCAGAGAACACTTACCTATCAATTCTCACCATCAGCAAGAGAAGTCAATAGGGCAGGAAATCACAGCAAATTCAAGAGTCCAGACGGGACTGGAGAAACTCACTAACAGAGTAAGGAGCTGGAAAACTGATCTGAGAATTGTGTTTCTTTCTACACCAAAACAATAAAGTCAGAATAGGTTTCATTTCAAGATTTAGCTTGCTGAAGAATAGAGATTACATAGTTATGTACACACATGCAATCTTAAACCACTAAAGATAGGCTAGCATTAAAAATCTAAATAAATCTAAGCACTAGTAATTTCCCTTAAAAACTGGAATGTCTCATCATAGTTTACTTTAAACGTGAATTAAAGAAAAAATAAACACTAAATACTTAGTGAAAAAATGTAAACACTATATCAAGTGGCAATCTTTTGTAGGATGTCTGAATGTTAATACTAAATTCAAGTTTATCATTGAAAGTTTACATGATCTCAAGGTCCTGCCTGTTTGGCTTATACACATAAAATAGGGACTATCCATGAAGTAGAAATTGCCAAGAAGAGGGAGAAAGGAAGAAAATGACTAACTAAATCCTCAGATAATTCTATGGGGTTTTAGCCTTACTTTTGTAAATACAAAACTATAAGGGTAATATCCTTAATTAAAATTAGAAAAAACTTTGTAACACAAAAATATTGATTTTATGGTGGTACTTGAGGTACTGTTTAAAATGAAGTACCTCTGTTTTATAGCCACCAGCAATGCTCTTTACTGTCTTCTAGTTCAGGAAAATAGTTAACTGCAAACATCAATCCAGTTCATGAGTAGCCACCGTGGACATCTACTCCAAAAAGGAAATAGAAACATAAAACCGACTATTAAATGGAAGCAACTAGGAAACACCTTTAAAAATAATAACCTGATAGCAAATTTTTAGGGTTATATTTACCAAAAAAAAAAAAAAAAAAAAGTTAGAAGCATACAGTTTTAGACATTAAAACTTTCATATCTAAATGTGACTTTGTGACCTTTACATATATTACCTACCTGGCCTATGATTCTAGAGGTGTTATTAATGTTTTATGGCACTGAAATCAAATAAAACTCATGATTTTAAATTATAAACAATTCTGCCGGGCGCGGCGGCTCACGCCTGTAATCCCAGCACTTTGGGAGGCAGAGGCGGGCGGATCACGAGGTCAGGAGATCGAGACCATCCTGGCTAACACAGTGAAACCCCGTCTCTACTAAAAATACAAAAAAAAAAATTAGCCGGGCGTGGTGGCGGGTGCCTGCAGTCCCAGCTACTCGGGAGGCTGAGACAGGAGAATGGCGTGAACCCGGGAGGCGGAGCTTGCAGTGAGCCGAGATTGTGCCACTGCACTCCAGCCTGGGCGACAGAGCGAGACTCCGTCTCAAAAAAAAAAAAAATAATAATAAATAACCGTTCTGTCCACAAGACTACTGGTTATTGGTTAAGGTGTGATATTAAAGAATATGAGGGCTCTTTTCCTAAGCTAAAAACTCATCCTTCTTCCTCTGGTCCTATGTTTCTCAAATACTAATTCTATTTTCTCCCTAAAAAGTAAGGAGAACCACATACAGATGGGTAACAATGTTTTCTGTTAATGACAGTTCCTAGGATGAATGGTCAAGAGGGTCACTCTGGAATTGAAAGAGAAAAAAAGCCTTTATAGATTTTTCTTCAAAAGAACATAGGAGTCGGGGGGAAAAAAGTAGAAACACAGAACATCGGTCTCTATATTCCCATTTAAGCAATGCATCAAAACTTTTATTGAAGATAGTACATGCTGTCAAAAAATGGATTTAGAGCTTTCAGAGAACTGTGCTAAATGCTGTGAATATCAAGAGGCATGTGAAATAGTTTCCCCACTAACTTAGTTTACAAGTAACAAAGACAGATAAATTGTAGTACACAAAGCAATATACAAACCCAGGAGGTCCACACACAGTGAAAAAGATGCCAAGCTGTAGCCCAAGACTTTTCGCAAATTTTATGTTTTCTTTCATTGGTTAGCATATCTGAACTAGCAGGCCAATGGAGCAAAGGATCTGTCCATTGATATCATTAGGAACATGACAGCCACCATCAGATTCAAGCCAGTAGGCTTGCATCAATTTATTATTATCAGAACCAAATATGTGGTAGCATTTTTAAATAATCTTTGGCTGACACAGTTTAATTCCATTAAAATTGACTTTTTTTTTTTTTTTTTTTTAGACACAGTCTTGCTCGGTCACCCAGGCTGGAGTGCAGCAGTGCACTTGATCTCAGGTTCAAGTGATGCTCCTGCCTCAGCCTCTCGAGTAGCTGGGACCACAGGCGTGCACCACCATGCCCGGCTAATTTTTGTATTTTTAGTGGAGACAGGGTTTCGCCATGTTGGCCAGACTAGTCTCGAAATCCTGACCTCAGGTGATCCTCCCACCTCGGCCTCCCAAAGTGCTGGGATTAAAGGAGTGAGCCACCACGCCTGGCCAAAAATTTACGTCATTTAAGTGGGTTATGAGGGATTACCAACATGAGGAAAACTTGTAAGATTAAAGACTCAGACACAATTTTCATAAGCTAGATCCTCCGGACCAGCTGGTTTTTCCAGGTTTTTGTTTGTTTGGCGTGCACAAGAATCACACCAAGACTTTCTCTGAAAAGCTAGATTAGAGGGCCTCAGTCTACCAATATTCTTATTCAGTAAGTCTAAGGTGGGACCTGGGAACCCACATGTTTAAGAAGTCATGCCTGTAATGATGTGGCAGCATGCCCAGGACCACGTGAGAAACCCTACTCCATACTCCACCACTATCAGCCATTAAACATTCCCTCAGCCTGCACACATATGAATTTCTCATCATGTAGCTCACTTTAAAAACTGGACATACCTGAAACAAGCCACATGAAGGGTATAGATAAGAAGTACAAGAGTATTTCAAAGAAGTGAAAACAGAGAGCTGATAAAGTTGGGACAGGCCTTACTGCCATGAAGTGAAAGGTACCAATTAGCACTGTTTTAAGATAATTCAACAATCTCTGGTATGTATGATGAATTACCAATTGCATCATTTATTTAAATGCTTAGTCTAAGGTACAAATCATTCAGTCTCATAAACATAAACTTAGTACCTAAGTATTAAAGATTGTTCATTGTATCAGACTATGACATGATACCATTTGCTTGACAAAATGAATAAATCACAGGTTACTAACAGGAAGGAAGGAGAAGGAGAAGGAGAAGGAGAAGAAGGGGAAGAGGGAAGAGGGAAGAGGGAAGAGGGAAGAGGGGAGGGGAGGGGAGGATATCTTAAAGAAAAAAGGAAAGGATTAGTCTTCTCTTAATCATCTTCTCTTAATCATAATCTATGGCTGATAATAGGTTGAGATGTTGCTCACATTTTTGTTTTGAAGTCCAGATTATTCCTTTCCAACAATAATGTATGAATATGTACTTCAATCTGATAACATTTCTAGCCCACACACCTGTGTTTATCTTAACGTCAACACCAATTATAAAGACTATGAAAATTTAAAGTAATATTCCTACCAGCCATGACTCTCGACACACCTACAGAGTCTATGGATCATCTCCCTGGCAACTACACAACACACATAGATGTGAAAATATTATTCTTCAAGGGCTCCAGATTTAACATCTAAGAAAGGTCCAAAAATAATACTGAAGCTTTCATAGCACTGAGGACAAGAGTAGAGCTGGCTCTTTGATACTACAAAGAAAAACTTTTAAGTTGACATGTTTTTTCAGTCCAAGGTGGAAAAAAGTGAAAGGGGAGATGTTAGGAACAGGTGAGAATTAGGAAAAGCTCTCCAGCCTCTTTTAATCTGCTCATTTATTCAAAACTGCAATTCTGCCAACCTCAGAAAGACAAACATACCATGTATTACTCACTATCCAAAGCTTCTCTACTGTCATGCACTCAAGTATCCAGACCTCCCTGCCCCTCAATTCCTCCATCGTGAAAGGAGAGCCAACGAGAGATCAGCGTTAAGGAGAAGGCATCATTCAAGTGTCCACAGCAGTGAAAAGATGCATTTCTCTGAGAACACAAGGTTTAAGGAGGCAACATACCTGCTAGGAAAGAACTGCCTCTGTAGAAAAAAACAATTATCATATTGTGGCTTGGGACTCTGACCTAGATTGCACCCCACAGAGGCTAACCTAACAAGTCATTTTTCATTCTAACATAACTCCAATATTCTTTTTCCTTGAATGAACTCATTCAATGTTGGGGTAAAATAAAAGGAAAAATATAATGGCTAATTTAGTAACACAGCTTTTGTACATATTTTAAGATGCCTCTTCGTCTATTTCAGTTCTTTTCACCTATACTACCAGATGAAAAACTCTTTTGCAACATGTCCAGGGAAAAGCAAATCGAATCTCTGAACCACTTTACAAGTAGGTTCAGTTCTAGGTTATGGGAATCCAAGACCTTTTTCATTGTCTGGAGAAGGCTGAAAAGCATTTACAGTATTTGCTATACAGAGAATTAGAGATCCCAGAACTCCCAGAGTCACCTTGAAGCTTATCGCAACTACTAAATTACTTCTGAGAGTGGCTTAGCATCCTAGACATCTTGTCCACAACACAAATTTAGATTGGATGTTCCTGAGACTGACAGAGCATCACCCATTCTTTCACATATATTTGAGAAAGATTTTGTTTATATTTCAGCATCACCATAAAGGAAATTTGGTTAAACCATTTTAGGAAACAATTTGGTAAAACAAATCCCATGTTCACACTTTAACCTAATAATTCTACTTCTAGAATCCATACTTGGGAATTAAGAAATACAATCAAAAGTTTATATACAAATATGTATCACTACAGCATTACTTTAAATAGCTAGAACTGTAATCAGCCTGAGATTTCCCCAAACATAGGAAAGATTAAATAAATCACAGTCCTACCAATATGAACTATAATGACATGGAAAAATGCTTACAATACAATGGTACATGAAAAAAAGTGCATTTAAAATTGCATATGTAACATAATTCCAACTTCATTAATATACATATATATGGAAAAAATAAAACAGGAATCATAGGTAATTTTACACATCTGGATTATGGGATTTGTGGGTTTTTTTCATATCTTCATGTATTTTCCCAGTTGTCTCAATAAGCATATTTACTTTTAATACAGAAAGTATTTTTTAAGTTACTATGGATAATACTTTTCAGATTGAGCAGAAAATACAGATTGTTCCTTTTCAAATAAAAATGTATGTATTAGTAAAAGAAAAAATGAAAATCTAAAAAACATCTAATAAATATGTGCACAGACTTTTTAATAGGCTAGTTTTTTAATGCATATTTTCAAGTATGTCAGAATATATTAAGCACATTATTCGTCTGTTTTCTAATTCACATATATAAATTATCCAATCTCAAAAAGCTCCTTGGTTCTGTGAATTATTGATGTTGTCACCTGCTACAGACTTAATTCCAAGAAAAATATACGAATCACTACATCACAAGCACAAATCCTTTTGACACAAATTCAATTTCTGTGGCAACAATAATATATTGACTTTGCTTTATTTTTCTACTTTATGACACTTATTAATGGCAGAGTTAAAAGAAATCTATCATTTTTCTTTATTGTAAATGTAAATGATATCATGCCATCTTGAGAAAGTTAGGGTAAATACCACTTACTAGATAATTCCTTAATGTAAATAAGGTCATGATGCCAAAATATAAGAAATAAAAGATAAAGATTTTAAGCAAGACCTAGTCTCATAATTCTAATTTTTTCTACTACACAATTAGGCCAACATGTGTGAGACACATCATTAAATATGAAGACCCAGTCTCTCCCCTTACAAGCTTGCAACCAAAAGAACAAGATAAACCAATAACCAAAATGCTTCATAATAAGGTATTCAATGGTGATTGGAAGAAAAGCGGAGTCTCCACCTGCTAATCATATATGCTTAAATGCATGCTAATTAACAGGCAAGCATTATAGCAATGATCTAAGACTAAAGGCAAATAAAATTTTAGCCATGATTCAGGTAAAACTTGGAATGTAGAATTTGTTCTTCTAACAGAATGAAAGATTCCTAAAACATTCATTCATGCAACAACTGTTAATTAAATATTGCTATATTCTTGACAAGGGAGAGATCAATAAATAAAACAAAGATTTTTGCCCTAAAAGAACTTATCTTTATTGGGGAAACAGACAATAAGCACAATAAGTAAATTACTTATTTAAGATGTTAGAAGGTGATGAATGCTCTGATAAAAATAAAAAGTAGCATAAGCCAAGAGGGTTTGCAGGTTGCAATTTTAAACATGGGGAATTGAGGTAGGCATAGGCCTCATTGACAAAGTGGTGTTTGAGCAGAGTTGCCAGTGGGCTAAGGTGTCATCTATATGGATGGGCAGGGGAGTGTTTGCAATAGAAAAAACAGCCATAACAAGGCTGTCAGGAGGAGTATGCCTGATGTTCAAGAAACAAGGGAGCTTGTTGGCTCCAACAGGACAAAATGAAGTCAGTGAGAGGGAAGGAGGAGGCAGATCAGTCCCAGACCATTTCAAAGACGTGGGCTTTTACTTTTCTAACTGAATAGTCACAAATATTTTGTAAGTATACAAATATAAATAACCAACTTACACAGTAAATAATAATCAGATCAGCATATTCAGCATATTATACAAATTACTGAAGGTAGGGAGGAAGGTCTGTACTCAAATAATCATTATTTACTTGAGGGCCCTTTAAGTGGCTTAGTTATGCTTCCAGGAGTCATTTACCAGAAGGTATTAGAAATACTCTCAAAACACTGTAAAGCCAATAAAGGCAATTTTTGGAAAAACTCAGTTAATTCTATCAATTATTTTTTTAATATGGAATTAGTCTAGGGGGTAGAGGGACCAGTTTAGCATGTCTAGAGAAAAAACAGTAAGAAAAACAGTATTTACAACAATTTAAACATAACTCTGAGGACCCCTCGGAAGTTTGAGCGCCAACCCTAAGGAGTCCCCCCAAGAGGTCTACATGCAGATGGTAATGTGCTCCACACGTGTGCGAGTCCCAGCAACAGGGACCCTTGTAGACAGCCCAGCACCAGCCATGGTTGCCCCTCCTCCAGCTCCTACCATCAGGGACTCTTTCCCTTCCTGCAGTTAATAATCTCTGATTTACCTCAGCATCTCCAATATGCCCTTTTCCTTTCTTTTTTATTTTTTATTATTTTTTTTAGAGACAGGGTCTTGCTGTGTCGCCCAAGCTGGAATGCAATGGAGGGATCATAGCTCACTGCAGTCTCGAACTACTGAGCTCAAGCGATCAGCTTCCCAAGTAGCTGGGATTACAAGAGCACACCACCATGCCCCACATTTTTTTTTTCTTTTTTTTTTTATAGACGGCGGTCCCACTATGTTGCCCAGACTGGTCTTAAACTCCTAGCCTCAAGTGATCCTTCTGCCTCAGCCTTCCAAAATGCTGGGATTACAGTAAGGTGTGAGTCCACCTCATCCGGCCAGCCTTTCTCTTTTAATACTTTCCTAAATAATCCTCACCTTAAACCAACCTACCTTGGTTTCTGTTTATTTCTGGGCCTTGACCAAGACACTACCGCAGTCCTCTCCCTCTCAATACCTGGCTCACCTTTCAAATGCTGCCTGATTCAGGAAGGTTCTCTAAGCTTGCCCACATCAAGCGTGCCTTCCTAGCACTTTTACATCCTGCCTTGCACTGTGGCACAATAGAGCAGTACTGAGCAGAGGTGAACAGCCTCGGCTCTGGGATAAGACTCACCTGGATCAGAATCCAGCTCTGATACCAATCATCTGTGTGATCTTGAGCACTTAAACTCTCTGAGCCTGAATTTCTTAACTGTACTATGAGGCAAACAAGCATCTTCCCCATAGGCTTGGTAGAAGACTTATAGAAAAGACCATGGTACACAAAATACTACACCTGAGGTTCAGAAACTTTGACCAATGTTATTCTGCTTCCTTCACAGTAAGATCCATATAGGCATCACCTGGGTTCAGCTCACTCATTCTCAAGGATACTCCCAATAGTCTTCTCCTCCTCTAGGGCCCCATAACCAGTCTGTAATCCATCTAAATCCATTTTAAATGTGTACTGCCTCTCCTGTGGGCTTGATTTTTGTCATGGTCAATTTACCAGCAGCTCTGTTTTGCTGGGTGTCAGTTATGTTGGGCTGCCCTCTGGGGCCTTTCACATGCTGTCATATTTCTTTGGGGCTCAAATATGGGGGTTGAAAAATCTATGCAGTGGCAGTTTCCTAATGCCATCCCCAGAGCCAGCATGTTGCCAGGGCCTCAGGAGACTCACAGTCAGATGGACGAATCAGATGTGAGGTAAACAGATTAAGTAGGTACTGCAGATAAAAATTTAGAGTAAGGGTGGATCAACCTTCATTATTATGGAGAAATGATCTCATTTCCTTCTTCCCACAGCCCTTTTGTTTACAATTCCCTTGGGTCACCGATAATGGTTTGTCTTGCAGTTTGTGTTTATACCTCCTTTTCTGTTTGTATGTCGCAGGTACTATGTTCCCCTCAACTTTGAATCCCCAGCCCTACCATGGTGCAGGGAACATTTTAGGCAGTGGTTATCAACCTGACTACATATGAGAATCACCTGAAAGCTTGTTTTCTTTTCCCAATACGGATGCCTATGTAATATCCCAGCCCAAATGAATCAATACCCAAAGATGGAGCCTGCCATGGATAATTTTAAAGGTCCCCAGGTAACTCTAATGTGCAACCTGGAAACAAAACTACTAAAACTAGGCAAACTATTTTAGACTCAGTCTTTCAGCACCAAGACTGTCATCAAGAAATCTCCAAAGATCCCCACATGTAAACAAGGTAGACACCTGTGGGTGTATCTGCCTCCTGCACACTGTCTCTTCTCTGAGAATGCCTATGCCATAGAGGTAGGCCCACCAGTCTTCACTGTTCCTTGTAAGCCAGCCCTAGCCGCAGCTAAACACAAGGCAGAATATAAACCCAAGCAGAGCCAATCAAATCTCCATTTTCCCAGAATTCTAGAATTGGAATTCAGATATGAAAATCAGGCTCTACTCTTGCACGGACCAAGGACATGTATGTCTATCTGGAATTATGAGGTTCTAGGCTTGGCTGTGTGAAGATCAAAGCAGAGGAAGCCACACAATGCAGAGAATCAACAGTGGAGCTATGCCTAGTGAGAAGCAAAGAGACACTGGATGGCCTGAGAGGGAAAGAGACTGAGAAAAGCTGTCAGCTTTTAGTTCCTGGTTCCAGTCCTTTGTGACGGCCAGCTTGATTAGAGGTGCTACTCTTGTGTATCTTTACAATTCCTCCTTTCAGGATTACAGTAGATATTGTATAGGGATCTGTTCCTTTAGACCAAATGGGCCTTTAACTGAGACAGAACCCAAGATTGCTAAATGGGTCCCTAGGTACCCATATGATACAGCCCACCTTATCACTACTACTACACCTTACTGGACACTTTGCGATTACTAGTATACCCAGCAACCCTAAAAACTCGCTATTATCCCCATCTTAGAGAACAGGAAATTGAACAGCACAGAAGTGACTTATAAGGGTTGGTGAGTACCTAGGCTGGGAATGAGTCAAAAATCCAGCCTCACTCTCCTTCCTTTCCCTCAGTCCCCAGAACTATGATGGGACAGCCAGCTGCTGAAGCAGTTTCTGAATTATTTATGGAGCAAAGAATTCAAAAATGAAATCTTAACAAGAAAGATGAGCATAATTCCAATTGGATGATTACTAAATGATAACAACAACACTGACTACAAAACCACACCTTAAAACCAGGCGCAGTGGCTCACGCCTGTAATCCCAGCAGGGAGGCTGAGGCGGGTGGATCACAAGGTCAGGAGATCGAGACCATCCTGGCTAACACAGTGAAACCCCGTCTCTACTAAAAAAAATACAAAAAATTAGCTGGGCGTGGTGGCGGGCACCTGTAGTCCCAGCTACTTGGGAGGCTGAGGCAGGAGAATGACGTGAACTCAGAGGCGGAGCTTGCAGTGAGCTGAGATCGTGCCACTGCACTCCAGCCTGGGTGACAGAGCGAGACTCCGTCTCAAAAAACAAAACCTCAAAGATAAATGGGCATGGAGGGGGGTTGCAATTTCTGTCAATTGACTAACACTAATAAGAATACATGGTTTGCTAGGGTGTTTCCTCCTTTTTTTTTTTAAGTTGCTCTCAAATGTGTAATAGAAATGAAAAGCTTTTTTATTTCTCATTTATAGATTTTTAAAGCTGGGGTATATACCACAAACCTTATAAACCATACACTCCCAATTCAGACTGAAACATAAGCCAAAATTATCCACATTCCAACATGTCACTAAAAAATGCTTGTCAGGAATTATAATACAACAGCTAAAGAAAATTTAATTTCTTAAATTATTGATAAAGTTTGAACTTATTCTAAATAACTGAATTACCATTAAGTTTTCTTGTATAATTTAATACTACTTATTACACCCTCTAAGTTGTTTTATCTCTTAAAAGGAATCAAAAAGATGATTACATATTTATAAAATGAGCATCTGAAAAATGAAGAGCACAATTCCAGTTTTTACATGCAGTTCCAGTACTACGCATAAGATGTAGGTTACCTTTTACATTTCTTTCAGAAATATTAACCAAACAGGATATAGTTACTGCACATCTAAGTTACCAGGCCACCAGGTGCAGGCTGGGTCATAAAGACCTATAAAATATGGTACCTGCCCTGAAGAAGTTTACAATCCAATAAGTTCTAGAGGAAAAAGAAATAAGCTGGGTCATTTATTTTCCCTTCTTGGTGATTCAAAAAAACAATATAACATTAGTAACTGCCTGCCAGAGCTAAACATACTGAAAAACACAGATTCATCTCCTTAATGCTTTCCTTTGCACTTGTCATCCAAAGCAATGTGGGGAATTTGGAGAGAGAAATTCTAGAATGGGATTTGATACAGAGCGGCCCAATACTGTACCTAATTTGCACTGTGCCATATGCAATACAGTGAAATCCTAACACATTACAGTCTATATTGCAGTCTGGTTATGAACACACCAATTTCTGTAGTCCAGCCACAAGCTCAAGCAACTGCAGCCTAACTGTCCTTGGAAATCCTCCAACAATGCCAAAGGAGACTTCAGCAATGATTTAAGCATATTTGTATAGGACTTTTAAAAGTACAATAGTTTTAGGTTGATTATCGCACCATTCAAACACACTAATAAAAAAAGGCAACAAGGTTTGCAGGAAGTCAGCAGCTGATAGCCACAGGTAAGGGAAGGCACCCATTGATCCTAATAATCTAGTGAAAATTACTAAGGACTGCAGATCTCACAAGGATGTGAAGATAATTCTCACATGCCTGTTTCTGTCATCACTGATGTTGTTTCACTCGTAAACTTATTGAGGGTAGCTCCATAGGCTATAAAACTGCATCATCTTTGCCAGAATAAAATGTCCATGTTATCTATAAGAGTTAAATCACGTTACTGGAAGGTAGTCTATAAGAAACACCTGACTCACAGGTGAAGCCTCCAAGGCCCATAGGTAGTCCCTTTAAACTTGAATGTAGGCAAATGTCTGTCAGCTGAAGAACTAGGAAAAAAAATGCTGCCAAGAATACCATAGGAAAATTCTCAGCATGTGTCTTCAACTTGTGCAAATTCCTATTTACAGAGAAAAGGTCATTTGGAAAATATAGCCATTTTTGGAAGACTGAGCAGCCAAGGTTCTTAAGTATAGGAGATTGGGACAAAACAAAAAAAAGGTAAATTTGTTCATCAATCTACTTGGTACATGTTTGGAACTAGAGACTCAAATAGGGAAAATTTGCTCTTGGGCCTCCCCTTCCCCTCTATCAGATAAGTAAGGCTAACAGAAACTTCAATCTGTAAGGTACAGTACAGTGAGATTAGTGCTATAACTGACACTGATCTAAGCATTCCAGAAGATCTGCTTACAGATACCAGGGAACACCTCAGGGTCCAGATTTGCTTCAAGCATGCACAGAGGACACTGGAATGGACCAAACCAGCACAGAGCAAAAGCTTTCTAGACAGGAGGTCTAGCTTGTAAAAATACATTGCAATCATGCAGGGACCTACAAGTAAATTGTATGAATAGGAACTGGAATTTCAGGTGGAAGTTGAGGGATCCAATCTAGAAATGTGGGCAATGACAAAATTTAAAGGACAAGATCATGCTACTTGGCCTTTAAGTTGTGGATGATGCAGGAGAGAAACTGAAGGGTTTTAAGCAGGTTCCATAATCACACTTGGGTTCCAAAGAAAACTATTGTAGCAGCAACATGGTGGATAAAACAGAGTAGACCCAAGAACGAGAGCCAAGGAAATCAGTTAGGAAGCTATTGCAATCTATTGCAATAACCCAGCAGAGAGATGGAAGGTAAGATAGATGAGGTCAGGGACAGTAGGAGAAGAGAAGAGGCAAGTGCTATAAGTACCCAGGAAGCATAATCAAGGTTACTGGATAACCAATGCATATGGAAGTTAAAGATCAAGAAGTTGAAAATAAATCCAAGGATAAAATGTTGACACTGACTAAGAGAATACAAAAGAAAGAAGTTTATGAGAAAGCAGATAAATTCGAGTTGAGATACAGTGAGTTTGAGGTACCTCTAAGCCATCCATGTAAAATAAGGTTGAATATTTTGGACAAAAGCTCAAAAGACCATCCTAAAATAAAGATGGAGTTTTAAGAAGTCATCAGCTTCTAAATCTGAGCTGTCCAATATGCTAGCCATTAGCCACATATGGCTATTTAAACACAACTTAATTCAAATTACACAAATTAAAAATTCAGCTCTTTGGTAGCAGTAGCCACATTCAAGTGCTCAAAAGCCACATATAGCTAGTGACTATCAAATTGGACATGGCAGGACACAACATTTCCATCATTTCAGAAAGCACTAATCTAAGTGGTAGTAAAAGCTAAAGAAATGGATGAGTTCACACTAGAAGCACGTATAAAGTAAAAAGAGAAAATCAAAGAGATTACTTGGAAAGACTCATTTTAAAGGATAGGGAAAGGAATAACCAAAGATCAGAAGAGAAGAACATGTTAGACCATGGTTTCAAGGGGGGCAAGGTTTGTACAAATACAATGAAGAAGTCATATAGGGTGAGGCTTAAGACAAAAATCAGCACTGGGTTTGGCAGTTGATCTGCCTGGGCAACAGAGCAAGACCCTGACTCAAAAAAAAGCCCAAGTTAACTCCACAGCCTGAGTTCTTAAAGATTATGCTACATGAACTCCCCAGCAACACTGTAGTATGTGTTGATTCACACCTCTCTTTCCCCATACCAGACTGAATATAAACCTCTTGAAATCAAGGACCAAATTGCATCTACCCGTGTGCTATGCTCAGTATAACTGGCATTCAAAAATTTACCGAATAAATGAAAACAAGTAATTCACAGAAAGTGGCTAAAAAGGAAGGAAGCAGAGCATGGTATTCAGAGAGACAAAGGGTCAAGGGAAAGTTGAGGAAAGGGGTTGTTTGGTTTTCCTTCTGCTTTTTCTTTCACAATGGTAAACATTTCAGCACCATTACAGGATGGAGCGTGTAAAAAGCAAAACCTTCCTGACAGAATGTGGATGGGCCAAAAACAGCAGTAAAGAGATTAACCTCAAATAGGAAAATATATTCCTTGTGTGGATATTGGAGGAGAAACAATGAAGAATGGTCGCAGATATAGACAATTACAGCAAGCTCTAGGAAAACTTTCTCTGAAAAAGGTATCAAGGGGCATGCTAAGAGTCAGGAGTAATCATTCCTAAGATCTTAAGCGAATGCTGTGGTATGTTCCCATGTGGGAAAAAAGTGGGTGCTTGACATACACACAGAATATCATTGGAAGGATACAAAAGAGCTAGGTGCAGTGGCTCACATCTACAATCCCAGCACTTTAAGAGGCTGAGGTAGAAGAACTACTTTAGCCCAAGAGTTCAAGACAAGCCAGGGCAACACGATGAGACCCTGTCTCTATAAAATATAAATAAATAAATTAGCCAAGCGGTGCAGCGTGCCTGTAGTCCCAGCTACTCCAGAAGCTGAGGTGGGAGGATCACATGAGCCCAAGAGGTGAAGGCTGCAGTGAGCCATGATTGTACCACTGCACGCCAGCCTGGGTGACAGAGTGAGACACTGTCTCAAAAAAAAAAAAAAAAAAAGATATAAAAGAAAATAATAAGCTAACCAGCAGCCCTTGGGGCTGCTCTGCCTATGGAGTAGCCATCTTTTGTTTCTTTACTTCTCTGATACTTTCTTTCATGTTAAAAAAGAAAAAATAATAAATGTCATCATGGCAGGTGGTGGGGAGGGGGACCTTAATTGGTGGTCTAGGATGGAAGGGAGGCTTAGGGAATTTCCCCTTTGTACTCCTACATTGTTGGACTTTTTAAGAAGTACAGATGTTGTTTTTCAGTTTATTTATTTTTTGAGACAGGATCCCGCTCTGTTTCCCAGACTGGAGTGCAGTGACACAATCATGGCTCACTGCAACCACAGCTTTCGAGGTTCAAGCAATCCTCCCACCTCAGCCTTCCAAGCAGCTGGGACTTCAGAAATGCACCACCACGCCAGGCTAACGTTTTTGTATTTTTTTGTACAGACGGGGTTTCACCATGTTGCCCAGGCTGGTCGTGAATTCCTGGACTCAAGCAATCCACCTGCTTTGGCCTCACAAAGTGCTGGGATTATAGACATGAGCCACCGCGCCTGGCCGCTTTTTCAATTAAAAAAAACTATTTGGGACAAAAAAGAATCAGGCCAATAGATGAGATAAAGAAGTGATAGGTTTAGCATAAATGCTGTGAGAAATTGAAAAGGAGATGACCAAAGAGCTAGTGAAAAGTCAGGACCCATCATGCCCTATTCCCAGTTAATCTCTCTGTGTCTCAACCCCCTCATGTGCAAAATAACAGTAGGGAGAGTGCCCATTTCAAAGTACTGTGTGAGGGATAAGTGATTAAAATAGTGCCCAGCCCGTTGTATGAGCTGAACAAATGCGGTTATTGTGATGATGATTGTTATCTAGCAGCACTGAGGACACACAGATACCCAGTGTCTAAGGGCATCAGTTCACAAAGCTGGGAGTGGTTTCCACCAGGATGCAGGAACCCAGTTCAGCCACAGAAGCCTGCCAGGTTGCTCCAGGCTTGGAGATCTGAGGCAACTGAACAAGGAGGCCAAAGGTTCTATTATTTATTGATATTCTACCTTATGTGAGGTGTGAGGAAGTGAGGAGTTTGAAGGCATCCCAGTTCAAAGGGAGCTCCATGGTTACTTTTGTGGAGTGTGGGTTTAGTGTGGAGCAAATGTTGACAGCAGGAGGCAGACAGAGAAAGAGAGGCAATGTACAGAGGCTGTAGTAGGTCTACATGAAACAGAAAGGAAGGGAATATATCCAGGCACCAAACAAACCTCTGGTGTGTGTCCCACTGCAATGAATGGCTGAGTCCCTGGACACAATACCAGTGTCCCCCAGGAAAAAAAAAAAAAAAAGCTATGAGGATAAAGGAAGTAGGAAGCAGGAAGAAGAGGTTAAAATACTGTCAATAACTGAGAACTTAACACTATAGTGATGAGGTCTCCCCTATTAATAATAGTTGTCACATATTAATTGTGCTGTGCCTAAGCTATCGTAACATGTGTTAACTCAACTAATCCTCACAACAATCTATAAGCAAACAGACTAATTACTTCCATTTTATAGAAGGGAAAACAGAGGCACAAAGGTTGATAATTTGCCCAAGGATATACAGACACGTTTGAGTCTCTCTCAAGTCTTTTTATCACAGTTTAAGGGTGGGACTTCAGAGCCACATTGCCAGGCCCAAGTTCTTCAATAACCCACATATGTTTCTGGTAGTCTTTACATACCCTTGCCCACCACCACTAGGATCTTTTATAAAAAGAAATGAGTAATTATTAATAACATTTAAACAAATTCATCATGAATGGGTTAATGAACCAGGCAATATAAAGTTACAAGAGTACTTTGTTTTGATTTTCAATTAGCCAAACATTCAGATTCCTACTGTAAGCACAAGTCTATACCAGGCACCACACAGAAAGTGACTTCCAAAAGCTTACAAACACATGTATAAAGTAACTAAAAGCAGGTTCAATATAACATAACAATAAGAGCAAAATTATACCCTCAAAAGAGACTGAGTGGAGTTAGAACATGGTTTTAATTGGAGACCGTCACCTTTTATAAAGAAGTGAAATAGTCATATTGAATTTCTCAATGCAGATTATATGCACTCCATTTTTCATGTTCATTTCCCAGGCTGTCAATTTTTTCATTAAAAAAGAATTGTAATTGTCATTATGCAAGGAATTCAATCAAAGGTTTTAATAAACAAAAACAGTTTAATTCTATAGTAAAGTCCATAATTAATGTCACCAATTTGCAAATCTTTTACTTAAAAACTGAATGTTACAAAGTTTCATTTTATGACACCCAAATAAACAGCCAACCTCGGAAAAAAATGCAGCAATTACGGGATAAACTCTCTGTATCTTGGGAAGATACTTCATAATAAAATTAACTAAATAAATGCAGCATTATGGATCTCACAATTAATCTACTCAGGGCTTTTACTAAGGGCTTCAAGAAATTCTACACCATAACTCCTTTGACAGAACTATGACTGAACAGGTATTCAGTCTTCTTTAATTCAAGAGGGTGTGTACTTAGACCACAGCTACTTGGATATATCCCACATCCCTCAGCACACAGAATGACCTCACACTTGGTACATTAATTCATAGTCTCCCCCTTCCTTTCCAGTATTTAAGATCTGTCATGATCCTCAAAGATGGAGAGATCAGAAAGCTACTGAGTATTAATTCCATTCACAGATTTACTTTTAGGGAAAGATATATATATATATATATAAATTGGAACCCTAAAAAAATCAAAATTGAATTTAAAAAAATCAAAATTGAATTAAAAAAAAAAGCCCTGTAAACCCAGGAAATGAAGAGTAAAGATTAGAAGGAGATAAAGATAAGAAGGGAGAAAATGAACATTTCAATGGAATTTATGATATTTAATGTTTTAAGCTTATTAGTGAGTATACAGTGTTTTACACCTCTTTTGTATGATACATACATGATAAAATATATTTTTTTAAAGATTGCAAGTTTCTTATTTAACCAAAAAAACTATTAGAAGCAAACTGTTTTGAAACACATTGTATACATCCTTCACTACTGATACTTACTAATCACTTTTACCTCATCACTAAACAAAGGACTAAGGTGAAAAACATTTGCCTGGTTCAGGTACACATCTAATTTCTTAACTCAAGTCATCTCTGGGTACCCCAAACTGTGGTCTACAGAGGCCTTCCACAAATTCTACTTAAGTCTTATGTTTTTTCAAGATTATCTTAAACATTAGAACTAAAGTAAGCATATTCTGGACATTGTGAATGACCCACTCTATAACCATGTTCTCTCAGGAACTTTTGGTTTTACTTTTGTAAATACTTTTGTATTTACTACCAATATGGTTCTCAATGAGGGCCAAGCAACATCATGACACAATAGATTTTCACAAGCTCTTCCACTTAGGAAGAGTTCAGTTCCAAATGGCTATTTATAATTCCAAAATCACATTATTCTGGAAACTATGCACCCACAGGTATGGAAAATTAGATTTCAAGAGAAAAATGAATATAGAAGCTGGAAGTATAAGAGTTTTTATTTTTTCTGCTGCTTCAACAGTTTTATAACATTTACTAAAAAATGTTTATATATGGCTATTTTCTTTTTAAAAACAGGTTTATAACAGTTCACTACTTCATCTACATCCTCAAGCCAACACCTATGAAAAAGATAATGGTGTCCGATGACAGGCCTCTGCTAACAGTGTAAGGCTATCTGTGAACTCCTCAGTCTACACATATCTTCCTCAGCCTCTGGGATTCCATTTCCACCCAAGAATTAAATTGATAGAAAGAAAAACAGCAAAATATACACATATTTTTCCACTATTAAATCCAATAATGATGACTTAATTTCAGCAAAACATCATCAATCGCATTAAATTAATGTTGCTGTTAATTTGAATTTTATGGGTTTTATAGTTTTGTTTTGGATTGTAGATGTAAATCTGTTTTAGTTTTATAGCTGTAAAAAGTGATAGGCATAAAGAGTTACACTTAGTTTTATATCTGTACATATATTAGTAACATTATTTTTATTATCATTCAAGTCCATATTGGAGTATCACAAGAATTTTTTTTCCTAAGTTTGAAGTTGTTTCCTTTATACGTTTTTTTGTAAGTTACATTTGTACCCCAAGTTTCATCATCCTATTATCCCCACTTTAGACATAAAGAACAGGCCCCTAAGAAAGCTTCAGAAACTTGCTCTGACCATTCAGTCATCAGATCAGAACTCTGCATCAATCCAAATGTTACCTGGTATGCCAGGATAAGAACTAAGAACAGAATGGCTCTGCCTCCAGCACACCAAGAGGAAATAGCCTGGTTCAATTAAGTTTTCCAAGATTAGAAAGCTTTTCAAATATCCAATGTATTCCTAATGCCCTAAAGTGTAGGCAAAAATTGTACTATTATTACTGTTACTACTAATGATAACAAAAACAACAATCCTATAAATGGCAAATATTTCCATAGAGGTTACAATGAGCCAGGTATTCTAGGCCCAAAACATAACTTTTAATCTTCATGACAACCCCATGTTACACATGAGAAAGGGGAGGCACAGAGAACGGTTAAGTAATTGCTCAGTTCACACAGCTAATAAGTGATATTGCTGGGATTCAACCCCTGAGAGTGGTTCAAGTCACTGCTCATAAATGTTACTCATAACGCTTCTTCTACAAAAAACTGTAAGAAAAGATAGCAGTGGGTCTTTTGAAGAATAAAATCTATGGCAAGCATTTCCAAATAGATTTCACTAAGTAACTAGTAACATGAATGTTTCAGGACCAAAGCTTATTTAAACTCTTAAATTCTCCCCTAAGTTAATAAAGACTATTCAATTTGCTATTTGAGAAAAATTACTCCCAATGGTAAGGTATTTCAATGCCATCCTGCTGCTACTGAAAGAAAAGTTACCTTTGTAGATCCTGTTCAAAGAAAGCCCATGCTTTGATCCTTAATATCCCATGAAGTAAAAGGTTATGCTTAATCTATATTTTATAGATCTAAAAGTCAAATTAGTTTCTGAGATAAACAAGCAAGAGTGTAAGGATAAGCATATTCTTTAGCATTCATTTGATTCCTAGTTTAGAGGATACTATGTGCTAAGTTAAAGACAATTACATTAGTGTAATACGTAGCAGTTTTTTCCTGTATTATTCTGCAGCATAAACAAGTTAGACACATGTTAATTTACATTCTATATAAAAAGCCAATTTTAAATCCAATTTATAAGGCAATAAATATATAAAGATTCTAGGACACAGCAATAAAGTTACGCCATAAAGTAGAGTTAATTCAAGACAACAATAATAAAAGCATGACAAATTTTAGCATTCCACCAACTGCACAAAGGTGTTTCAGGTAACATCTGTTCAGAAGCAATTGCTACAAGATAGACTAGATGAGATGCAAGGTTTCACCATGTAATAAATGTATGTCAGTTTGCTTGCTTCATAATTAAAGACATGAGTCTTTGAAAAAAGCAATTAAGCCCTGTTCTAAATCTGAGACAATCATCCCTATCTCTACCCCCACCCCTTTTTACCGTCAAAGAAAAGACCCAGAGTGGTCCAGGAGTATTAAATGCCATATGTTATCTACTTTCAGCAACTAAATGTATCCCCCAAAAAGCCACTTAATATATATTGTTTCTTTTGATAAATCATTTATTTAAAAAAATTTCTGGGTTTTTCTGTTTTATTAAGAAGGATAGAAAGGAAAGAATGGCTGGGAAAATTCAGAGCAATTTCTTAGAACAGCAGCCTGAATAAAATGATTTTACCTCCTTCTGAAGCTTACAATGCCTGGTGTGTGTTAGGTAGAATTCTGACACGAATAAAATTTAGGTGCCTAAAGCTTTCAACTAAAAACAGTATCTCAATTCTTGACAGTTTAACCCTAGGACAACTGAGAGCATCACTTAAGCTGAGAACTCAATGAAGGAACAAGTTCAAAAAATCAAAAAGAGCATTTAGATATCACCTCCATCTTTTCCCAGCTTCCTAGAAACTATAAATACAGAGTAGACAAAACATGAATGGAGGTTTTGGTTGTTATTCCAGTGGTGGTTTATTTTTCTATTGTAATTTGGTTATCGTCTGTCCTCCCAAATTACAAACAAACCCTCTGAAATAAAGTGAAGGCAGAGATTTAAATGAATCTGATGGTCCTCCTTGTAACTATACCTAGCTTCATTTCCTATGGCAGGTGTAACACATTACCACAAACTGGCAGCTTAAAACAACAGAAATTCATTCTCTCAGTTCTGGAGGCCTGAAGTCCCAAATCAGTTTCACTGTGCCAAAATGAAGGCAGGCTGCTCTCCTTCTAGAAGCTCTAGGGGAGTAGCCTTCCTTGACTCTTCCAGCTTCAGATGGCTGCATTACCAATCTCTGCCTCTGCAGTCACAACACTCTCTCCTCTTCTGTGGTCAAATAACAATACATGTGTTTGCATTTAGGGGCCACTGTGATAATCCAGAATAATCTCATTTTAAAATCCTTAATCATCTGTGTAAAGTCCTTTAAAAAAGAAAACAGGAGAAAAGGCATACAAAGGTATTATGTGCAAGTGTGGCAAGTGTGGAGTCATACAAAGTATGAAACTCAAACAAGGGCCAGATGGCTAAATCTTAAATACCCTCTTCATAGGGAAGAGGGAAGTGGGGTATGTAAGGCAATTTACAGGATGAGTAAATAATCTTTAGGGGGGATGAATGGGCCCAAAGAAGAGATGAAAGTCTGAGACAAAGTTTATCTGGGCTTGGTGTGGTGTCAACTCCAATCTTCCTTCAGTATACATCTATTTGACTTGAGATGTCTGGGAAAGAGATTCACAAGTTGAATATCTTCTGGAGGATACAACCTTTAGGTAGATAGGGGAACTTCAGAGAAGACCCTTTCTTGCATTTCTGGCTCCCCAGGTTCTCTCGATTTGAAGTCCAAAGTGGCATATTTGGGGGTATAATTTTCTGAGCCCTAACAATGCTTTCTTTCTCAGATTAGTATCATAAGCTCCAAACAGAAGTTGCTTAAATAAGTGCGTTTTCTTTTTCTCCCAGTACAAGATGTCTGGTGGCAGGTAAGTTCCCAGGTTAACCTAACCTATAGTGGCCCAGAGACCCAGATCCTTCATATATATATATATATATATATTTTTTTTTTTTTTTTTTTTGAGACAGAGGAGTCTCACTCTGTCACCCAGGCTGGAGTGCAGTGGCACAATCTCGTCTCACTGCAACCTTTGCCTCCCAGATTCAAGCGATTCTCCTGACTCAGCCTCCGGAGTAGGTGGGATTACAGGCGCCCACTGCCACGTCTGGCTAATTTTGGTATTTTTAGTAGAGACGGGGTTTCACCATGTTGGCCAGGCTGTCATCGAACTCCTGGCCTCAAGTGATCCGCCTGCCTTGGCCTCCCAAAGTGCTGGGATTACAGGCATGCACCACCGTACCCAACCCCTTCCTATATTCTTGCTCTGCCATATGTAGCGCAGTACATGGGCCTTGTCTTCAGGCTAGCTATCCTCATGACCAGAAGACTATGGCAAAATAAGCATCACATCCTGACTATGGCCAAAGGCAAAAAATGGGCTATTGCTTCTTGTTAGCCTTTTTCTTTCAGATGTTGTATTTTTCAATGCTAGAATTTCCACTGTGGTCTTTTTATAGTTTCTGTTTCTCTACAGAGGTTTCCTATCATTTCATTCATTGTGAGCATATTTCATTTATATTCTTAAATATGGTTATACAACTGCTTTAAAATCCTTGTCTATTAATGCTTACAACTGAGTTATCTTGAGACTGGTCTCCATTGATTCCTTTTTCTTGTTTGTATGGGTCACATTTTCCTGTTTTTTCCTAATGTCAAATACCTTTGCACTGTATCCTGAACATTGTGAATGTATGGTGTAGGGACTCTGAATTCCTTCTATTCTTCTGAGAAGTATTGCTTTTTGTGTTTGTTTTAGCAGGCAGTTAACTTGGCTGAACTCTCAAACTGCACATACTGTCCCATCCGCTGGATGGGACCTGAAATCTTAGTTCAGATATGTTAGCCCTACCTGTGCTGCTTGGAGTCTGTCCCATACATGTAGGGTTCAGAAATTTGAGGACTCTACACACAGAATTTGGGGCTACCCATTTGTGGCTCCTTCTCCTCTCCAGGATTTTCTCCTCATTTATCAGCTATATGGTCACCAGAACTCTGCCCTCTGGTTTTTTATGCCAGTACAACTGTGGGCTTATATTCTAGTTTTAACCACCCCACATGACCCTGATTAGGGGCTTCCCTTATGCAAAAAGCTACAAAAAATGACAAACTTATCCAGTGCTAGTCCCTTCTTCCAAGTATTGTCTCCAATAGCCATGTCTTTTGATCACTCTCCAGTGTTTTAATAGTTGCTTTTTATAATTTTGTCATGTGAGAGGTCTGTGGTCCAATGAGATCTCAGCCAATACTGGATGCAAAGTTTTTGTTAGTTCCTTTTTACAGAGCAAAGACATCTTTCTCAGAATTCCCCAGCAGATTTCTCCTTTAGCTTACTGGCTAGAATTGTTTTCATCTGCTCTTTGTTAATCCTCTTTGTTCTGGGGCCTGCATGCCTGGAAGGATTTGGCTGCAACACACTGGCTGGTATACATTAATGAGTTGGGTTACAGCTTATTCATTAAGCTTGTGAGCTTAGTTAATGTGTATCCACCTCAGACATAGATTCAATCTCCATGTGCTGACCATATCACTGTCCAAGGCCCCAGATGTCCAGATGTGTGGAACTTTGGGGCTGCCTCCTCCTGGTGGAGTTCAACAGGCCCAGGCAGAGGTTGCTTGAACCACCTGTGGTTGCCCCAGCTAAAAGGGGAGAAGCAGCCACATTCCACAATCTGGACTGGCTGGGAAGCTGAGCAGGGAGTTCTAGAGTGGCAGCCCAAACTCAGGCAGGCAAGCACTGAAGGATGGTTCCTCATCCTCCCAGCAGGAGGTTGGAGGCTATGAGATACCCTGTCTCTCAGGGGCTGGAAGAGCAAAGAGCAGTATCTCTTTCAGACATCCTGCTGTCAGAAGTTACACCACAGCACAGTCATACATTGGGTTTAATTGTTGCTCCTGCCTGGCCCCTCTTAAAAAAAAAAAAAAAAAAAAAAAAAACCAAATAACCTGTAAAGTCATTTTTTGCCATATAAGGTAACATTCACAGGTTCCAGGGATTAAGGAGTGTCTACCTTTCAGAAGATCATTGTTCGGCCTACTACACCTGCTTCCAAATAACCCAAAGTAATTGGCAAACATGCACTAATCTCATTAAGCTTACTGGGATTTCATCTGTACTCAAATTCCTACTACGTGTACAATCAACAAAAATTCTCCAACCTTGTATATCTTCTCACCTCGCAGCCTGCCTATAATCAGAAAATCAATTCTATATTCATATTATATATTAATTAAAGGCATCACTAATTATTGCTAATGGTTCCTGGATGAGAAAAGAAGCAGTAAAGATTAAAGTTCCCAACAGCTATGGGAGAGAATTCAGGACAGTGATTAAGAATGTGTATTCTAGGCCAGGTGCGATGGCTCACGCCTGTAATCCCAGCACTTTGGGAGGCCGAAGCGGGTGGATCACTTGAGGTCAGGAGTTCAAGACCTGCCTGGCCAACATGGTGAAGCCTCATCTCTACTAAAAATACAAAATTAGCCGGGCGTAGTGACACGTGCCTGTAATCCCAGTTACTAGAAGGCTGAGGCAGGAGAACTGCTTGAGCCCAGGAGGTAGAGGTTGCAGTGAGCCAAGATTGTGCCACTGCACTCCTGTCTGGGCAACAGAATGAGACTTTGTCTCACAAAAAAAAAAAAAGAAAGAAAGAAAGAATGTATACTCTGAAGCCAGCTTGCCTAGATTCAAATCTCAGCCTCATGAACTGGCAGCTGTGTGATTTTAGGCAGCTTAATCTCTGTGTACCTTGGTTTCCTCCTATGGCAAACAAGATTAATAATACTACCTACCTCACAAGGTTGTTCTAAGAATTAAAGGAGTTGATAATTACAACGCACCTAGAACAGTGCTTGGCTCACTCAGAAAGGTTAACTAGTATTACCATCAATGCCCAAACATGGTAAATATACAGAAATTAAAGGACAAGGTGAAAAAATCTCAAAACCGGCCAGGCGCGGTGGCTCACGCCTGTAATCCCAGCACTTTGGGAGGCCGAGGTGGGCGGATCACGAGGTCAGGAGTTCGAGACCATCCTGGTTAACACGGTTAACCCCGTCTCCACTAAAAATACAAAAAATTAGCCGGGCGTTGCGGTGGGCACCTGTAGTCCCAACTACTCGGGAGGCTGAGGCAGGAGAATGGCATGAACCCGAGAGGCGGAGCTTGCAGTGAGCCGAGATCACGCCTCTGCACTCCAGCCTGGGCGACAGAGCAAGACTCCGTCTCAAAAAAAGAAAAAAAAGAAAAGAAAAATCTCAAAACCAACACTGAAGGTACTACAATGACATAATCAATCAATAATTAACAATCTATTTGATGGAAACGATTAGACGATTTACACTGAAGTCTGTGAGAACTTTTAGAGGACTCTCCTAATTAAAAAGAACTCCTTCATCAACTTGGACCACCAATTTACAGGCTCCCTTTGAATGGACTGACCTACATCCTAGAGATGGACACTTCTAGAAGCCACATGTCCTGCTCTGCCACCACTACCTGTGTGTTGCCAAGAGTAATGAGAAACAGGTATTACTGAAAGGCTTTCCACAATCTGTAGGACAACTGTTCTGTTCTACAAAGGATATAGGACTCAGGTCCAGGTATTGAGTGTGGCCTAGGGCAGGTTCCAAGTTTAATTCCTACGGAATTTTATCTGCCTTCACAAAGTCTCCACCCAGATACTTGCCCTGTCCTCTCAGCCTCCTCCATCTCTCTTCTATGCCCCAGTAGCTATCCCTACCATCTCAATGCTCACGGCTTAAGATATTTTCAAATGAGACCAAGTTGGTTAATTCACAAGCATCCCAAAGTCAATTGATTCGTAGCACAGCCAAAGTATCATACAATTACAATAGACTAATTTCTACTATTTATACTTATCTATGGGAAGAGATATCTAAGCTACAAACTCTTTTACCCAACTCACAAGTGACTTGAAGCCCGCAACTATACATTTGGTAGAAAACAAGAATTTGCCAACTTTAACAGGACTCAAAGTAAAACAAGATTTCAGCGGGTACCAGAGCTCCTGCTTTCTTACACTAAGATAGGAGGGAGTGACCAGTCTACCACTCCATTCTACTACTCGCTTGCTGCTTTGCAGAAGTGTGCAAAACACTGGCCACCTAAATTACTCCTATCCATCACATCACCAACCTATATTACTTGTTCCCATCAAAAACAGCTGCCCCAGGCTCAGATAATGACTGGGTGACCTGAAAAGATTTAGGATAACGTCACTTCATCCAATCAAGAAAAAGCCAAGAACTAACTTGACATCTGCAAGAACAGTGACTGACTTGACACCTACAAGTACAATTACTTTCTGAGGCATTGCTGGGAACTTTGATGGTCTCAAAGATCCCTCTCCATCCAAAAAACAAGAGTTACTGGTGTGCAATCAAGAGCAGTGAAAGGTAGGCAAACTGGGAAGAGCTGCTCAGGAAGCAGTCTTGAGACTGGGATACTGAACTTTAGTACAGGAACAGAGTAGAGCTGTGCCTGGAACTTCTGCCCATGTTAAGATTTCCAGTTCAACAGGAAGGTGGTCCAAAATCAGTAGCATGCCCAGGCTCCTTGGCAGACAAACTCAAACTATCTCCAAAGAAAAGCATCTCTGGAATCCTACAGGTGAAGATAAAGCAATGAGCTTACAAAGATAAATACACACAAGAAAGAGAGCAAGCCATCATGAATCTGAGTCAATGTAGACAGCCCAGGTTGCAAACAGCAGAACTGTCAAATAAAGAATAAGAACAATCAAGTAGGAAATGTCTAAAGAAATAAATGAATAAGAAACAAAGGACTATCAAGAATGCCCAGACAGATTTGAAAAATAAGCAAATGGAACTTATTAAAATAAAAAATAATTGCTAAAATCAAATATTCAGAAAAGTAGCAGATTAGACATAGCTGATAACAAAATTAATGAACTGGAAGATATAACTAAAGAAATTACCATATAAGCAAGAACCTAAATTAGTTTCAAAGTACCAAGAGTCCAAATTACTTCTAAATTAACTGGAAGTCATGATTCATACCAGACTCCCACCCAAAAACACAGTGTTTTAGATGTGTTTTTTACCTTTACAGCTTAAGAGTGTTATCTTTTAGATGTCATTTCATCTTTATGAGAATCCAT
Source organism: Homo sapiens (assembly GCF_000001405.40). Taxonomy (NCBI): domain Eukaryota; kingdom Metazoa; phylum Chordata; class Mammalia; order Primates; family Hominidae; genus Homo; species Homo sapiens. The sequence goes on from NC_000013.11 coordinate 60,162,139, forward strand.
TTAACAAATGGCATGCTGAGATGGTCAATGTGACATACATAAGAATGAAAAACAGCACAGAGACTGGAAACCAAATGATGAAATCCTTCAATGAAACTTAACATAAATACTAATTTAGATCCTGTTTTCATGACCTCCTTGCTGGGAATGAGTCACAGAAAATAACACCTCCTGTATTCTGGACCACAGAAGTTAAAACAAAATAAAATAAGATTATTAACCCAGAGAGTAGACTATAAAAGGAAGAAAAGTCATTGCCTTAGTGGATTCTTCTCACATTAGGCAAAAATCTTTCATTGGGAAGTTAACTCTGTCCTATTCATTCTTCAGATTTGTCAAGATAATGATCAAGTCCATACTTGATCCTTCTGCAAAATGTCACTATTCCTATGACCATTTTGATACTTAATTTGGCATAATTAATCTATGCTGTTCCTCATTTTCAATTAATCTATGCTGTTTCTCATTTTCAGTATTCTGATATATCTCATGTATCAGAATATGGGCTCTCAGTCTTATTCAACTATTATTTTTAACTAAATGTTATAGTTAGCAACTGGTTCACAAACCATTATTCCCTTAATTTGTGAATCATGACTTAAATTTCTCACAATTTTTACTTGCCCACATAAGGCAAATGCTGTACTCTCTCTCTCTCTCTCTCTCTCTCTCACACACACACACACACACACACACACACACACACAGTTTTTCCATATTCCTAAGGAAAATGGTGGAGTGGTCAATGTGAAATTTCAATTCTGTTGGACTCATCCCAAATCTATCAACCCTCTATGTGATTTATTTACACACACAAACCCCAAAATAATCATCACTGCCTATACTTTCACTAGTTGACACCAACGAAAAGACAAGGTGTTAATCATGACACTTTCCTTAAGTGTTAAACACAAGCAAACCAGAATAGCAAGTTTCAAATATTTAGAATTCTTTCCAAGCTAAGCAAAACATTCTTTAGCAGTGACCACACCACCCGCCAAGTTCTAAAACTAGCTGTTTCAACTTGGAAAATTATATCTACCTTAAAAGTTCTTATATGTAATTAAAAGTTCTTATTAAAATAATAAGCAGAAAAAAAACCTGTCACCTAAAAGTTCATTTTGATATATCTTATACCCTCTTACACTAGGGAGGAAGGGAGAACTTCGACTTAAAAAATGCAATGTCCACCTAGATGACGTCAATACATATACACGTTTGAACTGCTTTTCACATCAGCGTTAAGAAATTTGGGGGCAACACAAAGATCTGGGCATTTGTCACAGGATCCAACTACAACTAGACCCGGTCGTTGTCAATCTATGATCTTTGGCACCTCTGGATCTCTAGAATAAAACTTGGTCCCCAAGTTCTTGTGGGCCCACCCTCGGCAGTCAGCCCTACGGCGGGGCGGGAGCGGCCCCACCCTAGCTCCAGGCGATACTCACAAACTTGGGGCGCTTCTCCCCAGGCTCCTCGGGGCCACTGGGCGGCGGAGGGTGTTGGGGGCCCTTCCTGCGCGGCATCTTGCTTTCCCGGCAGCCGCGGAGAGAGGCTGAGGAAGGGTAGGGAGTCCCAGCGGCTGAGCCTTGGGCCGGGTGGTGCAGCCGCGGCTGGTGCCGTTCCATCTTTCCCCGCAGCTCCGGGGACCGGAAAGAAGGTGGCCACTCAGCAAGCCGCAAGCTGGAAGCTGAGGGATCGACAACAGGTTTTACTCCCGGGGTCCGCCACCCAAACAGTCAGCACAGCCTAGCCCAACCGCTGAAGTCGGGGCCGCAGCCAACACATCTGAAAACTCCCGCCACCCGTGTTGGCCCGGGACTGGCCAATCCCGCGCCGCCGGATCAATGACACGCTGAGGCACCGCCCCTTCCGGGCACTGCGAAACATGATTGGCCTTGCGGCCTGTCTATGCAGCCGCTCAACCCTTCCGGCGGTCCAGGCCGCTCACCTTAAGGACGCAGAGTGGCGTCAGATTTGGAGAAGCGCCGGGGACCGTGGAGGAAGTCATCGGCCTGGATTTCTTTGGATTTGCAGATAGGGTTCCAGCAGAACTGGAAGGTGGGCGAGACAGGCCCTGCGCCACCATTTGAGCAGCGCTGGGATATAAAACCATCTGCTAGCCCTCTCCTTGCACGTCTGGGGCTGGAAAAAGTAGTTCTGGGACTGGGTACGGTGCTGGAAGGGGTACTAGGCAGGATGAAACGACGGGGCCCACGACGCTCCAAAAGGAAGCCTTCTGGACATATTTCCTGCCTAAGTGCTCGCTCTGGGGTGGCAGAGGGGTCCACCCAAAATCAGACAGAGCTAGGCTAGGCTGAGCCCTTCAGGAGCTCACAGTCTCCTGTAGTTTCCAAACCCTAACACAATTAACCAAGGAATGTAAATGTCTATAGCAGTTGTTTTAGAAGTTCCTTGAGAACAAAAAGGGAAGTTATTAAATCTGAAGGAGTGGATCTGGAAAGGTAAAAGGAAAGCTGCATAGGTTTTCACTAGGCAGGAAACAGTGGCAGGGCATTCATTTAAAAGGCATTCCATTCCAGGCAGGAGCAAGGCCAAGAAAGCATAGAGGTGAAGAAACTTTAAGGTCACATAACAAAGGGCCTTGAACTGAAACCATGCAAAAGAGTTTGTTGTGTAAACCCAAGGTCAAGCTACAAGGCAAACACCGTTTTCTCAACACATCAATATACCCTCTTTAAAAATGAGCTTTTCCTTGGAACTATTCCTTTAAGATATCTGTCTTCTGATTATATGGAGGTGGTGTAGGCCAAGACTCGGAAACATGCAGTATTGATTTTGGTACAAGAAACAACTCTAGGTACTCTGAGGAGTTTGGCACAGAGGTTCAAAAAATGAGCCTTAGTTCTCAGTAAGTCTTCACACTACAGCTTTTCTTTTTTAATATTTGTTTTACTGTGCCAGACTCTACAGCTCTGTCCTCAAAGAGCACATAATCTTTAGGGAAACTTACAGGAGAACAGCAAGGTCAGGAGAACTACAAGTAGTTCCTTATATCTTGATGACAGACCCAGATACAGATTTTATTCCTGCCATTTACTAGCTATTTGATACCGGAGATGACGTTTAACTTTCTTTGCTGCTTCATCTACAAAAGGGGGGTAATTATACTAATACCTATGAAAGAGGGGCATTTTCAGGCCTAAATAACATAGCATATGTAAAGCCCTTAGAGTTTTGTCAATGCTCCTACAGGAATACTGTAGTTGAAGAAGTTGGGATTATTACTCAGGGAGGGAGAACATGCACTATGGGGAGCCATGAAGTGTCTTAGGTAAATGGTATTAGAAAGCACTTAAAGGATTTGGGCTTTGATTAGGTGATTTGGGAAAGACTCCGTGGAAAGAGGTGGGAAGGGTTGCTCAAGATTAAGTGCCTTCAGGAAGTGGAGACAGTTCAGTGATTATCTTATCTAGGAGGATGGCAGGCTAAAAGACAAGCCTAAAGCTGTAACTGACAAGCATTAGTCATCCATATCATGGAGAGAGGGGAATGTTTGATTTTGAAAGACAAAACAAATTAAAGATCTAATTGGCTTTTATTTGCAATTCCAGAATAGGCAAAACTTCATTCTCTAAAATAGAATCTGTTCCAATGAGCTAAGCAGAGGAGGTTGGCTTTATAGGCAGAAAAAAGCTAGAGAACAGAAATAAGGAATGAGAAGCAGATGAGTTGTTTCAAAGTTACTTTCCTTATAGGGTTAAAACAGGGGAACTTTCTTAGCATACCAGCTCAGATAAACTTGGCCCCTTCTGATTGGGTGCTATGAATTTCCTGCTTTTTGGAAAACTGGCTGGTTTCAGAGTTGCTTTTGATTATGTGGCAATACGCATGAGGGACCATTCTGCTTTGGTCTGGTCTGCCGGAGCCTAGTGCAGCAGATTAGTCCAAAACTAAGGTTAGTCTATAATCATTTCCCATGAATTTATTTAACATTGATATTTTCTGATTTGCATACTGACCTTGTTATTGTCTGTGCTTAGACAAAACATGGAAGTGATCTTGTTTTGTCTCACTTCATCATGGTCACAGAGTGACCCTGTCTGATATTGCTGTTCTGTGAGATGCTGTTCATCAGGAGAACAACATGGCCTAGCTATGAGTGTCAGGCCAGTTTCTAAAAACACTGAGGCTTAGCTATAAGTGTCAAACTAGTTCCCTGATGTCAGGGACTGCTCCTTTCTTTCTCATGTCTTTGCCACATAGAAGGTACTAAATATAAGTAAACAGGAGCCATGATAATTAATTTTCAAGTTTACGTACAGCACTCTGAATTTTTTCTCATAGAAATGCACTGGAACTTCAGTGTACTAGTGAAAATATCTTTGTATAAGTTTTATGTTTTTTAAAGTACATTTTATATGTGTGCCCCAACATACTTAAACCTCATAACAGCATGCACTGACCCTCATTTTGATCACCCAGCGAGATGATACACCCCAGTGAGTCAATAGTCATGGAAATAGAAAGTTGAAGGTGAAAAAAAAGGCCTGGAAAAGCTTGGAATCTAGGAATATATTTCTTCCCTTTATCATTTCTGTTCAGTGTCAACATCCAGAAAATTATTAATGCCTTTCTTTTGATGGCTCACTCTTATGGACCATATGAGAAAGTTGTTGAAAGCTGAGGGAAGGAAGTGATTATCCTTAATCAATTTTTTTAAATGAGATGTCATTTACCCTCATTAAATTGGCAAATACTACAAAGTTCCATGTTTCCAAGTTTGGGCCAAGTTGGGAATTCCTAGATAGATAGTGGAAGTGCAAAACAGGTATAGGCACTTTGGACAAAAACTTGGTAATACCTAGTAAAGGTGAAGGTATGTGTACCTATGACCCTGCAATTCCATGTCTAGATGTCTCCCTGGAAAAGCCCAAACATACACCTACAAAGATATTTCTTGAACACTTCTGCCATATTATGATTATCTATATATGTATATATATATAGATACAGATTTTCACCCATGGTTCCTAGTTCATAAGTTTCATAACTCTTGTTACAGCCTTTTGTTATAATGTGAGAGTGCTTTAGGCCTCAGAAGTAGGCCTCAGGGAACAGAATCTCTCTCTGGGAACTTCTGCTCTCCTTTCACCTGCCCAAGACAGGAATCTAATCTGATGGTGGGTCATAAGACCCTCAGGCCAGAGAGAGTCCTGCCCCACGCTCTAGAGAAAGGAATGCTGCACAGAGAGACCAGGAAAATCTGAACAGAACAGACAGGCCTTGCTGGGTTTAGAGCATACCCTTTTGTGCAATCACATTTCGACACAATTATCCATGCTTCAATCATGAACAACCAATGAAGTCTACATAAAACGCAGGGTTCAGAGAGCTGAACACATGGAGGCTGACAGGAAGGTGAACAGGAACTCATCCACATTCTGGGAGGGTGGTGCACTTCAACTCCACAGGGATAGAAGCTCATTCAGGGCCCTTCCAGACCTCACCCTAGGTATCTTGTCATCTGGCTGTTTATCTATATCCTTTAAAATCTCCTTCATGATAAACCAGAAAATGTGTTTCCTGAGTTCTTTGTGCCTCTCTCCAAATTAATCCAGCCCAAAGAAGGTATAATGGAAACCCCTGCTTGAAGCCAGTGGATCAGAAGTGCTAGAGGCCCAGACTTGTGATTGATGGGAAGGAGGACGCAATCTTGTAGGACTGAGCCCTCAACCTGTGGGATCTGACACTATCTCTGGATAAGGAGTATCAGAACTGAATTGGAAGACACTCAGCTGGTGTCCACAGGAGAACTGATTGCTTGCTTGCTGGTGGGGAGAAATCCTTACATATTTTGGGGTCACAGAAGTCTTGTGTGTAGATTGTTGATGAGCAGAAGAAAAACAGTTTGAGAGTTTTTCTTTTTTTTTTTTTTGGAGGGAGACAGTCTCACTCTGTCGCCAGGCTGGAGTCCAGTGGCGTGATCTCGGCTCACTGCAACCTCCGCCTCACGGGTTCAAGTGATTCTCCAGCCTCAGCCTCCCAAGTAGCTGGGACTACAGGTGCATGCCACCACGCCCAGCTAATTTTTTGTATTTTTATTAGAGACGGGTTTCACCATGTTGGCCAGGATGGTCTCGATCTCTTGACCTTGTGATCCACCTGCCTCGGACTCCCAAAGTGCTGGGATTACAGGCGTGAGCCACCGCCCGGCTGAGAGTTTTTTCTAAACACTTCATAGAAGCAAAAATGGGTAACCTAACTGTCCTATAGTCAGGGAAAGAGCAAGAGATTACAGTGTGAAAGAGCTGTTACAGTGGAATTCTACACTACATATAAAATAAATATCTAAACCTACATATGGATACATCTCAAAAACAGAAAAATCAAGTCGCAAAATATAAACAGCATACAAACAAAATTGTATATATACGTGTGTGTATATATACATAATATGTTATATGTAAGTGCATGTTATAACACAGCAAAAACACAAGGGAATTATACACAACAACTTCACCTACTTTGAGAGAAAAAAGGAAGAAGGGGAAGGAATTAAAGCTGGAACTTCATAGTTAAAATATCTGTAAATGTTTTATTTATTAATAGGGAAAGATCTGAAGTAAATCTAGCAAAATATTAACATGTATTTAATCTCAGTGGTGGGATATTGGTTTCTATATTATTATTTTCTGTTTGTTGGAAATGCTTCATATTAAATTTTTAACACAATACACAAATTAGCAGAAAAATAGACACTTTAGAACTAGGCCCCTTAACTTTGTTCCTCCACAAATTCTTGGTTTATTGGCATTGAGCCCACGATGAGATATTAAGTCTATGTAAGAAAGTATAAAATAATTAATTTCCTTTCAGGATGATTTTAAGTTGATTTTTAATTCTGGATAATAAAATATATTATTTCCCCTCCACCTTGCCTTTCCACTTTCTTCTATTCTCTCTTCTCACATCCCTTTTTCTTCTCTCCCTTAAAGTAGTGCAGAGACAGAGTCAAAAGACAGGAAAACATTTCACTCTTCCAGTTTCAGGTTAGATTAAAAATTCAGTTCTTTACCATGCATGCTTTCCAAGTGGTCAGTATATTAAAAGAAGAACCATTCAGTTACCTGTCTAATTCAATGCCTAATTGATTTAATTTCACAACTTTCATTATTATTTCACCATCTGACTACAGCAGAAATATACCTCACTGAACACAAATCTTATAGCATTTTGTGCTTAATGACAGGGTATTAGAATATTATCTTGCCAACAGCACTGACTTTGCACCTTCCATTTCAAACCCTCAGTGATAAGATATAATGCTGTTACTTGTCTTACAGGATTTGTGGCATGGCACTTTCCACACTCTCCACATGCTTGTGTGTCTTAAGATTGCTGCTGTTTAACAATATAAGGTTACATGGGAAAGAAGCAAAATAGGTACAAAGACTAACCACTGATATAGTCACATAATGTATGTGTCTACACTAAGGCTTCTCAACCTTGGCACCATTGACATTTGGGGCTGGATAATTGTTTGTGTGGGAGCTGTCCTGTGCATTGCAGGATGTTTAGCAGGATTCCCGGCCTATATTCAATAGATGCCAGTAGCAGACCCAGACCCATGGTTGTGACAACTAAAAATTTCCCCAGACATTGCCAAGTATCCCTGAGGGGCTGAGTAATATTCCATTATATGGACATAACACTTCGATTTGGCTTATCCACTCATCAGTTGATGGACATTTGGGACATTTCCACCTTGTGGCTATTTTGAATAATGCTGCTACAAATACTCATGTACAACTTTTTGTGTGAACCTAAGTATTTACTTCTGTCACGTATACACTGTTAAGGAAGAAATTATCCATGACACTTGTTAAAGAAAGTAAGGTGGACTTTATTCAACAAACTGCCATCAAGGCAAGCATAGGGACCAGTGCAATGGGGTTTTGCAGGGCGGGAGAGAGATTGGGCTTGACTTCCAATACAAGAAGATCAAGTGGGGATTTATAGCCAAGGAGCTGAGTTGGGGGGTCAGTGGATGGAAAATTACCAAGAGGAAACATCAGGGGTAAGGAGATTCTTGCTAAACCGACTCAACAGAATTATTGTTGAAGACAGACCAGAGTGATAAAAACAGTCAGGCCAGGCATGGTGGTTCACGCCTGTAATCCCAACACTTTGAGAGACCGAGGTGGGTGGATTGCCTGAGGTCAGGAGTTGGAGACCAGCCTGGCCAACATAGTGAAACCCCATCTCTGCTAAAAATACAAAAAATTAGCTGGGTGTGGTGGCAGACACCTGTAATCCCAGCTACTCGGGAGGCTGAGGCAGGGAGAATCACTTGAATCTGGGAGGCAGAGGTTGCGGTGAGCTGAGATCGTGCCATTGCACCCCAGCCTGGGTGACAGAGCAAAGTTCTGCCTCAAAAAAAAAAAAAAAAAAAAAAAAAAAGATACCAGTGGTGGGGGATACACTGACTTAGCAGGATTATTGCTCAATATGGACTCTACAAGGACAGATAGGGAAGCTCAAGGTCAAGCCTAGTCAGAAGGAACTCAGAGGAGGCTGACTCAAATTTGGTCAAAGGAAAGAATCTTTGTCAATATGCAGTGGAGGAATTTCTGGGTCATACAGTAATCCTATATTTGAGGAATTGGGCCATTTTGCATTCTCACCAGCAGTGCATGAGGGTTCTAATTTCACCACATCCTCATCAACAATATTTTAAAATCTGACTTTTTGAATTTAGCTATCCTAGTGTGTGTGAAGTGGTTTTGATTTGCTATTTTCTGTTAAAAAAATGTTATTGGAATATAGCTACACCCATTCCTTTATATATTGTCTATAGCTGCTTTTGCTCTACAATAGTAGAGGTAAGAAGTTTTAACGGAGATCACATAGCCTGCAAAGCCTAAAGAATTTGCTATCAAACCCTTTACAGAAAATGTTTTCTGAGCCCTGCTAAAGGATGTTTTTTCCCTTATTGTATCACAATTACTTTTGTTTGGTTATTTCTTTTTCTTCAATGAGAGTAGTATTCTAGTAAAAAGTAAATGTTAATTTTGGACAAGTGTTCACAATGGAGCTAAGTACTTGCCTTTGCCATATTATACACCCACACAGGCTTTAATCCTTTTTTTTTCTTTAACCTATTTAACAAGGTCAAAAATATCTTGCCATCATAATGAATCACTGCGGAGAACCAAGTTGATTTAAGGTACATCTGAAAAGCAAAATGATAGCAGGAAGAGATGGCAAAAAAAAGCCAAATTATTAAAATTATTAAATTATTATATGGATATGTGATTCTTCTTAAAATACATTAAAGCAATTTGTGCTCTGATAAGTTTTCTCCAAGGTCTTATGCTCTAAGTTCAGATAGAAATTCTTCATAGGGAATGTAATTAGTATAACACAGTTTAATGTCATGCTTAATAGTTTCCCAGAATGTTTTGATTAGAAAATTAATCTGCCCCTGTTTGTAGATGATAGAGCCGTTTAAAGGAGAACAGAAATATTCCTATTAGTGTGAGATACTTAACTAAGGTTCAGTTGAAAGTGTTAGATGTCACTACCAGATCGTATTCCCAGTATTAAATAAGTAGAAAAAAGGAATTAGGTAATTATTAAGACTCTTGTAAGATTACAGTTTAATTCCTTTAAAGCACAATTACTAAAACCTAAATATAATTTGTTGAGTCACTTGGAAAATAATTTGTCTGACAATAGCAAATAGAAATTATGTCCCAAAGCTAAAAAGAAATGTAAAATAAACGATAAGAATTCTGTGGTGCCCAATAGAGATTTTCAAATTGTCTGTTTCTTTCATCTATATTTCTGTCTCATCACCACATATGCTTTTCTTTTTATCCTCAGGTGAATTGCTGTGTTGTGGACATTCCTCAAGATCAAATGTACATAAAACCTGTCTGTATCTACGTCTCTCCTTAGGGTGTCCATTTGTGTGCATTATTTGCTTTCTGTTTTGTTCTTTGAACCCATTGTAACACAATAGACTTAAAATTATTTACTAAATTTGCTTTGATTAAGGTATTGCTGTTTATATTTGGGTCATGAAAGAGTAACGTGTAATTAGTTGCAACAGTTACAAGGGCAAGTTAGCGTCCTTACCTTTTTGCTGAGATGTCTGAAATATTTACAGTTTCTTGTGAAATCAAGCTGTGCCTGCACACTGTCCTGACACTGCAGTCACAAGTCACCAGATAATTTTATACTGCCAGAGCCTCATTCTCAGTCTTTGATCCCTCTTTATTTGCTGCTGTTGATCACAGTATCCTTCTTGAGACTCTTTTCTCACTTATTTCTCTCATCATCTCTCTAAAAATTATCTCCCTGACCTCTGCTTGGGCTTTTCTTTCTCTCCCCATCTTCTAGTGGGATGGTATGCCTCTTTGTGTAGAATGCTTTGAGACAGAAAGCCTGATTTAGTTCCACTATGTGGGCACCTTCCAAATAATAAAACAACTGGAGGAGTGAATGCTTACTCAGGACAAATCTGCCTCAGTTTATTCATGGGGAAAATGAGGAGTTCAAATTGTATTCCCCAGACATTCAAACTGGGATACTCAGAGCTCTAAGCTTTCACACCAGTACTTCAGGGACCACTGCAGAAGGTGAGGGAAAAAGCATCCATGTGGTATGATTCTAGACCCTCCCTCTAGGGACGTTTAAACTGACATTGCTTTTACCTGTTTGTTTTATTATTCAACACGAGGTACCATGTGAAACAAAAAAAGAAGTCAGCAAAAAAGAATAAAACCTTTATTAAATGAAATGGGTTATAAATCAGTGTTTCTTTTTTCTTTCAGTTTTAGAGATGAGGGTCTCGCTATGTTGCCCAGGCTGGTCTTGAACTCCTGGGCTCAAGTGATCCTCCCAACTCGGCCTCCCAAAGTGCTGGGATTACAGACATGAGCCACCACACCCGGCCAAATCAGTGTTTCTTAACCTTTTTTCAAAATCGTCCTTTTGGGCTGGGCACGGTGGCTCATGCCTGTAATCCCAGCACTTTGGGAGGCCGAGGCAGTCGGATCACCTGAGGAGAGGAGTTTGAGACCAGCCTGGCCAACATGGCGAAACCCGGTCCCTACTAAAACTAAAAAAAATACAAAAATTTGCCAGCCCTGGTGGCGCATGCCTATAATCCCAGCTACTCAGGAGGCTGAGGCAGGAGAATTGCTTGAACCCTGGAAGCAGAGGTTGCAGTGAGCTGAGATGGCACCATTGCACTCCAGCCTGGGCGACAAGGGAGACATTCCATCTCAAAATAAATAAACAAATAAATAAATAAATCAGCCTTTTAAAAAATCTTTTAGACATTTTTCTTAATTGTCCTCCTCTATGAAATTTTACTACTTTAGATATACTGTATATGTTTAGGTACTATATGTATGCCACTGTTTTGTATCTAAAAAGAGAACATTTATTTGCCCCCTAAGAACCAATTTTCATAACCTCAAAAATGTGAATTTTCATAATAAATTTTCAAGGGTAATAGTCCCCCCTGTACTGTAAATCACCTAAATAACCCACTAAATAAATAATTGGGTAACTTCGAGCTACTTTCTTATCCTTGAGAATCTCTATTTCCATTTACAAAACAGGAGAAAGCACTTGGTACATATTACATACTCAATAAAGGTTAATTTTTTTTCACCTTGAAAGTCTCATGCAGTCTGACATTCTATGAAATTACAATTCTACTTGGATCTTCCCAATTTAAACATAAAAAGCCACCTCTCACAGTCCTACTGCTATCACCTTCCCCTCCCGATTGCCAGTGTCTGCCGGCGTTAGCACTGTTCTTTAGTATTCCAAGCAGAAATCCGGAACGTTCTCTTTGATTTTTCCCTCTCTTTGACAAATTACACCTAATTCAAGGTGGCATAGGGTGAACAAAGAGTAGTACCATCCCAAAACTCTGGGAAGGAGGAATGAAATAGGTTGCCTCGCTGATAATTAAACCAATTACATTAACATATAATAGGAAGGAGATTATTTTTTGTTTGTTTTCTGAGTTAAAAAACTGGTAATTTTTACTTCAAGAGTATATTAATCTATCAGCAAAGAAGAATATTAACCAGAGGTTGCCGTCAGAATCGGAAAGGAGAAAAAAAATGAGCCTATCCCACGGACATCTAAAAATCCAACGCATTACAAATGTAAACTCAGCATTTTTGCCCCTACACCTGTCTCACCCAATAAACTCACCTCACTCAATAGCAACATAGCCTACCCAATTACCTAAGCAGAAATCTGCTCCATTTCACATCCAGCCTCTAAATCCTGTCAATTCTTCATCCTTAATATCGTTCAAATCCATTCTCTCCACACCATTGCTCCACCTGAGAACAGGCTCTGCCCCTGCTCCCCCAGACAGGTGACCCAGCCCAGCTTTCTGAGGCTATGCTCGGATCCCTCCAACGCATTCTGCAGGCTGTTGCCACAGTGCTGTCTGTAAAAAGGATATCTAATCATCTACGTAACTCCCACAGTTTAAAATCCAGCTACTCCACTTCACACCCCTCCAACACCTCAAAAGAATGAGAGGGGGAAACCACTCCAGGAGAAACCGCCACAAAGCAATGTAGCAGTATTGCCTTGACTAGAAAACTGGCAGCAGAAAAACCTTTTAACTAGTTGCTTTATGTCATGAAACCTACCTTCCGTTGACCTTAAAAGAAACAAACTTGGGCCTAGCCTAGGTAAAGGAGTAACCCCTGAGTTTAGTAAAGTTTTACTTAGTTTATTTTCAGTGTCAAAATGTTTTTTATTAGCTCTCATAAATAATTTCTTTGGGAACTCTTTAATTTTTCAGGGACATAACTACATGTGTCATGGTCCCCTGTAGTTATAATGTAATCCTGGATTCAGAAATACAGAATTGCTAATTTTATAGGTCAGGTGAGTCTCAATCTTCTCATTCTAAGAATTAGTATACAGAATATATTGTAAAACAATATTCTACTATTCTTACAATTAAGCCTGATTCATAGTTCTGTACTGTTTAATTTACTACATATGGTCATGCACCACATAACATTTTAGTCAATGACAGACCTCAAATACGATGGTGGTCCCATAAGATTCTAATACTGTATTTTTACTCTACTTTTCCTATGTTTAGGCATGTTTGGATACACACGTTTGCCACTGTGTTGTAATTGTATGTCTCTCAAATTCTGAAATATTAGAATGACATCCTGTGTTCTGAAATCCCAGTTTAGAAAGTTAGGTCAAACTAGAAGTACCATTTAATTTTAAAAAGCATTTCGCTAAACTTACTAAAGACAGAGGAATAAGTGGTTACTAAAAGAAAACAGACTGTGCCTGAACATTAGGGTTTAACATATATTTGAAGGAGGATAATACATGTTTGCACAGTCTTGTGGTTTTTAGGTGGGACCTTTGGCAGGTGACTAGGACATGAAGGCAGAGTGCTCATGAATGGGGTTAGTGTCCTTATAATAGGGACCTCAGAGAATTTTCTTGCCCCTCCACCATGTGGGGATCCAGCAAGAGGACAAACAAAATAAAGTAAATTTATTAACACAGTATGTAAACAAAATAAAATTATTTACACGGTATTCACAGTATATTATACTGTACAGTATTCAGTACAGTAACATGCTGTACGGGTTTCCACCTAGGAGCAATAGGCTATGCTACATAGTCTAGCTGTGTAGCAGGCTGTATGACCTAGGTTTGTGTAAATGCACTCTATGATGTTTGCGTAATGATGAAATCACCTATAATGCATTTTGCAGGACGTATCCCTGCCATTAAGCAACGTATAACTGTATTTCCTTCCTCCATTTTCCTAGCTTTAATTCTACTGCAAAATCTCTCCAAAACTCTTCAGTTTAGACCTATATCACCATCTCTCCTTTTTCTCTTTTCCAGTAATTCTTTTCCTTTACCTCAGGTTGTGTCTTCATAAATATGTCTCCAATATTTTTCTTTTCTTAAAGACAAATACTTGAGCCTAATTATCATCTCACCATATGGTTTCTCTTCTCTTCGTTATTCCTCATACCTATCACGCAGTTCTTCTGCAATTGCTATCAAAATTCACCTGACCTCTTCCCATTATATTTGTACACCTCTAAACTTACCATCTGCCATTGTCCTTCAGATGGCTACTAAATCCTGAATTCATTTTAAGGTCTTGCCATTCTATAACTGTTTCTCACCTCTTCAGTTGTATGATTCCCTAAACCTAATTTCCACTTCTTACTAACAGGAGAGAGTGAACTGTCATAAACAAAATAAAACATTCACTATGACAAGAAAGAGTTGCAACTTACCTGTTTCCTGAAAGTGGTCTTGAGCAAGGACAAACCATGCTGGCAAAGGAAGAAAGGAGAAGCGCTACTGAAGATGCTAAAAAGACAATTCTGGTGCACCATGGCCCTGCTGAAGTTCTTCTGAGATATGAACACCTAGGAGACTTGTCTTAGTCCATGTGGGCTGTTATAGTAAAATACCATAAACTGGGCAGCTTATAAACAAAAGAAACTTACTTCTCACAGTTCTGCAGGCTGGAAACTCCAAGACGAAGGTGCCAGCAGACTCAGTGTCTGGTGAGAGCCGGCTCCCTGGTTCACAGGCGCATGTCTTCTTTCTGCAGCCCCACATGCTGGAGGGGCAAGAAAGTTCTCTGCGGTCCCTTCCATAAGGACACCAACCCCATTCATGAGTACTCTGCCTTCATGCCCTAGTCACCTCCCAAAGGTCCCACCTAAAAACCACAAGACTGTGCAAACATGTGTTAGCCTCCTTCAAATGTATGTTAAACCCTAATGTTCAGGCATAGTCTGTTTTCTTTTGGTAACCACCTATTCCTCTGTCTTTAGTAAATTTGACCAAATGCTTTTTAAAATTAAATGGTACTTCTAGTTGGACCTAACTTTCTAAACTGGGAATTCAGAACACAAGACTTCATTCTAATAATTCAGAATTTGAAGTACATGTTCTTTTCCATCGAATTAACACATACGATTTTAGGCCTTTTGAGCATGTCCTCCCCCAGTCTCATTCTTTTGGTGGAAAGCATTCCCATCTTTGAGTTCTACCTCAATATAGCAGCACTCAGCCCCTTCAGATGTTTTGGTTGATTTTGGATGAATTTTTTTCTACTTCTCTGTGTCTTTACTAACATGTGATAACCAGAACCACAGACTGAATTTCATATGTAAATGAACCATGCTTTTATATGGCAATGGGATATGGTTTTCATTCATTTTCAAAAGATTCAAATGTGAAAATGTACCAATTTCAAAATAGATAGTTTACCTAACAATGACCCATGAGTTTATTTCAAAACAGAAAACTTCTTTTTTTTTTTTTTTTTTTTTCTGAGACAGAGTCTGGCTCTGTCACCCCGGCTGGAGTGCAGGGGCACAATCTTGGCTCACTGCAACCTCCGCACCCTGGGTTCAAGCAATTCACCTGTCTCAGCCTCCTGAGTAGCTGGGATTACAGGCACCCGCCACCATGCCTGGCTAACTTTTGTATTTTTAGTAGAGACGGGGTTTCACCATGTTAGCCAGGCTGGTCTTGAACTCCTGAACTTGTGATCTGCCTGCCTCGAACTTCTTATAGTAATATGTTGTAAGTAAAAGCATTTTATAAACTGGAAATCACTCTAAAAATACAAATTATGGGCTGGGCATGGGGCTCATGCCTGTAATCTCAGCATTTTCAGTGGCTGAAGAGGGAAGCTCTCTGGAGCTCAGGAGTTCGAGACCAGCCTGTGCAACATAGTGAGACCCTATCTCCACAAAAAATTTTAAAAATTACCTAAGCATGGTAGCATGCACCTGTACTTCCAACTACCCGTGGGGCTGAGGTAGGAAGATTGCTTGAGCCCACGAGGTTGAGGCTGCAGTGAGCTGTGACTGCACACCATTGCACTCTAGCCTGAGTGACAGAGCAAAACCCTGTCTCCAAATATATATATGCATACACAGACACACACATATATATACATACACACATATACATAAAAAAATTACTACTTTTTCTTGTATGTGTTGTAATTTTCTCCAGTATGTTTTTCTCTGGTATGCTATATAGGTATCAGAATATATAAATATATATATGTGATATATAGTTACATATATATGAGATAGTTATATATACACAAATATATAGAATATATATTTTCAAATGTGTTATATTTTAAATATTTATATTATTTTTATATTATATATTAAAATACACTTTATGTATATAAGAAATAGATATATTTTAAGATGTTCTTAACGTTAGTTTTCATTCCATGGACTACCTCACTGATGTTGTGAAGTTAGCTGAAAGCATGACAGATGGCAGGAAAATAACATTTAGTGTTAGAACTGTGTCATAAATTATTCATAAGTGAATAATGTATCCTTCACAGATAATCAGGGGTTGATAGTACCATAACCTGAGGACTGATAGAAAGTGCAGGTTCAGAGATGTATTTGTCAGAACTGCTTCATTGCAAGTCACAAATTCTCAACTCAAACTAGTTTAAGCACATAGGACATTTTATTTTCTCACAACACTGAGAAAAATACCTGGGAAGTTCACATGATAGAAGCAACTAGATCTGGAGGTGGTGATGAGGCCTGCTTACACACTTTGCAAAATTAAAATGCAAAATGTCCTATTTAAAAATTATTAAGAATTTCTAGATGGTAGAGCATGAAACCAAGTGTGGGGGCCCTTCTAGGATCAGAATTGCGTGTGACTATATATGTGACATGCCCATAAACCTGGTCCTGCTGGAGATTCAAGTCAACCAGGACTTCCCTTCCCTTTTACACTCTGAAATGTCTCATATCTACTTTTCTCTTTTTTTTTTTTCTTTTCCTTCTCTGTTTTCCTCATTGTCTCCTACTGCAGAGGGGTTGAGCCAGTCTTCTTTGCTAATTCAAGCACATAAGGTCTCAGAGAGGGCTCTGATTGGTCAGGCCTAAGTGAAAAGCCTCTCTGTTGAGGAGATCTGCAGGGAAGAGGTGGAGTTATACATGTGAAATAATGGTATGGACCCATACATCCAAATCACAAGGAACTGGGGAAGGGCTCCTCAAAGGAAACTGGAATGTTCGTACCAGTAAACATGAGATGGAACAGTATCCTAAACAAGCAAAACTGAAATTACCACATAAAACCCACTGGGTTTGATTTGCCACCCTACTGGTTGTAGTTTTTTAATCTTTCTAATTCACAGTTGTGAAGATTAAATGAAGTGGTTAATACTACATTATGGGCATTCAACCTATATTAGTTCGTTTTGTATTTTCTTTATCTTTTTTTTTTTTTTTTTTTTTTGAGGTAGAGTCTCACTCTGTCTCCCAGGCTGGAGTGCAGTGGTGCAATTTTGCCTCACCACAACCTCCACCTCCCGAGTAGCTGGGATTACAGGCATGCGCCACCACACCCAGCTAATTTTTGTATTTTTAGTGGAGACGGGGTTTCACTATGTTGGTCAGACTGGTCTCAAACTCCTGACCTCAGGTGATTCACCTGCCTCGGCCTCCCAAAGTGCTGGGATTACAGGCATGAGCCACTGCACCCGGCCTGTTTTATATTTTCTAATGATAGTGTGGGCCTCAGATGAAGAATTGTATCATTAATTTGGGGTAGAGGTACAGTTTTCAAATCCGTATGTAAAGATGAACCGCACAGTGATTCTGGCTGGTTCTAAATCTCTTCCGCGAAACCCACTAACGTAACGGTTGAGAGAAAGCTAAAGGACAAATGGCAGGACAAGCGACAGGAAACTTGTGTTTACAATATAAAGACTCTGACTTTTTTCCAGAACAGGTTTTCCTAAATAGAGATGGTACACGTTATTTGTAAAAACTTGATCATCTGTCTTTTAATTCCCCTCAGTACAGATAGACAATTTGTAGTGATAAATAAAGCTCTTTTGAAAATTTGGAGATAACAAGATGGAATTTTAAAAATTTACCAAATGTAACTTTTCCAAGAGTTTTAAGACAAGCCCTTTTCTAAAGGTTCCCTACTAGTCATTACCTATTCAGCTTTCCAAGCTAAACAGCTTTCTGTGTCTTTCTCATTCAACTTTGTGAAGTATATTCCAGAGCTTCCTTTCTTTTACACATGGGTGTACTGGTTACACCCTTAGCCCATGCATTATTGAAAGTTCATCGAAGAAGGTAAAGCAGCTCTCTACACTCTCAAAGAGAAAGGACTAAAGTTAAATTTCTAGGAATAGTTGAATAGAGAATTTATTACAAACAAGATAACTAGTAAAAGATAAAAATATAATCAACATTTTGTTTTTATTACACTGGCAGAGTAACACAGAGAATTGATTCATAACTGATATAAATAGCCAGTTTTCTTAAAAGCTAAACATTTTGAAAATTTAACTACCTTGAGTTTTTTTATGTACTTCACTTAGGTTAATATGGAACATACTTTCAGAACTACATGGAGGACCAAAAAAATTTTTAATCATGTCAGATGGTTGATAGGTCTTTTTCTGTATGTATGTTTGCAAAATATAATACATAACTAAAAGGTTATAACCCTTTTAATGTGCACTCATTTATGGAAACTCTGTAAATATTGAATATTTTCTTCAAGAAAGCATGTTAAATGTTAAATACATGCCCTATGTTTTTCTCTCTTTTTTAACATAAAGTCGAAGTCTTGGAAAAGCAACAGTCATTGCTACAAAATGGATTTTCCCATGCATTCAGAAATAACTGGTACCAAAAAATAGGCAAATAAATGAGTCTATTTGCCTTAATTACCAAGTGTAAGATTGGACAACAGATGTTCTCCTCCATGTGGTTTGCTAATTTATTTTATTCCTTCTGTCCATTTACATGAGCCATTCTGAAAATTAGTATTGAGAAGGTACAATCAAATTTTCTCTTCTTGGTAAGCAAAATCTAATCTCTCCCATTAATATGTTATCCTTTCAATACCAAAATTTAGGGAGAAGAATGCCTGTTACCAACCACAGTCTTATGTCATACACAAAAACCCACACCAACCTTCAGCTTCATACCAAAATACAACTTCATTTTTCTAATAACAGCAGCAGGAAAACAAACAGACCTACTACCACACTATCATGTTCTCGAAGGGTTTTTAACATCTTCAAAATATTATTAGATCTTCACTCATACATTTTGGCAAATTCAATCATTGCCCCTTCTGATACTGGTATACATACACATGTTCTCTGAAAGTCTGGAAATTTGCCCACAAATATATCTAGAGCCATGATTTAAATATGGCTAACTTTAAAAGAAATGAATAACTTCTACTTAAATTACTCAATATCAAGGATGTTCTAGAAAACCTTTTAAATCGGGATCCATTTTTCTATTATGTCTGCCTGATACAAGTAATGCTAAAGTGCCTTGGCTCACTTAAGGAGGAAACTGACATGCTTATCCATTATATGGTATAGCTGACCAAAGACTATTTAAATTGGTTTCAAATTTTAGGTTAATGTTCTTACTGCTGTCCTGCCACTTACCTTAATCCATCTCAGTATTTTATGGTGTTAGATATTACTGTCTGCATAATGATCACAGAAGTTTTAAATGTAGTACTTCCTTTCTCCTCATTAATGCTGCTACTAAGCTTCAATTCTTAAGGAAAAATGATCATATTATATACGTATTTCAAAACAGATAATTATGCTGTCAAATGATACTGCCCTATATGGTACTTTAATTAATTATGTGATGTATAACTTGATTTTAAGCACTTAGAGAATATGTACTATGTTTTCTATTTCTTAAAATTATAAAAATAAGATAGATGTGGTAATAAAAATATTCAACATTATAAAAGATTATGAAATACCAAGTAAAAATCTCCCATTCTCTACTCCTAATTCTATTCAGCGGAGATAACCACACTTAACTGTTTCTATTTCAAGTTCTTCTGGTCATTACCTCCAAAATACTGAATTTTATGCTTAGGTCTCATTTTCTCAATTTATTGGTGCTTAATGGTATCAACTGGCTATTATGACAAAATGAAAAAGTTAACTTATTTCTACCTTCTGCCATCTCTTCTCCTCCTCCTAATTTTTGCTAATGTTTATTTCTATCCAATTAGCTACCTTTATTTTTATTCATAAGTATACACACAAATATATTTACATTTATTATAAGTACATAAATATAATATTATATGTTTTGTTTAAATGCAGTCTTTTTTCTTTTCTTTTTACCTAATTCTCCCTCCCTCAACTCAGAAATAGTCTTTTCCCATTAACACGTTTGCAACCTGTTAAGAATGCTTCAATATTTCTTCATGATTATATAATTATATAAAACTTACACTTTGTTTAATGGATATAAAGTTTCAGTTTTGCAAGATGAAAAGTTTTGGACATCTGCTTGTTTGGTTTTTGTTTTGTCAGGTTTTTTTTATTGAGACAGGGTCTCACTCTGTCACCCAGGCTGGAGTACAGTGGTTTGATCTCAGCTCATTGCAGTCTCAACCTTCCAGGCTCATGCGATCCTCCGCCTCAGCCCCCCAAGTAGCTGGGACTACAGGCACACACCACTATGCCCAGCTAACTTTTGTATTTTTTTGTAGATACAGGGTTTTGCCATGTTGCCCAGGCTGGTCTTGAACTCCTGCACTCAAGGGATCCACCCGCTTTGGTCTCCCAAGGTGTTAGGATTACAGGCATGAGCCACTGTGCCTGTCCTGGACATCTGTTCCACAATAATATGAATGTACTTAACACTACCAGAGAGTACACTTAAAAATGATTAAGATGGCTGGACACAGTGGCTCACACTGGTAATCCTAGCATTTTGGGAGGCCAAAGCAGGGGGATCACTTGAGTCCAGGAGTTAGAGATTATCCAGGGCAACATAGTGAGACCCTGTCTCTACAAATAACTTTTAAAAATTATCAGGCATGGTAACGCATGCTTGTAGTCTCAGCTATTTGGGAGGCTGAGGAAGAAGGGTCACCTGAGGCCAGGAGGTCAAGGCTCCAGTGAGCCATTGATTGCATCACTGCACTCCAGCCTGGGTGACAGATCCTGTCTCAAAAAACAAAACAAAAAAAGGTTAAGATGTTAAAGTTATGTTTCATGTTTTTTCACCACAATTAAAAATTTAAAAATACATAATTATATAATTGTACACATATGTATGTGTATACTTATTTATAATCATACACATATGTATCCACATACCTGTATATAATAATACACATACTGGAAGTCTTCACTTTATACCATTCCTATATATAAATTTCAGTTACCACCATTCAATTAAGTAACACCACACCCCAAAAACATGGGTCAAATCAGTTGCCGTGGTGTATTAATGTGAAAGACTCCATAAAAATATAAACTTCATTGCTACCTTGTCACTCTACAACTCACCGTAGACAACAAATATACATCATGGTTGGTGACCAATCATGTCACTTCTTTCAAAATCTGTTGGTGATTGGTCACTGCACATTTTTTACTTAGTTCATGCACAGACAGCAAAGCATATAGTTGTATTGCTTCCCTGTCTCCCAGAAATAAACACACATGACATTGTACAAAAATAAATAATCAAAAGAGGGAAATGGTCAACAAAGATGAAAATGCTGCAAATAAGGGGAAATAATGCTGAAAGAGAAATTCAAATTGATCATAAATGGAGTTATAGAAGAAAATAGTTGGGTACAATGTACCCAATTCAGGTGATGGGTATACTAAAATTTCACACTTCACCACTATACAATTCATCCATGTAATCAAAAACCACTTGCACCCTAAAAGCTATTGAAATAAAATTATATATACATATGTTTAAAAAAATAGCTGGCCACAGAAATGTTGACACTGCCAATGTTCAGAAGACTCTAGCTATTGTGGCTAGAGGAACTTAGTGAAAGTGAACTTATTGACATAAATGAGGAAAATAATTGTGACAAAAAGGATAGTGTCCCAGAGGAAGCAACACCAACAAAAACTTCACATTAAGGAAATTTCTGGAGCTACTTGACAACATTGAAAGTACAATGAATAAAATGTCAGAGCTGATCTAAACTTAGAAAGAAGTATGACAATTTGCCAAGGCATAGAAAAGATGCTTGCTGTATGTTCTAAGTTATACAATAAGAAGGCAGCACTATTGCAACTACACTTAATAAGTTTGTTTTAATTGGATTTTACAAAAAGGATGCTTTAATTTTTAATGCTTCTAATATTTTCATTTACAGAGTACTAAGTAAATACTAGTTTTAAAATTTTTTATTTCCCTACATATTTATAACTTACAGTAAAAAAAAAAACAATGTTTGGATTAAATTTTTAAAGGTGTCAAAACAATTATAGTTTACTCCATTTACTATTAAGATCACTTTGCTGCCTGGCGTGGTGGCTAGTGCCTGTAATTTCAACACTTTTGGAGGCCAAGGCAGGAGGATCCCTTGAGTCCAGGAGTTAGAGAACATCCTGAGTAACACAATAAGACCTTGTCTCTACAAAAAAAAATTTTTTTAAATTAACTGGGGGTGGTGACATACACCTGTAGTCCCAGCTACTTGGAATACTGAGGTGGGAGGATCACTTGAGCCCAGGAGATTGAGGCTGCAGTGAGCCATTATAGCGTCACTGCACTCCAGCATGGGGTACAGAGTGAGACCCTATATCCAAACAACAGCAACAACAACAACAACAACCACAACAACAAAAACCAATCTCAATGACAACAGACTATAAATATGTTCAAATTCTCTAATAGTCAATAATAGCCAATTAAATTAACAATGAGATATAATCTTATCCTATCAGTCTGGCAACAATTTAATAGCTCTAATTATTTCTAGTGAGGAACTTTTTAACTTTACTTTCCTTACTTTAACTTACTTACAGGTAATAGAGTGTATAACATCACAACCTTTTGGGAAATCTGTCTGATGACATCTAAAAGAATTTTTAAAGACCACATATTTTCGACCTAGCGATCTCACTCCTAGGAATCTAATTCACATAAATATATCAAGCAGTACTTAAGAATATTTGTACAGGATGTTTATCGAAGTGATTACTATTGTGGTACAAAAAAAAGCTTTTTTAATTTTTTTGTATTTTATTATTTTTTTGAGACGGAGTCTCACTCTGTCACCCAGGCTGGAGTGCAGTGGTGCGATCTCAGCTCACTGCAAGCTCCGCCTCCCTTGGGTTCACGCCATTCTCCTGCCTCAGTCTCCCGAGTAGCTGGGACTACAGGCGTCAGCCACCCCCAGAAAACATTTTAATGCTCATTAGAAGGGAATAGTTCAATAAATTATAGTACATGTATATCACAAAATTTGCAATGATTATTTACAAATCCCTTAAAGCTGTATCAGTTGATTTAGAAAGATTTCCACAAAGAACTGTCAAATGAGAAAAGCAAAATGCAGAAAAGTGTAGGTAACATGATCTCAACATTAAACAATGGCCAAAAAAATCTACGGAGGCAGTCAATCTCTTTGCATGTAGGACAGCACTATTGAAATGGCCACGTAAGGTAAAACCGTGCAAAGTGATTTTTTTTTTGAGACAGGTCTTTGTCACCCAGGCTGGAGAGCAATGGTGCAATCAAGGTTCGCTATAGCCTCAACTTCCTGGCTACTCAGCCTCTTGAGCGGCTGGGACTACAGGTGTGTGCCACCATGCCCTGCTGATTTAAAAAAATGTTTTAATAGGGACAAGGTCTTGCTATGTTGCCCAGGCTGGTCTCGAACACCTAAGTTCAAGTGATCTGCCCTTAACTCAAGCAATTTGTGCTCCTGGGCCTCCCAAAGAGCTGGGATTACATGCATGAGCCACCACACTCAGCCAGATTTGCTATTTCGTAATTACTGTTGTGTTCTTTGCCCATTTAAAAATTGAGCTGCCTTTTTCTTACCCATCTTGAGCTCTTTGTATGTTATAGGTTGAATAGCCAATAAATGTGGAAAAGAAAAGCATTTTGGATGGGGTCAGACCTTGCTTTACTATTAGGTTGGTGCAAAAGTAAATGTGTTTTCTTTTTTTTCAAAAACCGTAATTACTTTTGTACCACCATATGTAGCAGAGTGTACATTTATCAAATCAATGATATTTGTATAGGAAGAGGCAAACGGATCTGTAGAATAGTCTCCAGAAACAAATCCAAGTATATATAATAATTCATTAAACTTACTATATTCATTCATGTAGCTGGGAAAATGATTATTTAATAAACGTTGCTGGCAAAACTGACTGGTCATATAAGTACATTACTCCATTTTAGACAAAAAATAAATTTTATATGGATCAAGAATACAAATGTAAAATGAAAAAACATTCTTACCCAAATACCTGGGATACTATATGTACAATCTATGAATAGGAAAACTAAAATTTCTGTAAGAAATGAGACATATTTGATTACACAAAAATTCAAAATTTACAAAGTCAATAGACAAATTATATATTTGTGTGTGTAAATACACATATAAATATGTATATTAATTATTGCTGCATAATAAATTACCTTCATAATAATGTAAATAATACAATAATAATACATAAAATAAATAATACAAAAATAAATATATCACAGTTTACTATCTCATTGTTTCTTTGGGTCAAGAGTCTGGATGTGGCTTAGCTCGGTGCCTCTTGTTAAAGATTCTCTTGAGGCTGCAGTCAAATTATGAGCCAGGAGCTCAGTCTCAACGAAAGGCTCACCTCTGGAAGAAGACCTTTCCACAGGATTGTCCCATAACCTGGGGACTAAGCAATCCAAGAGAGAGCAGGAGAAAGCACTTAAGGTGGAAGTCACAGTCTTTTTTATAACCTAGTCTCAAGTGACGTCCTGCTTGCGCTGTATTCTGTTTTTTTAGAAGTTAGTAAATCCAGCCCACAGGCAAGGTGTGAGGATTACACAAAATGTGAATAACAGGAGGCAGGGACCCGTAGGGATGATCCTAGGGGCTACCTACTACAATAGATCACACTTATAATTTTAAACAATATACATAATTAAATCTTGTTTCTTATTTCTACATCTTTAGAGAATATCTCTCAACCACCATAAAATGAGGAAATTATTTCTTTCTACCTCCCTGGTGGCAGCTCCCCCCATCATTTCTATCAACTAGTTATGTTTACATTGTCAAAGTTTATACCACTTACCAAAAGTATAATTAAGTCTATTGACTCTTTCCCCTTAAGTACAAGATCCAGGAACAGGCAGGAAGTCTTCTTTCCCATCTTTCACTCTGAAGACGGCTTACACCAGTGGACAACCCCCACTCTGGAAACCGTACTCCTCTGGAAGATTATTCCACTAATTTTTTACCTGGGGATGAAAATGAAGAAACTTGCACAGCTGATCTATAGATATTTCTTCTCATAGTCACTGTGATTTCTGTCTCACTTCTCACTCTCTAGTTTTAAACTGCCAGTCTTCCAGGACTTGGCAGAAAATGCCCATGCTCGCTTCCACCACAGGCTTGTCTGTGCAGGTTTGGGTCTCTAATTCTTCCACTTCAGCTTGCTCATCAATATGTTCCCAACTATTTTCTATCTTCTACAATTCATTAAATATCTGTGGATGTTCCTTCTCTTGGTTTTGATTTCTTTCTTTTAAGCCAGTCAAATTTAGCAGTGAGGGGTTGTAGACTAACTTTAGTGTCACTAATGCTATGTTTTGATAACCCACTACCATCAGACCAGCCTTGTTTTTCAGTCTTTTATGAATATATTCTTCTATTTACTAATATTTCAATGGAATTCTGGGAAGAGTGGGTGGTAAAAGCCTTTGGCTCAGTTTGCCACAGTGGAACAGAACCAACCTTCTCTATAGGCTTAAAACAATAGAAATGTATTGTCTTATATTTCTGGAGTTCAGAACTTTGAAAATGGGTCTTACTGGGCTAAAATCAATGTGTCCAGTAAGCCTGCATTTCTGTCCGGAAGCTCTGGGGGAGAATTCATGTCTATGGTCATCCAGATTGTTGACAGAATTTATTTCCCTGCTGTTGTAGCCTGAGCATCCATTACTTTTCTGGTTGTCAGTTGAGGGCTGGTCCCAGCCTCTAGAGACCACTCAGATGACTTTACTAAAGCTCTCTTCCTCCATCTTCAAATCCAGCAACTAAGGGTCAAGATGTCTCAAATTTTAAACCTCATCTGTTTCTTCATCTATCATTGCATCTCTAACTGACTCAATCTTCTGCTTCTGTTTTTAAGACTCTCTATAATTATATTGGGTCCACTGCAATAATAATCTGCTTATTTTAAGGTCAGCTCATTAACAGCCTTCATTCCATCTGCACCCTTTATTTTCTTTTCCTATGTAAGATAACATATTCACCAGTTCCAGGGGTTTAGGATATGGACATCTTTGGTGGGCCATTATTATCCCTACCAGAGAAATCAACATCCGATGCCATTTACTCTAAAGGGCAACTGTCCCATTTTAGTTATTTGAAAATGTTTATAAAAGGTAGGACTTCAGAAAGACTATGAAGAAGGCGAGGAGGTTTAGTTGAATGAGAAGAGAAAGGCGTTTTAAACATAAGTGACAGTGAGAAAGAAAACATGAAACATTAATTCTTGATCATAGAAATGGAATAAATAGCTGGGCAAGAATGTTCTATATCTTAGATCATTCTACTCATAAGAACTGAAATATTTTTATAGCAGAACTGTTATTTACAAATTAAGACAGATAGTTAAATAAATGTATATTACTGGGACTAAAAATAGGTGTGGAAAATATTTTTCCAGCAAATATTTTTCTGGTTAAAATGAAGATGTTTCCAGTGGAACTACAATAAACCCTGAGATTTCAAAATGTTTTCTTAGAGAGTCAACATACATAATAAGGATAGTGAAAAATAACAGTTTACTGGAGTATATAAAAGTGATAATTTGCTATACGAGATTTACCTATCCCCTAAAATCTGAAAAGAAACCCATTCATAAAATCCTCGTTTCCACATTTGCAATATGATAAGGCCAAATGTCTGCTCCGTAAAGTAGTAAATATCATTTTCTCCATCATAAAGAAAAAGGTGTACTTTTTTGTTTTCTCATGGCACAGAGAAAAATATGCTTTTTAAATGACGCTTTATTGTTATTATAAAGTCATTTGTGTGATTAAATATATTTGTAATAAATTTGCAGGTACCTTGTGTATTCTTAACACTGCACAAACTGGATCATTACTGATACTTGCTTCTAATCCCAGGTGAAGTAAAGCTAAGGGATAGATTCTGACTTGCATTTAAATGTTCACTGTCAATGTCACTTTACTATGTAGACAAAAATAAATAAGCATGTTCTATATTTTATTGATGAATATATAGGTGAACACAATTCATCCACAGTACTAAGTTGACTATGTATGGGTACCTAATAAGTTATCACATTGCTGAAAACTGTATCTTTAACACGTTTAAATGTGCATATAAAAATTGAAAGCTGTTCTAAATATAAATTTGCTAGTATTGCTTACAAACTGGAGAACTAAATATGTGACAAAAATAAAAAGTAAATGTAACTCACCAGGTTTAAATATGTACTTAATGCTCATATTTACTGTTCACAAATGCAAAAGTTACCCAAAGTAGATTCCAAACATCTTTAGGAATGGTAATTTTATTTAATAAAATTCTTCTATCTAATTTCTTTGTTCGAAGTGCAATTTCTAGGTGATATTATTTTTTAATGACTATAATATCATCCTGACATCAAATGATGGTTATGGGTTTATGAGCATTTTTATAATGTCAGAATTTTAATATTTTAATTGTGAATTCTTAATAACATGAATTCATTCTTCTGTGCTAACTTCGACATCTTTTCTTTTACGAGGGAATATGTAATTTTATTTTAAGCAGAACAGAGTAAGTATTTGTGCTCTTAAAAATTACCATTTGTTTCATTTTGTGCCTCTTCTAAAGAGTGTTAGATAAATTGAGAAAACTTTTAGTTTGTGATAGGACTTCATCAGAAAGAGAATAATGACTAAGCCTCTTTCCTTTTTTCTTTCTAACTGCATTTATTGAAGATTTCTCTCGTGTCATCTAAAAGACAACAAAACTAAAACCCTATGAGAAAAGTCATTCTTTTATGTTTTATATACTTAGTTTTTCAACTATAGTGGAACTTTACCTACATTTTCTTTTTTCTTTTTTTTTTTTTTTTTTGAGAGGGAGTCTCGCTCTGTCGCCCAGGCCGGACTGCGGACTGCAGTGGCGCAATCTCGGCTCACTGCAAGCTCCGCTTCCCGGGTTCACGCCATTCTCCTGCCTCAGCCTCCCGAGTAGCTGGGACTACAGGCGCCCGCCACTGCGCCCGGCTAATTTTTTGTATTTTTAGTAGAGACGGGGTTTCACCTTGTTAGCCAGGATGGTCTCGATCTCCTGACCTCATGATCCACCCGCCTCGGCCTCCCAAAGTGCTGGGATTACAGGCGTGAGCCACCGCGCCCGGCCTACCTACATTTTCATATTCCTCTTTTCCTAAATACTACCTTAATGCATAATTTCTGACATAAAAATGACCGTATGAGTCAATAAACACAAAGTTTTTTAGTTGCTTTGTGATGGCCATAAAAGTTGCTAAACACAAAGCTCATTTGAATGTTCACGCAGGATGGATGGCTAGCCTTACTCACTAGCTAAGGGACAGCTACCATGTAACACAAAGAACTAAAATCAGCATCCCCAGCAAAATTACAAATCGTAGTCATGTGTGCATAAGACCTTTCAGTCAAAGAAAGACTGCATGTACAAGATGGTCTCATAAGATTATAATGGAGCTGAAAAATTCCTATTGCCTAGTGACATTGTAGTTGTCATAAAGTTGTAGCACAATGGGTAACCTTTTCTATGTTTACACGTTTACATACACAAAAACTGCCATTGTGTTACAACTGCCTACAGTATTCAGTACAGTAACATGCTGTACAGATTTGTAGCCTAAGAACAATAGGCTATACGGATATTGCCTAGATGTGTAGTAGGCTATACCATGCAGATTTGTGTAAGTGTACTCTATGATGTTCCTGCAACAAATCTGCTCTAATGAAGCATTTGTTAGAACATATGCCCATTGCCACTCCACAGACGACTGTATTATATGGCATGAAAATCTGGGATTATTTATGAATCAAAAGTGGAAAAGTCAACTATGTGAATGCTTGAAAAAAACTTATTAGGTATGATTTTTATAACTATAACTGTTAATCTTACTTGTGAAATTTTAAGGGAGGGAAAGTGGAGTCTTTTTCTTAACATTTTACAAGTAGTATCAATAGTTATAAACTGGACACTTTCAGGAAAGAGCTGGAAAATTTGGGTCAGCAAGAGAAATCTTGTGACACAATGTGGTACACCAGGAAAGCCCTGGAGTACATTAGAGATTTAAACACAAGTTCTAATTTTTCCCAATCACTTCTCTTGGGCCTCATTTATTCTTTTAAATGAAATCTTTTATTCAACCCTTTTGGGCCACATCCCTGGCAGAACCTAATTTAACTAAGAAAATCCATCAAGACGCCCGCAGTAGAGTATCATCAATTCTGGCACTAGGTTTGAGGACTCCTGCCTTGAAGATTTGGGAAGAAGATCTAGGTGTTGAATTGGCTTAGCCACTGCTATTTGTTTTGTGTGTTGTATTCAGCTCTCTCTTTATTGCTCTGATTTCCTGTCTGCTCTGTCTCCTCTAGAGCATCAGCAAATCTGACTTTTGACTTTGCCTATTCTCAAAACCAACCCACGTAGGTTGAAGGTATTTCATGGCTATTGGCTTACTGTCTGTGTTAATATCATCTGTTCACCCATCCAGACCCACTCTTCACCATTCTTCTTTCATCTCTGTGTCCTAGGAGGCTGAGCTGTACAGACTATGATTATGAACACTACTGCCTCCTGGCTTTCTGCTGTGTTTAGCTAAGGGAAGCCTTATTATAAGAGTGGACAGGAAGAGGAGGATGAACTTGAAGAATTAATTCTGCTGTCTCTCTATCGTAGCACAAATTTTCAATAAGGGCAATATTACCTCTAAGAGGGTAAAAATTGTTACATAGGGTTAAAAAAATGAGCTATTACAATGGTTTGCGGCTTTCTGAAGGGCCACACTATGACAACACATATACACTAAATCTATGGTATTAAACTTTCATGGGGGAGAGGTGATTAGGTATAAAATATCTACAAAGGCTTAATCAGGCAATAGTGACCTACCATCCTCCAGAGTTATTATGACCTGGCTGCATCCTCCAAATCAAGGTCAACGTTGTCCTGAGATGATGGGGTAAGTGGAAAGGTAGAAAAGAGCAATAGTGGGAGGGAGAAGAGGAGCTCTTTTAATTAACTTTAACCATTGAAAATTGAGAAAAGATAATTAAATCCATCAAGAGAAGAATGAGAAGGCCTCTCCTCCTCCTTTCTCCAACCTTGATTCTTTTAATTTATATGTTTTCCCTGATCAAATCTTTACATATAAATCAATTCACATCACATTTTCTGAACCCATACATAAACAAAGAGGGAGTTTTAACAGAAATTGATGTCTAGAGAGTCTGTTACATTTTACGTAGCTCTTTCAATTATATGCTCTTATTCTCAAAGTGCTTTTGTATTATTTTATAAATAAAGATGCTAGACATAAATTGCTTGTGAAATCCATCCAAGATCATAGCTGGGAAACAGCAGTGTTAAAACCCAAATATTTTAAAAATATATAGATTTTATCCTTTTTCAATTTCAACAAGTTGCCTCAAGTTACTTGCTAATAAGTAAGTAGAAGGTAGTCATTGCAAATAAGGGTGAGGCGTGGTGGCTCATGCCTGTAATCTCAACATTTTGGGAAGCTGAGAAAGGAGGACTGCTTGAGGACAGGAGTTTCAGACCAGCCTGGGCAACACAGCAAGACCTCATCTCTACAGAAAAAAAAAAAAAAAAAGAGCCAGATATGGTGGCACACATCTGGCATTTGTAGTCCCAGCTACACAGGAGGCTGAGGTGGGAGGATAACTTGAGCCCAGGAGTTTGAGGCTTCAGTGAGCTATGATTGCACCACTGCACTCCAGTCTGGGCAACAGAGTAAGACCCTGTCTCAAAAAAAAGAAAAAAAAATCCAAAGAATTCTAGTATTAATCACTATTTTTTTTTTTGAGATAGGGTCTCACTGTGTCATCCAGGCTTGAGTGCAGTGGCACAATTTTGGTTCACTGCAACCTCCCTTCTCTGGGGTTCAAGCAATTCTCCTGCCTCAGCCTCCTGAGTAGCTAGGACTACAGGCATGCGCCACCATGCCAGGCTAATTTTTTTGTATTTTTAGTAAAGATGGGGTTTCACCATGTTGGCCAGGCTGGTCTTGAACTCCCACCCTCAGGTGATCTGCCCACCTTGGCCTCCCAAAGTGCTGGGATTACAGGAGTGAGCCACCACACCCGGCCCACTATATTCTTAAATTATTTCTTCATCTCCAATGTTAGGTGATGCAAAAAACATAGAATACAATGACTAAGTCTTTTTAGAAATTCTTAAAAGATGTTTTGTTGATTAAACATAAATACGTATTTTGTGGAACACTATAGATATAAAAACAGGTAGGAGTGCAGAAGATGGTTAGCTCTAGAATAATAGTAGAGACTTCACTATATAGTAACTCTTGAAAATTGCTCAGAGGAAAAAATGTACTAAAATCAAGAAGTGTGAAGGAAGTATTCAGTCTAAGAGATGTTAATTAAAACCCAGCGTATCTTTTCACTCCTTTAAGAATGAGAACTCTATAGAACAGTGACTTGAGTACATACCACTAAAAGAATTTTTGACAAATAAAATCTGTGTGGGAAATAAAAAGATGACAAGGAAGCAAAGCAAACACATCAGATAAGGAGAAGATACTTTAGATGAAAAGATATGTGTTTGCAAGTAAGCAAAATATTCTAATAATACAAAGGATTAACACTAATCAGTAGGATGTTAACAAATATGTCAGGCGAAGAAGATCACCAAAAGGAAATAAATTTGTTAATAAATGAGGACAAGCATAAAACTATGACTGTGCCACTGAAGTCATTTTTAAAAAATCTTTCTTTACAAAGAAAAATGAAAATATATTTTTACCATTTAGAAATAAGAAAGATCTTGCCCAAGTAACAGTTGGTAACATGGTAGCATGCTAAGGAAGTTAGGGATTCTGGATACACATAAATCAGCAGCCAATGACAAGTTAGTCAGAGATGAAAAGCAATTAGACAGAGGACCTACTGAGTTCCTTGCTAATTTAATTGTTAAAAGCTGGTAGATACCTTTAAAAAGCATTTGTTGAAAAGAATTTTACACTGCTGAAGGAAAAGGTCAAGGAACCAAAGCAGAGGGAGTGACCATCTGGGAGATATATTGTTAACTATTAGCAAAACAGTGGCTTCACCACCACAGGAGAAAAACTATATATATCAGGAAAAAATAGTTCCAAGAAAAATGAATAGCAACACATTATCAAGATAAAAACTCCCATTCAAAATTATCTTTTTGTAGAATTATCTGGAAAATGTTTGGTATTTCAACATTAATAATATTTCTGTGCTGTCTTCCTGAACTTTTTGTTGAAGAAAAATGAATTTGATTTAGATAGACTGTGGTCAAGAGGAATCAAAGCTTTCTTTATGTCTGTAGTAAAGATTATAAGATGAAAATATATCAGATTTTTTCATGCAAGCTACTTGAATTTATCAGGGGAAAAGCATAGCACCTATGGTCTCAACTTTCAACCAAGCTCTTTTAGCAAAACCGAATTAAAGATTTCTAACATTCCAGCTATCTGACATTTAGAAATAGTCAACATAAATTTTTTTGAGCCAGAAGTTATTATTTTAAGAAATAAGTACATTGGTTTTGCTTCCATTCATAGCTTAACAATTCTTGAATGTATGTATCAGTTAGAAAAAGTAAGTTTCAACCGATAAAATTACATTAGAAGGAAAGAGCCAACAAACATAATTTTCAATTTATGTTAATTCTTTTTGGTGGCTGTGTACTATTCCACAGTATCTTTTATGTAACTATTTTAAGTAGGAATATTAAAGTTATCTGGCACATAATTATAATAGTACTTATTTAGAGAATTGTTTATTAATCAGTTAATTAATCAGCTTATCAAGAATGTCTTTGAAAGAGTCATTGATGTTTTAAAAAATCCCATGTTAAAAGTTTTATCTATAAACAATTACATGGCATGAATTACTTTCTTTGCCATCCGCTTTCCAATACACACACACACACACACACACACACACATGCACACACACACATACTTTAGAGCACCAAGAGTAACAATGTGTTGAAATAAAAAATCAGTTCTGGGGATATAAGGTACAGCATGATGACTATAGTTCATAATACTGTATTATTTACTTGAAATTTGATGACAGCAGAGTTTTAAGTGTACTCACCACCCTCCTCACACACACACACACACACACACACACAAACACACACACAAATGGTAACTATGAGTGGTGATGGATGCATTAATTTGATATAGTCAGTACACAATGTATACATATATCAAATCATCATATTTTACACTTTGAATACATACAAGTTTCATTTGTCAATTAAATATTTAAAAATTTTAAGAAGAATGTAAAAAAGAAATAAAATATCAAGACCATGACAATGATTTCAGTTTTAAAGAATCCAAAATATAGTTTGGTATTTACAAAATACCAAATCACTAATTGATTTCATTAATTTATACAAACAACTGCTTGCTTAACAGCCAGTTTAGTTGCCTAACTGAATTGACTGTTATTTTAGTCCAAATGTTTAATCTGGTAGGTTAGTATAAATACTGCCCCAGTGTTTCCCCCTGGTTACTTTCAAGGTTACATTTCCCTCAGAGACTGAAGACATGCACCTACCGAACAAAGTACGCCAACCTTTCAGCAGACACAGAGGTAATTCTGGTGTGTTCAACAGTGATTTGACTCCTGTCACATATGTCTGAAGAGCAAAGGGCTACATTGAAAGAAACTGTCTAGAGACTAAGTGTTTCAAATTCTCTTGAAAATTCAAACAATCCTGCAAAGGACAGGCATGGTAGAAAAAGAAATCTCAGGTGAATAGGTTCTGGAGAGTCTATTAGTTTGTAGAAGAAAAAGATGCCAAATGTGAAATAAAAACCATTAGTTGAACCAGAAACATTAAATGAGTGTGTTTTGTGGGGACGTGCTGCTATGAACATTACTGTAAAATTTCAGAAAACCATTCAATTATGCCTGACAGCTTTTAAAGACCCTGAATCTTTAGTTCAATCAAAGTGTATTTATTTATTATGAAATAAACTGTTGACGTGTCATTGAAAAGTTTTTTAAAAACTTTCCTACTTAACCCCAGTATTCAGATATCACACTTTGCAAATCATCCACAGCACCAAAATTAAAAGCTGGAGTAATATCTAAATCAGAAAATTCAAAGGAATGATTGACATACTTGTAAACCTCCTAGGGCAAAGAAACCATGAAAGTAAAATAAAAGGTAAAAATTTTTTAGAAGGCAAGCAAAAAGGATGTTGGAAATTTTTATAGTGACATGTAAAGCTAATATAAAGCAGACAAACATAGAAAAATGGTCTGAAAGCTGGGTGTGTGGCACACACCTGTAGTCCTAGCTACTTTGGAAGCTGAGGTGGGAGGATCATTTGAGCCCAGGTGGTTGAGGCTGCAGTGAGATATGATCATACCATTGCACTCCAGCCTGGGTGACAGAGTGAGACCCTGAATCTAAAAAGATATTCAAAAATTTAGAAAAGGGCAGTGAATAAGATTGAGGAATCTAGAGAAAAAATAAAAATTATCAATAAACATAGGAAAAGATGATTAATCTGACTAATAATTACAGATGTAAAAAGTAAAATATCACTTTGATATTATTTTGATTATTAAGACAATAAAAGAAAAAAGAATAACATCTATAATTGGCAGAGTATAGATAAACTAGGACTTTCACACTTTGGGGTACATATGAAAGCAAAAATTTGTACAAGCAATGGAATGATTCCTCTTTTACATCAACAATAAAATTAATTTGATATTTACCTCTAATATAAACTTCCCTCTTAGTACTGCTTTTATTGTATCCCATAGGTTTTAGTATGTTGTGCTTCTGTTTTCATTCATCTCAAGAAAACTTTTCATTTTCTTCTCAATTTCTTCAATCACCCATTGTTCATTCAAAACCATGCTATTTAATTTCCATGTACAGGCATATCTCAGAAAAGCATGGATTCAGTTCCTGACCAGTGTAGCAAATATCGCAATGCTAGAGACTAAGTTTTCTGAATTGTTATGGCTGTGTCCATTTCTTAAAATAAGACAATGAAGCTTGCTGAATCGATCGGCTCTTCCTTTCATGAAAGATTTCTCTGCAGCACGTGATGCTGTTTGATAGCATTTTACCCCAGTCAAACTTCTTTCAAAATTGGAGTCAATCCTCTCAAATCCTGCCACTTAATTATCAACTAAGCTTATATAATATTTAAAATTATTCGTTGTCATTTCAACAATGTTCATAGCATCTTGACCAGGAGTGGATTCCATCTCAAGAAACCACTTTCTTGGCTCATCCATAAGAAGCAACTCCTCATCTGTTAAAGTTTTATCATGAGATTGCAACAATTCAGGCATATCTTTAGGCTCCTATTCTAATTCTAGTTCTCTTGCTGTTTCTATCACATCTGTAGTTATCTCCTCCACTGAAGACTTGAACCCCTAAAAGTCATCCATGGAGGCTGAAATCAACTTCTTCCAAATGCATGTTAATGTTGGTTGATATTTTGACTTCCTCTCATGAATCACAAATGTTCTCAATGGAATCTAGAATGGTGAATCCTTTCCAGAAGGTTTTCAATGTGCATTGTCCAGATCCATCAGAAGAATCACTATTTATAGCCGCTATAGCTTTGTGAAATGTATTTCTTATATAAGACTTGAAAGTTAAAATGACTCCTTGATCCATAAGATGCAGAATGGATGTTGTGTTAGCATGCATAAAAACAACATTAGGCTGGGCGTGGTGGCTCACGCCTGTAATCCTAGCACTTTGGGAGGCCGAGGCGGGCAGATCATGAGGTCAGGAGATAGAGACCATGCTGGCCAACATGGCGAAAGCCCATCTCTACTAAAAATACAAAAAATTAGCTGGGTGTGGTGGCGCGTGCCTGTAATCCCAGCTACTTGGGAGGCTGAGGCACAAGAATCACTTGAACCCAGGAGGCGGAGGTTGCAGTGAGCTGAGATCACACCACTGCACTCCAGCCTGGTGACAGGGTGAGACTCCGTCTCAAAAACAAACAAACAACAACAAAAAACATTAATCTCTTCATGCATTTCTATCAGCACTCTTGGGTGATTAGGTGCATTGTCAACGTGCAGTCATATTTTGAAATGAACCATTTTTCTCTGAGCAGGTCTCAGCAGTGGGCTTAAAATATTCAGTAAAGCATTCTTAAACAGATGTGCTGCCATCCAGGATTTGTTTTTCCATTTCTGGAACACAGGTAGAGAGGATTTAGCATAATTCTTAAGGTCCCTAGGATTTTTAGAATGGTAAATGGGCATTGGCTTCAGCTTTAAGCAACCAGCTCCATTAGCCCCTAAAAAGGGAGTCAGTCTGTCCTTTGTAGTTTTGAAGCCAGGCATTGACTTCTCTCAAGCTGTGAAAGTCCTAGATGGCATCTTCTTCCAATGTAAGGCTGCTTTATCTACATTGAAAATCTGTTGTTTAGTGTAGCCACCCTCATCAGTGATCTTGGTTAGATCTTCTAGACAACTTGCTGCAGCTTCTACATCAGCATTTGCTGCTTGCTTCACCTTGCACTTTTATATTACGGAGATGGCTTCTTTCCTTAAATTTTATGAACGAACTTCTTCTAGGTTCCAACTTTTCTTCTGCAGCTTCCTCACCTCTCTCAGCCTTCATATAATTGAAGAGGGTTAGGGCCTTGCTCTGGATTAGGCTTTGGTTTAAGAGAGTGTTGTGGGAGGTTTGATCTTTTATCCAGACCACCCAGACTTTCTCCATATCAGCAATAAGGCTGTTTTGCTTCTTTATCATTTGTGTGTTTACTTGGAGTAGCACTTGTAGCACTTTTAACTTCCTTAAGAACTTTTCCTTTGCATTCATCACTTAGCTGATTGGCACAAGAGGCCTAGCTTTCAGCCTGTCTCAGTTTTGGATATGCCTTCCTCACTAAACTTAATCATTTCTGGATTTTGTTCCTTTTTTTTTTTTTTTTTTTTTTGAGACAGAGGGTCACTCTCTCACCAAGCTAGAACTCCTAGGCTCAAGCAATCCTTTCACCCCAGCCTCCTAAGTAGCCAGGACTACAGGTGTGCACCACCACACCCAGCTAACTTTTTCATTTTTTGTAGAGATAGCATCTCACTGTGTTGCTCAAGCTGGCCCATTTCTAGCTTTTGATTTAAAGTGTGAGACATGTGACTTTTCATTTCACTTGAAGACTTAGAGGCCATTGTGGGTTATTAATTGGCCTAACTTTAATACTGCTGTGTCTCAAGGATTAGGGAGGCCCAAGGAGAGAGGGAGATGGGAAATGGCCCCTAAATGGAGCAGTCAGAACGCATGCAACATTTACTGATAAAGGTCACTATCTTATATGGGTGTGTGTGGCTTGTGGTGCCCCAAAACAATGACAATAGTAACATCAAAGATCACTGACCACATATTACCATAATAGATAATGAAACAACATTAATAATAGAAAATGAAAAAGTCTGAAGTATCATGAGAATTCCCAAAATGTGACACAGAGACACAAAGTGAGCACCTGCTGTTGGAAAGATGGCGTCAATAGACTTGACACAGAGTTGCCACAAACCTTCAATTTGGGAAACATGCAGTACCTATGAAGTGCAATAAAGTGAAGCACAAAAAAAAGAGGTATGTCTGCATTTGTAGTTTCCAAGGTTCCTCTTGTATCGATTTCTAGTTTTATTTCATTGTGGTCAGAAAGATATTTATCCTCAGTTGATCAGTTTACATTGTATACATGCATTGAAATATATGTACCCCATAAATATGTACAATTATTATTTACCAATTAAAAAAAAGAAAAAAGAAAAGCAGTTTGGCTGTAAAATTACAAATAAAATATGTCTATACAGTCTATACACTTTAGCTTAAAAAATCTGTTCCTAGGGCTTTCCCCTTAAAAAAGTGATTATATACTTGACCAAAACGTATATACAGGAATATTCTGTTCTGCATTATCTATATTGGTAAAAGCTTGGCAATAATAGAAATGTTCATCAAAAAGGAATTAGGTAAATAGATAGTAGAGTAGTCATATAATAGAATATTCCACAGTTATTAAAAGTGTTGTTGGAGTTCCATATGAACAGAGTTAAACTGCAGTAATATTAACCCACATTATATCCCCACCTATTGTTAAATTAATGCATTCTTGACTCAAAAAGAGGACAAATATAACTGAGAAAATAGGTGCTTGGGAATAAAATTTTAAACTTAATAAGCTTTAGGTTTGTAAGAGCTGAACTTTTTTTTTTTTTTTTTTTTTGAGACAGAGTCTTGCTCTGTTGCCCAGGCTGGAGTACAATGGCCCGATCTCAGCTCACTGCAACCTCCGCCTCCTGGGTTCAAGCAATTCTCTGCCTCAGCCTCCCAAGTAGCTGAGATTACAGGCATGCACCATCATACCCAGCTAATTTTTGTATTTTTAGTAAGGACGGGGTTTCACCATGTTGGCCAGGCTGGTTTTGAACTCCCAACCCCAGGTGATCCGCCCACCTCAGGCTCCCAAAGTGCTGGGATTAAAGGCATGAGCCACCACGCCCAGCCGGAGCTGAACCTTTTAAGAGAAAGATGTTTAGTTTGAAAAGTTCGTCTTTGCATGTTAAAAGCCAAAGTCCTCAGATGTTAAAAATGAATGGTAGATTTGGAAGCATAATGTCTGACCAGTGTTTTCCCCTTACTGGACAGAGAAACAGGTTTATTTTTCACAGAGGTTAGAGTGATGGAGTTGGCTGTGGGTGGTGGTCTCTGGGAAGAAATACAGTTCTCTGCTGCCCTTTTGGCCAAGCTTTGAAGGTGGGATGAGTAGGAGCAATAGAAATCCAATGAGTTTGGGTGGGGAGCATTCATGGAGAAGGCATCTGTGTTTTACTTTTCTAGGTATAGCCCAGGAACACTGCAGGACTTTTAAAGAAACTTCCTGTTCAGTATGTATTAATATATTAGTTTCCTATGGCTGCTTTAACAAACTACCACACACTTGGTGATTTAAAACAACATACATTTGTTATCTTATCATTCTAGAGGTCAGAAGTCCAAAATCAGTCTCAGTGGGCTAAACATCAAGACAGGTGAGAGAGCTGCATTGCTTCTGAAGGCTTAAGGGGAGGATCTGTTCTTTGACTTTTCTGGCTTCTAGAGGCTGCCTCTATTCTTGGCTCCTTAGTCCTTCCTCCATCTCTAAAGCCAGCAGCATAGCACCTTTGAATCTTTCTATCTCTGCTTCCAACATCACACCTCCTTTTCTGCTTCTGACTCTCCTGCTTCTCTCTTATAAGGGTTCTTGTGATTACATTTGGCCCGCCAGGATAATCGGTATAATCTCTCCGTATCAAGATCTTTAATTTAATCACATCTGCAAAGTCTCTTTTATCATGTAAGATAGTACATTCACAGGTTCTGCGAATGAGATTTTGAACATCTTTGGGGGTCATTATTCTGCATACTACCACATGGTACCCCTAACAGTAGAATAGCAATGACTGTGTTAAATGTGTCAGCAGATGGTCCCAAGGGCAACTTCAGTTTAGTGTTGGATGAGAGGGCACAGACAGACTGGTTGGGCAGACTTGAAGAGGCCTTGTATTTGGAATAAGGAGGATGAAGAATGAAGAATCTGACAGGCAGATGTCAAGGAATGATTCCAGCCTCTTCGCAGATGTAGCAAGTGTAGAAGCCATTGTGCAAAGGACTTTAGCATCTTTGCTGTCCAGATGATTTTTAGCTCTTGTCTGATTACTGAA
Organism: Homo sapiens; assembly: GCF_000001405.40. Lineage (NCBI taxonomy): Eukaryota > Metazoa > Chordata > Mammalia > Primates > Hominidae > Homo > Homo sapiens. The sequence goes on from NC_000013.11 coordinate 60,202,191, forward strand.
AAATCATCCTAGGTGAAGAGACGGAGAAGTGAGAGAGAAAAAAATCCTGAAGTGATGAGATTAGGTCAAACCAGAGTAACCAAGAAAACAAAGGAGTGACTGAGTTGACCATGAATTGGCCAGATTGACTTTTCTACTAGTCGTGGATCTTAAGAATAAATTAAATAGCATTTTAGAAAGGTACGTTTTTGTGCATCTTAGTAACTACTTTGAAATGCATAAACAAAATATATATGTATTGATAGGGAAAGGTGTCTACAATATATTATTATATGAAAGAACCACATTATAAAACATGTTATTATATTCAAATTGTTATATTGTATTTACATGTTTTTATGCATAGAAAAGTGCCTTATTTATTTATTTGTTTATAGGTAAGGTCTCACTATGTTGTTCAGACTGGCCTTGAATTCCTGAGCTCAAGTGATCCTCCTGCCTCAGTGTCCCAAGTAGCTGGAACTACAGGCGCAGGCCACCATGCCCAGCTAGAAAAATGTCTTAAAGTTTATATTCCTATTCAGACATGGCTCTCTCTGGGTGATTGAATAAGAGATTTCTCTGTGTACTTTTTTATATTGATTCAATTTTAGATCCGTGCTATTGTCCTTACACTAAGCATGTACTATTTGAATAATCAGTAAAAACAGCAGAGTCATTTCCATCTTACAAAAAGCTATGGTAAAAGATACCATCATTTATTTTAGATAGTGAAATAGTATGTAAATAACACTGAACAACAACTGTTGACAGCAAAATGAGATCAAGTGTCAGTTTTCCAACTTACTAGTCATGTAACCTTGGGCAAGCTACCTACAATTTCTGGGCCCCATCTGAAAACTGGGGATAATAATGCACAGTGATACCAAATGGAATGCAGTGGGCTTGACATTTACTGCGTTAGTTAATTCTCAAAACAACTCTCGATGTGATATTATCATCCCGTTATGTAAAATCAAATATAGAAACTATATACTGCAGCTCTTTGAAAAACCATAATAGAAACCTAAGATACTCCTGCAACACAGTCAAGAAATGCTTACAGTGCTCCGCATAGATATAGATGCCACATATAAGCTCTTTAAACAATATTTTGATAACTTAATTTTCAGTATGAATATTAGGCTCCTCTAAAACTTTCAGCAATTGGAAGAATGATCCGTGAGTTCTCTGCCTAGAGATAGCCTCTTTAAAACCAAACGATATTTCAGTGGTTCACTTTCCTACCTGCTGGCAGCCTGGGCTCTTGATGAAAGCTTTGTTGTTGAGAAAGTGTTGTTGTTGAGAGTTGAGTGAAAGTATCCATTATCAATTGTGTTTACTAAATTCAAGGTATTTGCTGTAGCAGCTATGTGTGTGTTTGTATACACATGAATATACATATATGATAATATACATATTATCATTTTAAATGGTTAGCTATTATTAATTACCTAGTACTCTGATTAAGATGAGATACATTAAGGATACAAATTAAGAAACTGGGATTGGCCAGGCGCGGTGGCTCATGCCTGTAATCCCAGCAGTTTGGGAGGCCGAGGTGGGCAGATCACCAAGGTAGGGAGTTCAAGACCAGCTTTACCAACACGGAGAAACCCTGTCTCTACGAAAAATACAAAAAAAATTAGCTGGGTGTGGTGGTGCATGCCTGTAATCCCAGCTACTCAGGAGGGTGAGGCAGGAGAATTGCCTGAACCCAGGAGGCAGAGGTTATGGTGAGCCGGGATCACGCCATTGCATTCCAGCCTAGGCAAAAAGAGCGAAACTCCACCTCAAAAAAAAAAAAAAAGAAAGAAAGAAAGAAAGAAAGAAGCTAGGATCAGGAATATGGGCCAAGTATAAGGCTATATAAAGTAAAAGTGTCTAGAAATATTCCATATAACCTGAATAGGAAAAACTAGTATAAATTCATCCTTTCTTCCTAAAAACCTTTAAGGCTAGAAATATTTTAGAATTCAGAATTCTTGGCTTTCAGAAAGGTACTTGAATGCACATGCCTTCTGTAATGTACTGATATATATTATATAACATCACCAACAGGTCTGTGCCCTGTAATCACCACATTGTCACTTCTGCAGAGAAAGGAATGAATATTCATACTAAGTCGGATAAATAAAGTCTTTAAACAGCCTTATATCAGCTCAGGTTTTGCTGCCAAATGAGTATGTACCAAACTCAGGGAAAACTTTTCAGTTGATTAAACTCCATAATGAGAAATGAGGTGCTTCCGTTTTCTTCAAGTTGTTTTCAGGTTTTCATTTTCCTGCTCTTGATGATATGCTGAGAAGGGCTTAAGGTTGTAGAAAGAGATAATGTGAACACACAGCATTGACTTTTATCAACAGCTTTATCGCTTAGTGGTGATGAGAAAGTTGTCTATACAGAGGGAATTTCTTCCTTCACAGCTTCAGTGTTCACTTCCTAGATGAATAAAACTTACCTATGTCACTGGATGCAAAGAGTTGATCAACACTTTCCTGTGTTAAGCTTTTAGAAGCCTTTAGTTTGTATGAAAACCTAACTCTTGGCCTCCGCTCTCTGGGCTTCTGCTAATAGTAATGCTTATCTATTTCAAGTTCCAATGACCTAGTTGCAATTATTTCTAGTGTTGATACACTTAGGACTGTAGATATTTTCATAATTTGAGTTATTATGTGAGTAAGGTGAGTAAAGTGTACATTTTTCCTGGACATTGGGTGAAATATTTCCATTAGCAATAGGTCAAACATAAATAGTGATAAGGTTGGAGAAAAGTTTTCAAGGGGTAGCTTAAAAACCTTGCTTCAAAAGGAAGCAGAAGGCTGGACATGGTGGCTCACACTTGTAATCTCAGCACTTTGGAAGGCCAAGGCGGGTGACTCTCTTGAGCCCAGAAGTTCGAGACCAGCCTGGGCAACATGGCAAAATCCTGTCTCTATAAAATATACAAAAATTAGCTGGGTATGGTGGCATCCATCTGTAGTCCCAGCTACTTGGGAGGCTAAGGTGGGAGAACACTTGAGATCAGGAGGTTGAGGCTCAGTGAGATTGCACCACTGCACTTCACCCTGGGCAAAAGAGTGAGACCCCATCTCAAACAACCACAACAACAACAACAAAAAGGAAGCAGATATCTAAGTATTTATGTCAAGACTTAGGATATAATAAGGGATGGAATATCCATGGAAGATATAACAATGAGAAAGGATACAGAAACAGTTTTAAACTTCTTCGCACTCCTCAATCTTCCAGCGATTCTGTCAACATGGATCCAGCTGTGCTGGAAGAGAATAGGCATGTTATATTCATCTAAGTAGCCTTACAACTGGAGCTTCATGAGAGCAAAAGTTTGGCAGACCCCTGACTGCAAAGTGAGGAGCACCTCTGCCCAGCTGCCCACTGTCTGGTAAGTGAGGAGCGCCTCTGCCCAGCTGCCCACTGTCTGGTAAGTGAGGAGCGCCTCTGCCTGGCTGCTGCCCTGTCTGGGATGTGAGGAGTGCCTCTGCCTGGCCGCAGCCCTGTCTGGCAAGTGAGGAGCGCCTCTGCCCGGCCCCTGCATCGTCTGGGATGTGAGGAGCGCCTCTGCCCGGCCGCTGTGCAACCTTCCAAGTGTGAAGTGACAGCCTTGTGTGTGATCTTTCTGCCTTCCCCAATTTGCATTTTCGACATTAAAGTTTACTTAAAAAAAAAAAAAAGTTTGACAGACCCTCTCAACAACCTCAAAAGGGAAGAATTATCCTACTAAGAATGGGAAAACTGAGACCCAGAGAGGTTAGGTGACTTGTACTACGATTATGTAGATATAAATGATAGCGCCTGCAGGCCTGTCTAGCTCAAACAGCGAAATGAAAATGATAACTTGGGGGGAAAGAGAATTGTATTCAATATACTGTCTAGCAAGCTTCTGGTGATATTTATACTTTGTTAAGTTATACATATGGCAACATATTTTGTGGGGACGATTTTTAAAGTGTAGGATCGGTGTCAATTTATGATCAGGAGAAGTGGACTAAAATAGAAGAAGGGAAAACCTAAGAATGACGAAAACAAAGTAAACTTTTCTCTCTGCTCTCCAGATAGTCTGCATGGACATTATCTCTATAGTTTCTGGAATGGGAAGAAGTTGTACAACTGTGTGCAGTACCCATCCAATGTGACAACATAGTAGGAGATAAAAATCTCCTAACCCAAATGGCAGTTTTTGTTTCTGGTGACAGTGCAAAGAGCCAACAAAACTCTAGTTTACCAGCCAGTTTAAATTACTTTCTTGAGACAGACTTTAAGAGTAATTTGATTCCTAATCTGTGCTAGCAAAAATACACCATTGTGCATCTGTGTGTTTTATTTACTTTTCTTGCATTTCAAATCACATACCCACATTCACCCTCACACACACGATAACCCACACAAAATATATTTGGAATAGGACTTTTCCAGATCTAATCACAAACGATACATTTTTAATGGGGGAGGTACAGGCACTGTGATAGGCCTGTGGGGTATAATAGCTTATACCAACTGGTCTTCTTAAACAGATGCTCGACTCTAGAGTGGGGTCATCAAGCGTTTTTTATACAATTGGCTCTTTATTAGCATAGTGGACAAAATTAATTTTTGAATATACATCTTTGTTAAATTTTTTATTCCTGTTGTGTTATATTCCTGAAATGAAAAAGGGGAAGTTGAACTAGATGTTGAACTAAGTGTTCAGGCATGATACACAGTAAGTCAAACTCACTGGCTGGAACCCACAGCAAGAAGTCACAGGAAGAATAAAACGTGATGGATTTGAGTATGCCTGACACATATACCTAGTTTGATGTAGTAACAATGATAAAATAGTCAATAAAATAAATTTTAAAAATTGGTCTGGGCATCAAGAGACATAAATATATTTTAATTAGATTTGTGATCTCCTGTTTTTCCCTCTCCAAATATGGAATAATTTTGTATGCCAACAGGATAAAAGTTGTGAGAAAAACAATTTTTTTTTTTTTGAGACAGTGTCTCGCTTTGTTGCCCAGGCTGGAGTTCAGTGGCATGATCTTAGCTCACTGCAACCTCCACCCACTCTTCCGCACCAGGTTCAAACAATTCTCCCATCTCAGCCTCCCAGGTAGCTGGGATTACAGGTGTGTACCACAATACCCTGCTAATTATTTTGTATTTTTAGTAGAGACGAGGTTTCACCATGTTGACCAGTCTGGTCTTGAACGCCTGACGTCAAGTGATCCACCCGCCTCAGCCTCCCAAAGTGCTGGGATTACAGGTGTGAGCCACCGTGACTGGCCAAGAAAATTATGAACAGAAGGGTCTTTAAAACATGACTTGTCCTCTGTATGCCTATAGTACATTAATACTTCTGGACAGTAAAAAATTACCAGATTAGAACACAATGGTCTGAGGGTTACTATTCTAAAGAGCTCATTAAAATTGATAAGAAAAACACTGAGACCCCAATATGAAAATGAGCAAAGGACATGAATAAACAATACATGCCAGTGAAGATAATTAGCAAGCAAACATATGGGAAAATGTTTAACCTTGCTAGTTATCAAAGAAAAACAAGCTAAAATAATTGTGTTAATATCCTACACCACTTTAATGTGTAAGAGAAATGATATTCTGGTGAATTCCACCAAATGTTTAAGAATAATTAACATTAATCCTTCACAAACTCCTCCAAAAAAAAAAAAAGAAGAGGGGGAAATACTTCCCAACTCATTTTATGAGGCCAGTATTATCCTAATACCAAAATCAGACAAAAACATCATAAGAAAAGAAAACTACAGATCAATGTCTCTTCTGAATACAGATGCAAAAATCCTCAGCAAAATACTAGCAAACCAAATCTAGTAACATATAAAAAAGATTACAGGCTGGGTGTGGTGGCTCATGTCTGTAATCTTAGCACTTTGGGAGGCTAAGGCAGGAGGATTGCTTAAGCCTAGGAGTTGGAGACCAGCCTGAGCAGCACAGCAAGACCTTGTCTCTACTAAAAATAAAAAAATTAGCCAGATGCAGTGGCATGTGCCTATAGTCCTAGCTACTTGGGAGGCTGAAACAGGAGGATCACTTGAGCCCAGGAGTAGAGGCTGTAGTGAGCTATGATTGTGTCACAACACTCTAGCCTGGGTGACAGAAAGAGACTTTGTCTCTAAAAACAACAACAACCAAAACAAAACAAAACAAAAAACAACAACAGGTTATACATCATGACCAAACAGGCTTTAGCCCAGGTAACCAATGTAATAGACCACATTAACAGAATGAAGGGGGTCGGGCGTGGTAGCTCATGCCTGTAGCTCATGTTGGGCGTGGTAGCTCATCCCAGCACTTTGGGAGGCTGAGGCAGGTGGATCACTTGGGGTTAGGAGTTTGAGACCAGCCTGGCTGACATGGTGAAACCCCGTCTCCACTAAAAATATAAAACAATTTGCTGGGCATGGTGGTGCGTACCTGTAGTCCCAGCTACTTGGGAGGCCGAGGCAGAAGAACTGCTTGAACCCAGGAGATGGAGATTGCAGTGAGCTGAGATCACGCCACTGCACTTCAGCCTAGGCAACAGAGCCATATTTCATCTTGAAAAAAAAAAAGAAACACACCCACACACACCCACACACACATACACAAACAGAACGAAGGGGAAAAAACCCCACACAATTTCTCAATAATAAAGAAAAGCATTAAGAAAATACAACATCCTTTCATGAAAAAAAAAAACAAAAAAGTAAAAGGGAATTATGTCAACCTAATAAAGGCCATCTACAAAAACCCATAGCTAACATCAAAACTAATGGTGAAAGACAGAATGACTTCTTCCTAACATCAAGAATAAGAATATCTGCTCTCATCAGCTCTATTTGATATTGTACTAGTGGTACTAGTTAGAGCCAGTAGGCAAGAAAATGAAATAAAAGACATTCAGATTGGAAATAAAAAAGAAACTCTCTCTACTGCAGATGACATAAATCTAAAGAAAGACACAAAAAACTATGATAACTAATAAATGAGTTTAGCAAGGTTGCTGGCTATAAGAGCAACATACAAACATCAATTGTATTTATATAGACTATAAGTGAGAAATTTATAAACGAAATTAAAGCAATTACATTTATGAAAGCATCAAAAAAATAAAAAGCATAGGAATAAATTTAATAAAATATGTGCAAGACTTGTACACTGAAAACCAGAAAACGTCATTGAAAAAAATTAAAGAAGACCTTAATAAATGAAAAGACAACCCATGGCTTCTGGATCGGAATACTCAGTATTATTAAGATGACAATACACTTCGCATTAATCTGCAGATGCAACACAATGCCTATAAAAACATCAAGCTGCCTTTTTAGGGGCAAAAACTGACAAGTTGATTGTAAAATTCCTATGGAAATTCAAAGAACCCAGAAAAGCCAAAACATTCTTGAAAAAGAACCAATTTGGAGGACACACACCTTTTGATTTCAAGGTTTACTACAAAGATACAGTAATAAAGACAATGTGATAGATTGCATAAGGATAGAAATATAGATCAAAGGAATTAAACTGAGAATCCAGAAATAAATCCTATACTTTACAGCAATTGATTTTTGACAAGAATCCCAAAGCAGTTCAATGAAGAACAGTCTTTTCAACAAATGGTGCTGGATAGCTACATGAAAAAAAATAAAGCTGGACTCTACCTCACACAAAAATTAACTCAAAATGGTTCATAGATCTAAGTGTAACAGTTAAAATTATAAGAATATTAGAAGAAAACATAGGCATAAATCTTTGTGACCTAGGAGTAGAAAATGGTTTCTTAGATATGACATCAAAAGTAAAAATGACAAAAAGAAAAAAATAAATAAATTGAACTCCATCAAGATTTAAAACTTTTGTGCTTCAAAAGATATCATTAAATAAGTGAGAAGACAATGCCAGAAACGGGAGAAAATACTTGCAAATCATACATCAAGTTCCTGACAAAGGACTTGTATATAGAATATGTAAAGAACTCCTACAACTTAGCAATAAAAATACAAATAACTCGGTTTAACATGGACAAGAATTTGGATCGACATTTTGCCAAGAAAGATATATAAATGGCCAATAAACACATAGAAAAACGCTCAACATCATGAATCATTAGGGAAATGTAAATTAAACCATAATTAACTCAAATACTACCTCACATGTATGAGGATGGTTATAACCAAAAAGGACAGACAAATATCGACAAGGATATGGAGAAATTGGAGCTGTCATACATTGCTGGTAGTAATGTAAAAAATGAAACTGTTTTGGAAAACAGTTTAGCAATTTCTCATGAAGTTAACCCAGAAAGAGTTATAGTTACTGAGTTATAGCTAAGCCAGAAATAGTTATAGTCACCTGAGTTACTATAACCCAGAAATTCCACTCCTGGTTATATATCCAAAATAATTTGAGACATGTCCATACAAAAACTGTACACAAATGTTCACAGCAGATAATAGCCAAAAGTGGAAGCATCTCAAATGTCCATCAACTGATGAATCAATGAACCAAATGTATCTCCATACAATGCAGTATTATTTGGCCATGGAAATTAATGAAGTATTAACTCATGCTACAACACGGATGAACTTAAAATATATTAGACCCAGTGAAAGAAGGCAGTCATAAAAGGTCACATATTACATGATTTCATTTCTGTGAATAGGCAGACCCATGGAAACGGAAAGTAAACAGAGGTTGCCAAGATCTAGGAGGAAAGGAAAATGGGGAGTGGCTCCTAATGGATATGGGTGATACGTGAACAATATATCAATAAATCTGTTCTTTAAATAAATTGTATCATTCAATGTTGTCAAGACTGATGAAACTGGTACAATTACATATTATTAGCAGCTTAGAAATCAGTACAATTCTTTTCTAAAGCTTAGAAATCAGTACAATTCTTTTCTGAAGCAAATTTGACTATACTTTCCGTGAGCTGTACAAGTCTTTCCATCCAGTAATCCTGCCCCTGGGAATTTAAACCATGCTCAGTGCTGAAACTATGAAGAAAGTTATATGACTGAAGATTTATTCTTTACAATACTAAAAAACTGAAAACCTCAAGTATTGTACAAAATGAGGATACTTAACACTTTATCAATTCAACTAATTTTTCAAAAAATATTTGATCAATTAAGTAAAAATGTTTTATATTATATATTTTAAATTATTTATACCTATAGACAAGGACTGATAAAGAACATGAACCCAGGAAAATAAATGGCCTGTTAGCTTGCTATAATTGTTGAGATCCCTCTCCTGTATTTTTAATATTATTTTTGTGATGATTGTGAATGTACCACAGTATTCTTTGCCATTATGATGCTGTTATATTTAAAATGTTTTAAAATATTTTAAAGATGATTTCGGAGTGCTTTCAGAAATTATGCTTGTGGGTGAAAGATATGTGGGTACCCTGGATATCTGGACTATGATTCCAACCAGGAGAAAACACCAAGAGATCACAGCCACATTGGAAGATCTAGCTGACTCCAGTGAAGAAGTGTGAGGAGTCTACCTTCCCTGAAGAGCAGCTTGGCAGGATTATCCCCCTGGTGGAGCAACCAGGCTGGCGGAGAGAGGTGAGCCCCTCCATCAACAAACAGTAGGACTATAGACTTGTGAACTCTTAGAAGGAAATTTGTGATGATAGGGGTGGTAACCCCAAGGAATGCTTCTTATGTGAATCAATGACTGGAGCACAACACTGGATCTTAAAAGGAAAAAAAAAAAGATTATACTTTCAAGTAGTGATATAACATGTTTTTAAAACTTTTAAAATTAATGCATGACTATTGGCCAGGCACGGTTGCTCACACCTGTAATCCTAGCATTTTGGGAAGCCGAGGTGGGCAGATCACCTGAGGTCAGGAGTTCAAGACCAGGCTGGCCAACACGGCGAAACGCCGTCTCTACTAAAAAACACAAAAATTACCTGGATGTAGTGGTGGACGCTTGTAGTCCAGCTACTCGGGAGGCTGAGGCAAGAGAATTGCTTGAACCTGGGAGGCGGAGGTTGCAGTGAGCCGAGATCGTGCCACTGCACTCCAGCCTGGGCGACAGAGCAAGACTCCGTCCCAAAAAATTAAATTAAATTAAATTAAATTAAATTAAATTAAAGCATGACTATATATACATTTATATATGGTAAAGTACAAAAATCTAAAATCTACAACTAGGTGAATATTTATATAACTATAAATTCATTTTGCCACTATTCAGGTCAAGAGAGATCTTTTGGTGTCACCAGTAGCCTGCTCATGCCCACATGCAGTTGATACCACTGCTGAAGGCAACCGGTATCTGACCTATATCTCCACAGATTAGGTTTGCTGCTTTTGAGTTTCACAAATATGGAATTACTCAATACGTACTCTTTTGCATCTCCTTCTTCTTGCTCAGCATTATGTCTGGGGAATTCATCCATGATGTGCATGAGACTGGAATTGATTGTTTTTCATTGTCACTGGACTTAATGATTTCTGTAATCTGCCTCCTGCAGAATATAGAATAGTGCATTTCCTTCTGTTTAAATTTCACTGTGATGTAAAATAAATGCATGGTTAAATAAACTGGTTTAAGGGGAGAAAGTTTAAAAAAAAAAAAAGTCATTTAAGAGCATTTGACTACAACCGAAGTGCAGATGTAGTCAGCTAGAGAGCTGTCACTTCCGAGTAAATGAAATGGGCAGATGTTTGGGAAAATCAGTAAGATTGTGTGGTAATCCTGTGGAGAGTGTTGGCAGAACTAGAAAACAGAGAGATAACGAGCTGGCTAAAATGGTAAACAAAGGAAGCTTGCACTCCTGGGAGGGTTTGCAGGAAGCACACAGCAATCCCAAAACCCTCTGGACTCCTGGGTTTGAGGCAGATGCAGTGCAATTCCAGTGGTCTCTTCTGTTCTACTGTAAGCCCATCTCACCTGTTTCAGATCAGTTTAGGTTCCAGTGGGAATGAAGAAGAAAAACTTTTTTACAGTTTCAGCTGTCAGAAAGCTGCTGTTTGCAAATTCCAGGCTTCCAGACAACAGCAGAAAGGGTTTGCTCAGGAAAAAAAAATAAAAGTTTCCTAAGTGCTGTAAATCATGTTTTAGAGCTTGCTCTGGGAGGACATCAGAGGTTAGATTAAATGGAATAAAACTAGTAATAGTAATAATAATATTAATAGTGTAAGTCTGTTCTTATCTAATGGGGGAGATTGGGGCAGGTGTTTTCTGCATCCACAGCTGGTGACCTTCTCAAGTGGTTTCTCTCCCTCTCTGCATTGACTTTTCCCTCTGAGTTTTCTATATCGAATCTTTATTTCCTAGAAAGGTAAGGTAATTACTAACTTTTAAATCTATAAAAGCTGGTAGATAAGCTTGCTGGCTACTTGCCAAGACAGCTTTCATTGACATAAAAAAATTCTTTGTTTGTCATAACTAAATATATTAAGATATATAGAACATATTTTGAAGTTAAATAGTTTCAATTTCTTCATAATTAAAGTAAAACAAAGTTATCTTCTAGTGTAAGTTAGCACTCTGTCACTAAGATCTGTGTGACCTTGGGGAAGGGCTTTCTTGTGTCTGAGTTTCGTCAACTGTAAAACTATAAGCCTAAATTAAGAAATCTTTAAAGCGCATTTTAAAATATTAATATAATTTCTAAATATTTTAAAATATTAATATAATTTCTAAATCAAGTCTTGTAGAGAACCTAAAAAAATAAATTCTCCCTTGATATTGGACTTAGACTTACATTAACAGTAATTCCAAGAAGCAAACATTCAATTTGACTGGGAATTATATTCTGTTCGAGTTTGGGTGCTACGTTTGGAGATCATGATGTACCCTACTGAAGCAGCACGTGAACACCAGGAAGAAAAATAACAATTACTTCTTGAAAAAGAGTGATGAGACCATGATCAAAGACTGGTCTTTTTGGTTGAGATAGAGAAAGTGCCAAATGTCTGATAACATTAGATTAATTTGAGATCCAGAGAACGTTTGGGTCAAGCCAACAAATTTATCTTTATTTGAGCTCTTAGCAACCTGTATGGCAGGTGTTTATTACTCTTGGAGAAGTGCTTCTGTTTATCTGGAAAGCGTTCATTGAGACATGAGTCTCCATTATATAAGTGTGACATGAAGTAAGTGGTAAGAAGTTGTCATGCAAACTCATGTTGTAAGGAACCACGTTTTATTGGAAGATGCTCATGATGAAGAATTTCTTAGACAAAATGCAGATTAGACTCATGTTTACATCATCCCCAATTACAAGATCACCAGAGAAAATGTGTCATTGTCCTCCATGGAGTTGTGCTTATTTCAGGCAAAATGATTTCTGATGCATATCCCTCCTTTCTTGATGCCTGGTCAACAATAACTCCAGCTGTCAAGTGCTGATGCAAGAGATGGAAATTCCATTTTTCTTTTCTTCTACAGGAAACACAAAGATCCTCCATGCAATCTTCTGGGCTATCGTCATATAGTATGATTTATGTATTTCTTGTATGTTTCTTTCTTTTTAAATCTGGAAGTATATTCTTTTGTTTTATTGGGCTATTTATTCTCTTGACATCCTTGGATGTGAGTTAATGGAACCATAATAAAAGGATAGAGAAGTAGAACAAACAAGCCTGATGGTATAGATTTAGGACTGCCTGACAGATTAGGGATAGCAAGGAGAGGAACAAAAGATAAAATCACCTGATTCATGCGCACTGGGATGGTCCAGAAAAACCTAGTTCTTGAAGTTTCACTATGCTGTAACTCTGGAAAAGAAACACAGAAAAGGTCAGGCTATTATTGCAGGAATTGAGAAAAAATGTTTTTCTTTTAAAAATTAATTTCGATATACGAAATCTAAAAGCTTAATCTAAGAGCCTAGAATAATGCTTTGTGCTCAATGAGCATTTTATAAACATTTGTTACTTAAAGTCAGGGAAAGAGTTTATGGATATGAGAATAATGGAATGGAGTGGACACACAACTATTATTTTATCTGCATAGAAGAGAATCCACTCCCCTTCTGGCCATGCCCCACTCATACGGCTGAGACTGGAAGCTGCCATCCTCCTACAGATTCTGCTGTGGTGATTGATGTAGAAATGGAAACCTAAATTAAAATCATCCTAGCGCCTTCCTCCACGGTAATTGGCCCAAAGAAGGACACTTCACACGAGCTGAGCCGACTGGAGGACTTCTCCCAATTTTTCAAGTTGCAACCATGGAAAGTGATAAAACTGGAATAATGTAAGCTTGAAAACTGCTGTCGCTGAGTGTCCCATACTCCATACTCAGGAGGAAATGAGTCTGAGATGGTGAAGTCAACCCGTGGATGGAGACAAGAGGGGAAAGAGTCCTGACCACATGTGACCTGGTTCCAGCTGTCCCTTAGGTCCAGTTTTATCTCTGCCCTTTATAATATTTGGCCACTTGAGCCAACACTGCCCCATGAAAGAGTTTTAACTAACACAAGGAAAAATTAAAGATGAACAAGATAGATTTGGGAATAATCTAGGCTCTAAGCAATAGGAGGTAAAGGATTATATCATTCATCTTCTTAATCACAGTGCATAAAATAGTGCTTGGTACACAGTTGGCAGTCAATAACTCTACAGTTTTTCAAAATGTATTTATTAAGTGTCTGGAGAACATGCTAATTACTGAGAATAAAATAGTGAGCAAGACAAGTGCAGTCCTTGCCCTTAAGAAGCTTTCAAGTGGAAAGCACAGAGAAGATGATAACTGGCAATGATATCATAATAAAAAGTAATACTTTTTTTTAAGAGACTGGGTCTCACTCTGTCTCCCACACCGGAGTACTGAGGCATGATCATAGCTCACCGTAGCCTCAAACTCCTGGGCTCAAGCCATCCCCCTGCCTCAATCTTCTGAGTAGCTGAGACTACAGGCATGTGCCACTGCCCTTAGCTAATTTTTTAAAAATTTTTTTATAAAGATGGTGTTTCAGTTTGTTGCCCAGGCTGGACTTGAACTCCTGGCTTCAACCCCCAAAGTGTTAGGGGGTTGATCCTTCTGCCTCAACCCCCAAAGTGTTAGGATTACAGACATGAGCCACCACCCCTGGCCAAGTAATACTTTTTTGATAGGGGGAATATATGATTAGTTATAGTTTTGGTGTGACAAGTAGACAGCCTAGCTAATCCAAGTTAAAAAGGGAATTATTAGGTAATGGGGTGTCTCACAGAACACAAGAGGGGGAACGCAGCCTGACTTTTGGGAGGACAGGGACTGGGAATTGGAGAGTCATTGTCTCCCTAGGAAATGTTCTTTCTGACTCTCCTCTCTGCTTCTCCTTTTCTTTACCCCAAAACTGTCTTATTTGCTCCCCAGTCCAAGTGCTGTTGTAAAACTGGTCACAGCTTTTAAGTACAGACCTGTCCAGAGAAGACAATTATATTGACCAGAATTCCCCTAAGGAGGAATATCTACTCTTGAAAGTAATGCTTCAATAAGCTCTTCGATCAGCTGATTGGCTTAGTGGGTGAGCCCTCAGGGCATGCTCATGTCTGAAAAGACGATTGCTGTAAATTGCTATGCACAAAACAAGGAGGAGAATTAGTGTGGCCCAGGAGAGAGACAGAGTTAGGAAGGAGAGGGAGAGGGGAGGGACTGAATGAACTCTCCCCTCTCCATTCCATTTATAGTAAAGACTATTAAAATGATAAGATACTGGGGATGATAGATATTTTACTAGAAACTAACAAAAGAACTGAGTTGTCTGGGTTGCAACAAAACAAGACAGTGCCGGGAGCAGGGACAACCAAGTCACACAAGCTAAAGACTTGGCCACCTGGAGAGATTGATGCATTCTCTTCGTTAAATTTCAGATGACCAGGAAAGAATTCTGCTTGGCTTATCTTGGGACAAGAGGGGCAGATAGAAGGGTGGGATTATGTACAAAATGACTGTTGGATCCACATTTATGTTGGGGTGGGCTGGGGTGTTACCAGTGGAATGTATCTGAGTTACCAGCGGCGAATCCGTACGGGTTTACAGCAACCTCAGTTCTTGCTTCCTCAGAAGAAAGAATTCCACTGAGGGGCATAAGGCAGAAAAACAGACCAAGGCACGGTTCAGAGCAGGAGTGGAAGTTTATTTTAAAAGCCTTTAGAATAGGAAAGAAAGGAAAGTACACTTGGAAGAGACCCAAGCAAGCAACTTGAAGGACAAATGCGGCATTTAACCTTGATCCTAGAAGGCTGGCCCACTTCTGGGGTCTTGCATCCCTTTCCCATGATTTCTTCCCTTAGGGTGGGCTGCCCGCATGCACAGTGTCCTCCTTACCTTTGGGAAGTGAACACTCCTAGTGTGTTTAGGAAGTTGTATGCATAGCCATCTGAGGCTTTCTTCCCTTTTCTGATGGAGTGCCACAGGAAAGTCATGCTCCATCATTTTGTCTCATAATGTGCATGCCCAGGAAGTTGCTTTTTCTCACATCTGCATTCAGTCAACACTTTGGTGCGACAGGTGTAGACCATCAGGAAATGGCCTCTCCCTGGCACTGGCTGCCAATTTATCACTTTTAGATAGGCTATGTGATAACTGCCAAACCATCATCACTCAACATTCCTGGTAGAGGGGAGGGAGCCCTCTCCTGCCCTGCTCATGCTTAACTACCTGTAACAGGGGGGCAGTTAAGGGAATTTCTTGCGAACTGATCAGAGCTTTTAAAAGGTCTTCAATACAGGGACAAAAATGGGTGTCCAGAATATATGTGTGAGAGACATCTCATCCAAGCTAAATATTCTTTGAGTGAAAGAATTAATACACAGAACTTTCTTGGATGGCTCGGCAAAAGCTGTGATATAAACAGAAGAAAGGCAAAGCTATGGGTCAGCAGAAGTCTAGAGTGAGAAAAAGGTATGAGGTGAACAGAGAGTCAGGAGAATCTGCGGTGTCAAGAAAAGTAGAAGCCAAGACAGAGAGAAACACTGGAAGCCTGTGGATGAAGAGGGTGAAATAATGAGACACAACCATGTGGTAGCTGAAGGGTGTTCCAGTTCTCCTTGAGGTGTGACTTGGTGAGCAAAGGGCTATTATCCTGAAGGCCTGGTTGTTTTGTTTAACTCCTGGATGTTTTTCTGTGTGTGTGTGTGTGTGTGTGTGTGTGTGTGTGTGTGTGTGCGTTTACCTTACCTACCTTCCTTCCTTATTTTTAACGTACCTTACAAATAACTCCTATTACCTGAGATGCCCTAGGCATGTTTATGATCCTGAGAATCTGACAGAGTTTAATAACAAAACCACCAAGGAAGAAAGGAAGGAAGAAAAGAGAAAGGGAGAGAGTGAGAGAAAGAAGCACGTGTGATCAGAGCTAGCGTATTCATTCTTATTATCAAGTAAAAGCTGACTTCTGTCCTCCAATTGCTGTTTTTTTCCTCCCCACCTCCACTTCTTTATTCTTTGTGATCCTTTCTCTCCCTTCAAAACAACAACAATAACAACAACAACAAAAACACCAAACCTAATCCTACCTACCTTTCTCCTTTCCTGTTCTATTTAGTTACAGTATAATGATGTACAGATGCTCACCACGTTACTCAACACTTGACTTATGCAAATTTGACCTTATACAAATTATTATATAAGGAACACAGTAAAGTTTTAGAAATGTAGAAAATTTGCATTTTATGTGAAAACAAAAAGTAGCCTAGTGCATAGATGAATTGCCTCCCAAAGTGTTTTGATGCATCATGTCACATTGCCATGTGTTAGAATCACAGCCCTGCATCCTTGACTGTACCATAGTACAGGATGCAGTTAAGCGCTCAGACCCTGGGATCTGGCTGCTTGGATTTGTATCCTTTTTCTACCATTTTCTAGCTGAATGACCTTGAGTAAGTCACCTAAAGCCTCTAAGCCTCAACTTACTTTCTTTCTTTCTTTCTTTCTTTCTTTCTTTCTTTCTTTCTTTCTTTCTTTCTTCTTTTTTTTTTTTTCTTGTTTGAGACAGAGTTTCGCTCTTGTTGCCCAGGATGGGGTGCAATGCTGCAATCTTGGCTCACCGCAACCTCCACCTCCTAGGTTCCAGCGATTCTCCTGCCTCAGCCTCCTGAGTAGTTGGGATTACAGGCATGTGCCACCATGCTTGGCTAATTTTGTATTTTTAGTAGAGATGGCATTTCTCCATGTTGGTTAGGCTGGTCTCCAACTCCCGACCTCAGGTGATCGCCTGTCTCAGCCTCCCAAAGTGCTGGGATTACAGGCATGAACCTCCCCATGCCTGGCCTAAGCCTCAATATTCTAATCAGTGAAGTAGGAGTAATGTTTTCTTTCTCAGAGTTGTTATAAGAGATAGATCAGGTATGGAGCTTCAGTGGCACAATCAACTAGTGCATGGTACTCATACAGAAATAGATCAGGTACTCTTAGCATAATAGCAGCCTGTAGTAAATACCCTTGCTAGTAAATTCAGAGTTTAATGTTGTTGACCCCAATGGCAGGGTTCTTCTTTTGCTGACCTACATATTAAATCTTTTCCTACTTTTAAGTTATGACAAAAACTGAAAAGAACAACTGCATAAACTGGAGAGAATCTGTCATAGCAAATCTAGCACTGCGGGGGTTCAGATCTAAGATTAGTCTTATTTTTTTCTTAGGGGAGTTGAACTGAGCTACTATAGTGATGAAGCAAATTGATACTCCTCCAAAATGCTTTTCCAGATGTTTAGCAAAGCTCTCAATTCCTTCTATTCCAATCATAGTCTCTCATTCTAAGTTCTCCTGGATTATTAAGTGAAGGGGGTGGGTGGGAGGGGGGTGGATGGGGCAGGGAATACTTAAACCTGGTTTGGAGAAAGTGAAAGTGAAGGGAGGAGAGCAACATTGAGGATTGTAACCCAAATATTCTCCCTATAAATACAACTTCCTGCAGAAACTCAGGTCAGGTGTCTTTAAGTTGCAATACAGTAGAATAAAACATTCCCCATCTCTCATTGAATGGAGAATTTATCAGGCTGCATTTTAAAAAATCTCCTTTTGTGGAACTAGTGAGAGTCTCTGGGAACCAAGTCCATATCCATCATAATGAAGCTAGATAAGGGTACATGACTCAGATTCTGCCCATCAAAACCAACCATCCAAGCACCATGTGAAAGGCTTTGATAAGGCCCTGTGAAGACAGTTTATGCAGTTCATTTGTCATTGAATATGGTTTCATCCTTAGCGCAACATTTTTAAACAGCTTGATTTTTAAAAAATCAATAGTCCTTGAATAAGAATGATATCAGGACAACAATCTTCAATTTAATATTGAGGGCCCTTTTTCACATCTTTTTTAACTTTAAACTGACTTGTATCGTAGTCTAAATTCCAACAGTGACTTTCAAATGCTTCCAGATTAATTCTTTCTTACTTTTGTCATATAGCACAGGTACAGTCTCTTTTTTCCTAGTGGTTTTCAAACTTGCGTTTTGAGCTGAGGAATCTCTTATCAAATAAAATCTGACTCAGAACCCAACAGCATAGTGGAACTGCTCAGGAAGTATCTCCTATCAGGAAAATCATTGGAAAATCATTGCCCTATACCAAAAATACTTTCACTGACAGGTTTCCTAGCCAGAATAGAGGATGTAAGTTCCTCAAAAAATGTAAGTTGCTCAAAGAATAGAAATTTGTTAAGTAACATATGTAGAAAATAACATATAGTAACTGTAGTCATGAAAAAGTTGAATTCCAGGATTAGGCTTTGTGACCAGAAATAGAAATGGCTACACAGGTTCTAGACTGAATTTCCCAGTCTGCATTCCCCATCTCCTGCAGGTTGGAAGGGCTGGGGCTCTGGAGCAGCACATTAGCAATTGGCTCTCTTGCCTCTCTCCTGAATGGATATCCTCCCAATAATTCAAAGTTGTACATGTTGTAAGCCCAGGACTTTCAAACTGGGTAACTGATCCAAACACTGGGAATGTGGGTTCAGAATATGACCCATTTGGAAGAAAACCTAAATGGGTCATATTCTGGACCCACATTCCCAGTCGAGACAGTACAAATGATAGTGGCAGGAGGCAGACAAATGCCTAGGCAGATACAGGCAGGTTGCTGGTGAAACCCCACTTTGAAACCAAAGACAGTTTAAATCCTGAAAATCAAGCCACAATCTCGGAAAAATCCATGGATTGGATTAAGAACATCTCTTCCTGTTTGGCACACTTTCCCCTGATTGATCTCCACCCTTCACCTATTTAACATATACCTACCCTTCCCTAATTGGTTTTTTACACTGTCATGCCCACCTTTTGTGGTGATTTGTTTTAGCCTCTTTTGCATACTCACAAGCCAATCAGCATGTACTCTCCCATTCTGAGCCCATAAAAGCCCCGGACCTAGACACACTGAGAGAGACACCACCCAACTTTGGGCGGGGGACCACCCTTGCCTCCCCTCTCTATTGAGAACTGTTCAATCGCTCAATAAAATTCTTCTCCGTCCTCCTTACCCTTCTATTGTGAGTATAACCTCATTCTTGGACATGGGACAAGAACTCAGGAACCAGCAAATGTGGGTACAAGCTGTAACACAGGCAGGCTGGGGCACACCCAGCCCAGCTGTGGGCTGAGCTGGTGCACGAGCCAGGCGCAGCCTGGTGGGCCGAGTGGATGAAGTGCCTCCTGCAGCCAGCCTGGGGCCAAGTGAGGCCTAGGTGGGGGCATCGCTGGCCATGGAGGGCCCCAACTGGCAAAGTGGCAGACAAAAATCCTGCATCACAAAGATATACTCCTAAGTTGCTTAGACTTTGACATAAGACTGGAGAGAAAAGAATTTTTCTTCCAACACAAGCAAGCATGCCAAACCTTACTTTGCTAAAGGGAACTTTGATCCCAGAGGCACTATTCTACAGACAACAGTTCCCTGCATTATATTTGAGAAGACTAACCATCTTTAGGATGAGCCCCCATTTTCCAGTTCTAGAGTGGGATCCTTGGTTTTTATAAATCTACAAGGGAAAAACATTTCCATATCCTAAACAAAGCTACCTGGCAGAATAGCTACGTTGGGCAGATTCAATAGTAAGGACCTACTTGCGTAGCGCAAAGCTAGATGTGTCAAAGCGTTATGAATTGTTCATAGTATGTGATAATCATGATTATATATTTCAATGTTGTACCTTTGCATGGAAAGCTTCTTTGACTGTGTTTTCAGTTTCTCTGTTGTTCCTTCAAAGCAGGCAGCCACCATCTCTGAGAGCTGCTGCTATTATAGTAAATAAGAAGTTATGTGCTTCCTATCTGTCTCCTCATAACTAACTCTCTTCATTAAAGTTAGAAGGAACAGTGGTATGCTGAAGCTGGACAATACAGCCTCATTAGAGCTGACTGTTATATTTTTAGGAATTTTATTTTATTAGGTTGGTGCAAAAGTAATCAAAAGTCATGGCAAAAACTGCAATTACTTTTGCACCAAACTAATACATCCCACTATTAAAAATTAAATTGTATAACCTTAGAATTAAATAAATTTCTTTTAAAAAAAGGTAACAAATAATCCAAACTCTTCACATCTTGGTGATTTTACTACATTTTACAACAATCTATACACAATATTTATGTTCATTTTATCTATATGGTAGAAATATCATGTAAAAGTGTGCAACTCTTTTCCACTCCACATTCAGCGATGTCAGGTGGGTAGCTTGAAATCAACTATGAGCATTTACACCATGGAAATTGGCAAACATAAAAAAATAGGGCTTTTATTTCAAGAGAACTAGTTGTTAAATGTTTACCATCACACCATTGACAACGAGAGTATAAATAGATGTCAATTCCTTTGCCAATACTTGACAAAACAATTACTTATGTTTACATGACTGGCTAGTGAGACATTTTGCCATCAACTAGCTATTTTTATAATGTTGTGAGCCTTGATACTCACAACTGAATTCCCTCATTCTCTCTTTATCACCAGTGAAAATTGTAAATCAGCAGCAATAAAGAATTAAATTGGGTTTCAACAAGAAATAAAAATGATGCCAATCAACTATGTGGGTAGAATTTTATGCTGTTAGAAAATAAGTAAATATATGAAACTCATAAATCTATTGCATGAATATATCAGTCAGAGATGGAGAAAAAGCTATCACAAGGGGAGGGACATAAATTGTGCTTTGTGAAAAGAATGTACTAAAATAAGGAAATGCACTGCATGGGTTCATAATTTGGTAATAATATGAGTTCATTAGTTGCTATATGTTTTCTGGGCAGTAGTTTGTCCCTGATAGAAAGCTTTACTGAAGATCCTGGGATCAGGTCACAGAAGAATGATTTAGTGAACATCTAATGGCTGTTGTCAATGTGCTCACATTCAAAGCCAGGCCCATCCGTAGAGGGGATCCCTTGTGTGGTGCCTTTCTGTTTCGTTTCCTTCACCAGGGAAGTCACAGTATTGCTGCTCCCTGGGAGTCCAGGCCCTGAGCCCCAGAGAATATTCACCTCCACCTATGTCCTGCATCCCCAGTCCTTAGTGTTTGTCTAATTATTAACCTTATTCCTGAATAATTAATCCTAATAACATTTTCATTGGTAAGTAAGGGATATATATATGTGTGCGTGTGTGTGTCTGTGTGTGTGTGTGTATGTGTGTGTGTAAGAGTTCTGCTGTAAAATTTCAGAGGACCAAAAAACTCTGTGATAAAGATAAATAGTATTTAATTTAATATATTTAAAAAATTAAACTTAATGCAAAAAACCCATGATTCATAGAATATCAAAATCTGAAATAAAGACAGGATTAGACTTTAGGATAAGGGTGCTGTTCCCACTAGTGAACCAGGCTTCCAAGTGGAATGCCTTTCTTCCCATTTTCATTTGTCTCCCGCGAGTTTGCTCAATTAGCTCTTTCTTTTCTCTCCTAAATTTTCAGCTTCTAGCTCTGTATAGGCATTCATTTCCCAAAGCCTACAAACTTGCTAAAGTTCCAACCACCTTTGAAACAAAAACAAAAGGAAGAACTGCCTCATTTCAATTCCTTTGATTTTTCTCCTGCTAACATCCCACACATTTTCCTTTATACCAAAGTTCCTTGAAAAAGTAACCTGTGCTCAGTGTCTTTATGTTTTTACCTCCCGTTTGGCATTTCTTCAATGCACAATGTTCATTATTCCTGTCTTTTGTGTGGGGGAGGTATACAGGGTCTTGCTCTGTCACCTAGGCTGGGGTGTGGTGGCACGATCTCGGCCCACTGCAACCTCCGCCTCCTGAGTTCAAGCAATTCTCTTGCCTCAGCCTCCTGAGTAACTGGGATTACAGGCATACGACACCATGCCCAGCTAATTTTTGTATTTTTTATTAGAGATGGGTTTCACCATGTTGGCCAGGCTGGTCTTGAATTCCTGGCCTCTAGTGATCCGCCCACCGTGGCCTCCCAAAGTGCAGAGATTGCAGGCATGAACCACCGCACCTGGCCACTCCAGTCTTTTTGAGAAATCTCTTCTTTTTGACTTCTATGATATCACTTTTTATTATTCCTTCTTCTACCTCCAAACATTCCTTCTCAGTCTTACTTGGAATCTCATTTATTTCTGCCCTCTCTTAAAACGTTGGCAATCGTCAGGTGCTAGCATCATCCTCTGCTTCCCTCACCCCTCCTTCAACGACCACACCAACTCCCATGAGAGAACTATCAAAAACAAGCACACAACACTTATTTCCAGCTCTGAAGTCTCTCCTGGATACAGATTTTTATATAGGCAGCCTACTAGACAGCCCCTCTTGGCCACTCATAGACACCTCAACCTCAACATATCTTAACACACTCATTACGTAGCTCATTCACCACCGCTCTGGCTGGCTTTACCTCTACTATTTATCTCGTTGAATGGCACCAGGAATTCAACAAGGAAGCATGAAGCCACTCTAGAGTATTCCTTTTCCTCAAAGGCTAGAGACCTGAGTACTCCTAAAGACACCACCTCCAGCATCCGTGGAGCTGCCAACAGAAGCCCTCAGAATTTCACTTACGGTTTGCACACAGGACTTGTGGGACAACCTGTGATCCTGGAATGACATCCCACATTATCACAGTGTATTCCTCTTCTCTGCCCTCACCTTCTGCTTCTCTTATTCCTGCTTCCTCTGTGCCAGAAATGCTAGCCTTCCTGCTTCTCCCTGGACCTTTCTTCCTCCAGATACACAGCTCCCCACCTTCCTTTGCTCATCTGTCTACTGATAGAAATATCTGTCATTGAGCCCTTTCCTAACCACCCCACATAAAATTAGTAACCTACTCCCCTACTGTTCTCTTATCTTCCTATCCAGCTTCATTTTCCTTCTTAGCACTTATACACACCTGACTTATTTTGTTTGTTCATTTTTCTTGTCTATTAAAATGTGCATCCCCTGAAACCAGGGTCTAGCTTACTAACTATATTTTCATCCCCTAGAACAGTGTTCAATCTTTAGTAGAGACAAAACATACATTTGTTAAATGACTGTATGATTAATTCCTGTCATACCTACTCCTTCAACATTTATCGTCTCAGTTTCCTTGGATATTCCTCACATATTCAACAAATATTCACTGAGCTCTTCATACAAGACCTGCAGAGTGCTGGCTGCTGCCATTGTCGCTGCTGCAGGACTCATTGTCTCCAGCCTGGACTCTTGGAATTGTCTCATAACTGGTTTCCTTGCTTACAGTCAGTTCTCCTTTTTACCTGTTCTTCATGCTGTTGCTAGGTTGTCTTTCCAACTTAGCTCACATTGATAGCTTCTCTGTGAAGCCTTTCTCAATAATTTCAGTAGAATGTCTTGACCTTCCTTGTGCCTCAATGTGCCTTGTACAGATGGCTGTCATAGCACATACACTATGGCACTTTGCTGAACATATTTATACATCTGTCACGTATTATTTGACTATAAACTCACTGAGGACAGATGTTACAGTCTTTTATTTGCCCTGAGTTTTATTTATCCTCACTATTTAACACAATACCAGGGCTAACATGAATGCTTGATAAATATTTGTTGAATAAGTAACATCATAGTGTTATCAACAAATTAACTGTCTTTATGCCAGAGAGTCTAAAGCACTTACACACAAATCATAGTATGTTTTTCCAACTTAAAAAAAAATGATTTGAACATACATCTTTGTATGATAGGTAAAAAGCAGGTATTATTATCTCCCTCTAACAGAAGGAGGATTGGATTTGTATCTGCTTCCTAAGATTACTTTGCACCCATAACTGGATTGATAGCATCAAGTCTAGTGTGCAGATTATTAAATTGGATGCTGAGGGATTAGCAAAGAAAAGTAGAAACATTCTCTGCCTTCAAGGATCATATTACCTGAAGGGGAAGACAATACCCATAGAAAATAGGTAGGAAAATAGGTCCATTGAAGCTCTTCTAAACAATCCTAAAAATGGACCACTCAAATATTGAGAGAAAGGAAAAATGCTGAAATTACCTCTGTAACCAAACTGGAACTTCTTTTGGAGATCAGCATCTGTATTTAGATGACAGCTGCTCTACCCAGAGGGCTGTACACAGGGAGACAAGTCACCTCTTCCAAGCCTGCAGTGCTCCCTAACGGCCAGCTGTCCGGAGCATGCAGCAGAATGGCAGCATCCTGACAGTTTAATTCTGAGCATCACGTCTGCAATTTACCTGGAGGGAAGAAGCTGAAGGCAGAATGCATAGGGAAATGATGATGAATTCCTAATGACTATTCTAGGTTAAATACTACTGACAAGTCAATGGGTAGAAGGTTTCATTTTGAAGGAGGCTGCTAAAAAGTGATTAACACCATATTTCTAAAACTAAATCAAAACTCTACCAGGGATTCAGCTTCAAAATTGTGATAGTCTGGTTTTCCAGGAAAATGACTGTGTACTAAGAGAACAAGGCAGGGAAGTCAATTAACATTTCTAGGCACTTTTTATGTGTTTTAAATAGTTCTTTCAAACCCTCTCCCAAATGAATCCTCACAACAATATTGCAAGATAAACATTACTAATTCCGTTATTATAGATGAGGATATTGTAGAAAATAAAGGTCCACATGAAAACAGTATGTCTTTCTATCAATGTGGACTCATGAATACTTATTGTAATCAGTAGGTTATAATCTATTAGTCTCATTTATTTTGTTGCCTTTCCCAGCTTTGACCATGGGGAGTTCCCTCAAGTGGACTCTGGTGTCCTTTTCACATGACTCATCAATTTTTTATCATTTCCTTACTTTCTGGCATCACAAGATATTTCAGGCTCCCCTTGTATTTTTTTTTCCTCAACTCTGGAATCAGCCAAGGAGCACTGGTTCCTTTTATTAGAGAATGGTTTTAAAATGAAAATGAGATCTGAGTGCTGGTGGGGCTCATTTGCCAAGGTGATGTTGTTTCTAGGTGCTCACAGAGAAAACAGATGAGAAATATATACATGTATACACATACATAAGTTCCACATACATCCATCTACATCTTTTTCTATCTCTAGCTATCTCAAATATATCAAAAACACAAGTTCACATTGATACCTCAGATTCCAAACCACCACCTCAGTGTTCATTCAAGCCTGTCCCATCTCTGTCTCCAATAGTGAGGAACCAGACTCTCATTACCCCCAATATATTTATTTGAGCAGTCCTAGAACATACACAAAGTAGTTACTGAATTGCTAACTCATACTCCAGTGAAAAACAAATTCAGTAACTAACAATATTTGTGAACAGTTTTTTTTTGTCTTTAGCCTTACAAAATATAGTCAAAACATTGTTTTTCAAATTTGTTACTGTATTTCATTTTCGATGTTCTCTACTTCCTAATTCATTTTGACTATTTATTCAGTATGACTAATGTGATCATGATACCAAAAGTCAAAGCATATGTGTGTGTGTGTGTACATATGTATCTATATATATACATATACATACATATATATACACACATATACATATACATATATATATATACATATACATATATATCTAAAGGTATAATCAGAGAAATGTCACCTCCCTTTAGCCCTTCTCCTTTGTTCCTGCTCTCCCATTCTTTCTATTGAGTCCCTACCCATCTCCTTTGGGTAACCAATCTCATTAGTTCAAGTTTATTCTTATTATGTTTCTATTTGCACAAATAAGAAGATACATGTATATTTTCTTTTCCCTTTTTTCTTTTTTTTCTTTTCGTTCTTTCTTCTTCCTTTTTTTTTTTTTTTTTTTAGAGATTCTCACTCTTTTTCCCAGGCTGGAGTACAGTGGCATGATCACGACTCACTGCAGCCTCGACCTCCTAGACTCAGGTGATCCTCCCACCTCAACTTCCTGAGTAGCTGGGACCATAGGCTCATGCCATCACACCCTGGTAATTTTTGTATTTTTTGTAGAGACAGGGTTTCACCATGTTGCCAGGCTAGTCTCGAACTCCCAGGCTCAAGAAATACACCCACCTCAGCTTCCCAAAGTGCTGGGGTTACAGGCATGAGCCACCACACCTGGCCTTATGTGTGTACTTTTTAATACTATGTTATACACATTAGGATGTACATAACATCCTAGGATTACATTTGGCTTTTTCACTTAAAAGTATATCCTGGGGCTGGGCGCGGTGGCTCATGCCTGTAATCCCAGCACTTTGGGAGGCCAAGGTGGGCGGATCACTTGAGGTCAGGAGTTCAAGACCAGCCTGACCAACATGGAGAAACCCCGTCTCTACTAAAAATACAAAATTAGCCGGCATGGTGGCACATGCCTGTAATCCCAGCTACTCAGGAGGCTGAGGCAGGAGAATCACGTGAACCTGGGAGGCAGAGGTTGCGGTGAGCCGAGATTGCACCATTGTACTCCAGCCTGGGCAACAAAAGCGAAACTCTGTCTCAAAAAAACCCAAAAAACAAAAAACATATATCCTGGAAATTAATCCGTATCACTAGTTTCTGGCTGAACGTTCCTGGTCTTTTAGGTAACAAGCTTCTGCTTTGTTCCCCAGTTCTGACAGGAGTTCAATTGTCCAGAGAGCCTTTCTCCTCCTCAAGATCCCAAATTTGGCTGATGAAATCTTTGTCTCCCTTTTATTTTTGTTCTTTGAGGGGACCTTTAGTCTATGTCTCTCTTGGGATTTAGATAACACCATCCCTGGGGCATGGCCGAATCCGGTTTCATCTTTGAACCCTGTCACTTAAGGGGTTCAGTGCTGCTTCAGAGACCAGGTGGCTAGGGGAACGTGTGTAAAAATGGAATAAAATGCACCTGATAAAGGTATGGACTTAGAAACAATGTGGAAACATGAGGGCATCCATCTGGGACTGGCTTTACCTTATCCTACCCTCCTCCCTCCCCATCACACTGTCTGTTGCTTCTTTGAACCATCTCTACTTCTTTTCCTTTTCAAAGCAACTCTAATGTTTATTTCATCTACTCTCCTCTGTGTGC
Source organism: Homo sapiens (assembly GCF_000001405.40). NCBI lineage: Eukaryota > Metazoa > Chordata > Mammalia > Primates > Hominidae > Homo > Homo sapiens. The sequence continues at coordinate 60,229,568 of NC_000013.11, forward strand.
CGGTAGAAAGGGGATTATTTCTTTTCTCCAAGGTTTCCCCTGTTGAATGAGGTCCCTTGATAACAAACTTTCCAAATCAGTTGTTTCCTAAACATATTTTCAAACATTCAACTAGCTTTGGTCTTTGCTAGATCCTCTTTTGGGAGTGCCTTTCTACTCCTCTACCTGGAGAACTCTGGCTCAGCAGATAAATATATCATTATCTTTGTCACATGGTCCCAGTCTCCCTTTTCCTGGAAACCCTGTGGAATGAGTTCATCCCTCCTCTATGCTCCTACAGCTCCCTGTGTACTTCTTATTACAGCATTTTCCACATTATGTCATTATATAGTAATTAGATGTTTGCAGATCTGTCTCCCCCCACTAGACCATGACTGCTTGAGGCCTGGGATAATTATGTTTCATTCTTCTTTGTGTCTCCAGTGCCTTGCAGTATCTGCCACATAGTGGGTGCTGAGTAATGTTTAAATGATTTCATTAACTATACTTTGTCACACATGCACAGTCATTTAGCACAGATACAGAAAGAGAGCAACTCTAAAGAGATTTCACGCATTCTGCTAATAAGGAGGAAACTAAAGCACTATGGTTAAGTCAGAAGTTTCTGTTTTTTAGCTGCTGATGAGATCTTGCCCCAGCCTTAGAGGCACTGAATAAAATGGTCAGATTTTCCACATGCTCAATCCAGGCCAGTAGGAGAAGTTTCACTCTTGCCCGGACCAAAAAGTCTTAGAATTACAATGATGGATGGGCTTATGGAATGGCTCTTCCTCTTCTAGGAGCAAATGTCTATAATAATTTAGGTCCCATTGGGTTGTGTCTCAACCATGCAACTGGATTTATTAATTTGACCTTTTAATTACTAACAATCTGCTGACCTGAAATTTCTTCAGATCCTCAGAGCAAGGAAATAAACTTCTCCAGGAGAGAGAATAAAAATAAAATAAAACAAAAGCAAGTCTGGCACCTAGCTATGTTGGTGTCTTCCAAAGTATGAACACCATAATAAAGGCTTTCTGCTTCTGTTTCATTATGTGACAGTCAGAGACTGTAAACACTGTCGGTGGCAGAGAAAACAGTGTCTAGAAACAAATAAGAGAAACTAAAGATGAAACTGGGAATATGTGCACAGCTTATGCTTTGGTATTCTGTGGTCATGACAGCTTTTGCTCTTATGAAAGTACTGAGTGTGGTGTTCTTTTTCCCTGTAATGATTTCTGAAACTGTGTGACTTGTGGAATTTGCCTTAAAAAATGCAGTGAGTGTTTAATCGCTCAGGGTGTGAGTAACCACATTCTGTTCGACTATGCTTCCAGCCCTCACTTTCCTCCTTATCAGTGACAGTACTCCAAACACTTGTCTCAATTTTCAGATCAAAGCTGATGAAAAACAGACCTCTAAAGGGTTGAATTGCCTTCTGCATTTTTGTTCATCGGAAGAAAATACCTATACCACTTGAAAGGGCTGAGCTTTTTTAGTGCCTCATCTGTAGATTGTAAATTCTGTTTTGCCTTCCTGCTTTGCTTATTTCTTACTCTGTCAATGTCATCTGCTTCAAGAAATGTATCTTTTAATTAATTATTCTTGTCTCAAGTTGTCTGCTGTGGCTCACTGTCAGGGCAATAATTCATATCGGTAAAATAGGATATGTTGCTAAATGGAAATATCTTGGCTTATTTCAACATGAGATTAACTTCATTTACCCAATAATCACCTTAAATGAGTTTTCAGATAAATCTTTTTGTTGTTTATATTTTATTTGAAGTTGCATACAACATTGCTTTTCTAAAAGAGCAGAAATTTGGAAGCATGAGAACATTAAACTATAGAAGACCCTAGAAGTCTGATTGAAAAAACATTTAGAAGGAATTCTAAAGCTAGAAGCCAAGTCCAACGACACAACAATAACAATTCCATTCATATTCTGATCTATGGGAAATCTCCAAAAAAGGCCTCCCAGAAATGCATAATAAAATATGGATAGTTTTGAATAGGTTACACATGGTTTGCCTGAGTTTATTAAAACAATGGAATCAGTTATAAATAGTGCAGAAAAGATTAATAAAGTAATTGAAGGTAAATAAATTTAAAACAAATAGAAACAAGATGGGTGACAAAATAAACAAACCTCTATGACTTTTCCAAAGGCAACCTTTAAAAACAATGGTAGGCACGTTCTCACTCATAGGCGGGAATTGAACAATGAGAACACTTGGACACAGGAAGGGGAACATCACACACCGGGGCTTGTCGTGGGTGGGAGGAGCGGGGAGGGATAGCATTAGCAGATATACCTAATGTAAATGACGAGTTAATGGGTGCAGCACACCAACATGGCACATCCATACATATGTAACAAACCTGCACATTGTGCACATGTACCCTAGAACTTAAAGTATTAAAAAAAAAGGTAGATTTTCAAAGCTATTTACTAAAGTGAACAAAAACAAACTTTGTATTATTTGGAGAACCATAATTTAGTCCAGTTGGGAAGAAATTGAGGTTCAAGGATTTACATGTACTGGTAGAGTATTTCTGAAATGATAGGATCAGAAGTATTATTGAATTTAGAATTTTTTTTAGTTTTGGAATATTTGCGTATACACAATGAGATATCTTAGGAATGGGACCTAAGTCTAAACATGAAATTCATTTATATTTCATACACGCTTTATACACGCAGCCTGAAACTAATTTTATGCAATATTTTAAAATAATTTTGTGTAAGAAAGTTTTGACTGCAACCTGACATACGAGGTCAGTTGGGGAATTTTCCACTTGGGGCATGATGTCGGTACTCCACAAGTTTCCTATTTTGAACCATTTTTTTTCTTTTTTTTTTTGAGATGGAGTTTCACTCTTGTCACCCAGGCTGGAGTGCCATGGCATGATCTTGGCTCATTGCAACCTCCACCTCCCAGGTTCAAGCGATTCTCCTGCATCAGCCTCCCAAGTAGTTGGGATTACAGGTATGCACCACCACACCCGGCTAATTTTTGTATTATTAGTAGAGACGGGGTTTCACCTTGTCGGCCAGGCTGGTCTCGAACTCCTGACCTCAGGTGATCAGCCAACCTTGGCCTCGCATAGTACTGGGATTACAGGTGTGAGCCACTGTGCTCAGCTTTGAAGCATTTTTGATTTGAGGTTTCTGACTAGAAATGCTCAACCTGTACTTCTGAAAGGAGGATATTCTTTTCAGTGTAATCCTTCAGGACCGATTTTGTACTCCTTTCCTAAGGGGAATGAAGGGTCATTCTTCTTTTAGTCCAGATATTAGGAGCACTATAGTAATGCGATATTTGGTTATTATGACTGCATGGTGTGGAAAGGTCACTGGACTAAAAAGGAACTGTAGGTTCTCATCCCAGATGCATCATTAACTGGTTTTGTGACCTTGGGAAAAATCAATGAATTTGATAAATATTCCTTAAGCACCTAGGTACTATGCAAGATGTTGAAGCTAAAATGACAATAGGAAAAGTTCTTCAACTTTCCCCTGAGAAAGACTGGCAGTAAAAAAATAATAATAAAGAGCTACACGTGCCACAGTAAGAAATAGATGGGATGGGGCTAGAGACAGAAATAGGCATTCCAGGAATTTCAAGCCCTTTGGCTTTGCTAGATTCGAGGGTGCTTGACAAGGTGGGCCGAACATAAGGCTGGAGTCATAGGCAGGGACCAAATTGTGCAGTGTCTTTTGCATTACAGTAAGAATTTGGACATTAATGATGTATCCAGTAATACTCAAATTTTAGTATGCAATCGAATTACTTGGAGGAGTTTATTAAAACACAAGCGTCTGCCCTTGAGTGACAGCATCCGAATCTCCAGAGGCAGGATCAGGACACATGTATTTGACAAGCCCCTCAGGTGCTTCTAGTGTACCCAAAAGTTTGAGAGCCACTGGTATAGTCAGTGAGGAACCACTGAAGACCCTGGCGTAAGGGAGTAACACCAGATTTGTATTTTAGAAAGATCACTCTGCAAAGAGCGTAGAGAACAGACTTGAGGGATGTGATCCTGGAGACAGGGAGACTGATTAAAAGATGATTTTCTTTATAACTCAGGACCCAGCCTCCTCTCCTGGGTATGTGTCTGAGAAAAAAATCTAATATATGTACCTTAGGAAACAGTAGAAAAGTGTTCATAGTAGCAATGTGTGTAGTAGCAAAAAAAAAAGACTATCCCAAATATCGATGAATAGGAGAATAAATTGTGGTATTTTCCCATAAGAGAATTTGCTACAACAGTGAAAATGAATGAATCAAATCTATATGCAATTAAATAGATGAATCTTACAAACACAGGGGTCCCCCTATCCTCAGGGGATATATTCCAAGACCTCCAGTGGATGCCTGAAATCTTGGATGTACTGAAACCTATATATCCTATGTTTTTTTCCTATACATACATACCTATGATAAAGTTTATCGTTTATAAATTAGGCACAGTAAGAGATTAACAACTAATAATAAAATTGGATAACTATTATACTGTAATAAAAGTTATGTGAATGTGATCTCTCTCTTTCTTTCCCTCTCAAAATATCTTATTTTACTGTACTTAGCCTTCTTCTTATGATCTGTTGATTTGATAACTGAGACCACTACTACGTGACTTACACGTGGGTAGCATGGACGTGTGGATATGGTGGACAAAGGGATGATTTGTGTCCAGCTGGGAAGAAGTGGGACAGTGCAAGATTTCATCATGCTACTCAGAATGGCATGTGATTTAAACTTATGAATTGTTTATTTCTGGAATTTTCTATTTAATATTTTTGGACCACAGTTGACCATGGGTAACTGAAACTACGGAAAACAAAACTGTGGATAAGTGGGGACTACTATAGAGTTTTGAGAGTAAAAAAAAGCAGTAATGAAAGACTACATACTGTGAAAGTTGTTGGTATCAAAATGGACTGACTTATGTCAGACGCTGGCAAAATGGAGTTAGGCAGTCATGAAGTGGGGGGATGCTTACACATATTTGCCAGAAACTATCACAAAAGATTCTGCCAAACCCATAAGATTGCATAAAACCACCACAACCTTGCACACCGCCCCCTGCCAAAATAAAAAAGAGAAAAAGAAAAAGAAAATACTTTTGTGAGGACATCTGCCTAGCAAATGCCTCTCCAGTCTTGGACCGATGCTACCCTTATTATTGATCCTTGTAGCCAAGGATAATTGTCTCACAACTTATGTAACCCTCCTCATTTTACCTTTAAAAACGCTTGTCTTTCTTTGCCTTCCTGGATGTGCGTATGATTTGTCACAGCATGTGTCCCACGTTGCAATGCCCTATTTGTTCCTGATTAAACTAAATATTTTTAGATAGCCTCTCTCTGTTTGTTATTTAGGTTGACAATACTATATGATACCATTCAAATATGGTTTTAAAGTGAACAAAATTAAACAGTTATATACACACATTGTTTTTCAACAAAGCAAGGGAATAAAACTACACAATTTAGGACAGCATTACCACTTGTAGAGGTCAGTGGATTTGGCTAAGGATAAAATACATAATATCTTCAATGGTGATGATAACATTTTGTTTCACTAGTTGAATGGTGGATTGATGGCTGTTTGTGTTTTGATTATGCTTCACAACTTATATTTGGTAACCAGTCTGTAAAGATGGCTCTCCAAAGCACGGTGCCTCCCAGTGTTCATGCTTTTGTATAGTCCTCTCCCACATTGAACCTGGGGGTTTAATCAAGAGGATGCAGCAGAAGTGACACTGTGTGACTTCTAAGCCTAGGTCATAAGAAGCCTTGTATCTGCCTCCTGGGCCTCTCAGAACACATGTTCTGAGAAAGCAAGCCACCATGCAGGAAGTCCAAATATCCAGACACCACCATGTGAGGAAGCCCAAGTCAGCCACATGGAAAGGCTGCCTGGAGACAAGGGATGTCTGGCTAGCTATTCCCAGCTGAGACACCAGTTATATAAGTGAAGAAGCCATCATGGGTGTCCAGCACAGTTGAGTCTGCAGATGACTTCAGCCCCAGCCACCATCTGACTGCAACTGCATGAGAAACTCCAAGAGACAACTGCCCAACTGAGCCCAGTAAACCCTCAGAACTGTGAGAGAGATTAGTACATCACTGTTTTAAGCCACAAAGTTGGAAATGGTTGGTCATACAAGAGATAGCCAGAACATGATGTCACATATATTATTTTGTATGCATCAAACACTACAATTTTTTTTTTTCAGAAATGAGATTATTAACACAAGTCGGAATCAGACAGTCTGGTTTCAAATCCTGGTTCTGCCACTCCTAGCTTCTGCGACTTATCCTGAATAAGCCACTTAACCTCTCTAAGAATCAGTTTTATCATCTGGGAAATGGGGAAAATAATAGTTCCTACCTCATAGGTAAGTTGGGAGGCTTAAGAAATACTGACTTTGTCTATTCTTATCTAGGCAGAAGGTAAGGACATTACAACTTGTAGGGACAAAGCAGTACTACACAAACTTGCTTCTTCTATGGATCGAAAGAGGAAAGGAAAAAGCTTTTGTAAATGAAATGTGGATTATAGCTTAAGAACTCCTATGAGTATTCATGGTAAACAGGATTCAGCTGGAACAAGTGGCTATAAAGTCTGTTCCCACTCTGTGGTTTTATGAAGATTCATTGATTTCCTGCAGTTTATTTCAGGTATAAAACATGTGAACTCGGATTTCTCAGAGACAGATTTCCCTGATTTTAGCATTATTTCTGTCCATGGCTTCCCTCTCCTGTGGAACTCTCCACTTTGGGCCCAGTCATCTCATGTTAGGTGAAAGCAAACAAATAAAGGCGTCATTCAGTCAATCCACTCGATGGCTGGTTAATAGATCACATAGAAGGAAGGGGCAAGGAAGGAGGAACAGGAGACTGATAGTGCTGTTCTTTCTGCAGGGCATTTGAAGTCTGGGAATAGAAACTGGACAAGTGATTTTAGGAAGCAATCTTGTTTGAAAGATGATTATACTCTAGGAAGGGGTGAAATATGACCATTGTGCATCCCACAGATATCCTCAGAATATGATGAAAGCCAATTTCTACCCTTTCCCATTTAGCTTGGTCCACAAACTACACGGTTCAGGAGGATTAGCAAAATGCCAGCCAGGAGGTAAGCATTGTCTGAAAAGCCTGTGGCCCGTGGAGCTTGTGAACCACAAAACATCAATATTGACATCAGCTGGAGGAGATCTGATGGGAATCAGGCATGGCATGACTGCAGGCTGCGTAGGGGCTAGGCACTCTATCTGCAGACCCTGGAGCTCATTCGGATCAGAGGATGACTTCCATCTGTTCTCCACACCCACCGGGGCAGAACAAAAAGGATGGGGTTATAATCCAGCAGGAGGTATATGGGTTAGTTGAGCTCCAGAGGTCTCTTTAAGCTCTAATTCAATGAAGACTGTCTTTCTTATCTCTGAGAAGAGGTAGCATTTTAAAAAACTGAGTTTGCTTTTGAAAAAAATTGCATTGTGAAGTATTTGTTGAAACTTCATAAATATCTGTGCTTTAAAAAATATTTTAACTGCAGTTAAATGTTCAGATTTGCTAGAGAGCTGCTGCAAAACTTCAGAGCTTTATTTACATAATCTTTCTCTTTACAGATTCCTTCTTTCTTCCACTGAATTTTGAGGAGGAAAATAAGTCATTTCTCCTCCAAGAAGTCCCTCTGCTTCCAGCAGTCTGCTATGGTTTTTAGTGGCAATCCTAAATGTCAGAAGGCAGGGTGAAACCTGTCATGGAAGCCTCAAGGTAGGATCTTTTGATACTTAGCTAGCAAGGTCTTGTATTGTTTAGCCATGTATAGTATCTAGAGGATTTCTACTATTCTCCCTTTCCTGTGAATACGTATATTCACATCTCTACCTCACTGATATCTCCTAATTCCAATGCATTAACAGTTTTTCAGGCTGGGTGCGGTGGCTCATGCCTGTAATCCCAGCACTTTGGAAGGCCGAGGTGGGTGGATCACCTGAGGTTGGGAGTTTGAGACCAGCCTGGCCAACATGGTGAAACCTCGTCTCTACTAAAAATACAAATTTAGCCGGGTGTGCTGGGGCATGCCTGTAATCCCAGCTACTCCGGAGGCTGAATCAGGAGAATAGCTTGAACCTGGGAGGTGGAGGTTGCAGTGTGCTGAGATTGTGCCATTGCACTCCAGCCTGGGTGACAAGAGCAAAACTCCATCTCAAAAATAAAAAAAAAAAAAAAAGGAAACACTTTTACTTACAGAAAAACAGCAAATGCCGTACAAAGATTTTTTCCTAGAACCATTAGAGAGTAAATTGTTGACCTGATGTCTCATAATCCCTAAATACTTTAGTCCAAGGGCATATTCCTACATAACCACAATACAAGTACGCAAATCAGGAGATCAAAATTGATATTTTACTGCCATCTAATTCTCAGATTCCACTCAAGATGTGCCAACTGTCACAACGATATCCTTCACAGAAAAAAAAATCTGGTTCAGAATTAAGTGTTTCCATTAGTTGTTTTTAAGTTGCCTTATCTTTGGAATGGGTTTCTCTTTCCTTGACTTTCGTTACTTTGACAATTTTAAAGATTACAGATTAGTTTTTTTTTTTTTTTAATAGAATGGCTGTCATTTTGTTACCTCATGATTAGATTCACAGTATGAATTTTTGGCAGGAATGCCACCAAAAGGATGTTGGTTCTCATTGTATCCTATCAGATGGAATGTGATTTTGGTTTGTCTGATGAGCTGATGTTAAAGACCTGCCAGTCTTATCTGTATTTACCTCTTCCCCTTTTAAATCAATAAATGCTTTATGGGGAGATACTTTAAGCTACATAAATATCTTGTTCCATATCTAACTTCCTGTTTATTTCAGTGCGGGCTCTTGGATTCCTACTTCATTCAATGGATTATAATGTTACTATATTTATTTTGATACTCAAATGACAGTGGGATCCCGTTGAAGGTGGTTCCCATGTCCTTTTCACATGTCCTCACCATTTGTTTAGTACTTTCTTACTTCCTGGCACAAGAAGATGTTCTAGGCTCATCTGGTCCTTTTTCTGCCCCAGCCCTGGAATCAGCCATTTCTCTAAGGACCCCAGTTCCTTTTAATGGCAAATGGTACTTAGAAACTAAACTTTGGTTGCTAGGTGTGCATATTGCTATTGGGGTGTTGCTGCTCCCAATTCTCTCAGGCCTTTCAAGCCCTTTCTTTATCATTTAAGAAAATTACCCATTTGTCACTTGTGTTGCAAGTAGCTTTTCTCAGTGGGAAGTTTTTGTTTTGACTTTATTTATGATGATTTTTTTCCTGTTCGGAAATAATTGGTCATTTTGCAGCCCAATTTGCCCACCATTCTTGTTTTGCTTCTGGGATTAATTTATTAGCCATTCCACACTTCAGAGTTAAAACATTTTCCCAATGTTTTCTTCTAATTCTTTCCTAGAAAAATATTTTTAAAAAAATCTTAAAGTGCACATACTTTTATGTTGGTGAAGAAAAAAATTGGGTTTCATTTAGAGAGCAAGCTCAGTGCCACAGACTGATTCACTGTCTGAGGAAAACCAAAGACAGATCCAATTTTTTGGATATGTAAGCATTTTGTGAACGGTTCTAGGAGCTCCTTATCCAAACTAGTGGTTTTCTTACCCTGGTTGACAATTATCACGACCTTGGGAAATTTTCTCAAACATGCTGGTACCCAGTATCCACCACACAAAGCAATTGAATCAGAACCTCTAGGGATTGCTGGGTAAGGGCTTTTTTTAAGTGCTACAGGTGATTCTAATGTGCTGCCAAGACTGAGAACCACTCATCTAATTACACATCCTCACACTTGTCTAAAATTCTACCATGAGTAACTGTTTCCTTCAGACTAAAGAATTCCTTTTTGGTTATTTCCTTTCTTGGTTATCTTCTTTTAAAACATATTTTTTTTCCAAAGATTTAATACATCAAGTTTCTAATAATTTAGACTAGTGAGTTTAGCAGACTTCTAAAATGAAGACACAAGCATTAAAGTTATAGTTATGCATGTGTGGAAACTACACATGCAGCACACCCACTGTCCTGCGCTGGTTGTACACAGAAGGCAGCAGCTACCTAGGTAAAGGTGATATGGGTGGAAATGTTAATAGGAAGAAGCTTTGCCTTCAGAATAATCTCAAGGGGAACACTTAACAATACATTTGGAATTTTTTAAAACAAGAGCAAGCTGCAAGTTACGTGATGTTAAAAATATGACCCATTATCTGAGTGATTATGAGCAAGTTACTTTACTTTGAAGAGCCTCAGTTTCCTTATTCACAAAAATGAAGCTGATATTAATACCTCTTTCATGAGATTGTTGTGAGAATTACATCAGATCGTAAAGGTAAAGCCCTTTACATGTACATCACATAGAAAATACTCAGTAAGTGGTTGTCTTTAAATAAAGAATAGCTACTTTCACTCCTAGCCAGTACCACTTCTAACAGATAACTTTTTCTGCATAAATCAAATTGCACATTGGCTTAAATTTTCTTCTTGAGTGGCCTGTATATAATATTCGGTAGTATCACTATTTAATATTAATCTCAGAATAAGAGTTTTGAGCTGAGACAGTTTTTTTTTTTTTTTGGTAATGAGTATGCATTTGTGATTTCTAAGGAAAATTCAGTAAAGGGAAAACATATATTTAAAATAGGTTGAATAGTTAAATTTTTCATCCTAATTGTTGGAATTATTTGGGGGTGACGAATGAGTCCAAAATTATAAATAATTCTAAAATTGTTTATTGCATGAAATTTCTAGTGCTGTAACTCTTGCATTGTCATGTGTATGTATCATACATTCTGGAAAAAGTAATGTCAGAACATGAGGCAATCATGGATGTTACTGAACATGGATATTTATTATGGCATTTAAATTAATATTACAAATAAAATAGTAGGTGACCTTATTTTACCTGATGTATTTTAAGAGTCAGCCGACCTATGACAGTTTGAAATAATAGACAAAGCATCTCAGAAATAGGCTCAGAATTATGTAGCCTGAGGCATGCACAATTTCCTATGGTGTCAAGTAAAATGAATATGAAGTACATCCTTAAGAAGTAGAAACAAAAACTGATAGCCCCTACAAAGGGGGAATTCTCTTAAGCTTTATATATATATGAAAAATCTATCAACATAGTTCTTTTGTTTAAAGGAAAGTGATGGTTTAAGTAAACTGTATTTATATACTCATCAATTCTCCTTATAAAGATCTTCCACAGGGAAATTTTTGCACCTGTTAATCGGTTCCAAGACACAGTCAGTTGACAGAGTTTATATTGATGCCTAAACCAGGCCACAGGTTGGAGGGGTTGGGAGAATATTTGCTTCCAGCCAATAAATTTTTATTAAGCCTCCAGAATGAATTAGCTCTATATTAGGGACTGAGATAACTATGGGATTGTATAATATAATAAAGGATATGTGAAATATGAGATAATGATAACTTTTTTTTTTCTAAACTAAAGAGAGAGATTTATTTGGATTGAAGTAGTCAAGGAAAGCTTTGTAAGATAGGACCTGACTTGGAACCTAAAGTGTCCGGACAGATGGAAGTGGAGGAAAGAGAAAGAAAGCATTCCAGGAAGATCAATGTGTAGATGTAAACTTAGAGGTGAGAATAAGCAAGTAGTGTGTGGGGGCTATATTCATTTGTTTTTGCTATGTAACAAATCATCTCCCAACGTAGTGACTGAAAACAAAGGCCATCTGCCATTGTCCATTATTGTAAGATTGGATGGGTGATTCTGCTGATCTGGGACAGGCTCTGTGGATGTTAGTTGGACTTGCTATCAGTTGGGATGCAGTTAGCTGGAAGGTCAGGCAGGGGTGGGCTGGTCTGGAGTAACTCACATGTTAGGCTCATTGGCTGGTTGTTGGCTGGTTGTTGGTTGGTTGTTGGCCGAAGTACCTCAGCTCACCTCTGTTTATTCTCTCATCTTCCAATTGCCTGGTCTGTGCTTGTTCTCCTCACATGGTAGGGATTCAAGGGAGCAAGAGCAGAAGTGTTCCAAAGTCTCTTGAGGTGTACCTGGCACACTATCACTTTTTGCTAAATTCTATTAGTGAAAGCATATCACAAGGCCAGCCTGGATTCCAGCGGTAGAGACTTAAATGGGAGGAGCTGCAAAGTCACATCATAAAGGATACAGGGAAGGCTACTTTCGCAATCTTCCGCATGGGCCATCTCACTGAAGTATAGAGGATATGAAAAATAATAGAGCAATTCTCTAGGAAGATTAGTTTGGCAATAGTTCACAGAGATATGAGAATTCATGGAAGAGACTGAAATTAAGGAGATATCAGGGGCTGCATCAGTAAACCTGGTGAGAGGTATTAGGACCATGACAAGGATGGAGGCAGTACTGTAAGAATTTTTGTTGTTTTGTTAAAAGTAACTACGACATAAATGGTTTCATCCCTTTGGAAATATTTGGGAGCATTTTTGAATTGATCTTGGCTCACAGTCATATGTTTCTGAATTGTGTCTTTTCCTGTCTGTATCTTTGGGCTGCAGCCTGTCTGGGGTCTTTGGTTGATCATGAGCACACATTGTGCTGACTCCCCCAAACAATACCATATATCCAGCAAATCTGCTGGTGTGAGCACTTTGGGTACACATTCATCAGCATTCAGCTGTTCAACAACCGAAAGATTTTTTTATGGTGTTTACACTCTCCTGAGTGGAAAGGGTTTCCCAGGAGATTTGAAACAATATTCCAGTCTTGGTTTCTTGGATCCTGTCTGCAACTTCAAGAATTGGTATTCAAATGCTGAAACTGTTAAGTAACTTGTTTCATTCCTTTGTTGGTGGGACTGTCCCAGCGTGATGTTATCAGCTATGAGGTGCTAGATACCATCCTGAATTAACCTTAACTCTACTTAGAGCAATAAATGATAGTGTTACTGCTTTTGGCAACTGCAGATATCACTTCAGGTTAAAAAGGGGAAGTGTATTTATAAAAATCCTTAGACTTATAGAACAAGTAACTTTCACAAGAATTAAACAAAATAAAGATCATACTGATTTTTAAAAGTATTTTATATTTCTTCAGGAAGTCTGAAGAAAAATGTAATAATTGAGTTAGGTCTTGAAGAGATCTTGAGAGGTCACTCTGAGAATACCTGTCTTAGAAGAGAAAAATTAGCTAATACCAAGTAAAGATTTCAGATACTCATCATACTTTCCAAATTGATTAAAAAATTTATTGCTTTAATAACTCAAAGTTCAATTGTTATTACCTACCCTGATACTCTTTTCAAATGGCCACATTGTTTTGTTCTAATGATTTTGCTTTTCCAAAGACCGTAAATCTTATATGCAAAATTTAATTGCTTCCCATGAAGGAAAGAGGAGATGACGGAAATGCCTAGTGTGGGGCTCCAGAAAAACAATGAATTTATCTCTATTTCTGTCTGTTGAAATGTTTTAAGGTTAATAATTGGGAATTGCTCATTTTAAAGCCACATTGCATTAAAAAAAAGACACATGCTTCCTGCTGATAGGATTTTCAGACTGCCTAGGGTTTATTATAATTTTGTGAGAGAAAAGTCTTAATAGCTCAGTGATCAAATACATTATAAAATAATTTTAGAAAACCAAAGTATTTATAATTTTTCTAATTGTTCCTTGTAAATTTCACTTTCCCCTCTTGTACAGTTATGCTATCAGGATTTAGAATTTTAAATTGCATCTTTCATTCATTTTACAACAGTATGATGAACGTTTTATCTTCCCTGGGAATTATTATTTCCAGAGGTAATAAGAACAGTCATCTGTTATATGGTCTGCATTTCTTGAGTTGTTTTCTGTGCTTTTTGTTGTCAGCTTAACAAAATTAATTAGATTAATTCCCTAAATTCTAGAGAATATTATTAGATATCAATTAAGCATTTATAAATGGTAATTTTAGATAGTAGTTTTATAGACTAATATTAAAAGAAAGTAAACTTACCTAGATTCATATATTTTAATGCTTAGTCTTTATCATACACCCCAAATTTTATGAATATTTTCATTGTTTTTTGTAGGTGTCTAGTAAAAAGTTGTTTGTATGTATTTTGAATAAAATTTTAGCTGACCTTCTTGTTTGTTTATCTATATTTTCAAATAGATCTAGGTACTGGTATATCCTCCAAAAAATTAAAACCACACACACATACATGCCTAAAACAGATTGGTTGCTGATTCTAAATGCCTTGCTAGATGTCCACTTATTTTATGCTTTTATTATTTTTAAAAAGTTATTCTTCAAAATAATGTTTAAAAGCCAACATGCACACAGTTTAACCAGTAAGTAAAATGATATACCCTGCCCCACTTCTCAGCATCCAGTCTTACTCAACAGGGATACCAACTCAGCTCTTTTTAAGTCTTTGGTAGATAACATTTCCCAGGCTCCTTTGCAATTATTTGCAGCCAAGTTATTGAGTTTAGGCCAGTGGAATATGAGTAAAAGTAATGCAAGCCACTTCCAGGCCCATCAAAAATTTCCTCGATATTATTCCCAATTTCCCGCAAATGGAGGGGACTCAGGGACCTAAAATAATGGATCCTTGAATCACTGTTTGGAGGAGAGTTGGTCTCAAGAGTTGCTGTTGGACTGATGCATAAATGATAAACTTATTGTGCCAAAACACAGAGATTTAGGGATTTTTTTTATAGCAGTTAGCCCACCCTGACTAATAGATATTTCTTGATCTACTGCCTTTGTTTGGTTTGTTTACTGTATATCCTCTAGTAGCTTGCCAAAAAAATAGAAAGATACATGGTAGGTAACATTTCTAAATAATTACATTTTTGAAAATGTCTTTTTAAAATTCTCACACTTGATGCAATAATTTGACTGTTTGAAATATTGTTTTCTTCAAAATTTCAAAGACATTTCTTTAAGCTTTCGATATTGCTTTTTTCTTTCCCTTTGTTTTCTCTGCAATCTCCTTCTAGAAATCCTTTTACTCATATATGGAACCTCTGGGCCTTATCAGCTTGTCTTATCTTTCTTGCTTTCAATCTATTTGTCTTTTGGTTCAACTTTCCTTATCTCTCTATCATCTTTAGCTCCCAGCTCTTCTACAGAATTATTTCTGCTGTATTATTTTTAATTTCCAAGAACTATTTTTATCTTCTGATTATTTCCCTTCATCTTTTTCATGGATACAATACACAATATCTTTTCTCTCCTCTCTCAAAGTGTTATTGGTAATTTTTTAAAAACTTTTTTTTCTGCTTTCTTTATGTGCTCTAGATTTAGTTCTTGTTTCTTTCTTTTTCTCACATCGGAGAATTTCCTCATATATCTAGTGGTCCTTGGATGTTTCTTCATATTTAAGAGTGAAACTGTGAAAAGCTGACTAGTTTTTAATCAGCTTTTGTTTCTTAAATATTTGGCAGATTTTTCTAAGGGACTTAAATACTGGCAGATTTTTCTATGGGTCTTCAAACAGTATTGGTGATCAGGGTATATTCAACATGCTTGGATGCCAGATTGTTTTCCCTGTAATGTTTCAGCCATTTTTACTCCACCAGAAAGAGCAAGTCATGAATTTTTTGCCTCTGCTATTATGCAAGAAAATTCAAAATCAGTTTCTAAAAATTTACCATCAAATTTAAAACAATGTTGTCCCAGGTTGAGTATTGTATGTCTTTAAATGTAATCAAAAAAGAGTAGAGGTTTGCTTCACGGTGATGCTTTGTTTTAAAAAGTCTTGCCAATCATGATGGCTTCACTAATATCCTAAGAAACAAAACACATTCATGTGGAAACAACATATAGGTAATTTAAAAAAATCATAGCCAGCTTCATTGCTAATATTAGTAGATGTAAATTCATAGCTCACAAAGTCTTATTCATAATTTTGATTTATTTTGACCAACTTGGAGTCAGATCTTGGAATCACTGTTTTGACTTCCCTATGTGAAGGGAGTAGTGGAAATGTTTTCACTGCTACTTTATTGTTCACTTGTATTTATATACCTAGTATTACTTTTGATCAGTGGTTTGTTTGTAGGATCCTTTTAAGCTAATTGTTCATTTTATGAATGTTAGTTAATGCTAGATAATATAATATCCATTAAACAATATGTTATAACTGCAATATGTGGCTATAAGTTGAAATTTGACAGGAGAAAAAGTGCCACTGTCAATGCCTCCAAGTTCCAGAATGTCACACTGCCTTTAAAATTCCTTTCATATTATACCTCTCAAGCATGCACTAGACAGAGCGGGTGAAGGTGCCAGCGTTGTTCTCTGTGTTACATTAGCAAAGTTTAATTTCCAACTTATTTTTTATTTATTTATTTTTATTATTATACTTTAAGTTTTAGGGTACATGTGCACAATGTGCAGGTTAGTTACATATGTATACGTGTGACATGCTGGTGCGCTGCACCCACTAACTCGTCATCTAGCATTAGGTATATCTCCCAATGCTATCCCTCCACCCCTCCCCCCATCCCATAACGGTCCCCAGAGTGTGATGTTCCCCTTCCTGTGTCCATGTATTCCCATTGTTCAATTCCCACCTATGAGTGAGAATATGCGGTGTTTGGTTTTCTGTTCTTGCGATAGTTTACTGAGAATGATGATTTCCAATTTCATCCATGTCCCTACAAAGGACATGAACTCATCATTTTTTATGGCTACGTAGTATTCCATGGTGTATATGTGCCACAGTTTCTTAATCCAGTCTATCATTGTTGGACATTTGGGTTGGTTCCAAGTCTTTGCTATTGTGAATAGTGCCGCAATAAACATACGTGTGCATGTGTCTTTATAGCAGCATGATTTATAGTCCTTTGGGTATATACCCAGTAATGGGATGCCTGGGTCAAATGGTATTTCTAATTCTAGATCCCTGAGGAATCGCCACACTGACTTCCACAATGGTTGAACTAGTTTACAGTCCCACGAACAGTGTAAAAGTGTTCCTATTTCTCCACATCCTCTCCAGCACCTGTCGTTTCCTGACTTTTTAATGATTGCCATTCTAACTGGTGTGAGATGATATCTCATTGTGGTTTTGATTTGCATTTCTCTGATGGCCAGTGATGGTGAGCATTTTTTCATGTGTTTTTTGGCTGCATAAATGTCTTCTTTTGAGAAGTGTCTGTTCATGTCCTTTGCCCACTTTTTGATGGGGTTGTTTGTTTTTTTCTTGTAAATTTGTTTGAGTTCATTGTAGATTCTGGATATTAGCCCTTTGTCAGATGAGTAGGTTGCGAAAATTTTCTCCCATTTTGTAGGTTGCCTGTTCACTCTGATGGTAGTTTCCTTTGCTGTGCAGAAGCTCTTTAGTTTAATTAGATCCCATTTGTCAATTTTGGCTTTTGTTGCCATTGCTTTTGGTGTTTTAGACATGAAGTCCTTGCCCGTGCCTATGTCCTGAATGGTAACGCCTAAGTTTTCTTCTAGGTTTTTATGGTTTTAGGTCTAACATTTAAGTCTTTAATCCATCTTGAATTGATTTTTGTATAAGGTGTAAGGAAGGGATCCAGTTTCAGCTTTCTACATATGGCTAGCCAGTTTTCCCAGCACCATTTATTAAATGGGGAATCCTTTCCCCATTGCTTGTTTTTGTCAGGTTTGTCAAAGATCAGATAGTTGTAGATATGCGGCGTTATTTCTGAGGGCTCTGTTCTGTTCCATTGATCTATATCTCTGTTTTGGTACCAGTACCATGCTGTTTTGGTTACTGTAGCCTTGTAGTGTAGTTTGAAGTCAGGTAGCGTGATGCCTCCAGCTTTTTTCTTTTGGCTTAGGATTGACTTGGTGATGCGGGCTCTTTTTTGGTTCCATATGAACTTTAAAGTAGTTTTTTCCAATTTTGTGAAGAAAGTCATTGGTAGGTTGATGGGGATGGCATTGAATCTATAAATTACCTTGGGCAGTATGGCCATTTTCACGATATTGATTCTTCCTATCCATAAGCATGGAATGTTCTTCCATTTGTTTGTATCCTCTTTTATTTCCTTGAGCAGTGGTTTGTAGTTCTCCTTGAAGAGGTCCTTCACATCCCTTGTAAGTTGGATTCCTAGGTATTTTATTCTCTTTGAAGCAATTGTGAATGGGAGTTCACTCATGATTTGGCTCTCTGTTTGTCTGTTATTGGTGTATAAGAATGCTTGTGATTTTTGTACATTGATTTTGTATCCTGAGAATTTGCTGAAGTTGCTTATCAGCTTAAGGAGATTTTGGGTTGAGACAATGGGGTTTTCTAGATATACAATCATGTCATCTGCAAACAGGGGCAATTTGACTTCCTCTTTTCCTAATTGAATACCCTTTATTTCCTTCTCCTGCCTCATTGCCCTGGCCAGAACTTCCAACACTATGTTGAATAGGAGTGGTGAGAGAGGGCATCCCTGTCTTGTGCCAGTTTTCAAAGGGAATGCTTCCAGTTTTTGCCCATTCAGTATGATATTGGCTGTGGGTTTGTCATAGATAGCTCTTATTATTTTGAGATACGTCCCATCAATACCTAATTTATTGAGAGTTTTTAGCATGAAGGGTTGTTGAATTTTGTCAAAGGCCTTTTCTGCATCTATTGAAATAATCATGTGGCTTTTGTCTTTGGTTCTGTTTATATGCTGGATTACATTTATTGATTTGCGTATATTGAACCAGCCTTGCATCCCAGGGATGAAGCCTACTTGATCATGGTGGATAAGCTTTTTGATATGCTGCTGGATTCGGTTTGCCAGTATTTTATTGAGGATTTTTGCATCAATGTTCATCAAGGATATTGGTCTAAAATTCTCTTTTTTGGTTGTGTCTCTGCCCGGCTTTGGTATCAGGATGATGCTGGGCTCATAAAATGAGTTAGGGAGGATTCCCTCTTTTTCTATTGATTGGAATCATTTCAGAAGGAATGGTACCCGTTCCTCCTTATACCTCTGGTAGAATTCGGCTGTGAATCCATCTGGTCCTGGACTCTTTTTGGTTGGTAAGCTATTGATTATTGCCACAATTTCAGCTCCTGTTATTGGTCTATTCAGAGATTCAACTTCTTCCTGGTTTAGTCTTGGGAGAGTGCATGTGTCGAGGAATTTATTCATTTCTTCTAGATTTTCTAGTTTATTTACGTAGAGGTGTTTGTAGTATTCTCTGATGGTAGTTTGTATTTCTGTGGGATCAGTGGTGATATCCCCTTTATCATTTTTTATTGCGTCTATTTGATTCTTCTCTTTTTTTCTGTATTAGTCTTGCTAGCGGTCTATCAATTTTGTTGATCCTTTCAAAAAAACCAGCTCCTGGATTCATTAATTTTTTGAAGGGTTTTTTGTGTCTCTATTTCCTTCAGTTCTGCTCTGATTTTAGTTATTTCTTGCCTTCTGCTAGCTTTTGAATGTGTTTGCTCTTGCTTTTCTAGTTCTTTTAATTGTGATGTTAGGGTGTCAATTTTGGATCTTTCCTGCTTTCTCTTGTGGGCATTTAGTGCTATAAATTTCCCTCTACACACTGCTTTGAATGTGTCCCAGAGATTCTGGTACGTTGTGTCTTTGTTCTCATTGGTTTCAAAGAACATCTTTATTTCTGCCTTCATTTTGTTATGTACCCAGTAGTCATTCAGGAGCAGGTTGTTCGGTTTCCATGTAGATGAGCAGTTTTGAGTGAGATTCTTAATCCTGAGTTCTAGTTTGATTGCACTGTGGTCTGAGAGATAGTTTGTTATGATTTCTGTTCTTTTACATTTGCTGAGGAGAGCTTTGCTTCCAACTATGTGGTCAATTTTGGAATAGATGTGGTGTGGTGCTGAAAAAAATGTATATTCTGTTGATTTTGGGTGGAGAGTTCTGTAGATGTCTATTAGGTCCACTTGGTGCAGAGCTGAGTTCAATTCCTGGGTATCCTTGTTGACTTTCTGTCTCGTTGATCTGTCTAATGTTGACAGTGGGGTGTTAAAGTCTCCCATTATTAATGTGTGGGAGTCTAAGTCTCTTTGTAGGTCACTCAGGACTTGCTTTATGAATCTGGGTGCTCCTGTATTGGGTGCATATATATTTAGGATAGTTAGCTCTTCTTGTTGAATTGATCCCTTTACCATTATGTAATGGCCTTCTTTGTCTCTTTTGATCTTTGTTGGTTTAAAGTCTGTTTTATCCGAGACTAGGATTGCAACCCCTGCCTTTTTTCGTTTTCCATTTGCTTGGTAGATCTTCCTCCATCCTTTTATTTTGAGCCTATGGGTGTCTCTGCATGTGAGATGGGTTTCCTGAATACCACACACTGATGGGTCTTGACTCTTTATCCAATTTGCCAGTCTGTGTCTTTTAATTGGAGCATTTAGTCCATTTACATTTAAAGTTAATATTGTTATGTGTGAATTTGAACCTGTCATTATGATGTTAGCTGGTTATTTTGCTCGTTAGTTGATGCAGTGTCTTCCTAGTCTCGATGGTCTTTACATTTTGGCATGATTTTGCAGTGGCTGGTACCGGTTGTGCCTTTCCATGTTTAGTGCTTCCTTCAGGAGCTCTTTTAGGGCAGGCCTGGTGGTGACAAAATCTCTCAGCATTTGCTTGTCTGTAAAGTATTTTATTTCTCCTTCACTTATGAAGCTTAGTTTGGCTGGATATGAAATTCTGAGTTGAAAATTCTTTTCTTTAAGAATGTTGAATATTGGCCTCCACTCTCTTCTGGCTTGTAGAGTTTCTGCTGAGAGATCCACTGTTAGTCTGATGGGCTTCCCTTTGTCGGTAATCCGACCTTTCTCTCTGGCTACCCTTAACATTTTTTCCTTCATTTCAACTTTGGTGAATCTGACAATTATGTGTCTTGGAGTTGCTCTTCTCGAGGAGTATCTTTGTGGCGTTCTCTGTATTTCCTGAATCTGAATGTCAGCCTGCCTTGCTAGATTGGGGAAGTTCTCCTGGATAATATCCTGCAGAGTGTTTTCCAACTTGGTTCCATTCTCCCCGTCACTTTCAGGTACACCAATCAGACGTAGATTTGGTCTTTTCACATAGTCCCATATTTCTTGGAGGCTATTTTCATTTCTTTTTATTCTTTTTCCTCTGAACTTCCCTTCTCACTTCATTTCATTCATTTCATCTTCCATTGCTGATACCCTTTCTTCCAGTTGATCGCATCGGCTCCTGAGGCTTCTGCATTCTTCACGTAGTTCTGGAGCCTTGGCTTTCAGCTCCATCAGCTCCTTTAAGCACTTCTCTGTATTGGTTATTCTAGTTATACATTTGTCTAAATTTTTTTCAAAGTTTTTAACTTCTTTGCCTTTGGTTTGAATTTCCTCCTGTAGCTCGTAGTTTGATCATCTGAAGCCTTCTTCTCTCAACTCGTCAAAGTCATTCTCCATCCAGCTTTGTTCTATTGCTGGTGAGGAACTGCGATCCTTTGGAGGAGGAGAGGTGCTCTGCTTTTTAGAGTTTCCAGTTTTTCTGCTCTGTTTTTTCCCCATCTTTGTGGTTTTACCTACTTTTGGTCTTTGATGATGGTGATGTACAGATGGGTTTTTGGTGTGGATGTCCTTTCTGTTTGTTAGTTTTCCTTCTAACAGACAGTACCCTCAGCTGCAGGTCTGTTGGAGTTTGCTAGAGGTCTACTCCAGACCCTGTTTGCCTGGGTATCAGCAGCGGTGTCTGCAGAACAGTGGTTTTTCGTGAACTGCGAATGCTGCTGTCTGATCGTTCTTCTGGAAGTTTTGTCTCAGAGGAGTACCCGGCCCTGTGAGGCGTCAGTCTGCCCCTACTGGGGGGTGCCTCCCAGTTAGGCTGCTCAGGGGTCAGGGGTCAGGGACCCACTTGAGGAGGCAGTCTGCCCGTTCTCAGATCTCCAGCTGTGTGCTGGGAGAACCACTGCTCTCTTCAAAGCTGTCAGACAGGGACATTTAAGACTGCAGAGGTTACTGCTGTCTTTTTGTTTGTCTGTGCCCTGCCTACAGAGGTAGAGCCTACAGAGGCAGGCAGGCCTCCTTGAGCTGTGGTGGGCTCCACCCAGTTGGAGCTTCCGGGCTGCTTTGTTTACCTAAGCAAGCCTGGGCAATGGCGGGCGCCACCCCCCAGCCTCGCTGCTTCCTTGCAGTTTGATCTCAGACTGCTGTGCTAGCAATCAGCAAGACCCCGTGGGCGTAGGACCCTCTGAGACAGGTGCAGGATATAATCTCCTGGTGCGCCGTTTTTTAAGCCCGTCAGAAAAGTGCAGTATTTGGGTGGGAGTGACCCGATTTTCCAGGTGCCATCTGTCACCCCTTTCTTTGACTAGGAAAGGGAACTCCCTGACCCCTTGTGCTTCCCAAGTGAGGCAATGCCTCGCCCTGCTTCGGCTCGCGCACGGTGCACTGCACCCACTGACCTGCGCCCACTGTCTGTCACTCCCTAGTGAGATGAACCCGGTACCTCAGATGGAAATGCAGAAATCACCCGTCTTCTGCGTCGCTCACGCTGGGAGCTGTGGACCGGAGCTGTACCTATTCAGCCATCTTGGCTCCTCCCTCACTCCTACTTTTTTAATAAAGCAGTTTTTATAAAAATTACAAGTTCTAATATTGTCTTCCATCACTCCTATGGAATGTTTTCATGTCTGCCCTGGAGACGAGTCCACTCTAAACCATTGCTCTTCACGGTATGGTCCACATACCAGCTGATTGAGCATCCTTCAGAAGACTCCTAGAAATGCAATATTCAGGCCCCTCCCCAAACCCACTGCATCAGAATCTGCAAAGCTAGATATCCAGGATAATCATACATACGTTAAAGTGTCATAAACACTGAACTAGAATAAACTTCTGTCCCAGGTGGTAGAAGCCTGGATGTTGGCATTCTGAACACAGGGTCGGGGCTTGAAGATTCACCTTTCTTGTGCAGTCTTCCTTTTAATGCTCTTGCTTTCAGCTCTACGACTCACTCTCAGCAGAGGCTCTGTCCAGTGTTTCCCAAACCACCACCTTTTCCTGGTCAATTTCTTCAGTAATGGAATTTGCATAGAGGCATCATGGTTTTTTGAACCTCAGTGCCTTCACACAGACTTTTTCTGCTTTCCTCTGCCTGACATTTTTTCTCCCTCCTTCTCTCCTTCACATTGCCAACCCCTATTTGTCCTTCCAAGACCCAGTTCAAGTGGCAGGTCTCAGAAACATTTTCTCTGGCCTAACCCCCTCACCATCCCTTACCAATACAAACTCATGAACAACAGAAATGCCTCTTTGGGAGCACTTATATTTCCCCATGTTTACCTCTATCTTTTCATAGG
Organism: Homo sapiens; assembly: GCF_000001405.40. Classification (NCBI taxonomy): domain Eukaryota; kingdom Metazoa; phylum Chordata; class Mammalia; order Primates; family Hominidae; genus Homo; species Homo sapiens. Next base: position 60,252,807 of record NC_000013.11, read on the forward strand.
ACTTAGTAATTGCTACTTTATCTCTATCTTCAACTAAACTGTAAGCATTTAATGGCCTTTACTTCCCCAATACTCAGCACAAGGCCTGGCACATATAGGAAGTTCTCACTATATATCTGTCAAATAAAAGGATGTGTCTGGGGCCCAGTGCAGTGGCTCACACCTGTAATTGTAGCACTTTGGGAGGCCAAGGCAAGCAGATCACTTTAGGTCAAGAGTTCAAGACCAGTCTGGCAAACATGGTGAAACCCCATCTCTACTAAAAATACAAAAATTAGCCAGGTGTGGTGGCACACACCTATAGTCCCAGCTACTCAGGAGGCTGAGGCAGGAGAATCACTTGAATCTGGGAAACGGAGGTTGCAGTGAGCCGAGATTGTGCCACTGCACTCCAGCTTGGGCAACAGAGCGAGACTCCTTCTCAAAAAAAAAAAAAAACAAAAAAAAGAAAGAAATGTGTCTGAACCAACATAGAACAGCTTTCTTCATCTGCAGTTGAAGCACAAATATCCTATAAAAGTGTCTTCATTTATGTCCCAGCAATATGGAGAATTTATCCAGCCTTCTTTTGCTCTGGGCAGCATTTCTACCATCTCTGGTTTCTGATTTGATATCTCATATCTACAGTTGCTCTCTCAGCTTGAACCTTTTGGATTGAAACCAGTTAAGGGCTGGGTGCAGTGGCTCATGCTTGTAATCCCAGCACTTTGGGAGGCCGAGGTGGGCGGATCACGAGGTCAAGAGATTGAGACCATCCTGGCCAACATGGTGACACCCCGTCTCTACTAACAATACAAAAATTTGGCCGGGTGTGGTGGCACGCACCTGTAATCCCAGCTGTTCGGGAGGCTGAGGCAGGAGAATCACTTGAACCCAGGAGGTGGAGGTTGCAATGAGCTGAGTTCGCACCATTGCACTCCAGCCTGGGCAAAAAGATCAAAGCTCCGTCTCAAAAAAAAAAAAAAGTCATATGTAGGAAGCTGAAACTGGATCCCTTCCTTACACTTTATACAAAAATTAATTTGAGATGGATTCAAGACTTAAATATTAGACCTAAAACCATAAAAACCCTAGAAGAAAACCCAGGCAATACCATTCAGGACATAGGCATGGGCAAGGACTTCATGTCTAAAACACCAAAAGCAATGGCAACAAAAGCCAAAATTGACAAATGGGATCTAGTTAAACTAAAGAGCTTCTGCACAGCAAAAGAAACTACCATGAGAGTGAAAAGGCAACCTACAGAATGGGAGAAAATTTTTGCAATCTACCCATCTGACAAAGGGGTAATATCCAGAATCTACAAAGAGCTTAAACAAATTTACAAGAAAAAACCCCATCAAAAAGTGGGCAAAGGATATGAACATACACTTCTCAAAAGCAGACATTTATGCAGCCAACAGACACATGAAAAAATGCTCATCATCACTGGCCATCAGAGAAATGCAAATCAAAACCACAGTGAGATACCATCTCACACAAGTTAGAATGACGATCATTAAAATGTCAGGAAACAACAGACACTGGAGAGGATGTGGAGAAATAACGCTTTTACACTGTTGGTGGAAGTGTAAACTAGTTCAACCATTGTGTAAGACAGTGTGGTGATTCCTCAAGGATCTAGGCTAGAAATACCATTTGACCCCGCGATCCCATTACTGGGAGTATACCCAAAGGATTATAAATCATGCTGTTATAAAGACACATGTATACGTATGTTTATTGTGGCACTATTCACAATAGCAAAGACTTGGAACCAACCCAAATGTCCATTAATGATAGACTGGGTTAAGAAAATGTGGCACATATACACCATGGAATACTATGCAGCCATAAGAAAGGATGAGTTCATGTCCTTTGCAGGGACATGGATGAAGCTGAAAACCATTATTCTGAGCAAACTATCACAAGGACAGAAAAGCAAACACTGCATGTTCTTACTCGTAGGTGGGAACTGGACAATGAGAACACTTGGACACAGGGTGGGGAACATCACACATCAGGGCCTGTCATGGGGTGGGGGGCGGGGGGAGGGATAGCATTGGAAGAAATACCTAATGTAAATGATGGGTTGATGGGTGCCACGGGCCAGCATGGCACACGTATACCTATGTAACGAGCCTGCACATTGTTCACATGTACCCTAGAACTTAAAGTATAATAATAAAAATAAATAAAAACCAAAAAAAAGAAGCCAGTTAAGCTGCCTACCTTTCTTTTCCACATTGACCCTGTATACTAATTCCTGACATAATTTCAGCACCAAAGAGCATACTTTTGTCATTTCAAGGATGTAGTAGAAACGAAATCATAAATGTTATCTTGGAGAACTGGCTTTTTTACTCAGCATAATTCTCTAGAGGTTCATGTAGTTATTACATGTATCAATAGCTTGTTCCTTTTTGTTGCTGAGTAGTAGTCTTTGGTATGAATGCACCATATGTTTAACTCTTCATCCATTGAAGGACATCCCCTCCCCTCCCCTCCCCTCCCCTCCAGTCCTCCTCTCCCCCTCCCCCTCCTCTACTCTTCTTTCTTTTCCTCTTTCTTTCTTTTCCTCTTTCTTTCTTTCTTTCTTTCTTTCTTTCTTTCTTTCAGGCTATTTTTCAAAGTGACTATCATTTTTCATTTTCATCAACAATATGCAAGTAATTCCATTTTTTCATATTCTTTCTAGCATTTGGTGTTGTCACTATTATTTATTTTAGCCAATTTGATAGATGCACAGTGATATCTAATTGTGGTTTTAACTTGCATTTCTCTGATGGCTAATAATGTTGAACATCTTTTCATGTGTTTATTTACTCTCTGTGTGTTCTCTCCAGTGAAGTGTCTCTCCATGTATTTTGCCAATATTCTGATAGTATTTTTTTTTTTTTTACTGTTTAGTTTTGAGAGTTCTTTATATATTCTAGATAGAAGCTCTTTGTCAGATATGTGGTTTGCCAATATTTTCTGCCAGTCTGTGACCAGTCTTTTCATCTTTTAATGAGGACTTTCACCAAGTAAATATTTTAAAATTTGGATAATGTTCAATTTATCATCTTTTTTTATGCATTATGCTTTTGGTATCAGGTCCAAGGAGTCTTTGTGTAGCCCTAATTACTGAAAATTTTGTTTTTTATTAAAAGTTTTGTCATTTCACATCTTAAATTTAAATCTATTATTCATTTCAACTTCATTGTTTGAATAAGTTATAAGACTTAGGCCAAGTTTCTTCATGTTTTCTTGAACTTACGGCTGTCCATTTGATACAGTAGTTTGTTAAATGGGTCATCTTTCTTCCATTGAATTGCTTTTATACCTCTGTCAAAATCTTTTGGGCATAGGTATTAGTCTGTTCCTGCACTGCTGTAAAGAAATACCTGAGACTGGGTCACTTATAAAGAAAAGAAGTTTAATTGGCTCATGGTTCTGCAGGCTGTATAGGAAGCATGGCTGCGGAGTCCTCAGGAAACTTTCAATTATGGTGGAAGGTGAAGGGGAAGCAGGCACAATTTCACATGGCCAGAGCAGGAGGAATTGGGGGTGGGGGGACACACATGCTAAACACTGTTAAACAATCAGATCTTATGATGACTTACTATCACAAGAACAGCACCAAAGGGGAAATCCACCCCTATAATACAATCACCTCCCACTAGGCCCCACTTCCAACCTGAGGATGACCATTTGACATGAGATTTGGGCAGGGACACAGACCCAAATTATATCAGCATAATTGTGTGAATTTATTTCTGGATTCTCTATTCTCTTCCATTGATCTATTTTCTATCCCTCCATTAAGACCACAGAGTCTTGATTAATGTAGCTATATCATAAGTCTTAAAACAGAACTGATTCTTCCTGTTTTATTCTTTTTTCAAAATTACTTTAGCTATTCTAGTTCCTTTGCATTTTCACGTAAAATTTAGACTGATCTTATGCTATTTATCTACCAAAAACCTTGCTGAATTGTGTGAAACCTGCATATCCATTTGCAGAGAAGCAATATATTTACTATTTTGACTCTTCCAATCCATGAACGTTGTATGTCTCTTCATTTATTTATAACATTGATGTCTTACATCAGCATTGTGTGGTTTTTAGTATACAAATCATGTATGTGTCTTGTTAGATTTACACCTAAGTAATTTTTAAAAGCTAATGTAGAAGTATCATGTTTTAAATTTCAGTATCCATTACTAGTATATAGAAATATAATTAATTTTTACATGTAGATCTTGTATCCTGCCACATTGCTAATTTCACTTATTAGTTCTACAAGATTTTTTCTTTTGTAGAATTTGAAATTCTTTCGTCTGTAATAAAGACCATTTTATTTCTTCTTTTCAGATCTGTATGCCTTTTATTTCCTTTTCTTGCCTTATTACACTGGCTAGAAATTCCAGTTTTATGTCAAACAAGGGTAGTAAAAGTAGATCCTTGCAATTTAACATTAAGTATAATGTTAGTTGTAGGTTTCTTTTGTAGATGCTCTTTATGAAGTTGAGTAAATTCCCCTCTACTTCTATTTTTCTGAGAGTTTTAATCATGAATGGGCATTGAATTTTGTCAAATAAGTTGGTCTGCATTGATTTATTTCATTGTGTTGTATTTTTTTCCCTTTGATTAATATAGTGGATTACATCAAATTGATTACATTGAATGATTTTCAAATATTGAATCAGCCTTGCATCACTGGAATAAATCTCTTTTACTTATCATGTATAATTCTCTTTTATATGTTGCTAAATTCTACTTGCTAATATTTTTCTTAAATTTTTTTTGCATCTGTGTTCATGAGAGATATTGGTCTTCAGTTTTCTTATTCTGCACTGTCTTTGTCTGGTTTTGGTATATAGAGTAATACTAGCTTCATAAAATGAACTGGGAATCTTCTCTTCTAGATTTTGGAAGATGTTGTGTGGAATAGGTGTTAATTCTTTAAATGTTTGGTGGAATTCTCCAGTAGAACCAACCATCTGGGACTGAAGAATTCTTGTTTGGTAGTGTTTAAAATTATGGATTTAATTTCTTTAACATTTATAGGTCTATTTCAAATTATCTATTTCATATTGGATGGATTATGGTAGTTTTCTCAAGGAAACTACCTTGAGAAAGGTTGAGCATCCCTCATCTGAAAATTTGTAATCTGAAATACCCCAAAATCTGAAACTTTTTGAGTACCAATTTGACACCACAGTGAAAAATTTCATTTCTGACACCTTTGCTTTGTGATGGTTCAATGTACACAACTTTGTTTCATGCAAAAATCATTTAAAATATTGTATAAAATTACCTTCAGGCTGTGTGTATAAGGTTTACATAAAAATAAATAAATTTTGTGTTTAGTCTTGGGTCTCATCCCCAAGATATTTCATTATGTATATGCAAATCTTCCAAAATTGGAAAAAGAAAATCTGAAACCCAAATTTCTGGTCTCAAGTATTTCAGTTAAGGTATACTCAATCCATATTCCCTTATTATCTTTTGTTATGTCTGGAGAGTTTTTAGTGATATCATTTGTTTCATTTCTGATATTGGTAATTTATCTTCTCTCTCTTTTTCTTTGTTAATAATACTGGAGGTTTTTTTTTTCATACCCCAGTGGCACCTGGAACACCAGTGAGACAGAGCCGTTTACTTCCCCGGAAAGGGGGCTAAAGCCGGGGAGCCAAGCAGTCTGGCTCAGCGGGTCCCACCCCCACGGAGCCCAACAAGCTAAGATCCACTGGCTTGAAATTCTCCTTGCCAGCACAGCAGTCTGGGGTCAACCTGGGACGCTCGAGCTTGGTCGGGGGAGGGGCGTCCACCATTGCTGAGGCTTGAGTAGGTGGTTTTACCCTCGCAGTGTAGAGGTTTGTCAATGTTCTTGATCTTTCCAAAGAACCAGCTCTTTGTTCCGTTGATTTTCTATGTTGTTTTTTTGTTTTTAATTCCATTGACTTCTGCTTTTTATCATTTCCTTTCTTCCACCTGTTTTGGGTTTATTTTGTTCTTCTTTTATCAGGTCACTGAGATGGAATGTTATAGTATTGATTTGAGAATTTTCTCTTGATTCACTTATGCTTTTAGTGTTATAGATTTCCCTCTCATCACTGCTTTAGCTGTGCCACACAAATTTTGACATGTTGTATTTTCATTTTTATTCAGTCCAGTATATTTTGTGATTTCTTCATGCTTCTGACCTTTGTGATTTCTGATGGGCAATCTACTGTCATTTGAATTATTTTTCCCCCATTAGTGAGGTGTCATTTTTTCCTAGCTGCTTTCAATATTTTTTCCTTGTCTATAGTTTTCAGAAGTTTAATCACTATGTGTCTTTTCATGCATTTCTTTGGGTTTTGTCCTGTTTGGGCTTTCCCCAGCCTCTTGAATCTATAGACTTACATTTTCTGCCAAATTTGGGCAGTATTTAGTCACTATGTCTTTGAGTACTTTTTAAAGTATAAATTATTACTTTTTAAAGTACTTAGAGAAATCTTATTTTTCTTCTCCACCAGAACTAGGATGACACAAATGTTAGATCTTTTGTTACAGTTCACCATGTCTTTCAGGCTCTTTTCATTTATTTTTTAGTTTATTTTCTCTCTGTTGTTTAGATTAGGTAATTTCTTTTTTTCCTTTTTTTTTTTTTTTTTTTGGTTTTGAGACAGTCTCGCTCTGTTGCCCAGGCTAGAGTGCAGTGGCGAGATCTCTGCTCACTGCAAACTCTGCCTCCAGGGTTCAATGATTCTTCTGCCTCAGCTTCCCGAGTAGCTGGGATTACAGGTGCCTGCCACCATGCCTGGCTAATTTTTTTGTATTTTTAGTAGAGATGGGGTTTCACCATGTTGGTCAGGCTGGTCTTGAACTCCTGAGCTCGTGATCCGCCTGCCTTGGCCTCCCAAAGTGCTGGGATTACAGGCGTGAGACACCATACCCTGCCAGATTAGGTAATTTCTTTTGCTCTGTCTTCCAGTTTATTGATTCTTTCTTTTGTCCCCTCCATTCTACTGTTGCACTCATTTTTTTTCAGTTATTGTATTTTTAAGTTATAAAGTTCCCCTTTGGTTCCTTTTTATATTTTTTATTTCTTTTCTGGGACTTTCTATTTTTCATTTGTTTCAAGAGTGTTTATACAGTTCATTTAAGTGTTTTTATGATGGCTAATTTAAAATCTATTATTAAAAAAGATTTTAATAATATTTAACATCTGTGTCATCTCACTGTTGGCATTATTGTTAGTATTTTTAGTTAAGTTTAAGGTCTTATTTTTATTTTTCATTTTTTTATGAGATGAGCTCTTGCACTCTCACCTAGACTGGAGTGCAGTGGTACAATCATGGCTCACTGTAGCCTCAATCACCTGGGCTCAAGCTATCCTTTTGTGTCAGCCTCCCAAGTAGCTAGGACTGCAGGTGCATACCACCACACCTAATTTTTTTATTTTTATTTTTTTGTAGAGATAGGTTCTTGCTACATTGCTCAGGTCTTTGTGTTATGATGAGTGATTTTCAAATAAAATCTTAACCTTTTTATATTTTTTAAATGAGACTCTGGATCTTATCTAAGCATTTTACTTTAACTATCTTTCTCTGTCAGGAAAAGGGGAGGGAATCTCTTTGTTACTGCCTGGTGGAGGTAGAAGTCCAAGTTTCCCACCAGCCTCTTTTGACACCTGGGGAAAAGAGGTGCTTCACATTACTGCTGAAACGGTGGGACTTATGGTTCCCCCTGTGGTCTCTGTTGACACTACAGTAGAGATGGCCTTATTATTACTAGTTAATGGTGAAAGCCCCCACTATCCTCTGGGCCTTTTCTGATACCACTCCAGCAGGGACAGGGAGTGGTGCCTCATTACCGCTGAATGGGGGTGGAACTACAGACTCTCAAATGGTTTCCAGCGTTACTATGAGGAGAGGGGATTTATAACCAGTCAGCAGGAATGGATGTCCTGGCTTGTTACTTGGCCTTCTCAAACAGCCCTCTGGTGGGGGTTTTGGGCCATCTAGCTATAGTGATGTGTGATTGAAAGTCTCAGCTCCTAAATCAGCCTTTGCAGGCACGAGTGAGTTTGGGGCCACAGTCTTAACTGTGGTGCTTCGCTCTTATTGTCTAAAAGCTTTCTGCCTTGCTAGACTGTCCTTTTTCTGTCTTTGGCTAGAGAGAGCAGGTTTTTGTTGTGGTTTTTTTTGTTTGTTTGAGCCCACTGGCATTCCAATATTATTGGCTTCTTCAGCTCTAAGTCTGGGATATATGAGGCTAAAAGAAAATTTAGGAAACTCATCCCCATTTCTTTTCCTATGTCCCAAAATCTCTTGTTGGTCTGTCTTCTCTCTACCTTTCAGTGTCTTCTTGTATTTGTTTTATCTGTAAAGCTCAGGGTTTTAAAATTGTGTTTAACAGGACAAATAGGAAAAATACATCTACTCTATTTTCCAAGAAGCAGAAATTCAACACATTCCATTTTAAGATGAGGAAACTAAAACCTTGGGTAAGGATCTGCAGCTACTAGTGGCATGACAGAATTAGAAACCTACTTTTGCAGCACTTCATTCAGTGCTCTCATCATTGTAACAGTGAAATTTGGGTATCTTCTTGATACTGAAAGGATGTGTACCTGTGATGATGTAACAAGAGACAGTGTCATAAAAACACTGTAGGGACTGCCACTGACTCTCGGCAACTTTTTTTCTTTACTCTGTGAAGCAGTGTCATTCATCTGGGGTAATACCCAAGGTTCGTTGTCTCATACCGAGGAAATCAAGGACATGACACACCATAGTGAGATCAAGAGCGGAAGTTTAATAGGCAAAAGAAAGAGAAGAGCTCTCTGTGCAGAGCAGGGTCCTGGAGAAAAATGGGTTGCCAGTTCCCTGGTGAAATGCATGGGGTTTTATAGATGAGCTTGAGGAGGCAGTGTCTAATTTACATAGGGCCCAAAAGATTGGTCAGACCAGGTGTGTCATTTACATAGCACGTAAAGAAGCTGGCTGCTCCACGCTGATCTTTTATTATGCAGATGGGTTCTCTGCCCGGCCGGCGTCATGTTGCCTGTTCCTTTACTGTACAGGTGGTTGACAAAAGGAAAGATGGAGCCTCCATGTTGAACATGCCTGGCCCCCAGGTAGCCTTTTCCTATTGACACAGCTGCTGGAATTCACCCGTGCAAGCTTCCAGCTTGCTTATCTATGTCTGCAGCTCGATTTTACAGCTGTTCTTTGTTAGAAAAGAAATTAGTTGGGGGCTGCTTTTTGTTAAAAGGGAAGCCTTACTGAGGACTCTCTTACCCTAACTGCCTAAATAATTTCTTTTTACTTCCTGTATCATCTGTACTCTTTAAGAACCTCTGCACAGTTTTAGCAGCCTCACCATGTTGCCTGTCTCCGATGATGGGTCCAGAGTTTCCATATATGAGCAGTTTGGAGGCAGGAATGTGAATTTAAAAGAGGGCTGTGAACTTATAGCTATAGCCTAGCAAATGCTCTGTTTTTACTTAATTATATATTTATAGGAGGTAGAGTGGGAGATGGCTGATGGAAATAGGAAGTGTTAAATTGCCTCAAGTCATCCAACCACCTGCCTTATGTATTTTTAAAATTTTATTTTATTATGGCGAGAACACTTAATATGAAATCACCCTCTTAAATTTTTAAGTTGTATAATACAGTATTGTTGACTATAAGTACAATGTTATACAGCAGATTTCTAGAAATTCATCTTGCTTAACTGAAACTTTGTTTGTTGATTACTAATTTTCCATTCCCCCCTTCCCCCAGTCCCTGGAAACCACTGTTCTACTCTTTGATTCTATGAATTTAACTATTTTAGATACCTCATATAAGTGGAATCATGCAGTATTGTTTTTTTGTGACCGAAATATTTCACTTAACATAACGTCTTCCAGGTTCATCGATGTTGTTGCAAGTGACAGGATATCCTTCTTTTTAAAGGCCAAATAATACTCCATTATGTGTATATACAACATTTTCTTTATCCATTCAGACAGATTTGTTTTCATGTCTTGGCTGTTGTAAATAGTGTGTCAATTAACATGGAAGTACTAATATATCTTTGAGATCCTGATTTCAGTTATTTGGGACAAATGTTCCAATGTGGAATTGCTGGATGATATGATAAATATATTTTTAATTTTTTGAGGGACATCCATAGTGTTTTCCATTGCAGCTGTAGCATTCTGCAGTCCCAACAATAGTATGCAAGGGTTTCAACTTCCCCACATCCTTACCAACTCTTCTACAATTTTCCAATTTATATGGAACTACAAAAGACTATAGCTAACTAAATCAATCTTGAGAAAGAGGAACCAAGGTGGAGTCTTCACACTTTCTGATTTTAAATATATTACAAAGCTAAAGTAATCAAAACAGTATAGTACTCAAGTAAAAGCAGACATATAAACCAATGGAACAAAATAGAGACTCCAGAAATAAATCCATACATATATGGTCAACTCTTCTTTGAAAAGGGTACCAAGAAGACACAGTAGGGAAAGAATAGTCTCTTTGAGACTAGTAAGTGATGTGGGAAAACAAGATATCTGCATGCAAAAGAATGAAATAAGACCTTTATTTTGTGCTGTACACAAAAATCAATGGAAATGGATTAAAGACTTAAGTGTAAGACCTGAAACTATAAAACCCCTACAAGGACACATAGGAGAAAAGCTTCTTGACATTGGTCTCAACAATGATTTCATGGAAACTATAGGCTGAATGTTTGTATTCCAAATTTGTATGTTGAGACCTAATCCCCCATGTGTGAGTATTTGGAGATGGGGCCTTTGGGAGGTGACTAGTTCATAAAGATGGAGCCTTCATGAATGGGAATAGTGCCCCTGTGAAAGAGACCAGAGAGAGCTCTTACCCCTGTTGGTTATGTGAGGTTACATATGGAACACATGGAAGTAACAGTGGAAGATGGCCATCTATGAGGAAGTGGGCTCTACTAGATATTGAATCTGCTGGTGCCTTGTTGTAGGACTTCCCAGTCTCCAGAACTGATAGAAATAAATTACCATTGTTTATAAGCAACTCAGACTGTGGTATTTTTTTAAATTTTTTTAATTTTTTTTTTTTTTTTTTTTGAGACAGAGTCTCACTCTGTCACCAGGCTGGAGTACAGTGGCGCCATCTCTGCTCACTGCAACCTCTGCCTCCTGGGTTCAAGCGATTATCCTGCCTCAGCCTCCCTAGTAGCTGGGACGACAGGCATGCACCACCATACCCAGCTAACTTTGGTATTTTTAGTAGAGATGGGGTTTCACCATGTTGACCAGGATGGTCTTGATCTCTTGACCTCATGATCCACCTGCCTTGACCTCCCAAAGTGCTGGGATTACAGGCACGAGCCACAGTGCCCAGCTTGTAGTATTTTGTTATAGCAGTCTGAGCATATTAAGACAATGGATAGGACACCAAAAAGCAAAGGCAACAAAAACAAAAATAAACAAGTAGGACTACATGGAACTAAAAAGCTTCTGCACAGCAAAGGAATCAACAGAGTGAAAAGCCAACCAATAGAATCAGAGAAAATATTTGCAAACCATATATCTGATATAAGGGGCTAATCTCCAAAATATTAAGAAACTCCTACATCTTAGTAGCAAAGAAACTAATAACATGATTTAAAAATGGGTTAAGGACTTGAATAGACATTTCTCCAAACAGTACATACAAATGTCCAAAAGGCATATGAAAAAATGCTCCTCATCAGTAATCAAGAAATGCAAATCAAAACCTCAATGAGATATCACTTGTCTTGTTTTAAGCTATAATGATAACAATATGCTGATATGATAGCCTCTGTTCGTTTTAATTAATTAATTTAGGAAGACGGGATATTTAGGTTAACATAAATTGGAGGTTATCTTTGACATCTGAAGATTAAAGAACACCTTAATGAGTAAATTTGCTTATTTTGCCCCTACTGTTGGCATCAGGTACACATCTATATCCACATAAAAGCAGAATCTGTCACTTCTGAGTTCCGCTTATCCTTGCATAAGTCTCAAGTATCAAAATTGATTTTTGAAAATGTTAATTTGAAAAACAGCAGAGGTAAGATTCAAGGATGCTTGCTCTTAGAAAAGGATTATTTATTAAAGGAAAGACTTGTCTTTTGAAAATTATTATCATAATTATCACTAAGAACCCAATTCTATATTTCTTATTAAGGCAAAATCCCTATTAGGCTAACACAAGAAGGATGTTGATTGCAGTAGGATATCTGTCTGAGTGGGGCTAAGTAATCAGCTTTGAAATGTCACTCAGAGGGAATTAGCAGGGCACAGGCTATTTTCTGGCAGATCTCAATACATTTTTTTTAATTGTCAAGGATTTGACATTGGCCTTGCATAGGTTATTATTTTATATAACTCCAGAAGCAATATTTAGGACTCAAAAAATTATATTGGAACAAAGAAAATAGCATAGAAGTCCAAGGAGCCACATCAACTCACTGACTATGTTGAGAGTCACTGAATCATGTACTCCTAAAGTCATTTGGTCCCAACCCACACTGGTGAATAATTCTTTTCTGCAGTCACCTTGCTACAGTGTTTTTCCATCTCATGCCAGGAAAATTGGAGACCTGCAATGACAGGACAGGCCATTTCAGTCTCTGTGTGCTGACTTCCTTGTCTTCATTTGTAGGTCTTGACTCTATTCCTTGGGGTCATGCAAGGGTTTTGTGAGTAAATAATGAGAATGCAGTTTAGCCTAAATCATTTAAAAACATTAAAAACCTTAATACAATAGGCACTTGACATTTTGAAAGGTTACATGACAAAACTTTTAATATTCTCCAGACATGAAAATGTTGCTATAGAACATAATTGCTTCCCTAAAGTGTATCAAGTTCTAAGTAGCAAACTACAGCCACCCACCACTGAGTTTCCACATGCTAAGAAGTTGACTAGTTTTATTCACTCCCTAAGAATTTGATAAAACACTTTATCTCTGTAATTTCCACAGCTTATTCATTTCTTCATTCCTTTACTCATTCTACAGAAATGTTTGAAGGCCTAGTCTGTGACAGGTACTGTACTAAGCTCTAGGTATTTTGGGGAATAAAACAAATGTAATCCTTGCCCTTAGAGTGTTAACAGTCTAGAAAGAGTATCAAAACAAGAACAGAATAGACAAGTAAATAAATATAAATTACGCTAAGTGCACCGAAGGAAACAAACACATAATACATAGTATTACGTATTGCAGAGGAAGACCTCTATTTTTATTTATTTATTTAGAGATGAGGGTCTCACTATATTGTCCAGGCTAGAGTGCAGTGGCTATTCACAGGCACAGTCACCACGTGATATAGCTCAGATCTCCTCCACTCAAGCAATCCTACTGCCTCCGCCTCCTGAGTAGCTGGACTACGGGCATGTGCCACTGTAATGCCTAATGTTCTTGCCTAGCCACGCCAAAGAATTGGTGTGGCGGCTGACTGCGGCGAGTGATAGAGACACAGACTGAGGAGAGTGGGGCTGAGGGAAGAGGCCCTGAGTATGGAGGCAATTGTGGGCCTTTGTCATTTGGGCAAAGCTTGCAGGCTTGGCACAGGGCAGTATTGTCACAAAGGGCAAAGAAAGCCTGTGCATAAGGGACTTCACTCCATTTACCTTCCTTTTTACAGAAAAGATCTAGTTGTAGAATGGTGTTATAATTAATACTTCCCTCAGGGGGCCAAGTTTCTCCATTTTGTAAGGAGTACTGTGGCCAGGCATTGGTACAGAAGAAAATCAGCCGCTTCTTTTTTAAGGTTTCAGGGTTGAATTTGTTCCAGTAATTCAGGATACATCTTAAGGGAGTGTCCAGTTTTGAAGGTGTGATGCCCATCTGGAATTTTAAACACAGGGACGCCCGCACCCCTGGTTAGTCCTGGGACTTGTCTTCCCTTAGGGTATTCCCTAAGGGTCAGGTCCAATTGTGCTCAAAGCTCATGGCCACTTTTCCTGAGCTCTCCATCTACAGCATTTAACCATGCTTACCAGCAGGGTGGAAACTTCCCTTGCCCCTGCCATGGGCCCATTGACCACTAAATGGAGCACAAGGATTGTTGGATTTATGGTGGTCCTTCTGCCAACACATCCTACCTGTTCCAGGGTGGCAAGGCTTGGGTCAGGGGCACCACTGATGCTTGCATACTAAGGCCCAATTTATGTGGGCCTGGCCATAAAACCGTCTTTCAAGGAGAAATCTCTGAATTAGCCACAGGAGGCTTAGTAAGCTTAAAGGAGGTAGTGGATGTCCTCTAGGCCAGGGCCAAGAGAACAGCTGCTGTACTTTAGCCTTCTGTCCCCATTTGCCATCAAAGGAGTAAGCCCCCCTCTCAAGGCGGTACCAGTATCCTGTGTCCCAGTTGACCATATTTTCTTCCATCCAATACCAATTATTGAATGGTTGAAACAACAATTCAACGGCTCTAAGACCTGTGCCTATGCACCACAGATTGTACTTGAGAGGCACCAAGGAAGGGGAAAATTTATCTGGGGAGCAATGGAGGAAATGCCCTAAGGCTTCTATTATCCACATGAAAATTACAGACCTGCCTTTAAATTGTCCTGATGTGGGGGACCATACACCATGGTGGGGAACTGGCCCTTCAAAATAGCCATCAAATGGCGACATCTGCCTAAACCCTGGAGGGAACCATGAACAGGGATCTTTTGGGCACCACCTGAAGAATTAAAGACTTCTAAATAGGGAATCTTGATCCTGCCTAGCGGGAATAACCTTGCTTATGAGATTAGGAAAGAAGTCTAACTGGCGGACATTAGGACCCAGGAGGCAGGAGTCAGAAGATGTGGCTGTCTCACGCTCAGTAACCTGTGCAGGGGGAGCCTCTGGTGGGGCCATGGTCTCAACCAGGATATCCGGGAGACTAAGACGTCTGCTGAGCACTCCCGGTGTACCTTGGGACCACCACAGAAAGCAAAAGAGTTGGAACTGGTTCCAGGCCAACCGGCCAACCAACGCTCCCAAACCCGAAGGGTCAGGGGTTGTCACAGAGCCCTTTTCCGGACAGCCTGACACCTGTGTCTTTAGTCCGGTGGCCGTGCTAATCGCCTTTAAGTGGCCAACAGGTGCCCGGTTTAGCCTCCGAATTCTAAGGAAGGACAGGACAGAATAGCAAGTGAAAGAGGTCCGATCATACTCACCATGTGACGATCTAGATGCCTTTCCTGGAGACTCCTGGCTGGCTCGCCAAAATGTAACACGTAAGGTTCTTGCCTAGCCACACCAAAGAATTGGTGTGGCAGCTGACCGCAGCGAGTGATAGACACAAGGACTGATAGAGAGAAAAAGCGGTAGGCTTTATTGAGCAGAGTGAAAGTACAAAGCTTCCACAGCGTGGAAGGGGTCCCTCCCGAATGGGTAGCCAGAGTTAGATTATACAACTGCCTTTTAAACTCTTTAAGGTGGGAAATACGTGCAGCGGGAAGATGTTACCAGAGCAAGAAAAAAAGACAACCATTTGTGACATGTCTTAGATCTTAAGGAAAACCGGAATTGCAACTTAGGTTTTATTTATTTTATGACCTCGCAGCGGCATGGCAAAGGAGACAGCATCTTACAGGACTTTACAAAGTATGTTCACAAGGAATTGGGATTGGGAGTATAGATAAGGTCCACTGGTCACAGAAAAATGGCCAGTTAACATTCTTTTTACTTTAGTTTCGGGGGAGGGGGAAGGGGAGAGAGGGAGAGAGGACACAGAGAAACGTACAGGAAAATTTTCGCTGTTTATGGCTTTCTTGGGGAAGAAAACACATGCAGAAATCCTGGTGTTAGGAATAGTTTAAGCATGTATCTTCAATATTATCCATCCAGGACCAAAGTAAGTCCTGATGCAGGAAATAAGGGAGTTTCACAGCTTTCTGAGCCCCTACTCGACCCAGGAAGCCCAGCCAGCCCCTCCTCTCACCACTGCACTGGGCTGTAGAGGAAGGCAATAGAAGAACAGCATATGTAAAGTTCCTGAGAATGGAAAAAGCATGGGGCCTTTGAGTATTGAAAGAAGGTCAGTGTGGCTGCAGAGTAGTGAGAAAGGGGAAGGGGCCGGGAGATAGTTGAGTTTTGTGAGACAGGAAATAGCCAAATCATATGGGGTCTTTGTAGACCATAGTAAGGAGTTTGGATTTTATTCTCATGCAGTAGGAAGCCAATGAATGGGTTTTAATAGAAAAGTGACATGTTCACAGATCAGGTCAAACTCATGGCAATCCAGAGTAGCCATTTTGCAGTAGGGTCTAAAATTTGCTTGTTAACTCGAAGGAAAGGCAGCCAGTAATGATCTGTGATATAAGAAGATGACTGTAGTTGTTGTGGAGAAAACCGGTTTTTGGAGTCATGTCAGTACCCAGTAGAGAAGCCTGCAAAATAGTCAATGTGAGATGGTAGCTTAGACTAGAGTGTCAGTGGTGGAAGTGAAGAACAGTGGAAGGATTCGATGTACATTTTCAATGTAGAAATGACAGAGAGATTGTGTTGATACGGTGTAACCAGAATGAGTATCGTTGCTGAAGTGGAGGAGTTTGGGGAGATAAGAGTGGTGGGTTGCCTTGATTGTGTGGTTTGGGACTGCCTTGTTGCTTGTGAGATGCTGGGAGATGTCTGAGAGCAGATAGCTAGCAGGAACCTGCAAACCAGAACTCTGAGGAGAGGTTTTGGGTGTAAAGTTGGTATTCGGGGGCATATAAATGGAATTTAAAGTCATGGGAACTGAAGAGATCCCCTAGAAAGAGGGCAATAAGGAAGAAAAGAGAGCTCAGGACTAAATCCTGGGGAAACGCAACAATTAGAAGTCAAAAGGAGATAGGGGTTCACAAGGAGTGTGAGGAGGATTTGGCAGAGAGATAGAAGGAAACCCAAGAGAGGATGGTGTCAATTAAGGAAAGAGTTAAGGGTAGAAGGGGAGAAAGAAAGATAAACTGCCTACTGTATTGAATACTGGTAAGGAAGAGGCTGGTTCTTAATTTCAAAGAGCATAAACATCAAATCAAATTTAGAAGTATTTATCATACTTATTTCATGTGTATTTCACCTACTATCATGTTTCTCCTGCAGGAGTGATGACTACTATCTGATTCATGAGCACTGTCAAATCTCATACTTTAAAAAAAGACTTTAATCTTTTTTTCTTCATAAATTTTGATTCTCCCTGAATTCTCTGGATAATTTCCACAATTCTCTTTATTTTGCTAACATATGCAGAATCTATAATCTTCAAGTCTTCACTTTTCAAATGCAAAACTATTTTAGAAGCAGTTTATTGTCTTTTGAAAATTATCCATGTTCATTTAAAAACAGATTAGCTCTTCACCTTCAACGTATTTGAATTGTCATGTTACAGGAGACTTGGAATATTAAGCTTATCGGAAAGTTAGGACAAGTTTTCCCTAGAGGGTGGAGAGTAGTTTTAAATTCGAAGTGGAAAAAAAGTTCCATATCTTAAAATAGAAGCAAATTTTTTCTCTGTTTCACATTCTCTCAAGATATCCTCAATCCTTTTTAAACTCTCTATTTATTATTAAATACAAGCAATTTAGCTCCTTTGTAAGGTTATGCAAATAACTCATCCAGAATTAGCATTTAACATGCAATTCTTATATCCACACAAATGTTTTGTATAAAGTTGTTTTAAAAAGATTCAAATCTTTATAATTAGGAAGGGAAAATATATTAATAGGAATAAAGGGATACTCTGCTAATCTCCCATATGTAAATTAGCTTATAATTTCCATCATTTACTTTAGAAGCAACAGAACAATGGAACTTTTATTCTTCAATATTGCTGTCTCTCTCCTTCTCCAGCCAGAAAGTCTGTGCTTATACATGTATATCTAAAGAAAAATAACAAGGAATGTTAAATATTTTAGTTTTGTGGGAGAGAGATGGTTGGGTAACTTGTGAGTGGGATTGAAGTTGATACTCTGTGCTTTGGCAGCCTAAGGGATAAAATGCAATGTAGACCCTCTTGGGTTCTCATTTCAACTGCTTGCATTTCCTTTTGTTCTTTGTTAGTGGGGCTGGATTCACTCCTGCCTACCTGGAACCTTCCTCCACAGCTTCTCACTCCTTCCCCAATCTTTACATAGAGGACATTCTCGTAGAATGTATGAGGAAATTGTTCATTTCCTTAAAGTGCTTTCTCTTTGCTTTAGTCTTTAGCTTAGTCTTTGGAAAAGAAGATCATGCAAACTGCAGATAAACATTGGTTAACAGTATAGGCTAGGTTCTTCCATCTCACTTACCTTCTGGAGCTTGGCTTGTATCTTCCAAGATACCAGAAATCAAGTGCACTGTCCTGGGAGTTTGGTATAAGTTGGTAAACTGGAAGTAGGATTATGAAGGATTCAAAACTAAGTCAGACAAAGAACTGTTGAAAGGATTAAGTCGTTGACCCTGGAAGTGGAAAGGGGAGCTCTGAAGAGACTTTAAACAGAAAGTGGAGGCTGAGGCTGAGCGTGGTGGCTCACGTCTGTAATCCCAGCACTTTGGGATGCCAAGGCGGGTGGATCACTTGAGGTCTGGAGTTTGAGACCAGCCGGGCCAACATGGTGAAATCTTGTCTCTACTAAAAATACAAAAGCTGTAATCCCAGCTACTTGGGAGGCTGAGGCAGGAGAATCACTTGAACCTGGGACGCAGAGGTTGCAGCGAGCCAAGATTGTTCCACTCCACTCCAGCCTGGACAACTGAGTAAGACTCTGTCTCAAACAAATAAAATAAAATAAATAGAAAGTGGGTTTAAATATGTGTCTTACAGTTGCCAAGTGGTAGAACTAGGAAAATGGGTGAAACGTTTAAGGGATGCATGTTTCTCCTTCAACAAACATTGAAGAAACTGCCAGGTATCGGGTAGAGCTCTGAGAAACTAGATGCAAGATGGAAATCAGCACTTATTCACTTCAAGGAAGTTACTGTCCAGTGGGAAAGACATGCAAGCAAACAATTATAACAGATCATGATAAATGCAAACAATACGTATTGTATTCAGTGAGAGAATAGAGGAAGGCAGCCTGTATCTGCCTTGGGGACAGATCTGCTTGGACTATCTGCTTGCGGGTGCCAAGGGCAGCTCCTCCATCCTCACTGACACCACTTCATGCAAAATTCCATTATCTTTCATCTGAGTTTCTGAAACTGTCTCAGAGCTGGTCTTCCTGCCTTCAGCTTTGCTGCTTCAATTCTTTCATCCACATTGCAGACAAAGTAATATTTCCAAAAAGGAAAACCTGATTCCCCCACTAAAAGCCTTCAATAACTTTTGATTACCACAAAAACAAAATCCAAATGCTCAAGGGCCCCTGCTTCAATCTCTAACCTTTTCTTGCTCCCCACATTTAAGCTCTATTTACAAAGAACTACTTGCCACTTTCCTAAGTCACCATTTCTTCCTAACTCCTGGGCTTCTGCACATGTAGCTCTCTGCCTGAAACCAGCTTCCCTCAAAATCCACACATATAGAAGTAAAAAAAGAGAACAAGTTTGCATGCACACACATATTGTGCATATATCCATGTGCACCCACCCCCACACACTTCCCATTTCTACCCTTGCCTTACTAACTCGTTCTTTCTTCCTCTGGTCCGCAACACCCCAAGACTCAGTGTTATTCCTCCTTGTGGGTACACTCCTATGTGGCACCCTCTGTGCATACCTAATCAATGAACTCATCACGCTGTATTGTACTTGGCTGTTTACTTTTCCATCTTTTTGTTGTTGCTGTTGTTGTTTTTGATACGAGTCTTACTTTGCTGCCCAGGTTGGAGTGCAGTGGTGCAATCTTGGCTCATTGCAACCTCTGCCTCCCGGGTTCAAGCGATTCTCTGGCCTCAGCTGGAATTACAGGCATGTGCCACCATACCCAGCTAATTTTGTGTTTTTAGTAGGGAAGGGCTTTCACCATGTGGGCCAGGCTAGTCTTGAACTCCTGACCTCAGGTGATCTGCCTGCCTTGGCCTCCCAAAGTGCTGGGATTACAAGAGTGAGCCACCACGCCCAACCCCATCTTTTTTTACTGGAGGAAAATCTGCTTGAGTGTGGGGACCACATCTTATTCCTCATTATATTCCCAGCAGCTACCATAGTTCCAAGTACATTGTAGAATGTGACTATATATTTGTTTAATAGATGAGTAAATGAATAGCATTTTGAAGAATGCTATCCAAAAATGTGAGAACGTTCTCACATTTTTGGGTAGTATACAAATATATGTTACATATCTCAGTTGAGTGATGGTTCTAAAAACTTTGGAAGGTTCTTCAAACCAAAAAACTATGATTATATAAATCTGTCTTAGATCATTTTTAGAAAGAGGTAATAAATAAGTAAATAATCCATGAACTATTTCTTACCTATGGGCAGTGTGATGGTTAATTATACGTTGACTTGACTGGGGTGTGGGATACTCAGATATCTGGTTAAACATGATTTCTTGGCATGTCTGTGAGGGTGTTTCTGAAAGAAATTAGCATTTGAATTGGTGGACTAAGTAAAGCAGATTGTCCTTCCCAATGTGAGTGGGCATTCTCTAACCTGTTGAGGGCCCAAATATGACAAAAAGGTGAAGTGAGGTTGAATTATTTCTCTATACCTGACTACTTAAGCTGAGGCATTGATCTTCTCCTGCCCTTAAACTAGGACTTACCCCATTAATGCTCCCAGTTCTTAGGCCTTTGGGCTCAGAGTAGGATTGATATCACCAGCTTTCCTGGGTCTTTAGCTTGCAGGTAGCAGAGGGCATGAAGAAACTGAGGCCCAGAGGGGTGAAGTGAGATGCTCTTAGTCACAGATAGGCTCTAAATTCTTGCCCCAGTACTTTCTACCACAGTCCACCATTTCACAAATAAGGCTGCTTGAGTTATTTGGAATTTCACTCCCCATCTTATTTCTAATTATTTTAGACCAGATTTTCCCTGAGAGAATGAGTTCCTAGTGGGAGCCCAACACTGGTCAAAGCAAGTCTGTTCTGTCAAGGACTCTAAGAGACTCTTTCCTTCTGGCGTCTTTCTTCTAGACTCAGTTAACCAAGAGAAGGGACTCAAGGTGTACATTTGTCTTGAAAGTGAGGCCTCACAGCATCAACTAGGGGAAAGTACTAAGAGTAAGTCTAAGGCTGACTTTCTTCCTTCAGGCTCTCAGGATGGCAGTTGTTCTGGATCCACCTGGATTCCTCATGTTGCTGTTGCCAGGCACATCCATGCCAACCTCCAGGTGTCTCCTTTCCATCAAAAAGGTGGTGCTATTTAGACAGGACTTTCCTCAGGAATGCAATGATTATTGTGAAATCTGCATAATTTCACCTTTTGTCAGTCATGAGACAGGAGCAGTCCTCCATCAGATGATAAGGGTGCCTAAGTTACTTTCTCAGCCTTACAGGCAGCTCCATAAGTGACCATCCTGCCCCTCTTTGTTGGTTCTATGAAAAGAATTCAGGTTATGTCAATAAACAAAACATTTATGGTGAAAAAACATATGGGAATGAGGAGAGCAAGTGCCTCAGGGGATTAGAAAAAGGCCTACCTCAAGGCCTCATGGAGAAGGTTTGTATTCTGGTATTTTGTGATTAACATGACTTAACTTCTGTCTCCTGTTGTTTCTGAGGAATTTCTTTCTACATGTGCATTTTATACTTTATGACTATGGCATTAATGGCCTCTGCAAATGGCCTTCTCTGCAGTCCTTTTACCTTCAACCCCTCTGCTAATTGCTCAACTCTGTTTTTTATTTCACTTTCAAATTCCTGGGAGAAAAATCTCATTGCCCTGCCTAATCAACATCATCCCTTGCTAGACAAAGCTGTTCTGTCAAACCACCTAATAAACCTCTGGATATTGGCTGGCCTTTTATCACTTGGTCTAGGAAATGTTGTGTTATATAAAATGTTATATAAAACGCTTAAAAGTGGGGGCAAAGCGGTCGCTGCCTTGGTGTCCCTGTCATGCTTCCCAGCAGTGGCCTAGCAGAAAAGTAAAAGATATCTGAATATATTCGCGTACCGAAGATGAGAAGGATGAGCCCATTGAAATACCATCGGAAGACGATGGGACGGTGCTGCTGTCCATGGTTACAGCCCAGTTTCCAGGGGTGTGTGGGCTTCGCTACAGAAATCCAGTGTCTCAGTGTATGAGAGGTGTCCGGTTGGTAGAAGGAATTCTTCATGCCCCCGATGCTGGCTGGGAAATCTGGTGTATGTTGTCAACTATCCTAAAGATAACAAAAGAGAAATGGATGAGATAGATGCTTCATCAGCTGTGAAAGTGAAAAGAGCAGTCCAGAAAACATCTGATTTAGTAGTGTTGGGTCGCACATGGAAAACAACTGAGCAGGACCTGAAAGAATATTTAAGTACCTTTGGAGATGTTCTTATGGTGCAGGTCAAGAAAGATACTAACACTGGTCATTCAAAGAGGTTTGGCTTCGTTTGTTTTACGGAAGATGAAACACAGGTGAAAGTAATGTCACAGCTACATATGATAGATGGACGATGGTGTGACTGTAAACTTCCCAATTCTAAGCAAAGCCCAGATAAGCCTTTGAGAAGCATGAAAGTGGGGCGCTGAACAGAGGACATGATTGCAGATGAGCTGCGGCAGTTCTTCTGTCAGTACGGGGAAGTGGTGGATGTCGTCATCCTCAAGCCATTCAGGACGTTTGCCTTTGTTACATTTGCAGATGATCAGGTTGCACAGTCTTTTTGTGGAGAGGACTTGATCATTAAAGGAATCAGCATTCATATATCCAATGCCGAACCTAAGCACAACAGCAATAGACAGAAAGAAGTGGAAGATTTGGTGGTAATCCAGGTGGCTTTGGGAATCAGGGTGAATGTGGTAATAGTAGAGGGGGTGGAGCTATTTTGGGAAACAATCAAGGTAGTAATATGGGTGGTGGGATAAACTTGGGTGCATTCAGCATAAATCCAACCATGATGGCTGCAGCCCAGGCAGTGCTACAAAGCAGTTGGGGTATGATATGCATGTTAGCCAGCCAGCAGAACCAGTCAGGCCCATCGGGTAATAACCAAAGCCAAGGCAACATGCAGAGGGAGCCAAACCAGGCCTTCGGTTCTGGAAATAACTCCTATAGTGGTTCTAATTCTGGTGCAGCAATTGGTTGGGGATCAGCATCAAATGCAGGGTCGGGCAGTGGTTTTAATGGAGGCTTTGGCTCAAGCATGGATTCTAAGTCTTCTGGCTGGGGAATGTAGACAGTGGGGTTGTGGTTGGTTGATATAGAATGGTGGGAATTCAAATTTTTCTAAACTCATGATAAGTATATTGTAAAAATACATATGTACTAAGAATTTTCAAAATTGGTTTGTTCAGTGTGGAGTATATTCAGCAGTAAGGAGGTATACCTAATGTAAATGACAAGTTAATGGGTGCAGCACACCAACATGGCACATGTATACATATGTAACAAACCTGCATGTTGTGCACATGTGCCCTAGAACTTAAAGTATACATATACATATGAAGAGCTAAAGGAATTTTATAAGTTTTGTTACAAGAGCTTGGCACGGTGGCTCATGCCTGTAATCCCCACACTTTGGGAGGCTGAGGCAGGTGGATCACGAGGTCAGGAGTTCAAGACCAGCCTGGCCAAGATGGTGAAACCCCGTCTCTACTAAAAATACAAAAGTTAGCCGGGCACAGCGGCAGGTGCCTGTAATCCCAGCTACTTAGTAGGCTGAGGCAGGAGAATCGCTTGAATGTGGGGGGCGGAGGTTGCAGTGAGCTAAGATCGCACCACTGCACTCCAGCCTGGGTGACAGAGTGAGACTCCATCTCAAAAAATAAAAAAAAATATATAAATAAAAATAAGTTTTGTTACATGAAAGGTTGAAATATTGAGTGGTTGAAAGTGAACTGCTGTTTGCCTGATTGGTAAACCAACACACTACAATTGATATCAAAGAGTTTCTCCTGTAATATTTTATCCCTGGACTTGTCAAGTGAATTCTTTGCATTTTCAAAATGGAAACCATGGATTAGAACTACATTCTTTACTCCTTGTTTTAATGTGAACCCCACCATATGAATTTTTTTCCTTAAGAAAATATCCTTTTGGGAGATCATGGTGTCACAGTGTTTGGTTCTTTTGTTTTGTTTTTTAACATTTGTCTCCCCTCATATACAAAAGCACAATATGAAGCCTTCATTTATTCTCTGCAGTTCATCTCACTTCAAATGTTTATGGAACAAGCATTTCATTGAAAGTAGTGCTGTAAATATTCTGCCATAGGAATACTTCTGTCTACATCCTTTCTCATTCAAGAATTCGTCATCACGCATCACAGGCCGTGTCTTTGATTTTTATCCACTACTCTTTATTTCATGGAGTTGTATCAACGCTATGAACGCAAGGCTGTGATATGGAACCAGAAGGCTGTTTGAACTTTTGAAACCTTGTGTGGGATTGCTGGTGGTGCCAAAGCATGAAAGGCTAGTATGAGCAAGAAAGGGAGAAAGTGCGTGCAGAGACTTGGTGGTGCATAATGGATATTTTTTAACTTGGTGAGCTATGTCTCTCAATCCTGTGGCTTCGGTGAAAGAGTGTGCAGAAAGCAATGATAGCAAATAATGTGCAAATGTTTTTTGCATTCAAAGCACATCCACATCTGTTGGAAGACCTTAAATGAGTTTTTGTTCTTAGATAACCCACATTAGTTGAATGTGTTAAGTAAAACGATACTTGTACCCCCCCCCCCCACCCCTTTGTCAACTGCTGTGAATGCTGTATGGTGTGTGTTCTCTTCTGTTACTGATATGTAAGTGTGGTGATGTGAACTAAAGCTGATGGGTTGAGAACATGGACTGAGCTTGTAATGTGCTTTGCAGGAGTACTTGGAAGCAGAGTTCACCAGTGAGCTCAGGTGTCTCAAAGAAGGGTGGAAGTTCTAATGTCTGTTAGCTAGCCATAAGAATGCTGTTTGCTGCAGTTCTGTGTCCTGTGCTTGGATGCTTTTTATAAGAGTTGTCAATGTTGGAAATTCTTAAAACTGATTTAAATTAAAAAAAAAAAAACACTTAAGAGACTGTCTAAATTTGCTTTCCTTAACCAGCAGCTGTGGATGGGGGATTCCTAGGAAAGCCAATAAACTTTGGCCTAACTACTCTGTACCCGAGAAAGAAGTTTGAATGTGGTGATGGTGTTTCCTCTCTCCTTGTGAGACTTCACTGTCAGCACCTCATGTTCATGCATGAAATGAAGTGACTCCATAGCTTCCAGGCAAATAATAAACCAGGCTGCTCTTTCTGATCTCCCCAAAAGATTCCAGATCCCTGTTGAAAAAACTTTGGTAGCCTAAATATGGAAAACAACTTTAGATTCCTATATGCTCAACTTTATTCCATACAGTAATTTAGGCAACAAGAAAACTGGATGATGGGCCCCTTTGAACCAAACCTTAAATGCACTTTGAAATGTGATTTATTTTCAGAAAAAGTGCTTATTGGCTAAAAATCCAACCTTGTGATAATTTGGATATTGTAAATGATGCAACTGTGCTTTGGCCATCTTTATGGACGAAGGTGCTCCTGAGTTATGGATGATTCATCCCTCACTGTACAAAGCATTTGGCATTACTAAATGAAGCTTAAATTGGAGAGACACCATATATTACACATGGAAAAAATTTGCATTTTAACATCTCCAGAATGCTATTAAATATCTCAGAAAGATCCATAAAGGAAAGTGTGTCCTAGAGCTTGAAATAGAAAGTGATTGGAAAAGGTAGAAATAGAGTTCCTATTTTTCAGAAAGGAGCCATATCATCCCATAAATCTTTGAAAAGAAGTTTTCTTGGGCTTTGCTCTAAGCATTCAAATGCTTCCCAGGAGCACCTTGACCTTAAATTAACATTTATAGAGTTTAGCTGACATCAAGCTTTGCAGTTTAATGGAAGGCTTAAAGTTGAAGAAGGTAAGTAGTCTAAATTGGTAGTGTATATTAAGTCCTGAATAAGGATGCATTTCTACAACCACCACCATTTTCACTTATTTCCCCCTCTAGAACAATAATAACAATTGGTAAAATATATGAAATGCATTTTCATTCATGAATAATACATTTTTATATGTTAACCTCATGGAAAAAGGAGCAGTTCAACAGTAACTGCAGCATTAATGCTGTCATCTTAAGAAAGGGTATATAGGTGACAATGTTTGCACTATATGACCTTGATAATGTTGTTTTCTGTAGAACCTGTGATTTAAATGTGGGTTTTAAGAAATATTAACCAAGTGTTAAAATAATAAAGCAGCACCTTTAAACATGAAGAAAAGAAGAAAATATACAGTGTTGCCTACAGATTCTATTACAGATCAAATGAAAATGAGGTAAGTTCCATTCTGCTTAAACCAGGAGTGCATTCTAAGTAGAATATGAATGTCTGGGGAGTAATATATAAAGCATGAAGATGGTTTTTTAATACTGCTAATGAGTTGCCCCTTGGTTGTATTGCAGATAAAAACGGGTTTCCAATATACATACACATTTCTACAGTGCATAAAGCCTGATTTATAAACGTTCAGCATTAGCACACAAAGGAAAAGTCAATTTCTTCAGGTGTTTAGTCTGTCAGAATAACAGTGACTTGGCCTCTAGGAAAGATGTTTTCAAAACAGGAGGCAACTAGGAGAGTTAGTTCTGCTCTCAGATCTAGGCAAAAAGGCTCCAACTCTGGGCCCTGGGTTGGGCTGGGAGCAGGGTAGCAGGGACCCGGTCCTGTCCTCCTCTCCCCATTGTGTGTTGGAGCAACTTCCTCAAAAGCTTCTAAGCCCTCCTTCTGTGGCTGAGACCAGCCAGAGCAGCAGTGCCATCCCAGCAGGATGACCTGAGCTGGACCAACACCTGTGGGGTGCCCTGGACCCCATGGCTACCCATTAAGGTACTCCAATCCTCTCCCCATGTCCAAAGTGTAAGTCACCCAGATTCCCTTAGGAATCCCAGTACTCGAATCTGTGGGACCATCCTAGGGCCCTGCGGCCAGTTGCCAGTTGCCAGTTCCCAGAGGACAGCCTGGTGAGCAAGTGATTCTTGCTGGAGGCTCAGTATTTCTTTTGCTGGATTGCATGAGATGAACCATCAGAATGTTGCTAACGAGCTGATTTGGGGTGACTCAAATTGTTTATGTAGACAGTAGCTCTTTAAAAATATATTAACGGTCTGAGTGTGATGGCTCATGCCTGTAATCCCAGTACATTGGGAGGCTGAGGCAGGCAGATCACTTGAGGTCAGGAGTTTGAAACCAGCCTGGCCGACATGGTGAAACCTCGTCTCTACTAAAAAATACCAAAATTAGCCAGGCATGGTGTCGTGCACCTGTAATCCCAGCTACTCAGGAGGCTGAGGCACAAAAATTGCTTGAACCTGGAAGGGTGGAGGTTTCAGTGAGCCGAGATCATATCACTGCACTTCAGCCTGGGCAAGAGAGCAAAACTCTGTCTCTAAAAATAATAATAATAAATAAAAATATATTTACCTTCCTCCTTCCATCCCAAGGTAAGGGTGGCCCCGTAGTTAGTTATAGTAAGCAATAAAGATTACAATCTAGCCAGATTAAAGTAAGACGAGAAAGTTTCCCTTTCTTCAAAGTTGATGACATATATATCACTTATATAAGAGCCAGGAAATAAATTAGTTTTTTGTTAGTGGAAAGTCTGTGAAAATGAGGTGCTTCATAAGAAAAAGAAGGCCGGTGTGGTGGCTCATGCCTATAATCCCAGCACTTTGGGAGGCTGAAACAGGAGGATTGCTTGAGTCCAGGAGTTTGAGACCAGCCTGGGCAACATAGTGAGACCTTGTCTGTACAAAAAATGAGCAAAATTAGCTGAGTGTGGTAGTGTGCACCTGTAGTCCCAGCTACTAGGGAGGCTGAGGCAGGAGGATCACTTAAGCCTGGGAGATCAAGGCTGCAGTGAGCCGAGACTGCCACTGCACTCCAGCCTGGGCAACAGAGTGAGACCCTTTCTCAAAAACAAAAACAAAAGCAGCAGCAGCATGAGGAGGAGGAGGAAGAAGAATAAAAAGGAGGAGGAGGAAGAGGAGGAAAGGAAGGAAGGAAGGAGGAGGAGGAAGAGGAGGAAAGGAAGGAAGGAAGGAGGAGGAAGAAGAAGATAGAAAGAAAGAAAAGATAAACCAGGACATATTGACAGGTACTTCCTTATGAAAACATTTATCATAGCAGAGAAGGCCAAATATCTTTTCTAGAAGACTTCCTTGCTTAAACTCTGTTTTGGACCTATTGGACCCCTCTTGGACACTGCCTCATGCCATTTTAATCTTGCTTCCTGTTGTAGTTGCAGCTACTGTAAACAAGCTTGCAGGAGCTTTGGCCGATTTTATGCTGAAAGCACTGCTTCTCTCATAACCTGCCCTGTGCTCTTCATGCTGTGGAATGGGACCCCTGTGACTCTGGAAGCGGGTGCCAAAGGGCAGTGCTAAACCCCCAGAGGAGATCCAAGGGGCATCCTAGAGCCAATGGATAAATGCTTTTCCCCATGATCCTTTGGGTGGACTGTCTATTTGGCCACCCAAGGTACCAGCATGGTAGAGCTCCAGTAAACTCACAGAGGTGACCAACTCAAGAATATATCCTTGATTTGGCTTCTCTTCCTTCCTCGTTTCATAATCCCTAATCCTTCACTCCTGTTCCCGGGGATTCCTTCCCAAAATAAACTACCTGTACAAAAGCCTGAATCTCAGGCTTTGTTTTCCCAGGGGGAAGTCAGGCTAAGACAGCAGACTCATACCACAGGTCACAGCAATCATTCCCCTGATTTCAAATGTCCTCTCCATGAATTATCTGTCACTTAAGCATGTCTCAGTGCATCACAAAGAGCCCTCCATATGTACATGTATTTATAAAGTTTATCACACTGCAATAAAGACACACATGATTATCCCATCACTTCCTGCTAAAGACTAAAAAGCAGGGCCCGTATCTCATGTTCCCTTGGTTCTCCTTTTTAGCATCCAGGATGTTGCTCCAAATTCAATGGATAATTCATGGTGTTGTGCCACTGGTAACCTGCAGACAGTGGCTGTATAAATATCTCTATTAACTGTAGATCTCACTCAATACAATCACATAAGTGAGGGCAAGAAAAATATTTTCCTCTAACATGAATATTATGAACAACAAGGTACTATAATAAGATATATAACTGGCTTTATAAAGATACAGACATTCATTTGTCTTCTCCTTACCTACCAAATGTCATTGAAATTGGCATAAAATCACTAACTGCTGTGTTTGTGTAGAATAAAATGATTGTCAGAAGATTCAGAAATTGTCATCATTCCTAAGGTTTGGTTTTTTAGGGAAAACTTTCACAGTTATGCAGAGTATAATTTAGATAACTGAAGCCAGGCTGCCAAAATATTCAAGTTTCTTTAAGACTTAAGAACATCCAGGATCCACAGAAAAAAACGAGATGTATTTGTTTAAAATGAACAGGCAAATCAAAAGTTATACACAGGCATACATATATACTCTCATATGATCAACTAGGCCTGCAACATTTGCAGGTAGCAATTTTCCACAGTCCCAAAGGAAAAGTGGGATGATTAAGTGTTTCTCTTGGACAGGCTTCATTGCTCTTAAAAAGGATAACATCTGGTAGTGATACATTATTGAAATACATTCTGGACAGTTCTTCTTTTGGTCAAACAGCTGGAATCCTTTTTTTTTTTTAAATAAAATTTTGATCTGCCTAATCTTCAACTTCCTCCAGTTTGGAAAAAAGAAAGCATGAACGGCAAAGAAATGTGCCCTGTTTATAATTACCTATTCTGTTCCAGGCATACAATGTAATGTTCTACACGTGTTATTCATTCCTGGCACAGTCACGGAGAAACGCACAACTGATAAGTTGTATATGAAAAGATGTAACCAGCACATTTACATGCATTTTATTGCTATATATCTGCTATATTTTTGTTGTTAGTATGCTACATCAGTGAAGTTCTAGTTCAGAAAACAGAAGGAGAATAGATATTTCAAGCAGAGGGACTTCATGCAGAGAATTATTTACTCAGGTGTTTGAAGGTTGAAAGAACAGAAAGGGAATGCTGAGGTAGCCCTGTATTAGTCAGGGGTTCTCCAGGGAAACAAACAATAGGAGATCTCTCTCTCTCTCTTTCTCTCTTTCTCTCTCTCTCTCTCTCCCTCCCTCCCTCCATCCTTCTCCGTCCCTCCATCCCTCTCCCTCCCTCCTTAATTCTCCCTCCCTGCCTCTCCCTCTCTGCCTCTCCTTCTCTCACTCTTCCCCTCCCTCTCTCACTCTTCCCCTCCCTCTCTCCATCTCTCTAGCCTATATAGATAGATAGATATGGATAGGTACATATAAAGAGATTTATTTTGAGGGATTGGCTCCTGTAATTGTTGGGCCTGAGAAGTTTCATGATCTGCCATCTGCAAGCTGGAGGTCCAGGAAATCTTTTGGTGTGGTCACAGTCCAAATACAAAGCCTGAGAAATAGGAACACTGATGTCCAAGGGCAGGGAAAGAGAGTTATCTCCGCTCAAGAAGAGAAAAAAAATGTGCCCTTCTTCAGCCTTTTTCTCCTATTCAGGCCCTTAATGGATCGAATGATGCTCACTCACATTGGTGAGGACATTCTTCCTTACTCAGCCGTGAAATCCCTTTCAGAAGCACCCTCATAGACACATCCAGAAGTAATGTTTTCCCAGCTATCTGGACATCCCTTAGCTCAGTCAGGTTGACACATAAAATTAACCGTCACAAACCCTGATGTCAGTAACTGCTGAGAGCAGATACTACCCCTAGGCCTAGGGATACAAAAGAGAAGAGAAGAGAAGAGAAGAGAAGAGGAGCTTGGAGGAGGCCTCCACCCCACCCCACTGCTGATGTTTGTCCCTGGGTTGGGGGCATGTGTGCTGCCGGGAGTGCCAAAAGAACTTGGAGGCTGTAGCAGTGGCTGTCCAGAAACTGGAGAACATGACAGAAATATCTTCTCCCTTCTTTCTGCCTTCCAATCTCCTGTCTGTGCCTTCTGTTAGCCTAAGAGAAGGTAGAAGTCAAGGAAGCCTTGGAAATGTTTTGTAAAATCGCGGGCCCAGCATCACACAGCAGATCATAGAAAAGTGGCTTTAGTGCTGAAAGACAATATGCAAATCATCAATCCACAGCTCTGCAATAATTATTAGTTAATATAGTACCTTTTTGTCTAAATTTTTGTACAAGCAGGCACGTTTTACTTTTCCTTAAGACTCCTTGAAACCATTTATAGTTGTTTTATACCTTGGGACTTTGTGATCACAAGGGGTACAGAGTAAGATTGGATCCTATCATTTTTAATACCCCTAAAATACTATTGCAAGATGAAAATATTATATTGATGTTTTATTAATTCATATACTCACACATTTTAAATTATGTTCTTATGCATTTTTTATTTTGGCATTTGATATTATTATTCAACTGACAGATAAACAATTTTGGAAAGCTAGATGAATTTTCTACTGGCTTCAAATCTAAAGCCCTGCAAAACTTCAGGGTAAGTTCAGCTTTCCAAATTCAATGCCAGATAATGTGGTTTGAGATCTACTTTCATTAAACATTGTCGCAGCCAATTTTCCACAGAATCACAGTGGGCTTGCATCCTTAATTGGCTTTAAATTAGAAACATGTAACCACTCTTCCCAACCTTTTCAATTTGTCACCTAATGGCCTTTCCCGAAGATTCCCAGAATATTAATTTCTTTATATATTATATCTTTATACATAAAGAGGTATTATTTATTGACTGTTACTAAGTCATGCACAAAGTTAGAAGTAAAAATCCTTTATTCATAGTGAGAGAAGATGGTGAGTAGGAAAGATTAAAAACTCAAGAATACTTGAGATCAAACTCAGTTATGACAACATTGATTGTCTATGGTATACTTATGTGCTGTATACTATTTTTATAGCAGAATTTCTCAATCTTGACACTGTTGACATTTTAGGCCAGATAATTATTTGTTGTGGGGAGCTGTCTTGTGCATTGTATGATATTTAGTAGCATCCTGACATCTAACCACCCGATTCCAGTAGACTCCTTAGATCTTGTGACAACAAAAATGTCTTGAGGTAGTGCTAACACTCCCAGGGGCACAAAAATGACTCCTCTCCCTAGTTGAAAATGTAAGTTTCTTCAACTAATTATAATTCCTTCCCATGATGGGCCGGGCGTGGTGGGTCACACCTGTATCCCAGCACTTTGGGAGGCCGAGGCGCATGGATCATGAGGTCAGGAGATCGAGATCACCTGGCTAACACGGTGAAACCCCGTCTCTAGTAAAAACACAAAAAATTAGCTGGGCGTGGTGGCGGGCGCCTGTAGTCCCAGCCACTTCGGAGGCTGAGGCAGGAGAATGGGGTGAACCCGGGAGGTAGAGCTTGCAGTAAGCTGAGATTGCGCCACTGCACTCCAGCCTGGGGGAAAGTGCAAGATTCCGTCTCAAAAATAATAATAATAATAATAATAATAATAATAATAATAATTCCTTCCCATGATGACGTAAGCATAAGATGAGATGCCTCTGTGTGTGTGTGTGTGTGTGTGTGTGTGTGTGTGTGTAGTCCTAGCATATGCCCAACTCAGCAGATTAGTGCATAATTGGTGTAAATAAGTGGCATAACCCCTTGGAGTAAGTTAATGTTTTTTTGGCTATGGAAACTTGCCTCTCAAAATGTGGTCTGATTAACATCAATTGGGATCTTTAATTCTGCATTTAAAATTTGGGTATTCTGTTCATCATGGATTTTTGGTATTCATTTTGATTTTTCAAAATATTGCATGAAAATATTATTATCTTCATTGCTGAATTTTTTGTCAACCCTTAAATTTTGTGCCTAGTCTTGGCCCTGATAAAAGCAGAAGGTCAGGCCCCAGGTCAGTCTTACTAAATCAGAATTTGCATTTTAGCAAGATCCTCAGGTGATTGAGATGCATAATAAAATTCAAGAAGCACTGCTGAAGTGCTGTTGGGATGGGGTGCAGGGGGGCGGGCAGGATTGGAGAGGACAGTGTGGGGCACATTTCAGATATCTGTTCCTCAGGTCTTCCTCATGAGCCTTGTGGAACAGTGGCTATGGAACAAGCGGAAGCTACCAGGACAAGCTGCTTTCATGAGGGATCAGGTGAGACATCTTTCTTTTCGATGCCTCGTTGATAAAATGTGGCACAAAGTGGGAAAGAAGCACAATCCCCCCCTATTCTGTGACAAACATGGTGAAACTTGCATGAGAAGTCATCAGGGAATGCGACCATCCTCTAAAATGACCAGTTTTCTGCTTTGGAAGCCCTGGGAGACCATGCCTTCGGGAGGAGGATGCTGGCACCCTCAAGTGGATCCGTGGGCCATGGTGGGAATGAGGAATAGGAAAGGAGGGCACGTGTGAGACACGTAGAGAAGACAAGACGGGAGAAGTCCCAGCTGCTGTTCCCCATTCAACGCCCCCTTTCAGTAGGAAGTAGCCAGACAGAGTCGTCGCCCAGAACCCCCTAACAGCAGTTAGAGTGATGTCTCCACAGGGGGAAATGAGGTAGGAGTTATTAAGAAATTATTTTAGGCCGGGTGCGGTGGCTCACGCCTGTAATCCCAGCACTTTGGGAGGCCGAGGCGGGCAGATCACGAGGTCAGGAGATCGAGACCATCCTGGCTAACACGGTGAAACCCCGTCTCTACTAAAAATACAAAAAATTAGCCTGGCGTGGTGCGGGAGCCTGTTGTCCCAGCTACTCGGGAGGCTGAGACAGGAGAATGGCATGAACCAGGGAGGCGGAGCTTGCAGTGAGCCAAGATCAAGCCACTGCACTTCAGTCTGGGCAACAGAGCGAGACTCCGTCTCAAAAAAAAAAAAAAAAGTAATTAGGCACATAGAGAGGAAAAAGGGGTCCTTGGAAAATTTTCTAATTTTCTATAGCTCTTGTCTAGCATGAAAGCCCTGGCTGTTTGACCCGGGCCAGCCAGCAATCTTTGATATGCAAATGCCAGCCGTTGGAAACTGCGTCCACCCAACATGGCAATTCCCACCGTTTTCCTCTTGCCCTTGCCCGCACATGTGCCTGGCAGCATGGCCACCCCCACATATCCCCACTTATGTGGAACATCCTGCCGCTCTGCATTTGCATATTAAAAGGCTAGGGTGGGAGGGCCAGTTTTTTCGCGGTCTACGTGAATGACATGCCTGGTCAAAGCAATTCCCTGAGCCCTGTGCAAATCAGACACGGCCTCCTCTAGCCATCAAATATAGCTGGCTGGTATTACCTAAGTGTGGGGTTCCATCTCTCGGCTTTGGAACCCCCCTCCCTCTGTCTCTGTACAGGGGAACTTCTTTTTTTTCTTCCCTCTTTCTTGCCTATTAAACGCTCCTTAAAACCGAAAACAAAACAAAACAAAACAAAAAAACTAAACAAAAACAAAAACAAAACAAAAAGAAAAGAAATACAGTCCCTAGGTGGGGTTTTCAGGGGCCAAAGGCCTGCAATATTTGGGCGAGGGCGGAAGCCAGTGAAGTTATCCGTAAATCAGGTAACTCCACTAGAAGCTATAAACTAGAGAGAGGGAGGACAACTTAGGTGACATAGATTTATTTATTTATTTTTATTTGAAATGTTGAGGGTCTCCTCTGCCTCCAGCAATGGCTGGGTAAACAGGGGTGACATGCATGTGGTTAGTCTTCAACAAATACTAATTACATAACTGCATGGATCCTGAGATTGAACATTTGACTTGGGCCACATTAACACTCTTCTCAAATGAATAAATTATAGACCCAGAAATAGTTATTGCATATTATGCCAACACTAGTTGGTTCTTAAATCTGTGGCATCCCCTAGAACTCAGTTATGTTGAAGAACAGGCACATTTTTAGGCATACAGAAATTGCATTAGTAATTGATATATCTCACGTGTGTTCGTACTGTCCTGTTAAAGGGTATGTAGAGTGGCTGTTGTGCTTAATAAGATATAAATTTGCTTAAAATTTTATTACATTTATGTCATTTGGTATATTCCTCTTTAAGATATACCATATGTATAATTAATTCCACACAGGAGTCTCTGTGTGTATGTGTGTGTACCCACATTATGTTAAAAGTATGTTAAATGTGTGTATACTGTATATATGTATTTTTAAAAGGGTTCCTATGCTTAAAAAGTCAAAAACCCTAAATAGTAGATTATACTTTTATACTTCTATTTCACTGATGAGGACACTCTCAGAAATTAAAGTTTTGCTCAGATGATTAAAAAATATGCAGCATTAAAAGTCGGTATTAGAATTTTGTGCTTCAGACTCTCATGTCCTCGGGCTCAATTCTCTCTGCCACTTTAACTCAGCAGACAAAAAGTAAACTATAAGAAAGCAAACTATTTTAACTATGAAAGGTGACCTAAAGAAAAATCATTTCAAGACCAAGTTGGTTGCAGCAAAATTCATTAGCCTCCTCCAGGATGAAAGCTGGTGTCTGGGTGACATTCCAAGGTTACTAATGCTTGTCAGTCCAACAACTTGCAGACTGTACATGATGGGGAATCTTTGGGGTTTGGCATCAAAGGAGAAAGGATGTAAAAATGGCCCTGATGGATGTTCTGAGGTTGTTTGATCTAAATCCAGAGAAAATAGCAGCTATCACAGCTGATGGAGTACCCGCTATGACTGGGAAGATGAATAGGACAGAGGAAAAAAAATTAAAGTCAGAAAAGCTTGTGCCAGACATTTTATCATATCTTTTTATTTTATTTTTTACAAACTAAGTTGACAACTTGGAAATCCCTTTGTGCAGTTTATAAAATAATGAATTCTAAATGAGGGCCTAGATTCACCAACAGACCAAGCAATTATGTAAACAATTTCTGTTCCCCAATATGGCTCCCTGTCATTGCATTTTCAAGTCAAATCACTTGCACGAGGTGGAACCGTAATATATATGACACATATCTTTGAAGCATTAGCGATCAGACATGGTGAGATGCCAGTTCCCCGATGTTCCAATGACAAGAAAGGTATCCTGTGTTATGTTTCCACTCCTGATTTACACTCAGAGAAGAGTCAACTGAAAGACAAAAGTGCTACAGGATAATTTGTATTCTCATATCATTTCTCCTACGTTTGGTGGCGTTTATTTTCTGATTTCATTACCATGGCTATTTCTTACTTTCAGGCTCCCTTTAAACACACACACACACACACACACACACACACACACACACACACACACTTCTTAAAAGTTACAATTAGTCATGTGGTTTCTTATGTGTCTGCTTTAAAAGTGTTTACTTGTGTTAATGCTGGTCCTTTCTGTAGCTTACTAGCTCCTGGCAAATGAGTACCAAGTGTATTATGCCCTTTGTGTTCTCCCCACACAGTGAGTGTTCAATAAATACTATTGACTGACTGACACATCTCCCTCCTTTTCTCTTTGTCTCTGACACCTCTGCTTTCTTTCAGAAATGATATTTTTTAAAGTGGCAATGTTCCCTACTTTGGACTTAAAAAAAAAAAAAAGCTCTTCTCAGCCTCAAACTTTTCCTTATGTAAGATTTTCAACAATAGACAAAATACAGGTGGAAAGAAACCGATATTCTCCTACCCCTTAACAATAAATTCTGTTTTTAATTGGAGCGTGACAAGTATCTCACAGAATAAAAGCTTTCTCTCCAAGAACAACGTTAGCGTGCACATCTCCATTGAAGTAGCCATTAAAAAATAATAATACCTCCTGCCTGTCCTACCCACTCCAACAACTCCTGACTTCAGGGCAGGGTATTAATGGGCAGCCTCCGCTTTATTTTTCTTCTGTCACACGATGGGTCAGAGACACTGTCTATAGTCAGTGTCTCTGTTGTTCTCTCATAGAACTTAAATAACAGTTTGTTCTCCTTTTGAAACAGATGCCCAAACTACAATTATTTTTTTAACCTTCCCTTAGGAAAAGTCTTGGTAGTTCACTGATATCCAGAAATATGGACTTTTCAGGAGACATAAAAGTGTCCCCTCCATCAACCTGAGCGTTGTTTGATCTCACAGAGGCAAGGTAGCATGCCTTTATTATTGTTTGCTTTCTCTATTAAAGCTATTATGGCCTATACAGTTGCGGGAGATGATTGTTCCAGAGAGTTTGCCCTCATGTCACATCCTTCCATTTGTGTCAGCCTCCTGGAAAAAGTGCAGGTGAGAAAATCTCAACCTAATGTGGCACCTGCTCTTCACAGTCTGTCTCTACACTCACAGCAATTAGAGGAGGAAGAAGTGCTCTCTTTGGACCTGTTTCTGTATCCTGTTTCTTTTCTTCTAAAATTCCTATTTTAAAGCCTCTTGAAAGAAAAAGAATATTCAGGAAAAGAGAAGGCCATAAATAAAAGAAGGATTAGCATGACATGCAAATGTTTATGAACATTTCTCCCTTTGTTCACCTGCTCGCAGGTGTCTGCCTGGTTGCTGCTGCTGACGCTGTGTCTCTAACATCCAAAGCAATGTAACTACTGCAGTTCCCTGACCTATTTCAAGCCCTAGGGACGCCACCAGAAAAAAACGACCACTGAATATCTTAGTTTGGTTTTCTCCAGAAGCAGAACCCAAGATGAGGATCCTAAGTGCAAATTGTTTACTTAGGAGTTGGTCCTGGGAAATCAGGGGAGATGGTGCCATCTGGCATCAGAGGTCTGGTGCTTTACATAGTTATGGGGGATGTCGGAGACAGGTGTCCAGAGTGGGATGGCTCCATTTTCCTCATGGTGCTTGATCTATCTCCTGGGACCTAGAGTAGAACAACATGTGGGAAGACAGTACAAAGAAAGGCAGTGGGGGCAAGAGTTGCTGTGACCCCAGCCTATGGCCCAGGGCTCTTCCTCAGGTGGAGAAGGGACCTGGGGAGTGACATCCCTGTTGGGCCCAGGTTCAGCAGGGGAAGCAGCCCAGGTTGTGGTTTCTTCAGTGAAGCCAGGACAGACACAGACAAAGGGAGTTATGACAACAACTCAAAATCCCCCTTCTCACTTTTTGAACCAAAGAGAGCAAAGGGATGAATTGGGGCCAGGACAATTGTCAAACTCTAAATTTGCTCCCTAAACATGTCCCTAAACTGTTCTAGGGCCAGGAAGACAAAAATAAGAGGCAGTATCCATAGAATGTATACCACGCCCTGACCTGTGGGGTAGCCACATTTGACACAGGAAGCCAAAGCACAGATAAATAACCAAGGCCACACAGTTGGCAAATAGCAGAGCAGGGATTTGAACTCCTGCCACCAGACTCCAGAGTCTGCACTTCTGACCATTGCACGTAGGGCCACAGGGAAATAACATTTATTCACATCTATGCTCATCTTCACTCCTGTCATTTTCCCAACATGCAGTAAGAAATGATGGTGCAGTGTCTTAGGAACTGCATAGCTTTCCTCATAGAGATTCTTGGATTTGGACATCATGTCTGGGGCTATCTTCTTTACACACTCTTTATTATTGGTTTCTGTAAGTAAAAACATGGTTTACTAAAGGATGCAGGCCCAGAACAGTATTCTTAGCATAAGGCAAAGGGCACTGTACTGACATTATAAACTCTTTATTGATTCTATTGATTCACCTTTCACCTCTTCTATAACTTTGTATTCTTATTCCCACTGTAACACACCTATGTTCCCCATCCAAATGATCCAAGTAAAGAAGTGGAAACCATTCCTCTTTCCAAGGCAATGAGTACAATATGTAAGGGGAATCCAGCCAGCATAACTCTTTGATAGTTCTGCCTGGAGAATATGCTTGGCATGATAATTATTCAGGTAATTTTTTCCTCCCAGGAGGACAGGCGGTTATTTTGACAGCTTATTTCACTGTTACAGATAAAGTTTACATTGTCAGTTAATGGGAATACACCAGGTAATAGTCATGAGCTCTCAGGGGATAATCTCGAAGCCTTTTCCAAATGTCCTTTATAGAAGCATATGGTCATATCCTCCACTTCATCACCAGGTCAATCAGCAGTTGCTCTTTAATATGGTATGTTCTTCATGCACCAGTGCAATTTCCAAGCTCTATCCCATTTGGTTTTCCCCCCATGGTGCTTGAAAGTTGCTTAAGCCACTGATTATTGCCTTGCCATGAGCTCTGATCGCTCTTCTGGATAGTAGGCATTCAGATGTCATCTTTAATTTGTGATATTAATATTGAACTCCATCACCGTTCAGTGGTTTTAGTGAAGTATTTACATATAGACTAGCAAAGTGTTTGAGCAGTGCATTGAAAACTGTCCATTCCTAATTGGAATCGTAAAGTTTACCACAGCATCTGCATGATGTGGATATGATTTCTGGTTATAAAGCAGCCTTGGAGGTTTGCTTTCAGAAACAAATGAGATGTGTCTTTGCAGCTCTGTATTTCCTCACCCATTCCGACTGTTCATGATTGGTGGTGACAGTGCTCTAAGAACTGTTTTTTACAACCTCACACACTTTTAGGAAAGATTAACTATCTCAAAGAGTTTTTACTGGGAATCACATTTAAAATTAATGAACTAATTAGTTAAGAAATGTATTACTTTATTATGGAAAGAGAAACCTGGCACCCTAATGATAGGATGAAATGTCCTTTTATTTTATGACATTAGAGGAAGGTGGACTTGTTAAGAACATTTGGACTGCTACTATCAATTATATGATTTAAAGATCACCTCATCCTGTGAGAAAAATGGATTATAAATCAGTATTTGAGAGGCTCGAAAGGATGAAAGAGAGAAAAAGAGAAAAGAAAAAGGGAACATCTTCCTAGTTGTGTTGTTAGATGACCCTGCACCCTGGTATGTTTAAATTGCTTACTTACTTCCTATAACTCTATAAACTTCTGTGTTTTCATTTGCTGGATTAGATTGAAGTATCAGCTATATTTGATGAATGGCATTGGTAATATATGTTCATGTTCGTCTTTGCTCTTTCTGCTTTTATTTATATAGTCAGTATAATTTATTTCTCCTGAAAAAGCTTTCGGCAAAAAAGATTTTTTAAAGTACAAATACTTTTTAACGGGGCTCTGGGGTTTGTGATGATCAAATCACTCATCTTTCCTCCTTCATTCTAGGTTTTTTTTTCGCCTCTTGCTTACTTTTAAAACTAGAGACTAAAAAAGAACATAGGAAAGCTCAGTGGTTGCACCATTGGGGATCGTAGTTAGCACTGTCAGCAAGCCTCTAGCACAGTCTATGTGTATATTAGTGGAATGATATGAAGAATTGCATAATTATCTGGATAATTTAATTAAAAAATACCAGTCTGTAGCCTTTCCTATGCAAACACTGTGTTCACTTATAAAGCAGGCCAAGCATAAGACTGAGAATTTATAGTGGTTCTAGCTGATTAGAGGGAATTTGTTTCTTTCTAAGGTGGTATTGAGAAGGAATCCGTGATGATCTTGAGGTGAAAACGGAGCACCTTGTTAACTGTGTAACCAGTTACTCACTCTGGTTTTTTTACTTAGATCAAACTATCGTGTTTACATTAAAAGACATGCCTACCTGTTTCAAAGCTCTCAGAAGGATAATAGGTAAAAAGCAAGGTGAATAGGGAATGGCGGACTGAAATCACAGTCAGCCCAGTTCAAGTCTGAAAACTACAAAATGGGAGGTACAGAAAACTGTGTAAAATATAATAAACACAAGGCTGAATTTTGGGGAGTGCCTTGTTTGTTCTTTCCTTTCTTTCTTTCTTCTTTTTTTAAAAAAATAAAAATGGTCCCAGGCTTACTATGGTTTGCCTTACTATATTTTAACTTTACAATGGTGTAAAAGTAATACATATATAGCAGAAACCATACTTTGAGTACCCATACAACTATTCTAATTTTCACTTTCAGTATTTAATAAATTACATGAGATATTCAACACTTTAGTATAAAATAGGCTTTGTGTTAGATGATTTTGCCCAACTGTAGGCGAATGTAATTTAAACACGTTAAAGGCAGGCTAGGCTGCATTTTCAACTTAATTTTTTTTCAACTTATGATGGGTTTAGTGGGACATAACCCCATCATAAGTCAAGGAACATGTATATTCTATCATTATCCTAAACTGCATCTTTCCCTCATTTCTTTTTTTATCTTTTTTGTCATCCAATAATTTATCCTGCTAGTTGAATCCAAGGTCTTCTTATTGTTTACCTAAAGGCTATTGAAACAATGATAGACACAGTAAAATGCCCAAGTTAAACCAGTTCAACCACAGAATAACAGCATGCTCTCTCACCACTCCTATTCAACATAGTGTTGGAAGTTCTGGCCAGGGCAATTAGGCAGGAGAAGGAAATAAAGGGTATTCAATTAGGAAAAGAGGAAGTCAAATTGTCCCTGTTTGCAGATGACATGATTGTATATCTAGAAAACCCCATTGTCTCAGCCCAAAATCTCCTTAAGCTGATAAGCAACTTCAGCAAAGTCTCAGGATACAAAATCAATGTACAAAAATCACAAGCATTCTTATACACCAACCACAGACAAACAGAGAGCCAAATCATGAGTGAAATCCCATTCACAACTGCTTCAAAGAGAATAAAATACCTAGGAATCCAACTTACAAGGGATGTGAAGGACCTCTTCAAGGAGAACTACAAACCACTGCTCAAGGAAATAAAAGAGGATACAAACAAATGGAAGAACATTCCACGCTCATGAGAAGGAAGAATCAATATCGTGAAAATGGCCATACTGCCCAAGGTAATTTACAGATTCAATGCCGTCCCCATCAAGCTACCAATGACTTTCTTCACAGAATTGGAAAAAACTACTTTAAAGTTCATATGGAACCAAAAAAGAGCCCGCATCACCAAGTCAATCCTAAGCCAAAAGAACAAAGCTGGAGGCATCACACTACCTGACTTCAAACTGTACTACAAGACTACAGTAACCAAAACAGCATGGTACTGGTACCAAAACAGAGATATAGATCAATGGAACAGAACAGAGCCCTCAGAAATAACACCGCATATCTACAACTATCTGATCTTTGACAAACCTGACAAAAACAAGCAATGGGGAAAGGATTCCCTATTTAATAAATGGTGCTGGGAAAACTGGCTAGCCATATGTAGAAAGCTGAAACTGGATCCCTTCCTTACACCTTATACAAAAATCAATTCAAGATGGATTAAAGACTTAAACGTTAGACCTAAAACCATAAAAACCCTAGAAGAAAACTTAGGCATTACCACTGAGGACATAGGCACGGGCAAGGACTTCATGTCTAAAACACCAAAAGCAATGGCAACAAAAGCCAAAATTGACAAATGGGATCTAATTAAACTAAAGAGCTTCTGCACAGCAAAAGAAAATACCATCAGAGTGAACAGGCAACCCACAAAATGGGAGAAAATTTTTGCAACCTACTCATCTGACAAAGGGCTAATATCCAGAATCTACAATGAACTCAAACAAATTTACAAGAAAAAAGCAAACAACCCCATCAAAAAGTGGGCGAAGGACATGAACAGACACTTCTCAAAAGAAGACATTTATGCAGCCAAAAAACACATGAAAAAATGCTCACCATCACTGGCCATCAGAGCAATGCAAATCAAAACCACAATGAGATATCATCTCACACCAGTTAGAATGGCAATCATTAAAAAGTCAGGAAACAACAGGTGCTGGAGAGGATGTGGAGAAATAGGAACACTTTTACACTGTTGGTGGGACTGTAAACTAGTTCAACCATTGTGGAAGTCAGTGTGGCGATTCCTCAGGGATCTAGAACTAGAAATACCGTTTGACCCAGCCATCCCATTACTGGGTATATACCCAAAGGACTATAAATCATGCTGCTATAAAGACACATGCACACGTATGTTTATTGCGGCACTATTCACAATAGCAAAGACTTGGAACCAACCCAAATGTCCAACAACGATAGACTGGATTAAGAAAATGTGGCACATATACACCATGGAATACTATACAGCCATAAAAATGATGAGTTCATGTCCTTTGTAGGGACATGGATGAAATTGGAAATCATCCTTCTCAGTAAACTATCGCAAGAACAGAAAACCAAACACCGCATATTCTCACTCATAGGTGGGAATTGAACAATAAGAACACATGACACAGGAAGGGGAACATCACATTCTGGGGACTGTTGTGGGGTGGGGGAAGGGGGGAGGGATAGCATTGGGAGATATACCTAATGCTAGATGATGAGTTAGTGGGTGCAGCGCACCAGCATGGCACATGTATACATATGTAACTAACCTGCACATTGTGCACATGTACCCTAAAACTTAAAGTATAATAATAAAAAAAACAAAAAAAAATGCACATAACTGGATTTCTGCTTTGCATTTGTCTCTGATCCACAGAAATGACGATTACCATGACCCACTTACACACAACCTGTGTTCTGACTGCCCCGGGCTTAGATCTTGACTTGTCTAGGACTCTGTGAAACAAAAAGAGATGACATACATGCTTTTGGAAGACTCTGGACACATTTGTTCTGACACCAGAGAGTCAAAGAAGCTGAACTTAAAAAAAAGTAAAGAGAACATAAGAGTAGCAAATTACAGTCCTGCATGACTGAGCACCAGATATAAGTTCATGAATTTTAAAAATTAGAATTGAGTCAAATTTTATTTCTCATGTACATGTGGATAAAGTGAAGAATGTGTTTATCATTTTTAAATGCAAAAGTTTCTCAGTTGTGTGATTAACATGCAAAATGTGGATCAAATTCTACCTTTGCCTATTCTTTTGTACAACACTTTACAGTCAGTTGATATAATTCCTGTTTGTTTGAGAAAAGAGTATGTTAACATTTAAGCTAACATAAAAATAAGGTTAATTTTAAAGAACTAGGTGTTTCTATAACTGCACAGGCAATCATTTGAGGATGCTTAAAAATTATAAATGTATGAAAATTTTTATAGCTTTAGCTCTGGAATAAATGTTATATTATGATCCTTAGATGTCTAATAGACATCTCAAATTTAACACAATCTAAACTGAACTCTTCATATTTTATTTCCCTATATCTTGCTCATAACTACTTCTGCTACAGTTTTCCCCATTTTTTTTCTTCAGTTTTTGTTTGTTTGTGTTTTGTTTATAGGTGAAGAGGTCTTGCTATGTTGCCCAGGCTGGCCTCTAACCCCTGGGCTCAAGTGAACCTTCTGCCTTAGCATCCCAAGTAGCTGGGACTACAA
This sequence comes from Homo sapiens, assembly GCF_000001405.40. Taxonomy (NCBI): domain Eukaryota; kingdom Metazoa; phylum Chordata; class Mammalia; order Primates; family Hominidae; genus Homo; species Homo sapiens. The sequence continues at coordinate 60,296,998 of NC_000013.11, forward strand.
GAATGCGCCACCATGTCCGGCTCATATTCTTTCAGGTTTTTATTCTTCCAGTTGTTCAGTCCAAAAACTTCAGAGTCTTCTTGACCTCTCTATTTCTCTCTCACATGCCATAGCCAATCTTTCAGCAAACCCTATTTATTCCACCCTCAAAATACTCCTCAAATCTCACTACTTCTCCTCATCTCTATCGCTACCACTCTCTCTTTCTCCTCTGAATTACCATAAGACTTGTCTAACTTGCTGCCTGCTTCCACCTTTGCTCTTATAGAGTGCATTCTCAACAGAAAAGCCAGAGTGATTATTTACAAATGTACATCAGGGCACAGATCTCATCTGCTCAAACCCCTCCAATGGCTTCCTTGACACCCCCCGGGGTAAAAGCCAAAACTTGACAATGCCCGATATAATATGGCTCGCATTGCTTCTTTGACATCATCTGTTATGCTCTCCTTTGCTCATTCCATTTCTGTCACCTTGTTGTTTTTGCTGTTCCCCCTTCCTGGAGCATTCTTCCAGATATCCTAATGGTTTACTCCATTATAACCTTTAGGTCTTTGCTCAAAGGTCAACTTACCAATAAAAACTTTCTTTATTACCTTATTTACAATTGTACATTACACCTCCTGCACTACCTGTTTTCCTTTCCTTCTTATTTTTCTTCATAGTACATATTACTATCTAAATATGTATATACATACACACACTATGTATATATATACACACACACTCATTCATTATATATATAATGTTAGACTGATGTAGATAGTAATACTAAGATAAACATACTATGTGTGCATGCATATTACTAACATACTATATATATATATAGACTATATATAGTCAATGTTTTTATGTCTGGATGTATATGTGTGTACACATATACACACTAATTTTTCTTTTTTGTAGAGACAGGATCTTACTTTGTTGCCCAGGCTGGTCTCAAACTCCCAGACTCAAGTGATCTTTCTGCTTTGGCCCCCAAAATGCTGGGATTACAAGCGTGAGCCACAGCACCAAGCCTGATACTCTATTTTTGATCTACACAAATGGCTATTTCATACGGTTCAACTTAGTATTTTGTCTACATTTCCCATCTGTTTCTTACCTTTTGCCACCTCGGTCTTCTCACCTCTTGGCTCAGTTCTGGTTTGTGTTCCTCACACTCATCCAACACCTCTCAATATCAGTGCCTAAGTGAAGAACTTGTATGTCCAGGGTATTTCATGACCCTTTCTTCCAATGCTTTCTTCATAAGCCCATCTGAGGTCTCTCCCACATCAGCCATAGGAGGTAGCACTAGAAACATCGCAGGAGTCAGATGCATATGAGATGAGGACACTTACTTCTCCCATTAATCTCCCTTGCATATTTCTGGGGACTCAGGGCCAGTGTCTAAATTGGCCAACATACATAGCTGGCTAACAAGCATGGTGCTAATGCTGTCTTCTACATACCTTTGATGAAATGATCATGTATAACAGGTGACCCAAGCAGATATGGTATAGTAATTTAAAATGGATTAATCATAAACAGAATAGGCCAAATTAAAGGTGAAGTTGGACACTGTGTAATAACAGGGCCTTGCTTTGGCCTTGTGGAAAATCAGAGAATGAGCTTTGGAGAAAGACTTGGCCATAGGGTAAGGGTAGGGCTGGAGAGCTGAGCAGTGGGGATTATCTGGGAGTGTGATCAGTCTGCATTACCCAGTTCAGAGGAGGACACTTCCTAGTCAGCTTCTGGGTAGACAGGTGAGCCAAGGAGGCCTTGGCTGGTTTTATCTAGCCAGCAGGGTAGAGATAGGGCAACAGGGGCATAAATGGAGGAAGTAGAAGGACTGGCAAGTTGGCCTTCCCACTTTCTTTGACCTTGGAGAGAGATGTGGTCCCTGGGCCTATCCAGGAGCCCACATCCAGAATGGGACATAAATTGTGTGCTCAGGCATTCTCAGCCCTGGCCCAGCTACACCAACTCCTCATAAACCACATGGACTTTCTGGACTTTATTTCCCCACAGAAGACAAATACACAAAAGCCCTCGTATGACATGTTTTCCCCATCCTTCAGCTTCCCAGTCTTGGCCCACTCCTCATACCATCTTTACTGCCACCTTGAACCTATGAGTAAGGTGGAAATCTCCTGGAACAAGTACAGAAAGGAAACCACTTCTTCTGCTGTTAATGCAGATCATGTTTTTTTGACAAATAGATCACTGGAGAGAGATTGAGACAAATTTGTATGCAGAAGGACCTTTATGTCTTGTTTTGGTTGACTTTTTAAAAAACTTTTTATGTAAGACTCACGAATTGCCAGAGTTCCTGTGTATCCTCCACCTGGCTTTCCCTGATGATAGCCTCTTACGTGATCATAATATATTATTAAAAATATATTATTGACACTGATATCCTATTTTTTTCTTTCTTTTTTTTTTTAGTAATGTCTCTGCAATGCAATACCCTATTATTAACAGACAGATGGATCTTGTTTTATATCAACAAAAGAAGAGCTTCCATCTTTGATTACATTGGCTTTTGTCTGGGTTAACGCAAAGTGACTCAGAGTGGCATCCTCTTTTCTGCATCTTCTGTCAGATTGATAAAATATGATTGTTAAGAATTGGATGGATAGGGCCAGGAGCAATGACTTATGCCTGTAATCACAGCACTTTGGCAGGCTGAGGCAGGAGGATCATTTGAGGTCAGGAGTTCAAAACCAGACTGGCCAACAGGGTGAAACCCCATCTTAATTAAAAATACAAAAATTAGCCAGGCATGGTGGTGGGTGCCTGTAATCCCAGCTTCTCAGGAGGCTGAAACAGGAGAATCACTTGAGCCCGGAGATGGAGGTTGCAGTGAGCAGAGATGCTGCCACTGCACTCCAGCCTGGGAGACAGAGTGAGACTCTGTCTCGAAAACAAACAAACAAAAAAAACAAAAAATGAAAGAATTGGATGGTTGGAAAGTGAGTTAGCAAGTGTGCTTACATCTAATAATGACATCCCATTTTGCCTCTCCTTGGGTGCTGGCATTTTGTTGGGTCCTGGGTCTTTGCTGATCTCTGAGATGCGTGACTTTCAAGTCAATGCACACTATCAAACCACAGATTCCCAGTGCTCAAATATGTGGGGGACCAGACAAAAAACAGCCTTTCAGCTGCTGAGTGTTTGTTAGTAAGAGGACAGGCTGTGCTCTAGCTAATTGAACTTCCATCTCTTTGAATCAGTCCCGGCTCTTGCTAGGACATCATGCAGCTTCATCATTTCATTTCTCCTAGTCATTCATCTAAGGCTGTATTATTGCAGTCTATACTATCCAGAAATTTGATTTTCCATGTGAATTGGCTGTAGATGGAAGTGGGTGATGAAACTGTGCTTTCAGTATGGGTCAGGTTCCAATGGTATATATTCTCCTGTCTCCTTCACCTATGTATCTTATTTAAGTTTAATAGTTTCACAGATATTCAAGCCCCAGGAATCCAAATTCCTTCCTCCACCAACTGTTTTGAAAAACTCTTCCAGGACTTTATGAAGATTAATCAGACACAAGGGGGCTTGCCAATAGAAGTCGCAGCAGATTTCTTTTATGGTTTCAACATCTTGTTTGCCTGGAACTTAAACATTAACTGATACAATCATTTTGGATACAACTAAAGGGCTTATCCAACAGTAAGACAACTGTTTCACCAGGTGCCATTATATTATGGTTCCCAGTAGGCTGTGGTTTGACAAATTGATGTTACCTGGACTGAGGCATGGGCCACCTTTCTAAGTCCACATCTAACTGTTGATTATTGAGGAGTGAAAAGATGCTTGTTATTGCCAATTAGACAGCTAAGTTTTGTTGACAAGATGCTCAAAACTTTTCTTTATCTGACTTTTTTTGGGCAAAAATGGAAGAGATAGGATCCTGAATTTGTTTCCTGGCTAATGGAAGGAGTAGGCAAATTGACCTCACTGTCAAACAGAGTTTCCTTTGGAGAACTATAGTAATTAGAGTAGAAATTACAGGCATACTCCTTGGGATATTATCTTCAGAGACTAAGATATTCAGTAGGAACCAAGATTTCATAGTGATGTTATTGCTGAGACAGCCTCGTGCAAATATAAAGCCCTAGAAATGACTTCTCTTATCAATCTGAGATGAACCAATTTTTGCAAGCATGGATAACCTGGAAGAATCGGAGACTGATGCATTGGTTTTTCAGCCAGAGCAAAACATACGTGTATTTCTGGCAGTTTAGTGAAGAATATTTATAAGGAAAAATGTGAAAGCTACATGGAAGATGAAAGGATAGTCTGATGCCATGTAAAAAATTTAGGATATGAGATTATAATCTTTTACTTCTTTAGGAAAATATGTAAAATGAAAAAAAAAGCTTAACATCTCTTCAGGTTAATCCCAGTCCTGGAGTCCGTGACAATAACTAATGCTTCATTTGGTTTTGCTTTTAATTTTAGCTCCCTCAACCTGGCCCTACCCCTGTTGGCCCCACTCTCAGCAGACAATCTTGCCTCCCAATTAATCAAGAAAATCGAGGCCATTGGGTACACAATCTTTCTTGAATCCTGCCCCTCGACCCATAAACTATTTTCATTCATGCCTGCACTCAGTTTCTCTCACCCTGTCTCAGAGGCTGAGGTGTTCCCTTTTCCTGCCTAACGCCAAACCCTTTACCTGTCCCTTGAGCCAGTTACCTTTGGCCTCTTTCAGGGCCTTGTTCTGTCTTTACATACCCTTCCTAGGATTCAAAACTTTATGCAGAAATTTCTATGCTAAACTCAAGATCCTGAAAAACATTTTTTCCTTTCATTGTAGTTAGCATTTTCCCAACTAATATTCTATAATAGATTGATATTTAAATTTCTTTTCTTGGGGCCAAATATACATTGAGAAGGGATAAAATGAATGCAAATGTCCACATCACATTGACAACTTCTTTTTGAAACATTTTTATAAAATGTAAAAACTTGGTACCTATGGAAAAGCAATTAGAAACAATCTTTTCTACATTTGCAAAGCATAATTCAAATCTCCTATTAATTCAGGAGGCAGTTTTATCTTATTTAAACACCTGGTTTTTATAACAGGACACATATACTCTTATATGCCGGTATTTTGATAATTCACACTAATTACATTGGACTAATTTTGGTTTGAAGCATTTTTAATGTGCACATTTCCTCTTTTCTGACAAAATATGGTTATTAATAAAATATAACATTTAATTTTTAAAAAATATGTAGGAAAGAAGCTTGTCATTTTCTCTTGTGTCATGGTAAGTTGCTACCAAATAAGCTTTATATTGTTTGTGACCAAAAGATTTTCTTCTCCCTTTCCATGTTATTTGACAGAGTCATACTGACAATAATAATAATAATGACAACAAAATTAACAGCAGTATACTGTGTCACAAATTGCAGGGCATGTCACAACATTATCTCTTGTTTCTTTTGATGTCAACAGTGTGTGGCATACAGCATATACTGATAGTGTCAGTAGCTCCTTTCCACAGATAAGAAAATTGAGAGGGAGGAATCTTAAGTGACACAACTGGAAAGAGACAAAGTTGCATATAAAACTATAACATCTGTCATTTAAAACAGTAAGTAAAGACAACACATTTGGCTTCACATCATATTTACACATAAACATTTTTGAGGGGGATATGAAGTGTTAGAACTGTTTCTGGTATAATTTGAGTAATCAAACATGCTTCTCAATTTTCACATTTGTGTATAGATGTAGGTAGAGGATAAGGAATTGTTTCTTGTATCATTTTTATCATTTTCTTCCCAATATTTAGTTTGCGGTATTTGTTCAGTATTCTCCAAACACATAGTCAGTGTTTGGGAAAGGCTCTAAGTTCACTGTTTTGCACCTCCTTGAAACTTCTAGAAGGGAAACTGGTCTCAGTGCATCCCTGATTGCCAAGGACTCATTTTCTGTTTTTCAGTTTAGGTGGACTTGGTTTTCCAAAATTGTTTCTTCTGAGAATTATATTCCTGACTGCAGCACCTATTCATCTTGCCTATCTATACATTTGAACATGAAGGCTGAAAATTCACTTATGCTTTTCATAATGTCACTGTGTTTTGCACATCATTCCTGGGTTTTCTCTCACCCGCCCTTACTGCCTCCTTCAGTGAGCTTGTATTCCATCATCTTACATTTTCATAGTATTTGTGAGCAGACACTTCATTTAATTTTCAGCTTTCACTTGCTTTCTCATTGTGTAATGTCTTTGAAGTTCAGGCTGTAAACTTTGTCACCCTCTCTCTATATTCTGTATCTTGTGCCTCTAATACTCGTTATTCTTATCTCTGATTACTTCCTCCAGGTCCTATTCTCTTGTAGTCGCCCCTTTCCACTCCAGGGGCACCTACTGTTAGATCATTCACAGAACCCTGGGAGACCGAGTAATTGCTTCCTCAACACTTTCCATTTCTTTTCCTATTTTCTCGCTTATCCCTCTGTATTGTACTCAATATGGTCTCCGTGTTTTCAAATTGCTTTTCTCTTTTTTCAGATTAACGTACCCTAATCATTAAAATGATTTGAAATAACTGTATCGTACCATCGCTATAACTCAGACTCAACATGTGGACTTTTATAGTCCCCTTTTTGTATTTAGAAGTTGCTCCACATCCCTTATTCTGATATGGTTCTTTGTTTTGTATGCTAAAACTAATTAAACCTAACTTACATAGAATTCTTTTGACAACAGACCAAAGATAGACTAAAATTTTCCTTTGCATTACTTTCTGAAAGTGGGGCATATGGAGCAAAACTATAAATAAGATTGAGGAAGTACATTTAATTCCTCGAATTATGCCATACATTTGAAAATAATTATATAATTTCATAAGCTAAGTATAAATAAATTACCTATTATCAATGAAAAAATTGAATTAGAACCTTTATTGGGAAATTGGGTCAATAATCTAACATTTTAAAACATGTCTACATTTATATTTCATTTATTTAAAAACAGCTCCAAAGTTTGCTTTAGGGAAGGTTTGCTTTTGTTAGGTGTGCCTTTCTATGGAAGTTTGTTTTTTTTAAACTTGTTTTGAGCTCAGTTTTCTTCTCTGTATCCTGATCTTATCACATGTTCATTTACATAAAATTCTGACTGTCCAATGCCTTTCTTATACATATTTTTCTGAGCCATATTTTAAGCTGCAGTGGCTTTGAGGCTTCATTTCTAAACTTTTTTGTTTACTGGAAAGTTTTGGGTTTTTTTTAGGTGAAATTCACAAAACATAGCATTAACCATTTTTAAGTAAATAATTCAGTGGCATGGAGTACACTCCCAGTGCTGGTTTCACATAGTTCCAAAACTTATTCTACATGGTTCCAAAACACCACCTTGTGCCCATTAAGCAGTTGCTTCCCATTCCCAGCCCTGGGCAGCCATCAGTCTGCATCCATCTCTCTGGATTTACTTGTTCTTCATATTTCATACAAATGGAATCATACAACATATGACCTTTTGTGTTTGCCTTCCTTTACTTAGTACAGTATTTCCAAGGTTCTTCCACTGTAGCATGTAACAGTATTTCATTCCTTTTTATGGCCGAATAGTATTCCACTATATTTATATACTACAGTTTGTCCTTTGTTCCACTGATGAAAATTTGAACTGTCCACCTTCTAGCTATTTTGAATAATGCTGCTACCAGCATGCGTGTGCATGTATTTGTTTGAGTGCCTGTTTTTAGTTCTCTAGGGGATACATCTAGAAATGGAATCACTGTGTGTTATGTAATTCTGTGTTTTATTTTTTTGAGGAACTGCAAATGTGTTTTCCTCAACTTGTAAAGTTTCTCTTTAACAAAAACTAAAGTTTTAGATGAAATATCTCTGAAAGTCAGTTTTCCTTGAATTGCACCCAGAGTCTTAACATCAAAGTCATCAGCCAGGTGCAGTGGCTCATGCCTGTAACCCTAGCACTTTGGGAGGCTGAGGCGGGATGATCACCTGAGGTCAGGGGTTTAAGACCAGCCTGACCACCATGGTGAAACTCCATCTCTACAAAAATACAAAAACTAGCTAAGCATGGTGGCGTGTGCCTGTTATCCCAGCTACTCGGGAGGCTGAGGCAGAAGAATCGCTTGAACCCGGGAGGTGGAGGTTGCAGTGATCCAACATCATGCCACTGTACTCCAGCCTGAGTGACAGAGTGAAACTCCGTCTCAAAAAAAAAATTCAAAATAATCAATTACTTGATTATTTTTGGTTGACCCTTGAAGAACATGGAGGTTAGGGGTCCGGACCCTCTGTGCAGTGGAAAATTCTTGTGTAACTTTTGATTCCCTAAAAAGCTTAACCACTAATAGCTTACTGTTAAACAGAAGCCTTACCAATCATAGTTGATTAACACATATTTTGTGTGTTATATGTATTAAATACTGTATTCTTATAATAAAGTAAGCTAGAGAAAAGGCTATTAAGAAAATCATAAGGAAGAGAAAATATATTACTGTATTAGTTTGTTCTCACACTGCTAATAAAGACATATCCAAGACTGGGTAATTTATAAAGAAAAGAGGTTTAATTGACTCACAGTTCAACATGGCTGAGGAGGCCTCAGGAAACTTACAATCATGGTGGGAGGTGAAGCAAACACATCCCTCTTCACAGGGTGGCAGGAAGGAGAAGTATGAGCAAAAGGGTGAAAAGCCCCTTATAAAACCATCAGATCTCATGAGAAATCACTCACTATCACAAGAACAGCATGAGGATAACTGCCCCATGATTAAATTACCTCCCTCTGGCTCTCTCCCACAACACATGGGGATTATGGGAACTATAATTCAAGATGAGATTTGGGTGGGAACACAGAACCAAGTCATATCATTTCTCCCCTGGCTCCTCCCAAATCTCATGTTCTCACATTTCAAAACACAATCATGCCCTTACAACAGTCTACTAAAGTCTTAACTCATTCCAGCATTAACTCAAAAGTCCAAGTCCAAAGTCTCATCTGCAACAAGGCAAGTCCCTTCTGCCCATGAGCCTGTAAAATCAAAAGCAAATTAGTTACTTCCTAAATACAATGAGGGTGCAGGCATTGGGTAAATACTCCTGTTCCAAATGGGAGAAATTAGCCAAAACGAAGAGGCTACAGGCCCCATGCAAATCTGAAATCCAGTAGGGCAGTTATTAAAACTTAAAGTTCCAAAATGATTTCCTTTGACTCCACATCTCACTTCAAGGGCACACTGATGCAAGATGGTGGGCTCCCACAGCCTTGGGCCGCTCTGCTCCTATGGCTTTACAGGGTACAGCCTCCTTCCTGGCTGCTTTCATGGGCTGGTGTTGAGTGTCTGTGGCTTTTCCAGGGAAATGGTGAAAGCTGTTGATAAATCTACCATTCTGGGGTCTGGGGGATGGTGGCCCTCTTCTCACAGCTCCAACAGGCAGTGCCCCAGTGGAAACTCTGTGTGGGGGCTCCCACCCCACATTTCCCTTCTGCACTGCCCTAACACAGGTTCTCCATGAGAAAACTTCTGCCTGGACATCCAGATGTTTCCATACATCCTCTGAAATCTAGGTGGAGGTTCCCAAACCTCAATTCTTGACTTCTGTGCACCCTCAGGCTCAACACCATGTGTAAGCCTCCAAGGTTTGGAGCTTGTACCATCTGAAGCAATGGCCTGAGCTATACCTTGGCTCCTTTTTGCCATGGCTGGTGCTGAAGCAGCTGGAAAGCAGGGCACCATGTCCTGAAGCTACACAGAGTAGGGGGGCCCCTAAGCCCAGTCCAGGAAACCATTTTTCCCTCCTAAGCCTCCAGAACTGTGATGGGAGGGGCTGCCACAAAGGTCTCTGATATGTGCTGACGACATTTTCCCCACTATCTTGGTGATTGACATTTGGCTCCTCGTTACTTATGTAAATTTCTGCAGCTGGCTTGAATTTCTCCCCAGAAAAATGGGGTTTTCTTTTCTATTAAATCATCCGGTTGAAAATTTTTCAAACTTTTATGCTCTCCTTCCTTTTGAATGTTTTGTCATTTACAAATGTCTTCCGTCAGATACCCTAAATCATCTCTCTCGAGTTCAAAGTTCCATGGCTCTCTACGGCAGGGGCAAAATGCCACCAGTCTCTTTGCATAGCAAGAGTGACCTTTACTCCAGTTCCCGACAAGTTCCTCATCTCCATCTGAGACCACCCCAGCCTGGACTTCATTGTCTGTATCACTGTCAGCCTTTTGGTCAAAGCCATTTTACAAGTCTCTAAGAAGTTTCAAACTTTCCCACATCTTTCTGTCTTCTGAATCCTCCAAGTCTCTAAAACGTTCCAAACTTTCCCACATTTTCCTGTCTTCTTCTGAGCCCTCCAAACTATCCCAACCTCTGCCTGTTACCCAGTTCCAAAGTTGCTTCCACATTTTCGGGTATCTTTATAGCAGGGCCTCACTCTCTGTGGTACCAATTTACTGTATTAGCCCTGTCACATGCTACTAATAAAGACATAACCAAGACTGGGTAATTTATAAGGAAAAGAGGTTTAATTGACTCACAGTTCCACAGAGTTGGGGAGGCCTCAGAAAACTTATAATCATGGTGGGAGGCAAAGGGGAAGCAAACATGTCCTTCAAAGGGCAGCAGGAAGGAGAAGAATGCAAGCAGAAGGGGGAAAAGCCCCTTATAAAACCATCAGATCTCATAAGAACTCACTTAGTATTATGATAACGGCATGAGGGTAACTGCCTCCATGATTAAATTACCTCCCACTAGGTCCCTCCCATGACACATGGGGATTATGGGAACTATAATTCAAGATGGGATTTGGATGGGGCACAGTCAAACCATATCAATTACTATGTATTAAATGGAAGTGGATCATCACACCGGTCTTCATTCTCATCTTCTTGTTGAGTAGGCTGAGGAGGAGGAAGAGAAGGGGTTTGTTTTGCTGTCTCAGGGTTGATGGAGACAGAAAATCCATGTATAAGTAGACCCATGCAGTTCAAATCCATACTGTTCAAGGATCAACTGTATATTTGGGGTTTTTTTTTTTTTGAATGATATGAGCTTCAAGAAAAACATTCTTACGTTAAATCATTGAATACAGTTATGTACTAGAAACTAAAAGTTTCTCTGGTATGTTATAGGTAATGGAGGAGGTTAAGTAACTGATGACTGGTCACTGATAGAAGGCCTAACATCTCCCTCCCTGGGTCACCATAAAACTCACTCAGCTGCATTCTCAGGGACACAGGAAGATTCCACAATCTTCATAGAGCATTATAGTAAAGTTATTAGTTTCAAGTAATTTTCATTTTTTATTTTCTTTACCTTCTTATTTATGTGTTCTTTAATATAACTGACTTAAATCTGACTTTGAAAGCAACAGCAAAGAAGGATGCAGGAAAGAAAATAGGGAAGAGGAAAAGGGAAAAAGAGAGAAAAACAGCTGAGGTAAGAAAACCTAATGTAACGTTAAGAAAAACATTTTAAACAAACACCTTTGGCCATCATTTGGTTTCAGGACTGCAATTAACCCCATCGATTATTCATATTGAGGACTATTTTCAATAAAATACTCCTATATTGACTCCATTCTCTTTATTTTTCACAATTAATATTTATGTCTTTCCTGTGAGTCACCTTCTTTGTAGGAAATTTAAATATCCAAAGAAGAGACTAATTTTAAGGAAAAAAATTAGCCATCTCTTCTTGTATTTGTCAATTTCGGTATTTAAACTTATTAAACAGATCAACCATAGACGAACCTTTACATTTGAGAATTCTACTATTGTTTCTCAGTGTTAGGTGACAAGATTTATTTTCAACCAACCCCTTGTGGTTTCCTGTAATGTTTTAAGGAAAATTAAATAATCCCTGAGAATTGAAATGCAAGGATGAAATTACATATTATGGTGGCAATGTGATGTCACGTTTACTTTTATTAAAAATGAATATATCAGTTTAGATTTATTGGACAATAGTTTATGTCTTCAGAGTCCAAGCTTTAAAGGTTCATTCTGTACAGTAATACTTCAGTAAGATACATCTCCCTCGTCTGCAGGATCTCATTTATAAGCTAGGTTCACCTTCTGCTTCCTGCAGTAATAAATGTTTTTGCCTGCAAGATTTTAGATGAGATATTGTGTTTCTCTTCTTATCCCCTTTTCAACCTATTGCACCATAGGAAGGGTGTTCCTTTTTTGTGACCTTTGAAGGAAAAAAACTCACTAGATTCATTTTTCCAAAGCAGCTCTTCTAATGTGTTTGGAATTGCTTTCTGAATACTGTCTCTCACATTACTGTTGAGATGTTCTGTTATACGTGAGATAGAAAATAGGAAAAACCACTTAGATTGACTTCTTTCTCCATTAAAAAAAAAATAGCTTCAATTCAATACAAACTATTTTTCTCAGATTTCTATGTCTTTGAGGCTTTTGATGTTTAAACATGTGACAACTGAGGAAAAGATGCATTTAAATATGCATAGAAAGCAATGTAAAACATCTATCCTCAAATTGCCTGAAAACTCACTTTTACCTGAGTAATGTTTTAACAGATGATGATAAGTATAAGCTATTGGAGCATGCTCACTTGTGTGTGCAGGGCAGAATGTCTTTTTGTCCTTCCACAGATTCTTGTCCTAGCATATTGACAGGCTCACTTCCTTGCCATTGTGGGTCTGGAAGGCACAGGAAGCCCTGTCAGCTTCCACAATGCACCACAATGCACCAAAAAATTGCTGGAAAATGAACCAGGCAGGATGCACCCAGGTGCACCACTCTGGGGGATCCTGTCTGGTTCATTTTCCAGCATTTTTCTGGCCAGTTCATTTTTTTCTTTAGCTCCTGTTCATCTCTCCTTCCTGAGAGACGGGCCTTCTGGGGAAGTGTTCCAGTGGGTTATAGAATATTTGCAGCATCCACAGAGGATGGCCAAGCAAATGTGCACTCACAACAGGAGGAGGTATGCTTATTAGCTAAAAACATGAGCATGAGACCACAGAAGACAGTCACCCAAAATCTGGGCCCTAGAATACAGCAATTAACATCTTGAGCTTCTGTTTCCTCATCTATGAAATGGGGGCAATATTACCTGCATTGGAGCAGGTTATAACATTAAAATAGTTATTGGGTGATGAATAAATGGTGGTTATTACTGTGTTGTTTTAAATATATCTTAAAAATAGAGAAACTACCACTTAAAACCAAATTCAATTTCACAGAACACATTTAATTGAAAAGCCTTTTAGGAGTTAAAATTCTCATATTTGTCATCTTCCAACATTTTCAAACCAAACATTAGATATAATAAAACCCTCCTGGAGGAGAACTTTTAGAAATCCCAATTTGGAGTGCAGAACCGTAAGATAGGGGAAACATATTTTTATTTTCCTCCCAATTAATCTGTCTATGTCTCATTTCTACTTCTCCAGCTCTATGCAGCTATATGGTATCTGGAGGCCCTTAAAATATTTCTATTTTATTTTTCCTGAGACAATAAATATTTTGGCATCACTGATTCTCAAATGTGAAAAGACTGGAAATAGAGGAATAAAATCAGGCCTACCAAGATTTAACTGGAGAAAATATTCTTAGCTCTATTTCTCCTAGTTATTTTGGGTTTAACTATACAATTTAATTACGTTGCAATAAAAAACTACATAATGAAAGTAACCATGCCAAGGACCTCATACAGAGAGAGCACACTAATGTTTTCATTTACTTTGTTGTATAAGGGAATAACTTTAGAATGATTTTCTACAACACAGACGATAAAATAGGCGTCAGTCAATATGAAAGCCATAGTGTTCCTACTACGTGCTGGGCATTGCATTAGATGTTGCAGACTTTCCAGAGAAAAACTAGCCCCTGCCTGCTCAGAGCTAATGGTCATGGGAGAGAAATAAGACATTCCACAAATATCAAAACTATAAAGCATGTAGGAAGTGCAACAAAGGTTAAAAAAAAAGTATTTATGAGAGCAAAAAATAATGGCAGTAAGGACTTCCTGCTGAGACCTTTAGGAAGGCTTTGCAGAGTGGTGGCATTTAAACTGGATTGGATTTCAGCAGAGGGTATGGGTGAGGTTAGGGAGATCCAGGGCAAGAAAACAGAGTGAACAAAGGCGTGGGAACAGTGAGTGGTCTAGTGTGGCTGAATTTCTAGGAGCAGGGAGAGATGAGGCAACTGCTGATCAAAGGTGGGTCATATGGGGAGGGATTGTACATATTTGATAGACACTGACAGGAAATGAAAGATCTGGGAGGAAGACTGAGAAGGAAAGGTCTCAGAGGACAAAAAGACCAATGAGGAGGGGCTTTAAAGCCAAAAAAAGAAAGTGTTTACTGCTGGTTGTGGGAGATCAGTGGAAGAAAGAGATAAATAAAAGAACAATGATGAACTATGCCAATATTCTCCACTTGACAGAGATATTTCTAGGCTGGAATGGAGGAAAAGAGGAGGTATGAGGAGGGATGACTAGGAAACTAACATCCTTCAGCATGCAGCTTAAATATAACTCTGTCAAGGAGATCATCTTTGACGCTGCCTCCTCTGTCTAAGCTAAGTCGGATCCCCCAAGCTATCTGGTCTGAGTTAGTCCCAACAGGAAGTGGGCGGCACACTCAAACTGGGAAACTGATGAATTCAACAAGGAGATAATCCACAAAGGTGTATGCAGGGTTAAGGGAGACCAATAATGCCAGCCTGGCCCGTGGGAGCTGTGACCACACCCACGCCTGAGTGGCACAGGAAGTGGTTCCCAGAAACTGCAGAGGAAGGCAACTACTGTCATACTATGGCCTGGCTGGGAGGGAGCTGGGACTATAACTACCCTGACCTTGATACATTTTGGCCCTCCTATCTCCTACTGAACCCAAAGGGAAGCCAGTGTACAGGGGAACTCACTGATGCTGCCCAACAAAGCCAGTCTCCCATGGCACAGAGCAGAGAAGGGAGAGGATGCATTTGGAGGAGGAAATGAAGATAATCTATCCCATGTGTTGTCATAGTTACTATTTGTAGCACTTATCACAATTTTAAATAAAAAAGGGATAGCATAATTAGTTGTTTAGCATCTGTCTTCCTATTAGAATGTAAGCTCCCTGAAGGCAGATACCTTTTGTGTCTTTTTCTCTGCTGAATTTCTGGTACCTGGCCCAACGCCTTATATATACTTATATATATAGAATGTCTCAAGAAATATTTATTAAATGAATGAATGAATTAATTAAAAACAAACTTTATCTTTAATATTTGTTACAGGTTGTTTTGTTTTGTTTTGTTTGAGACAGAGTCTTGTTCTGTCACCCAGGCTGGAGTGCCGTGACACGATCTCGGCTCACTGCAACCTCCACCTCCTGGGTTCAAGCCATTGTCCTGCCTCAGCCTCCCAAGTAGCTGGGATTACAGGTGCCTGCCACCATGCCTGGCTAATTTTTTAAAAAAATATTATTAGTAGAAACAGGGTTTCACCATGTTGGCTAGGCTGGTCTCGCACTCCTGACCTCAAATGATCTGCCTGCCTCAGCCTCCCAAAGTGTTGGGATTACAGGTGTAAGCCACCATGCCTGGACTGTTGTAGGTGTTTTGAAAGAAACTGCAAAAACAACAAAAACAACAACAACAACAAAAACTCAAATGAGGTATACTTGGTAGTTAGCTTTGAATTCATTTTAAGCTTTGCTTGGAAGAAAACTGCTAAGCTGGAAGTTTCTACTCCTAGTTGTGGCCATAATTTTTTTTTTTTCACTGATTATCTTGCCTGAAGTTAGGCCCTTGGGATAGATCTTTGTGTAATTAGCAAGAGAAAGCTGAAGGTCCTGAATATCTGTCACCATTCCACATGTAATTCTGGCAGCTGGAACTGGAGAAAATACACTCACAGAGCACTTTCATATCTCTGAATCTTCTAGAGACTGCAAAAATTGCTTGCTTATTTTATTTGCCTTGTGTTCATCAAATAAAGGTCAATAAATCTGTATTGTCTAAAAAATTCACTTAAATCAGTAGCAAGATTCTTTATCAGTTACTCATAGGGAGAAAACACTACCAGAGTGACGTGAAGTGTGAACTGTGGTGAATACAGGGGAGAGTTACATAGTAGGGAGGGTCATTCATCTATTATAATTATTTATCTTCTAGACACTGTGCTCAGTTCCTGGGATATAATAATAACCGCATAGGCATATTCCCTGCTCTAAAAGAATTTCCAGCATAATAAGAGAGGCAGACAATAAGGAAACATAGTGAGATAGAGTTGCAGGGGAAGCACTGTAGGAGAAGAGCTGTGAAGGAAGAGTAGACTGTTCCGTGGCTCTGGGAAGGCCAATGATTCAGACTAGTGGGTGCAGTCAAAGAAGAGGAGAGCGGGAGAAAGTGACATCTGGGCTGGGGCCTGAGGGAGGAGTAGGCGGTAAGGAGATTTGGAGTATATTCTATGTATAATGGGATGCCAGTAAAGTGTGTGCTAAAGGATCCAATTTGTCTTTAAACAGATTACTCTTCCACAAAACAGATTGAAGAGGGGCAGGAGTGGAAGCTAAGCCTGTTCAAGGGAATATTCCAAGTGTCCTGGAAGAGTGGCAACTGTAGATAAGAAGAGAAATTGGGCCAGGCATGGAAGTTCACACCTATAATCCCAGCACTTTGGGAGGCTGAGGCAGGTAGATCACATGAGGCCAGGAGTTTGAGATCAGCCTTGCCAACATGGCGAAACCCCATCTCTACTAAAAATACCAAAATTAGCCGGGCATAGCAGCATGTGCCTGAGTCCCAGTTACTCAGGAGGCTGAAGCACGAGAATTGTTTGAACCTGGGAGGTGGAGGTTGTAGTGAGCTGCGATCACACCGCTGCACTCTAGCCTGGGCAACAGCGTGAGACACTATCTCAAAAACAAAAGAAATGGGCATATTCTGGATATATTCTAATGTGTTGGAGTGAGAAGGAGGGAATGAGATGAAGCAAAATATCACTTAGATTTTTGACTTGAGCATCTGGGTACATAGTGGTTCCATTATTCAAACTGTGAAGCCTGGCAGACAGACAGTTTTGAGGGGTAGGGAATGCTTTGGGCAATTCCATTTTTAGATGCACACTAGACATTGAAGTGGAGACATATAGGCAGTTGGATGTATGAGTCTGGAGCTCAGGGGAAAGAGGAGAGTGCCCAAGATTACATTTGAGAGTAAGCAGTATAGTGGTGATGCTCAAAGCCATGGAGGAGGAGGAGGTTGCCTTCGGAGGGAGGGAGGTGGCTTGTAGATGAAACAAGGGAAAAGGAGGGAGTACAGGAGCCCTCCAATATTTGGGGTGGAAGAAAGAGAAGAAGGAACCAGCAAAGGGTTCTGAGGGAGTAGAAGAGAACCCCTGGAGCGGGAAGAATTTCTAGAAACAGAAAGTTATCGAGTTTGGCAAAAATTGCTAAAAGTTCAGAATGAGGACAAAAAAGTGCCCATTTTATTTGGCGACCTGGGGGTCATTAGTGACCTTGAGAGGAGCATTTCGTTGGAATGGTGGAGGCAGAAACCAGGCTGAAGTTATTGGAAGAGAGAATGGGAGTGAAGAAGTGAAAACAGTAAGTATAGAACCAGTTAGGGGACACCTTGCAGCGAAAAACAAAAGAGAAATAAGGAAAAACCTGGTAGGAAATGTGAGGCAAAGGAAGGTTGTTGTTTTAAATAGGACAAAACACAGCCTATCTGTTGTACTGATCAGATGAGCCAATAGACAGAGAGAAACAGATGATACTGGAGAGAGGAAATAATCAGATGAATGAAGTCCTTGAGAGGGGAGATGGTATTCAAGTCACAAGAAGGGGGCGGTAACAAGAGGAAGAAGTAACACAGGAGAACCTGAAAAATAGGTAGGTTTTTCTATTTGGTAGCAGGAATAAGAGAGTTCTTAATTCTATTCCATCAATCAACAGCAAGGAAAGGTCATCAGCTGGAGTGAGGAAATAAGAAAATGTGGGAAGTAAGACTTGTGAAAGAGTGATTTCAGGCTGGGCCCAGTGGTTCATAACTGTAATCCCAGCACTTTGGGAGGCCAAGGCGGGTAGATGACTTGAGGTCAGGAGTTCAAGCCAACACGGTGAAACTCCATCTCCACTAATACAAAAATTAGCTGGGTATGGTGGTGCATGCTTGTAATCCCAGCTATTTGGGAGCCTGAGGCAGGAGGATTGCTTGATCCTGGGTGCTGGAGGTTGCAATGAGCTGAGATCGTGCCACTACACTCTAGCCTGGGCTACAGGTTGAGACTCTGTTCTAAAAAAAAAAAAAAAAAAAAAAAAAGCAATTTCAGAGAGTGGGAAAGCAAAACAAACCCACTAGAAATGAATGAGCAGGATAGTTGGGCACTGTTGGATGTTCATTTGGGGTTTATGATCATGAATTTTGATGCAACCAGTCACCCCATGGGTCCTATGTATCATTTTCCTAGCAAAGGTTAGCAACTTTGGTACAGATATGTGTTCAAAGAGGTTGGAGTTTTGACAGGTGAATATGATGTAAGAGAAGAGGGGAAAGTTCATTGAGGATGGTTGCATGGAAGTGCTGGACCAGGAACTCTAGACTGGGAAGCAAAGACATGAAAACAGAAGAGAAATGATGAATAGTCGGAAATGGTCAGTTAAATAAGCTAGGTACACGTGTTAGGCCATTCTTGCATTGCTATAAAGAAATACCTGAGGCGGGGTAATTTATAAAGAAAAGGGGTTTAATTTGATTCACAGTTCTGCAGGTTGTACAGGAAGCATGGTGCCAGCACCTGCTCCTGATGAGGCCTCAGGAAGTTTTCAATCATGGCAGAAGGTGAAGGGGGAGCAGATGTATCACATGGTGGGAAAGGGAGCGGGAGAGAGGCAAGAAGTGCCATGCTCTTTTAAACAATCACCACATGAACTCAGAGCAAGAACACACTCATTACCGTGAGAACAGCACCAAACCGTTCATGAAGGATCTTCCCCCAGAATCTAAACACCTCTTACCCATGCCCCACCCCCGACATTGGGGTTGCAGTTCAACATGATATTTGGAGGGACAAACATCCAAACTATATCAGCACAGAAAGATAAATATTGTAAATTCTCATCTCACTCATATACAGGAGCTAAAAAAGTGGATCTCATGAAGGTAGAGAGTAGAATGATGGTTACCAGAGGCTGGGAAGGGAAGGGTTGGGAGGGTGAAGAAAAGCTACTTAAGGAGTACAACAATACAATTGGATAGAAGAAATAAGTTCCAGTGTTTAATAGTACAGTAGGAGACTGGGCGCAGTGACTCACACTGTAATCCCAGCACTTTGTGAGGCCGAGGTAGGTGGATCACCTGAAGTCAGGAGTTTGAGACCAGCCTGGCCAACTTGGTGGAACCCCATCTCTACTTAAATACAAAAATTAACTGGATGTGGTGATGTGCGCCTGTAATCCCAGCTACTCAGGAGGCTGAGGCAGGAGAATTGCTTGAACCTGGGAGGTGGAAGTTGCAGTGAGCCAAGATTGCGCCACTGCACTCTAGCCTGGGTGATAGAGTGAGACTCCATCTCAAAAAAAAAAAAAAAAAAGGAAAAGAAAGGAATGATAGTATAGTACGAAAATTAAAGTTAAACATAACTTGTTGTGTATGTCAAAACAGCTAGAAGAAAAGATTTGTAATGTTTCCAGCACAGGTAAAAGATACATCTTTGAGGTGATGGATATCCCAGTACCCTGATTTGATCATTGCACATTGTATACAGAAATCTGAATATCACATGTACCCCCAAAATATGTACAATAATTATACATCAATAAAAATAAATAAGTAAAAGAAATGTAATTTAGAACTCTAAAAGAATTCTAAGGAATTATTCAGAATTATTATTTCAGAATGTTTTTGAAAGACTTTGAAACACAAACACTTTTTGTTTTTGAAAGACTTAGAAACACAAACACTTTTATATAAGTCTCAATTATATTATCTAATTCAGGGTGAACACAGAGTGACTGCTTTTCTTAGGAAATCAAGCCTCCTCTCACCTTTCTTTAAAAAAGAAAGTGGTCACTTAAACATGTCAAGGGGGCCAAAGAGTTATTACAGTGTCTATAGAGGAACAAGGGGGCTGGAAAGATAGGCGTTTGTATTTAAAAGGCAGCTTATTAGCCCGGCATGGTGTCTCAAGCCTATAATCCCAGCGCTTTGGAAGGCTGAGACAGGAGTACTGCTTGAGCCCAGGAGTTCGAATCCAACCTGGGAAACATAGTGAGACCCTGTCTCTTAAGAAAAAAAAAAAGGACAGCTTATTGAAAGTGTGATTTCAGCAGAGTGCTATTAGTGGTGATCAGGATGAGTAGGCTGTGACTATAGGTGTGCGTGGCTGGAGCAGGATGAAGGAAAAGCTGACTGAAGTTGAGTGGGCCAAGACCAGAGAGACTGGGATGTTTGACATCTTGTGATGTCAAAAGTCACTGAGAATGGTGCCAACTGCAGGGGTGGAGAGGAAGACAGTGAGCAAAACTCCTCAAAGAAAAGAGTCTGGGAAGGGGGTCAGTAGATGGCAACTAAACAGGAGATGAAAATGCAGCAAATAAGAAGTTAGGAGACTCAGAAGATCTGGGGCTTTGAAGGAAGAGAAATGGCTTGGGTATGGAAATGAACATTCTACCCTTTAGTTCTAGCCCAAGATAAAGGGAGGGCATGAAGGCTGTAAGGGAGCCATATCCTCAGGGAACAGCCTCGTTTCAGTTGTAAGCAGAAGTACAAGGTACATTCAAGAAGTCGGAGTTACAGGGGAGTTTGCTGATCATGGATCTAGAATTCTATAAGACAAAAGAAGTGCTAAGAGAGGAGAGGAAAGGGTGAGGGATTGGGTAAGATTAGGCACTGTATGAGGGAGAGTCTGAAAAGGGACCGGGAACAAGACCAAGGTGTGAGGGATAGAAATGGAGTCTTGTGAACAGACTGAAATCGGGCCCCTGGGAACTGAGCTAAGACTGAAAAACAGTTTCTTTTGAGGTCTACAAAATAAACCTGTTTTACCCCCTATTGCTCTGAAATTGATACTGGCTTTCTTTTAAGGAATGAAAGGGGTGCTAGGAAGGGTAAAAGAGAAGAGATGCTGCAGAGAACAAAAAAAATTCTTTCAGTTATTTGCAAAATATAGGGTTTTTTTCTGATCAAAATATTAACTGTTTTTTTCTGACAATTTGCAATGGATAGAATCTTTAAGAAGCAAGAAGCAATCCCTTAAAATTCTCCTACTGGAGAATTCTACTGCCAGTACTTTTTTTGCAAACCTATTTGTTGCCTCTGCCAACACACATTTTAATCTTCATTGAGCTTATATAGATGTGGAGAATCACCATGGAGAGAAGGAAAGCTGAGAAAGCAAAAGCTCACATTCTATGGCTCTGATTGTCTCAAAAAGAAGAGGAAGTGATATTAACAGCAGAGAGTGGCTGGAGTAGGGAAGCTTGGAAGTGTTAAGGAGAGTAGGAAATGTCCAGGTGGCTGCTATGGTGATATCTACAGGAAATCAACATGGGAGGATGAATAGTTACTGAGCACGTCAATAACAGAATTCTGCTGATTTCCCCGCGAGATTCAAAAAGTGGGCATTCTACCAACTCCACCAATACTAGAAAAAAGGTCATTAGAGTGCATCACTTATTTAACATAATCCACAGCAATTTTTAAAAGATCACATCAGCCAAACTGAGTTTCAAATTCTCCCCTGTAACTGCTACAGATATCATTGGTAGATACCATAGGATGATTCTCCTTTTCTTTCCAGCTAATGACTTAAGAAATGAAAAAGAAAGAAAAAAACAAAAGAAAAAACCTTTAATTTAGATCTTGACAAATATATAAAAATGAGAAAATAACTTTTAAGGTAGTGGTGGTCAACATATTTTGTCAGATGCCACATGCTTAGGTGAGAGGAGGCTTGATTTCCTAAGAAAAGCAGTCACTCTGTGTTCACCCTGAATTAGATAATTGAGGCTTATGTAAAAGTGTTTGTGTTTCTAAGTCTTTCAAAAACATTCTGAAATAATTCTAAAAGAATTCCTTAAAATTATTTTCCTAAAGAAAACTTCCACATTTTAAGACATTTGTGTACTCTTAAAAAAGTTTTTTTTTAACTTATTTTCTCCCTTTCTTGTTTGTACAACTCTCAATAAGTGTGCTGCTAAGAATCTTAATCTCCAAGGTCGTAATTTTTTCTCTTTCTTTCTCTTGACAGCACCAAGGCAGGAGGTGGCATCAGGTTCATGAAACTGTGGACCCAGAGAGTAGAGAGGTGGACAGCACCAAGCCAGGAGGGCAGCCGGGTGTGAGCCTTGGACGAGCAGGAGCAGAAGCGAGGAAATCAAGATCTCACACCAGGGCTCCGACATCAGGGGGTCTGAGGCCCCTGACTAGAGGTAGAGGCTGGGGAGAATCTGTAGGCAGGGACAGGACCAGGCAGCTGCAGATAGAGAAGGGGGCACTCACAATGTCAAAGAAACTTTATCTTTGGAAAAAACTCTCTGTCTGCCCCTGCTTCTGGTCTTTCTGAGGCTATGGTAGCTATGGGCTAAATAAGCAACACCAGACAGGTGACTAGGGTGAGGGCATTTCCCTCAGAGGCAACCTGAGAAAGAAATGCATATTAAATCCATGAATCTTGTACCCCTGAAGTTTTGAATTTGAGATAAAAATTCTCCTGGGTTTGTCCTTACTGAATAGATAAGGGTTCCCAGTGTATAGGTTTTTAATTGTTTTTGTTGTTGTTGTTGTTAACCAGGCAATTAGGTTCTTATCCATTATAAAGAGGACAACCTCAAAATAGATCTTCTGCCCATAGGGTCTTATGTCCTTCAAGAACCAAGTTTCAACTCTTGAGTTTCTGGAAATTTCCCTGCTTTTTCAGGTTTCTGTGTATTTATAGCCAACAGTCAAATCTAGGAATAAGAATAGCTACCTTTAGAGCAGTGTCCTATGTAGAGTAGGTACTCAATAAATTATCAATTGGATTAATTTATAAATGATTGTCATTATTAGCATGAAGAAGCATATATTACATGCCAGATGACATTTTATATTCCTTATTTCATTATATCTTCATAATAGTTAGAGATTTCTTTTTATCCCCACTTTATAGAAAAGGAAACTGAATCACAGAAAGGTCGTACTGCCTCTTTCAGGATATACCAATTATGTGTGCTAGTAAGTAGTGGAGCCAGGATTTGCACTCACGTAGTCTGGACCAGACCACACTCTCAGTCACTATGGTTCTAAGTCCAGTATGGTAAGAACCTAAGGTGAAGTTAGGAGAAACCAAACAGGTATATAGAATCTGGGAGGTTTTAAAGTTACATTGTAAGGATCCTTTTACATTTTTTATTATTAAAAATGTCAAACAAATTAAAATAGAATAGTATAACAAACATTTGTGTGCCATCACTTAGCTCCAAAAATTATCAATCTTGCTTCATCTAAACCTGTAGCTCCCACCAATGCCCCAAATTATTTGAAGCAATTTCCCAATAATATATCATTTCATCTGTAAGTATTGCATATATCTCTAAAATACAGGCTCCATAAACATTTCTCAATATTATTTCAGATGTAAAAGAAAATATAAAATAACCAAATAATGAGACTATTCTGAGTTTTTAAGTGCTTAACTTAAAAAAAGTATCAAAAATTCTCTTAAGGTGGAATGAAATAGAGAGAAAGCTGTTCCCTAATGGATATAGATATTCCTGAAACAGAGAACGTGTAGGTGCCTCTTTTGTTTGAGATGGAGTTTCACTCTTATTGCCCGGACTGGAATGCAATGGCATGATCTCAGCTCACTACAACCTCTGCCTCCTGGATTCAAGCAATTCTCCTGCCTCAGCCTCCCGAGTAGCTGGGATTACAGGTGCCCGCCACCACGCCCAGCTAATTTTTGTATTTTTAGTAGAGACAAGGTTTCACCATGTTGGCCATGCTGGTCTTGAACTCCTGATGTTAGGTGATCCACCCGCCTCGGCCTCCCAAAGTGCTGGAATTACAGGCATGAGCCACCACGCCTGGTCAGGTGCCTCTTTTAACAGCAGATAGAATGTTGAAAGTAGGTGAGGTGTTTTAAGTAAGTAGAGAAGTATAGTATTAGGGTATGCTGTAATTCAAGTTGCGAGGTTTCTCCCCTTTCTCCTTTATTTCCTACTTAACAGTATGTGTCAGATATTGTGTTATTCTTAAATATAATGTGGTGAATAAAACAGACAGTCTCGGTTTGTTCAGAACAGACAGAAATTAAACATATAATTCCCTCAAAATAAAAAGAAACTGTGAAAGAGTGAGAGAGAGAGAGAGAGCACAAGCTACTACAAGAAATAATGATGGCAAAGCCCCATTTAAACTGAAAGAGGAAGGTGCTGGAAGTCCGTACTAAGTGACTGGTACTGTGACCCGAAGAACAACTGGAGTCAGCTAGATGAAGTGTCTGAGTAAGAGGGTTTTGGGCAGAGAAAACAGAAGGTGCAAAGGCCCCACGGCAGGCAAGAACTTGTCAAGCCCAAGGGCCCAAAAGAAAGCTGGTGTGGCTCAGTATAAAGGGGAAGGTGAGTAGGGAAAAGATGAGGTTGGAAAGATAGAACCATGTAGACCAGATTAAAATACCTGGATTTCATGTAAAAGGTCAAGCCATTGAAAGGTGTTAAATCTGGAGAGTGCTTTGGTCTTTTTTTTTTTTTTTTTTTTTTGAGACGGAGTCTCTCTCTGTCGCCCAGGCTGGAGTGCGGTGGCGGGATCTCGGCTCACTGCAAGCTCCGCCTCCCGGGTTCACGCCATTCTCCTGCCTCAGCCTCCCAAGTAGCTGGGACTACAGGCGCCCGCCACTACGCCCGGCTAATTTTTTGTATTTTTAGTAGAGACGGGGTTTCACCGTTTTAGCCGGGATGGTCTCGATCTCCTGACCTCGTGATCCGCCCGCCTCGGCCTCCCAAAGTGCTGGGATTACAGGCGTGAGCCACCGCGCCCGGCCGCTTTGGTCTTTTAAGATACCATAAAGATCACCTTGGTTGCCATATGAAGGCTTCAGTGGATGTCCTTCAGGAGAGGAATTAGGGACACCAGTTAGGAGGGCATTGCTCTCATGCAGGTGACAGAAAGTGTCTGAGGAACGAGGAAGAAAGCTGTAAACTGAAGGTATATTTTGGAGGTAAAATCCATAGGATATAATGATGAATTGTTGAGATGGCTGCTATAGGAGCTCATATTGATATCATCCCATCATCCCAGGGCTTGGGTTTTTCACATAAGAATCCTTTGTAGGCTAGATGTAGTGGCTCATGCCTGTAATCTCGGCACTTTGGGAGGCTGAGGCAGGCGGATCACCTGAGTTAAGGAGTTTGAGACCAGCATGACCAACATGGCAAAACTCCATCTCTACTAAAAATACAAAAATTAGCTGGGTGTGGTTGCACGTGCCTGTAATCCCAGCTACTTGGGAGGCTGAGGCACGAGAATTGCTTGAACCTGGGAGGTGGAGGTTGCAGTGAACCACGATCGCACCACTGCAATCCAGCCTGGGCAACAGAATGACACTCTGTCTCAAAAAAAAAAAATTTTTTTTTTAAAGAGTCCTTTCTAATATTGATGTCTCCTTGACAAGCATCTGGAGAGTCTCCCTGAAGAGGCCATCATGGAGCTGAACCTGTTGACTGGTATTCCCATTGTTTAAGTATTGGACAAGATCTGGAAGCCCATTAAGCCCATGCAGTTCTTGGGGGATTAACTTCCATAGATAAAGCTAAGGAAGCCATGGCTGCCAGGGCTAGGCCAAGAAGTGAAGGCCAACAGGCAGGCTACTATCCCCAGGAACACCCTCCCTGCCCAGCCCATTGCAGGTACCACACTGAACACAACTGCAGGCATCTCAAGTTGTAGCTGCAGATGGGGACTGGTGCCTCCCATTTTTATTTTAGCCATTTTGTCTCCTGCACCTACTTCCTTCATACAGTCTAGTCAGAATGACACCTCTGGGGCCTGGGTTCTCAGTCCAAGCTGAGGGAAGGCTCCTCTTTTTCAAGGTAATATTGAGGTAGTAACTCGGGTTTTTGCTAGTGCTTTGTTTACTAAGAACCTGCTTAAGTAGGGGTTAGGGAGGGAACCATGCTGAGGCATGACCAATGAGGAGAAGCAAGAAAGCCTATTGCCCCCCAGTCTTGTGCTCTCCTGTAGCCAGGCCACTGCCTTAGGGGGCTTTAGTCACTCCAGTGAAAGATAAATGTAACCTGCCTGATGATGTAAAAAAATAACTATTTCTTTCCTTCCTGACTCTAGAGGAGCTGGCTCCAGAAGGTTGAGGGCAATCCTAAATTAAGATTATATGCTATATTTACACTGTCTCTCTCTCTCTCTCTCTCTCTCTATATATATATATGTATATAAATAATGATACATATATATGTGTGTGTATATATATATAAAATGATGCATGTATATACATGTATATATATAATGATACAAAACAAAAGCCCTTCTGGGGTTTCTAGTGGTAGTTGAAACAGTCCCACACGAAATCATTAGAAAGTATTAGAAATAGTCCCACACCAATATGGGATAAGCTCCTTGACTTCTAAGGGGTAAGAATGCATCCTGCTGTGTGTTTTAGAATATCTTCCCCACCTTGTTTTGTGGCAGAGTAATGCCCCTTGATCATGTCCAAGTGTGTTTTTCACTGTCTTATTTCTGAATCATGTTTTAATTGCTTAGCCCTGCCACATGGGCCCAATGTTCATTTTTAGTATAATATACTAAATGATTTTTCCATATCAGTATAATAAAGGAGTGATGTGCAATTAAGAAAACATTGATGGCCCCATCACTTGTCTGGTCTCGTATCATACCTATAATAATTGGCAATGTTAATTGAGTATTTACTATGTGCCAAGTTCTGTACTAAGTGCTTGACTTTGATGTTTTATTTATTTATTTATGAAGTGGAGTCTCATTCTGTTGCCCAGGCTGGAGTGCAGTGGCACAATCTTGGTTCACTGCAACCTCTGCCTCCTGGGTTCAAGCGATTCTCCTGCCTCAGCCTCCTGAGTAGCTGGGATTACAGGCGCCCGCCACCATGCCTGGCTAATTGTTTTTGTTTTTTGTTTTTTGTTTTAGTAGAGACAGGGTTTTACCATGTTGGTCAGGCTGGTCTTGAATCCCTGACCTCAGGTGATCTGCCCATCTCGGCCTCCTAAATTGCTAGGATTACAGGTGTGAGCCACCACACCTGGCCAGATGTCTTATTTAATCATTCCTCTAACTCTGTGGAGTATGCATGAATTTTAGAGATTAGGCAATGGAAACTTACAGAGGTTAAGTGACTTGTCCAGTCACATGTTAATAAATAACAGTTCTGGGACTCAATCTCCTCTGTCTTCAAAGCCTGTGCTCTTAAGTACAATATGACATTGCCTCAGTATATCTGAAGTCATGATGAGATAGTAGACTGCTTCCAGAAAGGTCTCCAATGATCCCTGCCTCCTAATATTCACTCTCTCACGTAATCCCCTCCCTGTGACTAGCTTTTAATAAACAGAATGTGGCAATGGTGATGGGATGCCACTCTAAGATTAGATGATAAAAGACTGTGACTTCCATCTTAGCAGCACTCTGACTTGCCTTATTGCTCACTTGCTCTTATAAAGCAAACTGCTATGCTGTGAGCTGCCCTATGGAGAGGCCCATAATGCAAGGAACTGAGGGTGGCCTCCAGCCAAAAGCCCAGGTAGAAATGAATACTGCTAACAGCCACATGTGTGCACATGGAAGTGGATCCTTCCTCCCCTGAGCCTTGAGATTTCTGCCGATCAGCTGACACTTCGATTGCAGCCTGTGAGACTCTGAGCAGAGGACCTAGTTAAGCCATGGCCAGATTCCTACTTTACAAAAACTGTTGTTTCAAGCTACCAAGTTTGGGGGGTAACGTGTTACACAGCAATAGATAACTAATACAAATGATAATGTCAATATTAATAATATTAACAACTGTCCTAGTATCTTGCATTTATGTAGTGTTTCAAACTTTTCCAAAGAAAAATCAAGTTTCAGAATAATGAAATTAGAAAAATATATTTCTAGTATCTTCCCCTAAAACACAGCAGCTGCACTTGAAAGAACCACCTGTATTTTCAACAAGAAAAATTGGTATTTATTCACCTGTTTTCATTACCTTAAATCCCATCTCTAAAACCATTTGAAATATGGTATCTAGCAAGGGACCCTTTTTCTTCTTTGTACTAAGCTATTAGCAAAGAGATATGTTTAAGCATCTGGCCTGGGTGTTCTTTAGGACCTCACATTTGTAGCAGCCAGTTGGACTTCTTAGCCTGTGCTGGGGTTTCCTAATCCCTGTATCAATTCCTGCTCCAAGAGAGGGACATGGATTTTAAGCTGTCAATCAATATTTTTGCCAGTTGAGATGAAATATAAGGGGTGAAAGAAAAAAGCTAACATAAGACCAGAGCTCAAATTGGGCAAGACTACAAAGAATTTTTCCAGAAAGTTTTCCCAGAAGGAGCTAATTATTGTGGGAGAAAGTAATCTTCATGTTTGGCTTGAATAACCACAGAAACAACAAAATGCAAATATTTAAAAAATAATGGGAAAATAGAAGAAAAATTTTGATTATACTCTCGGTGGGCTTACTTTAAAAACAAAAAACCACTGAGTGTATGTGTAAATATGTATATACCTACACATACACATTAGCAGAAAGGGAAACATGGGAAATTCACTAAAAACGTACTTATTTTGCACATAGTTATAGAGCAAGGAAGTCCTGAATGTAATTGTAAAGGTTACACCACAGAATAAGATAAACACAGGCTGGGCGCGGTGGCTGACGCCTGTAATCCCAGCACTTTGGGAGGCCGAGGCGGGCGGATCACGAGGTCAGGAGATCGAGACCATCCTGGCTAACACGGTGAAACCCCGTCTCTACTAAAAATACAAAAAAATTAGCCGGCCGTGGCGGCGTGCGCCTGTAGTCCCAGCTGCTGGGGAGGCTGAGGCAGGAGAATGACGTGAACCTGGAGCCGAGATCGCGCCACTGCACTCCAACCTGGGTGACAGAGCAAGACTCCGTCTCAAAAAAAAAAAAAAAAAAAAAAAAGATAAACACAGTCTCTACCCTGATATAGCCTAAATTTTAGTGGGATAAACAGATAAGTAAAAGCTAACGTAATAAATCAATAAATAACTACAGGTTGTGATCGTGATTGAAAGTAAAAACGAGGAATTGTTTACACAGGACATTCAGAAAAGGCTTGTCTGAGAACGAAAGAAAGTGGGGTCAGCTATGTTAGGAGCTGGGAGAGAGGTTTCCAGATAAAGGGAATAGCAAATACAATGGCCCTAAAATAGAAAGAGTGTAGACTGTTCTAGAACTGTCAAAGGTCAGTGAGCCTGGTGAAGAATGGTATGAAATGAGGAAGTGGTGGTCATAGGCCAGATCATTTAGGGCCTTATAGGCCCTGCAAAGGAGTGGGATTTTACTCTAAATTGAAAGGGAACGTATGTTTTCAAAAGATCACCCTTGTGGCTATGTGAGGAATAGATATAAACAAGCTAAAGTGGATGTCTGAAGCTAAGTAGGAAAAAAAGCCTATTGCGCTATTCCAGGCTAGAGATGAGAGTGGCTTAGAGCAGAGGTTGGCAAAAGACATAAAGAATAACGGACAGATTTTGGTGGTAGAATGAAAAGGACTTAAAGCTGAATTCGATGTGGAGGCTGAAGGATTGGACGAATCAAGGAAACCTCTTGGGTTGAGTGTTTCATATGTGAACATGGTGTCATGTATTGAACTGAGAAACCCTACAAAGATCTGTGTGTTGAGAGATCAGGAGGTTGGTTTTGAACATGCAATCTGAGATGTCTCTGAGAAATTCAAGTAAAGGTGTAATTTAGAAAGTCAGATCTATGAGCTTGAGCTAATATTATATTATATATATATTATGAATATAAAGTCAATCACATTCTGTAGTTAGCCTAAATATATCAATATACACAACATGAAGGATTATGCTTAGTAATGTAATTCTTTGATTTTACAGAGCTGAAATAAACCTCAGATTTTTCAAGTTATTTTTTACTTTTAATTGTCCAAACACAGCACCATTTAATTTTTTTCAGCTTCATGCTTTCTAATTTTTGAATATTTGAATTCTCCATTATAAAAATATTTTTAATATTTTTTAGAATATTAGAAAGCTACAGAAAGGGGGAGAGGTCTAAAATTTATGGAGCACTAACAACAGAACAGGCAGAAATGACATAACATTATTTCACTTAAATTCATAACAATCCTCTAGGATTACCTCCTTTTGGCAGGTGAAGAAGCTGAGGTTCAAAGCATTTAAGTTAACTTGTCCAGTGACATATGATCAGGATTCAAAGCCAAGTTTTCTTTTGGCACTAAAGGCCACATCCCATCTTTACAGAAGATGCAAAGCCCACAGCGTCTCCTTTCGTTTCTCTTTTCATTTCCACATTTTTTCCCCACTGTTCTTACATCTCTTTTACTGTTCAACCCAACTGAATTCAACAAACACTTGGAGCATTCCCCTACATTTGTATGGCTGGTAACTGCATTTCTGCTGAGTTTTGGACATGTTCTGTTCTTCACCTCCACTATTTGATGGCCTTCTGCCATTGTCTCAGCTGCTTAATAACGAGAAATTCCCCGTATCCCTTCTTCTCAAAATGTCATAAATAGCTGCTATTGCCTTGGCAATTTCCTGGACTTCCACATCCAGTGAGGATTGGCTGTTACCTAAACTGTTAATTTTCTCCTGGCTGTAATCCACGGGAAACTATATTCATTAACTCTGAAGCTTGCTTCCTGGAACAAACAACTTGATTTTCTTCCTCTTTGCTTCTTGTTCTTCTGTGTTTTCTTACTATATTTCCCGTTCTTATTTCACTTTTAATTTCATTAGTTTCTTTTTATGTTGTTTTAAAAATAATCTAATGCCCATTTCTAGTCTCAGTTTTTTTCCCTGCATTTCTATTTTTTTGCTAGTTGGAAGTGCACTATTTGAACCAGTTAGTACTTATTTATTCGTTTGTTTAAATAGACTAACAGCCCCAGCACAGGACTTGACCATTCCATATCCGAAAAAATTGGTAGTTGTCGTGGAGAGATATACCTATCTTAGTTAGATACATTAGTCAAAGGAACATCACATGATTTTTTTAAAACAAATTCCTCTGTAGCTATTTCTATGTGCCTGTCACTGTTAGAAGACATGAGCTATTACTTAATCTTCCTATTCACTCTGAGATAGCTACTATTATTATCTTGTTACAGATGAAGAAACCACAGGAACAGAAACTCAGAATAGAAAATCTATATCAATTTTTACACATGAAAATAGAACCTGACCCCTACCACCTGACAGAAGTTTTATATTTGGGGTATTGTATGATGGAAAAAAAAACCCAGAAAATGGGGTCTCTTACTGTGTAAAGAAGTGTAATGCTCCCAGAAGAAGAGAGTTCCACAGGGAGAGAACTGAGTAAGGAGACCTGACTTCCTCTGTGTGCAGGAAAGGCAGCTATGAAGGAAGACTGACCTCTTTGTGAAGGTAGGTATTTTGTTATCAAAAGGTGTCTTTCCTTTTGATAACAAAATAAAAAATTTATGTTAGCTAGAAACTTATCCTTTACTCTGCTAGTGCTCTACTAGAGCAATCTACATTTAGCTGTGTGTGATGTGCTTGTTTAAAGAGACCAAAGGAACATGGTGCCCTCAGGGAAGACGGCATCAGCTTCTTGAGTGGACCGTGGGTCACAGTTCCACGAGGTGATTAGCAGTGCTGTTTGGCAGTCTTAGAGGAGTATTCCAAAGAAATGTAAGACCAAACCTGGCAACCCTTATAGATTGGAGAATGCTTCCCTGAAAGGGGAAAAGAGGAAACTAGGAAACATTTGCATTTCATAATACACATGAATTGTTCGTAACATATAAGCATGATTTCATAGATAATCTTAAAAATAATCCAGTAATAATATGACACCGTGATAGCATTGTAAGTTAAAAAAAAAAAAATCACAAATCCGCTGGTAGCCTAACACCAACGAAACGTGGACAAATAACTTTTTGTTGAGAGTTACTCCTTTATCAGTAGCAACATTGTTGAGCTCTATTTGGAACCACAATGTATACATGAAGTAAAGTCTATTATTTGGAAATTTATAGATCAAATGAAAATAAGCCTACACTATAAGTTTAACCAAAGAATGCAAAATAAACTAGATTAATAATGATGAAGTGAACAGTCCTATATAATTAAAGAGTAAGACTAGTAGTGAAGAAAATTATGACTAACCCAACATAATACTGTTGATACACTGATGATAAAGGGTACTTTCAAAAAGCAGAAAGAATTTCAAGTATCTGCAATGTATAAATAGTGAGCAGTTTGCAAATTTGTTTAAAAGCCAGTAGAATGTTAATTTAGAGTCCCTAGTAAATTCCAAAATAAGTTTAATTTAATTTATGAATACCACATTGTAGTAATTCTTAGTAACTACTTACAAATTATTAACTCTCTTAGAAATGTTTTGGGCAGCATGTAATAGAAAACTCCAGCTGATATTGACCTAAGCCATAAGAATTCTTACTGTTTATGTAACAAAAGCCTGGAGGCATATGATTTGAGGATTAGATCAGCAGCTCCAGATTTTAGGGTACTTGCTTGATGTCTTTGTGATTATCTTGGACATCCCTGCAGCACCAGGCACCACATTCTCGGGCCTCAAAATTTAAAGACAAGAAGCAAGAGTGAGGCCAGAGTGGTGAGAGAGCTCCTCCCACAGGCCTGTTCCTGTTTATCAGGGAGAGAGAAACCTTTCCTAGAAGCCTGCCCATGAGACCTCTCAGGTCACGTTGGCCAGAACTGGGTCCATGGTCATGCAAGCTACAAGGGAGACCAGGAAAGTAAATATATGGGTTTTGTTTTGTTTTGTTGTTTTTTGTTTTGTTTTGTTTTTTTCCAGCTTCTAGAGAGGGAGAGATGAGCAAGGAAGAAGGAAGTTGGAAATGAGTGTTGGGCATCATTAATAAATGTTGGCCATGTTTTCTGTCTTAGTCTATTTGGGCTGCTATAACAAAATACCTTAGACTGGGTAATTTATAAACAATAAAAATGTATTGCTCACAGTTCTGGAGAATGAGAAGTTCAAGATCAAGGTGCCAGCTGATTTGGTGTCTCGTGAGTACCCATTCCTCAGAGGTGGTGCCTTCTATGTGTCCTCACATGGTAGAAGGGGGAAACGAGCTCTCTTAGGCCTCTTTTTTAAGGGCACTAATCCCACTCATGAGGGTGAATCCCTCTTGAAAAATCACCTCCTACAGGCTGCACATTTTAATTTTGTTGCATTGGGGATTAGGTTTCAACAAATGAATTCTCAGGGTATGGAAACATTTAGACCACAGGATTTTCCAAGTTTAGAAGCTCTTTCTCTGAATTTCTTACAACATGAAGCCAAGACTTCTTACATGGCAGGCCTTTCATGGGCCTATTCTCTAGCCTTCTCCCCACCTTCTCCCATAGACAACTGAGGTTCTGACCATTGTAAATGAATTGCAGTTCCTACACGTCAGCATCTGGACCTATACATTTACATCTTGGCTTTTCTATTCGCCCTTGAAAGAAACAGTCTGTGAAGTATGTTCCAGCCTTCTCTATAACCCCAGGAAAACTCCATTCTTTCCCCAGCATCCTGTATTCTTCTGTATCACTTGATCACATTGTTTTGTGTCTGTTTATTTGTGAGTCTTCCTCGCCAAACTCCAAAGGGGATTTTATTATGCTCACTTTGGGGCAGCACCTTGCACATTGCCAGGCATGGAATTATAGCTTCCTAAAGACTCCTTGAATGAAGGAATGGATGGATGAATATATAAATCTTTGGCCAGGCGCAGTGGCTCACGCCTGTAATCCCAGCACTTTGGGAGGCTGAGGCAGGCGGATCACTTGAGGTCAGGAGTTCAAGACCAGCCTGGCCAACATGGTGAAACCCCATCTCTACTAAAAATACAAAAATTAGCCGGGCCTGGTGGCACGTGCCTGTAATCCCAACCACTTGGGAGGCTGAGACAGGGGAATCGCTTGAACCTGGGAGTCTGAGGTTGCAGTGAGCCAAGATCGCACCACTGCACTCCAGCCTGGGCGACAGAGCAAGACTCCGTCTCAAAAAAAAAAAAAAAAATAGAAAGGAAAGGAGGGAGGGAAGGAAGGAAGGAAGATATAAATCTTTGGATTTAGTCCTTGCTGTCCTGTGTATGAATGTCCTGATATGAGCATAATTTTCTTTTTTTCTGCAGTTTTGCTCTCCTGCATATTTTCCCCTGGACACCCATCTTATCTGTGGAGCACAGCACCAACGGGCTGCTCCTTCTCTGGGCTGCTGATTTGTCCATTGTCAGTCCTCTGCAGGCTGCCTCCTAAGCCTCAGGTGCAGTCTGACACCTTGCTGCATTTCCTCTCTGCATTTACAGAGGATCTCCTCTGCGTTTTCTGCCTGTGATGCTACAGGGCAGCTCAATCTCAACAAGGCCCTGTCTGCTGCCTCCAAAAAGCCCTGTCCACTAAAGTAAGCCCGTTTCTTACCTCATCACTTTGTTACTAACTGTCTTTACTGATCACATTTTTCTCATTATA
Organism: Homo sapiens; assembly: GCF_000001405.40. Lineage (NCBI taxonomy): Eukaryota > Metazoa > Chordata > Mammalia > Primates > Hominidae > Homo > Homo sapiens. The sequence goes on from NC_000013.11 coordinate 60,331,650, forward strand.
TCTTCTAATAGGAGAGAATATTTTTCTTTATCAGAAAACGTTGTGTTATAAAAGAATAGAACTGATTTCCTATTTGAAGATTTTCACCACACCCAAAAGAGAAAACAAGAGAACACACAGTTTCTAAGGTTCTCCCTGGTTTCCTTACTTGCCTGGTCCCATTATGCCTGAGGAGGAGGGGTGGAAGGAGAGAGTTCAGCAGGAAACATTTCACTCTTTCCTGCCTCTTATTTATTTATAATTTTGAGAGTGCTCTGTCTCCAGGAGGGAAGTAATGCTTCTCTTCTCAAATTTCTCACTGACTTTCAAATGGGCTTAAATACTGATTTCTTTAGACTTCTGACCTAATGTATTCTACACAATATGAATCTGAGGTTCGATTTCTAGGTGGGTGGGTAAGAGGTGGAAAGGGTTTGTACTCAGAGCTCAGAACTGAGAACAAGTTGAAAGATTTGCCAATGTACAGGGGAACAAAAAGTGTGCAGAGGTCTCAGGAGTGCAGGCTTCTCTGCTACAACATGAGTTTTCATAACTTGAGCTGACTTTAATATGATTGATTCATTAGGGAACATTGTATTTTGTAGATTGCATTGGCTATAATTGGACAGAGATTGGGAATTAGCACCAATCAGAGCAAAACTGCTGTTCTGGTTGCAGCCAAGTTTGTTTAAATGGCTGGGTGATAAGATGGCTGATGAAGGCGGTAAGTGCTATCTTTAGATAAGCACTGAGCTAATTGGTATTTCTGGAGGTTACTGGAAAAGAAAAGCAATTAGTTCTGCGGTGACACAGAACCGGTCTTCCAAAAATATGGGGAAATTTTTAGTTTTTAAAATAGTGTGGGTGGGAGATTTATTGGCAATAAGTGGGTAGAGACCAGAGATGCTAAACTTGCAATGCACAGGACAGACCTACACAAGGAAGAATTGGCTTGCCACAAATCTAAAATTCCAAAAGTTGCATGTCCCTAATCTTCTGCCCCAAGGATGGGTATACCAGCTGGAGAGAAAGCAATATTTTGGGTTTATAGCTGTACATGAAATTATTAAAGGAAAGCCTTTATTCTGGACATCTTGAAGTCAAAATCCTATGGTTCCTTCAGCATCTTTCTCACTGAAACAAAAGTTGGTGTTTATCAAAGCTATTTTTTCTTTTAGGTAACAGGAATTTTCTTAAGAAGACAACTAAAAATCTCTTTTAGCAGGGCAGGTGGTAAAAGAGGAAGTCCTTCCCAGTACTTGAAATATTACAGATTCCCTTACCTAGAAGTGGAGTTTACTGTACTTGTCAGTTTTCCCCTCCACTTTGGGCAATATTTCAGTTCAAAAGAAAACTGCTGTGTGAGAGGGAAAGGTCGACCAACTTATGCTTCTTTTAGATGGTATCAGTAAATCTGAAGTATCTTCAATTTGCCTTCACTTTAGAATAAAATTTAGCTTACTATACTTACTCTTAGCCCTTAAAAAAAACACATCTCTTTCCAGTGAAAACTCAGTGCTCATGCTGATAGTCCACTTTAAAAGTTAATCTGTTTTTTCTCTGGTTATTTCTAAGATTTTCTCATGACTTGTAAGTTTGATTACTTTATCCCACAATTTCACTATATGTCTAAGAATGGATTTGTTTCATTTATCTAGCTCAGAATAAAGTATGCTTCTTTAGTCTGAGGTCTCATGTCTTCATTTCATTCTGGAATTCTCTTAGCCATTTATCTTCTTATCCCAATATTTTCATTCTATTTTCTATTTCTCTTAACTTCTCTTTCACATTTTCTATCTTATTATTTCTCTGTGCTGTGTTCTGGTTTATTTTCAAAGATTTATCTTCAATTCACTAATTTTTTCTTCTGCTGTATCTAAACCGTTATTTAACAAGTCTATCAAAGGTTTATTTTTAAGTGACTGTTATTTCCTTTCTATTGTTCTTAAATGGTCCAAATTCCTTCAGCTTTAAAGTTTTACTCATCAAAAACCCTATATCTTTGAACATCTTAAATATGTTTATATTAAAGTCCCCTTTAGATTGCTGTATTGTCATAGTTGTGAAATCTCCACTTTGTTGGGTTTCTTGTTTACCACTAAACTCTCTTATATATTATAATTTCTTTTTATGCATTCACCTTCTGTAAGTTATCTTTCCTAGCAGTATCATATGAGCCCTAGAGGTTTCCCTTAGGAAATTTTCCCATAGCCTCTATTGAGGTTCTGAACTATCATGTTTTCCAGTTTGAGATTTCTGCATAATGTGAATAATGTAAATTTAGATACTTTCACCTGAGCATAGATTTGACTTTTCCATGTAGACTCCTCCATATCCCCAACCAGATGGGCTGTTTCTGGGCTCTGTTTAAAGTCTACTGGCCTCATGGCAGGAAAATTCTTCCTTGGCTTCTCACTTTAGGCAATGAATCTAGTTCTTGCTGTGTGCAGGCTCTGCACTTTGAGTCTTATCTCTACAAAGTATTAAAGCCTCAATTATGGTATCCTGGTACTTCATAGGCAATGAAGCTTTAATTCCTCTTTACTTGGAGACTTCTTCATTTATGCAACCTGGATTTTTTTTTTTTTTTTTAGTGTTTAGTTTAGATACATGCTATTAAAATATTTTAAATGTCCTATCTAGATGTCTATGTTTTTTGATTTTTTGCTTTTCTGGAGGAGTGAAAAGGATTTCCCCTTCTGCTTAGTCCACCATTTGGACTGGATGTCATTCCAGGTCTTCTTGTCTTTACCACAAAAGTAATTTTCACTCTGGTACAGATTAGATGCTCAAGAAATAGTTGTTGAATTGTTATATAATTAAGGTTTATAGCACACTTTGGCTGAATTGGACCTTGTATAAAGGAGCTTTAAATCAATCTTAAGGAAAATACACAAAACAAGAGAAGAATACTGTTTTTGATAGTGTGTCAATTTGCTTATTCATTTTATAGCAGTTGTTTCTCTTTTTCACTGTGGAATTTCCTGTTAGGCTTATCTGAGAAATTTATTCTTTATAGTTCTATAATTAACCAGAAGTGTTTGGGGCTTTGGTTTCAGCAGATTCGGGGTTTAAATTTCAACTGTGCCACACTCAGATGTTCAAGCCACATTGTAGGGACTCAACAATTACTTGTTGAAGGAATAAATGAATGGATGGATAATTTAGCTAAGGATCAGTTCTTCCTATGTGAAATGTGGCCAATAATAGTAACCTCGCCATAGGGCTTTAGAATTAAGTGAGCTCACCTCTGCAAAGAACCCAGCATAGCGTTTAGCATAGAGTAAGAGCTCAGTGAGTGTTAACTATTATTATTATTCCATATAGTTACTTGAAATGCATATCTCAGGGCCTAGACATAGAAGAATTAAATAATTATGCATTCCCTTAACTTCTTTAACTTTTCCTGTTACTTTCATTCTTTATATCTTCTTTTAAAAAATGTCTACTCTTGGCTGGGCATGGTGGCTCATGCTCGTAATCCTAGCACTCTGGGAGGTCGAGGCAGGAGGATCACTTGAGGGCAGGAGTTCAAGACCAGCCTGGGGAACATAGTGAGACCCCATCTTTATTTAAATTAAAAAAAAGAAAAAAAAATCTACTCTTTATAGGGCCATGCTCATAGATGTCATTAAGAATCCAATTTGAATTCATAGTTCTATGATTTCCCCCATATTTCTGAAAAAAATCTGATTTTTTTATATATTAATAATATTGGAATAGTTGTTCTCCAAGTAAGTATTTATTACATTATTAGAAAAATTAAATCAAGAAAGTAGAGCCAAGTAGAGGTCTGGCATCACTGCACCAGTGAAAATACCATATCATATTATTCTAAAGGAGGAAAGGTTTCCCTGACTTAATAGATATTAAAAACCAGGAAGAAATAAAAACACAAATTTCCTTGAGGTCATTCTAATTTTCACTGATTACTTTTTAAAAGGGAGTTAAAATATCTTAAAGAAAACTAGATCATCATATAGTTTTTGTGCTATTATTTTCCCTTTAATATTCAACTACAATTTATGTAATTTAAACTATAAATTTTTAGAATTCCATTGTTTCCTTGCTTGATAATAAATACAGAAACGTATAGTGCCATCTTGTGAAAAAGATGCAGAACTGCATTACACTAATTTATTTGTGTAAGTTGAAATATAACAGGGGAAAGGGATATAGAGCTAAAAGTTGTGCATAATAAAGATTAATCAGCATATTTCTGTTAGCTAGATTTAATGTTAAAAAATAGAATTTAGATGGGTTTCCCAGCTGCCTAAATATTTCTGTAGCCTGGATAATAGCCAGAAAGGCAAGGGTAACATATTGAGTTGAAATTGTGCAAGGGGAACTACCAAATTTCAGAACATTTTTATTCCAAAGGGAAAAAGAAGAGAAAAACATTATGTCTGATGCTCTAAACTGCAAAGCTGTGTATATGATTGAACCAAAGATGTTGCTAACCACAATGGAGAGGAGAGGTGAAGCACATTACAAGGAAATTCAAGGCCCTTGGAATGATCTGATTAAACAGACAAAAGTGGCTACTTGCCTACTGACTCAGGAGCACTGTCCTTGACTGCTTTTCTTATTGAAACACCCCACACGTATGTATGTTGGAAATTGTTATACATTTTCATCAGGATAGTACAGAGATCTGGTGAAGGCACTAATATAGGGAATGAATTTGTATTTGAGGTGTTTTTTGTTTGTTTGTTTGTTTTTGAGACAGGATCTCACTCTGTCACCCAGGCTGGACTGCAGTGGCACGATCTCGACTCACTGCAACCTCTACCTCCTGGGTTGAAACCTTTCTCATCCCTCAGCCTCCCAAGTAGCTGGGACTACAGGCACACACCACCACACCCAGCTAAGTTTTATATTTTTCGTAAAGATGGGGTTTCACTATGTTGGCCAGGCTGGTCTCGAACTCCTGACCTCAAGTGATCTGCCTGCCTCGGCCTCCCAAAGTGCTGGGATTACAGGTGTGAGTCACCATGCTGCCCATGTATTTGAGGTTTTATAGAGGGCCAAATGAAAAGAACAAAGAAAGATTGTTTTTGTTAGGAGGGGCTGATAGAAAATGAAGATGAGACAGAATCAGGGAAATAGTGATGGTTGGGGGTGGGAGGTGATTAAGTGAGGTAAAGAGATGGCAATAGCATTTGAAACAGAATCTCATTTTTTGTGATATCATTCTGTTGGCCAAAAAGATAGCTTCCAGGAAGTATGCTGAAGAAAATACTAAGGACAAAGAAAAGATGGGAGAAGAGTAGGTTCATTTGAAAGGTTTCATTTGAAAAAAAAAGTTGATCATTCCCTTATGATCCCACTCCTATTACCAATATTTTGTTTCTTGATTATGTAATGGCCCATAGGAGTTGTCATCAGCAAAATAATTTAACTGCCTCTCCTCCTTGCTATATATCAACAGAAGTGGTCATGTACATGCGGTGAGGCATGAAACTAAAGGAATTTTACTCCTAAAACCTTGCTTTGAATTTTCTTGCCTTCATGGATTTAACTTAGATCCTTTAATGCCATAATAATTTGGTTTCATATTGAATGTCCTTTGGGCTTTCATTGTCATTTTTTTAAGAAGTTTTCTATGAGTTCAAAATAATCCTTTTGGTGAAAAGGCAATTCAATTATAGTCACAGCATAAAAGAAACCCAATATGATACAATTCTCTATCAAGATCAGATTTACTGCTAAACCCAGATGATTTTATAAAACCAAAATTTGTGTTTGCATTTTGAGACACTTGACTGAGAGGCTTGATCAGAACATAAAGTGTCAAATAAAAGTGAGTCTCTCATCTAAATAAGGCAGAGCTGAATTAAGAGTTTAAGTGACTCTTAGGGAAATAAGTTACCTTGGCATGCATTTTATGCAGGTTTGAAAGATGATTCTTAGATACTGGATCTGCCCTGATACCCTTTCACTCATAGGCAGAGGAGAAAATGTCCAGTTCTTTCCATATCATGGAGGTTTCCCATGCCACAGGAATGCTTAACACACACATTCCCAACCATACCAGGACGGCGAATAGATTGTATTGCAATTCATTTTAAGGGGCACCATTCTTTGAAGACCTGTTTATATTCAAATTGGCACTTAGTGGCAATGTGACCTTAAGCTCTATGTCTCAGTTATATTCAGTCTGCAAAATGGGGTATTAGTATTGATCCCATAGGCTATTATGAGATAGCAGTGCTTGGCATAATTTAAGCTTCCCCTAATGTGAGCTGTTATTATTATTAGGTACAAATAACCAACATATAAATGAATAGGTTTACATGTATATGTTTAGACACTGCTAGTGATTATAAAGATGAGATAAAATTCAGCATTGTATGCCTAGAAAATGGAATTTTCTGAAGAGTGACTGATGACCAAGGATGAGATATTTCAGGATGAAGGAATTCTATAAAGGTTTAAGTGAAACAAAGGAGGGAAATAGCAGAGCAAAGAGATGCTTTCGTAGACGTGGAAAGAAGAATGTTACACATGACCCTTGAATAACATGGCTTTGAGCTGCACAGATCCATTTATATGTGAAAATTTTTCAATAAAAGTTACAAAGAGTATGCCTGCCTGTTCTGCCTTCCCTTTTACCTCCTCCACCACTTCTATCTCCCTCCCTCCCACAGCAAGACCAACCCATCCTCTTCCTCCTCCTCCTCAGCTTACTTAACATGAAGATGATGAGGATAAAGTGCCTTTTGATGATCCACTTCCACTTAATTGAGTAGTAAATACATTTTCTCTTCCTTATGATTTTCTTAATACATTTTCTTTCCTCTAGTGTACTTTGTTATAAGAATAAAGTATGTAATACATATGACTTACAAAATATGTGTTCATTGGCTGTTTATGTTATTGGTAAGGCTTCTGGTTAACAGTAGGCTATTAGCAGTTAAGTTTAGGGAAAGTCAAAAATGATATTCAGATTTTCGAATACACGGGTACTGGCAGGGTATCAGCTCCCCAAACTCCTATGTTGTTCAAGGATCAACTGTAGTTGTTAGTAGGTGCTTAGTAAATTTTTAGAGTGAGAATTGATGGCAGAGGTTCAGAATAGGACCAAAAATACTTAAACGAATCAAGAGCAGCGGAGGGGAGGTTAGAGGGGGTTACTGAGGAATTAGCACAGACCAGAGAGATATGGGACCCCCATACCTTCCATTCTCAGTTTCTAACATATTTATCCTAGCATCTGTAACTATTTTGTTGAACTTCATTGTTTATATTCCCATTGTCCTCTATTGCTATTCAAAATGTGGTCCTAGGACTAGCAGCATGGGCCTCACCTGGGAGCCTGTTAGAAATGCAGGCGCTCAAGCCCTATCCCAGAACTAAGCACTCACAAGTGCATTTTTAACAAGATACCCTGATGCTTCCTATGCATGTTACAGATTGAGAATCACCACTTTCATAGACCTTAAGCTTCTAGCATGGCGCCTGGCACTTAGTCAACTCTTAATGGAAATTTATTGAATGAATTAAGTTGAATTCCTAGAAGCTACCAAATTGAGCTACAGGTGGAGATGAAGAAATTGATTTCAACCCAAAACCAATGCCTTGAGCTACAGCTAAACTTTTAGTGACTATAGAAACTAAATAAAATCATCTGGGCTGGGCACAGTGGCTCATGTCTGTAATCCAAGCACTTTGGGAGGCTGAGGTGGGCAGATCGCTTGAGCTCAGGAGTTTGAGAGCAGCCTGGGCAACATGGCAAACCCTGTCTCTACAAAAGAAAAAAAATACAAAGAAAAAAACTAGCTGGGCTTGGTGGCACATGCTTCTAGTCCCAGCTACACAGAAGGGTGAGGCCAAAGGATCACCTGAGCTGGGGAGGTGGAGGCTACAGTGAGAGGAGATGGTGCCACTTCACTCCAGCCTGGGTACCAGAGTGAGGCTCTGTCTCAAAACAAACAAAGAAAATCTGCCTTGGCTCAGAGATAAAAAGTATGGTGTGGAATGAGGAACGAGCAGAGTGATTAAAGATTGGAGCTAGAGGGCAAAGGGACCCTGGGAAGAAAGGGCAGGAAATAGCCCACCAAAACCCTGGGAATATATATAAGAATCCTTCCACAGCAGTACAATATGTCAAGTTCTTAAACTATTACTTGTGTCCTACACTGAGGAAGATTGTGCGTGACAGTGGGAGAAGCCTGGGTGGGAGGGACAAGCAATTTAATCATACCCTACTTCTAGGGGAGGTGAGTTATCAGGGAACTTTAGACAATTGACGCAAGGATTTAAACTGCAAAAGCATTATATAGAAGACACCCCTACCCACTCTTACAGGGCTACATTTTTAGATGCACAAAGAAATTGCCACTTAAACAAGTAATAGTTAATCATAATACCCACTTTTTGAGTTGACCCTAGCTTACTGGATATGCTGACAATGACTTTGAAGTATTCACTTAAAATATACACTTAAAATATTCATTTTATAGGCTTCCTTTAAAATAAAGTATCCCTGTGTTTTAACTTAGCTTTGAAAAGACAGAATCATCTTTCATCTCTTTACCTTGTATATAACCTACCCATAATTCTTATCTAACCTTTGTTCACAATCTGTCTCACATAGATTTCTTCCCTTACATTTCTGAAGCCACTGCCTTGATTCAGGTCTCTGAAAGGAGGTAGCAAGATGATTTTCTCCTTTCTACCTTTAAAAAGTATATCTTTCTCTTTGAAATATATTTTTTCCCCCAAGAAGCATGCCTAAAACAGTTTTCTAACTAGGAATTTGGTATCATGCTTGAACTTTGGAGTTGGGTAGAACTGGGCTTGACTTTCTGCTCCATCTCTTGTTACATGTGTCACTGTAAATTACTTAACTTCTCTGCTTCAGTTTTCTCATCTGTAAAATGGCAATAGCCATGGTATTTTTCCTCATAGAATTGTTATGTAGAAGCAAGATAGTACATGTTTGTAAAATAAATGCACACTAGTGGTTAGGAGCACAGACTCTAAAGCCAGACTGCTTGGTTTAATGTTCGGCTACCTACTAGCTCTGTGTCTTTGGGCAAATTGTATCATCTGTCTATGACTCATTTGAAAAATGGGGATAATGATAGTACTTTCCTCATAGAAGTTTTTTTTTTACCTTAATTTATTTTTTATTTTTATTTATTATTTATTATTTTTTATTATACTTTAAGTTCTAGGGTACATGTGTACAATGTGCAGGTTTGTTACATATGTATACATGTGCCGTGTCGGTTTGCTGCACCCCTTAACTCGTCATTTACATTAGGTATTTCTTTTAATGCTATCCATCCCCCATCCCCCCACTCCACGACAGGCCCCGGTGTGTGATGTTCCCCACCCTGTGTCCAGGTGATCTTATTGTTCAATTCCCACCTATGAGTGAGAACATGCAGTATTTGGTTTTCTGTCCTTGCAATAGTTTGCTCAGAATGATGGTTTCCAGCTTCATCCATGTCCCTACAAAGGACACGAACTCATCCTTTTTTATGGCTGCATAGTATTCCAACCTCATAGAAGTTTTATGAGGAATAGATGAGCAAAGTGCTTCATTGTGTCTGGTGCATAGTAAGTGCTATACACGTTTCTTAATTTAACGATTGCACACAAGATGTGTTCAATAGTTGTTTTTCTATCTCCTGCCTTTAGTTTCATCACAATCCATCCCCATTGGTTCCTTTCAGATCTTTCTAAAATATCCATCTCCGCATCAGTTAGAAGGTTGTGGTCAACATGAGAGCCTTCCTTATGGAGCTAAGATTGCTGCTGAAGCTCATAAGTACCACATCCTTACACAACGGAATTCACAAGGGGAACAAGATGGATTTGGAGAATGCGGTAGCAAGATGATTTTCTTGTTCTACCTTTAAAAAGGTATGTCTTTCTCTTAAAAGGTATGTCTTTCTCTTTGAGAAATGTTTTTTTTCCCCCAGATGCATTCAGTGGATTTATTTTACAGCTTATTGCTCAGACTTATGTTATATTGCCAGAGCTAGTGGTCTCCATCCATTAAAGCTAGGCAGGCCGAAAGAAAGAACAGCTACTGGGGAGCTAGTTAACAGTGTCTGCTATGCTTTCATCATGTCACTTTCTTGCTCTGCTTCAAAACCCTTTCATGTCACCACATCGCCTGTTCAAAGTGCTCTCACCTTGCTCAGCAGTTATTAAGACTCCTCCATGAGGTAGCCCTTCCACTTCCCCAGTCTCATCACCATGGACCTCCTCTGTATAGCTCTACTGGTGCCAAACCATTCTATCAGCTATTACATAACCATGATTTGTACTTTGCTGCTGTTATGGTCTGAATGTGTTCCTCCAAATTCATATGTTGAAACTTAACTGCCAATGTGGTGGTATTAAGCAGTGGCCTTTCGGGGATGACAAAATCATGAGGGTAGCACCCCATGAATGGGGTTGGTGAACTTATAAAAGAAGTTTGAGAGAGCACCCCAACCCTTTTAGCCCACTCTCTGCAATGTGAGGACGCAGTGTTGCTCCCCATCAGAGAAAGCAGGATTCAAGGTGCCACCTTGGAAGCAGAGATCGGGCCCTCACCAGACACTGAACCTGCCAGCGCCTTGATCTTGGACTTTTCCACCTCCAGAACTATGAGGAATCAATTTCTATTATTTATAAATTACCCAGTCTGCAGTGTTTTGTTATAGCAGCAGGAATAGACTAAGACACCTGTCCTCCTTTCCCCATACATTATTGTCTGTAACACATTTATCTTTTCTCCCTCTTCCAGCCACCACAATACACATGCTTCTTGCTCATCTCTGTGTATTAAATTGAACATTTCCTTAAAGGTCCAGATTAAATGTCTTCTCTTTTCCTGAAACATTGTTTGATCTTCCACGACAGAAAGACCTTCCCTTCCTTCACGTTTCTCATGTTGATTGTATTACTTAAATGTTCTTTGGTATTTTAGTTATGGAATGGGCTATGTATTTTTCACCTTTATGTCCCATTTGTCCCAACTATGCTTAATAATAATAACAATTATAATACTATTTATTGTTTACCATAGATGGGTATATTTACATTGAGCACTTTACGTGTATTATCTCACTTATTCATCACACTAACTCTTAAAGGCATAAATATTTCCTTTTTAAAGATGAGTAAACTGAAGTCAATGACAGATAGTGACTTGCCTTAAATTAAAACTCAAATCCTGTATTTTCAAATAGTGTGCTATATGCTTCTTTATTTACTTACTTTTCAAAGTAGTAAGTCTTTATTATGTTTAAAAGAATGAAAGAGTATTTTGTATGATTTTCTAATAAAGATAGCCAGTCTGTATAATATGTACCCTGTGCTCACTTGTCTTCCCCTCAGATGTAACCCAAAGAAACAGAATTATGTTTTGTTTTTTTAAAGTATCTGAATAGCTATTTATTCTTCTTCTGGCTTTTTTTAAATTTTTGTTTCTGTTTTTGTTTTTTTCAAGATGGAGTCTCACTCTGTTGCCCAGGCTGGAGTGCAGTGGCCTGATCTCAACTCACTGCAACCTCTGTCTCCCGGGTTCAAGCGATTCTCCTGCCTCAGCCTCCCAAGTAGCTGAGATTACAGGCATGTGCCACCATATCCCACTAATTGTTTTTGTATTTTTAGTAGAAACGGGAGAGTGAGGGTTCGCCATGTTGGCCAGGCTGGTCTCGAACTCCTGACCTCAAATGATCTTCCTGCCTCGGTCTCCAAAAGTGCTGTGATTACAGGTGAGAGCCACTGTGGCCAGCAAGCTATGTATTCTTCTATTCATTCAACAACAAATTCCTAAATAAGTTGAACATATACTGCTTGTATGGACCAAGTAATATGCTAAGTCACAATACTTTGGCTCTATACGACTATTCAACAGAAACTTGCTTAAACATAGAGTGTGTTTTATTATCTCCCTTAACAATTGGTAGGAGGTTGCTAGGCGGGTGCAGTGGCTTAATGATGTTAGGTCTTAGGATTCATATCTCTACAATTCTCTTGACTTAATAGTTGCAGTATGGATGCTGCAACTCCAGAAATCATGCCCTCACATAACTGCATTCAGAAGCAAGAAACAGAAATGCAGGGCAGAGTTCTGTTTCACCATCTCTTTACTATCAGGGAAGAAAAGCTCTCCTCCATTTTCCAGACTTCTCATTGCTTTCCACTGTCCACAGTTGGATTACACGCTTGCCCCTGGAACACTAGTCCCATATTGCCTGAGATGAATCTTCTGATACTTGAACTAAATTGAGATTATGTTAGTAAGAAAGAAAGGGAAATGAATTTTGAGCCAACAACAGAAATGGTCTTGTTAGATGAGTAATGTACACGTGAGTAAAAGGGGCACAGTTTCTTGTCCTGATGAAGCTAACAACAACAACAAAATCACCTAGCAAGGGTGATAGATATTACATTTAAAAAATAAAATTATACATTGTGATGAGTAATAAAAAGGAAATAAACAAGGAGCTGGGAAGTAGACTGATGTCTACTTAGGACAGGGTATTTCTGGAAAGACTTCTCTGTGAAGGTGACATTTAAACTGAAACCAAAGAAACAGAACGAGTCAACCATGAGCAGAGCAAAGAGGAGTGTATAGAAGCATGTATAGAGACCCTCAGTTAAAATAAAAGAAAGCAAGTGTGACTGCTGATTTGTTGGTAGTATAAGATTAGAGAGGGGTGGAGACCTAGCTCTTCACAAAAACCCATTGTCTTCTTCTTTTGTAACACTAGAATGCAGCCAGGTGAATGGAGGTACAACTGCAATATATTTCCCAGGCTCCCCTCATTTAGGAGGAGCAGTGGCATGTCAGTGGGAGTGATGTGGAATACTTTTGGGCCAATAATGCATACAATGGGTGCACCTCCTTATCCTCTCTTCCCCCACTCCAACTGGCTGCATCCTCTTTGTAGCAGCTTCTTTGAATGTTTAACTGCACCCTCTTTGTGGCAATTTAAGCTTTGGGTGTTTAGATGTGGAGAAGACTCTAAAATACTTGTTCTTAAAATGTTGTCTGAGATCAGCAGTAGTAACATCACCCAAAAACTAGCTAGAAAGGCAGACTCTTGAGCCCCATCCCAAACCTACTGAATCAGAAACTCTGAGGATGGGGCTGATATCGTTTGTATGTTTGTCCCCTCCAAATCTCATGTTGAAACATAACCTCGAATGTTGGAGGTGGGACCTAATTTGAGGTACTGGATCATGGGGCAGATCCCTCATGAATGGCTTAACACCATCCCCTTGGTTTGAAGTGAGTTCTCAGCTCATGGAAGATCTGGTTGTTTAAAAAGGTCTGGGATCTCCCCTTTCTGTCTCTTGCTCCCTCTCTCTTGCTTCCTCTCTCACCGTGTAAAGTGCCCTCTCCCACTGTGCCTTCCACCATGAGTAAAGTTCCTTGGAGCCCCACCAGAAACTGAGCAGGCGCCAGCACCATGCTTCCTGCTCAGCCTGCAGAACTGTGAGACAATTAAATCTCTCTCTCTCTTTTTTTTAATTAATTACCCAGCCTCAGGTATTTCTTTATAGCAGTAGAAGAACGGACTAACACAGGGCCTAGCAATGTGTGTTTTAACAAGCCCCCCAAGTGCTTCTGATGCATGCTGGAGTTTGAGAGCCACTATTCTAAGAGAAGGAGAAAACACAAAATGAGAGAAACCCGAGTCCCTGAATATTATGTGGAATAAGGCTGGATATATGAATCTGGAGCTTAGGAGATAGTTTTGGGTGGGAGACGATCAGCTTAGTATGATATTTAAAGCCATAAAAATGGGTAAGATAACCTAGGCAGAGGGTTAGAGACAGAAAAAGAAGAGGACCTAGGATTGAGGCATCCGTAATTTTGACATTCAGAGGGAGGGAAGAGGTAGAGTAGCTTACAAAAGAATCTGAGAAGTTGTGGCTAAAGAGGTAGAAGGCAAACCAAGAGCTAAGAATGTGATGTTATGGAAGTCAAGAGGTTAAAATGTTTCAGGGAGGAAGTTGTGGTCCCCTCTGCTGAACTCAGAAATTCTCTCCTCCTCACTGAGTAGCGCCATCGCATATTTTGGAGAAGGGACTCTGACTCAACAGTGAATCTGAAAGAGTAAAAAGCAATCCTATGCTCCCTTGCCAATGTTTGGTTCAAGAATGAACCTGAGGCCCAATTCTGGCAAGAAGTGTATTAAAGACTTCTGAGAAAGTCCTTTCTTTCTCTTACTAAACAGCCACAGGAAGCCAGTGACTTTCTCTCCCATTGGATGTAAATAATAGCACTGACTGTAATTGGCAGCCATTTTACAACCATGAAGTGATAATGAGGGTACCATTTTAAGACCATAAGTTTCCTCATCTGTAAAATGGGGATAATGCATCATAAAGGATGAAGCTGGCACTTTAGACTCCAATACAGAGATTAAAGTAACCAAAGTCCTTGATGACATGGTTGAGCTGCCAAATCTACCAAACCAAACTTTCTGTTATGCAAGTTAATACACTTCCTTGTTGTTGAGTCAGTTTAATTTAGGGTTTCTGTTACTTGTAGCTGGAAGCCACTTATCTGATACAGTGATATATGAAGGCTCCTTCTATTTTTAATTGTTAGAGAGTCACTGATTTATTTCAAATTCTCAAGAAAGATTATTTGTATGAAGTATTGTTCAATGAGTTTTGTAAAGCACTTTTCTAATAAAATGGAATCAGCAACCTAATCTTATAAGACAACAAAAAAATCAGCTTAGGAATAATGGATTAAGCATTTTACTTATCTGAAAATGAATATATATTTCCTATTAATGCGTTCTACAATTCAAGTCATATTTTAATATTAAAGCCTCACTGAAACTAATTTTTTGAACTCTCATTTGGAATAAAAGATGCAAATATAGAAAGTCTATATCTTATCCTTCCCTCAACCTTGAGCAATTGTAGGGATTGAAAATTAGGTGTATGGAAAGAACATCTTGAATATTAAATATGCAAAATACTATAAACGTGAAAATATATCTACACAAAGTCAATGGTTTGACGGGTTGAAATATTGATATCTTAATTTCATTTAGAAAATTGATTTATTAAAATACAATGAAGCTTAATACTTCAAATTAATTTTATTTACTACTGGAACACTGAGGTCGTAGAAAGAATGTTAATTTAGAAATCAGGAGCTTTGTGTATTAGTTCCATCCCTGCCACCAGTTGTGTGGTCTCAGGGACATAATTAACTTCTTGTTACCTTCTCTAGCAAAATGAGGAGAGGTTGGTAACCTGTGGAGTTCTTCTAGTTTTCTAATTCTATAATTTAATTGTGTCTTCAATTTCTAAAGTAAAAATAACTATAGACACATTTTTATAAACATGTTTTATGTTATCTACTCTGTTTCCAATTCCAAATTGGTAATTGCTTCTAATTCATAACTTGGTCTCTTTTCAAACATTTCTATTTGGAATTATTTACTATGAGCAGGTAGGAAGCTTCCATATAGATGAGTTTTAATTAAAATACTTGCATACTATGCACTGGCAAGACACATTTTAATGAGAGGTGCAAATAGATTGTCACAATGAAAAGGGAAAATTTCCTCTTTGTGTTGGCTGGAAACAGGATTAAAATTAAGAATGATTCTTAAACCAGCAGTGTATTTCATAAACCATGAGATTATCATTAACAATATTCTTATTGCAAATGCCACTGTTGACATTCTCACTTATAGTGTAGTACATGCCGCATCAGCAGGATTAGTTTTGGGTGTGAAGTTTATAGTGTTTGATTTGTGCTGCAGTGCCTACAATGACAAACATGTTTCAATGGTCCAGTGACCTAAGTCAGCATGTGCAAATGTGAACAGCAATGATGATTTTCTGTGAACCGTCTCAGATATTGGTAGACAAATGTTATATTTGTTTCTTTTGGTCTGCTATTCCTCGTATTTCTCCCTTCACACCTTCCCAACAAAATATATGTATATTATACACGACTATTAATTTGGGGCATTTTCTTAGTAATTCACTGCCTTCTCTAATTTTAAAAGACTGTGTAGAACTTAACCTTTGGCTTGATAAATATGATTCAATTGAGTGAAACTCCTGTTCTTTTGGAACTTAAAAGATAAAATGCCAATATAAATATGTGGTAATTATCACCAGAACTGTTCATTTTTAACTATTAAATTTAAGCAAAGAGCAATTGCTGTTTGTTCATGCAAAACAAACAGTGCCTGCTTAAGATCTTTTTGATTAATCTGCTTCCCTGCATGCAGATTCAAGAGAAAACACTGCCTCAGGCTCAGTACACACATCTATGAAACAGAAAAAGCTTTGCTGTCCCAGTCTATTGTTAGAGTGTTCCCAAAAAAGGGGTTTAGTGGTAAACAATGCAGGATCAGCTCGGAGAAGGGAGACCAAACCTCAGGAACAGGCCAATACATCCAAGGCTTGGCAGATGCAGCCCGGTTCTAGAACAGGCCTTGAAAACAAAAGGGGTGCTTTGTTGTTGGGGGAATGTGGTTGAATAGGTGAAGTATAGGGATTTACAGAGAAGGTAGCTATTAGCAGGCATAGTGCCAGGTCGCACTAAAAACTGCATCCAAAACAAGATAATAAGGAAAAAACTTTTAAAAGCAAAACTCCTGGCAGAGTTGGTGCTGTGTGTATGACAGCCAGATAGAATTCCCAGGCACTGTGCTCAGCTGGATAGGTCACCTGGGTGGATGCCGAGGGCAGGACAGGCTGATAGGGCCGGATAGGAAGTAGAAGCCTGTGTTGAAAGCTCCCCCATGCCCTTCAAGCTTCCCAACTTGAATAAAGATCCACAGAAAATTACAAAATACCAAGTTTGGTTGGATTTCTTGTAGAAACTGGGGAAAGGTGGAGATGGATGTTGAGAACATAATGAAGAAAAGGGAAAGCATTCCC
Organism: Homo sapiens; assembly: GCF_000001405.40. Lineage (NCBI taxonomy): Eukaryota > Metazoa > Chordata > Mammalia > Primates > Hominidae > Homo > Homo sapiens. The sequence continues at coordinate 60,348,513 of NC_000013.11, forward strand.
TTCCCAGAGAGCTATAGGAAATCACAGGGAGGGCTCTAGATGGACACCAGCTGGGACGGGCATTTCTAACAGCTCTGATGGAGAGGGGAGCCCCAGGAGATCCCTAGGTTACAGGAGAGAAGTGAACTGATGGCTGCCTACCGTATTTTAGGCACTACTGTCACCAGATCAAGGAAGGCAGTAAGTGGGTTCAATCTTCTGGGAGTAGGGCTGGCAGGGACAAGGTAATGAGCAGATCCTAGCTGCTGGCAAGAGACATTGGTTGAGCTCCCACAGGGAGCCGGGGCTCTGACCAGGGTGGTTAAGGTCTGTGTGTGAGTGGTGGTGGGAGTTGTGAGTCTGTGGATGGGCGATGTCGACCAGGGGAGAGGAATCTTAAACACCCAGGTGGAAGAAGTCAGTTAGGCAGCATGCCCCCCATTGGAGTTATTCAAAGGGTTCTTTTAGATGGATTCATAGGCTCCCCTAGCAATCTTGTCTCAGGCTTGAATATTTCACACCCTATTGCTTCCTTGGATGAAAAAGTTGATATGCAGATTCAATATCTTCTGATTTAATTTTGAGGCAGAGCAGACTGCAGCTGCAGGGGGTCATCTGGACCATCTGGAAAGGGGCTAAGACAGGGACAGGAATTGCCATCAATATGGACAGAGTTTGATTTCTGAGGGGGCAGAAGAGACTTGTGAATAACTTATTATAGAACAAGTCAAGACAGTATATGATCATTTGTCATTACATGACACAGATTGGATAAAAACTAGGGCATTATAGAGCATTGATTCATGTATTAAATAATTGTTGAGAAAGTGCTATGGGACAAGACCCATACTAGGTACTGAAGACACAAAGATGAATGATATCACCACTGTTCTCAAGAAGCTCCTTGTCTAGTAGAGAAGCGCATGAGTTAAATAAATAAAAAAAAAGCCTAATTTGCTATATTACATACAAGCAACAAGTCTTATGGAAGGCCAAGGGAGAATACCCTACTTAGACTGGGAGCTAAAAACAGCCTCCCAGACAAAGAAAGTCATGTCAACTAGGATGTAAATCTTACACTGAGAGACAGAGAGAGAGAGAGAGAGGAAGGAGGAGAGAGCCAGGAGGGGAGTCGGGGCGGGGGGGAGAGAGAGACAGACAGACAGACAGACCTGGGACGGGAGCACTGAGCTATAAAATCCTTTTTTAACCAGTAGTTGCTCTTTCAAACTTCTGCAGGGAAATGTGTGCACAGAAACTGATGATCAGCTCTGGCCCTAAGTCAGTGAAATGAGCAAGTTAGGACAGACCGTGGGGATTGTGCAGATCAAGTGCCTACAACAAAAGTAACCCCACAATCCTTTGCCTCCTTCTGTTTTGTCCTTCACCCTGATTTCGACCCAAGAGCAGACCAACTACCTCCAACCCCGTCAGGCTGAGGCTGCAGGGACAGTCCCTGAGCCCACTGCACCTCTCCAGCAACTGATGAAGGAACCACAAAGACTGTCCATGCACGGGTTTACCATGTGATGTCTTTTCTCAACCCAAAGAAAAGCTCTTTTCCTCTCATGGAACTCAGTAAAATGCCTTTAAGATGACCAAATATAACAATATTCCTCTATTTTGGGGGAAGTGTATGGTGAAGGGACTGGGTGAGAGGAGCTCTCCAGAGAGGTCAAGAGTCCTGTGTGCATAAAGTTTTGAAGCATGAAGAAACCTAGAAATGGGTATTCTTAACAGAGGGAGCCATATGCCAAAGATCCCAGGCATGAGAGATCCCAGCAAGTCTAGGAAATGCCAAAGAATGCAACATGGTTGGACCCTAGGATGTGAGGAAGGATTAGGGGTGACAGATGAGGGGGAAGGCTAAATATCTTGGACGTTATTCTGCAGAGATTTATAGGGCTTCAGATGACTGAAAGTAGTAGGGATATGATCAGATTCTTATTGTAGAACCATTGCCTGCTCATATAAAAAGCCCACCTAAGCCTATTCTGAAATTTACTTACTACTATCCTGATTCTCATTCAGTCTCAGAATTTAGTAAAATGAGATTCCTATAGTGGATGATTAACTGCATGCTCACTGCAAATTGGAACGTGTCAGAGAGTGTCCAGGAGGAATGAGGTTCTATTAGTGTGAAAGCAGCATCGTAGTCTCAGAATAAGAAACTACTGGGCACATTAGGTTGAAACTCTAGGATCAAGATAAGAAAGAACATGAATGGCATCTTCCTATTCAGTAACCTCCCCAGATAGCATACTGAAATGAAGAAGCAGCTCACTGAAAGGAAGGGTGGTAAGGTGAACCTGCTTGGTTTAGGACCTTAAATAAGCTATGAGTAAGGATAGCTCTTTTTTTTTTTTTTTAACTCCAAGGCGGAGTTTCGCTCTTGTCACCCAGGCCTGAGTGCAATGGCATGATCTCAGCTCACTGTAACCTCTGCCTCCCAGGTTCAAGCGATTCTCCTTCCTCAGCCTCCCGCGTAGCTGGGATTACAGGAATGCACCATCACGCTGGGCTAATTTTTTTTTTTTTTTTTTGTATCTTTAGTAGAGATGGAGTTTCAGCATGTTCGCCAGGCTGGTCTCGAACTCCTCCCCTCAGGTAATCTGCCCCCCTTGGCCTCCCAAAGTGCTGGGATTACAGGCACGAGCCACTGCGCTCAGCCTAGGAGAGATCATTTTTAAGAGCAGTTTAGAACAAAGTTTACATGATTCCCAACCCAGATCTAAAGACAGATTCTGCCAAGATTTTTTGGGAGGGGCACTGCATTGATAACCAATTGTTATGTAATTGCTGCATAACAAATTAACCCAAAACTTAGTGACTTAAAACAACAATATTTATTATCTCACAGTTTGTGTCGTGTCAGGAATCTGGCCATGACTTAGCTGGATGCTCTGCTTTAAGGTCTCTCACAGACTGCAATCAAGATGTCAGCTGGGCTGCAGAAATCTCAGGGCTCATCTGGAGGAGTATCTACTTCCATGGTCATTCCTGTGGTTATTGGCAGGGCTTAGTTTTCTTGTAGATTGTTGGCCAGAGTCCAGCTGCAGTTCCTTGCAATGTGAGCCTCTCCACGGGGCAGCTAACAACATGGCATCTGGTGTCCATCAGAGGGCAAGCACATCAGAAATCAGAACATTTTTGTAACTTAATCTTGGAAGTGCCCTATGCTCTATTTGCTAGCAGTTAATGTCCAGCCCACTTGCAAGAGGAGGAGATTACAAGCCATCTTAGGAGGTGTTTAATACAGGTAGGAAAACATGGGAAGAATAAGCCCCATTGAAAATCTCTCAATCTAGAGATAACATTGGAGATGGAGCCTGAGGTTGTAAATAAGGGGAACATGAGAGGCTGAGAAGGGGGATCTTCCCTTTTAAGCATTGGAAAGAGTATGGGGAAGAGAGGAGAGTCTAGAAGGTGGCAAGATGAAATACTGTCAGGATTTCTTAGGAAATAATGTGAGACATCTGCTGGGCAAAGAGTTATAAGATTGGAATTCCATTTTGCTGCTAATGACTTACTAAGCAAAGTTCTTCTGCATCTTGAAAATCTCGAGGTTGAACAGTCACAACTGGATGCAGGCTCTCTCCATAAAGCTGATAGGATGGCTTCTGACAGTCCCAGTCTCCCATCCTCCTATTCAGTAATCACAAGATGTTTCTGCCTGTAACATACATTCATTCCATAAAAGGGCTGGTTGGCCTGCCTATGTTATATGACCACTAGTGGACCAATCATTGTATGCAGGAGGGTGTAAGATCACGACTGGCCTACTCTGAGACTCATACCCTCGTGAAGGCTGGGGGCCTTGTTGTAGTCATTAGTACTGTTCAACAAATGTTTCCATTTCCCTTTTAAGCACATGTAAGGAAGGATTGCACTTCCTTGGCCTGTTGGAGTAATTTGTGGCTTTCTTTGACTAACGAAACTAAACAGAAGTGATGGGAGTTACTTTTTAAAAATATAACAGTTTTATTGAGCTATGGTTTACATACCATAAAAGCCACCCTCTTAAATTATAGAAGTCAGTGGTTTTTAGTATACTCACAGAGCTGCTCAACCATCACCACTAATTCCAGAATATTTTAGTCACCCCAAAAAGAAACTCCATACTCATTAGTAATTACTGCTCATTTTCTCCTCCCCCTATTCACTGTCTGTTACTAATCTATATTCTGCCTCTATGGATTTGCCTATTCTGAACATTTCATACAATATGTGGCCCTTTTGTGACTGGCTTCTTTCATTTAGCTTTAGCTTCTTTCATAATGTTTTAAAGGTTCTTGCATGTTGTAACTGATATTAGTACTTCATTCCTTATCATGGTTGAATAGTATTCCATTTATGGATATACCACATTGTGTTCATCCATTCATCAGTTCATGGACATTTGGGCTATTCCCATTTGGGGGCTATTACAACTAATGCTGTTATGAATATTTGTGTAGAAGTTTTTGTGTGGACATATTTTCAGTTCTCTTGGTTATATACCTATGAGTGGAATTGTTGGATCATAGGGTAACTCAATGTTTTCTTAAAGAAAAACACACACAAACAACTTCTCTACGGTTTTCCAAAGCACCTACACCATTTAACATTCCCATTAGCGATGCTTAAGCATTCTAATTTCTTTGCTAATGCTATTTATTTTCTTTCTTTTTAACTTTAGCTATCCTTGTGGTATCTCATTGTGATTTTGGTTTGCATTTCCCTAATGATTAATGATGTTGAGCATCTTTTCACCTCCTTATTAAGCAATTGTATATCTTCTTTGGAGAAATGTCTATTCAACTCCTTTGTTCATTTTTAAATTGGGTTGCTGTTTTTTAATTGTAAGAGTTCTTTGTATGCTCTGAATACAAGTTTCTTATCAGATATATTATTTGTAAATATAGTCTTATATTCCTTGGGTTGTAATCTTGCTTTCTTGATAGTGTTCTTTGAAGCCAAAAGTTTAATTTTGATGAAGTTCATTTTTTTGTTGTTGTTTCTGTCATAAAAAAGAAACACAAGGTCATAAAGATTTATTTCTATGTTTAGTTTTTACAGTTAGCTTTACATTTACATTTTACATTGAACTTTTACATTTAGGTCTATGATCCATTTTGAGTTAATTTTTGTATATGATGTGAGGCTCAACTTCATTCTTTTTAATGTGAATATCTAGTTATCCCAATGTCATTTGTTGGAAAGACTATTCTTTCCCTCATTGAACAGTCTTGGAACCTTTTCAAAATTCAGTTGCCCATAAATAAAAAGGTGTAATTCTGGGCTTTCAATTCTGTATCATTGATCTATATGTCTAGCTTTCTACCAGGACATGTGTGTCTCTTCTATGTGAAGGCTTTAAGAGAAAGTGAATGATTTACCACACTTTGTTCCTCTGCCTTTTCATTGGCAATGCTCCCAAAAGAGGCTGAAGTCTTAGTTTGGATTTCAGAGTGATAGTAACATGAAGAGCTCTGAGACAAAGCACACAGGCATACAGTGTGAGTGAAAATTAAACTTTTGCTTGAACTATCTAATATCCAGAGGTTCTTTGTTTAGTGGTCTGTCCTGACAAATACAGAACTATAATTGACAACTCTACATAGAGTAGGGGTCAAGTTCACAAGAAAGCCAGAAGAAGAGAAATAGGAAAGTATGCTGGATAAGCAAAACTAGTTTTAATTTTAAACCCCAAGGGTTTTGAGCTAGCCCTTATTGTAAATCTTGGTTACCTTACCAACATCAACACACATGACTGACTGTTGTGTTTTGGATACAGAGGTGCCAGTAATTCAGTGTATAAATGGTATCTCTACCCTCAGGATCTTACATTTTAATTGAGGAAACAGGATGTATACATGGAAAATAAAGAATAATGCAAGGTGCCATGTAATAAGTGGTGCTAGAGAGGATTAAAGGAGAAGGAATGAGGATGAGATGGGGGGCTAGGAGAAGGTAGGAGGGCTTCTCGGCATTGTGACTTCAGCTGTGCCTTCTGGGAAAAAAAGGACTTGGATAATCAAAAAGGAGAAGGAAAATGCATTGGTACAGGTGAACAGAGGGGTAGGCAAAGAAATGTCAACCTTTATTATTGGGAGACAATAATAAATAGACCATTTTACCTGGGCCAAGAACATTTGTTGAAAAATCGATGTAAAAAGAGTTTGGGGGCTAAATTGAAGAAGGCTGTGAACAATGAGCCTAAGTTTTATTATGCAGGTAGTGAAAGTATGAAAATTTATGTAGAGGGAAAATGATGTTTTGTGAAATTAATCTCATTGCAGTGACATTAGAAGCAGTACAGGAAATTCTACTTTCTCTCCTCTGCAAGGACCAGTAAAGGTGGCTCTTTAGACTTGCCTTAGCTCATCAGTACGGTTCTGTAGAGACCTGGAAATGCCAATTACTTCACTGGCATTCTCTAAACTAGAAGCAGACTAGCTGAATATTATCAACTGATATTGGAGTTTTCTAAATTGGGTAGTATACTGTCAGTACACGAAATGATAATATGTATTGAAATGGTCAAAAAATATACTGAATGTGGGCTTCAAATTTTTGGATCCATCAGGGCCTTGCAAACAGACTGCAGAGACAAATGGTACACTTTAATAGTGAGGAAAATTGAAGACTCAACCATCTGAATGTGGCAATTATGAGCCATTTTGAGTGAGAGTTAGCAAATATTTTCCCAACTGTCAATTCTAAGAAACATGCAAACAGAATCTGTGTAAGTGAATGCAGCAGTGAACCTGTGTCTCTGTTAAACCACAGAGAAATGAAATAAGCTGATTTTAAATTTCTAAAGGGAACTTAAACCACCTGCTAAGTTGTAGAATTTAATTTGCAAGATGAATACTTGGCAATGTGACACTTCTTTCATAGCTTCATTTGCTGTTTTAATAAAAATGTTCACAATGCTTTGGTTCCATCTGTTAGAGAGAGTGAAAACAGCTAACTGCTATTCAAACAACAAAAAATACAGCTTTCTAGAAAACTATATCGAGTGCCACCAAAATGTAAAGAGGTATTTATAAATTTTAAACTTCTGCCTCACTTCTAAAAAATGCTGTAATTGCACTGCATCTTGGACTCAACATATAAATAATTTAGGCAAAAATTTTAAATTTAAATTATTCCCCCACACTCTAAATGCAAACAAATGCTTTCAAAGTTATCATGACCATGAATCTTACTGCAGCAAGCTACAGATTTTCATTATAACAATTTGTAAGCAAATATTTGGTTATTTTTATAAGCCACAAATCTGGCTGAAGGAGAAAATGATGTATAATAAACAAAAACTCTGCAAACCACAAACTATGTTTGTTGCTGTATTTCCAAATCAGACATAACAATAAGCTATAGTAAGGCAGCCTCCCTACATTATTAATTGGCTTTCCATAGCTTTTCCCTCAGAATAGATCAAGATTTTATAACTTTCAATAAGAATTATTTCTCAAGCACCAATTCCAGTATTTAATACAATGCTGGCAATATGGTAGACACAACCTATGTGTTTGTTGAGTCAGAGAAGTACGATAGTAGTCATGCTACATCAAGAAGAGACAATGAAGGGAGAGACACAGGGATGGGAACAAAATGTAGGAAAAAGAAAGAAGAGCCTTTTCAGGCCAGGTGCAGTGACTCACGCCTGTAATCCGAGCACTTTGGGAGGCTGAGGCAGGAGGATCACTTGAGGTCAGGAGTTTGAGACCAGCCTGGCCAGTGTGGTGAAACCCTGTCTCTACTAAAAATACAAAATGCAGCTGGGTGTGGTGGTGTGTGCCTGTAATCCCAGTTACTCGGGAGGCTGAGGCAGAAGAATTGCTTGAGCCCGAGATGTGGGGTTTGCAGTGAGCCGAGATCGCGCCACTGCACTCCAGCCTGGGCAACAGAGCAAGACTCCATCTCAGAAAATAAATAAATAAATAAATAAATAGAGAGAGGGAGGGAGGGAAGGAGGGAGGAAGGAAGGAAGGAAGGAAGGGAGGGAAGGAAAGGAATGAAGGAAGGAGAGAAAGAAAGAAATAAGAAAGAAAGAGAGAGAGAGAAAAAGCAAGCAAGCAAGAAAGAAAGAAAAGAGAAGAGAAAAGAAGAGCCTTTTCAACTCTGTGTCCCATGGAATTATCTAAAACATTAGTTTCAGCTTTTCTTACCTTGAGGTACTGGCTAGTTGTACAGTGAGGAAAGCTAAGGCTAGCAATGACATATAAGGGGGTCTGCAGAATGGCCTATTGTCTTTCCTTTGCTTGTTCCTGTAAGAAAATTCTGTATTTACCTTTCCTGCAGAAAGGTAGGGTTATGAGACACATCTTCTTGCTGTGTCCTCACTTGGTAGAAGGAGTGCTAGGTTGCTCTCTGGCCTCTTCTTATATTAGGGCACTGATGACATTCGTAAGGACTCCACCCTCATCACCTAACTACCTCAAAAAGGGTCCACTTCCAAATACCATCAAGTTGGGCTTACGGTTTTAACCTTTGAATTTTAAGGAAACACAAACATTCAGTTAATTGCAACAAATATGTTTTAAATGGTAAATGAAACAACTGTCTCTGAAAAAGGGACCATGAAGCAGGGCTATATATAAGAATTTTGTAAAATAACAGAAAGAAATGAAATATGAAGTGCAGAACTGAAAGTTGAAGCAAAAAGGTAAAGCAATTACAGAAAAAGAGGAACTGGTTAGAAAACAAGGGAAAATAGACACTGTGGAAATTCATGGGGATATAAGAGATAGAGGAAATAGAAATTAGGGAAGTAGAAAAAAATTGAGGAGATAAAAAGAATTAGAAGGAAAACAATAGAAAAATCAGGCAAAGAAGCTTCAGTGTATGCATCTTGAAATCCTTAAAGGAAGATGAAATTTAAAAAAATCCTAAATTTAAAGATACTTTTTGATTCAGCCTGTTGAAAGGGTATATACTAGTTCAAGGAAAATTGACCTAAAATGGTCAATCTGAAGATATATCGTAGCAAAATTACTAAGCTAACAATTTTTTTATATTAATTTTAATTTTTTTAATTTTACTTTAAGTTCTGGGATACATGTGCGGAAGGTGCAGGTTTGTTACATAGGTATACACGTGTCATGGTGGTTTGTTGCACCTATCAACCCATCATTTAGGTTTTAAGCCCCACATGCCTTATTTGTCCTAATGCTCTTCCTCCCCTTGCCCTTCACCCGCCAACAGGCCTTGATGTGTCATGTTCCCCTCCCTGCGTCCATGTGTTCTTACAGTTCAACTCCCACTTATGAGCAAAAACATGCAGTGTTTGGTTTTCTGTTCCTGTACGCTATCAATTGCTTTTTTTTTTTTTTTTTTTGAGATGGAGTCTTGCTCTGTCACCCAGGCTGGAGTGCAATGGTGCGATCTCAGCTCACCGTAACCTCTGCCTCCCAGGTTCAAGCGATTCTCCTGCCTCAGCCTCCCTAGTAGCTGGGATTACAGGCGCGTGCCACCACACTCAGCTAATTTTGTATTTTTAGAAGAGACAGGGTTTCTCCATGTTGGTCAGGCTGGTCTCGAACTCCCTACCTCAGGTGATCCACCCACCTCGGCCTCCCAAAGTGCTGGGATTACAGGCGTGAGCCACTGCGCCCAGCCTCTCAAGCTAACAATTTTATATCTACCCAAGTTGTCCTTCAAGGCCTTGAAGTAAATTTTGAAAACATTTTGAGCACTTAAGAACTTGAGGAATAGAATGCCCATGAGCCCTTATTGAGGAAATTATTGAAGGATAAACTTCATTAACAAAGAGTGACTAAGGAAACAATAGCAAAGAACTTACAGTGAGAATTAAGTTCATTTAACAATAAAACCAAGACAAATTAATTAGCTAATTAATTTCAAAATTGTGTACATGTATACAGGGTTTACTTTCTACCACTCTACTGTAGAAAGCAAACCTCGTATACATGGTCACAATTTTGAAATTAATTAGCTAATTAATTGGGAGAGTAAGGGGGAGAAAAAGGAAGATTGTCTCATCTGTAATATCTGAAAGTCACAAGATATTATTGTGAGTTGGTAGTTAAATACTAGAAGTAAAAGAAAATGAATAAATACTAATAAATATAATTGTATTGACTCATAATGGGGACAAAGGCAAAAAAGGATAGCAAAGAAGAAAACATTCTGATATTATCTCATAGGATTACGTCATAGAAACTAATGGTATCTAAAGAAATAAGGGTAAATCGAAAAATAAAAATATAGGCCTTCCTGAATATAAAAAAACTACATAAAATATAAACAAATTACATTAAAAGTACTTTAAAAAACTCTCATCAGATAACATAGCATAAACAATAAGGCCAGATATATCTACCATATCCATAAGTGTAAATGAGTTTAACTCACTTCTGCAAAAAATTTTATTGGAGAATAAATAAAAATTTAGTTTTGTTCTATATGCAGGAGACACATATAAAACTTTCAGAAGAGTTAAAATTAAAGTAGATCTTGGCCAGGTGTGATGGCTCATGTCTGTAATCCCAACATGTTGGGAGGCTGAGTAAAGGAGGATTACTTGAGGCCAGGAGTTTGAGAACAGCCTGGTCCACATAGCGAGACCCCATCTCTACAAAAATAAAAAAAATTAGGTGGATGTGGTGGTGTGCATTTGTAGTCCTAGCTACTCAGGAGGCTGAGGCAGGAGAATCATTTAAGCCCAGGAGCTCAAGGCTCTGATAAGCTATGATTGTACCACTGCACTCCAGACTGGGTGAAAGAGAGAGATCCTGTCTCTAAAAATACAAAATACAGTAGTTCTTGAATTGTAAATATCAGATAAGGTAAAATTCAGAATAAAAAGCATTTTATAACAAATGTTTTTATAATGCCAAAGCAGAAAATTGACAATGAAGATATAAAAGTCATGAAAATCTATGCACCAGTCAAAATAGCAGTCATACTCATAAGGCAGAAATGATAGAAATTACAAGGAGAAATGGACAAAAATACATCAGTATAGAAGATGAATGTCTTAAAAGACCTAAACATTATTAAAATAAATCCAGCTGATGCATGTTGAACTTTGTTCCTGAAAATAAAAAATACACCTTGTTTTCAAATGCCCACGGAGTAAGTAATGAAAATTAGTCATCTTTTAGATCATAGATTACTCCTCAAATAGTATATTTGATCACAATCAAATAACTTTGTGATCACAATCAAGTAAAACTTTAATGAGAAAATAAAAAGGTCCTTTCATCTGATAACTTAAAAATTCTTAAGCAACTTGGGGCATGGGTCAAAAAGAGCTATAAGCTTAAATTGCAGAATTTCTAAAAATAATAATAGGGAAAATACTATAAAACTCAGCTAAATAAAAAGATTATAGCCCTAAATATTTATATTACTTAACAAAGAAGAATAAAAATGAATGACTTATGCTAGCAACCGAAAATGTTTGAAAAAGGAAATCAAAATAAACTGAAGGAAATAAGGAAGTAGTAATAAAGATAAAATATTAATGAATTAAAAATAGAAAAATAAAATGGATAAATCCAAAACCAGATTATTTGAGGTGGAAAAACAATAGAGTACACAAACTAGCTGGCTTAATAAAGAAAAAAACACAAAAAAAGTGTAACTACACAAATTAATAAATGACAGTAAGGAAGTAACCCATGAAGGAGGACATTCACAGAATTCTGAGACTACTCTGCTCAACTCTATGCAAATAAATGAAAAACCTAGATGAAATGAATAAATTACCATAAAAAGATAGAAAATGTAAACAAACCAATTTCTAAGAAGAAATAACAGTTGTCAAGAAGTGATCTTCTTTGAAAAATTACCAGGCCCAGACAATTTTATAGGAATTTCTGCATAACCTTTAAAAAAATGACTCCAATGCTATTGGAACTATTCCAAGTATGGAGAAAAACTAAAATTCTAAGTCAATTTTTTTCATAAGTTTGCAAGACCCACACACAAAAATATTAAAACACAAAGGAAGGACACATATAAAACAATTGAAATAATGGAAAGACATATCATGTGCTTGATTAGGATTCAAATCAGTTTCCTCTATGTTAATTTGCTAATTTAATATGGTCTCAGTGAAAATACAACAGATTTATTTTACCTAGACAAGTTGTTCCTAAATTTCACATAGAAAAATTAGAAAGAATAAAACATAATGACTCTTAAAAAAGGAAATGAATTTTTAGTGAGGTAGAACTAACCTTACGAAGTATTAAAATATTACAAGGCCTTCAGACAACCAAATAGGTTAAGAATCAAAATTTCAGAAATAGAGCCAAATATATAGTATAAATTAGTATATGATAAATGAGACATCTGAAAGCTGTTGAGAAAAAAGCTAATCAAAAAGTGGTGTTGAAAAAACTGTTGTGCATTCTGAAAAATACTTTAAAAAGATACTTAACACCCTTTGAGAGGCATAATTCCAAGATGATCCCCAAGATTCCTGCCTCCTAGTGTACATGGCCTCTACAATCCCTTCTACTGGATTATAAGCAGGATTTATGAATATGTGTCACTCTTGTAGTTAGATTATGTTACTGGGAAAAAGTAGAGATTTAACAGATGTGATAAAGGTCTCTAATCAGCTGACTTTAAATTAATCAAAAGGGAAATTTTCTTGAGTGAGCCTGACCTAATCAGGTGAGCCCTCTAATGAAAAGTTTCAATGTCAGAGATTCTCCTACTGGCCTCAAAGAAGCAAACATCCAGATGTAAGGGGATCACATAGCCAGTAACTGTGGGGGTCTCTCAGAATTATAATACTTCTTGGCAGAGAGCCTGCAAGAAAGAGGGTCCTGTAATCATAAGAAGTGAATTTTACCCACAACCATGTAGGCTTGGAAGAGAACTCCAGACTCCAGAAGGGATCACAGCCTGGTCAATATGTGATTTCAGCCTGTGAGACCCTGAGCAGAGGACCCGTCTAAGCCATGCCTGGCCTCCTGACCTACAGAAACTGAAGGGTCATAAATATAAGTGGTATTAAGTCACCCAGTTGTAGTAGTTTGCTACACAGTAATAAATAAATGCAAGTCAAAACCTGAGTTCCAAAAAAAATGAGAGAATTAAATGTAAAGGTTGAAACCACTAAATAGGACAGCACATTAATAAATATATGTAGGATGTCAATAGCTTATTCAATAATGTAGCCAGGCACAGTGACTTGCACCTGTAGTCTCTGTTACCAGGGAGGCTGAAGCAGGAGGATTGCTTGAGCCCAGGAGCTTGAGGTTGCAGTGAGCTGTGATCATGCCAGCCTGGGTGACAGAGTGAGACCTGGACTTAAAAAAAAAAAAAGAGAGAGAGAGAGAGAATACCATGGGGGAACATTTTTTATGGGATATAGTTAAAGCTATAAAGCTATATTTTTAAATGAATAATGTACAACACGACTAAAATGTTGGGAGGGGGGAAACAAAAAATAAACAGAAAGCAGGAAGAATTAATTAATAAATCTATAATTGAATATGTTAAAAACAATAAAATAGACAAAAACAGAAATAGAATTGATACGCGAAAATCTTTAAAAGGCTAGTAAGACAAACATCAGACAAATCTGACCAATGAGAAAAGAGAAATATACATCACAGAGAAAAATTTTTAAATAATGATAGAATTCTAAGTACAACTAACCATTTATTAAAGATAATGAGAAAAGTAATCCCATTCAAAACAGCAATAGAAACATATAAATTACCTAGCAGTAAGCTTAACAAGAATAGAAAGAAAGAACAACTTTTTAATATAACCTCTAAAAAGACTTGAAAAATCAGAGACATGCTGTGCTCTTGAATGCGAAGATTGCATATTATAAATATGCAATTCTAGGCTGGGTGTCTCTAAAAAAGTTTTAAACATTAGCCGGATATGGTGGCATGTACCTATAATCCCAGCACTTCAGAGGTTGAGGCAGGGGGATTGCTTGACCTCAGCTCAGGAATTTGAGGCTGCAGTGAGCCATGATTTCACCACTACACTACAGCTTGGACATCAGTGTGAGATCCCTGTCTCAAAAAAATATTGCAATTCTATAATTTAATCTATATATTTCATACAAGTCCAATAAAAATTCCATTTGAAGTTGAAAATCTAGATTAAGAAATTTTTTAAAAGGTCATGAAAACTTACCCTACCAGAGACTAGATAAATAGAAGTATAGTAATACTAATATTAACAAGATTAATAATGATGCTCACCATGTGGCAGGAATCATGTTAAGTATTTCACAACTATTTTATTTTTGGCACGCTCTTTGAGGTAAATACTATTATTATTCCACTTTTACAGCTGAAGCAATTTGGCATCAAAAACAGTAGACTTCATTGAGGCCATCCTTTTAACCACCGTCAATATAGCCTTAAGGTGACATTGTTGGCAAAAGTTTAGACTAGTGAATAGCTGATGTTGGGGCAATTGATATATTATTTGGAAGAGAATAAAGTTGGATCCTTCCCATCGGAGTGAAGCAATTTCCAGAGGGATTAAATGGAAACAATTTACATTAAAATAAGCCAGAGAACAATAGATATAATTATGTATAATTCATATGATCTCTGGGAAGGAAAAAATTTTCTAAGCACAACACTGAAGAGAGGAACATAAAAATTTAAACTTCTATATAGGAGTAAAAAAATCAGCAAACAAATACTAAAGCTTATTAATAAATTTAAAGTATCAATGACAAAATGGTAAAAAAAAATTGGCAATGTGTTAGGCAAAGGTAATATCTTAATGTATAAAGCGCCTTTCAAATCAATAAGTAAAGGGCAAAGACCTCAGTTTTGTAAACTTGGGTGCTCCTTAGGGACAACTCAGTAAGACCATGAGGGGGGTTAATGTTGACAACTTGGTATAGAAGTATAGAGAACTACTGTGAAATACAAGGAGGTTTCTTGGTTGGAAGGAGGTTTAAAATTATGTTGAGAAGCTCCAGGGAGTATAATTACTCCTTTAATTAGTCATTCAATAAATGTTTATCTCGTCTGTACTCTCTACTGGGTGCCAGGGGCACAGTGGGGAGCAAGACATGGAGCATATCTTCCTGTTGTGAAAGAATGTAGATTAAGGAGAGCAAGGCAGAGTGAGACAGGGAAGAGCTATCCCAAGAATTAAAACAAGGTGGGGGGACTGCTTGAGAATGATTGGCCATGGAAGACCCCTGTGCAGTAAAATTTAAGCTGAATCCGATTGACAAGAAGCCTGATGATGCTGTGGCAAGAAGTTATTGTACATGAGAGTGGAAACAAGGTGACCAGGTGGGAAGGTCTGGCAGTAGTCTAGGTAAGAGATGATAGTGTTCGGACTAAGGTGGTAATAATGGAGACAGAAGTCACCATACTTGGAGCACGTTTTGGACTAGGTAGATCAACAAGATTTGTTGATTTGGAGGCTAAGGGAATGAAAGGAATCAGGGATGTCAATATTTTTTATGCTACAAATTGGGTCTGGGTTGATGGTGGTGCTATTTACTCAGATGGAAAAAGTTAAAGGGAAGCAGATAGTTTACGATGGAGGGTAAGTGGGTAGAATGTGAGAATCATGAATTATGTTCTACCATGGTAGGTTTGAGATTTCAAAGACATTAAGAGAAATGTCCAATAGGCAGAAGTGAGTGGATGGACTTGGAGACACAGAGATTTGTGTGCCATTTTCATATAGATAGCATGAAGGGAAAAAAAGGACATAAATGTATTTATTACCACTAAGCTGTACACTTAAAAATGATTAAGATGGTAAATTATACGTATGTATTTTATCTCAATCAAAAAATAGATTTAAAAAAATCCTAGGGGCTGGGTGTGGAGCCTCACACCTGTAATCCCAGCACTTTGGGAGGCCGAGGTGGGTGGATCACATGAGGCCAGGTGTTCAAGACCAGCCATGGCCAACATGGCGAAACCCTGTCTCTACTAAGAATACAAAAATTACAGGAGGTGTGGTGGTGCACACCTGTTGTCCCAGCTACTGAGGAAGCTGAGGCTCGAGAATCACTTGAATCTGGGAGGTGGAGGTTGCAGTGAGCCAAGATCGTGCCAATGCACTCCAGCCTGGGCAACAGAGTAAGACCCTTTCTCAAAAGTAAAATAAAATAATAATAAATAAATAAAATAATTTTTAAAAATCCTAGGATCTAGATAGGACTCTCTACGGCAAGAGTGTAAGTAGAAAAGGGAAGGATGTCCAGGAAATAATCTTAGAGTACTCCAACATTTAGAGCAGCTGAAAACAGGAGACAGCCAGAAGCCTAAGAAGAACTGGCCAGTGAATGAGGAGTAATGCAAGAGGGTGTGGTGTCATAGAAATCAAGAGAAGAGTTTCAAAGAGGACAACGTGGCCAACTGGAAGATAAAGTGGTCAACTGCTTTGGATGCTGCTGAGAGGTTAAGTAAGAGGTCAAAGTGATGATTAGCTTTGGCAACCTGAAGCTATTGGTGATCTCGGTGAGGACAGTTTTCGGGTCATAGAGGGGGCAAACACTAGCCCTAAGTTTACTTCCTCTCAGTTTTGTCATCATGAAGGAAGGAAACTTCAGCTACTGGAGCAGGTTTCCATAGGCTTACCTTGAGTCACCTGCCCATTCCCAGATTCATAGTAACATAAATAGCTCACTTTAGACTGAATCCTTCTACCTGTATCCATTGCTGTGTCCAGGAAAGTCAATTCATGGAGTAGGAGTCTATAACCAGGAAACCTCCCCTGTGCCCGTGTTTGTCTGCAAAATGGTATACAAACATTTTTCTATTCTTAAAATAAGTCAGGGGGAGCAAACATTTTGTAAAAATTATCTGGATCCAAGGTCAAGGCTTAATCTCAGCCTTACTTATATGGTACAAATATTCTGCAAGTGACAAACCAAAATGTATTAAGTACTTAACATTCTTGACTCATCATGTCTTTGTAAGAATGGTGTTTCTTTTATTATCTTTAATCTACAGTCAAGTTAATTTGATTTAATGATCATATTGTAAGCTTATCTAATTCTTATTTTCGGTATCATCCTTTAATATATTGTGAACCATGTGTTTAACTAAGTGTAGAGAATTGTAAAATGAAGATAATAGGGTAATTAATTTGAGCACAATAAGTACAAGTTAGTCTTAACAGTACTATAGTGTACACAAGTATTTCTCTGAATTATTTCTGAAAGTATAGTTAGATTTATCCCATTTAATCATAACATATTTAACCTGCTTTTAAGTGAGTTAAGACCACTAACTTTTTCAATTTTGTTTTAGAAGTTAGAAGTTAGGTAGATTTGTTTTAAAAGTCAAGAAAGTGAAATAGAAATGATTATATTAGTCAGTCTATATGAAATGTCACTCTTCATATTTATACTCTAAAAATGTTAATTCTGTTTTACCAATGAATTGTAATTCCACTTAGCAACACTCCTTTCCATTTTTAGTTTCTAAGAGAAGATATGTTTAAGTAATTACTAATAAATTGCTCTAAAGTGAACACAATTTTTGGAACTTTTATTACTTATATTTACAAAAACTCAAAGTAAATGTGTCGAAGAGTTTCTTTTAAATGTTTCACTGTCCATCTATTGGGCTCAAGAACCTGAGAGTTGGGGGAAGGAGGGAAGGAAGGGACATAGCGAAATAAACTATCGGTATTATTTTATTCTTTTATAAAACCATGTGATGGAAAAAGAGTTCTGATTCCACATGGGCACTGTGCTGACGGTTGTATTGACATTACGGCCATAGTGACGATCAATTATTCTTATATTGCGGACCGGATTGAGAAAAGTCTACTTGCCTTTTATCAGCTAAAGAATAAAATCACTAATCAGGCAAATCACCATGGCCGTTCTAGTTGTTTGGGAAAGTCCTAATGACTTCGTCCTTTCCCACTGATGTAGGTGCAGGTGCAGGATTCCTCCTCACCTACAGGTTCCCTTCTACCATGCACTCCATTGCATCAGGGCTTTTCTCCATGCTCTGCTTCCAGAAACAATCTCTTATCCTTCATGGCCTCATGGCAGACCCATGAATTTCCATCCTGCTCTTGCTCTCTGCTTACCTTATGGCCCTGGATCAACTCACCTGGGACTCAGACCTTGATTGACACCCCAGCCTAGGTCAATAAACATTTGTTTAATCCAATTTAATTTTAATAACAAGTTTCTACTTCCAATATAATTATTTAATGTTTACACATTTACTTGCTGATATAACTAGTTTTGTTTATTTTCTCCTCTTGTTATAACAGCATTGGATTTTGTGGTTAAACCTCTTGCTTATAGTAAAACCTTTATTTATTGTGTTACATTAGCTCTAGATGTTGCTATTATCTATGCATTTGTTCTCTTATTTACAATATTCAAAAACTGAAAACACAGCATTTATATTAGTTTTCTATCGCTACTGTAAAAAAATCACCACAAATTTAGAGACGTAACACAACACAAATGTGTTATTTTATAGTTCTGGTGGTCAGAAGTCTGCAATGGGTCTCACAGGGCTAAAATCAAGGTGTTGGCAAGACTTCATTCCTTCTGGAGGCTCTAATGAGAATATGCTGCATGCCTTTTCCAGCTTCTAGAAGTTGCTTGTATTCCTTGGCTCTTGGGCTGCATCGCTCTTCCCTCTGCTTCTGTCCTTACATCTCCTTCTCTGACTATCCATCCTTTCTATCATAAGGACCCTTCTGATTACATCAGGTCCACCTAGATAATCCAGGAGACTCATCTCAAGATTCTCACTTTAATCACAACTGCAAAATCCCTTTGCCATGTAAGGTTGCATATTCACAGTTTCTGGGGCTTAGACGTAGACAACTTTGGAAGGACTATTATTCAGCCTACCACAACATTCCTTACTGTTATATCAGACAAGCAAGGAAATATATAAAGTTGAGACCAGACTTTAAAAATGTTAATTAAACCTTAATATTAAAAGACTGAAGTTGTGTGGAAGAAAAGTTATTAAACCAGGTGGTAATATTATGTGAAATCAAAAGTTAACATTAGGTAATTAACCACAATCAAATTTAAGAGAAAATATAAACGGCATATTGTTTGAAGCCAACATCTATCTAATCTAGTAAATACCTAGGGATGATTTGTTTAATACTTTAGCTTTTTATAGCATCAAACTAGATACTTAGTGATATGGTTTGGCTCTGTGTCCCCACCCAAATCTCATGTTGAATTGTAATTCCCAATATTGGGGGAGGGACCTGGTGGGAGGTGATTGGATCATGGGGGCAGATTTCTCCCTTGCTGTTCTCATGATACTGAGTGAGTTCTAAGGAGATCTGGTTATTTAAAAGCATATAGTACTTTCCCCTTCACTCTCTCTCTCTCTCTCTCCTGCCACCATGTGAAGATGTGCTTGCCTCCCCTTTGCCCTTCTCCCATGATTGTAAGTTTCCTGAGGCCTCCCCAACCGTGCCTCCTGTACAGCCTGTGGAACTGTGAGTCAATTAAACCTCTTTATAAGTTACCCAGTCCCAGGTTATTCTTTACAACAGTGTGTGAATGAACAAATACACTTAGCCCTTGTCATTTCATTTTTTAGTCATTTGTTTTTGTAAATAATACATGGAAAACAAAAAATTAGAACTTACAAGTATGTACAGTGATTTTATATACATATATATACACTGATTATACATATATGTACAATGATTTTATATATATAAAACTATATATATAACTATATATATAACTAGATATATATAACTAGATATATATATAACTATATATATAATTAGATATATAACTATATATATAATTAGATATATATATAACTATATATATATTTATATATATATATATATATATTTCTCAATCCCTCTGTCTTCTAGTTGCTCAAGTTCATTCAGATGCAACAGGTCACCAATTTTCTCTTCAACAGTTTTTGTTTATTTTTCCAGAAATTACTTGATCATTTTAGAAGTGTCTCTCCAGAATCATTGAGGCATTCAAAAGTTAATCTATACATACTTTTTTATTTATAAAACTGCCTTAATATGAGTTAGATATCCATTAGAAATAATTTCTGGCCAGGCGCTGTGGCTCACACCTGTGGTACCAGCACTTTGGAAGGCTGAGGTGGGTGGATCATGAGGTGAGGCGATCAAGACCATCCTGGCTAATATGGTAAAACCCCATCTCTACTAAAAATACAAAAAATTAGCCGGGCATGGTGGCACACACCTGTAGTCCCAGCTACTTGTGAGGCTGAGGCAGGAGAATCGTTCGAACCCAGGAGGCGGGTGAGCCAAGATCGTGCCAATACACTCCAGCCTGGGCAACAGAGTGAGACTCTGTCTCAAAAAAAAAAAAAAAGAATTTCTATTGACACTGGAGACCTTTATTTCCCCGCAATTTTTGGTGCTTACTATCTCATAAAGTATGCACTGCCTGAGAATCTACAGTAAGTACTTTAGTATCAATATTTAGGTCCTTGATCATGCTTTAAATTTTATCTTTAATTATCTCCCCAAAAAGACCAGCTGTCGTGGACATCAAAGCAATGGCTCTGGAGGTAATACCTCAGCTCAAAGTTTGGCTCTTCCAGCTTCAAGTTGTTTGGCTTTGAGCAAGTTAGTTTACCTACCTCTTTTTTTCACATTGTTGAGGAGTAAAATGGGCAAAATAATAGTACCTACCTCCTAGGGTTGTTAGGAGAGTTAACTACTGCATAAAGTAGCTGGTATTTACTAAGTATTTAATAAACAATTATATTTGTGCATAACTCCAGTCATTATGTAAGGATTATCCTCTTGTATTTGCTCTACTTAGCTTAGTTGCTAGTGATTACTATTATTCTACATTTAACAAATTCATCCATATGGCAGAAAGATTACTGGCCTGCAATTCTCAGTGTTACCACTGGGATTATTTTATGGACAGTAACAACTAATGTTCATTAGTGTTTATTGTCAACTAGGCTCTGTGCTAGTGTGCTTTAGTTGCATTGTTTTTTGAGCTTTACAAAAACCTTTGAAGTAGGTCATGTTATTGTCATCATCCTCATTTCAAGGGTGGGAACCTAAACATTAGAGAGGTTGAATAACTTGTCCAGCTAGTTAGGAACAAAGCCAGGATCTGAACCCAGGCAGA
The DNA here is from genome assembly GCF_000001405.40 of Homo sapiens. Lineage (NCBI taxonomy): Eukaryota > Metazoa > Chordata > Mammalia > Primates > Hominidae > Homo > Homo sapiens. The sequence continues at coordinate 60,369,565 of NC_000013.11, forward strand.
CTAAGTCCAGTGTTCATACACTTAATTATTGGGTTATACTACCTCCTGAAGAAAGGGCTTACTCTGGCATTTCTTCAATCATTAGGCCATCAGTTCCTTATTCTTTCATTTTTAAAAAAATAAAAATAAAACATTTATTAAATGTCTATTATATGCCAGCTACTCTCATAGGTAATAGATAGCACTGTGCCTGCCCTCAGGCTGACAGTGGCTAACAGCAACAAGTTAAAGATTCTGAAGAATAGTACCATAACTTAACTAGCACTAACTTGAAGCTGGGACATGCCATTTTTTATATTTGCTATAGCACCAGCTACCTTTCTCTTTCAAAAAAACAATATGGAAATGAGAAGTTCTCTCATATGTTTCTCTGACTGAAGCAAGCAACTCATTTTTTCTCTCTCTAGTCTCCTCTGTCCTTCTTTTACACTGTGATTATTAAGTGCCTATCTAGCAAGATCCATACCTGTTAACATTTTTAAAACTATTAATCTTTTATGTTTTTATTAGTTTTTGTGCTTAAACTTTTTTTTTGAGATAATTATAGAGTTACATACAGTTGTAAGAAATAATATGAGAGGATCCAGGTGCCCTTTACCCAGTTACCCCAATAGTAACATCTTGTAGAACAATAATACAGTATCACAATGAGGATATTGACATTGACAGAATTCACCAATCATATTAAGATTTCCCCAGTTTTCCTGGTGTGTGTGTGTGTGTGTGTGTGTGTGTGTGTGTGTGTGTGTGTGTGTTTGGTTCTTTATATCAGTAATCCCCAACCTTTTTGGCACCAGGGACGGGCTTCGTCAGGGGGATGGGTGAATGGTTTTGGGACGAAACTGTTCTAGCTCAGACTATTAGGCATTAGATTCTCATACTGAGCATGCAACCTAGATTTCTTGTATGTGCAGTTCACAATAGGGTTCACGGTCCTGTGAGAATCCAACGCTGCCACTGATCTGACAGGAGGAAGATGTCAGTTTCGGTTGCTCACCCGCCACTCACTTCCTGTTGTGTGGCCCAGTTCCTAACAGGACACAGACTGGTACTGTTCTGTGGCCCAGAGGTTGGGGACCTCTGTTTTATATCATTGATATTTTAATTCAAGATAAGCCCTTAATTTTTTTCCTCACATAATTTAATTTTCAAATGGCCTTCAGCTTGAGCAATCTTTACATTTTGATTTTATTTTTATTTTTTACTTTTTTTTAGATACAGCATCTTGCTCTGTTGTCCAGGCTGGAGCATAGTAGTACGATCATAGCTCACTGCAGCCTTGAACTCCTGGGCTCAAGCAGTCCTCCCTCCTTAGCCTCCCACATTTTTAGAGAGAATCTCTATCCTTTTCTGTAATAGAACCTTTGATGTTGCCTTATTTATTTATTTATTTATTATTGAGACACTTTCTCTCTTGTCACCCAGGTTGGAGTACAATGGCATGATCTTGGCTCACTGCAATCCCCACTTCCTGGGTTCAAGCAATTCTCCTGCCTCAGCCTCACAGGTAGCTGCATGCCACCACACCTGGCTAATTTTTGTATTTTAAGTAGAGACAGGGATTCACCATGTTGGCCAGGCTGGTCTCAAACTCCTGACCTCAGGTGATCCGCCCACCTCACCCTCCCAAAGTGCTGGGATTATAGTCATGAGCCACTGTGCTGGGCCAATGTTGCCTTTTTTAAAAGACATTTTAATCAACCATGAAGGATCCTTGTCATTTTCGTTCATGCCACACTTTTTTTTTTTTAGCTCCCGGTGAGTAGTTTTTAAATTATCTGCAGAGAGCCTGTGGCTTATTTACTTTAAATTAATTCATGATTATTTTCTTCATAAATGCACTTATCTTATTGTATTGGTAAAATAAGGTAAATGTGCTATAGCATTTTTTTATTTTCCCTTAAGTTTAATTATATTGAGATAGCTCATACATTAATGGTATATGATCAGATTTTCTATAGATAGGACTTCCTATTTTTACTTTCATCCACATCTAATATAATGTATTTCTGTTTTGTGTGCTAAAATTACTTATTCTAAAAACCATAGAATTGAGTAATTTATCCTACATTAAAGCTTATCCTTAAGATGTCATCTGCATTCATTATTGTCAACATGTGTTTTATAGCACTGCAATCTTCCTGCGTTTTCTATGGTTTGTAGCTTGGCCTATATCCCATTGGTTTTTCTCTATCCAGCTTTTGAAATTAAAGCAAAATTATCATCTTCAATTCCAATTAAATGCAATATAATAGTCATATTACTTTGAATTTTAATCATTGCTTTTTGTTTTTAGAATTTATTATTTATTAAGTAGGTAGTCTTAGTTCCACCATCTGATGATATAAAGAGGTACGAACTCCAGATCTCCTGACTCTTTAAACAACTATCTACTGCCACGCAGTTGCTAAGACATGAAGATCATGTAACACAGGGGGGACACCACACAGAAACTACAAATTGATGGCCCATAAACCACATCCAGTTTGCAGATATTTTGCTTAGCCTGGATGGTGTCGGCCAGTTTTTTAAAAAGTTTTAATTAATTGACAGAACCTTAAAAATCAGGAGATTTCACATTAAAAACCCAGATTTCCAATTTCCCTTGAAAAATTGGAATGTTTGGTAGCAATGAGCCAGAGTAGAGGAGCAGCTGCCCAGTTTGGACAGGGCAGGCACTCTAGTTGGCCACAGCCCTACCGCTTTCTCCTGTCTCTGACCCTGAAGGCAAATGGCACTGATCCTTTATCATGGCACTCATGCCATTGTTTACCTTAGAGTTGGCCTGCCTGGCTCAGTCATGTTACCTACCTGATCCTACAGGCATTATGTTATTCAGGCCTGATGCCTGGACTTTGGTCAGAACTCCTATCTGGTTTTCTGCTTGGTGCTGTCGTTCAACACAAGATCAGGAGACTTTCTTCAAATTACACCAGAGACAAGTTGGAGGCTTGCTCCTTGGCTTCCTTCAGGAGGCTTGCACCACTCTCCCTGGCACCCTGGAATTTCACCTCTGAAGCTAGGTAGAGAAAAAGAGAGACTTCTCTGTAAGGACTGGAGAAGAGCTTTCATTGTCTTCTTTCCCTGGTGTCACCCAGCTGTCCATTTAAACCTTCCAAATTTAAGGCATTCCCAATAAGAATTCTGCTGGTAAACAGCCTTCTGTTTGCTCTCAGATATCCCAGTATTCCAAAGAACTACACTGTTTAAGTTGTAGTAGGGTGGAGTTCCCCTATGGGAAATACCCCCAGGCTCTGCCTTGATGTATAGTCACATGGAGGGGATGAGAATGAAGAAAATCAGTCCAGTGGCTTAGGAAGGAAAGAGGCTGATGTTCTTATTATAATTCTATTAACTATATCTTTGCAATTTCCACTAAAATGTCCTTCCCTAATACAAAGACCTAAATCTGGTGTTCTTTGGACTCCATTTTGTCCTTGACTCTTTCACTAGTTGGAGTGAGTAGGGGTAGGGAAGAGCTTTGGTCTCCCATAGAGGTCAGATGCCACTAGCACTTTAGGGTATTAAAATTTCAGAGTGTCAATTGCTGTTCTCCACATCACACTGCTTGTGTATGCACGACTTTAAAACCTTAGGTTTTTGGCCCATTAAATACAGCAAACTTTGATTTTTGAACTGTCCTCAGGGTTTTGAGAATCATTTGTTAGTCTCACTATTTTGATACCCACCAGGGAAAATAACCAACCTGCTATGGAACAGGATCGTTAACTGAAGCAGCCACTATGAGAAGGAAAGTGCATAATGTTATAAATGAAGTCACTGCCATGAAATAATACAGATGTATTCTTTTCAGTGAATTCTGTGCAAACACCCAGTCAAGCTGAGACTTCCCTGATTATGTATAGGGAATATGTTCAGAAAATCACCAGCTGGGTTTTTCAGTGGTTTAAAAGCTGCTGTGCTGTAGCATTCCAGAATAAAATAAGTAAATACCACCTGCCAACCAGTAAAGTTTTTTGATGCAACATCCCTTTACTTCAAAGCTTATAATGAAATTGATTTTCAGTGCTTTCTCATTTCAATTTGCAAGCCCCATGAATAACTACTCTAAAATAATTTCAACTTAGAAATGTTCAGGAACTGGTGAGAAATTGATAGTGACTGTTTTATGCTTAGGTAAAAGATAATGAATAAAAATGCAAAGGAAGAACTCGCTGTGTTTAGATGAGAAGAACTATATGATAAGGAGGCAAGAAGTCAGAAATAATTTTCCATGATAAAGAGAGTAATTTAAAACTTTCTTTAATTTTTAGTAGGACTGAACCCTCAAACAAATGATGTTTCACTGCCTGGAGAATTGGCAGAGGCTGTAAATCAGATTCTAATGTGTTTGTTCCTGCAATGCCATCCATTGATTATGGGCATTTGATGCTAAACATTTTGATGAGCTTTTTTTTTTAATTCAGCAAATCATCTAGATATTTGGAAACTCTGGGATGACAGACACAAATTTTTACTTTGCATTCATATAGATATAATTTTGTTGATATTTATTTTGAAGGAATGTGTGGATCCATATTTTATGTGTCCTCAAGTTTATACAATTTGGGAGGGGTGGCACTTCTTTAAGAAATAGAATACAAAATTACGCACAAATATTTGGCAAGAAAGTGAGTATTTACTTAGAAATATAGTGAAAAGCACAACAAATTATAAATCTCAAAAAGCTAAAAAATACCACAAAGATCGTAATATCCAGAAATTTAACAAAATGCTTTTAAATGATGAACTTTCTGATATGTCTCTATAAAAATTTTTTCCTTACACTTTTTATCCTCAAACTCACTGATTGTCTCTTCATATGACAATAATTTCAGAATATAATTTTTTATCCAGGGAATAGAAAAATAATTCAGGCTTCTCCCTAGCATCGTTGATGTAAACTTGGTTCTCCTTTTGAAAGTTTAGAAAAGTTTCAGCTTCACAACTCCTTCTTGATAAGGTTGATGTACAATTTTAATATTGTTGCTAAATTTGAGAAACTATCTCTATAAAATTTCTTTCATATATGAGCTGATAGGAGATCAAAAAATTTGTAATTGAGGCCTTTGTATTAAGATGTTCGGTGGTTCCGTACAGTGTGGTGTTAGAAGATTGCTGGAAGCCATTCCTACATTGGAACAGCCAGCATTTAAAACTATGTAAGACGTTGGGAGGCCGAGGGGGGCAGATCACCTGAGGTCAGGAAATCGAGACCAGCCTGGCCAACATGGCAAAACCCCGTCTCTACTAAAAGTACAAAAATTAGCTGGGTGTGGTGGTGGGAGCCTCTAATCCCAGCTACTCGGGAGGCTGAGGCAGGAGAATTGCTTGAACCCGGGAGGCAGAGGTTGCAGTGAGCCAAGATCGGGCCACTGCACTCCAGCCTGTGTGACAAGAGCAAGACTCTGTCTCAAAAAGACAAAAAATAAAACAAAACAAAAAAAACTATGTAAGAAAAGTACCACTGACTTTCTTCACAGAATTGGAAAACACTACTTTAAACTTCATATGGAACCAAAAAAAGAGCCTACATAGCCAAGACAATCCTGGGCAAGAATAAAAAAGCTGGTGGCATCACGCTAACTGACTTCAAACTATACTACAAGGCCATAGTATCCAAAACAGCATGGTACTGATACCAAAACAGATACATAGACTGATGGAACAGAATAGAGCCCTCAGAAATAACACCACACATCTACAACCATCTGATCTTTGACAAACCTGACACAAACAAGCAATGGGGAAAAGATTCTCTATTTAATAAATGGTGTTGGGAAAACTGGCTAGCCATATGCAGAAAAGTGAAACTGGACCCCTTCCTTACACCTTATACAAAAATCTGAAACTGGACTCCTTCCTTACACCTTATACAAAAATCAACTCAAGATGGATCAAAGACTTAAATGTAAGACCTAGGACTATAAAAATCCTAGAAGAAAACCTGAGCAATAACATTCAGGATGTAGGCATGGGCAAAGGCTTCATGTCTAAAACACCAAAAGCAATGGCAACAAAAGCCAAAACTGACAAATGGGATCTAATTAAACTGAAGAGCTTCTGCACAGCAAAAGAAACTATAAATCAGAGTGAACAGGCAACCTACAGAATGGGAGAAAATTTTTGCAATCTATCCATCTGACAAAGGGCTAATATCCAGAATCTACAAAGAACTTAAACAAATTTACAAGAAAAAAACAACCCCATCAAAAGTGGGCAAAGGATATGAACAGACACTTCTCAAAAGAAGACATTTATGCAGCCAACAGACGTATGAAAAAATGCTTATCATCACTGATCATTAGAGTAATGCAAATCAAAACCACAATGAGATACTGTCTCATGCCATTTAGAATGGCGATCATTAAAAAGTCAGGAAACAACAGATGCTGGAGAGGATGTGGAGAAATAGGAAAGCTTTTACACTGTTGGTGGGAGTGTAAATTAGTTCAACCATTGTGAAAGACAGTGTGGTGATTCCTCAAGGATCTAGAACTAGAAATACCATCTGACCCAGCAATCCCATTACTGGTTATATACCCAAAGGATTATAAATCATTCTACTATAAAGACACATGCACACGTATGCTTATTGCAGCACTATTCACAATAGCAAACACTTGGAACCAACCCAAATGTCCATCAATAATAGACTGGATAAAGAAAATGTGGCACATATGCACCATGGAATACTATGCAGCCATAAAAAAGGATGAGTTCATGTCCTTTACAGGGACATGGATGAAGCTGGAAACCATCATTCTCAGCAAACTATCACAAGAACAGAAAACCAAACACCACATGTTCTCACTCTTAAGTGGGAGTTGAACAATGAGAACACATGGACACAGGGAGGGGAACATCACACAGCAGGGCCTGTTGGGGGATGGGGGGCTAGGAGAGGGATAACATTAGGAGAAATACCTAATGTAGCTGACAGGTTGATGGGTGCAGCAAACCACCATGGCATGTGTATACCTATGTAACAAAACTGCACGTTTTGCAGATGTACCCCAGAACTTAAAGTATAATAATAACAAAAAAAGAATAATCCCTAGGCATTTGCGGAAATGCCTTTAATTAAAAAGATGTTTTAATATTTACCTTCAAATTGTGACTCTTCAATATGTCTGACCTAAACAACATGCATATATAGCAATGTGCCCCCACTTTGAAAATTAATATATTTTCTAAATATAACAAAGCACATTTTCTTTCTTTTGTAAGTTTTTCTGTTGGCGATGAAGACCAATAAAGAGGGGGGTGCTATAAAACGTCAAAAAACAAAAAAAAGAAAAGTACCTACAAACCACATTAAATACATGCCACCAAACCCAAACTAAATGTAACCCAACACAGTTCCCCTTAGGCAAATCCAGAAAATGCCTGCACAATGACAATGCAGAGTAGAAAGAGACAGTGGCTTTAGCTAAGTGAGTAAAGTATCCTTCTTTTGCAAATTTTATAAAACAGGCACAGTAAACATGCTTCTGTCTCGAGGAAAAAAAAGAATATGAAGCCAGAGGACTAGATCCAGCATTTTGCTTAATTTTGTTATTCACTGAGCAGTACCCTCTGAACTCTGACTGAGTGCTGGTCTAGCCCCAGCCCAGCAAATTAAGAGCAATTGTTCCCTGAATGTTTGTATCCCATTAAGTGTCTAAATATTTTTCTTCAGATACAAATTTGGTGCCTAATTTCTTTCCTTCTTGTGTTGTACAAATTCTTTACTTTCTTCTGTTCAAACTCTAGACTTTCTGAGACTACCAACTGAGATCTGGTACTTTAAGATTTAACCTTGGAAGTTACCTGACCCTTGTGTAATAGACAGAAATCATTTCTTATGAATATAAGAATGAGAAAATGAAATATGTTTTAAACATAAAACACCATATGAAGAAATGAGAAAAAGAAAATGTGGCATCTTTGTTCAATGGAAGGACAAATATTTTATTTTATAGATTATTAGGGCCGGGCATGGTGGCTCCCAGAACTCTGGGAGGGCAAGGTGGGCGGATCACCTGAGGTTGGAAGTTTGGGGCCAGCCTGCCAAGCACGGTGAAATTCTGTCTCTGCTAAAAATAGAATAAAATTAGCTGGGCATGGTGGCTCATGCTTGTAATCCCAGCTACTTGGGAGGCTAAGGCATGAGAATCCCTTGAACTCGGGAGGCGGAGGTTGCAATGAGACAAAATCACGCCACTGCACTCCAGCCTGGGTGACAGAGAGAGACTCTGTCTCAAAAAAAAAAAAAAATTGTTAAATGTAGGGAGAGCAGATAGATTAATTTATGTCTGGATCGCAATTTTCCTGTACCAGATGATACTTAATCATCTTTAATGTAAGTAAAGCTTTGCCATGTTCAAAGTCCCATGCTCTTTCAAGAAATAATTCAGTTTAACTTATGACTTAAAAAGAAGACTCACTAGCATTGTTGGAATAATTTGGTGAAGTGGTAGTTTCCAGTACAACTTTTATTTGGAGGACACCGAAAGGTCAGCTTGTTCCAAAATATTTCTGTATGTCATGGCAAAAAGGGATATTTTAGTAGAGCATGCCCATCTCCTATTGTGATTATATAAATTATTTAATTATATGAGCTATTTATCATCTTGATTTCTGTAGAGACAAAAAATCTGACAGGTCTGTGGGTCAATAAAATTGAATGGAACACAGACAGCAGAGACAAGACCTTGATGGCAGTAGAATTTTTGATCATAAGATGACACAGTTGGGGCAATGTCACAGAAACCAGCTACTGTGGAAATCTCAATTTTCAATTTTATTTGGTAAACATAAAATATGCCAGTGTTTGTTTTATGCATTAATTTTCTGGAGTTTTTGAAAGGTTTCAGATAGGGAATAAAATAATCAGTATTCTAGCTTTCCTAAATGCTATTTGATTTCTTTTTGAAATGGTAGCATTCCATTTAATTAAACAAGTAGATTGTGGTTAAGGGAATCAGATGAAGTGTGCATATTAAATATACAACTTCTATAATCTAGTGTAAATTTTTTCTCTTCAATTTGAAATACACCAGAGAAGTGCTTGAAATGGTTGTAAGAGAGAAAATCCAATTCAAACAGGCTGAAGAATGTATTGGCCTGTACAACCTAATTTCATCAGGTTTGGCTTGATTCAAGGGCTAAAATAAATCAAGTTATCTTTTTCAACCATGCTATCCACTGTGGGGCATCATTTTAAGGCCTCAAGCAGTGGTTTCTTGTATCTCCAGGCTTGTATCATCCCGGATTTAAACCTATGTAAAAAGGGAACATGTCTCTTACTGGTAACTCCAGCAGAATCTTAGATGCTATTTTTACTGGACCAACTGGGGTCATATTCCCATTCCAAATCAAATTATCCCCTAGGGGAAATTAGTAGTCTGACTGGCCAGGCCTGAGTCATATGCTTCATCCCTGGAACAAGAGATGAAATTGTACCTGAACCACATGGATGCAAGAGTTGCAGAGAAATGGGAACCCAAAAGAAGTTCAAATACAAAACTGCTAGCAAAAGCGGGGTAATGACTTAAGAAAATCATCTGGAACCTACCCTTTGATTAACTTAACATCACTACACATCTTTCTTCATGTAGATAAGCTTCCAAACATGTCTTAATTTGCCACGTAATGACACACTTTCATGTGTACTCATGCCTTCCCGCAAGTGAGACAACTCAGCATTTGGTACAATTACTGCATCTAACTATAAATCTATAATATCTCGGTTATGCATGTGTATTAGTTCATTCTTACACTGCTATAAAGAAATACCTGAGACTGGGTAATTTATAAAGAAAAGAGGTTTAATTGGCTCACGGTTCTGCAGGCTGTACAGGAAGCATGGCAGCATCTGCTTCTAGGGAGGCCTCAGGGAACTTACAGTCATGGGAAGGCAAAGGGGAAGCAGGCTTATCTTATGTGGCCAGAGCAGGAAGAAGACAGAGACGGGGAGGTGCTACATACTTTTAAACAACCAGATTTCACAAAAACTCACTCACTGTCACAAGAACATCACCAGAGGGGAAACCTTCCCCCATGATCCAATCACCTCTCACCAGGCCCCACCTACAACATTGGGGATCACAATTCAACATGAGATTTGGGCAGGGACACAGATCCAAACCATATCAGCATGTTTAGATCTTAATATAATTCTCATGGTCTGAGAACTTATAGATAAATGATAAATCTAATCCCTCCCAATACACTCAAAATGTAATTGTAGATAGAAATAGGCTAATATCAACTTAGAACTCTTTTAGAGAGGAGGATAGAATGGGAAACAACTTTAAGTGGTGACTGACTCAATATTATATATCATGTCCTGCAGATGAGGAACTTTTTGACTGGGTGGTAAAAGAAAATTTTTGGACAGCGAATTTAGCTGCCTCTTTTCTTCCCTCTGGAAAGCTCTCCCAAATCTGGTATCCTCCATAGATAATGAGTAATAGGAAGGAAGCCCCTTGTGGTGGATGTACATCTTTACACCCCACTTCCTGGTACAGAGGAGACAGGAGTGTGAGAGCCAATTGTATACATCCCTTCTCACCTCTGTATCCAGTGAAACATGTTGATAGCTTGAAATGGCCATGAAGGGAGTATTTATACCACAAAATCAGCAACTATGAATCAAATGCTCCCCATAGCCAGTATTACCATTCTACCAGGACATCACTGAGAGGAAGTGAAGGGATTTCTTAGGACTTAGGGGTTTAGTAATTATCAACTTTTGTTTATTAATCTTGGAATTTCTTTGGCAGCGCAGTTTTTAAAAGAATTTAGTTAGCTCTGAGTCTGTAAATTCCATGGGTTAATCACCAACTCTGTTGATGTAAAGTTAGAGTCTTTCAACATAGAAGCTGGGCAGGGGATTTGTACTTCTTAGCAACTACCTTCAGTTCCTTCTTTGTTTGCCTAGACCCCAGTTTCAGGACCTTTATCTCGGCCTTTGTCTCCCAGCACAGTGAACATATGGTCTGCCAGTGAAGAGGCAATGGCTAATTGACTTTTGGCCCCCAAGCTGCAAACCCAGTGAATATTTGCAATTAAAATAATTATCCCCTGTTGCAAGAAGAGAATTTATAACAAGTGATGCTAGGTAGGAGCCAGACCATCAGACTTCTTTTAAGTGCCAGTTTCATCTCATGCTAGGTTTCCCACCTCCTGCTTTGTTTATATTTCTCTAGCTTAGTGCAGATTATTTTATTTGTATAATATTGCAAACCTTCAGATCACTGAACCCTCAGCCATCTTGGATTATAGGGCATTGACAAAGAATGTCTTTCTGAGAATATTTTTAAAATCTTTCAAATGGGTCAATTTCTATGAAGTTGTTCTCTCTCTTGTAGGAAGAAAATCAAGAGACTATGGTATCTGGCAAGTCAAATGAAGAATATGTATCAGAGTGAAAGAAATGCTCAACTGTGTCCATTGTCAAGGCTGATTGGCCACAAAAGGGTAAAGAAAGACTGAGTACTGGATTTGGCAATCTGCAGACCTATGATGACCTTGAGCAGTTTCAAAGGAGTAATGGGGACAAAATGAGATGGGTTTAAGTGAAAATAGAGGAGAGAAATTGGAGAAAGTAAGTAAGTCTTTGACAGGGTTTTGGTGTGAAGAAGAGCTTCCAATATTATTTCTAACCCAATAAGCTTTTGACTGCATGCCCCTCAATATATTACTTTCAAAGAGAAGGGTATTTTTCTACTGGGTCTGTCACATTCCTGTAACTACTCTAATGAGCCTAACTCATTACCACCTTATGGAATCTATAGGTATTACAAAAATGAGTGTTTTTTTTGTTTTGTTTTGTTTTGTTTTTTAAAAAAACCCTTTTACCTTTTTGCTGTTAGTCAATAGTATAACAAGGGTCACAGTCAGGGCCATTTGTTGAGAATTTATGACAGCTAATATATATAGTGACTTGAATTACCCAGGATCCCTGAGTTCTTTTTATTACCTAAAATGATCAAGAAACAGCTTCTGATATATATTTTTAGTTTTATTGTTAATAAAATGAAGATTAAAAAATACAGATACAATACTGCAACATAAATAAAAAATAGACTTAAAAAGTAGTTTGAGGTATAATGAACAAAATTATACACATTCCAGGCATTATTAATCTATTTACATTTTTATCCACTATATTTAATTCCACTTATTAATACTTCCTGGGAAATCTCATTTTACTTTGTTAAAGTTAGAATAATCAATTTTAAAGCTATCATCTGCTGGAAGGTCTAAATTTGAGAATGAATGAATTTATGCAGGCTTTTCTAAGAGCCTTGAATTTTAAAAAGACTTACAGTTTATATATAATAAGGATCAACCTCTCCCCCACCGCTCATTTGTAGATAGAATGTGCATTTGGAGGTAATACTATCCTGGCTATTTGCTTGACATTTCTGAACAGAGCTTAAGTACAGGAAGTAATGAAGAGCAGTGATAATGGAAGGAAATGCTGAACAATATTATTATTCAGCTCAGTTCCTACCTTCTGCCTCCCACATGCTGTTTTTCAGCAGTAGGGGCTATCTTTGGTGGGGTATTTTTGTTTTTTGTTTTTTTGCATTTTGATGTGGGGAGGAGGAAAATATCTCCAGTCCTTAGAAGACAAAGAGGTTGGCATGCTTGGGAGAGACAGGATTCATTTTTGCTGTGTTTCAGGAACACCCTCCAGTCCCCTGACTTCTGACTTTACTCCACACAGGCACTTGTCCTTCATTCAGCCACTGTCCTGTATTCGGGACTATGGCTTCAGGACATTGGCAGCTGATTATTGTTACTGTCCCGGGCTATAAATAAGGTTAACCTATATCCAATCAGTTATCCAGACCAAATTTTCCCTTATAGCCTAGTTTGAAACTGCAAAATGCAAAATGTTTCAAGCTCCTTGTCCTGTAGCAGGAGACAAGTCTGATTCTACACAGAGTTCCTTTGCCTTATGTGAGCCTGCAGATAAATATTTTGGAATATGTGTGTGTATATATATATATGTATATATGTATATATATGTGTGTGTGTGTGTGTGTGTGTGTGTGTGTATAAAAATATTTTTAAGAAAACACAAAGAAAACTATTTTCCCATGATTCCTATTTTTGCCATTAATCACCATCTCTAAAGATATTAAGTAATATATTTTGAACCTTTTATATATAATAAAATAATATTTGTTAGAATGGTAATAATGGGTCCATTTTCATATATAAATGTAAACATATTAATTTAAATGCATTCAATTAATTTAAATACACTTCATATTAACAAGGAAAAATTATGGGGGAATACATTTAGTGTAATTGATAACTATTATGATGATGGTCGTGATCATTTTGTAGTTTTGAGGATGTCCTGGGACAGATAAAGGTATAGACTCAAATGATGCCTCTAGGGATTTTTTTCATTGCTTCTTACGATGAATTGGTGATTTGTTTGATAACATTCGAACATGTAAATGAAAAAGTACATGAAGTTCTTTTAATCTAGAAAGGATGAATGCTATCACTACACTAATTTCAGTCTGATCTAACCTGGCATAAACATTTCAAGTTAGTTAGATGATGACCCACGTTTATCACATTCCGTGATCAGTGTTTATTGAGTATTTGCTGTATAACGGACACTGTATGTGTATTTTATCTCATTTAATCCTCAAAGCAATCCTACCAAGACAGTCCATGAAAAGATAATGAGGGTTTAGAGGGTTTAGAGAAGTTAAGTAGCTCTTCTGGTATCACACTGCCAATAAAAGGTGGAGCCAAAATTCAAATCTGCATGTCTAACTTTCAAGCTCTGTGACCAGGCTGAGTAGTAAAAGGATGAAATAATGGTTGAAAATGGTTGAAATGGTTGAAAATGGTTGAAAAGGAAAATAAATGGTTGAAAAAGGATGAAATAATGCTGACGTTAAGCACCTCACATCTCAGAATTGAATGCATAAACACATAAATGATATCAATGTGGTACAGCGAGAACTGTAGAAAATGGATATACAAAATGGCATGTGACCATAGAGGCGGGAGGCAGCAATTGCATCTGGGTAAATCAGGCAAGGGTTCGCAGAAGTGATAGCTGAGGCACAAATGAGAAGAGCAGCATTCGAGACTAAGGACACAATCAGTAAAAAGCCATCAAAGAGGAAAAGGCATTAGCACGTTATGGAAATCATGCAAAGTTCGATATTGGGGTAGAGGTGGTTGTGGCAGGAGCATTGGAATTAACTACGGCGATGCTCTGAATTTACTCTATTGAATAACTGAATATTAAAATAGTCTGCGAGGATTAGAGAGCATAAGTTAGAGGTTAAGTGACTAAGACAGGACTTATGACTTGCTAAGTTTTTAGCTAGGTCTATTTCTCTAGTTATTTTTATTACTTTATCAGCATCCTTCAGAACACATCCTTTCTGTGGATTTTTTTGTTTTAGGTCAACAATTCCATGTGCATTTCAGCTAATGCCTCATTATTATGCTAACTGTATTTTCTTTGTTGAAATTCTATATTACAGTGTGTTACTATATATGGCAGGGTATGATTTGGCCTTGCCGAACTTTGGGCCATTACCAGTGGCTTCAGATTGAACAGGGTTATTTTGAGGTCATTCACTGACGCTATAAAGGATTGAATTATTTACGACTTTAATATTCACCAGTGTTTCTAGCTGAAGATCCAATATACCGCTGAATATTATCTGTCAACAAAATGCTGCATCTGTTCCATTTGTTGATGACTGATAAAACAAAGCAGTTGAATTCTGCTTTGAACTAAATATGGGTAGAATTTCCACCTCAAGCATTTTAATACAAATAATATTTATAATTAATAGTAATAATATTTATGTCTGATACTAATTGACACCAATCATAATGCATAAAAGTAAACATATATATCACTATAATATTGCTTTATTACTATATTTACTATTTTTACTTTTGCATAAGAGAGACTGATTGGGGGAAATAGGTATCTCACTCAAATACTAGGCATAAAACAGCTACATTTCTGTAACAAAAGTCTGGCATAAAAAATTATTTTTTTAAGAATTAAAAAAGCAAACACCTCTATCTCATTTGACCACATTTTCCTTATATTTATTACCTTCAGCAAAGTAAGAAAGATAGATATTAGTTAATATGAGAGAAGAGGTAGAAGAAATATTTTAGAGTAGTGACTAACATTCCCTCTTTTTAAAAGGCATCTGAAAAATAAATATATTGATAATTTTATAGAATTAAACCTTAGAGATGGAAGGCAGTTTAGAGTTCAATTTTAATCATTTTAAAAACAGGTTTTTTAAAATTGTCATTGTCAAAACATTTATCTGTAAGCATCAACCCTGAAGTGGGTCTTCATTACCTCATGGTAGTTTTTCCTCTGTACTAATCAGACAGTACCAGGCATTTCTGGGAACAGCACTAGGAAATTTTCCCAAGGGACAATGATATATCTGGGAGTTGCATTACTGACCCAAAACTTGGCATATAATAAATCAAGATATGTCCAATAATACGGCATAAAAGCAAATGTTGAGGCATAGTGCCGACTAAGGGAAATGATGCAGATAAAGGTCCAGCAAGAGTGCCTGGCATATGGGAGCCAAACCAAACGTGTTAGTTTCTCATATCCCAGAATAAGGTTATTTTGGCTGCTTAACAAATTGCCCCAAAACTTAATGGCTTTAAATAGTAATGATCACTTATTCCCTTTCACGGTTCCTGTGGGCCAGGAAATCAGACAGGGCACACAGACTCAGCTTTCCTCTGCTCCACAACATCTGAAGCCTCAGCTGGAATACTCAAAGGCTAATGGCTGCTTCATGTGAAGGCTTCTTCACTCCCATGTCTGGCAGGTGATGGTGATTTTTGATTGGGGACCTAACTAGGGCTGCTGACTGAAACAACTACAGGTGGCCTCTCTGTGTCACCTGAGATTCCTTACAACATAGTGGTTGGAGTCTAAGGACAAGCATCAAGATAGCTTAATAGATGATAGATAGATAGAGAGAGAGAGACAGAGAGACATACTACACAGGAGTTGTTTTGCCTTTTATGATCTAGCCTCAGAAATCAAGCAGCCTTACCTCTGCCAGATTCTTATGGTCAAGGAAATTACAAAGATCCAAAAGGTGGAAATAGAAACTCCATCTTTCACTGGAGGCATGTGGATGCCACACTGTAAGAAGAGCATGGGAGGAGCTATATATTGGTGCAGCCATCTTCGGAAAATGCAATTTGCTAACCTATCAATAATATGAAATAATAAAATTATACTTTTATTATTTAAAATCATAGAAAGTAGAAGGTTCTAGAGGATTTTTATTCTCCACCTCTTCAAGCAATTTAACCCCCTGAATGAAAAATAGAGTCTAAGAGAAATAGATTATCTGAATGGAACCATTCACCTGGTTATTCCAGTGTCAAGAGTTAAACCCAGGTTTGCTGAATCTCAATTTTATAGTGATTTACCTTATAAATATGCTATAAAATATGTCTGAGTTTGTTCGTTGATTTTAAAAAGGGCTCAATGTATTTTAAACTATCCATTTGTATAAAAAACACAATCCTTATATGAGAAATCTGAATTATTAAAACTAATATTAGAGGAGGATATTCCCCAGCTGGGAGTTTTAAAGATGTAGGTGTGATCTACAACCATCTGATCTTCAACAAGGTCGACAAAAGCAAACAATGGGGAAAGGATTCCCTATTCTGTAAGTGGTACTGGGATAACTAGCTAGCCATATGCAGAAGAATAACACTGGACCCTTATCTCTCACCACATACAAAAATTAACTCCAGATGTTTTAAATATTTAAATGTAAGACCTCAAAGTATAAAAATCCTAGAAGAAAACCTAGGAAATAACCTTCTCACGATTGGCCTTGGCAAATAAATTTTTGGTTAAGATTCCAAAAGCAATTGCAACAAAAACAAAAATTGACAAGTGGAACCTAATTGAACTAAAAAGCTTCTGCACAGCAAAGGAAGCTATCAACAGAGTAAACAGATGACCTACAGAATGGGAGAAAATACTCACGAATTATGCATCTGACAAAAGTCTAACTTAGAGGAATTAAATCAAGCTAAAAACAACCTTATTAAAAAATACACAAAGGATATGAAAAGACTCTTCTCAAAAGAAGACATACAAGTGGCCAAGAAACATACAAAAAATGCTCAACATCACTAATCATCAGAGAAACGCAAATCAAAACCACAATAAGATACCATCTTGCACCAGTCAGAATGGCTATTATTTAAAAGTCAAAAACAACAGATGTTGATGAGGTTGAGAGAAAAGGAAATGCTTATGCACTGTTGGTAGAAATGTAAATTAGTTCATTTTACTAATGAAATGTAAAACAGTTTGGAGATCTCTCAAAGAACTTAAAACATATTTACCATTTGGCCCAGCAATTCCATTACTGGGTATGTACCCAAAGGAAAATAGATTATTATACCAAAAGGCACATGTACTTATATGTTCATTGCGGCACTATTCACAATAGCAAAGACATGGAATCAACCTAGGTGCCCATCAGTGGTGGACTGGATAAAGAAAATGTGGTACATATACACCATGTATATGTACCACATATACTACATAGCCATAAACAAGAATGAAATATGTCTTTATTATTAATGCAGGAAGAGAAAACCAAATACCACCTGTTCTTACTTATAAGTGGGAGCTAAACATTGAGCACACACAGGCATAAATATGGGAACAACAGACACTGTGGACTACTGGAGAAGGGAGGTGGGGAGGTGGGTGCGGGTTGAAAAACTACCTATTCGGTACTGTGCTCACTACCTAGGTGCAATATACAAAGGTAGCAAACTTGCACATGTACCCCTTGTTTCTAAAATAAAAGTTGAAATTTAAAATAAATAAATTAAAAATCCAGACTTAACTTGAAAAAAAAAAAGTTGGTGTGTCTGACAAACAGCCTAGCTTGTGATCTCCCTGACATCTACTTGTATGAGCTGGATGTATAGGTCAGTTTCAGCAAGACTGAGGAGTGGAGAGGACAGTATAGTGTCTGTTCCTCAACCCTGTTCCATGCAGTTTCTTGTTTGGGTTGTAGGGAACCAGAGGGCTGAAGCAAAAGCTGCTCCAAAAGGAACTTGTGAGACCACAGAGTAAGCTGAGCTGCCCTGGGTCCCAGGTGACTCAAATGCAACTGGGATTTGGAGAGGGGCAGTCCTCGTTTCATGCACAGAAACAGGAGAGAACACATTGCTGCTTGACATATTGAGATTGTGCAGGTTTGGGGTCAGTAACAATCTTCTATGCAGAGAAACAGCATTTTCAAAGAAGTCACTGCAGCGTGATAATATCCAGTTACTTCTCTTTCTGTCTCTCTTATTTTTATTTTTTTGAGACAGGGTCTCACTCTGTTGCCCAGGCTGGAGTGCAATGGTGGGATCACAGCTTACTGCAGACTTGACCTCTTGGGTTTAAGCAATCCTTCCATCTCGGCCTCCAGAGTAGCTGAGACTACAGGCATGAACCACCATGACTGGGTAATTTTTGTACTTTTTGTAGAGATGGGGTTTTGCCGTATTGCCCAGGCTAATCTTGAACTTCTGGGCTTAAGTGATCCACCCACCGCGGCCTCCCAAAGTGTTGGGATTACAGGTGTGAGCCACTGTGCCTGGCACAGTTACTTTTCTCTAGTGGGTTTTGAACGGTGGATAGATACAAGGGGTCGGAACAGAAGATAGTGGAGGACTGTTACTGTCCATGTTTACACAGCCCCTGAGGAATCCTTGCAAAACTATAATGAATTATTGTGAGAGAGCAGGGGTTAGGGGGATGATGTTTAAATCCTGTAGTTATGTTGTGAAGAGTGACAATAAAATTGAGTATAAATGCTTATGTAGCCTCAGTTGAACCTGCTGGCAGATACAGCCTGTGAATATTTGGATCGCGCTAATAAATTATAGTTAACATTTAATTAGCAATGATTTTATTTGACTTAGAATTCTGAAGGGTATTTGAAAGAATCATTTGGGTAAGTTTTGTCTAAAAATACCTAAACTGTTACCTTTTCCTCCTTTCATTCTGAGTCAAGCTGAAGCATTATAAAATTACCCAATTTATTACCCTTTACAAAAACATTTACTGAAGAATCTATTTGAAATCATTCTTATAGATTTCTTTTGTTGCTGTTGTTGTAATTTAGAGATCCTCAGCCTCTGTAATCTGGATGTCTTGTTTACTGTCTCAGTCTTTGCTGTTCCCAGAATCCTAATTTTCCCTAAGTTCCAAGTCTCCTCATGCCACCTAAAATCCAGAGGGGTTTGGAAATTTACAAAAATCACAAAAGCGATGTTAGGATGGTTTATGGAAGTGGAGACAGGGTTGCGTAGGTGGTTGGAGGGTGGATAATGTGTTATCCAAAGCTTAGGCTCAAACCCCAGCTCTGCCACTGACCAACTATGCATGCAAATTTGGGCCTTAGTTTCCTGATCTGCAAAATGAGGACTTTAGACACACACACACACACACACACACACACACACACACACACACCTCTAATAGCTTTGTTGCTAGGATTAAATGATCTAATACATAAAAAGGTGTGGCTCTCATTGCAGGAACTTTCCTTATTTAGGTCATGGAAGAGTTATGCACCAAGTTTTTTCAAAAAGTGCTAACTGGATAAAGCGATCTCCACCCAACACCTCCCTTAATCCCTGCTTACATGATACTCCTCTACATGAGCTGGTTTGTTTCTAAAGGTCATTCTCAAGAAGTGGAGCATAGATGTTAATTGGACAGTTTTGAATGTGCAGAGAGGTTTTAAAAAAAAAGCTTTGAAAAGTAAAAATAGCGTTTATTTATTACTGAAACATTTTAGGCATAAAAGTGAATGTAAACCTGCTTCATTTCCTCTGCGCTTAGAAAATTTGCCCCTAAGTCCTTTATAGCAAAAATGAGCAGAAGTGACTCCTTGCTGGTGATGCAGAGGTCTCATATTTTTAGCCCTAGAAAGTCAGTGAAGAGAGTTGGACTGTGAGAGCAGCGTTTCAAAGCTCAGCTCTACTTTTTTGGCCTACAAACATCCCATCGAAACTCAGTATGACAGCTAGTGCTCTGACAGCTGGTGAATAGGGATTTTAAAAAAAGAAAGAGAAAAAAATCTACTATGTGAGAGGGATAATCACCTGGAAGGTATTACTTGGATCAGTGCTATAGTGAGTTATAGGAATGGAGGGTGGAAAATAAATAATTGATCTTTGGCACCAAGTTTATGATTAAGGATTTCACAGAAAGAAGGAAGATAGTTAAGACAGTGCAGTTTTCCCTAAATTTTAATTATCCACAAGCCTCCCTTACAATTTTGCCACATCCACACACTTCCTGTATTATTGTTTGCTTAATATGAGTTTTTGAACAGTTACTTTAAAAAATCTTATGTGTATTTATTATTGTTGTTGTTATTTTAATTTAGAGACAGGTTCTCACTCTGTCACCCAGACTGGAGTGCAATGGCATGATCATAGCTTACTGTAGCTTTGAACTCCTGGGCTCAAGCGAGCCTCCTGCCTTAGCCCCCTGAGTAGCTAGAACTACAGGCATACAACACCATGCCTGACTAATTTTCAATTTTTTTGAAGAGATGGAGTCTCGCTATGTCGCCTAGGTGGTCTTGAACTTCTGGCCTCAAGTGATCCTTCTACCTCAGCCTCCCAAAATGCTAGGATTACAGATGTGAGCCGCTGCACCTGGCCTTGTGTGTATTTAAACAGAAAACTTTATTCACTACTGTTAATGAAATGTCAAAATAATGTGTCATAAGTATAAAACATAAATATAATAAAAATAAAATAATGTTATTAAATTATAGCTAGATATTGTAGTCTACAGAAGATTATGACCTTGAGGCCTGCTATCTTTTTGTTAAAAATGGATTTTGGCAAGTGTTAAAGGGATGTTAACTCACTCCAAACTGACACCTTCTCTTTGAGGCTGTTGGACAAATGGAAGGGGAAATAGCTTTCTCATTATGGGATTGATCCAGCAATATTTATTGAGTCAATGTTATTTAATGTCATGTTACGAACACGTAGAAATGCTGTTTATCTCTACTTGTCCAACATTTTGGGAATAGTGTACTGGTTAAGAGGGTGGTATGAGTGTTGGACAGACATGAATTTAAATCCCAGCTTTGTCACTTAACGACGAAGCTACCTTAAGATGGTCATTTTACTGCTATCCTTTCTTCATTTTTATTTAGAAAATATTTAGCACATTGAATAAATTTTGTTGCAATCATGATGTTAATAATGTGAATACTGATGTGCAAGATGGGCTGAGGAGGCTTGGCTGTATACATAAATTGCCCTTTTATTAAGGTTTTGTCTATAGGTTGTCAAGCAAATACATTTTAACTTAATTTAGCTTATTTGTTTTAAAAACCCAGTCATATTATTTGTCCTTCTAGCATTCTAGTCCTCCTTCTCGAAATCTGAGTATGGCTTTTCTATCTTTTTGTGGCTTCTTCTTCTGCTGTTTACTGCGGTTGTTCCTTAGGCTGCATCTTTGCGCCTCTTCTCTGTTTTTACACAACTCCTCAGAAGCCTATTCATTTTTAAAGCTTTAGCAATGTCTTATAAAGTGACTTCTAAAATCATTATCTCCAAATCTGCCCTTACCTCTTCCCAGCCCACATCTCTATTTGATAATTGCCATGTCTTGTCACTTTAGATTCAGATTTAAAATCAGCACATTCATTTCATCCTCTGTTCCTTGCCGATGATTCCGTCATATTTCCAGTTCCTTATGAATATAGGAGCTAAGTGCATGCGTTTTGGAGTCAGAATATTCTGGAGTCCTGTTTCTACATTTTACCAATTTTAACAGAAAATTACGCATCAACAAGATGCCATTAAACATATGAGATCAAAACTTCCTCATACTTCAAGAGAAGTGGAGAGTGGCAGAAATAGTCTGTAAAGAAATAGAGCTAACATATTTTTTAACCTTGAATTTCATTACTTTATTGACCACTCTAAAGGAAAGTGTTAACATTAGTTGAAAAAAGGTGAATAATAAAGCGTATATATTTTTTCTTTTACATAGTTTCTCATGAAGTGTTAGTTCTAAAATTAATTCAAAATAGTTAGATAAGAGTCCTTTCAGTGTGCTGAAAAGTGGCTTTGTACTAAAGACCAGGGATAAGTGACAGTGGTTGAGCTCTTCAGGAGATCTGAAGAGGGGACTGCATGTTAGGCCAAGTGTTAATGGTAAGCTTCAGAGAGAGTGAGAGATTTGTAGCATATTTAGACTATGGTAATTTTGAGTGTGAGACATAAAGTCACCTGTCCAAATCCAAAGAATGGACTTAGAGAACTGGAGAACAGTGAAAGTGAGACTTTTAATGATAGTCTTGCAAGATTGAGTGTCTGATGAGCAGGCACACCCAGCACAGTTTTAACAAGCAATTTATCCCCTAGTGCACAGGTCCTTCCCCCGGTTCCTCATTGGCTGAGTACTATGGGGTCACAGTTTTCCTGGACATTGCATATTGATTGTTGGGTAGGGGCTTTAGGTGTTTTTTTTTTTTTTTTTTTTTTTAGGGTTGTCTTGCTGCATTTTATTGCAGCCCACAATGCATTGCAATCTAGTTAGCTCAGAGGCTCTTCAAGTATTTGACTTAAGACTTAAGTAGCTGGGTAGGCTGATAAGAACAGAAAAAACGAGCTATTTTGCAGGCTAGTAAACTTTCATCTTAGACTAAACTTCTTTGATTCAGGTGAGGGCAACTAAGTAGGGGCGGGGAAGGGGGGAGGGTAGGCCAACAAGCAGGCATCAGCTATCCAAACAGGAGCTTAGTACATCCTGTTTCTTCTGTAGTTTGTTGGCCTAAGCCGACTTAAGGCACTTTGTCTTGGAAATGGACCACTGTATATATTATTTCCCTCATGAGGAAGGTGAGAAAATATGGGACGTAATCTTGCAAATTTCATTAACTGTGAAAATTACACCAAAAGTTTACAAAGTTTTTTGGGGGGTCATTTTCCACTTCTCTTTAAAAAACAGACGTTCCTGCACACTGTATCATGCTGTAAACACAAAATAGATGTAGTCTTTCTTTGTCCTAAATAGCTAAAATGGTAAGTTTAATGGCTTTAATATGGCAAAGTTTAGTGCTTGAAATGAATTAACTAAAATATATACAGCTGTATCTTGTGATGTGAAAGCAAAAGAGGCCAATTCCTCTTGTATATACTTATGAAAAGTCACATGGTAAAACTGTTGGAAAGTGACTGATTTTTACTGAAATCAAAGTGAGTATGGGAATCTAAAATGTATCCAGAAGATACATTAAATTGTGATGTTTCATTTTATAAGTGAGTGCAACTAGCATTCTTTTAAATTATAGGTTCTTCAGGTGATTTCAAATATAATAGGGCCCTCTGGCACTGGCTCATCTGTCATTCATAGGTTATTTTAGTATTCCGTAGGATGCAAATGGCTTACAGTCACAAGATGTAATTTGCCTCAGAGGGCCAGGCACTCTTATCATCTCACTTTTTATTGTAGCTTCTATTCTTACTTACCCATATTCTTTTACCCTTTTCAGTCTGAGAAACTTTTCCTTTACTAAAATGATAAGAGGCGAAACAGAGGAGAATGGATTTTCAGTCTCTCTCTTCTGTTAATTTACCACAGACTCGAAATAGATTTCATTCCTCGTTTTTGTTTTCTTGGACCTAACAATTTTTTTTTCTACCCTTAGGGTTTCCCCCAACTTCAGCTCATTGTAGACTTTCTATTTTCTGTAAATCAATGATTTATCTAATTAAAAATGGAAATTCATTTTATCTAGTTAGCTATTACCATTTTTCATGGCACTAAATTATCTATACAGAACATAATTCCAATTTAAAATTTTGATGTGAAATTAGTGTAATCCACGCTTCTTTTTATTTTGGAAAATTTCAAACCTAGAGAAAAAAAATAAACATGTGGACCCTCCTCCAACTGATTCACCCATTTTTAATATTTTGCCATATTTACCTCCTTTCTCTTTTTTCCTTTTTTTTTTTGAGACGGAGGCCCGCTCTGTCGCCAGGCTGGAGTGCAGTGGCGCGATCTGGGCTCACTGCAACTTCCGCCGCCTGGGTTCAAGCGACTCTCCTGCCTCAGCCTCCTTTCTCTTTCTTACCTATATACATGTATCAATGTTTATATGTTTTATATATTTTACAAATGTATTTCTCTTACTCATTTGCAAATAACTTGTAGATCCAATTCTTCTTCATCCATAAATGTTTTGACATAAAATTCTCAATTTAAGGACAATAACATTATCACATTTAAGAAAACCATATTCCATTATACTATCCAATATCCAGTCCAGATTCAAATTTCTGCAATTGGCCACCAGTAATTATTTTTTTCATTTATTTTTTAGATCCAGGATTGAATTTTGTTTTCATGTCTCTTGCATCTCTTAAATCTGAAATAATATTTTTTTTTTTTTTGAGACAGAGTCTCGCTCTGTCGCCTAGGCTGGAGTGCAATGGCGCGATCTCGGCTCACTGCCAGCTCGGCCTCCGGGGTTCCCGCCATTCTCCTGCCTCAGCCTCCGGAGTAACTGGGACTACAGGAGCCTGCCACCGCGCCCGGCTAATTTTTTTTTTTTTTGGTATTTTTAGTGGAGTCGGGGTTTCACCGTGTTAGCCAGGATGGTTTCGATCTCCCGATCTCGTGATCCGCCCGCCTTGGCCTCCCAAAGTGCTGGGATTACAGGCGTGAGCCCCTGCGCCCAGCCTTCTTTTTTTTTTTCTAAAGAATTATTTCTGGCCGGGCGAGGTGGCTCACGCCTGTGATCCCAGCACTTTGGGAGGCGAGGCGTGCGGATCACGAGGTCACAAGATCCAGACCATCCTGGCAAACACGGTGAAACCCGGTCTTTACTAAAAATACAAAAAATTAGCCAGGCGCGGTAGCAGGCTCCTGTAGTCCCAGCTACTCGGGAAGCTGAGGCAGGAGAATCGCTTGAACCGGGAGGCCGAGGTTGCAGTGAGCCGAGATCGTGCCACTGCACTCCAGCCTGGGCGGCAGAGCGAGACTCCCGTCTCAAAAAAAAAAAAGTCTTAAATTACATTTTAACAGTCTAGGCCAGAGGAGAATATGCCTCATTGTGGATTTATGTGCCTGCGTCTTCATGTTTAACTTGCTCAAATATCACCTATACGTCCTTTACATTTCTTCTTACATCTAGACCTTAGCATTACTGACATTCTGGGCCACATCATTCTTTGGAGTTCAGCGATGTCCTGTGCTTTGTAGGATATTTAGCAGCATTCCTGCTGCATCCCATGAGATGCATAACAACACTCCTACCTCCTCAGATTGTGACAACCTAGACATTGCTAAATGGATTTGGGGGTGTGGGGGTTGGTTTAGGATCCACTGTCCACAAGCTTGGTTAAACTCAGGTTAAACCATTTTGGCAAGAATACTTCTTAAGTGATGTGTATGTCTAGTTGCATTACATCAGTAAGCAGAATACATTAGATTGTCCCATTATTAGTGATTCTAGCTTTGATCTCTTAAGGCAGTGATTTTTTTTTTTAAAAGGTAAAGCTACATTTTCCCTTCTGTAATAAGTAAGTTATGGCTTGAAACTTTGAGACCATGTGAAGATCCTGTACTCCTAGTCTTTTACCCTGTGGCTTTTAGTATCGTCTGATAAATTTTCCTCTATCAATTGTGGTTGACTTGGAAAACTGTGATTTTTCTAATTCTATCATTTGTTCTACATTTACTATCTTGTATTGCTCTGAAAGAAAAGATTTTGTCCTCCTTCATTTTTGGTGGCACTCCGAAGAAATTCAATGTGTTTCATCAATTATTGTCACCATTTTTTGGATGCTCATGTTGTCCCACATTTCTCCAGTAAAAAACCCATTCTTTAAGAGAATTTAGTGTTTTGTGGAGTACTTTATTATTGTAAGGACCATGCAGTGGTAAATCCTTACTGAATCACACGACATGTGAGAACAAATGACTTTATAACCAGTGAGAAATTCTGATGATTGGTACAACATATTTTCATAGTTAACAGGTTACACTAACTGAAAAATGTAAATAATTGGTAACAGAAAATTCTAACCGCCAATAAAAATTATTGGCAATTTATTTTTGAGTCATCTATTTACCTTTAAAATGGCATATCTATTCCTGGCTCCTGTATATGATGGCCGATGACTATAAATTGAAATATACCTGTAGCATACGTATGACTTAAACACTGCATACTACTGCACATTGCAGCGAACAGGATGGAGCTACTTGTGATCTAAAATTATCTAAACAATATACTTGGGAGCAAATCTCAATAGCATTCCATCTAACGAAAGCATCGCGATTTTATAACTATGACTTTTGGGAAGACCAAACGGAATACCCCAGCTGAAATGAGAAAAATCTGTATTAAGGAATTTTAGCTCCACCCAGGGCAATTATCCCCTTCCTTCCGTAACTGCCAATTTCCTCCCCAATCCCAAGAGCGCCTCTGCCCAGTTCCGCAGTCTCTGCTCCAAGTCTGTTTTTGATGATGCCCTTAGAAGCAGGGGCAGCGGCAAGCGGCGGAGATAGGGATTAAGTTCCTAACAGTCTTCTTCCCCTGACCTGGCAGATGGGGACGCTGCCCCTTAGAAGCCTTTTTCCCCGCAATACGGGACGCCGCAGAGGTGAAAGACCAAGAAGGTGGAGCAAACTTTTAGGGAGCGCCTCTTGGGCCCGCGTACCCTTCCGCCTGTTCCTCTCTGATTGGCCAGCGTGAGTCACGGACGCCCAATCGCGCGGTAGCGTCCGCCGTGCCGCTGGGCGACGGCGGCGCGCATGCCCACTCAGGGACCCACCCTGCGCCCCAGCCCTCTACAGCGCGGGCGAAGGGCATCGGCGGGGAAGCGGCTGTGGTTGCCAGATCTGGCAGTACAGAGCCAAGGTGGCAGGGCCGCGCTAGGACACGGATGGTCCCAGGGGGAGGGCAACAGGAAAAACAAGCACTGACACAACTGCCCCATTTCCCCATGTCCCCTAAAAGCAGGTTTTCTTGGGCTGACCAGGGCATTTTCACTGTGGTGTCCGACTGGGGCAACTCGATCTGCCCGCGGGGACTCAAAAAAGCTTGAGCTGCATTTTTTCTTTGCGTCCGGGCGGACCAAAAGGCGAGGTGAAGGGAACGAGTGTTTATAAGAAAGTAAACTTTTGTGCAGAATGGGCTGGGGACACCTCTGAGTTTTGCTGCCCGCAACGTGACCTTTTTAGCGCGGTCCTGGACGCGTTCCCTCGCAGCCAACCCGTCAGTCTCCTCAGGCCTTATCCTGCCCTCTCTGAGGTGGCCGCCTGTGGGCGCTGCAAACGCCACACTTTTGCTCTACGAAGAACCTCCTCGCGACTTTCCAAGGTGTGCAACTCAGAAAAGCGCCCCCCAAAACAAGTAAAAGCCTTCGGGGAAGAGGCAAAGTCCCTGAACCGTCCTGACTCCAGCCACCAGCCGGTGTTTGGTGGATCAGGTCCCGGAGCTCCGCAGCCTGGGAGCCCCACACCAGGCCGGCCCCTACGGCCGCTCAGAAAACGCGGCGAGCGGAACCCGCACGCGGAAGCGCCGGCCGCACTGAGCATGCCCAGTTGCAGAGCCGACCAGAGGAGTTTTTTCTTTTCTTTTCTTTTTTTTTTTTTAAGGGGGGGGGTCTCAAGTAGGAGGCCTCCCCATCACCCCCACCCCAGCCCCCCACCACCCCCGGCCTAAGCAGCTACCATGGCCCAGGTGGCCGGCGCGGCGTTGTCCCAGGCGGGTTGGTAAGTGGCGAGTCCCGCCGGCTGCCGGGCCGCGGGTGCGGGCCGGGGCCCCAGGGAGGTTGGGTTGGGGGCGGCGGGGTGCGTGTCGGGGTAGGCGGAGGCTGTCGTCCGCCCCCGGCCTCTCCCCGGGCCCTTCGGGCCGGCTCCGCCCCCGGCGCCACGCGGAGCCCTGCGAGTTCCCCTAGGTCCCCTGGAGGCGGCGGCGGCGGCGGCCTGGGCCCCGGGCGGCGGGCCTGGGCCCCGGGCGGCGGGCGGCGGGCCTGGGGAGAGGCCGGGGGCCGCGAGCCGGGCGGGTGGCGGCCCAGACCCCGGCCGACCGGAGCGCCGGGGAGGACCTGCAGCGCCGTCCGCGCGGCTTCTCCGGGGAGGGGGTGTTTCTGCAGCGGGATCGGGAGGCGAGGGCTGGGAACGAAGTGCGGCGGAGAGGGACGAACGCGGCCGGAGCCCGCGGGCCCATAGGAAGTTGAGGGCAGAGCAGAGCACAGCCCGCGCTGCGGCCGGAGCCGCCTCTTCTTACCCCTTATTTCAAAGTACAGTGTGGACCAGTGTGAATCTGCCTTCCGCGGCACACACACAACTTCTGGAGCTAAGAATGACCGCAATGTCAACTCGTGGGGGTGCTCGGTAGAACTTTTCTTGAAAGGATGGTGTTCTGATTTTAAGAGGCCTTTCGTGTCAAGATTTTCAGGATTTGAAAACAATACAAAATTATGCGAAATTAGGCAGTTTCTGGAATTGCGGCCATTACGGTTGTAATCATCCCGTTTAATTCAGTAACGCTTTTCCCAGGCTTGCACAGGCACATTCTGGGATGAAGGGTAGGAACGGGGATGAAAAAGATTTGCAACGGCTCTCTGCAATTACTGCTTTAGGAGAAAGAGTGAGGCATTAAAAGACCAAACAAAACCAGGGGGAATAGTGATAAACCGTACGTACAGAGGAACAGATGAGTGCACTGTGGAATGGGAGGGAGAGTTACTTTCCTAAAGTGGACTTGGAAAGATGGTAAGGAAAAGGCTTTCTAGCACAGAGCTGCTGGAGATGACACAGGGAAGCGCTTATTGTTTTGCAGAACCTACACAAGATCTATATGGTTCGTGAAAGATGTGGATTTGATTTTGTGAATAAAGTTTTTGATCAGTAGAGGGATATAATCACAACTGTGCTTTGAAGAAGCCCCTCCTGATTTTAAAGGCACTTGTGTTATTATACACCCCATTTTACAGGTGAGGAGACTGAGGCAAAGAGCTGTTAAGTAACTTTCCCAAAATGACATAGCTAGAAAGTGGTGGAGTTGAATGTTGAGCACAGAGGGCCTGGCTCTGGGCCTGGTTCCTTTAACGCTTATGCGTTATTGTTGTTACAGTTTTTTCGCAGAACAGCATGGGCGTAAAAGATTGTAGAGTTAAAAACACTGTCTTCAGTTTTGTTTCTGTTCAATAGGAATCTCTTCTTTCAGTTTTTTTACCCACAAGGGTGTCCTGAATAATCTTGGATCCCTCTTTCATTTGCCTTTCTCCCCATTTCTCATTAGGTTGAGCGTTGATCCTTCACACTAGTAATATTTTCATTTACAAACTCAGTATTTTACTGCTTTCCAACATGACCCCCCCTCCTTTGGAAAGATTAGTCTCATTTTTTAGGTCCCGAACACGTGTTGACTTTGTTTTCTCTGGCCTCTTATGCTTTTCCAGGGCAGGGAAGTGAGTCTTATTTTTCTCCTTATCTGGATTGTCAAGAAATGCACCAGATTGTAGGTTCTCTGTAAAGTCTAATACAGTTGACCTTGGAATGCCCCTGCCAGTCAGAATTCTCTGGGCAGGGCCTCTGCAGAAGCTTAGGTAGAGTCCCACCCTGCTTCGTTATATTGTTATAAATCTTCAGCAATGTTATATTGTAGCATTTGCTACTTTATATTGCAACTTAACTGTTTATGTTTCTCCCACCTGTCTGTGCTGCTTCTGTATGGCAGTGACTCATAAAGGCAGTAGTAATCTGCGGGGCTAAAAACACTATCTTTCTAGGAATTGTGAGTTTCATGTAATTCCTGCTAGGTCTCGAACAGACTAGGCATGAGGATCTCCTAGGCTTTCAGGTGGCTTCTACTAGGTCTTTAATTGGGGACTTACTATGTTAAAATTTAGAATCACAAAGGTTTAAAGGCAGAAAAGAGCACTGGAGGGAAAATTTCTGACTGAAGGGCTTTCACCAACTCATTTTAGTTCTTATATCCTGAGTTTGCTCTTACACTTGGGGTTCTCTGTTAACTGTCACTGACAAACCATTTTTCTTAGTATTCAAATCTATGTACTTAGTTACTTGTAGAAGCTAAAAAGAAGTAGATGCTAAAACATGGACACACTATTGTTAAATCTGTTCTATAGGCTTCACCTAAAATAGCAGATTAGGGAAATATTTAGTGCTGAAAAGTTTACAATTCTGAAAATGTGATCTTCAGGGGGGTACAGAAGATCTATGTAGACCAATCTGTTCAAGTTTACATTATTTTTAAGCGCAGTTTTTTTCCTTCTTAAGGTTTTAATCTTCATTAGAACCCCTATAAAAATCAGTATTTTAAAATATAACTTCAAAAGTAGCTACCTGGCGGACTTAAAATAATTTTTGTTCTTCAATGGCCAGTAGCACACAAACTATTAGATTTTGCTGATTTGAACTTGAATGTTCCAGGGCTTTCTACAGAGTAGTGATAATGTTTAAATAATGCACTAAATGGTACCTTGTAAAGCTTAATTATATGCATGGAATAACTTCACGGGGAGAAGAAATTTGACTCTGAATTTATCTAGATAACAATTTTACTCACTCTGCATTTTTGTTTTCTCTCTTCAGAGGTTCATTCTCCTTTAGGATGATATCCCTGATCACTGTGAGTGGAAATATAAAATTCTACTCACAGGAGAAAGATTCAAAATGTTGATCTCTGGACATTTTGAATTTTTCTCTTCCATCTCCTCCTTTGTTTGTTTGTTTTTAACAGAAACCTGTCACGGGGTACCTAATCAGTTGTGTTTTTGTTTTTGAAAATGTATCTTCTGGCTGGGCGCAGTGGTGGCTCATGCCTGTAATCCCAGCACTTTGGGAGGCTAAGGCGGGTGGTCAGGAGTTGGAGACCAGCCTGGCAAAAATGGTGAAACCCCGTCTCTACTAAAAATACAAAAAAATTAGCCAGGCGTGGTGGCAGGCCCCTGTAATCCCAGCTACCTGGTGAGGCTGAGGCAGGAGAATCGCTTGAACCCAGGAGGCGGAGGTTGCAGTGAGTCGAGATTGCACCATTGCACTCCATCCTGGGCGACAGAGCGAGACTGTGTCTCAAAAAAAAAAAAAAAAGTGTCTTCCATGGAATTAATGTTGCATAGCTTAACTCTCTCTCTGTGCATATGAAGAAACTGAAGCACAGAGAGTTTCAATAATTTGCTCAGAGTTATAAATGGCAGAACCAAGAATAGAGCCCAGATGTCTAGAATAAAGATTCAGTACTCATTTCCACCAAAAATTAACAGAAGTGACCGCATCTAATTTAAATTATTGATCAAAAGTGACACATTTAAAAATTGAAAATTGGGTTGAAGCATTTTGTGGTGTGTAAATTTACTTTCCTAGTCCAGGAAAGATAAAGGGCTTATTCTGAGGGGTGATCCTATTAGAATCAAATAAATCTTTGCCTTGCAGTGAATCAACTAATTGTGTACTAGGCTTATCTGAAAATCTGGTAAATTCTGTATTTTTTAAGGTTTAAGAATACAGTTGGCCCTCCATATCTGTGGGTTCTGCACCCTTGGATTCAACCAGTCACAGATCTAAAATATTTGGAAAAATAAAAAAAAATAAAAATAACAATACAACAACAAAAATAATATGAATAAAAAATAAAATATAATTTTACATAGCATTTACACTGTATTAGGTATTTTAAGTAGTCTAGAGATGATTTCAGGTATGCAGGAGGATGTGTGTAGGTTATATGCAAATACTACACTACACTATTTTGTGTCAGGGACTTGAGCATCAGTAGACTTTGTTATCTGTAGGGGCCCTGGGACCAATCCCTTATGGATACTGAGGGATGACTGTATCTGAAAAAGTGGGACACTGTATTGTGTGTCTTTGCTTCTTTTACCCAGTAGTTTGAGTTGAAGACCCTTTAAGGTAGCATATGAAATAGCATTTCCATTTTGTTCTGAAAGAACATGTAGTCTTAGGAAGCCCAGTTTTCTAACACCCAGGTGTTAGCCATGGAGTACTCCAGGTTTTGTTTTGTTTGTTTGTTTTGAGGGCAGAGATGGGATGGAGAGGATAAACAAAGGTCTCCTTCTTACCTCTTGAATTTCACTTTCCCCTTTGGGGTTATCTCCATTTGATTATTGGTGCTATCACCATGCTAACATCCTCTGGCCCAAGTGCATACATAACTCCTTTCCCTTCATTTCACCTTTGAACAACTAAGAAAGCCTACAGCTTATTAAGGTCTTTGTCAAAATGTAGAACTGGAAAACAACCATGGGATAAATAGAAAAAAATAAGAAGCATAATGACAGTATAGGTTATAAAGTGATTATTGCACTCTTGTATTCAAGGGCCCACTCTATTCCACATTACTTTGAAGATAGCTACTACAAAGATGTGGAACAACTTCAGGATATTTTGCTGGAATTTCTAATTCCTAGTTTTTGACCTGTCCACAGATGAAGGGCTTCTTTTCACATTCCATTACATAGAGGCTTCTTCTCAAACACATTAATGATCATGACTAAGAAATTCAGATACCCAGCCTGCAGCCACTGCTGTGCCTTTGTTTGTTTGGTTCTAGTTTTCTTAGAGACACACCTTTTTTCCAGGAGATTGCTGGTGAATGATCTCACTCTTCAGATGAGAAACATTGTGTAGCAGCATCAGTACAACCTCTGCAGTAGCAGTAATGTAATTATACCTTCTTATACTAGTGGTAATAGACATAAAATATGAGTTTATGCATATAATAAGAGGGTATTAGAAGTTTTGCTCCCTCACCATTCCAGTACATCTCTTAGAAATAGGTAAATATTTGTAGAGAATATTGGTAGTTCTTTATAAGGTTTAATATTAAGTGCAGGGTTTTTAAAATCTAGAATTATGATATACCTTTAATTACCATGCTTCATGGCCTTTAAAGTAAGTCACATGTACAAGACAGGCAGATATAAATAGCTTGGTATACTCTTTTGGAAAGGATTCGAATCATTAAAACACTTTTTTAGATGCTGAAGAACATTAGAGGAAACCAATTGCTTTTTTTTTTTTTTTTTTTTTTTGAGACGGAGTTTCACTCTTGTTGCCCAGGCTAGAGTGCAATGGCGCGATCTTGGTTCGTCGCAACCTCCACCTCCCAGGTTCTCCTGCCTCAGCCTCCCAAGTAGGTAGGATTACAGGCATGCGCCACCACGCCTGGCTAGCCAATTGCTTTTTAATCAGATTTTAGTGGAGCTTATTGGAGACATCCTTCTATTTTGAAATATTTTCTATTTCTTTAATGAACATTTGTAACTATCTCTTTGGCTTATATTGTTTGTGAAATGAAAATGTTCAAAGGTAATAAGCCTTGCCGACTTTCTGTCTCAAAATATGTTACATATTGCTTTACAGCTTCTGCTGATACTGTAAACTGCGAAAAATGACTGGATGTTTTGTTAAACTGTGCAAGTGTTCAGGTTTCAAGGTGCTGTTTGCAGTGATTTTTTTTTTTTTTCTGGTGACTAACCTATAAATCTAGTTTCAACTGCCTGTAGACTTGACTGCCTTAAGCATAAAGGGGGTATAAAAAGAAACTTGCTACCTCAGCAGGTTGAAAATAATTTTCTCCTTTCATACAGCAGCATTTGCTAAATCAACTAAAATTGCATAGTAACATTTTAAGAACCATAAAAATATGACTATATCAACTTTTTTGGCTTATGTTTTCTCCTTTTGACAAAAGAATATTGGCATTTTGACTTATCATGTTTCAGTTAAGTGCCATCAGTCTAGAAATTCATTCTTTCTGAAAGGTCTAGGATATAGAAGTAGCCGAAGAACAGTATTGCCAGATAAATTTTGGAAGAAGAATACTGAATGCCCAGAAATTTTCATGTAAAAATTTGAGAAACACTTGTGAAGTCATAGCACAGCAAAGAAAAGCAAACAAGATGGGGCAAAAATGTATGGTAATAATGTAAAGTATTAAGAAGGGTGTGAAATCAAAGACACTGATAGCAGAAAAGAAACAGGTTGGTGATGGACAAAAGGAGGAAAGAACTGCATAGACAGAGAGCCTATATGTACCATAGCACTGGAACTCCAATAGGATTCACATCTCTATTGGATGGATGTGAGTGTGTGTATGTACTTTTCACATGTAGTACAATTTTATGGCCTTAAAAGTAGAGACAAATAGCAGTATAGTGCTCTTGAATTATAATATCTTTACAATAATAAGTAAGGCATATACAGAGAAATATGTAACTCTATACAATAATATGTGCACTGAAATACATTTAGTAAATATTTATACCTCCTGTACACAAAGCACTGTGTTGCTGAGCTATGATGTACAAGACAGGCAGAATTTAAACATGATATACACTGTTATTTTACTTGCAAGATTTTGTTGAAACACATCTGAGAGCAGTTAACCCAGACTTGGGAAGGTTGGAAGCCTTTCCAGTACTGATGATGTATAAGCAAGGTTTTTGTATATGTCTTCTTTAAATATCATGTCTTGTGCTCTTTGGCTAAGGAAAAAACAAGGCACTGTATATGTTTTCTTTAAATATTGTGTCTTCTGATATTTGGCTAAGGAAAAAACAAGGCACATTCATCAATGCACTCATTCAACAAATAATTCGTTTTTGTTGTTGTTGTTGGTTTGTTTGCTTTTTTTTTTTTTTTTTGAGACGGAGTCTCGCTCTGTCACCCAGGCTGGAGTGCAGTGGCGGGATCTCGGCTCACTGCAAGCTCCGCCTCCCGGGTTCACGCCATTCTCCTGCCTCAGCCTCCCAAGTAGCTGGGACTACAGGCGCCCGCCACTACGCCCGGCTAATTTTTTGTATTTTTAGTAGAGACGGGGTTTCACCGTTTTAGCCGGGATGGTCTCGATCTCCTGACCTCGTGATCCGCCCGCCTCGGCCTCCCAAAGTGCTGGGATTACAGGCGTGAGCCACCGCGCCCGGCCCTGTTTGCTTTTTGAGACAGAGTCTCACTCTGTTGCCCAGGCTGGAGTGCAGTGGCATGATCTTGGCTCACTGTAACCTCCACCTCCCAGGTTCAAGAGATTCTTCTGCCTCAGCCTCCTGAGTAGCTGGGATTACAGGTGCCCACCACCACACCCAGCTAATTTTTGTATTCTTAGTTGATATGGTTTGGTTCTGCGTCCTCACCCAGATCTCATCTTGTAGCTCCCATAATCCCCACATGTTGTGGGAAGGACCTGGTGGGAGATGATTGAATTATGGGGATGGGTCTTTCCCATGCTGTTCTCGTGATAGTGAATGGGTCTCACAAGATCTGATGGTTTTAAAAATGGGAGGTGCCCTGCACAAGCTCTCTTTTTGCCTGCTGCCATTCACATAAGATGTGGCTTGTCCCTCTTTGCCATCTGCCATGATTGTGAGGCCTCCCCAGCCATGTGGAACTGTTAAGTCCAATAAATGTCTTTCTTTTGTAAATTGCCCGGTCTCAGGTATGTCTTTATCAGCAGCATGAAAAAGGACTATTAGAGACAGGGTTTCACCATGTTGGCCAGGCTGGTCTTGAACTCCTGACCTCAAGTGATCTACCTGTCCCGGCCTCCCAGAGTCCTGGGATTACAGATGTGAGCCACAGTGTCCAGCCTCAACAAATAATTCTTAAACAGCATATTGTGGCAGGCACTTTCTTAGTATAGTCAGATATAGTCTTATAGAAAAAAAACCCATTAATTACATATTCAAACATACTGCATCTATAAAGAATACTAGAGAGGAGAAGAGACATCATTCCAAATGCATGTACTAAGGGGGAATTAGCCTTTTCATGGTGGTCAGAGAATAGCAGAATTACTAAAGGGGAGTTCGTGTTTTCATGGTGGTCAGAGAATGCTATCCTGAGATCTGGAGAATGAGTGGTAACTGACTAAGTGAGGGGAGCACAGCATCTGCAAAAGTCATAGGGCACTAGGGAGCATGGTGAATACAAACATCTGAAGGACCTGGGTGGCTAGAGGGCAAGACAGAGGGACAGTGTAGTGAGATGGAATTAGGAGCTACCTAGGGACAGGTCACATAGCTTGGACCTTGTTGGCCATGTTAGGATTTATTTTTATTTTGAAGGCAATAGGAATCAGTTGAATAGTTTTAATCATGATGTGAGGGTTATGGTGGGAATAACATCATGGTTTTGAAGTATCCTTGGACTGAAGAAAATGGAGCTGGGCAGGACTATGAAATAGATGGTGATGGTTGAGATAGAGAGCAGCAGATCGACTTGACAGATATTTGGAAGGTAAATGGACAGGACTTTTTGACAGATTGGACATGAATGTGACACAGGAGTTGTTAAAGGCTTGATTTCTAGGTTTTGGACTTGTATCCTCAAATCAATTACAATTCAGTTAGGGACTGTTAGAAGACGGTCGCATTTTTGGGGGTTGGGTCATGAGTTAAGTTGGTCATTACTTGAGTGTGAGGTCCCTTTAAGTCATCTAAAATAAGATGTTAGGCATTAGGAAATACCAATCTTGCACTCAGAAGAGAAGACTGGGCTAGAGATAAATTTGGAGTCATTCCAGTATAGGTGGTGATTGAAATGGTGCATGGATAAGATCATCTAAGGCTGCAGCTGTCCGGTATGGTGGACATTAGACAAATATGGCTACTGATCACTTGAAATATGTCTAGTCTAAATTCAGATGTGCTATAAATGTAAAATACGCACTGAATTTGGAAGACAGTACTAAAAATGAGTGTAAGGATCTCAGTAATTTTTATATTGATCATACTTTAAAATATATTTTGTTAAAATAATTATTAAATTAATTTCACCTGTTTTTACTTTTTAAAATATGGCTACAAGACAATTTAAAATTACATATGTGGACATTATATTTGTTGGACAGTACTGATGTAAGAACCAAGCTTTGAGTAAGAGGCTAGGTTCAAGTACTGAGAAATTTTAGCATTTTTAGAGGAGAATTAGCCTTTAAGGACCTGCTAGTTAGGGGAAAAAGCTTTAGAATGCATTATAAAGTCATTGAGTTTTCTAAGAACAGAAAATGGACATATCTTTTGGAGTTCTTTGATAAGACTATTTGATATGGTCACTGTTAGTTTATTGACTTGCTGATATTGGAGACTCAGAGCACCTTTTAAAACACTCTTTATAAATTTAGATATCTGAAAGTCTTTTAAAAAATTCCCCACAATCTTTCCCCAAATTCCTCTAAATATATAAAATACAAATAAAATTTAGCTGCAGCTTTTCAGAAGGCAGTCTGTCATGGATATTACATGAAGATGTTAAGAAAACAAAATTTTATTTTATTAAATTTCTAAGTGGGACCATGAAGAGTTTAAAAATTAATAAAGGTGGATTTTGTAAAATACCTAATGTGAAATAATAAATGTAAGTATTGATGGAAAAACTTGCTAAATAAATTAAGCCAGTATTTTATAATGAATTTGGAATTGACTCAGTTCAAGCTTTGTTTTGAGAGAGAAATAGGGACATATGTTAAGTTTAGGTGTCCATAACATTGATAGTTTGATTGATGCCTTATGACTTTGTAAGCTTCTGTAAGGGAAAGATCAAGTCTTCATATTTTTGTAGTATTCCAAGCATTTAGCACGATGTAAGGTGCACAGTAGACACTTAAATACTTGTGGAATGAATGTTACTCTCATCTTAGTTGGTCTTGGTATCATTCATCATTTTGCTTTTGTGTCCTCAAGGGACATGAAACTTCTTCAAGCTTTTTGTAGAGTAGAAAATTGTTATTTCTGAAATGAATGTTGTGAAATTTAAACAAAATGTTATGAAAAATGTGATCTCCTCAGAAATGCAGGAAATAGCCTGTTATAGAAAGCTTTCTCTATTTGTTGATATTTTCTACCTTGTTTATAGAATTCAACTGTTAAGAGATATAACTAGTGATAATGAAGATAATACACTTAAAGGTATATGTTTGTATTTAGTTAGAAGAAAAGTTTGAAATATGTTGATAACAT
The DNA here is from genome assembly GCF_000001405.40 of Homo sapiens. Lineage (NCBI taxonomy): Eukaryota > Metazoa > Chordata > Mammalia > Primates > Hominidae > Homo > Homo sapiens. The sequence goes on from NC_000013.11 coordinate 60,407,638, forward strand.
TTCTTTGCCCGAGACAACCAGCTGTCTCTTTAGGGTCTTTGAAATGTTCTGTTTCAAGGTAATATTAGTAGAAACTGTTTTCAGAACTATTTCTTTCACATTTGATGTTTTATGAGATAGCAACAAATTCTTTTCTTTTTGATATTTCAGAATTGCTTACAGCTTAGCACTTCAGTGATATGGTGTGGCTGTGTTCCGACCCAAATCTCAACTTGAATTGTTTCTCCCAGAATTCCCATGTGTTGTGGGAGGGACCCAGCGGGAGGTAATTGAATCATGGGGGTCGGTCTTTCCCATGCTATTCTTGTGATAGTGAATACGTCTCGTGAGATCTGATGGGTTTTTCAGGGGTTTCCGCTTTTGTTTCTTCCTCATTTTCTCTTGCCGCCGCCATGTAAGAAGTGCCTTTCACGTCCCGCCATGATTCTGAGGCCTCCCCACCCGTGTGGAACTGTAAGCCCAAATAAGTCTCAGGAGGTCTGATGGGTTTATCAGGGGTTTCCACTTTTGTTTCTTCCTCATTTTCTCTTGCCAATGCCATGTAAAAAGTGCCTTTCACCTCCCGCCATGATTCTGAGGCCTCCCCAGCCATGTGGAACTGTAAGTCCAATTAAACCTCTTTTTCTTCCCAGTCCCAGGTATGTCTTTATCAGCAGCATGAAAAAGAACTAATATAGTAAATTAGTACCAGTAGAGTGGGGCATTGCTGAAAAGATACCCAAAAATGTGGAAGCAGCTTTAGAACTGGGTAACAGGCAGAGGTTGGAACAGTTTGGAGGGCTTAGAAGAAGACAGGAAAATGTGGGAAAGTTTGGAACTTCCTAGAGACTTGTTGAATAGCTTTGCCCAAAATGCTGATAGTGATATGGACAATAAGATCCAGGCTGAGGTGGTCTCAGGTGGAGATGAGGAACTTGTTGGGAACTGGGTGACTCTTGTTATGTTTTAGCAAGGAGACTGGCAACATTTTGCCCCTGCCCTAGAGATTTGTGGAACTTTGCACTTGAGAGAGATGATTTAAGGTATCTAGCAGAAGAAATTTCTAAGCAGCATAGCATTCAAAAGGTGACTTGGGTGCTGTTAAAAGCATTCTGTTTTAAAAGGGAAACAGAGCACAAAAGTTTGGAAAATTTGCAGCATGACTAAGTGATAGAAAAGAAAAACCCATTTTCTAGGGAGAAATTCAAGCCAGCTCCAGAAATTTGTGTAAGTAGCAAGGATCCTAATGTTAAACCCCAAGACCATGGAGAAAATGTCTCTCCAGGCCATGTCAGAGATCTTCACAGTAGCCCCTCTCATCACAGGCCTGGAGGTCCAGGAGGAAAAAGTGGCTTCGTGGGCTGGGCCCAGGGTCCCTGTGCTGTGTGCAGCCTAGGGACTTGGTGCCCTGTGTCCCAGCCACTCCAGCCTTGGCTGAAAGGGGCCAACATATAGCTTGGGCTGTGGCTTCAGAGGGTGGAAGCCACAAGCCTTGGCAGCTTCCATGTGGTGTTGAGCCTGTGGGGGCACAAAGTCAAGAATTCAGGTTTGAGAATCTCTACCTAGATTTCAGAGGATGTATGGAAATGCCTGGATGCCCAGGCAAAAGTTTGCTGCTGGGATAGAGCCCTCATGGAGAACCTCTGTTAGTGTAGTGCAGAAGGGAAATGTGGGGTTGGAGCCCCCACACAGAGTCCCTACTGGGGCACTGCCTAGTAGAGCTGTGAGAAGAAGGCCACTGTCCTCCAGACTTCAGAATGGTAGAGCCACTGACAGCTTGCACTGTGCACCTGGAAAAGCTGCAGACATTCAACACCAGCCTGTGAAAGCAGCTGGGAGGAAGGCTGTATCCTGTAAAGCCACAAGGGCAGAGCTGTCCAAGACCATGGAAACCCACCTCTTGCATCAGTGTGACCTGGATGTGAGACCTGGAGTCAAAAGAGATGATTTTGGAGCTTTAAAATTTGACTGTCCCACTAGATTTCAGACTTGCCTGGGCCCTGTAACCCCTTTGTTTTGGCCAACCTCACCCATTTGGAACAGCTGTATTTACCCAATACCTGTACCCTCATTGTCTCTAGGAAGTAACTAGCTTGCTTTTGATTGTACAGGCTCATAGGTGGAAGGGACTTGCCTTGTCTCAGATGAGACTTTGGACTGTGGACTTTGGGTTAATACTGAAATGAGTTAAGACTTTGGTGGACTGTTCGGAAGGCATGATTGGTTTTGAAATGTGAGGGCATGAGATTTGGAGGGGCCAGGGTTGGAATGATGTGGTTTGGCTGTGTCTCCACCAAAACCTCTACTTGAATTGTATCTCCCAGAATTCCCACGTGTTGTGGGAGGGACCCAGGGGGAGGTAATTGAATCATGGGGGCCAGTCTTTCCTGTGCTAGTCTCATGATAGTGAATAAGTCTCACAAGATCTGATGGGTTTATCAAGGGTTTCTGCTTTTGCTTCGTCCTCATTTTTCTCTTGCCATCGCCATGAAAGAAGTGCCTTTCACCTCCCACCATGATTCTGAGGCCTCCCCAGCCATGTGGAACTGTAAGTCCTGTTAAACCTCTTTTTCTTCCTAGTCTTGGGTATGCCTTTATCAGTAGCATGAAAATGGTCTAGTATATTCAGTTAGAAAGGAGTTAAGATGATGAAATTATATTTCATGCTAGGGCCTTTAATGAGGCAAAGAAGTAGGAATCTAGGTATCTTGCAGTCTAAGTTGTCATAGAGTTCAAGTCCACTGGGGTTTTACCTGAGGACTCTGCTAAACAGAGTTTACTCTTGTTATCTTGCAATTATGAGCACCAAAAAGGACGTGTATGTGTTACTGTTAGGACATAAAGCATGTAAAATGGGCTCCTCAGTATCCTTGCTCAGTTCACTGTACTCAGAATGGCAAGTACTGGCAACCCTTTGTGTCTGTGCTGAGAGTGCAAGTTGATATTCAGGGGCCTCTACTCCTAGGAATTGGCCACGATCTTTTCTCTAGGCTGCCTGCTGATTCCCTTAGTATGTTCTAATTTGAGTAATAATGAGATTTCTCAGGATCGTTTTGATTTGACTTCTTTCCTCAGTTTTGCTTCTTGGGGATGGATAGGGTAGGGTTAGTTCTCAGGCTACATGAGAATCTTCTTTGGTTGCTACATTTTGAAGTTGTGCAAGAGCTGGATGTACGTTTTCCCTTATTTTGGTTGTTGCTGATAAATTTTTTGACTGCCTTTTCTGGTTGTGGATTTTTTGCTTTGGTTTTATGTTTTTTCCCTGTTTAATTACTCATTCATCAAAAGTCTTTATAAACATATTAATTAGATGTTTCCCTAGTAAAGTTGATACATAATGAAAGTTTGTATATGCGTATATTAAAAACATAATGGCTGTACAGTACCATGAAATTTCAGTGACCATTTTTGTGCCTGTGTTTACATTGTTGTTAGTGCAAAGTGGCCACCCAAAATATTTAACTTTGTTAATAAACATATCTAGCTGCTCTTTGCAACACAGACACCTGCCATAGTACTCATTAAATTTTCTACTAGTTATAAAGACTTAGTTAGCTATGATAGTTCACAATTAAAAGACACTCTCATATAATTAGATGTAGTTTCTTAACAAATTGAGAGTTTAACAAGTTGAATTAAAAATTCATGAAGAAAAGAGTGCAGTGTAGTGGTATATACTTTTACAGTTACAGGGTAATGAGAATGGACTTAATACTTAAATAATACATGACAGAAATTATGGTGTGCCTACTGAAGTTTGATTATCTTGAAAGTTCAACAGAGCCTTGACATTTTTACTAGTTTCTACTTATGTGAATAAGCATTTATTTTGATATTATTTTAAGCAAAATGCAAAAGCAGATTAAATACGAAACTGGCCTGAGCTACATTTTTCCAATGCTTAAAAAAAATGCCCTGCCTTAATTAGGTTGAAGGCTAGGCTGATGTAAGAGAAGCCTGGAGAACATAGGTTTTTTTTGGTTTTTCTTTTTTTTTGGTCACAAAACAACCCAAAATAGTTAGACAGTTCTGCTTTGTGCTGTCATTTAAGGACCCAGGTTCCTTTCATCTTATTGCTTTGATGTCCCCTCACCCCTTGCTACTCCAAGTGTGGTCCACAGGCCAGCAGCATTGATATCACCTGGTAGCTTGTTAGAAGTGTAGAATCTCAAACCTCACCAGCATCTTAATTTTAGTAAGATTCTTATTAAAGAATCTTATTGCACATTAAAGTGATTCTTTTGCACATTAAGGTTTGAGGAGCAGCACTTTAGGGTATTGTCATTGTCTTCATGGTCATAGCAGAGTAGCTGACAAATTTGGGTTTCCCTAGCTGGAATGGGAAGAACAGCAGAGAGCCATAGAGTCAGTTCCCTGAGGAAGAGAGACATCGTATCCTTGGTTTCTAAGAACTTTAATCTGACATCTACCTGAAAGGGATTCTGAGAACTGTGGCCTAGCTCAGTGACTCTCAAACAAACAACTAGTTAAATCTTATAAACTGTAAAACCTTGTGGTAGTGTGAGATTGCTCCAAAAGTTTCTGTACATATCCAATCATGTGACAGTAACAGAGTTTGTGGATTGGCATTAATCCATGAACCACACTTGAAGTAGGTCATATTTGACATATTTGAATTTTTCATTCAGTGATATTGTTCAGCTTACGGTAAATTTGAGTGAATTGGTGTGAGTAAATGAGGCTCTATTTTTTTGGCCTTTGATACTTTTTGATTTAGTTTACTTAATATTCTTCTACTTTTTAAAAAATAGTGATATCACTTATTTTTAGTGATAATCTTACGTTTGTAAGGACTTTTCAGCTTGAAAAGCCCTTTTCCCTACATTATATGGCATTCTATAATAGTAGGTAGTATGGACTGTATTTGCTTATAAAAAGGGATTACAAGCCTTGTTGGTTTAATCATGCTGATAACTAGTATGACACATCAAGAAATGGATGCTTTTTTAATGAAATGATGCCTTCTTTTTATGTATTTTGTAACTTTCTTATACTTTTAGTTATTAATTAGTATTTGTTTTGAATTGGTGTTATGAAACTTATCTGGGCCATTATATTGGCCAACTGCTTGATTTTTTTTGTTATTATTCTTGCCTTGACATGTTTTCATGGAAAATAAAATTGAATTGGACTGTTAGTGGTCTTTTAAAATGGTTTACCTTATCGCAGTAGCTTTCATTTCATGTGTAAATTAAATTGCTTATCATTATTCTTAAACATTTGCTTAAAGTAATGCTTTAAGCAAAAGTATATGTAAAATATGATTATAGATCTCTACATATCTAAGATGCGTACTTTAAAAGTTGAAATACAGGCTCATGTTTGACTGAATGTTTTTGTTATTTTCAACTTGCTTTTTGCTGTTACGGCCTGCCTGGTATTCCCTGCAGTATCCCTGTACTCCCAATTTTTTTTTTTTTTGCCTAAGTACCCAATATATATGAACTAATAGGTCAACAGGAAGTTAGCATGTGAAAATGCTGCCAAGGAATGGGCCCAAAAGCTTGAATCACTTTGTGTTTGAAACTGAGATGTGTAAATTAAATGATTTTGAATAAACATTTATATTAGAATTAGTTAATTATAATTAATTAGAATTTCATCACAAAACTGAATTATTGTGAGAGATTACTGAGGAAAAAAATAGTTACAAAAACACTGCCATGTACCTTTTATATTCAGTTAGATATATATCTGCTTGAGAAGCTGTATGGCTGGTGTTTACGAGCATGGGCTCTTGAAGACCAATTCTCCTGAGCTGAGATCAGTCCTGGTTCTGCCACAGATTAGCTATAACCTTGGGCACATTTCTTAACTGCTCATGTCTCAGTTTGCTTATCTATAAAATGGTGTCAATATTATACCTACTTCATAGTATTGTTAGGAGGATTAATAAGTTAATACACACAAAGTGCTTAGAATACTGCTTGGCATATGCTGAATGCCCAGTAAATACTTAATGTTCTTGCTGTTGTATGTCAAGACTGGACTCACTTAAATTAGTGTTGTCAGTTAAATACATTCATGTTACTTGCACACATGAATTTCTGATCTTGTGTCACCTTTGGAAAAAGTTGATGCCCTTTACTCTATTTTAGATTACCTTATATAGCCTGTGAGAGTGTTACTTCAATAAAGATAAAATCTTTATATCTTATGGATTTTTAATCTCAAATATATATATCATACCATTAGCATTTTATAATCTTATAAATATTAGTGTCTCAAATTAAAGATAAAAGGTACAGGTAGAATATTTCACATAATATTACATTATTTCACTTGTACAGGAAGAATAGAAATTTGAGAGAGGAAACTGTCAATATTCAGTCTCTTAATATGGACATGAACTTAAGTCTCAGCTGAAGGGAGGTATTTTCATATTCTTGTTGAAATGTTGCATTGTTATTAAGTATTTGCCTTATATTTTTATAAATAAGGATTTCACTTAAAGAATAATGTGTTGCCCTCCTCAAAAATTAAATGTGTGGAACCAGTTGTGCAATATGTAAATTTGTGAGACAATGTACGTTTTTTTTTAAGTCCAGATACATTTTTTTTGAGAGAAGGACATGTCTATTACATCTAGTTTTTGAAGAAAGAAAGATTATATAGCTTTATCCTAAGGAGTTGGCAGACTATGACCAGTGGGCCAAATCTGGCCTGCTACCAGTTTTTGTAAATAACATTTTAGTAGAACACAGCCAGAACCACTCATACACCTACTGTCTGTAGCTGCTTTTGTGCTACAGGAGCAAAGAGTAGTTGTGACAGAAATCAAATATTGTAGGAAAGCCTGCAATATTTACTATCTGGTTCTTTACAGGAAAAGTTAGCCAATCTCTGCCCTAAGTAATTAGTAAAATAGATATATTAATTCTTTATTACTTAGAAAAAACTGAAGTTGGAACAAGTAGTATATGCTATTGGTACCAGAATTTGTCAAAAATAACTTGCCAAGAAAACCACAATCCTTGTTCTTATCCTTATTTGTAGTGACTAGTATGAATAGGGCTGCCTCATAAATTAGTAAATCCTAACTATTTGATAGGAATGTGTCAGTACTTGCAGTGGGGGCTTTTTGTCAAATACAGAGTTATCAGGTGTTTTGAAATGGTCTACTAATTTTAATAGAACTTTCCATTATATCCTAGGGCAGATAGAAATCCTTCATTGGTTTCAATTGAGCATTCCTATCACACTTGGACAACTTTTGGATTCTGTAGAATACCTAGACAACAGACAGTGGTTTTTTTTTTCTGTTTTTGTTTTTAAAAAATAAAATCAGTACTGCTTAAACAGAGGGAAAAGGGTGAATATGAGGTTGAAAAACCTGTTAAAACACATCAGTCTTGAGTAAAATATAGGAGGAGTTTGTTCTTAGATATCAAAATATATTTGGTAGCCAATCATATTTAAATTAAACTGATTGGTCATCAGCATACTGATTATTTTATATAAGAAATTGAACTTATGAAAAAAAAATTCATGTGTTGATTTGACCAAGATTGATGTTTTATAACAGTGTTTAGGGAACTAGGCATGAAGGGCCTAATGAGATCCTGTTTTACAATATTCATTGCCATTCTCATTCATATTTTTCCTTTTTAGATTTGTGTTCTGAAACTTTGAGAATTACCAATTCCACTCTGTGGACATTCATATCAACCGGGATCCAGTGCACAATTTTCATTTTTGATGTTATTCTGATTATATTATTATTTTATTATCAGATTATATTATTCTGATTACATTACTATTTCATCAGAATCTTTACGCTTCAGCCAACCACTTGGGTGTATCAGGACTATAATTAACATATTGGTAATAAGCAAACATACTCATTTAACAAATGTAAGCAATAATAGGCAAATGCCATTATTGGGAAAACTAGGCCCTCAATGTTAGCTAACTAAACAGACCAATGCAATCTTTATAACTCATTCACACACTTAAAGAATATGAGAATTTTGAAGAGTACATTAATTTTTCTGTAAAACATGATTAATATCAAATTGTAAGATGTATGCAAATAAAATTGCTTTCTTTTCTCAAATGGGCAAGCTTTGTACAGATGCCTTGATGGATCTTCCGGGAACTACCATGTCCAGAGATTTATTGAGTTTTAAATAAGAGCCATGAAAAGATCAGATTTGCCAAGTTTACAAAGATAGTTCTGGCCTTTATTTCAAGGATAGGTGAAGAGATCAAGGCTCAAGCAAAGACAATTTACGGAAAAACATTCTTTAGAGACAAACTTCATCAATATATCTTTTTCTTAAGGAAAAGTGAAGAAAGGGAGAACTCTGGTTGGCCGTCAGTGTCCTTGACTTGTCTCCTTCCCCTATTTAAAAATAGAATCAGTTAATAATGTTTATTAGTGTTAATGTTGGACATTTTAAAATACCCTTTGCTTAAGAATTAATAACTTTGTTGGATGGCTCAAAAATTGTGTTTTGGAAGTTGATAAGGTATTGATTTTAGATTTAACATGGTACAATATCAAATCATGGCAAAAATGATCCACTTTATGATTTCACTGACTCTTTTCAATAATTAAGGTTTCTCTAAGTGTAAAGTGTAAAGATTTTTAGAGGAAGATGTGGAAGTACTCATAATATAGTTCTTAGTCTAAATTTCTAATGAGATTTTTTTTTTAACTAAGGAAGTTTTAAGAACAGATTTACAAAACAGTGATTATTGAAAGATGGTGATACTTGCTCTTACCTTTCCCATGATCAGTTGAGCTGATATGGTCAACTACTAATTCCATTCTTAGTGCTATTTCCAAAGCAGTATGTGAATGAAGCTGTATTTAAAACATTCATTTACCAAGTAGATATTTATTAAGCAAGACTTTTTTCTCCAAAATCTGAGTTTCCTTTTTTAAGAAAATATTTTACGAATGCCTTTTCTTGTTGTTGTAATGTTTAGCACATGTATGACTGTGTTCATGTGCACATTTGTTTGCATTAGTCTTACTTATAGCTACTGTTTCTTTGGGCTGTCTGCTACAGTCTGGCTTGTGCTTCTTCCACACTGCTGAAATGCTTTTGCTAAAGTACCAGTGACCTTCCAGTTGTGAGATATCTTTCAAATTTTTCCTTACTGGCTCTGTTACTTTGGACGGTTTATGTCTATCTTGGAATTCACTGTTAAGACATAGTGTCTTAAAATTCACTATTCCTTGTCTCCCCTAACACTGTTCTCCTCATCTTGTTCTTGTTCTCTTCATTCCTTTCTCATCATTCGTTGTCTTTTTATGATATTCTTATCATACCTTTCCCTGGCTTTTCTTAGTTTCCTTATTGGTACTAACAAAGTTCTATCTTTGGTCCACTTTCTTGTTCTTCTGACTTTAACTGATCAGTCTCTCTCTCTCTTTTTTTTTTTTTTTGAGTCCAGGTCTTATTCTGCTGCCCAGGCTGGAGTACAGTGGCATAATCATAGCTCACTGCAGCCTCAATCTCCTTGGGTCAAGTGATAAACCCACCTCAGCCTCCCAAGTAGCTAGGACTACAGGCACACACCACCCCACATGGCCAATTTTTTATTTTAGTAGAGATGGGCTCTTGCTATGTTGTCCAGGCTGGTCTGAAACTCCTGGCCTCAAAGGGCTTCTCCTGCCTCAGCCTCCCAAAGTGCTCGGATTACAGGTGTGAGCCATTGTACTTGACCCAGTCTCATTTGCTTTCATGATTTAAACTAATTTCATTTTTTTTTTTTTTTTTGAGATGGAGTCTCACTCTGTTGCCCAGGCTGGAGGCTATCCCAGCTCACTGCAACCTTTGCCTCCTGGATTCAAGTGATTCTCTTGCCTCAGCCTCCTGAGTAGCTGGGATTACAGGCTCCTGCCACCATGCCCAGCTAATTTTTGTATGTTTAGTAGAGATGGAGTTTCACCATGTTGGCCAGGCTAATCTTGAACTCCTGACTTCAGGTGATCCACCTGCCTCGGCCTCCCAAAGTGTTGGGATTACAGGTGTGAGCCGCCACACTGGCCGATTTAAACTAATTTCTATATACTGATGATTCCTAAATCTTTCTGGGCCTGAACTTCAAAATACAGCCTTATATATGAAATACTCTGCACAATTCGAACTAGGTATCCCAGGGGCACCTCGAACTCCTCATGCCTTTCACTGTACTTCTCTTCCCCTCCATCTCCCAAGTTCTTCTTCTCTTTACACTCTTGTTTTAGAGGTGGTACACTCATCTCACCATTCATGAGTCATTTTTTTCTTTTTCCTATTCACTCATATCTAAATTAAGAATCAGACCTGCCAATTTTACCTTCTAAATATTTTTCTACTTCAGGCCTTTATTCTTGAGAGTAGCCTCCTGATTGGTCTTCTTGCTTACTGTCTCAAATCTGTCTTTTCTATAGGTGTTAGAATGAGTTATCTATAAAGGTTGTCTAATCTTTAGATCTTTTGTCACCTACAGGATGAAGTCTGTCTTACAAAGGTATGCATAGCCTCTTGTTTCTTTGTGGCATCCATTTTTGCTCCTACCTCTCCAGCAGTTTATGCTCTAACAAGACCAACTTGCTTGTGGGTCTCTTATGTACATGGTATTTTATGTCCTGCCACTGTACCATTTCTGATCTTGTCCTTTCTGCTTGGATTTTTTTCTCCATTTAAGTTAGTTAATTATTGTCCATCATTTTAAAACATAACTGTCATCTGTTATAAGAAGTCTTCCCTGATAGAAAGTAGGTACCCTTCTTCTGAGGTCCTTTAACATTCTGTCTCTAGCTCATTGTGCTATAATTGTTTATATGTTTGTCTCCTCAAGTAAACCAAGCTTCACTGGGACTAAACTTATTTGAGGTCAGTACCATGGTTTTTTCATCTTTGAATTCTTGGGACTAGTACAGTGTCTGCCACAGAGTAGATAGAGACTCAACAAATGTTTATTGAATAAATAAACTGAATGGACTTGTCTTTTTAAATTGCAGCACAATTAATGTACATTAAAATGCACAGCTCTTAAGTGTTTAGCATGATAGGTTTTGATAGTTGTGTACGTTTAAGTAACCCCCATTCTAAATGTTATATAGAATGTTTTCATCACCCAAGAAAGTTTTCTCCTGCTCTGTTCCTTCTGTGCCCACAGATAGTCTTTTTCTGACATCTGGCATCATGAATTCACTATCTTGTAATTGGATATTATAAAAATGGAAACCTTATTTCTTCTGACATCTTAGAAGTATAATGCTTTTGAGATTCATTCATATTCTTGTCTGTATTGGTAGTTCATTTTTTATTGTTGAGTAGTAGTTCCTGTTTGAGTATACCATAATTTGTTTGGTCATTCTCCTTTTGATAGACAATAACCAGTTTTTGGTTATTATGAATAAGGCTTGGAGCATTCATTTATAAGTATTTTTTGTGGACATATGTTTTCATTTCTCTTAGAGGATATCTAGGAGTGAAATTGCTGGGCCATAGGGCACATTTTTGTTTAACTTTATAGGAAACAGCCAAACGTTTATTTCCAAAGTGGGTGTGACATTTTATACTCCAACCAACAGTGTATGAGAGATCTGGTTTCTCCACTTCCTCACCAATATTCTATTTTCAGTCCTTTTGATTTTAGCCGTTCATCTGGTGTGAAATGGTATCTCATTGTGGTTTTAATGTGTATTTTCTTGATGGCTAAAGATGTTGAGTACTTTTTAATGTGACTATTAGCTCTTCATAAAGTATCTATTTGAGTCTTTTGTCCGTTAAGAATTTGGATTGTTGTACCTATCACTGATAGCCTAAAGAAAATATGGAACATATACACCATGGAATACTATGCAGCCATAAAAAAGAATGAGTTCATGTCCTTTGCAGGGACATGGATGCAGCTGGAAACCATCATTCTCAGCAAACTAACATAGGAACAGAAAAACCAAACACCATGTGTTCTCACTCATAGGTGGGAGTTGAACAGTGAGAACACATGGACACAGAGAGGGGAACATCACACACTGAGGCCTGTTGTGGGGGCGGGGGGCAAAGGGAGGGAGAACATTAGGACAAATACCTAATGCATGTGGGGCTTAAAACCTAGATGATGGGTTGATAGATGCAGCAAACCACCATGGCACATGTATACCTATGTAACAAACCTGCACATTCTGCACATGTATCCCAGAACTTAAAGTAAAATAAAAAAAAAAGAATAGATGGATGAAAGCAGAAAGGAAGAAAAGGAATAATCTAAAGTAAATATGGTAAAATGCTAATATTTTAAAAATCTAGGTGGTGTGAGCAGGAATTTTTAAAAATTATTTTTAATGTTTTTCCTATAAGTAAAAATATTTCATATTAGAAGACAAAAAGAGATGAAAAGGTATTTTCATCTCTCTTATAATTATTGTGGTTATGTGTTTTATATGTAATACATCATGTAATGATAGATATACTAGATTATTAATATTACAAATATAGACTTAGAAGATAGATATCATTTACATCAAGTTAATCAGTGTATAAGAAGTATGATTTTTTCTACTTGTAATTATTTCCATAAAGGTTAATGTTTTTTACCTAACAACAACAACAACAAAAAGAAATTGGATTGTTGGACTTCTTAATGTTGATTTGTAGGAGTTGATTATATGTTCTAGATATGAGTCTTAAAATACATATGCTATGAATGTTTTTTACAATCTGTGGCCTTTTTACTTTATTAATGATATTTTTTGATGACTAAATATTTTTAATTTTGGTCAAGATCAATTTTATCAGTTTTTTTTTTCTTTTATAATGAGGGCTTTTTATGTCCTGTTCAAGAATTGTTGCCTACTTCAAGTTTGTGAAGGTACTTTCTTATGCTTGCTTCCAGAAGCTGTATGATATGGGTTTTATATTTAAGTATATGATCAAATTATGTTGGTTTGTGGAGTGGGAAAGAAGCATGGTATTATTTTTATTTTTATACAGATATTCAGGTATTTCAGTGACATTTGTAAAAAAAAATTTTCTTTATTGGATTGACTTGGCATTTTGATTGAAAATCTGTTGACCAGGCTGGGCGTGGTGGCTGATGCCTGTAATCCCAGTGCTTTGGGAGGCCGAGGCGGGTGGATCATGAGGTCAGGAGATCAAGACCATCCTGGCTAACATGGTGAAACCCCGTCTCTACTAAAAATACAAAAAAAATTAGCCGGGCGTGATGGCGGGCGCCTGTAGTCCCAGCTACTCGGGAGGCTGAGGCAGGAAAATGGCATGAACCCAGGAGGCGGAGCTTGCAGTGAGCCGAGATCACGTCACTGTGCTCCAACCTAGGTGACAGACTGAGACTCCGTCTCAAAAAAAAAGAAAATCTGTTGACCGTATTTTGTGGGTCTATATTGTTTTATTATTCTATTTGACTGTCCTCATGCCAATATCACACTGTCTGGATTAATGAAGCTTTATGATAAGTACTGATAACAATTAGTGTGAGCCCTCATCTTTTCTTTCAGGTTAATTTGGGAATTCTTGAGCATTTGCGTTTCCATATTGTATTAGTTCATTTTCATACTGCTGTGAAGAAATACCCGAGACTGGGTAATTAATAAAAAAAAAGAGGTTTAATGGACTCACAGTTCCATATGGCTCAGGAGGCCCCACAATCTTGGCAGAAGACGAAGGAGGAGCAAAGGCACATCCTACATGGTGGCAGGCAGCAGAGCATGTGCACAGGAACTGCCCTTTATAAAACAATCGGATCTCATGAGGCTTACTTACTATCACGAGAATAGCATAGGAAAAACTTGCCTTCTTGATTCAATTACTTCCCACTGGGTCCCTCCTGTGACACATGGGGATTATGGGAGCTACAATTCGAGATGAGATTTGGGTGGGGACACAGCCAAACCATATCACATACGAATTTTAACATCAGTTTGTCTATTTGCTGAAGAAAATCCTACTAGGACTTATGATAACTAGAAAATGGTGGCAGTGTAGTAAATAACTTCCCAAAATCTTTCCCCCAAACTATACGGATGACTTCACACCTAAGCAAAATCTGTGTAAAACAATGCTCTCAACCTTATGTGAGCACAGAGAATGTGGAAACTATCAAAGACCTGTGAGTAAAAAGAAAAAGTTAAAAGCCAGCCCCATGGTTCCACACACTCCTGTGCCAATCTTGTCCCACTTGTGGGGCTTTGGTGATCCAAGGCAGACCTCGAAAAAAACTACAGAAAAGCAGAGGAGAGATGCAAATGAAATGACTGGAGGGTGGTAGGAATGACCACCAGAAAGATCAAATCCACCCTAAATGTGAAAAATAAAGAAATTTGGCTTATTAGGAAGATATTTCAAAGTAAGGACAGGTGCCAAGTAAAGGGCCAGAAAGAAACAGATGAAAAACAGTGGGTCAGGCATGTAACTTAAAATAGACACATGCCATATAAAGGAATTGGTGTGTGAATTAAAGGGATAGATTCTATTTAAATGGGTAAGTCTGATTTCAAAGAATAGGTACGATTTAAAGGGTTCAATTTTTGAAATGCATAGCTTCTGGGGGAGAAAGAAACAAAAAGGAGGGAAGGCGTTTCCTTTGGCAATTGGATAATGAAGAGGAAAAGAAGGAAAAGGGAAAAATTAAGGCCCTGTGAGACAAAATAGAACTACACAGGTGGAGGATTCATAATATGCCCCCTAATGAAACCAACCACTTCATTAAAGTATATAGCATGGATTGACTGGTAGGAAAGGGTGACATTGGACTAGAAATATTGTAAAACAGCCCAATGTCACAAAAATGAACAAAATATTTCTAAATCAGGAAACAAATTTGCACGCAAACCTAGGAAAATTCTTTTTCCCCAAAACAACCGTGAACTATAACTCTAAGTTCATACTCCAACAGAATTAAATTTACTCCAACGAGCATTTGGAAGTATGAAAAATCACTTGAGTCAGAAATTAAAAAACTAAAGACAGAAGTGGACAATAAACAGGGACAAATGGGGGAAAATGTTGATGGAGCTTTGGAAAGAAATGGAAGAAAATATCAGAATTATTTTAGAAATAAAGAATATATTACAAGATACCCAAGGGAAAATGGACTAGAATGAAAAATTGATAAGGAGCATTGAAGAAAGAAAAACAACTATGAGAATTTAAATAAGAAATGTCAGAGAGAAAGTAGTCGAATATTATTCCTTTGGAATAATATTCAAGTCAAGGAAGGAATAATATTTGTTTTATTTGAGTCCCTAAGGGGAAAAAACCAAAACAATTGAAAAGAGCTGATATCTAAAACTATAATTCAAGAAAACTTTCCAGATGGAAAAAGATGTAAATCCACACATTGAAAGTATGTCAAGTGCAATGAAAGATTAATCCACAGCAATTAACTCCAAGACATATCCCAGTTAAAAATTATCAGATTATTAAGATAATAAAATCCTTAGGACCGACATGAAACAAGTCAAATAAAAGCAAAAGAATTATAGTAGCATCAAGCTTTTCAAAACCAATATATAAAGCAAGGCAGAAATAGAGCAGCATTCAAAGAAAAGTCAGTGGAAGTATGAATTTGGGATTTTATATCTAGCCAAGCTGCTTTTTAAATATTAAGGCCATATAAAAATAGTTTTCATCATACCAGAACTTTTATGCATCAAGAGATAGAGCAACTGGCTTTCTGAAACAGAAACTTCAGGAGTTTGCAGGGACACATACATAGAAACATACCAGTAACAGGATACTTCGTTATACTGCTTTCATTACTAGTAATGATAGATTTAAGTGGACAAAATATAAGGAGGTAGAAGATGTAAACAATATAGCCAATAAGGTTGATCTTCTGGGTATACTGTATATTGAATGCTATACCTCGATAAGAGAAAATACTCATTTTCTTAAGTGCCTATGGCACATTCACAAAAACTGATTATATATTATGTCATAAGGAAAACATTAATAACTTCCATAAAGTAGAACTATTATAAACACTCTGATTACAGTGGACTAAAACTAGGATTTACTAACAAAACCAAATACAAGCCCTTTCACCTAGAAATTAAAAAGTTTGACTAAACAACTTTTTAAAAAGTATTTTAAAAAATTGTAAAAGGAGAAATACAATTAAGTGTATTTAATTGTAAAAAAATGTAATGACAGTGACACTTTATATCATAATTTATGTGGTATATTTAAAGCAGTGATTAGAGGAAAATTTATTTTACTGCTTTTATTAATAAAATGAATAAATGAACTAAATTTTCAGCGAAACTAAAAAAGATCAAGGTAAGTCAAAAGAAAGGAAGAAAAATAATAACTATAAAAGCAGAAATTGATGAGCAAAAGAATAGAAAAACAGTAAATCTAGCAAATAAGCCAAAATCCTGATGTTTTCTCTCCCTGGCCATGCAGTGGTTTTTTTTGTTTGTTTGTTTTTGTTTTTTGAGATGGAGTCTTACTCTGTCGCCCAGGCTGGAGTGCAGTGGCGCCATCTTGGCTCACTGCAAGCTCCGCCTCCCGGGTTCACGCCATTCTCCTGTCTTAGCCTCCCGAGTAGCTGGGACTACAGGCGCCCGCCACCATGCCCGGCTAATTTTTTGTATTTTTGGTGGAGACGGGGTTTCACTGTGTTAGCCAGGATGGTCTGGATCTCCTGACCTCGTGATCCACCCACCTCGGCCTCCCAAAGCGCTGGAATTACAGGCGTGAGCCACCGCCCCCAGACAGTGGTTTTTAAAAAACAACTTTATTGAGTTATAAATCACAGAAAAAAATTCACCTCTTTAAAGTGTACAGTTCTGGCTGGGCGCAGTGGCTCACGCGTGTAATCCCAGCACTTTGGGAGGCTGAGGTTGGCGGATCACTTGAGGGAGGAGTTCGAGACCAGCCTGGCCAACATGGCAAAACCCCTTCTCTACTAAAAATACAAAAATTATCTGGGCATAGTGGGATGCTCCTGTAGTCCCAGCTACTCCGAAGGCTGAGGCAGGAGAATTGCTTGAACCCAGGAGGCAGAGGTTGCAGTGAGCAGAGATTGTGCCACTGTACCCCAGCCTGCGCAACAGAAGGCAACTCTGTCTGAAAAAATAAATAAAAATAAAGCATATCATTCAGTAGCTTTTCGTATATTCACAGAGATTTGTAATCATCACTACTATCTAATTCAAGAACATTTAACCCGATATGCATTGGCATCATTCCCCTTTCCTCCTAGACCCTGGCAACTTCTCATCTGCTTTCTGTCTCTATGGATTTTTTTATATGACGTTTCATATAAGTGGAATCATACAGATTGTGGCTTTTAATGTTTGGCCTCTTTCATTTAGCATAACATTTTTATGGTTCATTCATGTTGCTGCATGTATCATTCCTTCACTTATTTTTATGACAATAATATTACAATGTGTGGAAATAACACATTTTGTTTATATTCATTTATCGGATGAACAGTCTTGGTGTTTTTGAAAAAGTTAACAAAATAGACAAACCATTAGCTAACTTATTCAAGGAAAAAATGCATAACTATGTAAAATAAGAAATAACAAAGAGAAGTCATCTTTGAAACAGAATACATTAAAAATAATTTGATTAAAAAATGGGCAAACGATCTGAATAAACTTTTCCCCAAAGAAGACATAAAAATGTCTAAGAGGTGTATGAAAAGGTGCTCAAGATCACGAATGATCAGGGACATGCAAATTGAAACCACTATGATGTATCACCTCACACCTATAAGGATGGCTATTATCAAAAAAGATACAAGATAACAAATGTTGGCAGGGGTGTGGAGAAACACCCTAGTACACCGTTGATGGGAATGTAGATGGGTACAGCCCTTGTGGAAAACAGTATGGAAACTCCTAAAGAAATTAAAAATAGAACTACAGTATGACCTAGCAATCCCTATTCTGAGTATATATCCAAAGAAGATGAAATCACTACCTCATAAAGATATTTGCACTTCCAAGTTTATTGCAGCAGTAGTCACAGTAGCCAAGCTATGGAAACAATCTAATGTCCATCGATGGAAAAATGAATAAAGAAAATGTGGTATATACAGTTGATCTTGAACAGTACGGATTTGAACTGTGTGAGTTCACTTATACGTGGATTTTCTTTGATTTCTACCATGCCACCACTGAGACAGCAAGACCAACCCCTCCTCTTCTTCCTCCTCCTCAGCCTACTCAACATGAAGACAATGAGGATGAAGACCTTAATGATGGTCTCTTTCCACATAATGAACAGTAAATATGTTTTCCATATGGTTTTTGTAACATTTTCTTTTTATTGTAGGAATATAGTACATTATACATATACAAAATATGTATTAATTGACTATGTTATTGGTAAGGCTTCTGGTCAGCAGTGGGCTATTAGTAGTTAAGTTTTTAGGGAGTCAGAATTTATACTCAGATTTTCAACTGTGCAGGGGTTGGTGCTGCTAACACCCGAGTTCAAGGGTGACTTGTATTTACAATGGGATATAATTGAGCCTTTAAAAAGAAGGAGATCCTGCCGTTTCTCACCCATGAATGGACCTATAGGATGTTATGCTAAGTGAAAAAAGCCAGACACAGAAAGAAAAGTATTATGTGATCTTACTTATATGTGCAATATTATAAACCAAAAAAGAGCTCAAATATAGAAATAGAGAATGAAACAGTGGTTACCACAGGCAGTGGGGAGGGCAGAGGAAATGGGGAGATGTGGGTCCAAGGACAAAAAATAGATCTGTAGGATGAACAAGTTGAGAGATGTACAACATGAGGACTAAAGTTATTAAAATTAGAGATTTTTATTAAATAAGTAGATATTAGCTGCCCTTGTCACACACAAAAAGTAACTGTGAGATGATAGATATGTTAATAAGCTTCACTATGGTAACTATTTTACTATCTATATGTATCCTGTAACATCATGTTGTAAACCTTGAATATACACAATAAAAATTTTTTTAAATGTCATGAGACACTTTGCAAATAATTCTAAAAACCTATATGAAATGGGTAGTTTTCTAGGAAAGTACAGATGACCAAAGTTGCCCCCATTAGAGTTAGAAAGCTTAAGCAGACCAATGTTATAGAAGAAATAGAGAAAATTAAGGAGAGATTACTCCATAAAAGCACCAAGGGACAAATGGTTTCACAGAGGAATTCTATAAAACCTTCACATACCATATACTGTCATTCATCACTTTATGGGGTATGTTCTAGAAATGTGTTCTCAAGCAACTTTGTCACTGTGGGAACGTCACAGAGTGTTCTTACACAAACCTTAATGGTATTGCCGACTACGCGCATAGGCTATATGGCATAGCCTGTTGCTCCTAGGCTACCAACCTGTACAGCATGTTATCGTACTGAATACTGTGGGCAATTGTAACACAATTTAGTATTGTGTACGTATTTATGTATTTAAACATATTTGTATATTAAAAAATATGTAAACATAGAAAAGATACAGTAAAAATACAGTATTTTAATCTTAGAGGACCACAGTCATATATGTATCTGTCATTGACCAAAATGTTATGTGGAGTGTGACTGTATTGAAAACTTTTTTTTCTTAAGAGCAAATAGCTGTAATATCCACTTTAAATCTTTATTATTTTCAGCATCAGGTTCATCTTGGCATCAGACAGATTTGATTGATTTTGTTTTTTCTTCAGAATGTGTTCCATTTTTTCGTTCTTTGTATGTTGGGTAATTTTGGATTTTGTAGTGCATATTAATAGTGTTAAATTGTAAAGATTTTTGTTCTGTTTTACACTGATGAATATTGTTTCCTGTGTTATTAAAGGTACTTTTTTTTTGTGGGGAGGCTGGGTTTGAACTGCAGTTTCGTTTCTAATGCAGCAGCTCCATCCTCTTTTCAAATCTTTTGTCTTCAGCTGGGATGTTTGGAGTCGGCTTCGCACGTGTCATTTGGAGGTCAGTCAGGTGTAGGTAGACAGAGTTTGGTGATCCCCTCTCTACGTCTTTCCTTTGACTGATCTCTCCACACTGTTCAGTGCTCCTGGTTTACCCACTATCCTTTTCTGTATAATAAGAAGGGCCACTGACACTCTGTGTAATTTGTATTTTCTTATTTATAGACTTAAGCTAACCAATAAGGTTCACTGAAAGTATTCATTCAGGAAGAGATAATGAATCAAGGCATTTTAAGTTGAATAGAAAATGTCCTTCTAGATTCTAAGCTAAGGGATGGATGGCCTTTCAAAATAATGTTTTTTATTTAATTAAATCAATACTTCTCAAGTAATTACTGGAATTTGTAATGGGTATATTTATTTCCTGTGGCTGCGGTAGCAAATTACCACAAGCTGGGTGGCTTAAAACAATTGAAATTTATTCACTTAACAGTTCTGGAGATCAGAAGTCTGAAATCAAAATGTCTTTGGAGCTGTTCTCCCTGCAGAGGCTTTAGGGGAGAATCAGTAACTTACCCCTTACAGCTTCTGTGGTTGCTGACATTCCTTGGCTTGAGGCATCATCAGTCCAGTTTCTGCCTCCAGCTTCATATGGCCTTTTACTTTTCTGTGTGTCACTTTACTCTGTGTGTTTATTTTTAAACTCCCTCTGCCTCTCTCCTATAAAAACACTTGTCATTGGATTTAGGACCTGCCTGGATTATCTAGTATGATTTTCTTATTTCAAAGTTCTTAATTTAATTACTTCTGTAAAGACTGTCTCTAAATAAAGTAACATTCACAGATTCCCAGGCATTAGGACATAAGCATATCTTTTTGTGGGCCACCATTCAGGCTACTATGAAGAGGTATGGGGGATGTAGTCAAATTATGTTTTCTAAGTTAATATAGGGGCCAAGGGAAAATTTTCCCTTCTGCCTCTGAAGGTTTGCTGAAGATCAGCTGAAGAAAGGCCGATTAATAGCAGAGGCATGCAAAATTAATTTTATCGTGCATAGCACAAGGGAATTACAAGAGAATGATTGTTTATACAATAGTGCAGTGGGGGTACAGAAGCTTATATACTCTTCACAGAGGAAAGGGAGATGTGGATAATTTTAAGGTGAAAAGTGATTTTTAGGGGAATTCAATGGGCTTGGAGAACATACGTCTTGAGACATACGTCCTCGTGCATCCTGAGACAAAGCCTTGTGGGCCCACAGAGAAGACAGTGGTTCTGTCCAGGTGTGTTGACAGACTTCAGTCTTTATTCCTGCAGTATGAGTTAATGAAAACTCAAGGAAAGGACCAGTGGTAATTTTCTTCTTTGAAGAGTCTGGAGTTTAAGCAGATAAGGGAGTATCAGAGTAAAGCTTCTTCTAGTATCTGCCAGTCTCCAAGGGCCTTTAATTTAAAATAATCAGCATACCAGGGTGCCATATTTTGGGGTGAAATTTCCTGGTCTCCTTCAATAGAAAAAAATATCTAATTTATTTGCAGCATTTCTATTTCAAAAATGTAAGCAACACTAAGCACTTTGTATTTAAGATGCATTTTAAAGAAATGGAAATGAGAATTACTAATTCATATTTATCAGCTGACATATATATGGGACTATTTCACTCTTTTGACAAAAAATTTATTGTTTAGTATTTACCTGTTTAGTGACACATTTAAATGGCTGCCCTTTTTAATTGTAATATTGTGCTTTTTATATGCCTCTTTCATTTTTTACTTCATTTTAATGTACAGGGAATCGTTATGCTATTAGATTGTAAGACATATGATTGCATATACTAGAAACAAATAGGTATTTGTCTTAACTGCCTATGATAATTGAAGTAGATTTTCATTTTTAAGAGTTTGAATGACATTAAATAAATTTTAAATGTAAATTGTAAAATGGCTAATTTTTCTCTGTGCAATATAATTTTAAACTTTATTGCTTACTAGCTCTTTCTTGACATTATTGTTTTAAATTTTGACATAAATGGCAGGTTGAACAAAAACAATAGCAGTTCATTTTGCATTAGAAATTCTGTTCCAGGCAGAAACAGTTGCACAGTCTAATGGAATAACTTACTTTCTTATTGTTAAAAAACTTTCAATTGTAAAACTGAATGATTTAAACAAAATAAATAATAAAGGTATTTCCTTCTTTCTGACACTTTTCTTTAGTTCTCAGTGAACTCCATGTGAGTAGCCTGCTAGAAATATGTAGTTAGGCTTACCAGTAAGGAAGCATATACACTTTTGACTATTAGCTGTAGCCTTTGAAGAAATTCCCTTTATCATTAATTTTATTCTCTTTCTTTCTCATTAGAGAAATTGTATTCTCTTTCTCATTAGAATCCAGATTTTTGAATATCATTATGTTTTGAAAATATTTTGTAGAATAAACAAGGGCACCATGTTTAAGAAGGAAGAAAACTAATACTTATTTAGCACCTACTGTATTCCAAGCATATGCTAGGTATTACATGCTGTCTCCTCATTTATTCTTAGAAAAACTCTGTAGATCAGTATTTTCAGTACGGTCTTTTTCGGCAAGGGTAAACTGAGGCACAGAAAGATGAAGTAAATTGACTAGGGTCCCACATGTATTGAAAGGTAAGGCTGAGATTTTCATCTAGTTTTCACTAGTTTCACTAAAAAGTGATAGTCTCTCCAGCTACTCATGAAAATGCCTTCCAATTTTTGTAATACCTTACATTTATAAATAGCATTTCTTATGGAAACTTAACCAAGTATGTGATCTCCTTGGGGTTAATTCTGGAAGGCCTCACCTTGAGAGACCCTCAGCATGGACTTTGTAGGCAGCAATGCTATGAGTGCAGTAGTCAGTGTAGTGTTTAGGGCATTAGGCTTCATGTAAGCCTTTTGAACTGATATATGGTTTTATAGCCACTACCTTTTTGCTGAGAAAAAGAGGACAGAAATATTAAGTAATCTCACATCTTAAAATCTGATTTATTAAAAAGTAACCCCAGTTCTGCTTCTGAATTAATGTATGAAAATATAGAATTAGAGGAAGGCTGTAAATTATAACCCCAATGAAAGTAAAAATATCTAGGCCTTCATTTTATACTTTTAAATTTATGTGGAGTCATGGTTTACAAAGATGAATAACAACATAGTTAGGTTACCATTGCCACTATACTATGTAATATATCAATTATGGGATTTCAAAGGAATTATTTACAAATTTTTACTTGCTCAGCTGTTACAATTTTTTTAATACCAAATAAGCATTCTAGGGTGAATGCCTTCATGGATTGGTTTATGTATGGGGAAAATATTTTAATATTTTGAATATGAGTCATAAAATAGAAGTTTGTTGTTTATTACCTATCTCACGATCATTTTAAAATCGTCATGCTGTATTTTGATGTCACAGAAAAGCAATTATTGAAATAATGCTGAAAATACTTTTTGTAACTATTCTACAGCAAAAAAGCATTAGTCTGTAATAATTTATGTGTACTTTATTTTTATAAAATCATCTATTTCCAGACGATATAGATGTAGAAGAGACGGGAAGAGAAAATTGTCTTAATATATCTAATGGTGAGGTATTTCTTGAATGCTTACTAAATGAGTTTTTTTTAAACCCTGAGTGATCTTTATATCAAACACAAATTCAAAATTATAGTAGTCTATTTTATTTTCTTTGTTATCCCTACTCTCCAACAAAAAACAAATGTCAGAAACCTTTAAGCTAGTTTAGTATCTCTTCAGGGTCTTAGCTTCAACAGGAGTATAATATTTTACTTGTGAAACAAGGTTGTCATCTAGTGGTGCTTTCAAGTAGTACAGCTTTCACAATTAGCTAGCTGATAGTCTTCAGCTTTTTAAAGGAAGTGCTTAACAAAAAGCTATCTAGGTTTAACTTTTCAGAATTTAAACACTTTTGAATACTGTTAAATTAGATATAAACTTACAAAGGATTTTCCCTAGAAATTTTTTAAATTTCCATCTCAATTTTTAAAATAAATTTTTTGTTTGGCTACTGAAATACTGATATTTGACCAGTGTGGATGTTAACCATGATGATATCAAGGCATTTCATATTGTTTTGCATCATCAGAAGTTGTTTATTTAGAAGAAGATTCTTAAATAGTGTTAAGTAATTAAAAATTTTTTTTTGCATATTAATCCTTTCACCAGCCTGAGCAACAAAGCAAGACTATCTTTACCAAAAAAAAAAAAAAAAAAAAAGGTGGAACTAATGTATATTTATGATGGCAAAGAAATCATAAAAACTAAAAACTGAAAAAATAATGCATATTAATAGATAGTTGATTAATGAGTAAAATAAATCTTATATTGAAAGTAGTTTACTACATTAAGATTAACACTACATGCTGGTACTTAGAAGTACTTTAAATAGTACGTACCTTTATTTATCTGATCCATTTATATATAAGCCACAGAGAAAATTAAATTTTTAAGCTAGCATTGATTCAAGTCCTGGTTTAATTGTTGGAATACAGATTGTGGTATTCAATGTGGGATAGGAAGTGGCTACTTTGCCTAGACAAGAAAAGAAAATGTGGTAATATTAATAGAAGAGGTACTTAGTTGTTAAGGGAAACAAAATAAAAGACCTCTTTTTTCATTTTCCACCATTTTTCATAGTACTCACTCCTCTGAATTACCTTTTGTAGAATTCTGATCCTTCTGTTTATTATGCTTAATAGAGCTTTTGCCATGGAATTCATGGATTCATTCAACTAACTGCTGGTGTTCCATTTTATATTCTCATGTGCTATCTTTCCAATATATCTGTAAGCTGTATTGAATATATTGATTTTATTTTTAACAGGTTATCTGAAGAAAATCTTGTGCCCCAATTCTTACTAGCATTTTTACCTTACTAATCTTGTTATTCATTATGGCAAAATACTGTATTTTCCCAAGTTATATTCATAAACAAGAACTTTCAAGCCATTTTCCTTCTGCCCTAGAGGAGGGAATTGGCAAGTTAATTCTTTCAGTGTCTCTGACTAGGTATAGTATAGTAAGAGTCTATAAGAATAATATATAAAACAAATTTTTGGCAGGTGTATTACAATCAATTTACACTATGGAGAGAGAAACAGTTTAGGCAGAGTGAACAGAGAGATCTTCGTATGGGTAATTTTTAAAAAATATCTTTACAACATTGAAGTTTTGGGAATTTGCAGTAGGTCAGTTACTTCCATATTTGCTAAGATCAAAAATATCCTTTAATAGAAGTTATTTTTTAAATTATCTTTTATGTTTTTTCCCTCTCTTGTCCCACCTTAGCTTGGGTAATTGGGAATTAGTTATCTTTATTTTCTTTGTGGCTAAGCAAGAATTCATTTATCAAACTCCCATTTTGGTATTTGGATATCATGTGCGGGGGCTAGTAACCTCAGTGTGGTAGCAGATAATCAGGTGTAGGTTAGAACCCCAAAAACTGCATGAAGCCATTTGATTTGGGTTTTATTCAGGGGCAATTAAGAACACCATGTACCAGTCACTGTCCAGATATCTTCTTATTTTTTTTGACATAGTCCCTATCCATTTGTGAAGAATGTTTTCACTCTTGGTTTTCTCATTGGCATTTTAAAGACTTTTCATGTGTCATCAGCCCAGTTTATATCAATGTGCAATAATTCTGTATTTTATTATTTCAGGAAGTCAAGTTGCAGTTCAGATTTGAATGGGCATTCATTATTTCAATGGGTGGCAGTGGGTAAAAGAGAATAAAACTTTAATGTTTGCTTTTATGGCTCACTTTCTGGCCAATTAAAACATTCCTCCTCCTTAAAAATATAAGTAGTCCTCAAAGTCTGAAGTAAGCATGGGTTCTTTATATGTCCAGTTTGTAAAATATTTATGTCAATGACCAGACTGAATGATTTGATACTTTTTAGTGTGATGTAAACAACTCACCAGAGAACATTTGTTACAGGCATAATTGTGTTCTTTGCTCTCCCAGTGCGTACAAAGTGACCTAAAAGATACTTGGTTCTTTTCTTGCTTGGAAAGGAAGTTGGCTATGAATGTTATACTATCTGAGGTACACTTACGGCACAACACTGTATGTCAGAGACAACTTGGAAGTGAACAGGAGCAAATAATTTAAATAAACTAATGTGTTTAATAAGTACAAAGTACATGTACCACATGCAGGCTGAGCCCTGTTTTGTTTGGCTTGTACACTGCTTTACGGAAATCTAAAAGCTAAAAATCAAATCTGACGCAGTAACTGCTTTACTAGTCCTCGTGCAGACATGGCTGCCCCCTTTAGCTCAGTCAGCTGATGTGTAGTTTGCCTTGCTCCGTTTCATTATCTATACATTATAGCCAGTGAGTAAGTTAGATTCACCGATTTTACCTGCTTTCAAAGAAATGGATCAAAAGAAAATTGGCCCTCTTCTTTCCTTACTGATGGTAAAGGGTGGTAATGGAGATCTACTATCTGGAACAATGAGTTTAAAACAATAGTGTTTGTTTTATCACAGTTTTCTGCCAATTGAGATTCTTGAGCTATGGTTTGGACATGTCTGTTTTATATGCCAAGTGACTTCTGAACACGACGTGAAGACAGTTAAGTGATTCTAAGACGGAATTTTGACATCTCATAAATAGAAGCATTTACTAAAGGAAGCATTTTCTAAAATCCCTTTTTAAAAAGTTTTGAGCACTTAAGGCTGGGTGTGGTGGCTCATGCCTGCAATCCTAGCACTTTGGGAGGCCGAGGTGGGCGGATTGTTGGAGCTCAGGAGTTGGAGACCAGCCTCTGCAACATGGTGAAATCTCATCTCTATAAAATAAAATAATTAAGTGGGCATGGTGGAGAGTGCCTGTAATCCCAGCTATTTGGGGGACTGAGCCATGAGAATTGCTTGAGCCCAGGCAGTTCAGGCTCTAGTGAGCTGTGTTTGTGCCACCGCATTCCAGCCTGGTGAAAAGTGAGACCCTGTTTAAAAAAAAAAAAAAAAAAATTGAGCACTTACTAAACTGCGGTGACTTAAAAATTGCATTATTTGAAGGTAAAATTAGTGAGAAATATTTGTCTGTTCTGTGAGTATAATGCAGAAATTTAGCCTTTTAATGCCCTGCTTGTCAGTAAAATGTATTCAGATGTTGTCATAGTTTAGATTAGTAATAAGTGGTTTTATAATATTAATGTCCAAAATCTCCATTAGAGAGTGAAAAAAAAAAGTGTGCTTTTGCTGGCTGTTTTAGTAAACAAGAACCCTCTGGTGTCAGTTTCTTCTTTTGTATCAATGCCCTTGGGTTTTAGGTGTTCAAAGATGGCACATGGGAATTGATGATAATTCTCTTCTCTCAAGGTCCACCAGGTGGGTGTGCACAGGGACCGTAACTGGAGTGCCTGCTCCACTTTTCAGTTGCTTTCTTTCCTGATTACCTCAATTAAGACTGGTGAATCCTGTGTTGTGTTGTTCTTCAGTTACTGTGTTACTGAAGTTCTTGAAGCACATTTTGGTCTTTGAGTTTTTGTTTTTTATCACTTGTTTTATTCATTGGTAATATTGGAGTTTTAAATGTTTATAAAAATGAAAAGATTAATTTGTAAATCCCAAATTATTGTTAATTTAGGCTCAGTCCTTCTGTGACAATCGTCCAGTATTAACAAAAGGATCAGTAAGATATTATTCAGGGAGAGCTGTGAATGGGTGCCCTGTTTCTTGAAAATTATGGAGTAAACCTATAAGGCTTAAGTTTTTTGGTTTTGTTATGTTCAGAAAACCTTTTATAGGCCTTATTATTTTCTTATTTCAATAGTTTTTTTGGGTACAGGTGGTTTTTGGTTACCTAGATAAGTTCTATAGTGGTGAATTCTGAGATTTTAGTGCACCCATCACTCAAGCAGTGTACACTGTACCCAATATGTAGTCTTTTATCCCTCACCCTCTCCAAACCTACCCCAGTAGAGTCCCCAAAGTCCATTATATCACTCTATATGTATTTGCACCCTCATGCCTTAGCTCCCACTTACAAGTGAGAACATTAAGTATTTGGTTTTCCATTCCTGAGTTAGTTCATGTAGAATAATGGCCTCCAGCTCCATCCAAGTTGTTGCAAAAGACATTATTTCAATTCGTTTTTGTGGCTGAGTAGTATTCTATGGTGTATATATGCCACATTTTCTTTATTCACTCTTTGGTCGATGGACACTTAAGTTGGTTCCACATCTTTGCAACTGGCAAATTGTGCTACAGTAAACGTGTGTGCATGTGTCTTTTCATATAAGGACTTCTTTTCCTTTGGGTAGATACCCAGTAGTAGGATTGCTGGATCAAATGGTAGATCTACTTTTAGTTCTTTAAGGAATCTCCATACTGTTTTCCGTAGTGGTTGTAGCAATTTACATTTCTGCCAGCAGTGTAAACCACATCATGACAACATCTATGGTTTTTTTTTTTTTACTTTTTAATTATGGCCTTTCTTAGAGGAGTAAGGTGGTTTCTCATTGTGGTTTTGATTTGCATTTCCCTGTTGATTAGTGATGCTGAGCATTTTTTCTTATGTCTGTTGGCTGTTTTTATATATCTTCTTTTGAGAAATGTCTATTTCCATCCTTTGCCCACTTTTGGATGGGTTGTTTTTTTTTTTTTCTTGCTGATTTGTTTGAGTTCCTTGTAGATTCTGGATTCTAGTCCTTTTTGCATAGTTTGCAAATATTTTCTCCTGCTCTGTGGGTTGTCTGTTTACTCTGCTGATGATTTCTTTTGTTGTGCAGAAGCTTTTAGTTTAATTAAGTTCTACTTACTTTTTATTTTTGTTGCATTTGTTTTTGGGGTCTTAGTCATGAATTCTTTGCCTATGCCAATGTCCGAAGAGTTTTCCAATGTTTAGAATTTCTAAACCATGAAAATGTTTAGAATTTTCATGATTTCAGGTCTTAGATTTAAATCTTTGATCCATCTTGAGTCGATTTTTGTATAAGGTGAGAGACGGGGATCCATTTTCATTCTTCTACATGTGGCTTGCCAGTTTTCCCAGCACCATTTATTGAAAAGGGTGTCCTTTCCCCAATTTATGTTTTTGTATGCTTTGTTGAAGATCAGTTGGCTGTATTTGGCTTTATTTCGAGGTTCTCTATTCTGTTCCATTGGTATCATTGCGTATTTTTATACCAGTACCATGCTGTTTTGGTAACTATAGCCTTGTAGTATAATTTTAAGTCTAGCAATGTGATGTATGGGCCTTGTTTGAAAGAAATCACATATTTGACTTATGTGGATAAAGGCAAGTTTCCAAACCCTTACAACTCTGCCTTTAGAATTTTTGTTAGACTTTACCTTTTAATATTTTGTAGGGATGGAATATTTTTATTCTTCTGAAAACTTGAATATCTAATAATTAGTTGATATTAGTTTCCTGATCTTCTACGATGCAGAAGGGAACAGCATGACTGCTTTTATCAACTGAGTTTTATACCTGTTCTTGTTTAATGTACTTTGGAGCTCACCAATTGAATTTGTCTAGTTCTGCTTTTGTCTGTGTGAGCTGAAGTATCTAGCTGATTAGGAAACTGATTTGGATAGCTACTGGCTTTTTTTAATGAGATTATCATATCACTAGTATCAGCATTAATTGTTTGATAAATTAAACTTTTTTTTTTTTTTTTTTTTTTGAGGCAGAGTTTTGCTCTTGTTGCCCAGGCTGGAGTGCAATGGCATGATCTCGGCTCACTGCAACCTCTGCCTCCCGGGTTCAAGCAATTATCCTGCCTCAGCCTCCCGAGTAGCTGTGATTATAGGCATGTGCCACCATGCCTGGCTAATTTTGTATTTTTAGTAGAAACGGGGTTTCACCATGTTGCTCAGGCTGGTCTCAAACTCCTGGCTTCAGGTGATCCACCTGCCTTGGCCTCCCAAAGTGCTGGGGTTAGAGGCGTGAGCCACTGTGCCCAGCTGAAAATGGTGTGTTATAATGGAAAGAGTGCTGAATTGGGAGTTAGGAGTCATTTTTGTTTTTAACTTTGCATCTTCTAAATTTGTATTTTTGGGGCAAGTTTAATTTTACATCTCTAGGACTCCTTCATCTGTAAAGTTGAAGAGGTGAATTTTGGTTATTTTTAAATTAAATTAATTTATTATAATATAAATAATCTATTATAATTTAAATTAATTAATCTATTCTAGTTTATCTGACATCCTATAATTCTTTAATTCTACAGTTTCCTTTCTAGAAAACAAAATATTCTATTAGTCATTACATACTATTTCCCTCTTGTGTAGGAGCTTGGAAAGCTGTGTTTTTGTAATCACTCAATCAGAATTTAATTTATCACCCATATCCTTTTGTGTACTGTTGCTTTCTAAAATTGGTCTCAACCTATACTTATCTCTTTTTTCTTCTCCATTTTCCAGCCAGAAAGCTCTAGGATATTATTCCTAGAAGGTGCTTCACACTTACTCACTTCCATGTTTTTGATTACACTATTCCTTTTCTGTGTTTTTCCCATCCCACAGCCACTTTGAGCTCCTATAACATTTTTATAGTTATTTTGGCCTTGTATGATAGCTGTTTATGTATTGTGTTATACTGTATAGCAGACTGTAAACTTCTTGAGGGCAGGTGTTTAGTTTTCATCATTTTACTAATCTTGTTACTGATTTCACACAATACTTTTCACATAAGCGGGGCATAATATTTATGAAAGTGAATTTATAAGATTATTAATTAGAGTTACAGATACAGTTGGACAATTTTTCATTATTCATAGTGAAAAATTAACAGGATAATAAATTATTATAGCCATTTTGAGTTAAAGCAGTATTTTAACCATCAAAATTGACTGCAGATATTTGTATTCCATGGTCACTTATATACTGTCATTCCTGCCTACCATCTATTCATTCTTACTGACTCATCGATATATTTGTATTTTCTCTGTCACCCATTTAACTACTTGCCTTCATTTATCATTGTGGTTTAACAGTGTCATGGTCTTAAACTTTTAATAGTACCTCATTTTGTTAACATTCTTGGTTTGACTTAAATATATATTTTTCTGACTTTTATCGCCTTGGTCTTGCTCATTGGCTTATCTACTTTAATCTTCTATTGCTCTTCTGTACTGTTCTAACTATTCACATTTCTTTTCACTTGCTTTTTTACTTTGGAGAAATTATTCTCTACTTCTTAAAGGCACTTTTTTTTGGTTGCTATTTCTGGGTAAGGTTTACTTTGATAAGTATCTTAGAATCAGTCTAGTGTTGAGAGTTGATGGTGGAATTGCTGTTCATCAAAAATGAGCTTGAGTTAGATCTCTTAGACTAGCAGTCTTGGATCCTTTTAACTGTGGAAGAATGTCTGCAATGGTGATGGTACCATTAGCCATTTGGTTAAAGGGGTTGATACTGATTATAAAAAATGTGAGATATTAATTGGGGTTTTTACAAGTGGATTTTTGATGGTTGATTTTAGAATTGTTGAGTTTATCAAAGAGTTTCAAAATGTCCATGGGTATGGGTAGAGACGAATTTTTTTCCTTCAGATTCAGTAATCTCTTTACTCTTGAATTAATTGTCTCTGACAGATGCATGGCTGATTTGGACTGGATAAAAGAAAAAAGGGCAAATAAGACAATGCGTAAAAAAAACTGAAAAGAGATAGGAAAAGTAAAAGATGTATTGTAAAAAGTTGCCTATCTTTGTGTTACTTGGAATTAATAGCCTTTATTGAAGGATCCTTGAGAACCTTATGTGAAAGAAAGGGGACTTGAGAAGATAATGTGAGAAAGTCCAGAGAGAAGTTCTGCTGTACTCAGTTTAAAACAGTGTTTATTTTAGTTTTATTTTTATAACACATCTCAATCTCTTTTTAAGATCTTATGGTATTAACAGATACTTAAGTCGAGATTATATTTGTATAATAGCAAAGAGCAGCTTATACATCCCTTAAGTATATTGACATTTAAATAGCTTTTCTCAGAAAGCGTATGAATAATCCTATTGACACAATAGCTCTTTAAGGGTACAAAAGAAAAGTATGCACTGTTCATCTCTTCTATAAGACATAGTAAATAAACAGGGAATCCATATCCAAGACTCTTTCCCTAGTATTTGTAGCAGAAGCACTTTATAGTAGAAAACAAAATTGCATGTAGACTTAAGAATTTTGGTTAATTTTGATTTTAGATAATATTAAGCCATTTATTTTATTTTAACAGGTATCTTTCAGATGAAGGCATTGAAGCTTGCACAAGCTCTCCAGACAAAGTCAATGTAAATGACATCATCCTGATTGCTCTCAATGTAGGTTATATTTATTAACTTGTAAACATTTGAAATCTGGAAGCTGTATTCATAAAAAAGTCTCAGAGTAAATTGGGTTATATGATAACAAATATAGAGAACATCTTTCTTATTTTGTCCATTTTAAGTTGTAGTGATGATGTTTGTTGAATTTAATAATCTCATATTAGCAAGTTATTAATATCTGTTATACAGAATCCAATGAAAAAGGAAAAAATGAAATTAACATCCCTTTTTTTCACCCACTGATCAGTCATAGACTTTTTTAACATTTACAATAGCTACGTAATAGTAGTAAAAACTGACTATTCATTAAAATGAATTGCCATTTAATTTACATAGAAACTCTAGCTAGGTTATAGCTTTTTGACAGTGGTATTTATTGTTTCAAAATAACTTTTCATGATGATAGAAATAATACTTATTGTGGAACATTTCAGAAAAAAACAGAAAAGCAAAATAAGAAAATTAAATCTGCTTATAATTACTATTAATGTTTTAGTGTATATTTCTTTTCAACTCTTTGTCCACCCAACCCTCTAGCTGTTTTTTTTTTCCATAATTGTATTGGCTTTTGGGTTTTTTCAAGAGTTATAAAAGTTGTTTGAAATAAAAATGTAAGTAAACAGGCTGGGCATGGTGGCCCACGCCTGTAATCCAAGCACGTTGGGAGGCCAAGGCAGGAGGATCATGAGGTCAGGAGTTCGAGACCAGCCTGGTCAATGTGGTGAAACCCCATCTCTAGCATAGATACAAAAATTAGCTGGGCGTGGTAGTGTGTGCCTGTAGTTCCAGCTACTCGGGAGGCTGAGACAGAAGAATCGCTTGAACCCAGGAGGTGGAGGTTGCAGTGAGCCGAGATCATGCCACTGCACTCCAGCCTGGGCAACAGAGTGAGACTCTGTCTCAAAAAAAAAAGTAAGTAAACAAATGTTCTTTTCTCATTCCTGCAATTACCCTCTGATTGTTTTTCTATGTAGCTTTATAATAAGCTATAAACAATCAAATGTATGTACTACAATATGTGGTCAATGAAATTCCTAAGAGAACTATAGTCTGACAAATCCATCATATCACTGCAAAATCAATGTAAAGCAGAAATGATGGGCACAAGGAACATTTAAAACATAAATAAATGTATAAATCTAACGTTAAAAAAGTTACTTAAATTTATATTTATAGAATTAAACTTGGGTTTAAACAGATAAAATTTATGTCCTACACTGAGTCATCTTTTTTTCAGCTTCTTTGAATTTTACTTAACAAGACAAGTAAGATCATTTTATTTTGGTTTCTGAGCTAAGTATTTAGGTTTTTAATAAATAAAAGACTAATTTTTTAATAATAAGCATTAGCTAGAAATTATGCATGTTATTTATGACTAAAAACTGTTTGTCTTGCACTGAAATTAGTTAATTCTATTGCTTAAAAATATTATAAAGGACTCTTCTTGTTTAAGAAAAACTTTCTACAGATTCTAGGAAAGAGATTTTATGACAATTTGCTGGGGTTTTTTTTTATTTATATTCTTAGGTAAATAGCAATAAACTATAATTGGTATGAAAATTTGAATAAAATAAATCAGGATGAAGTATTTGTGCTGTGTTCGTAAGAGGTGCATGCTGACTATTATCTGAATGAGTTAATTTGTCTTTTTTATTTTCCCTGAAATATGTGGTTAAATACTGCAGTCCAAAGCTATGATGCCATATGATAGGAAAAAAAACCATTTTGATTAGGGTGAAGCCTATACCAGACAAATCATCTATTTTTCCAAATTTATCATCTTTTAATAAAATTTAGGCATTTGTAGTATTCTGTTGAATTTTTTTCAACTTTTGAGTGATTGTGGGAAATTAACCACGAGTTGAGAAAGACGTGTATTATTGATTCTTATTGTGCATATATGTACGTACCCACACATGCATAGCTAATTATATATTGGGAGGATAATCCATGAACAAGTTTTCTTCTCTTCTTTCTATGGGGTAGACACTGAGCTTGTTCCTTTATCTGACAATGAACACTGCAGTAACATGTATATAGTGTTTCTCTCCAGGGAAGCCCTCTGAAGACTAATACCCAAGGCCTTTATTGGGCTGCCCGCAAAGGTACCAGAATTTCAGATCCCTCCCAGAAAACAGATGTCCACCATAAATCATATTGTTTATATGAATAATCCATGCAGTGAATTACATTTTTAGTTAGGGAGTGGTCCAAGTGCAAAGTCCCTAGCTGCCAGCCTAGGGCTAACCTTGTAAGCTGGCCTTTCTAAAGATAGCTGCCTCAGATCTGCTATGTAACTTTTAGGCTTAGCTTTTTATGTTGAAAAGGAATGTTTTTAATTTTTGCTTTTTAAATTGGGGAGTAAGAATATTAAGAAATGACATTGAAATCCAGCATGTAAGTTTTACGTTCAAATACTGGAATTATTCAGAAAAATATTTAATGATAGACCAGTCTTAAATTACTGATCACTATCCATTAGTAAAAATTTAAAAACAAATTATATTTTTATTTCTTTTAAGATTTTGTATAATATAAAATGATTCACCAAGTAGATATTATCTTGCATTTACTTAAGTAAATAGGGATTTTATGTGTGTGTGTGTGTGTGTGTATTTATGTGTGCATATGTATGTGTGCGTGGGTAGGTAGATGCTTTGAAAATTATTTTTAAAGTTTTACAGGCTAAAAGTTTTCCTGTATTATTATTTTTTGTTGTTCAATATAACAGCATTCTTGGACCCAGTCATCGTCCTAGCAATCCTGATACAATGGCATCTGAATAATAAAGTTGTCTTTATAGTGTGAATTTAGGGCATTTAAAGATTTGGTAGATCATTTTCATCTTGCTAAAAATACATCAAAATAACATTTGTATATTTAAGGACACATACTATATATATGTATGGCACTTTAGAAATTATGTAAACTTTGAGCGTGTAGTCTTTTTTTAGCCTGACAACAACTTTGTGAGATAGGATTGGTGGTGTTTTTCCATTTTATAGAGGAGTAAATTAACTGGGTTTAGAGAATTAGTGACAGTGTCCTAGATCATATGATTCTTTAATTACCGTTGGGATGGATCAAAGTTTAGGATTTTTGTCTAGTGCTCATTTACTTTACAGTGATGGCTCATTTTCACTTGAATTAAATTTCATAATTATTGATGAAAACCAGAAATGAGGGACCATGATATATTATAAAATTTGTATGTATTCTGTTTCTCATTCATATTTAAATATTTCAGCTTTTGGGTGACTTCAAAATAATGTAAATGTTTTCATGAACTGTTAGTTACATTATTGATATGATGGTTATGTATGTTCAGATGATTAAAAAAAGTACATGTTTTATACTCACTAAAATAAACAGAATGGCTAACATTTATTGAGTGCTTACTCTGTGCAAGTCATTATACTGAGTGCTTCACATCTATTAATGTTTAATTATAAAACCGTCTTAATATAGGGAAGGCTGGTGTAAGAAAGTATTTTTTTACACTTATGTTATTCAGTACTTTCCAAGTGAAAAGGCGTACAACGTGAGGTACGGTTTATATTTCTTTTAATTCTGTCATTGGATTGAGGTTGTAAAAAGCATAAGTCTAAAGCATTGTTACACATGAGTCTGGATTTGGCTCTTAATTTGCCATGCAGTTCTATTTAGTGAGTTTTACTTTGAGTGATCCCTGCATTACATTAAGGAATAAATTATGAATCACAGTAGTAAAAAACTGGAAAGAATCTGTAGGGATTATACAACTTATATTCTCATTTCTTAAGCTGACTACATGTGGATATTTCAAATAGGAGGATGTTTTATTATGGTAGGTGTTAAAAGAAGATGGTCCTGCCCCTCTGTATGTATTCATTTCACATCACAGTAATTTTAATCATCTAGTGTTTTCTCCTTAAGTCTAACAAAAATTTTTCCCTTATAATTTATGTGGTTAAATGCACTTTAAGTCTGTTTTCTTTTAACTTGTTCTTAAGGTGATGAAGAGCTACTGTTTACTATATTATAAGGAAAAATAAAACAACACAACTTCAGTTATTATGCTAATCTCACTATCTCAACCATCAGGATAATTTATTAGTTTAAATAATTGGATCTTTTTTATGAGTACTGACAGTTTTCCTGTGAACAAATCTCTTACCATTCCTTTATATTTTCACTTTCTAAAGAGGACACAGTCGTAAAATATTCTGCTTTTTATGTAGATTGTGTAGTCAGAATTTCCTTTTCTTATGTCATGAATGCTATAGCCTTGTTTTTGTTAGTCCTTATATTTTCCTTGTTGAGTTACAGGTACTTCTGCATTTTCATAGTTATTTGTTTACCACCTTCTATTTCTGTAACTTGTTTAAGCAAATGAAATTACTATAGTAAAGGTTACTATAACTTCTTTGGTATTCCAGTGGTATTGTATCCTGGGATATTGTATGTTATATAGCTTTATGTTACAGATATCATAGCCTATAGGGCGATATGTTTTTATGTAATGTCAAGGTTATATGAGATTCAGTTTTAAAAAACATACTATGTATATGTATTCAAAAGCTGTCATTTGATTTTGGAATGTGATATTTTTTAGTAAGATCACAATTTACATAAATTAAGTTTTGGATTTTAATAGAGAAGAGTTAGTAAATAAAAAGGTTACCTAAAGAAATATGACCAGGATTAAGGCCTTATGTGTTACTGTTCATCTTACTGGTATACTTTAAACAACGTATTATGGGACACTGTTACTTGAAAGATTGATAATACATGTAGATCTCATGACCAGTTAAACTGAATTTTTGTTTCACAAACCATAAGTAATTTCATCTTTTGTTCATGAGGTTAGATTTAAATTTACTCTTTTCTATAATTCCATTTTAATAATAATATTTTTATTTTAGACAGATCTGAGAACAATTGGCAAGAAATTCCTCCCCAGTGACATCAATAGTGGAAAGGTAGAAAAGGTAAAGAAAATCAATAACTTCTTACATTAATTAATTTAGTTACAATAAATATGAACTAAATTACTGGAATTACTTTTTGTCAATAAAGACTGCAATTGCAAAATACTCTGGAGGTGAACAGGTCACAAAGTCATTGTTATGGTGACTTCCATGGAAAATTATTAAGAATTCAACTTTTGGTGACTTTTCAACATTAAAAAAAAAAGCAACCTTTTGTTTCAGAATTTGTAACTATGGCATGCTTACATGAACGGTGAGACTTAAAACCAGATGTAATTGGCACTCATTACAATGACCTTTTCTTACCTTTCAATTTTATTTACCTTTTTATTTTAGTTACCTTAATAAACTGTTATGTTTATTTAATGAACTTATTATATACAAATATAAGATTATGAAAGTATTAGGAGCAAGTTGGTGAAGCTGTGCATTTGTCTATTGCAATCATTTTGCAGTACACACATATGTATTCGTGTTATGAATTTTTTTGCGTCAGCAAACTTTAATTATATTTTTACCTAAACATTTTATGCTGCAAGTTAAAGTCCATGTCTTCTTTGTCTTTCATCAGGAGAAATGGAGTACATCTGGTTACCTTCCTTTGTAAATAATTATATACGTGAAGACATAAATGTCAGTGCCACAGGTTTCTTTTTGCTAAAGCCATCTATCTTGATTCCTTTGTTTATTTTAGTCTCAAGCTTTACTTTTCATCTCTATTGTTCTTAGAATCCTCTCCAGTTTCTTTACATTTCTTTTTCTTTTGGTTATAGTGGCTATCTCAGACTTCAGTGTGCACCAGAATTTCCCAGAGGTCTGGCTAGAACACAAATTGCTGGACCTCAAACAACCTCTACTCCCATCTGAGTTTCTGATTCAGTAGGACTAGGATGGAATCCAAGAATTTGCATTTCGAACAGTTTTCCAGGAGATGTAGAGTTCTAGGAAGGATACTTAGAAAAGTAGGCAACAATCTTGACTAGGTGTGTTGAATGCAACAAATCTCTATAGGAAAAGTAAATAATATCAAAGCAGTGTCTGTACATCCTTACATTATTTTACTTAAAATTTTGAAGCTTTCTGATTCTTGGTTTTCTGCTTTCTCTGTGTGTCCTAAAAAGATGCTGAGAACTCACCTCTGCTACAAGCTCATAGAATAGTAGTACAGAGATTCTTGTCTGCTCCCTTCACTCTTTCAGAGTGTTTTTACTTTTAAAAGTTTTGCACAGTGGTCTCTTTAAGATTTCCTTTGAATGTAGCTAGCAAGAAGAAAAATAACTTTAAAACTTTCTGATCTAGATTATTATGTCAAATTTTATCTTTTAAAACATTCTTAATGCAAATGTAACTTTTCACATGAAACAAAAATTTGATATCTCTGCTTGCTCTTCCTCATTGATTATATTTTTTCCTTTCATTACATACTTCCAACACAATATTAATAAACTAATAGTTTTCTAGAATTATTATTCACAGAATTATTATTTTTTCTGAGATGGAGTCTTGCTCTGTTGCCCAGGCTGGAGTGCAGTGATATGATCTCAGCTCACTGCAACCTCCACCACCTGGGTTCAGTTGATTCTCCTGCCCCAGCCTCCCTAGTAACTGAGACTACAGACAGGTGCATGCCACCACGCCTGGCTAATTTTTGTATTTTTTAGTAGAGATGGATTTCTCCATGTTGGCCAGTCTGGTCTCAAACTCCTGACCTCAAGTCATCTGCCCACCTCAGCCTCCCAAAGTATTGGGATTACAGGTGTGAGCCACTGTGCCTGGCCTTCTCACAGAATTATTCTTATATGTCATATAAGAATATATATTATTCTCACAGAATTAATAATTGTCTTCACCAGTATTAATGAAGATGTTTTGAAAAATAATTTAAATAAACATTTTAGAAGCTGGCACACAGAAATTACTCATTTGGTTTGTCTTTAGCTAAAAATCCATATGTTATATAAAAATGTAACTATCTTAAACCAGAGTACATATTCAAGGAATATATTTTTGATGTGAATGGAATTATTTTGGTTTCTTTGTTAGTAAAATAAGACTAATATAGTAAAAGCTCCTTATTTATGTCTTCATTGGAATGCTTTTATTAACCAGCATTTTACCATTAATGATGACTATAAATGCATGACTCTAGAATCAGTCACTACTGATCCGTTACTTACTAACATTATGTAAGTTATAGTTCTTGTTTAAATCAACTTTGTTTGAATCTGTGCATAAGATACAGGACAACAGTTGGCAAACAGAATATTTGAATAAGTAATCTGCCTATCTCTTGACCATGCCAGATTTTGGTATAAAATGATATTTTCTAGTTTTCTTTTTATATTAGAAAAGAGTGAAAGAAAGAGCTGGGTTATCCAGTGATCTTTCAAATAGGGCGTACTAAAAACCAATGTTCCAAAAACTAACTTAGAAAACTTAAAATATACAATAGACTATTTCAAGAAGCAGAGGAGGCATGGTTGTGGCATGTTTCTGATTGAGGGTGGAGAGGCATTAAATGATACGGACCAGGAACAGATTAGAGACATCCAGACATAGGGTCATTGCCCTGGATTTAAATCTTCTTTCTCCTGCTTATTGGTTTTTGTGACTTTTCATAAGTCAGTTAATCTTGCCAGATTTTAATTTCCTTATCATTTAAATACTACTCCCTTACAACATTGAAGACATAAATGAGATAATACTAAATCCAGTACAATGCATATGGCAAGCTTCGAGAATTATGAGCAATTTAGGATGGTATTTTTATCTTGAAAGTCTAAGAATATGTGAATCCTTATTATGTCAGCTAGGTATCTTGTTACTGAGAGATCTTCAAGGGGATTCAATAAATAAGGTAAGGCAAATTGGTAAATCATTATTGTCTGGGTTTTGGCCCCAAACCCCATGCAGAATTCTACTACTTGAGGTAGGTTGGTCTCTGGTAGAATGAAAGCAAGCTAAAACCCCTTCTCTGACTGTTTCTACTAAGTTCCAAGCCCATCTGATATTACCATTTCTGAGAGAGAAAGCCAAAGGAGAGTGAGGATTGGAGAGCATTTGGCCCAGTATTTAAGAAGCAAAGAGTTAAAAAGCAACATGTTGCGGGGAGGAGGGTGTCATCTTAGTAGAAACTGCCTCCATTAACGTTGTGTGGTGCCTTTGAAAGGGCCTCACCCATGTATTTTCCAACCACCTTGGAATCTCATTCACTAGGCCTGAGGCTCAGTACAATGCACTGGAGCTTCTCCAAGACATATCAGTAATCTTTTTTGGAAGTAGATTAAAGGAGTGTAGAGACGAGTCTTCAAACTTCATCTCCTGAAAGCCCAAAGTAAATGATCACACAGTGTGTATTATTATTTTTATAGTTAATAAGACTTAGATAATGCTGTTTTCAGCATTTGGGAACTTGAGAGTGGGAAGGGAGAATGGAGAGCTGATAGATCTGTCATCAGGTAAGAAAGATTGTAAGTCTGCAGTTAGAAGACCAGCTAATCCTGGACATATTGAATTTACAGCTCTCATTCTAAGACGCATCAGAGGCCTTCAGAAAGGCGTCGTCCTGAAGCTTTGAAACTGAAGTCTTAATAATTGCTACTATCATTGATTATTTTGGGAGAAGACAGAATGGCAAAAAGTAGAAGTAGCTTTATTACTAATTAATATAGTAGTTTTGCTCAGGTTCTTTTCTCTTTCTTCCATTCTCTTCTTAACATACTTTTCAATTTCTGTCTTTTCTCCACAAAGTTTCCCCAGAACCTTGATGCAAAAGTTTCAGAAAAATTTAAAAAGTGGTGAGAGTTGGACAATCACAATTTTTTCCAGGCTTCCAGATTTTCTTATAGGCACTTCATATTTGATTCAAAAGCTGTAAAAATTGTGACTGGAAGGAAGTGTGGTAGGGAAGCCATATTATGCAACTTATTTTCTGAGTTTTTCAGGGCATGCTTTGTTTTTCTTGGATATTACAAAGTCCTAGGACTGCTGTAGCAGCTTGT
Organism: Homo sapiens; assembly: GCF_000001405.40. Lineage (NCBI taxonomy): Eukaryota > Metazoa > Chordata > Mammalia > Primates > Hominidae > Homo > Homo sapiens. The sequence continues at coordinate 60,448,750 of NC_000013.11, forward strand.
AAGCTAAAAATTATGGAAAAAGTCATGATAAAAAGGAAGTATAACTGTTTAATATTCTTCCCCAATTTTAATATTTTGCTGTAGCTTTTTAAACCTAGGCGTAAAAGTTAATTATAAAATACAGATTAGTTTCAAAATACTTTCTTATCAATTCAGCTACTCGAGGACCTTATGTACTGCTATGGAGTCCTAACTGTACAGTCTTTGAGTTCTGTGTTTATTTTTTCTAAGTTCTAAGAATGACAGGTTGTATATACCTTTTTAAATGTAAAACTATGAATAAGACCTAATTTTCCCAAGTAGGAGTGACTGGTCTCAAAACCTCAGCAATACTGACATCAACCACAAGATGGCTTCACTGCCTTAAAATTCAAAGTGAAGGTTCTCTTGCCCTTGGATAGTCTAGAAATCGGATGTTTTTAAAAAGAAAAGGAATTGAAAAAAGTTTTAACTTTTGATTTAATAAAATAATATGTTTCCTATATGTTAGTCTGTGTTAAGTAATACAATTTGTTTCTTTTAGTGAGCTATATATTAAAATTAAACATCTACTTGTATTAGAAAAAATGGATTACTAAAACTTTCATGCTTTATTTACAAGTCCTTATTGGTAATTACTAATAGGACTTCTGTGGAGTTTAAATAGATAACTGAAAAATAAACTATTCAACTTACCTTTTTCTGTTTTTGGTTCCAAGGAACAAAAAGTTAGAGAAGTGAAGAATAGAAATGTGGAAATTGTCAAATGATACACTGGGAAAAGTGTTGCTTTTGGCTGGTAGTCCCACATACTTTCCTTGTATTCATTTGCTATAATTACTTTGTGATTGAATACGAGCAACTTATGTGCCCTACTGTTATTTTGAGGGTTAAATTGAGGCTTTTTACTTTCAGGGAATCTTACGTTTGCAAAAACCTATTCAAGATTATGTTGTCAATTTCTTAATTATAAGGAATTTATTAAATGTTTTAAAAATTCCTAAGGGGTAGATCTTCTAGTAAATATACAACTATATTTATAATTTAGAAAGTTTTAATTTTATTATTTACTTTCCACTTAAACTCCTTTGCTGCATATGAATATCATTTGAAAAATTTGAGATTAGGATTAGGTACTCCCTTCCCTAAAGCTATTTCTTTCAATATTCTTGATGCTTTTGTCATCTGCTTCCCTCTTGATCTTTTTTGGCACAAGCACCTACCTTACCTAGGAGAACCCTGGTTTTTAGTGAATTCTAATAATTCTTGTTCTTGTTTTTCTTCTGTCATTTGTTGAGTACCTATTCTATGCTAGGTCCCATGTTAAATAATTTATATGTATTATCTATACAATATTCAGAACAACACAGAAAATATAAACTATTATAGCCTTCCCTTTTACTTTAGAGATAAGAGAATTGCACCTTCCCTAAGATCACAGTTTTTTGTTGCTAGAGCACCTGAGTGTCCTTCCCTCAGCTGTCAGACAAACTGCTATTTATTTTTCAGATTCCAACTGAGGTGTGACCCTTCTCTTCTAATTTTCTTGACCTCTTTTGAGCAGAATTAATTTTTAAATACGAATATTCTCATTGCCCTTTATACCTACATCTGTTTTTAGTATGTAACAAATATTATCATACTTTTAGAATATGCACTACAAAGACAGGCTTTGGCATGAGATAGATCCGAATTGGAATTCTAATTTGCCTCTTACTGACTGAGTGACCACTGGTAAAGTACTTTATCCTCTGTCCTTAATTTTCTTATTTAGTAAATACAAATAATCCTAGGGTACTTTATATTTCTGGAGGTAAATTAAAGAACTTATGTAAAGATCCTGCTATATTTTCTGGTATGTATCTAGGAAGTGCTAAGTAAATTATAGTTAAAGCACTAGAAAATATATTTTTTTAATCAGACGGTGTCTGAATGTGTATTTGTGCCAAGAGATAGGGATGTAGAGATCAAGATAGCCTCTGTCTTATTGGAGCACATAGCCTAATGAGAGATTGAGAAACCAGCCGTGTCAATGTAGTGAAACAAATGCTATGTCAAAGGTGTGTACAATAAAGGGGCAGCTGTTTCAGTTTAGTGAGGGTATTAGGTTGCTTTTCTTGCTAGACTGTTAGCTTTTAGAGATGTGATTTTCAATGAAGGAATAGTGGGTAGATGCCCCATATCGGGCGTATTTAAAATCTTAGGTTATAGCTCTACGGTACATACACACATACACACACAGATCACGCATACACACACACTATATTTAATGTTTTCTATTACACAAAAAGCTCCTTTGTAGTGGAAACTAAAGAATAAAAAATAAAGCTTGACAGATCTTGACTGGTAACAATACATGGAAGATAAGTATAGTGGATATTTGTAATTTCTAAAACCTGAATTATCTCCCTGTGGGGGAATTTCCCATTTTAAGAGTTTTGGTGGTAGAGAAGAAGAAAATGCCAGATACTTTTCTCCCAGCCTCCTTTGCAGCTATGCTAGTCAGGTGTAGCTGCCTTGGAGTTGGGCCAGTTACACACAAAAAAGCGGGACCTGTGGAGAATCCTGTCAGTAATAGTTGAAGTTGCAGCAAGATTGTTTCTGGAGTAGTGGCTGCAGGAGTGCCAGAGTAAGTGTCCAGAGCCATTGAGATCTCTGGTACAAGAAATAGTGTTAGATGCTTGCCGTGTGCTGGATCCAGCTTGTTCCAGCTCGTGAAGTTCATTGTCGGCATCTTTTTCCAATTTAGAGTGCAATAACCTCCAGTTGACGGTTGTGGTTGGCCATGGAAATTGGCACAAATTACAGATTACAGTGGCTTTTCCCCTGTCCCTCTACCAGAAGTATTTTACCAACACACCTCTGCACACATATAACAGTTTCCCTAAGGAATATAAACAGGAATGGAACTCTACTGCATTGTGGAATTAAGCCAGTATTCAACTTTACAAGATAATGCCAAATTATCTTGCAAAGCACTTGTATCAACTATGTTACCTTCAGTATTGTATATGAGATTCAATTGAGCCATATCTTTTGTGGCACTTGATCAAAATTTTCTAATCTTGTGATTGTAAAATACATTATTCTTCCTTAGGCTATTCTCTCCCCTGCCCATACAGATTTTAGAATCAAATGATTAAGACTCTTAAAAATATCATGTTGGAGTTTTGATTGAAATTGCATTGAATCTGCGCATTAGCTTAAAAACAATTGACATCTTTATATGATATGATATTACCAGTGAAATGCTGGTAAAATGCTTCTCTGAAGAGCAAAAAATAGCCCTGACACATAGCATTTGCCACTTTCTATGGTATAAATATTCCCTGTTTGGCTGATTGTAAGCTATGTTATAAAATCACTGAACCGGGAATTAGGAAGAAATGTACATAAAAAGTTTTTGTGAGCTTGCATGAGCTGGCTCCAGCACAACCCTGGGTATATCTCTTCCTTTATTTTTCCCATAAAGTTTTATAATTTATTGGAAGTATATGGGCTGTGCATCTTTTGTAAGCTTTATTCCTGGACCTATCTATTTTTGTTATTGTAAATGGTGTTTAAAAATTTTTTAATTACTATTTCCTCTGTTACTGGTACATGGAAAGGCAGCTGATATTTGCATATTGATTGTAATTCTGTCACCTGCCAGTTATTCTTACATTATTATTCTTATATATTCTATTCTTCTTCTTATTCCAGATATAATTTTTAAAACACCATTTACAACAAGAATAATATATTCTTACATTATTCTGTATATTCTTTTGAGTTTTCTCTATAAATTTGCCTTTTCTTGGTATTTCACGTGAATGGAATCACATGATATATAGCCTGTTGTATCTGGTTTCTTTCATTTAGTGTAATATTTTTTAGGATAATCGATAACATAGCATATGTTGATAGTTTTTCCTGTTTATTGGTGATTAATATTCCATTGTATGGATATCCCACATTTTGTCCTTCCACTTACTATTAGTTTGGTGCAAAAGTAATTGCAGTTTTTTCCATTGAAAGTAATGGCAAAAACCACAGTTATTTTTGCACCAACCTAATAGTTTCTGGACATTTTGATCACTGTTCTTAGTTTTTTTTTTTTTTAATTACTAAATGTATATGTCTCTTATTACTGTTATCAGTTCTTAAATTGTTGGTTTGTGCCTTTACTCTTTGCTTCTTGATTACTCTTGTCAGTTATCAGTTTCATTAGTCTTTGTTACAATAGACTTTGTTAATGTTGTTATTGTATTTTTAGTTTGATTCATTTATTTTTCTTCTACCTGATTTGAACTCACTGCTTTTTTTCCTCAACTTCTTAGTTCAACTCATTAGTTTTATTTTTTCAAAAATAGGTTTTAAGATATACCAAAGAAACTATGCAATACAAAAGTTTAACGATGAAGTTAAAATATATAGCAAAAGCTAAATATGACAATACACATGAATAATGTATATAATAAGCCTTTCAATACTAGAAAACTAAAATGGGAAGAACTTACTGAAGGGTAACATACATAAAATGGGGACTAATAGCAAGAAACAATCCTAAACATTTTCCCAATGACTGACTAAGCCTCAAAAAGACAGCTTAGGAAAACGAGTAACATGTAGTTTTTCTTTTCCTAGCCAATTCAGTTCTACTTAGATAAATCTGGTTACCAATCAATACATATATAAATTAGAGTAATTGTTTTTCTACTGAATTAGTACCAGTTTTTCTTTTTCACCTTTTCCCTAATTTTCTCTAGCAACACTTTCCTTTAATCAGTTGAACTCAAAAGGTTTGGTACGTAAAATGAATATCAGCTCTTATTGGAATAGCACTTGGGAAGTGCAATTCTAGAAAAGGCAAATGTTTAACCGAGGTTCTTGACAAAGTTAAGCATCCCATTCTCCATAAGACAGTGACTCCCATGTTAATCACTAGGTTAATGGCTGCTCTTGGCTAGATCACAAGACCCTGCAGGATACTGGAATGCTCCCTGGTGAGGTACTGTAGAGCTATGTGAACAAACACCCACCCATTTAAGCTTTCAGTAAATACAAAGCATTTTAAACCATTTCAGTAGAATAAATTAAAAATACGGCATTTCTATTGGCCTGCTTTGCTTCTTGAGCTGGCTTGGAGTGCTGTTCATGATATAAAAGACAACTTCTTAATTCAACTCATTAGTTTTTTTTGTTTTTTTTTCAGTTCTCTTTAAGGCTATCAATTTTTCTTCTAGCACTGATTTAACTATACTCCTATATTTACATAGGAAATATATGTGTATTTACATATTTACAAACATAACTTTATATTCAGGTATAAAGGTTTTATACATGGTACTTTCATTATTCAGCTCTAAATATTTTTCAATTAACCTTATGATTACTTCTTTCCCTATTTTGATTACAGAATATTAGGTTTGTTTTGGTTACGGATTTCTAATTCAGTTACGTTGTGATCAGAGAATTTGGACTGAATGATAGCTGTATTTTGAAATTTGTAGAGTCTTTATGGCTTGATATGTATTGGTAAATGTCACATGTATGCTTGAGAAGATACTTGTTCCTATTGGGTTTAAAGTTTTGTATAAATTTTCTAGTTTAGGCTTATTATTTTGTAGTCTGTGTTTGATACTTACAAATTCTCAAGTCCTTAGGGGCTTAAAATTTTTTTTAATAATTTTTTTTAATATTTCTCAATCTTCGTAGCTTGTTTCCTTGTAAGTCTCATGATAGTTTGTTATGATTTCATTTTTCTTGATCTTTCTCTGTGAGAATCCTGGCCACTTGAATCAGAAATGCTTTTTTGTTTTGTTTTGTTTTTAGAAGGGATATGTGCTTCTTTCTGCCTTGAGCTAGTGGGGGTGCTACTTGACTTACAGTGAGTTAAAGTGCTGGCTAAGGTTAACTTTGCCCCTTGGCCACCAGCCCAAAGCTGAAACTCTTAGTTGCAGTGTTGTTACTGCCAGAAGCAAACATCTTCTTTGGAGGGAAATGTAGCCCAAATTGGGGTTCACCCTAGATGCGTACATGGATGACATTGGGAATGTTTCTGAAATTTCTAACAATGTATATTTCTTTTTTTTTTTTATTTTTGTTTTCTTGGGTCTGATACCATACGTAGAATGGTACAGGGTGTATGTGACAAATCAGACTTTATTTTTTTCTCTCTTCCTATCCCACCTCTATTGATTGATTGGTTGATTGATTGATTGAGACAGAGTCTTGCTCTTGTTGCCCAGGCTGGAGTGCAGTGGCGCGATCTCGGCTCACTGCAACCTCTCCTTCCCGGATTTAAGCGATTCTCCTGCCTCAGCCTCCCAAGTAGCTGGGATTACAGGCGCCTGCCACCACGCCCGGCTAATTTTGTATTTTTAGTAGAGACGGGGTTTCACCATGTTGGTCAGGCTAGTCTGGAACTCCTGACCTCAGGTGATCCGCCCACCTCAGCCTCCCAAAGTGCTGGGATTACAGGTGTGTGCCACCACACCTGGCTTATATTTATTTATTAAAGTCAAATTGTGTTGAAATGATACTAAGAGATGTTTTGACAGAGAAAGTAGGTAAAAAAGAGGTCGTCATAAGTGCTATTTAAAGCTTATCTTTCAGGCTTTTAAAGCAGCTATAGGCAGAATTAGTATTTCTTCTTCCAAGGCAGCTTTCTTGAAACATTGCCCTGTTAAGGGCAATGGGCCTTAAGGTAAAGATGTGAATAATTTAGTCAAAAACCTCCCTTGAAATAAAAGAATGGATGAAAAAATGATCCCTAGGAAATCTCCCCTGAAGCCACTGGAAATGCTTTTGGAAGTAGTGATGGGGTAGAGAAGGAAATGAATTAAGACTTTAAGTAGATAAAAGAACTATGGAAGATTAAACTATTTCATTTTCTCTTAATTTTAATCTACTTTGCAATAATGGTGGAACATTGATTGGAACTGAATCACACTCATATATTCCTTTTGGGTGTATGGTTTGTTTCTAGGGTTGATGGAGAGTGTGATGCTTATGTTGTTAGGTATACAGATTGAGAAATTTCTTTCTCAAGAGAATTAATAAGATTACAAAAACAGGCCAGGTATGGTTGCCCACGCCTGTAATCCCAGCACTTTAGAAGGCCAAGGTGGGTGGATCACCTGAGGTCCAGAGTTCGAGACCAGCCTGGCCAACATGGTGAAACCCATCTCTACTAAAAAAGATAGAAAAATTAGCTGGGTGTGGTTGCTCACACCTGTAATCCCAGCTACTAGGGAGGCTGAGGAAGGAGAATCACTTGAACCTGGGAGGCGGAGGTTGCAGTGAGCCGAGATCAAGCCATTGCACTCCAGCCTGGGTGACAGAGTGAGACTATGTCTCAAAAAAAAAAAAAAAAAAAGATTAATGGCTGGCATGTATTTTCAGGTTAAGTGTCTTAAATGGTTTCTAGAGTTAAGAAAAAAAAATTGTTTTAAGTGTTTATCCAGATGTGATTATACTGTAGAGAATTAGTCCCCTGTCATCCAAACTTTGGAGTCTGATTGATAGACAAGAATGTTATTTAGTATGATCAATAAATTAATAAATTAACACAACCATTTAAATCTGATATTTCATATCCGTTGGTATGACTAGTTAGGAGTTTAGATGACAGAGGTATTCGTCTACCTCAGGAGAAGAAGGAATGATGCCTGGATTAATGGCCTGAGAGAATATTTCTAGCAGATACTTAATATTGTTTGTTAGAGTTAGACATGCTTACCTGGAGGTGCAATGATACATCTTTCTAAGCCACTAAAATTTTTTAGAGTAATTTCTTTTGATTTTTTCTTATTACTAATACAAAAGAGAAAATCAGACATTAAAGAAGACTTGGGTGATCAAGATTAATCCTTTTTATTATTTTCATTTGAAATTGGTATTTTTTTTACTTTGGAGTTGCTCTTAACAGTAGTTGAAGAAAGATTTAGAAATTAATTCTTGTCTATTTTTGTGGATGTTTTAGATGACTTTTTTTGAGACACCTTTTTGTGTGTATGTGTGTCACCTGGGCCAGAGTGTAGTGGCGCAATCGTGGTTCACTGTAGCCTCCACCTCCCAGGCTCAAGAGATCCTGCCATCTCAGCCTCCCAAGTAGCTGCGGCTACAAGCACACACCACCACGCTTGGCTAATTTTTGTATTTTTTGTAGAGATGGGGTCTCCCTATGTTGCCCAGGCTGGTCTCAAACTCCTGGGTTCAAGCGAGCCACCCACCTCCATCCTCCAAAGTGCTGAGATTACAGGTGTGAGTCACCGCACCCAGCCTTAAGATGATTTTAGATTCAGGATTTAGGATCTTAGAACCATAACATTTAAAAAATTTTATTATGTATATTTTATCTAGGTCCATTACTTCCCTATGTTTTAACTACAGAGTATAAGAAACTGAATATTGTAAGCAGAATAATGAAAAAAATCGTTATATTTACTGGTTTACTCATAGAATATTTCTGAATTGTGGAACTACTAACTTAAGGCTTGATGATTCAAATTAAGAAGTGACAAGAGATTCTGTAAAATCTGTGGGTTTCTCAGGAGGATCTAATAAATAATACCTCCTTTCTACCTTGCTTTTGAACCAGTTAACAAGTACAAGAGTGGCATATGTGGGCCAAAATAACTTTATTACTGATTAAAATGTATTTTGAAGATGTGGCTTAGTGGGACAGCCAAATGGACGCATTAACTGAACCACAGAACATGTAGGCTTGTACACTCACTCGTAGAAGTGCCAATCCGGTGAGGAGGCTGAATAAGTGCCCCCTCCCTCATGTTCCCTAGCTAGGCTAGATCTCAAGAGGAAGATGAGTGAGGCTGAGGCCAATATACAGTATTTTCTTCGCAATCAGGTAACTCATTCCATAAGTGGGTATAGTAGTTATCTGAGGCTGCTGTAACAAATTACCACAAACTTGGTGGCTATAAAACAATGGAAATTTATTTTCTCACAGTTTTGTAGGCCAGAAGTTTAAAATTAAAGTGTCAGCAGGGTTGGTTCCTTTTGGAGGCTCTGAGGGAGTATCAGTTTCATGCTTCTCACCTAGCTTTTGGTAGCTGTAGCAGTCCTTGGCCTTTTTTGGCTTGTAGATGCATAACTTTAATTTCTGCCTTCATTTTCAAATGGTCTTTATACTCTGTCTGTGTTTGTTTCCCCTTCTCTTCTAAGGACACTCGTCATTGGCTTTAGGGCCCACTGTAATTCACAGTGTTCTCATCTTTAGATCCTTACCTTAATTACATCTGAAAAGAGCCTTGTTCCCAAACGAGGTCATATTTATAGGTTCTAGGTGGACTTGTCTTTTGGTGGAGCCACTATTTAACCCACTAAAAGAGGTGGAGAGGCCAGGAGTTGGATTAATTAAATAAGTAAACTTGCTGCTTGCTTGGAAATCGGCATTTGGGGGCAGGTGTTCCTCCTTATCCTTCATTCCCCAGATCTTTGTTCTCATAGTCAACCAGATGTAGGAGATCACCAAAATAGTCCTATTCCTGCCCTGTGTTTGCATCAATGGCATTGTCTTCAATTTGTGTTCCTTTGACAGAATCTTTTAAAGTGACATGTCCACTTTGTGAGCAATAGTGAGTAAAACTAGGTAATGTAATGCATGTGTCCATTTAACTGTACAAAGAAAAGGCAGTTTGTCACAACACATTGAAAGCAAACAAGAGAAGGTGTCATGTCAACACCCAGGGGACGTAGAACTCCCAAAATTCCATGAAGATGCCTAGTGACCTGTGTTGTATGGATTGAATAAGGGTGCCATGGTTGCTCCAGATATCGAATATTGGTAAAGTTGGATTTTTTTGACTACTAAACATTAAATAAAAGCAAATGTTTCCCTCCTACATTTGAATGGAAGTGCGGTGCCTAGGATGCATGAGTCTCATTTTGGAACATGTAGGCCTAGATCATCACCAACTGTGTGATGGTTTTTTTGCAATGATGAAAGTGGTCTAACTCTGTGCTCTCCATATATAGAACACTTGAAATATGGCTAGTACGATTGAACAATTTTTAATTTCACTTAATTTTAAGTGAAAATTTAAATAGCTACATGTGGCTGGAGGATTGTATTGGACAGCATAGGCTAGATATTTGTCAATGCCTAGGCTAAAAATATGGGATACCAAAATAAACAGAATTATGAGCTATAATAACCATAACATGCCTGTGATTTAATTTAAATGTCCTTATTTTAATGGCATTAACAAAAGCCAAATAAAAAGTTCATCCTGAATTAGCAGCTTATCTATACTTGTTAACAGTTTCGGACTTGCTTCAACTTGGAATTTTTTTTCGTAAGTGAAAATTAGATGAAATTTTAGATTATCTTTTCCAATTATGTTCTCTAGGCCTAAATTTATAATAACAAAATTACTCCTTTTTTAGGCAAAATACTGATAAATATGGAGTAGAAATTTTTCAACTTAGGAACATGCTTGCTTAGGAAATGTAGTGTAAATATTTGTCTATCATTTCACATTTCTCTTTGCTGAAAATATAAATTAATATGCACAGAAAGATTTTACTTAAAAGCCTATTTTTAAAACAGCCTTTTTCCCCTAAGGTATGATACTACTTAAAGATGTAGAAGTTGCCACTTTAGTTAAATTTACTTTTCAGACACGTAAGCAGATTTTACTGTTATTTCTCAACTTTGCTCTAAGTATATTTGTTTTATTTTTATCTTTGATTGAAATTTGGCCAACACATATAATACAGCATTAGATTTAATATCGAAGTTAAAGTTTTTATTTTAAAAAGGAAAATGTGAAAATATGTCAATTACAACTCATACTTCTTCAACTTTTTAGTTTTGGTGGTATTGTATGCTTCATGTATACCAGGAGAGGGAGCACTTTAAACTTGATGTCTCTGAACAGAAAACACTCTTTTGTTGTTGTGTTGAGACGGAGTCTCGCTCTGTCATCCAGGCTGCAGTGCAATGGCTTGATCTCGGCTCACTGCAACTTCCATTTCCCGGATTCAAGTGATTCTTCTGCCTCAGCCTCCCAAGTAGCTGGGATTACAGGTGCATGCCACCATACCCAGCTAATTTTTGTATTTTTAGTAGAGACGGGGATTCACCATGTTGGCCTGGCTGGTCACAAGCTCCTGACCTCAGGTAATCCACCTGCCTCGGCCTCCCAAAGTGCTGGGATTACAGGTGTGAGCTACCACACCCGGTCCAGAGAGCATTCTTTTGGATTGCTGCCATAAATTTGATTCACTTAAAAAAACTGCAAAGTTCTTTATTTTCAAGGTGTCCCTTAATGTAAAAGGAGGGAGAAGTGGGATTTATGGGTATGATTTAGAGTGCATAAGACTAACAACAGCAATAAATATACCTTTCATCCAGAAATATAACTGTTTTCCTAGGGTTTTCTTTTCTCATTACCTTCTGAAAATGAATTCAGAATTATTAAAACAAAATTGTTCTTCAGGAGACCTTTTTGAAGTTTTCTCTTTTAATACCAAAACAAAGAAAAAACTTGATAATATATAATTTCAGTTTCAATCTTAATTGAAGTTATTATAAATCATAAAGCATGACTATTAAGGAAAAGAGAAACACTATAAATGAAAACACAGCCCTGAATAGAGTTTCATGACTAGAAAGTGATTTTTATTCTTTTCTGTTTTGACAGCTCGAAGGTCCATGTGTTTTGCAAATTCAAAAAATTCGCAATGTTGCTGCACCAAAGGATAATGAAGAATCTCAGGCTGCACCAAGGATGCTGCGATTACAGATGACTGATGGTCATATAAGTTGCACAGCAGTAGAATTTAGTTATATGTCAAAAATAAGGTGATTGGCACTTTATTTTGTGTATTTGTTACAGAATGTTGAAGGTGCTATTCAATTGGAATAACTTAAGAATTTTGAAAAGTAGGAATGGACCCTTAATTGTGTGTTACAGTTTTTCAGATGAAATTATAGAGCTTTTCTGCATTTCTGCTTCACCTGTATAAAAATAGTTAAGAATATATGGCCAGGCGTGGTGGCTCAAGCCTGTAATCCCAGCACTTTGGGAGGCCAAGGGGGACGGATCACCCAAGGTCAGGAGTTCAAGACCAGCCTGACCAATGTGGTGAAACCCTGTCTCTACAAAATACAAGAATTAGCCAGGCATGATGGCGGGTGCCGGTAATCCCAGCTACTTGGGAGGCTGAGGTGGGAGAATAGCTTGAACCTGGTAGGCGGAGGTTGCAGTGAGCTGAGATCATGCCATTGCACTTCAGCCTGGGTGACAGTGGGACTGTGTCTCAAAAATATATATATATAAAATAAAAATAAATTAAAAAATAGTTAAGTATATAGTTACTTCTTGATTGAATGTTAATTATAAAATGAAAGTAATCTTTTCAGTTTTGTCAGATACTTTAGGTCACTCAATTGTTAGAACAAACAGAATTTTTAAAAATACGGTTTCATCCTTGACAGTTCAGTAGTTGTGTGTATAATAGTGTGTTCATCACACTGTTTAATGTTCTTGCAGAGTTTTATAGGCTAATAAATTTTCCTAGGAAATGATTGAAGTCAGGGAGGTTTGTGATTGACTTTAGTCATTTCCTAGGAAATCATTGGGAATGATTTTCCAAACCCTTTGTTTGGTTATTTTAATAAGAATCTTTTAGAGCCATGCCCAATGGAATGGACGAAAACAATGAGAAGGAAGGGAAATTGTCCCCTCTATTCTTGATATTTCCATTTGGCCATTCTGAGCTCTGTTTTCTGAGGTGGAAACTTTCACTAGACATTTGCAGCCCTCCTCCCACCTGCCTTTTTTGGTCTTCTTTGTCATTTTATACACTCACGTTTGCAGCTCGGGCTCCTCTAAGCTTTTTCACTTAATATAAACTTGTATACCATACTTTTCTCTTGAGCAGGCATTTATCAGGTGTTCCAGCCCTTTAATCCAGTGCTGGAGGTACAAAGGTAAATGAGGTTTAGATTTCAGCCTCTTAGTAGCTCATATGCTAATTAAGTAGGCACGTAGGCATACAAATATTGTAAGACATATATAAACTGAGAGGTCTAAGAGTCTCAAAAATTACTTCTGCCTGGGGTAACCAGGAGTGGGGTTAAAATATGAGTAGGTATTTTAAGGTGCAGGGAGGGAATAGCACATGCAGAGACACAGTGTTCTGACAACAGAAAGAGTGAGAAGTTACATTTGGTGGAGCTTAGGTGATTTAGAACAGTGGGTATGCGAGAGGAAATGTGGTAGGTTGAGGCCTTGTATGACCTTTTCAGTGATTTCCCTTCTTTTTTCTTCTTTCATCTGGTGTCTGCCTCTGGTAAATGAGGCCCCCTCCTCAGAAGATATGTTTGTCGAAAATGTTGATTTCTATATACAAAGGGAGATTTGTTGACATTGTGATTATATTCTCTTCTTTTTGAAGAGTAGGATTCGTACTTTTGTGTAGAAACAGCTTTTCAAATTCCTATGACGAATTCAGTCACACCCCTTGCAAGGGAGCTCACAGATGACTGAGAAGAAAGACTTGCCATGTAATGGCTCATTCTCTGATTTTATGGCTGTATATTTCTCTGAGGAATAAAAACACAAGGTCAGCCCTGAGTGTCACTGCCCAATCTGCCCAGTGCTGTCTACTGTCATCCCTTGTTGAATTTATTGCAGCTTGAAAACTGAAAAAATTAATCGTCGTATGCTCTTCACTCATCATTGAAGCAGCATGCCTACTTTTGGTGCCGTAAAAATGGCAGCTGACAAAATAGTTCTTACAGGTAAACAATTTGGAAGACATTATACAAAATAAGTTTATAGTTATCTTAGAAGGAAGGTGAAACAACTCTCTAGATGGGATAAACCAGGTGCTAATACGGATGTGTTACCTTACATGGGCTTTGCATTTCTCTGCGGTGCTTGTTTCTACTTTTCTGTCCTACCTCCTGCCCTGCCCCTTGCTAGTTTTTATTATTATTATTATTATTACAATGAAGTGAGATTAAAGGAACCTTTGGGTGCCAATGAAAATATTAACCAAAATATACTTTCTGAATAAGAATTAATTATGGTTCTGAAGGTGATAGTAAAAATTGTATTAAAATTTTAGTCCCTGAGTAAAAAGAACAAAGCTGGAGGTATCACGTTACTTGATTTCAAACTACACTACAAATCTATAGTAACCAAAACAGCATGGTACTGGCATAAAAACAGACACATAGACCAATGGAACAGAATAGAGAACCCAGAAATAAATCCACATACTTATAGCCAACTCACTTTCAACAAAGGCATCAAGAACATACATTGGCAAAAGGATAGTCTCTTTAATAAATGCTGCTAGGAAAACTAGCATATGTAGAAGAATGAAATTCCCGTCTCTCACCATATACAAAAATCAACCTAAATGTGGCTGGGCATGGTGACTCATGCCTGTAATCCCAGCACTTTGGGAAGTCAAGGCGGGCGGATCACCTGAGATCAAGAGTTCAAGACTAGCTGGGCGAACATGGTGAAACATGGTGGCACACACCTGTAATCTCAGATACTTGGGAGGCTGAAGCAGGAGAATCACTTGAACCCAGGAGGCAGAGTTTGCAGTGAGCTGAGAACACACCATTGCGCTCCAGTCGGTGTGACAAGAGCAAAATTCTGGCTCAAAAAAAAAAAAAAAAAAAAGATAAGACCTAAAACTATGAAATTACTAGAAGAAAACATTGGGGAAATGCTTCAAGACATTGGTCTGGGCAAAAATTTTTTGGATAAGACCTCAAAAACATAGGCAACATAAGTAAAAATAGAAAATTGGGATTAAATCAAACTAAAAAGCTTCTGCACAGCAGGGGAAACAATGAACAAAGTGAGGAGACTACCTACAGAATGGGAGGAAATATTTGCAAACTATCCATTTGACAAGGGATTAATATCCAGAATATATAAGGAGCTCAAATAATAGCAAAAAACAAAAAAACAAAAAATCCAATTAAAAATTGATAAAAGACCTGAATAGACATTTCTCAAAAGAAGACATACACATGGCCAACAGGCATATGAAAAAATGCTCAGCATCACTAAAACTACAATGAGAGATCATCTCACACAGTTAGAATGCCTATTATCAAAAAGACAGAAGATAACTGCTATAGTTTGGATATTTGACCCTCTAAACCCTATATTGGAATTTGATCCCCAGTGTTGGAGGTGGGGCCTAGTGGGAAGTATTTAGGTCATGGAGGGGCAGAGCCCTCATTAATGGCTTGGTGCCATCCTTGCAGTGAGTGAGTTCTTTATTACTTCCTGTGGGCGCTGGTTGTTAAAAAGAGCCTGGCACCTCCCTCTTTTCTCTTTTGCTGCTCTTTTCATGTGATCTGCATATACCCCTTTGCCTTCTGCCATGAGTGGAAGCAACCTGAAACCCTCACCAGAATTGGATGCTGATGCCATGCTGCTTGTACAGTCTGCAGAACTATGAGCCAAATAAACCTTTCTTTATAAATTACCCAGCCTCAGGTATTCCTTTATAGCAACACAAATAGACTAAGACAATAGCAAATGCTGTTGAGGATGCAGAGAAAGGGGAATGCTCAAACACCACTGATCGGAATGTAAATTAGTGCAACCACCATGGAAAACGGTATGGCGGTTCCTAAGGAAACTAAAAATAGAAATACCATATGATACAGCAGTCTGACTGCTGGATATATATTCAAAAGAAAGGAAGTCAGCATATTGAGGAAGCATCTGCACTCCCATTTTTATTGTAGCACTATTCACAATACCCACGATATGGAATCAACCTAAGTGTGCATCATTGGTTGAATGGATAAAGAAAACATATGTATGTATGTATATGTGTGTGTATACACATACACACACACACATACACACACACACACATACACTGGAATATTATTCCGCCATAAAAAAGAATGAAATCTTGTCATTTGCAACAACAGGGATAGAACTGGAGAGCATTGTATTAAGTGAAATAAACCAGGCACAGAAAGACAAATATTGCATGTTCTCATTCATGTGGGAACTAAAAAAAATTGATCTCCTGGAGATAGTAAAATGGCAGCCAGGAAGGATAGTGGGGAGTGAGTGATAAGGAGGGGTTGGTTAATGGGTACAAAAATACAGTTAGATAGAAGGAATAAGATTTAGTGTTCAGTGGCATAATAGGGTGACTATAGTTAACAGTAATTTATTGAATATTTCAAAATAATTAAAAGAGTAGATTCATAATGTTCTCGCAAAGAAAAGATAAATGTTTGAGGTAATAGATATCTCATTTTTACCCTGATTTGATCATTACACATTGTATATATGTGTCAAAATATCACACATACCCCCAAAATATGTATAATTATGACAACACAAAAATAAAAATTTAGCCCCTAATTCCTTTTGTGGGAATAGAACTTGAATTTAATCTGGTCAGACTATCAATTGTTTCAGTGAAATTGTAGGTCCAGCTTCAAATAACTTGACTACATAGGTCTTAGGTAAATGATCTAATTCATTAGCAATTTCTTTGGAGGTAAAGAGTACAGTAGCCTGGTGTCCTTGGTGCTTATTTTTATTTATCCTTGTACAATGACTGTCAGAGTTATGAAAATCTGAATTTGCTGATTGTCTGGAATTGGGAACGCTTCTTCACTATTGTAATTGTATTCAGCTGTTGCTGATCTTGAACGGTAATAGATGGTTACTACATTTACCACCACAGCTCTCTACTTAAGGGTTAGGTTAGGTAAGGCTGTTCATGACCATTTGTTTTGTCAGTTGTGATTGATCACTAAAAATGATTAAGCTTGGGGCCCTCAAAATAATTTTTTAATTGCTTTATTGAGATAGCATTGGTGTATAAAAATTGTATATATGCAAAATGTACAGAATAATTTTTAATATATAATCTATCTTACTCTGTATGGGCTCTTTGAAGCTTTAAAATCAGACATCCTCTATTTCTTCTTAATAATTATTTTATTAATTATCTTTCTCCAAAAAAGGCCAGTGATATTAGCATTCTTACTGGTTTGCTCTTGCATATATTAGCATGTGGTGAATTTTATGAGGTTTTAAGATGTGAACAATGCAAAGCCATTTCAGAATAATTTTCTAATTTATCCTAAGTATTTACCTTAGAAGTACTATTTGCAGTACTTCTTGCTGTATGTGAGAAGAGATGGGGTGGGGCTTGGTGTGTATGCTTTTATTTTAGAACAGACCTAAGTGACAGCATGGATTTCTTTCCTTGTTTTCCTTTGCCAGAGGGTTAAGAGGGTAAACATTTTGTCTCTGGTTTTCTATAAGAAGAGTCATGGTGTAATGTTTGCCCCAAATCTGATAGCCTACTATAGAAATGTTCTTTTAAAGTTAGTATATAAATAGCTTAAAAATTAGCATATAAAAATCCTTTTAAAGTTAGTGCATAAATAACTTTCATTTGATCTTTGACTTGATGGTGAACAAAAAAAGAGCATTATTTTGTATAAATCACTATGGCTCATATAGATGTTAAATTTTTAGGTTTATTACTGGTCAGATATCTTCTGTATTGAAATTCAACTTTGTAACAAAAAAACAGTATTTTTTCTGTGCACAGCTAAAGCTCAGAGGGAAAAAATGTCAAATCTTATATAGCATAGCATAGTTGAAAAAGTATTTTATATTTTTATTCTATTTATCATGTCTTTATCACAGCTTAGTGACATGTGGTTATTGTCCACCTTTTTTTTTCTTTTGCAAGTGAAGACTAAACCTCATTTCTTTGTCATTGAGATAGAAAATGACAATCTTGGCCAGGTACAGTGGCTCACGCATATAATCCTAGCACTTTAGGAGGCTGAGGCAGGTGGATCACCTGAGGTCATGAGTTGGAGACCACCCTGGCCAACATAGTGAAACCCTGTCTCTCCTGAAAATACAAAAATTAGCTGGTCGTGGGGGCGCATGCCTGTAATCCCAGCTACTCGAAAGGCTGAGACAGGAGAATCACTTGAACTTGGGAGACAGAGGTTTCAGTGAGTCAAAATTGTGCCACTGCCCACTGCACTTGAGGAGCTTGGGTGACGGAGGCTCTGTCTTTTAAAAAAAAAAAAAAAATCTTGTTCCTGGTCTTCTCACTTCCTCTCTGGTGGTCTATTCATATGATATAGTCAGCCTCCTGAAAAATTAGTTTTGGTGTTAGTGCATTTTGAAGAACCTGATTAGGTCATAATATAAGACTGAATTCCAGTTTTGGGAAAGAGCTTCAAATGTGTGTGTGTTTTTTTGTTTTTTTGTTTTAAGTTTCAGGGTACATGTGTAGGATGTGCAGATTTGTTACATAGGTGATATGTGCCATGGTGGTTTTCTGCACCTATCAACCCATCACCTAGCTATTAAGCCCAGCATGCATTAGCTGTTTTTCCTAATGCTCTCCCTCCCACTACCCCACTGCCTGACAGGCCCCGGTCTGTGTTGTTTCCCGCCCTGTGTCCATGTGTTCTCAGCTTCAATATGTTTTTAACACTTTTCTCTTTGCTTTAGCCTGAACACACCACCTGGAACTAAAGTTAAGCTCTCAGGCATTGTTGACATAAAAAATGGATTCCTGCTCTTGAATGACTCTAACACCACAGTTCTTGGTGGTGAAGTGGAACACCTTATTGAGAAATGGGAGTTACAGAGAGTAAGTGTAAACTATGGCTTGAACTTTTGAAACATTACACTCTTTTTTATTGCATTAAAGAGCTCTTTCAATAATGAGTAAAATTAGTTCTTTGTGTCGGAGTTGAATAGAATGGAATATGATTATCTTTAGAGAAACTATCTTTGTCTAAGTGTATTGTTTCTCTAAAGTAGATATACTTTTTCAGTATTTGTTACATTTTATTACTTATGTTTAAACATTCTTTCCTGACAAGTTTCAAAACTGTCAAGATACCAGTTATAAGCTATGTACAATTTATTTGTGTATAATTCTTTCTGCAAAAAACAAAAGTGCATCTATGTGAATATATGTATACCTGTCTTATCTACAGACACACATACGTGCAAGTAAAAGTAAGTTAGAATTTCACTGTAATGGAGGAGTTCTTGTTGCACTTGACTTCCTAGTCTCATTAGCTAATATTTTTCCCCATTTATATTAACAATATCTTCATCTTTCCAGTCATGTAGGTTATCTTGTAATTGTTCCTCTACTTTGCTTCCAACAACCATTTCTGTTGATCCATTGCAGTCAAATCTCGTATCACTTCCTTGCTCTCCAGTTCTTATTATTACTGTAGTGTAGGTCTTTAGTATCTCTTGCCTGGACTGCTGTATTAGCCTTCTGACTGTCTATCCACATATCCTTTCTCCATCTTCTAATTTATTTTATGTACTTTCACCAGGTTTTCTTCCTTCAGCATAGTTGAGATGCTTTTATTTCAAATGCCTTAATTTGAGATTGAATGCCATTTATATTCTAGCCCTAGTTCCAGTTTACGTTTAATTTTCAACTTTCTAAATTCTTCCACATAGATCTTGTTGTAGCCAAATGGAGTTGCTTCGTCTTTCTTTGATGCTCTATGATTTCCTCAGTTATACATTTTTAATTAAACGTTTTTCCATTTTTACATTATTCATCTTGTTTTTTCTCTCCTGATCCCCGCATAGCCAAATCATCCCTGTGCTTTTAGACCCAGATCAAATGATTGCTTCTTCTCAAGGTGAAGTACTTGTTTCCTTATTGAATTCTTTAAACATTTTATTCTTTTTGTGTATTGCTTTTTACCTAGCACTAAAATTATGTTCATTTCTCATCTCCTGTAACAGATAGTATGCTTCTGAGGTCAGAATTTTTGTTTGTATCATCTTTCTTAAGTTCTGCACGTATCTGTTGAACAATGTGTAGATACTGTGCTGGGATCTTGCATCTGTATCTCAAGTTATCCTCCTAGTAGTCTTTATAAGGGCTGTTAAATAACTTACTTTATGATTAGACAGATGATGGATCTGAGCACAATCCAAGACCATTTTTTTCTGTTATACCAGAGTAGCCTTTTTGCAATCTCCAAAGCAGTAGCTCTGAACTTTACATGTAATAGATGTTATAAAAAATACTTGTGGTATAAATGAATTACAAAGCACATAAAAAATATTTGTGGAACAAATGAATAGCAAAACTGATTACTCCTCGAGCTGAAATGTATTCTTGTGACACCCTCAAATCTTGCCTGTTTTGTAAAGTCAGCCAAAGGCCTAAGCAATATTTCAAGCTTTTGGTATTTTGTGATACACTACTCTCTCCTATTTTCTTAGTTGGGAAGTGCCTGTGTTTGGGAGGTAAATAGATAAGGACCTTAGGCACATTTTTATTCCTTAGTACTAATTTCTTATGATACTAATGTGCTGTGATTTGGGTTGCTGTACTATGCAATATAAAGTAATGTTCCACAACTGCATTGTTTAATTGAAAATGTCCCAAAAAAGTAATTCAGAAGTAGCTTAATAGTTCTACATAAACAGCCAAGTTTGTGAACTTTGAATTTCCTGGAGAAACTACCCATTTCATGTGATCTTTTCATATGTTGATATAATTGTATTTTTTTAATCAGTAGAGATTTTTTAAAGTGTGGTAAAAAGTTCTCAACTCTAATACCTTATATAATTTTCCCACAACCCAGTCCCATAGCCAGGACCACTTTGCTAACAACTGTAAACATTCCTAGTAACCTTCTCACCAACACACACACACACATACACACACACACACACACACGGAGTTTAGTAGTAGTTTAATAGTTGCCCTTGAAATGTTTAATTATATGTCTCTGCACTTGACTTCCTGCAAGCCACATTAGTATTTCTTGTTAGGGAGTGATAAAAATTTACATTTAAAATCATTTTAAAACATTTTAATATGATTATAGTTCTTTTTGGCTTTATAGTTTTTGATTTGGTAGCCACAGCAATGTAGGAAACAGGGAAAGTGCAGTTACTTGAGCAGCTGGCAGTGATATACATAGAAATTATAAACCATAAAGCTAATGTTGGAAGTGAAGAAGCACTAAGCATTCAGTAAACTATATGCAGGCATTGTAACTGTAGCAAGTTGGTGCCAGATGTAATTTACAAAATACTGTAGTTCTATAAGTTTTAGTGCCCCCAAACTGTAGATTAAAAAATGTTTTTATTGTGGCAAAGTATACATAACATAAAATTTAACATTTTAACCATTTTTTAAATGTAAATTTCAGTGGCATTAAGAACATTCGCATTGTTGCACAGCTGGTACCACCATCCACTTCCCTAACTTTTTCATCTTCCCAAACTTAAACTCTGTACCCATTAAACAGTAACTCTGCATTCCTTCCTCCTCTCAGTCTTGGGCAACCACCATTCTACTTTCTGTCTCTGAATTTGACGAAGTAACTCATATGTGTGGAATCATACAGTATATATCTTTTTTGTGCCTGACTTATTTCACTTAGCATAGAATTTTCAGTGTTCATCTATGTTGCAGCATGTGTCAGAATTTCCTTCCTTTTTAAGGTTGGATAGTACTCTATATCTATACCATCTTTTGTTCATTTATCCATCAATGGACATTAGGGTTGTTTTCACTTTTTAAGTCTTATGAATAATGCTGTTATGAACATGGGTACACAAATACCTCTTTGAGACCCAGCTTTCAATTCTTTTGTGTGATCTAGAAGTGGGATTGCTGGACCATATAATTGTATTTTTAATTTTTTGAAGAATTGCCATACTGTTTTATATTTACTTTACACTCATTTCCACCAGGATATTACAGGGGTTCCAGTTTTTTACATCCTCACCAACGGTTGGTATTTTGTGTCTTTTTGATAGTAGCCATTCTAACATGGGTAAAATAGAATATCATTATAGTTGGGTTTTTTTTTTTTTTTTTTTGATATGGAGTGTTGCCCAGGCTGGAGTACAATGGCACGATTTCGGCTTACTGCAACCTCTGCCTCCCAGGTTCAAGCGATCTCCTGTCTCAGCCTCCCGAGTAGCTGGGATTACAGGTGTGCACCACCATGCCCAGATAATTTTTGTATTTTTAGTAGAGACGGGGTTTCACTATGTTGGCCAGGCTGGTCTCCAACTCCTGACTTCAGGTGATCTGCCGGTCTCAGCCTCTAAAAGTGCTGGGATTATAGGTGTAAGCCACCATGCCCGGCCTTCATTATAGTTTTGATTTGTATTTCCCTAATGCTTAGTAATATTGAGCATCTTTTTGTGTGCTTATTGGCCATGCGTAGATCTTCTTTGGAGAAATTTCTATTCAAGTCCTTTGCCCATTTTTAATCAGGTCAGCTGTTGTTGTTGTTATTGTATGAGTTATGTATAGATTCTAGATATCAATTCCTACTAACATAATATGTTTTGCAAATATTTTTCCCATCCCATGTGTTGCCTTTTCACTGTGTTGGTAGTGTCTTTTGATGCACAGAATTGTTGAAGAGTTTTTATAGGTTTAGCTTTTATGCTTAGGTCTTTGATCCATTTTGAGTTAATTTTTGTATTAGTAAAGGGTCCAAATTCATACTTTTGCATGTGAATATCCAGTTTTCCCAGCACTACTTTTTGAAAATAGTGTTCTTAATGAATGATCTTGTCAGCCTTATCAAAAATTATTTGGCCATATATGAACAAATTTATTTCTAGGTTATCTGTTCTGTTTCACTGGTCTAAATGTCTATCTTTATGCCACACTGTTTTGATTACTGTAACTTTTTATTAAGTTTCATAATTGGAAAGTGAGACCTTTTTCAGGATTGTTTTGGCTATTCAGTATTGAGATTCCTTATGAATTATAGGATAGATTTTTCTATTTCTGCAAAAAAAAAAAATCATTGGGGTTTTGATAAGGATTATGTTGACTCTATTGACCACTCAGTATTGATATCTTAACAATATTAAATCTTTCAATTCATGACCATGGGAAGTCCTTTTCACATTGTTCTAAATTGTTAGTGTAGAGAAACACAACTGATTTCTCTGTGTTGATTTTGCGTACTCCAACTTTATTGAATTTAGTATTCTAACAGTTTTTTTTTCTTTTTAGTGTGGAATGTTTGGAGTTTTCTACATATAAGATCACGTTATCTGTGAAGAGTTAATTTTATTTCTTCCTTCTCAATTTGAATACCTTTATTTATTTTTCTTGCCTTATTTAGCCCTGGCTAAAACTTTTAATATAGTGTTGAATGGAAGTGATGAAAATGACATCCTTCTCTTGTTCTTGATCTTAGAGGAAACACCTTCAGTCCTTCACTATTGAATATGATGTTAGTGGTGGGTTTTTTATATATGGCTTTTATCAGGTTTGAGTAGTTCCTTTCTATTTTTAGTTTGTCGTATATTTTTATTATAAAAGTGTGTTTGGTTTTGTGAGATGCTTCCTCTGCGTCAATTGAGATGATCATGTGTTTTTCCCCTGCTTCATTCTGTTAATGCGTTACATTGATTGATTTTTATATGTCGAAGCATTCTTGTATTTTGGGAATAAATCACATTTGGTCATGGTCTCTAATGCTTTTTATATGGTATGGGATTCTGATTACTGGTTTTTCATTGATGATAGATTACTTTTTTCCTAATTTCTAAAATTTTGGTAAAATACACATAACGTAAAATTTACCATCTTAACCATCTTAGATGTACAGTAGTTTAAAACACATTCACAAATGTTCAACATCACTAATCAAAATGTAAATCAAATACAGCGAGATATACTACCCTACAGCCATTATCCATTACAATGTCTACTGTAAAACAAACAAACAAACAAAAACCCCCAGAAAATAGCAGGTGTTGGCGAAGATGTGGAAAAATTGGAACTAAGCCTTGTGAACTCCTGGTGGGAATATAAAATGGCATAGTTGCTACAGAAAACAGTATGGCAGTTCCTCAAAAAATTAAAAATAGAATTACCATATGATCCATCAATTCCACTTCTGGCTATAAACCCAAAAGAATGGAAAACAGGTCTTGAAGAAATATTTGTGTACCCTTGTTTACAGCGGCAGAGGGCATTATGCTAAGTGAAATAAGCTGGGTATAAAAAGACAAATACTGTGTGATTCTACTTATGTGAGGTACTGAAAGTAGCAAAAATTATAGAGAGAGAGTACAATGGTGATTTCCACGGACTGGGGGAGGAGAGAATGGGGGAGTTATTGTTTAATGAGTATAGAGTTTCAGCATTAGTAGACCATTTACTTTTAATGGAATTCAGTATGGAAAGTTTTAATTCTACTATCTTGCTATTTCTTTTGTTGTTGTTTTGCTTTTTGTTTCCTGTTTTACTCCATTTTCTGCTGCTATAACAGAATACCACAGACTGGGTAATTTATGAAGAAAAGAAATTTATTTCTCACAGTTCCAGAGGCCCAGAAGTACAATAACATGGCTTTGGTATCTCACCAGGGCCTTCCTGCTGCATCATAACATGGTGGAAGGACAAGTAAGCATGTGAGACAGAGAGAGGCTGGGACATAAACTTCATCTTTCATCAGGATCCCACTCCCAAGATAACTAACCCATTCCTGTGATAACAGCATTAATCTATTCATGAGGGAAAAATATTCATAATCTTATCACCCCTTGAAGGTCCTACCTCTTAACACTGTTACAATGGCAATTACATTTCAATATAAGTTTTGGAGAGACAGTCAAATCATAGCACTTCCTTTTAAATGAATTGCATTTTTTAAATGATTCTGTTATCTGCATTATTAGCTTATCAGCTATATTGTGGGCGGCAAGCCACCCAGGTGCCAAGGCAAGAGACCGAGGGCACAAACTGTTCCAGCATAATAAAACATATAGAATAAGAATAGTTATACTAGAAATAGATTATAGATATGATTATATGTGAATATCATTAATTATTAGTTTGTAGTATTACTCTTTATTCCAATATTATAATAATTTTTGTTTTATAATTATAACCTAGGAAAAACCAGGCCATACAGAGATAGGAGCTGAAGGGACATGGTGAGAAGTGACCAGAAGACAAGAGTGTGAGCCCTCTGTTATGCCCGGACAGGGCCACTAGAGGGCTCCCTGGTCTAGCGGACAAGGCCACTAGAGGGCTCCCTGGGCTAGCAGTAACGCCCTCGCCTGGGAAGGTGCCGATTACCTAGTGGACCTTGGCCTAGCGGTAGCGTCAGTACCTGGGGAAGGCACCCGTTACTTAACAGACCAGGAAAGGGAGTCTCCCTTTCCCTGGGGGAGTTAGAGAAGACTCTGCTCCACCACCTCTTGTGAAAGGCCTGACTGATGGCAGGCTTGTCCTCAGCCATCCAGAGGCCTGACTGTCTCCCTGTGATGCTGTACTTCAGTGGTCACGCTCCTGATCCGCTTTCATGTTCCACCCTGTACACCTGGCTCCACCTTTTAGATAGCAGTAGCAGAATTAGTGAAAGTACTAAAAGTCTTTGAAATGCATAGAAGAAATAATGGCGTAAGCTGTCCTCTCTCTCTCTCCGCCTTGGCTGCCAAACAGGGAAGGGCCCCTCTGGTGGACACGTGACTCGCATGACCTTACCTATCATTGTAGATGGCTCACACTCCTTACCCTGCCCCCTTGTCTTGTATCCAATAAATAACAGCATAGCTAGGCATTCGGGGTCACTACCGGTCTCCGCGCCTTGGTGGTAGTGGCCCCCCCCGGGCCCAGCTGTCCTTTCTTCTGTCTCTTTGTGTTGTGTCTTTATTTCTACATACTCTCATCTCCACACACGAGGAGAAAAAACCCACAGACCTTGTAGGGCTGGGCCCTATACTATATGACTGTGTTTTTGTTTTTAAGTGGTTGCTGTAAGGTTTAAGATGTGTACCCTTGACTTCTTTCTTTCTACCTTCAATAATACATACCACTTTATGCGTATTGTAAGACCCATACAATTATATGCTTTCATGTACCCAGTTTTGTCTCTATGCTGGTTTTGTTATATACTTTACATTCGTTACGAAGGTCACAACACGTTTTAATTTTTTTCCCTTAAATGGTTTTTAAAACAATGAAACAATTTTTAAAAGATATTTTTGTCTTTCTACACATTTACCATTTCCGTCCCTCTCTCTTTTCTTTGGTAAAGATCAAGTTCCTGCATGGTGTGTCTTTTAGTTCAGGTTAGCTGATGATGAAGTGTTTTAGTTTTGGTTTGTCAGAATGTTTTTTTTTTCTTTACTTTTTAAGGATATTTTCTCTGAATGTATGTTTCTACATTGAAAGATTTTTTAAATTTTTCTTAAGTGTTTTAAGGACATCATCTCATTGTCAATTACCTGGTATACTATCTACAGTCTGTAGTAATCTTTTTTTATGTAATGTATCTTTTCTTTATCTACTTTTAAGTCTTTTCCTTTTTTTTTTCTTCCTATTTTTATTTTAGGTTAAGGAGGTGCATGTGCAGGCTTCTTAACATGGGTAAATTGTGTGTCACTGAGGCTTGGTGTATCAAAGATCCCATCACCCATGTAGTGAGCATAGTACCCTATAGGTAGCCTTCCAACTTATTTCCTCCTCCCACCCTTCTCCCTTAAGCAGTCCCCAGTGTCTCTTGTTCCCATCTCTGTGTCCATGTGTACTCAGTGTTTATTTAGCTCCCACTTATAAGTGAGAACATATGGTATTTGGTTTTCTGTTCCTGCCTTAGTTTGCTTAGAATGATGGCCTCCAGATGCATCCATATTGCTGCAAAGGACATTATTTCATTCTTATTTATGGCTGTGTAGTATTCTATCATGTATATCTACCACATTTTCTTTATCCAGTTCTGTGTCGATGGACCTCTTCACTGATTCCATGTCTTTGCTGTTGTGAAGAGTGCTGCAATGAACAAACAAGTGCATGTGTCTTATGTGCAGTAATAGTAGTTGAACTCTTAGTTCTTTGAGGAATCTCCGAACTGTTTTCCACAGTGGCTGGACTAGTTTACATTCCCAGCAACTGTGTATGTGTATTTTCCTTTCTTGGCAACCTTGCCAGCATTGGTTGTTTTTTGACTTTTTAATAATAGCCATTCTGTTATGAGATGGTATCACATTGTGGTTTTGATTTACATTTCTCTAATGATTAGTGATAATGAGCATTTTTTTCATATGTTTGTTGGCCATTTGTATGTCTTCTTTTGAGAAATGTTCGTTCATGTCCTTTGCCTATTCTTTAATGAGGTTGTTTTTTGCTTGCTGATTTGTTTAAATTCCTTATAGATTCGGGATAGTAGACCTTTGTTGGATGTACAGTTGACAAATATGTTTTCCCATTCTGTAGGTTTTCTGTGTACCCTGTTTATAGTTTCCTTTGCTGTGCAGAAGCTCTTTAGTTTAATTGGGTCCCACTTCTTATTTTTGTTTTTTGTTACAGTTGCTCTTGAGGACTTGGTTGTAAATTCTTTGCCAAGGCTAGTCTCAAGAAGGGTATTTCCTAGGGTTTCTTCTAGGGTTTTTATTGTTTTAGATGTTACATTAAAGTCTTTAATTCTTCTTGAGTTAATGTTTGCGTATGATGACTGGAAGGGGTCCAGTTTCAATCTTCTGCATATTGGCTAGCCAGTTATCCCAGCATCATTTATTGAATAGGAATTCCTTTCCTCATTGTTTGTTATTGTCAGCTGTGTCAAAGATCAGGCGTTTGTAGTTGTATCACTTTATTTCTAGGTTCTTTATCCTGTTCCATTGGTCCGTGAGTCTGTTTTTGTACCCAGTACTCATTGTTATATTTTTGTACCAATACCATTCTGTTTTGGTTATTGTAGCCTTGTAGTATAGTTTGAAGTTGGACAGCTTTGTTCTTTTTGCTTAGGATTGTATTGGTGATATGGGCTCATTTTTGGTTCCATATGAATTTTAGAATAGTTTTTTTTTCTAATTCTGTGAAGAATAACATTGATAGTTTGATAGGAATAGTGTTGAATCTCTAAATGGCTTTGGATAGTGTGACCATTTTAATGATATTGGTTCTTGCCAATATCTGTGGGCATGGAACGTTTCCATTTTTTTGTGTTGTCTCTGATTTCTTTGAGCAATGTTTTGTAATTCTCATTGTAGAGATCTTTCGCCTCTTTGTTAAGCTGTATTCCTAGGTATTTTATTCTTTTTATGGCCATTGTAAATGGGTTTGCATTCTTGATTTGAGTCTGGGTGCTATTGGCATACAGAAATGCAACTGATTTTTATACATTGATTTTGTATGCTGAAACTTTACTGAATTTGTTTATCGGCTCTAGAAGCCTTCTGGTGGAGTCTGTGGGGTTTTCTAGATATAGAATGATATCATCAGCAAAGAGAGATAGTTTGACTTTTTTTTTTATTTGGATGTCATATATTTCTTTCTCTTGCATAATTCCTCTGGCAAAGACTTCTAGTACTATGTTGAATAGAAGTAGTGAAAGTGGGCATCCTTGTCTTGTTTCAATTATCAAGGAGAATGCTTCAGCTTTTGCCTGTTGAGTATGATGTTGGCTATACGTTTGTTATAGATGGTTATTATTATTATTATTGTTATTATTATTATTATTAAGACAGAATCTTGCTCTGTCACACAGGCTGAAGCACAATGGCAGAATCATAGTTCAATACAACCTTGAACTCCTGGGTTCAAGGGATCCTCCTGCCTCAGTCTCCTGAGTAGCTGACACTACAGGTGCACACCACCAAGTCTGGCTAATTTTTAAATTTTTTATAGAGATGAGGTCTTTCTTTGTTGCCCAAGCTGGTCTCAAACTCCTAGCCTCAAGCAATCCTCCTTGTTTGGCCTCCCAAAGTGCTGTGATTACAGCCTTGAGTCACTGTGCCCAGCTCGATGGCTCTTATTATTTTGAGATATGTTCCTTATATGTCTAGTTTGTTGAGAGTTTTTAATATGAAGGAATGTTGAATTTTATTGAAGGCCTTTTCTGCATCTATTAAGATGATTATGTAGTTTTTGTTGTTAATTCTGTTTATGTGGTGAATCACATGTATTGATTTGCATATGTTGAACCAACATTGCATCCCAGGGATAAAGACCAGTTGATTATATTGAATTAACTTTTTGATGTGCTGCTGGATTAGTTTGCTAGTATTTTATTGAAGATCTTCTCATCTACGTGCATCAGGAATACTGGCCTGAAGTTTTTTGTTGTTGTTGCATCTTTGCCAGATTTTGACATCAGGATGATGCTGGCTTTGTGCAAAGAAGTAGGGAGAATTTCCTCCTTCTTGATATTTATGGAACAGTTTCGGTAGGATTGGTATCAGTTCTTCTTTGTATGTCTTAAAGAATTTGGCTGTGAATGTATCTGGTCTAGGATTTTTTTGGTTAAGAGATTTTTTTTTATTAATTATTCAATTTCAAAACTTGTTATTGGTCTGGTCAGGTTTTCACTCCCTTCCTGGTTCATTCAGTCTTTGGAGATTGCTTCTAGGAATGTATGCATTTCCTCTAGATTTTCTAGTCTGTGTGCATAGAGATGTTCATAGTTTCTGAGGATCTTTTGTATTTCTGTGGGATTGGTTGTAATACCATATTTGTGATTTCTGATTGTACCGATTTGGATCTTCTCTCTTTTTTGTTAATCTAGCTAGCAGTCTACCAATTTTTTTTTTTTTTTTTTTTTTTTTTTTGAGACAGAGTCTCACTGTGTCTCCCAGGCTGGAGTAGTGCAGTGATGCAATCTCGGCTCACTGCAGCCTTCAACTCCAGAGTTCAAGCAATTCTTGTGCCTCAGCCTCCCAAGTAGCTGGGGTTGCAAGCCCGTGCCACCACATGTGGCTAATTTTGGCATTTTTAGTAGAGATGGGGTTTCAGAATGTTGGCCAGGGTGGTCTCAAACTCCTGACCAGAAGTGATCTGCCCACCTTGTCCTCCCAAAGTGCTGGGATTACAGGCATGAGCTACCGTGCCCGGTCCACAGTCTGTCAATCTTAGTTTATTCTTTCAAAGAACCATCTTTTTGTTCCATTGATCTTTTATTTGGATTTTGGCATCTCATTTTCACTTAGTTCTCTGATTTTAGTTATTTCTTTTCTTCTGCTAGCTTCAGGGTTAGTTTGTTCTTTTTATTCTTGTTCTTCTAGGTGCAACATTAGATTGTTAATTTGAGGACTTTTTTTTTTTTTTTTTTTTGAGATGGAGTCTCACTGTGTCATCCAGGCCAGAGTGCTGTGGTGCAATCTTGGCTCACTGCAACCTCTGCTTCTGGGGTTCAAGCAATTCTCCTGCCTCAGTCTCCTAAGTAGCTGGAACTACAGGCACACACCACCATGCCTAGCTGATTTTTTTTTTGTATTTTTAGTAGACAGGGTGTCACCATCTTGGCCGGGCTGGTCTTGAACTCCTGACCTCAAGTGATCTGACTGCCTTGGCCTCTCAAAGAGCTGGGATTAGAGGCATGAGCCACCACACCCAGCCAATTTGAGAACCTTCTAACTTCTTGATGTAGGTGGTTAACACTAAAAGCTTTCCTCTTATCACTGCTTTAGCAGCATCTCAAAGATTTATGTCTCTTTTTTCATTAATTTCAGATAATTTTTTGATTTCTGCCTTGATTTCATTGTTCACCCAGAAGTTATTCAGGAGTAAGTTTTAAAATTTACATGTAATTGCATGGTTTTGAGAGATCTTGCTGTTGATTTCTATTTTTAATGCACTGTGGTCCAAATGTGTGCTTGGTATGATTTTGATTATTTTGAATTAATGGAGACTTGCTCTGTGGCCAAGCATTTGGTCAATCTTAGACTATGTTCTGTGTGCAGATGAGAAGAATGTATATTCTGTGGTTGTTGGGCAGAGGATTCTGCATATGTTTATTAGGTCCAATTGATTGGGTGTTGAGTTTCAGTCCAGAATTTTTGTGTTATGTTTCTGCATTGATGATTTGTCTAATGCTTTCAGTGGTATGTTGAAATCTCTCACTATTATTGTGTTTGTCTAAGTCTTTTCATAGGTAAAGAAGAACTTATTTTATAAATCTGGGTGCTCCAGTGTTGGGTATATACATATTTAGGATAGCTAAGTCTTCTTATTGAGTTGAATTCTTTATTATTATGTATGTCATTTCTTTCCTTGTGCTTCTTAATTGTTGTTGGTTTAAAGTCTGTTTTAGTTGACAGAAGAATAGTGACCCCTGCTCTTTTTTGTTTTCTGTTTGCCTGAAAGATGTTTCTCCATCCCTTTACCTTGAGCCTCTGGGTATCATTACTTGTGAGATGGGTCCCTTGGAGACAGCAAACAGTTGAGTCTTGCTTCTTTATCCAACTTGCCATCGTATTCCTTTTAAGTGTGTCATTTAACCAGTTTACATTCAGGGTCAATATTGATATGTTAGGGTTTGATTTTGTCATCATATTGCTAGGTGGTTGTTATGTAGACATGATTGCATAGTTTATAGTGTCACTGGAATATGTGTTTAAGTGTGCTTTGTGATGACAGGTATCATTTCTTCATTTCCATGTTTAGCACTCCCTTTAGGAGCTCTTGTAAGGCAGGTCTGGTGGTAATAAATCCCCTTAGCATTTGCATGTCTGAAAAGGACTTCATTTTTCCTTTGCTTATGAAGCTTAGTTTGGTAGGATATGAAATTCTTGGTTGGAATTTCTTTTCTTTAAGGATATTGAAAATAGGCCCCACTCTCTTTTGGCTTGTGAGGTTTAAGCTGAAAGGTGTGCTGTTAGCTGAGTGGGATTCTTTTTGTAAGGCCCCTTTTCTCTAGCTGCCTGTATGATTTTTTTCTTTTGCATTGACCTTGGAGAATCTGATGACTATGTGTCTTGGGAATAGTCATCTTGCATAGTATGTCACAGAGGTTCTTTGAATTTCTTCAGTTTGCATGTTGACCTGTCTAGTGAGATTTGGAAAAGTTCTGTGGATTCTGTCTTCAAATATGTTTTCCAAGTTGCTTGTTCTCTCTTCTTCTCTTTCTGGAATGTCAGAGTTGTATGTTTGGTCTCTTTACATAACCCCATATTTCTTAGAGGTTTTGTTCATTTTCTAAATTATAATTTACCTCAGGTTGGGGGTGTTTTCACAGGGGAATGCCATGGGTGTGGGGTGCTGCAAGTGGGAGTGCTCCAGTGAGGAGGGCCCCACAGGCAGGGGGTATTATAGCCAGCATGATGGGGAGTGCTGCAAGCGAGGGGGCCACATGCAGGAAATGCTCCTTTGGTAACAGCTGGGGCACTGCAGGCAGGGAGCCATATGGGATGGGGGTGCACTCTGGTGGGAAGCCCTCTGGTATTGGTAGTTGGGTTGTCTTGGGTGGATAGCTCTGGTGAGGGGCACCACAGGAGGGGGGCATTCTAATAGGGTGGCAGGGATTCAGCAGGTGGGAAGTTTTCTGAAGGGGTGGCAGCGAGGTCACAGGCAAACAAATTCTGGCAGGAGGCTGTCAGCAAAAGTGCTCTGGTGGGGCAGTGGGGGCTGCACTGCTTGCAGGCATGGCCAGGCAGGGACTCTTAGAGGAGTGTTTTCTTTATCACTGATTTCAACAATTCAATTGTTTAATTATGATGTACCTAACATGGTTGGTGTGCGTTTTATCCTGTTTGGTTTTCAGTGAACTTTTTTGATCTATGAGTTTATTGTTTTCATCACATCTAGAAAATGTGATTTGGCCATTATTTCTTCATATGTATTTTTTCTCTTCCCTCTTTGTGTTTTTTTTTTTTTTGTATTATATCTTCAATTACACATACATTAGACTGCTGGTAATTTTCCAACCAGTCACTGAAGATCTATTCATTTTTTTACCCTAGGCTTTTCCTTTGGCCTCTTTTTGGTAGATTCTATTACTATACCTTTAAATTCACTGATCTTTTCTTCTGTCTTATTTTATTTACTCTTAAGCCCATCCAATGAGTTTTCATTGTTGGTGGTTTTTTTCTTTTATAGAAGTTCCATTTGGTTCTTCTTTTTTTTGTATTTTTCTTTACTAGTTGAATTTATGTTTTCTTTTAAATACTTACACATAGTTTTAATAGCTGTTTAACGCCCTATTTATTAGTTCATCATCTTTGTCATCTATGGCCCAGTTTCTCTTGACTAAATTTTCAGATGGTTATGGTCACATTTTTCTGTCTTGACATGCCTTGTAGTTTTTGCTTAGATGCTGGACATTGTGATGTTGGTAGTTGTTGAGAGCCTGGATTTTGCTATTTTCCTTTAATGAGTATAAGAATTAGCTTTGGTCAACAGTTAATTTACTTTTGATCAGTTTGACCCCTTCAAGATGTGTATTCAAGCTTTGAAAGGAGTATCTAGCATAGCCTTTGTTCCAAATATTTTTTAGCTCTCTGGATTTCTACTCCCTGTCCTGAATGAATGTCCAAAGAGTTTTTAGTCTGCATGGTCTGATCTGGCTGGATTGTCTGTATACCCTTTATGAGTTCTGGGAATTGTTCAGCTTACAACTCTCAGTTGTTTTTTGCTCAGCCTTGTTCTCAGCAGTGACTCAAGGGAACTCCTTTGAGGGTTTCTGGAGCTTCTTTATTATGACAGGTTCTTCTTTCTGAAACAGCCCCACAACTTCCAGTTGCATCAGCCTGCTTGAACTGTGAGACTGATATTCTAAACTCAGCTCCCTATGACCTCTGTTTGCATCATGGCTACAAGCAGAAAGCCATAGCTCACCTGTTTTTTTTTCTCTTTCTCTCAGGGATAATAGTCTTGCATTATCTGTTATCCTATGTCTTAAAACAGTTGTTTCTTACACATTGTTAAGATTGTTAGTTGTTTTTAAAGAGAGAGTAAGTATTGCTCATGTGCCTTTATCAGGTCCTGTAATATGCTTTTAATTATGTAATGTTATTGAGCTATGGTATTATTTGCAATTCATGAACTTTTCAAGGAAATGATAGTATAAGTTGAAATGATTTATAGCTGTTTGAATAGTCTTTGTTTAATGTTTAAATTAAGGAAAGGGCCTCTTGATAATTTTATGCATTTGTTGTTGTGAAAAATTAGATTAATATCTTAAATATAGGTTTTAAAGAAACGTGGCACTCATATACACTTTAAATTATTCTTTGCTCAATAAACTGAATGTTGTGCTTGACTGTCGTTACTCTTAATTATCTTTATAAAATATACAGTGTTTACACAATTCAGGAACTCTGGAATATGCTTGAAAGTGCACATGGTGGTTGTTTTTTTTTTTTAACTTTGTCACCTATTTTACATATTTTAATCATAATGGTTTCTGTAGTGATAACAATTAAAATGCACAAAAAGTTTAAAGTTGAGATGTATTAAGTAACAACTAGTAAGACAAATGTATGTATATATTAATACCTCAAAACCAAAATAAATCAGAGGAAGAGATAACTGAAGAGAGTCCTGGAGACTCCTTATGGGATTTTAGAAAGACTTTATCATGTGAGAAATTGCTTTTGCCAGAAGATTTTCTTTCCGTTTTCATAATACATTGTTATCTCTCTAGCTTTATGAGATTTCAGGAAAAAAGAAAACTAAAATTAGTTGGATTTGGAAGCTTATTTTTAGTTAATGAACAATTTGTTGAATACTTTTTCAAAATATGAATTGTTTTGCAAAACAAAACAGGAAAATTTAGTATAAGGAAGGTTAAGGAAATTTTAGTATAATTAAAAGAACCTCCATATTATACACTATAACAATCTGTTCTCTTTAAGTAATTAGAAATCACCCTTATGTTAACTAATAAATTTGGTGTCTAAAAAATTTATTTTTGAAGATAATTTCCAGGTAATATTTGTCTGTCATAGCTTTATGCTTTAAAATGGAATTCTGTTACCAAAGTTTGATATTTTTGAATTTGCTTCTTAAGAAGACTGTTTTCTCCTTAGGGGAATGGCCTGATAAATATTTCTGAAAGCTTTATGTGAATATGTGTTTTGGTAAGGGGAGGTGAGGAGAGTCTTTGCCTAATTATTGAAGTTAAGAATAATATATTTTTTTGTGGTTTGAAATACTTCATGGAAGGCCTTTTTTTTTCCTATTTCTTATAAGAATCTACTCAAATAGGTAGATTCCTGTTACATTATAAATGCTGGAAATATATTTTTTATGTATAACTGCTCTTTTGTGACTGGATTTTTTCCGCAGAGCTTATCAAAACACAATAGAAGCAATATTGGAACTGAAGGTGGACCACCGCCTTTTGTGCCTTTTGGACAGGTAATGACTTTTGTGTTGGCAGATGAATTTAAATTAGGAAAAAGTGTTTTTCATTAGCATTCAAGCTGTGTTTCATTATGTGCTGAACTATTAAGAGGTTATGGAGTTATTTGGAAATATGAAGTTCAAGGAATTTAATAATTTTGAGGTTTTTTTCCTTCACTGTAGTTATATTGTTGACGTTTGCGAGAGCTGTTAACCCAAAGATTGAAGCAATTAAGAGCCATATCTGAAGAGTAACTTATAACTAATTAAAATAGGATGGGAGAGGGTTTTTTTTTGAGGGAAATTCAAAAGTAAGAAGACAAAAATACATCATAATTTCTCACTTGTTCATTAAAAACATTAGAGGGGGAGAGAAAAATAAAGCCACACAGAGTGATCAAAGTGCTACTTTGAAGCAGCCCCCCTTCTGACCAGTATCTTGTGACTTCACTTGTCTTCAGCATCAAATTGATTCTCAACAATCTTCTCCAGCCTGCTCTTGCTTTATCCCTGACAATTCTAAGAATAATTCTTGTGGCAGCTTGCTCTTCTCCTGATGATGCCATCAAAATTTAGCGGTTGGTAATCTGTCTTGCATTTGCTCTTTAATTTTATTCAAGAGTGCTGGGCTAAGAGTAGCAATGAGTTGTGGACATAACAGGTAGGCAACAGATCTGTGTTTCCATAATAAGGTTTATCGTGTGTGTGTGTGTCCAAATTTTGGTATTTAGTAAAATCATTTGACTGTCACCCTCTCTGAAAGCC
The DNA here is from genome assembly GCF_000001405.40 of Homo sapiens. NCBI lineage: Eukaryota > Metazoa > Chordata > Mammalia > Primates > Hominidae > Homo > Homo sapiens. The sequence continues at coordinate 60,484,597 of NC_000013.11, forward strand.
TTTTGTAAGATATACTCTCACTTAAATAAGTCATTTTTGCATCAAACCTATTTTGAAGCATTTAAAAAATAATGTTGATTTTTTTTTTTTACTGAGTTTGGAAGAAGAAATAGCCAAGATAAAAGAAAGTGTGAAGTCCTATGGTGTGATCCATGTTGATGGTTGGTATTCTCCCAGTGTAATGAAAACCTCCACAGGGAAAACAGTGTAAACATTCTAATAACTTATATTTGAAAATAATAGTATATTTGTAAAAATTTACCCTTAAACATTTTGGTGATAATATTTCTCTTCCAGAGACTTATGATCTAATTATTCTTAAGACTTTGAAGTGTGTTTTATAGCTTCTTAGGGGTTAGAGAATATAATAAAAGCTATAATTTCAATAATATTATTTGGTTATAAAGTTCATTCTGAAAAAATTCTTGTATAGCATCTTGCAGCCTTGTACATGGGCTGAAGATAGGTAATGCTGACTGTGTATTTATTGGTGTCAATATGATATGTTTATATTACTGAAATTTTTCTGTATTTGTGGAACACATTTCTTTGAGATCTTCCCATTTTCCTTTTTATTAATGAGTTGAGAAAAAGTTCATTTTATACTATTTTTACTGGTAAGATTGGACTGGAGATCAGAATTGAGGGCTTCTTTTTAGGCAGTGATGCCTTTTTTTTTACTTTATGAGACAAAAATATAAAAACTTTGAAGCCTGATACGGGGGGTGGGTATGTTTTTAGAGTGTGGTTTATAAGTGCAGAGACATCTTTTTATATGTTAATATAATTGTACTAACCAATCCACATATGTATATTGTGGTATAATATGGAAATTAAGCTCTTAATTACAAAACCAAATTTATGTCTTATTGTGCATTAGTCAAGATTGTTTGAAATCTAAAATTATTTATTACCCTAAAATGAAGGCTCTCTTGATCCAGTGTATGTTTTAAATATGTGCCCTGTTTAGATAGCCACATATTTATATAGCTTTTAATTTTATTTACTAGTTACGTTTATTGAAAAGTTACTTTTCCAGTTTTCTACTTTTACTTTTAAATATATGGGATAGAATTTTATTTGTGTAGGCTTTTAGCTATTGTAAAAGATACAAGATACTTTTGAAGAAGTATTACTTTCTAACGAAAACTTGAATCTCTTTTGGAACTACTAAGTTGACTTATTCTTACTTGTTTTACTAGAAGTGTGTATCTCATGTCCAAGTGGATAGCAGAGAACTTGATCGAAGAAAAACATTGCAAGTTACAATGCCTGTCAAACCTACAAATGATAATGATGAATTTGAAAAGCAAAGGACGGCTGCTATTGCTGAAGTTGCAAAGAGCAAGGAAGTAAGAAATCAAATCATTACACGTTTTATTTCTTATCATTATGTTCTATTTAGATTATTTGTGATCGTTATTGTCTTTTCATATAAGCTAACTAATTCAACAAACGCTTAACCTTATTCTTCTTGCATATTCCATAACTGGGAATGCCCTGCCACTTCATGGGATCTTACATATTTTATTCATGTGTTCTTTTTCCAGATCTCCATGGTAGTTCCAGTAAGTTACTCTTGCTGGCAAATTACCCTCCTTTTCTCCTTCCTTTTTTTTATACAATGTAGTAACTGAACACACTTTTTATTCTGGCAGGGAGTTTCCTATTAGTAGTTGGGCTAGTTGCCACTTTTTTGGGGATAATTTCCCCTTATTAATAGCAACTTATGAGAAATAGCAGCTTCTGAGAGATGAATAAAAATCAGCGGATCTGTCACTGTGTCAGGATTAACATTTTTGTCTTTATACTTTATTTTATTTAGTGTATAGTAAAAAATAATTTTATCTTTACATTATATGTCTATTTACACACACACAAATCCTCCTTTTTAACTGACAAATAATTACACATATATATGAGGTACATGTGATATTTTGATACGTGTATACAATATGTAATGATGAAATCAGGGTAATTATATCTGTCACCTCAAACATTTACCATCTTTGTGTTGAGAACATTCAAAACTCTCATCTAGCTATTTTGAAATATACAATAAATTATTGTTAATTATAATCACCCTAGTGTTTTATTGAACACTAGAACTTATTCCTCCTAACTGTAATTTAATTCCCATTAATCAACCTCTCCCACTGTCCCTTAACGTTCACCCTTCCCAGCCTCTAGTAATTACTATGCTGCTCTTCTATGAGACAACTTTTTTATCTCTCACATATGAGAGAGAATATGCAGTATTTGTCTTTCTGTGGTTGGATTATGTCACTTAATGTAATGTCCTTCAGGCTTATCCATGTTGCTGAGAATGGCAGGATTTCTTTCTTTTATATAACTGAATAATAATCCATTATGTGTAGACAGTCAGCTCTCCATATTTGTGGATTCAACTCTTCCTAACTATGGATTCAACCAACAGTGGATCAAAAATATTTTGGTGGGGGCGGGGAAGGATGGTTGCATCTGTACTAAATGTGTACAAACTTTTTTTTTGTCTTGTGATTATTTCCTAATGATATGGTATAGCAGCTATTTATATAACATTTATACCATATAAGGAATTATAAGTAATCTAGAGATGATTTAAATATACAAGAATGGCCAGGTGCAGTGGCTCATGCCTGTAACCCCAGCACTGTGGGAGGCTGAGGCAGGTGTATCACCTGAGCCTGACCAACCTAGCAAAACCCTGTCTCCACTAAAATTATAAAATTAGCTGGGTATGCTGGTGCATGCCTGTAATCCCAGCTACTCAAGAGGCAGAGGCAAGAGAATCACTTGAACTCGGAAGGCGGAGGTTGCAGTGAGCCAAGATTGCACCATTGCGCTCCAGCCTGGGCAATAAGAGTGAAACTCCATCTCAAAAAATAAAAATTAAAAAAAAAAGTATGCAAGAGGATGTGCATAGGTTGTATGCAAATGCTATATCATTTTATGTAAGCGACTTGAGCATGTTTTTGAAATCTGCTGGGAGTGGGAGAGTGGTGGGAGTCCTAGAACCAATCCCTCACGGATACCAAAGGATGACTGTATACCACGTTTTCTTTATCCCTTCATCTGATGGTGGGCACTTAGGTTGATTTCATAACTTGGCTATTGTGACTAGTGCTGCAGTAAATATGGGAGATATCTCTTTGACCCACTGCTTTCCTTTCCTTTGGATAAATACCCAGTAGTGGGATTGCTCAATCATATGCTAGTTCTATTTTTAGTTTTTTTGAGCAACCTCCATATTGTTTTCTGTAATGGCTGCACTAATTTACATTCCCACCAACAGTACATAAGAGTTCTTCTTTCTTCACATCCTCACCAGTATTTGTTATTTTTTTGTCTTTTTGATTATAGCAGTTTTAACTGGGTTGAAATGAGATAATATCTCATTTTGTTTTGATTTGCATTTCCCTGATGATGTTACTGAGACACCCAGTCTAGATCCTGCTGCTCACTGCACAGTAAGCCAATCACTGAGACAATGAGTGTTGCCAGGAAAGAAGGCTTTATTTGGGTGCTACAGCTGAAGAGATGGGTCGTCAGTCTCAAATCCATCTCCCTGATGGGCTAAAATTAGGGGTTTATATAGCAGAGAAGAAATCTATGTGCAGGAAAATAGGAACTAAGGAGGGGTAAGGAAGCAATTCTGATGAATGAGGGGTGTGGCATCTCATTGTCTGGATGTGGTGATCTGGTTAATTTTAGTTCTTTGATACTTTTTGAAAGGCCTGAGTGTCATTTCCTGAGGAAAGAACTCAGATAAAGATAAATCAAATGAAAGTTTCAGATTTTAAGATCAGAAGGGTCAATTTCTGTTTATACAAAAAAACTGTCTATGGGACTATTGGGCTGATTTCAATGGTAAATGATGTTGACATTTTTTCATATACCTGTTGACCATTTGTATGGTCTTTTGAAAAATGATATTCAAATCATTTGCCCATTTTTAAATTGGATTGTTTGGGTTTTTTTGTTTTTTTTTATTTTTGACAGAGTCTTGCTCTGTTGCCCAGGGTGGAGTGCAGTGGCGCGATCTTGGCTCACTGTAACCTCTGCCTCCCAGGTTCAAGCTATTCTCCAGCCTCAGCCTCCCAGGTAGCTGGGACCACAGGTGTGCACCACCGTGTCTGGCTAATTCTTTTTTTGTATTTTTAGTAGAGACAGGGTTTCACCATGTTGGCCAGGCTGGTCTTGAACTCCTGACCTCAGGTGATCCGCTCACTTTGGCCTTCCAAAGTGCTGGGATTACACAGGCGTGAGCTACCATGCCTGGCCGGGTTTATTTTTTGTTTTGTTTAGTTTTGTTTTGCTTTTGAATTGTTATGTTCCTTATATATTCTAGATATTAACTCCTTGTCAGATGGATAGTTTGCAATTATTTTCCTTCATTCTGTAGGTTGTCTCTTCACTCTGTTGATTGAATTCTTAGCTATGCAGAAGCTTTTTAGTTTGATATAATCTCGTTTGTCTATTTTTACTTGTGTGCCTGTGTTTTTGAGGTCTTATCCAAAAAATCTTTGCCCAGACCAACATCCTGAACAACAAACCCCTCTCTCTTATATTATTGATAGCCAAAGTTCTCTTTTTATTATTTTGAATTATTTGCTTATTTGTAATAGGTGTTTTTCCTAGTTATTTATTGATTTCTTTTAGACTGATAAGAAATTTTAGGTCATAAATTAGTTGCTACATAGACATTTCTTAACCAGTGAGATTGAAATTGTTTCCTTTATTCAAAACCTGTAATGAAGCTTAGCTTACAACTGCTTTCCTATTTAATTTTGAAGTGTAAGTAGTAGTGTTCTTGAATTTTGGTTGTTCTTCCCGCAATGTCTTTCTGTTGTCAGTCTAGTAAAGGGGCCAGAAGCACAGGCTCTGGAATCACAGGCTGGAAGCATATCCTACTGACACCTTTGGATGGTTACTCAGCTTTTTTGTATCCCCTGTTTTTTATTTTTTTCATCTGTGAAACTCGGAGATAATAATGGTACCTACTTCATATGTGAGAATTAAAACATTTAGAGCTAATACTACTGCTACTTGGCACAAATCATAACACTCTTGCTCAAAGCTCTCAGTAAACACGACTATTGCTATTCTTTACTTTTTCCTCTACAAGGCATACTTTTAAAAAAACAGTTTTACCATTTCTTAAATTAATACATTTTATATAATTTGCATGAAATATATTTATTTTTTTCCAGAAATACATAAAATTATGGAGTTTCAGAAGATATTGAGAATATATTTTTTAAAATGATTATAGAAAGATGTTCTTTTGATTTACATTTATCTCAAATGAACTTTTCTACCAAGGATTTTGTTGGATGCAGTTACAGCTGTCTATTTATTGGAGCATAGTTAACCTATTATAATGTGCTTCTTTTTGTTGTCACAATTGATATTATATTTTCCCATGAATATTTGATAATTAAAGCATCTTAGTTTTTTTTTTTTTTTTTTTTTTACAGCAGACATCAAAACATCTCAATTTATATATGAGAGAATTTATGGAGGCTTAAAACTAACAAACAAACTTGGGACTTGTGCAAGGTTATCCAGTGATAATTGTAGGACTCAATCGATGTAACTCAGAAGATCTGAATCATAGTAATATAAGCATACTAAATAAGCAGATTGCAATTTTAAATATAATAGTCTGTTTAGTCCTCAAGATAGTGAGAGCTGAGCCAAGACTTGAAGGAGGTACGAGAATTAACTACTTGGTTATCTGAGCAAGAGTATTCCAGGCAGAAGGAAAAGCCATGGCAAAGGCTCTAAAGCAGGAGCACAGAGAAACAGCGGAGTGGCCAGTGGAAGCAGAGAGAACAGAGGGACAAGTAGTAGAAGATAAAGTCAAGAGAGATAATAGAGGTTACCTTATGTAGGGCCCTGTAAACTATTGTAAAGACATTGTACTTCATTCAAGGAGAAATGGGAGCCTTTGGAATGTTTTGAGCACAGCAATAACCTCAGCTGACCTATATTCTGAAAGAGTAATTGTGGCTGCTGTGTTCAGACTTGGTTGCAGAGAAGGAGAATTGGAAACCAACAAGTAGAGAATTATTGAAGTAATCTAGGATTTAAAAAAAAATGATGATGCCTTGGACAAACATAGCAGTTGTGTAGGTAGTGCAGAGTGGTCAGATTCTGGAATTTTGAAGGAGCCATTAGGGTTACTGAGATTGGATATAGGGTACAAGAGAAGATGTGGTATCAAGAATGAATCTAGCCAGGCGCAGTGGCTCACGCCTGTAATCCCAGCACTTTGGGAGGCTGAGGTGGGCAGATCACCTGAGGTCGGGAGTTTGAGACCAGCCTGACCAACATGGAGAAACCCCGTCTCTACTAAAAATACAAAATTAGCTGGGCGTGGTGGCGCATGCCTATAATCCCAGCTACTCGGGAGCCTGAGGCAGGAGAATCGCTTGAACCCAGGCAGAGGTTGTGGTGAGTCAAGATTGTGCTATTGCACTCCAGCCTGGGCAACAAGAGCAAAACTCCATCTCAAAAAAAAAAAAAAAAAAAGAAGAAGAATGAATCTAAGAGTTTTACCCAGAGAAATTGGCAGGTTAGAGTTGCTTGCCTTGAAATGAAGAAGTGTGGAGTGGAGCAGGTGTGAGGGGAGGAGGATCTGGTGCTCCATTTTGAACATGTGAATATTGAGGTACTTATCAGACATGCATGTAGTAATAATGTTTAATAGACAGTAAGACTGAAGAGTGAGCTTTATAATAGATACATGCACTTGAGAGTTGTAGACATATGGATGGTATTGAAAATTATGAGGCCAAATGAGATCACCAAAGGAATGAGTGTTGATAGAGAACAGAAAAAGCTAATAATGAACCCTGTAACACTTCAATTTGAACTTAGAGCCTAGATGGCAGAAGTGGAACCAGCCAAGGTGTGACCAGTAACAGGATAAAAACAGACAATGCAGAAAATACATTATGGAGAAGGAAGTGTTAAACTTATCAAAGGCAATTGAAAAGTTACATAAGATGAGGACTTAGAATTAATATAGAATCGAGGAAGTTGTTTATTCCATCCTCATTCCTCTTAACATGCATATGGTTGGTGGTATGATAAACCATATGGGGTTAAGATAAAGTATGACCATGCATTTACCAACAGTGTGTGGGTTGATGTGGTCAAAATCTATGTGAGTTCTTTAATGATTATTTCAGGTTTTTTTTTTTTTTAATAAGGAAGTAAGCATGGTCAACAGTGACATGAGAAGGAGGTTTGAGAAGTGAGGAGAATGTGTAAAATAGTGGTCTAGAAGATTAGGTATATGTGTGTGCTAGGGAAATATGGTAAGATTGCTAGACAGCATTAAGGCCCACTTGAGTTTCACAGTCATGATGATCTCATGGATGCCTAATTCATATAATATGAGCAAAAAGATGTGGCTCATAAAGGGCAACACCAGTTACCTTATGGGTAATATTTAGGTTGTGATGGTTCTAGATATTTATATGAGTGAGTAGTAACTATTTTAGAGCAGTAAAAAGCAACTCCGAAAATGCTGCTTATCCTATTCCTTAATCCATACAATGGAAAGAAAATTATAAGTAAATGCATCCAGAAGATGGGACTATTTCACTGGCACCAAAGGAAAAAACACTTTTGGAATTAGGGGATGTAAATTTTGGAAATATATTTAATTTGGAGCAGGTGAGATTCCAGACTTTTCAGGTAATTTTGTTCTAGTATATTAACCAAAATAGTAAATACCATCTGTTATTGAGTGTTTGCCATGTGCCAGCTACTGAGATAATCACTTCATATCAATGATGTCATTTAATTCTCCAAATATCCCAATGAGGTAGGTTTTCTAATCCCAGTTTTAAAGATGAAAAACCTGAGGCTCTGTGGAAGGTGGAAGTTAAGTGACTTGCCTGAAGGCTAAAGATAGTGGCTGGGCCAAGATAAGTCCCAGCCTTGTCTAGTTACAAAGCCTATGTGCTTAACTGTGCTACCTTGCCTCCTAGTCTAATAAATTTTGTATCACATTAATAAATACGTTTTTCTAGTTATACAAGTAATGACTATGAAGGCATTTCAAATATTTTTTTTTTTGCTGGGATTCCATAAACCCAAAATTGAATGAATCTAGTAATGAATCCTTGGTAATTGAAGATGTGGTTTTAATTTTGATTTGAGTTAAATGTAAATACTGTAGTTTATCAGCTACCTAATAGAGATGCTTAATATGTTATCCATTAGTGCTCATCCAACATTTTAAAAAAGTTTTCATGTATACTTCTTTGTATTTTCTTCCGTTTCAAATAATTTTCTTTCTTTTCTTTTTTTTTTTTTTTTTTTGAGACGGAGTCTCGCTGTATCTCCCAGGTTGGAGTGCAGTGGCGCGATCTCGGCTCACTGCAAGCTCCGCCTCCCAGGTTCATGCCATTCTCCTGCCTCAGCCTCCCAAGTAGCTGGGACTACAGGCGCCCGCCAACATGCCCGGCTAATTTTTTGTATTTTTAGTAGAAACGGGGTTTCACCGTGTTAGCCAAGATGGTCTCGATCTCCTGACCTCGTGATCCACCCGTCTCGGCCTCCCAAAGTGCTAGGATTACAGGCGTGAGCCACCGCGCCCGGCCTCAAATAATTTTCTAATGTTATTGTATTATATATAATTTATATGTAAGATGTTTCCTTACTGTAATCATTTTAAAACATATTTTAAAATATTGGTCATTGTCTCTAATAAAAATTGTTTTAGCTTCTTCTTTTATTATATCCATGAGAACTATAAAAATATTTGCCAGGCATGGTGGCTCATGCCTGTAACTTCAGCACTTTGGGAGGGCAAGGTGGATAGATCATCTCAGGTCAGGAGTTCGAGACCAGCCTGGCCAACATGGTGAAACCCCATCTCTACTAAAAATACAAAAATTAGCCGGGTGGTAGTGGCACATACCTGTAATCCCAGCTACTGAGGAGGCTGAGACAGGATAATCACTTGAGCCTGGGAGGTGGAGGTTGTAGTGAGCTGAGATTGCACCACTGCACTCCAGTCTAGGTGACAGAAAGACCCTGTCTCAAAAAACAAAAACAAAATCTATAAAAATATTGTTTAACCAAATGTTTCATACTGTACAGGTAACAACTGGCGATGCTTTTCAGTTATGAAGTTGTGTCTTTCAAAACCAATATTATTTATGTCCTAATCTTTTCCTAATAGTTTTGAAAAACAAATATAAGATAAAATCAAATTTTCAAATTTAATGTCACATATATATTTATTCAAAAAAGACAGGCCAAATAAGAAATACAGACTTAAAAGCTTTTATATGCAGTCGGTAAGAAATGACATATTACATGATTAATGAAAATAATAAATTAGTAATGAGAGTTTCAATCTAATGTTCAAACTTGTTTACTAAGATTATGCAATCATAATACTGAACTATGGACATAATTTTAATGATTCAAGATAACCTTGCCTGGTAGCTGGATTTAGAACCCAACTCTCAAGGCAGTAGTCAAGTATTTTACCCTAAAATCATTTTAACAAGTAGTCTTCATAATGCTTGTAGTATTTTCTTCTCTATAGTTGTACACTCATTTTCATGACTTCCCTTTTATTCACAAATCATGTAATTATTTTTATTGCCTGGCCTGGATTTGTGAATAAGAGATTGTGACTAGTAGATATTTTTGCTATTCAAAAGGAGTAAGTTAATATTTTATTTTTTCATGTAAAACATAATTAGGAAACTTAATTACTTCAGTTGTTTTTAGTCATAGCTTAGTTTTTAGAACTATTTTTAAATGCTGTCTACATACCTCTCTTTTATCTTTCTCTTATGTAAAGACCAAGACATTTGGAGGAGGTGGTGGTGGTGCTAGAAGTAATCTCAATATGAATGCTGCTGGTAACCGAAATAGGGAAGTTTTACAGAAAGAAAAGTCAACCAAATCAGAGGGAAAACATGAAGGTGTCTATAGAGAACTGGTAAGGCTAAAGAACTAACCACAAATTTAAAGTGTTATTTCTTAAAATGATTCTTTTATTCTTTCTTACCACCACCACTGGCTTTGTGCAATGTATTATGGATAGATGTTATAACTCTTGAAGGCTTTCATTAAGGATTACAATTAAATCATTAAAAATTTGGATTGTTTGAAAAATAATTTACTTAAAACTTCTATCTCACTTAAATTACTAATGTCCTAATAATATATTTTGGAATGGATTGATAAAAAGCCATCAAAAGATGATGCATCAAAAACATACATTTTTCTGTGCTTCCCCACCTTCCCCACATCTTTTGTCAAATTTTGTCTAAAGTGATTTTGTTTTGTTTTCTACTGCTCTTTGGGAAGAATATTGTGAAACAAGCATATGTATTATGTGGACCCAATTGCAAAATATTCTTGAATTTTTAAGATAAATGAGTGGAGTCAAACATATTTCTGGCATGCTGTAGTGTTCTCAGATCTAAGGATGTTTGCAAAAATTCATTTTCCTCTCCCTTTAGAGGTTGAATGACTTTGGTTGATTTTTGTCTTTAGGGTACAGAATATCCCAAAACAGCTTAAACCATGGAGGTTTATTATTTCATATAACAAGAAGTTCAGAAGTAGATGGTTACAAGTGTTGGTAAATTCAGCAGTATAACAATATTAGGGCATTTGTGGGTATTTCCATGATTTCTTGGCTTTCTCCTTAGTGTTATGTAACTGCTCAATGGATTCACCTTACCCACTGCCTAAATAAAGCTGATTTATCAAGACAGGGGAATTGCAATAGAGAAAGAGTAATTCATGCAGAGCCAGCTATCGTGAGAGACTGGAGTTTTATTATACTCAAATCCATCTCAGTGATCATTCAGGAATCAGAGGTATTTTTTTTTTTTTGAGATGGCATTTCACTCTTGTTGCCCAGGCTGGAGTGCAATGGCTCAATCTTGGCTCACTGCAGCCTCTGCCTCCTGGGTTCAAGTGATTCTCCTCTCTCAGCCTCTTGAGTAGCTGGGATTATAGGCACCTGCCACCACACCCAGCTAATTTTTTGCATTTTTAGTAGAGACAGGGTTTCACTATATTAGTGAAACTGGTCTCGAACTCCTGACCTCAGATGATCCACCCGCTTCTTCGGCCTCCCAAGGTGCTGGGATTACAGGCGTGAGCCACCATGCCCGGTGGGATAAAAGTTTTTAAGGACAAGTTGGTGGGTGGGGGAAGCCAGTGAGCCAAGAACACTGATCTTAGGAGCAGTTTGTGGAGGGTCAGAATCTTGTAGCCTCCAGCTGCATAACTCTTAAACCATAGTTTCTAATCTTGTGGCCGTGATGGCTAATATGGAGTGTCAACTTGATTGGATTGAAGAATACAAAGTATTGATCCTGAGTGTGTCTGTGAGGGTGTTGCCAAAGGAGATTAACATTTGAATCAGTGACTTGGGAAAGGCAGACCCACCCTTAATCTGGGTGAGCACAATCTAGTCACCTGCCAGTATGGCTACAATATAAACAGGTAGAAAAATGTGAAAAGACAGACTGGCCTAGGCTCCCAGCCTACATCTTTATCCTGTGCTGGATGCTTCCTAACCTCAAACATCAGACTCCAAGTTCTTCAGTTTTGGAACTTGGACTGGCTCTCCTTGCTCCGTAGCCTGCAGATGGTCTATTGTGGGACCTTGTGAGTTAATACTTAACAAACTCCCATATATATATATATATATATATATATATATATATATATATATATATATATATATATCCTCTAAAGTTTTGTCCCTCTAAAGAACCCTAATACAGATTTTGGTACCAGGAGTGGTTCTAGAGGAACAAAATATTAAGGATGTATTTGTTTCGTTAGATTTGGGATTTTTGGAGTTGGCTGCTTAATATGATTAGATCCAAAACTGCTATGGACTCTACTTCTAATAGTGTGGAGAACACTGATAGTCCTTCACATGAACTTTTTAGAGAGTTATGCAAAATAAATGCATTTACTGTTTTTGATTCATCACTCATGAGAGGCAAGGAGTTTAGTGACTCTATACATAATACCTTTGACCATATGTGGAGAACCAAGGAACATAATGAAGCTGGTTGGTTGCTTCTAAGTTTGGTGGACAAAGTGATGAAAGAAAATGATGAACTCAGGCATCCTATCTCCTGGCTTCAGAAGCAGATACTGAGCCTCAAATCTGCTAAGATTGCCCTGAGTAAGAGTCTTATTGTTACTGGAGGGTCCTTGTTCTTAGAGCTCCCAAGATGGTGGTGGGCTGCTTCCAAGATGGCAGCAAGCTGCTTGTTCTCTGACCTGGCATTCTTGGCCTCATGGATTCTAAGGAATGGAACCTTGGGCCATGCAGTGTTATAGCTCTGTTAGAAGCGGTGGGTCACGGAAGAAAACCGTGGAACCCAGCAACTAGTGTTCAGCTCAATTAGGACGAACCGGGGACTTAGCCATACAGGAACAATGGCAAGTCTTTAGCCTGATTGGGAGCGGCAGCTGGCACCCCACTGGATCAGAAACACAGTGGACACCCTGCTGGATCCGGAAGGGTGGAAGTCAACGGCGGGTCTGGGACGGCGGTGAACAGCAGTGGTGGATGGCAAGCGAAAGCTCAGCTTGAGTCTTAACAAACATGGACCAGAAGAGTGTGCAGTTGCAAGATTTAATAGAGTGAAAACAGAGCTCCCATAAAATGGGAGGGGACCCAAAGGGGGTTGTCATTGCCAGCTCGAATGCCTGGGTTTAGATCCCGATCATTGTCCCTCCCCCTGTGCTCTCAGGTGATAGATGATTGGCTATTTCTTCTGTTTTTGCCTAATTAGCATTTTAGTGAGCTCTCTTTACTACCTGATTGGTCGGGTGTGAACTAAGCTCCGTGTTTAAAGGTGGGTGCAGTCACCTTCCCCAGCTAGGCTTAGGAATTCTTAGTCGGCCTAGGAAATCCAGCTAGTCCTGTCTTTCATTATCTCCTGTGGAGAAAAAGCTGAAATTGTGGAAAAACAGACACAAGCTCTTATCATGTGAGTGGCTGACATGAAATGAAAGGTGCATGCACAGTCTTGCCAGGTGTCTACTTTTAAAGTGAGGGCATTGGTTGGAAAAGAGTAGGACCTTGTAGCTTGGAATGGGGATGTGTGGGTGGGCCCTGATGAAGCTGGGGACACTGAGTTTGTAAACTCTGATGAATTTTTTTTTGCTAGAAGAAACAGCTTCCCCATCCCCAGTAATGGCTTGAGTTTTCTAATTTATATAAACAGAAATCTGAAGAGCAGACATGGGAATGTATATTAAGGGTGTGGGATAATGGTGGAAGCAACATTGAGTTGGATCAGGCTGAATTTATTGATTCAGGCCTGCTAAGTAGGCCTGAATCTGCATTTAATATTGCAGCTCGGGGGGTTAAAAAAAAAGGCTAATAGTTTATTTGCTTGGTTAGCTGAAATGTGGATTAAAAGATGGCCCACTGTGAGCAAGCTGGAAATGCCTGATCTCCCTTGGCTTAATGTAGAGGAAGGGATACAATGGCTTAGGGAGATTGGGATGGTGGAGTGGATTAGTCTCTTTAGACCTACTCATTCCAGCTGGGAGGGTCCAGAAGATATACCCTTGAGCAACGCCTTGCAAAATAGATTTGTGAGGGCAGCACAGGCATCTTTGAAGATGCCCTGTAATTGCTCTTCTCTGTATGTCAGAGCTAACAGTGTGAACTGCAGTCACTCAACTACAAAATTTAACTGCAGTGGGAATAATTGGATCCCAAGGTGGCAGGGGCCAAGTGGTGGCACTCAACCATCAAAGGCAAGGTTAAGCGTGGCTACTGTAATGGACGGTAGAAGCAAAACGGCAATCAGAATATTCTGACTTGTGTAGAGCTCTGGCATTGGCTAATTAATCATGGTGTTCCTAGATGTGAAATTGATAGGAAGCCTACTGCATTCCTACATAATTTAGACAAGCAGAAAGCTTCTAGGTCTAATGGACAAAAGACTAATTTGAATTATGAAAGTAGAGATTTGTGGCCCCTCAATCAATTTTCAGCCAGTTTACAGACCCAGAATCCCTTGAATGAAGGGGAGGCTGGGTCCCCTTGAGGAAAGACCCCACCGACAGTTTATGCAGTGAGTCTTTCTTCTATCCTTCCCCAAGGAGACCTCCGGCCTTTTACCAGGGTAACTGTGCATTGGGGAAAGAGAAATGATCAAACGTTTTGGGGACTACTGGAAACTGGCTCAGCTGATGTTGATTCCAGGGGACCCAAAATGTCACTGTGGTCCTCCAGTTAAAGTAGGGGCTTATGGAGGTCAGGAAATTAAAGGAGTTTTAGCTCAGGTCCAAATTACAGTGGGTCCAGTGGGTACGCGGACTCATCCTGTGGTCATTTCCCCAGTGCCAGAATGCATAATTGGAATAGACATACTTAGCAGCTGGCAGAACCCTCACACTGGCTCCCTGACTGGTAGGGTGAGGGTGATTATGGTGGAAAAGGCCAAATGGAAGCCATTAGAGCTGCCTCTACCTAGAAAAATAGTAAATCAAAAACAATATTGCATCCCTGGAGGGATTGCAGAGATTAGTGCCACCATCAAGGACCTGAAAGACACAGGGGTGATGATTCCCACCACATCCCCATTCAACTCTCCCATTTGGCCTGTGCAGAAGACAGATGGATCTTGGAGAATTACAGTGGATTATCAAGTGGTGACTCCAATTGCAGCTGCTGTACCAGATGTGGTTTCATTGCTTGAGCAAATTAACACATCTCCTGGTACCTGGTATGTAGTCATTGACTTGGCAAATGCCTTTTTCTCCATTCTGGTCCATAAGGTCCACCCGAAGCAATTTGCCTTCAGCTGGCAAGGCCAGAAATATACCTTTACTGTCCTTCCTCAGGGGTATATCAACTCTCTGGCTTTGTGTCATAATTGTATTCAGAGAGAACTTGATCACTTTTCACTTCTGCAAGATATCACACTGGTCTCTTACAGTGATGACATATGCTGATTGGATCCAGTAAGCACGAAGTAGCAAACACAGTGGGCTTATTGGTGAGATATTTGCATGCCAGAGGATGGGAAATAAATCTGACTAAAATTCAGGAATGTTCTGCCTCAGGAAAATTTCTAGGGGTCCAGTGGTGTGGGGCGTGTTGAGATATTCGTTCTAAGGTGAAGGATAAGTTGCTGCATTTATAACCAAGAAAGAGGCACAATGCCTAGTGGGCCTATTTGGATTTTGGAGGCAACACATTACTCATTTGGATGTGTTACTCTGGCGGATTTATCAAGTGACCCAAAAGGCTGCCAGTTTTGAGTGGGGTCCAGAACAGGAGAAGGCTCTGCAACAGGTCCAGGCTGCTGTGCAAGCTGCTCTGCCACTTGGGCCATATGACCCAGCAGATCCAATGGTGCTTGAGGTGTCAGTGGCACAGATGCTAGTTGGAGCCTTTCGCAGGCCGCCATAGGTGAATCACAGCAGAAGCCTCTAGGATTTTGGAGCAAGGCCCTGCCATCTTCTGTGGATAACTGCTCTTTTTTTGAGAGACGGCTCTTGGCCTGTTACTGGGTTTTGGTGGAAACCGAACATTTGACTATGGGTCATCAAGTCACCATGCAACCTGAACTGCCTATCATGAACTGGGTGCTTTCTGACCTATCTCACCATAAAATGGCTCATGCACAGCAGCATTCCATTATCAAATGGAAGTTGTATATGTGATTGGGCTTGAGCAGGTCCTGAAGGCACAAGTAAGTTACATGAGGAAGTGGCTCAAATGTCCATGGTCTCCAATCCTGCCACCCTGCCTTGTCTCCCCAAGTCTGCACCAGTGGCCTCATGGGGAGTCCCTATGATCAGTTGACAGAGGAAGAGAAGACTGGGGCCTGGTTCACAGAGGGTTCTGCACAATATGCAGGCACCACCCAAAAGTGGACAGCTACAGCCTACAGCCCCTTTCTAAGACATTTCTGAAGGATAGCAGTGAAGGGTAATCTTCCCAGTGGGCAGAACTTCAAGCAGTGCACCTAGTTGTGCACTTTGCATTTAAGGAGAAATGGCGAAATGTGCGATTATATACTGATTTATGGGCTGTAGCCAATGGTTTGGCTGGATTATCAGGGACTTGGAAGAAGCATGATTGGAAAATTGGTGACAAAGAAATTTGGGAAAGAGGTATGTTGATGGACCACTCTGAGTGGTCAAAAACTGTGAAGATGTTTGTATCCCATGTGAGTGCTAATCAATGGGTGACCTCAGCAGAGGAGGATTTTAGTAATCAAGTGGATAGGATGACCCATTCTGTGGACACCACCTCAACCTCTGTTCCAGCCACACCTATTATATTCCAATGTGCCCATGAACAAAGTGGCCATGGTGGGAGGGAGGGAGGTTACGCTTGGGCTCAGCAACATGGAACTCCACTCACCAAGGCTGACCTGGCTATGGCCAGTGACTATTCCTTGGGGTGATCAGCCAGCTACCTGTTGGCACGTTGATTATATTGCACATTTTCCATCATGGAAAGGGCAGAGGTTTGTTCTCACTGGAATAGCCACTCACTATCTGCCTAAGTAATTTCTTCTTAACTCCTGTATCATTCCCCCCGCTGGAGTGGTAACTCTAACTGCTGTTAGGGGGTGTTGGACGATGACTCTTTTGGCTACTTCCTGCTTAAGAGAGGCATTGTGTGGGGAACAACAGCTAGGGCTCCTCCTAGGATCAATCTAAAGGTCCTCAGCAGAAAGATGTGTCCATGCATTGTTCTGTCTACAGCACCATTTGGAGTTTGATTGCTGTCAGCCATTCCGATGGGTTGTAATACTGGTTTGCCTCCACCAGATGTTGCTGAAACACTAATATAAATGGAACATTCCTTTTGGGATAAGTAGCATTGGATTTGGATGGCTAGAGTAACTTCAGTGTTAACCCTGGCTAAATCTTTTCTGCAATTATTAATCCCTCCATGACTTACACAGACCATCTAAGACATGCTTAAACTTTCCTACTTGTCCTAAACATCCTTCTTTTTAAACAACCAAAGATTCTTTTTAGGACAAGTGTTTACCATCCATAAAATCATTTTATGACTTCCCCAAACCATCCACAAAATGCTTAAACCTTCTGACTTGTCCTGAACATCCCTCTTTTAAACAACCAACTATTCTCTTTAGGACAAGTACTTACTATACAAGATCCTTTCTTATATAAAATCTCTTTCCTTTATAACCTTATTTGCATAGCCAGGGTGTGACATGTTACCAAACCCAATAAAGTTCTAGCAGACTCAGTGATAGTAAAATTTTTATGCTTCTTTTTTGTTGGTAACTATTATTCCTGCTATCAGGATAATAATTACACAAAATACTATAGCAATGGAAACTCTCTGTCTGATATTCCAGTTAGAAGGTGGTAACGTGTATAACCCTACTGCAAATAGTAGAGTGAGTATAGCAGTTCCCGCAAGTGTTGTGTAGTACATAATTTCCATCTAAAATTTTACTTGCTAAGATACAGAATTTCCTTTTGTGGTTCTATGAAGATCCTTAGTTTTATCTTCCCAAATGAACCTCTGGGTTATGGGCACCCTACTCACTTTCATTACCTGACAGAATTTGCAGGATAATTGTCCAGAACTAGGATATTGATCCAGATTTTTACATTACCCATGCCTTTTTGTTTCTTCCAAGCTGCAAGAGATCACCACTTGATTCACAGGAATAAGCAGGGTTAGTCTAAAATGTCAACAAAATAAACTAAAAAACAATTAATGAGACTGGAATTTAATGACAAATGTATAAGCTTTGGATCATAATTTTTCTCTCTCTAGTCCTTATTTTTGGTAAAAACAAATTATGATAGGACTGTGTTTTTTGTAGAATAAACTTTAGTCTTATACTTGGCCTGATTATTTGCATAAAGTGCAGCAAGAATGATTATTTCTATATAGGCCTTTTGGATTGTCTTTGATGGAACTCTGTTCCACAAGGAACCTCAGATAAGATCTTTTAAAGCTGAGCTCAGCCATGGGTTTGTATCTTCAAATACCTGTGAGTTGGGTGATCTTCTCCTCTAAAGGCCCCAGGATAAACCAGGAGCTCCTGGTCCTGTTAGAAAGTGACATTCTTTACTGACCACAGGTCAGGAACCTTGTACAGGATTATATATATAGGTATGAGGCCAGTTCTCTCCATGGGAATTTTATTGTCTCTACAAGTTGAGATTGACTCCTTAAAGGGAAGCATATCCTTCCAGTCAAAGCCTTGATAAAATAACCGGTTTTTCTAATTGTGTCCTGTTGCAAAAGGAAAATGGATTCTTATTGAACTGATGCAAACTACTATATTGTGATAACTTAAGAGTACTCAGAGATAGTTTTGAAATTCTAGAGGAACCAGGCAGAGAGAAACAAACATGCTCCAAACTTTGTTCACAGAATACCTTATTCAATTATTAAAGGCTGTAAATCGTTCAAAATAAGTTTCCTTGACTCTGAAAGACAAACAAGGATCATCAATATTCTAAGAAAAATAAAAAAGGTTCCTTTAGCTTTCTGAGTTTAGTCCATTTAGTTAACTTCTGTTTTGCTTGATACTTGTGAACATTTCAGTTCTTCATGAGTCCTGTACCTTTTTCTCTATTCCAGTGTTACAATCTTCAAAGCTATTAGAATCCTGCATTTGAGAGCACCTGTTAAAGTTGTATAGCTTGATTGTAACCCATCTTTTGAGAAGGAACAGAGCAAGACAAGAATTGTCTGCAAATGACATTTCCAGGGTAGTTACAGTTAAAAACATGACTGATAAAGTTTAGTTATCTGTGGTTTACAATAACTTGACAACCTTAATTATGATTAATAGGATATAATTAGACATTCGACTTTTAGAAATTCCATACAATATTGGAACATATATTAGTATTATTCACCAAAATATAACTTAAAGAAGATTGCACATCATTTCGGAAATCCAATGTGACTAAACATGCCAAACAATCCTGTTTATCTCTTCTCTGGATGTTTCAGGGGCCCTCTGAACCATCCAGAAAGCAAGGTATCCGGAAAGAAAATTTTGAAACTTGAAGTTTGATTTTGGGAAGGCTGCTAAATGTTGGAGGACTTAAAACACTTGATGTTATGAAATAGAATTCCATATTGCTACAAATTATTTATTTTGCCAAAATGATAACTCAAAAGGCAAAAGCCTTTCATTAGCCTTTACTATTACATGAAAATCCTGTTGAAAGCCAAATTGTACCCTTGCATCAGTTTATTAATGTTAACCCCAATTGGTTTAAATGAAACCTTATAGACGATTCCATCTAATCTTAACCAGTTTGACCATAAATGAAATCTTTACAAACCTTTTATAATGCTTTTTGCTAAAGGGCAGATTGGCATCAGAAGAAAACCTTGCTGTGCTTTTATTTCAATGCTCAATTTATGAAAAGATCATATACTTTTTTGAATTTAGTTAATGTTTGTGTGTTTTTGCAAGATTAATTTTAAAAATTTTAGAATTTTTTAAATCTTTTTATAATTTGCTTAATTACCTCTAGGTTTATCTTATCAAATCTGAGATAATCACTCATCCCTGGGCAAAATTTACATTTTCATGCTTTCTGATAATCTTTTACTAAAAAAAGTTACTGTTTTTATACACCTTGCTTGTAAAACTGTTTAGTGATCTCAAATACATGTTGCAATGTAAACTCTTAGCAACTTTTACTTTTGGTGAAAAACCTGGTTAGTAAGCAGTTTTAATTGTGTACCAGGTATGGAGCCTAGGACCCAGACAGAAGTGCAGATAAGGTCTGACTTTCCAGCATCTAACTCCATATGTCCCAGGACTTGCCTGTCTGTAAAGCAGGCAGTTTACAACCTTAAAACATTTAGCAAACCTAGTATCTGACTTGTATGATTTAGACCACATATTTGCATTTTGATGACACTTGCATTTTACCATCCTTAAGACATTTTGTTTCTTAAATATTAAAGTCACATGAACTAAAAAGCATTACAGCTTTTATCTTTCCTTAAAAAAATATTTGATTCGGTGGTGGCTGGCAAGATGGCTGAATAGGAACAGCTCCGGCCTGCAGCTCCTAGCGAGACTAAGGCAGAAGGCAGGTGATTTCTGCATTTTCAACTGAGGTACCTGGCTCATCTCATTGGAACTGGTTAGACAGTGTGTGCAGCCCATGGAGGGCGAGCAGAAGCAGAGTGGGGCGTTGCCTCACCTGGGAAGCACAAGGGGTCGGGGAACTGTCTCCCATAGCCAAGATAAGCCATGAGGTATTGTGCCATGAGGAATAGTGGACTTCGGCCCAGATACTATGCTTTTCTCACAGTCTTCACAACCTGCACACCAGGAGATTCCCTTGGGTGCTCATGCCACCAGGACCCTGGGTTTCCAGCACAAAACTGATGGCCTTTTGGGCAGACACTAACCTAGCTGCAGGAGTTATTTTTTCATACCCCAGTGACGCCTGGAATGCCAGTGAGACAGAACTGTTCACTCTGCTGGAAAGGGGGCTGAAGCCAGGGCGCCAAGTAGTCTAGCTCAGCGGATCCCACCCCCACAGAGCCCAACAAGCTAAGATCCACTGGCTTGAAATTCTCGCTGCCAGCACCACAGTCTGAAGTTGACCTGGGATGCTTGAGCTTGGTTGGGGAGAGGGGTGTCTGCCATTACTAAGCCTTAGTAGGCAGTTTTCCCCTCACAGTGTAAACAAAGCCACCAGGAAGTTCTCACTGGGCAGAGTCCACCGCAGCTTGGCAAATCTGCTGTAGCCAGACTGCGTCTCTGGATTCTTCCTCTCTGGGGAGGGCATTTGTCAAAGAAAGGCAGATGCCTCAGCCAGGGGATTATAGATAAAACTCCCATGTCCCTGGGACAGAGCAACTGGGGGAAGGGGCGGCTGTGGGCACAGCTTCAGCAGACATAAACATTCCTGCCTGCCGGCTCTGAAGCAAGCAGCGGATCTCTCAGCACAGTGCTTCTTAACTAAAGGAGCATGTTCTAACCCAATGCAAGGAAGCTAAGAAACTTGAAAAAAGGTTAGAGGAATTGCTAACTGGAATAACTAGTTTAGAGAAGAACATAAATGACCCGATGGAATTGAAAAACATAGCACGAGAACTTTGTGAAGCATACACAAGTATCAATAGCCGAATTGATAAAGTGGAAGAAAGGATATCAGAGATTGAAGATCAACTTAATGAAATAAAGTGGAAAGACAAGATTAGAGAAAAAAGAATGAAAAGGAACAATGAAAGCCTCCAAGAAATATGGGACTATGTGAAAAGACCAAACCTACATTTGATTGGTGTACCTGAAAGTGACAGGAAGAATGGAACCAAGTTGGAAAACACACTTCAGGATATTGTCCGGAAGAACTTCCCCAAC
Organism: Homo sapiens; assembly: GCF_000001405.40. NCBI lineage: Eukaryota > Metazoa > Chordata > Mammalia > Primates > Hominidae > Homo > Homo sapiens. The sequence goes on from NC_000013.11 coordinate 60,505,989, forward strand.
CTAGCAAGACAGGCCAACATTCAAATTCAGAAAATACAGAGAACACCACAAAAATACTCCTTGAGAAGAGCAACCCCAAGACACATAATCATCAGATTCACCAAGGTTGAAATGAAGGAAAAAATATTAAGGGAAGCCAGAGAGAAAGGTCAGGTTACCCTCAAAGGGAAACCCATCAGACTAATGGCACATCTCTCTGCAGAAACCCTACAAGCCAGAAGAGTGGTGGCCACTATTCAACATTCTTAAAGAAGAGTTTTCTTTAAGAATTTCATATCTAGATTTTCATACCAGCCAAACTAAGCTTCAAAAGCAAAGGAGAAATAAAATCCTTTACAGACAAGAAAATGCTGAGAGATTTTATCACCACCAGGCCTGCCTTACAAGAGTTCCTGAAGGAAGCACTATATATGGAAAGGAGCAACCGGTACTAACCACTGCAAAAACATACCAAATTGTAAAGAACATTGACACTGGCCGAGTGCAGTGGCTCATGCCTGTAATCCCAGCACTTTTGGAGGCCAGGGTGGGCGGATCGCAAGGTCAGGATTGAGTTTGAGGAGTTTGAGACCAGCCTGGCTAACATGGTGAAAGCCCATCTCTACTAAAAATACAAAAACTAGCTGGGCGTTGTGGTGCATGCCTATAATCCCAGCTACTTGAGAGGCTGAGGCAGGATAATCACTGGAACCTGGGAGGCGGAGTTTGCAGTGAGCTGAGATTGCACTACGGCACTCCAGCCTGGGTGACAGAATGAAACAAACAAACAAAAAAAAGAACATCGACACTATGAAGAAACTGCATCAGCTAAAGGGCAAAATAACCAGCTAGCATCATAATGACATGATCACATTCACACATAACAATATTAGCCTTAAATGTAAATGGGCTAAATGTCCCTATTAAAAGGCACAGACTGGCAAATTGGATAAAGAGTCAAGACCCATCAGTGTGCTGTATTCAGGAGACCCATCTCACGTGCAAAGACACACATAGGCTCAAAATATGGGGATGGAGGAATATTTACCAAGCAAATGGCAAGCAAAAAAAATGCAGGGGTTGCAATCCTAGTGTCTGATGAAACAGGCTTTAAACTAACAAAGATCAAAAGAGACAAGGGCATTACATAATGGTAAAAGGATCAATGCAAGAAGAGCTAACTATCCCAAATATATATGCACCCAATACAGGAGCACCCAGATTCATAAAGCAAGTTCTTAGAGACCTACAAAGAGATCTTAGACTCCCACACAATAATAGTGGGAGACTTTAACACCCCACTGTCAATATGAGGTCATCGAGACAGAAAATTAACAAGGATATTCAGGACTTGAACTCAGCTCTGGACCAAGCGGACCTAATAGACATCTACAGAACTCTCCACCTCTAATCAAGAGCATATACATTTTTCTCAGCACTATGTCATACTTTAAAATTGACCACATAATTGGAAGTAAAACACTCCTCAGCAAATGCAAAAGAACGAAAATAATAACAGTCTGTCAGACCACAGTGCAATGAAATTAAAACTCAGGATTAAGAAACTCACTCAGAATGGCACAAATAGGTGGAAACTGAACAACCTTCTCCTGAATGACTACTGGGTAAATAAAAAAATTAAGGCAAAAGTAAATAAGTTCTTTGAAACCAATGAGAACAAAGACAAAAAATACCAGAATCTCTGGGACACATTTAAAGCAATTTGTAGAGGGAAAGACTGGCACAAGACAAGGATGCCCTCTCTCACCACTCCTATTCAACATAGTATTGGATGTTCTGGCCAGGGCATTCAGGCAACAGAAAGAAATAAAGAGTATTCACATAGGAAGAGAGGAAGTCAAATTGTCTGTGTTTGCAGATGACATGATTGTATATTTAGAAAACCTCATTGTCTCAGTTCAAAATCTCCTTAAGCTGATAAGCAACTTTAGCAAACTCTCAGGATACAAAGCCAATGTGCAAAAATCACAAGCATTCCTATACACTGGTCATATACAAACAGAGAGCCAAATCATGAGTGAACTGCCATTCACAATTGCTACAAAGAGAATACCTAGGAATACAACTTACAAGGGATGTGAAGGACCTCTTCAAGGAGAACTAGAAACCATTGCTCAAGGAAATAAGAGAGGATACAAACGAATGGAAAAATATTCCATGCTCACGGATAGGAAGAATCAATATCATGAAAATGGCCATACTGCCCAAAGTAATGTATAGATTCAGTGCTATCCCCATCAAGCTACCATTGGTTTTCTTCACAGAATTAGAAAAAACTACTTTAAATTTCAGATGGGACCAAAAAGGAGCCCATGTAGCAAAGACAATCCTAAGCAAAAAGAACAAAGCTGGAGGCATCATGCTACGTGACTTCAAACTATACTAAAAGGCTACAGTAACCCAAACAGCATGATATTGGTACCAAAACAAATATATAGACCAATGGAACAGAACAGACGCCTCATAAATAACACCACACATCTGCAACCATATGATCTTTGACAAACCTGACAAAAACAAGCAATGGGGAAAGGATTTCCTATTTAATAAATTTTGCTGGGAAAACTGGCTAGCCATATGCAGAAAACTGAAACTGGATCCCTTCCTTACACCTTGTACAAAAATTAACTCAAGATGGATTAAAGACTTAAATGTAAGACCTAAAACCATAAAAATCCTAGAAGAAAACCTAGGCAATACCATTCAGGACATAGGCATGGGCAATATATTTCTTGTGAAAAAAGTTTAGAAAAGTCACTAAGCAAACTGATCACTGTAACCTTCATCAAGTTAACAGTGGTGATCCTTGGGGAGGAGGCACAATCTGACTTTCAGTTACCTAATTACAGGATTCAAAATGTCCACTTCCCAACAAAAAATTACAAAGCCTACAAAAGGCAGGAAAATTTAGCCCATTCACAAGAAAAAGAGAAATCCATAGAAACCACACCTCAAATAGCCCATGCATTGGACTTAACTAGAGAAAGACTTTAAATGGACTGTCTTATATATGCTCAAAGGTCTGAGAGAAACCATTGACAAAGAACTAAAGAAATCAGGAAAACAATGTATAAACATGTTAACTATTAGATGTATAAAAGTTAAAGTTTTGTTTTTCTCAGCTGGCTTTGGTTCAAGAAATTTCTTCGTAGGATATGTTTATACTCCTTAAGTGGTTCTTGAATTCTATTCAGGTCTAGATTTTTAAAAGAGATTTGGATTCTGGCATTTGTAAAGTAGATTTTCTTATTGGGGTATAGCTGTCAAAGCATCATAGATAGTATTGCTAATGAATATAGCTAGAATACTCAAGTACTAGTTTAAAAAAAAAAGCTCCTGGGGGGTATCATTTTGTTAGCTTCAATAGTTTACATTTTTGGAGAGGTGCTGTATGAATTACATTTCCCTTCTAGTATGGAGAAGTATCAAAAAATTTCCATTTTTTACCATGAAAAATTTTCATTAAGTAGTTTTCTCCTCACTGTCTATATTATTTTCAAAGGCCATACTCTAACATATCATAAAATTTATTTTTTGTGTGTTGCTTTTGCAGTGTTACTTGTGAGGTCAGAGAATACTCAAGGCACAACCCCACATATCATACAGATTCTTCCTTGCCTCTTGTAAAAAATCAGCAAGAGAATGTTGTATTAGAATGACATTTTTACATAAGTATGGGATGTAATTTTTAGTTAAAAGACAGTAAGTAGTTAAAAGTTTATGCCTTGCCTTATCTGTGGGCTATCAGCCAGCTTTTCTCTTTATTCCTTCCAGGTTGATGAGAAAGCTCTGAAGCACATAACGGAAATGGGCTTCAGTAAGGAAGCATCGAGGCAAGCTCTTATGGATAATGGCAACAACTTAGAAGCAGCACTGAACGTACTTCTTACAAGCAATAAACAGAAACCTGTTATGGGTCCTCCTCTGAGAGGTATAATTTATTAAGCAGTGTGCCAGATAGTATTGTTTGCTTTTCAGAGTAATATATGTTATTGACAGAGGCTGTTATTTCTGTGAGGGCTGTAATTTTGTTTAACATTATGGTAAGTGGAAGGAACACCAGTTTGGGAACCATAGAGACATTTGTAGTCTCAGTCTCATTGTCTTCATCTTTGTACAAAATGGATCTAACAACAACAACAAAACAAAAACAAAATGGGTCTAACAATACCTTATTTAACAAGGTTGTTATGAGTAATAGAGAAAATATGTGACTGGTTCTATTATTTCTAGAACTCTGCCACCTCAGTAAATGACTAAGCTTTTAAAAATTAACAAAAATATTACATTTACTTGGTGTTATTCTTTAATCATTGCATGGTCAAGTTTCTTATGTGGTCCCAGTCCTATATTCTTTTAAAAATATCTGTGGTTAAAGAATAAATTATAATTTTTCCTTAAAAGTTAGTTTATATGAACAAATTCGGACTTCTGAATAGATCATTTATTTAGAGGATTAAATATGCTACTTAATATAATTACTTAAAAACCTAAAAAAATTACTTAAAAGATGTAGACTATACAAAAAATATGAAAAGAAATTAAAATCCTTATTTAAAATTATTGTTGGTTATATATTAGTATATATTCTCTTTTTGTTTTTGCATATACAGTACATATTTCTTGCTTTTGCATCTAAAGGTAGAGGAAAAGGCAGGGGGCGAATAAGATCTGAAGATGAAGAGGACCTGGGAAATGCAAGGCCATCAGCACCAAGCACATTATTTGATTTCTTGGAATCTAAAATGGGAACTTTGAATGTGGAAGGTAAGCTAATTTAAAGTTGATTCCTTTTTTTTTCTTTCTTTTCTTTCTTTTTTTTTTTTTTTAGCGTATTTCTTTTTAAAAGACCAAACTTTATTTAGAATTGTAGTGTAAAACAACTATAATATGAACGTATATCCTGAGTGTTTGTTTATAAATTTACTTAATCTGAAAACATAATGGCAGCTTATTTTGCCCCCTAACTGGGATTAGTAATCTCACCAAACCAGTTTTCCCAAATTTGCTCATATCTAGATGACAGATATAACTGTGTAAACAGGTTGTTGTGTTGGAAATTTATTATAATCTTATATAACTTATTTTGCTTGTGAAATTGATATATCTCTTCTTTCTCCCCATATTACATAGTTTGAAAATGTTCACACAATGAGTGAAAATGCTTTCACAATGTGGTATATTTTTTATATACTTTAGTGATTACTATATTGAAAAGAGAAGTAAGTATGGTAAATATGCAGCCTTTTTCTAAGCACATAATATAGTAAATATTTTCTAAAATGGTAAGTTTTCAAAATACAATCCAAAAAGTTAAGGAAATATACTTTTAAATTCAGTTTCTCATTCAGATATATTTTGAATCTAGCCAAATAAGCTCAGAGATAAAATGCTTTTATAACAAATATGAAATGTTCAGATTTCATAAAAATTGAAGCATGTTTGCTAGATTATATAGAAAAGGCAGTGTAGCATTTGAGAAAACAAATGTTTGATGTGGGCAAGATTTATAAGCATGATGTATTAGTTTTCTATTTCTGTGTAACAAATTACCACAAAGTCAGTGGCTTAAAACAATGCAACTTTATTACCTTATAGTTTCTTTGTGTCAGGAGTCTAGGCACAGCTTCATTGGGGCCTCTGTTTAAAGTCTCAGATGCTGATGTTAAGATTTTGGTTGGAGCGGTGATGTTATCAGAGACTTGAGTTCCTCTTACAGGCTCACCCATTCTAGCAGAATTCATTTTCTTGTGGAAATGAAGTCCCGTTTTTTGCTTGGTGTTGCCTGGAGACTGCTTTATCTCCTAAAAGCTGCCTTCAGATTATTGCCACATGGGCCACCCCATAGGCAATTTACATATTGTTTGCTCTGCAAAGCCAGCAGGAGAGTCTCTGCTGCTGCTTCAGATCTTTCTTTTTCCTGACTCTGACTTAATGAGTACTTTTGTCCCAGCCTCTCTTCATACTGTCCCACTGAGAGATCCTTTGATTTCCTTTCATCCTCCTGTCCCCTTACATTTGCTTTTGACTCCTGTATTAGTTTGTTTTCATGCTGCTGATGAAGATATACCTGAGACTAGGTAACTTATACAGGAAAAAGAGTGTATTGGATTTACAGTTCCACGTGGCTGGGGAAGCCTCACAATCACGGTGGAAGGCAAGGAGGAACAAGTCACTTATTATGTAGGTGGCAGGAGGCAAAGGGAGAGCTTGTGGAGAGAAACCCTTATAAAGCCATCAGATCTTGTGAGACTTATTCACTGTCACGAGAACAGCACAGGAAAGACCTGCCCCCATGATTTACTTACCTCCCACTGGGTCCCTCCCACAACATGTGGGCATTCAAGATGAGATTTGGGTGGGGACACAGCCAAACCATATCGTTCCACCCCCAGCCCCTCCCAAATATCATGTCCTCACATTTCAAAACCAATCATGCCTTCGCAACAGTCCGCCAAAGTCTTAACTCATTTCAGCATTAACTTAAAAGTCCACAGTCCAAAGTCTCATCTGAGACAAGGCAAATCTCTTCTGCCTAAGAGCCTGAAAAATCAAAAGCAAGTTAGTTACTTCCTAGATACAATGGGGGTACAGGCATTAGGTAAATATAGCCATTCCAAATGGGAGAAATTGGCCAAAACAAAGGGGCTACAGGCCCCATGCAAGTCCGAAATCCAGCATGTTAGTCAAATCTTAAAAGCTCCAAAATGATCTCCTTTGACTCCATGTCTCACATCTAGGTTATACGGATGAAAGAGGAGAGCTCCCATGGTCTTGGGCAGCTCTGCCTCTGTGACTTTGCAGGATACAGCCTCCCTCCCAGCTGCTTTAATGGGCTGGCGAGGAGTGTCTGTGGCTTTTCCAGGTAAATGGTGCAAGCTGTTGGTGGATCTACCATTCTAGGGTCTGGAGGATGGTGGCCCTCTTCTTATAGCTCCACTGAGCAGTGCCCAGTGGTGAACTCTGTGTGGGGACTCTGACTCCACATTTCCCTTCTGCACTGCCCTAGCAGAGGTTCTCTTTGAAGGGCCCGCCCCTGCAGCAAACTTCTGCCTTGGCATTCAGGCATTTTCATATATCCTCTGAAATCTGGGTGGAGGTTCCCAATCCCCAATTCTTAACTTCTGTGCACTCATAGGCTCAACATCATGTGGAAGCTGCCAAGGCTTGAGGCATGCACCATCTGCAGTCACGGCCCCAGCTCTACATTGGTCCCTTTCAGCAATGGCTAGAGTGCCTGGGATGCAGGGCACCAAGTCCCTAGGCTGCACATAGCATGGGGACCCTGGGCCCAGCCCATGAAACCATTTTTTCCTCCTAGGCCTCCTGGCTTGTGATGGGAGGGGTTCCATGAAGACCTCTGACATGCCCTGAAGACATTTTCCCCATTGTCTTGGGGATTAACATTCAGCTCCTTGTTACTTACGCATATTTTTGCAGCTGACTTGGATTTCTCAGAAAATGGGATTTTCTTTTCTATCACATTGTCAGTCTGCAAATTTTCCAGACTTTTATGCTATATTTTCCCATAACTTCATGATTTAGGAGACACTATAGAAGTTGATATGGTTTGGCTGTGTCCCCACCCAAATCTCATCTTGAATTCCCACATGTTGTGGGAGGCACTCGGTGAGAGGTAATTGAATCATGAGGGCAAGTCTTTCCCGAGATGTTCTTGTGATAGTGTAAGTCTCATGAGATCTGATGGCTTTATAAAGTGGAATTTCCCTGAACAAGCTCTCTCTTGGCCTGCTGCCATCCACATAAGATGTGACTTGCTCCTCCTTGCCTTCTGCCATGATTGTGAGGCTTCCCTAGTCATGTGGAACTATAAGTCCCATAAACTCTTTTTCCTGTATAAATTACCCAGTCTCAGGTATGTCTTTATCAGCAGCAAGAAAATGAACTAATATAGTAAATTGGTACCAGCAGAGTAGGGTGCTGCAGAAAAGATAACCCGAAAATGTGGAAGTGACTTGGGAACTGGGTAACAGGCAGAGGTTGGAATGGTTTGGAGGGCTTAGAAGAAGACAAGAAAATGTGGGAAAGTTTGGAACTCCCTAGAGACTTGTTGAATGGCTTTGAACAAAATGCTGATAATGATATGGACAATGAAATCCAGGCTGAGGTGGTCTCAGATGGAGATGAGGAATTTGTTGGGAACTGGAGCAAAGGTGTTATGTTTTAGCAAAGAGACTGGCAGCATTTTGCCTCTGCCCTAGTGATTTGTGGAACTTTAAACTTGAGAGAGATGATTTAGGGTATCTGGCAGAAGAAATTTCTAAGCAGCAAAGCATTCAAGATGTGACCTGGTTGCTGTTAAAGGCATTCAGTTTTAAAGGGAAAACACATGATAAAAGTTTGGAAAATTTATGTTTGGGTTCTCAGGGACACCTGCTCCTTGGATGAGCACCATGACCTTGGCTCACAGTCTTGCCTTCAAGGTTTAGTAACTTTGTTGGGGGCCTATCACACTACATACAGGAAGCAAAATTTTTAATCTCTCCTAGATGTACTGTGTGGGGAGGGCACACTGACAGATTCAGGAAATGGGCAGAAGGCTTCTTAGGGGAGATGACATCTAGTTAAGACTGAGGGGAAGTGTTGGGGCAGTCCAAGTGGAGGGAGCACTATGTATACAGGCATGGAGGCATCAGAGCACCAATTCCCTGTGCCTGGGAATGTATGGTAGAGGTAGTGCTGTGAGGAGAGACATGGAATTGGTAGGCTAGAGCCAGATCACAAGGATTTTGTCCTAAGGAGTTTTAATTCTGTCCGAATGTGATACAAAGGCATTAAAGGGTTTTTGGCATAAGAGCCATGAGGTTTATTTTGGTGCTTTAAGAAAAAATTTCCTGTCTGCAAAAGGAAAATAGGGTAAGATGGGATTGAGATTGAAAACAGACAATAGTTGTATGTGTTGTGGGGAATTATTCATTCAATAAATGCAGTATTTTATTTAGTATTTAAAATACCTCATTCAGAAAACACAGGGAAGTAGATTGATTTTGTACCTCTTGTCCCAAAGAAGCTCACTGTCTAGTGTGTGAGACAGAAGAAGTCATAAACTAAAGGGACATAGGAATGCTTACTTTCAAAGGATTTCATCATTTACTTAATGTAAAACAAAACAGTACTGAGCAAAATATAAGTGCTTAGCAGAAGTTATTTTGAAAACAGTAATCAGATTTGATCTGGTATATTTGTAACCTGTAATAATATTTAGTCTTTTATTTCAAAGTTTTATTGCCAAAATAAGACCTACCCATTGTTTCGAATGGCTACTAAATACTTTAATCAGGCAGACTTGAAAACACTATTTGGTTTGCTATTTCATTGTTTTAAAGGTTTACCTTACCAGGACCTGATTGCACCATTACTAGTAGCTTTTCTGACCCTAAACTCTCTTTGATGATGTTGGCCTCACACAGAAGAGATTCATGATAACACACATAAGTACAAATAGCTAGACGATAAAGTGATACACACACACATATATATATGGAAGATTATTTTGCCTGTAGCTATTTCTTATATTCTCTTGGTTCTGTCTTCATGGGTACAATGAAGATAACAGGATTGATGGGAAAGCTGTGTGTTGGTTGCCCTCAGGTATCTTTAGCAGGTATCGTTGTGTTACTTTCTCTTGTTGACCTGCTCACACTACTCAGTGCCAGTATTCTTAGGTGAGCTGGGGTATATTGTAAAATAAACAAACAAACACAAAAACAGTTGAGGCAAGCTACTGAATTGTTTTTCAGCTCATTTTAAGATAGCATGTATTTTTAATTGGAGTTAAAGCCCAGAGTAAATTTTTACTTTTATAAAGTTGAATCTCCACTTTGGTGGAAAATTTGGTTATTTTCTGTAAATCTCTTGTTCTAAAATTAACTTCATTGATGGGAGAAAATGTTGGACATTTTTCTAAGATAAATCTAGAAAGTGTTTCAGGATAACATCTTCATAATGTTTAATGGTTAAATGCATTATGGACAGCTAATGAAGAGAGTTAAGATCTTATTTATGTTCATATTAGCAGCATCATTTATTTGGGTCTGTTATAGACTCAAATTGACATTACAAAGAAGTAATTGTGATTCAGTGATATGCATATATTTAGGGTTTAAAAAGTTTGTTTTTCTAATACAGTTGCATAATCAAACCTTTCTTGCTTCTGTGTTTTGTATCAGCATAAGCTGTCTGAGGATTTTGTTTAGTTTTAGTACCTCTAGAAGTCAGAATTTAGCGCAGTAAGCCTTGGCTTGGATGGACTTGTTATGTCATATCAGATTCTGGACAGTAATTTGTCAGGCTGGTTGGAAAAAAATATATATTCTGATTTTTAAAAGTTTCATTAGAAATAATTGATTATCACATTTACTTTTCTTAGAAATTTTTCTCAGCATTGACTTTTTGTTGTTATATCTTTAAATTGGAATAAAACATAATTCTAGTTGACGTTTTTATTAATATTCTGAAAAAAGTGAGGTTGGATTGCATTGTTTTCTGTTATCTAATGAAAAGGACAGTGTACTGGAGCAGATACATACAACTAATTCCACCACTAAACTCACAGCTCTTGTATACTAGTTGTATGTCTTTGGGCAAGATATAGAACTATTAACCTTAATTTTCTCATCAGGAAATGGAGAAGTAGTGACAGCACCTATTGTAGGGCTACAAGGTCGTTGGGAAGATCAAATTAGATAATGTATATGAAGTGCTAAGCCTAGTGCTTGGCATCAGCAACAGCAGCAGATGCAACAGCATCCTCCACTCACCATGTATCATTTCCACCTTCACTGCCCTACTTCAGGCCTTCATCAAGGCTTTCATCGGCTTTCACTGTTTTTTGCAGAACCTTATGATCCCATTCTGCATATTGTGGTCAGTGACCTTTCAAACCACAAATTTGATCACACTACCTGCTGGCTTAAAATGCTCCATTGACTCTTCTCATTGGCAGGATAAAATTCAGACTACATTATTTATATTGTTTTTATGGTGTTCCATTATTTTTATTTTCTGTGGATTTTGTGAGAATTAGTATTTATATTGGTTAACAGAATATATAGATGTAAATAATCTGTTTAGATATTAGCAGATATAAAGATACATTAATGGTTGATGGGCACTTCACATCAAGTTGCAGATCTTTGATAGTTCATGGAAGGTGTCTTTTTGGCTTTGTTTTTGCTTTTTTTTTTTATTCAAGTTTCAGGTCACTTTGGATAGTTTGCCTTGTAGATTTACTGCTTGAACTTTGAAGACTGAAGAATAGGGACCTCACAAAGGGAATGTAATATAATGGTAATAGCTTAATTGGAAAGGAAGGAAACTAGGCCGAGACAAGAGAGAATGTGTATATATTAGGCTAGATGTTATTGTGAGGGATTTCCTCAAGAATCATCTATGTATTGACTATTATGTATATTTATATCTTATTGCATCAAACAGCATTACTACATATTGATGGAAATCTATGGTAGAGTGCCTGTTTGGAAACCAGGGATAAATGGTTGCTATGTGAGTAAAGTCATCAACTGCCAGCACAGCAGAAAGCAGAAGAAATGTGTAGCTATCTACCCACAGCCTATCACTTTCTTTCTATTCCTAGCCATCTCTATGGGCTTCCCAGCCCTTGAATTTTTCTTCCTGTAAAGCTGATTCCTTTTTACCATTCCATTCGTTTTGAAGTGCAAATGTACCCCAAATTTCTAGATAGTACTTTAAGCTTAACTTGAATTAATTATTTCCAATTCTATTTGTGGACAACTTGTTACCTTTAATAGTTAATAGTCTGTGCCAGAGCCACTTAGTATCTAGTCAACAAAAAAGTACAGATTCAGTGCTGAAATTGAGAGTGTTTAGAAACCGCTTTAGCAATTTGACAGTACCTAAACATTTGTTACTGCATTTTACAAAAGTAACAGTCAGCAGCAGATTGGAAATTAAAACCAGAACCTGCAGCTAAAACAAAAACCCTGGTCTTTCACTACAGTAAGTTTGAAATGTTCTGGTTTATGTTGTTAGGACATTGCAGTCTCTGGATTTACCTGCATTCTGACAGCATGATAGCTTTTGTCAGAGTAACAAGGCCAGGCAGGTAGTTTAAGATGGCAGGCACAGTACCAGGTGGGAAGTGAAAATATACTACACTGCTGCCTCCTCTGAGACAGTGATGCAGTGAGGCACCCAAGCTTCATGGAGAGGCTGCCTCCAGTCCTCAGTCCTAGTCTGTAAGTGCTCCCAGCCCTGGCCCTGGACCTGTGTGTGGTATGTGAATCTTTAGGTGATTCTGGTGCTGGCTGTTGAGCCCCTCTCAAGCTGTGCATCTTAACACTGGAGGCTCCACATCTGAGAGGGACACACTGTCCTCACTGTGCCTTTTCTGAATTCCTGGCCCACAGGATCTGTGAGCATAATAAAGCGAATGTTCTTTTATGCCACTAAGTTTGAGTAATGGTTTGTTACATAACTGTAGTATTGGGGAAAAATCCCTAAAAATTGGCCTCACCTAGAATTGTGATTTAAAAAAAAACTGGTGAGTGAAAAACACCTTGTCCTGCCATTGATGTGTTGCTTTTTAAGTCATTATAGTATTTTGACTTTGTAAATACATGTAAAAAGGTAGTTAATAATTTCAGTGTCATACTTAATTGCCTAGGTATGTGCGAGTTCTAGGCTTCATCTTTTATGAACCTTAAATTATGCTTAATGCATTATATACATGGATGCTTTCTTAGACTAATAATGTATCCAGCACTAAGCTACAAACATCTCCAGACTTTACTAAGAGCCAAACCCAAAGGACCTGATTTTTCAGAACTAGTCTCTGTAAAATACCATGAAAAGAGGATGTGTAGGTTCCTTTTAGCCCACAGTTTTATTAGAATATTATTAGGGGCGTTTCTAAATTCAGATGATCCTAATATACTTTGCTGTGAATTTTTGAAAGATGTTATATCTAATATAATTGAGCATTAGTAAACTGAAGAAGTTTCCTCTGTTGTAGGGTTTGCATATTAAATCTACATTGTTTTAAATTAACTTAATTTCTTTGCATATGATAATATTATTACTTTTTTTGGTACTTGGATCTGTAGAAGATGGATATAGCTTTTCTTAGAATACTAGAACACATGAGCCTCTTTTTCATTTTTGCCATTATTTTCTTCCTCCTCAATTAATTGTCCGTTCGCTTATACATTTATTAACCATAAGATAAAATAATGTGTCATTTATTGAGCATCTGCTATGTGCCAGGACTATGCTAGGTGCTTTGCATACTATTAATTCATTTTATCATCTGTAAATGCAAAATATATATTATTTCCGTTTGACAGATAAGGAAATAGGTTTGTATATTAATATTTGTATTAAAGCAAAAATAACATAAGGTTATTTCTAAATGGTTTTTGACCCACAAGTCTAGTGCCTCGTATATAAATACCTGTTTATCAACAAGAGAGCCATATCTGACTTTATCTAAGTAGCTAAATTACTCAGATACATGTATTTTCATTTAATGGATCAATTTGTCCATTAGTAGTTTTTTTAACCCTGGCAGAAAAATATTTTTATAGTAATCCTAACCTGAGTTTCATGATGAAATACTGAAAATAACTCATGGTTATTAATGATTTAATGCCAGTAGTATAATGGTAGCTTTGTTGAGGTTTAAGAGGGAGGTTAATACTGGGGTCTGGAATCTACTCAGTTAATCCCCCAGCTCTACCCTGTGCTAGTTGTGTGACCTTGTCAAGCCTCTTTAGCTTCCTTATCTGTGAAATAGGGATGTTATAACTGTACTCTGAGGTAAGCTCATTTGGTTTTTTAATTATGTGAGAAATTTTACTAAACTAGAAATTTTTTTCTTTTTTGTATTTGTAAGGACTAGTTTGGGCTTTGCATGCATTTTACATGGGACTAAACAGGGCAATCTTTGCAGTTGTATTGTTGGTGTGTGTGGCACTTTTTCTTAGAATTCTCATGATTTGTTCATTTATAACAGCACTAGTCTTATGCTTTATGCTAACTTTTTAAAAATTGGCTTTTCTCAGTTTTCTTTTAAAAGGGGCTTTGAAACACCAAAAAATTAGTTGTTTGAACACTGGGCATCATAAATATGTTTATTTTGAGCTTAGTCTTCAATTTAATATGTGTTGTATCTATAAAGATTTTAATGAGAACAGGAAAACAATTGTATATATTTGAATAATTATACAAATTATAATTGAAAGAAAAATACCATGCCAGATTAAAACTAATGTTAATTCTTGTGATCATTTTTTCTGGGATCTGGTGTTTTTATTTAGCATAATGGACATCAACTTTATGATATTGGAATATACAATAATTTTTCCTTTGAAATTAATAATTAATGTTGATTATGGCTTTACTTAGAAGTTAAGCAGGTTTCTAGCCCAAGATCTTTGTATGTGTTGTTCTCTCCTCTTGGACGACTCTTCCCTACTTTCATCACATTTCTTCTCATTAGGGCTCACCTAAACCCCATTTCTCCACAGACGTTTTCCCTCTACATTGCTGTACTCCCCACTCCTCCTAGTTTTTTCATAAGTTGATTTCTTTCATAGATTTTATTACAGCTTTAAGCTACATTATTTGTTCTTTTTACCTATTTGTTGTCTGCCTCTGCCCATTATAACTAAGCTCCACAGGATAGAGGGCAATGGGTCTTAACTACTGCTTTCATATAGAGTGACTAGGAGAGCGTTGACGACACCACCAGCAGTTGATGCTCAGTAACTATGATGAGTAACAGTGAAGGAAAGAGGTAAGTAGCATCATCCCAATTTTACAAGGTCACACAGCTGCTCAGTGGTTAGGACTGGAATTTAATTCCAGTAGTCAGTCTAATTCCAAACGCTTTGTTTGGGCCCAGGAGAAAGCAGTTTTATATATATTTTCAAATTGAATCGTTACCATAATCCTGTGGAAAGAATCATTACTGATATTTTACAAATGAGGAAACTGGGGTTCTTTGTGACTTTGTCAAAGGTGCATTACTGCAAAACTAGAAAAGCAGTTTATTTGGTCTCAAGCTCAGTGTTCTCTAGTGCAAATCAGAGATGGCTTTTATAAGTTTACTTTTTGTGTGTTGTGCAATCTTTTTCTGTGATCATTTGAACTCAATCTAAATCTACCCTAATGTGCTTTGCTGCAAACTTCTCCTAAAGAAGTAAAAGTAAAGGAGTATATTTTCTATTTCAATCTTGCACCCTTAGCTAAGCCCAGGTAATGGTGTTAAACAGATAGCAATTTTGAACTTGGAGGCTTGTTTCATTCCCAGTATTTTCAGTAATTCTGTCTTTCTTTCAGCAAATATTTACTGAGTGCCACCTATTTGCCTGATTCTGTCGTAGCTAAGCACTGGAGAAAACAATGCTGAGCAAGACTCAGACCCTACTCTCAACGTAGTAACTATGTAAAAATATTTAAAGCAGCTTTTTCTTAAAAAAAAAAAATGTAATACAGAAATGAATGAGATACCTATAGTCACTAAACTGGAAAGATGCCCATGAGATACTGTTCATTTTAAAACTGAATTGCAGCCCACGAGATGTAGCATGAGTCTACTTTTTGTTAAAAATGAAAGTGTATGGGCCGGGTGCGGTGGCTCACGCCTGTAATCCCAGCACTTTGGGAGGCTGAGGTGGGCAGATCACCTGAGGTCAGGAGTTCGAGACCAGCCTGACCAACATGGAGAAACCCCGTCTCTACTAAAAATACAAAAAATTGGCCGGGCATGGCAGCACATGCCTGTAATCCCAGCCACTCAGGAGGCTGAGGCAGGAGAATCACTTGAACCCGGGAGGTGGAGGTTGCGGTGAGCCGAGATCGCACCATTGCACTCCAGCCTGGGCAACAAGAGTGAAACTCCGTTTCAAAAAAAAAAGAAAGTGTATGAATTATATAAAAAAGAGTAACCTCCAAAACTGAATAATTACTATATCTGGAAGTGGGATTTGATAAGCAGAAGGTGGAACTTTCTTCTATACATTTTTCTAATGATAGGATCAAGAGTAATTTTTTTACTTTTTAAATATTTCTTAGCATTTTTAATATAGAAAAAAATTAAAGGATGTAGAGAATATTTTTATATGGAGAATGTTTATAGATATACTATATTTTAAGTGAAAAACAGTATTAGAGTATGATTTTGATTTTCTGATGTATCTAAATTTTCTCTGTAATATGACTTTTATAATATGAGAATAAAGAAGTTTTTATTAAAGCATTCTTCCTGCCCTGTTTTCATTAAGAATCAAATAAAAACAAATAAACAAGAAAACTAAAGCAAGATAAAGATCCGAACTAAAAATAGGAGTTGGTGGTAGTGGGAATGTATAAATAGGGAAGCACCTTATTTTCTGATTTTTTGTCTTTCCTGATGTGTCATCAATTAAGTTTATTTGCTTAATTTTAATGCTAATTAAACATTTATTGGGTGCTTATTAAAGCCAGATACTGTCCTAAGTACTTTACATATGTTAATCCTCCGAGGTATGCTCTATTATTACCCCCATCTTAAAGATGAGGCTCAGAAAAGTTAAATATTTCACCTAAGGTTACAGAACTAGTAAGTGGTACCCCATGATAAAAAGCTATGTAGTCTTTCTTTTGCTATTTCTAAGTGCCAGTTTGTGAGCTCTAAATAGCAATCCAATTTTCAATAGAAGTTTAGGTTTTTCTGCGTTAATAGAAAGAGATTATTAATTTTAGGTCAGGATTCTGGCAGTCCTAGCGTCCAAATGTATTTTTCAGCCCCATCAGGGATTGTGAAAGAGCCTTTGTGATTTCTACATCTCACCAGAAATGAACAGATACAGGTGATAAAATTGAAGGTAACATGTTGTTGGTTACATTCTGTTTTTTTTCCTCTGGGTGGGCAGCTTGGCATAATGGAAAAATCATGTGTTTTAGCTTCAGTTAGATTTCAGTTTAATTCTGGCTTCAGCATTTTCTAGCACCAGCCTTTAGTTGAGGCACATTATTTTTTCACTTGCAAAATAAAGATGATAATACTGCCCTTTTAGGATGGCTGTGAGGATTACATGAAATTATGTAGGCAAAAGACCTTTAACATAGAGTCAGGCATATATTAGGATCTTAATAAATATTAAGGCATTTCTTCAGGTAGGTGTATCAGAATAAAATGAGGATTAGTCTTGGGAAACAAATTCTACCTGATTTTCTACTACAAAATGCAGGTACAACTGCTTCTGGAGAATATTCTGCAAAAAAGTATTAATATTTTAAGATGCCTGATTAATTTAGTACATCCTTATGTACAGATTTAAATGATTTGTGACAATTAATAAGTTTATTCTTAATTATTCTTGCATTTCAAATCATGGTGATGTAAAACATTGTAGTCAATTATCTCACAAACATACATTTTGAAAATTAAAATCTTGTAATAATAGGAATGTTTTCTCTCAAATCATACTAAACTCATATAGCATTCTTTGATTAGTTTTCTCATATGAGCTTTCCCCACCTTGGTCTTTTAGATCTTTTACATGTTTTCACAGTTTTGTCTATTTTGCAATACATTTTTCTTTTTTTTTTTTTTTTTTTTTGAGACAGAGTCTTGCTCTGTCACCCAGGCTAGAATGCAGAGGTGCCATCTTCCCTCACTGCAGCCTCCACCTCCCAGGTTCAAGCAATTCGCCTACCTCAGCCTCCTGAATAGCTGGGACTACAGGTGCATGCCACCACGCCCAGCTAATTTTTGTATTTTTAGTAGAGATGGGGTTTCACCATGTTGGCCAGACTAGTTTTGAACTCCTGACCTCAAGTGATCCACCCACCTTGGCATCCCAAAGTGCTGGGATTACAGGCGTGAGCCATAGCACTGGTCCTGTAGTACATTTTTCTATCACTTTTTGCTAACCTTTTCTTTTTTCTGCTATTTAATATTAAATGTTACCCATTTCTACTTGTGCTTTTTTTTTTCCACCTTTTCCTTTGGGGTGATTTAAAAAAATGTGATGCATTGTACTCTGCTGACTGTACAGAAAAATATCTTAGTATATTTATTAGAGTGATGGCAGACCTGACCTGTGCTGTCCATTGGTATCTAATGTAGTTTAGAATCATGATGCCTTCTCAAAAAGGGGAGGTGAGAACTTAGAATCTGACTGGGGAACCAAGGAGCTGCCTTTTCAGTTGATTTGGGATATATTTCTTAGTTTATTTAAAATTGCTTTTCTGGCTGAGCACGGGGCTCATGGTAATCCCAGCACTTAGGGAGACCGAGGGCGGGTGGATCACTTGAGGTCAGGAGTTTGAGACCAGCCTGGCCAATATGGTGAAACCCCGTCTCTACTAAAAATACAAAAATTAGCCGGGCGTGGTGGTCTGCACCTGTAATTCCAGCTACTTGGGAGGCTGAGGCAGGATAATCACTTGAACCCGGGAGGCGGAGGTTGCACTGAGCCGAGACTGCACCACTGTACTCCAGCCTGGGCCACAGAGTGAGGCTCCATCTCAAAAAAAAAAATAAATAAATAAATAAAAAAAGAGAAAAGAAAAGAACGATTGCCTCTCCCACAATTTAATAATTGAGTATATTTGTTATGTGTTTAATAGATGAGCTCAGTTTCAAAATACTTACTTTATATATGACTTTATGATTTAACTAACCTAAGATAAAAGGTATTGGGCTTAAGGAAATCCAAGAATGATTGGATGATGAATCCAAGAATGATTGGAAATCCAAGAATGACTTCTTAGGTATTATTTCATTTTGAATGAAATGGATATATATGAAAACTAACTTCTTTAAAAAACACAATTTTCGGCCAGGCGCAGTGGCTCACACCTGTAATCCGAGCACTTTGGGAGGCCTAGGCGGGTAGATCATGAGGTCAGGAGTTTGAGACCAGTCTGGCCAACCCCGTCTCTACTAAAAATACAAAAATTAGCCAGACGTGGTGGCAGGCGCCTGTAATCCCAGGTACTCTGGAGGCTGAGGCAGGAGAATCACTTGAACCCGGGAGGTGGAGGTTGCAGTGAGCCAAGATCACGCCACTGTACTCCAGCCTGGGCAACAGAGCAAAATTTTCTCTCAAAAAAAAAAAAAAAAAAAAAAACCCCACAATTTTCACTTTCTACCTCTGTGAGTTTATTTTACTATATTAAGGGAATTCTTTTTTTTTTTTTTTTTTTTTTTTTGAGACGAGATCTCTGTCTGTCGCCCAGGCTGGAGTTCAGTGGCACAATCTTGGCTCACTGCATCTTCCACCTCCCGGGTTCAAGCAATTCTCCCACTTCACCCTCCCGAGTAGCTGGGATTACAGGGCCGCGCCACCAAGCCTGGCTAATTTTTGCATTTTTAGTAGAGACAGGGTTTCACCATGTTGGCCAGGCTGGTCTCGAACTCCTGACCTCAGGTGATCCACCTGCTTTGGCCTCCCAAAGTGCTGGGATTACAGGGGTGAACCACCGCACCTGGCCAGGAATTCTTATTTTTAAAAAATAATTTTCTTTATAAATTTTACTCTCACTATATTATCTCAGCATAGTAATGGATATGAAGTATGTTCATTATTAACAAAATTACTTGTTTTATTCTGTAGTCTAATGTACATCATCATCAATTCAGTAACTGAAAATAATATTTTAAGTACCAAGTGTAATGACTTTTCCTCTTTACTATCAGCAATTTCCTAAGTTTGTTTATTTGTTAAATAATAAGCTGTTCAGGAATTTTTCATTCTCTTTTCTAAGATAGTACTTTTGATGTAAGAAGGCTGGTGCATGAGAGTGCTTGAGTACATAAATGAAAGTGTTAATTGTTAGTGAAAACAATAATAAAAAATCAGAAATTCTTTAAGTAGATTGGATCTGGAACAAAGTGAAAAGATTTTATATTTTCCTATTAATATAGTTCTCCAGTATAGTTCCATAGACCCATAGTACCCCTTAATTCTAAATTGTAGATTAGGAAATTTTTTGTATTTTCCTTTTAGAAGAATTGAAATCAAATTCTGCCACATCTGCCAAGCCTGGCTGAACTTTCATTCTGTATGCATCGTTATTCATCCTTTATCTGTAGTCCAGGATACTTAGTTACTCTCGTGATGACTTAATATTTTCTCTTCCTCCTGATTATCATAAATATTAGGGGCCCTCAGTGGAATAATTTAAGAAAAATTCTTCCCTAAACAGCAGATCTGAAAAGCTTACTCCCCAAATATTTATTCAATGTACTATACAAGGGACCTTAGTTTACCTCTCTCTGTTAAGCCTCATAACACCTGTATCATAAAACTATCTTGGAGACTATTGATAATGTATATAAAGTGCTAGTGTGGGCTATGTAATACATAGCAGATAATCAACAGGAGGCAAATGCTGCTTTTATAAAAATGTCTGGAACAAAAGCCAATATATGCCTTCTGCTGAAAGTGCTCATTTGTGTCCTGATTATGGTCACTGCTATTCTTCCCGAAATCTTTACTCCTGGGCAGTAAACAATGCCAGCAGAAACTAAAAGTGACCATTTTTCTTCTCTCTAAAGAAAAATTTAATATTGACTGCATTTGTTAAAATAAGACATTGTGTTATGTTTATTAGGCAGATATTCTTGGGGGAAAGTTTTTTTTTTTTTTTTTAAAGATCTCTCTTATGGCCTTGGCTAATATTTGAAATCTTATATCTTAGAAAAATCTTCATTCTTTGTCACAGTTAAGGGGTGGTTTGACTGGATTAATTTTTTTCCTTAGAAAATTTTCCATAATTTTAAAAGTATTTAAAGCCTTTTGGCTTCTAGCTTCCATTGGTTCGGTTGAGAATGGATTTTTTTGGACCACTTTGAGTCTTTTTTTTTCTTCGAGATGGAGTCTTGCTCTGTCACCCAGGCTGGAGAGCAGTGGCACAATCTCGTCTCACTGCAACCTCCATCTCCCAGGTTCAAGCGATTCTCTTGCCTCAGCTTTCCAGGTAGCTGAGATTACAGGTGTGCACCACCACACCCAGCTAATTTTTGTATTTTTAGTAGAGACAAGGGTTCACCATGTTGCCCAGGGTGGTCTCGAACTCCTGGCCTCAAGCAATACACCTGCTTCAGCCTTCCAAAGTGCTTGGATTACAGGTGTGAGCCACCATGCCTGGCCTGACCACTTTGAGTCTTGATCTTTAATCAGTGACCTGTTTTGTCACTCAGTAACCTTTAAACCTTTATTCCTGTTGTTTTAAACAATTTACCAGATACCTTTTGGCCTCCAGTGGCTGTTTGGAAATGTTTGGGGAAAGTTTTGATAGTCAACATCCCTGGGGATGCTGGGGGAGGGTCCTTTTGGCATTTCATATCTGTAGGCCAATGAAGTTAATTTTCTTGCAGTTAATTTCCTTGCAACAGAGGGAACAGTCTCACCCAAGATGTCAGTGGAGGCCCTCTTTGGAAGTGTAACCTTGGGGAAATATAAGAATAATTACAGCTGCATGTTGATTATGATGTATGACAAAGGAAACAAGACACATACACCAAAGACCAATGAGTATGTTTGGTAATCATGTTATAGACATGCTATGTGAAATTATGGAGGAAGAAAGTATAAATGACATGGTACAAATTGAAACAGAATAAAAATCACTATGTGAAATACAGTCATTAAAAATTACCTTTCTATATTTATCACGTTATTTCTTGGACATTATAGGCAGTATTATGCTTAGTAATGTTTCTGACACTTTTTCGGTATTTCCACTTTTGACACTTTTCTGTATTTCCAAGTAGTACCCACTCTTAATTACTTTAACAGATCAAGAAAATTAACCCTTTTGTATAGTAGGATATCTATTTGTAACATAAACTCTTTTTTATAGTAGGATATCTGTTTGTAACGTAAACACTTAGCAATTCCAGATCCAGAAAGATTTGAAAAGAAACATTTTTGCAAAGGCTAGAACATGACTGATAATAATAGCTATATATTTCTAAATTAGAGTGGCATTCAGAAAGAGTTGATCAGGGTTGTACTTGTGCAGTTTCATAGCAGTTTCTGAGTTAGCAATTTGCAGTTCTATTTCATTAATGTTTTAGGAAATGATTTACCAGAATAGCATATGTAGGTAGCTGTATTATAAGAATTTGGATTATCCATCATTTTTCTGTGGTCCCTTTTACTACTTTACTTTATTAATGTTGCTGACTAAGAAAACTGTACATTAGAAATGCAGGACTCCAAGGAAGCAAAGAAGGAGTAAGATAATGAGGTAGGAAGATGGAAGAAGATTTTAGAATAGTAGTTTGATAATTTTGTATTAATAGAATAAAGCATTTTAAAATAATTATTAATGCAGAGTCTTCATCTTAATTTGCATATGGTATACTTTTACCTTTCAGAACCTAAATCACAGCCACAGCAGCTTCATCAGGGACAATACAGATCATCAAATACTGAGCAAAATGGAGTAAAAGATAATAATCATCTGAGACATCCTCCTCGAAATGATACCAGGCAGCCAAGAAATGAAAAACCGCCTCGTTTTCAAAGAGACTCCCAAAATTCAAAGTCAGTTTTAGAAGGCAGTGGATTACCTAGAAATAGAGGTTCTGAAAGACCAAGTACTTCTTCAGTATCTGAAGTATGGGCTGAAGACAGAATCAAATGTGATAGACCGTATTCTAGATATGACAGAACTAAAGATACTTCATATCCTTTAGGTTCTCAGCATAGTGATGGTGCTTTTAAAAAAAGAGATAACTCTATGCAAAGCAGATCAGGAAAAGGTCCCTCCTTTGCAGAGGCAAAAGAAAATCCACTTCCTCAAGGATCTGTAGATTATAATAATCAAAAACGTGGAAAAAGAGAAAGCCAAACATCTATTCCTGATTATTTTTATGACAGGAAATCACAAACAATAAATAATGAAGCTTTCAGTGGTATAAAAATTGAAAAACATTTTAATGTAAATACTGATTATCAGAATCCAGTTCGAAGTAATAGTTTCATTGGTGTTCCAAATGGAGAAGTAGAAATGCCACTGAAAGGAAGACGAATAGGACCTATTAAGCCAGCAGGACCTGTCACAGCTGTACCCTGTGATGATAAAATATTTTACAATAGTGGGCCCAAACGAAGATCTGGGCCAATTAAGCCAGAAAAAATACTAGAATCATCTATTCCTATGGAGTATGCAAAAATGTGGAAACCTGGAGATGAATGTTTTGCACTTTATTGGGAAGACAACAAGGTATGGATGCTTTAAAGATATTATACACTAATATTACGAAATGTAACATTCTAGTGGGACTTTATAGAAGCTGTCACTTTGGAACTATGAGTCTTTTTCTACTATTGTACCTGTTTAAAATCTTTGAACAGATTTATAGATATATAAAGGATAAACAAAATATTTAATATTTTTATGGATGCCTAGGGACAATCTGTCCCGTAAGATTTGGTTAAGTTCGGTTTGGTTTTAGCTTACATGCCAGAAAAGTATTGTAAAAGTAATTATGTGAAGTTGAGCTTTATTTTACTTATCATCAACTGAATTACATATGTTTGCTTTTCACTCTGGTAAAATTACACTGATTCACAAGGAAGAAAATCAGTTGAGAGGCACAAAGTAAAATTCTGCAGATTTTCAGTTGAAGAAAATAGTACACATTCAGCTTACTTTTTTAAAAAGTTAACATATAAGTTAATTATTTATTTTATAATAATTTTAAAATTATTAAACCATTGCTTCTCGGCCTTTTGGCTAAGATCGAGTGTAAAAATTATTAAACCAATTTTTAGTTTTATATTATATGGTGGCTAAAGGCAAAGAAAGAAATTGTAGGGGAAAGAAGGAAGGAAAGACAGAAGATGAGGGCAAGAAAGAGTGCAGTGGGTCAAGTAAAAGCCTACCCAAGAGATAGAAGACCAGCCCAGTGAGAGCAAGAAAGGGAAAGGGACAGAGGGACCATCAGAGAGAAGGGGACTTTGCACATTTTTTTCCTTCTGCCCAACATGCTCTTCTATCAGCTACTCTTCTCATCCTTGAGGGCTTGGCTCAAACATCACCTCCTAGAAGAAACCTTCTTTGACCTGCCCCATCCTCCTACTTACATTATTCTCTTAATCAGTGCCTTAATTACTTTTTAAAATTTATGACAACTTGTAAATATTTTTTGTTTTGGTTCTTGAATTGGTATCTTTTTGCACTACCATGATATTAAGTTCCTTGAAGGCTGGACTGTGCCTCTCTGGTTTCCGTCTGTAGTCTTGCTTCTTTCACAGTATAGGGACTTCATAATTATTTGTTAACTCTGTTAATTAGTTAATTCTGGAGAGAGCAATTACATATGAGAAAAGTAGGATGGTGTGGGGATGGAGACAATAGCAAGGTAGTAAAAACGTATGTAAGGGAGTTACAGAGCGAAGGGTCTGGGAGGATGTGAGAAGCAACTCAAAAGAGGAAAAATATTTTAAATAATTTTTTTTTTGAGACGGAGTTTCACTCTTGTTGCCCAGGCTGGAGTGCAATGGCATGATGTCAGCTCACTGTAACCTCCACCTCCCAGGTTCAAGCAATTCTCCTGCCTCAGCCTCCTGAGTAGCTGGGACTACAGAAATGCGCTACCATGCCCAGCTAATTTTTTGTATTTTTTTTTTTTTTTTTAAGTAGAGACAGGGTTTCACCATGTTGGCCAGGCTGGTTTTGAACTCCTGACCTCAGGTGATCCACCCGCCTCGGCGTCCTAAAGTGCTGGGATTACAGGTGTGAGCCACCACGCCCGGCCCAAAATAAATATTTTATAGGTTGCAGTTGATACAGTAAGGATGTGCCTATGAGAGTGTGTGGCTAAAGGGAATGGTGTAAGTAAAGGTAACTGAAGATTTCAAGGAATTGAAATTCACACTAGGGGTTTGGGTGGATCCTTTAATAAGGATGCTGTAGGATTTGGGGTCAAGAACCAGGCCTTCTTGTGCTCATTAAATAATGAGGTATAAGCAGAGTGTTAGATGTTGCCTGATGATAGAATAAGGAGGAGTACAGAGTGAAACAGCTAGATGGCATAGGCTTTTAAGATTTTTGTGTGACTGGGATGATGATTATTTAGAAACAGCATCTCTGTCACATCTTTACTTAAGCCTGGAAAGAAGGGAAGAGACAGCACTGGGTGTCTTTTCTTTTTCTCTGGAAAAGCAAAAGCCTTCCCAGGAATACCAGCAGATTTGGAACTATTTCACATGGCCACTTCCTGGCTATTAGGAAGACTTGAAAAGCAGATGCAGGTGGTCTTCACTATCCAGATTCTTATTCTTCCAACTCAGACTACTTTCCAAAATTCAGGAACTGTTTGTTTTGAGTAGTGGGAGATTCATTATATTTAGATATTTCTCCTTCATGGTGGAGGCAAGAAAAAGTGAAGTAATTGGAAAGCAGTGTTTGTTGAGCCAACAGTAGCTACCCTAGAAATAATAGTCACTGTATCTGATGCTCCTGTGAAAGGTTAAGGTGAGGATGGAAAAGTGTTTTCTGTATTGGATAATGTGGGGTTACTGGTGACCTTGACAAGAGCAGAAGTAAGAGATTGGAATTCACGTTCAAAATGTTTGAAAGCCTTGGTAAGTGACTCAGGCTTTCCATTGAAATCCCACAAAGATCATACCCTGGGTAGTAACTGCAAAATTAAAACAGGCAACCCTTACAGAGTCAAAAGCAACTCTCTACAGGATCAGGGATATCTGCTTATATTCTCTCTGCCAGTAGAAAATGTAACTGTTTTACTGGGAAAAAAATAACATCTTCTACAACCTTTCCAGTACTTATCTGCAGTGTCTAATATCCTTTAAAAAGTTATGAGCCATAGTTAAAAAAAACAAAGAATGAATGAATGACTATGAATGATTATCAAAAACAAAAAAGAATAGGCCTACAGATAATTAGATTGAGCAGAGTTCTTTAACAAATATTAATCTAATATTCAACAAATCATAACTGAGTAGCTACTGCTATGTGCCAGGTGATTGGGGCATATCAGATAGTTATGGCTGTGCTGTACTAAAAGGCCTCCAAATACCTGTTACAATTGTTAATAAAGGTCTAATGTTAATTGTAATTGTATAAAAAATTAATACTGTCCATCAGTAATAGCTGTGGTGAAAAAATTAAATTAAAAAAAATCAAAGTACCAAATTTATTGCCTCTGCTGAATATGTTCAAAATGTCATGTAGCATCTAAAAAACAGTACCTAACAATTCAGTACCTAACAAAACAGTACCCAAAGTGTTTTGAGTGATTGGAGCATTCTTAGGGTAACTGAATGATCTTCTACGATGGCTACTTTGATTCAGATTAGATGTGTACTTTCAGTTGTAGTGAGGAACTGTGGACTCTAAATAGATTACACCACCCTTAACCATTGGGAAAAAGGTAAAGAATACCCTGTGAAAGAGATGGAATTAGTTAATCTTCTGAAACCACAAATTGAAGAGGTGGCTTCTAAATGTCTTGTCAAGAATGGACAACTTTCCAGTGTTTTTTAGGCAGAGACAAGGGTAGACATTTAAGAAAAGGAATTGAGTGTAACTATCATTAAGATACCATAATCTTCTTAATTGCATTGTAATGATATTTTGGAGATAATTAATACATTAGTATACATATTGCTTAAAAAATTTCCTCACAATATCTTGCCTTCTTTCTAACTTCATTTCCATAGGAGAATTTGGGAACTTCTGGAAAGTTCTTCTTCCTGTAGACTGCTAAACTAGTTCAGCTATTTTTTTCGTCAACTGAAATATTACAACAACCTCCATATTAGTTTCCTTGCCTGAAACTTTATTCCTTTTAAATTTGTCCTCAGTATTGCCACCACTGTGATCCTGGTCTTAGACCATGTCATTCCTTCTAGTTAAAGTCTTCACTGACAGAATAAATATAGATTTTAGCATTTTTATTGGGTTTATATCCCAATAAACCCATCATAAGTTGAAAATATCATAAGTCAAAAATACATATATCTTAGTCATGCTAAGATATAGCATGATTCAGTGTTTGTTTAATTTACCTGAACTGGCATAATTTGGCAACTCAGAACAATTCACAGAACACAAAAGTGTGGGGCTAAGAAATAAAGGAAGAGGGGAGAGATAGGAAGGTATAACAAGAATTCTAAGATGAGGAAAAGTACAGCATCATGTCTCTAAACTTGCTAACATTCAGACCTGGAAAGGAAACACCGTGGATTCACTTAATACCTTTGTAATATTAAATATACTAGTTAAAAACCAACTATTTTGAGGGTAACTCATTTTTTAGAAGGATGTGAAAAATATGAATTTTTGTTGCCTGTAGCATTTTCTAATTTTAGTGAACCTCTTAAGAGATACTATTATTGGCTGGGCGCAGTGGCTCATGTCTGTAATCCCAGCACTTTGGAAGGCAGAGGCGGGCAGATCACTTGAGGTCAGGAGTTCGAGACCAGCCTGGTCAACATGGTAAAAACCTGTCTTTACTAAAAATACAAAAATTAGCCAGGTGTAGTAGCACGTGCCTGTAATCCCAGCTACTCGGGAGCCTGAGGCAGGAGAATCATTGGAACCCGAGAGGCGGAGGTTGCAGTGAGCTGAGATTGCACCACTGCACTCCAGCCTGGGTGACAGAGGACGACTCTGTCTCAAAAAAAAAGAGAGATGCTATTAGAGTAGATAGTGTTATACTGTAATAGAGTATTCAAATACCCTAGCTTGAAGAAAACATTAAGAGCAATTTGTTTTTTGTGTCCATTTCACCTTTCCTAAGCAACATTCAGACCTACAATTTCTGTCCTGAATGGGATGATCTGTACTGAAAGATTGTTCCAATCAGATGACCTATTCCCAGTTAATTTAACAGATAAATAGAGCTATATATTAGTTATTGAACAGATAAATTTTTAAATTGTAGTTAAGCAACATTCAGACCTACAATTTGGGTCCTGGATGGGATGATCTGTACTGAAAGATTACTGCAATCAGATGACCTATTCCTAGTTAATTAACAGATAAATTTTAAAATTGTAGTTATTGGCCAGACATAGTGGCTCATGCTTGTAATCCCAACACTTTGGGAGGCCAAGTAGAGAAGATCACTTGAGGCCAAGAGTTTGAGACCAGCTTGGGCAACCTAGCAATACCCTGTCTCTATGAAAAATTTTTAAAAATTAGCCAGGCATGGTTGTATGCACCTGTAGACCCAGCTACTTGGGAGGTTGCAGCAAGAGGACAACTTGAGCCCAGGAGTTTGAGGTTGCAGTGAGCTATGATCACACCACTGCATTCCAGCCTGGGCAACAGAGTGAGAACTTGTCTCTAGAAATAAATATAAATAAATAAGTAGATAAAATTATAGTTATTAAGTAAATCAGTTCCTTGTGAGTTTGTTAATATGCATCAGTTCTTAGAGCTGGCTAACACTAAGGAAACTGATAAGCCTCCGGACTTGCAATGTCTTTAATCCTATAAATACTGGATCTAAGTGATGCATTTAGCTTCTTGCCTGACATTCCTACTTCATTCTAGCCACTTGTGATGACTGAAGCACTGAGCAGCCTTTTTTGCAATTTTTTTTTTAGTCAGATATTTCTGTTTTTAAAATAAATTACTCTATAGTTATATATTCTGATTAGTATATAAGAATTGTTGGCTGGGCGCAGTGGCTCACACCTTTTATCCCAGTACTGTGGGAGGCCAAGGCAGGCAGATCACTTGAGCTCAGGAGTTTGAGACCAGCCTGGGCGACATGGTGAAACCCCATCTCTATAAAAAATACCAAAAAATTAGCCAGGTGTGGTGGCACACACCTGTAGTCCCAGCTTCTCAAGAGGTTGAGATGGGAGGATCGCTTGGGCTGGGGAGGCGGAGGTTGCAGTGAGCCAAGATCTTGCTATTGCACTCCAGCCTGGGCGACAGAGCAAGACCCTGTCTCAAAAAAAAAAAAAAAAAAAAAGAATTGTCTTACTAATGTGACTCAAAAGGGTTCCAAAGGTAAGTTTCCTTCTAAAGAATATTACACATTGGAACACTTTAAAAATTTACATTTCCCTCAAATATTGCCCTTTATAGACAATACCAGTTGTCATATTTAAAACTCCTTTTGCCTCCTCAGTTTTACCGGGCAGAAGTTGAAGCCCTCCATTCTTCGGGTATGACAGCAGTTGTTAAATTCATTGACTACGGAAACTATGAAGAGGTGCTACTGAGCAATATCAAGCCCATTCAAACAGAGGCATGGGTACGTGATACATATTCTGTACAAAGGCATAAACTATTTTGAAGAAAATATATAGCTCTAAAGAATTAGATAGCCATACAAAATATGCAAGTGGAATCATATTTTGAATTTACTTATAACTGGCTACCCCTAAAGTAAGATTTTAATTCAATGCTTACACTGAATGAACTACAATAAAAATGAATGCATTGAATTACTTTTCTTGTATAATGTTTTGTTGTATTATGCTTTGGAAATAGGTGCCCTTATTTACATTTGCCAAAAATTTGTATGCGTGAAATGGGTTTTTATGCATATTTTGTTTTTTTCCCAGTTTGTTACTTTGAATTTTACTAAATTATGTCCAGCAGCTGTCAAATTCAAATCTCTGTTGGATGTGCAATGTCATTTATTATTTTAGTTACAGGTAAAATTAAAAAAAACACTTTAAGTTATATACAATTTTACACTGCATTTACTGCATATATATTGACGTATATATGTACAGATTAACTATAAATTATCTGTTTGCTAATTATTGGAGTAGTTTTGTTACCAAATGTTATGTCAAAGCTGTGTGATAACTTTGATGATGTAACTTAGAACTTACTGACTCATGGAGTCCATTTTATAAAGAACTTATGTGATTTTATATAGATTGATTCTTACATTTAGGCAAAAACAGGAATACAAGACATATTAGAATTAGCTCTGTGAAGTTTTTCGTACTTCTTTCATTTCTTTAATTTGTGAGTAGCTGTTAATAAATTTATTGTTATAAGCCAATATCAACAAATATGTTGGTATTTTCCTAAAATAGCAAAATATTCTAGAAAATTATATCATCCAGAGTAACTTCATCATTGAAGGGTACATTGTTTTCTCATGAACTGCTTTTAGTTTTGGTCTTCTAAAATTTTTCTGTCATATCTTCAGTGGTACCCCTTCTCCACCTTCCAAAAAGAGAAATAAAACGGCAACAGAAAAACAAAAAACCTAATAGTAGTAATAATGTTTTGGGCCATGGATCTTTATTTTTTGCCTTTTTGTTCTAGAGAAATTATTTTCTAAATAATTTATTATTCCAACTTTTACAACATAAGATTGCTAATGGCTCATATGTTTAATTAAGAGATCGTTTCCCTAACTCTTATCCTCTAAACTTTAATTGCTCTTTGCCTAAAAACTCCAAATCATCAATATCTAATTTACATCTTTCTTTTCTTGGAGAAATTTGGTGTAACCATATTTTTACTCTTCTGAGAGGTTCTCATATGATGGCTATTTTCATTCTCTCTTTTCCATTAATACACACATTTTAATCTAGTTTTGATGATGAAAGTAATTATTTATTGAATCTGTATTTCTACAAGTTGAGTCCTGGTTTGCTATTTATTATGTTCCCAGTTGTTTTTAGCCATAGCAGTCAAAGATTGAAAATACAATTCTTATGTTATTTACTTCTTACTTTTTAGAAGACTTAGTAAGAGATTAATTTTATTCTTCTCTCCCTAAAGAAAAATTTACTTTTCTTACGTGGCTTCTTCTCTCCTTCCTTTTGCTGTTCCAGGGTGGCCATAGCTGATGAGCACATTTCTTATTCCTTACTGTAGCTCTTCTATTCAGAGGTGTTTGGTCCTGAAGTGATCATTTTCTTTCTACAGTCAGTGACTTTTCCTATTTCTCCCTTAAGAGTCCTCATTGCTTTATCCTTGATTTTAGGTCTGTATAAACTTAGCTGGACAATAAATTTATCAGGTGTACAGCTCATTTAGTGATTCTGTTCTGAACTACAGCAATACTTTCATATTCTTCCTACTTATTTGTGAATATTTATCCTTTATTATGTCATTTATTAACCTATTTTCTTTCTCTGCAGTCAACTTAGAAATCTTTTATAAAATATTTGAAATATTTTACAGAAAGAAGCAGGATAGAATCACTAAATCTTTTGGAGATTCTGGTATTTCTTTTCTCCTACTTTTATAATCAAGTGGTTGTTGACGTTTTATGAATTTGCGTAGGTTACTATAACAGACATCTCTGGATCATGCACATTATGATCAGCCTTTCTTCTTTATCTGCATAAATAATTAACTTAGTTGAGAGAAATATCTCCTCGAAATATAGAGGCCACCAGCTTAACATATCTCAACCTATTTCTATTTTAAAAAATATTTGTGTGCATATAGATGTAAAAAAACCCTGAAGAAATATAGTCTGTGTTGCTGTCAGTACATGCAATGTAGAGTTCATATAGAATTCTCTTAGCCCCTGAGAGTATTGAAAGTGTTAATGTTGGGGTCTTTGAGTACTTTTTAAAAATTTTGGTAAGAGGAAACTGTAACAAGTTTTAAGTCAAAAATGTACAAAATTATCAAAAAACAAAACATTCACTGTACCAATAAGAAGGTAACTGTAACTGATAAGTCATACTAGAAAAATTAAAGGGCTGCAAAGCTGCAGGGAAATGGTTAGAGAGGCCTTAGCACAATTACACTATGGATTGTGGAATTTTTAATTTTTTAACTTGTGCACTATATATGTGCACTACAATTTTTTTTATTGTGAAATGGTATTGTATCTTTCATTAAGATTTATGTTTGTATTGCCACAAGATTTTGGAAAACTCTTGTTTTCCTAAATGTAGCAGTGATCATTTAGTGAAGATTTTTTTAAACTAGTTTGCAGAAAAACAGTCAAAAAAGCCTGCATATAAGCCAAAAGCCTTTGTAGAAAATTAGTTGCTTGTGTTGTCTTTTAAAAGTATAAGCATAAATCATTAAATAGAAAGCATGATATATGAAGTGACTCGATGACTAAGTTAATACCTTGTTGTATGGAAAATTAAAATAAAAATCAAGTTAATACTTTAAATCTAAGTGTTAATGTTTTTCTCATGAAATTTAGAAATTATTTGCCTTAAATTTGTCAGTAGACCAAATATTTATTTCTCCTTTTCGTGTGGATATGTATTTTTACTTCCAGAACATACTCAGGGAGTATATTTTTGAAATATTTTGAAAGTATTAATGTTGTGGTCTTTGAGTACACATTTATATGGCCAAAATTGTGTTTCGATTATGATTAAATTCTAATTATCTTCAAAATGATTCATTAAACTTTTGTTGTCATCCCTGATTTATTTGTTCTAGCTAGATTTCACCTGTATTTTTTTTTTTTTTGGCTGTCTTAAGGTATTCTATCTTAATTTGATGTCTTTATTGCAGTGAACTTTCTAGTTAACACACATGAGATGCACAGCTTATTATTAACTGGATAAATGCTCTTATTTATCTCAAAAAATGAGTTCTTTGAACATTGTAGGATTTTTCTTATTTTAGCAAAGTAAATGAAACATTATGGAGTCTCATGTTTCACTAGTAAAATTATATATGGAAAACAACAGATTATTTTCTATTTCCTACCACTGTATGAGAAAACATTAGGGGCAAAGAAAACCTGCTACTTGTGTTTCCCACAGGCCCTTTCCAAATTGCTTCCTTTAAACTCTAAAACGAATTCCAGGAAACCAGTAAAAAGATGCCACAGGCAATTTGGAGGCTTGTAAAATACTCTGGTGCTGCTGGTCAGGCAAACTTTTTGTGTTGTTGCTTCTGAATTGCTCTCCTAAACCTGGGAAAACATTGTTGGGTCCTCATTTTCCATATATATTAATGACCTGAATTATATTGAGACTTTTATATCATAAGAAGTGTTTTACAGTGTGCTAATGTCTAAACTTTCTTTTTAAAAGTTCATAGTATCTGCTTCTTGGTATCAGGAAATGATCATTGTTCAGCTATTATTTCAACTAGAAAAATGATTATTGTGTAGGTAATTGTTAGTTCTAAGACCTTAACATACAATACACATCATCTTGGCCAGTAATTCTGGAAGGTGATAGGCAAATTGTTATCGTCTTTTAGGTGAGCATCCTATCTTAAGTGTTTTTCTGTAGAATACTCATTTATTCAACAAATATTCATTATGTATCTAGTACATCTCTTAGTTGTCGGGCACTGTTCTAGGTGAGGGTATATGTAAGTCTATAAAACACAAAAATCCCTGCCCTCTGCACAAAGATAAGAAAGTCATAGTTTTTATTATATGAAACAAACTGAAATATCTAATTAGGGTCTGAATTCTTCTTGAAGCTTTAAACAAAATATGAGTAGAGAAAATCTTACTGAAGTTTTAATTTAAATAATTATAGGTTATTATTCCATATTAGTTTAAAGATAAAATTAATGTGGAAGAAGAAAGCATAACTTAAAGAATTGTATCTCTTTAAAAAGTTCTTATATATTTTATCTATTTAAAAAGTAAAATTTGTTTTTAGGAGGGTTTGGGTTCTTTTTTTATGATAATTATATATATTTTCATGTTAGCGTACTTTAAAATGAAGAGCTATCAATCTCAAGTTTTAGTTTTGAAGTAACTTTGTATACAATTTATTTTATAATGTCATCCTGGGAAGCACATTTGAAAGTTACCTTTTCAAATTCAAATAATATTAATAAGCTATAAATTATTCCATCACTATTATAATATTAAAAAGAAAAATAGAACCTTCCATAATTCTAATGAGGAGGGTGATGGAGAGTTGTGATACATATAATCATGAGTTTAAAATGAGTCCTAGATAAAGGTCGTGTTAGTAATTTTAATGGCATAGTTATAAAATTAGGCTCCATCTAGTTTTATTTGATAATAAAATATCATAGTAGATATTAAAAAGGATAATTCTTACAAAAACCATTGACCTCAAAGGAGGATTAGAATTATGTAACAGTGTGGTTTTGCCAATTAGTATTTAGTAAACAATACAAGCACCTATGTGACCCTAGTCCAGAAGATTTTTCATTTTTACTGATAAGTTCTTAAATAAGTTTGCAGTTATAATTTTTCATACTTACTGGTTCAGGTCACTGAAATACATCTTCTTCTACCACACATATTTTGGGAAACTTTCAGAGATCACCATGTGAGCAGTGCTCATTTTCTTTTGCAATATAAACAACAGTAAATCAGAAGGAAACTGTATGGCTAGTTTAGCCCCATTTAAGAACATAATTTTCAAATCATGGTACATGGAACTTAGGGATTCCATGCAGTATCTTTAAGCTTTCTTTTAGTAAAGTTTGGTTGTGTTAGATGGAGCTTTATTTATTTCTTCCTCATCTATCACCCAGCCTTTTACCATTTTTGTGGGAGGTTGCGGATTATACAAAAACACTTTGCTGGAGATATAAAAACTGCTGACACAGAAGGACAGAGCATTTATTCATAAATGTATTCCATATGCATAAATGTTACCTTAAAATTCGTTCGTATCTAACTCTTAAATCCAAATTCAGTTTGTGATAGCTAAGCCTAACGGAATATTATGAAAAACTTGAGGTTTAGTTTTGATCTAGCTATATTATTCAATGGGGACATTTTAATTGACCATTTAAATTAATACTAAGAAAATAATATGCTGTTTTAATAATCTGTACAAAGTATTGTTTGAATTCTAATATCTGATAATAACATATTATAATCTATTTAAACTATATGTAAAAACATATTTAAAAGGTTTCTGGGTATTCTGAGTTTTCCTTTATTGAGTAATGAAAATATAGATTATGTTATTATTTCATGTTTCATTTTTCTGATGGTGAAGTAAATCCCAAAGTGAAATAACATGACACGATATTACCTAACACATGCCGTCACTCTTTTTAAAGTTATTTTAATAATAATGCATCTGTTTCTAACTTTAATTACAATTCATAAAATAATTTAAGCCTCAAATTATTTAACTATTACTAAGTGGACATTAGTTCCACTTCATGGTTAAACAAATTTGGAAAATGCTAGATTAAAAATATTAAATATTAGGTTAGCATAACTATTTGAAAAATCTACAGCATTCTTTTTGTTTTTCTATTCTTTCTTTCTTTCTTTCTTTCTTTCTTTCTTTTTTTGAGACGGAGCCTTGCTCTTGTCACCCAGGCTGGAGGGCAATGGCACGATCTTGGCTCAGTGCAACCTCTGCCTCCTGGGTTCAAGCCATTCTCCTGCCTCAGCCTCCCTAGTAGCTGGCATTACAGGCACCCGCCACTATCCAGGCTAATTTTTGTATTTTTAGTAGAAACAGGGTTTCACCATGTTGGCCAGGCTGGTCTTGAACTCCTGACCTCAGGTGATCCGCCTGCTTTGGCCTCCGAAAGTGCTGGGATTATGGGTGTGAGCCACCTTGCCCAGTCCACGGCATTCTTTTATTTTTTTTTGTATACGTGAATAATACCAGAAGCTATTACATTAATCTTTTATCAACTAAATCTCCCCTTTATTAATGGTAACCTAAAGTATGGACTTCTGAATATATGGCATTGGTTAATTAAGAAGTATATTTATGATACTTTACTTGTATATCCAATATTATATAATAGATTGATTTTTCATTCATGTATATCCAATATTATATAATAGATGGATTTTTCCTTCAGCATAGTCTTTTTTTTTTTTTTTTTTTTTTTTTTTTTTGAGACGGAGTTTTGCTCTTGTTGCCCAGGATGGTGCAATGGCACAATCTCGGCTCACCACAACCTCCGCCTCCTGGGTTCAAGCAATTCTCTTGCCTCAACCTCCTGAGTAGCTAGGATTACAGGCATGGGCCACCATGCCCAGCTAATTTTGTATTTTTAGTAGAGACAGGGTTTCTCCATGTTGGTCAGGCTGGTCTCGAACTCCCGACCTCAGGTGATCCACCTGCCTCAGCCTCCCAAAGTGCTGGGATTACAGTCGTGAGCCACCGCACCTGGCCTCCTTCAGCATATTCTTAAGGAAGCATCATCGGTGAGAGCCACAACTGAACGGGGCTGGAATTGTTCAGGTGATCTTATTTTTCCCTTTGATACTTATGGTTCAGTAGTCCTAAAACTTGTTCTCCTGGAAGTGCAAATTTTATCTTTTCATTTACTTTACTTATAGATACTTTTAAAGCTATAATTTTAGACTGTCCTGAATTTTACCATTCTTTCGCAAATATATGTAGAAGACTTGCTAATATACTCAGTGCACAGGAAATAAAGTAGTAAAATAAGTGGATCTGAAGGATATTTTTGTTTTGTCTTATTTCTATGGTCTCAGAGATGTTAGTCTTCTATTGGGCATGCATCTTGACACTCATGTCAATATATTTTAAAAATTTTGTACAAATTGAAAAGGCATCCTTGTTGAATACACACACACACCTGTTTCAGTTTCTGGTGAATTTCTGAGCTTCTTTCATCTGCATCTAAAAAAGCAGAAAAATAATATTGCTCATTTTACCATAGACTTTATTCCCTTTCAGATGGAACTCCCTCAGTGCAGCTTCTCTCCTTTATAAGTCAGTGATGGTGAACCTTGATGGTGATGGACTAAAAGTGGACTTATGATACATATTTGATTGCATACCATAATGAGTTGTCAGTTGTTCATTCTCTTTTTAAATCCTATGTATGTCTCTACTTAATACTATTTCTCTTTAGTCTTACTTTTATCGTCTTATGAGTCATCTCTCAATTTCCATTGTTTCCTAAACATTATATCCTTTTGGCCTTTTAATTTTTAAATTTCTTTTTCTTTTTACCTCTGGTGAGTGGTATCTTTTGATGTATATGGGCTACCCTTACTACTGATCTTAATTTATTGAACTTTACTGGACCTGTGCTGTTTATTCTAGCATCGTGTATAATGGGTTTCACTGTCATACCTCTAGTAAAAGAGTGGAGTTGTTCTGTTTCCCTGTGAGAAATATTCTGGTATTATAGAGCTTCCAGCTCCATTAAACTTGGGAACCACTGGCAAGAGTTTTACATTTTGGCTTGAAATAACTCTTTTAGTAGCCTGTCATTGGCTGAGAGCTCCATTCAGAAGGGAAAGGAAGTACTACAACAGTGAGTACATTTTATTTGCCTTAAAAAACTCATATAGTTTAATAAGAGTAAACATAATGAAGAGGTTCTAGTAAACAACCCAGACCATCATAAGAATACAAAAGTTATTATTTTTTTGTACATAATTATTCTTGCCTCATCCACCCTGCTTGGGGTTTTCTGAAGTATGTTCTGAGGACATTAGTTCCACTTCATGGTTAAACAAATTTGGAAAAATCTAGATTTAAAAAAATTTAAGTACATTTTTTGATTACAGGACTTCTTTGAGTCAATAACAAGTTAATATGTATTTTAAATCTCCAAGAGAGATATATAATGTATGTGTTTCACGAAGTTATTTTCTCATGGAATTTTTTTTCCTGTATAGAACCTATTATACAATGTCTACAGGAAATACTTGGAAACCATCTTAACTATTTGTTTTTATCTTTCTAGTTTTTACATTTCTCATTCATAACATGGGTAAAGATTTATCTCTGGAATACATTGTTTTAGAATTTCCAAACCTCTACTAATATGGTATTTTTATGTTATTAATAGAGATTAAATATATAAACAGCAATTTTTCCTCAATCACATTCCAAGCCTCTTCCTTTCTGTGAGTAGAAGACAAAATATATTCCTGAAATTTTGTCCCTTTTAAGTACTTGTGTCATTAGTAATACTATTTTATTGCATACAAATATTTTATTTTACATATAATTATATACAACTCACTGATCTTTTAATTTTATTTTAACTAATTCTGGAAACTTTTATGTATTAACTTTCAGAAATTGTTATTTATGAAGACTCCCATTATCGTTTTTGTAATATAGCTGTTTTTTTTTTTTTTGTGATTCTTACCTTATAACCTACATGAAGTTTATATGTCCCAGCAGTGAGGTATTTTCATCATTTCTTTGGGTTTTGTATTTGTTATTCCACAATAACCTAGTCTAAGCCAAAACCTGAAATTCCTTTTTTTTTAAATTTTTTTCTGTCGTTAAGCTAGCATTGGCT
The DNA here is from genome assembly GCF_000001405.40 of Homo sapiens. Lineage (NCBI taxonomy): Eukaryota > Metazoa > Chordata > Mammalia > Primates > Hominidae > Homo > Homo sapiens. The sequence goes on from NC_000013.11 coordinate 60,544,146, forward strand.
ACTAAATCAAAAAAAGTGTTGGGTTGGGCATGGTGGCTCATGCCTATAATCCCAACACTTTGGGAGGCCGAGACAGGAGGGTCATTTGAGACCAGCTTGGGCAAACATAGCAAGACCCTTACTTTACAAAAATAAAATAAAATAAAAAATTAGCCAGGTGAGGTGGTATGAACCTATAGTCCCAGCTACTGAGGAGTCTGAGATGGGAGGATTGCCTGAGCTCAGGACTTCAAGCTTGCAGTGATCTATGACTGTACTACACTCCAGCCTGGTCAACAAAGCAAGACCATATCTCTTTAAAAAAAAAAAAAAAAGAAAGAAAGAAAAAAGAAAAGAAAAAATTGTCAAAACTAGTAAATTCCATTGGGTATGTGTACATTTTTAAATGGAGAAGAGGCCTCCTAAAAGACCACAATTTCTACTTTGTGTCAACATTTATATTGCTCTTTTATTAATAGGCTACTGTGTTGTCTCTGAAGCCTTTGAATAGTATATTAATTCATTAAAAGCTTGTTATTCAGAACCTTCTAAAAAACAAACTCTTATTAGTACTTAACTGCTCTTGATCTCCTATTCTTACTTTCCTGATACCAGTTGATAAATCAGATGAGCTGTGATACTCCATATCAAACTCCAGAGCTCACTTGAGAGATTTCAAAGTGAGTTCATGCAAAGGAACTCTATAAATAATCAATAGATGTATACTATAAGTACCTTCTCTTTTAAATCTTGATAGTATCAGAATTTTAAGTTAGTATATGAACTGGGTTGTTAGCTAAAACAGTGGAAGGAGATCAGTAATTATTTATTGAATGATGGTATATTCCTGGTGGTCACCTTTATTACTGAAAAGTCCTTCTTCAGACACCAAGCCTGTACATGACAGTTTAATATGATAGCTTTTCAACAAATATTCTGAGTTCTTTTTGTACCAAAGCTACTTTAGAAAAATAGATGGGTCTATATGCTCAAGGGATTAAAAGGATATAAGAGAAGTAGAAGGTATGTTTTCTTCCCTTCAGAAGCCACCTAATATTGTTAAGGCTACCATGACACTGAGATGATACCAGTCTGGGAACCATTGCTGGCATGGGTCTTGATTATAGTTTTACATGATAACAGCATGTTAAGTGAATGAGATAATTTAGGAAGTAATTCGGGAAGCCCAATATAGACTTTTCAGAAACTTCTATTTAACAGCCTTTTATTGGCATCTTTTATCATGTCTGATTATGTTCACTTTTCCCAGATTGTGTAATTAGGAAATTAGGGTCAACCCTCTTGGTCATGATTATTAAAGAGTTTATTATACAAAGCAAGATATTAGAAGTCAGTTTAATTTTAGTTCAGTATGATTCAAACTGTAAAATTTAGGGACATGTAATTTTAAGTGTTGGTAACCATTTTTTTGGTACCACTTAATGAATGACTTAGGACACTAGTGACCATCTTATCTTGAAAAGACTTAATAAGGCTGAAAATAATGTGGAGAATGTACACGAATGTATTTTTTTCTCAAGGTGATCAGATAATATAAATATTATTATTAGGAAATCATGAATTTGACCATCAGTACCCAAAAGAATGTTAGACTTGATTAGATTCTTAGAATATGAAATTGAAGTATTAAAGCAAATGGAAAAAGGAGACATATCAAGGGGTTGAGAGTATTGGTACTTACTCTAAATTTTCAGTCTATTTTAGGTGAACTGTTTATTCTCTTCCTTTTTGTTCTTCCTCTGTTTCTCTCTTTTTTCTCTTTATCTAAGCTCCTCCTCCTCATTCTCCTCCTCTTTTATTTTGTTTTCTATGTGTTTACCTTTTTATTCATCTTATGCGTGTCATGTGGCTTTTATATAGGTTGCATATTTTCCAACTCAGGACTAGTGCTCAAATGAAGTCTAAATAAATAGAGCATCATTTAAAGTTTAGAAAGCCTCTAAAAGCTTTGGGCACAAATACATTGACATACCTGGTTGATCTTTTGTATGCCCTGATTATTGTAAATGCTTGCTTTGTACTTGGCCATACTGGTGGTGGTTCTCATAAATGGAAAGACTTTTAGAGACTGACTTGTATTGGAACTTATTACAAAAAGATCTAGAAATGATAAAATATTGATCATATGCCCAGTCCATTTATGTTGTATTCTTTAGAAATTAGCAAGGGAAATAAAATTTCTCATTAAATACATTTAAAACTCATTAGAAACATAAATAATTAAGATGGGAAATTAAAATATGTAATTCATTTAAGAAAAAGTAAGGAACTAGAGACTAGAAAGTCTAAATTTTGTTATAGAAGTTTAATTATAAAAGCCTACATTAAAAAATTTTAGGCATAATTTAGAAATAAAAAATATATATCTCAAGGTGGTGATGATACACTTTCCTATTTATTGAAAATATTTAAAGTGGTCATGAAAAGACTGAATATGTGAATTTCCTATCTATTCTAATGACTATACTTACATTAATGAAATAGTCATTGAGAGAACATGATTAAGATAGGAAAAAAGTGGTCATACCAGGCTGCAGGTAGATTTGGTGTCTTGATTCTTAGGCAGTTTTCAAAATAATTTCAGGGTAAATTAGCAAAATCAACCCTTCCTAAGTTTAAGGGAAAAGTTATTTTTAAAAACAACTTAATAAAAACTTACACTCTTTTATACAAGAGTGTATTTCCTCTTAATTAGGATGGATGTTGATTAAACTCGAGATACAGCTTTTTGCAGTATGGTGGGTTGGTTTTGGTGTAACGTCTTCAACATGTCGCACTGGCTATCAAAGAATAAGAAAATTATTGAGTATGAGTGTGTTTTATAAACTTTCTGAGTTTTTCAGATGTCTTAATATTTTTAATAGAACTTAATAAAATGTCTAGATTGAAAAAAAATAATTTCAAAGTTTTGACAGAAACTGCTAAGCAAAATTTTTAAGCAAACTGCTTTAAATAATTTTCATTATAAAAAATGTTTTATATTCTGAAATGAGAATTACTATACTTTGAGGTTGCAATGAATTTCACATAAATGGCAAAGTATAACCAAAAAAAATCTCATGACATTGTTCACCACTTTTGCCATTCTTGGACCCAAGGCTGGAAAACATTTTCAGACACTGTGCTTTATCCTGAAAGGATTTGGTGAAAAGGGATCTCTGAGGTGAATATCTGCTCTGCTTGGCCTTTGAGAGAAGGGGAGTGGGCAAGGCTGGTCTTGGGCAAATTACTTCCACCTCCCTTTTTGCCCCTGCTTCAGCTCCAGGGGAGCTGGAAATGCACAGGAGGAGTCAGAAGACCTGGGTTCGAGTCCTGGCTCTGCCACTTACTACCTATGTGACTTTGGGTAAGTTACCTAATATCTCTGGGTCCCAGTTTCAGTACAGGATTGTTGTGAGAATTAAATGATCTATGTAAATGTGCTCTATAACCTCCCAAGAGCTATAGAAATATAAATTCTTATTATCATAGGCTTAGCCTTCTTCTCCCCTATTCTGTAGTCTATTGTCCTCAAATATCCCTTTTTAAAGCAAGCCAGAATGACTTAACTACTTTTGTTTCTCCCTATCTCCTCTTCATATTGAAAATATTATTTCTATCCTCTGTCTGATAAACAGTTAAGTATTCTAAGAATGTAAAACCCAGTTGGTTAAATTAATCTTCACTATACAGAGTGGATTATTATGACCCCTTCTTAACCTTCCCACTCTCACCTTTCTTCTTTAATATTCCCAGAATTATGTGCTTAGAAACATCAAAGAATCTCTAATGCATGAAAATTCAGACAGTGTTGAGGAGAAAGATTTTGGCAGAGGGAAGTCCCTTGAATCCTGTTTCTTAGCTCACTGCTCCATTAGTTAGTAAGGTTGACTGGGAAAATGGTTATATAAATGTGCCTCTAGTCCATTCATTTTCTCTGTGGGAAAGGAAATGGAAATAGTTCAGAGTTAAAAGTTCTTCAGAGGTCTCACTGAAAGCTTAACCTGAGGAGTATAGTAGAGGGAAGACATAAGAATTTGGTGGCTATTTGTTTGGTCAGTGCTTTGAATATTATCTGATTTGCCTCAGCTTCTCAGAAATTAAGTCCTAGCCCACCCTCAGCCAAACTAAACTTAAAATGCTATCTTTATTGGGTGCTCAGTTTATAGAGGGTGCTTGCAGCTAAGGAAGAAAGAGAACTTGCCTTCTGGATCACACCTGGGTTCTGATCAAGGGATTTTTATGAGGGCATAAGAAGAGCTTGTCACTGTACTTGTTCCAGTCCTCTCCAACAATCTAAGAATGCTTGGTCTGACTATCTGTAAATAATAGTAATAATAGCCACTTACATGAGCCGCTTGCCATTAATGCCTAATTACCATGGAGCATAATAACAATTACTCATATCATGATTAGATTACATTATTAAAGATTTTTTTATTTTGTTTTTTTAAGCCTTGAACCATTCACTTATGCTCAATATGGTTTCTTGCTGAAGTAGCAGTGTCATCTTTCATAACTAAAAATTAGAGGAAAATATGGTAGAAATCAAATGCAAATTGAAACAGTAAAATACACTTTGAAATTTACCAATTAGTGGAAAAAATGAAATCATAATACTTACGCTGGCAAGGATGCAGTGATATGGGTACTCTTATACATTGCTGATGGTGCTGAAAATTAGTATGATCCTTTTGATTATTTTTTCCCAACACTTAAAAATGTTCATAACTTTTAAACCAGTAATCCCATAGTTGCTAATGTCTCCTAGGGAAATAGTAGAAGAAAAAAGCTAATTGCTTGGAGATTATCATTGTAGGATTATCATGGTAGTGAAAAACCAGAAGCTACTTAAGCATCCAACAGTAGGAGAATGGTAAATTGTCATTCATCTGCTGGATGAACTATTATACACCTGTGATAAAAAAGATCATTACAAAGGCTGTATGAGGAATGTATATAAGTGATTAAAAGCAATTTATAGCTTGAAAAGACACTCAAGGTAGTGGTGGTTTTAGAGTCAAGTCTCTGGGTATGTGTATTCAATTTTATAAATGTTCTGTAATTTTGGATTACATTTTACTTTTAAAAAGTAAAAGGAAACAAAATGAAAATAGAAACATGTTGTGACAGATCATTATTAGTTTCTAGCTGCAAGAAAAGTTTGGTAACAGTTAACCTCTCAGCCCATTTTCAGTAGAGGTTCTCATTAAGAACCTGCCATTTGAAAATCTGTGTCATCATAGTGACTATATTATTGCCCTAGGATGTCAGCAAAATTCAGTATTGGAAAATGCCCTATAAAGCTGGTTTTAGCTTCTGCTGGTAACATTAATATAATCCTAAAAATATTGACAATGTTTCAGGCCTTCTAGAGCTCATCTTTATGCCAGATATTAATACATTAAATAGATTGAAATGTTAATTATATACTTGAGCATTCTAAGACACGTGTGTGTGTGCACGTGTATGTGCACGTGGACAAACGTGAGAGATATCAGTGTTTAAAAAGTTGTGATATTTACTAAATTTTTCCTTTGGGGGCTTATCTCAGTAAAGAAAGTAAGAAAACGTAGAAAATAATTTTGTTTAAACTTTTGTTTAATCTCATGAGGCTTAACCTATTGACTTATCTGTCTATTATTGACCATTTTATGAAAAGCAATTTTTCTAACATGGAGCACACTTTTGAATGAGAAAAAATTTTTTTAGTGCTCATCGTATTTTTTTTCATGACAAAGTGTTGTCCACTACTAGCTGTGGAATTATAAAACAAAATCCAAATAGGAAACCAAGTAATCCTATTAAGAACATACTTTTATGATAATATAATTAATTTGTAAACTACCATATAATAATCTTGTTGTGGCATTGAATAGTATGCCTGCATCATGAACACTTGATCTCTTTCTAATTGGTACCATGCCAAAATATTGGTAAATGTTCAAAAAAGAACCTAAACAATTTACAGTGTGTCACTAAGAGTAGAGAGAGCTTAGAAAGATAGTCTGTTTCAAAGTTTATGCCACTGCATGTTATAACACTCATTAAATGAAGAAACACAATACTATGAGGTTTATCAAATTATGAAATTGATGAACATCCCATTTGAAAAATGTATTCTAGTGATAAATTCTTTGGTAAATTTAGGAACTTGCCAATAAAGTATACAGAACAGAATTATTTGTATTCATCTAAGCCTTTGAGGATAAATGTCTTGGAACATGCAGTAATGTGAAGAATTTGGTGTGAAAATATTTGTATTAGTGAATTTTACTGCTTTATTACACTTTTCTTCTCAATAGTCATGTTCTTGGAGGAGTTAATGCTCTGTGTCTGTAGATACGAAGAGAGGAAAAAACTTTAACTTGCATGAATTTTATAAAAATGATGACTGTATTTGATAAACTGGTAGGATTTGTCTTAGTAAATAGATTGCCTCTGGGTTCCTTTCTTCATTGGAAGAAAAATGAACATTTTGTGAATGACAAGATTCTTAGTCTCTTTTTAGTATTACATTAGTCAAGTAATCCAGATGAATTGTAAAATCACTTTGTAAAGTGCCAGTTAAGAGCTAGTTTCGCATTTTGTGTTAGGTTAACTTACTGGGATAAAATAGTCAAATTGCTTGACTCAAACCAGTAAAAGAAAAACTGTTTATGTTGTTACCTGGCATTATAAAAAATAAAACTTTACATTTGTGAAGTAATAGTAATAGCTCACTTTATTGAACTATTGAACACTCAACTTTGTACCAGACATTATTCTAAGCTCTTTTACTTACATTAATTCATTTAAGTATAGGAGCTGCTTATGGATACTGCAGCCATTTCAGGATAGCTCTTTCTGTCTGTTGAGAGTAGAAAGTATTATGGATAATTCGTGTTTGACAGTAAGAACTATAGCATATAAATTATATCTACTTTGTTTTACTAATTTCATTATGTATTTAAAATGCGAGTGAGATGGAAAGCCTTTCCTTTTGGTCTACTTATATAAACCTTTAAGAGTTTAATGTGGTCAGTCTAATTCTCTTCTTTAGCCTCTGTATCCACTGGGATATGTGGAAAGAGCATGAATTTTAGAGTCCACATACCTTGGGAAAGATATAGAATATTTTTTAACTTTAGTTTTGTTTTCTTCTATGGAAAATACCTATAAAAACATGTAACCTCACAGGATTATTGTGAGGAACATAATAATTATTCAGTAAACATTTTGTTAGGTCATTGAATGTTTGAAATGCTTGGCACACAGGTTGTTAATTAATGCTGGTTCCATTTCTCTTGTTTTCCTTTAAGGCTTTGGAAAGAACAGTCTCTTTTATTGTTCACCTCCTGAAAGTAATGCTTGTTGCCCCTTAATTGCAGCAGCAGCCACTGATTGAAATTTCCAGATCAGGAGTTGAGTATCCATTCCAAATTACCTCTCTAGGAAGTAAACCCAAACTGCTTCTTTGCACTACCCTTTTCTTTAGACTAATTCCTTTTCCTTTTATTTTTTCTGTTAAAATTTTCTTTTCTGTTTCAATGTGTATTAGTCCGTTTTCACACTGCTGTCAACATAAAGATACTACCTGAGACTGCGTAATTTATTTTAAGAAGAGGTTTAATTGACTCACAGTTCTGCATAGCTGGAGAGGCCTCAGGAAACTTACAATATGGTAAAAGGTGAAGGAGAAACAAGCACCTTCTTCATGAGGCAGCAGGAAAGACAGTGAATGAGGAACTGCAAACACTTTTAAAACCATCAGTTCCCCTGAGAACTCACTTGCTATCATGAGAACAGCATGGGGGAAACTGTCCCCATGATTCAGTCATGTCCCGCCAGGTCTCTCCCTCGACATGTGGGGATTACGATTTGAGATGAGATTTGAGTGGGGACACAGAGCCAAACCATATCTTTCCACCCTGGCTTCTCCCAAATCTCATATCCTTTTCACATTTCAAAACCAATCATGTCTTCCCAACAGTTCCCCAAAGTCTTAACTCGTTCCAGCATTAACTTAAAATTCCAAGTCGAAAGTCTCATCTGAGACAAGGCAAGTCCCATCTGCCTTTGAGCCTGTAAAATCAAAAGCAACTTAGTTACTTTCAAGATATAATGGAGGTACAGGCATTGGGTAAATGTTCCTATTCCAAATGGGAGAAATCAGCCAAAACAAAGGGGCCACAGGCCCCATGCAAGTCTGAAACCTGGCAGGGCACTCATGAAATTTTACAGCTCCAAAATAATCTCCTTTGACTCCATGTCTTACATCCAGGGCACGCTAATGCAAGGGGTAGGCTCCTAAGGCCTTGAGCAGCTCTGCCCCTGTGGCTCTGCAGGGTGCAGCCCTTATGACTGCTTTCACAGTCTGGTGTTGAGTGCCTGTGGCTTTTCCAAGCACACGGTGCAAGCTATAGGTGGATCTGCCATTCTGGGGTCCAGAGGATGGTGGCCCTTCTCTCACAGCTTCACTAGGCAGTGCCCCAGTGGGGACTCTGTATGTGGGCTGGAGCCCCACATTTCCCCTCTGAATTGCCCTAGTAGAGGTTCTCCATGAGGGCTCTGTCCCTGCAGCAGACTTCTGCCTGGATATCCAGGCTTTCCCGTACATCCTCTGAAATCTAAGTGGAGGCTCCCAAACCTCAACTCTTGTCTTCTGTGCACTTGTAGGGCCAACACCACGTGGAAGCCGCTAAGGCTTGGGTCTTGCACCCTTTGAAGCCACAGCCCAAGTTGCATCTTGGCCCCTTTTAGCCATGGCTGGAGCTGGGGTGGCTGGGATACAGGACACCAAGTTCTGGGGCTGCACAGAGCAGCAGGGCCCTCCAGCCACAAACCATTTTTCCCTCCCAGGCCTTCGGGCCTGTGATGGAAGGGGATGTCTCAAAGATCTCTGAAATGCCCTAGAGACATTTTCCCCATTGTCTTGGCTGTTAACAAGTTACTTATGCAAATTTCTGCAGCTGGCTTGAACTCTTACCCAGAAAATGGGTTTTTCTTTTCTACCCCATGCTCACACTGCAAATTTTCCAAATCTTTATGCTCTGCTTCCCTTTTAAACATAAATTTCAATTTCAAACCATATCTTTGTGAATGTAGATCACTGAACGCTTTCAGGATAAGCCAGGTCACCTCTTGAATGCTTTGCTGCTTAGAAATTTCTTCAGCCAGATACCCTAAATCATCATTCACTATCAGCATTTTGGTCAACACCATTCAACAAGTCTCTAGGAAGTTCCAAACTTTCCCACATCTTCCTGTATTCTTCTGAGCCCTCCAAACTGTTGTATCCTCCGCCTGTTACCCAGTTCCAAAGTCGCTTCCACATTTTCAGGTTATCTTTTTAGCAGTACCCCACTCTGCTGGTACCAATTCTCTGTATTAGTCCATTCTCTGCTCTAGAGATACTACCTGAGACTGGGTAATTTATTTTTTTTAAATAAAAAAAAAAAAAAGAGGTTTAATTGACTCACGGTTCTGCATGGCTCGAGAGGTCTCTGGAAACTTAAAATCATGGCAGAAAGCAAAGGAGAAGCTAGCACCTTCTTCACAAGGTTGCAGTAGAGAGGGCAAAAGGGGAACTGCTAAAACCATCAGCTCTCATGAGAACTCACTCACTATCACGAGAACAGCATGGGGGAAACCGACCCCATGATCCAATCACCTCCCACCAGGTCCCTCCATTGACATGTGGGGAATACAATTTGGGAAAAGATTTTGGTGGGGACACAGAGTCAAACTATATCACAATGTTACTAATATAATGAGGTTTTATATTAGAAATCTTAAAATGTAGATTTAGTATAAAAATCTACAACTCTTTTTAAAGTAAACTAGTTTTTCTCACAGAATGAAAGAACCGTGCTCCTTTAAGATAACAATATTGGTTGCAAAGTTATAAAGATTTCAGGTTTTTCTTTATGAAAACCATTTTCCTTCACACTTTTGAAATCCTGCAGTTTGTAACAGCCTTCATAAATCAGTGATTTTCGTTTTAGCTCTGGCATAAAGTTTTTCAGCCAGTCCTGCTGTCAGTGTACCTGCTGCTTGACATTGACAGGATTCTTGTCAAAACCTGGGTTTTGCATAAATTAGTGTTTAACCCTGGACAGGCTTTTCCTCCTCACTTCAGAGCAGCTTTTAAAAGACTGTCATGCTCTTATTCAAAGATAATGAAAGTGAATTTGACTATTGTATCATGCATTTTGTACTCTGAAGAATGTAGCTTATCAACACTGTTAGAATAACTTGAACTTTCCTAGTCTTTTTTATTTCTCTTTGAGCCTTAATTAATAATCTCCAGTCTTACACATTGCTTTACAATATAGACATCATCATTGATACTCCAGTGTACCTTTCTCTTTGTCCGGAGGATCTATTTGCTCTACTTTTTAATAAACAATTTACACTGGGGGCAGGGGCACAACAAAGGGGCACACTTTAAATAATCTTATGGATAAACTTAGAATTTTTAAAAAGTTGATTGTCTTAATACTTTTCAGGAAGATACTATTTGAAAAACCCAAGAAAATATGTGACTCTAATACAGAGACTTCGTGCTTTCCTAACTTGTTCTTGCTGTCACTGTTTTAGCTACAGCTGAATGGCAAAGGAGAAATAGCTTCATCCTTGAACGAGAAGAATATAACACATATTTGATATGATCATACATTTATTATGTTCTTCCTTTGTGTAAGATGATAAGCAAATTACTCTCCAGATTGTAATCAGTTCCCCCAACCTCTGTTGAACATCTCAGATGTTTCAGATGTGGAATTACAGGTTACTAAAATACGGTTTATGAATTTCAATAAACCTAGAAATAGAATCATTACACCAAAATGTAATATATCTAGTAGTCCTAGTTGAATCAGATGATACATGTCATTCAATTTTCCTTTATCTAAGTTGACAGAAGTAAGTTCATCTTTCTTATTGTTCTTGTAGAAAATCTTGGGGATACTTTTTCTTCCTTCAACCATACTCCCATCAAAAATGACTGAGAAGGTTTTCTAAGCTTGGAAAGAGAATAATTCTTTTTAAAAGAGAGCTAATTACTAATATGTTGAACCTTTTGAAATCTCAATGTAAGCAAAAATTCATACATTTAAGCATATTGCACAAAATCAGCATTTATATAACAAGATGATATATTCTCTACTAACTTACTGAGGTAAAGTAGTATAAATGGTTGATAATGTGAGGATTAGAGTTTCAAAACATGATTACCATTGGAATGCTTATTGTGTGCTTGACACCATGTATAACTCTTGATGTACATTAACTGATTTAATATCTATAGGATCTCTATAAAACAAATATTAATGTTTACTTTACACACTAGGAAAACTACAAATATGGGTTCAGAGCTGTTAAGTAACTTGCCTAAAATCTTTGAGCTAGTAAGTTGCAGAGCTGATAGTCAGGTTTAGGACTTGGTGACATCATAGAGCATGAACCTTCACTTTATCTGTAAATGGAGGTAAATGATACCAACGTACTTGAGAATTTTTGTATGAATTTAAGGAAATAATGTTTATAAAAATGTTTAGCATATTAATTGATTCTCAATATGTGATAAATTGTTCTGATGAGTATCATTTAGTTCATTCAATCTTAGTTCTCACAAACTATAAGGGTGAGAATGGAAAATGTAGTGGTTAGAGGTATCAGCTGGTACTTTTCAAGGTGATAGAAGTATTTTACATAGGGTAGGAAAAAAAACCAACCTATTTCTTTCTTTTTTTTTTTTTTTTGAGATGGAATCTCGCTCTGTCGCCCAGGCTGGAGTGCAGTGGCGCGATCTCGGCTCACTGCAAGCTCCACCTCCCAGGTTCACGCCATTCTCCTGCCTCAGCCTCCTTAGTAGCTGGGACTACAGGCGCCCGCCACCATGCCCAGCTAATTGTATTTTTAGTAGAGACGGGCTTTCACCAAGTTAGCCAGGATGGTCTCGATCTCCTGACCTCGTGATCTGCCTGCCTCGGCCTCCCAAAGTGCTGGGATTACAGGCGTGAGCCACCGCACCCGGCCCAACCTATTTCTTTTAACCTATTATTCCATTGCTAAAAGAACTTAATTTTACACTAAGACTATCTTTATTGTCTTCTAAAATTCAATAGGATCTTGGTTCAAGATTAAGGTACATTTCAACTACCCATTTAGATGTTACCCTTTTAGATGGTAGTCTTCTAACTTCCACTCAGTTTGTAAAAATAAAGGCTGACAAGTCACCAAAATAACTTTTCAGAAATACCTGATGTAATATTACATAGTTAATTTCAGAATATACCAACAATAATACTGTGCCAAAATAATATCTTTCATTAACACATGGACTTTAACTATACTTAAATTTAAAACTTTGTATTTAGGTTGGGAAAATAATTCTCTACAAATTTAGAATAAAATAGATCTGGGAATAGATTGTAAGCATTTCATTTGATGGCAAGCACAATATGAGTGACCAGTAATTGAGCACCTACTAAAAATATTAAAGCAAGATTAGATATCAGATTGCCTAATAGATTTATATATTGCCTAATAGAGTACCTTCATGAGAACTAATAGCATTGTATTCCAAGTAAGCCATACTTGGAATGTTATTCTTAGTACTAGGTTATGCAGAATGGTAACTACGAAAATGTATAAAGGAAAAGATGATCAAGATGATGGAGATTCTGGAAATAATGGTATTTGACCAAGAATTCTTATTAATAGAATAAGGAGAAGTAGAATATTTATTTTTAAATAATATCTTTCATATAGCAAAGGAAACAGACTTAAGAAAATGTAAATAGAAGTTCCAGAGGCCGGGTGCAGTGGCTGACGCCTGTAATCCCAACACTTTAGGAGGCTGAGGCGGGCAGATCACCTGAGGTCGGGAGTTCGATACCAGCCTGACCAACGTGGAGAAACCCCGTCTCTACTAAAAATACAAAAAATTAGCCGGGCATGGTGGCACATGCCTGTAATCCCAGCTACTCTGGAGGCTGAGGCAGGAGAATCGCTTGAACCCAGGAGGCGGAGCTTGCGGTGAGCCGAGATTGTGCCATCGCACTCCAGCTTGGGCAACAAGAGCGAAACTCTGTCTCAAAAAAAAAAAAAAAAAAAAAGTAGTTCCTGAAGTTCAGATTTGCACTTTCTAGTGAAGGATGCAAACCAATGGAGTTGGCTGCCTGAGAAAGCCAGAGAGCTCCCTTCACCAGAGTTATTTGCAAGAGGCAGAGCCACCATTTGTGTGAAACGCCATGGATGAATTTTGTGCTAAAGGGAAGATCAGAGCAGTGACTGCTGGAGTACCTCACATTTTTGAAACTATAGCTTTAGTACTCAGCCTGATAATTGATAAAGGTTTGTAAACCATAGTTTTCTTTATATTTCACTGAAGAGAAATAACAAACTATGGGTTGTTGGACATGAATAGGGAGTTAAATGTGATAATGGTGTTTGGTACATTGGGCCCTGCCTGCTTTAAGGCTTAAATTTTTCATTCTTTTCCTGTCATTTTTATATTTCTTAACTCTCATTAAGAGGGTGAAAACATCAGCAAACAACTATTTTTGTATCATTTGATATAAAAATTTTTTCTTATATCAAGCATTTCTTATAATTATCTCTCCTACCACTCCAAGTTTTAGTACTTTTTTGTGGCATCAATCTGGCCTGTATTTTAGCAATTTGGCATAAAGGATTTTTTTTTTCCTGATTTTTTTTTTTTTTTTTTTTTTGAGACAGAGTCTCGCTCTGTCACCAGGCTGGAGTGCAGTGTGCAATCTCGGCTCACTGCAACCTCCACCTCCCGGGTTCAAGTGATTCTTCTGCCTCAGCCTCCTGAGTAGCTGGGACTATAGGCACACGCCACCACGCCCAGCTAATTTTTGTATTTTAAGCAGAGATGGGGTTTCACCGTGTTGGCCAGGATGGTCTTGATCTCTTGACCTCATGATCTGCCCACCTCACCTTCCCAAAGTGCTGGGATTACTGGCGTGAGCCACTGCACCCGACCCTTTTATTCTGATTTTTTAAAATCTGTATTATAGGTGTCCGTGGCATACTGTATCTGTCTGTATTGTTGCCCAGTCACATACATAAAATATATTGGCCTGTTTTAGCATTAAAAGCATTCTGGCATTATGATATAATCATTGCTCTCAGAGAAAGAATTCGTTAACTCATCTTATATTAGCCTACCAATTTAAGATGTAAAAATGACATAAACTATGAGAGAGTGAAATAGTTAACCACTTGTGATTAGTGCTCATATGTCTTAACCATAAAATATTCTAAAACATACTTAGTTAGCATATTTGGGAAAGTAGTTGCTTTTGCAAAAATAATTTACAGGCATTGACCTGAAAACATATCAATAGGCATAGATAGGCATATGCATTTTTCATTATTAATCATAATTGCTCTACTTCTACCTTTAAAATGTTGTTTCTAACTGGTTTCTTTTTATGGGATATCTTAAAATTTTAAGGGTGTAGGCTAAAGGCAAGATGTTCAAAGAAGTTAATCATGTTAATTTATTTTTTGCTTTATCTTAAAATACTCAGACTTTATAGCGTGTCTGTAACTTTTGATTGATCATTTTCAATAATGCTCCTTTGCTAATTTCTTTCCTCCTTTTGTTCTATTTGCCCTTTTTTCTTTATACATTAAAAAAGAAGAAAAAGAGGCCACCCCACCTCTCCCCAAAACAAAAAAAATGGTAACAATAAAATGAATTATATGAAATTATTAGTTTTTGTGAATAGTTTTTGAACTTCTGAAGAAATAAAAGTTAAGCTGGTGGCAAGAACCTTTCTTCTTGCATTGGCTCTTTCATTTTTTTCCAAAGACATTTTTGCTTTTTTTTTTTTTTTTCTGTTGAAAGCAATTTGAAGAATACCCTCACAATAAGCTAAGTTCCTGATTTTCAGCAAAATCTATCAGTCTATTTAGTTTAATTGAAGTAGGTAAACAAACTCATGTGTTTTGAATAGAAGTATGTTTTATTAACTTAGAGTTATTTGATTGAGACTAATAGCCAACACTGCCTATTTGTGAAGCTCTTTTTAGGTATTTCTCATAGAATTCTCCTGATAAACCTCTGAGGTCATTACTATAATCTATATGAGAAAACGAAGATGTAGAAAAGATTAGTAACGTGCCTATGATGTGGTAGAATCTAAACCCAGACTCAGATCTGACTTAAGAGGTTGAGCTCTTACATGCCAGTGCTGTGATATAGTATCTCTTAAGGAAATCTTTGAGCCAACTGACACGTTTTGGAACAGAAATATGTTCCCTACTCTGATTTCTGGGCAAGCTTTTGGAATCTATTTAATCTTTAGAAATGGGTTTCAGAGAGGTACACATTTTTAAAAATTATATATTCGTTCCTGTACTTAACTATACTATTTCAACAAAGACAATAATCATTACATGATGTTTATAGTAGCTTCATGGCTGAAGCCATCCGTTTAGTTAAAATTAACCATAGAACTTGGAGGATATTGTGCTAAATGAAATAAGCCAGACACAGAAAGACAAACACTACATGATCTTACTTATATGTGGAATCTAAAATAGTCAAACTCATAGAAACAGAGTAGTATGGTGGTTGCCAGGAGCAGAGGGTGAGGGAAATGAGGAGATGTTGGTCAAAGGTTACGAAGTTTCAGTTATGCCAGATGAATGGGTTCTGAAGATTTAATGTACAAAACAGTCACTCCAATTAACAGTAGTGTATTGTATGCTTGAAATTTGGTAACAAGGTAGATCTTGTGTTCTTTTCCACAAAAATGGAGAAAGAAGAAAGAAAATGGAAACTGAGGTGATGGATATGTTAACCTTGATTGTGATTATTTCACAGTGTATACATATATCAAAACATTAAGTTGTACATCTTAAATATATGTGATTCCTGTGTGTCTATACCTCAATAAAGCAGAAAAAATTCAGGAATAACATTGACTGTAGAAAAAAGTTCCTGATAGAAAACTATGTGAAGCAAGAAATGGAAATATATACCGTATGATGCAATGAAAAGAACTTCAGGTGTACAGCCTAAAGGTCTCACTGAAGCATGGCCATTTACACAACTTTGAGCTAAGTACTCTGAGCCTTAGTTTTTTCATCTATAAAATGGTGAGATTAATTCAAAGCCTTATTGTAAGGATTAAATAAGATAACATGCAAAATGCCAGGCACACAATGGAATAAGCATTCATACTCCTTTTTGCTGTTTCAAGTTGTAAACTCATGTGTTTTCAAATGGAAGAGGATCCATAACTTTTATCATTTGGAATTTAATAAGGGTGACTTCTCTCCTACTGTCTTTTTTGTACTATATTCTGATTAAAATATGGATGCAGCTTTTTGATGTTTTCACTGAATTTTCACAAGTGCTTAACCTGCCAAAAATAGCTTATTTACATTATATTAATGTGTAGATCTTAGTGATGTTAGAGGAAGGACAATGATGAATAGTACTGTATTTGCTTCTAGTGTCATTTAAAAATTAGCTTTTCATTTATGTTAAAGTTCAGATGTCTTGTTTAGATTGTGCTTTACTAAGAAGAGCTTATAATAAAACCCTTGAGTTAGGTATTCAGATGATTTCATGATATCCTGTAGAATCATAAACAATTTTAATATAACTTTAGAAAATATAGTATTTAAAGAAAAAAGATTAGAACCACAATGGGATGTCCCACAGTCCTCCCGAAATTTTCTGTGATACTGGAATGAAAATATTATGTTATGTCAGCCATGCATTTTGAAACAGTTGTTTAGTGATAAGGTTTTGGATCTGATTTTTCTTTTGTCTTCAATTAGCATTTTTTTCTCTTCTGCCATAAAATGTTTTGTTTAAATAAAATGTGCTGGATGAGGTACATAAAAAGAGATTATCTTAGAGCTGCTCTGGAGGGATGGGAGACTATAATTCTTCAATATATTTTCTTCTAAAGGGGAATTGTTTTACTCAGAGCTTCAGAAACCAAGATAATCTGTTATAAAACTTACTATATTTGGTTATATATCATAATAATTTTCTCATATGTTAATGAAACCCGAGGGTTTTTTTCAATTTAGGTATATGAGGTGAGTTTTTAATTATAAAATGAGACATTTAATTTATAGGAGTCAAGTATAGGGTTTAAATTTTCTCTGTGATAGAAGGCAAAGGGAGAAAGGCTCTGAACTCAGAGCCAGAGGCCTGCATTCCAGTTCTGGCTCTTCCACTAGCTCATTTTATTAATCAAATCACTCCACCCAATTGGTTGTCAGTGAGTAGCAAAGGTTGAAGTAGGTTGGGTTTTTAATTTCTGTGGCTTGAGGGCTACAGAGGTTGAAGAAAGTGAGGAAGAGGAAGCCAAAGGGGTACTGCTCACAAATATGTAAAAACACCCACTTTAACCTAGGCCCATATATTTTATATAGGAATTCTACGTGAGATTTCATTTGAAACAAGAGTGCTGAATTTATCCTCAAAATAAATAATAAAAAAATATAAATCTGCTCTGTTAGATTTATCTCCAGTTCCCCTGCAGTTCTGAGATTTACGATACCTGTATTCCTTACCCTCATTACTGGGTACCACAGTGAGGGGCAGTCGGGCTTGTGAATCAGACCTGTGTTCTAGCCCAAGTAGTGGCACTAGTTACTTGAGCAAGTGATAGCCTCTTAGTTTGACTAACTGTTCTTTACAAAATCTTCCTGTTTTATAATCTGTGGTTCCAGGCTACTATGGGCCCAGGTTTTTTGTTGTTGTTGTTGTTGTTGTTGTTGTTGTTTGTAGTAGAACTACAAATATTAAAGTGGAATTTTTTTAAACAAGGATAATTGGTAAAGTTCAGTATTGATAATAATACATGACTCCCATGGGCACCAAGGTTGTCTGTAATCTTCATAGAGAATAAGAGCTGAGGCTGGGTGCAGTGGCTCATGCCTGTAATCCCAGCACTTTGAGAGGCCAAGGTGTGTGGATCACTTGAGATCAGGAGTTCGAGACCAGCCTGGCTAACATGGTGAAACCCCATCTCTACTGAAAATATAAAAAAATTATCTGGGTTTGGTGGTGCGTGCCTGTAATTCCAGCTACTCGGGAGGCTGAGACAGAAGAATAGCTTGAATCCAGGAGGTGGAGGTTGCAGCGAGCCAAGATTGCACCACTGCATTCCAGCCTGGGTGACACAGCAAGACTCAGTCTCCCTTCCCCCCACCCCCGGCAAAAAAAAAGAAAAGAAAAGCTGATTCAGCTTTCAATTTTTAGCTACTCTAATATAGAAGAATATTAGTATAGTTAATCTAAAAATAGACTTGTTTTTAAAGATATTTTAAGTTTTATTAAAGTCCATTACATGTTTTGGGAAAGCAGATTTGTCTTCATGATGATTGCTTAGGTTTTATATGAAAATCAGTTTACACTTCCATACATACAAGCTAAACACCTCAGGCAAAAGGTGGCTTGGAAATTCATAGAATAAGTGGTTCATGTATGAATCACTGAAGGAGATATGTACTCATTAACATTTCATGGTTCAAAATATCCTCAATTTCAAGGACTATTGCAGAGTACACTGAATTTCATATGCTGATGTATGTATTGTGACTACTATACAAATTCTGTTAAAAGAAACAAATGATTCAATTTTATTAAATTATACATAACATAGCTATTAGGTGACAGTATTAAGTTTTTCTAAGTTTTTATTTTTTTTTTCATTGAAGAGAATAATTGCCATTCCCATTTCCCACCTCCACCAACCAAATAATGTATCACTGGCTCTTCACAAAGTTATGACTTGGGAAAATGCTGAAGGAATGGTAATATAAGATAAAGTGGGCTAGGCATGGTGGCTCACACCTGTAATCCCAGAACTTTGAGAAGCCAAGGTGGGTGGATCACCTGAGGTCAGGAGCTCAAGACCAGCCTGGACAACATGATGAAACCCCATCTCTACAAAACTACAAAAATTAGCTAGGCATGATGGCTGGTACCTGTAATCCCAGTTGCTCAGGAGGCTGAGGGGGGAGAATCACTTGAACCTGGAAGGCGGAGGTTGCCTTGAGCCAAGATTGCACCATTGCACTCCAGCCTGGGTGACAGAGCAAGACTCCATATCAATTTAAAAAAAAAAAAAAAGGCAAGGCGATTCATTAAGTAAAAATGAACATATTGCTGGAGCTGAGGTAAGTATCTAAGTATTTTCAGCAAATAGAGCCCCCGCCAAATTTCTATAGAGAGTTGGGTCAGCATTTACATCTTAGGGGTAGAAGCAGAGGAAGAAATGTCCCAAATTTCCAAACTCAAACTTCCTGAGGTTAGAATTCTTTTCCAGGCTGCTCTGATACTTAGGAGTAGGAAGTGTCATTTGCCTAGCCTAGGGTTTCTCAACTTCAACACTGCTGGCATTAGGACTGGATAATTTTTTGTTGTGTGGGCTGTCCTGTGCATTGTAGGATATTTAGCAGCATCCTTGGCCTCTACCCATTAGAGGGAATAACAACTCCTTCCAGGGATTGGCTGATGCCCCCAGCCGAGGCAGATAGCTCTCACTTGAGAACTCTTTCCTTAAAGGACTGGTTTGTATGCTTAGCTGCATTTCACCTTACTATTTGTGGAACACAGAACCTGACTTCTATTTAAGTGTGTTTCATACTTCCTTCTGAAGTGTGTTCCAAGTGACCAATTTATGATGAACTTTTATAACACGGCTCATTTATAAATGGGGAATATGTAGTTTTGTCTGTGTTCTCACTCCAGATACAGTATACAGTAATGAGAGATTGAAGATGATATGCAGGAAAAACGCAGTTGTAACTTGTCAAACGCACATTATAGATGAAGTTGTGTATCTCCTTTTTGCATTGGTTTTTGTCTTTTGTTGTTTTCAAAATACCACTTCATTTATGTTTGGCGTCAATGATTATTGCGGTTTTGTATCTTTTCATTAAGAAGGAGCAATAAACTAGTAAATATTAGTATAAAAGCTCATATTGAGTATTAGTTATTTAGTTTTATAAAACCTATCTGATAACATGGGTGAGGTAAGCAAAAGTCTTTTTTTAATATTTGAAGAGATTTATTCTGAGTCAAATATGAGTGATCATGGCCCATGACACAGCCCTCAGGAGGTCCTAAGAAAAATGTGCCCAAGGTGGTCGGGATGCACCTTGGTTTTATATACTTTAGGGAGACGTGAGACTTCAATCAAATACATTTAAGAAATACATTGGTTTGGTCAAGGCGGGACAACTTGAAGCGGGGCTTCTAGCTTACAGGTAGATTTTAAAAGATTTTCTGGTGCCAAAATCTGAGTCCCAATAAAATGGTTCTGAATCTCAGAATCTTAGGCGAAGATGACATTGGACAGTTCCCGTTTATGAAAATTATTGCAGATCTTGTAAAGAATCTTGCCTGTGAGTCAGAAAGAAAATGGCCCTGGTTTGGACTCTTCCTCTAATTAGCTCTGTGACTTGGGAAAATCACTTCACCTCTCTTGGTTTATAGACTCATCTGTCGAATCTAGAAGGATGGATTAGATGGCCTTCCAGAACTGTGCCAGCTATAATGTAGTGTCAGATTTTTTAAAAAATGTTTGTAAACTATGAAATTAAAATTATTTTTTTGAGTTGTAAATCTCTTACAGAGTACTGAGACCTAAAGGAAGAAGATAGGCTAGAAGAGGAATAAAGTATAAATTTCATTCAAAGATGACTGAAAATAAACTGATCTATTAAATCAAGCTGTGTGTTAAATAAAGAGGAAAGAAGTACCCATTCTGTGCTAAAAATTACTAGCCATATACTATAAGAAGTGATTGTTATGGGTAACCAGATTTGCTCTCAACAGCTCTGCAGGATGAGTATTTAAAAGTTAAAAAGCACAGATTGTGACTCTGACAATACTGGAACTGAAAACCAAACTATCAGTATCTTTTTTTTTTTTTTTTTTTTTTTTTTTTTTTTGAGACGGAGTCTCGCTCTGTCGCCCAGGCCGGAGTGCCGTGGCACTGTCTGGGCTCACTGCAAGCTTCGCCTCCCGGGTTCACGCCATTCTCCTGCCTCAGTCTCCCGAGTAGCTGGGACTACAGGCGCCCGCCACCGCGCCCGGCTAATTTTTTGTATTTTTAGTAGAGACGAGGTTTCACCTTGTTAGCCAGGATGGTCTTGATCTCCAGACCTCGTGATCCGCCCGCCTCGGCCTCCCAAAGTGCTGGGATTACAGGCGTGAGCCACCGCGCCCGGCCGTCAGTATCTTTTTTACTTTTTTTTAGCTTCTACTTTATATAGACAGATTAAAGACATCAAGTTATGAGTTACGTGAAAGAAATCTCATGGTTGGTCATCTCTATAAAACCATTTACTTGGATCTGGTTAGTTCAGTTCGTGAATTCTTTAAACACAATAGATAGAAATAGATTTTCAAATAGCATTGTCGTTTTTATTATGTAAATCCAGCTCATTCTCTCAGCAAATACAGTGTCCTATCTCTGTGTATTTTATTAATAAAATACAGATTTTTAGATGTTCTCCAGCCAATTCTGCAGCCAAATATGGAGAAAAGTAGTATTCCATTCTAATTCCTGAAATAATTACTTCATCTCCTACAGTACCAAATATATTTTCATAGTTTTCAGTTAATATGCAGAGTTTCAAATGTTGTCATTTGTCTTAAAATAGCTACTTTTCACATTTAGCTATAATACTTGAAAATCATTCAGAACACTGACCAGAATAATAATAAATAACTTCTTTCCTGAATACTTTTATGATTTTCTTACTTTTAATTGCTTTGCTAAATTACAGATATAATATCTGATACTTCTAACCATTTTGAGATTGATTGTTAATGAAAGGGATATAGGGAAAGGAAAACTCATCTGGAAGTTGATCTCTAAAAGGCAGTTATTTAATTATACCAGATATATTGTCAGATTTCTGCATTCTCTTCTTTCAGTGATGATAGGCCCCTCAGGATGATCATTAATTTTTGGCTATTGGCTTCTTTCTTTTACATGCAGACTGAAACTTAAAGATTTAAACAGCAGTGTTAGAATGCAAAACCGAAAGATACTACTGTCTTAGAAGTATTAGGGCAAAGTCACAAAGCTTTCCCAAGCTTCAGTATTCTTTATATAAAGTGGAAATAATAGTTCTTTTTTTTTTTTTAAGACTACTTTGCAGGATGTCTAAAATGAGAATTATGTTCATGCCAAATTTAAAAATCATTGCTAAATAATAGGATTTGACCAAATTATCTTACCATCTTTGTTTCCATTAGGTAAAATTGCAGTAATTGGATCTATAAAGATTTAAAGAATAGAACTCAGTCTTCTTATTTACTTTTCTATGTTATTAATAAGGTCAAAGGAAAGCAATATTTTGAGAAAGAAGATTCAAAGATAAAGTAAGGAAGAGAAAAAATAGGATTAATTTCCAAAGTAATGCAAATTATTGTGCTCTGATAATTCAGTTGGAATTTAAACTCCCTACTTAGTGAAATAGATGCTTTCTTTTTCATAAGCAAAACTGAGAGCTAATTTTTTCTCTCTCTAATAGGGCACATACTTCATAGCTGTGTTAATTCAAAAACATTTAAATAACAGGGTGGCAGTACTCAGTAAGAAACCAGTGTGGCTTTGGCTGTATTTTGTTGCTTCTAAGTCCTTTTCAAATATTATCATTAACTATACTCTTTATGCTATTTAATCTGCTTATCCTAATTTCCCTATGCTACTCCTTGAACTGGTAGATATACCCACTCAGTAAGAAAGCAAATAAAAATAAAATAGTTTGAGTCTTACTCTGGTGATCTCTCTATCTTGCATGAAGCTTTCTTTATATGTAAATTGTATTCCTCCCCTATTCCAAACCATTATTTTTTTCTGTCTCTAGATGTAAGGTTCTTAACAGTGCTGGAGATTTCATCAGATGGGGACAGACAGCTGATGAACATTCTTTGGCTCTTCAACCCCTTTTCTTTATTCTACCAAAACACTTTTCCATGATAAATACCTAGAAACATTTAGAAGCCCAAATATTCAAGAAAATTGTCATTATAATGCTTGCTTTTCTGTATGTTTTTACCACATTGTGTCAAGCCATTTGATGAGATGATCTTGCTATTATTTGGAAATAGTTTCCTTTTCTAGAATAAAATTCAATTCTAATCTTACCACTATAAATGATGTTTTTCTATTACCAAGGATCAAAAGAGTTTTAACAGTATCCCTGCCTTTTTCTTTTCTTTTCTTTTCTTTTCCCTTCCCCTTGCCTCCCTCTGTTGTAAAAGTTGACATGTGTGAATTCCAGGGCAGCTTAAGAGAGATATTATTAAAATAGGGACCATACAATTTTTTTTACTTAAGAAACTTGGAGCCATTTTGAACATGTAAAATCACTACTCTTTGCAAATAGGAGGAAGAAGGCACCTACGATCAAACTCTGGAGTTCCGTAGGGGAGGTGATGGCCAGCCAAGACGATCCACTCGGCCAACCCAACAGTTTTACCAACCACCCCGGGCTCGGAACTAATAGGAAAAGGTAAACTTAACATTGTGAAGTGGTTTTCATATAAAGAAAGATGAAATTCATGTTAAGCATATAAGTCCAATTAGTGATTTTTTTTTCTCTGAGACGAAGTTTCACTCTTGTTGCCCAGGCTGGAGTGCAGTGGCGTGATCTCGGCTCACTGTAACTTCTGCCTCCCAGGTTCAAGCGATTCTCCTGCCTCAGCTTCCCGAGTAGCTGGGATTACAGGCATCCACCACCATGCCCAGCTGATTTTTTTTTTTTTTTTTTGTATTTTTAGTAGCAATGGGGTTTCACCATGTTGGCCAGGCTGGTCTTGAACTCCTGAGCTCAGGTAATCCACCTGCCTTGGCCTCCCAAAGTGCTGGGATTACAGGAGTGAGCCACCATGCCTTTTAATGTGGCTACTAGAAAATTTAAAATTACATATGTCTTGTGATATTTCTGCTGGGCAGCACTGTCCTAGAATGTGATATGTCTTTATCTTCCCCAGAGTTCCTTCCCTGGTTAAAAATTAGTTCTGCCATCCTAAGTGAAGAAATTTTTTTCATCTGTTCTAACCCTCAGCTTCTCATGTAGTAGTAGTCTGCCTAGAGTGGAAGTCTAATGCTAATTGACTTCTGAATTACTGTAGCCAGCCAATGTAGCACCTTTTTCCTTTTATCACTGGCTTGTTTTGTGTCCCTAATGCAAGGTCATCAAGTAAACAGTCCTGACCTACTGTCCATAGTGTCACAGAAGAGCTACTTCTTGACTCTAGGTATTTTTCTTACGGCATGGAATAACTGGTTTGTCATTTAGTGCCCATGTCTGCTTTTAAGCAGAATCAAAAGAATATGTAAGGACTTTGGCAACTTTGTGTTGTATAAGACAGAACTTAACACTTATAAAATAAGCTCAGTGTGCTTATAATTAAAGCAATTTTAAAGGTGAATGAAAACTGAGAATTCTCTCTTAGCTTTGCCATATATGACAAACCCACAGCTAGACTCATACTGAACAGGGGAAAAACTGCAAGCCTTTCCTCTATGATCTGGAACAAGACAAAGATGTCCATTTTTACCACTTGTATTCAACATAGTTGAATAAAATAGAAGTACTAGCTAGAGCAATTAAACAAGAGAAAGAAATAAAGAACATCCAAATTGGAAAGGAAGAGTCAAATTATTCTTGTTTGCAGAGGATATGATCTTATATTTAGAAAAACCTAGAGTCTACCAAAAAAACTATTAAAACTGACAAACAAATTCAGTAAAGTTGCAGGATACAAAATCAACATACAAAAATGCTACTATTTCTATATGTCAACCGCAATTGTTTTTTTTCCCCCCTTTTCTTCTTCTTTTTTGAGACAGAGTCTGGCTCTGTCACTCAGGCTGGAGTGCAGTGGCACCATCTCAGCTCACTCCAGCCTCTGCCTTCTGGGCTCAAGACGTCCTGCCATCTCAGCCTCCCTAGTAGCTGGGACCACAGGTGCACACCACCATGCCTAGCTGATTTTTGTATTTTTTGTGGAGATGGGGTTTTGCCATGTTGCCCAGGTTGGTCTCAAACTCCTGAGCTCAAGCAATCTGCCTGCCTCAGCCTCCCAAAGTGCTGGGATTAAAGGCATGAGAGCCACTGCACCCAGCCTCAACAGCAAACAATCTGAAAAGGAAACCAAGAAAGTAATCCCAATTAAAATAGCTACAAATACAATAAAACACCTAGGAATAAATTTAACCAAAGAAGTGAAAGATCTCTACAATGAAAACTGTAAAACATTGATAAAAGAAATTGAAGAGGACACACCAAAACACTGAAAAGATACTCCATGTTCATGGATTAGAAGAATCGATAGTGTTAAAATGACAGTACTACCCAAAGCAATCTACAGATTTAATGAAATCTCTATTAAAATACTAAGGACATCCTTCATATAAATAGAAAAAATAATTCTAAAATTTATATGGAACCACAAAAGTCCCAGAAAAGCCAAAGTTATCCTGAGCATAAAGAAGAAAGCTGGAGGCATCAGACTACCTAATTTCAGATTATACTACAAAGCCGTAGTAAACAAAATAGCATAGTACTGACATAAAAACAAACAGACCAATGGAACAGAATGGAGAACCCAGAAATAAAGCTCTATATTTACAGCCAACTCATTCTTGACATAGGTGCCAAGAACATACATTGGAGTGATGATAGTCTCTCCAATAAATGATCCTGGGAAAACTGGATATCCGTATATGGATGAATGAAACTAGATTCCTACTCTCATCATAAGCAAAAATCAAAATGGATTAAATACTTAAGTCTAAGACTTGAAACTATGACACTCGTAGATGACAACACTGGAGAAACAGTCTAGGACATTGGTCTGGGCAAAAACTTTTTGAGTAAGACCTCAAAAGCACAGGCAACCAAAGCAAAAATGAACAAATGGAATAACATCAGTTAAAAAGATCCTACATAGCAAAGGAAACAGTCAACAAAGTTAAGAGACCACCCACAGAATGGGAGAAGATATTTTCAAACTATCCATCTGACAAGCGCTTAATAACCAGAATATATAAGCTCAAACAACTCAAGAAAAAAAATAATAATCTGATTTTTTAAATGGGCAAAAGACTTGAATAGGCATTTCTCAATAGAAGACATACAGATGCCCAACAGGTATATGAAAAAATACTCAACATCATTAATCATCAGAGAAATGCAAATCAAATACAATGAGATATCACCTTACCTCAGTTAAAATGACTTTTATCCAAAAGAAAGGCAGTAATGAATGCTAGCAAGGATGTGGAGAAAGGAGAACCCTTTTACATTGTTGGTGGAGATGTAAATTAGCACAGCT
The DNA here is from genome assembly GCF_000001405.40 of Homo sapiens. Taxonomy (NCBI): domain Eukaryota; kingdom Metazoa; phylum Chordata; class Mammalia; order Primates; family Hominidae; genus Homo; species Homo sapiens. The sequence continues at coordinate 60,570,481 of NC_000013.11, forward strand.
ACTATGGAGAACAGTAAGTTGGTTCCTAAAAAAACTGAAAATAGAACCACCATATGATCCAGCAATTCCACTACTGTGTATTTATCCAAAGGAAAGGAAATCAGGGTATTTTATTTCTTTTTAATTGCTTCAAACAAAGTTTTAAATTGTGGCCAAAGATTGTCAATGCCCTCATTGCTGGAAGGCAGCCATTGTTTAATAGTGGACTCAATTTCTTCAGGGCTGTTGAAGGCAGGTAGGATCTAGCAGAGCTAGAAGTAGAGAGGAGGCAGTGAACATGAATGAGGGTGCAGCCAGATGAGGGGAACTCTTAGTCCCCTTGACCCCTTCTTTAGTTTCTTTCATATATTTTATATACTAGGGTTCCATGGGAAATTTCCTTTGAAAAATAATATATTGCTTAAAAGTAAATTGTAAACCATTACCATATGGTAACTGTAGCTTATCCATATCAAATAACAACGCACACAGTTCCTAATCAACTTAAACATCACAATTTTGGTGGTTTTCTATGTTCCCTGAGTTAAAACTTCCATCGACAAAATGCTTGCTTTGGATTGTACTGTTAACAGGAAATATATGATGCAGATATTTTGGATTCCTGACATCAATAAAAAAAAATTGGTGGGGGACAGTGCCATGAGGTATCATTTTAAAACTCTCACTACAAAATTCACCCTAAAAAATAAGACATGTAATCTTGTTTGAAGAAAATTTTACTTAGTTTTGCATTGTAATTCAAGCATATGTTATGAAAGACTATGAAGTAGAATGAAATATCTCTTTGACATACTATCTTTGAATGGGAGGTTCAAAAATAATAGTGTTCTGCTCTTGTTACATAACGGAATATATTCTTGAGATAAAAGATATTTGTTTCCTCATTCCTGGTTTGTATTAACTTAAACATCTAAAAAAAGATAAACATTGTAGCCAGCCATTTGACTTCCAGCAAATATAAGCATGAATTCTAATATATGCTGAAATTTTCTAAGGTTTTGTTATCTGAAATTATCAAGGTAGTGAAAAACACTTAAGGTGCTTTCTATTATCACTTTTAAAAAACATAATTTCACAGTCATAGGTTTTCTTTTTATGTTTTGAGTACTTCACTAGGTGATGAATGACACATGGTAGCTGTTCAGTAAGTGTTTATTAAATCAGTATGTTTTGATAAAGTTTTATATTGTAATTTGCACATTCTTTGATTATCCTAAAACTTTTTTTCAAGGCCCCCACAGATCCCCTTCCCCCAACCCTCCACACACATATACTTCCTCATTGTGGTGAGAGAACTGGATTCCACTTGAGCCAAATACTAAGGACAGCTTCAGTGACAGAGCAGGAGATACCTAGGAATCAGGGCTAGGTGAGAGAAGGTCTTGGGGAGCATGTGGAAAAATAGGCCCAAGTCTGAGAAAAAGTGGTGACAAGTCAGATATGAGACTTTAGGGGAGATAGAGCCCAAAACTCCAAACTTCTAGTTCCTGGACACTGTCATAACTGTTAAGACAGCTTGGAAATATGAGCAGATATAAAATAGAGAAATTATACACAGTTCTTTAGTCCAACCAAAACTTTGTGCGTTTGGAGAGGTTTCTGACATGAGTGGAGTCCTAGGAACTAGATACTAATTAGTAGGAGCAGCCCTTAGACATGAAGTTTAAGCTTCACATTCCTGGTGGGGTGGAGTCCTCTGAAGACACTGTATAGGCAGAGGAAAGTTTAAACGAGGGAAGCAGAGTCCACAGCAAGTGGCTCTCAGTGGCTACAATAGAGAATATGAACCAAAACAATGGGTGTTAGAAATATTTTTCGGTGATGAAAACAGCATGGCTTCAAATACATAAGAGTTTGAATTTGTTGTGTTTGATGCTGTCATGAACTTTTGATTAAGAGAGTGATATGATCAAAATTAAGCTTAGGAAATATTGCAGCTGGATGTAGGATGGATTATAGCACCAGGAGGGAAAGAATCTAAGAAGCTATTGCACTGGTCCATTCAAACATTGGTTAGAGTTGCATGTCCTGCTGTGAAAAGAGAGATGGCAGAGACCTGTGCAGGAAGCCTTTGTAAGACAGATCAGCAGGAAGCTCCTGCTGCCATGGAGGTCAAGGCTCAATGTGTAAAGCAGTTAAATAAACGCTGACTCACTTGGAACTTCCAGTTTCTTCTTTGTTTGATGAAAGAATGGTATTCCCAGTTTCACGTGTTAGTCAGAAACCTTAAAACCAATAGCTAAGCATAGACTACTACATAGGTACTGTAAACTTATTTTCAAAGTCCTGGTTTTTAACACCATTTTTAACTACTAAAAGATGTATTTTTAAATGTTGAAATTTTTTTTGACAATCTGGTCCAGCATCAATGTCAGGAAAATGATCACTGTAAAGATAACTGTTACAGAACTCCATGATGCCAGCAGAACAGGCAGCAGGTGAGGATTATAGTACCCGACGCTCTGTATTTTCTAAGCAGGAGACTGTTTACTTCCCAAGACTTACGAGCTGTTTGTATGCAGCCGCAGGAACTCCACTAGTCCCTGCCTAAGCACGCTGTCATGCATGAGGCTAAAATAGGCCTGGAGCATACAAGTCTTCTCTCGCCATTTATCTCAGCTCTTTCTCTTGTCACCACCCAAAGTGGTTTTAACTAGAGTGGTGCCTAATAAATGTGGGGAGCAGGCAGGGGGAGGTGACAGACCAAAATAAATCACCTGTGTGGAGCAACTCAATTCAGAGGCGTTCACAGAAGAACTGGAGGCGGTTAGGATAGGGAAAGACGTGGTTCATTGGCAGACTGCATCTGTTTTCGGTAATCCTCCGTTACAAACAGTTCGGTTAATCCAAATTCCTGAAATCAACATGCCAGCAATAAATGGTATAACAGTGGCAGAGATGTACTTTAACAAAGTCTAAAAAAAAAATTTATTTTCAAAAAAATTTTGCTTTTTTCTTTCATATTGCTTTATAAAGATTGTTTACAAATTAGCAGTATCCAAAATTCTAGTTAAGATCTATTTATACAAACACTTCACATTTACAGATAAGTTTCAGCAGAAATGTATCTTGACAAAGTATGGAAAAGTTAATTTGAGGCTTCAATTTCATTTTCTTCATTTCTTTTTAAAGTAGACTCTTTGTGAAGAAACGAGCCAGTGACTGAAACACCCTGGTGGAAACCTGTTGACAGACCTTCCACTTTCTCTTCAGAATAAGTAGCTGTGGTGGATATTATTATTTGAAGAAAGAAAAAACAGATTTTAGGGTGGAAAAAACAGTCAACTCACACAAAGAATGGAAAAAAATACTGAGTTAAATTAAGCAAATACCTTTTACAAGTGAAAGGAAGAATTTTTCTTCTGCCGTCAATAAAACCATTGTGCTATTATTGTTTTACTGTGTGTTTTATTTGCCTGATGTTATCTTTCTTGTTCATCTGGTATTAACCCCATACTAATTGCCTTTCTATAGAATAGCAATTTCAGCATACTGAAGCCTCCCCCTACAATTACAGAATAAACTGACACAGCTTGCCGCATTTCTTAAAAAAACAGCCTGAAGCCAAATAGCAGTTCTTAGTATGGTAATACCTGCTAAATATGATGGCAAAAAGTATTTAAAACTTGAATATGTTGTTTATAACACTCAGGTAGCTTTTCCAAATGTAATTCAATTTTAAAAAACAGGTATTCCCTTCCTCATAAAAGGTGCAGTGGATCTTTAAGGATGCATCTGGTTGCAAGTACCAGAAAACCCATCTCAAACCAGCTTAAACATTAAAGGGAATTTATTGGCTCACTTCACTGCCAGAAGCATAGTAGGTTTCAGGATTGGTCTAATTCAGTGACTCGGGGATGTCATGAAAGACTGATTCTTTTTTTTTTTTTTTTTTTTTTGAGACGGAGTCTCGCTCTGTCGCCTAGGCTGGAGTGCAGTGGCGCGATCTCGGCTCACTACAAGCTCCGCCTCCCGGGTTCACGCCATTCTCCTGCCTCAGCCTCCCCAGTAGCTGGGATTACAAGCGCCCGCCACCACGCCCGGCTAATTTTTTTTGTATTTTTAGTAGAGACGGGGTTTCACCGTGTTAGCCAGGATGGTCTCGATCTCCTGACCTTGTGATCCTCCCGCCTTGGCCTCCCAAAGTGCTGCCACAGGCGTGAGCCACCGCGCCCGGCCGAAAGACTGATTCTTTTTATCTCTCATTTCTGCTTTCTCTGGAACCAGCTTCATTCTACAGCAGGCTACCTACCCCATGCGGCCACAAGATGGCTTCCAGCAACTCCCAGAGCCTAGGGGTGGGGTTGGGGCTGCTTCCAGAAATGCACTCAGAAGAGAACAACTTTTCTCGTTAGACCGCATTTAGCTCTTTTGGGCTACTTTTCTATCTGTGAACCATTAACTCCAGCAAGGCCTAGAGATTACCTCAGGCCTGATCTATGTGCCCCACGCTTGGCAATGGGACTGGATTGGAGGCAGAGGATATGCATCTGAAAGTCAAGATACTTGCCAAGAGGAGAGGGAGAGGTGTTGGTGATGCAACCAGAATATCCATTACAGTAAACCAATTGTCAGAGCTACAAACTCTTCGTTTAATAGTCTTCCTATAGTCTCAGTCTTGTGGAGCCAGAAGTGAACAAATAAATAGAAGAAAGAAGGGAGGCAGAGGAGGAAGGAAGAAGAGAAAGAGAAGCCAGAGTGAACAATTAAAAACAGAAGAAGGAAGGAGGAGGAAGGGAGGGAGGAAGAAGAGAGAGGGAACACTGGGCAAAATAATTGATAAAATGTGCTTTGAAGGAGAGGTCCTCAGGCATTCCCTCAGGGCCTATTATGTACATTTTCATTATTAGCCCACAGATGTTAATAGTTGGGTCTAGCAGTGGTGTTTTGGTTTTTGTTTTTGTCAGGCCTCCCATGCTGTGCATCATAATTAACTAGAAGTGGGTGAGTCTGGGCAGTGCTATTTTTTTAAAGATCTCCAAATGATTCTAATGTGTGTCTTAGGTTGAGAAACAGAGGAAGCCCATGGCAGTTTTGATGCGTTTGACAGCTGATAATAAGGGAAGAGGCAGCAGAACTGAAACGGAGTCCTGAGGGTAGTTTAAAATGTGGGCTGTTGGCACTTATTTGTTAGATGGGGACAATAATACCTAATACAGCATTAAGCCTAAAATGGACACTCAATAAATACTAGTGTTGGTTAGGAGTTATTACTCAACCGTCCTTAAGAACAGTTCCATATGGTAATGTGTTTATACAAAATGATAGATATCTAGATCATATATATTAAAATGACATATGGATCATATATATTATCTAGATAGCTATAGATTTATAAATCTATAAATTTGACCTGAAGACTCAAGAAAAGTTTAAATTGGACAGTAGTGAAGTGGACAGTAAGTGAAGCCAACCCATCTGTTCTGATTGCTGGTGGCAACTGGGCACTAAAGGGTGAGGAGTTCATTTCTGCCAGAGCAAGATATAGTTGGCTAAATATATCAAAAACTAAGTTTCACTGTGGCTTTCTATTATTAAGGGCAGCTGCAGGCCTAGATGCGGATGGGGTATGTAATAATAAAATAATTGTTAGTATTTGCCAAGGTTTTCCTATGTGCCCAGCACTGTACTAAAACATTTACCAGTCATTATTTCTTAAAATCTTCACACAGCTCTGTAAGGTAGGCGTCACTATCTCCATTCTACAACCAAAGTAGCTGATATCCTTCAGAAAGGTTGGTCACTTTGCTCACAAAGCAGAAGTGTCCTGTTCACTGAAGAGTATGTAGTTTACTTGACCCTTCAGGCTTAGGCCATAAAGACAACACTCCAGCCTCATGTGATTCTCTATTTCTATGTAGTTACGTCTCTCTCTCATGCACCTTTCTTTGTAGCTCATAGCTAACATCATGGCTAAGCCCATGCCTAGTTCAGCTGACCGCAAGGAATAAGCATGGGAATAAAGAAAACATGACCGGCAGTGTCAGAGTTACGCTCCCACGGTGACTGGGCCACAGTGGCCATCAGTCTTGCCAACACAGACCCTTTGACTAGCTTAGCACACACAGGAAAACAAAATCTAGTTCTGTGTGTGAGTGACTTAGAATGTCAGTGCGTGGCCTAGAGAACCTTTACTAGGCCCTGTCTGTTGTCCCCTTCTGGGATGGATAGATATATTTTATGCCATTTTTCAAAAGTAAAAAGTGCTAGGATGTCTATCGTTCTTCCCTGTCTCCCATTCCAGTAACACTTCTAGAGGTAAAATACTGAAGATAAGAATATTCATGAAGACAATAAGTTTACATAAAAAGACAAGGCCACAGATTTAAAAAAAAATGGTTTTATATAAATAGGAAAGAGAACAGGACTAGCTCAATTTCTTTGTTAATTACAAAAGGGAAACCTTGAGTTTTGTGTCCTAGAGCTTACATATGATGGGAGAGATAAAGTTCTATTAAGAGAGATAGGTGGGTCTTCTCCTCAGCCACAGGAATAGATTCCTCATATGCAGGACAGGTTTTCCTCCTGGGATAGAGGTGGACTTGGGAGCCTCTGCTGCTCATTGCCTGATTGATAGCAGTGGGTAGCAGTGCAGCACTGGGAAAAAGGCAGGCTTGTCTGGAACTAAGGCAGTTGCACCTCAAGGTGGGCATGGTTTCAGGGTGCAGACTTGGTGGGGTCACCCACAAGAGCTCAATCCTCTAGGCTTCCTTTCTATTGCCACACTGGTTTGTCAGCCAGTGTGGAAGGAGGGCCTGGTATGTGACTTAAATAGGGTCACAATCCACTGCTTTGGTCAAAGAGGCTGGTGAAAGGGGTATTTGGGCCCCCATTCTAGAAGCAAAGCTGACTAATGCTTAAGCATTTCAAAATCTGAGAAATGACAGGCTTGATAAAGAGAAGCATTTGTCAGATATCTGTTTTCCTCTCAGCCTTTGAGAACACAGGTATGAAACACACTAGTAGTACAGTGCCTACTACGAAAAACATGGGATCTTCCTGGGCTAGAGAAACACGAAGAAAAGCTATGGTTGTTACTTGGAGAACAGGGCCTTAGAGAGATGCTCATTATAAATATCAGATTCTGCTCACAAGAGGATGGAACTGTTTCTCTTGACTGGACCCAGTGGTGCCAGGAACCACTAACAGTAATTAAGAAATACCAAAGAAAAGAAGGGCTTTTCGGGAAATACCTGAAAACCGAGAGGAGTCTTTTACATCTCACTCTCCAAGAGAGGACTCCCACTCCTACTCAGGATGTGGAAATCTTAATGGTAGAACCTGTTAAGCGATCTCTCCTGAGTTTTAATTCACTGGAGATGGTCTCTGGACAGTAGTGTGGATTTTGCTGGCATCCTGTGACTCTTTTCTCTATTTCTTGCTAATTTTCCCATCTGCCTTCTTTCTAAGTAACACAGAGTAAACAGAGTCTTTTATGACCATGGGTAGATCAACAATGTAGGTCAAAAATCTCAAAACACTGCCTGCTGAATTGTCAGGTGCACATTATATAATCCAAGGTAGTGAACATTATGACTTGAGAAAATCATGATGACCTGATATTTAGTTTCACATTGGGATAGCCTTACTTGAAGTAATATACTAATTCAATTCAGGGCCCGCTGAGGCTAACCTCGAGAGACAGTTATAAAAGGCTGTGAGAGGCTAGCTGCCCATTTCGTAAGGCTAGTTCTTTAAAAAATAATAAATTATAGAAGAGCTGTAGTAAGGAAAAATGCCCCCGTGAAAGGGCAGGCAGAACTTTTAAAAAAACCTGTTTTTATGTCAGCGAGTTTAACAGTGTACAGAAATATTCATAATTATCACAGGCTGTTAAATGCTTTGAGGTTTATAGGAAAAGAACAAAATTTAGAGGAATGTGGTGACATTCCAGCTTCAGGTAGCAAGGTCTCACTCTTTCACCACTGAAGAAAGGCAATTTTGTTCAAGTTCAGGAATTCACAGGACTTCTGCTTATGGTTAGGATAGAGCATCAGGGGATGGATTTACCTTCTTGCCTGAAACAATTGAACGACTAGACAAAATATACAAGATGTTGGCACTCCAGACATTGGACACCAGGCCAGAAAGTGCAGTGACCCTGGAGAGCTGGGAAGCAGGCTAGATGAGCTCTACAGTTTGTCCAGGTTACTGCTTGGCAAAATTTTCAAGGCCATGGTATAGGGGAACCCAGGCAGTGCCTGTCAGTCTCTGAGTAGGAGATGGAGGAGTTTAGGAAAGGCTAGGTAAGTAGACGTTGCAAGGCAGAATACCAGAGAAATGGTTCATAGACCTAATGTAATACCAAAAACTATAAATCATCTGAGAGAAACAAATTCTTTGTTACCCTGTGTTAGACAAGAGTTCTTAGATCTAACACCAGTATAATTTAGATGAAGTGCAATTTATAAATTTGTTATTCATAAAAACAAATTTATAAATTGCACTTAATCAAAATTAAGAACTTATGCTCCTTGAAGACACTGTTAGGGAAATAAAAAGACAAGCTACAGACATGGAAAAAATATTTGCAAATATTTCCAGATCTGATGGAGGACTTACAGAATATTTAAAGAATTATTCAAAACTCCATAGGAAAGCATCCTAATTTTTAAAAAATGGGCAAAAGATTCAAATAGTTGGCCAAAGAAGATACAAAGAAGGCAAATGAGTACATGAAAATGACATTCAACATCATTATACATTTTAAAAAAGTGTAAATTAAAACCATAATGAATTAACCACTACACACCTATTGTCAAGACCACAATTTAAAGGAGCCATTATACCAAGGGTTGGAGAGAATGTAGGGGAACTTGAAGTCTCATACACTGTTGGTGGGAATGTAACGTGGTACAAACTGCTTGGAAAATAGTTTGGCAGTTTCTTAAAGAAACATACGCCTAGTATATTACTCAGTCATTCCACTCCTAGTTCTTTACCCATGATAAATGAAAGGATATGTTCATACTTAGAATTGTCCACGAGTGTTTATTTGTAATAGCCCCAAACTGGAAACAACCCAACTGTCCATCTTCATGTGAATGGGGGCCAGGTGTGGTATAATCCCGGTGCTTTGGAGGCCGAGGTGGGAGGATTTTTGAGGCTAGGAGTTTGAGACCAGCCTGGGAAACATAGGGAGACCTCATCTCTACAAAAATTACATTTAAAAAAAATTAGACTGGGCCGGGCGCTGTGGCTCACGCCTGTAATCCCTGCACTTTGGGAGGCTGAGGTGGGCAGATCACGAGGTCAGGAGATCGAGACCATCCTGGCTAACACGGCGAAACCCCGTCTCTACTAAAAATACAAAAAAAATAGCCGAGCGTGGTGGCGGGTGCCTATAGTCCCAGCTACTTGGGAGGCTGAGGCAGGAGAATGGCATGAACCCGGGAGGCGGAGCTTGCAGTGAGCCAAGATCGCGCCACTGCACTCCAGCCTGGGCGACAGAGTGAGACTCCATCTCAAAAAAAAAAAAAAAAAAAAAAATTAGACTGGAGTGGTGGCATGGGCCTGTAGTCCTAGCTACTTGGGAGGTTCAAGAGGAGGATCCCTTGAGTCCAGGAATTTGAAACTGGGCAACAGAGTAAGACCGTGTCTCCAAAAACAAAACAAAATAAATAAGCATGTGAATGCGTAAACATAATGTGGCATATTCATAAATGAAATACTAGTCGGCAGTAAAAAGGAATGAACTATTGATACATGCAACACAGGGATGACTCTCAAAATAATTATGCTGAGTAAAAGAAGGCAGAAACTTCAGGAGGGAGGACATACTGTGTGATTTCATTTATAGAAAACCATAGAAAATGCAGTGTAACCTATAGTGACAGAAACCAGATCAATCAGTGGTTGTCTAAAGATGGGGAGGTAGGGAGGGATAGGAGAGAGGAATTACCTAGCGGTGTGAAAAGACTTTCTGGGGCATGATACGTTCTTGTCTGGATTGTGGTGATGGTTTCCCGATTATACCTATGCCAATATTTATCAAGTTGTTCCATCTCTATGTGCACTTTTCTGTATGCTAATTATACCTCAATAAAGCTGCTTTTTCTTGCTCTTTACTTAACCCATTGAAATAATGTCAAACATGGCTGGGCATGGTGGTTTATGCCTGTAATCCCAGCACTTTGGGAGGTTGAAGCAGGTGGATCGTTTTAGCCCAGGAGTTTGAGACCAGCCCAACCAACATGGTGAAACCCCATCTGCACAAAAAGTACGAAAAATTAGCTGGGCATTGTGGCACACACCTATGGTCCCAGCTACTTGGGAGGCTGAGGTGAGAGGATGGCTTGAACCCAGGAGGTCTAGGCTGCAATGAGCCAAGATCGCACCACTCTAGTCCAGTCTGGGCAACAGAGTGAGAACTTGTCTCAAAAAACAAACAAAAAACAAAACAGAAAGAAAGAATGTCAGACATAACTGCTGCATTCAATGAAAAAGTCACATTATAGCTATCCTCTCTTCACTAGGTTGTGGTAGAAATATATTGACAGTTATAACTGCCTTTGTTAGGGAATATTTAACATCAAAAATATTACTAGCTTTGTAATCATTTTAGAGATCAGGAGTCTTTAAATTCTTACTATTATTTGTAAAGCTCTTAATTCTTAGAGGGCACATAAGTTGTTATAAATATTATATTGTTATGTGTCCGTACGTGTGTGTGCCTAGCTTTGCTATTGTTAAACTTTCATATATCTGAAGTCCCAGTCGTTTATTTAACAGGACTAGGGTTTTCAATAGGAAACATTTGGCCACGTGTGCCCTTTCTATCTGCTTCTTTATGTTTAATGTGCAATTTTCGAGTATTGACAGTAATAACTCTACTACCTAATTTGCCACTTTAAAAGTACTTGTTTTAACTTCATACATACTTTCAATCTCTTGGGAAATTATGGCTCATAGATTATTAGCTTTGGTATTTTTACCATACTCTGAATTCTTCTAAACTTTACACGTCATTTTTGAAACATAAAATAATTTTCCCCCACCTATTTTGGAATAGATCTATGTGACATAAACATGCTAAAGTAAATACACTTATATGGAAGTATTTTGATATGATTATAACCCTTCTGTTCTGCCGGGCGCAGTGGCTCACACCTGTAATCCCAGCACTTTGGGAGGCCGAAGTGGGTGGATCACAAGGTCAAGAGATCGAGACCATCCTGGCCAACATGCTGAAACCCTGTCTCTACTAAAAATACAAAAATTAGCTAGGCATGGTGGCACGTGCCTGTAGTCCCAGCTACTTGGGAGACTGAGGCAGGAGAACTGCTTGAACCCGGGAGGCAGAGGTTGCAGCGAGCCAAGATCGTGCCACTGTGCTCCAACCTGGCGACAGAGTGAGACTCCATCTCAAAAACAACAACAACAACGAATAACTCTAATGTTCTGTGGACTCAGGTTTATGTGTATGAATAAGTGTCCATTTTGTCCTAACCTGTGGCACTGAGTTTCTAACATGCTGAAACTCATACATTCAATAGAGACATCTAGACACGTGTGATTATCATAAAGTTGAAGATTTTCATAACCATTTTATATGAAACACTCCATTCTGACATGGACCATAGTAGTTTTTTGTTGTTTGTTCATTTGTTTGTTTGTTTTTCTCGAGATGGAGTCTTGCTCTGTCACCCAGGCTGGAGTCCAGTGGCACGATCTCGGCTCATAGCAACCTCCACCTCCTGAGTTCAAGCAATTCTCCTGCCTCAGCCTCCCGAATAGCTGGGATTACAGGCTCACGCTACCACGCCTGGCGAATTTTTGTATTTTTAGTAGAGACAGGGTTCCACCATGTTGGCCAGGCTGGTCTCGAACTCTTGACCTCGTGATCTGCCTGCCTCGGCCTCTCAACGTGCTGGGATTAGAGGTGTAAACCGCTGTGCCTGGCCCAATCATAGTAATTTTTTCATGTCTTCATGTTATTAGCAAAACAATACCCTTTTTATACAACTGTCTCCATCTAAGCTTTTTGTATCCCTTTAAAAAGTTTTAGGAAGTCATTTGAGTAACAAGGCCCAGGAACTCAGGTAATTTACCATTTGCTTGTTCAAGAACGACCTGAGAAGAAACAGATCTTGGGCTGGCTAGATTATAGTTTAGTTATTTCCTAAAATAATTTTTTCCATGAATGAACTTGAGTGATTTAGTACAAGAAAATTGTGCCATATGTTGCAAATAAGCTGCTTATATGAAACCAGCTTATCCCAACAGGAATTGCTCTTTTGAAGTGCCATTTATACCGCTTCTTGGAACCTAATTCTTGGAGTCTTCATGGCAAATAGTTCCTACTTAGGTATCAAGGTCATGTCCAGTAGCTCAGTCGGGCTTTCCTGTGCTGAAGTGTTTCTACAACCTTTGAATCCATTATTTACTTAGATTTTTAGACATCAATAAAAGGAAGTTATTTATATTATCAATGTCACACTACAAACAAGGCACCAGTGGAATTACTTATTAAATTACTTAAACACACTTGTACTATGGTGGACATCTGAATCGTTTATTCATCCCCCTTTTGCTCAGTGTAGCTTTTCCTCCTATCTTCAGCCATAGTTTCAGAAGGAACCTTTATAGCAGAGAGGAAGTAGAATCATGAAGTAGCTGGGAACAAAGCATCTACTTGTGGCTTTGTGACCTTAGTCAAGGAGCTTAATTTTTCTGAGCCTCGGTTTCCCCATTTGGGAAACAGGAACAATAGTATTACTTACGCTGTAGGACTATTAAGTGACAAAGAAGCAGCCCTGACATCTAGAAGCTGGCCTGGAACTCAACCCAACTCTCTTGTGGCCCATAAACAATTTCACAGAACACAAGATCAGACAGGGCCACGTGACCATGATGAAGCAAAAAAAGGAAAAATGCCAAAACCAAAATAAGAATATTGTCCAAACCACAAAAATGATGAAACCCCTCCCTTTTCCGGCTAATTTGAATGGCTGCTGCTTCTTTACCTCTTACGGCTTTCACTCTGCTTTGTTCATCCCACCATCCAGATAGACATTATCAAGATACCTACTCAGAGAATCATCTTGTGTCTTGACAACATTCAATGCTCAGCACCCACTTTTCTTGAGCCATCCCGAATTCCTCCAACACGAGATCAAATCCTATTGTATTAACCACATTTTCTAGTTTCTCTATCTGATGTTTTGACATCTGGGGCCTTGCTGTCTAGGGAGAGACTGCTCCTCCTAGAGACTGAAAGGGAATGACTGCCTTTCATATGCAAACAAACCAATCCCGAGCCCGCTTATGCTTCTGAGACATTAACCCCCTGTCGTAATTGCCCTGAGCCAGGCTTCAGAAAACTAGGGACATCCTCTGCACCCCAGAGCCACTGAAATGATTCAAACTTGCTGGGCTTAAACCTGGTCAACCCACTCACCCTGCCTCACCCATTCCTGGAAAATAAAATAATAAAAATTTTTATTCCCCTGATTTCCTGTTCCCTCTCTGCCTGTGACCAACCTGATTCAGTAATCTCTACTATGGCCTTACATGGCAGGGTATCCGCCCCTCCTCTTGAAAATTATGAGTAATAAACTATACCTCTCCTCGCCTCCCCTCCCCTCCACTGACCAAGACAGTGAAAGAGATCTAACCTCACTGACTCCATCTTGCTTCTAACCTTTAAGCTGTCTTTTTTCCTTCCTGGGCGTAGGCTGAACTAACTTTGAGAGGAACTTAGTTTATATAGTTAAAACAAAGACGATAACAGCTCTTTGCCAAAAGAAACCTCCTTCTTGCCTGGGGACTAGACTGCCTTTGTAGGACTAACAAATTAGCCACAAGATTAGAAATTATGGTTTAGGAGTCACGCAGCTGAGGATACAAGATTCTGACCCTCCCTAAACTGCTCCTAAGATCAGTACTTGAGATATTTTGCAGACCCTGCACTTGATGGATCAGCTGGCACCGCCCAGATGGATAAACTGTCTCATCTGATCTTGTGGCTCCCACTCAAGAACTGACTCAGCACAAGAGGACGGCTTCAGCTTCCCATGATTCATCTCTGACCCAACCAATCAGCACTCTCGACTCACTGGCCTTCCCCCACCCACCAAATTATCATTAGAAACTCTCCTTCCCAAATGCTCAGGGAGACTGATTTGAGTAATAATAAAACTCTGGTCTCCCCGCACACCGGGCTCTGCGTGAATGACTTCCTGTTTCTCTGTTGCAATTCCCCTGTCGTGATAAATCGGCTCTGCCTAGGCAGCGCCCTGCTGGGCGGTTACACTAAGTTGTATCTGCTTGCCTATTTATAAAAGGGTGAAATTTCTTCCTTTCACTGCGATCTCTTTGCAGATTGCCTGTGATGTGCCTCACATTCTGGTTTAATGTTTATTACATAATAAAACTGTTTTCTGTCTCTATTACCTTTGAGGAGAGGTTTTCTGGATTGACAGAAGATTTTAATGCTATTCCCCCAACAGGTGCAAATATTTATCATAGGTTCCCCAGGAGAAGTAGTGAGCCTACCCACTCTGCAGAAACCACAGATTTAGGGGAGCTTATTCCCTTGTCTCCAGGGCCATGTGATCAGCCTGTGAGGGTCCCTTAGGACCACAGGGCTCATTGTCCCGCCCATGCCCCGTGCTAACCTTGGCTGCCCTGTCCAGGCACCAGGCCATGAGTTAGCAAAGCGCAAAGCCGGCACTGGGCTTGCACAGGTCACTTGCGCTTACAGCCTGCCTGCCAAGCTCTACTTTGAGCGGCGCTTTCTTCAGCCTCTGGCTGAGCCCTGTATTTCCAAGAGGCTGCATCCTGGTTGCCTCGGGCGCTGCTTTGCGCAGGCTCAGCGATGAGGAATGCTTCTCAGAATGCTGAGAAAACAAGCACCAGGACAACTCTTTTCTCTGTGATATTTCTCTCTATCTTTCTTCCTCTTTAGACTTTGCCTTTTACAGCTGATGGGGTTTGAAATTTTATCTCAGTGGGCTTTAAAATCTAGAACAATCCTCCCCATGTTTTAAACTTCCTTTGCTCACTCATGTCCCCCTCCCTGCCTGGCTCCTCACGTCTCCACTTCCTTCCCGGGCTCTGTGTGTCCCTGGTAAGTAGGATGGAGCCTGGGTGTTGACAAGCGGCACCGATGCACTGAGATTTGAGGAGGGTGGAAATATCCCCTCCCCAACACCAAAACCCTAAATTCAGTGGGACTGATTAAGCCATTTGCCTTTTAGCACAGAGAGGACATAGGATGAATGAGCAGATCCGAGACTGTGGGGAGAAGCAGGTTCTGCTGTAGGCCATGTTATTTGCCCGTTGTGGCACATTTTCTTTTCTTCTTTTTTTTATTTTTTATTTTTTTATTTAAAAAAAAAAACCTCTATTTTCTTCATTTCTAAAACGGGCAGGAGTTACCCATCTTACTTGTTGTAAGCCCCTAATTGGTGCTTTTAGAATAACTAGAATATTATGAAGGCTCAAACTATACTGCATGAATTTGCTTCTCCTTAGGCAAGTAGCAGGACCTTGAGGGTACCCACAAAATATGTACAACTATTATGTTTCAAGGCTCATAATTCTTCTACCATAATTGGTATACTCAAGTAGTACAGGAACAGCACAAAAGAAGGTAGAACAAATATGCAGTGTGTATTCTAACATAGGTCTTCATTACAGGATTTTTTGCCTTATCTCCATTCCTATTCCACTAAACTATCTAGACAACCTAGAAGAAACCCAGTGTACTTGTAAGTCTTAATAGTAGGGTGGATCTTTGTAGAAGATACTTCATGGTATGGCAGAACTGGGTGTAGTGGAATTTTTAACGTAAACCTCAGTGATGTGATGAAACTTGGTAGACTACACCATACAGGTGGAATGCAACTTTGGAGCTAGCAGTTGGAGGTTTGAATCTCAAGTCTGCCACTCCTGGTGAGACCTGGGTCATTTCACTTCACCTCTGTGAGCCTCAGTTCACAGAGCACAAAATGAACATACACACCTGAGAGAGCAGGTGTGAGGTTTAAATGAGATAATGTGAGCACAGCATCCAGTCTGGGCTGCACTTATATGGATCCACGTCAGATAGAGGCTCCTCTTGCAAGAAATGAGGCTAGTTATCTAGGGCCTGGCATTCTGGATACTGAAATGGGCATTCTCACCTGTGTATTACCAATGGGGCTCCATAGGTGACAACTATCCCATATGCAAGGACCACAAATTTCGCTATCTACAGCATCTAGTCTGGCCCAGCATGGTGGCTCATGCCTGTAATCCTAGCACTTTGGGAGGCCAAGATAGGTGGATTGCTTGAGGTCAGGATTTCAAGGCCAGCCTGGCCAACATGGTGAAACCCTGTCTCTACTAAAAATACAAAAATTAGCCAGAAATCACTTGAACCTAGGGGTGGAAGTTGCAGTGAGCCGAGATCACCACACTACACTCCAGCATGGGCAACAGAGCAAGACTCTGTCTCACATAAATCAACAAATAAAGATTCTAGTCTGGGACCTACTCATATGGATCCACTTCAGATAGTGGCTGCTCTTGCAAGAACCGAAGCTAGTGATACAGACAAGAGACAGGGAAATACTGGGTAGGAGAGGGCAGTTTACCAGCAAAGGCCCCACCTTCAAGCCTGGAAACCACGGCCATAAATGGGAACAGGCATTCCTGTTTTTGCACCCAAATGTTGCTTTCTGGCCCGCCATGCCCCCCTATCCTGTACCCATATAAACCCCAAGCCCCAGGCTCCAAGAGCAGACAAGCAGACAAATGGAAGAGTGATGCAGCAGAGAAGGAAAGAAGAGAAGGAGTGTCTGAATGTCAAGAGGAGTTTGGCTGGGGATGGTTGGAGAGGTGATCAGTTGCAGAACAGCTGAACTCCAGGGGAAGATCACCTTCCCACTCCATCCCCTTTCCAGCTTCCCATCCATCCCTCTGAGAGCCACCTCTATCACCCATAAAAATCCCTGCATTCACCATCCTTCAAGTCTGTGTGTGACCTGATTCTTCCTGGATGTTGGACAAGAACTTAGGTGCCAAGACGGCACTGAGCTGGTTAACACTTAAGCCATCTGCAGATTGCAGAGCTAAAAGAGTATGCAGCATACCCGCTGGGGCTTCGGGAGCTGCAGGCACCCACCCCTAGATGCTACCCTGGGGCCAGAGTCCAAAAGCCCTCATCCCGGTTCCTGCCCCTGACTGTCTGCATGCTCCCCTTCCCATAAGGGGTTTGAGCAACAGCAGTGGCCAGAGAAGCCACACCCCTGTCACACGTCTTGCAAGGGGGATCAGGGAACCCTCTCGTTTGACTAGTTACACAGGACTTGGCATTCTGGACTTTAAAATGGGCACTCTCACCTAATACCAATGGTGCTCCATAGGTGGCAACTATCTATCCCATGTGCAAGAACCATAAATTTCACTATCTCCCTTAAAATATACTGTCTGTCATGCTTTAGGCTCCATGAATCACATTTTACCCATGCTCCCAGTCCTTTGCTATCTGAATGATCAACTTGTCTTCTATTGTCAATGACACCTTCCCTGCTCTGTATCTTTACTCACTGAGTGTTCTTCATCTTCTCCCTAGTGAGGGTCGGAGGAAGACCTAATAAAATTTACTGAACAAATTACAGGAGAAAAATCTTAATGCTGCTTTACAAGGCAAAATTGAAAGTCTCAAAAGTGTATTGTGTATTCTAAAGTACAGTTTAATGAATAGCAGGGTAGAAGTTGTCAGTTTTTTTTAAAGTGCTAAATAGCAACCTACTTCTTCTGAGAATTCATTTAACATAGCATTTTCAAACAATGCATGAAAATTTTGGTTTTTATTATTAAACTCAGTCACAATTTCATTTAAAATCATGACATTTTAAATGAACTGTTTTAAAGTGGCCAAATGTGCAATTTAAATTTCTTATAAACTCTCTCTAATTACATTTTAAGGTGTATAGGGACAAAAATAGATTTTACTTCCATGCATACTATAAAGTCAATTAAAGAAATTCAAAAATTCTAATAAAAATTTTACAGATATTATGCTTGGACAAATATAGACTCAAATCCATGCTATATGGCTAAAAGTTTAATCCCTAGTTTTTGCATTAACATTGTTATATTAATAAGGATAAGAGAGGTGTTAATTCATCCATCCATTAATTCATCCATCCATTTATCCATCCTTTTATTCATTCAATCTGCCACTAATTTGAAGTTTATACCAGCTACTTTTAAGGCTTTGTTAGATTCTAAAAGGATTAACATTATGAGACTATCCTTACAATGCTTAAGAGAAGATAAGATGTGATGCAACCAATAAGGAAGACATTTCTTTGAACTTGAAACCACCTTTGCAAAATTATAACTAAGGAAATTATGACAGTGAAAGATATCAGACCTACTCAACTCCATCTTGCTTCTAACCTCTAAACTGTCATTGTCCATTCCTGGGTGTAGGCCGAACTAGCCTTGGGAAGCAATTTAGTTTATAGTTTAAATACAATAATAGCCCTTCCCAAAAGCTAAACTGTTCTTGTAAAATGAATGAAAGGCTACCAGCCACCAAGTTAGAATGAGAAGGGCTGGAATTCAAAATATTACCAGCCATTATTCTGGAAGTCATAAGATTTGCAACTTCCTCAATTACTCTTAAAGGTAATATCACTATTTTGAGTCTTTTGAGATGTCTTTTCAGGTTTTTGCATTTCTAAAAACCATACAGCCCCACCTGGACCTGCCAACCAGGAACTGACTCAGCGTAAGACGACAGCTTTGACTCCCTATGATCTCATCCCTGAGCCAACCAATCAGCACTCCGGATTCACTGGCCCCTTACCCACCAAATTATCCTTAAAAACTCTGATACCTGAGTTTTTAGGGAGACTGATTTGAGTAATAATAAAATTCTGGTCTCCCACACAGTCAGCTCTGCATGAATTACTCTTTCTCTATAGTAATTCCCCTATCTTGATAAATTCGGCTCTGTCTAGGCAGTTGTTGAGGTGAACTCATTGGGCAGTTACAAATTTGGAGGTAGCATTTTACTTTAAAGGAAATAGAAAGACAGAGAGAAAAAAGCTTGAGCTCTGAACGCAGAATACCTGGGTTCAAATAGTAGTGCCTGGTGTTACTCTGTACTATCTTTGAGTCCCAGGGCAACCTACTTAAACCTCCCATGCATTAATGTCCATATGGAACATATTATATTACTTGTATGTTATATTGCTGTGGAACATGTTGTATTACTTCACAAGTTTGTTCTGAGAATTCATCAAGTTAAAATAAGCAAATCACAGTACTTTGCACATGGTAGGTAGTCCAAAAATTTCAATTCTACTCCATTCATCTGATTTATTTTAGTTCTGATCTAATTTTTTAATATCTGTAAAAGGAAAATAAATCTTGGGGCCCCCAAATCACATAGCTATAGGGAAAAGTCAAGTCGGGAACTGCTTAGGGTAAACCTGCCTCCCATTTGATTCAAAGTCACCCCTCTGCTCACTGAGACAAATGCATATCTGATTGCCTCCTTTGGAGAGGCTAATCAGAAACTAAAAAGAAGGCAACCATTTGTCTTATCTACCTATGCCCTGGAAGCCTCCTCCCCATTCAAGTTGTTCCCCCTTTGCTTCCAGTTGTCCTGCCTTTCCAGACCAAAACAGTGCTCATCTTACACATGCTGATTGATGTCTCATGTCTCTCTAAAATGTATAAAACCAAACTCTGCCCTGACCACCTTGGGCACATGTTGCCAGGACCTCCTGAGGCTGTGTCGCGGCCATGCATCCTCAACCTTGGCAAAATAAACTTTCTAGAATAACTGAGACCTGTCTCAGATATTCAGGGTTCACGTATTCAAGTCTCTGGTTTATTCACGTAATTTCAAGTAAAATCACATATATCAAATGCAACCTGCACTGAAGCCACATTTGTAAACAATTTGCTGTTTTTTAAAAAAAAATTAAATTGGCCAGGCTCAGTGGCTCACGCCTATAATCCTATAACTGCTGAGGCAGGCAGATCACCTGAGGTCAGGAGTTCAAGACCAGCCCGTCCAACATGGTGAAACCCTGTGTCTACTAAAAATACAAAAAAATTAGCCAGGCATGATGGCAGTTGTCTGTAATCTCAGCTACTTGGGAGGCCGAGGCAAGAGAATCACTTGAACCCGGGAGTTGGAGGTTGCAGTGAGCCGAGATCGTGCCATTGTACTCCAGCGTGGGTGACAGAGCAGGACTGTCTCAAAAAAAAAAAAAAAATTAAATCACTTTTTAAGTTGAAAGTGTTTATGTGCAAACAGTTCAGTCTCTGGTCACTACTGGATATTTGGTTACCTGGCTTTGTTTTTGCATTCCCTGTAACCCAGACCCAGACCCAGACCCAGACACAGACACACAGCTACTTGTTTTCTGTTATTCTACTAGCACCTAGTGCTTGAGGTTGAGGTTTGGCTTTCTATGTCACAAAGTCCTCTTCAAGGTTGTGGTATGACTCTCCGAACTCAGAGGCAATAGAGACAGATGCCAAAATCTAAACTTGCATAATTGTCTGCTTCCTCCTCTCAGGAGCATGCATAATTAACGGATTTAGAGAGGCCTGCCACACCTTTCAGCTGTGCTATTCGGCTATAATTCATCTTTGGGGAAAAGGGATTCCAGATGTAAAGGTCAAACCACTCGGAAGCTGCGTTGGCATCTAACAGAGAGATTCTGTGTCCTGGGACATCTACCAAACCCTCCAGGTGAGGCTGAGCAAGCTGGATAAAATTCCACCTCCGCTTCTCAAAATTTTAGTGAATAGTATTACAAACTGTCACAGGCTGTCAAATGCAGATTGGGCTTGACGCGCTTTCAAAGGAGAGAGAGGACTTTGACTCAGTATAATTATTGCATCTTACTAACCACCCCCCACCCACCCCACCGGAGCCCTCCAGGCTAAGAACCCTTTTGGTCCCAGACTGCACAGGCTTTTCTTGGCATGGAAGTGTACCTGCTCCGGGGTGCTTTCCATTTGTCACTTGCCAAAAGGCTGCAGCCAATGTGCAGTCGAAGTGCCTGGCTTGAAAGTGTTCCAGTGCAATGTTTTGTGGGTTTGAGGTTTGTCTTCACTCGTACGCATCGTGCGTGGTAAGTTCCCCGGGGAAGTGAGGCAGTGGCTTGGCACGCTAGACTTATCGATGATCTTCCATTGTGTGTGTCTGAGGCCAGCTCCACCAGCAACTGGAAAGCATCCAGGCTCTCTGAGGAGGCTAACAATTTGTCAGTGATTTTCAAATGCATTGTGGTGTATTGCTTTCTTCCAATTCTCAATGCTGAATGTGGAAAGTTGTTTTTCTTTTTCTTTTTTTCCCTTTGTTTTAGGCCACAGAATTTTAAGTCTCAATTCTGCATTTCCTGATTATATTTCCTTTGTAAATTTTGCGATATAACCTTTCAGATCTGGCAGCATAATCTGTTAGAAATCTCCTGAGGAGTAAATACTTGTTAACTGACTCCATTCCCCACTCCCCTTCCTTTCCATGATATTATTTCTACTTAGCATTTAGTCCATAATGTGTTTCATTAAGATCAGAAATTTAATTATGTACATATTTAAAACCTGAACTCATTAAGTCTATAGATCCCTTGCAAATGCTGTTTTCCAGGTGTACAGTTGCGGTGAGTACGCAAAAATGTCATGAAACAATGAGGTTTTAAAGCTTAACTTAAAATAGGCCAAGGGACTAGCTTTTTAGATAGAGAAAAATGGCTCCATAAACATTAGAAGAAATCAGGAAAATGCATGAAATCAGTGAGAAATGAAATTAAGAGGATTGTATTCAGTGAAAGTTATTGGTGGAGAAAGAAAGAGAGGCGTTAAATGGGAAGAAGGAATGAAGACTTTACTGTGTAAATCGGAGCTGGTTCCTCTCGCTAAAGGCAAGGGCTGCTCAGTTCTGGGCCCTCTCCAGTGTCTCCCTGCGTCCTCCCCATACAGAGTCAGGCACCCCTTCCTCTTCGTGTCTGTGTGTAAATCTCATCATTCTTGTGTGTCTGTTTACCTTTATGTGTATAATTTTGTGCTTCTCATTATCATCATGATGTATTGTGTCTTCCACCAGACTATAGGCTCCTCAAGGGCAGGGATCATGAGAAGTGTCTAGGATAATGCCGCGCAGAGCAAGCTGTCAGTAAGTGTGAGTTCTTGCGGAGAAGGGGCATCACGGTGTCTATGATGGGTGTGGCGATGCATCCTCCAGATCCCTCTTCAAGGAAGGCTTGTTACTTAGGCTGCCAGGCTTGTCAGTGGATAGCCTTCAGCTCTCAACCCATCCAGGGATAGTCTCAGCCGTAGAGAGCTACCTCAGCCCAGGGTCACAATCTTTTGGGGGTGGCCACACCCAAGGACTGGGCCGGCCATCTCTGCCTGGCTGGGGGCAACTCTGAAGGGCCATTCTAGCTCCAGAGCTTCTCCGTGGGCTTGGCCAAAACTCTCTAGGGTCTGCATTGCAAGTTAACTTTTCTCTCTGCCCATTTCTTTTTTGAAACGGTCTCGCTCTGTCATCTAGGCTGAAGTGCAGTGGAGCGATCTCTGCTTACTGCAAGCTCCGCCTCCCAGGTTCAAGCGATTCTCCTGCCTCAGCCTCCTGAGTAGCTGGGATTACAGGCGCTCACAACCACACCTGGCTAATTTTTATTTTATTTATTTATTTATTTTGAGATGGAGTCTCGCTCTGTCGCCCAGGCTGGAGTGCAGTGGCGTGATCCTGGCTCACTGCAACCTCCGCCTCCCAGGTTCAAGCAGTTCTCTGCCTCAGCCTCCTGAGTAGCTGGGACTACAGGAGTGCGCCACCATGCCCAGCTAATTTTTGTATTTTTAGAAGAGACAGGGTTTCACCATCTTGGCCAGGCTGGTCTTGAACTCCTGACCTCGTGATCCACCCGCCTCGGCCTCCCAAAGTACTGGGATTATAGGCATGAGCCACTGCACCCAGCCTAATTTTTATATTTTTAGTACAGATGGGATTTCACCATGTTGGACAAGCTGGTTTCAAACTCCTGACCTCAAGTGATCTGCCTTCCTCGGCCTCTTAAAGTGCTGGGATTACAGGCGTGAGCCACTGCGCCCGGCCTCTCTGTCCGTTTTTGTTTTCACCCCTTGCTTCCACAGGTGGTTGTCCCAAGGCCCTCCCTAATGAACACGTGCATTAAATCCCAGCTCAGGTCTGTTTCCAGGAGAAGCCTACCTGTAACACCTTTTAGCAGGGGTTAAAAAATAATAAGACTGGAGGAAGGGACTGGAGGAAGAATATTTAAGATAAAGTACTTTCATATCTTAAAGGATGTAGGGTTCTAGAGGAGAATCAACAAAGGTAAAAATTAAGAAACCAGAGTAGTCTGGTGGAAAGATTAACAGCTGGGAAATCCGTGGACCAGGCACTCATGCCAGCTATGCTGACAGCCTGGTGCATGACCTTGGAGCAGTCACATCACCCCGAGCCTCCTGTCCTCTTCCACAAAGGGAAGGAGGCGGAAGATAATATCTCCAAAGTTCCTCTCACCTCTAACCTTCTATCAGGCTGAATTAGGAGCTCGAGGAACATTTAGAGACAACTTGGCTGTGAACAAAAGGTTTCTAAATATGACCTTAAAACCGTAAATCTAGGAGACAAACCTGGAGGAAAAGAAAATGCACTATTCGGAGTTGCAGGCGGTGATATAACATCCCTCAGAGGCTCATTCTGACAACTCACAAAGACTTGTGTGAAAAAGAAATTCCTTTGATAACTGCTTGTCTGGAGATGACTGACACCTTTCAAAGGAAATGAGGTAAGAGGACAAAGAGGGCATGGGCTCCGCAGACAGGGGAAATTGGGATAGAAACACCGTGAGAGATTAAATCACATCTAGAGAAGTATAATCACTGATATTTAAGATAAAGAGATTGGCAAAGAGGAACATTTTGTAGTCTCAGAAGTAAAACTTACATAAATCAGTAAGTTTGGCCAGAAATGAAAGTTGGAATCTTACTTATTTTGTTATTTCCTTTTGGTTTCAGGATTCTCTGGTTTATATTTTACTTTTAGTTAAAACAATAATCGTTCAACAAATTATTATTAAATACCCACTTGTGTCAGGCTTCTTTGGTGCAGTCATAAAAGGAATAGAATGATTTTTAAAATGTATGGTAAAGGGACTGGGCATGGTGGCTCACATCTGTAATCCCAGCACTTTGGGAGGCCCAGGCAGGAGAGTTGCTTGAGGCCAGGATTTCAAGACCAGCCTGGGCAACATAGTGAGACCCTCTCGCTCCAAGAAAAAAAAAAGTTAACTGAACATGGTGGCCTGCACCTGTAGTCCCACCTACTTGAGAAGCTGAGGTGGGAGGACCGCTTGAGCCCATGAGTTCTTGGTTGCAGTAAACTATGATTGTGCCACTGCCCTCCAACCTAGTCAATAGAATGGGACTGTGTTCCTTAAAAAACCAAACACTATGAACATATTCAGACTGTAAAATATAAAAAAGAAAAAAAAAGAAAACACACACACATACAAAAGAAATACAAGTAAAAAATGTGATGGTAAAGGTATGAATAACAGAAAAGAAAGAAAAGCTGAACCAAGGTGACTACCAGGAGAAGAACCAGGAAAGCTCCAGGCATCTAGCAGTGGGAACAACAGAGAGTCTTTCCAGGCTTCCAAATCTTTTCATCCTTTTTCCTGCTTCTTCTTGTTTTTAATTTTACTTTAAGTTCTGGGATACATGTGCAGAACGTGTAGGTTTGTTACATAGTATACATGTGCCGTGGTGGTTTGCTGCACCTATCAACCCGTCATCTAGGTTTTAAGCCCCACGTGCATTAGGAATTTGTCCTAATGCTCTCCCTCCCCTTGCCGCCCACCCCCTGACAGGCCCCGGTGCGTGATGTTCCCTCCCTGTGTCCATGTGTTCTCACTGTTCAACTCCCACTTTTGAGTGAGAACACATGGTGTTTGGTTTTGTGTTTCTGTGTTAGTTTGCTGAGAATGATGGCTTCCAGCTTCATCCATGTCCCTGCAAAGGGTATGAATTCTTTTTTATGGGTACATAGTATTCCCTGGTGTATATGTGCCACATTTTCTTAATCCAGTCTATCATTGATGGGCATTTGCGTTGGTTCCAAGTCTTTGCTATTGTAAATAGTGCTGCAATAAACATATGTGTGCATGCGTGTTTATAGTAGAATGATTTATAATCCTTTGGGTATATACCTGTAATGGGATCACTGGGTCAAATGGTATTTCTGGTTCTAGATCCTTGAGGAATCACCACACTGTCTTCCGCATTGGTTGAACTAATTTACACTCCCAACAACAGTGTAAAAGCATTCCTATTTCTCCACATCCTCTTCAGCATGTGTTGTTTCCTGGCTTTTTAATAATCACCATTTTGACTGGCATAAGACAGTATCTCATTGTGGTTCTGATTTGCATTTCTCTAATGACCAGTGATGATGAGCTTTTTTCATAAGTTTGTTGGCCGCATCAATGTCTTCTTTTGAGAAATGTCTGTTCGTATCCTTTGCCCACTTTTTGATGGGGTTTTTTTGTTTTGTTTTTTTTTAAATTTGCTTAAGTTCCTTGTAGATTCTGGATATTAGACCTTTGTCTGATGGTTATCTGCTTCTTAAGATTCAATTTTTCAGGAGACAAGAGAATGGATTAACTTGAATCCCTTCCCACATCTCGGCTGGAGGAACAGGACATCTTGACTGATGGTCCTACCAAGAATTGCACGCACTGGGGGAGAGGCCATGCCCTGAGGGAAAATCAAGGTTCTGATGCCAAAAGAAGGGGAAAAGGAGGGATGCTTGACCAGCAAAATTTCAGATGTCTTCCATACCTAGTATATTGTTTGGCAAACTGAAGTACTCAGTTTCTCTGGCCTCTTGGTGGCAAGGAATGGCCAAGTGACATATTTTTGGCTGCTATGTTCAAGCAGAAGTCTGCTAGAGAGTTCAGGGAAAAAACTGTGCTTTCTCTGGTAAAAAGGACAGATGCATCTGGCGCTGTCTTTTCCCCTTTCTTCCTGCTTGTTGCTATAGCAGCCCTGTTGTGACCATGAGGATGAAACATCAAGCGAAAATAGTAGAGGAGAAGAAAGGAGCAAGCTTAGAGCCTTAGTGTCATTATTAATGGGCATTCTTGTTGTTTGTCAGCTGCTGTTACTGAAGGTTTTTGCTACTTGCAGCTGAATGCATTTCTAACTGTTATACATTGAATCTTAATTCAAACTATGGATTCTGGAATGCCCTTTGAGGAAGTGAATGAAATATAAACAGGCATTACCTAAGTGGCAGGTGGGATTGAAGGGAGGGAGGATCATTCCAGGTGGCCTAGTAGTCAGAACATCTGTGTCCAGTTTCTGCATGATGCATGTGACTTGGGCCAGGCTAATTTTTCTGAGCCTAGTTCCATTCCACAGAATCCACCTTCACCTCCTTTCCTTTAAATGTAAGGAAAGATGGTCTTTTTACTTTTTTAATAGCAAAAAAGACACCTCCACTCTGATCAGATGCAATTCAATTCCCTCTCACCTATTCCAGGAATTTATCGATTATTTTGTTTTACCATTTCTCTCTCTCTCCTGCCTTCACCCCATAGCCTGCTTACATTCTCAAGTTTCTCTCATTTATATATTTAAAATCCTTTAACCATAGCACTGTGGTTTTTCTTCCCCTTGAAAATTTCACTCTACCTTTTTGAATTTATTTCCTCACCCCCCCAGTAACTCTATCTCCAACAGCTGTTAGACAGTTATGCTTCACACAGCACTGAAACTCTTTCTGACAAAGGTATCTGTGTCACTAGAAGGAAGCTTGTATGAGGGTAGGGATTTTGTCTGTTTTGCTCACCCTTGTGTGCCCAGTCCCCAGAGCAGTGCCAAGAACATAATACCTGCTCAAGAAATGAATAATTGTCTTCTAAATCATCAAAGCAAATGAACTCTGCCTATCTGACTTCACTTCTCAATAGCTTTGTCATTTTTGATCATTTCCTTGTTGAAACTCACTCATCTTTTGGTCTTTATAACAATTGTTTTTCCTTCTCTTTTAACGTTTTATTATGGAAAATTTTAAACATGCATAAAAGTAGGAAAAAAAAAACAATAAAGGCTAAGGCACCCATCACCCAGCTTCAGTGTTTGGCCAACTGTGTTTCATCTAAACCTTCACTGACTCCCCACTCTTAATAACTTGAAGCAATTCCAGATAGCATATCATTTCACTCACAAATATTTCAGTCTGTATTACAAAAAAAAGGAACTCTTTAAAAAGCATAATCCTAATAGTGTAATTGGCAAAATTATTAGCAATAATTTCTTTTTTAAAAAACTTTTATTTTAGATTCAAGGGTACATGCACAGGTTATATCAGTAAACTCATGTCACAGGGGTTTGTTTTACAGATGATTTCATCACTCGGGTACTAAGCCTAGTGTACTCAATAGTTATTTTTTCTGGTTCTCTCCCTCCTCCCACCCTCCACCCTCAGGTCCGCCCCAGTGTCTGTTGTTCCCCTCCTTTGTGGTCACGTGTTCTCATCATTAGCCCCCGCTTATAAGTGAGAACATGGTGTATTTGATTTTTTTCTTCCTGCATTAGTTTGCTAAGGGGAATGGCCTCCAGCTGATCTCATTCTTTTTTACGGCTTCATAGTATTCTATGGTACATATGTACCACATTTTCTTTATCTAATCTGTCATTGATGGGCATCTAGGTTGATTCCATGTCTTTGCTATTGTGAATCGTGCTTCAATAAACGTATGAGTGCATGTGTCTTTATGGTAGAATGATTTTTATTCCTTCGTGTATATATCCAGTAATGGGATTGCTGGTAGTTCTGTTTTTAGCTCTTTGAGAAACCACCACCCTACTCTCCAGAATGGTGGAACTAATTTACATTCCCACCAACAGTGTATGAGGGCTCCCTTTTCTCTGCAACCTCAATAGCATCTGTTATTTTTTAACATTTTAATAATAGCCACTCTGGGGTGAGATGGTATCTCATTGTGATTTTGATTTGCATTTCTTTAATGATCAGTAATGTTCACAATTGCCACAAAAAGGGTAACATATCTAGGCATCTAATCAGGAAGGTAAAAGATCTGTACAATGAGAATTACAAAACACTGCACCAAGAAATCAGAGATGACACAAGCAAATGCAGAAACATTTCATGTTCATGGATAGGAAGAATCAATATTGTTAAAACGGCCATACTGCCCAAAGAAATTTACAGATTCAATGCTACTCCTGTTAAACTACCAATGACATTTTTCATAGAACTAGAAAAAACTATTTTAAAATTCATATGGAACCAAAAAAGGGACTGAATAGCTAAAGCAATCCTAAGCAAAAAGAACAAAGCTAGAGGCATCACTTTACCCAACTTCAAACTTCACTGCGGGGCCAACAGCATGGTATAGTACAAAAACTGACACATACACCAATGGAACAGAACAGAAAGCCCAGAAATAAGGCCACACACCTATAATCATCTCATCTACAACAAAGCTGACAAAAACAAGCGATGGGGAAAGGACTACCTATTCAATAAATGGTGGTGGGATAACTGGCTATCCATGTGCAGAAGATTGGAACTGGACCCCTTCCTTACACAATATAAAAAAATGAACTTAGGGTGGATTAAAGACTTAAATGTAAAACCCAAAACTATAAAAACCCCTGGAAGACAACCTAGGCAATATTATTCTGAACGTAGGACCTAGCAAAAATTTTATAACAAACATGCCAAAAGCAATTGCAACAAAGGCAAAAATTGACAAATAGGATCCATTTAAACCTAACAGCTTCTGCCCAGTAAAGGAAACTATCAACAGAGTAAACAGACAACCTACAGAATGGGAGAAAATATTTGCAAACTATGTATCTGACAAAGGTCTAATATCCAGCATCTATAAGGAACCTGAAAAAATTTACAAGAAAAAAACAACCCCATTAAAAAGTGGGCAAAGGACATGAGCAGACTTTCCAAAAGAAGACATACATGTGGCCAACTAGCATATAAATAATTTCTTAATATAGTCAATTTCCTTTTTTTTGGTTTTGTTTTTGATCTTTTTGCTTGTTTTTTAGAGGGTGGGATGGATCTCTTTCTGTCTCTATTTCTTCTACCTTATCTGACTAGCAAATTGGGACATAGGAGCTAAGCCTGGTCAGGCCCTTCTGAACTCTTTTCAGGGCAAGCAGGCTGCAGGAGTCCTGTACATCTGCTGTTGCTACAGAGAAGCTCTCAGGGTCCTGCTCTACCTGCAGTTTTTCGATTTCTGTTGTGCCTGGGCAGGTCAGTTAAATTCAACGTGAGCTCTTAGGAAACCCATCTGCCTTGGCCAAAACTCAAGCTGATGCTTTGATCTTCAACCATCTGACCTCCCAAGCCTGCCTCACAGTGTGTTCTGAACTTGGGAAGAGTGCTGTTAAGCTCCATCAGCAGCGTATGAATATTATTGAGAAAGAGGGAGGTAAATGTCAGATGAATGAGCTAAAAGTTAAAAGTGGTTGCTTCTGGGGAAAAGAAAAGGCACAGAGGGTGGGTGGGGGAAGCAATGGTTTTCCTTTTGATTTAAGCCTCTTAACAATAAATAACCCTTTAAGATGTATACATATAATATGTGGATAAACATCTTAAAAACAATGAAAACCTATCGTATCAAAATATATCACCTCCTCACACGTGTACCACACCCTGTCAGACTCCCAGACACCTGGGAGTCCTGCTTCCCCTTACTGCCTCCTAAATGTGTGCTATGCTCCTCAGCACCCCGCATCCTCACTGCTCCTGCAGTGCTTCCTATCCTTCCTCATCTCTCGCCTGGCCCACTGCAGCAGCCACTACCTACCCTACATGTTGCGGGCTGAATTGTGTCCCCCCAGTTCATAGGTTGAAACCCTAACCCCCAATACTTCAGAATCTGACTGCATTTAGAGATAGGGCATTTAATAAGGTAATTAGGGTAAAATGAAATCATGTGGGTGGGCCCTCGTCCAATGTGACTGGTGTCCTTCTAAGAAGAGGAATTTAAGACACAGACCTACGTAAAGAGGGAAGATGATGTGAAGACAGAGGAGAGGATGGCCACCTGCAAGCCCAGGTGAGAGGCCTCAGGAGAAACTGCTTCCAACTCAATCTCAGATTCCAGCCTCCACAACTGTGCAAAAACACATTTCTGCAGTTTAAGCCCCCCAGGCTGGGGTACTTTGTTATAACAGCCATAAAAAACTAATACACTATCTCCCCGCCTTCCTTGCCAGGATCTGATCCACCTTGCAAAACACTATTAGAAGAAGCTTTCAGAAATGTGTGCCTGATGAAGCTACTCTCCTGCTTAAAATCCTTACAGGATCCCTCACTGTTGCTGGATAAAACTCCTTAGCACGAGATACAAAGTCCGCTCCTACTTTCTCTCACCTGACTCTCCTTATACTTAAGCCCCAGCCGTAGTGAATTATAGTGGACCCTTGAATAACACGGGCTTGACCTGGGTGGGTCCACTTGTACGTGAAAATTTTTCAATAAAAGTTACACCTAGTGCGCCTGCCTCTCCTGCCTCTCCTGCCTCTCCTGCCTCTCCTGCCTCTCCTGCCTCTCCTGCCTCTCCTGCCTCTCCTGCCTCTCCTGCCTCTCCTGCCTCTCCTGCCTCTCCTGCCTCCGCTGCCTCCACTGCCTCCTACCGCTCCTGCCACTCCTGCCACTGTCGCCCCAAGACAGCAAGACCAACCCCTCCTCGTCCTCCTCCTCAGCCTACTCAACATGAAGACGATGGGGATGAAGACGTTTAAGATCCACTTTAATGCAACGAATAGTAAATATATTTTCTCTTATGATTTTTAAAATAACATTCTCTATTTTTGTAAGAATACAGTATGTTATACATATACAAAATGTATGAGGTAACTGTTTATGTTATCAGTGAGGCTTCCTGTCAACAGTAGATTATTAGTAGCTTTTTTTTTTTTTTTTTTAACATGGAGTCTCACTCTTTCACCCAGGCTGGAGTGCAATGGTGTGATCTCGGCTCACTGCAACCTCCACTTTCCAGGTTCAAGCGATTCTCCTGCCTCAGCCTCCCGAGTAGCTGGGATTGCAGGAATGCACCACCACGCCTGGCTAATTTTTGTGTTTTTAGTAGAGATGGGGTTTCACCATGTTGGCCAGGCTGGTCTTGAACCTGACCTCAAGTGATCCGCCTGCCTCGGCCTCCCAAAGTGCTAGGATTACAGGCGTGAGTCACTGCACCTGGCCAGTAATTATGTTCTTGAAGCATCAAAACACATAGGCAAATTTCTGACTATGCTGGGGATTAGTGCCCCTAACCCCCATGTTGTTTAAGGGTCGGCTGTAGTTGCATCCCCCAAAGGTGCCACCCTTGCTCATGCTTTACTATCTCTGGCCATGTATCCCTTGTCTAGAATACCTTCATTTTTCCTATTATGCCATCCACCTGCGGAACATCTCCTTTTTCCAGTGTCAGGTCAAGCTCCATTTCCTTTGGGAAAAATTTCTCAGCCCCTCCCTCCAGACAGAATTGACTTTTTCCCTTTGAATCTGTTTTGTACCCTATATGGAATTCTGCTCTATATTTGCTGCATTTTTATTGCCGTTATTTTATATCATATTCATCTAATGCTTAAAGGTAGAGACTACATTGTAACTTTGCATGCTCGGAGCCTAACATAATACCCAGCACCTAGTAGGTGTTCAAAAAAGGATGACCAACTGACCGATCAAATGAATTAATCTATGAAATTGGAAACAGTTTGGCATACCTCAAAAGACTATTGTCAGGTAATATATGTGGCAATTTTAAACATACATATGTGTAATTTTAAACATATACATATATAATTATTTTGAACTCTTAAAGATCAATTGAAATTGCAATTTAGTACTTGATCTTGAGTTTGAATGTGCCCTAATACTCATTTCCAATCCTTAAGATTGGGTTGTTTCTTCTTAAATCATGGGATCATGAAAATGTATTGCTGGAAAAGGTATTGGAGATGAAGTGATTCAACCACTTTATTTTTTGGACAGGAAAATTGAGTAAAAGCATTACCATCACACCACACTGCTGCCAGAGCCAGTCAGACACACTTAAACTGCCTTTGATGAAAACAGAAACACTGAAGTTAGAATAGTTTGAAGAAAAGAGAATTTAAATGTAATGCAACAAAAAAGCTACCAAATTTACATTTATAAAAATAATAGACTGTGACTCTTAAATTGTTTCTAAATAAAATATTGTGAATGAACTTCATCCAATATTGATATATCCTTTGGCTCTGGGCAGTCTAGAGAATTTATTTGTTATTGTGAAAAATTGCATCTGAATAATGTATAACAAGATGTATATTCAAATTGCCTTTGAATAATATATAACAAGAAAGGTTTTCTTTATTCATTTAGTGTCTTTCAAGGAACTACAAGTACCTTGTGCACTTTAGGTTAGGCGTGGTGTATTGCATACATGCTTTTTCACCTAACCTAAACATTTTGGATACAGCAGTACCAATTTGAGCCTATAAGAGTAGCCCTTAATAACCAGAGAGACACCTTGACAAAGCGACAAATTTGCATGGTCCACTCCATTCATCAGCATAACTTGGAAGCATGATCTTGGAAGTGAAGAATGTGAACTTGTGGTGAAGGGATCCTTGTTTGGCCCTAAGTAGCATCTATTGGTAGAATTCAGACATTGCTGGGCTTTCAGAGGAGTCTGCAGGGCCGGTAGTTCAGAGGCTTCTGTATGCAGGCCTATTGTGGTGGTGTCCTAGTAACAAAGCAGGGTCACAAACTGGAAAGATGAGCACTCTCTCTGCTGCTTCCAGAACACAGTGTGCAGCTCAGTGAGGGTTACAGGAAGCATGGCAAGCTTTGCTGCTTGGGGGCTTCAGGAGCTTTCCTCCTTGGGACAGGCAGGGAGTAGTTATAGTGATCATGGGTCTGGCAGCAGAGGTGGGTGGCAGGTTTCCTCAAGAATCATCATGAACAGCAAGGCAAAGATCTGAAGGACTGTTCATGAACTTATGGGAGACACTGCTGGAGACTCTCCCAAACTCCTGGGCAAGACTTTGAGGGGTTGCAGAAGGTCCCATATTGGGCAATAGAATTGATTCAATCATTAACAAACTTGCGCCAAGCACACTTCTTGGAGATGGAGAAACGGCAGCAAATGAAACAAAACTTCCTGAACTTGTAGAGCTTACAAAAAGTGCCTGTGTGGGCAGGATGGTAAAATAATATGTTGTATAAGTTTCTTAGCATGTTTATAGCATGTATGCTATAAAATTTTAAAAAGAGGAGCTGAACAAATGGATTAGGAGTATAGGGTGGAAGAAGGTATTCTGACTAGGACTTATTAAAAAGGTGATCTCTTGTTCTACCAAAAAGACACATGTACATGTATGTTCATTGCAGCACTATTCACAATAGCAAAGATGTGGAATCAACATAGATGCCCATCAATGGTGGATTGGATAAAGAAAATGTGGCACAACATACGCCATGGGATACTATGCAGTCATAAAAAGAACAAAATCATTTCCTTTACAGCAACATGGATGTAGCTGGAGACCATTATCCTAAGTGAATTAATGCTGAAACAAAACCAAATACTGTATTTTCTCACTTACACGTGGCAGTTAAACATTGGGTACTCATGGACATTAACATGGCAAAAATAGACACTGGACTACTAGAGGGGGAAGGAGGGAGGGGGCAAGGGTTGAAAACTATTGCGTAATACACTCACTACCTGTGTGACAGGAATCAATCACACCCTAAACCTCAGCATCATGCAATGTACCCAGGTAACAAACCTGTGCATATACCCCCTGAATCTAAAGTAACAGTTGAGGTGGGGCACAGTGGCTTAGGCTGGGCGCAGCGGCTCACGCCTGTAATACCAGCACTTTGGGAGGCTGAGGCAGGTGAATCACCTGAGGTCAGGAGTTCGAGACCAGCCTAGCTATTAAAAATACAAAAATTAGCTGAGCATGAAGGTGGGTGCCTGTAATCCCAGCTACTCGGGAGGCTGAGGCAAGAGAATTGCTTGAACCTGGGAGGTGGAGGTTGCAGTGAGTCGAGATAGCGCCATTGCACTCCAGCCTGGGCAACAAGAGCAAAACTCCATCTCAAAAAATAAATAAATGAAAGTTGAAATTATATGTATACATATATATGTGTGTATATATAGATATGTTTTCTAGCATGCTAGGAGTGATGTATGCTACGTATATACATATGATGCTGTCTGAACAAAGAATTGAAGTAGGTAAGGGAATTAGCTAAGCAGGTGGCTAAAGAAAGTGTGCCCCAGGCAGAAGGTATAGCTACAGCAATGGTCCTAAAGTGGGAATGTGCTTGGCATATTCTAGTAACCCGAAGGAGGCCAGTGTGGCTGGCGGGGACTAAGCGGGGGAGCAAGTAGTAGGACATGAGTTTAGAAAAATGATCTGAGGCCAGATCACAAAGGGCCTTGTACTGAGTCAAATGGAGAAAGACTGTGGGGTTTTGAGTAGGAAATGACATGATCACATTTAACTTTAAAAGGATCTCTTGGGTGGCTGGTGAGGATAGTGTAGAATCTGAGAAGTCTACTGAAGAAATATTGCAGTAATGTAGGTGAAAGCTTGGGCCAGGTGGTAGTAATGTTAAGACGTGGTTAGAATCTGGATATATTCTGCAAGTAAAGCCAACAGCATTTGTTGTGTTAGAGAGAAGGTGGCATTAGGGATAACTGACTTGAGCAACAGGAAAGATGGAGTTGCCATCAAAGAAGTAGGAAAGTGGGCCAGGCATGGTGTCTCACGCCTGTAATCCCAGCACTGTGGGAGGCTGAGGTGGGTGGATCACCTGAGATCAGGAGTTCAAAACTACCCTGGCCAACATGGTGAAACCTCCTCTCTACAAAAAATACAAAAAAAATTAGCCAGGTGTGGTGGCGGGTGCCTGTAATCCCAACTCCTGGGGAGGCTGAGGCACAAGAATCGTTTGAACCTGGGAGACAGAGGTTGCAGCGAGGCAAGATTGTGCCACTGCACTCCAGCCTCAGCAACAGAGTGAGACTTCATCTCAAAAGAAAAAGGAAAGTGGAAGTGGTGCAGATTTATGGGGCTCAGGAGTTGGGTTTGGCCATATTGACTTCGGGATGTCTATTGGTCATCCAAGTAGA
Organism: Homo sapiens; assembly: GCF_000001405.40. Lineage (NCBI taxonomy): Eukaryota > Metazoa > Chordata > Mammalia > Primates > Hominidae > Homo > Homo sapiens. The sequence continues at coordinate 60,605,664 of NC_000013.11, forward strand.
GATGTCAAAACTTTAATTATTTCTAGTAATGTGACCTCATGATTACTGCAAGAGATGAATCCTGGGGAAATCTGGGGTACAATCAACACATGCCCTTGAGGTAGAAAGTTTTGAGGAGATATTTGCAAAAGGAGCCATTATGACTTGTTAGAAGTTGGATGTGTCCGTGAGACAGTTTGGTAAGTGGCTGGATTTTTAGCACAGGGGAATACCATCTCTCTCTACAATCTAAAATCTTTGTGGAAAGATTTGAATGCTTCCAGACAAAACTAATTTGGGGCCCATCAATTTCTTTTAATAAAAGTAATGATCTATTTGTGTGATTGTCTCTACTGCCTGATTTTTGTGCTTCTTGAAGTCAGATACTGTGCTCCCTTTATCCCTGTATTCCAAGCAATTGGCAACCTAGTGTCTAGAGACAACAAACAAATGCTTTTATAATGAATAAGCAAATAACTTTTTTCTATGTAAAAGTCAGCCTAATTATTTTTCTTGAGTAAACTATTTTTAAATATTTAAAGCCATCTATCTCCCACTTAACATGCATATGTGTTGGGGATTAACGTAATATATTTTTATCTCCTGGTGAGGTCTATTCCATGAGTCTCTAATCTAAATATTATGTGGCTAATAAAATCAATGCTCTACCTTGCTACTCAAAGTGTTGTCCTCAGACCAGTAGCAATAGCATCACCCGGGAGCTTGCTAGAAATGCAGAACCTCAGGCTACAGTGCACATTTACCAAATCAGAGTCTGCTTTCTAGCAAAATCTGTGTAATTCATGTGCACATTAAAATATGAGCACTGCTCTAAAGCAGAGAGTGGCAAACTACCACCTGTTTTCATAAATAAAGTTTTACTGGGACACAGCCATGTCCACGTGTTTACGTATTGTTCATGGCTGTTTTGGTGCTACAACAGCAGGGTTGAATACTTTTGACAGAGAATGTGTGGCCTTCAGAGCCTTAACTGTTTACTCTCTCATCCTTTAAGAAACAGTTTGCAGACTCAGCTGTCAAGTTCCAGCATTATTCTTGGTGTACTTTCTTGAGGGCCACATAACAGGTGTGAACACTTTGGCCTATGTATAAATGTAAACATTTATTTTTAATTTTTTTTTTTTTTTTTTTGAGACAGAGTCTCTCTCTGTTGCCCAGGCTGGAGTACAATGGCATGATCTTGGCTCACTGCAATATCTGCCTCCCCAATTCATGTGATTCTTCAGCCTCAGCCTCCTGAGTAGCAGGGACTATAGGAACCCACCACCATGCCCGGCTAATTTTTGTATTTTTAGTAGAGATGGGGTTTCACCAAGTTGGCCAGACTGATCTCAAACTCCTGACCTCAAGTGATCCGCCCACCTCAACTTTCCCAAAGTGCTGGGATTCCAGGCATGAGCGACCACACCTGGTCTAAATTTTATTCTTTTTAAATGTGAAATTCTATTCAATGATTTAGAATGTATAAAGTCTTCCAAAGTAGTGTTGCAAAAATGAGTAATGTGAATATCATTAATCTTCCAAAATTTTAAAAATAAGTTTATCTTTTTCTGATGATTATTTTTTACTGTAAAAATATTTAAAAATTTTATACACGTGCTAATAATTGGAACTTTGAAAGGCACAGAAGGGAGGAACAAGAAAAAGAAACATCAGATTTTAACATATATTATTACAATACGATATCTGTATTTTGTATACTGATTACTTATATTGTCTTTCCCCAGGATATGAAAAATTATTTTTGAGCATCATGCTTATTCATTCCCAATCTTCCATCATGTGGCAAGTATATAGTTTTTTTAATGATTCTCCTATGGTTTGCTATTTAGATCAATAACAATGAAGTGTGAAAATTAGTGCTTGTTATATATATGACCAACAAATGATGTTCTTTGGCCGTTTTACTAAAAAGAACAGGGAAGAAGCACAAGATGAAAGTCACAATTAGCCCTTTTATCTTGATGTGCCTTTGTATATCTAGGAGAAAGAAATGATTTCAGAGGCTTATAATTGATTGAACATGATGGAAAATAAAGATGCAAGTTGTAATATCCTAATGAAAAAGTATGTGATCTGTGAAAAATAGAGAAAGCATCACAAACAATGTGATGAGGACAGTTTTGACATGACACAAATGAAAAGGCATTAAGCCCTAAATTGAAGATAAAAAGCCAGGCTAGACTATCAACAGGCAATTAAAGCATCATCTTCCTGAACCACATGGCATTTATGGACAAAATATGCTATTTCTTCCTCTTGACAATACAGCATCTCCATAGTTTAGGTGCTTGACTCAGATCTGCTCATATCACTGTGCTGTGACCTTTCTCAGAGGCAGCACCGAAGGGAGGCACCAGGTGCCAACAGACCACCTGTGGATACGCCGTCTAGGGCTCCCCAAACAATTGCTGGGGGTGGTAAAGCCCATTACTCTCAGCGGAGACCTAGCAGGTCTATCCCTGCAGAGGACAGCAGATCTCTGTCATGGAATAAATTGTCAACATCCACTGTGTTCTTTATGTGGATTTACTTCTTCGTTCTGAGACTGAGACCACACTCCCATCCATGCTTTCTGAAATGATCTTTTTGTTCATGCCCTTCTGTTTGGATTTTAACCCTAGCTGGCTTACCTGGAATCTGCTCCCTCCTGGCTGCTCAGAACTCAACTCTGAGGTTGCTTTGTCTTTGTGAAATGTGGTGTTCACATGCCCCTCTTTGGAGAATCCAGTTCCTTAATGGGAGTGTGGTTTGTGTAGCATTTGGTGACCTAGAATGACTGCAGTCTTATGCCCTCCTGAGCTAACTGTAATGAATTGTTCATGACTTGCCAATTGACATCAGGATCAGAATGATTTTTGCAGTCTGCTGTATCACCATTACATATGTAATGTAATGAAGAAAGTCTTCACTCAAAGAGACAAATGTAGAACTTGAGTAAAGAGGTTTTCTTTTCTTTCCTTTTTTTTTTTGAGATGGAGTCTCACTCTGTTGCCCAGGCTGGAGTGCAATGGTGTGATTTCTGCTCACTGCAACCTCTGCCTCCCCAGTTCTAGCGATTCTCCTGCCTCAGCCTCCTGAGTAGCTGGGATTACAGGCACCCGCCTCATGCCCTGCTAATTTTTGTATTTTTAGTAGAAACGGGTTTTCACCATGTTGGCCAGGCTAGTCTCAAACTCCTGATCTCAGGTGATCCGCCCGCCTTGGGCTCCCAAAGTGCTGGGAGTAAGGAGTTTTGTAGTGTTCTCGCCCAGCTCTGTTCAGAAATGTTCCATATTAGGAGTAAGAGGCTTTGATCCTATAGGGATTAGGAAGCGTATCAGTAAGATGCTGTAACAAAGCACAACAATCTGAGTGGCTTTACACAAGAGAAATGTATTCCCTCACAGATCTGGAAGTTAGAAGTCTGAAATTAAGTTGTTGGCAAGAACATGCTTTCTCTGAAGCCTGTAAGGGAGGAAACTTTCAGCTTCTCACAGCCCTAGGCATACATTGGCTGGAGGTGGCAAAAATCCAATCTCTGCCTCCACGCCCTCCATGGCGTTTTCTCTATCAAAGACCCACCCTACTCCAGTACAATCTCATCTTAACTAATTACATTTAAAAGAACAGTATTTCCAAATAAGGTCACTTATTGAGTTACCGTGGATAAGGACTCCACATATTTTGGGGGAACACAATTCAAATCACGAAAGCAAAATAAAGCAAATGAGGTAAAACCAATGCTTTGTTGGCAGACTAAATGCACAGGAGTATTCTTGACTTCTATAATACAAGATTCATTCCATTTATCTTGAGCTTATTTCTCATTCTATTTTTCTTTTTCTTCTGCGTGTATAGAGAAATATTTCATGTTATTTTTATTGCTACCATTAAAAATACTATGCTACAAAAAATTGCAAGTGCCATAATGAATGGCAACTAACATTTGGTCTGGTGTTAGGGAGATGTTAGGGTGAAGATTTTAGCAAATTGAAGTATGCATATGTATTTAATGGTCTAATTGCTACTTATCTCCTGAAGATTTCTGCTAAAAATAAACATGGGCCCAGTGGATGCCCCCTCCTGTAAATGCGTTACATAATCCTACTCTGATGAACTCAGAGTCTGGCTCTGTTGCCCAGGCTGGAGTGCAATGGCACGATCTCGTCTCACTGCAACCTCCATCTCTCGGGTTCAAGCAATTCTACTGCCTCAGCCTCCTGAGTAGCTGGGATTACAGGCACCTGCCACCATGCCTGGCTACTTTTTGTATTTTTAATAGAGACAGGGTTTCACCGTGTTGGCCAGGCTGGTCTCAAACTCCTGACCTCAGATGATCCGCCCACCTCAGTCTCCCAAAGTGCTGCAATTACAGGCATGAGCCATGGCACCCAGCTCCATACAGAAGCTTTAAGAAGCAGTGCATGGCGCTCTATGCTCTCCTTTCCTTCCTTTCAAATCATGGGAACAGATTTTAGGAGAGAACCTCTGATAGTTTTCTTTAGTGATTTGATAATAAGCAGAGGCCTTTTCAGCAGACGATGGACAAATAGCGTAAGAAATACATTTAAAAAAAAGTTGAGGGATTTTTGGTCATTTGTGCCTCAAAATAGCCCACCTAGACTAATACAAACCATATATGTGGAATATCTCCTAATTTTCAGACATTGCAATCAATTAAACATTTTAAAAATGATATTTTAAAAATCGAAGCAACACATACTGGCTAAAAATGAGAGTACAGAAAATTTATAATCAAATGGAGAAATGTCTTAACCATTCCTTCCCCACTCCTGAATCCTCCTCCCTAACATGGATAATTTTCAACAAGTTCGTTGTACCGCGTCCTCCCAGAGTTGCCCCTGGAATCATCCTGGGTTAAGCCTCTCTGACCTGTGTGCCATTTCCTTCTGTGTCAGGTCTCCCCATTTGCTGTGCAGCGGTACAGCTGCCACTAGCTTCTGAACAGTGTGTGGAAGGTAAAATTTTTGTCTTTGCATGTTTGAAAATTCCTGCTTTCACACTTATTTAATAGTTTCGCTTGGTAAAGAACTTGAGTGTGAAAAATAATTTTCACTCAGAATTTTGAAGGCGTTTCTCCCCTGGATTTTAGCACCCAATATTGTCATTAGAACTCCAGAATGATTCTGATTACTTATCCTTTAAGTAGTTTTAGCTTCTCATCTCTAAAGGCTCTTTATTCTGGATGTTCTGAAAGTTCATGATGAAATGTCTGGGACCTGGAACTCTTTCATTTATTGTGTTGGGCACTTGGGGCCTTCATTTAAAGAGTGTTGAATAGAAAAATTGTCTATATACCTTGAGAGTAATTTCTCTCCCTCTCTCCCTCTCTTTCACTTTATTCTCTGGAACGCCTATTGGTTGTATGTGGAATCTTCTTGATCGAGTTGCTGATTTTCTTATTTCTCACCTGTTCCCTATCTCTGTATATTTTTGTTCTGCTTTCTGGGAGATTTCCTGGCTTTATTTTCCATCTCTTCTATAGATTTAAAAATAACTTCTCACATTTTTAACTTCTGATCTCTTCTTTGATCTCTGAATTTCTATTTTTACAGCAATTTCTCTTCTGTTTCTTTAAAGTTTTCTTCTGTTCCTTTCCTTGAAATTGTGTTTTAGAGTTTTGAATGTCTTTTATATGCATTTTTTGGGGGCTTTGGTCTCTTGCATGTTGAAGGATTTATCAAATAACCTGGTGCTTCTTGGCTGTCTAATAATACACAGAGGGAGGTGCTAAACAGCTGTTTGCAAGCTCTGTGTGCAAGAGTGGGTTTGCTGTGGGGTTATTGGGCAGTAACTGTGTTTTCTTTGGAGTGCTCAAATATCAATATAATTAGTTTCTTCTGTGGGATAGTTTCAGTTTTTCAGAAAAGATATCCTAGCCGTATGAGTCTGGCTTTTGGTGCTCTAGGGGCTGGGGAGCAGAAGAGGGCACTGGGCTTCTCAGTAGTTCTGTATGTAGACTTCCAATTAGGCCTCCTGCCTCAGTCCTCTACTGTATGAGATGTCTCTGAGTCTGGAGTGGCTCAGGTTCAGTCCCTCAAAAGAGTAAACATCTGGTCTCCTTGGAGGTGAGCATAAGGGGAATTGCCTAACCACACAGACTGGGAACAGGGACTTGAGAGTCCAACTGCCCCTTGAAAAGGCTTTTATACCCATCCTGGTATTTGGACCGCAAGTATACTCTGAAATCTGTTACTTCTGAGTTATGACACTTTAGCTCCAAAGGGTAGATTACACAGCTTCTTGTTATTATTGCCCTCTGAAGGTATTTAAATTTCACCTTTTTCTTTGCTAAATCAGTCACCACTTCTTAATTCACTCTGTCTTCCAAAATTTTGTTTGCATCTCTTGCACTCTGCCGCCTCTCTTCCCACTCTCTTCATCATTGGGAGTGCATACTAGTTTTATTAATTTACTATTTAGTGACATTTCAGGAGAGAGAGAAGATAAACATGTGTTTGATCTGCCATGTTTAACCCTAATTGAATTAAAAATGAAACAACCACAAACTGGGCCTCTTTGTCTTATGAGCTGCTAGTTTGTGATATCAGGTCTAAATTAATCTTGTGTTGACTAAAGCTTATCTCTGATAAACATGATTCTAGGCAAGTAACACAAATTTGAGTCCAGAGCTTTTGATATTCTTGAATATTTATTTATATGGGTTGTTCGCCTATTTTCTCCACTAATTTCATTTTAATTTCTTACACAAATACACCAACCAGGTAAAGAACCTTCAATCATGACATCACTGTCTTGGCATCCAGAAACAAATCAACAATGTATTAGCATCACTTGTGTGTGTGGCATAATTGGGACCAATTGGATCCCACAGCAACGACTGCTTTCATGTTGAAAATCTCTGTACACCCAAGTGATTAAAAGGCTTAGCTAATATTCTTCTTGTTTCTGTGTTGGTGGAAGTTCACAGTAATGGAATCTGACCAGTTTAATGAATTATACTCTGACTAGGTGGCTGCTTTTTGTCTTAGACTCCAAAGGCAGACTTACAGCTCTGTTTACTGTTAAACAGATGCTTTGCCTCACCACTTGTCTTTCAGTTGCAGAAGATATCCGTTTTATTGCAAAATTAAATTGGTATGGCTGTCTAACTGTATCTAGACAAATTATTTCCCCATCTTCTCGTTTTGTTCCATAATCCTATTCAAAACCAGATCCCAGGAGGAGAAACAGCATGTCTTCACCAGCTTAGCAAACCTCTTATGAGGCAATGCTTGTTGCATTCCAGGCTTTGCTGCCTTAACAAAGAGGCAAGGATGTGAATGGTGACTGTTCAGTGGCCGAAGGAGTCAAATCTGCTCTCAGGTCCCAACATGTGAGTTCCCAGGGATCCCATGTCACCAGGATTCTGTCTAAGGAGAGGTCCTTGAAGACACTGTGTTGTAGAGTATGAACAACTATCCCAGTTTGCCTGAGACTGAGAGGTTTCTCAGGACCCAGTGCTAGAAGTAGGAAAGTCTTGGGCAAATGGGAAGTTAGTCACGCTGGCTATCAGAGGACAGGGATCATGTGAAACCCCATAGAATTAAGACTTACCTGAGCTACAAACTAAATGGGGAAGTGCTGTTTATAACTAAAGAGATTGGCATAGGGATGCTGAAGACCAAGCTGGCCATTGCCTAATGTGCCATCCAATCTGGACAGCTGGTCAACCCTGGATTATTGGCTAACTCCAGCACTTCTCTATGATGAGAGAGCTCTGCATCCCAACCACTCTTGCTCATTCTAGCTTCCCACACTGCTCTCTCTACAGAATGTGCTTGATGGCTATGATTATCTTTCAAAGAAAGAGCTGTAGCACCAACATCAGGAGGAGGAGCAAAGAGTTAAAGCAGCCTATTATAAATTCTCATCCATATGTTTTGATAGATTTGGGCACTCTGAGAACCACGCACTTACTGAGAAAGAAAAAAAGTACAAGTCTGTAAGCATACCTTCCTGGATGTGTCTGATCTTGTCTGATCTCAGAAGCTAAGCAGGGTTGATCCTGGTTAGGATTTGAATGGGAAAAAGAAGCAAATAAAAAGCGGCATGGCTCTCCCACTCCTGGCTTCTTCGTTTTCACCAATCCCACCTGCCTGTTCTGCCTGTGATCCAAGGCAAGAAACTGTCAGTTTGTGTCTTTCCCCAGGATGGATGTGGCTCCCCGCCATGTCAGCTAATTGACCACCTTGAACTCCCCATTTTCAACAGCTTGTTCTGGCCAAGGGGAAGTCCTAGAGATCAGGTTGGGACTCAAAGCACCCTCTCAGCATGTACTCCTACTTGAGGCCAGGTCTACACATCATGTATCCTCAGCTCAGCTTCTGTCCATCAGAGCAGGGTATCACTTCTGACCAATGGTTTTGTTCTCATCAGTCTCTCCTAAGACGCACTCAGAGACAAGGACTTTATTATTGCTTCAATTACTCTATCTTACAGGACACATCTAAGAATTAAAATATTCTTATGACCAGGTTATGTTAACCACTCCAAAATACTCTCTAATTTACTGTAACAATCCAAAATGTAACAACTCAAACATAATGAACAGGAGTTTCATTCCTTCTTATTCTAATGTGTAATAATTACAGAACTTTAATGAATCACCTATATAGAGATAAACCATATCTTAATCTTGTAGGAGCAGTTGAGTGATGTGCCTTAGATCACATACCTAGTAAGAGAAGAGCTGTGCTTCTGCTTTGGGCTAACCCAAAGCTCGTGGTCTTTCACCCACAACACGCTGAGTGGTGCTAGCCCTCCTTTTTGTCTTTTTACATGGCCCCAACCCATGTTATGTAAGAAGGGTAGGGTCCTTCTCAAACAGAGGTATGAGAGAAAGGAGGAAGGGAGCAAAACCATCTCTTCTGCTGCTGTTGATCCCTTAAGTCAATCAGTAAATGTTTCTTTCTGTTTCTCTTTGTCTTTCTGATATCTGAGTCTTTTTCGGTGTTTTATTCAAAGTCAAGCTTTCTGGCTTGATATGAATCCTGTCTAGACCATAAATAGTCATCCCCTCTAATTTCTTCATATTTTCCTAATGCTTTCTCTTGCTCATGTTGTGGTTCGCAGGTTTGTACAGTTTCTTCTATGTTGGGCTAACAGTTCGCATAGGGAGTTTTGGCTTTCCCCAGAATCCCTAAAAAGCTCTCCGGTCCTCTCCCTTGTTTGCATACAAATCAACTAGTATTTTAATTTTTTTTAAACCTCACCTAGGTGTAAATTCTATCCAGACTCCCATTCAGGAGCACCTCTTTCTGCCCAGGACCCTAACAATGTATTTTGTTTGGATCATGGAGCCCTTTCAAAACTTCTTTCTGGGTGTCTGGAATTTAAAAGTAGCCTGATGGTTACCCTTTCATATTTTAAAATTTTATCTAATTTGTGCAGTTCTCATTCTATTTTCTCTTTTCCAGTGTGTGGTTATTCCCTAATATATGTTAATTCATATGCTTGTAATTTGGGTGTTATTTTATTATTTGAACTCATATGCCTGCCATTTAGAATTTATCTTCTGTCATTCTGAAGTCTTTGCACATTATTCCAGTTTATTGTAATGTACAAATTTCATCAGATATGTTATATGTTCCTTTTCCATTATTAGTATTCGGTGTTTTTGGGTCTTTGAGAGGCTCAATGCCAGGAAAATCCCAGGGGAAGACAAAACGCATGTGCCCAGTAGGACTTGTTGAAAATGATTTCAGATGAGTAACATTGTTTTTTTTTTGACATGGAGTCTTGCTCTGTCACCCAGGCTGGAGTGCAGTGGCATGATCTCTGCTCACTGCAACCTCTGCCTCCCAGGTTCAAGCAATTCTCCTGCCTCAGCCTCCTGAGTAGCTGGGATTACAGGTGACCGCCACCACGCCCGGCTAATTTTTGTATTTTTAGTAGAGATGGGGTTTCACCACATGGTTCAGTCTGTTCTCGAACTCCTAACCTCGTGATCCACCCACTTCGGCCTCCCAAAGTGCTGGGATTACAGGCGTGAGCCACCACGCCCGGCTCAAAGCAATTCTTAGAGGAGAAAGGAGGATAAAGGCATAAGGAGTTGGGGGTGGTGGTGTGTGACTTGTGAGATTGAGAATCACTAAAAGCTGTAGGTGAAGGGGAAGGTCCACAGTGCATTTCAAGGTGACAGAAATAAAAGGCGGCTCCACTGGTCAATGTTACATCTTGGAAGTCAAGAGGCTAAATCTGCTCCTGGTATTTAGTTGTGCATATTGATTATTAACAAAATAATACATGTAATTCTTAACAAAATATTAGAAGCCTCAATAGCAGAAAAATAAAATCTATTTTAGAAAAACTTAAATCCTGAGAAGGGAAAAAAAAAATAAAGTGATAGACAAGTTTTTACACAGAACAGACATGAACACGTTATCTTAATCTCCCGGAGGCTTTGGGCCATTTTAATTCTTTTCCAACTTACAAATTACCTTAACATTTCTAAGGGACACAGATGTCTTACATTGATAAGTAGAATGTCAAGCATCACTTCCAGTAACAGGAAAAGAATCCACCGCCTTTAATTTTTACGTCTAATTGACTTCAGTTCAGGTGTAGTCAAATGTATATTATTTCTTAAATTGACACCTTCCATTTCAGATGTCTTATTTTATATGTGTCAGAGTCACAGGTGTGAAATTAGTCACTGGGAAGGCTAACTGTTCCGGATTCTTTTGACCTTATGGCTGGAGGGAATTTAATTGTAACCTCATAAAAAGAAAGGAATTCTGGCCACTAGGGAAGATGATTACATGGTCATTGACAATGTGAACTTGAATGGCTACATTAGCTCTTTAATTATAATGAATCAAGAAGAAACGTTCAAGGTTGGAAAGGAGGCACCTGGTAGGGGATAAGGACAGGTAGTTATGCAAATGGTATCAACACTTACAGAATGAAGAGACTGGAGCTTCTTTGAGCCAGTTTGAAGATTTCAGCCAAGAGAAGTGCAAGACTCACAAAAGGTTCAGTGTCATTAAAACTACTCTGTCAAGTGGCACACTTCTATTCAGTAAATTGCAAGCTGGGGTTTTTCTTGGCTAGGAAGGTGGCTCAGTTCTCTTGTCTCCCTTGAATTGTTCATGCTAATTTTTTTCCGTCTTTTTTTTTCTTCCCTTTTTTTCTTTTTTAGTCTGTGTCTTTCTACGTTGCCCAGGCTGGGCTTGAGCTTCTGAGCTCATGTGATCCTCCTGCCTCTGCATCCCGAATAGCTGAGATCACAGGCGTATGCTCTTCATGCTAATTTAGTGTTAGTTTCCCTAAATGTGAATGGAGGGGGAAAGGAAAATAAAATAGCTGAAATCAATAGAGTATACCAAAAGCTCCCAGTAACCAAGTTTTCTTCATATAAGTTCTCATAATTTAAAAAAAAAATTGTTCCGTTTTGTTTTTGTTTTTTAGTCTTAGCTCTGGCTTTAACTTCTATCATCTCAAAGCACCTAGGGCTCTTCTTAATGCACAGAACATACTCATTAAGACTAAATAAATAATGATTGAAGGAATGGATAATTATGGGAACATGAATGTTATAAAGGAGAAATAAAAGCAACTCAAAATGGAATTAAAGGAAACAGATTCAGTATTAGATCTCAATTTACATACCTATTATAACACTAAAAATAGATGTATTTCTTGGAATTCTTTAAAGAAAGTCTGTTGAGAACACTTGTGAGATAATCATTTTTAGTCAGAGATGACTTAATTAAGGTAAGGATATATAAACAGCTTTTACCACCCACAGGCAAAGTACTGTTGTTTGTCAGAATAATGAAACTGGTTTCTGTTTATAGAAAACCAGACAGTCCTCATTGGAGTTCCTTCTTCTAAACAATGGAAAAAAAATGCCCCTGTGAAAAAATACATTTTCTTAGGATGTAGAATCATTACCTTGGGTGGTATGTTTAGGGAGAGAACAGTTATTCCTCACTGCTAATGCTTCCTTCCATGTGGCTAGAACTTCTGTTAGAATCATTTCCCTCTGCCTCTCTTGTTACTTCTCTCCGGGGAAAGAGGTTTTATTTGATATGAAAATTTGGGAGAAGACACTGAGCCTCACCCTCTTCTCCAGTGCCATCCTGCCCATAAGAAACCCACATTATTGGTTCCTCTAGGCCAGTCTTCTCAAAATGTGTTCTTGGGCCAACAGTAACAGCACCTGGAGACGTGAGAATTTGTTACATAAATGCCCAAGATGGCCTCTGTATATTGGGCCTATTATTTACTCCCTCACAGGAGGCTGGGAGCAGTGAGCTCAAAAGCCGAGCAGTGCCCAACTCAATGTTTACACACCCAGTTGTTTTAAACATAGCCCAGATAAGTAGGTTCTTAGCCATTTAGATACTTCTTGTTTTGCCTACCCTGTGAAACTGCACCTGACATCTGCTAGCCATTGACAGGAGAAATCCTGCTTCTATACCAAGACTCCTAGCTCTGCTACCCTTGGGAGCTCATTGACCCAGAGACTCTGCTGGGCTGCTGAGGGTACCACTTAGTAATTGTAGTTCTCCCCTCTGATTCCCTCTCTCTCGGGAGTTCCCTTGTCCTCTTTCTCTTGGAATGGTCTCATGCTCTGAGAAACTTCTGCCAGGAGCGGACTTCTCAGTGTCACCCAAATAAAGCTTGCTGTGTGTTAGTGCCCTCTCATGGCCACAACATTTCATCAGCTCCCAAACCCCTGGAACTCACTCCAGAATTCCACATTTTCTGATTTTACCTCAGATCTATCGAATCAGAAACTCTTGGGTCGGGCCCAGTAATCTGTATTTTAATAAGCCTGGCAGATGATTCTGTTGCCTGTGGGAGTCTGAGAACAACTGCCTCAAGTTTTATAGGGGGAGGGCCCCAGTGGGGAGGCCTACAGCTCTCCACTATATGTGCTGTGACCTGGCAGGTAAGTTTCTATATTACTTATCTGTTGCTGTGTAACAAATTGCCCCCAAAACTTAGTGGCTTAAAACCACACACATTTACTATCTCACAGTTTTTGTGGGTTGAGAATTTAGAAGCAGTTTAGAGGGGTGGTTCTGCTCAGGCTTTCTCATGTGGGTATAGTCAAGGGGGTTGGGGCTTCAGTCATCTGGGGGCTTGAGGGCTGGATGATCTGTTTCCAAGGTGGCTCAGTCACGTGGCTGTTGGCAGGAGGCCTCAGTTCCTCACCATAAGAGTGCCTCCACAGGGCTGCTTGGGTAACCTCATGACCTGGCAGCTGGCTTCTCCCAGAGAGAGAGAGATCCATGAGAGAGCAAGACAAGTCATAATGTCTTTTGTGACCTAGCCTCAGAAGTCACATTTGTCATTTTCACAGTATCCTATCAGTCCTATGAGTCAGCCATATACAGCATGGAACAGGGCTCCACAAGGACATGAATACCAGGTGGCAGGGATCACTGGGCCATCTCTCTAAATCACGAATGAAACATTTGCAACCTGTGTCTCCCAAACATGATATGTCTCAATCATCAAAGGTAATATTTTACTTCTGTTTATGCCCATGCCTCATTTGATTGGGGAAAAGCAATGTTTTTTACTAACCACCTCAAAACCCAACATGTAAAAATTATAAATCATGGTGACCTATTTTTTGAATAAACTGTTGATAACTAATAACTTATATATGATCTTTAATATATATCTTTAATCTTTTATATCTATCTTCATATATCTCAATATATCTTTAATCTTTATATATATGAATATATATCTTTTTGAATAAACTATATATCTTTACCGGGATGTCCCACAGCACCTCAAGGACAAAAACTCCTGATCTATCTCACTGTGTTAGTCTACTTTGAATTGCTATACAGGGGTATCTGAGGCTGGGCAATTTATAAAGAGAAGAGGTTTATTTGGCTTACAGTTCTGTAGGCTGTACAAGAAGCATGGTACTAGCATCTGCTCAGCTTCTGGTGAGGTCTCAGGAAGCTGACAATCAAGATGGAAAGTGAAGGGTGAGCAGCGTGTCACATGGTAAGAGGGAGCAAGAGAGGAAAGGGGAAGTGCCAGGCTCCTTTAAACAACCAGATCTCATGTGAATTAACGGCAAAAGCTCACTCATTACTGGGAGGAGGGCACCAAGCCATTCATGAGGGATCCACTTCCATAACCCAAACACCTCCCACTAGGCCCATCTCTAACAGTGGGGATCACATTTCAACATGAGATTGGGAGGAGATGAATATCCAAACCATACCACCTGGTAAACCTATTTTTTCTTTATTTCTTTTTAAAGTAAAGAGCACCACTATCCACCCAGCTGCCCAAGTCAGAAACCTGGAAACCTGACTCCTTTGCCCCAAGTCCTGTTACTCACTGAGCCCTGCTTATTCGATCTCTTGAATGGCTCTCAGATTGGACCACCTCTCTTCTTCACCAAAACAGTCTCTCAACAGGATTGTTGCAACAATCTCCCCAGCTGTTCTCCCTGCCTTCCATGTGAAAAATAGTGTAGAGGCAGGACAGAGTGGAGGCAAGGAGGCCAGCTGGAGATATCATGTCAATCCAGTTGACAGAGAAAGTTGTGATGATGGAGAGGGCTAGACCAGTCTGAGAGTGATTCAGAAGATAAAATGAACAGGACTCCCTGATTTCTCTAAAGTGATATCTTCTTTCAAGTCTTTGATGGTTCTCCTTTGCCCTCAAAGTGCCAATTCTGAGAAGGCTTTGTGAGACCTTCATAGCTTGGCTTGATTTACATCTCCAGCTTTCTCTTTTAGATACTATCCTGAGCCAGTCAGAACTTGTTAAATCCAACATTGCCTATTTCCACTCAACACCAAACCCTTTTTGTATACTTTCTCCTCCACCTGAAATGCCCTTTGCCCCACCCTCTTCACTCAAGGAGCTTTTATATGTTCTTCAGGTCTTGGTTTAGATGTTTCTTTTTTGGTGGGTGTGACCTTTTGGGACTTCCAAGTTTGGATTAGAAGCCTTTTTATGATCTCCAGCCTTTTTATGATCAGCATGGGGTAGTTAATCATAGCACTTGCTAATATTGAAATGTCAATTTACTTGAATCTCTCCTCTACAAAACTGTACAGTGCTTGAGGCAGGGACCGTGACTTATAGACTTTTTTATGCCAAGTCCCTGCCATATGTTTGGCACTTGATATCATTTGTTGAGTGAATGAATGCTTTTATACTTATTATTTAATGTCTTCTGCTTATTATCTTAGTGGGGGGTCGTTTTGTTGGTTGTCGTCTCATTTGGTTTATGTTCTGTCCTCCCTCCTTCCCACCCCCATACTTCCTTTCCTCTTTCTACTTCATTTCTTTTCTTCATACATTCCCAAATATTTGTTGAGCTCCTACTGTATACCAGCAAGTGCTTCTGTAACTTCTGTTTCTTCACACCTTCTGTCCTGGATTTCTCTACTTGCTGTTGTTTTTAATTTTTACTAGGAAAGGGGATAATTTTTAAGATCCTTCTAACCTGTGTCTAACCTTGTAATGAAGATAGTGGACAATGCTTGAGATGCTTGAAATACTACTCTAAATGCTCAGGGATGTGGTCACTTGACCACGGTGATGCACAAGTCTGACTATTTTCTTAAACACATAAAAATACTTGGGTGAGCATATTTACTGGGTTCCTTCTAGAGGAACATATTTATGAAGAAAAGGACACTAAGGTTATCTGCAGTACTTCACAGTGTGTGGGTGGATGTTAATGTGGCCGTCTCCAATCACAAATTATAGGGGACTTACCTGACAGTGGTGTGCTGGTAAATTGGCTGTCTGGAAAAAAAAAAAAAGCCCTGATGTGTAGCATTTGCCAGTTTTCATGATATAAATACTCCCCTCCTGGCTGATTTCAGGCTACTAATATGACATCACTGAATACGGAGTTGGGAGGTGATAGGGAGAATCGGCTCATTGCTGCTAAATCAGGGGCATGGTTTCCAGGAAGAGAGTGCTGGACAACTATTGTGAGGTTGTCTAGTGTTTTGTCTCCTTTTCTGAAACTTGTCCTAACCATGGCACAGTTGACACACAGATTATTCTGACAGGAATAATCGGAATAATCAGAATGATGGGAATAATCAGCTCAACTGGGCTGAGGAATGTACTTTCTAGATTTGGAATTGGTTTGGCTAGTTTCATGAATAGAGAAGATATAAATTGGGAATTAGTATTGAGACCATTTCCTTCAGATGGGCTTAGAACAGAATAAACCCACCTGCAGCAAGAAAGAAGCAGCAACAGGAGATGGAGAGAACAGAATGTCTGGGTTTGTACAGCTCTCAAGCAGTGCCTCTGTCTATGGAGCTGTGAAACTCCCTTGGCCTCTTGGCTTCTGCTAGCTCCATCTTATTTGAAAATCAAGATCTTAATAGCACAAAGAATCTGGCTGAAAAATAACAATATCTTTCTTTTCTAATTTATCTCCCAACCACCTATCCAGAAATTAACCTCTGAAATAATAAATCCTTGATTATAGATTTAAAAGAAATGGTTCTTATAGATAAGAAAATCTCTTTCACAAGAGCAACTTCCAATAGGCCAGTGGTTTTCAAAGCATCTTTCCTGGACCCTTAGGGTCCAAGAAACCCTAGAACTCTGTGATGTCTTGGGGACTAGAAAAACGAGTACAGTGGACAGAGGTCCAGACTCCAATTGCAACATCACCTGAAGCAGCTCTGGGCTTATGTACTTTAGAAAGATGTTCCATTTGCAATTGTATTCATACAGTTTTCCCTGCTGAAGCCTTAGGTAAAATTGAGAAGAGGTTGGCTTGCCTTCTGTGTCCTTAGCTCTCCCTTTCTGCTGCTGCTTTCCTCCTAGGCACCTGGCCTCACCCTCTCTTAGAATCTTCCTGTCACTGCCTCTTGCAGAAGCAGCTCTCAGGAAAGGGCAGATAACTTGCAGTACATGAGGATGAAACTAACTGATAAGTCTAAAGGTGTTAACTTTGTAATACTGTCTGCATCTCAGTGGAGGACAATGTAAAGCCCAGGGCAGAAGCCGTAGTCATAAAATTTCAATCATCATCCAAGAGGTGGATGTGGAAATGAGATGTGGGTAAGATGGAAATATTTTCCTGCAACTTCGGAATTTTCCTTGTAGACAATGAACTCTTTGGGGCAGTCATGAGGTTCATTTCAGAGTCAAGGGCATGAATCCTCCTTACTCAGGAACTGGATATGAGATGGAGTGATTTTCAGTTTTTTTACTCTGGTTTCGCTTAGACAAAGTACTTGCATTCCTAGTATTAGCATTTTATTTTTTAAGTTTTGTTTTTCAATAGCAAATATAAATGAATGCGCTGAGCTGGGGTATGTCTGCTTACTTTTTTGAAAAACAAAACTAGTCCTCAATGATATTTAGTACTTTTCTTGGCTCAAGATGTTAGATTGTTTTTTAATAGATCTCATAGTTCTCTAAGTGGAGGTGGCACACCTAAGTCACAGCACTAGGGAGATAATCAACAGGAAGATGGATATGTGAATTTGGAAAAAATCCAAAACTCAAAACAATACCTGAGGACACCTCTGAGCATAATCATTGATATAAATTTGTGAAGCATGGTGCCTCAATGTGGAGGGCAGAATAAGGTGTAGAATACACTTTGGCTGAGGAGTTCTAACATGCCTGAGGCTTCAGATGGAATAAAACACATTCCTCAGAAACCTCCAGGAGAGGAGGAGGTGTGACATTTCCACACATGTCTAAAATGTGGAAATTACCTGGATTCCCATAGGTTTTCTTACTGACGTTAGGGACTGTAACCACATGTAATAGGATTTTATAATGAGCACATTCCCTTTGAATGTGTTCACTGTAACCCCTAGATTATATTATGTATAACCTAATTAACAGGATATCAAGTAGATTTTCAGTTAGTACACTAAAGGCAATTACTACTTAAATACTCAACAGTTTTAGGGAAAAATAGAAAAGGTGATTTCATTGGTACATAAATATATAACATAAAATAACATGCACTCTTTCTTGTGTCCTGACTTTTGTTTTTCGTTTGCCATTGAATCATTTGGCTCTGACATTTTGCTATGAATCTTGTTTAGCTGGTAATTGCTTTCACTCAAATGGGCCATTTATATATGAATTTCATTTTAATAAAATTTTCTCTCTGATAAAAGTCTCTTGTTTGCCTATCTTATAGGCCAAATTTTGTTCAATTAATAATCTTTTTTTTTTCACATTTCTTTAAGGCTTTCTTATAGATTTCCTTTTTTTTTTTTTTTTTTTTTTTTTTGCATGGAGTCTGGCTCTGTCGCCCAGGCTGGAGTGCAGTGGCATGATCTCGGCTCACTGCAAGCTCTGCCTCCTGTGTTCACACCATTCTCCTGCCTCAGTCTCCCAAGTAGCTGGGACTCCAGGCGCCCACCACCAGGCCCGGCTAATTTTTTTTGTATTTTTAGTAGAGATGGGGTTTCACCGTGTTAGCCAGGATGGTCTCGATCTCCTGACCTTGTGATCTGCCCGCCTCGGCCTCCCAAAGTGCTGGGATTACAGGTGTGAGCCACTGCGCCCGGACATAGATTTTCTTTTACAGCTTTTTAGTGTCATGTTATTTGGTGGTGTGATTTGATCTTTTTTTGTGAAGTTTGTTTTTTTTCTTTGCAATGATGGGATTTTCCATTCTTCTGTTTATCTTTCCTGTTTCCCTGCCACTGAGTGCAATTTTTTCATACCTGTACAACTACATGTTTTAGAATTTGACACTACCTCTCATAAGATTTTGGAAGACTACAAGAGCGAAGATTGCCTAACATAAAATGTTTGTCATGGTCAGAGCTTTCTTTTTTAATAAGGTCAACGAACATGTCAATTAAGCCTTTGCTTCTCTTCTTCCCCATGCCAATGGGATGGAAATAGCCACCAAGATGAGCCAGAATGGGCAATTTTCTGAATATCTACTAAGTGCTGCTGGAATAGAAAACCCATATGCCATTTCCTTTACTCTTTATAATAATCTCCAATGTGAAGTAGCAATATCTTCAGTTCATTCATGAGTGGTCTCACATGGGTATCAAGAGGATCACACAAATTTCCTGGTGCTGGGCATTTTCTTGCATGTTTCTATATACATCTTAAAAGCTGTCATAGCCGGGCATGGTGGCTCATGCCTATGATCCCAGCACTCTGGGAGGCCGAGGTGGGTGGATCATATGAGGTCGGGAGTTCGATACCAGCCTGACCAACATGGAGAAACCCCGTCTCTACTAAAAATACAAAATTAGCCGGGTGTGGTGGCACATGCCTGTAATCCCAGCTACTCAGGAAGGCTGAGGCAGGAGAATAGCTTGAACCTGGGAGGCAGAGGTTGTGGTGAGCTGAGATCACGCCATTGCACTCCAGCCTGGGCAACAAGAGCGAAACTCCATCTCAAAAAAAAAAAAAAAAAAAAAAGCTGTCATAGATGTAAGCTTTAGGCAAACTCACAGTACTTCTGACAGCCTGATGTTCTGGCTGCTGCACTATTTCTCAAATGATTTCTAAATATTGGTGGTACCTTTGATTTGTTCCTTTCTTTTTGTGAATGGGGGCTTGAATAAATTGAATTAAAAGGAATTTGTCATAAACAGCTGCTATTTGTTAATATTTCCCAACTGATTTTGCTCAGTAGTAGAGATTTCTAGAACTAAATATTTAGGATCTACTGGCCTTGATTTGTTTTACAGGTGGATCAATTGTTTATTCATGTAACAAATATTTATAGAGAACTGACTGTGTGAAGTTATTTGTTATTTCTAACTGTTGTCATCAAAAGAGGATGAATCCTAACTGGAAAGACTAACAGAGAGTCATATTTCTCTAAAAAGAAAGAAGATACAGGGAGATGAGGTTATGGATGAGGGTAGTAAGATGAAGATTGGAGGGTGCATGGGGGGAAATGGTCTGGATTTGTTGGCTAGAGGTTGCCAGGGACTTCTGGAGGAAAATATATGTTTAATTTTCATGGAAACATCCAGGCTAGGCATTATTAGCCCTTTTAAAGTTGAGGAAATTGAGGCTGCTCAAGGGACACAGTTACATCTGTATAAAACTCCATGCCATCATGGTATGGTGTCTGGGAGCGGGGGGCACAAAGGTGAATGTGGGATAGAGATGTCTTCTTCTGAGCCACAATATGACATGTTTCAGGAGTATTTATAAAGTATCACATACAGCATAAACCCTCTTTTGTGTCACCACAAAATCAATAATGAAATATTGTGAATGAGAAAAGCTATTCTATGGGGTGTATGAATATAATCTTGTGAATAAATTGAGTTTGGGCATTTTGGATTATGCCAAAGGTCCTTAGTCTTGCATGAGGGTGGTACTGGAGGAAAAATGAAGCTTTGAGAAATAAAATGTTTGCCAGAGCTTGAACTCACATCTGCTGAGCTGGAGGCTGCTGTTTGTAATGCCCGTGTTTGGTCCAGAATATGTTAATAGAGTTTACCCACAGGTTTCCCCAGAAGTACCCCAATCATGGGCTGGGCACTGTGGCTCATGCCTGTAATCCAGCACTTTGGGAGGCTGATGCAGGCGGATCACCTGAGGTCAGGAGTTTAAGACCAGCCCCACCAACATGGTGAAATCCTGTCTCAAAATACAAAAATTAGCTTGGCGTAGTGGTGCATGCCTGTAGTCCCAGCTACTCGGGAGGCTGAGGCAGGAGAATCGCTTGAACCTGGGAGGCAGATGTTGCAGTGAGCTGAGATAGCGCCATTGCACTCCAGCCTGGGTGACAAGAGCGAGATGCTCTCAAAAGAAGAAGAAAAAAAGTATCCCAATCACTCTGGGAGCTCCAAGGACACTGTGGCCACATGTGAGGAGGTCCCAGGGCTTACAGGAGCAATTGTGGAAGGAATAGACTGCTATCCTTAATTAAAAACAAAACAAAACATTGACCAACCAGTTAATGTTCTTTTGTGTTATTCATGAGAAATTCAACTGTATTTTGTAGGTGCTTTCTTTTCACATTGAGATGTCCTACCTATCAAATAACCAATCTGCAAAGATTCATTAAACAGGAAAGGGATGATTGTAGAGTCTTGATAGTTGCATGCAGCACTGAGGCACCTTTTTAAAAAAAATGATTGAAATACGTGGTGAAACCTCAGTTAACAAGCCACAACCATAGCTGCTTGTTCCTCAAGTCTAGTTTTAAAACCCCATTTATGTGGAATAATTGCCTTCTTTTTATTCACGGTAAGAATGATCTCACCAGCACCATTGGCATCCCCTGACTGCTTGTTAGAGATGGAGGATCTCAGGCCCCACCCAAACCTTCTGAATTAGAATCTGCAGTTTAACAAGGTCCGCAGGTGATTCCTATGTACATTACAGTTTGAGAAGCACTGCTCTAAGGCAATTTTAGGCTCTGAGGTAGATTAAAAAATACCAGGAATGTCTTCGCCCTGCCTGAGCTTGCGTAAATGGCAATTAGTTGAAAGCACATGAATTAGAAATTAACAAAAGGCAGTAAGAGTTCCGTGCCAAGCCAGTGGTACCCACAGAAAAGGCTGTAAGTGTTGGGAGAAAGAGCAATCACATCCAATTAGGTCTACCAGGGAAGATTTCAAGCCGGCTGCTGCCTTCTGGTATTTCAAATTCTTTTAACTTCCAGCGCGTGCCATAGACCCCTGTAGCCCTAGGGGGCAGTGTGGTATAGTAAAAAGCAGTTTGTGTCACCTCCCCAGTGTTGTTACTCTGTGGTAGCCCTGGGATCTTGGGAGACCACTCAATCCCCACTGAACCTCAGTTTCCTGAGGAATAAAATAAAATACACTTTCCTTATAGGATTGTTGTAAAGATTCAAAGCCAAATGCACATAATGTCTAGCACATATCAGGTCCTCAATTTCTCCCTTTCCCATCTTCTCTTTTGTCTAATCCATAGTTAACGTAATTCGTAGTTACAATGAAGAAAGCTGTGCTATTTATTGCTGTCCAAGCATGTTCACATGTTATGTTAAAGCAAATACATCTAAAAGAAGCTGTCAACGGTGGCTGGCTCGCTAGATAGCTAAGTTTCCTAACAGGTAGTGCTTGCAGAAGAAGTAATCTAACCAAGTGCTCATGATGGTTTATAGGAATTCAGAAGATGGCTTCAGCCTTTTGCTTATTTTCTTACCTTTCAAGGTAGTGTTAAGCCCGGAGCATGGCTATGTTGCAGTGGTGAGAACCTCCATAGGCCTAGATCTAAAGCAGTAGTTCTCAAGCTTTGATCGTACGTTGGAATTTCCTGGGGATTTATAAAAACTCCTGGTGCCTCAGATAGCTTCCAGACCAACAGAATAGACTTTCAGGGGTTGGAAAGCTAGTTAAGAAAGCACACCAGGTGATTTTAATGTGTTGTCAAGGTTGAAAACCATTATAACCCGTGCATTACAGGCTTAGTACCACTATAAACCATTCATTACAGGCTTAGTACTTAAGTGTAAGCAAGTAAGAGACTTCTGCCCCAGTGGTATGGCTTCCCTGTCAACAAACACATACGGTTCTTGTGGCTTCTGAGAAAATTTTAAGTTTAATCTGTTTAGAGTGTGACAGTTGAAAAAGAAAATCAAGCTCAGCATTATGTATCCCAATGTTACATATTTTTTTTCCAGCTTTAAGTGGGGTCCTTGGGTCCTTGCTGGTTTCATTGTATATTTTTTATAACATTTGGAATACTTGGTACTATCAAGTTTATTTGCTTAGAAATTTGCTTGCATTTCTAGTTTCTCTTTATCTCTTTATGATACAGACATTGCTTATCCTCAATCTTTGGGGAGGGACTGATTTGTTTTCTCAATATTTGTATGTTTTCTACATTTTTATGAATCTTCCTTGGGTATTTTCAACAAAATTAATCAGTAAAGACACTTAAGATCCATCAAGTGCAACTTGGGCATGTTAAAACACACAGTTCGGTGTCAGTGTGACTCCGAGCTCCTTCTGTAACTTAAAGTCTGGGAAGCAATAAACATGTTTGATTCACGTGCTGTGAATGGAGATAATGAGACTCTCTTCCTCCCAGGACCGAAGTGAGGATTAAACCAGTTAATTCTCACAAGAGTTACAAACAGTGCCTGGTACCTAGCAAGCACTCAGTAAGCATTTGTGTATTTTATTATTCCAGGAAGCAGGGTCAGAATGTAACCAATATATTTGGAAATGGGGTCATACAGTAGCTGGCTATGATAGCAAAAGGCTTTAATTCTTTATCTTTATAAAAATTTGAGAATGTTAAAGAATAAAATAGTGTGTCACAATTTATTATCAATAATTGAAAGAGTTTGTGGCAGTTCTGACACCTTCTGGTGGTTCCACGTGTTTTCCCTGGTGGAAGGTATATGCATGGACATGGCGTGAGCCATGTTGCCAGTGTTACGATTAGCCAAGAGATATTTATTTTTATTTTTTAATTTCTGTAGAACTTATGAAGACAACAGAGAAATCTGTTGAAGTAACTAAAGCATCTTTAGAGAATGAGAACTATAGATATTTTGACATATTACTATTTTATAAGGTTATCTCCACATCTAATTCATCAACATCATATTCTACCTTCAAAACAGATTTTAAATCTGTTGACTTTGTTGCTGCGAACACCGCTCAATCCTAGTTCTACCCTCTGCTTCTGTTCCAATCTAGGACTACCAGTAATTAACTCCCTGTTTCTACAATGTACTAAATAGCAGTCCAAGTGGTCTTTTAAAGCACAAATGGAATCCTGTGGCTTCCAGGATTAAACCCGTTTCAGTTCTTTGGAGTGCTAATTGCCACCTGCTATGTGGAAGAGGACACCCGTGACAGCTCCATCTTCCTTCTAGTACCCTAGCAGTAAATGGTGTTCAGTGCAAATTTTTACACGTATGCTAAAATGACCACAATAATTCTTTAATTGTGTTTGGAGTTTTACAGAGGGTATGTATTTTCCTATATAATTATATTTATTTTTGTTCATGTTAGGATCTGAGCTAGTTTTAATAAATATAGATGATACACATGAAAGGTACAAAGCAAATAGTGTGTGTTTTCAGATGGTCCGTGTTTTAATTTTAGTTTTAGAGAGATAGACCATACACACAGAATATTTAATATTATTCATACAGTTTAAAAGTAACAAAACAAAATACAATAATACAGCAAAATATCAATTTTGAATGTCCTTGTAAATACCTCCATAATCTCATCCCTTTCTTCTCCCCTTTACAAGGTAACTGCAATTCAGAATTTTGTATTTATTATTGGCTTGCTTTTTTTCTCTTTTGGTTTTTGAGTGAATATACTTTTTTCCTTTTTCTCTTTTTTACTTAAATTTTTAAAAATTGTATACAATACAATTATAAATATATACAATGCAATTATAAATATATACATCATGTACAACATGATGCTTTGAAAGATGTGTATGTTGTAGAATAGCTAGATCAAACTAACATAGTGCCTTTCATCATTTTTTGGGTATGAGAAGACTTAAAATCTCTTAGTGACTTTTAAGAATACAATGCATTATCATTATAGTCACCAGGTTGTACAACAGCTCTCTTGAACTTATTCCTCCTGTCTAACTGAAATTTTGTATCCTTTGACCATCATCTTCCAAACCTTTCCTTCCCTCCACTTCAGCACCTGGTAACCACCATTTTACTCCCTGCTTCTGTGAATTCAACTTTTTTAGATTCTATGATTGAGAACATGCAATATTTGTTTTTCTGTATCTGGCTTATTTTGCTTAACAGGATGTCCTCCAAATTTATTCATGTTGTTGCAAATGACAGAATTTCCTTCTTTTTAAAGACTGAGTAGTATTCCATTGTGTACATATACAACATATTCTCTTTATCCATTCATCCACTGACAGAAACTTAGATTGCTTTTGTATCTTGGCTATTGCAAATAATGCTGCAATGAACACTGGGGTGCAGATATCTCTTTGACATATTTTATATCCTTTGGATGTATACCCAGAAGTGAAATTGCTGGATCAAATGGGTAGTTCTATTTTCAGTTTTTGGAGCAATCTTCATACTGTTTTTCATAATGGCTGTACTAATTGACATACCTACAAACAGTGTACCATGGTCCTTTTTCTCCACATCCTTATCAACACTTGTTATCTTTTTTGTGTGTGTTTTGTTAGAATAGTCATCCTAACAGATTTGAAGTGATACCTCATTGTGATTTTAATTTATATTTCCCTG
The DNA here is from genome assembly GCF_000001405.40 of Homo sapiens. Taxonomy (NCBI): domain Eukaryota; kingdom Metazoa; phylum Chordata; class Mammalia; order Primates; family Hominidae; genus Homo; species Homo sapiens. The sequence goes on from NC_000013.11 coordinate 60,630,823, forward strand.
ATAGGGTGATATTGAGCATTTTTTCATATACCTGTTGGCCATTTGTGTATCTTCTTTTGAGAAATGTGTATTCTGTTTTTTTTTCCTGTTTTTAAAATTGTGTTAATTTGTTTCCTTGTATTGAGTTGTTTGAGTTATTCATATCTGTTTGATATGAACCCCTTATCAGATGTTTGCAAAAATTTTCTCCCATTCCATAGATGTTGTCTTCACTCTGTTGATTGTTTCTTTGCCTGTGCAGAGCTTTTTAGTTTGATGTAATCCCGTTTGTCTATTTTTGTTTTTGTTGCCTGTGCTTTTGGGGTCATATCCAAAAAACCAATATTATGAATCATTACCCTTATGACTCATAGTAGTTTTACAGTTTCAGGTCTCACATTTAAGTCTTTAATCCATTTTGAGTTGATATTTGTATGTGGTGTAAGGTAAGGGTACTATTTCATTCTTTTGCATATGGACTTCTAGCTTTCTCAACTCCATTCGTTAAGACGATCCTTTCATCGGCCCGGCACAGTGGCTCACACCTGTAATCCCGGCACTTTGGGAGGCTGAGGCGGGCAGATCACCTAAAGTCGAGAGTTTGAGACCAGCCAAGCCAACATGGAGAAACCCCGTCTCTATTAAAAATACAAAAAAATTAGACGGGCGTGGTGGTGCATGCCTGTAATCTCAGCTACTCGGGAAGCTGAGGCAGGAGAATCGCTTGAATCTGGGAGGCAGAGGTTGCGGTGCGCTGAGATCGCGCCATTGCACTCCAGCCTGGGCAACAAGAGCAAAACTCCATCTCAAAAAAAAAAAAAAAAAAAAAAAAAAAATCCTTTTCCCATTATGCATTCTTGGCTCTTTTATTGAAGATCAGTTGACAATATCTATGTGGATTTATTTCTGGGTGCTGTCTTCTGTTTCATTGGTCTATGTGTCTGTCTGTATGTCAGTACCATACTTTGAAAAATAACTGTAGCTTTGTTACATATTTTGAAATCAGGAAGTATGATTTCTCCAGCTTTGTTCTTTTTCAAGATTGTTTTGGCTACTCATTTGTGGTTCCATAAGGATTTTAGAATTTTTTTTTCTATTTCTATGAAAACTACCATTGAGATTTTGATATGGATTACATTGAATCTGTAGATTGCTTTGGTAAATATGAACATTTAAATTAAGTCTTCCAGTCCGTGAACACAGAATGTCTTTTCATTTTTTGTCTTCTTTAATTTATCTCATCAATGTTTTGTAGTCAGTATATAAGTCTTTCAACTCTTTAAATTTATTCCTATTTTATTCCTTTGATGCTATTGTAAATGGGATTGTTTCCATTATTTCTCTTGCAGTTCACTGTTACTATATAGAAACACAACTGATTTTTATATATTGATTTTATACCTTGCAACTTTAATGAGTTCACTTATTGGTTATAACGTGTGTGTGTGTGTGTGAGCGTGTGTATGTGTATATGAAGTCTCTGGGGTTTCCTATATATAAGATCATGTCATCTGCAAACAGGAACAATTTGATTCCTTCGTTTCTGATTTAGATGGTTTTTATTACTTTCTTGTGTAATTGCTCTGGCTAAGACTTATAATACTATGTTGACTATAAGTGGTAAGAGTGGGCATCCTTGCTTTGTTCTTGATCCTTGGCTTTTCTTTATTGGGAGTTTTTTTTTTTTTAATTACAGATTCGATCTCCTTACTAGTTATAGATCTGTTCAGATTTTCTATCATGATTCAGTATTGGTAGGTTGTATGTTTCTAAGAATTTACCATTTCTTCTAGATTATCAAGTTGTTTGGCATACAATTGTTCATAGTAGTTTCTTTTTATTTCTGTAACATAAGTTGTAATGTCTCCTCTTTTATATCTGATTTTATTTGAATTTTTTCTCTTAGTCTAGCTAAAGATTTGTCAATTTTGTTTATCTTTTCAAAAAACTTAGTTTCATTGATTTTTTTTCTATTGTTTTTCTACTCATTAATTCCTAATATTTATTATTTTTCTATCTGCTACTTTTGGGCTTAGTTTGTTCTTTCTCCCTGACTAGTTCCTCAATCATAAAGTTAGGTTATTTATTTGCAGATCATTTTTTTTTAAATGGACATCTAGTTTTTCCAACTTCCTTCATTGAGGGAAGACTGTCCTTTTCCCATTGTATATTCTTGGCTTTTTTTGTTGAAAATCAGTTGACTATATATGTGGATATATTCCTGGGCTGTTTCTTCCATTTCATTGTCTATATGTACATTTATTACTATAAACTTCTCTCTTAGTACGTTTTGCTGCATCCCATAGGTTTTGGTATGTTGTGATTTGTTTGTCTCAAGATATTTTCTAATTTTCCTTTTGATTTATTTTCTGACCCACTGGTGTGTGTTGTTCTATTTCCACATATTTTTGCATTTTTCAGTTTTTCTTCTATTGATTTGTAGTTTTATTCCATTGTGGGTAAGAAGAGATCCTTGGTATTTTAATATTTTTAAGTTAAGATATATTTGAGACATAACATAATTTTTCCTAGAGAAAGATCCATGTGCACTTGAGAAGAAAGTGTGTCTGCTGCCGTTGGGTGGAATGCACTACATATGTCTGTTAGATTCCTTTGGTCTAAAGCAATAGTTCAAGTGTGCTGTTTCCTTACTGGTTTTTTGATTGGATGTTTTTATTGAAAGTGGGGCATTGAAGTCTCTCACTATTTTTATATTGTCATCTATTTTCTCCTTCATTTCTGCCAGTGTTTTCTTTGTACATTTAAGTGTGTTAATGTCGGGTTTCTATATATTTATAATTGTAATATTATCCTAGGAAACTGACCATTTTATCATTATATAATATCCTTCTTTGTCTGTGATAGTTTCTGACTTAGTCTATTTTTTTCTGATACTAATATAATCACTCCTGCTCAATTTTAGATGATTTGCATGAAACATCTTTTTCCATCCCTTTATTTTCATCCTGTATTGGTCCATAAATCTAAAGTGAGTCTCTTGTAGATGGTATATAGTTGGATCTTGTTTTTTTTTTTTTTTTTTTAAAAACATTCACCTGCTCTACATGATTTCAGAATTTAACTTATTTAAATTTAAAGTCATTATTTATAGGAAAGAACTGAATTTAAAATAGAACAGTCTATTTTAAGCTGATAACTTCAATTGCATACAGTTTCTCTATATTTTTACTTCTCACCCCACTACACTTTGTTATAGATATCTCTATTTACATTTATTTATGCTTTGTATTCATTAACATATTTTAAAATTATAGTTATTTTAATACGTTTATCTTTGCCTTTTATACTGGAATTAAAAGTGACTTGGCTAGGCATAGTGGCCCACGCCTATAATCCCAGCACTTTGCGGGGGTCGAGGCAGGTGGATCACCTGAGGTCTGGGGTTTGAGACCAGCCTGGCCAACATGGTGAAAACCCCATCTCTACTAAAAATACAAACAATTAGCTGTGTTGGTCGTGGGCGCCTGTAATCCCAGCTACTTGGGAGGCTGAGGCAGGAGAATCACTTGAACCCGGGAGGTGGAGGTTGCAGTGAGCCGAGATCGCACCACTGTACTCCAGCCTGGACAACAAGAGCAAAACTGTCTCAAAAAAAAAAAAGTGACTTATTCACTACTGTTACATTAATATAGCATTCTGTATAGGTTTATATATTTGCTTTTACCAATGTTGTTTTATACATTCTTGTGCTATTGTGTTTCTGCTTAATGATTGTTCCATGTTGAACTCCCTAGTATTTCTTATAAGGCGGGTCTAGCGGTGATGCACTTCCTCAGCTTTTGTTTGGCAAAGTCTTTACATCTCTTTCATTTTTAAAGGATAGTTTTGCCAGGTATATTCTTTTTGATTGGCAGTTTTTTTCAAGCATTTTAAATATATCATCCCACTGTCTTATGGACTGCAAGGTTTGTGCTGAAAAGTTTGTTGATATTCTTTTGGGGGTTCTCATGGATGTAAAAGTTGCTTTTCTATTGCTTCCTTCAAAATTCTTTGTGTTTGACTTTTGATAATTATAACATGTTTTGGTGTGGATTTCTTTAGATTTATCTCATTTTGGATACTTTGGGCTTCATAAATCTGGATCAATTTCTTTCTCAAGATTTGGGATGTCTTCAGCCATTATTTCATTTGAATAAGCTTTCTGGTTCATTCTCTTTTCTCTTTCTGAAACTCCTGTACTTCTAATGGTCCAGTTGATGATGTCCTGTAAGTCCCTCAAGTTCTTTTGCTCCTCTGACTAGATAATTTTAAATGACCCATCTTTTAGTTTGATGATTCTTTCTTTTGTTTGTTCTAATCTGAAGCTTGCTGTAGTGTCAATTAGCTTCTTGATTTCTCACAATGGGAATTGATCCATGTATTGCTTTTAAATTGATGTGTCTATGGGGGAAAAGGAAAATTTAGAGCTTCCTATTCTGCAATTTTGCTAATATCTTGGCTTGCTTTTTAAAAATGCATTTACTACATAGGTATGATTTCCTGAGTAATATATTTGTCTGATTATACTTTTGACCTGTGTATAAATGGAATCACACTATATATATTCTTAAGTGTCTAGCTTTCTTCCCTCAACATAACTTTTGAGATTCACCTATATTGATGAATGTAGGTGTATTTAATTTGCTTTTACTGCTGTGTCATATACTGCTGCATAAAGGTAACACAATTCATTTTTGCATTCTACTCTTGTACAGTTATGTTTTCAGTTTTTTGGTATTGTAAATAATACTCTTACAAACATTTTTAGGTATATCTTGGTGGACATATATAACAGCTTCTCTAAGATTCATATGCAAATAAAATGGCAGGGTCATGAGGCATGCATATATTCAACTTTAAAAGATGATGCCTAAATATTTTACAAATTGTATTAATCTAAACTCGAGCTAATAATGTCTTCAAATTTCTTTTGTTTTACATCTTAGCCAATGTGTTTACATTTTTATCTCAGAATAAAATGATGTACTATAGTGGTTTTACTTTGCTTTTTCTTGATTAATAAAGAGTGTGAATTTCTTTTACATGTTTGATGGCCACTTGTGCTTCCTTCTCTCTGATATGCCTGTTAATATAATTTGACCATTTTAATATAGGGTAATTTGTCTTATTCTTAGTAACTTACAGGCATTCTGTATGTATTCTGGACACTAACCTTTTAACAATCACAGATGCTGCAAATATCTCATAGTCTGTGGCTTGTCTTTCACTGCCTTTATGGGGTATGTGTGTGTGTGTGTGTGTGTGTGTGTGTGTGTTGTCAGCTTTTTGGAATGAAATTCTTACTTTAAATGCAGTTTGATTCACTCATCTTTCTTTACAGTTTGCATTTTTGAGTCTTTTAAACAAAATTCTATCTTACACCGAAGCCATAAGATATTCTCTCATATTTTTTCCTAAAAGTTGTACCTTTTATGTTTAAGTTCTTGATCCACCTGGAATTGATTTTTGTGAATAGTAAAGTGGGTATTTGAATCAATTTTTCTCCCCATATGAGTTACAATCACTTGTTTTTCAGTCCATTCTTTCCTCATTAACTGTAGTGGGTAGCACTGTTTTATATCAGGTATTAACATACACGTGGCCTATTTCTGGGCTCTCTATTCAGTTTCGTTAGTTTGTTTCTTGTGTCAGTATCATGGTGACTAAATTACTACAGGTTTATACTAAATAAATATCCAGGGGGGACAAACATTTCAAATTTTTTTTTCTGTTAGGAGTGTTTTAGATAGTCTTAGATCGTTGATCTTCTATATAAATTTCAGAATCACATTTGCAAATTTCAGAAAATACACTGGTAGACTTTTACTGCAGTTGCATTGAATCTACAGAATATGTTGGAAAGATTAATTTTTATAATATTGTTTACTTTTGTCCACAAACATGGTTATAAATTTATGTGTTTAAGTTTTAAAACTTTTTTCTTTTGCCTCAAAAAGTGACATTTATTTAAAGAAAAAAAAATGACAAGATATTCATCCCTTGGCTCCCTTCCCTACCCGCTCCTGCTGCTTCTCAGCCCCCCAAGATTGAACGCTGGCTGGGGCTAAGTAGCAAGACAGCCCCTCAGATGAGGTCAGCAACATCGAGGGGCATTTCCTCAATGGAGGTGTTGTAGAAGGTCCTGATGTCTCGAAGAGTCCTCTTGTCTTCTTCTGTCACCATGTTAATATCCGCATCCTTAAGGTCAAACCATCTACCTCGACTGATTCTGTGGATATAGTTTTGCCTGTTGGTGGGAAGGTTATATTTGATGACTAAAGAAAGTCGTTGCATATCAATATTTCTGGGCAGCAGGTCAGTGGTAATCAATACTCTGCTAGAGCCAGAATGAAACTCCTTCTGATCACATCGCGTTCCTTTTGGTCCATATCTCCATGCATGGCAGAGACGGTGAAATCTCGAGCATGCATCTTCGCAGTGAGCCAGTCCACCTTCCTTCAAGTGTTGATGAAGATGACTGCCTGGGTGGCAGTCAGGGTTTTATACAAGTCACACAGTGTGTCCAGCTTCTACCTCTTATTCCACGTTGATGTAGAATGAGCAGACACCCTCCAAGGTCAACTCTTCCTTCCTAACAAGAATCCGAATGGGGTCCCTCGTGAACTTCTTGGTCACCTCAAGCACATCAGAAGGCATTATAGCTGACAGCAAAACAACCTAGGTGCTGCTGTTGAGCTTTTGGAATATGTCTTAGATCTGGTCCTTGAATCCATGGCTTAACATTTCGTCAGCTTCGTCCAGTACAAACATCTTGATGTATTTGGGAGACAGGTATCTCCGGTTAAGCATATCAAACACATGACCAGGAGTACCCACGATGATATGGGGAGCTTCCATCTGCTGTTTCTATACCTCAGCACACACGTTGGTGCCCCAAATACAGGCGTGACAGGAGGCACCCATGTAGTCTCCTAGTGTCATGACCACCTTCTGTATCTGCTGAGCCGATTCTCAACTGGGTGCTAGGACCAAGGCCTGGGTGGCCTTTAGATCTAATTCAATCTGCTGCAGAATCGATATGGCAAATGTGGCCATTTTCCCAGTCCCAGATTGGGCTTGAACGATCGCATCATAACCCTTGATACAAGGTAGGATGGCTCACTGCTGGATGACAGAGGGCTTCTCAGAACTGTAGATGTACATGCCATGGAGGAGGGACTCTGAGAGGTTCATGTCATCAAAGCTGTCGTCAACCTCATTCCAGTTACTCTCAATGACGTCTCCAGGCTCCATCCCATCAGGACCATGGTCTCTGGAATCCTGACTCACAGACATGATCCTTAGAAACTCTAAAACTATTTTTATAATTGTCTAAATAAAGATCTTCCACAACTTCTGTTAGATTTATTAGTAGGCATCTTTTTATTGCTATTTTAAATAGCATTGTTTTAAAAGTAGAGTTTTCGGCCAGGTGCGGGGGCTCATGCCTGTAATCCCAGAATTTTGGGAGGCCAAGGCAGGCAGATCACGAGGTCAGGAGTTCAAGACCAGCCTGGCCAATATGGTGAAACCCTGTCTGTACTAAAAAATACAAAAATTAGCCAGGCGCAGTGGCCCACAACTGTAGTCCCACGTACTCAGCAGGCTGAGGCAGGAGAGTTGCTTGAACCCGGGAGGTAGAGGTTGCAATGAGCCGAGATTGTGCCACTACACTCCAGCCTGGTGACAGAGTGAGATTCCATTTCCAAAAAAAAAAAAAAAAAAGTAGAGTTTTCAAACTGTTACTGGTTTACTGAAATGCAATAGAATTTTATATATTGATTTTATATCTAGCAACTTTGCTAAATTATATTAGTGTATTAGTAGGGTGGTAGAGTATAAGGTAGTGGTTAAGAGCACAGATTCTGGATTTGGACTGTCTGGGTCTATCCTCTGCTACTAACTTGTTATATAATCTTGGACAAGCTATATAGCTTGTTTTCTCATCTGCAAAAATGGATAACACTATACATACCTTATAAGATATTGTATTAAGTTCTGTAAAGTGCTCACAACAGTGCCTGATACATGGTTGTATCTAATAAATGTTAACTGTTAAATAGGACCTACAGTATGATGTTGAAATGGCATTTAGTGGGTTTTGTTTATATTTAATACAGCTTGAAATATTTGGCCCTTTAACTGTACAGTTTCTTTCAATTAAAAAAAACTTCATGAGGCAAGGAAGCTATATACTGCATTTCTCTTCCTTTAGTGTTTCAATAAAAATTTTTCTTTCAATTAAAAAAAACTTCATGAGGTGAGGAAGCTATATACTGCATTTCTCTTCTTTTAGATTTCAATAAAAATTTTAAAGTACTTTTTAAACTTAGCAATGAATAAAATTCACATCTTTACTTTTATCCTAAAAAGCATTAATGTTAATAACTTCCCACTCTTAAACCATTGCAGTATTTCAGTTCTATCTTTATTTTAAAAATCCAAAAAATCAGATGTTATTATTTTGATTAATATATTCTACAGTTGATATTTGTTTACATTTACCTCATGTTTATTATTTTCTTGGCTCATAGTTTCTTTTTGCATTTTAGGCATTCCTTCTGAGATAATTTTTCTTCTTAGTAGTATTCCTCTTTTGGAAATTTCTTTGGTGTTTCTGTTGGCATAAACACTCTCAGTTTTTTTCTTATCTGACTTTTTTGAAAAAGTTTTCTTACCTTAACAATTATTTTATTTTTAGTTATGAATCTATAAGAGCTGTGTAGTTTTCTTATATAATTCTTTGTTATTTTCGTCTAGCATTAAAATCTATAATTCCACTCTCCTCTGGCTTCCATTGTTGTTGAAATTTTAAAGATAGTCTTGTTGTCTCTGATGTTCTGCAGTTACAATATAATGTAGATTTAGTTCTACTTATTTTTGCTTATGATTACATTGTTTCTGAATCTGAGGATTCATCTTATCAATTATGGGAAATTTCTAGTCATTTTCTCTTTGAATATTGCCAGTATCCTCTTCCTTTTATTCTTTCCATCTGAAATTTTATACTTTCTACTTCTTTAGTTGTCTATATTAAGTTCTGGATAATTTTTTCAGATCTATGATTCAGTTCATTAAATAGTTTTTACGCTGCTTCTCCTCTATTTAATTTGTAAAGAATTTTTTCATTTTCATTTTAGATTTTCACTTCTAGCAGTAAAAATTTGTGTTCTTTCAAAAGTCTGGGCATTTCTGTAGTGTCTTTTTCTACTGTCATACTTTTAATACCTCTAATTTTTAAAATGAATTTATTTTAACAAGCTTATTGAATTTAAACAAGTTTTGTGAGTCTGATTCTGTAGCTGGTTGTTTTGGTTGACTTCTGTCCATGTTTCCATGGTCCTTATGTATTTTATTAGTTTTGATTGTGAATTAATGTTCCATGGAATCTTTAGGAATTTTTTGAAGTGTGGACTTAATGTGCCTTCTCTTCCGTAGGATCGTGTTTGCTTCTGCCAGATGCTAGAGGATGCTACTAACTTGAGTTCATTTTCAAATAAATTTTCAAGTACACAGAAATAAAACTTCTGGTTCTAACTGCCTGTGAATGTGGGCTCCACCCAAAGCCTCACTTGACTCACTAGGTAGGCAGATATAAGCAAGAATCTTCCCCATCTCCCATTGTCCAACAGGGCTTTTCTTCAGATTGCTTATTGATGATGTCGCTTTACAAAAGCCCCAGCTTCATTCAGTTGTCTCTGATCTGAAATTTTGTACTCTCTAAGCCCCAAGCTTGGTCTCTTGTCCTCCCCAGTCATGGGACCCTTAGAACTCTGGATTAAAACCACCAGAGATTGGTATATACCCTCAGAGCCATGCTGCTCCAAAGCTTGCCTACCTCTCGGGAAACACACTTTCTACTATTCCTGGAAATGCCATCTTCCTGATCTCCATATTTTAAATTCTACATCATTTCACAGATTTTTTTTTTTTGAGACAGAGTCTTGTTATGTCGCCCAGGCTAGAGTGCTGTGGCATGATCTCAGCTCACTGCAACCTCTGCCTCCTGGGTTCAAGCGATTCTCCTGCCTCAGCCCCCCAAGCAGCTGGGACTACAGGTGCCCACCACCACTCCCAGCTAATTTTTGTATTTTTAGTAGAGACGGGGTTTCACCATCTTGGCCAGGCTGGTCTCAAACTCCTGACCTTGTGAGCCACCTGCCTCAGCCTCCCAAAGTGCTGGGGTTACAGGCGTGAGCCACCATGCCCGGCTGAAGTATTCTTTTACAGATAAAATAATAGTAGTTAATATTTGTTTTATTCTTCTAAGCATCAGGACTGTGTTACATGTTTTACATGAATTATCTAATTTAATGTGCAGAAGAACCCACTCTGGCATGTAAAATCTCATTTAGCAATGAGAAGACTGAGATCTTGGGAGGTTAATAACTAGTATGAGGTCCAGCTCATACTGCTGGACAGTTCTGGAATCAGATTGTAACCCAGAGTGATCTGACTCCATTGAAACTTTTGTTCATTTCCTCCACTTTTTATAAGAAAATATTTCAAACATACAAAAAAATTGAAGTAATAAAACAATGAACTTATATTTGTTGCATTCAACTGTTATAAATTTTCTTTCTCTCCCTGTGTATAAATACATATTTTTTTTGCTATACTATTTGAAGGTAAGTTTTAGATATCCTAGCACTTTACCCTCGATACTAAGACTTCATTCACAAAGTGAGCTTATAACTATCTTCAAAGTGGTTGCTTTGGATTTTTTTTTATTGCTTTCCTGAAAATAGAGGAAAATTCTTTGCTCGAAGGTAGGACTCTTTTATCTTTGAAATCTGAGCTTTAGCAAAGTGTCTGGTACGTACCAAGTGAATCAATGAAAAGTTTGTTAAAAAGAAGACCTAGGTTAATAAGAGAGGATGTAAAAGTTATCCAAGAAAAGAAACTTGTTCCAGTTTAGACAGTAAGAAAAAGGGATACATTGAAAAGGCTAGTTGTATTTCCCAGAAAATTGTGGTGGAACATTTTACGTTGACAAGAAGCAAAGAGAAAACATTCAGGTAAATCCATGTGTACAAACATTTATCCCATGTCATGCAATATGTTTTTCCCTAGCTAGGTGATAACCCTCCCTACCTGGGGTAGTAATTCTGTCTTCTCTCTGTGTATCTAGCCAATTATGTGGTTCCTGGTACAGTGGAATGAATGAATCAATGAATCCATTCCAATATAATGTTTATAGTAAAAATAATTTCCACTTATTACTACTGTTCCTGCTACTGAAGCCAGTTCTACAGATAAAATTACTGTTACTGAAACTGTTACTATCATGGAGATCTCTATGGGGAAAGTAGAGCCAAGTGAGGGAATATTATTCCCACCTTACAGTTCAGAAAGATTTGAAGGGAATTAGTTCAAACTTGAATGTAGATATTCTATCTGCAAGTCTAGTGTTTCCTTTATGCCATTCCTTTTGATCTAGTGTTTCTTGAGCTTTCACTTTGTGCCAGCCACTCTTCTGCAGGTAAAGTAGCCATGAAACTAACAGCAGAAACAGCATGTTTGCAGAACTGCTGACTTTACTAATACCTGACATTCTGAAAAGAACATGACAGGTATTAGCTGCTTTTTAAACTCAATCCATTATAATTATGCACATGTTAACTGAATACTAAAATATACTTTTAGGTGAATATATACTTAGATATTTATAGGTATCACTTCTAAAATAGCATTATTTATAAAATGTATTTTATATGGATATACATAAATACACACACACACACACACACACACACACAAATATATATGTATCTGTATATACTGTAGGGACTTCTGCCTAATTCTGCATCCATGACTAAGGAAGCAGGAGGTAAGGAGTTAATGGACTAAGGCAGGCCTGAAATTCCTTAGGGTTGCACATGAGAGATGAAGGCGAGGGAGGAGCTAAGTGATTGCCTTGAATGTCAGCTGGAGTCGGGTTCTGAATTTTGTGGCCACTGGCTGCCCAGTGTATGAGTTAATTGTCCCAAAATATAGACCTTGGTTGTTTGCATACTTTTTGCCTCAATGCATCAGCTTCCGGGGCATGCTCATATTGAGGCATATAAAAAATGTCTGGAGATGGCACATGACTGGCTTTCCCAGAAAAGCTTTTATTGCTTTTATTCAACTCCCGAGTCAGTTTCTGTTTATATATTATCTTTCCTTCGAAGAGCTTTCTGCAAATGCACTAACTGCTACTAATCCACTCAGACTTTTGAAATGATTTTCAAGTTTTTAAAGAAAAGCAAACATTGCTAATATCAGGATGAATCTCTTGTGTGACAAATAGGTGTTCACTGGTGATGATCTGGTATGTTTGGTTCAACATATTCTCCTGAAGACAGAGGATTTGTCCAGTTCTTAAGTCTTTATACTAATTCTTTAAAAAAAATTTAATTTTACTTTAAGTTCCAGGATACATGTGAAGGACATGCAGGTTTGTTTCATAGGTAAACGTGTGCTGTGGTGATTTGCTGCACTCATCAACCCATCACCCAGGTATTAAACCTTACATTCATTAGCTATTTATCATGATGTTCACCCTCCCCTGCCCATCTGACAGGCCCCAGTGTGTGTTGTTCCCCTCCCAGTGTTCTTGTGTCCTCATCATTCAGCTCTCACTTACAAGTGAGAACATGCAGTGTTTGGTTTTCGGTTCCTGCATTGGTTTGCTGAGGATAATGGCTTCCAGCTCCATCCATGTCCCTGCTAAGGACATGATCTCATTCCTTTTTTATGGCTGCATAGTATTCCATGGTGTGTATGTACCACATTTTTTTTTTTATCCAGTCTGTCATCGATGGGCATTTAGGTTGATTCCATGTCTTTGGTATTGTGAATAGTGCTGTATATACTAATTCTTAAGCAACAATTTTTATCCCTCTGGTATTCAGTAATAATTTATCTGATGTTTATGATGCTTATCGTCATCATCATCCATAAATCTATTACACAGGAACAATGGAATACATTTTAAATATCAGGTATCAAGTATAGAAACATGATGCAACTACCAAAAATCAACTGCAAATTGACATTTTTCTTTTATGTAACATTCAGCCTTTTTGTAATAACTATATGATCTCCAGTTTCTCTGCATTGTAAGATGTGTTTCTGGCAAAAACATTGTGAATAATATAAATGCAATCTTTAAAAATAACTTGGTAATGTCTATAATCCTTTGTATTCGAGGCTTCAGACTTGTTAGGGGAATACAAAATACGGCTGTAGCAAGAAGTGCATTCTTAATGGCATCCTTAAACTCAAGTTCAGACCTTAAAGGTATTAACATAGAAATGGCACGGGCACTTTAGATATTGGACAAACAAACCAAGTGTTAAAAAAAAAAATCAGAAAAGAGTGAGGAAACAAGACAAATGGAGAAATTTTTATTTAGATATTATTCATGTAGGGACCTTTGGATCTCATGGAAGGTAAGAGTAATTGCATACCCTTTGTAGGCTGAATCAAGTGGCCACATGGTGAAAAGTGGCTTCTTGATAGATGGAGCCAGACCAGAACACATGCACATCTATCTGCTACATTTTATAACCATCTATTCTGTGAAAGGCAGTTAAAATGGAAACTGGACTCAGACCAAAGTCTTGATCCTCATTGAATGCAGGTGAGAGAAGAGAAGACCAGGGAATGAAGGAGAAAAAATAATAAACAAATCATTTTTATTTAGTTTTTAAATGTTTAAGGTATAAGTTGGGAGCTGACAGAGGCTGGAAATATGGGTCTTAAATAAAGGAGAACTTTTAATGATGTTGTATTACTACTTTTAAAAACACTTTCAGACTCTTTCACACCCTAGTGTTGATGGCAGAAAGCTTAAGTTTGAATATTTGCCCTGCCACTTAATAGCTCTGTGATACTGGGTGATTTTATGAACCCTAGATTTCTTATCTAAAATATGGGGTTATTGACATCTATCATAGGGTTGTTTTGAAGGTTAATATATATACAAAAAAGTCTGCTACAATGACTAATACTGGCCAGGCACATAATACTGGCATCTTAGTTTGTTTTGTGCTGATATTACAGAATAACAGGCACTAGGTAATTTATAAAGAAAATAAATTCATTTCTCACAGTTCTGGAGGCTGGGAAGTCCAAGATTGAGGGGCTAGTCAGCATCTGGTGAGGGCCTTCTTGCTGTGTCGTAACATGGAAAAAGCCATCACAGGGGTGAGGGAGGGTGAGAGAAGGTGAGAGAGGTCAAGAGGGGGTTGAACCTACTTTTGTTTATTTTTCGTTATTTTATTTTTTTGAGTCTGAGTCACTCTGTCACCCAGGCTGGAGTGCAATGGCGTGATCTAGGCTCACTGCAACCTCCGCCTCCTGGGTTCAAGTGATTCTCTTGCCTCAGCCTCCCGAGTAGCTGGGATTACAGTCGTGCACCACCATGCCCGGCTAATTTTTATATTTTTAGTAGAGATGGGGTTTCACTAGGCTGGTCTCAAACTCCTGACCTCAAGTGATCTGCCTGCCTCAGCCTCCAAAAGTGCCAGGATTACAGGTGTGATTCACCTTGCACAGTCTGAACCTGCTTTTAGAACAAACCTACTCTTGTGGTAAAAAACCCCACTGTGTGGTAGTAACATTAATTCATTCTAAGGGCAGATCCCTTGTGATGTAGTCTCCTCTTAACATTCCTACCTCTCAACACTGTTGCATTGGGGATTAAGTTTCTAGCATGTGAACTTTGGGGGACACAATCATAGCAAATGATAATTTTGTGTTAAATTCAAATTTCTTTCGTGTGTTTTGTCTCTTATAGTATGAGCACCCTCCTGTCAAAATCACAGCCCTGCCAGGTACATGGCTGGAAGGGGAGGTGATGTTTAACAGAAGCTCGTGGCAGCCCTCCCTCTTGTCATTTCCTTCACTCCCTAGGTGCTGTTCTCTGGGCACAGCTGCCAATGGAGTCCCAGGGTGGCCACAACAGCGCTGTCTGTGCCCAGGGCAGTGTTCCAGCTGCTCACAGTGCTGCATGCCTTGATTACTCTGTGAATCACAGCCACACTGGTTCCACATGGAAGGGCTCCATGCTCCCTCCCTCACTCTGAGTCTCCTTCTTCTAATGTGGCACCCAAGCAGTGCCAGTCACATTGCTGCTAAGAAGCTAAGATTCTATATACAAACAAACCTTTCTATTATCTGTGACTCATTTGGGCAACTTTAGTATTTTCACTTCCTTTTTCAATCCAGAGGGGCCGTGCTTGGCACACTAGAGCCCTGCTCCAGGAGTGATACTGCGGTAGACATTTTTGTACATATATTTACCTTCAAAACAACTCTACGACAGATATCAACCCCGTATCTTAAGAAATCTGGGTTTTATAAAACCATTCAATGTCACAGAGGTAGTAAGTGGCAGAGTGACTTTCCTTAGGGTTCAGTGGTGAGTCTCTGGGCTCTCGCAGAAAACACACACCTCCCTGTCTCCCACATTTATTTCCTTCCCCTAGTTACCAAGGGGAAAACGTGTTCTCATAGATCCCTTCCCAAACGAAATCAGGTCATGAGAAAAGATAACTCTTAGGCCCCCTGCCTGCTAACAGCTTGAAACTCAGGATGGAAGCAACCCACGAGCAGAGCTCTGTATGGGTGCAGGCCTCATTCTCTATCATAGCACCTTACTTTCTTCATTGGTTTCTCTTTAATCCAAAATAACCTTGTTTATCCATTTAATTGTTTATTTTCTATTTCTGCACCTAGACTATAAATCCCCTGATGGCAACATCATGTTTTTATTCCTCTGCTATTATACTCCTAATACCAAGTCTCTGATATATAGAAATTGAATAAACAGAGGAACAAATCTTTTCTATTAACCGTGCCTCATTTGGTCAGCTTACTTTAATATTTTCACTTCCTTTTTCAATCCAGAGGGGCCATGCTTTTGTCACACCACAGCCCTGCCCCAGGACTGATTAATCTCTCATCTGTGCTCCTATTTCAACCTGTAAATGTCGCATGCATGCCCAGAGCTCTGTGGGAGTGTGTGGGGACTGAGATTGAGCTGGCTGATTGTGATGCGACACCCCAGTGTTCCCTAAGAGGCTCTTCCTTTCTGTGGACAGAGTTGCTAGGGATGCTTCAGTGGCTCTTCTCATCTTGGCAAGGGAATGGATTTAGCTCTTTCCTGGGTCAATGCTAGCTCCAATCTCCATGTTTGTATTAAAAGGTTAATTGCTTTACACCTACACATTCCCAGCCTGGCTTTTCTAAGGAAGAAAAACAGCCACAACCAGAGCCGCGTTTCTACTCTAATATAATTCGCTGCATCAAGTACACAGAATCTCTTTATTGGAGGCCAAATGCACATTCCCATTTGAGAGGCGGTTGCTGCTGGCTGGCTGGATAACTGCTCGTTCTGAAACCCTTGAAGACATTGCTTGGTCTTTCTATTTGCTGTGGGCTGGTGGAGAATGGTTTCTTATTTTCTAAGGGCAGCCTTTAATGAGCACCCAGTGGCTTTTTGATGTTGCCCTCCCACAGACTGTGGGTAGAGGCAGTGCTAGGAATCATACATTTTCATTTGTGGAAGTATTTTGTATTGAACCTTGTCAAAAATAACACTGCCTTTGGGAGGCAGAAAATCCAATTTGATAGCTATGTTTCTGCTTTTTTTTTTCTCTTAGATACATTCTATCTGTTAGGGTAGTTAGGGTATAGTCTTTGGACCTCAGCTATTTTTCACCTGGAAAGTAATTTAGGATAGAGCCCTGTGCTGTTGTTAGTGATGACTTGGATAACTATATTTGCAAGCAGTTCTCTCCTAAACCCAAATTAATATACCTGTAAAGAGTGGGGAGAAGAAAGGAGTAAAGTGATTTGTCCCTATGCTTTCCCTGGGAACTCTCCATATGCATAAGGTACTCAGGAATGCTAATTTCATGAGGATTCTCCTCTCCCAACTGCTTTCTTCCACTAAACATCCTGTGAGAAAGCAAAAGAGGAATTTTGGGGCTGACAGTGGGAGGCTTCTGGGACCTGAAATGACTCCTTTCTAAATGGAGAAGAGTGTAGGATGGGGATTGTTTTCCCAGAAAGACAAAGATCTCATCCTAAGTTTGCAAATAGTCTTTCATATGATTTATTCATTCATTTATTCAACATGTATCTACTGTGTTTCAGGCAGGGCTATAAATAATAACACCTGGATCTTGACTTCAACATCTTAAAGTGTAGTGGGAGGTAGAGACATACAAATGAACAAATACAATAAAGCATGAGAAGGACTGAAATTTAGGCATGTACAGACACAATGTCAGCTTGGGGGCAGTGTTTCTTAATCTATTTTCCCCATTACCACCCTCTATATGAGCCTTTTAAGACTCTTTCCCCCAATCATCCCCCTTCTTTAAATTTATTACCACATGTATACTGTATATTTATGTTCTAGTAGGTCTATTTGTGTTTTACTGCAAAAAAGAGTAAGATTTTTGTCCCCCTAAACTTTGGAGGCTGTTATGGACTGAATATTTGTGTTCCTCCCACACAAATTCATATGTTGAAATCCTAACCCTCAATGTGATAATACTAGGATGTGTGGGGCCTTTGGGAGGTAATTAGGTCAGGAAGGAGGAACTCCCATAATGGGAATCGTACTCTTATAAGAAGAGACATGAGAGCTGGCTCTTGCTCTTTCTTGTCTCTGCTTTGTGAAGATACAAGAAAATGGCATTGCCTGCAAACCAGGAAGTGTGCCCCTACTAGACACCAGATCTCCTGCGGCCTTGATCTTGGACTTCTCTACTTCCAGAATGATGAGAAATAAATTTATCTTGTTTATAATCTATCCAGTTATAGCAGGCAAACTGACTAATACAGAGGTGCTGTCACCTCCATTAAAAATGTATCACCTAAAGGAAGAAAGTCTTTCTCACTCAGGAGAGTCCAGTAGGACCTAGTAGAAGAGAGAGTATTAAAGGATGAGTAGGCAACCACTCAGGGAGAAAAAATGAATAGTTGCATAAGAATAGGGAATAACATGTGCAAAAGTTCAAGGGTATGAAGGTGTTGGGGCTCAGAGTACAATATCCAAAAATGAAGGCCTTAGAAGCAGCCTCAGAAGCAAAAGTTTCTCCTTGACCTTTTACTTCCCTCCTGTCTCTCAGTCCCATTCTTCCCCAAGGTTTGTCATAGAAACTAGAATCCCTCTTCTCCAAGGCAGGTCATAGAAGGAAGAACCCCTAGCCAGGCACGGTGGCTCATACCTGTAATCCCAGCACTTTGGGAGGCCGAGGTAGGCGGACCACGAGGTCAGAAGTTTGATACCAGCCTGACCAACATGGTGAAACCCCGTCTCTACTAAAAATACAAAAATTAGCCAGGTGTGATGGCATGTGCCTGTAATCCCAGCTACTCAGGAGCCTGAGGCAGGAGAATTGCTTGAACCCGGGAAGTGGAGGTTGCAGTGAGCCAAGATCACCACTGCATTCCAGTCTGGGTGACAGAGCGAGACTCTGTCTCAAAAAAGAACCCTTTTGCCCTAAAGCCAGCCATAAAACCTAAATATATTACTCTAATTTTCCCTCTGCCTTTCGGTATAAAAATTGGTCATAAATTTTCTGACCTACCTTGTTTGTAGGTCATAAGACACCCACTTCAGAAAGGGACCTGCGTCCACACAAAAGGAAGGAATATGTGCTCAAAGAGGCCAAGAAGACTCTAGAGAGACAAGTCTTGCTGGGTTTCCCAGCTCAGTCTATTAACATTAGATTGTACCCTTTTTTCCCAATCATATTTCTACATGGCTGTCCATACGTTGTTGAACCTCAGCAAAAAAATGGATAACTTCCCCTGAATTTTCAGGTCTTTGTTCTGAAGGCTTCTGTTTATACACATTAAATACATTCATATGCCTTTTCTATAATTTATCCACCTTTGTGAGTTGATTTTTCAGCAAACCTTCAGAGGACCAAGGGGAAAGCTCTCCCATGGGCCCTAGAAAGGGGACAGTTTAGCATATAGCATGCACAGGTAGAAATAAACCTCATTAGGCTGAGTTCTGTTCAAGGTGCTGCTTACCTGGTTTGCCTATCAAATGCACCAACGTATTGATTCTAATGGGCAAGTTCTACCTAGTTCAAATAGGTATCTATGAAAATTTGAAAAGATTCTTACTCATATGACTTTATTGGCACAACAAAGAATTTGTCAGTAATGTTTGAGTTCAGAATCTGTAATAAAAATGTTTATTATATAAAAACCTATAAAAGGTGTGCAGTAGAACCTGGTCTTAAGCACCATTTTATCTTCACTTAGTAACTGGAGCAAACTCATAATTTGTGCTGTAAGGGTTGAATTAAGAGAAGTATGAGTTTGGGGTTAAACTGAATTAGTGTTCAAATTCTGAATCTATTGATTAATTGAATGGCTTTGACTAAACACATCCCTCAATTTCCCCATCTGTGAAACGGGGAAGAATATCTATATCATGGGTATACTGTAAAGATTCACTCACCCATCCTTTAAAAATATACCTGGGAGAGGATAGTCCAGAAGGCACTCCATTTACCAAATTTTATGGACTGAAGGTGTCCCCACAAAGCTCATAAGTTAAAACCCTATCCCAATGCGATGGTAGTTAGAGGTAGGGCCTTTGGGAGGTGCTGTCGTTTGAATATCCCCTCCAAAACTTATGTTGAAATTTAATTGCATTGTGATAATATCAAAAAGTGGGACCATTACGAGGTGATTAGACCATGAGGGCTGTTCTCATTGATGGATTATATCTCATTATTGCAGGAGTGGGTTAGATATCGCCAGAGTGGGTTGTTATAAAAGCGAATTTGGCACTCTCTTGCCCTCTTGCTCTCAGGCACGCTCTCTTTCCCTTCCACCTGATGCCATGGGATGATGCAGCAAGAAGGCCCTGGCCAGATGTTGGCACCTTGATGTTGGGCTTCTCAGCCTCCAGATCTGTGAGAAATAAATTTTATTTCCTTATAAATTAGCTGGTATGTGGTGTTCTGTTAAACAACACAACATGGACTAAGAAGGTAATTAGGTTATGAGGATGAAGCTATCATGAATGGGATTAGTGCTCTTAAAAGAGGCCAGAGAGCAAACTAGCTCTGTTTCTGCCATGTGAGGACACAAAGAGAAGCCAGCTGCCTGCAGCTGGGAAGAGGGCCCTCACAAGAACCTGACCATGCTGGCACCGTGATCTAAACTTCCAACTTCCAGAACTGTGCAAAATAAATGTTTGTTGTTTAAACCACACAATCTATGGTAATTTGTTTTAGCAGCCTGAACTAAGACACCAGGGGACTGAGAAAACAGTAAGGGGTGCACCAGCATCTTTAAAGAGCTTTGTGATAGTTATTCTCTGTAGGTCAGAAAAGTGAGTGGGAAATACATTGAAATGAACTGCCTGAATTCAGAAAGGGTAAGAGGAATTCAGGGAGTCTGTTCTGAAGCCAGTGGGGATAATGGAAATTTAATGGGGATAATGGTCAAGGGTTAGATGGTGGTCAGGTAGTAAGATGAGGCAAAGTAAGCATGTTATTGTAATGAACAGCAGAGCTAAAATTTGACCATTCTGATGTCAAATCAGAATGGTTTGACATGGATATTTTTGGTGTTGACTAATTGATCATGGTATCCCTAGGACTAAGATAGACAAGCAGTCTGCTAACACTTTACTTGATTTGAATAAGTGGGAAAGCTCTAGGTCTTGTGAGCAGTTGACTAACTCTAATCACCACAAAAAGTGTTGTAGCCCCTCAATCTGTTCCTGGACTGACCCAGCTCACACAGTCCCTTAAGTGAAGAGAAGCCTGGGTCTCTTTGAGGAAGAATCCCCCTACTCTGCCAGAAATTATACTGTAAATCTTTTTCTCTACTTTCTTTAAAAGGACCGGTGGTTACTTACCTGGGTGTCTGTGAATTGGGAAAGGAGAACTAATTAGACATTTTGGCTCTGAAGTGACACTAATTGTTAGAGACTCAAAACATCTCAGTGGTCTACCTATAAGAATAAGGACTTAAGGAAATGAGATAATTAATGGAATTTTGGCTTGTATCCATCTCAAAGTGGCTCAATTGGTCCCCAAAGCTATTCAATGTTTATTTTCTCAGGTCAGAAATTTATAGTTGGAGGAGACATACTTAGCCGCTGGGAGAACCCTCACTCTGATTCCCTCACACATGCAGAGAGGGCTGTCTTGTAGGAAAAGCTGTGTGGAAGCCACTAGGATGGCTCTGTTCTAAAAATCATACACTAAAAGCTATGTTGTATTCCTGGAGGGGTTTTTCAGATCTCTGCCGGTATCAAGGACTTGAAGGATATGGGAGTGGTGATTCCTACCATATCCTAATTCAACTCACCTATTTGGCCTTTGCAGAGAGTAGATGGATCTTAGAGAACAACAGTAGTATTTTTGAAAACTGAACTAAGTGATGAATCTTATTACAACTGTTATTCTAGATAGGGTTTATTTATTGGAGAAAACATCAATACCCCTGGTACCTGCTATACAACTTGAATAGGTTGTAATCCCTGGTTACTCACCCAAATATGAATCTAGGTGGTGCTACAAAGGTGTTTTGTAAATTTGATCAAATTCTATAACCAGTTGATGTTAAGTAAGGGAGATTATTCTAGGTGGTTTGGGAGCAGCTGATTCACTCAGTTGAAACATCTGAATAGCAGAGCCGATGCTTCCCTGAAGAAGCAGAAATTCCATCTGTGAACAGCAGCATGCACCCATGCCTGAGTGTTCCAGCCTGTCCTTCTGACAGGCTGTCCTATGAATTTCAGACTTGCCCAGCCAGCCTTTACAATTCCATAAACCAATTCCCTGCCATCAATCATATATATATATGTTCTATTTCAACCCTGATACAGTGATTTTTTTTCTCAATTCTTGTTAACAGACATCATCAGAAGCCGTTTGCTTTTAATAAGCAAAGCCAGCAATACTTCTTCAGTATCCCACCTCAGGATTAAAATTCCTCTCCAATTCTCTTACCATCTTGTCCATAGGAAACTTGATTACCTCTTCATTCCATAAGACATTGTGCTGCACCACTAATTTAATGATGTTGAGCTAATTGAACTAGTGAGCAGAAAGTAGCAACTAGTCTAGATATCTTGGTAAAACACATGCAAAATAGAGGGTAGAAAATGACTAAGCCCCCCCACTCCCCAAACAAATGTAGAGACCTTTCACTTTGTTAAATTTCTAGGCAATCTCATGGTACATTGACATATTCCTTCCAAATTGAAGAATAAAGTTGCTGCATGTAAACTCTTTTACAACAAAGGTAGTGGCATAGCGCTGATCTCTGCCACTAAGCAGTATAACCCAACAGATCGATTTGATGGTACTTGCAGGGGCAGAAATGCTTTATGGGGCCTTTAGCAGATTGTAATATGTGAATGATATCACTAACCTTTAGAATTTTGGAGTGAAGCTATGTGACCTTTTTCAGATAACTATTTTGAGAAACAACTTCAGGCTTGCTATTAGGCCCTACACATGACATCAGCAACTTATTATAACTATCATAATGTATTTGTTGTCTGATTCAGTAATACGCTGTAGCATGTGTGTAGCAGCATTCTATCAAGTGTAGGTGGTATATGTGAGACTAAGTTTGAATAGATCTTGAAGTCTCAGATAAGTTGCACAGGCAAGTAGTACAGATGTCCATGGTCGTTCCTCTGGCCACATTGCTTTCTCCTTCCCAGTCTGTACCCATGGCCTTGGGCGAAGTTCTCTCATTACTTGATGGCTAAGGAAGACAAAATAGGGCCTACTCTACAGATGATTTTGCAAAATGTGCTGGCATCACCAGAAAGTGTACAGAGATAGCACTGGAACCCTACTCTGGGGTATTTTTGAAAAATAGTGGTGGATATGGAATACTGTGCAGCCATAAAAAAGGATGAGTTCATGTCCTTTGTAGCAACATGGATGAAGCTGGAAACCATCATTCTGAGCAAACTATCGCAAGGACAGAAAACCAAACACTGCATGTTCTCACTCATAGGTGGGAACTGAACAATGAGAACACTTGGACACAGGTTGGGGAACATCACACACTGGGGCCTGTTGTGGGGTGGGGGGATGGGGGAGGGATAGCATTAGGAGAAATACCTAATGTAAATGACGAGTTAATGGGTGCAGCAAACCAACATGACACACGTATACATATGTAACCTGCACATTGTGCACATGTACCCTAGAACTTAAAATATAAAAAAATTATTTAAAAAAATGTGGTGGAGAGAAATTCTCTCAAGAGAGGCAGTACTTTGAGCACTACTCTTTTTTTTCCATTTCTCGTGGAAGGAGAGAGATGATCAGAGGTAGGTAGAGATCTGCATCATTTCATGGTAAGTGGATAAGAGTTCAGCTTGATGGTCAGGGACTTGGAAGGAACAAGATTGGAAAGCTAATAACTAGGAGGTCTGGGAAGAAGTACATAGATGAATCTGTCCAAAAGGGTATAGACTGTCCATATATTTGTGTCCCATGTTAATGCTTGCCAAAGAAAAATCTCAGCAGAGAAATTATCAGGCAGATGAAATGACCCATTTTGTAGATGTTGGTCAGTCTCTTTCACCAGACACCTATGTCCTTTCTAGTGGACTCAGGAACAAATGACCATGGTGGCAGGGATGAAAGTTATGCCCAGGTTCATTCAGCAACATGGACTTTTACTCACCAGGGCTGATTGCCCATAGCCACTGCTGAGTGTGCAATATGCCAACAGAAGAGATCAACACTGAGCCCTGGATTTGGCTCCACTTTCTGGGATAACCAGCCAGCCACTGGGCGGCAGTGTGATTATGCTGCACTAAATTAACTTGGAAGAGACAGAACTTTGTTCTTACTGAAATAGATACTGTACATGTGTATTTGCCTTCTCTGTTATATTTCTTCTGACAAGTCCACCATCCATGGATTTACAGAATGTTATATTCACTGTCATGGTATTCCACACAGCATTGCTTCTGTCAAAGCAACTCATTTTATAGAAGATGGGCTCATGCTCATGGAATTCACTGTTTTTTTTTTTTTTGAGAGGGAGTGATTGGGATACTTTATCTTCTTCTTCTTCTTTTTTTGAGAGCGTCTCGCTCTTGTCACCCAGGCTGGAGTGCAATGGCGTGATCTCGGCTCACTGCAACCTCTGCCTCCCAGGTTCAAGTGATTCTCCTGCCTCAGCCTTCCGAGTAGCTGGGACTACAGGTACGCACCACCATACCCAGCTAATTTTTGTATTTTTAGCAGAGACGGGCTTTCACCGTGTTGGCCAGGATGGTCTTGATTTCTTGACTTCGTGATCCCGACCGCCTTGGCCTACCAAAGTGCTGAGATTACAAGCATGAGCCACCGTGCCCAGCTAAATTCACTGCTCTTATCATCATCTCCCTTATCCTGAGAGGATGGTGGATGTCTTTGAAGACTGAGTTAGAGCACCATCTGGGTGGGAATGCCATGTGGGGCTATAGTAATGTCCTCCAGGATGAAGTAGTCTCTGAATTGTTGACCGTTATATGGTCCTGTTTCTCTCATTCTGAATTAAGCCATGGTTTGTTTATTGCCAGTCACCTGGCAACTTAGTGTTTCTCATGCTAGTAAAACAACAGGCAAAAAGAAGCAATTACCATACTGGGTGATTTATCCCGACTGTCAAGAGACTAGCTATTACACAATTGGGCCAGAGAAGACTGTATGTGGAGTGCTAGAGATATGTGTGTGGGGAGGTACTTTTTTAGTATTCTCATGTTCTGTTGACAGAGGTAATAGAAAACCACCCCAAACCAGCAGGGCCTTTAGGAATGAAGCCGTGTGTTACTCCACGTTGACTGAAGTCAATATAGAATAGGTAGGTGACAGCAAAGTCAATATAGAATAGGTAGTAGAGAAAGGACATTGTAAATACTTCTATAACTATGCAGCCAGTTACAGAATTTTTAGTATTTAT
This sequence comes from Homo sapiens, assembly GCF_000001405.40. NCBI lineage: Eukaryota > Metazoa > Chordata > Mammalia > Primates > Hominidae > Homo > Homo sapiens. The sequence continues at coordinate 60,655,762 of NC_000013.11, forward strand.
ATGTTTTCTTCCTTGCTTTTATATGGATATGTTTGTATATAATATATATTAGCAAATTAGAAAATTTCTTTCCCCCTCTTTCCTTTTCCTACCAACTAATATAAGACTAATAGTGTGTAATTTGGGGGCTGTGTATGGTAGCGCATGCCTGTAGACCCACTTATTTGGGAGGCTGAGGTGGTATGATCACTTGAGCCCAGGAGTTTGAGGTTACAGTGAGCTATGATTATGCCACTGCACCCCAGTCTGGGTGACAGAATGAGACCCTGTCTCTTTAAAAAAAAATGAGTAATAGTGATTATATCTTATTTAAGTTACAAGATGTCAAAGCAAGCATGTAACTCAGGGAGAAGAGTAATAAATATCACCTGAAGATGTATTAAGTATGTGTATCCTTTTTTTAGGGAGCGCATTAGCAGTTTTTGGTTGTATGATAAAAATTGAGCATCCCTAATTCAAAAATACAAAATACAAAATGCTCAAAAATCCAAAACTTTTGACCACTAACATGACACAAAAAATATGCTCATTGGAGCATTTTGAATTTTGGATTTGGGATGCTCAACTGGTAAGTATTTGCAAATATTCCAAAATTTGAAATATGAAACACTTGTGGGGCAAGCATTTTGGATAACCTGTCACTGCATCATATTAAGTAGAAGCATCCTTTTACTATTATCTTCATTTGACAGTTAAGGACGGTTAAACGAGGTATATGTGGCTGCTAGGTTGAAAGGGTTGCAAAGTCCTAGATTGTGCTATTGTCAATTTAGAAACTGTATTTTCTAGAATCCCTTATATGATTAGGTTAGAAGTAGCTGATAGAGGAAATTGCACAAGATTTAGGAGGGAGAGTAAATCAGTGGCTATTATTTTTGGAAGGTTGTAGTGCTCAGAGAGTGTGGCAGTCAGGTGCAGAGGTGTCTGTGAGGTCTCAGCTGGTCCTTGCTCTCCTCTGCTCCGTGTCTAGCTCATCTTTCTGTTATAACTGCTGGCCCTGCTGACCAACGGTGGTCCCAAGCCTACCAACAGATGTTTGGCTGTGAACCTGCACAGGTGGTAGCTACACACAAATCCAACTTCCCATAGATAACCTCCATGTGCCCCATCATTGTGTTCCCAATTTGGTGGCTAGAAATGCTTGGCTTCTTGGATTTCCCTGCACGCTCCAAATTATCCACCCAGGCCAGCTAGGCAGGCAGATTTAGTAACTCTTATTTTTTATTGTGACTCTGCAAATTCCTCTTGAAGACCTTTACTTCCCCAGCATCTCCCTCGCAAGTTTAAATTTTAATCTCTATAACAAATTCCTTATTTCCATACGAGTAATTGTAATATGCTCTGCCTCACTGACTGAATCCTGAATAATGATCTTACTCAAGGACATTGGCATTGTAGTTGTTCCCCCTTTCTTCTGCATCATAAATTATCTCCTCTTTAGCAGGTCATTCATTCCCACCATGTAAACATGGTATAGTTTTCTCCAATTTAAACAGGTAAATACTCTCTTAATCTCACATCTTTTTTTCAGTAACACTTATTTGTTTCCAGTTATAGCAAATCTTCTTAGGACATTTGTCTATCATCAGTGTGTCCAATTCCTATCCTTCTTTTTCTCTTTTGAATTTATTGCAACCAAGTTTCTCCCCATCACCTTTCACAAAAACCGCGCTTCCCTATTGCTGTTTTCAATAGACAATTCTAATTCCTTATTTTACTTCACTCCTCAGTTGATCATTCATTCCTTCTTGCAACCCTTTCTTCACTTGGCCAAGGATGTTCTCTCTCTTTTTTCTGTAGCACAACTGTTTATCTCTTTGTAGCAATTGTGAATGAGAGTTCCTTCCTGATTTGGCTCTATGCTTTATTGTTGGTGTTTAGGAATGCTTGTGATTTTCACACATTGATTTTGTATCCTGAGCTTTGCTAAAGTTGCTTATCAGCTTAAGGAGATTTGGTCTGAGATGATTCCATATTTCTAAATATAGAATCATGTCATCTGCAAACAGAGACAAGTTGACTTCCTCTTTTCCTTTTTGAATATCCTTTATTTGTTTCTCTTGTCTGATTGCCCTGGCCAGAACTTGAGAAGGCACCCTTGTCTTGTGCCGGGTTTCAAAGGGAATGCTTCCAGCTTTTGCCCATTCAGTATGATATTGGTTGTGGGTTTGTCATAAACAGCTCTTATTATTTTGAGATATGTCCCATCAATACCTAGTTTATCGAGAGTTTTTAACATGAAGGGACGTTGAATTTTATTGAAGGCCTCTTCTGCATCTATTGAGATAATCATGTGGTTTTTGTCATTGGTTCTGTTTATGTGATCGATTATGTTTATTGATTTGCATATGTTGAACCAGCCTTGCATCTGAGGGATGAAGCCAACTGGATCATGCTGGATAAGCTTTTTGATGTGCTGCTGGATTCAGTTTGCCAGTATTTTACTGAAGATTTCGGATCGATATTCATCAGGGATATTGGCCTGAAGTTTTCCTTTTTTTTGTTGTTGTGTCTCTGCCAAGTTTTGGTATCGGGATGAAGCTGGCCTCGTAAAATGAGTTAGGGAGGAGTCGCTCCTTTTCAATTGTTTGGAACAGTTTCAGAAGGAATGGTACCAACTCCTCTTTATACCTCTGGTAGAATTTGGCTGTGAATCTGTCTGGTCCTGGGCTTTTTTTTTTTTGGTTGGTAAGCAATTACTGCCTCAATTTCAGAACTTGTTATTGGTCTATTCGGGGATTTGACTCCTTCTTGGTTTAATCTTGGGAGGGTGTATGTGTCCAGAAATTTATCCATGTTTTCTACATTTTCTAGTTTATTTGCGTAGAAGTGTTTATGGTATTCTCTGATGGTAGTTTGTATTTCTGTGGGATCATTGGTGATATCCTTTTATCATTTTTTATTGTGTCTATTTGGTTCTTCTCTCTTTTCTTCTTATTAATCTAGCTAGTGGTCATTTTGTTAATTTTTTTTTTCAAAAAACCAGCTCTTCATTGGGTTTTTGAAAGGTTTTTTGTGTTTCTATCTCTTTCAGTTCTTCTCTGATCTTAGTTATTTCTTGTCTTCTGCTACCTTTTGAATTTGTTTGCTCTTGCTTCTCTAATTCTTTTAATCATGATGTTAGGGTGTCAGTTTGAGATCTTTCCTGCTTTCTGATGTGGGCATTTAGTGCTATAAATTTCCCTGTTAACACTGCTTTAGCTGTGTCCCAGAGATTCTAGTATATTGTGTGTTCATTCTCATTGGTTTCAAAGAACTTCTTGATTTCTGCCTTAATTTCATTATTTACCCAGGAGACATTCAGGAGCAGGTTGTTCAATTTCCATGTAGTTATGTGGTTTTTAGTGAGTTTCTTAATCCTGAGTGCTAATTTGATTGCACTGTGGTATGACAGACTGTTATGATTTCAGTTCTTTTGCATTTGCTTAGGAGTGTTTTACTTCCAATTATGTGGTCGATTTTAGAATAAGCGTGATGAGGTGCTGAGAAGAATATGTATTCTGTTGATATGGGGTGGAGAGTTCTGTAGATGTCTATTAGGTCCACTTGATCCAGAGCTGAGTTCAAGTCCTGAATATACTTGTTAATTTTCTCTCTCATTGATCTGTGCAATATTGACAGTGGGGCGTTAAAGTCTCCCACTAGTATTGTGTGGGAGTCTAAGTCTATTTGTAGGTCTCTAAGAACTTGTTTTATGACTCTGGGTGCTCTTGTATTGGGTGCATATATATTTAGGATAGTTATCTCTTCCTGTTTAATTGATCCCTTTACCATTATGTAATGCCCTTCTTTGTCTTTTTTGATCTTTGTTGGTTTAAAGTTTGTTTTTTCAGAGACTAGGATTGCAACAGCTGCTTTTTTTTTTTCTTTCCATTTGCTTGGTCAATTTTCCTCCATTCCTTTATTTTGAACCTGTGTGTATCTTTGCATGTGAGATGGGTCTCCTAAGTATAGCACACAGATGATCTTGACTCTTCATCTAATTTGCCAGTCTGTGTTTTTTAATTGGGTCATTTAGTCTATTTACATTTAAGGTTAATATTGTTTTGTGTGAATTTGATCCTGTCATCATGATGCTAGCTGGTTATTTTGCACACTAGTTGAAGCACTTTCTTCATAGTGTCTTGGTGTTCATATTTTGGTATGTTTTTGCAGTGGCCGGTACCAGTTTTTCCTTTCCATATTTAGTGCATCCTTCAGGAGCTCTTGCAAAGCAGGCCTCTTGGTGATGAAATCCCTCAGCATTTGCTTGTCTAAAAAGGATTTTATTTCTCCTCCACTTATGAAGCTTAGAAGAAAATTATTTTCTTTAAGAATGTTGAATATTGGCCCCACATTCTCTTTTGGCTTGTAGTGTTTCTGCTGAGAGATCAGCTGTTAGTCTGATGGGTTTCCCATTGTAGGTGATCTGGCCTTTCTCTCTGGCTGCTTCTAACACATTCTCCTTCATTTTTACCTTGGAGAATCTGATGATTATGTGTCTTGGGGTTGCTCTTCTCCTGGAGTAGCTTAGTGGTGTTCTTTGTATTTTCTGAATTTGAATGTTGGCCTGTCTTGCTAGGTTGGGGAAGTCCTGAATAATATCCTGAAGTATGTTTTGCAACTTGGTTCCATTCTCCCCATCTCTTTCAGGTACTCCAGTCAATCATAGATTCAGTCTTTCTACACAGTCCTGTATTTCTCAGAGCTTTGTTCATTCCTTTTCTTTCTTTGTTCTCTAATCTTGTCTGCCTGCCTTATTTCAGCAAGATGGTCTTCAAACTCTGATATTCTTTCTCTTGCTTGATCAATTTGGCTATTGATACTTGTGTATGCTTCACGAAGTTCTTGTGCTGTGTTTTTCACCTCAGTCAGGTCATTTATGTTCTCTAAACTGGTTATTCTAGCTGGCAGCTCCTGCAACCTTTTATCAAGGTTCTCAGCTTCTTTGCATTGGCTTAGAATGTGTTCCTTTAGCTCAGCAGAGTTTGTTATTACCCACTTTCTGAAGGCTTCTTCCGTCAATTTGTCCATCTCATCCTCTGTCCAGTTCTGCCCTCTTGCTGGAGAGGTGTTGCGATCATTTGGAGAAGAGGCACTCTGGCCTTTTGGGTGTTCAGCGTTTTTTAGTTAATTATTTCTCATCTTCATGAGTTTGTCTAGTTTTGATCTTTGAGGCTGCTGACTCTTTGAGATTTTTGTGGGGAATTTTTTTGTTGTTGTTGCTTTCTGTTTGTTTTTCTTTAATGGTCAGGTCCCTCTTCTGTAGGGCTGCTGTGGTTTGCTGGGGGTTCACTTCAGGCCCTATTCATCTGGTTCACTCTTGTGTCTGGAGATGTCACTCAAGGAGGCTGGAGAACAGCAAAGATGGGTGCCTGCTCCTTCCTCTGGATCTCTGACTCGAGGGACACCTACCTGATGCCAGTAGGGATGCTCCTGTTTAGGGTGTTTGGCAACCCCTTTTGGGGAGTCTCACCCAGTTGGGTGGCACAGGGAGCAGGACTCATTTAATGAAGCACTTTGGCTGTCCCTTGGTGGAGGGTGTGTGCCATGCTGGGGGGTAACCCACTCATCTGGGTTGCCGGGATTCCTCCAAACTAGCAGGAGGAAAAACTAAGTCTGCCACTCCGCAGAGACTACAGCACCCCTTTCCCTAGGGGCTCAGGCCCAGGGAGATCAGAGTTCTGTTCCTGAGCCCCTGACTGGAGTTGTTGGAGTTCTTGCAGGGAGGCCCTACCCAGTGAGGAGGGATGGGTCAGGGTCAGGCCTGAAGAGCCCAATGTGTTGGGCTGTGGGGAATACCTCTTGGGACTAAGCCATCCAGCCTCCTGGGCTTCAGCAGGAGAAAAGCATGGCCTGGAGCTATAGAGGTGGCTGCTGCCCTTCCTCTGCCCTGGGAGCTTAGTGTGTTAGGCAGCTAGCAGTCCCAGTGTTGGCTACTGCCCCTCCCGCAAGGAGCTCAGATGGCTTAGACAGCAGGCAGCCACAGCTGTGGTGATAGCTGCCCCTCCTCCCAGGGACTTGGCAGGCTTAAGCAGATTCTAGCTGAGTGGATGTTGAGAATCTGCACGGCCCTGTGATTGGGACCCTAGGCCCTAGTGGTGTGGGCTCACAAGTGGGATCTTCTGATCCATGGGTTGCACTGTTCCATGGAAAAAGCATGGTTTTCCACGCTGGGTAGCATGCTCACTCACCACCTCTCTTGGCTTGGGGGGTGGGGGCTCCCCTGCCCCATGTGGCTCTCAGGTGGGCGGCCGCACCACACTGTTCTTCCTTCCTCTTCCAGGGTCATGCCAGCTGCCTAGTCAGTCCTGGTGACAGAACCTGGATACCTCAGTTGCCAGCTCAGGATTTGCACCATGTTTTGGTTCTTTTCAATGAGCGCCTCTGATCACTGCTGCTTCTATTCTGCCCTCTTGGCCCCGCCCCCTGCCACCCCCACCCCCCCAGCACTTTCTCATATCCAGTGTTCTTATCACATAACATGGGAGTACTAAAAGGCATCCCCTGAGGACCTCATGCATTCCACACATAGTCTTTGGCCCAATTGCGTTATAGCTATTTTCTTGATCGTCAGAATCAATCACTCCAATATAGTAACCACTTCTTTTTTTTTTTTTTTTTTTTCCCTGCTGGTTCATTGGTAATCAGATACTAATTTGTCTTTGTTTATAATTTGTATTTTTCTTCTCAATGTAAGCTCTCCCTCCTGGAATGTACACAGTTCCTCTAGAGGGCATAATTTTAAAAAATAGTTTATATTTTAGAGCAGTTTTAGGCTCACAGCAACACTGAGCAGAAAGTACAGGGAATTCTTAAATACTCCACACCCCTACACATGCACAGCCTTCCTCACTATCAGCATTGGGCACAAGAGTGGCATATTGGTTACATTTGATGAACCTACATCAACACATTCTAATCACCCCAAATGCACAGATTACATTAGGGTTCACTCTTGGTGCTGTACATTCTATGGTTTGGACAAACATATAATGACACACACCATTATAGGATCACACAGAGTAGTTTCACTTCTCTAAAAACCCTGTGGACTTGAGTGAGGAGGTGCCAAGATGGCTGACTAGAAGCAGCTAGTGTGCGCCTCTCACAGAGAGGAGATAGAGTGGTGTTTAAACACCAGCTCTTCAACTGGATGGTCCAGGAGGGCAGGTTGGAATTCATCAAGAAAGCAACATGACCCATGGAGAACAGAGAACAAGGAGACAGGGCAGCCACCCACCTGGGATTGGCTCAGAGCCAAGGGAGGCCCCCACTGCTGGGAAACCGTGAGTGAATGAGAGTCCTTGGGGACCCACGCTTCTACCATGACCCTTTGCAATCCTAGGCAGAGGAGATCCCCCCGACCCTCTCCCGTGGGTGTTTTTAGACTGACACTGAGAGCTGCAGTGGAGTCTGGGCAGAGACACCCAGGCCCATGTAGATCCCCAAGGGCTTGGACTCCTGAGCACCCTGGCGCCAGTTGCCATAGCTCTGCCAACAAGGAAGGGCCAGACTCTGTCTCATGTCCCAGAGTAGAGGCTGCATCCACAGTGCTGAGAAGCAGAAGGGCTGCAGGCCTCACCTCCACTATAGCTCTCCAGGCAAAACCCACTGGCTTGGGGCCTCAGCACAGCCACCTCACCCTGCCTGAGTCTTGGGCTGGGAACAGCTTTGCATTTCTCTGGGACAGAGCTCCCAGGGTTAACAGACAAGCCCGCCATTTTAGCCACGGCCACAGCCCCTGACCCTACTGCCTTCAGGCTGGACAGGGAGTGAAGAGCTAAAGGATTTGATGGTGGGCCTCCTGCACAGTACAGCTAGCTGCCTTATGAAAAATTGACAAGTCTACTCTCCACAAGGTCTCTGTCCCTGCTACTCCACACTGGGCGGGGCTTCCGGATCTGGGCCCCTAGCACAGCCGCCCTGCCTCTGCTTGATCACTTCTGCGGTGGCTGTGCACTTCTCTGGAAAAAGGAAATCTCAGAGACGAGCCATGGGCTCTCTGCCATTGCCACTGCATGGGGTCCACCCTTGCTGCCCTCGGGCTGGGGAAGCAATAGAGCCTGAGTGCTTTACTCGTACCTCCAGCACACTACAGCCACCATACAGAGTGGAACCCAGTCTCTCTTCCCTGTGAACTCCCACCCCACTGCCCTTCACCAGGCAGGGCCTCCTAGCTCAGGCCTCGAGTGCAGCCACTGCACCTGCGGCTGAACATTCCCATTGGCAGCAGCTCTGCATTTCTCTGGGTTGGAGCTCCCGGGGCAACCAAAAGCCTCTCTGCCATTGCCACTGCCAGTGGTACTGCCCTTGCTGCCCTAGGGCTGGGGAAGGCACCAAGATCCTGAATGCTTTACTAGACCTCCAGGAGGCTGCAGCTGCCCTAGGGAGAGGCCATTTTGTCTTCCCTGCAAATCCCCCTCTTCCTCTGCTCATAACCAGGCAGGGCCCTCCGGCTTGGGCCTGCAATGCAGCCCCCACCCTGGGTCGATCACTTTGATTGGCAGTGGATCTGTGTTTCTTTGGGGTGAAGCCCTAAGAGATAAGTGAAAGCCCCCCTTGCCCTTGTTGCCAGAAGCTGGGGAGGGAACAAAAAGTCTGAGCTCACCCCAGGGATGTGGTGCAGTCTGGGAGTGTTGAGCCGAGATTTGCAGCCAGCACTAGGTGAGAGAGGAGCGCCACACTCTGAAAGGACTGAGAGGGAGCAAGACTGTAAGCCCAGGATATACAGTGGGGCCATGGGGGATGGAGAGAGGGAGGCAGGGGTTGAAAACTATCTATTGGGTATTATGCTGATTACCTGGGTCACAAAATTATCTGTACACCAAATCCCGCAACATGCAACAGACCGACACATGTATTCCCTGAACCTAAAATAAAAGTTGGAAAGAAATAAAAATAAAAATCCTCTGTGCCCTGCCTAGTCATCCCTCTCTCCCCTCCACCCTGACAACTATTGATCTTTTTTTATTTTTACATTTTTAAGTTGGGAATCCATTTTAAAATAGATTTTGTGTTTTAGAGCAGTTTTACATTCACAGCAAAATTGAGCAGAAGGTACAGAGATTTCCCATATATGCCTTACCACTGATCTTTTTTACTGTCGTCGTAGTTTTGCCTTTTTCAGAATGTCATATACTTTGAATCACATAGCAAGTAGCCTTTTCAGATTGTCTTCTTCCACTTAATAATATGTGTTTAAAGTTTCTCCATGTCTTTTCATGGCTTGATAGCTCATTTATTTGTTATGATGAATAGTATTCCATTGCCAAATGTACCACAGTTTATTCACCTGTTGATGGTGCAATTTTGTTTAACCTTGTAATACTAGCTCCTAATACACTGCTTGGCACATAGAAGATGTACAGTACATTTTCTTTATGGTTTTTTTTTTAGATGGAGTCTTGCTCTGTTGCCCAGGCTGGAGTGCAGTGACGTGATCTCGGCTCACTGCAAGCTCTGCCTCCTGGGTTCATGCCATTCTCCTGCCTCAGCCTCCCGAGTAGCTGGGACTACAGGCGCCCGGCATCACGCCCGGCTAATTTTTTTTGTATTTTTAGTAGAGACGGGGTTTCACCGTGTTAGCCAAGATGGTCTCGATCTCCTGACCTCGTGATCCACCCGCCTCAGCCTCCCAAAGTTGTGGGATTACAGGTGTGAGCCACCGCGCCCGGCCTATGCTTTTTTTTTAAAAAAAATATTTTCAAACTTTTATTTTAGATTCAGGGGGTACATGGGTAGGTTTGTTACCTGGGTATATTGTATGATGCTGAGGTTTGGGGTATAATTAAGTCTATCAGCCATGTACTGAGTGAGCATAGTACCTAATAGTTGCCCCTCTTCCTCCCTCCCTCCTCCCCCCACCTCTAGTAGTCCCCAGTGTCTATTTTTGCCATCTTTATGTCCATGAGTACTCAATGCTTAGCTACCACTTATAAGTGAGAATATGTGATATTTGGTTTTCTGTTCTCATAGTTATTCACTTTGGATGATGGCCTCCAGCTACAACTAAGGTGTTGCAAAGAACATGATTACATTTTTTTTTCTTTACTTTTCTTTTTTTGTTTTCTGAGATGGAGTCTTGCTCTGTCACTCAGGCTGGAGGGTAGTGGCACGATCTCAGCTCACTGCAACCTCTGCCTCCCAGGTTCAAGCAATTCTCTGCCTCAGATTCCCGAATAGCTGGGATTACAGGTGCCTGCCACCATGCCCGGCTAATTTTTGTATTTTTAGTAGAGACAGGGTTTCACCATTTTGGCCAGGCTGGTCTTGAACTCCTGACCTCGTGATCCACCTGCCTCAGACTCCCAAAGTGCTGGGATTACAGGTGTGAGCCACAGCACCTGATCATGATTTCATTTTTTATGGCTGCGTAGTATTTCATGGTGCATATATACCACATTTCCTTTATTCAGTCCACCATTGACTGGCACCCAGGTTAATTCCTATGTCTTGGGTATGGTGAATAGTGCTGTAGTGAACATATGAATGCATGTGTTTTTTTGTAGAACAATTTATTTTCTTTTCCAGCGTCAAGTTGTAGCTCTGTTTTAAGTTCTTTGAAAATCTCCTGTTTTCCATAGTGGCTGAACTAATTTACATTCCCACCAACAGCATATAAAGGTTTCATTTTTTCTGCAGCCTCACCAACATCTGTTGTTTTTTGACTTTTTTATAATAGCCATTCCAACTAGTATGAGATGGCATCTCATTGTGGATTTGATTTGAATTTCTCTGATTATTAGTGATGATAGGCATTTTACCATGTTTCTTGGCCACATATATGTCTTCTTTCAAGAAGTGTGCGTTCATGTCTTTCACCCATTTTTAAAGGGGGTTGTTTTCTGCTTGTCGAATTTGTTTAAGTTCATTATAGATTGTGGATGTTAGACTTTTGTCAGATGCATAGTTTGCAAATATTTTCTCCAATTTTATAGGTTATCTGTTTACTCTGTTGATAGTCTCTTTTGCTGTGCAGAAGCTCTTTAATTAGGTTTCACTTGTCAATTTTTGTTTTTGTTGCAATTTCTTTTTTGGACTTAGTCATAAATTCTTCCCTAAGGCTTATATCCATTTCCTAGGTTTTCTTCCAGGATTCTTATAGTTTGATGTCTTATGTTTAAATCTTTAATCCATCTTGAGTAAAATTTTATACATGGTGAAAGATAGGAGTCCAGTTTCATTCGGCATATGGCTTGCCAACTATCCCAGCACCATTTATTGAATAGGCAGTCCTTTCCCTGCTGCTTATTTTTGTCAGATTTGTCGAAGATCAGGTGGCTGTAGGTGTGTGGCTTTGTTTCTGGGTTTTCTATTATTTTTCACTGGTCTATGTGTGTGCTTTTGTACCAGTGCCATGCTCTTTTTTGTTGCAATAGTCTTATAGTATAGTTTTATTTCAGGTAATGTGATGCCACCAGCTTTGTTATTTTTGCTTAAAATTGCCTTGGCTATTTAGGCTTTTTTTGGTTTGTTTTATATGCATTTTAAAATAGTTTTTTCTAGTTTTGTGGAAAATTAAGTTGGTAAGTGGTTGGAATAGCAATGAATCTGTAGATTGCCTTGGGCAGTATGGCCATTTTGATATGATTTTGATGCGACATTGATTTGATATGATATTTTGATATGATATTGATTTAATGATATTTTGATATGATACTGATTTTTTCCAATTCATGAATGTGGGATGTTTTTCCATTTGTTTCTGTCATGTATGATTTCTTTGAACAGTGTTTTGTAGTTCTTGTAAAGATCTTTCACCTCCTTGGTTAGGTGTATTCTTAGGTATTTTATTTTATTTTTTGAGGCTACTGTAAGTGCCATTGCATTCTTGATTTGCCTGTTAGCTTGAACATAATGTTCAAGTGGTGTATAGAAATGATACTGATTTTTTTTACACTTATGTTATATCCTGAAACTTTACTGAGATCAGGAGCCTTTGGTGGAGGCTGTAGGGTTTTCTAGGTATAGAATCATATCGTCAGTAAAGGGAGATGGTTTAACATCTTAGAATTTCTTTTATCTCTTTATCTTGCCTGACTGGTCTGGCTAGCATCTCCAGTACTATGTTGAATAGGAGTAGGAAGAGTAGGTATCCTTGTCCCGTTTCAGTTCTCAAAAGGAATGCTTCCAGTTTTTGCCTTTTCAGTATGGTGCTGGCTGAGAGTTTGTCATAGACGGCTCTTATTATTTTGAGGTATGTTCCTTCAATGCCTAGTTTTTTGTGGGTTTTTTTTTTAAATTATAAAGTGATGTTGTATTTCATTGGAAGCTTTTTCTATGTCTATTGAGATGATCATATCATTTTCGTTGTTAATACTGTTTATGTGGTGAGTCACATTTACTAATTGCCTTGTATCCCAGGAATTAAGCCTACTTGGTCATGGTGAATTAACACTTTGATGTGCTGCTGGATTTGGTTTGCTAGTATTTTGTTTAGGAGTTTTTGTGTCTATATTTATTAGGGTTTTCTTTTTTCCTGTGTTTTGTCACTTAGGTGATGCAAGCTTCGTAGAATGAGTTGACGAATCTCTCCTCCTCAAATTTTTTTTTTAATAGTTTCAGTAGAATTGGTACCAGCTCTTCTTTGCATGTCTGGTAGAATTTGGCTGTGAAACCATCCGGTCCAGGAGTTTATTTTTTGATTGGTAGTTTCATTTATTTATTTATTATGGATTCAATCTTGGAACTCAATATTGGTCTGTTTGGGGTTTTAATTTTTTCCTGATTTAATCTTGGGAGATTGTGTTTTCAGGAATTTATTTATTTCCTCCAGATTTTCTAGTTTATATGCATAGTTTATATCCACCTTCCCATTCTGTGCCTTTTAAGTGTGATCATAATAGTCTCTGAGAATCTTTTGTATTTCTGTGGAATTGGTTGTAATATTACCTTGTCATTTCTGATTGTGATTATTTGGATCATTTTTTCTTTGTTAATCTAGCTAGTGGTCTATTAATCTTGTTTATCCTTTCAAAGAACCAGCTTTTGGCTTTGTCGATTATTTATATGGATTTTTGGGTCTCAATTTTGTTCAATTCTTTTCTGATTTTAATTATCATTTTTTTTGATTCTGCTAGCCCTGGGGCTAGTTTGTTCTTGTTTTTCTAGTTCCTCTAGGTGTGATGTTGGATCATTAATCTGAGATTTTTCTAACTTTTTGATGTAGGCATTTAGTCCTATAAACTTTCCTCCTAACACTGCCTTTGCTGCATCCCAGAGATTTTGTTATGTTGTGTCTCTGTTTTCACTTATTTCAAATAAGTTTTTGATATCTGACTTAATTTTGTTGTTTGCTCAAAAGTTATTTAGGACAAGCTGTTTCATTTCCATGTAATTTTGTGGTTTTGAGGGATCCTCTTAGTATTTATTTATTTTTATTTTTATTCCACTGTGGCCTGAGAGTATGGTAGGTATGATTTCAATTTGTTTTTGGAATTTGAGATTTGCTTTATGGCAGAGCATGTGGTTGATCTTGGAATATGTTCTGGTGCAGATGAGAAGAATGTATATTCTGTTGTTGATGGGCGGAGTGTTCTGTAGATATTTATTAGGTCCAATTTGTCAAATTTAAGGTCATAATTTCTTGGTTTTCTGCCTTGATGATCTGCCTAACACTGCCACTGGGGTGTTAAAGTCCCCCACTATTATTGTGTGGCTGTCTACTTATTTTTGTAGATTTAGAAGTATTTGTTTTACAAATCTGGGTTCTCCAGTGTTGGGTGCATATATATGATAGTAAGTCTTCTTGATGAATTGAACCCTTTAGCATTACATAATTACATAATACTTCTTTGTCCTTTTTTACTTTGTTGGTATAAAGTCTGTTTTATCCAATATAAGAATAGTGACCCTTGCTCTTTTTATGTTTTCTGTTTACATGGCAGATCTTTTTCCAACCCTTTACTTTGAGCTTGTGGGTGTCATTATGTGTGAAACGGGTCTCTTGAAGACAGAAGATAGATAGGTCTTTTTTTTTTTCCCCCACCTTCCCACTCTGTGCCTTTTAAGTGAGGCATTTAGATTATTTACTTTCAAGGTTAATATTGATATGTGAGGTTTTGAGCCTATCGTGCAGTTGCTAGGTGGTTGCTTTGTAGTTTCTATTGTGTGGTTGCTTGATAGGGGGTGTAGGCTATGTACTTTAAGTATGTTTTTGTAGTAGCAGGTATTGTTCTTTCATTTCCATGTGTAGAACCACTTAAGGATCTCTTATAAGGCTGGTCTAGTGATAATGAATTCCCTTAGTGCTTGCTTGCCTTGAAAAGATTTTATTTCCCCTTTACTTATGAAGCTTAGTTTGATGGGATATGAAATTCTGGGTTGAAATTTTTTTTTTTTTTAAGAATGCTGAAAATTGACCCCCAGTCTATCCTGGTTTGTAAGGTTTCTGCTAAGAGGTCAGCTATTAGCCCAGTGGAGCTTTCTTTGTATGTAATGTGACCTTTTTCTGTAGCTGCTTTTAAGATTTTTCCTTTAGCATTGCCTTTTTTTTTTTTGAGATGAAGTCTTGCCCTGTCACTCAGGCTAGAGTGCAGTGGTGCCATCTCGGTTCACTGCAACCTCCACCTCCTGGGTTCAAGAGATTCTCCTCAGCCTCCTGAGTAGCTGGGATTACAGGCGCCTGCCACCATGCCTAGGTAATTTTTGTGCTTTTAGTAGAGACAGGGTTTCACCATGTTGGCCAGGCTGGTCTTGAACTCCTGACCTAAAGTAATCCACCTGCCTTGGCATCCCAAAGTGCTGGGATGACAGGCATAAGCCACCATGCCGAGCCCTTAGCATTGCCTTTAAACAGCATGGGGATGACATGTATTTGTGATGATCATTTTCTATAGTATCTTTCAGGTGTTCTCTGGATTTCTTGTATCTGGCTGTCTACTTCTCTATCAAGATTAGGAATTTAAAAAACAGTTGTTCCTCAAGTGTGTTTTCCAGGTTTTTTTTTTTTCTTCATCTCTCTCAGGAATGCCAATAATTTGCAGTTTTGGTCACTTTACATAATTCCATATTTCTTGAAGATGTTTTTTATTTGTTAATGTCCTTTTCTTTAGTTTTATCTGACTAGTTTAGTTTGAAAGATTGTTGTTCAAGCTCTAAAATTTTTATTTTGCATGGTTCAGTCTATTGATAAAACTTTCAATTGAATTTTGAAATTACCTGAATGTATTAATTCTAGAAGCTCTGATTGATTTATTTTAAAGATATGTATCTCTTCCTTCATTTCCTGGATTGCTTTCAAAGTTTTTTTGTGATGATTTTCAGTTTTCTCTTGGATCTCATTGAGATTCCTTGCAATCCATGATTTTCATTCTTTATCTGTCATTTCTGAGTTTCCATTTTGGTTAGGGACCATTGCTGGAAAGCTAGTGTGATCCTTTGGTATCGTTACATTCATATTTTTCATAGTGCCAGAATTCTTGCACTGGTTCTTTCTCATCTGGAGATGCTGGCACTTCTGATTTAAAAAAAAAAAAAAAAAGATTTATTTTTTGCAGGTAAGATTAAAAAAAAAAAGATTTTTGTGCAGGTAGGATTTTTGTTTTTCTTTCTTTCCCTATAAAATTGTTATTTTCTTTCCTTTCTCCCTCCCTACCTAGTGTGTGTGACTTTAATGTTGAGTAGGGTCTTTTGGCTTTGCTTCCATAGCCCTATGCACTTCTGTCAGTAGGTTTTTATTGGGGTATGAAGTTTGACCTATAAACCAGTGGATGCATGGTGCTTATGGGTAACAGCTGGCCATGGCCAATGTGGCTGGGTATATACTTGATCCTTATTTACTGGGAGAAGCTCTGTGTTGCCTCAGGCAATGGGCTGATTCATGAAGTGCACAGTTGTCTGAACTCCATCCTCAGTCCTGGGGTATAGTGGGGCAGATGAGCAGATCTAGTCTGGGCAGGTTTGTTGCAGGTTCCCTGATGGCAAGCACCAGCCCCAGCACTGAGGGAGAATCCAGTGGGCAGCCACCAAGCACCCAGAGGTATGCCTAGGTGTGGAGCTGGGAAACTTCCTCAGCTTTAAGTTCTTTGCATGGGGATGGGGGATGGCCTAAACTCCTAATCTAGGAGAGTGGGTGCTCCAGATGCCTGAAAATCTGCCAGGCCATGTAGTGGAGAGGTGCCCCCTGGCACCAGGATCTCTGCACAAGAAAGGTGGGACAGCTGAGGCTGCTGTTCCAGGTGAGTGGTTGCTCCAAATGTCTGGAAATCTGCCTGAGCATGGAGCAGAGAAGGCCCCCCCTGCACCCAGATCTCTGCACAGGAATGATGGGGTGGCTCAGGCTGCCAATCTGGGCAAGCAGGTACTTTGAATGCTTGGAGATCTCCCCTGGTGTGGAGCAGAGAGGGATATCTGCACTACAATCTATGCCCAGAAAGGGTGGGGCAGCACAGCTTGCTGATCCAGGTGGGTGGGTGCTTTGAATGCCTGGAGATCTATCTGCCTGGCATGAAATGGAGAGGTGCCCCCTGTAAAGAATCTCTGTACAGGAAAGATAGGGTGATTCAGGCCACTATTCCATGTGAGTGGTTGTCCACATGCCTGGTGATCTGCCTCCGTGTGGAGCAGAGAGGGTCCCAGTGCACCGTGATCTATGCACAGGAAGGGTTGGGTGGCTCAGGTTGCTGATCCAGGTGAGGGGGTGCTTTGACCTGGAGATCTGCCTGGTTATGGAGCAGAAGAGCCCTGCTGCACCTTGGTCTATGTCCATGATGGGTGGTGTGGCTCAGGCTGCTGGTCTGGGCAAGCAGGTCCTCTGAACACCTGGTTTTCTGCCTGAGGGTGGAGAAGAGATGACCCCGCTACACAATAATCTCAGAGGAGCAGGCTGGGGCACCCAGAAATGACACGTGAAGATCAGTTCCAGTTTGCTAAGCTGGTCCTGGCTGTAAGTCTTGTCATCCAGGGGAAACTGCCGCTGTAGCAGCTCTCCTCCTGCTCCAGGCCTACAGTGGTTGAGAACACAGTTCTGGTGTAGCTACTGCTCAGGCACTTTCCACAGTTCTGACTGTGGAGGTCCCTACCTTGCTCCAGAGCAGATGCTCCAATCTCTGGCCCAAGACTAAAATGCCCCTGCAGCCACACTGCCAGGTTACCAAACAATGGAGGTCTTTGTATATGCCCAGATTAAAAATGGCAACCTACATTTTTAATGCAGTGTTGCGTGTCTGGGAAAATGCCTGCAGCTATTCCTGGTGTCTTTCCCTTACAGCATCTCCAAGTGTCTCCCCAAGTTAGCTCAAGGGCTTGGGAGAAACAAAGTGCTGTCCCTCAGCCTGGGCTGCTCAGATCCTCAGTGGAAAGGTAAGTCACCGAGGGAGGCTCTCTGCTTCCCTTGCATACTGGAGCTTCACTCTTATCAGCTAGTTGCCATCACAGGGGCTATTTGCCATTCTCCGCTGCAGGATCTAAGATGTCCTTCATGATTGTGGTAGATTCCCATTTTCCTTATTAAATTAAAGCTCACAGATTTGATTTTATGCACTATTTTGCTATTTCCAAGTGGTAGAGGCATGCTAAAAACCTCTAATCCACCATCTGGAAAGAAGGACCCAATTTTCCTTCTTTATTCTTATCATGCAATTATTCTCTCTCTGAATAATGTGTCTCCAGAAAATTGTCTGGTCTGATAGTAAATCGAAACCAAATTTCTGGGAATTTTAGATTCTTTCATCTGCCCTCTAACTCTCACTCTCTCAAATATACCTCTTGACTGTCTCTTGAATTAATCCTTTCTGGTCACTGTCATTGATCTGACTCAGGCTTCATTAACTTCTCCCAAATTCATATATTAGTTTCCTGACTAATCTTTCTGACTCCAATGCATAATCTGCTCCTAAAACACATACCTTATTATGTTGATCTCTTGCTCAAAATATTCAGCAGATTAAAGTTTAAAGTTATTTATATGCGTTCACATTTTTCAAGATTTTACTCTTACAGTGTGCACAGCCTCCTGTTCAGCATCTCTTTTTATAAACTTCCAACTTCTATTTTGTGTGCTCCCACAGCTCTGAATTATTTGAAGTATGAAAAGCAAGGTGTGTCTGTTTGTCAAATTCAAGAGCTTTTATGTGAGTCCTAAACTGTTCTCTGCTGTAGTGTCAGTTTCCTCCCACCTTATTCTGGATATGTTTGAAATAATGGATTAATTCGATTATTGATCCTGTATTTCAGAGATGAATTAGACATAAATCAAAGAAAAATGTGGAGCTCTTGAAACCTGAGATTGATGGTGTTGGCTTCTATATTTCTACATTTGATGGCTGGGTGCTGTTTCATTAGGGCCAGGGTAGAAGATAAAATTCCTATAAATTCATGGAAGCTTTGTGGTTGGTACTTAGAGAAGTACTGTGTAAGTCCTCCAGATTCTGCAGTGAAAAGCAACAAACACTTAAGAATTGGATGGATCAGTCTTTCAAATGAAGGACTTTGCTTTAATATGCTTGTATCACTTACCTCCCATTATTACCCACAATCCTGATGTCAGATTTTTATTTTTGTTTAAGTGAAGCAAAAAAGAACTTTTGGAAAAAGTACATTTACAAAAGACCAAGGAAACAGAATTCTCTCTATGTAAAGAAGAGTGAGTTTTTCACATTCTGTGAGCTCTCACTTTGGGCATTGCATACACACATACACACACACACGCACACACACACACACACCATGAAATCTAAGAAGGTTTAGAACAATATTAAAAATTAAATGTATGAGGTAATGCAGAGTGAAGGGAAGAATGTCAACCTACTTCTGAACAGACAGTGTAAACTTTTTGTGTAATAGTTGCATACCCTAGTAACTAAAGGATCTGATATAATGAGATACAGCTGAGCTTTGGGAAATTTTATCAACCATTTGATTTCAAGTGATTTCATTCTATCCTTAACTTGCAGCACTGGGCTTTGATATTGAAATAGGAAGAGAACACTGAATCAGATATTTTTTTTCTTGTACTTGCCATTTCAAAGAACTTTACAATTATTATTGCCTTCCCATGAAGTAGGTAGAATTAAAGTGCTTTGATTTTTTTGTTGTTAGAGTGTGAGAAATCCTAACATGACAAATGACTTGGAGGTTAGAATAGAGCAAATCAGGACCAGAACAATGTTTAAAATTTACTGATTTCAAAGATTGTAGTCACTCAACTGATCTATTTTCAGTTTAGAAAATAGTGGGATGTTACACTTTGTAATACTAAGCACTGTATGGTTGAAGTTAAAGCCCAGTAAGTCCATTTTACCAGGAGTCAGGAATTTTGAGTTCTAATCCTTGCTACAACTCTTAATTTTAGTTAACACTAATATTTCTGGAATTCAGTTGTATTATCTGTAAAATAAAACAATTCAGATGAATTTGACTAGAGTGAGGAGACTGCTTCATATGACTTCCTAACCTCAGGGTTTTTCAGTCAGTGTTTCTTATTGAGGTATAAAAGACCATGTTCCAGAGATGGCACCTCACAGAGACATGAAATTGATAGGATTTAATATTCATATTCTTCTCAACAGACCTTTTATTTAAATAGGCAAAATAGATACTCTCTTTTACAAAGGGGACACTGGGGCACTCAGTGGAGTGCCTTTGTTCAGTACCATAGCTACTCACCTCCATTCAGAATGCCTTCTTTCATGAACTTGCTGGGGAATTGTTGTTTTTTAGTTTATTAATATTATTAAATAACCACTGTCTTTAAAGTCTTATAATTTCTCAAACATATTGCTTTCTTTCCATACCAAATTAAGTATCATATTTTAGGACAGAATTATAAATTCCAAGTGAAAACACTTCTACAGAGTTAACAACAAACTCTGATTAATATTAGCTAATTCATCAAACATTTACTATTCTAGGTTGATTATATATATATATATATAAATTCATTTAATTCTCATAACAGTTCTTTGAGGGTAGGTTCCACTATCATCTCATCTCCACTGGTGAAGAAACAGATGCATTCTGAGTTTAGTAATCTATCTATGGTCGATCAGCTAGTTATGGCCAGAGCCAGGATTTGGAAAGCTGGTTTCAAAATCCAAATTCTTGACTAGTTTACTAAATTGTTGGACCATACACTCTAAATACAACTGGCATTCTAAGCCATGTTGATATGGGCATATAACCTATAGAAAGGAACAGAAATATAGAATATACACATGTGCTTTAGAATCTTATTAGATAAATGTGCAGAGGAAGATTATATTTAGGGCAAATGCATAACAAGGGTGGGACTCTCAATGGTTTGGGATTCACAGCAAGAGTTAAGAGTTTTATGTCTATCTTTGTTTGCTTAAAGCAAACTGAAATTCCATTTTGATTTTATTTTCTTCAAGAGCCAACTACTTTACACATATAAAGTTCCAACTGAATAGCAATGCAGCATCTAGATTTGATAGCTGTCCTCCTCTGTAAAAAGAAAAGAACGAGAATCAGTCTAGCTATTGCATCTTAGGAATTACTTCCGTGAAGATGCCTTCCATGATTCTCCTAGTCTGAGCCAGATAGCCCTCTGTGCTTCCATGGCAACTCACACTTTCTTCTGCCTTGACCCTACACAGGGTCCTGTAATCACCTGTGAGCTTGTCTGTATTCTTCACTGGTCTGACAGACCTTTCAAGATCAGGGATTTTCTTATCCATCTTTGCAGCTTTCTGCCCAGCAGATGCTTTGTACTTAATAGACATTCAGTAGGCATTTGCTAAAGTAAAATAAAGGTGTCTTCAAACTAGCTTAGGAAATATTCTGGAGAGACAATGTGTTATTTATTTTTTTATTCTACCCACGTCTGACTGTTAGTTCTTCTATGGAGTACCTACTTTATGCAAGCAAATACTTGTTCTCTATCTACCTATTATGTTTATATATTGTAGCTATTTAACATGTGTTGTTGATTGAATTACATTGGAATAGGTCCTTTAGATGTATTAGAGAACTGGAAGTAGTTTAGTCAGTTTAGGCTAGGCTGTGTTTGGTAACAAACCAACCTCTAAATTTCAGTGTCTTAACACATAAAGGTTATTTCTCAGTCATGCAGAATGGTCCAGTGGTGACTCTCAAACAGCAGCTCCTTTCCAAATGGCGACTGCAAGTTTCAGGCCTCTGGCAGCTTGTAGCTCTGCCATGGAAAACAGGAGGCTTCCAGATCACCATGACAGGAAAAGAGAGAGCTGGGCACTGGCTCCCAAATGCGTTGGTCTGAAAATGACACACTTTGCTTCTGCTCACAGCCCTTTGGCAAAAACTAGTCACCTGGTCCTGTCTACTGCAGGGGGGCAGGGGAGTGTGGGAGAGGAGAACCATAAATAGCCTGCCTGGAGGTAGAGAGAGTGAAGTAGGGTCTAATCATCAATACTGACATTTAGTTTTCGGTCTGGTGCGTTCATTTTTAGAAAGAGAAGCTAATTAATTTCTAAAAATAGTTAATACATTATTTCAAAGGAATTCATATAAAGATCAGAGAATACTACCCCACCCCCTTTATTGACAGGACCCAAATTAATAAATGGTTTTTAAAAAAGTTAGCAAATAAGAGAAACATCAAAATAATTTTTCAGCCCAAGATCTTTTCTTTAAAGATAATATTAATAAATCAATTGATAATACCCTTATTAATTCTTAGCCCCCAGTGAAGTCTCTGTCCAAGCAGAGATTCCTGACCTCTCTGATTTTCAAAGTCCTGAGAGAGTTAGGCAAAAAGAGGCATATCCATGGGCAAGTGCTGTCAAAATAACTTGGTCACTGCTTCTCCCTTGAGGTGACCTGCCTTCCTTTTTTGTACCTGAGAAAATTGCCAGTAAAAATGACTGATTGAAGCTTTAACTTTCTCATTTGGAGTGCTGAGAGGTGAGCTTTCTTAACTCTAGAATACAAATATTAAAGCAGCCCACAAAAAGCTCTTCTAACACAGTGTAAGATATCAGGATGAAAGAATTGATAAGCTCCAATTCTTTTTATTTGTTGTATCTTCTATCAATTATCTAGTGGATCTGGAATGGCCTAAGCCTTGCTATATCAAGCTTTTCTAGAGACAGATTCTAATCTGCATGCTTATGGTTAAAGGAGGCATTGTAATATGGCACATGACCAAGAAAGCACCCTCAGCCTGTTTCTTCAGGAGTGTCAGAGTTCTCAGGACATCACGGGGAAGCACAGGTATGGATTCATCAAGTCATTTAACTTCCTAGAGTATATGGATGAACTGTATTTCCAAGATCTCAGTGGGATTAAGTCCCTGAATTGTGAGCAGCAATGGCAATTAGGAGAGGATGTATTTAAGAATTCCCTTTTCTCCATAGCCTCATCAGCATCTGTTGTTTTTTGACTTTTTATTAACAGCCCTTCTGGCTGGTGTGAGATAGTATCGCAGGAACAGAAAACCAAACACTGGACATTCTCACTTATAAGTGGGAGCTAATCACTGAGCACACATGGACATAAATGTGGGAACAACTGACACTGTGTACCTCTAAAGGGTGCAGGCGGGGATGGGTCAAAAAACTACATATTAGGTACTATGCTTACTACTTGAGTGATGGGATCCATACTCCAAACCTCAACATTATGCAATATTCCCATCTAACAAATCTGTATATGTACCCTCTGTATCTAAAATAAAAGTTTGAATACATTGTAAAAATATTTTATTTTTATAAATGAGGGGGTGCTCTGGCACCCCAGTGAGTCAGTTGAGTGCACTGACTGATGGGGGCCTTGCCATCCTTAGGATGTGGCTTCCAAGACCACACTGGCCATCAGTATCTAGCTGGAAAAAGGAGAAATAGCATAGAAGGTGGCAGCTGAGCGGCTTTTATGGGCCTGGCTTGCCAATCATCGGCCAGAATTCATTCACACGCCACATCTTCCCATAAGGAAGGCTGGCAAATGTGGCCAAGGGTGTGCCAGGAAGAAGACAACTAGCAGGCTTATTTAATTTCTACAGCAGCTCTATGACCAGAGACTGCTATGATACTCACTTTACAGGTGAGTAAACTGAGTAGCCAAAAAATTTCTTTGCTAAAGATCTGCTTGAAAGTGGCAGAGCCTGGAAGTGAACCCGAGTCGTCTTACCAGAGCTGGGCTTAACCACACTCTGCAACATCCTTTCTTTACACAATGCAGTATATTACATGCACTGTGCTCCACTTTGTTTCTTTTCGCCTTAAGAATATTTAGTGGTGATTGTTCAATCCTAGTACAGTTGACTTTCCTTATCCACTAGGGTAAGTTCCAAGACTCCCAGTGGATGCCTGAAACCATGGATAGTACAGAATACTGTATGTGTTATGCACAAATTTCTTTTTCTTTCTTCACAATGTCATAGATTTGTTCTTACCATGTATCTTAGCAACTGCAGCATGTGATTTTTTTTCTTAAGTTGAGGGCTTTCACCTTTTTACTGAAAGGAAGCACTATGACTTCTTTTCGGCACATCCGGTTAGCCGGTATTCCTACTCTTGCACTTTGGTGCCATTATTAAGTAAAATAAGGCTTACTTGAACCAAGCACTGTAATATCAAGACAGTTGATTTGATAACCCAGAGGGTTTCTAAGTGACTAGTGGGCAGGGAGCATTAACAGCATGGGTACTCTGGACAAAGGGATGATTCATGTCCGGGGTGGAAGAGGGACCATGCAAGATTTCACAATGCTACTCAGAATGCTTTGTGATATAAGAATTATGAATTGTTTATTTCTGCAATTTTCTATGTAATGTTTTCAGATCATGGTTGGCTATGGGTAGCTGAATCTGTAGAAAGCAAAACTGGACAAGTGGGAACTGTTGTACACATATGGCTGTTTCTTGACAGCTATTTATTACTCAATTATAGAAATCATAATTAACTACTCTTATCATGACTATTATTTTGTTTCTATCTTTCCCCCATTATAATCTGTAATACAGAGAATATCCCCCAAAATTTGCATCTTCACACGTTGAGTATAAGAAGACAAATAATTTTCACACATGTGAAAGTACATGAAGACAAATTTTTAGAATTAAAATTGCTTGGATAAATGGTATATATATAATTACTTTTGATAGACATTTTCAAATTTCCTTAACATGAGATCATTTTTTACAACAAAAAGTACCATTTATACACCTATGAACAAAGTATACAAATTTCCCTACACTCACGCCACACACAGGTTTTCAGCTTTTTTGATTTTTGCTAAATTGTAAGTAAAAACGGAATTTGATAGTCTTAATTTTTTCTCTTAATACAATAGATCTTTGAGGAGTCCGGCTCCTGCTAAAAAACTTTTGTGTGATTTTTCAGACCTGACCATAGGCAATTTAAAAGGCTTTGCCTGGCAGGCCTCCTGGAGGAAGCTGCCCTCCCCACACAGACTTAGTGCATAGCCCCTGAACAGCAGCCTCTGTGAGGACTTGCAGTTAAGGACCTAGGAACCCTTGGCCTACCATGCCCTTATGCAAAGCTGCCTTTCTAGCTCAGGCTCTTTCATTCAGAAGCCTCTTTATCTGGGGGTTTCGCTGAGATATTCCTCACGTGTCTCTGTTGATATCTCCTTTTGGGCAAGTGGGGTATGGGGAGATTTGAAGACACTTTTCTCCACTCTGACTCAGTACTACAGTACCCAGTACTTTTCCATACTTCATCATTGCCCTCCTTTAGCTCTGAGTCCATAAAGCTGCAGGAGACTTTTTTTGGGGGCTTCCTCTGTGCTGATCCACGTTGCTCTACTGACACTGTTCCATGGAAGGAAATGAGCCAGGAGGAGCCAATGTTTTCTCTGGCTTAGTCCCTTTGCAGGAAGTAATTAAAAGCTTCACTGTAACTTTCATTTTGGCTTATTGTTTTCATTGGCTACCCTGACATCTGGCAGCTGAGCTGAGCTCCTGACAATGTTAAAATGTCTACATATATGTAAATTTATTGCAGCTTTTCTGTCTTTTTAGTGATAGTTCATATCTTTTGCTTACTGTTTTTTTGGGATATTATTCAATATTTTCTTTTCCATTTAAAGATTTATGTATTAAGAAAATTAATCATTTACCTATATGTAATATTTTTGTTTTGGCCAATTTTTCATTTGTCTTTTGATTTTAATTATAGTGTTTTTTTTTTTTTCTATGAATTAAATTCTTAAAAATTGTGGTTGAATTTATGATTCTCATAAGAATGCCTGTTTTTCTTTTTTGGGTCAGGTTAAGAAAAAGTCTTTTTTTTCAGTGAGATTATAAGACATCTCTATCTGTATTTTCTTTGTACAATTAAATCTTTGTGTTATTTGCAATTTTGTTGTAAAAAGGGTAAGATAATTCAATTGCAGTTTTCTTTATGGCTATTCAATTATCCCAACATCATTTAGTGAATAATTTGTTTTCCTCCATTCTTATAAAATGTCACCTTTTTGATATAAAGAATTCCTATATGTACTTGAGTTTATTTCTAGTTAGTCCATAGATCTGTATTTTTACAATTTATTACTGCAGATTTAAATTTACTGTGGATTTAAACATGTTTTGCTGTCATATTGTAGACATTCCTTTTATTTAAAAATTTCTTGGCTGATTTATTTTTATACAGGTGTTTTAAAAATCAGCTTGAGAAGTTAATAAGCCTATTTTTCTAGAGATCACATACATTCATATATATGTTTCATATTCATATATGTATGTATACACACATTTATATACATATATACATATGTATACACACATACACATATGTATGCGTGCATAAACATGCACATGCACATACATATGCATGTATGTATATATGCATGAATACATATACATATGCATGCATGTATATATACACATATGTATGTGTTTGTGTATACATATGTATATGTATGTATAAACACATGTATGTATATACACATATACATGTATATATACACATATACACATATATATACACATATACACGTATGTATATACGTATATACACGTATATAGGCATATATACGTGTGTATATACGTATATACACACACGTATATGCGCCTATATACGTGTGTATATATACGTATATACACATGTATATGCATATATACACATTATGAGTATATATGTATAAACATAAATATAGGGAGAATTGTTTCTTTTCACCCTAGAACAAGTTATACTTTTATTTGGGTATTTAGTTTCTTCAGGTGCATTTAAAAGTATTCATCTAAATTTCTTTTTAAGCTTATAACACATTTGATCTTTTTTTACTGTTTTCTTTTTATAGTTTCTTTTATAGTTTCTAATTGCTTGTTATTATATATATATATGTTACTCATTTTGTATATCAACTTTATTCACAGTCACATTAAAATAATTATTAAGAGGCTGTGAGTTTGGTGGTAAAGATCTCACAGGCCAGCACCAGACAACCTGGTTTTGAATCCCAGCCTTGACACATTCTGGTTGTTATTGTGAGGATTAAAGGGAATTCATGAAACATGCTTAGAATAGTACTTAATCAACTTAATCATTATCTCAGATAGCAGTATAAAAGTTTTCCTTGCTTCAGAAAAAGAATTTTGATGCTTTCCTGTTTCTATACTTGGAAAAAGTTCAAATAGAAGCTTTTCTTTTTGTTAATATAAAGATAAATAAGACACATTTCCTCCCCTTCAGGGAAATTGTTTTCTTGTTTGCCAACTCATTTGAATCTCTAAATTTTTTTTGATAAAAGAATAATTAGACTAAATTCATAAATAAGGAATCTGCTACTCAGGCTGAAAAAGTGTCTAAGCCAACATTTAAATCCAATTCCCCTTACTCTACAGACAACAATCAAGATTTAAACATGTTAGCACAGTAAAAGCAAAGCTTCAGGGACCTCTTTATTTGAAAATACATGTTCTTTTAACTAAAAAAATAATTACTCTTCCACATTTATTGATTAATGGAATGTTTTCCTGTAATACACTTCAGTATAAAATGTATACAATGTACTCTACACTTAAGTTCAATTTATGGAACGCTCCAAAGAAAAGAAGAGCAAAAATAGTACTGTTGATTTTCACCCTTTGCTTTTGTGTCTTCCTTTATTATCTTTTCTCCATCATGCTCTTCTATAGTTCTGACCTATAGAATATCTGGCCTGGGTTACTACCAACCTTGTAAAATGGTTTCTTGGACTCTAGTTTTGTTCCTTCTCCACACAACCACTAGAGCAATATATTGCAAATTTGATCATGTTTCCTTTCCAGCCTGAAATCTTGCTGGAATGCTCTAGCAATACGAAATGCTCAAGGTTGTCTTGAGCATACAAAGTACCTTTTCATCTTGTGAGTTTGGCCTCTTCACTGCCATACCCCATTTTCCTTCCTCTCACTTAAAAAAAAAAAAATCTGGCTCACGATTTACTTTCTCCAGCAAGCTCTCTTTTTACTTCTGAGCCCGTAAGTGTTTGGGTGCTCCACTACAATGCACCCATCATATCCTTCCATGCCTTCCTCTCTCCTAGCACTTACAAATGTTCATCCTCATGTGCCTGCAATTTCTTAGGATTGCTGGTACCTTGGACTTGTGACCATATCTTTATTTATCTTAATATCGCCAGTACCTTGCATTTGCTTCATACACAGGAGGTTCTCCAAAGATATTGGTTCAGTGAAAGAATAAGCAAATGCCACCCATTCCCCCTGGCCATCTTTTTAGAAAGTCTGTTAGGAAAGCATTTTTTACTGGGAAAATTTTGAGAAGATTAGGCCAAAGACCTAAATCCGGGAGTCCTGGCTATTAATCCCAGTTCTGTCTTTAACTCACTCTGGAGCCCTGGCCTATCTCTGCAGGTCTGTGGATACATAAGTCTCCAGGTAGATTCGGGGTCTGTATTAGCACAGTATTGAGGTAAAATTAAGCCTCTTAAATCTCAGATTTTGGAAACTCAACCCTGCCTTACCTCACAGCAGACCCAGCCTTACCCTCTATAATCTCCTCCTTTAACATTGTTTTCCCGGACATTTCCATTAGGATTTTTGAGCAACTGACTTAACATAGAAGGTGTGGTGTGGCAGGCTTATATCTGGAAATGTGTAGATGATAAGTTTGAAACTGGTATTAAGTCACATACACACCGATTGCCCTTGCATTAGCTCTGTGGCTATCCTGCCTCCTTTCCCAGATGTTAAGAATAAAGCACTGGTTGGTAATTAGTGAAGGAAAGGAAAAGCTGCCCCTTTAGCAAAATAATATTGAGGAGGTATGCCAGCAGGGGGTTATCTTTCCCACTACAGGATTGCTTGGTTGTTTTTTGGGTATTTGGTGGCCTCCAAGTCCAGACCACCATGGAAAATCCAGAGCACCCCTTCTGCCTAAGCAGTGAGGGACCCAGAGGGAGAAAGGACTGATTAAACATCCTGTCTGAAGACCATCTAAAAGAGAACAGGGGGCATAGGATTGGAGCGAATGACTTGGGGGGCAGGGGAAAGTCTTGAGGAGGGAGTCTCTTTTCATCAAGGGGGAGCTTGCAGGCCCCATGCCATAAGTAGGATTGTGACTTCTTGGCAGGGAATCCCTAGATCTCTGCTCCCCTTGTAGGCTCTGTATTGCTTAACCTGCAGTAAATAACCACCTGAACATTTTTAAAGATTCTATATGTATTCTTCATGGCTTAAATAGGAAGTAGATGCCGTTTTCTTTCCCTTCTCCAGCTGATGTCTAGATTACTTCACAGTGGAAGGCAGGATGGTGAAACATCCTGCATGGGACCCCATCACACCACAGTAGACAGACCATTCTTGTTGCTGTCATGACATTGCTCCCTTCTACAATAAGAGGTTTAGTGCCCAGGTAACACAATGGGCACCAGCAGAAGGCTGGCAACCACAGGATTTTTTTTTTTTTTTTTTTTTTTGAGACAGAGTCTTGCTCTGTCGCCCAGGCTGGAGTGCAGTGGCATGATCTCAGCTCACTGCAACCTCTACCTCCTGGGTTCAAGCGATTCTCCAGGCTTAGTCTCCCGAGTAGCTGGGATTACAGGTGTGCACTACCACCCCCGGCTAATTTTTTGTATTTTTAGTAGAGACTGGCTTTCACCATGTTGGCGAGGCTGGTCTCAAGCTCCTGGCCTCACGTGATCCACTCGCCTTGGCTTCCCAAAGTGCTGGGATTACAGGTGTGAGCCGCAGCACCCAGCCCATAGCACGGTTTTGATTCAACTTAAGAAATTAGCTACCTCCTCTCCCATCTTCCTCCTATGTTAAGCATTTGCAGTTGCTTCAGGCTTTAAAATTGTTATTTCATTAAATTATGCTTTCATGTATTGTTATAGGAGATATAACAATATATTGCCATGACAAAGCTATTTTATTGTTACAGAAGTTAGGAATATATAAAGAAAAAAAAACAATAAAAAAGATAAAATCCTCTGGAACACTCAATTCCAGCTTCTTGTTTTTTACTTGAGATGAGGGAACGTTGAGGCTAATTTTTCTCTTTATGTCAATTTAAAGTATAGTTTTCCTAGGACAGTTTTTCTATTTCTTGATCATAGGATCTACAGTGACTACAATAACCAAGTGCTACAAAAACGCTGTGACGAGGAATCTGAACAACAGAGATTTGAGGGAAACAAAACACTTTCGACGAAGGTCCTGCTGCTTGTCTTCAGCTTGGTACCAATTAGAGCTTCACTGGAGGTGAAAAGTGAGTGTCTGAGAATCTTAATTCAGCCTTTTTTGATGTTTAGACAGAACCTACACACAGCTTCTACCATCTTCCAACTGCCATGAATCTGTTGTTTCTTTCCTTCTATTTTCCCTTTTCTTGATATTGCTTGTAGCTAATGAATATCTTAAAGCAAACACTTTTATAATTACCACCCAGGCCAAGAGATAGAACTTTGCCAGCCACCCCAAAAGCACCTGGGTGAGTCTTGTTTCTGTTATAATCACTCCTATCAGAGTAAACAGCATCCTGACTTTTATAGTAATGGCATCCTTGCATTTTATTTTTTCAGTTTTGTCACCCATGAGTGTGCCCTTATACATTATATTTTAGTTGTTTCCATTTTAAAAATTGATGCTTTTAGATTTTCTTTTAATCTACTCATCCCCTCCCTCCGCCCATCATCTTATCCCCCTTTTTTTCCTTACAATTTACTCATTTAAAGACCCAGACAATCTGAACTGTCAGATTCCTATTGTTTGGATTTTGTTAACTGTGTATTCTTGGATAAGTTATCCTGTTCTTTTCTCCTATTTCCTGAAAAATGGCAGCACCATTCAGAGGGTTAATCAGACTAATTTTGGCATTTTGGCAAGACTATAGGAGACATGTAAACATGTCTCTGTTTTTGTTGGCAAACATTAATGCCCAATATATTGATCCATCAATTCGTTGAATGGAGGGCAGTACCAAATAGTGATATTCTATTATTTAAAAAATTATTACCAGAATTTAAAAATAAACAGATACTTTCCTTCATCTATTATGGTTACCCAATGATATAGTCATATAGGAAAGGCAGAATAAATGCTTGATTCTTTCTCTTTATTTACCATCCTCTGAAGGTGATCAATTATTTTTTGATAATTAAATATTAATGAATAGATTTATTCACATTTGTTGATTTTAATCCATTGGCAATTATTTTCCTTATAGAGGCTAAATTTTTCCATCTTTGGCCATTAGAAATCTCATAAAGTTGGCTTGCCCTATTGACATGTTTCTAGTAGTCATGATTTATTTTTTGACAAGGTATTTCAGGCTCACCTTGTACATATTCTGGCCCAGACATGGAAGCAGACATTTCTCCAGGAAGCCCTTGGTTCTTTTAACAGGAAGAAGCAATTCAAAACCACAGTCTTGTTGCTAATAATGCTATTCTAACATCAGAGTACTCCTCCTTTTGTTGTTTCTGAATGGTTATAGACAACGTTTTTGGTTATAGACAACGTTTTTCGTTATAGACAACATTTGTGTCTCCTTAGAATTTATATGTTGAAATCCTATCCCCTAAGGTGATAGGAGGTGATGATGCCTTTGGGAGGTGATTAGGTCACCCTAATCATTTAGGAAGGGAAGCCCTCATAAACAGGATTAGTGGCCTTAGAAAAGAGGTCCCAGGAGTACCCTAACCCCTTTCACCATGTGAAGACATAGTGAGAGGATGGTTTTCTATGAATCAGGAAGCAGACCCTCATGAGACACTGGATCTGCCTTGATTTTGGACTTTTCAGCCTCCAGAATTGTGTGAAACAAATTTCTTTGTTCATAAGCCACCCAGTTAACAGTGTTATGTTACAGCAGCCCAAACAGCCTAAGACAAGTAGTGTTCAAAACCTGGTGGCTTGCTTTCTGAGACTTCCTTCATCTATGTCCTCCTTTTACCTTTCATGTGGACATTGACTTTCCATCATCTCTCTTTTCCTTGTCCTATTCACTTTTTATTTTATTTTTTAAAAATTGACACTGTATTAGTTTGTTCTCACGCTGCTAATAAAGACATAACTGAGACTGAGTAATTATAAAGGAAAGAGGTTTAATTGACTCATAGTTCCACATGGCTGGGGAGGCCTCACAATCATGGTGGAAGGCAAGGAGGAGAAAAGGCATGTCTTACACGGCAGCAGGCAAGAGGGTATGTGCAGGGGAACTCCTGTTTATAAAACTATCAGATTTCATGAGTCTTATTTAGTGCCATGGGGGCAGTATGGGGGAACCACCCCCATGATTCAACTGTCTCCACCTGGCGCCGCCATTGACACATGGGGATTATTACAATTCAAGGTGAGATTTGTGGGGGGACACAGCTAAACCATATCAGACACATAATAATTGTACGTATTTTTTGGATAGGATGTTTCCATACATATAATGTATAGTGATCAGATCAGAGTAATAAGCGTATCCTTCGTCTGAAACATTTAACGTATAACACTGTTGGATGACTCTAGTTAAAAATAACATATAGTTTCAAATAGGAGGGTAATACTAGAGTCATCCAATGGTGTTATAGGACATTAGAAATTATTCCTCCTACCTAGCTATAATTTTGTATAATTTAACAGATCTCTGCCTCTCTCTCCCTTCCTCTTCCCCTTCCCCTTCTCAGCCTCTAGTATCCTCTGTTCTACTTTATTCTTCTATGAGAGCAACTTTTTTTTTTTTTAACTTCAACATATGAGTAAGAACATGTGATATTTAACTTTCTGTTCCTGGTTTATTTCCCTTAACATAATGTCCTCCAGTTCCATCCATTTTGCAACCAATGACAGAATTTCATTCTTTTTTATGGCTAAATAATATTCCATTGGGTATATACCACATTTTCCTTATCCATTCATCTGTTGTTGGACACCTAGGTTGATTCCACATCTTGGCTATTATGAATAATGCTGCAATAAAAATGGGGATGCAGAGGTCTTTTTGATATTCTGATTTCTTTTCTTTGGATGAATGCCCAGTAATGGTATTGCTGGGTCATGTGGTAGTCCTATTTCATTTTTTTTTTTTTTTGAGACAGAGTCTTGCTCTGTTGCCCAGGCTGGAGTGCAGTGGTGCGATCTTGGCTCACTGCAACCTCTGCCTCCTGGGTTCAAGCGATTCTCCTGCCTCAGTCTCCTGAGTAGCTAGGATTACAGATGTGCATCACCATGCCAGGCTAATTTTTATATTTTTAGCAGAGATGGGGTTTCACCATGTTGGTCAGAATGGTCTTGAACTCCTGACCTTGTGATCCACCCACCTAGGCCTCCCAAAGTGCTGGGATTAAAGACATAAGCCACTGCACCCAGCCTTATTTGTAGTTTTTTGAGGAACCTCCCTACTGTTCTCTATGGTGCCTATACTTGTTCACATTCCCAACAGCAGTGTATGAGTTCCCTTTTCTCGACATTCTTACCAAAATTTATTATTATTATTTTTAAATAACAGCCATCCTAACTGGGATGAGATGATATCTCATTGTGTTTTTGGTTTGCATTTCCCTGATGATTAGTTATGTTGAGTATTTTTTTTTCTTTTTGGTCATTTGTCTTTTGAGAAATGTCTATTCAGATTGCTTCCTAATTTTTTAATTGAATTTTCTTGCTTGCTTGCTTGCTTGCTTGCTTGCCTGCTTTCTTGATTTTTTGCTTTTAAGATGTTCGGGTTTCTTATATATTCTGGATGTTGATCCTTTGTCAAATGAATGATTTACAAATACTTTCTCCCATTCTGTAGGCTGTTTCTTCACCCTGTTGATTGTTTCCTTTGCTGTGCAGAAGCTTTTTAGTTTGATATAATCTCATTTGTTTATTTTTGCTTTTGTTGCCTGTGCTTCTGAGGTTTTATTCATAGAATCTTTTCCCAGAGCAATGTCCTAAGTATTTTCCTTTTTTTTTTTTTTTCTAGTAGTTTTAAAGTTTTGGTTCTTACATTTAGGTCTTTGCTCTCTTTTGAGTTGATTTTCGTAAAGTGTGAGTGATTGAGATCTAGTTTCATTTTTCAGTTTCTTAAAGTCTAGACTGCTCTGCAGTCTAGATTTCTAGCTCCTTCAGTTCCTAATGCAGTTTTTTTATACTCTCCTGCTATTAGTTTGGGCAAAATCCCTCCTAGTTTCAGATGCTGTTTTCTAATGTACTTGTCATGATTTCCAGTGAACATCTGTTGGCTATTACTGGTGTCTTTTGTCCTTGGGGCCCTCAGACATCCTGTTGTTTCCCTTTACTTTCTTCCGCACATACACTGATACCATGTAGATCTTATGGTTATCGGTGAATTGTCTCCACTTGTTTTATTATTTGGGGTTTGTGTGGATGCCCTTGTCACTTAGCTTGTTATAAATACTATCCATTTTTTTTCTTTATTGTCTAGCTAACTTATGTAAATATTTAAAGACATCCAAAAACTATGTGGCCATTATTTTCCCAGAATTTTTTATTTTTTCTGATAGACTGACACTAGAGAACAAAATAGCTTTACTAAATTTTCTTCTTCACCTCTAGGCATTTTAGATTTTCTTGTGTGAGTTCACTAGTTAGTTTTATGACTAATATAACTCATATTCAGTTGATGTGTAATCATAGCATAAGTGATAAGACTGTCACCTGAAAATAAGATTTGAAAATAGTCACAGGATCATCATCAGCCACACTACTGTTATATGTCATCCTTTATTTTCTTTCATTTTCCTTTTCTATATTCTCTCTCTTTCTGTAGATAATACCTTACTACTTTCAGGGTTATATGCATCTTTCAATATTTTGTAGCTTTCTTGGAGCCAGCTTATAAAGAACCACTGATGTCCTTCTTGTACTTCTCCCTAACTCAGCCCAAGTCTGTCTTAATATAGAAGGGTAAGATGCCTCATGATATAAAATAGTGACCTAATTTAATTAGTCTTGTCAAAGGTAAATAAAATTAGTTTGGCCCATGAATATAAACATCCATTTGTTCTGCTGTATCCCCCCACTTTAGATTTTAACTTTAGTCATTAAATGTTTGGGGCTATGTAGGAGAATTATGGCCAAAGGAACTATAGGAGGACGGTTGTTTCTCTTAGTTTCTGTAAATAACCTGACAAGGAGACTTGTTGCTTAATCAGTGCCTAATATGTTCATTTGGAATGCTCCAATGCTCAATTTTATTAGGCATCTACAAAACAAAGCTTGTTTCCCCCCTGCATTGCAATTAGTGTAATTAGAGTTTATGTGTGAAGTATCATATATCTATTGTGTGGTGGTTTTTTAGAGGAACAAGGATACTGAATTACCTTACTAAGATTGCTGGTTTCAATAATTAGTTTATGGAGAATATTTAATAATACTTCACACGAGAAAATTAAAGTTCCAATCAAAGTAGCATTGAGTTATCTGGAGCAAGAATATGTTCTTGCTTATATTCTGCCCGCTCCTCAGAGCTGACTGCACATAATGTTTATATATAAAATGAAAAACAGAGCATAGCAAGATTATAAGATGAATTTTTTTTCCCTGAGAGGCTAACAAGAATAAGTGTCATGCCATGCTAGCCCAGGGAACAAAATTGTAAATACAGAGAGGAGAAACAGGTTTTCAAGTTTATATTGCTGCTATCTTACGGGGATCAGCTTCTGTTGTTACCATAATGTGTTATGTTGAAAGGGGCAGACACGGTTGCTGAGTGGCTGGTTGGAGAGTCCCTGAGAGATTACCCAAGAAACTCAGTTGCGGCACGTGGTGGAGCAGCCTCTCAGGTGAAAATAAATTCACACTGCACGTGGATATCTGCCTGGGAGTACTTGTCATTCACTGCATAGTTCATCTCTATGAAGAACCTGCGTATTTCTTTGTCAAATGAGAAACTGCAAAATGGCAAGTGTTATACTTTGTACAGACCAGCCCTGAGTTTTCTAAACCTGTTGTAAAGGTGGAGTCTGTAGATGGTGGCGAGAAACTGTTTTGGCCTTTTAGGACATCACATTTTTCAGCTGTAGTCAAAGTTCATCTGAAGTGGCTCCTGTTACTCCAGACCAATTTTTAATTGATATGCTCAGTCTATTTTCTCTTTACCCCCAAGCACCACTATTGATCACAAGCTAAGTTGGATCAAGTTGCTATGTGTAACACTGCCAGCTCTGTGAGCAGACTTTTTTCTTTTTCCAATCTTGGTGCCCTTAATTATACTCAACCAAATTACTGTTTAAGGAAATTCATATAAAGTTAGAGTTCATATGTAGATTTCTTGTTGTGAATTTCAGAGAGACAAGTGCTTTGTAGGGACATGCATGTAATTCAGGTGAGTGGGTAGTAGAAGATACTGTAGAGGCAGTTAGTGGTGTGTGTTGTATGGAGAAGTGTGAAGTTTCCTGTATTTTTTCATTCTGTCTAATATGAGAGATGTGGTATGACTTAGAAGTTTCAATGATGACAGCTTTCAGTCTGTTCCTAGGAAAGGTTAAATCTTAGTTATTAATACTTTTACCACTTACCATGACAAATATTGTACCCCAGGCTGCCTCTCTGACAACTTACATTGTTTTTCTGCTTTGTTCCATGGAAGAGGCAGCTGTGTAATTTCGGTAGCTTTTTCTGTGAGAAATGATTTTCATTAAACATAGACAGAATTAGTTACAACTTCCACTTGGAAGGTTAAGACCTAGTGCTCTATTTAGTCTTTTTGAAAGAGCTTAGGCACTAATTATTTCTAACTAGTGTGTTTCCTCTGGATTACTGACCGCTTTGAAAGAGTTCAAGTTGTTTCATTAGGTCCGTTCAGTCGTCTTGGAACTGCCAGTAACAAGATCAGGTTGCAGAGGATGTTGTCATTAAAACCTTTAAAAAAAAGTCTATGTAAAACTCTTTAAATTCGACTTCCAGAACTATGCGTTTCTACTGTGACTATGGATCAGAATTTTTTTTTTGAAGAAAATGAATAAGATCATGTTTATGACACACAGCTCTTCTAAGGAGATTCATGGCTATATTAAACACAGTTCTGGACCTATTTTTTCACGGATTTAAACTACAAATGCTATCAAAATTATATTCCACTCCAGGAGATTACTGATTTCTACCATCAGTTTCTAGTTTCCTAGGCATTTGAACTAGTAGTCACACAGAACGGGCAACTTGTATTGTCAATTGAATTGTAACACTTGGATGGCTCCCAGGTGATGTCACAAATAACATTTATTTTCAAAATTACTTAGAAAAAACAGAAAAAAAGCACACAAAATATATTCTTCAGTGATCTTTGCATCCCTTTCAATATGTGTCTCAAAGGTAACTTTTAGGTAGCCTGAGATTGGCAGCGTCGGGCAGCAGCCAGCTGTGGTCCCAAGCTTCCTTGGAATGCCATGTCTCCGATGAGAAAACATGTGATGAAGACATTGAGCTGCCAAACAAAGTATTTGTGCCTCCCTGTACCCCTCACCTTACATGTTGTAGAGCTGTTGGTAGTAAGTGGTTGTTCAGCTAGGGACCACATTTTCCAGGATCCCCTTGCAATTAGATGCAGCCATTGATTGGATTGTAGCAAATGGAATGTGATTTGAAGTGCTGCACATCACTTTCAATTCTGGCTCATAAAAGCCTTCTACCTACTCTTCCCCAGGCTCTGTTTTCTAACAGTTGGTTGGTATGAGGATAACACTGGGATGAACTAGCAGGCTTTGTGGTGAAGATGGCAGAATTCATGTAATCCTGGGTTTCTGTGGCTTCATGGAAGGGCTACCTCTCCTGTTCTCCTGCTCAGTATTATTTGATGAACAAGAAAGAAATTTTAATTATGTTGGGTCTTGGAAATTCTTGGTTTTATTAGTCACGGCAGCTAGGGCTTCTCTAATAAAGCATGTAAATTCACCCAGGCATTATACATATGCCAAACCTAATAACTGAGTTAAAGGCAGGGACAAGGCTGGCAAAGAGGATAGAGAGGTTGTTTTGGGTCCTAAATTGCCGAAGGTATCCCATGGAAGGAGGATACATTTAATTTATTTTATTTTCAAGATAAGAAAAGCTATTGCAAACTAATTGTACAGTTGGAACCAGTGTAAGACTCAAACATATTCATTCTCCCGTTCACTCAACAAGGGCCCACTATGTGTAAACATTGTCCTACACATTAGGGTTAACTCAGTAAAAAAGAGAGACCAAAAAATTTCAGACTACCTCTTACCATTCCTGCCTCTACTCATCTTTAGTTGCAGTTGTCATAAATCAGTAAAATCCCACTGTTGTTTGCTCTTATAATTTTAGTTCTTTATGAATGTTTAATTGGTTTAGTTAGGGACCTTTCTGGAGGTGAAGAGAATACTCTACCTGGATTTCTTTGGTCTTTGCTCCTAACTCTAGCTCGGTTCTGACAGCAGAACAAATGGGAATATGTATGAGGCTATAAAATAACTGACGTTAAAATGTGCAGGATTCAACGTTTAAAAGGAATTGCATTTCAATACAAGATAAAATTTGCAGATTACCTTGAGAATTGGGGCTATTACTGTTATATTGAAAGAATTCCAAAATGCTAAATTACCTGACAAGTTGTGCTGTTTTATGTGCTGTATTGATATTAGAGTATTTGTTTGGCTTCAGTGGGTACTTAATTATTTGTTTCTTCTTGACAGTGTGCTAGAATTAATTCATAGCATTATGAAGCTGCTTTAAACATCCTCTTGAGGGCAAGGGCTGGCTCGGAACCTAGTGCATCATAGGAATGTTTTGCTCTCAGTTTAAATATATTAAATTAGAGTCATGAATTACTTCTAAAAAGAGACAAATCATAGCTTTTTTTATCCTAAAGGAGATTTTTAGGGATGCAAGATGAAAGGAGCTAAACATAACTATAGGAAATGGAGGCTGTTATCAGCATCTAGCTTAGGATGGCGAGCCAAGCATGGCTCTCAGGTGCAACTCACATGGAGACGTGGCTCTCAGGTAAAAGATACAACTCAGGTACACTTCTTTATCCATTAGCAATTAACAATGAGCAATTATTTCCTACACAGAGCAAAAGTTCTAGCCAAAGGTCCTTTTCTTCGAAAATACAGAAGGCACAGAATGAGTTTACCTAAAGGCTTTATAAATCCTTAGTTTGTAAAAATTCTCTATTAGTGGTAGCCTATAGATAAGTGTGAATTAATATAACATTTACATATTAATTAACATAATAATGATAAGATCTTTAGTAAGTACAAAAACTCAGAAAATTAACCATTAATGTTCTTTATTTGGTACTCAAAGGCCAAAATTTTGTGTTTTTCTTTTACCTGGAAGGTAACTGAGAATATCAGATAAAATAATTTTTTAAAAATATTCATGAGAGTGTTTTTTTCTCTGCAGAAAATGGAGTTCTAAGTATAGTAACAATTTAGTTACATAGTTACTTCCATTTCCAGAGATGTGATCCTTTGCTGTGTAAGTTATGTTTTCTAATAAAAATGATACAGATGGGTCAGATTTCATGGTTAGATATTAGAAAGCCTAAATGAAATCCCATTCTTTCATGGAATTATGTTAGCAATTTTGGAAGGTAATAGTGGTCTTACTAATTCATTTTTTTGATGAACTCTTAAGATACATTTAAATGTGATTCTCATATTGATACTTGCCTTTTTACTAGAGGTTTCAGTAGAGGATAGTTTTGTGGAAAAATATCTGTCTGAATAAGCCATCCTGTGATTTTTCTAAAGTGGGTAATCAGGAGACACTTGGAAAGGAAAGAAAAGGAAAGAATAGGTACTCCTACATTCATATGGGGCATGAGTGTTTTTCTTTTCCCGTTATAATAGCAGCTGAAACAAGCTGGTTATAGGTCAAAGAGAATAACAGAAAAATGTTACAAAATTGATGCAAAAATTTAGCCTTTTCTTCATGTTCCTTAGTAATGCCAGCATTCTATATATTTTATGGTGATAACAATGGCGGTGCCAGTGATTATCCGTGGAACTGGACCGATGATCCCCCATGTGTGCTCCATTTTCCTACCTTGTTCATTCTGTGAGAAGTGGATTTGGACAACATGTTGAAAGTATCCAAACGCAGCCCTTTCTGTGTTTG
Source organism: Homo sapiens (assembly GCF_000001405.40). NCBI lineage: Eukaryota > Metazoa > Chordata > Mammalia > Primates > Hominidae > Homo > Homo sapiens. The sequence goes on from NC_000013.11 coordinate 60,695,168, forward strand.
GAGGAAGTAATTTTACATTAGTTCTTTAGTTTTTTTTTTTTTAGTTCTGTAGCTTTATATATCGTTGAAAAGAACATCTTTTGAAAGTAGAGAGTCCATTCAGCAATCTAGCATCTGTGTTTGGTTGCCACGAAGGCCTAACCATTGCCATTTCAGGGGGGAGCACAGGGGGCAGGGGGATGGGGAGAGAAAAGAAAAAGCAAGCACATAGACTGCATATTCAAATCAGCACCTCAAATTCATGATGCTAACTTACATGATATTTTCCTGGTTTGAAAGTTCTTATTGTAAGGAAATAAACACAAAACTTGTCAAATAATATAGTATTAAAATACTAAAAATTAGTGGTATTAAACTGAAACTAATAATTTTAGACTAAAACACCATTTTAGTGTGACCAGTCATGTTTTGCTTAGAGTGAATGTAATTTCTTAAATGTTCATACAAAAGTTGGTGACTTTTATATGTTTCTCAATAGTAAATTTGAGAAGAAAATCAGTTTTATCTTCTGGTATTATGTAGAAATTAGGCAACAGGATTTTAATAAATGAGATAAGTAGTTTTTTAATGATAAACTTTGATGAAATTTTTCAAATGTTCTTTCAGTTTCAGATATTGCAAGAAAAGAAGCAAAAAAAAAAAAAAAAGCACAGTGTGAAAAATAGTGATGTGAACCTGACAGTCACTATAGGACTGTTCTCAAAGTTAATATAATTGAATTAATTCTGACATGCCACATTTATATATACTGAGGCTTTTTGTTTTTAAAAGAAAATAAAAATGTGATATTATTCTTCTCAACATAATAAATTCCATAATGCTTTATCTTAATAAGCAATTATCTATAATAAACAATCTTTCACTATTATGGGCATTGGACTCTGAAAATTTATTTTGGTTACAGATCTCTGTAAAGAATATTATTAAGTCATAATGAATCAAAGGAGCTTGATTCCTTTGCAAGGTGCGATTGGGGTAGATATATATTACTTTTATTGCATTCACATTTCTCAGGCGCTGATGCATTTTTCCTATGGGTTCTTCTCTTAGGAGCTATGCAGACATCTGGACTGTGAAAAATATCTAAGTAATAACAAGGCAAACATTTTTACTTACATAATTCTTATATCAAACATGCCCGTTGACAAAAAGGAAGAAGCTTTATCATAAAGGGAAAGTTTTGTTAAAGTAAAAAATTGCAGCAGTATCTGAGTCCCACAGCAGCTCCTCTTCTTCATATTCACCAATAAATTTCTCCAGTGATATGGTCTGTGTCAGACAAACTTTTCATATGGAAAAAATCTCAGAATTTACCTTCTTCTAGTGTGGTCCATCCACCTCTTGTTTTCTGCTGGTCATTTGTCCCTTTGCCCTTTCCCTGCCCTGTTATTGAGGATCACTTCTGTTTGGCAGCAAATACACAAAAACAGAATGCCCATTTCCTGCCCGAGTGATCTTTCTAAATGCATAATGGACCATGTCACTCTTCAGTTTAAAATCATTCGGAGGTCTCTTTGTTGTCCTAAGTTTGAATTCCCAAAGCTCTGCTCTGAGTTTGCTGTTCTCATGGTTATCAGTCTTCAAGTGATCCTCATTGCCTATGAAACAGCATTTGAGTAGGAAATACAGCCTGCAGCCAGATTAAAGAGCATCTCGTGCCAAACCACAAATTTTATTTCATCTGATGCATCTTCACATGAGCACCAGCCAAAACGAATTCATTGTTTTCTCTGAATTTCAGACCTTTTCTGCTTTCACGATTTTTTTAGGTAAAAAGGATCTGTGCATATCCAAAATCATTAGGTATTGTGAAATTGCTCTGAGGCGTGAGTGTACTGATTTTACTCCTAAGAATAGGGTATGAGTTCCTATTGTGCCATGGTCTTCTCGGCACTTGATAATATTGGATGGGTATAAAATGGCAACTTGTTTTAGTTTTTTATACACTTCCCTGATTTCTAGTGAGGTTGAACATCTTTTCATATATTTATTGATTATTTGAGTTTTCCCTTTTATGAATTACCTTTTAATATCATGCCCATATTTCTTTCTTTCTCCCTTCCTTTCTCCCTTCCTTTCTTCCTTCCTTTCTTCTTTCCCTTCCTTCCCTTCCTTCCTTTCCTTCTCTTCCTTCTCTTCCTTCTCTTTCTTCCCTTCCTTCCCTTCCTCCCTTCCCTCCCTTCCCTTCCTTCCCTTCCTCCTTTCCTCCCTTCCTTTCCCCTCTCTCTCTCTCACTCTGAAACAGGGTCTCACTCTGTCAACTAGGCTGGAGTGTAGTGGCACGATCATAGCTCACTGCAGCCTTGAACTCCTGGGCTCTAATGATCTTCCTATTTTAGCTTCCCAAAGTGCTGGGATTACAGGCATAAATGACCGCACCTGGCAATGCCCATGTTTTTCTATTGGCTTGCTCATTGTAGATATTGATCTCTTCGAGGCTGAGTTGGTTACAGTCTTCTTTCAGCCAGATATTTATGTTTTGACTTTTTTTCTTTTAATATTGCCATTTGATATGCAGAAATTCCTAATTGCAGTGTAGCCTAACTTATTGATCTTTTTCTTTATGATTCAGTTTTTGGTGTTTTGAAAAGCAATATTCTATTATTTTTCCCACCTAAATGTTCTAAAGTTTAATGCTAATTTTTATGTCCTTAAAGCCCCTGGAATTTATTTTCATTCATGATGTGAGAAAGGAGTCCAACTTTTTTCCCATATGCTAACCAGTTATCTGAGCACCATTTATTGAATTGTCCATGTTTTCTTGGCTGATCTCCAATGATATTTCTTTCATATATCAAGGTACCAAATGTGGAAACATCTGTTTCTGGGCTTCTATTCTCTGTTTCAATATCTTGCTGTCTTCAAATAGTTTTATTTATAATAACACCTGCTACAAGATAGAGTGACTCCTCTTTTCTTCTCTTCAAAATTGTTTCTTTGTGTTTTAACACACATTTTAGAATCAGCTTGTCAAGATTTAAAATTAGACAAACACATCCAGATCATATTTAAAATTGTATTTAATTTATAGATTTCTCTTCTCAAACTGCAGGAAAAATGGGTCTGATTGTCCTTTGTTTTCTATCTACCATCCTAGGAACAACTGTATCTTAAATCTAAAGAGCCCTATATTCACCCTCCAGGGGCAAGCTCCCCTTAGTGCATCAGAGGAGATCTGCTCTGTAACAGTGACCACTGGAGACTTTCTAGTACCTCCACTCTAACTAGTCCAAAGGAGAAAAACCAAGCAAGTTTATTTTCCGGCAGGGTGCCCCATAAAATGAAGACTGGCAAAAATAACAAAAGAGCACAAACCAGTACAATCAGGATACAGTTGATGTTGAGATTCCATTTACATTCTTTGCAAGCCTTCTTGCTTCCTATCTCTGTCATCACGTAACATCCTTTACCATAGGAAGAGGAGGTGGAATAAGAGAAATAGGATGCAACTTTAAGAAGGTGGGAGGGTAAGGTATGAAATTGACTTATCGAATATTATATTTAGACGGAATTTTAAAGATTGTGTGATCTAGTCCACCCATTTTATTTTCTTTTATAGATGAGTAAAATGGTGACCCTAAGAGATTAAGTAGCTAGTCTAAAGTGTTCTAACTAGTAAATGGAAGAGCCAGGATTATTAGAGTATCTGGTTCATTGCCCTTTACTCTTTAAATGAAAATATTTAAAGGGCTATAAAAAGAATTTTTATTACTGTGTTTTAATTAGAAGAATAGCTGCTTATTACCCAAATTTACCTTTTCTACTCATTTTACCATTATTTTGAATATCTTCGTGTTTTTAGAACTCCGAATTTCTCCTGGTACAAGACAGTCTGCTCTGATAGCATTCTCTTTCTCTCTCTCTCTATTCTGTTGTTGTTGCATGAATAATACAAGAACAACCATTGCTTATTAATTTGTGTGGATGTGTAGCTATATTTATTTTTCTGATTGGCTTTAAGTCTTAGGCTGTTAGGAAAGTGTTCATAGGAATTTTTATTCATTAAATACAGGTAATGTGTTAGATTAAAGCATTAGTAAATGATTTCTGCACATTTTTCTTTCCTGTTTCCTGGTTAAAAGATATTAAAACTATTTCCTCTATTACTGGTTCTAGTTATTCAGACATAATTATTAGCATGCAGAAAAATGAGTTTTTATCTGTACTTCCAAATGGTAGTATATTTTATTTAAGTATGCCTTAAAATTATGTTAGGGTAAGACAGAATTATAACTGGAAATCATTTGGTCTAGAAAAATTGAGTAAGATGGAAATTTGGGGCACATGCTGAGTAGAGGAAATAGCAAATGAAGCTGCACTTTTGTGGAGCAAAGTTTGACACAAAGAGGGAAAGACTATCCTTTCAGCATAGAATCTTGCTACATACTCAACATTTCTTTGAGTATGCAGCAAATCCGTAACTTCTTCAGTGAGCTTCCTGTTGTGTATTTATAAGTCCAGTCCTATTTGTCTAATTTAAAGCTTCTTCTCTTCCCAGGCTCAGAAGCCTGCAATGGGGAGTGGGGCAAGCATCTTTGTCCTAATCCCACCCCACTCATTCTGCTGTTTCTGGGTCCTTTAGGGTCAGAGTGAAAGGGGAGCCGCAACTTGGAGGAAAAGGACAAAGGTTTATTCAACTGGGGTACTGTGATCTGGCAGAGCTGCCTTCTGTGAGATGACGTCACAAAAAAATTTTAAAGATGTACTTATTTATTAGAAATACTATTTCTTCATCTCTTTTTCACCCTTTAAAAGTTGTATAATTTTATATTTTTTTTAATTGGCAAATAATAATTGTACATATTTATGGGGTACTTGGTGATGTTTTAACACATATAATGTATAGTGATCAGATTAGGGTAATTGTATTCACCATCTCAAACATTTATCATTTCTTCATGTTGGGAACATTTAATATTCTCCTTCTAGATGTTTGAAACTATATGTTACCATTAACAGCTTTAGGGTTTCAGCTGAACCTCTGAGACAATAGGAAATTTTCCACTTAGTAGAGTTACTTAGGCCATGATGCTTTCCTGGGTTGGTTTGATATCCAGCATTGGAAGACGTCAAAATTAGTTTCTGTGATCAGGTTTGAGTCACCACTGCAGAGACAGCATCTTGATGTTTAGGCTTTGGGCTTTTGGTTTGTAGCCCAGGCTGGATGTGTGTGCATTTGTGTGGGGGTGTGCATGTGTGCATGTTGTGGCAAAGGGTAGTGTATTTGTCGAGGCTCTCCAAAAAAGCAGTCCTTTTGAATTGGCTCTTGTAATTGCAGGAACTGGCAAGTCTAAAACTTTTAGTGCAGGAGAGTAGGTTGAAAATTTAGGCAAGAGTTGATGTCAAAGTCTTGAGTCTGAAATCTGCAGACCAGACCAGCAGGCTGGAAATTCAGGCAAGATTTCTATGTTGCAGTTTGGAGACAGAATTCCTTCTTCTTTGGAAAACCTCAGTCTTTTCTCTTAATAACTTCAACTGATTGGAAGAGTCTCACCCATATTACAGATGGTTTTCTGTTTTACTTAAAGTCAGTGATATTAAATGTTAATCACATCTAAAGAACACTTTCGCAGCAACACCTAGATTAATGTTTGATCAGATACCTGAGTACCATAGAGCCTGACCAAGTTGATGCATAGAATTAGCCTTCATAAGTTGATAGCATGTTGAGTCTTCTTTTTCTTCATTCTGCTTCTCAACAATGACTGAGGCTGAGGCATGTAATACTAGCCCAAGCACTCAGTTTCTCTTTTCCATGGACAAAATGACATCAAATTTAAATTAAAACACTCTTATTAATGTCATTCTTTGGTTAACCTCTGTCTTCTCTACTAGACTATGAGCTACTGAATAGCAGATATTGAATCTGCTTTTGCTTGCCATTTTATCTCCAGGGCCACATTAAAAAAAATTTTTTTGGAGAGTAAATGAGGGAGTAGTTGTGTTTGTCCAGCACATTTTTACCAGAGTAGAAAAGCAGACACAGGGAAAGAGACCTAGGCAGAGACAGTGATCAGGCATTTTTGGCGTGGAGTACTCCGTGATTCACACTCCAACACTGAGCAAAGCGGCTGGCAGTAAAAGAAACTGTCAGGGTGAGAATGTCCTTAACAGACATGTTGCTCTTTGACGTTGTTTTTCTTTGCTTGGCCACTATTTGTAAAAAGAAGGAAGAAGAATTTATGATGAAGAAACAAGAGATTGTATTCTCATAATTTACAAACAGAATTAAAGTTCACTTGTTAAAACTTGAAGTGGAAGAATGTTTCAAAGAGCTTTTGAAGCTAAGTTCATTTGAAACTAAGTCTTAAAAACCACATGTTCTCGCTTATGAGTGGGAGCTAACCAATTGGTATACATGGACATACAGAGTGGAATAATAGACATCAGAGACTCCAAAAGATGGGAGGAGGAGAGGGGGCTGAGGGATGAAATACTACCTATTGGGTACAATGTACAGTATTAGTGTGATGGTGACACTAGAAGGCCAGACTTCAGCACTACGCAAAATATCCATGTAACACAACTGCACTTGTACCCCTAAATCTATAAAAATAAAACACAAAATGTAAAAAAAAAAAAAAAAAAACACAATAAAAAACAAAGCCTGAGAATTCAACGAATCAAGAAACTAGGAGAATGTGTTGTGTATATGCCCTAAAGGAGTTGACAGACTGATTTGAAAGCTATTATGTGCTTTGTGGTCATTGCATGAGAGGAAATCATGAGATTATGGGAAACAAATCATAGACTTTCCTGTCCTTTCTGTTTTCATACACTAATTCATTGAGTCCTGTTTCATCATTATTCTTCCTTTAAACATCCTCTTACAGCCACCTAATATCCTGGATAGAACAAGAGTGACAGAATAGACTAGCCTGGGTTTTCGTCAATCAGGATTTATGGCTTTGTACTCAGCCCCAGGCTCCTTTAATGTCTTCCCTGAGCCTTCGCAGATAGGCTGTGCACATGGAGAGTGAGTGCAGAGTGGTTACCATTGAGCTCATAATTGAGTTCAAGGAGGAGTGATAGGAGAGAAGATCAAACTTACTCATTGCCTGCTGAGTGCAAACACGATAGTGGGTGATCTGTTCTGCAACATCTCACTTAATTCATGGAAATTAGCTATTATTTAATTGGAACTGAGGTTCAGAAAAGTTTAGTGATTTTCTAGATTCTTAGCTAGAAACTAGTGGATTCAAGATTGAAATCTATTTGCTCTGGTTTCAAAGCCCAGATTTTTCTTGCTCTTTCACATTGATTCCTGTTCATGACACAAGACAATATAGGTTCTTTCTTAAATATCTCCCAGGAAATGACAATTGATTCTGTGATATAACAAGAAAAAGTGTCAATGCCCCAAATAACATTTTTAGCCTTTGATTCGTCGTTAGAGCATGAAATTACACATACACATGTGTACACACATATACACACTTCCACCTCACCCCCATTACTTCTGAATGTGCAAGCACTTCATATACCTTGCATGCATCATCACCTATAGTCTTGCCAACGGTCCTGTAGTGTAGGCACTGTCATTCTTATTTTTGAAGAAGAAATTGAGACTCAGATGATTTTCCTAAAGCTACATAGTAGGACAGAGAGCTGAGATGGGCACCCACATATCTGTGTACCCAAAGCTAACTGCTCTTAACCACTATGATATATTGCCATTCATTTATTTATTAATTTAACAAGTATTTGAGTGCTTTCTCTATTCTACACTATACTAGACAACGTGCATACAACAATGAAAATTACTTCTTGTTTTTTTTTTTCAACTTTTATTTTAGAGTCGTAGGGTACATATGCAAGTTTATTATATGGGTATATTGTGTGATGCTGACGTTTGGGGTATGAATCATCCTGTTACCCAGGTACTGAGCATAGTACTCAATAGTTAGTTTTTCAACCCTTGCTCCCCTTCCTCCCTCCTCCCTCGGGTAGTCCCCAGAGTCTTTTGTTCCCATCTTTATGTCCATGAGTAGCCATTGTTTAGTGCGCACTTATAAGAAAAGAACGTGTAGTATTTGGTTTTCTGTTCCTGTGGTAATTCACTTAGGATAATAACCTCCAAAGAACATGATTTCATTCAGTTTTATGGCTACATAGTATTCCATGGTGTATATGTACCACATTTTCTTTGTTGAGTCCATTGAGCCCATGGTGGGCACCTAGGTTGATTCCATGTCTTTGCTATTGTGAATAGTGGTGCAATGAACATGAGAGCACATGTAGAGAGCGATTTGTTTTCTTTTGGATATATATCCGGTAATGGGATTGCAGGGTTGGATGGTAGTTCTAAGTTCTTTGAGAAATTTTCAAACTGCTTGCCATAGTAGCTGAACTAATTTTTATTCCTACAAACTGTATAAATGTTCCCTATTCTTTGCAGCCTTATTAGCATCTTTTTTTTTTTTTGACTTTTTAGTAATAGCCATTCTGACTAATGTGAGATGCTGCTCCTCATTGTGGTTTTGATTTGCCATTTCTCTGATGATTATAAAATCACCTATCTTTTAACCTAAGGGAGTTCAGCCAGGTAGGGAAAACAGACACATAATCAGGCAATGGTAATAACATTTGGTAAAGCAATGATGAATATGTATTCAGGACTGTAATATGCAGATATGTGTAGGAACTATACATATCTCCCTCATGGCAGCTCAGAGGAGAGATGCCTAATTTGGTCTTTGCTGCAGTGCTTGGGATTGAGGATTATGTCACGAAGGGATTCTTCTGGGAGAAGGTGACTCTTCTTTCATATGAATCTTAATTAGTGATAAAAAGCTTACCAGTTAGAGACAGCTGAAATGGAGAAAGCACTACACATAGAGGGAATTGTGTGGTCCAAGCACAGAGAAGACACCAAGTGTGGTATGTTTTGTAGAAAGATTGTAAGAAGTTCAGTGATGCTGGAGTGAGAGAGCGAGGCAGGGAATTATGAGCAATGAGGTCAAAGAGATTTTTGGCTGCATTAAGGAGCTTGAACTTTTCTAGATCAATGGTTATGGATCTCTGAGAATTTGATTAAATCTACTTATCCCAGAAAAATGGTGTGCGTCCAAGATTGCACAGTCATATACACTATCCCCCTGAACACATGCTATATACTTTTACAATTTTAAATATGAATCATGTATTTTTGGGTGGAGAGTTCTGTAGATATCTATAAGGTCCATTTGATCCAGTGCTGAGATGAGGTCCTGATATCTTTGTTAATTTTTTGTCTTGATGCTCTAATACTGTCAGTGGAGTGTGAAAGTTTCCCACTATTAATGTGTAGGAGTCTAAGTCTCTTTTAAGGTCTCTAAGAACTTGCTTTATCAATCTGAGTGTTTCTGTGTTGGGTACATATATATTTAGGATAATTAGATCTTCTTGTTGAATTGAAACTTTTACCATTATGTAATGATCTTGTCTTTTTTGATCTTTGCTGGTTTAAAGTCTGTTTTGTCAGAAAGTAGGATTGCAACCCCTACTTTTTGTTTTGCATTTGCTTGGTAGATTTTTCTCCATCTCTTCATTTTTAGCCTATGTATGTCATTGCGTGTAAAGACAGAAATACCACTGGACTCAGCAATCCCATGACTGAGTATGTACCCAAAGGAATATAAGTTGTTCTATTATAAAGATACATGCACATGTATGTTCATTATCAAGACACATGCAGCACTGTTCACAATAACAAAGGCATGGAATTGACCTAAATGCCCATCAGTGATAGACTGGATAAAGAAAATGTGGTATATATACACTATGGAATACTATGCATCCATAAAAAGAACCAGGTCATGTGCTTTGCAGGGACATGGATGGAGCCAGAGGCCATTATCCTTAGCAAACTAATGCAGGAACAAAAAACCATATACTGCATGTTCTCACTTTTAAGTGGCAACTAAATGTTGAGAACACATGGATACGTAGAAAGGAACAACATACACCAAGGCCTATCAGAGGGTAGAAGGTGTGAGGAGGGAGGGGATCAGGAAGAATAACTAATGGGTACTAGGCTTAATACCTAGGTGAGGAAATAATCTGTACAACAAACCCTCATGAAACAAGTTCACCTATGTACCAAACCTGCACATGTATCCCTGAACTTAAAAGTTAAATATTTTAAATGACCAAAAAAAAATCATGCGGATCTATAGAATCCCCAAAGTTGATGTGGCCCACAGACCTAGATTAAGAGAAAGTCCTCCTCTAGAGAATGTTAGAGTGAAATGTAGTTAGAAATGGAGGAACCTGGGATAGTTGATGGTTGACTTTTTTCTGAGAACAGTTTTTGTGTGTAAATAAACACAATAAATAAATAAATTTGAGGTCCTTTCGTCATCTCAGATGTTTCTTCACTCAGATCTTGAGCTGATATCTAAAAGAAAAAGAATGAAGAAAGTGGAAGGAAAGGCAACATTCTTAGGGTGTCTACTGAGTCCTAAGTACTTGGCAAACTTTATCTCATTGAATTCTCACAATAGAATACAAAAAATAAGGAAAAGGAAATTGAAGTAGCTAAAGGAACTTCTCTAACTTTACTCAGCAAGTTAAAGGAAGAGCCAGGATATGAAATTGGAATTATCTTTTTCTCAAGCCCCACGCTTTGTCTATGAGACTACTTAATATCTCTGGAATGGGAAGAAGATGATTGTACATGACATATTCCTCTACTTTTTCTTACCTAAGGTACTTACTAGAAAAAGCTCAAAATCACCACCACTAAACGCCTATGTAAGAAAACAGTTTTGTGCTTTAATTGTCCTCTGCTTTTGGAGTTTTATTTACTGTATGAGTTTCATCTAAGTTCATAAAAGTCAATAAACTCAATATTCCAGAAACCACTTGCAATTTAACATCTAGATAATTAGGGTAACAAAAACAAGTTAATTCAATGTTGGTTTTTGATGGTGATTAACTTACTTCCATTTCTTTACCTAAAGCAAGAAAGAGTTCAGAAATAAAGTAATGGGAATCTGCTGCACTCAAGGAGATAGATGCAAGAACAAAAGATTTGTTATGAAACCCTTAAAAATCACAGTGCCCTTTTAGCTAATTATAGTGACTTAATTAAAGTTATTTTTAAGTAATAGTTAATTATGCTTAATTAAAGTAATTACATAATTAGCCAGGAGAATTTGAATGAACCATAATGTAGATATGTTTGGCCTCTGAGGATCAAGTATACTAGTTTGCATAAATCCAAAAACATCTCCATAGTGTGCATGGAACAAGATATGAAATAAAGCCTAGGTTATGGTTTCAACTGCACAAAACTACTACTAACAATGAATAAATTTATGCATGATTCCACATAGTGTACTACTGTGCTTTCAAAAAATATAACGTGAGATTATATTAGATTTGATTTCTTTTAATGTAGGTTTACTTTGGGGAAGCAAATTAATATTAAATGTCTAACAGTCAATGCTGTTTGTGTTTTTAAAGTCTAAATTATCTTTTTACATCCATGCATTATTCAAATTTACCAGATGCTATAGGGATTCTGGCTGACTTTAGGAAAGCTCTAGCATTTTGTTTGATGTGGAGACACAATTTGAACTGAAATATCTGGGCCTAGCATAGCTACTGTCCTGTTCTCGATTTAATAATAAAAGCTACTGGATCCATAGGCAAATGTGTAGCCTTCCCTGGGCCTTGGTAGTGCTTGTTAACAACCTCCCTTAATAGCTTCTTGGCTTTGCTGTTGCTGGGATATGCCATTATTTAGGAGAATTCCCAAGGAATTATTATTGTGTCAATAGTTCTTAAAGTACAGTATCCCAGAATCGTCTAAGTTGTGTGCTTACAGGCTACTTTTCATCTCTTCTGGATAAGCATTTTCCCCCTAGATGAGCCTCCCAGCAAGGTCATAGTCATAAAAAGTCTGTGATTGATCTAAGCTGCTGCCTAGATTTTCTGGCTCCTCAAGTTTTTTATTCAATTTTCTGGTGGGCAGTTGCTACTCTTTCTCTTTAACAAAGGATATTATTAAAAAAGCTGTGGTCTCAGCCCATAAATGAATGTTAAGCAGACAGTGAGATTTTAGTATTTTTTTTTTTCCTTGTATGTAGTCACACTGGGATAGAAGAGAGGGATGATGGTCTCCGAGAATCGAGCCATAAGAGGAGAGCTCAGCTCTCAGGCTGAGCTCTTTTAAAAGTGCTGACATTCACCATCACCTCTCAGGAATTCTGTTTTGTAGTGGTGGGCACATTATTAGTTCCTAGTAGAAAAAGATCACAGCAATAGGTACTCCTAATAGAGTCTCTTACCTCCTCAAAGGCTCGTGACATCTCCTGAGACTCTCTGAGACCCAGTAGATGAGAAGTTCAAAGTATTGATGAGTTCTTAAAATGAACATTTTTTTCTCATTTAAAATATATTTTATTTAACCACTACAGTAATTATTTCATTAATTACTGTGTAATTTCAAGACTGATGCATGTTCATTGTAAAAGGAAAGAGACCCCAGAGAAAATCAAATAAAAATCCATGAACAGAGTAAACCGTTCTGCAGACCATAGGGATTGGTTTAGCTGTGGTCCTGCAAAGGTTAAGTAGGCAAATAGAACAATTTGCCAAACTGATATACAAATATCTAGAAATGGAAATGCCCTTGTGCACACGATGCTAGGTTGACAGGGTGTGAATGTAGAGCTGTTGGTGAGTCATCTTCCACCCCATGTGGAGGGAGACTTTGCAGGTCCAAATGAACACAGAGAAAAGCAGAGTTGAGAGAAGAAGAGAAAGAGCCTTAATGGTGTCACTTGAGCCCAAATATTTTACTATTTCTGCAAAAGTCCACTATTAGATTCCTTTTGTTGCTTAAACTGGTTTGAGCTCTTGGCTTCTGTAACTTGCAGTTGAAAGGGTGAGACAATACTTGCATGCCTTTGTCTTATTGTGAAGCACTGTGCATTCCATAAATTCCCAGTGACCTGGGGAATGACTGTCATGAGGTCATGGTTGAGCTTCAATGTGAAATGCAACTGGAAGTACCAGAGAAAAAGAGAGAATTTCTAATATGAGAAATAAAGATGAAGGGAGACTGAAACTAAATATTTATTAAATACAAATGGGAGAATGGTAACTTTACAGTGGAGAAACCTAAATGACAACACCTTAACCAAGTGATCAAATTAACATCACCAGTTAAGGCATATTGATATCATGTATCCCTTGATATGATTCATTGAGAAGAGCATATCACATCTCTGGTATCCTTTCCAACCATTCCTAACTCAATCTAATCATGAAAAAGCATCAGACAAGCCCAAATTGAGAGAAATTCTACAAAATGACTGATGCTCTTCAAAAGTGTTAAGATCATGATAGAGAAAGACAGGAACAGCTATAGATTAGAGGAAGCTAAGAAGACATGATATCTAAATGCAATATGAGTTGCAGTATCAACTTGATGCAATTTAATGCAATATTAATTAGATTCTTAAAGAGGACATTCACAGACAAAAAGTGGTGAAGTCTGAATGAAGTCTGTAGCATAGTTAATAATATTGTACCAATGCACTTAGGGGAAGCTGGTTGAAGGGTATATGGGAACTCTCTGAATTACTTTTGCAACTCTTACATGAGTCTAGAATTCCTTCAAGATAAAAAGTTAGGACAAATAGTACACACAGCAAGAAAAAAGAGTGGAGGAGATAATAAGGGTGATAGAAATGAAAGAGAAGTGGTGTTGATGACCGTAGAAAGCCCTTGCATAGGGGCAGAATATTTCTCTAGCTTTAGTGGAGAGGAAGAGCTATCCAGTAGGAGCTGTTGGATGGAACCTCTTCCTCTATCTCCTTCATTCCATTAAGGTCCTGCTTTCTGCCTCAGGACTTCATGACACATTTGGCTAATATCTGGCAGATTATTCTTCAATATTCTTAGTCTCTAGAGCTATTGAAATTCTTCATTCCTCCTTGTCTATTCATTAGTATTTGAATGGAAAGTTAGGAGAAGGAATTCGTATTTTCTCATTGTCTTTATTGGCAATGTCAATATGATCAGGCATCTGTATTTTCTCATCGTCTTTATTGAGTAGGAGTACTTTTATATAATCCAAGGAGTCCATTATGTAGATGAATATTACAGTGATTCCTCATTGGACGGAAGCAGATTGCATTATTCTTTGTAATTCACATAATTAGAATAGTACTTGGAACATAAGTAGATGCTCAGTCAATATCAATGTGTCTATAAAATAATTTTTGATGTCAGCTACATATTTGAAATCTTACTGAATATTTATAAAGATGTAGTGAACTTTGCAAACATATTTTTATTAAACATGTAATTTGTACCAGCCACTATGCTAAGTGGCTTAAATAGCCATTCACTTTTTCAGTCTTCAAAACACCTATGAGGCAGTATTATCGTTTTACAGATGAGGGAAATGGGGCCCACAGAGGTTAAATAACTTGCCCATTTTACACTAAGTTGCCAGCCTAGACTTCTAGCCCTTCTTTGTCTGACTCATACCTTCATATTCCTGACTACTATACTCTACTGCCTTTCTGAAAAGATGTTAAGCATTCTCAATCAGTTTCAAAACTGATACATTTAAAGTGAATAATTGAGGGGGAGAAGCCAAGATGGCCGAATAGGAACAGCTCCAGTCTACAGCTCCCAGCGTGAGCGATGCAGAAGACGGGTGATTTCTGCATTTCCATCTGAGGTACCGGGTTCATCTCACTAGGGAGTGCCAGACAGTGGACACAGGTCAGTGGGTGCGTGCACCATGTGCAAGCCGAAGCAGGGTGAGGCATTGCCTCACTTGGGAAGTGCAAGGGGTCAGGGAGTTCCCTTTCCTAGTCAAAGAAAGGGGTGATGTACAGCACCTGTAAAATCGGGTCACTCCCACCCGAATACTGTGCTTTTCCGACAGGCTTAAAAAACAGCGCACCACAAGATTATATCCCGCACCTGGCTTGGAGGATCCTATGCCCACGGAGTCTTGCTGATTGCTAGCACAGCAGTCTGAGATCAAACTGCAAGGCAGCAGCGAGGCTGGGGGAGGGGCGCCAGCCATTGCCCAGGCTTGCTTAGGTAAACAAAGCAGCCAGGAAGCTCGAACTGGGTGGAGCCCACCACAGCTCAAGGAGGCCTGCCTGCCTCTGTAGGCTCCACCTCTGGGGGCAGGGCACAGACAAACAAAAAGACAGCAGTAACCTCTGCAGACTTAAATGCCCCTGTCTGACAGCTTTGAAGAGAGCAGTGGTTCTCCCAGTACGCAGCTGGAGATCTGAATGGGCAGACTGCCTCCTCAAGTGGGTCCCTGACCCCTGACCCCGAGCAGCCTAACTGGGAGGCACCCCCCCAGCAGGGGCACACTGACGCCTCACATGGCAGGGTACTCCAACAGACCTGCAGCTGAGGGTCCTGTCTGTTAGAAGGAAAACTAACAAACAGAAAGGACATCCACACCAAAAACCCATCTGTACATCACCATCATCAAACACCAAAAGTAGATAAAACCACAAAGATGGGGAAAAAACAGACAGAAAAAATGGAAACTCTAAAAAGCAGAGCGCCTCTCCTCCTCCAAAGGAATGCAGTTCCTCACCAGCAATGGAACAAAGCTGGATGGAGAACGACTTTGACGAGCTGAGAGAAAGCTTCAGACGATCAAATTACTCTGAGCTACAGGAGGACATTCAAACCAAAGGCAAAGAAGTTGAAAACTTTGAAAAAAATTTAGAAGAATGTATAACTAGAATAACCAATACAGAGAAGTGCTTAAAGGAGCTGATGGAGCTGAAAACCAAGGCTCGAGAACTACGTGAAGAATGCGGAAGACTCAGGAGCGGATGCGATCAACTGGAAGAAAGGGTATCAGCAATGGAAGATGAAATGAATGAAATGAAGCGAGAAGAGAAGTTTAGAGAAAAAAGAATAAAAAGAAATGAGCAAAGCCTCCAAGAAATATGGGACTATGTGAAAAGACCAAATCTACGTCTGATTGGTGTACCTGAAAGTGACGGGGAGAATGGAACCAAGTTGGAAAACACTCTGCAGGATATTATCCAGGAGAACTTCCCCAATCTAGCAAGGCAGGCTGACATTCTGATTCAGGAAATAGAGAGAACACCACAAAGATACTCCTCGAGAAGAGCAACTCCAAGACACATAATTGTCAGATTCACCAAAGTTGAAATGAAGGAAAAAATGTTAAGGGCAGCCAGAGAGAAAGGTTGGGTTACCCTCAAAGGGAAGCCCATCAGACTAACAGCAGATCTCTCGGCAGAAACCCTACAAGCCAGAAGAGAGTGGGGGCCAATATTCAACATTCTTAAAGAAAAGAATTTTCAATCCAGAATTTCATATCCAGCCAAACTAAGCTTCATAAGTGAAGGAGAAATAAAATACTTTACAGACAAGCAAATGCTGAGAGATTTTGTCACCACCAGGCCTGCCCTACAAGAGCTCCTGAAGGAAGCACTAAACATGGAAAGGAACAACCGGTACCAGCCGCTGCAAAATCATGCCAAAATGTAAAGACCATGGAGACTAGGAAGAAACTGCATCAACTAATGAGCAAAATAACCAGCTAACATCATCATGACAGGATCAAATTCACACATAACAATATTAACTTTAAATGTAAATGGACTAAATGCTCCAATTAAAAGACACAGACTGGCAAATTGGATAAAGAGTCAAGACCCATCAGTGTGCTGTATTCAGGAAACCCATCTCACGTGCAGAGACACACATAGGCTCAAAATAAAAGGATGGAGGAAGATCTACCAAGCAAATGGAAAACAAAAAAAGGCAGGGGTTGCAATCCTAGTCTCTGATAAAACAGACTTTAAACCAATAAAGATCAAAAGAGACAAAGAAGGCCATTACATAATGGTAAAGGGATCAATTCAACAAGAAGAGCTAACTATCCTAAATATATATGCACCCAATACAGGAGTACCCAGATTCCTAAAGCAAGTCCTGAGTGACCTACAAGGAGACTTAGACTCCCACACAATAATAATGGGAGACTTTAACACCCCACTGTCAACATTAGACAGATCAACAAGACAGAAAGTCAACAAGGATACTCAGGAATTGAACTCAGCTCTGCACCAAGCGGACCTAATAGACATCTACAGAACTCTCCACCCAAAATCAACAGAATATACATTTTTTTCAGCACCACACCACACCTATTCCAAAATTGACCACATACTTGGAAGTAAGGCTCTCCTCAGCAAATGTAAAAGAACAGAAATTATAACAAACTATCTCTCAGACCACAGTGCAATCAAACTGGAACTCAGGATTAAGAATCTCACTCAAAACTGCTCAACTCCATGGAAACTGAACAACCTGCTCCTGAATGACTACTGGTTACATAACGAAATGAAGGCAGAAATAAAGATGTTCTTTGAAACCAACGAGAACAAAGACACAACATACCAGAATCTCTGGGTCGCATTCAAAGCAGTGTGTAGAGGGAAATTTATAGCACTAAATGTCCACAAGAGAAAGCAGGAAAGATCCAAAATTGACACCCTAACATCACAATTAAAAGAACTAGAGAAGCAAGAACAAACACATTCAAAAGCTAGCAGAAGGCAAGAAATAACTAAAATCAGAGCAGAACTGAAGGAAATAGAGACACAAAAAACCCTTCAAAAAATTAATGAATCCAGGAGCTGGTTTTTTGAAAGGATCAACAAAATTGATAGACCACTAGCAAGACTAATAAAGAAAAAGAGAGAGAAGAATCAAATAGATGCAATAAAAAATGATAAAGGGGATATCACCACTGATCCCACAGAAATACAAACTACCATCAGAGAATACTACAAACACCTCTACGCAAATAAACTAGAAAATCTAGAAGAAATGGATAAACTCCTCGACACATACACCCTCCCAGGACTAAACCAGGAAGAAGTTGAATCTCTGAATAGACCAATAACAGGATCTGAAATTGTGGCAATAATCAATAGCTTACCAACCAAAAAGAGTCCAGGACCACCAGATGGATTCACAGCCGAATTCTACCAGAGGTACAAGGAGGAACTGGTACCATTCCTTCTGAAGCTATTCCAATCAATAGAAAAAGAGGGAATCCTCCCTAATTCATTTTATGAGGCCAGCATCATTCTGATACCAAAGCCTGGCAGAGACACAACCAAAAAAGAGAATTTTAGACCAATATCCTTGATGAACATTGATGCAAAAATCCTCAATAAAATACTGGCAAAACGAATCCAGCAGCACATCAAAAAGCTTATCCACCATGATCAAGTGGGCTTCATCCCTGGGATGCAAGGCTGGTTCAATATACACAAATCAATAAATGTAATCCAGTATATAAACAGAGCCAAAGACAAAAACCGCATGATTATCTCAATAGATGCAGAAAAGGCCTTTGACAAAATTCAACAATGCTTCATGCTAAAAACTCTCAATAAATTAGGTATTGATGGGATGTATTTCAAAATAATAAGAGCTATCTATGACAAACCCACAGCCAATATCATACTGAATGGGCAAAAACTGGAAGCATTCTCTTTGAAAACTGGCACAAGACAGGGATGCCCTCTCTCACCGCTCCTATTCAACATAGTGTTGGAAGTTCTGGCCAGGCCAATCAGGCAGGAGAAGGAAATAAAGGGTATTCAATTAGGAAAAGAGGAAGTCAAATTGTCCCTGTTTGCAGACGACATGATTGTATATCTAGAAAACCCCATCGTCTCAGCCCAAAATCTCCTTAAGCTGATAAGCAACTTTAGCAAAGTCTCAGGATACAAAATCAATGTACAAAAATCACAAGCATTCTTATACACCAACAACAGACAAACAGAGAGCCAAATCATGAGTGAACTCCCATTCACAATTGCTTCAAAGAGAATAAAATACCTAGGAAACCAACTTAACAAGGGATGTGAAGGACCTCTTCAAGGAGAACTACAAACCACTGCTCAATGAAATAAAAGAGGATACAAACAAATGGAAGAACATTCCATGCTCATGGGTAGGAAGAATCAATATCATGAAAATGGCCATACTGCCCAAGGTAATTTACAGATTCAATGCCATCCCCATCAAGCTACCAATGACTTTCTTCACAGAATTGGAAAAAAACTACTTTAAAGTTCATATGGAACCAAAAAAGAGCCCGCATCACCAAGTCAATCCTAAGCCAAAAGAACAAAGCTGGAGGCATCACACTACCTGACTTCAAACTATACTACAAGGCTACAGTAACCAAAACAGCATGGTACTGGTACCAAAACAGAGATATAGATCAATGGAACAGAACAGAGCCCTCAGAAATAATGCCACATATCTACAACTATCTGATCTTTGACAAACCTGAGAAAAACAAGCAATGGGGAAAGGATTCCCTATTTAATAAATGGTGCTGGGAAAACTGGCTAGCCATATGCAGAAAGCTGAAACTGGTTCCCTTCCTTACACCTTATACAAAAATCAATTCAAGATGGATTAAAGACTTAAACGTTAGACCTAAAACCATAAAAACCCTAGAAGAAAACCTAGGCATTACCATTCAGGACATAGGCACGGGCAAGGACTTCATGTCTAAAACACCAAAAGCAATGGCAACAAAAGCCAAAATTGACAAATGGGATCTAATTAAACTAAAGAGCTTCTGTACAGCAAAAGAAACTACCATCAGAGTGAACAGGCAACCTACAAAATGGGAGAAAATTTTTGCAACCTACTCATCTGACAAAGGGCTAATATCCAGAATCTACAATGAACTCAAACAAATTTACAAGAAAAAAACAAACAACCCCATCAAAAAGTGGGTGAAGGACATGAACAGACACTTCTCAAAAGAAGACATTCATGCAGCCAAAAGACACATGAAAAAATGCTCATCATCACTGGCCATCAGAGAAATGCAAATCAAAACCACAATGAGATACCATCTCACACCAGTTAGAATGGCAATCATTAAAAAGTCAGGAAACAACAGGTGCTGGAGAGGATGTGGAGAAATAGGAACACTTTTACACTGTTGGTGGGACTGTAAACTAGTTCAACCATTGTAGAAGTCAGTGTGGCAATTCCTCAGGGATCTAGAACTAGAAATACCATTTGACCCAGGCATCCCATTACTGGGTATATACCCAAAGGACTGTAAATCATGCTGCTATAAAGACACATGCACACGTATGTTTATTGTGGCACTATTCACAATAGCAAAGACTTGGAACCAACCCAAATGTCCAACAATGATAGACTGGATTAAGAAAATGTGGCACATATACACCATGGACTACTATGCAGCCATAAAAAATGATGAGTTCATGTCCTTTGTAGGGACATGGATGAAATTGGAAATCATCATTCTCAGTAAACTATCGCAAGAACAAAAAACCAAACACCGCATATTCTCACTCATAGGTGGGAATTGAACAATGAGATCACATGGACACAGGAAGGGGAACATCACACTCTGGGGACTGTTGTGGGGTGGGGGGAGGGGGGAGGGATGGCATTGGGAGATATACCTAATGTTAGATGACGAGTTAGTGGGTGCAGCGCACCAGCGTGGCACATGTATACATATGTAACTAACCTGCACAATGTGCACATGTACCCTAAAACTTAAAGTATTATAATAATAAAAGAAAATAAATTTTAAAAAAAAGTGAATAATTGTATGATTTTGGTTTAAAAATATAAATGGGAGACCATCACGCAATAATTCTAATATTAGAAGCAATATATCCATTTGGCTACTAAATGCTTTGCTGTACTTCTGTTTGCTTTATATGTGCTTATATCCTTTGTAATATATCTGAAATATTAAGAAAAAAAGATAGGCATTAAGTATACAGCTGCTTTTCAGTCTTAGATATGGTGCTAAGGTTGTTAGCTCTATAGCTCTACAGAGACAGTCTCACCAGAGTTGATGATCTGAGATGGTCACACTGATGGGAATATATATGAAAGGCAAAAATAAGCACACGTATGTGCACACACACACACACACACACCACTAAGTCAGGATATGAATATATGTTAAGGTCTTATGTAATATGCAAGTACCTTTAAGTGAATTTTTGAATGCTCTTAAATACAATTAGAAAACAGCACAGAATCAAAGTTTTTATGATACTCAAAAAGGTTAAAATTTCTAGGATTTTGTCTTGGTAGTTTGTTTTCTATTATAGTGCCCATTATTTTTTATGTGTTGTAAAATAAGCACTTAAAGAGCCAAGCAGGGGTCCCTTTTCTTTCTATATCTTATTTCTTTTCTCAATGGTCATTGCAAGACAAACACATCATTAAACACACAGAAGCCTTACTATTGCGTAATATTTTGTGTCAAGCAGATATCTCTGGAGCAGTCAAGGCAGTTTGTTCCTTTGAGTGCCAGAAGGACCTTGCTGTAGCTCTGCTTTATCTACTATAGTTTCTCAGCAAGGGCAGCCTTATGGGATGTATTCAGGTTGCCAGTCGATAAAAATGAGAATTTCTTCACCCTCTACAAGTTTTATGTCACTGCTGGAGAATGGGAGTTTCTGTTGCTGCAACAAGTTAGTATTCAACTAAAATGTGATCATTTCAAAATGAATAGTGAATTTGTATTACTGAGGATTGCCCCCTTAGGAAGCCAGTGTGCTTTGGTGCCACTGGCATAATCGGCAGCTCTGGACTGGTCTAGTCTGATGTAAGATTAGAGCCATCTAAGGAGAGCTCAAAGGCATCTTGTGCTGTCAGGGACCAATCCAGTGAATCAGAGTGGCAGCTGAGATGGAAAAAAGGCAGCTGCTGGGCCAACACCATGAGACTCAGAGTTATTTTTAAGGAAGCTCAACTGAATTATTTCTTTTCAATGTGTGGCTCTCTGTGAATAGAATGCAGTGACATTGGGTGAAAAGGATAGACTTTATCAGGATTTGGCTGACTGAGTTATGGGGCAGGTATGCATGCTGGGAAGAGCAGGGATGGATGGATTGGAATAAAATATGACCAGTGGTCCAAGCTACTTCACAGCACCACAAAGCCATCTGTTAGGGCTCAACTTAGCATGACCATCATCTCCTGTAGGAAAAGCCAGAGTAAGGGTGCAAAGTTATAGGTGCATGAAGGGAGTTCAAGAAAAATGCTCAATTTCAAAGAAAAATTAAAATGAGCTAACCACTGGAATTTAACAAGTTAATGTCAACACACAATCATCTACAAAGGGGCAGGTCAGCAATTTGTTTTTAACAACTAGACATGTTTTTAAAGAGGAAAATTACTTGGTAAGAATTATATCTTCTATCATTTTCTGTCATCTTATGATGTGGATATTTATGGAATTAAAAATCACAGTGTCTCAGATCAGGTCGAATGTTCAGATTTATGTTAAGACCAGACATTTCCTGTAGTGGTTGGATCAGAGAGAGCCCAGGCCCTTTGTATCCCAGGCAGATGGTCTGAATATGGAGAGAGAGATGACATGGAAGATACGGTTTAAGGCTTTTTGTTTGTTTTTTTGGATTCTTGGTAAAGGAGGTGATATGGTTTGGCTATGTCCCCACCCAAATCTTATCTTGAATTGTAGGTACCATAATTCCCACATCTTGTGGGAGGGACCTGCTGGGAGATAACTGAATCATGGGGCCAGTTTCTCTCATACTGTTCTCATGGTAGTGAATAAGTCTCACGAGATCTGATGATTTTATAAGGTGTTTCCCCTTTCACTTGGCTCTCATTCTCTCTCTTGCTTGTGGCCAGGTAAGATGTCCCTTGCTCTTTTGCCATGATTGTGAAGACTCCCAGCCACAGGGAGCTGTGAGCAATTAAACCTCTTTCCTTTACAAATTACCCGCTCTCAGATGCATCTTTATTAGCAGTGTGAGAATGGACTAAATAGGAGGATTCCTGATTATTTTGTAGGAGCTTTATAAGTATGAAAATGCTATAGTCTTTTCTTTTGTCTCAGCCAACTCATTAATGTTTTTATAGTGAAAAGTTTTCCCTGGTATATTTTTCTGACTGTACCCTCTACCGCGCCATCACCACATAAACAGAAAGGTACCACTTTTTGTCTAGCGTGAGATTCAATAAACATGAGTTGAATGTGTGAGAGGAGAACATGACTCTGTGTATGTGGCAAGAGAACAGACACATAAATAAAACCCAGAACTCTTACACAATGCTCCTTCCCCTTCTACCTTCAATTACTCTTCTATTTCTCCTTGTTATCATTTTCTCAAGTACAGCCTCTTTTTTTCAGAGGAAAAATCACTCATGTCAGGGTTCAATAGTCCTTTACAGGTGTTGATGGATTCCACCATTAATGGCCACTAGAGGTGAGACTGAACACCTAGGAGAGCCAGAGATGAGCTGGTATCTTGGTGCAGGTAACATGGACTGTGGCCATGTGTAGAAATCAATCCTCAGGCTTTCAGTCATGTTAAAACTGGTTATCGAAAGTTTAAGGCGAAGTAGGAATGGGGGAGCAAGTCAGAAAGTCAAAGCAAGTCATGTCAAGAATGGATTGTGCCTCAGTGCTTTTCGTGAAACAGCTCCAATAATAATCAGCTATTCCAATCTCTATCTCACTTCGTGATTTGACTCTATTGGGCATTCTTACTCAGGATGTTAAAAAGCTAGAGTTACATGATTCAAGTATAAAAAAGGAAAAAAGAAAGGAATAGCCTATATCATCAGCTGCCCTTCTTCTTCCAGTTCTTTCACCAGAGTGGAATATTTGCATGAGTATTTATATATATTTACACTTGGGATAGACGAGGCTTACGGGAAATGTGGCTTTGATTGCACCTTCTGAACCATAGCTTGACTGTGCAGATGTTTCACAGCATAAGTGGGGCCAGATGAGTAGAATTAGGCTTCAGGGCCAGGGTGACCAGTCAGCCCAGTTTCCCCAGGACTGGGGCAGGGGATAGAATGTGGAGTTTTATTTTAAAATTGGGATAGTGCTGGGAAAATTGTCCTGATTTGTCTGGGACTGATAGGTTTGGAGGTTGACTGACCAGACTATATGTGCGTGTGTAATACTGTATTGACATTGTGTAAGAACCACCCGCCCACCCCCCACCACTTCACTTGTGTTCATCAAAATGGATTAGCCTCCCTGTCACCCCTCTCCCCTGAGGTGGTTCTGTCAGATCACGTGGGGCTTATTCCATTCTAAGACCATGGCAGAAGAAGTAGGATGTATGCTGTTGGCTTAACGACTTCATCTTATGCAGGGAAGTAACATTAATGTATTAGAACACATATCTAGCTGGGTTTCATTTGCTGGTACAAAATTACATTTTGATTCATGGTACATTTTGATCTGAAACATACCTACTAACTAAACTTTGATCAGTGCTGTGGTCTCTCAACAAAGGGAGAAAATACACCTGTAGAGGAAAATTCTCACACATCTGCTTCACATTTCCTATCTCAAGTGCAAATTTAGATAATCATAAATACAACTTTAAGAAATATCCTCTAAGGTTGTCATGAAAACAGGGTTGAATTCAGATTTGGGAACAAGACCACCAAGTCAGGAACAAAGGCGAGTGAAGACTGAAAGTGGCAGTCAGAACAAACCAAAAATTGCCCATGGATTCTGCTCTGCATTGCTGTTGGTGAGCCATGGTTCCCGCTGCACTTTATTCCACTTCCTCCATGAGTGGCTCTAATGCCCTTGAAGAACCTTTTGTGTGCAGAGTGGCTTTCTAGAAGTACTGGATATATTCTTGCGGAATAGAGTGCTGAAGCATTTTTTGGTTACCTTAGCTTGCAGCTTAAAATTCTTTCATGCAAATACTGTTTCAGTAAATACTGTTTCAGTAAAGATTTGAAGTTATCAGTAGCAATTGAGAAAATAATTGAAATATGGGCATATCACAATTACCATTTGCAGCTATTATCTAATTTCTGCCCTTAGAGTTTATTTAATCATGGGAAAAATAATAAAAGAATTTAATCATGTTAAGTTAATGACAAAGTTAATTTTTCCCTCTGAGAAACTGTTTTTGGTTTGTTTGTTGCTTTCTAAATTCACCAACTTTTGAAATTACCTTCAGAAGACTGTGGGTCAAAGGCTTTCTGTACTTAGATGGCACAATGTGGTTATAAACTCCACAGAGGGTTTACCAGAGTTCCTTGTGTATCAACTATGCAGCACTTTAGTATTTACTACTTGAAGTGTGGTCTGCTGTGAGACAGCACCAGCATCCCCTGGGAACTTGTTAGAATTTTAACCCTAGGCCTAACCTCAGACGTATTAAGTCAGAATTTGTGTGTTAACATGATCTGTAGGTAATTAGTAAACACATGAAAGTTTGAAAAGTGGTGCTGTAGAGAATTTGGAGGAAAAATGAAGGGATGGCTCTAGTCATGTCAGTCCAAGCAATCTGTCTTGCAGTCATAGGGCCCATCCTCCTTGGAATGTCCAACCAAGACCTGTATTTGCAGTGGAACACACATCCTGCTATAGAACAGAATTCTTCCACGCATCAACGTCCCGCACTCTATGAATGTTGGTGCCACTTTTACTGTTGCAAACACATCACCACAGCTGGAAGTTGACTCTTGGTCTACTCCAGCAAAATGACAGCTGCAGTCCATTTTCCAAGCCTTCAACACTTTGAGCAAAGTGCATGTTTTGTAATGTTTGGAAGAGACATGTCATAAAGCAGCAGTTTGGAAGGGGGTTGGGCTGCAGTTACCTCAGAGGAGGGCCCAGTAAACCTCTAGGAAGGAAATAGCAGCCATTAGATAGATAATTAGGACCTTCAACACTCTTAGCAGCAAAAGATGCAATGCTTTAGAATTATGCTGGTAGATAATAAGGCAGTGTCAACCCTGCTGTAGACTGAGATTATTGAGTGGAGAATTGGAAATGAGAGGCTAGTTTCTTTTTTATCATGGAAAGTTTTTTTTCTTTTGATTCGTAAGTCATGAAGCGATAAGTTTTTGGAGTCATAAAAACTGAAGACTTGGAGGCATCAGCAAATTTTCCTCCACTGACTTTGTTCACTCAGAGCTTTTGTGTGTCTTCCAGGGCTACCAGTGCCACATAAGTCTGAAGGGGTCCCCTCCCCATTGCATTTTATGTTAGTTGGACCCCCTGGGGTTGTGCAATGCTGCAACTCTGATTACATTTCCTCAGTGTAGACTGTAAGCAAAAAGGATATAAGAAGAGCGATTTCCGTTATTCAACAGATATTATAATTAGCCTCAACCCACATGCATATCAAAATCATTCCTAAGACTACAAGAAATCTGCTCAGGCCACATTTTTATAAATATTGATTCTGTAGGTCTGGGGAAGGATCCAGGAATTTGTATTTCTATTTATCTCTAGGTAATTCTGATATGCTGTCAACTCTGTCTTTAGTGTTTAGTGCTGAGGCCGATACTTAAAAAATTAAGACACTGTCTATGCCTTCAAGCATCTGCAATCCTATGAGAGAGCTATACATATAAATGACACATAATACAATACTAATTTAGGGCTGTGAAAGAGGCAAATACAAAGAACTCCAGAATGATTGTGGTGGAGAATGGAGCCAAACTCTTACTTGGTCATGTCTTTGTGTGTTTGTGTATACATGCAGCTCTAAGCAAACCTGGGACCTCTGTGAGATCTGTGTTAGCTCCCCTCTTCAGTGCCCTGTTCTGACTGACTTGTTGAGCTCTTGACCCCTTCCATTCCCTTTCCTTTCCTTTCTCCGTTTTTTTAAAAAAAAAACAAAACAAAAAAACAGGGTTTCACTCTGTTGCCCAAGCTGGAGTGCAGTGGTGTGATCTCAGCTCACTGCAGCCTCCACCTCCCAGGCTCAAACTATTCTCCCACCTCAGCCTCCCGAGTAGCTGGGATTACAGGTGCGTGCCACCATGCTCAGCTAATTTTTATATGATTTGTAGAGACAGGGTTTCACCATGTTGCTCAGGCTGGTCTCAAACTCCTGGGCTCAATCGATCCACCCACCTCAGCCTCCCAAAGTGCTAGGATTATAGGCATGAGCCACCACACTGGGCATCTTGACCTCTTTCCACTCCTACAGATAAACAGGCTCCTTTGGCCTGTCTCTGTAAACCCTGCTGTTGAGAAATGATTTACTTGTTCATACGGAGGTATATTAATAATCCTATTATGTTCCTTTTTATGGAAACCTTCCATTTTAGTAGACTGACTAAGACCACAATGGGACTTGAGGAGTGGCAACCTGGGTCTGGGAGGGGTACATGCTTGCGTGCGTGCGTATGTGTGTGTGTGTGTGTGTTTGTGTGTACACACACACATAGAGAGTTGGGAGTGTGAAGGCTTCTCGTAATCCTACCAGGTGGCCACCTCTTGTTACTGCATTAGAAGCTGACTGCAAAGTTTAGAAATTTAGTTAGGAAATGAGAAGAGAGGGATGGGTATGAATTGCTGCTAATGGCTTACAGTGGCTACTAGTTCAAAATGAAGCACTAATTCAGAGAAGTGCTGAGCAAGAGGAGAAAAGAGAATTAAAAGAAATGAAATGCCAATGAACAGTTGATCATGTCTTAATGAGCAGTGAGAATCAATGAGGTGAAAAATGTCAGCCTGCTCAAAAAGATGCTTTCCTGGTTTTAAAAATAATCAGTAGGGTACCAGATTCATCCTATAATTTAGAAATGATTATCAAATTTATATTTACTTGTGTTTTTTCACCATCAGCAAATCATTGTTTCCCTGAATTCTTATTATGAAAATCATATTTCCTTATTATTTTCACTTTATATATGAATGAACTGAGGAAAGTTTATTACTCCAAGGCAATCTAGATTTTTGATCATCAAATTCAGCTTCTGTTTTTCTGGGTAGCAAAGCCAGCACTTCCATATCTTGACCTCACAGCTATACCTTATGGGCAAGCTGTAGTGATGAGAAGATTATTAATATAATTCTCATACAAGCTTCTCTGAAAGTAAGTAGAGGTACAATAGTAGAGAGTTTGGCTCTATTGCATGGGTTGCAACAAGTTTTAGAACTCAAGCCCCTTTCCTTTTAGATTTATGTTCATTTTGATAGATTATTCATCCATTGCCTGATGTACGGTTTCAGAGAGTGAAGCCAAAGAAGCTTAGAACTTGTCCTCTGAGAAGGCTATTTGCTACTGGTTGATGGGGTGCCTAGGATGTTGACAGCTGACCTCTTGAATAGTTTTATCCTCATCACTTTACAAACAACCACTGGATTTCCAGGCCTTAAGCTTTGTTGAGAACTCTCAACAAGTACATGCAGGTATTCCAGGACACTTCAAAATGTATTAATCTCTGGTGTGAGATGAACATGTTGCCTGTCCTGAGATTTCATTTGCAACAATTGTCGTGCTTTCCTCTCTTGGAGATGCTGCTGTCGGGCATGAAAAATACAACACAAATTTTATGAGCAATAATCACACCTCCTCTGAATCATCTGTTTGAGTTCTTCCAGGTTTGAAATAATTGAACCTGCACAAGGACAATGGCAGGTGCACTAACTTATGTTGCTTTAGTTATCAGGAAGGTCAACCCCACTTTAAATAAGAGCCTGGCTGATATTGCTTCCTAAAAGCTATGGGGAAGGCACTACATGCCCTTCTGATTTGTTTGTCAAATATGTCTGAGATGACACACATCTCTGTTTGCTTTTATATAAGAGAATATAACATGGCTGGAATTCAAAACACCAATGGAAAAAGTCAAGTGAGGTATTTGTTGATAGATTGTTTCCTCCCTGTACTTCAAAATGAACAAAGCCATCACTTTATGGTACCTGTCAGGATTTGAGATTCCACAAAAATTAAGATAGAAGTGGTAGTGAGGAATGCCTATGTATAAGATAAGTCATCTATTTAGCAGCAGCTAATTCATCTGTACTCTGCTTTATAAGAAATACAATAGGCTTGGATCTCTCTTGCCCTTTTTTTGTCTCTCTCTCAGAATCGCGGCATGTCTTCCAAGGAAAAAACTGTAACTAAATCTATGGCAAGTTTTTGGATTAGAAAAATCTAGGCTTCATGAAGATAAGAGCAGAGCTGTGGAAAAGTAAGACAAAGAAATCATCCAACAATACAAGCAACATACAAGAGGTTTGCAGTCTATCAATGAAAACTGATTAAATTTACATAAGTGCTAATCTCAGAAGATTAGTGCATTGACAATCTATAGTGTGTGCAATGGAACTTGAAAAGAGTACTACAAGACTGCCTCCTCACCATTTCCCAATGACCTGTACAATTAAGCAAACGACATATTCTTTGATTGCTTGTGTGTTGGCCTGGAACACTAAATCTCATAGTTCATTAGTATGCGTTGTTAGATGTTTCAATTCCCAGCTACGGTGTTGTCTGGAAGAAACAGCCTCAGGAGGGTAGGTAGATTATGCAAACTATGGATTTTTGAATGTTTTCTAATTAAACATAGCAAGAAATCTATAATATGCCTTGATTTGCTTAAGTCCTTGTTAATAAAATTTCTAGAGTAACAGGAAGATGCATCAATATACTGTATGGCAAAGACTTTTTAGCACTAATTCCAACCATGTCACTCTCTAGCGGTCAGAGATCCACCTTCTTAATTCCACGTTGAGGTTTGGCATATGAGGAAAAACCCACAAGCCTTATTCTGGAATAGGGTAAAATCAGTGGTTAGTTGTCAATTCCTATTTCATAGGAAGATTGAATATGATAATTGTAGATGGGGTGTTTATCCTTTCTCTTGACCACTTTGGTGAAGAAAGGCAAAATTAGGAATTGGCAAAATAGGAGTGAGAACTAGACAAAACTGAAAATAGCTGTGAAAAGAAAGGACTTAAAACTGTATTCTGCATTGACTGCTCACTGATACCATTTTAATTTTGGTAAAAGGTGATAGTGTGCATCCTTAATTTCTGAAGAGTTACAGAAGGCCTTATTTTTATTCTGTTTCATTACCAATAGTAACTATAATTTATATGGCATCTACTGTGTGCCAGACACTATGCTAAATCATACACATTATTCTCTGATCTTAAATCCAAACTTTCAGCTATATGATTCCCATTTTAGTAAGGAGAAAATTGAATAGGTGAGTGAATAGTTTGTGCAAGATGATTGCTAATGAGTAATGGAGTATTTTACAACTCGTGTCAACCTGACTCCAGAGTTCTGCAATTCCAACTGCCATGCCTTTCCTTCCTATCCACCAACCTGGCCAAGTTTAGAAACTAAAATGATTACATGTGTTCTTTCTGAGTCCATCTTGGTACATAAAAATTTAATATTTTTTTGTATGTGATAAAAATGCCTTCCTATTTAAAATTCAGTGTTGGCGGAGTGTGGTGGCTCACACCCGTAGTCCCAGCACTTTGGGAGGTCGAGGCGGGTGGATCAGCTGAGGTCAGGAGTTCAAAGCCAGCCTGGCCAACCTAGTGAAACCCCGTCTCTACAAAACATCCAAAAATTAGCCAGGCATGGTGGCAGGCACCTGTAATCCCAGCAACTCGGGAGGCTGAGGCAGGAGAATCTTTTGAACCCGGGAGGCGGAGGTTGCAGTGAGCCGAGAGTGAGCCATTGTACTCCAGCCTGGGTGACAGAGCGAGACTCCGTCTCAAAAAAAAATTCAATGTCAAGTATTCTTAGTTCTTAGAATAGATAACTCACTTGTTATACTACTTTAAAACAGCCAGGGATACAAATGACAGGACAAATGGTTGCTGTTCATGTAGTTATTCTTAATTTGTGGAAGGATTTTTTTTTGTTTGTTTGCTATACTGGTTGTATTTATGGATACAAGAAAAAACACAAGACTAGATGTGATCACTCAAATATGCTAATTACTTATTCTGTGAATATGCATCCACACTATACATGGCAACATTAAAGGATCATTCCCCACACAATCCATCAATATGTAGCTGTCAATCTGTCAGTTAATTACAATTAATGCAGCTGACAAGGCAGAGCTCCAAAGCATATTAACAATACTTTACATTCTCCAGTCATGACATTTGAGCCATCATACAGTGTGTGTGAATATATATTAAAAATAATGCATCCTTTTCTTCTAAATAATTTTGACACAATGGTGACATGTTTCTCTGTTTTCTAAAGGGCTTATATCACTTCTGTCCTCCTTCCCAGCCAAGTAAAGTAAAGCAAAAGAGAAACAACTTTCAAAAGGACTGAAACACTATGGACTCAATTTCCATGTGCTGCACTAAATGGGGTCCTTAGAGCATCCCGGGCTGTCTTTGCTCTGATTTTATCAGAGTAAAAAATTTAAATTTTGCTTATGATAGGCTGAAGTTCTTATAAGGAGGAGAATTCTGGAAGAATTTTAAAGAGACATGATTAAAAATAAATGCTGCACATTGACAAATGTTTGCCTCTAGATTTTTTTCCTTTTAGTAATTGTATTCATCTTAACATATGGAGATTTACTGCATAATTATGTACCATCCTGAGTATATGGCATTTCTGCAAACTGGTACAGACATAGGCAAAGGGATTGTAAGGACACATGTTTGAGAAGACCCAGGAACTCTCACGATTGGTCTTAGGACCCTCCCTTACTTCAGTAATGCAAAAATCCTCATCAAGAGGTTTTTTTTTGTTTGTTTGTTTGTTTTTGTTTTTTTTTTTTTTTTTTTTTTTTTTTTTCTGGTCCTTTGTAAAATGGACTAAGCCAAAGTCTGCAGGGTCTCAGGGCATCCCCAATGCCTCAATATCAAGCAGCTGCTCTATCCTGAAGAAGGCTTTGCATGTGATTTCTCCACATTTCAGCTTTTCAAGTGGCTCCAGAGACCATGATCAGGTGTTCAAATCATACAGCTTTTTCTGCCTTCTCCCCTGTTTTCTTTCTTTCTTTCTTTTTTTCCAGTTGAGACTTCCAATGGGTTGTTTCTCAAAAGGAAGTTAGGAGACAAGGATTCACCTTAATCCATTGGCACTCTGAAAACTACCTAGTTCATAGGTACCTGACATTCTCATCCATGTTCCTATGCTTTCCTGCTCATGCATCAGCAAGATGACTGTCAGTGAGTTGAAAGTAATTACATAGAAATGCCATGGTGGCTAGCTCAAGGTGCCTTGTACCTTGCAGCTGATGCAGGATATTTTTTTTTTTGACCGCTTCGAGGGATGGGTGACAGGGATTCCCCATTTACTCCTCCCACTGTGCTCAACCCCTTGTGGGAGGGAACACATAGGTGAGTGAGTACAGGAGCTAGCCAGCTGCTTCAGCACTGGCAGAAGCAAACTCCATTTACTCAGGCCTGCTTCACCCTACCCCTTGTGGGAGGGAGCATGCAGGTGAGCAAGTGCAGGAACCAGCTGCTTTGGTGTTGGCAGGAGCAAACTCCATGCAGGCCCTGTGGTAGCATACAGGTGCAGGTGCCTGTGACCTCAAGGCCCCAGAGGGTGTGTTACTATGCTCTCTCAGCTCTGCTGTACGCAGATAGCAGTGTGTTGTCAGCTCAGTGGGCCCTTTGCCTTGTTGTGTGGGGTGGCTGTCCTCCACTAATGAGGGTAAAGGGCCAGTGTGACAGCCTTTTTGGGTACCCACACTTGGTGTATCCTGAATTCTTGTCCAGTGGCCAAGAAGAATGAAGTCACACAGACAAATTGAAGGATGGTGAATGCAGACAATTTTATTGAGCACTGAAAGTGGCTCGCAGCAGACAGAGGAGCTGGAAAGAGTACGAGAAGGGCAGGTCGCTTTCCTCTGAAGTCAAGTCACCTCTCTGCCTCTCTCCTTCGAAGTCAAGTTGCCTCTCTCTAATGTCCAGCTACTTCTCTTAAGTCAAGACACCTCTTTTTGATGTCCAGCCACTTCTCCTCTCTACTGGCTGAGTCTAGGGTCTTTGTAGGCACAGGATGGAGGGTGGGGCAGGCCTTAGGTAGTTTTGGAAAAGGCAGCATTCAATTAGTAAAAATACAATATTCAGAAAGAACCAATTGGGATAGAGTGGGCAAACAGGGATAGAAGTTCTCACTTTGGGCCATGGGTTTCAGGCTTTTCAGCTTGAAGGTGGGGCTTTGGCAGTGACCTGTCCCTGTCAGCTGAGAGTTTCTCTGCCTCTTGTCTCTATCACAGCCACTAGACTGTGGGCCAAAAGAAGCCATTGTTGGGAAGGGTATCCCATGCCATTGATGTATCACATTTCTCCTTTCTTGGTCATCTCCTAAGAGCATTGCAACGCTCCTCTAAGTATTTCCAACTCTTTGCATTCAGAGTGGAACAGACTTTGACAGTAATGTTTTCTGTAGAAAAGGCTCTGCTTGCCAGAATACTCAGTTCCTATTCTCATTCTCTTCCTCTCTTCCCTCATTATTACATTTTAGCAATAGGTTGAACATGAAAAAATAGCAGAAATGAAGGGTTAATGATTAAAGTACTTTAAAACCTTTACTCATAGAAAGAAGGAAATTACATGTTTGATCTGTCTCTTACTTCAATGATTAAATCTTTTTGCGAAATTGTAACAATGTACTCATAAGAATTATTCTCTCTCTTCAATGTGAAAGAACACTTTACAATTAAACCCATTGCATCCCATCAAGGTTTCCTCTTAAGCAACATAATTGTTCTGTCCTATTCGTGGTATATTTTAATATTCTCCTTGAGACTAAATTAATTAGGTTTTCATGTTGTCAAATGTTTTTGAAATGACCTGTATATGACAACGTAGACATTGTGATTTCTAACTACAAGAGAGAAAGTATAATGAAAGAAAATATCTTTTTGTTACTAAGTTTGTAGGAAGAAATTTGGGATTCTTAAGCAGGGAAGAATGCTATTATGTATTATTTATCTTCCTAAGCATGATATTTAGAATTTCCTAAAACATACTTCTTGGAAATCTGTGTTTACCTTCTTTCAACCATGATCCATGGAAATTGTTCTTTTTGTGAATGATAGTTTGTTATTAGTTTGAATTCTTAAAAAGTGTGTTTTTAATTTTTATGGATACATAATAGTCATACATATTTATGATAAAAAGGATGCTATAATGTGACATAGTTCCTGGGAAGTGAACTCTGTACAGCTTCAAGCATGTCAGTTTCTGTCTGTTGTGATTTATCTATGTCTAGCAATGGAAGGATACATGTTGCATTGTATAAAATGTATTATGGTGACTTTCTGGGCCAGGCTACAACCTAGGAAGAGTAGTAATTACTAACCACACAGAGGCACCCACTTCCTTAATTTTTGTCTTAATCATTTATTTTTACTTTAGTTTTTTTTTTTTTTTTTACTGGAAATAAAATTTGCAGCTTCAGGACTTAATATTTTAATCCGGCACCATTTAGAAATTTTCAAACTGTTAGATCACCAGCCTTAGAAACCTTATGAATTTCCTCCACTTTAGTAGGAGCAAAAGTGAGAAAGCCAGCTCAGTTATGGCCAATTTGGCAATTTCCAGACTGATCGTCTGTGTCCAGCCTGTAGTTTTTCCTTCTATTTTCTTCTATATGATAATTTGCAATGAAAAAATTATAGTTTAGAGAATACTTATTTTCAACTTACTATATACCTGCTTGCATAAAAATAGTTACTATAAGCATAAATCTAGAGGAATTCTGATGTCGTTATGTTTCTAGTGCCTTTGGGAATTTGGAGAGGGCTTGGCTCCATTGTGCCTTGAAAAAACTAATTTTCTTTAAGGTATTTGTTAACAAATTGGTGTTTGTTCATTTCAGTACAGCCTTTTGTAAACCCTAAATTTAGCTAGGAGGTGGGGCAGGTGGGAGATTCATAGTCACTACATAAAAGAGCTTCAAGAAGATGTTATCAATTTAGAGGATGACTTTTGTGTTGGTTTTCTTCCTTTTATTTGAGTGAAATACTTTTGGAAAGAAAGACTGAAAGAAAAGAAAGGAAAAAAAGGAAGGAGGGAAGAAGAAAAAAAGCAAGCAGGATTTCTATTAGTAGTTTTCTCTACATAGACTAGGAAAATACAATAAAATAATGGCCAATTTATAAACCTTGAGCATTTATTGTTGATCATTACTGATGATGGATTCTACTATAGGTTCATCATGTATAGGTAGATATGTCCAAAGTCCATTGGCCTTATTGGAACAATGCAAATGAAAATTAGGACCGGCATGAACATCTGTATATACGAACAATCATTTTATTGTAGAGCTTTAATAAACATTACTGATCTGTAGGGTGTTACTTTTCTTCAACAGAAATTATTCATTTTTTATCTTTTTTTTCTTTTTTTGCTAACTGTTCTGCTTGGGAATTGTAGTAAGACACTGTGTTAACTTTTAATGCAGTTACTTAGAACACTTCTCTCTCCCAAAACCTCCTGCAGGTTAGCCCTAAGAAGCTTACCATCATTCTCATCACTGTAATCCACCAGAGGAGAAGTAAACATGGCTTTGGCCCTTGGAAAAGTGATTTCAACTCTAACTTTGTGCTAGGACATTAAAAAACCACAGAAAGAAAGTCAGTGCAATTATCTTGTAGGCATACAGGCTGCCACCAAGTGTGGATAATGTCTGACCAAGCTATAAATCAGCAGAGCATGACAGGCCAATTCCCATTATCAAGACCCTCATGGGGCATCATAGTTTCATTGTAGTGGAATTTTGTTATTTTCAGAAACTTCATAAAATTATCTAGTTTTCAGGACTATAGATGACATATGTGGCATCCAGTTTTCTGGAGGTCGTAAGAAGGTAGAAAAGACCTACCGTGGAAGTAATAAAAGAGTACAGCAAGATTGTTGAATATAAGATCAACATATCAGAATCAATTTCTTTCCTACAACCTGGCAATAACCCATTAGAAAATAGAATAAAAGAAAGGATTTCGTTTAGAATTGCAATAATATCTATATAGTGTCTAAGAATAAACCTAACAAAGAATGCAAGAGCTTCAAGGAGAAATGTTTAATGAAAAGGCTAACTTTAAATTAATACATTTACCATGATACATTTATATCCAGAATCACCCACAAAATATATTTCAATGTATTTAATATAAAAGTATAAAGATGGACTAGAAGGGATATGTATCAAACTTACGCTTTGGAAATTAGGTTTGGAACTGATATTGGAATGATGGTCAAAGGAGACTTCAGTTTTATCTTTGTATTACAAAAAAACTTTTTGTTTTATTTGCAATCTTCAATTTTTTAAAGAATTCACTCATATATTGTGTATTGAAAAAGTTTATACATGGAAATATTAGAACACTAGAAGCAAATAGATTAGAATACCAATTCTGTATGCTGAGAATATGGGTGACTCTTATTTTCATTTTCTTTTTTGTTTTAATATTTTCCAAATATTATCTCCCATTGTTTCAGAAAAAAAGGTGACTTGCTATAAATTCAGTCAGAGAAGATTAGGGGCTAAAGCCAGAATGTTAGGAAGAGGAGAAAAGAGCCAGGTGCATCACGACATTGTAAAAAAAAAAAAAAGTTATAAAACAAAACAGAATTTGTACTCATCAAGCCAGGGTTGATGGTCTTCACTATGGAATTCAGGCAAATTGTTTGCCCAATGTGGTTAATGATGAGTAGGGTCCCTCCATTTCCCACCGTTGTGCTTTTCCTGTTAACTGCTAGACCGAAAAAGGGATCCCTTCTAAAAGTTCTTTCTAACCTCCTAGAATATTACCTGACATTAAGTTTGTATGTTTACAATTGCTTTTCTCAGTTAAATAATTATGGATAAAAACTTTGGTTCTATTGATTCAATACCTAGCTGTGCTTTTTTTCCAAGTATAATTCTATTTCCTTGTACTTAATGGAAAGCAGCATTATTATCCAGAGAATATCGAGACCATGATCTTCCCTACATAGAAGAGGCAAAAACAGAGGGAGGGAGAGAAGAAAAGCACTGTAATTCACTTGAGAAATGGCAACAGGAGAAAATAACTGTGGCTGGGCAACCTTGAAAAGTACAATATGTTAAAGGTAGTTAGCAGTAATACTATTTTTACTGGACAGTTCTATGTAGGCACAGAAGCGATTAGAATCGGGGGAAGGCAGAGATGAAGCCAACAGGCCCAGGGTTGCAAGGCCTCTTATCCAGTTACTCAGAATATGAATGGAGCTGTTTATGTCTCTGCAGTGAGCAGGTTTCATTTCTCTGATGCAGTGTGTCTCCCGGGCTTGTTTCCTCACCTTCTTTCCCTTTTCAGCATTGCCCTTCTCTGGTGTTCACCATGGCTACCTCTTCAGCTGCACCTAGGACCCTGGAGACTCATCTCAAACATTCTACAAGCAGCAACTCCCAGCTAGTTTTAACTGTTCAACCTAGAATGGAGACTGCATGTATTTAAAGAGAGGTATCAGAGAGTTTGGCCATTTCATAATGACTCAAAAGCTTTAGGTATCACATTTTAGATTACTTCAGAGAAGGAGAAGCTGTGGCTATCATAAGTGAGTGTTATACCTGCATGCCCCTCTTCTGTCTGGGTGCATTTTAAATATGAGATAGATAAATCCTTTCTGGAAAGCACAGACATAAAAAAATCAATAATCAATTTACTTTTACCTATTGCTTCACAGATAATAAAGCAGAGGAATTTCACTTTTCTTCATAAGAATTTTTCTTTTCCCCAAATACAAATTTTCTCTCCAAAGCTTTTCTTTTAGTTCTATAGAAGAAGTAGGCTTCAAGTAGATTCTAATATGTTGTTAATTCCCATGGTCCTCATTTTAATGAGTGGCACTGGTTCAAGGTAGAAACGTCATAGCAGCTAGCCTGCAGCTAGGGGCCAGGGCCTAGAGTGGCCCCAGTGGATGGGAGCAGGTCGCTAGTACTGACAGTGAACATTCAGAACAGTGAGTTAGGAATCTGTGAACCCAGAGGGCTTCCTATCTATCAGTAGTTATGAATCTCACATTTATGGATTTGGTGCTTGTACTTCAGAGAAAATGAAGGCTGTTTCATAAAAGAACATTGCTGGAAAAATTTCATACAGAATATGCTTTTCATAATAGCAATGAAAAGTAGAAGTTGTGTGGAGAATAAAATCACCATATGCAGAAAAAAAGGTTTAACTGAAAATTCAGCAGTGAATACAATAATAAGCAGAAGGCATTTTATGGATTTTTTTTTTTTTTCAAAAATCATCCAGTTCTGATTTGGTCTTAGTCTGAGTTTGATAACTGGTTACCATTCCTGTGCCATGTTGAGTAGACTCTCATTTGCTCAACATCATTGGGTAATGATGTATTTTGTGTGCACACATTTCCTAGGTAATTGAAGACTAACCTTTTAAGAATTAAAACGTCTAATACGGCTTAGGTAAAAATCTTTTCACTTTATAATCCTTTAAAATTGAGTCCACGGAACACTGTTCAGCATTTTTTTGACAACCAAGATTCATCTTTGACAATTTCATGCATTGTATTATGGTGAAATGCAATGATGTTTCTCCTGGCATGTTGTTTACAGTGGTTTATGTCCATACTAACTGATGCTGGATTGTTCTGTTTGAGATCTGTTGTCTTCCTCCTCCCCACCCCCCGCCACCCCCTAGTTCTCTCTTTTGTCAAATTGTAATGTTATATTGACTATGTCAGTGTGTTCTCCTTTCTGGATTATTAAAATTTTATGTGGAAAGAGAAACCGGATAACCAAATGTATTAGAAGAAAATAAGGGAATAGGTATATGGGTTCTGAGGATCTCTGTAATGAGTAAAGTTCATGAACTTTCCATTGTATATATGTTGTGGAATTTATCCTCCACCTTTAGGAACAACAACCAAGCTTCTAGAGAAATGGCCTATGTTTTCTACCTTGGCCAGTTCCTCATACTTCTTAACCCACTGATTTTTCTCCCCTTTAGAGACTGAGACTCCTCTTACTTTGATTATTATAACATTTTCTCTTTTAATTATTCCTTCTCAGTTCTCTTTGGTGCCTCTTCTTTGTCTCCCCTCTTGTATGACATTTAAGTCTCAGCCCTCATCTTTCTGCTCTGTCTTGGCCAGCCATCAGAAGGGGATATTGCTAAGGGTCCTTGGGGCCTATTATTGGAAGGGAGAAAGACTAGTGGGAGCAGGAATGGTCAGCAGAGGGAGAAAGAGCTCAAAAGGCCAGGGAAAGGAGCAAGCTGCAACTCTGGAAGACTGAGTGTGTGGTATGGTCAGATAAATAACAGGATGGTAGAGGAAGGCTAATCTGAATAGATGTAGAAGCTAGGGCCAGACTCAGCTAGGAGATTTAGGTACAAGGATGCATCAGAGTCCAGGGAGGATACTTGGTAGCTGACAAAATGTGAGCACTGGGCACATACCACTCCAGCAAGCATCTTTCAGAAGCTACTTAATGTCCAAAGGTGGAGAGAATACAACTGAGCTCTTCAGGTTCAAGCTCAGAGCAAAGTGACTAGCACACAACTCTGCTAGCTCCTAGCTGCACCACCCTATTTCACTCTTTATTTTAGAGAGAGGATCAGTATAGGTACCAGTCTATTTAGAAAAGCGATTGAGGAGGGGAAAAGCAAATACAGTCATGTGCTGCACAATAATTTTATAGAGAGTTCCATCGCCTCAACCCATGATAGGTTCCATATCGATGTTCCTTCAATATTTATTGAGTTTCAGGTATGGGCCAGGCTTAAGTTGGGCATATTGTGGATACAAAGATGGGTAAGTAGACAAGGTCCTTGTTCTTAAATTTAAGCCAACACCTGCCACAACCTTCTAAAGGACAACAATATGCCCCTGCCTAGCATAATGCAACTATTTTTGGTATACATGAAATCCTTTCCCCAAAAGGTAAGACCTAAAACCCTATCAGTTACCACATCATCTCTGAATGATGTTTATTCCTTTTCCTGCTTAGTTACACTCTTAAATCACAATCCTACAGGATATAGTATAACTTAGTTAAGTCATTGACAACATACTTTATATAAAATATTAAGGGGAAAAGGAATGGAGAAATTGTTTAATAATACAAACACAAATATTTAATATATTAAGAGCAAAGAAGAAAAATATATAGCGCCTATTGTCATTCATTTTGGAACTGATCATGAGGCTATAATATAATGGTGTATTTATATCTTCCTTACTATTTATTTCATGTTTCCTTTTTCCAGCGTCAGCACCTAATTTAGTTTCTTGTTTCGTTTTGTTTTTAATCTGGGTTAGTTGGGATAACTCTAAGCCTCAGCGTTGAGGACTACAGGGTATTCTTGCTTGTACTGGGTTATTATAGTCTCCCATGAACTTTTACTCTGGGACATGGCATTGCCAGGAAGGAGATGCACTTCCCCCTCAAGAGCGATTACTCCATATACCAAAGCAACCTTTTTTCCCCTATTTGTTCATGACTTAAACTGCTTATAATGGCCATTGGACTGTCTTGATTTCAAGCTTAGTGGAACCAATAGTTTGGTCCCTGCTGGAAGCATTATTCCCTGGGGTACTAAGACTGCAAAACCAGTAAAAGTCAAAGCTACGCCTTGTGAAGTAAACTTTTGTTTGTAATTACATGTAGTGATAAGAAGTGTTGGCCGGGCGCGGTGGCTCACGCCTGTAATCCCAGCACTTTGGGAGGCCGAGACGGGCGGATCACGAGGTCAGGAGATCGAGACCATCCTGGCTAACACGGTGAAACCCCGTCTCTACTAAAAATACAAAAATTAGCCGGGCATGGTGGCGCGCGCCTGTAGTCCCAGCTACACGGGAGGCTGAGGCAGGAGAATGGCGTGAACCCGGGAGGCGGAGCTTGCAGTGAGTCGAGATCGCGCCACTGCACTCCAGCCTGGGAGACAGAGCGAAACTCCGTCTCAAAAAAAAAAAAAAAAAAAAAAAAAAAAAAAAAAAAAAAGAAGTGTTGCTCCTGCTAGACACACGAATTCTATCTCTAAAAGAAAATGTACCACATAATGATTGCTGATTCAGAATATATATCATATCTAGTTCTGCAGCAGGAGGACACCCTGACTTTACGCGGTGTTATCTTCAGGCTGGAGCTGTAACTAAGTCCTTAAGCCAGACTGTTGTTCTGTGGAGTCACTGGCTTTTGTGTGATGATATGTGAAAATAACAGGAAATATAGGTATCAACTCATTACCTCATTTTTAGGAGCCGTAAAATGCAGTTCTCAGTCAGCAGCAATACTGGCTGGAATAATGTCAATACTGGAATAACAATAATGGCATAGCAAAAATGGCATTTAACAAGCCCACGGATGGCATTGTTGACAGAAAATGCTCTTTATTGCAATGTAGACCAAGCGCTCTCCATGATGAAAGGAGTTTAATCATCTTGCCAGCAGATGGCTGGGTAGTTGTTTTAGAAGTCTCATCATTGTTGCCTGTGCTTGACAGAAAGGACACTCCGTAGCTATGGTAAACAATGATAATCGGGAGACTAAATCATCGATGATTGGAAGACCATATTTTTATCCCATCTATTGCCTCCGCTCCTGCTACCATGACCACTTTTACATGGTCCCATGGATTAAACACTGGAGTGACAGGGAAAATCCGATGACTGACATCCACAGGATGATTTACCCTTTCCATTGGCTTGGTATTTGTCTTCTGATGAGCATTTGCATACACACAAATACAACATAAATATTTGTAGACTTTGTGTCCATTTTGTAAAATTGATTCATATACCTTTTCCCAAACCTTTTTGTCACTAGTCTTCTATTCTTGTTCTTTCTAAGACCCTTACTACCTAGCCAGATCCTCCCATTAGTCACTGTGGACCATCTCTTCTTCCACGAGAAGTGGACAACCATAGGTACTACTCAGAGTTTTTTCCACTCTGAGGACTGCCCTTTTCACTGTCTTTTAGAGCCACAAAGAATATGGGATTTGAATCTGCAGTGATTTTGTTCACATCGCCATTGCTTTTGAAGCTTATTAATTTGCTAACTATTGTAATTTGTTGTTTGAGATATTCCATTGTTATTTTTATTGAATAGGGAGGAGTAGATGTTTTTGATATTTCCTGTAAATTGCTATGTATATACACAATAGTAAGAAAACCTGTACATGTTGTAGTTAAGAGTGAAATATATTTATTTCATTTCAGAATCTATTGCCTTATTTAAAGACGAATTGGGGAAGACTAAGTTGTCTTTTTTGAAGATCTCACGAAATGGATTCCATTTTAGAATATCTCACAAAATTTCAACAGAATAAGCAGAGTGAATGCCCTCCATTTTGAAGGATAAGTCATATGTCAAGTAAAATGTCTCAGCATATGACAACATCTTGTAGAAAGACTTTGACCTCCAGTGTGTATCATTGTGATCATGGGGATATGTTGTAGTTGGTGTGATTTTTCTTATTTGTCAACTATATGACAGCTCTAAATTGTAAAACACATCAGTTAGACTCGGTTTTTGAATATATGATATTACTTTGAAGATGCTGGCCTCACAAACTGAAACAGGAATTTCAGTAAGATCAAAATAGGGTCTTTTAATCTGTGATCCAGATAATCTTACCCTAATGGTGTTTGTTTTATGTTTATTGAGTTGAAAATAGTACTAACATTTAGGAGGAAAATAACCCAATCTAATGATGTCTTCTCTTTTGATAAGGACTTTGTACTTGGCTATTATTTATGAAGCACCTTGATAAACAAGATAGGCTTACAGTTGACAGAATATACAGTTCTTTGATACTACAAATAGTAGTAAGTTGAAGAGATACACTTTCAAAAATGAAATTACATTTTAGTAATGAAATATGCTTGACAATTCCATAAAACTCAGTAATATAGTCAAAGAAATGAACAGTATACAATTTATTCTCCTGAAATGCATGTTTATTTAGTGTGGATTAGCTCATACGCAACTGTTAAATAGGGAGCTGATGCCAGCATCGCATGGAAAGTGTGCCACATATGTTCCAGCATGTTAACAGCTCATAGCTCTTAGATGTAAACCTTTTCATAATTGAGGAGAAAGCCTTAGCAATTAGGAAGACCTTAAGGAAATAATTGAAAATCTTACAGAAGTGACTTCCTTTCTTGCAAGAAAGTGCCTTTGTGGTTTAGTGGCTTTAAAAAATGGGACGATTTCCACAATGTGATGCTGTCTCTAGGGAAGCTGCAAATGCAAAAGTAGCAGCTGAGAATACATTTCTCCCAGGTTGCAAACATTGTTGGGGAAGAATATCCCCAGGTTGAATTTTTAATTTTCATATAATTGGCCTCTTAAAAGGGAATTATTCATGGATTTATATCTCAAAGTAGTAGACACAAACCTAAGGATATAAAAGATTGCAGAATGGACAAGATGATATTAAGTGCAAATGCCAACGGAAGCTTTATTTTACTAGTAATTTATCAGGATATATCAGAATAAGCACAGATAAATGCCCTCCATTTTCTTCAAGGATAAGTCATATGTCAAGTAAAATGTCTGAGCATATGACAACATCTTGCAGAAAGATTTTTGACTTCCAGGATGTATCACCATGAAATGTTCTAGTTGGTGTGATGTTTCTTATTTGGATTTATCAGGATATAGTAATTTGTTTTAATCTTTTGGTTAAAGAGTCCTATAGGTTTTTACTGCTATACCACAACCCTGTTTTCTCAATAAGCGCATAAGGTTTTTTTTTTTTTTTTCCTAAAAAAAGCATATGTAATAACAAATTGTATGTGTCAGCTTGATTGGACTAAGGAATGCCCAGATAGCTGATAAAACATTACTTCTGGGTGTGTCTGTGAGGATGTTGTTGGAAGACATGAGCATTTGAATCGGTGACTTGAATAAAACAAGTGGCCCTCCCCAGTGTGGGTGGGCATCATCCAACTTACTGAGGGCCTAAATAAAACAAAAAGGTAGAGGAAGGGTGAGTTTAGTTTACTCCCTCTTTTTGAGATGGGACAACCATCTTCTTATCTCTTGCCTTTGAACATTAGCACTTTTGGTCTCAGGCCTTTGGACTGAGACTGAATTACACCTCTAGCTTTTTTGTTCTCTAGCTTGCAAAAATGGCAGATCATGGGACTTCTCAGCATTCATAATCATATGAGCCAATAAATCTCTCTTCTCTCCCCCCAATCCCTCTCCATATAGATCTATATTAGTATGTGTATATATGCATGTATATCTCCTATTGGTTCTGTTTCTCTGGAGCACCCAAACTAATACAGCATATTTGGGTGTAGGGCAAAAAGGCCAGTACATGGACTAGGAAGACTGGTGTGAACCTTTCTTTGTGTAAGAGACAAAGATTTGTAGTGAAAATTCATTGTTCATGGTTCACTTTATATTGTTCAGATAAAAGGAGATTATATATGTGAAATTGCTGTATATATTTTAAATCATTTGTTTTCTTGTTGGGAAATATCTGAAGAGTAAGATTCTCTATAAACTCTTCTTTGTTATTTTTTACTCAACAAGCCTTTAAGAAGTGCTACCTCTATATGAGGAACTGTGTAAAGTGCTGAGGGTAAAATGAGTAAAATCATCATGCTCCTGCCTTTGTGGACAGGACCATGCCTTACAATTCCATAGGGGAGATGGAGTTAAGTAAGAGAATCTCAGAAATGGCTGTTAAATTAAAGGCCATAAAGGAAATGAACATGTGACATGAGAGTACATAATAAAGTATCTTGCTCTTGACTAGGGCATTGGGGACAGCTCCTCTGAGGAAAGGCCACTTGAACTGGATTAGCATAAATAGGAGTTAAT
Organism: Homo sapiens; assembly: GCF_000001405.40. NCBI lineage: Eukaryota > Metazoa > Chordata > Mammalia > Primates > Hominidae > Homo > Homo sapiens. Next base: position 60,739,756 of record NC_000013.11, read on the forward strand.
TGTGTGTGTATGTGTGACATGGTTTGGCTCTGTGTCCTTACTCAAATCTTATCTTGTAGCTCCCATAATTTCCACATGTTGTGGGAGAGACTCAGTGGGAGATGATTGAATCATGGGGGAAGGTCTTTCCTGTGCTGTTCTTGTGATAGTGAATGGATCTCATGAAATCTGATGATTTTTAAAAATGGGAGTTTCCCTGTACAAGCTCTCTTTTTGCCTGCTGCCGTCCACATAAGATGTGACTTGCTCCTCCTTGCCTTCTACCATGATTGTGAGGTCTCCCCAGCCATGTGGAACTGAAAGTCCAATAAACGTCTTTCTTTTGTAAATTGCCGAGTCTTGGGTATGCCTTTATGAGCAGCATGAAAACGGACTAATGCAGTAAATTGGTACCAGCGGTGGGTTCTAGAGGATGGTGGCCCTCTTCTCACAGCTACATAGGTGCTGCTTCAGGAGGGACCCTTTGTGGGAGCTCCCACCCCACACTTCCCTTCTGCACTGCCCTAGCAAAAGTTCTCCATGAAAGCCCTGCCCCTTCAGCAAACTTCTCCCTGGGCATCCAGGCATTTCCATACATCTTCTGAAATCTAGGTAGAGGCTCCCAAACATCAATTCTTAACTTCTGTGCACTTGCAGGCTCAACATCATATGGAAGATGCCAAAGCTTGAGGCTTGCACCCTCTGAATCCATAGCCTGAGCTTTATGTTGGCCCCTTTCAGCCACAGCTGGAGTGGCTGGGATGCAGGGTAGCAAGTCCCTAGGCTGCACACAGCATGGGGACCCAGAGCCTGGCCTACAAAACCACTTTTTCCTCCTACCCTCCAGACCTGTGATGGGAAGGACTGGCATGAAGACCTCTGACATGCCCTGGAGACATTTTTCCCATTGTCTTGGAAATTAACATTCGGCTCCTTGTAACTTATGCAAATTTCTGCAGCAGGTTTGAATTTCTCCTTAGAAAATAGCATTGCCAGGCTGCAAATTTTCTTTTTTTTTTTTCTTTTTTTAATTTTATTATTATTATACTTTAAGTTTTAGGGTACATGTGCACAATGTGTAGGTTAGTTACATATGTATACATGTGCCATGCTGGTGTGCTGCACCCATTAACTCGTCATTTAGCATTAGGTATATCTCCCAGTGCTATCCCTCCCCCCTCCCCCAACCCCACAACAGTCCCCAGAGTGTGATGTGCCCCTTCCTGTGTCCATGTGTTCTCATTGTTCAATTCCCACCTATGAGTGAGAACATGTGATGTTTGGTTTTTAGTCCTTGCGATAGTTTACTGAGAATGATGATTTCCAATTTCATCCATGTCCCTACAAAGTACATGAACTCATCATTTTTTATGGCTACATAGTATTCCACGGTGAATATGTGCCACATTTTCTTAATCCAGTCTATCATTGTTGGACATTTGGGTTGGTTCCAAGTCTTTGCTATTGTGAATAGTGCCACAATAGCATACGTGTGCATGTGTCTTTATAGCAGCATGATTTATAGTCCTTTGGGTATATACCCAGTAATGGGATAGCTGGGTCAAATGGTATTTCTAGTTCTAGATCCCTGAGGAATTGCCACACTGACTTCCACAATGGTTGAACTAGTTTACAGTCCCACCAACAGTGTAAAAGTGTTCCTATTTCTCCACATCCTCTCCAGCACCTGTTGTTTCATGACTTTTTAATGATTGCCATTCTAACTAGTGTGAGATGGTATCTCATTGTGGTTTTGATTTGCATTTCTCTGATGGCCAGTGATGGTGAGCATTTTTTCATGTGTTTTTTGGCTGCATTAATGTCTTCTTTTGAGAAGTGTCTGTTCATGTCCTTCGCCCACTATTTGATGGGGTTGTTTGTTTTTTTCTCATAAATTTGTTTGAGTTCATTGTAGATTCTGGATATTAGCCCTTTGTCAGATGAGTAGGTTGTGAAAATTTTCTCCCATTTTGTAGGTTGCTTGTTCACTCTGATGGTAGTTTCTTTTTTTTTTCTTTTTTTTTATTATTATTATACTTTAAGTTTTAGGGTACATGTGCACATTGTGCAGGTTAGTTACATATGTGTACATGTGCCATGCTGGTGCGCTGCACCCACTAACGTGTCATCTAGCATTAGGTATATCTCCCAATGCTATCCCTCCCCCCTCCCCCGACCCCACCACAGTCCCCAGAGTGTGATATTCCCCTTCCTGTGTCCATGTGATCTCATTGTTCAATTCCCACCTATGAGTGAGAATATGCGGTGTTTGGTTTTTTGTTCTTGAGATAGTTTACTGAGAATGATGGTTTCCAATTTCATCCATGTCCCTACAAAGGACATGAACTCATCGTTTTTTATGGCTGCGTAGTATTCCATGGTGTATATGTGCCACATTTTCTTAATCCAGTCTATCATTGTTGGACATTTGGGTTGGTTCCAAGTCTTTGCTATTGTGAATAATGCCGCAATAAACATACGTGTGCATGTGTCTTTATAGCAGCATGATTTATAGTCATTTGGGTATATACCCAGTAATGGGATGCCTGGGTCAAATGGTATTTCTAGTTCTAGATCCCTGAGGAATCGCCACACTGACTTCCACGATGGTTGAACTAGTTTACGGTCCCACCAACAGTGTAAAAGTGTTCCTATTTCTCCACATCCTCTCCAGCGCCTGTTGTTTCCTGACTTTTTAATGATTGCCATTCTAACTGGTGTGAGATGATATCTCATAGTGGTTTTGATTTGCATTTCTCTGATGTCCAGTGGTGATGAGCATTTTTTCATGTGTTTTTTGGCTGCATAAATGTCTTCTTTTGAGAAGTGTCTGTTCATGTCCTTCGCCCACTTTTTGATGGGGTTGTTTGTTTTTTTCTTGTAAATTTGTTTGAGTTCATTGTAGATTCTGGATATTAGCCCTTTGTCAGATGAGTAGGTTGCGAAAATTTTCTCCCATGTTGTAGGTTGCCTGTTCACTCTGATGGTAGTTTATTTTGCTGTGCAGAAGCTCTTTAGTTTAATTAGATCCCATTTGTCAATTTTGGCTTTTGTTGCCATTGCTTTTGGTGTTTTGGACATGAAGTCCTTGCCCACGCCTATGTCCTGAATGGTAATGCCTAGGTTTTCTTCTAGGGTTTTTATGGTTTTAGGTCTAACGTTTAAATCTTTAATCCATCTTGAATTGATTTTTGTATAAGGTGTAAGGAAGGGATCCAGTTTCAGCTTTCTACATATGGCTAGCCAGTTTTCCCAGCACCATTTATTAAATAGGGAATCCTTTCCCCATTGCTTGTTTTTTTCAGGTTTGTCAAAGATCAGATAGTTGTAGATATGTGGCATTATTTCTGAGGGCTCTGTTCTGTTCCATTGATCTATATCTCTGTTTTGGTACCAGTACCATGCTGTTTTGGTTACTGTAGCCTTGTAGTATAGTTTGAAGTCAGGTAGTGTGATGCCTCCAGCTTTGTTCTTTTGGCTTAGGATTGACTTGGCGATGCGGGCTCTTTTTTGGTTCCATATGAACTTTAAAGTAGTTTTTTCCAATTTTGTGAAGAAAGTCATTGGTAGCTTGATGGGGATGGCGTTGAATCTGTAAATTACCTTGGGCAGTATGGCCATTTTCACGATATTGATTCTTCCTACCCATGAGCATGGAATGTTCTTCTATTTGTTTGTGTCCTCTTTTATTTCATTGAGCAGTGGTTTGTAGTTCTCCTTGAAGAGGTCCTTCACATCCCTTGTAAGTTGGATTCCTAGGTATTTTATTCTCTTTGAAGCAATTGTGAATGGGAGTTCACTCATGATTTGGCTCTCTGTTTGTCTGTTGTTGGTGTATAAGAATGCTTGTGATTTTTGTACATTGATTTTGTATCCTGAGACTTTGCTGAAGTTGCTTATCAGCTTAAGGAGATTTTGGGCTGAGACGATGGGGTTTTCTAGATAAACAATCATGTCGTCTGCAAACAGGGACAATTTGACTTCCTCTTTTCCTAATTGAATACCCTTTATTTCCTTCTCCTGCCTGATTGCCCTGGCCAGAACTTCCAACACTATGTTGAATAGGAGCGGTGAGAGAGGGCATCCCCGTCTTGTGCCAGTTTTCAAAGGGAATGCTTCCAGTTTTTGCCCATTCAGTATGTTATTGGCTGTGGGTTTGTCATAGATAGCTCTTATTATTTTGAAATACGTCCCATCAATACCTAATTTATTGAGAGTTTTTAGCATGAAGGGTTGTTGAATTTTGTCAAAGGCTTTTTCTGCATCTATTGAGATAATCATGTGGTTTTTGTCTTTGGCTCTGTTTATATGCTGGATTACATTTATTGATTTGTGTATATTGAACCAGCCTTGCATCCCAGGGATGAAGCCCACTTGATCATGGTGGATAAGCTTTTTGATGGCCAGGCTGCAAATTTTCTAAACTTTTATGCTCTGCTTCCCTTATAAAACTGCATGCCTTTAACAGCACCCAATTCAGCTCTTGAATGCTTTGCTGCTGAGAAATTTCTTCCACTAGATACCCTAAATCATCTCTCTCAAGTTCAAAGTTCTACAAATCTCTAAGGCAGGGTCAAAATACGGCCAGTCTCTTTGCTAAAAGATAACAGGAGTCACCTTTGCTCCAGTTCCCAACAAGTTCCTCGTTTTCATCTGAGACCCCAGAATGGTAGATCCACTGACAACTTGTACCATGTACCTAGAAAAACCACAGGCACTCAATGCCAGCCTGTGAAGGCAGCCGGAAGGGAGGCTGTACCCTGCAAAGCCACAGGGGCGGAGCTGCCCAAGACTATGGGAGCCTATACCTCTTGCATCAGCATGACCTGGATATGAGACATGGAATCAAAGGAGATCATTTTGGAGCTTTAAGATTTGACTGCCCTGCTGGATTTTGAACTTGCATGGGGCCTGTAGCCCCTTCGTTTTGGCCAATTTCTTCCATTTGGAGTGGTTGTATTTATCCAATGCCTGTACCACCACTGTATCTAGGAAGTAACTAACTTGCTTTTGATTTTACAGGTTCATAGGTGGAAGGGACTTGCATTGTCTTGGGTGAAACTTTGGACTGTGTACTTCTGAGTTAATGCTGATATGAGTTGAGACTTTGGGGGACTGTTGGGAAGGCATGATTGGTTTTGAAATGTGAAGATATGAGATTTGGGAGGGGCCAGTGGTACATGATATGGTTCAGCTCTGTGTCCCCACTCAAATCTTATTTTGTAGCTCCCATAATTCCCATGTGTTGTGGGAGGGTCCCTGTAGGAAGTGATTGAATCATGGAGGCAGGTCTTTCCTGTGCTATTCTTGTTATAGTGAATGGGTTTCATAAGATCTGATGGTTTTTAAAAACAGGAGTTTCCCTGCATAAGCTCTCTTTTTGCCTGCTGCCATCCATGTAAGATGTAACTTGCTCCTCCTTGCCTTCCACCATGATTGTGAGGCCTCCTCAGCCATATGGAACTGTAAGTCCAATAAACCTCTTTCTTTTGTAAATTTCCCAGTCTTGGATATGTCTTCATCAGCAGCATGAAATGGGTAAATGGACTAATACATTGTGTGTATGCGTGTGTGCATGCACGTGCATGAACAGGGTCATTCCAGGCAGAGGCACAGGCTTATTCCACATAAGGATGTAGTGTGTACAGAGGTCTCACGGCAGAAAAAAGGACTGATGTTTGAGGATTTGGGAGAAGACTAATGTGCTTGTGTTCCCGGCAAGAGTAGAGTTTGATAAGCAGGGCAGAGATCTGGCAAAGTCTCATGGTTCATGCTAATTCTGTTGAGGTTAAATTCTGTTAAGAACATGGAATTCACTGAAGAATTTTAAGTGGTGTTATCAGATTTGCATTCCAAAAAGATATCTCTTACTGCTGGAAAGAACAAATTGTAAAGAGGCAAGAGAGATCTTGGAGTCCAATTAGGAGGGTATTATAGTAGACTAAGCAGTTTTCTTTGACAACTCCACGTTATTTCTGTCACTTAGAATGGGATGGTGGCAATGGATATGCACAGATCTAGGAAGTTTAGGGCTGAAATCAACTGAACAAGCTACACTGAATATAAGGGGTGAGGGGAAGGCAATAAAGATTATATCTATGTTTCTGCTTTGAAAAACTGAATGATGGTGGTGCCATTCATTGTGTGGAGCTCTGGATTTGGGGGAGAAGATAGTAAATTTGATCTTGGACATGTTGTGTCTTAGGTGTCTGAGAGACTTTCACATGCAGATGTCCAGCAGCAAGTTGAATATGTAGGTCTAGAGTTCAGAGAGTAGACTTGGGCTATTGGAGACATGAATTTGTGAAACAGCTGCATGGAATTGCTAATTGAATCTGTTAAACTTAAGCAAATTAAATTTAAAGGAGTTTAATTGAGCAGTGAAAGATTTGCAAATCGGGCAGCCCCCAGAATCAGCAGATTCAGAGAGACTTCAGGGACGCCTCGTGGTCAGAACAAATTTTTAGACAAAACGGGAAAGTGATATACAGAAATTGGAGGTGAGGTACAGAAACAGCTGGATTGATTACATCTTGGCATTTTCCTTATTTGAACACAGATTGAACACTCAGCAGTGTATGAGTGGTTGAAGTACAGCTGCTGGGATTGGGCAAGATGTAGCTATTGTTACAGGCACATACTCCTATGTTAGGTTTTCAGTCTTGTCTACCTATTAAGTTAGATCATAGTTCATCCACAAGAACTCAAATGTAGAAGTACGGAGTTCTTCTCCAGCCATATTTGGTTCACTTTAACAAATCCATGTGCACTGATGACACTGTTGATGGAGAGACTACAGACTGAAAAACAGAATTCTGAGCTAGGGCTCAGCTTTAAAGAACCACTAAGAACTAGGTAGAGGAAGATGAACCAGCAGAGGAGAATTTGAATGAATAGAGAAATAAGAGGGATGTGTGACATAAGTGAAACCAAGGAAAGTGAGTGTTTCAAGAACTCTCTCTGTCTTTCTCAAGATGAGAGAATCTTCAACATGTTTAAAAATGCTAATGAGAATGAAAGGATCAAATAAGAGGGAGAGAGAAGAGAATTTATAGTGTAGGTTTTTTGTCTCTTACACTCTGGACAGAAATTGATAATGTTGTATGAGCTCAATATAGACTTGGTTTCTGACACATATAGGAAATCTACATTTTAACACTTTTGTAAAAATCATGTTCAATAAGATGACCTTCTGATAATAGGATTGCTCTTTCAGGTCTTTTATATATAGCAGGGCTACATTCTAGCCATACCACTCTCTGGATGATATGTATTGTTCTCCTAGATTGGTTATAATTCCCATTTGAGATTTTGTAACTTAAATACTGAATTAAAATGTTAACAACTATTAACATAACTAATGTTATAAAGGGGGAAAATAGTTAATATAGATATATTCAAGAAACAAGAAAATACATATAGCTGCTTCTATCCTTGTATTTAGAGCTGGTCATGTGGCTATACTTTCTCCAGTATCCATTCCCTGTTCTCCTTCCCTATGCCTATACTCAGCTGGTTGGAATTCTTTACCTGATAGAGTTCTCAAAACCTTCATTTCTGAAGGGTTGGTACCATTAGTAGTCCTTTCTCTATTGAGCTGCTGGTATGTTCCAATAACTGTTACTTAGCAGATTCCACGTTTACTTCTCCCTCTCTCCATTGCATAGAAGCAACACAGTTTTTCCTTAATTACCAGTATCAATTACCCCAGAAATATGGTAACCTCCTTTTTTGCTAACTCAGTGGCATAAAGAATCAAATGTGGCCAAGTAGTAATCTCGGCCTCTAGTTAAAAAATAAGTTAACAATTTTTGTTATTGTTAACAGAAAGAATTGCTTCCCGGTGGAAGCATTCCTTTCATGGGGACCAAGATAATGAAAACAGCAGGGCACAGAGATGTTGGGATATTTAAAGCAAACATTTTACAAGTAGCTTATTAGGGATAATAGTGAAGGAAGTCACTTAAACTAGAAAATTCCTAGAAACTATGTGTTGTTTGCTGGTTCAGACCTTGTACTACATCTTTGAGGGCAGCAATTATGGTGGACACTGTGATGCATTATTCAGACTCTCCACTGAGGAATAAAATACCCACATTCCCAGCTTCTGGAAGTGCTATTGACCTTTAGTTTTCAGCCCCTTTTGGGGGATTCCCTCAGTTGAGGAGAGTTAACTTCTTCCAAGGCCACATCCCCTTTTTTGAGCCTACTGCAGTCAGTGACAAGATAATTAACATGGGGGCATAAGGGCCCAGTCCTTTTTCCCGAACTCTGGAAAACTCTGAATGGCCATGTCATCGTCAATACTCTGCACAGAGTTAGCTGAGGCTTCCATTGAGCCTGCATTGCACCTCAACTTCTGTGTCTGTTCAATTCTGCTTCCTTCCATCTCTTCCACAAATATTGATTGCAAGACTTCCTGCATGCTAATCTTGTTAGAGTCAGCCTCTTGAGAAACCCAAGAGGCAACAGCCTGTAGTCAGCAAAGTAATCAAGCTGGCCATGTAACCATTTCTTCAATAGGTCAGTCCTCTATTCCATCAGGCCAGCTGTTTGTTTTGTTAGGGTGAAACCAATGAATCCAGTAGATGTGAGCTTATTTCCTTCTTTTGCTGAGGAATGTGTTCCCTTGTCAGAAGTAACTATATGTGGGACATTATGGAGGGAATGAGACTTTCCCTAAGTCCATATTTGTTGGTGACAACAGAAGTATTGTGGGCAGGGAGAGCACATTTGTATCCTGAATATATCTCTATATCTATATACATATATATTCTATATATATTATAGCATGCATATATATAAAAAATCAGGATACACACATATTCCCACAAGAACAAATCAATGACCATTCCATAGTAGGAGAGGACCTTTCCATAGCAGAAGAAATCTACCAAGGGGCTGGCTGGTTTTCTCAGGGGAATAAGAGCCACACTGAGGGCTCAACCTATGGCGGGAAAGATATACGTGCATCACAACTAAACTAACGTTGTTCAAAATATGTTCAGAACACCTATTTGGAATCACTTTCAGAACTCTTAGAGTCATATATTTTATTTTTTTCTCCCAAACTGTGTTACCTACTATAGGTGTACAGTACCTACACATGTAGGCTTTATATGTAGTACTTTCTAAATCTCTGATATAAATGTTCTTACAGGTTTTATATTATTTTGTCACTAAGCTTTAGAAGTCTTTGATGATTACCAAACACCTTTGAATATTTCCGAATTCTGAGTGATCTCTATGTGATGAAAATTATATATATATATATGAACTAGCATTGCTAAAAAAAGAGAATGAAAAGGAAATACATTAAAATTTTAGTTGAATAGTGGATTTATGAGAGATATTGAATCTTCCTTCTATTTTTCTGAAAATTCTACTTTTTTGAAACTTTTATTATGAGTAGATATTACTTTTATAGTGAGAAAAAATATGGACTTCAAAAAAAGAAAGCTGTTCTTTTTTGTTTGTTTTCTATATAAGGGGCATGTTATGTTCAAAAACAGTTAAGCATATACTTAAAAAAGATAGTTTTCCTTTTTTTCCCCAGCCCAAGCTCCTGGTGACAAATTACCATCTGTGTGCGCAGGTGTGGTTGAGAACAGCCTGGGACCAACAGTTCTTTCAACATTGTGCAGTAGAGACATTTGGATATTTTTATCAATTTTTATTATATTGCTGGTTATTCCTATCAGTTGCTAGAAGGTGAAATGCTTTCATTATATTTGTTAATTACCTAGGCAATGATTTAAAAATATATTCATACCTTTTTCATTCTTTCCATGAAATGATATATAATTTTCATCTTGCCCTCGCACAAGGCAATTACCTTGTTACTTTGTTACCACAATTACTGAAATTAATATTCATTTCCTTTATAATTTAGTAGATCATGAAAATGGACTTCATGCTGGATCTACTATCATAGTTTCCTTCAGGGGTTCGTAATTTCAGTATGCCATCTTTCTTTTCCCCCACAAAGGGTTTGTATCAATCAGTCATCAATGTACATTCATCAGGAGGCATTCCTAGGGAAATGACAGGTTGAACTTTTCATAAATTTCAGTTTTATGTGACTAAAGTAGAGTTAAATGAATTTGCTGCAGTCTTAAGGTTGGAGCGAGGTAAAAGAATGCATAGCTTCTGGCTTAAGGCTGAATGGGTCAAGGTTCCCTGTCTAACATCATTGAATTTTGAATAGTTTGATTAATCAAAGCTGAAGATTTCTTTGCTTGATCTTTTAGAGTGGTTTTAATAATATAGATAGTTCATTAAGCACATCCTATTATTATTTTTTTTCTTCTTTTAAATCTAGTAGTCTAAGATTCACTCACCTTAAGTAAGTCAGGAGATATTTTGAAGATTTCTTTCAGGCTCCAAATGCCATGATTTGGGAAATTTTGATTGGCAACACAGCCTTGCTATGGAATCAGGAATTACGTACGGTTACAAAGGAGAACAATTTTTTTTTTATCTGTTCTATTCACTCCTGCATACTTGATCTCTTTGAATGTTCTGTCTGGAATGTGTCTATCTATTATGTTTTTGAAAGACACAATTGGCTAAACCCCCACTGTTTCAATTGTATTTCCCATTTGAAGATACTGAAGCTTCTGGAACTTGATAAGCTTTTGTAACTAAAAAATAAATGGATCACACAGATTGAGTTTCTTCTTATAAAAAATGGAATCATCAACTTCTCTTTATTCTGTTGAGTTCTGCTGGCATAAAGACATGTGAATCCCATCAGCCTGCTGAAATGACCATTTTTGTCCTTACCTTGGGTAATGGGGTTGACGAACAGATTGTTTTGCTTCCAGAAAGCAGGAGAACTGCTTTGGGGAATGGGTGCTTAGCAATATGCAGTGTACTGCAACATCTTTTTAGCTGGGAAGAATATTTGCCCAATTCTAAAGGGGCTCAAATCAGTTATTAGCCTATGTTCCTCATGAGGTCTTTAACCAAACTATACCCGGTCTATATAGCAGAAATTTTAAGGAGTTTACTTTTGAATGCATACTAAGTCTTAAATGCTGGATCAAGTGAGAATTAGACTTAAGATATAGGTTGTTCCAGATTTTTACCCAAATAGAATTCCTGGCTTCTGCTTCATTGGCTTACAGTGGGCTTCTGTTGTTGGAAATGAAAAGCAAATCAGAAGATATCAAATGGAATTACCATTTTTGAATATGCCAGATCTTTATAGCTCTGTTGTAGCAACCTGAGAGTCAGAAGAAATTATAAGTTAAAGACGAGAAAATGTAATTATATCTCTGTGGGCTTGTAAGCCAGTTAAGTTATGAAATTTGCTTTTCTAAAGTGAGCCTTCCTATGAGGCAGGCTTTTTAGTATTTCTCACTCTAGCAAATTGCAGCAGAACACTATTCTTGTGAAAAATTATGTCTCTGCTTTTCTTCTTCTCCTTTTTAAGGGAAAAATTTTTATTTCAATTGGTTAGCAGATACCAGAGTCCATTTTCATGATGTCTTTAAAATTTTAGATGATATCTTTTATCACAAGGTTATAAATGGTGGAAAGGCATTTAAATTGAGTGATTCACTGACAATACACTAATAAATGTTGATATCAAAAAAATGTAAAATAATGCGGAGGCTTTCTTCAGGACATACAAATAAGAAAGGGTGTTGTGCCACATGGCACATGCTAATTATAGTGGTCAATCCAACTAGACAACCGCAGAGTCACAAACAGTAGTTCCCAATAGGAAAGCACAGAATTTGACTCTGACTATTGCTCCCAAATATGAAGCACTGCAGTGATGTGGGGGTGGGGCACTAGGAGGTTTCTCTGAGGAGCATGCACAGTCATAAAGAAACCTAACAAGAGCAATTAACTTTCAAAATGGCATTAAAAATGCCATATTGCTCTGTTAGCACTCAAAGGATACCTTAAAACAATTTGCTTGGGTAAATGAAAAAGACAAGAAAGATCTAAAGAGAAAGGAAAAGGAGAAGTGAGTACAAAGGTTTTTGAATGAGATATGAGAAATGAATGAAAAAGCTGGTAGAAGGAACTTGTGTCCTTAGTAAAGCCTCGAGTTCACGCTTTACACAGGAGCACAGAAACATTTTGCGTCTTGGACCCAAAAGGGTAAAAAATGCAATGCCACCTAGAAAGGCATGATAGCACTGTTAGTCACATCACCCTAATTCACAATTGTGGAAATCTTAGCAGATTTCATAAGGGTAGCAAAAAAATCAATCTGAATATTACGTGAGAATTTTAGAAAGCTGTAGTGAGGAAACGAAAACAGTTGAATAGATAGAATTGAAGATTATTTTCAAAGTCATTTACAATGTCACATATGCAAACACAGAAAAGATACAAGAAAAGAAATATTGCCTAGTAAATCAGATAATTATATATACATATATATGAAACCCACATTTCTTTTAATAATTTCACAATGGGCTCAGCTCTAGTTATCACTGTATTAAGTTTTGGAAATTGTTAGGCAAGACTGCTGCTGGGTAAGAAGAAAAGTTGAAGATTTTCTAGTCTCCTTTTCTGGTCACTTATTGTCCACTTAGGCTCTTGTTTCTGAGGACCCAAAGTCCTCATGGTGTCCAAGTCTGCCTTGGGTGACTTGGGTGGTGTCCCTCCACCCTTTTTATGTTTGAGCCTGAGTTATTTATTTTTATTCCTTCAATTTTTTTCCACATATAAAATAAATATATATTTCTATATATTCTCTCTTCTTTTTCTCTCATGCTAAAATGCACCAGCCTTTCCCCTATTTTTGTTTGATAGCAATTGGTTGATCTAATATACTAATTCACCGGAAGGCCTTATTGGATGTTGATGATTGTTTTCTGCCTTCCAGGGAATTCTTGAAAATGTGGCCTTATTCTCTAAGAATGCCAAAATGTTAATCTCTGCTTCAATAGAGGAGGTGGTAATCACACAGTAATAACCTTAAATTACATGTGTGACAGCAATCCTACCCATGTGTGAAACAGCCTTAGGATTAGGGTAGAGAAGATTCTTACTGGAATCTGGATCTTGAAACTTTCCCACTTTTTTCCCCCCTGCTGGATGTAGCCAAGGTAGTTTCAAAAATTCACCTCTGGTTATGGGATACATCAGCTCCTGGGTTGTATTCACAATAAGCTCTATGAGTATAGTTTGACTCCTGCTTTTTAGCTTGGGAATTTCAGAAAATCTAAATAAAGAGCTCTGAGAAAAAATTATATGGAAAAAACAATTATATAGGAGATGAGAAACAGTGTAGCATGGTGGGTGGAATATCAGATGTCAAGAAACCTGAGTTGTAGCTCTGATTCACTTCTGACCAATCTGGTTCCTTCCTAAACCTCTCTGAGGGAGAATTGTCCATTGTAAAACACGATGGTCATTGATGCGCCTCTGGTGGCACCCTGAGGCTCCAGGAAACAATTTTAAAATGAGTGGGTCGGGCTGGTGCGGTGGCTCTTGCCTGTAATCCCAACACTTTGGGAGGCCGAGGCAGGCTGATCACCTGAGCTCAGGAGTTCGAGACCAACCTGACCAACATATAGTGAAACCCTGTCTCTACTAAAAATGCAAAAATTAGCTGGGCATAGTGTTGCATGCCTGTAGTCCCAGCTACTTGGGAAGCTGAGGCAGGAGAATTGCTTGAATCTAGGAGACAGAGGTTGCAGTGAGCCGAGATTGTGCCACTGCACTTCAGCCTGGGTGACAGCGAGATTCCATCTCTCAAAAAAAAAAAAAAAAAAAAAATGGGTTAGGTGACTTCTTATGGTTTTTTTTCTAGCTTCTCCAAGCCTGTTAGGTTTGAGTACACCTTCCTATTAGAATTTAAAACTGAGATTCATCAGGGCAACTCTTTCATCAATGAGAGATACTTCTGGATCATATTAACCCTTGTTTCTTGACGTATCTCTTACAAGGAATCTTATGACTTGAACTCCTGCCAGAAATTCTGAAATTTAAATTTCTCCAAGTTATTTAATGAGTGGTTAGTATTTTATCTTTCTGAAGAGCAAACTCCTTTTCCTCCTGGATGTACATAAAGAGGGGAGGTTGACATTCCTGTTTGCCTGAGGAATGACTGTTTTGTGGAAAGTAGGATGGGGATTTCAGGAGTTCAGGACCTTCTTGGCTGAACGCCTTGTCTCATGCCTCTCCAAGACAGTCCTGAGTAGGCTAAGTAGGCATTTCCTTGGGGTTTCCCTTTATCTGGTGGCAGCTTCTGATATCTTGGGTCTGTCATCTTCTCAAACTGTCTTACTTTTTTACTTCTTCTATTTCCTGTCCAGTGTCAGCAACTCTCACCTCTTTATTTTTTATTTTATTTTTTGAGATGGAGTTTCACTCTTGTTGCCCAGGGCTGGAGTGCAAGGGCATGATTTCGGCTCACTGCAACCTCCACATCCCGGATTCAAGCGATTCTCCTGCCTCAGCCTCCCGAGTAGCTGGGATTACAGGCATGCACCACCATGCCTGGCTAATTTTGTATTTTTAGTAGAGACGGGGTTTCGCCATGTTGACCAGGCTGGTTTTGAACCCTCTGACCTCAGGCGATCCACCCACCTCCGCCCGCCAAAGTGCTGGGATTACAGGCATGAGCCTCTACACCCAGCCAGCATCTCTCAGCTCTTAAAGTCCCCTCATTCCTCATGACTTACCCAGAGGACAATCTGTGGCAGAGCCCTAGCTACTTCCTCTAAGACAAACTGCTTTTCCCCACCCCCATAGCTCTTTCAGTCAATGGTTCTTCCAAATAGCAGCTCTTTTAAGGACACTGCTGTGAGTCTTCTAGATTAGCTTTAGGGAAGCAAATCTGCATAAATACTCACTATCATCATTGTAACTGCCCCCTCAGCAACTTTCTACTTTTCTCCAAGGTAGAGAAATGGTCTGTTGATTTTTGCTTTAGCTCAGGGTTTATTCTCAGGCACACAGAGGATTCCAGGACGCTACGATTCTCATTTTGTTGGGGATAATTCAAGAATCCGGGGAGCCTGGCAAAACCCTCCTGTTTATATTTACTTCCTTGGGTACAGCAGCACATAACGAATCAAGACTCAGAAACAGCTCTGGGCTTCTCATAGTTCCCTGAGTTAATTATGCAAAGTAAACTCTAATAAAGATCGTGGGTTATACACATAAAAGAGGCTTAAATCCATGCTTCATTTAAGCTCATTGTGATGAGCAGATATTTGGTAGCTTGCTGCCTTTTCTCTGTGGGCTAACAGATTAGAGTTTACTTTAGGGTAGCATAATTTCTTCTTCAAGGGAAGCCAGTTAAATGCTAAAAAAAATCACTTTCTGAGGGGTTACTAGTGAGTTGGACTTTGGACCTTTGTGTGTGTGTGTGTGTGTCTGTAGTTTTCGTTGTCTAATCCTTCAAAGCTGAGAATTGGGAGGGCTTCTTATTAGGGATACATCTGTAGCAGGGGACGATACGGCCTACAGATAAATGTCTCCTCTATCTGTGGTGCATGGGTAAGCCTTTTCTGAAGCCATTAGACTATGACCCAATTTTTTCTGAAAAGGAGTCTAATTCAAAATCATAGCGCTGATGGAAAGATTAGGAAATATAATTTGACATAATTTTGCTGGCTTGGTGGGCAGATTAACTACATTGTTAAAGAACTTAATTCTTGTTCTTGAAGGACCCTTGATGTCAGGCACTGTCTTCCCTATTTCTGCTCATTTTTAGACCTTAATGTCTTCAAGGTACAGGCTCTGCGTTAATCCTGAGGAATGTGGGAACTGAGTTTCAGGAGCCTTATCTGCACCAGCAGGTGGAGTCTGGGATCCTGCCACAAATAAGTGGGGGCGAGGGAAGAACTCAACTTCTGACATGCTACAAAGCATTTCTGAGCTGTGATATCTGATTGGCACCCTACCTCCTAATCTCTCCCAGGTGTCAGGCAGTGTCAGGATCTGGGTTACTTTATTCTAATATTTCAGAGGCATACTATGATTCAGAACTCATTATCATTTCTAAAAGCCAGACTTATGGTTTAAAAAAATAGTAATATTGATAACGGCTCAGTTTGATTTAGCACACACACTTAGCACCATGTAGAGTGTACTTTTCAAACATTTTATGTGGATTTATCTCATTTTATTCTCACAACAATTCTAATAAAGTATTTTTATCATCTGCATTTTGCAGTTCAGAAAATAGAAGCTTTGAAATGTTAAGTAACTTGCCTGAGTTTACACAGCCTGTAAGTTGCAGAACCAGAATTTGAAGCCATACTCTCTGACTCTAAAACATGCATTTTAACCACACCTCTAGTTGTGTGTTACATTATAGTTTTCCTGTGTAAAGACCCAGGTGAGAACCTCTTAAAACCAGATAAATCTTGTTCTGACATCTGGTTTGTTTACATCTGAGGGAAACACTACAAACTTTAGGCATATTTTTTTATGTGTATGTGTGCATGCGCCAATATTAAAAGTTGGCTTTATGTATCTTCCCTTTGGACTGATTTTCCCATTTGCTAATTTTAATTGTGTGGTATGTATCTCAGGGTCTTGATTAGAGCAATACTTGCTGCTGCTACCCCTCTCACTGGCTTTACACGGGAGAAGTTTATGTTTCACTCACATAATCATTCAGTGCTAGTGTTCCCGGCTGGTGGGCTGTCTTCCTCAGGATGATTCAGGGATTTAGACTTCCTTCATTGCATGGCTTTGCCTTCCCTCTGCATAGTCCTCGCATTCAGCTGCGAGAGAGGATAGAGTAGGCACACTTGCTTCTTAAGCAACTTGGCTCAAAGTGGCATGCGTTACTCTGTTTGGCAAAAACCATTCACATGACATCACTTAAGGGAGGACGACTAAGGAATGTGATCCTTGGCTTGCCATCTGCTTCTTGGCAACAGCTACATACTATGAATGGGGGAACCAGAATCTTTGATGGACAACCTGCTATCTCTGCTATGTTTGATGACATATAGATGTCCTTTTGTAAAAAGCTTGGATATAAGTAAATAGTAAAGAAAAGGGCCTGGAAATAGCTTAGCAGCTGCAAACCTGAAACTAGTATGCCTGTATGAAATCCTAGAAAGCTTTGTGTCTCTTGGGCCAAAGTCTTTGGATGCATTTGTACAGTTTATGAGACTGGGCTTCTATCTTGATATGTGATTAAGTTTAACCTTCCAGTCTGGGTCCTGCCAGACAATCTGCTTGTCACTAGATGCCCCATACCTAGGGTGCCAGACTATAGTCCCTGCCCTTACATCTGCTGGCTAGGATCCTCCTCCCAAGCTGGTGGAGTACGCAGAACCATGAAGCTGACACAGCACCTGACTTTGAGCATGGCCAGTGCTTGGAGACTTGATGTCAGAAATCTCTATTGATTTCTGGGACCAAGTTTCCACTGGTAGCCCCTAATTTACAGTGAGTTTTTATTTGTGGGTATACCAACTGGATTTATTAGCTGGTGGCTTTGACCCAGAACAGTGAGAATAATCTGCTTCGTATGTTCAGCTAACTAGCAGGTTTCTGCCTGCATCTGGTTTGGCAGATGGTCACCAGTGAGGTACAGCTTCATTTTCTATATTCCTATATTCCCCTTCCTCTTTCCTGGCTATTCTGAATTTAGCCTCAGCCCCATCGAGTGCTCAGTCCCAAATAGAGAATTTATGTAAGCCCGACTGTCATTTCACACTTCATGTACTCCTTTCCTTCATTATTAATACTTTGTCATATTCTTGATAACCGCAGCTGATTATAACCCTGCAACCTTACTAACTCTAGAGCTGGTCATGCCTTGTGAATGTCCATATTCACCAGTCTTTGCTTCCCATATTCCACAAACCCAGACAGATACTCATAGATCAGAGGAGGAACACACATCGTAAGTCACATCACTCAGCACAGGAAAGTGGCCCAGGCCCGTCTGAGAAATGTGTCTTAAGTTTCGCCTTCTGGTAGCAACTCAGTATTCTCGGCATGACAATCTCGGACAGTAGATAAATCAAGTTCACTTAACCTTTTCGCATACTTAAGATCCCCAGTGACATGGCATTAACAATCATGTATGCCTGGACACATGATTTATATTTCCCCCACCTTGCAAAAAAGAAGGCAAAAACGAATAAGAGAACCTAAACTGTGTTATACATTTTTTTTAAGGCAGAATGTTTGAGCCAGCAAACAAAAATTCTTGCTTTAGTTAAAGAGCATAAAGGAAAT
Source organism: Homo sapiens (assembly GCF_000001405.40). Classification (NCBI taxonomy): domain Eukaryota; kingdom Metazoa; phylum Chordata; class Mammalia; order Primates; family Hominidae; genus Homo; species Homo sapiens. The sequence goes on from NC_000013.11 coordinate 60,757,918, forward strand.
GTTCACTGAAGAGAGCTTTTCTTTTCAATTGCTATCCTGCAGTACAGGGCACTACTTGGGTGGTATTTATGCCTCTGGGTAGGGGACAAGTACACAGAGGCTCCTCCTTTGTTCTGCTTGTACCTCTTTTTTTTTCTGCTTTGTCCTTTTCTCACACAGGGCAGTATCACAAAAGCAAATGTTTATTGCTCAGAAAGGCAGGACTTTGTTCTAGGGTTCAATGCACTATATGCTTGTGTGGACACCAAACAAATTTCTTCAGTATCTAGACTTGGGTTGATTCAATAATTAAAAATGATAACAATGACAACACCAATAGATTAGTATTGGGTCACATGGCTTCTTTCGGATCTTGTAGGAGACTTCCATAGGAAAAAAAGAACCCTGCATGGCTGAGAAATTTATTTTCCCTGAGTTCCACTTATCAATTGTAGCTGCTTTGCCAAGCATACTGAATGATGCCTTTTGGTGCCTTATGTAGCACATAGAGTGTTATTTAATGTTTAGAATTTGCATGATTTTAGTAGGAATTATGATTTCCATTTCATCACAGAGTTCACCATTCCACTGAGCTGGTTCACATTTATCCAGGGTCTAGGAGTATTTTGTTTTGTGATCTTTCATTTAAGGGGTTTGACTAAAGTGGGTGTTTCATTGAACCCTATGCTGTATAAGGTCTTGAGATGTTAAAGGTGGTAGAAATAGTGAAATTAATACTTATTGGACAGCTACTTTCTGCCAGGCACTTTACTTGTGTCTTAGTTCAATTAATATTCATGGCCACCTTTTGAGTAAGGCAGTAGCTTCCACTATACAAATGAATGGACTAATATTGTGTAAAAAGCCCCTGTATACTTAACAGTATGTAGAACACAGTCTCTGAATCCCATTTCTGGAATTTTCGTCCCTTCAGCCTCCTAGCTCTCAAGGTTTATAGGAACTGCAAGCAGTGGCATGCCAATGCTTGTTGAATGAAACCCAGCAATAGGTACCAGTAATGAAACAAAAATTTCATTTTCAAACTAGGGAACATGACTATGTTCTTTTTCTTCTTTCCTTGAACAAAACACCCACTGATTTCAAGGGCACTTTTGTACCCATAAAAATTCTTGAGGTAATCTATTAGTACTTGATTACTAGTTTTATATATATATGAAATCATGTTTTTCTATTTTAATGTGCCCATGGTATAATAGGGATAGGTGGTAATTTTGCTATTTAATATAGTCATGTTTATGCAGTACATTGGAATGCATGCTGAGTTTTGCAGTTGAAAACAACTAAGGCTGACATAAATACTAGGAACGTGGAGATTTACCTGTTAGTATACTACCAATACTGCTATTTCTATCTTTCACAAAAAGGTGTGTGTGTTTAGAATCATACAAATTCTAAATATTAAAAACTACAATTTATATATACTACATACATACTCAGATACTTATAAATACCTGACATATATTCTATTCACTTATACTTTCTGAGAAGCTATGAAGCTATGAAGGTAATAGTTCGACACAGTGGAACTACTGTCATCGTAAGATATGAAAAGCAGCAGGAGATAAGTGGTCTTGTTATTGACTGAAGTAAAGTAGAATGACCCTGTGATTCGGATCTGATTGACTTAACTACTTCATTACATATCGACAGTGTCAGAAGGCCATCATAAAACAATCATTTGCCTTAAAAATGTCGTTACTTTATAAAGGCACGACTCCAGTCTTATCAGAATGTCACAGCAGAAGCCTTGGCAACAGTATTTGTTGACTGGCAGGAAGCCCATCTGTAAGCCAGTGATATGGGGATCTGGCATCTGTGGAATGTGATTTTATTTCACCGAGAATAAAGAAGCTGTAGCCTTGGAAATGATGAACACCGAATTTGTCTGCTGGGGGGATTGTGACTGTTGTGCCTTTCTTTTCTCTTAATCGGCTTCCACCGGAACCAAGAAAGGATCTGTTTCCTATAACTCGGGTGAAGAGAATTGGGGGTGGGGCTGACAAAAGCATTCAAAACAGGGATTCTTAACCTTTTTGATACTTTAACCCCTTTGCAGGCAGTTGAAGTTTGTGAATGCCTTCTCAGTATGTTTTAAATGCATAAAATAAAAAATGTACGTTTTTAAGGGAAACCAATTAAATTGAAATGCAAATATAAAAGTATGTAAAAAATAAATTTGTACTGAAGAAATATAAGTGCTCCTTGATTAATGAAACATTGATAAGTGTAAAACACCATTTAAGATTGGCAAGAGCAGTAAGTAATATGGAAATATAAGTAATTTCTATTAGTGACAAACTCACAGGTAATGCTGACACTACTGTGGTTTGTTACCTAAGTTCATAATTGAGGAAAAGTGCACGTTACACTTAAAGGTTAGGGAAAATGGAATTTTTTCCATCTACATGTACAAACCCTTGATTTCTATTCACAGATTCTTTGGGGGTGTCTACGGACATGAGGTTAAGGAAATCTGCTTCAGAATGGGCAAGGAGGGATTTGGCTGAAACAGCCAAATATTTCAAGATAAAATTTTTCAATATAAAAGTGAAATGATCCAATACTGCTGTGATACAGCAATATTCATAAAATAAGAATAAATGTGTCACTATTCTTCATGATTTTTAGATATCTCTTTTAGGATCTGATATTGAATTTGTAAAGAAATATTTAACTACAGTTGAGCAATTCTGATTGTTTTAGTTTCTTTATAAGGTTGGATTCAAGAAAAATTAGTTTGGTGGTTTTTATTAAACTCCATATCTGACACAATTCTAATTAAAAATGTTCTTGCTATTATTTATGTATTCATTTATCTACATACACACATAGAAAAGTATCTAGAATGATGTTCACCAATAGCTAGGGATGATTAATATTGAGTAAAGATTTGGGAGTTTATTTTTCTTTTTTCTTTTTGCATTTAAAAAATTTTATTTTTTTTAACTTTTATTTTAGGTTTAGGGGTGCATGTGAAGGTTTGTTACATAAGTAAACTTGTAATTTCATCAACCAGGCATTAAGCTCAGTACCCAATAGTTATCTTTTCTTCTCTCTTCCCTCTTCCCAATCTCCCCACTCAATTATACCACAGTATCTGTTATTTCCTTCATTGTGCTCATAAGTTCTTATTATTTAGCTCCCACTTATAAGTGAGAACATGTGGTACTTGGTTTTCTGTTCCTGTATTAGTTTGCTCAGGATAATAGTCTCCTGCTCCATCCATGTTCTGGCAAAAAACATGCTCTTGTTTCTTTTTCATGGCTGCATAGTATCCATGGTGTATATGTACCACATTTTCTTTATCCAAGCTGTTGTTGATGGGCATTTAGGTTGATTCCATGTCTTTGCTATGATGAATAGTGCTGCAATGAACATTCACGTGCATGTGGCTTTAGGTAGAATGATTTATATTTCTCTGAGTATATGCACATTCCTTTTTTTCCCACAATCTCACCAGCATCTGTTATTTTTTGGCTTTTTAGTAATAAGCATTCTCACTGGTGTGAGAAGGTATCTTATCGTGGTTTTCATGATGTTGAGCTTTGTTTCATATGCTTGTTGGCTGCATGTATGACTTCTGTTGAGAAGTCTCTATTCATGTCCTTTGCCCACTTCTTAATGGTGTTGTTCGTTTTTCTCTTGGAAATCTGATATCGATTTTTCCTAGGCATGAACATGGGATGTTTCTTCATTGTGTGTCTTCTCTTTTTTCTTTGAGTGCTATTGTATAATTCTTATTGTACAGATCTTTCACCTCACTGTTAGTTGCATTCTGAGGTATTTTACTCTTTCATGGCAGTTGTGAATGGGATTGACTTCCTGATTTGGCTCTGGGTTTGGCTGTTGTTGGTGTATAGAATGCTAGTGTTTTTTGTACATTGATTTTGTATCCTGCAACATGCCTGAAGTAGTTTATCAGCTGGAGGAGCTTTTGCATTGAGTCTATGGGATTTTCTAGATATATTAACGGAGATAGTTTGACTTCCTCTTTTCCTATTTGGATGCCATTTATTTCTTTCTGTTGCCTGATTGCTCTGGCTAGGACTTCCAATACTATGTTGAATAGGAGTGGTGAGAGAGGCCATCCTTGTCTTGTGCTGGTTTTCAAAGGAAATGCTTCCAGTTTTTGCCCATTCAGTATGATACTGGCTGTGGGCTTGTCATAAATAGCTCCCATTATTTTGAGATACCTTCCATCAATATCTAGTTTATTGAGAGTTTTTAGCATGAAGGAGTGTTGAATTTTATTGAAACCTTTTCTGTGTCTGTTGAGATAATCACGTGGTTTTGGTCTTCAGTTCTCTTTATATGATGAATCTCCTTTATTGATTTGTGTATGTTGAACCAACCTTGCATCCCGGGGATGAGGCCTACTTGATCATTGTGGATTAGCTTTTTGATGTGCTGCTGGGATTCAGTTTGTGAGTATTTTGTTGAGGATTTTTACATGAATGTTCAGCAAGGATATTGGCCTGAAGTTTTCTTTTTTTGTTGTATCTCTGCCAAGTTTTGGTATCAGGATGATGCTGGCCTCACACAATGAGTTGGTGAGGAGTCCTTCCTCCTCAGTTTTTTGGAGTGGTCTCTGTAGGAATGCTACCAGTACTTCTTTGAACATCTGGTAGAATTCGACTGAACCCATCAGGTCCCAAGACTTTTCTTGGTTGTTGGGCTATTTATTACTGATTCAAATTCAGAGCTCGTTATTGGTCTGTTCATGAAATCAGTTTCTTTCTGGTTCAGTCTTGGAAGGGTGTATGTGTCCAGGAATTTATTCATCTCTTCTAGATTTTCTAGTTTGTGTGCATAGAGGTGTTCATAGTAGTTTTTGATGGTTGTTTTTATTTCTGTGGGGTCAGTAGTAACATTCTCTTGTCATTTCTAATTGTGTTTATTTGGATAGTCTCTTTTCCTCCTTTATTACTCTAGTTAGTGGCCTATTTTATTAGTTTTTTCAAAAAACCAACTTTTGGATTTATTGATTTTCTGAACTTTTTTTGGTGTCTCAATTTCCTTCAGTTCAATTCTGATTTTTGATTATTTCTCATCTTCCGCTAGCTTTTGGGTTGATTTATTCTTGCTTCTCTAATTCTTTCAGTTGTGATGTTAAGTTGTTAATCTGAGATCTTTCTAACTTTGTGATGTGAGCATTTAGTGCTAAGAATTTTACTAACATTGCCTTAGCCGTGTCCCAGAGATTCTGATATGTTTTATCTTTGTTCTCATTAGTTTAAAAAAACTTTTGATTTCTGCCTTAATTTCATTATTTACCCAAAAGTCATTCAAGAGCACGTTGTTTAATTTCTATGTGTTTGCATGGTTTTGAGCAATTTTCTTAGTCTTGACTTCTATTTTTATTATGGTGTGGTCTTAAGTGTGTGTGTGTTATAATTTTTTTTAACATTTGTTGAGGATAGTTTTATGTCCAATTATGTGGTCGATTTTAGAATATGTGCCATATGGCAATGAGAAGAATGTATATTCTGTTGTTGTGGGGTGGAGTGTTCTGTAAAGGCCTACCATATCTATTTGGTTCAATGTTGAGTTTAGGTCCTGAATGTCTTTGTTAGTTTTCTTCCTTGACGATGTGTCTAATACTGTCAGTGGAGTGCTGAAGTTTCCCATTATTATTGTGTGGGAGTCTATGTCTCTTTGTAGTTCTCTAATAACTTACTTTATGAATCTGGGTGTTCCTCTGTTGGGTGCATCTATATTTAGGATAGTTAGGTCTTCTCGTTGAATTGAATCCTTTACTATTATGTAATGCCCTTCTTTGTCTTTTTTATTTTTGATTTTTGTTGGCTTGAAATCTGTTTTGTCTGAAATTAGTATTGCAACCCCTGGTGTTTTCTGTTTTCCATTTACTTGATAGATTTTCCTCCATCCCTTTATTTTGAGCCTATGAGTGTCACTACATGTGAGATGGGTCTCTTGAAGATGGCATAGCATTGTCCAGCTTTCCATTTTTATCCAGCTTTCCACTCTGTACCATTTAAGTGGGGCATTTAGCCCATTTACATTCAAGGTTAGTATCAATATGTGTGGATTTGATCCTGTCATTGTGTTGTCAGCTGGTTATTATGTTGGCTTATTTATGTGGTTGCTTTACAGTGACACTGATCTGTATGTTTAAGTATTTTCTTGTATTAGCTGGTAGCAGTCTTTTTTTTCTACATTTAGTGCTCTTTTCAAGATCCCTTTTAAGGCAGGTCTGATGGTAATAAATTTGCTCAACATTTGCTTATCTGAAAAAGAACTTATTTTTCCTTCACTTAGGAAGCTGAGTTTTGCTCGACATGAAATTCTTAGTTGAAGACTTTTTTCCTTAAGAATGTTGAACATAGGACCCTGGTGTCTTCTGGCTTGTAGGGTTTCAGCTGAGAGGTTTGCTATTAGCCTGATGGGGTTCCCTTTGCTGATGACCTGCCCTTTCTCTGTCTGCCTTTAACATTCTTTTATTTTGATCTTGGAAAAGCTGATGATTATGTGCTTGGGGATGATCTTCTTTTGTAGAATCTTGCAGGAGTTCTCTGTATATCTTGAATTTGACTGTTGGCTTCTCTAGCAAGGTTGGGGATGTTTTCATGGACAATATGTATTTCATGGACAATGTGTTTTCATGGAAATATGTATTCCAAGTTGTTTGCTTTCTCCCCCTCCCTTTCAGGGATGACAGTGATTTGTAGATTTGATCTCTTTACATAATCGCCTACTTTTCAGAAGTTTTGTTCATTGCTTGAAATTCTTTTTTCTTTATTTTTGTCTATCTTATTTCAGAAAACCATTCTTCAGATTCTGAGATTCTTTCCTTAGCTTAGTTTATTTGGCTGTTAATACTTGTGATTGCATTGTGAAATTCTTGTATTGTGTTGTTTAGTTCTTTCTTGGTTCTTTCTTTTTTTCTTTTTTGAGACGGAATTTCACTCTTGTCACCCAGGCTGGAGTGCAATGGCATAATCTTGGCTCACTGTAACCTCCGCCTCCCGGGTTCAAGCAATTCTCCTGTCTCAATCTCCCGAGTAGCTGGGATTATAGGCGCCCACCACCATGCCCTGCTAATTTTTGTATTTTTAGTTACAGACGGGCTTTCACTATGTTGGTCAGGCTGGTCTTGAACTTCTGATCTCAGATGATCCACCCACCTTGGCCTCCCAAAGTGCTGGGATTCCAGGTGTAAGCCGTTGCACCTGGCCTGTGTTATTTAGTTCTGTCAGAACTGTTAGGTTCTTTTATATTCTGGCTCTTTAATCCTTCAGTTCCTGTTTCACCTTATTATGATTCTTAATTTCCTTGCATTGGGTTTTGCTGTCCTCCTGAATCTCATTATCTTTGTTCCTATTCATATTCTGTATTTTATGTCTGTCATTCCAGCCAGTTCAGCCTTATTAAGTCTTGTTGGAGAATGGGTGTGGTTGTTTGGAGGACATACAGCACTCTGGCCATTTGAGTTACTGGAGTTCTTGCATTGATTCTTTCTCATCTCTGGGTGTGGGTATTCCTTTAACTGCCATGTAGATTGAGTACAGTCAATAGGCTTCTTTTCTGGATGTTTTCACCAGGCTGAGACTTTGTGCAGGGTCTTTATTTGAAGCTGACATTTTTTCTCTGGTTTTAGAGGGGGGTATGTTACAAGTAAAGATTTTGGAGTTACAAGTAAAGAAAGAACAGAGAGCAGAGTAAGTGCTAATAGGGGGTAGGGCATTCTTTTCAAGAAGTGGGTGCTAAAGGATAGAGAACAATTATTTCTTGAGATGAGATCTAAGGCAGCATTGCCCTTAGACTTCGAAAACAGAAACCTCTGCCCTGGGCCCCTCAACTGTTCTGAGTACAAGGATACAGTGGTAAACACAGTTGATAAAGCCTTGGTATCCTGAAACCAGTCTGCCTTTTTCAGAATTGGTAGCAACAGCACAGCTTCTCTCAATGAGATACATAGTCAGGATAGAAATCAAAACAACTTGGTAAATAATCACACTATGTAAACATTACTTTTCAGTAACAGTGTCATAAGTGACTAAACACTGCTTAGCAATAGCCAGGTATAGTCATTATTTATAGTCTCTTTTTGAGAAGAATTTTACTCAAGCCATCTTTCAGAATCTTGCTTTTCACAATTTTCCTCTTTTCTCTTTCTGGATTGACAGAGAGACAAGTTAAAGAAAATCCTCCCACACAGTTTCCACTATTGGCGTAATGACTAACACTCTTATCAAAATCTGGCTGTCTCAGTGCTGGAATGTGCTGCACTATGCTGTGTTTGCTCATGTGTAAAATGGCACACTTATAACTGGCCTGTTTTCCCTTTTGGTATTAAGAACTCACATTCCAAATGCAAGTGTGAGAGAAGCTGGAGGGCGTGGAATTCCCTGGTGTTATTGGCCTTCCCTCCGCCATGGTCTGACTGGGGTGGTTTGTCTTGACTTGCTGGTGCCAGGGTGACAGTGTTGAGATAGCACAGTTCAGGGATTCCTTAGGTGGGGCTTTTCCAGCGGAGAGTGTACTGTCAAGTAAAATTGAATCAAAGAGTGACATGAACAAGATTTTTTTTTAAACTTAATTTAAAATTTTAAAGTGTTCTAGAAAAACACTGGACTTTCACATTAGTTGTGTGATCTTAGTGTCTTAATTTTCTCACTTGTAAAATGGGGTTATAATATCAATGTCACAGAGTTTCAGTGAAGATGAATATAATTGATGTATTTAGAGCATCTTTTTTAAGAAACTGGGTCTCACTGTGTTGCCCAGGCTGGAGTGCTCTGCTGATATTGCTTGACCAAGCATATACGTTATAGTTTACACCAGCAGTCCCCAACTTTTTTGGCACCAGAGACCAGTTTTTTGGAAGACAGCTTTTCCATGGATGAAGAAGAGGGATGGTTTTGGGTTGAAACTGTTCCACCTTAGATCATCAAGCATGAGATGATAAGAAGCATGCAGCCTAGATCCCTCGCATGTGCAAGCATTCATGCTCCTGTGAAAATCTAATGCCACTGCTGATTTGACAGGAGGGAGAGCTCAGGCGATAATGCTGGCTGTTGTGCTGCTTATCTCCTGCTGTGTGGTCTGGCTCCTAACAGGCCATGGCTTGGGGGTTGGGACCCCTGGTTTATACTATAACACATTTTATTGAGCATTTACTAAGTGACAGCCACTGTGGTATATCTGACAATAGAACAGTTGCCAAAGGCTGTATCTCATGGAGTTCATGTGTCATTATTCCATGTAGCAATTCTAGTGGTGTTGTGTTAAGCACAATGATGGGATGATGTTTTCTGGTGTTGCTATTTTTGTATTCTTTGCCTCTAATATAAACATTGGAAGTTTTATCAGAGTGCCTCCCGTGTAATAAATCTATAATACATGGATTTCAAATGAACAAATATTGTAGCCACAGTGTGGATTTTAAAGAGCCAGAAAGTACGATGCTGTCTTTATTAGGGAAGACAGAAGAATGTATTCATATAGATCTCAATGAATGCTTCAGTGGCAATTGTTTTCAGATTAGGAGGCCTGACTTCTTTTCTACCAACCAGTACGGCCTCACCCTGTAATGTGGAAAAGAAGGCAGGTCTCCTAAAATTTACTTATTTATAAGCAAAGGTTGGCAATTCCTTTGTGACATTTTTAAAAACAGTTTAATTAAGGTATAATTAACCTACAATAAATTGGAAAAATTTGAAGTGTAGTATTTGACAAGTCTTGACATATGTATGTACCCACGAACCCATGATGCCAATCAAGTTAATGAATAAAGATACTCATCACCCCAAAGTTTTCTCATAACTGATTTGTAATACCTCCATCTCACTCCTGACACCATTCCCCCACTGTCCCACCACCATCTCAATCCCCAGTGGTTACTAACCTGTTTTCTATCACTGGAGATTAGTTTGCATTTTCTAGAGTTTTGTATAAAGGGAATCATATGTATTCTTTGTGTTTCTCTGGCTTCTTTCAGTATAATTACTTCGGGATTCATCCATGTTGTTGCATGTATCATCAATTTATTCCATTCTATTTGCTGGGTGGTATTTCATTGTGTGGATACCCCACTGCTTGTTTATCCATTTATTTGTTGATGCACATTTTGATCATTTCATTTTTTTTCTTGGGTTAATACTTAGGAGTTGGATAGTTGTATCATAGAGTAGGTATATGTTTACATTTAAAGAAACTGCCAAAATATTTTCCAAAGTGGTTATGCCACTTCACTTTTTTTTTTCAAGTTGAGAAAAATTTACTCATGTGTTAGCAAAGGATGCATAATATGAAATTAGAGCCTATTAATCTTTATTTTTTTAACTTTTAAGTTAAAGGTACAAGTTCAGGTTTGTTACATAGGTAAACTTATGCCATGGGGGTTTGTTGTACAGATTATTTCATCACCCAGGTATTAAGTCTAGTGCTCATTAATTATTTTTCTTCATCCTCTCCCTCCTCCCACCCTTCACCCTCTGAAAGGCCACCATGTATGTTGTTCTCCTCTACGTGTCCATGTGTTCTCACCATTTAGCTTCTACTAATGAGAATATGCTGTATTTGGTTTTCTGTTCCTGCATTAGTTTGCTAAGGATAATGGTCTCCAGCTTCATCCATGTCCCTGCAAAGGACATAATCTCATTCTTTTTTATGGATGCATAGTATCCCAAGGGGTGTGTGTGTGTGTGTGTGTGTGTGTGTGTGTGTGTGTATGTGTGTGTATGTATGTATCTAGCTCTCTCTATATATATGTATCTAGCTCTCTCTCTATATGTATCTAGCTCTATATATATGTATCTAGCTCTCTCTCTCTCTATATATATGTGTGTGTGTGTGTGTATATATATATATATATATATATATATATATATATATATATATATCACATTTTCTTTATCCCAGTCTCTCATTGATGGGCATTTATGCTGACCATGTCTTTGCTATTGTGAATAGTGCTGCCACTTCACATTTCAACCAACAGTGTGTGGGAGTTCAAGTTGCTCTACATCCTCCCCAGTACTTGGTATGGTCAGCATTTTTAATTTTAGCTATTCTAATAGGCACAACGTAGTGTCTTGTTGTGATTTTAATCTGCATTTTACTAATGACTAATTATGCTGTTTTTGTCAAGTTTGTCGAAGATCAGATAATTGTAGATGTGTGGTATTATTTCTGAGGGCTCTGTTCTGTTCCATTGGTCTATATCTCTGTTTTGGTACCAGTACCATGCTATTTTGGTTACTGTAGCCTTGTAGTATAGTTTGAAGTCAGGTAGTGTGATGCCTCCAGCTTTGTTCTTTTGGCTTAGGATTATCACGGCAACGCGGGCTTTTTTTGGTTCCATATGAACATTAAAGTGTTTTTTTCCAATTCTGTGAAGAAAGTCATTGGTAGCTTGATGGTGATGGCACTGAATCTGTAAATTACCTTGGGCAGTATGGCCATTTTCATGATATTGATTCTTCCTACCCATGAGCATGGAATGTTCTTCCATTTGTTTGTATCCTCTTTTATGCAATTGAACAGTGGTTTGTAATTCTCCTTGAAGAGGTCCTTCACATCCCTTGTAAGTTGGATTCCTAGGTATTTTATTCTCTTTGAAGAAATTGTAAATGGGAGTTCACTCATGATTTGGCTCTCTGTTTGTCTGTTATTTGTGTATAGAGAAAGCTTTCATCTTTTCCTCATTGAGTATCATGTTGGTTGTAGGTTTGTCATATATGACCTTCATTGAGATAAACCTATTTTTTAAAATTAATTTATTTTTGATTATACTTTAAGTTCTGGGATACACGTGCAGAACGTGCAGGTTTGTTACATACGTATACATGTGCCATGGTGGTTTGCTGCACCCGTCAACCCATCAACTACATTAGGTATTTCTCCTAATGCTATCCCTCCCCTAGACCCGCACCCCTTGACAGGTCCTGACGTGTGATGTTGCCCTCTCTGTGTCCATGTGTTCTCATTGTTCAACTCCCACTTATGAGTGAGAACATGTGGTGTTTGGTTTTCTGTTCCTGTGTTAGTTTGCTGAGAATGATGGTTTCCAGCTTCATCTATATCCCTGCAAAGGACATGAACTCATCCTTTTTTATGGCTGCGTAGTATTCTATGATGTACATGTGCCACATTTTCTTTATCCAGTCTATCATTGATGGACATTTGGGTTGGTTCCAAGTCTTTGGTATTGTGAACAGTGCTGCAATAAACATACACGTGCATGTGTCTTTAAACCTATTTTTATTGATATTATCACTTTTTTTGTTGGTTTAAGTCTATTGTTTTACAGTTTTACTGATTGATACTATGATATTTATTTATTTTGTTTTGCTTGTTTTGGGTTTAAACTGCTCTTTTTTTTTGGTTTCTAAAGTTATAAGTTGAGGTAATTTATTTGAAAGCTTTTTATTTTCTAATAGAGGCATTTAAAGCAATATATTTCTTTCTACTTACTGATCATCAGCATCCTCTAAATTTTGATGTGTTGTTTTTTCATTTGCATTCACTTCAAGCTGCATTCTAATTTCCCTTTTGTTATCTTCTTTGGCCTATTGCCATTTAAAAGTGCTCTTTAGTTTTCAAATATTTGTGAATTTTCAGTTATCTTTCTTATTGTCTTGTTTAATTTATTTATGGATACAAAACATATCTTGTATAAGATGAATTCTTTTAAGTATATGCTGTTTTATGGCCCTGAATTTAGATTGCCTTGGTAAGTATTTTGTGTACTTAAAAAGAATGTGTATTTTGCTGTTGTTAGGTGAAGTGTTTCATAAATGTGAATTAGTTTACGTAGATTGTTGGTTTATCTCAAACATTCTGGCTGTACTGATTATCTTTTTTCAATTTTTGAGAGGGGATTTTTGAAATCTGACTATAATTTTCTATTTGTCTTTCTTTGGAGTTACATCATCTAGATATTCTCCAATGTTCTCTTCTAGAAGTTTTATGGCTTTGAATTTTATATTTAGGTCTGTGATCCATTTTGAGTTAGCGTTTGTGTGTGATCTTTGTCTAGATTTATTTATTTTTGCATGTGAATGTCTAGTTATTTCATCATTTGTTGAAAAGACTATCTTTGCTCCATTATATTGTCTTTGCTCCTTTGTCAAATATCAGTTGACTATAATTATTTAGATCTATTTCTGGGCAGTATATTCTGTTTCACTGACCTATTATTTCATCAACAACACATCATCTTGATTACTGTAGCCTTAATATATGATTTGAAGTTGGATAGTGTCAGTTTTCTGGCTTTTTAAAAAAATATTGTGTCTGCAATTCTGGGTTGTTTGCTTCTTTGTGTAAACATTAAAATCAACTTGTTAATAGTAACAAAGTAACTTGCTTCAAATTTTTTTCAACTTCCATTTTTGAATTGGGGGTACATGTGCAGGTGTGTTACCTGGGTATATTGTGTAATGGTAAGGTTTGGAGTATAATTGAACCTGTCACCCAGGTACTGAGCATATTACCCAAAAGGTAGTTTTTCAGCCCTTTCTCCCTTTTTTCTCCTCCACTAGTCGTTTCCAGTGTAATTGTTCCCATCTTTATGTCCATGCATACCCCATGTTAAGCTCCCACTGAGAACATGTGGTATTTGGTTTTCTGTTTCCATATTAGTTCACTTAGAATATCTATGTCCTCCAGCTAAATCCATGTTGCTGCAAAGACTTGATTTTATTTTTTTTATGGCTGCATGGTATACCGTGATGTATTTTCTTTATCCCATTATCGATAAGCGCCTGGTTTGATTTCATGTTTTTGCTCTTGTGACTAGTGCTGTGATGAATGTACAAGTGCATGTGTCTTTTTGGTAGAATGATTTATTTTCCTTTGGGTATATGAACAATAATGGAATTGCTGAGTTGAATGGTAGTCCAACTCTTTGATCTTGGTGTGAGATGGTATCTCATTGTGGTTTTGGTTTGCATTTCTCTGATTGTGATGCTGAACGTTTTTTCATGTTTGTTAGCCACTTGTATGTCTTCTTTTGAGAAGTATCTATTCATGTCCTTTGTCCACTTTTTAATGGGATACTTTGTTTTTAGATGGTTGATTTAAGTTCCTTATAGATTCTGGATATTAGACTTTTGTCAGATGCACATTGTGTAAATATTTTCTTCCATTCTGTAGATGGTCTTTTTACTTTGTGGATAGTTTCTCTTGCTGCGAAGAAGCTGTTTAGTATAATTAAGTCACACTTGTCAATTTTTGTTTTTGTTGCCATTGCTTTTGAGGACTTAGCTAAAAATTCTTTGCCAAGGCTAATATTGAAAAGGGTATTTCCTAGATTTTTCCTAGGATTTTCATAGTTTGAGGTCTTTAATTTAAGTCTTTAATTCTTCTTGTGACAGGTAGGGGTTCAGTTTCTTTCCCCTGCATATGGAGGGCCATATGCTGGTTCTGGGACGGTTCTCCCAGAACCATTTAATGAACAGGGAGTCTTTTCCCTAATGCTTATTTTTGTCAAGTTTGTCAAAGAGCAGGTGGTTGCAGGTGTACAGCTTTATTTCTGGGTGCTCTAATCTGTTCCATTAGTCTATGTGTCTGTTTTTATATCAGTACCATGCTGTTTTGGTTACTGTAGCCTTGTGTCAGTATAGTTTTAAGTTGGGTAGTAAGATGCCTCTGCCTTTGTTCTTTTTGCTTAGAATTGCTTTGGCTATTTGGACTCATTTTTGGTTCCATATGAAGTTTAGAATAGTTTTTCTAAACCTATGAGAACAGACATTGGTAGTTTGATGGGAATAGTGTTGAATCTGTATGGCCATTTTAATGATATTGATTCTTCTAATCCATGAGCATGGAAGGTTTTCCTATTTATTTCTGTTGTCTCTGATTTCTTTTGGCAATGTTTCATAGTTTTCATTGCAAGAAGTTTTTACCTTCTTGATTAGACATATCCTTATATTTTTTTGCAACTATTGTTAATGAGATTTCATTTTTGTTTTGGCTCTTAGCTTGCATATTATTGGTATGTAGAAATGTTACTGAGCTTTGTACATTGACTTTGTATCCTGTAATTTTACTGAAGTTATTTATCAGTTCCAAGAGTCTTTTGGCAGTCTTTAGTTTTTGGCAGGTATAGAATTATATCATCAGTGAAGAGAGATAGTTTGACTTCTTTTCCTATTTGGATGTTTTTATTTCTTTCTCTTGCCTGATTACTCTAGCTAGGACTTCCAGTACTATGTTGAACAGAAGTCTTGAGAGTAGGCATCCTTGTCTTGTTCCAGTTCTCAAGGGTAATGCTTCCAGGTTTTCCCCATTCAGTATGATGTTGACTGTGGGTTTTTCATAGATGGCGCTTATTATTTTGAAGTATGTTCCTTCAATGCCTGGTTTATTAAGGGTTTTAATCATGAAGGATCTTGGATTTCATCAAAAGTTTTTTCTGCATTTATTGATACGATTATATGGTTTTTGTTTTTAATTCTGTTTATGTGATGAATCACATTTATTGATTTGTGTATGTTTAACCAAACTTGCATTCCAGGAATAAAGCCCACTTGAATATGCTTCTGAATTCAGTTTGCTAGTATTGTGTTGAGGAGTTTTGCATCTATGTTCATCAAAGATTTTGGCCCATAATTTTCTTTTTTCATTGTGTCTCTGCCAGATTTTGTTATCAGAATGGTGCTGGATTCATAGAATGAGTTAAGGAGGAGTTCCTCCTGTTTGATTTTTTGGAAGAATTTCAGTAAGTTTGGCACCAGTTCTCTGTATGCCTGGAAGAATTTGCTTGTGATTCCAGTTGTTCCAGGGCTTTTTCTGGTTGGTAGGTTTTTTAAATTACTGATTCAACTTTAGAACTCATTATTGGTCTGGTCAGGTTTTTACTTTCTTCCTGGTTCAATCGGGAGGTTCTATGTTTTGGGAATTTATTTCCTCTAGATTTTCTAATTAGTGTGCATAGAGTTGTTCATAATTGTTTCTGAGGATCTTTTATATTTCTGTAGGATTGGTTTAATGTCATCTTTGTCATTTCTGATGGTACTTATTTGGATCTTCTCGCTTTATTAATCTAGCTAGTGGTCTATCATTCTTGTTTATTCTTTCAAGAAATCAATATTTGCTTTCATTGATATTTTGTATGGATTTTGGTATCTCAATTTCATCCAGTTTTTCTCTGATTGTAGTTGTTTCTTTCCTTTTTTTTTTTTTGTTTTTCCGCCAGCTTTGGGCTTGGTTTGTTCTTTATTTTTTTTTCTCTAGTTCTTCTAGGTGCAATGTTAGAGTGTTAATTTGAAAACTTTTAAATTTTTTGATACAGGGTACCACTATAACTTTCCTCTTAATATTGCTTTAGTTGCATCCCAAAGATTTTAGTATATTGTTTCTCCATTTTTATTAATTTCAAATAATTTTTAAATTACTGCCTTGACTTCATAGCTCACCCAAAAGTCATTCAGGAGCAAGTTGTTTAATTTTCATGTAATTGTGCAGTTTTGAGAGATCTTTTTGGTATTAATTTTTATTTATACTGCACTGTGGTCCAAGAGTGTGGTTGGTACGATTTTGACTTTTTAAAAATTTATTGAGATGCTTTATGGCCAAATATGTGCTTGATCTTAGAATATCTTCTGTATGCAGATGAGAGGAATATATATTCTGTGGTTTTTAGGTGGAGCATTCTGTAGGTGTCTTTTAGGTCCAATTTGTCTAGTGTCAAGTTTCTGTCCAGATATTTTTTTTGTTAGTTTTCTGCCTCAGTGATTTGTCTAATGCTATCAGTGGTGTGTTGAAGTCTCCCACTATTATTGTGTGATTGCCTAAGTCTTTTCATAGACCAAGAAGGACTTGTTTTATTAATTGGGGTTCTCCAATATTGAGTGCATATACATTTAGGATAGTTAATTCTCCTTGTTGAGTGGAACACTTTAACGTTATTTAATACCCTTCTTTGTCCTTCCAGATTATTGTTAGCTTAAAGTTTGTTTTATTTCATATAAGAATAGTGACCCCTGCTCTTTTTTGTTTTTCATTTGCATGCAGATATTTCTCCATCCCTCTACTTTGAGCCTATGGATGTTGTTACATTTAAGGTAAGACAGAAGACAATTGGGTCTTATCCTTTTATTCAACTTGCCACTTTATTCCTATTAAGTGGAGTGTTTAGATCCTTTACATTCAAGGTTAATATTTATATGTTAGGTTTTAACCTTGTCATTGTGTTGTTAGCTGGTTGTTTCATAGACTTGATTGTGTTGTTGCTTTATGACATCTGTGGACTATGTACCTAAGTGTGTTTTTGTGGTAGGAGGCATTGTTCTTTTGTTTCCATATTTAATTGCTAGGATTTTAAATAAGATAGTGTTCAGTCTATTGATCAAGTTGGGAAGATCTGACATCTTGATAATATCGTCTTTCAATCCATGAACATGAGATATGTCTCCATTTATTTAGTTCTTTCATTTCATACAACAGAATTTTTTAGTTTTGTTATATAAATTTTGTACATATTTGTTGGCAAAAGTATGTCTTTTTATGATAATGTAACTGGTATTGTGTTTTAAAATTCATATTTCATCTGTTCTTTGATGGTATATAGGAAAGCAATTGGCTTGTGTATTTTAAGTTTATATCCTGCAACTTTAGTATAATCAATTGCTAGTTCTAGGATTTCTTTTGTTAATTAATTTATTTTTTTACTCTTGTATTAGTGCATTCTCACACTGCTATGAATAAATACTCAAGACTGGGTAATTTATAAAGGAAAAAGTTTTAATTGACTCACAGTTCTGCATTGCTGGGGAGGTCTCAAGAAACTTACAATCATGGTAGAAGGCAAAGGAGAGTCAGGCACCTTCTTCACAGTGTGGCAGGATGGAGTGAGTACAAACAGGGGAAATGCCAAATGCTTAAAAACCATCAGATCTTGAGAGACTCACTCATTATCACGAGAACAGAATGGGGGAATCACTTCCAAGATCCAATTACCTCTACCTGGTTCCACCTTTGACACATGGGGATTATGAGGACTACAATCCAAGGTGAGATTTGTGGGGGGACACAGGGCCAAACCATATCAACTCTATATAGACAGTCACACCATCTATGAACAGAGTTTAATTGCTTCCTTCCCATTTGTGTAACTTTTCTGTCTTAATGTGTTAGCTAGGACTTCTAATATGATGTTGAAAAGGAGTCATTAAAGAGGACATACCTGCCTGGTTCGTGATCTTAGTGGGAAAGCTTTTGGTTTTTCACCATTAACTATTTTTATTTATTTATTTATTTATTTATTTATTTATTTATTTATTTTATTAAGACAGAGTCTAGCTCTGTCGCCCAGGCTGGAATGCAGTGGCGTGATCTTGGCTCACTGCAAGCTCCACCTCCTCGGTTCACGCCATTCTCCTGCCTCAGCCTCCCAAGTAGCTGGGACTACAGGCACCCGCCACCACGCCTGGCTAATTTTTTGTATTTTTAGTAGAGATGGGCTTTCACTGTGTTAGCCAGGATGATCTCGAACTTCTGGCCATAATCTCCTGAGTATGTCTTTGCTATTGTGAATAGTGCTGCAATGAACACTTGCATGCATGTGTCATTATGGTAAAATGATTTATATTCCTCTGGGTATATACCCAGTAATGGGATTGCTGGGTTGGATAGTTCTGTATTTAGCTCTTTGAGGAATCACCATACTGTTTTCTGCAATGGATGAACTAATTTACCCTACCACCAACAGTGTATAAGTGTTCCCTTTTATTCACAACCTCACCAGCATCTGTTATTTTTTGACTTTTTTATTCATAGCCATTCTGACTGGTGTGAGATAGTATCCATTGTGGTTTTGATTTTCATTTCTCTAACGATCAGTGATACTGAGCTTTTTTTCATATGATTGTTGACTGCATGTGTGTCTTCTTTTGAAAAGTGTCTGCTTATGTTTTTGCCTACTTTTAATGGGGTTGTTTTTCTCTTGTAAATTTGTTTAATTTCTTTATAGATACTGGATATTAGACTTTTGTCAGAAGCATAGTTTGCAAATATTTTCTCCCATTCTGTAGGTTGTCTGTTTAGTCAGTTGATAGTTTCTTTCGCTGTGCAGAAGCTCTTACGCTTAACTAGATCCCATTTTCAATTTTTGCTTTTATTGTAATTGCTTCTGGTATCTTTGTCATGAAATCTTTGCTGGTTCCTATGTCCAGGATGGTATTGCCAAGATTGTCTTCCAGAATTTTCTAGTTTGGGTTTTGCATTTCAGTCTTCAGTCCATCTTGAGTTAATTTTTGTATATGCTGTAAGAAAGAGGTCCAGTTTTCTGGGCACAGTGGCTCACGCTTGTAATCTCAGCACTTTGGGAGGCCAAGGCAGGCTGATCACTTGAGATCAGGAGTTTGAGACCAGCCTGGCCAACATGGTGAAACCCTGCCTCTACTAAAAGTAAAAAACTACCTGGGTGTGGTAGCACATGCCTGTAATCCCAGCTTCTTGGGTGGAGTGAGGGACGAGAATTGCTTGAACCCAGGAGGTGAAGGTTGCTGTGATCTGAACTCACACCACTGCACTCCAGCCTGGGCAACAGAATGAGACTCTGTCTCAAAAAAAAAAAAATAACAAAAAAAAAGGGAAGAGGCGGTTAGTTTTAATCTTTTGCATATGGCTATCCAGTTATCCCAGCACCATTTACTGAATAGGGAGTCTTTTCTCCATTGCTTGTTTTTGTTAGCTTTGTTGAAGATCAGATGGTTGTAGGTGTGTGGCCTTATTTGTGGGCTCTCTATCCTGCTCCATTGGTCTATATGCCTGTTTTTGTACCAGTACTATACTACTTTGATTACTATAACCCTGTAGTATAGCTTGAAGTTGGGTGACATAATGCCTCCAGCTTCGTTCTTTTATGCTTAGGATTTCCTTAGCTACTTGGGCTCTTTTTTATCCCACATGAATTTTAAATAGGTTTTTCTAGTTCTCTGGAAAATGTCGTTAGTAGTTTGATAGAAGCTGCATTGAATCTGCAAATTGCTTTGGGCAGTATGACCATTTTAATGATATTGCTTCTTTCTGTCCATGAACATTGGATGTTTTTCAATTTATGTGTGTCTTCTCTGACTTCTGGAGCAGTGTTTTGTAATTCTTTTCTTTTCTTTTTTTTTTTTTTTGAGATAGAGTCTCACTCTGTTGCCCAGGCTGGAGTGCAGTGGCACAATCTCCGCTCACTGCAACCTCTGCCCCCCGGGTTCATGCAATTCTCTTGCCTCAGCCTCCCAAGTAGCTAGGATTATTGTAGAGATTTTTCACCTCCCTGGGTTAGCTGTATTCCTAGGTATTTTATTCTTTTTGTGGCAAGTGTGATTGGGATTGCCTTTCTGATTTGACTCTGGGTTTGGCTGTTGTTGGACTATAGGAATGCTAGTAATGTTTGTACACTGAGTTTGTATCCTGAGACTTTGCTGATGTTGTTTATCAGTGTAAGGAGATTTTGGGTGAAGACTATGGGATTTTCTAGACATAGAATTATATTATCTGCAAGCAGAAATAGTTTGACTTCCTCTTTTTCTATTTGGACGTCCTTTATTTCTTTCTCTTGCCTGATTGCTCTGGCCAGGACTTCCAATACTATGTTGAATTGAAATGGTGAGAGAGGACATCCTTGTCTTGTGCTGGTTTTCAAGGAGAATGCTTTCAGCTTTTGCCAATTCAGTATTATGTTGGCTGTGGGTTTGTCATCTATGGCTCTTATTATTTTGAAGCATGTTCCTTCAATACATAGTTACTGAGAGTTTTTAACATGAAGGGGTGTTGAATTCTATCAAACCTTTTCTGCATCTGTTGAGATAAACGTGGTTTTTGTATTTAGTTCTGTTTACGTGATGAATCACATTTATTGATTTGCATGTGTTGAACCAACCTTGCATGCCGGGGATGAAACCTACTTGATTGTGGTAGACTAGCTTTTTGATGCGCTGCTAGATTCAGTTTGCAAGTGTTTTGTTGAGGATTTTTGCATCAATATTCGTCAAGGATATTGGCCCCCAAAGTTTTCTTTTTTGTTGCATTTCTGCCAAGTTTTGATATCAGGATGACGATGGCCTCATAAAACGAGTTGGGAAGATGTCCCTTCTCAATTTTTTTGGAATAGTTTATTTTGGAATGGTACAAGGTCTTCTTTGTACATCTGGTAGAATTCAGCTCTGAATCCATCTGGTTCTGGGCATTTTTTTGGTTAGTAAGCTATTTATTACTGATTCAATTTTAGATCTCATTATTGGTCTTTTCAGGGATTCAGGTTTTCCTGGTTCAGCCTTGGGAACTTCCATCCCTTCTAGGTTTTCTAGTTTGTCTACATAGATGTGTTCATAGTAGTTTCTGAGGGTTAGTTTTATTTCTGTAGGGTCAGTGGTAACATTCCCTTTGTCATTTCAATTGTGTTTATTTGGATCTTCACTCTTTCTTCTTTATTAGTCTAATTAATGGTCTGTCTATCTTACTCACTTTTTTCAAAAAAACCTGAATTTCTAGATTTGTTTATTTTTCGAATGATTTTTTCTCTCAATTTATTTCAGTTCAGCTCTTATTTTGGTTATTTTTAATCTTCTGCTAGCTTTAGGGTTGATTTGATCTTCTCTAATTCTTTCAGTTGTGATATTAAGTTGTTAATTGAAGATCTTTCTAACTCTCTGATGTGGGCATTTACTGGGTGAATTTTCTTCTTAACACTGCCTTAGATGTGTCCTGAAGATTCTGGTATGTTGTATCCTTTTTCTCACTAGTTTCAAAGAGCTTCTTAATTTCTGCTTTAATTTCATTATTGACCCAAAAGTCATTCAGGATCATGTTGTTAATTTCAATGTAATTGCATGGTTTTGAGTGATTTTCTTAGTCTTGACTTCTATTTTTATTTACTGTAGTCCATGTGTGTGTTTGGCATGATTTCAGTTGTTTTGCATTTGTTGAGGACTGTTTTATGTTCAATTATGTGGTCATTTTTAGAGTATATGCCATGTGGCAATAAGAAGAATGTGTATTCCGTTGTTTTGGGGTGGAAAGTTCTGCAGAGGTCTATCAGATCCATTTGGTCCGGTGTTGAATTCAGGTCCTGAATATCTATGTTAATTTTCTGCCTTGATGATCTATCTAATAATGTCAGTGGAGTGTTGAAGTCTCCCACTACTATTGTGTGGGAGTTATGTCTCTTTGTAAGTCTCTAAGAACTTGCTTATGAATCTGTTTTGTCTGAAATTACGATTGCAACTCCTACTTTTTTCTGTTTTTCATTTACTTGGTAGGTTGTCTTCCATTGCTTATTTTGAGCCTTTGGGTGTTGTTACATGTGAGATGGGTCTAGTGAAGTCATCCCACCATTTGGTTTTGCTTTTATATCCAGCTTGCCACTCTGTGCTTTTTATTTTATTTTTCAGTTAGAGTCTTGCTCTGTCACCCAGGCTAAAGTGCAGTGGCACATCTGGGCTCACTGAAACCTCTGCTTCCTGGGTTCAAGTGATTTTTGTGCCTTAGCCTCCCAAATAGCTGGGATTATAGGTGTGTGCCACCACATCTGGCTAATTTTTGTATTTTTAGTAGAGATGGGGTTTCACCATGTTGGCCAGTCTGGTCTCGAACTTTTGACCTCAAGTGATCCACCCACCTCAGCCTCCCAAAATGTTGGGATTACAGGCGTGAGCCACCACACCTGGCCACACTGTGCCTTTTAAATGTGGCATTTAGCCTGATTACATTCAATGCTAATATTAATACATGTGCATTTGATTCTGTCATTGTGTTGTCAGCTGGTTATTATGTTGACTTGTTTATGTAGTTGCTTTACAGTGACACTAATCTGTGTGTTTAAGTGTGTTTTTGTATTAGCTGGTAGCAGTCTCTTCTTTCTACACTTAGTGATCCTTTCAAGATCCTTTTTTTTTTTTTTTTTTTTTTGAGATGGAGTCTTGCTCTGTTGTACAGGCTGGAGTACAGTGGCACAGTCTCAGCTCACTGCAGTCTCCGCCTTGCAGGTTCAAGTGATTCTCCTGTCTGAGCCTCCCGAGTAGCTGGGATTACAAGCAGCTGCCACCACGCCCAGCTAATTTTTTGTATTTTTAGTAGAGATGGGGTTTTGCCATGTTAGCCAGGCTGATCTCGAACTCCTGACCTTGTGGTCCACCGGCCTCTGCCTCCCGAAGTGCTGGGATTACAGGAGTGACCACTGTGCCTGGCCCAAGATCTCTTTTAAGGCAAGTCTGGTGGGAATAAATATGCTCAATATTTCCTTATCTGAAAAAGATCTTATTTTTCCTTCAGTTAGGGAGCTAAGTTTGGCTGGATATGAAATTCTTAGTTGAAGATCTCTTTGTTTTCTTTGGTTGGTTGGTTGCTTTATAATGTCACTGGTCTGTGTCTTTAATTGTGGTTTTGTATTAGCTGATAGTGGTCTGTCCTTCCTATATTTATCATTCCTTTCAAGATCTCTTGTAAAGCAGGTCTGGTGATAGCAAATTCCTTCAACATTTGCTTATATGAAAAGGATCTTATTTCTCCTTCACCTAGGAAGCTTATTATAGCTGGATATAAAATTCTTGGTTGAAGATTTTTTTTTTTTTTTGCTTTAAGAATGTTGAATATCGGCCACCCAATCTATTCTGGCTTATAGGGTTTCAGCAGAGATCTGCTGTTAGCCTGATGGGGTTCCCTTTGTAGGTGACTCGCCCTTTCTCACTGGCTGCCTTTAACATTCTTTCCTTTTGACCTCGGAAAATCTGATGACTGTATGTCTTTGGGATGATCCTTTTGTGTAGAATCTTGCAGTAGTTCTCTGTATATCCTGAATTTGAAATTCTTATATTGTGAAATTATTGTCTTGTGTTATTCAGCTCTGTCGGATTTAAGTTCTTTTTTATACTGGCTATTTTGTCCTTCAGATCCTATATCATTTTATTGTTATTCTTATTTTTCTTGGATTGAATTTTTCTGTCCTGAATCTCAATAATCTTTATGTCCATATTCTGGACTCTATTTCTGTTGTTTCAGCGAGTTCAGTGTGGTTAAGAAGTCTTGTTGGAGAACTGGTGTGATTGTTTGCAGGACATATGACACTCTGACCATTTGAATTACTGGAGTTCTTGTATTGGTTCTTTCTCAACTCTGTGTGTGGATGTTCCTTTAATTGCAGTGTAGATTGAGTACAGTCAGTAGGCTTCTTTTCTGGATTTTTCCACAGGCTGAGGCATTGTACAAGGTTTTTATTTTAAGCCAACTTCTTCTCTTTGATTTCAAACGGGGTATGTTAGTCAGGTATTTTTGGTGTTGAAACTTTGGGGTGTAATCCAGTAGATGAAAGGATGTTGGCCAGTTGGTGGACTCTTGTTTGGTTGTGTGACTGTCCTGTATTTACTCACAGTTGCAGTCGTGTTCCCTCTCAATGTTCTGAAAATGTAGGTTCCTCTTCCCCTTAAGTGTTGGCTGTAGATCGTGGCCTGGTGCTCCTGGGTTGCCCACTGAAGCTCTGAGGTGATCTCAGTTTTTATGTTCCTTCCCTAAACTGAAGGCAGCAGAGGAAGGAACCTCAATAGTTGTTGTGGCCAAGGGTCTTTTGCTTATCTTTTGGGGGTCTTCACCCTTGAGAGATGTAGGTCAGAAATCACTCAGTGGATTCAGCCCAGGATAGAGGGTCTGTGCTGTGGGCCCAAGCCAGGTGTTGCCTGTCTGGAAGATTTGCTAGCCTTCTCTCCTTGGGTCAGCTGCAGCTTGCTGAAGGTATAGATAAGGCATTTACAGTCTTTGGCTATTTTAGATACCTCCTATAAATGAAATTATGCAGTATTTGGCTTTCTTACTGTGCCTGGAATATTTCACTTACCATAATGTTCTCAAAGTTTGTTCATGCTGTCACTTCTTGCAGAATTTGCTTCTTTTATAAGGCTGAATAATATTCGACTGTATGTATATACCATATATTCTTTATTTATCTGATGATGGATATTTATGTTGTTCCCACATCTTGGGTATTGTCAGTGGGGCTGCAATGAATATAGAGGTGCTAATATCTCTGTAAGATCCTGATTTCAATTCCTTTGGATAAATACCCAGAAGTGGGATTGCTGGGTTATGTGGTAGATCTATTTTTGATTTTTTGAGAAATCTTTATACAGTTTTCTAAAGTGGATGCATCATTTTGCATTCCTACCAACCATGCATAAGGGTTTCAATTTTTCTACAGCCTCCCCAACACTTGATATCTTTTGTTTTCTTGATAATAGCCACGCTAACAGATGTGAGGGAATACTTCATTGTGATTCTGATTTGTATTACCTGATGATTAACAATGTTGAGCATTTTTCCATATATTTGTTGGCCATTTGTATGTCTTGTTTGGAGAAATGTCTACTTAAGTCTTTAGCCCGTTTTTAAATTGGTTATAAGTTTTTTTTGCTATTGAGCTATAGGAGTTTCTTATGTATTTTAGACATTAACCACTTATCAGATATATTGCTTGCAAATATATTTTCCTATTCTATAGGTTTTCTTTTCACTTCGTTGAGTGTTTCCTTTCTGTGTAGAAGCTTTTTAGTTTTATGTAATCCCGTTTGTCTATTTTTACTCTTGTTGCTTGTGCTTTTGGTGTCATATCCAAAAAATCATTGTCCAGGTTAATGTAATAAAGAATTTCCTCTAATTTTTAATTAGAAGTTTTATAGTTTTGAGTCTTATATTTAAGTATTTAATCTATTTTGCATGGTGATATGCAGTTTCCCACTACCATTTGTTAAAGAGACTATTCTTTCTCTGTTTTGTGTTCTTGGCACCCTTGTCAGAGATCAGTTGACCATTTATATACAGATATATATACACATACACATGTATACACATACATATATATATATATATACATGTATATATATAAAACACAGGAGGTCTTTCCATTTGCTTGTGTCTTGTTTGATTTCTTTTCTTTTCTTTCCTGTTTTATTTTATTTTATTTTTTTTGAGATGAAGTCTTGCTCTGTCGTGCAAGCTGGAGGGCAGTGGTGTAATATCAGCTCACTGCAACCTCCGCCTCCTGGGTTCAAATGATTCTTCAGCCTCAGCCTCCTGAGTAGCTGGGATTACAGGCACCTGCCACTATGCCTGGTTAATTTTTGTATTTTTAGTAGAGATGGGGTTTCGCCATGTTGGCCAGGCTGGTCTCAAACCCCTGGCCTCTGGTGATCTGCCTGCCTTGGCCTCCCAAAGTGCTGTGATTACAGGCATGAGCCACTGCTCCTGGCCTTGATTTCGTTCATCAGTGTTGTGTAGTTTTCAGTATACAAGTATTTCACCTTCTTGGTTAAGTTTATTCTTATGTATCTTATTCCTTTTAGTGCTATTACAAATGAGATCGTTTCTTGTGTTTATCATTGTTTACTTTTAAACATGTAGCTTCCTCTCTTCTGCTTGACAGGTATCACACTATTAATTTTTAATTACCATATCACATGATTGAGGTACAAGTGTCTCTTGAAATACTTTTGAAGGACACCTTTCTAGGTCATTAACAGTGTTAGGAGTTTAACCCTTTTAATTTTGGTTTTATTGTATTTTGATTCTGTTTAACATCCTTATATTAACAAAAGATTCACCCATATTTATTTAATTAATTTTCCCAGAAGAATCCCTTAGTATTCGTTCAAGTGGTTGATAGAAATACCATTTCTAGGAAATGACCATTTCCAAGTTCATGCATAAGAAAACTTAGGTTACGGATATACTATGCAAGTTACATCTCTTCCAGTACTTCTCAAGTAGCAAATAGAGACAGTTTTAGTAATTTTCTGTAATGGCAGTGAAATTGCCTTGTTGCTTCAGTGTGACTTTATACATGAGAACACTAAAAATATACAGCTATTTCTCTTTCCTAGCCACTTTCTGTATAGGTTACAAATGGATTCTATAGACTTGGTGTTAGAAATTATAAAGAATCAGCCTGGCATGGTGGCTCACGCCTGTAATCCCAGCACTTTGGGAGGCCGAGGCAGGCAGATCACCTGAGGTCAGGAGTTAAAGACCAGCTTGGCCAACATGGTAAGACCCCCTCTCCACTAAAAATACAAAAATTAGCTGGGCGTGGTGGTACACACCTGTAATCCCAGCTACTTGGGAGGCTGAGGCAGGTGAATCGCTTGAAGCCAGAAGGCAGAGGCTTCAGTGAGCCAAGATCATGCCACTGAACTCCAGCCTGGGCAACAGAGGGAGACTCTGTCTCAAAAAAAAAAAAAAAAAAAAAAAAAAACGGTGGGGGGGAATTTTTCTTAGCTAAATGTTTAGCCTAGCACTAAATAATAATAGCTTATTTAGGGGAAAAAAGCTACTCCATTAAAAAAAACAACCTTTTATTTCAGGAAAAATCAGTGTTCTTGAGGCTTGCTTTGCAAAAGTTCATTGCTTTAACATGCACCCACTTCAGAGATGTGAAGACGTCAGAGATGCTGGTTGCAAGTAAAGACGGTTTGTTGTATAAAGTGTGTATTGTAAGTGGTTAACAATCAATAAACATATTGAATTTAGCTCCATTTTTAAAAAAAAGGAAGAAAATGATAAATTTTTTTGGTTTTGGAGAAAAACAGATTTCTTAACTTCATCCTATGATAGGATGTAGCCAAGTAGAAATTAATATGCAGTACCCCATAAATATTTACACCTACTACATACCCATGAATATTAAAAATAAAAATTTTAAAAACAATAGAAAATAAATTAAAATGCTTTGTAAATTGGTGATAAGAAACCTACTTTTTGGCTCTATTATTTATCTAATAATTTGTCTAATAGAAGTGCCTGGACCTTTCTTCTTAGGATTAAATGTTTCTACTTGAGAATATGTCCAACAAGAATTCAATTTAATTAGACCTTTACATCATTGGATTTAAATTGAAAAGGTATTTAAATTATAGATGTCTGAATATATTCCATCACAAGTTTAAAAATCTTGATTGTGGTTCATTCATTTAAGAAATCCGTATTGAGTACTTGTTAAATGTTGAGTGCCAGGCTGGGTTTTTTTCAAAATGGTTTAAGAAATACGTTATATTTCTTGCCCTTGAAGACCTCCCTCTTTAATTGGTGGAGGAAGAAGGAACAACACATAGAATAAGAGGAGAACAATGTTAAGGCCAAAGATAACTAGATGTCCAAATGCCTCAAATAGAAGACACATGATATGGGAGGTCAGGAAGAGTGGAATGGTGTGTGCATTACAGAATATTTTGTGAAATCCTCTTGAAAAAGGGCATGACTTGACAGGTCTTGAAGGTTGAATAGAAAGTGGATATACACGTAACTTTATCTGATAAAAATGCATGTTTTTGCTACTTTGAAGTTAATGGAGGTTAATAAACTGAATAATGACACTGTAGTGAAGAGCACATTGAATTAGAAGGCATGAGGCTGTGTTTTCATTAAAATTATGCAGTGAGCTAGCTGTGTAAAAAATCAGCCTCTGGCCTCTGCCAGATTCACTGCACCCAACCAGCAGCAAGGTATTGAGCTCAGATTAACAAACTCACAAGGTACCATAGAATTTATCTATAACTAAGTTTGCTTAGCTTTAGAAAGGATATAGGATAGGCAGCAATGCAGCATATATGGCCATAACATACAGAGGTCTTGTACCTTAAAGGTACAACTAGCAAATGTCACTTTGGATGCATGTGGTCTCAAAAGATGGGTGGGTGAGTGTAGACAGTCTCAGTTAAGAGAAGTACCAGATCTGGGGTCTCCCCAACAGGAAAATTCAATCAAAGATCAAACCCTTAGGTGTTCTTGAGGTTAGAAGAAAGGTTACAAATCAGCTATTGACCTTTCACTTCCAGCCTAATCTTCTTTACTCATAAAATAATGGACCGATTTGATATAAGCTTTTATTAAAAAAAAGTCTTGTTCAAATTCCAGGATCACCATTTACTAGTTGTATATACTTGGGTAAGTTATTTAACCTCTCTGAATATCCATTTCTTTGATGAAAAAATATATATGAAAATACCTACCTCTTATGTTTGTTATGTATTTTAAATGACCCTCAAATACCTTTGGCAGGATATGGAGAGTCAGACTATTTTAATGTAGAAACTTAAATGTATTTTTTTTTCTTTGCAGCCCTTGCAGGATTATTGTAGGCTTTATTCCTGCGCTGGGTTCTAATGGACCATTAAGATCCATTGTCAAAAGAACTCAAAGCAAAGTAGATTTCTAAAATAAGCTAATGAAAATGAGTGACTCTAGAGAATGGGTAGAATTTTCTGGAGACAAAAAGGGGCTAGAGAAGTGGAGAATGAGGAAAAACATAGGTTGCTGGATTCCATAAGAGTTCAGGAGTTTGATGCTGGGAAAGTGGTCTGAGGAGGTAGGGCACCTGTAATCTGAGAAGCACTGGGTGGTGCCCATTAGTTGCCCAATACTTGGCTTGGCCTCTGTCTGATTAACTATTGGGTGAGCTCATATGCAGTGTCCCAGGAGAGAGTCCTGGATCTCTGTGCTTGAGAGGCCTCAAGACATGGTAAAGACAGAGGGGTCTCTTTAATTTTTCTTTTTCTGGCCCCAAGAGGTTGTAATCAATCTATGATGTGGACATTTCAATTGCCTTAACATTCAATACTGTTTTCTGCCACTGAATTTATCTTGGAAAATTTCTCATTGATACTGAATTGTCTAAAATGATTAAACTGGTCATTTTAGATGTGTCAACTCAGTAACTTAATAGATTTTCTTGAGATGAGAAAGGACTCAGTGAGTTATTAGACAGAGGTAAGGACTACTCTCTGTCTTTACCCTTCCATTAAACCACCTATCATCACAACTATTATAGAAACAATTAAAAGTACATTTTCTCTAATAACTTGTCATATTTTCATCAAAGGTTGACTAGTTTTGAGAAAACAATTTACTTTTTAATAAGAGGTTTTAGAACAGGATTGAATCTAGTAATTTCAGCCAACATTTATTTGTGGCCAGACTGAAGAACCTGGAGTTTTGATTTTTTTTTTTTTAACTAATTTGGTTTTCTTTCACATTTTATCCCACATCTCTTGATTAGAGAAATAGGTAAAATAAAAAGATGCAAACAATTTAATGGAGTTTTTTTGTTTTTAACTAATTTGGTTTTCTTTCACATTTTATCCCACATCTCTTAATTAGAGAAATAGGTAAAATAAAAAGATGCAAACAATTTAATGGACTATTTGAGCTCTTAGGTAGTCTTGTTAGAAAATATGAGGATCATTTCTATCTAATTTACTTGTTTGTGTGGACATATATACCTTTTAAACTTGTATTTCTTAGCCTGCTTTATTGATACTGTTCATTTTCATTCTGAATTATCTCATATATTAGTCAGCTATTGCAGCAATAAATGGATGTAACAAATAACTTTAAAATAGCTTACAGGCTGTTACAAGTTTACAACAGTAGTCATTTATTTTTGTGGCTCATGAGTCTGTGAGTTGGCTGGGCTCCTGTGGGGCTTGACTGTAGATTGTTGGTTGGGCTCAGTTCTGCTGCAAATGTGTCATTCTGGAATGAGCTACTATTAGGGACATGGTTTTCTCATCATGATGGCAGACATGATAGGAGCCAAGCCAAGTTATGTAAGCATGTTTAAAGCCTCTGCTCTTATTACAGCCATTAATGTTTGATTAGCTAAAGCAAATCTCATAGCCAAGTCATGTTGGCTTACTCTAATGGAAGCTTCAGCAAAGTCACTGGCAAAGAGAGTGTTAAGTATTATTCAATAGCAAAGAGGGAGTGAAAAATTGGAAACAGTAATCCTCTACAACTATTTGGCTAGAAGATGATGGATGCGGTTGCTCCCTGAGGAGCTGTCGGCTAAACCTAATCATAGTGTTTTCCCTGAATTGATCTGAAATGGTATTTCCTGGGGTCGACTGAGAAGGAACTTGATGTTCTTTTCCCCAGAAATAAGAAACACCTTGCAGCTATCAAAAAGCCTGTTTCTAAAGCACAATGTGTAAATGTATGAACATGTACGTTCATGTGTGCATGCAACACACATGTGTGCACACATACACAAAGTCTAGCATGGGCTATTTTAAATCCTAACACTCTGATTTTAACATTATAAAAACAGCCTTGGTTCTCAATCCAAAGAGGTTCCAGGGAAATACCTTAGCAAAATACAAAAAACAGAGATGCTCTGTTACTCCCAAATGTTTCTACCTTTAGTTTATCTTAACTTCTCTCAGATTATCTTAATTTCTCTCTCCTGCCCAGTTGTGATTCTGGGAGATATGACAAATGGTAATAGCCTGTCCTAGAAAGACTGTTGGCCAGTAGCGGACTCGGTCAACCTCCTCCAGTTTGCTCTTGGTTGGAGAAATAATTATGTCACATATTTAGACCAACCAATAAATAGCCTGTGATTATTTTGAGGTCACTATTTTATTTCTGTACAAGCTATAAAACTGTCCAACTGAGCTCTTGAAGCTATGGTCAGGGATTATAGATGCCTTGTTATTCCACCAATAAGCACCAGTCTCTGAAATCCTTTATCTTGGCTAAATCCTGAAGACTGAACGCTGAGCCCAGTAATTATTACAAACAAATGATTTTGTTTTTTGAATTAAAACTTTGTACTGATGTTCACAGTCCAAAGCCACCACCAGGTGAGACCTACCTCTTTTGACACATTTAGTATTCAGCTATAATAGATAGTCCTTTGTTTGGCTGGTCTGAGTGCAATAGTGTTTATAGCTAATTGGTCCCAACCAGTTACAGATTTTCTTGTTCCTGCTCCACTCCCACTGCTTCACTTGACCAGCCTTAAGAAATTTGTTGTAAAAAGTAAATTAAATAAAATAGCCCTTTGTTTAAACATAATAAATCTCTTCCTTTTTATATGACAGGTGGTTGGGATTATTTTAGATTTTGATATTCTTCTAATAGGAATCTCAAGCCTGCATGGTCTGGAAAGGAGGAAGTAGATGCAATTCCTAGATTTGGATCTATTCCCTTGACATTCAGACCTAAAGAAGATTTACCAGCTGCAGTGATGAGCAGGAGCTGGGGTAGAAGCTGGGAGCTGAGTGAAAGTGGTGGGTTTTAGTGAATTTCCAAGCTTTGAATTTAATGGAGCTCTAGAGTATATTAGAATTGTTTGTGTCAGTCACCAGCATGCCAAAACCATTCTTAGGAATTGCCCAACAGACCCTGGCTGCTAGTGACTTGCTCTTTGCAAAACAAAAAAATCAAACACCCAAACTGCAGAGAATCCAGGGTTGCAATGGAGCAGGTGCTGGGTGGTGGTAATGCTTTGTGTCTCTGGGCCTCGACTCTGAGTCTGTTTTCTTGAATTCTAGGGCACTTAATCCCTTTGCTGTCTATCTCTTACACATAGGTTCTACTAGAGAACTGAATTATTTTAAATCTAAGATTTGAATCCTAAAGTGAATTGAATTAACCGAGTTCTTTCCCCAAGCCCAGGCTTGACCCCACGTATTTTTAATTTAACAGGAAAATACTTCATGTCTTGCTGTCTGAAGCTCCAGAGGGGTAAGGCTTTATTATTTCTCTCCTATTTACTTGTAAGATGCATCTGAAGCAGTTTGGGAACAATCAGGCCAGTCCGTAGAAATTGCAGGAAGGTTTCAGCCTAATATAAAATGTTTTTTCTAACCATCAGGGTAGCCTAACAATTAGATTGCTGAAAGCAATTAGCTGCTTATTACAATTTTCTAATAATGTACCGTTAGACTACTTTCCATACCGAACTGAAATACCTTATTCACTGAGTTTGAATCTTAAACTAATTTTAACTGATAATTTTTCTGAGAGGGGAAAAACAATGTATTTCAAAACACAGCACAAACCGCCAGAGCAGCCTGTTCTTATTTGACAACAGCGCTCCTGCTGACCCAGGCTGCTGGGACACTGAGGTCTGGTTGGAGTCTCTCTCCTCAGGACAGTCCGCTGAGGATTCCAGGCCTCTCAGCCTCTTACTTACTGCTGTGGCTCTGACCTTCATTCCAGAAGGATTGTTCCAGGCTCGTGCAGCAGAAGGCACTGGGCCAGCAGGTCAGACCTGAGATTTAGTTCTGACTCTGCCATTTACTAGGCCATGAACAAGACACAGGGCCACTCTATAAAATCCGAGGTTGGTTTCCTTAAGGTTGTTTCTTTCTCTAACAATCTGTGATCGATATGAAAAGGGTTTAAGATGACTTAAGGATAGCAAGAATCGTTTTTATTCCCTATCTTTATTTTCCCAGCTCTGCTTTATGTGTTTTCCAACAAAGATGACATTTAGAAGAACAAAGAATATTAAGGCAGAAGACCTGGTTTTTTTTCTTGGATGCAACAACTACTTTAAATGGTCTCCCTGACTCTAATCTTCCCCGAACAGTCTCTTTACCTCCTATATTTAGAAAGATCTTTTTAAAAAGGAAATTTTCTATCTTTAATTATCTGTTTAACTAAACAGATTTTTTTTTTTACTGTCTTTAACATTAAGTCCAAATTCCTCATCATAATTTACAAAACTACTTAAGATTCTTGTTCTATTACTGCTTCCTGTTCACTCCTTCCTTTTGCAGTCTTTGCTAAAGCATACTGAATTGATATCAACTCCTTAAACAAGTCATATTGTTTTGCAACTCTGGGGCCACCTTTATAGCTCTCCCTTGTCCTTGAGTATTCTAACCCCATCCCTTCATCTGTATAAATCCCACTCTTCATTTAGATTTTGGCTTCAGGTTACTATTTTAAAGAGCTTTGCTTGGCTCCTAGAAATACAGCACCATGTATTTCTTCTATCATAACATGTCCCTTTCTTTTCTGGTATATTTCCTGGTATATTGTAAGCTCTGTGAGATTGGGGCCTGTAGGTGCCTCCAACATGTAGCACAGTACCTGGCACACTGAATGAGAAAATGCTTTGTATGGAGTTTATATCTCAGTTATGAAATGTATTAGCTACATGACCATGGGCAAATTATTTGACCTTTTAAAATATCATTATCCTTATCTCTACAAATAAATCTAGAACTAAATTATCTTTAAGTTTTATCTCTAAAATTCTTTAATAGTAATGTATTACTGTAACATTTATGCATTTAATAGGCCCCAAACTTAAGTGTGGAAAAATATACTATTTAATATTAATTTCTATCTTGAGCACCCATTCTACCTGATGCAGAATAGTACTATTATATTGTAGTTGCCATAGGTACTTCTCTAAGCACATATATATGTTAACTCACTTAATTCACACAATAGCATAAGTAAATCACTATTATTTTACCTAATTCATGTATGAGGAAACTGAGGCACAGACAGTAATGTGACACACCCGATGACATAAATCCTAGACAAAGCTGAAATTGGAACCCAGTTGATCTGGTTCCCGAGTGAGTACACTTAACAGCATTGGACAGCACATGCACCATAGTTAGGAAAACTTCATTTAATCAATTTCAGGTAAACTCAGTGGAACAATCTCATCAATCATTTAAGTTTAAACTCAATTAAAGTGGGGAAGAAGAGTATGGAAATTCGTCTTAGGGAGGAAAGAGTATCTTTTAGATCCTGATCTCAGTCCTATGGTGGGATGGAGTTCATTGTGTGTGGTCCTTTTCCATTATGGCATTATATATAGTGTCTTCCTCATCTGACCTCTGACATGAGGGTCCAAACCTCATTATGCAGTGCAGTCTGTGAAACCCCCTGTGGACAGGAGAGCTCTTTTCCCTTGGGAAAGTCCCAGTGGACTTTGAGATGCTCTCCCATTTCACTCTGGTCCCACAGAAATCTCAGGGGATTGATTTTAGCTCTCCACTGCTTAGACCAACCAGCTATGCTACCATTTCTACTCTGTTTATGCCTACTAAGAGGGCTTGAGGACTTTCCACAGGAAATATGTAGTCTCCCTGGGATTGACCTAGGAAGCAACATAGAGGTTACCATCAGAATCTCAGCATTAAAGAATGCTCAGTGGTTCTACCTCATGTATGACTCCATTCAAGAAAATAAATTTCCCAGACACAGCCTCTCAGATTCAACTCTTTTCCTTCCTAATCTCTCTTCCTCCTTTCCTGGGTGGATCCCTTAGTTCGGTTGAAAGGGCCATGAGAACTGGTTTGGCCTAATCACAAGTTTTCCTCAGTATTTTCACCTAGCACTTGTGTTGTGGCTTTTGAACTGGAAATCAAGATTGTAGCATTTTGAAAATCAAGATTGGATCTCTCCACTTGCTTGGGATAATGCCAGCTTTTGGTTTATTACATTTTAATTGAGATTCAGAATTTTAAAAAATAGATAGATTTCTAAGCCATCAAATGTGTTACCCTCAGATTCCTGTCTTTTCAAAGTCAAACTCAGTATATGGTGAAGATGCTTATTTTCCATATCTTCCAGAAGTAACTGTCAGTCAAAAAGCATTTGTGAACACTTGCTGTGGATACTGCTGGGATAATGGAGGAAGTGAAGATCCTATAGCCTCTTATGGTGCTTCTTAGATGTCAGAGCCTAGACTAATACTGTAAAATCAAACTGTGTAGGAGCATATTACCAGTCCTATGCAATATTTAAAGTACAAAAATACACTTTAAACATGAAAGCAGACAGATTAGACAAAGCAGAATAGTTCATGTATAGAGAGGCCTGAGGGTGAGAAGAACGAAATATCTGATCTCTAAAATGAGACTCCAGTCTATGAAAGATGGAATTGTGAAGACAAATGAGAAAGTCAGTTACAAATCAATATGCAAGATAGCAAGTGCATCAGTCAGAGGCCCTGGTAACTTATTATTCTAGAAAAAAAATACGAAAGGAAATACAAACATTGGGGATAAGCAATGCAAATGAAAAATAAAGCCATGCATATTTGCCTAATATGCTGATCTAGAAACAAGAAAATAGAAGGTGAAGGTTATATAAAGACAGTCAGATTTCAGAATATATAAGCAACCTGAAAAAATGTATGTGCCTGCATGTGTGCATATACATGTAGCATGTGTATGTGTGTGTTTGTGTGTGTCCAGAAGGCCAAACATTTTCTCAAGCCAAAAAGAGTGCCAACGAGTAATAACTTTGTTTTTGAAACATTAAGGCCAAGTGATTTGCATTCATCCATTGTGAAATGAAAATAGAATTTGTCAATTATTCATGAATAGGACATAAATCTTTATGCCACCTCCATGGCAGTGATATACAATGTCATGTCAAGTAATAACATCTGTTGGTGGGCAGTTGTAAATAGAAAACTAGACAAAGCAGAAGAGAGACCCTATGGGCTTCTAGGCCTAAAACTTGGGAAATAGAATATGGGCTATGAACTTTACTCTTACAAGACCAATATCCTATTTAATGTATTATAAAATATAATTTGCAGTAATGATTTGCAATCTGGCATAGGGTCAAGAATATTAGATTTTTTTTTAAGAAGAGAAGCAACGTTTTTCTAAAGAGATCAGAAGAGAGAAACAAGCTATATTCAACTTTATTTTTAAAAAGCCTATGACAACTAGTAAAAGTATCCAAATAACAATATGTTGCATTTTCTGATGAATAGCTTGAAAATAAATACTCAGATTATATAACTGCCAAAACAATTGTGGGTATATTATCTATATTCCTGTACAGGAAAACGGTGATTCTTAAATGTCAAAACATGTGTTTTGCTGAAATACAGATTTCCTGAAATATTCCCTCTTGTTATGACAAAGGAAAATAAAGTCTATATATCCTAGAACGAGTTGGTACTGCTCATCTGGTTCACAGTATGTAAGAATATTGGGGAGACTATGCCATTATTTAATTTTCTCACTCAGAGGACACCTGCTGGCAAGGAGTAAACTGATTTGAGCAGAATAAAATAGACAAAGAGTATTAAGATCAGTTATATCTTGTCATCCCCACATTTATTTTGCTTTCTGTATGAGAACTAAACGTGGACAAATTGTCTAAATAGTGAGAAAGGCAACCTGTTCTTTTTAGGTCACAGACATTTGGGATTCACAAAACCACTTTGTCATTCGAGTGAGCTGCTTCGTGCTATTGAGCAGGTTTCCTTTTCCATTAGCCACTCCAATTGGAGACTGATCTACTTGTATCACTTCATAAAGTCTCCTGGTGGCACAATTGGAGCATGAAAACTGTGGTCTAAGGATTGTGCTTCTGAGACCCTCCTCTGTCACTTACTCATTATTTAGCATCTCAGAGCTGCATTTATCTCAAATTAAAATTATTTTCATGTTATTGGATTTCCATGCAATTTGAACATTCTGTTAAGTGCGTTAAAATGTTAGTTATTGTTGCTGCTGTGCAGACTCTTAAATGACCTTGATTTTTATTTAGTTTTCATTTATTTTCACCATATGTTCCTTTGGACTTGAGTGACCTTTCAAATTGATCTTGAGAGCTGAGTTTCCGGCTATCTGAATTCAATAGAGCACTGTTAAGATTATTCCTTTCTGAGCCTCCGTTAAGTAGTAGTGGGTTAGGATCTTTGCAGTTCCACTGAACCTAAACCCCTATGGCTTTTACTGTATTTTATGGCACTGCTAAAGATTATATTCATGGCCTCTGATAAGCTGGACCTTAAAGAACTTTTATGGACATATCAAAGTCTGACATTTATTACATTCTTTCCTCCCTCAGTTTTCCATGGAATAATTTAGGAACCAATTCATGAAACACAAATCCATTGTACTCACTATTGGAAAAGGGGAAGTCAAAAAGATATGTTTAAATCTACATATCTCTTTGGAAAAAATACTGTGTGCAATCTGGTGCTGTCAAGCAAGCTCACCAGACTGGAAACTGTGGGCTTTAGTGCATGGGTTTCTGGAGGTTGATCGTCTATTTCTATATCTTTCTTGTCTCTCTGATTCTCTCTGTTTTTCTCTATTTCTTTTTTTTTTTTTTTTTTTTTTTTTTTTGAGATGTAGTCTTGCTCTGTCGCCCAGGCTGGAGTGCAGTGGCGCAATCTCGGCTCACTGCCAGCTCCACCTCTTGGGTTTATGCCATTCTCCTGCCTCAGCCTCCCGAGCAGCTGGGACTACTGGCACCTGCCACCACGTCCGACTAATTTTTTGTATTTTTAGTAGAGACGGGGTTTCACTGTGTTAGCCAGGATTATCTCCATCTCCTGACCTCGTGATCCGCCGCCTCGGCCTCCCAAAGTGCTGGGATTACAGGCATGAGCCACCGCGCACAGCCTATTTCTTAAAAATCTACAAATAGAAAAATATAGAAATTGTGAAGTAATGCTCTTCTTAAATTTGGCTCTTATTGAAACTTTTCAGAATAGGTCTTCTTAGCTAAGGGCCACAGATGAGACTTCATGGGATCTGGATATTGTGTGCAAAGTTGCATTGGATTTGAGTTTATGGGGCTGTATCTATGCATGTTTCTTATAGAGGGTTTACTTATGTTCATTCCAATAAAGAGTGGTGAATGGTCAGGAGAACAATTCTTTTGGGATTTCACCTTTGATATGTGATTTTTTAGGCCAAAAAAATGCTCTCAGTAATCCAAGGCATGTTTTTAGTATATAAAATATCTCAGAGGAGTCACAGATTCAAAAAGTCTGAAATTTAACTTAACCTTTTTAATGTATTAGGGTTCTCTAGAGAAACAGAACATACACACACACACACACACACACACATATATATACACATCCCTCAATATATAACACATATATATGTATTAGTATATATAATTTGTTCTGTTAGAATGTATATACACACATATCTCCTTATAATATGCATTATTCTGTTTATATATATACATACACATACACACACGTACACACATATCACTGTTGGTTATTTATTTATTTATTATAAGGAATTAGCTCAGGCATATGGAGGTTGCAAGTCCTAAATCCACAGAGTTGACGTCCTAGTTTGCAGGTTGTCAGGCAGGAGAATTCTATCTTATCTGGGGGAAGATCAGCCTTTTGTTCTATTAATAACTTCACCTTATTGGATGAGGGCCACCCACATTATGAGGGGTGATCCTACTTTACTGGTCTACTGATTTAAATGTTAATCCCACCCAAAGTGGCCCTCACAGACACACCCAGAATAATGTTTGACCAAATACCGGGGTACCCTGTAGTCCAGTCAAGCTGACACATAAACTTAACTATTATGTCTACAAACCTGTTATTCAAGGGTAGATCCAAGTTCTTTGAGGCTTACAGCTTATATAATTGTTTGGAGCTCTCTTCATACATTCATGGAGATCTATATTAATAAATACTTCTATCCTCCCTCATGCAGTTAGCCATTGTAATTTCTGGCTTTTTAAAATTCACACCATGGCTGCAATATTTCTTCATTTGAAAAAATTTATTGATTTATTATATGGGAGGCACTCTGATAATGTTTTCAGGGTTCATATTAGGAGCAGAGAATTAAAAAATAGGAACACAGGAAAAAATCATTACGTCATTGTGTTAAAAGCAACAGGAGAATTTTTTAAGTGGAATGGTGACACATAAGCTCCATGAGATGAGAGTTCTTGTCAACTATTATGTTGTCAGATATACCACAGCAACTTTTACTTAGTAAATGCTCATAAACATCTGTTGACTCGATAATAGTAGTGTTAACTATAATATGTATAATTAATCAAGCAACATCACTGAAGCAATTATTTTAATCTTCACAAAAGTTGCATATTGTAACCTTTCTCTATAAGGAGAAGGGAAAATACATTTTCAAAGTCCAAATCACATTTCTCTCATAGTAATCACATTACTAATATCAATTAGGAGGTATTTCATTTAAGGCAACTGCTGTTAAAAAAAAAATAAACCCTAAATGTGTCATTGCTCAACCATGATAGAAAAATCACTTCTTGTTTACTTATAAAACTGATACTCCTGATTTGTAACTCTTGCCAAAGCAATAATTCAGGGACCTGATTTTTTTTCCTCAATGCCTATATCTTCCTTAGCAGTGGCTTCTATAATTACCATGGTTATCTTTATTAGGCTTGTAGCAGCTGAAGAAATATGGAGAATTATGCCTGGAAATTTTTCATAGGCTAGTCCTATAAGAGTACTTACAAAGTCCTTTAAGATTACTTAAAACTCAGTCACAGCCAAACCTAACAGCCAAGTAGCCCAGGAAAGGTAATCTAAACCCATGTCTAGGAAGAAGATAAAATGGGTTTGATGATCCCAGTCTCTGCTCCAGCAGAGGAAGCCCTCTATTTAAGATTTAGAGATCAACAAAATGACGTAGGTATATGGGAGGCATAGAGAAGGTTGTAAGTCAGCAGCCTCATTGAAGCCTTTGATCCAGCTGCAATATTCAAGAGTTATTTGTGAGATTCTTATAGAAATAAAATCTATCAATAGCTAGCTGCCCTCTCCTCTGTCTCTCAATGTAACCACTTAACGGTTTGAAAAATAAAAGATTGTAAATTGTAAAAAACAAAAATAAAACAGCTTTATGTCATAGATACTGTTATCCTCATTTTACAAATGAGATTAAGACACTAAGATCACACAACTAATATGAAAGTGCAGTGTCTTTCCAGAACACTTTCTTTTTAAATTAAGTAAAAAAATTCCTGTTTATGTCACTCTTTCATTCAGTTGTACTTGACTGTACACTCTTTGAAAAACCCCACCCAAAGAATCACGAAACTGTGCTATCTCAACTCCGTCATTATGGCACCACTAAATCAAGAGAAGCCACCCCAGGCAGACCATGGCAGAGGGCAGGCCAGTGACATCAGGGGATTCCATGGCCTCTGGCTTCTCTCACACTTGTGTTTGGAAATGTGAGTTCTTAACATTAAAAGGGAAAACAGGCCAGTTGTAAGCATGCCACTTTACACACGAGCAAACACATAGTGCAGCACACTCAAGCACTTAGCCAGATTTTGAGAAGAGTGTTAGTCATTAAGCCAATAGTGGAAACTGTGTAGGAGAATTTTCTTTAACTTGCTTCTCTATCAGTCCAGAAAGAGAAAAGAGGAAAATTGCGAGAAAGCAAGATTCTTAAAGACGGCTTGGAAAAAATGCTTTTAAAAAGAAACTACAAATAATGACTATGCCTGTGTATTGCTAGGCAGCATTTATTCACTTATGACATTGTTACTGAAATGTAATTCTTACATAAAGTGATTATCTACTGAGCCAGAGGTCCGTGGGTTTTGATTTCTATCCTGACTATATATCCTATTGAGAGAAGCTGTGATGTTCCTTCCATTTCTGAAAAAGGCAGACTTTTTTAGGAGAGCAAGGCTTTGCCACATTAGATATGAAATTGAATAGTTATATAAAATAAGAAATGTTAACAAATTAAAAGTTGAAAACATCCCCAAACACCCCAAAATTTAGAAAATATCAATTTTTAATAACTGCTTTACAGACCTCTAAATACTTTTTCTTATTATTTTTTAGCTGCATAAGTATTGGTACCTTTTTAAATAAAGACAATGATTTTGTTATATGTTTTTCAATACAGAACAGAAACATAATTTAGTCTTTTCATTTTTGAAACTGTTATTGGAAATATAGTGAATTTTGAACATGGTTGACACATTTTGAAAACCACCCTCAAACTTACTCATATGTACATTTTAAGATTTCAGAACCTTTCAAGTTGTTTTATGTATTGATTAATCTTTTTTATTCCTTTTTTTTTTTTTTTTTGAGACAGAGTCTTGCTCTGTCACCCAGGCTAGAGTGTGTTGGTGTGATCTGAGCTCACTGCAACCTCTGACCTCTGGGTTCAAGCAATTCTTCTGCCTCAGCCACCCAAGTAGCTGGGATGACAGGTGTGCGCCACCATG
This sequence comes from Homo sapiens, assembly GCF_000001405.40. Classification (NCBI taxonomy): domain Eukaryota; kingdom Metazoa; phylum Chordata; class Mammalia; order Primates; family Hominidae; genus Homo; species Homo sapiens. Next base: position 60,799,651 of record NC_000013.11, read on the forward strand.
CCCGGCTAATTTTTGTATTTTGAGTAGAGACAGTGTTTCACCATGTTGGCCAGGCTGATCTTGAACTCCTAACCTTGTGATCCACCCATATCGGCCTCCCAAAATGCTGGGATTACAGGTGTGAGCCACTGCGCCTGGCCACAGTGATTAATCTCAAATACTCTTTGAATTAGTGATACTTATGAGCTGGCTTTTTGTCAATATCTGTATTTTATTTTATTTTATTTTTTATTATTATTATACTTTAAGTTTTAGGGTACATGTGCACAATGTGCAGGTTAGTTATATATGTATACATGTGCCATGCTGGTGTGCTGCACCCATTAACTCGTCATTTAGCATTAGGTATATCTCCTAATGCTATCCCTCCCCCCTCCCCCCACCCCACAACAGTCCCCAGAGTGTAATGTTCCCCTTCCTGTGTCCGTGTGTTCTCATTGTTCAATTCCCACCTATGAGTGAGAACATGCGGTGTTTGGTTTTTTGTCCTTGCGATAGTTTACTGAGAATGATGATTTCCAATTTCATCCATGTCCCTACAAAGGACATGAACTCATCATTTTTTATGGCTGCATAGTATTCCATGGTGTATATATGCCACATTTTCTTAATCCAGTCTATCATTGTTGGACATTGGGGTTGCTTCCAAGTCTTTGCTATTGTGAATAGTGCCACAATAAACATACATGTGCATGTGTCTTTATAGCAGCATGATTTATAGTCCTTTGGGTATATACCCAGTAATGGGATGCCTGGGTCAAATGGTATTTCTAGTTCTAGATCCCTGAGGAATCGCCACACTGACATCCACAATGGTTGAACTAGTTTACAGTCCCACCAACAGTGTAAAAGTGTTCCTATTTCTCCACATCCTCTCCAGCAGGAAACAAAAGTTTCCTGACTTTTTAATGATTGCCATTCTAACTGGTGTGAGATGATATCTCATTGTGGTTTTGCTTTGCATTTCTCTGATGGCCAGTGATGATGAGCATTTTTTCATGTGTCTTTTGGCTGCATAAATGTCTTCTTTTGAGAAGTGTCTGTTCATATCCTTCACCCACTTTTTGATGGGGTTGTTTGTCTTTTTCTTGTAAATTTGTTTGAGTTCATTGTAGATTCCGGATATTAGCCCTTTGTCAGATGAGTAGGTTGTGAAAATTTTCTCCCGTTCTGGAGGTTGCCTGTTCACTCTGATGGTAGTTTCTTTTGCTGTGCAGAAGCTCTTTAGTTTAATTAGATCCCATTTGTCAATTTTGGCTTTTGTTGCCATTGCTTTTGGTGTTTTAGACATGAAGTCCTTGTCCATGCCTATGTCCTGAATAGTAATGCCTAGGTTTTCTTCTAGGGTTTTTATGGTTTTAGGTCTAACGTTTAAGTCTTTAATCCATCTTGAATTGATTTTTGTATAAGGTGTAAGGAAGGGATCCAGTTTCAGCTTTCTACATATGGCTAGCCAGTTTTCCCAGCACCATTTATTAAATAGGGAATCCTTTCCCTATTGCTTGTTTTTCTCAGGTTTGTCAAAGATCAGATAGTTGTAGATATGTGGCGTTATTTCTGAGGGCTCTGTTCTGTTCCATTGATCTATGTCTCTGTTTTGGTACCAGTACCATGCTGTTTTGGTTACTGTAGCCTTGTAGTATAGTTTGAAGTCAGGTAGTGTGATGCCTCCAGCTTTGTTCTTTTGGCTTAGGATTGACTTGGCGATGCGGGCTCTTTTTTGGTTCCATATGAACTTTAAAGTAGTTTTCTCCAATTCTGTGAAGAAAGTCATTGGTAGCTTGATGGGGATGGCATTGAATCTGTAAATTACCTTGGGCAGTATGGCCATTTTCATGATATTGATTCTTCCTACCCATGAGCATGGAATGTTCTTCCATTTGTTTGTATCCTCTTTTATTTCATTGAGCAGTGGTTTGTAGTTCTCCTTGAAGAGGTCCTTCACATCCCTTGTAAGTTGGATTCCTAGGTATTTTATTCTCTTTGAAGCAATTGTGAATGGGAGTTCACTCATGATTTGGCTCTCTGTTTGTCTGTTGTTGGTGTATAAGAATGCTTGTGATTTTTGTACATTGATTTTTATCCTGAGACTTTGCTGAAGTTGCTTATCAGTGTAAGGAGATTTTGGGCTGAGATGATGGGGTTTTCTAGATATACAATCATGTCATCTGCAAACAGGGACAATTTGACTTCCTCTTTTCCTAATTCAATACCCTTTATTTCCTTCTCCTGCCTAATTGCCCTGGCCAGAACTTCCAACACTATGTTGAATAGGAGTGGTGAGAGAGGGCATCCCCGTCTTGTGCCAGTTTTCAAAGGGAATGCTTCCAGTTTTTGCCCATTCAGTATGATATTGGCTGTGGGTTTCTCATAGATAGCTCTTATTATTTTGAGATACATCCCATCAATACCCAATTTATTGAGAGTTTTTAGCATGAAGGGTTGTTGAATTTTTTCAAATGCCTTTTGTGCATCTGTTGAGATAATCGTGTGGTTTTTGTCTTTGGTTCTGTTTATATGCTGGATTACATTTATTGATTTGCATATATTGAACCAGCCTTGCATCCCAGGGATGAAGCCCACTTGATCATGGTGGATAAGCTTTCTGATGTGCTGCTGGATTCGGTTTGCCAGTATTTTATTGAGGATTTTTACATCAATGTTCATCAAGGATATTGGTCTAAAATTCTCTTTTTCAGTTGTATCTCTGCCCAGCTTTGGTATCAGGATGATACTGGCCTCATAAAATGAGTTAGGGAGGGTTCCCTCTTTTTCTATTGATAGGAATAGTTTCAGAAGGAATGGTACCAGTTCCTCCTTGTACCTCTGGTAGAATTCGGCTGTGAATCCATCTGGTCCTGGACTCTTTTTTGTTGGTAAGCTATTAATTATTGCCACAATTTCAGATCCTGTTATTGGTCTGTTCAGAGATTCAACTTCTTCCTGGTTTAGTCTTGGGAGAGTATATGTGTTGAGGAATTTATCCATTTCTTCTAGATTTTCTGGTTTATTTGTGTAGAGGTGTTTGTAGTACTCTCTGATGGTAGTTTGTATTTCTGTGGGATTGGTGGTGATATCCCTTTATCATTTTTTATTGCATCTATTTGATTCTTCTCTCTCTTTTTTTTTATTAGTCTTGCTAGTGGTCTGTCAATTTTGTTGATCCTTTCAAAAAACCAGCTCCTGGATTCATTAATTTTTTGAAGGGTTTTTTGTGTCTCTATTTCCTTCAGTTCTGCTCTGATTTTAGTTATTTCTTGCCTTCTGCTAGCTTTTGAATGTGTTTGCTCTTGCTTTTCTAGTTCTTTTAATTGTGATGTTAGGGTGTCAATTTTGGATCTTTCCTGTTTTCTCTTATGGGCATTTAGTGTTATAAATTTCCCTCTACACACTGCTTTGAATGCGACCCAGAGATTCTGGTATGTTGTGTCTTTGTTCTCGTTGGTTTCAAAGAACATCTTTATTTCTGCCTTCATTTCGTTATGTACCCAGTAGTCATTCAGGAGCAGGTCGTTCAGTTTTCATGTAGTTGAGTGGTTTTGAGTGAGTTTCTGAATCCTGAGTTCTAGTTTGATTGCACTGTGTTCTGAGAGACTGTTATAATTTCTGTTCTTTTATATCTGCTGAGGAGAGCTTTACTTCCCAGTATGTGGTCAATTTTGGAATAGGTGTGGTGTGGTGCTGAAAAAAATGTATATTCTGTTGATTTGGGGTAGAGGTTCTGTAGATGTCTATTAGGTCTGCTTGGTGCAGAGCTGAGTTCAATTCCTGGGTATCCTTGTTAACTCTCTGTCTGGTTGATCTGTCTAATGTTGACAGTGGGGTGTTAAAGTCTCCCATTATTAATGTGTGGGAGTCTAAGTCTCTTTGTAGGTCACTCAGGACTTGCTTTATGAATCTGGGTACCCCTGTATTGGGTTCATATATATTTAGGATAGTTAGCTCTTCTTGTTGAATTGATCCCTTTACCATTATGTAATGGCCTTCTTTGTCTCTTTTGATCTTTGTTGGTTTAAAGTGTGTTTTATCAGAGACTAGGATTGCAACCCCTGCCTTTTTTTGTTTTCCATTTGTTTGGTAGATCTTCCTCCATCCTTTTATTTTGAGCCTATGTGTGTCTCTGCACGTGAGATGGGTTTCCTGAATACAGCACACTGATGGGTCTTGACTCTTTATCCAATTTGCCAGTCTGTGTCTTTTAATTGGAGCATTTAGTCCATTTACATTTAAAGTTAATATTGTTATGTGTGAATTTGATCCTGTCATGATGATGTTAGCTGGTTATTTTGCTCGTTAGTTGATGCAGTTTCTTCCTAGTCTCCATGGTCTTTACATTTTGGCATGATTTTGCAGCGGCTGGTACCGGTTGTTCCTTTCCATGTTTAGTGCTTCCTTCAGGAGCTCTTTTAGGGCAGGCCTGGTGGTGACAAAATCTCTCAGCATTTGCTTGTCTGTAAAGTATTTTATTTCTCCTTCACTTATGAAGCTTAGTTTGGCTGGATATGAAATTCTGGGTTGAAAATTCTTTTCTTTAAGAATGTTGAATATTGGCCCCCACTCTCTTCTGGCTTGTGGAGTTTCTGCTGAGAGATCAGCTGTGAGTCTGATTGGCTTCCCTTTGTGGGTAATCTGACTTCTCTCTCTGGCTGCCCTTAACATTTTTTCCTTCATTTCAACTTTGGTGAATCTGACAATTATGTGTCTTGGAGTTGCTCTTCTCGAGGAGTATCTTTGTGGCATTCTCTGTATTTCCTGAATAAGAATGTCGGCCTGCCTTGCTAGATTGGGGAAGTTCTCCTGGATAATATCCTGCAGAGTGTTTTCCAACTTGGTTCCATTCTCCCCGTCACTTTCATGTACACCAATCAGACGTAGATTTGGTCTTTCACATAGTCCCATATTTCTTGGAGGCTTTGCTCATTTCTTTTTATTCTTTTTTCTCTAAACTTCCCTTCTCGCTTCATTTCATTCATTTCATTTTCCATCACTGATACCCTTTCTTCCAGTTGATCGCATGTGCTCCTGAGGCTTCTGCATTCTTCACGTAGTTCTCGAGTCTTGGCTTTTAGCTCCATCAGGTCCTTTAAGCACTTCTCTGTATTGGTTATTCTAGTTATACATTCTTCTAAATTTTTTTCAAAGTTTTCGACTTCTTTGCCTTTGGTTTGAATTTCCTCCTGTAGCTCGGAGTAGTTTGATCGTCTGAAGCCTTCTTCTCTCAACTCGTCAAAGTCATTCTCCGTCCAGCTTTGTTCCGTTGCTGGTGAGGAACTGCGATCCTTTGGAGGAGGAGAGGTGCTCTGCTTTTTAGAGTTTCCAGTTTTTCTGCTCTGTTTTTTCCCCATCTTTGTGGTTTTATGTACTTTTGGTCTTTGATGATGGTGATGTACAGATGGGTTTTTGGTGTGGATGTCCTTTCTGTTTGTTAATTTGCCTTCTAACAGACAGGACCCTCAGCTGCAGGTCTGTTGGAGTTTGCTAGAGGTCCACTCCAGACCCTGTTTGCCTGGGTATCAGCCGCGGTGTCTGCAGAACAGCGGATTTTTGTGAACAGCGAATGCTGCTGTCTGATCGTTCCTCTGAAAGTTTTGTCTCAGAGGAGTACCTGGCTGTGTGAGGTGTCAGTCTGCCCCTACTTGGGGGTGCCTCCCAGTTAGGCTGCTTGGGGGTCAGGGGTCAGGGACCCACTTGAGGAGGCAGTCTGCCCATTCACAGATCTCCAGCTGCGCACTGGGAGAACCACTGCTCTCTTCAAAGCTGTCAGACAGGGACATTTAAGACTGCAGAGGTTACTGCTGTCTTTTTGTTTGTCTGTGCCCTGCCCCCAGAGGTGCAGCCTACAGAGGCAGGCAGGCCTCCTTGAGCTGTGGTGGGCTCCACCCAGTTGGAGCTTCCTGGCTGCTTTGTTTACCTAAGCAAGCATGGGCAATGGCGGGCACCCCTCCCCCAGCCTCGCTGCTGCCTTGCAGTTTGATCTCAGACTGCTGTGCTAGCAATCAGCGAGACTCTGTGGGCATAGGACCCTCTGAGCCAGGTGCGGGGTATAATCTCCTGGTGCGCCATTTCCTAAGCCCATCGGAGAAGCACAGTATTTGGGTGGGAGTGACCCGATTTTCTAGGTGCCGTCAGTCACCCCTTTCCTTGACCAGGAAAGGGAACTCCCGAGTGAGGCAATGCCTCGCCCTGCTTGAGCTCACGCATGGTGCAGCTGCACCCACTGTCCTGCGCCCACTGTCTGGCACTCCCTAGTGAGATGAACCCAGTACCTGAGATGGAAATGCAGAAATCACCCATCTTCTGCGTCGCTCACGCTGGGAGCTGTAGACTGGAGCTGTTCCTATTCCCAATATCTGTATTTTAATGTTTAATCATGAATTTTATATTATCTTTGTCAATAGCAGTATGTCATGTCAGATCAGCCATAAATTTAAATCCTTTTCCAATGTATTTATATGAGGCACTCTTTTTCATTAACTTGTTTATTAAAGGCTATTTATTACTTCTATTTGTACTTTATCTTTTCCTCTTACTAAATTTATGCTTTAGGAATGATCTGTTTTCTGTTAGAATTTTTTTTTCATTTTTAACATCAGAATAATATATATTTGTTTATTTCATTGATAAACTTTACCAGTTTTATTTCATATTCCATTATTTTTAATCACAATTTAAAAGAATTAAAGAGCAGGTACAGTTTATATAAATGCTAATCAGGAATCTGTTAATCTTCACTTATGGAAATGTTCCCAAATTTTTTCCAAGCTGAAAATACGAGCATCTCCTCAAACTAGCTTCCTTTCACCAGTGTCCCACAGATGCTCACATCAATACAATCTGACACAAGGAAAAAAGTCACATAGGAAAAGTTATAGGGGAAAGAACCTGGAAAGTATTCTTACCAAATACACTTAAAATAGCTTATTTTTGCAGAGATTTAAAAAAGTAATATTTTGCTTGGTGCTTACTTGAGCCTTGGAAGAGAATGAAGAAGTGAAGGGCCCAGAAGCTGAAATTCTGATGGCATTACAGTTGATTTGCCTTTGCAGCATTCCTTCACTGATTCCCCATCTTAAAAGACAGCATTATCCCAAGACAGATAGAGCCACCTTAGTGATTACTTTTTCTGTCTCTGACCAGCTATCAGGTCATGTTAATATATTAGTTATCTGGATTGCTGGATTACCTCCTTACTTGTATCGTTACTATTAAAAAAAATTGCATCAGACAAGTTAAACAGTCAAGGAAGATTTTATTCAAGACTATTGCCATAGAGGAGATAGATTGAACTCAGCTAAAACAAAAGGCAGGAAATTTACTAGCACTTATAAGAGTTTATATGTAAGAGTGCCAGTCAAAAAGCACTAGAGTATATTAGGAGGAGGTTAGTCAATGTGGTTAGGTCATCTGTGTTTGCTAATAAGTACTTATTGAAGTTAAGATTTTACCCTCCCACAGAGACTGGCAGAGAGAGGGGTAATGATCTCTGAATAATTATATTTCAAAGGGATGGCTCTCAGGTTCTTGAGAAAGACATTCCTGGCTGTATAAGATTTGTATCTCAAGGATCAGAGAAAGAATTTATAACTGCAAGATTTCCAAAGTAAATGCCCTAAAAATAGAGAGGTCACTGGCCTAAAGTCAAGAATAAACTTGTCGAAAGTTAGTCAAGCTGAGAGGAGAGTTAAGGCTCTCTGGTCATTATATCCCTGACCCTACCTGTAAGATAAAGTCTGTTTTCCTTGGCACCCCATATGGCTATTTTATGATGGAATTCTGCCTACCTCTTTAACACATTGCTTCTCATCATCTTATCAGTTGTGTTGGTTCAGACACTTTCACTTCCATTTCTTTCTTACTATTCCTCTGCTTACAGTCATCAGTGCTCCTTCTTACAACCTAAGCCAACCCTTTAATGGCTCTTAAAGTCTTCTACCATTTTCACATCACTTCTGCTTATGTTTCCCTGGCCAAAGCAAATCACAGAATTCTGTTTTGCCTCAAAAGAACAGAATGTGCAATTCTATCATGTACTTGCAAGAAGGTAAAATCAGGATATTAGATGAGCAGCATTAAGGACAGTCACAGAAAATCCTCAGTGGTCACCCCTGAACTATGCTAGTGCTGACTTAAGAATGGTTATTTTAAGAATGATTTTTTTTATGTGAAGCTAGTATTCAGTTCTTGTGCATCAGAATGACCAAACTAGTTGCAAAATATTGAAATTTAAAAATATCAATTGCAAAATTGTCAGTGCCTTGACCTACAGAGCTACATCCTCTGTTTGCAGGTCATCATTGCTGTCACCCACACTCCTTACATTTTCCTATGATGCTTAATTGCAGCATTTACAGAGTGTCCTTCAGAACCTTCTCCTGGTCCTACCATAGGTCTCCATTTTGATAGGTTGGTGCCCATATTGTAATGTTTAAATATTTTGAATATTACCCAGCCTCTGTTGTAACAAATGTTATTATAATGTCTACATGTCTATTTTTCTCACTAGATTTCGAATTTCTTGAGGGCTTGGATTATATCTTTCATTTCATTATTTCTGGTGCTTAGTAGAGTGCTTACACATAGGAGTTGCTTAATAAATGATTACTGCATTGAAATAAAAATGAATATCCACCCGATACATCTCTTCATTGAGGAACAAACAGAACAGGTTTAATAAGAACATGAGACTCTACGGATCAGAACACATTTGCCAACATTGAGGGATGTTAACATTTGAAGTAACTGAAGGATATCTTGGAATCTCCACTTTTGTGAGTCTCTATAAGAAGGTGAAACAGTTATTTCTCTGGGATGGTTATACTGTGGTTTCACTTTATGTCCAGGAAATTGCCTATTATGGATCCTGGAGATTTCTTCCAGGCCTATAGAGAAATATAAAAACAATTTTGTAGCATTAGGATAATTCTGATTTGTTTTAAATGCATATTGTGATGCAATTGGGAGCCTAGAAATAAAAATAGATTCTTTATAATCCATCCTGAATTGCTATAGTGGTGAAGAACAAAACCAGAAAATGGTATTAAATCATGTTGGGATTACTTACAAGGATTGAAGAGCTCTAAAGCCCTTATGGGTTTATTGATGAAAGACAGTATGCTTTCTCACACAAAAGTGAAAACTTTAGAGAAACCAGAGGATTTGAGGCTTTACCTGAAGTAGTCATGGACATAAATGTTCTTTTTCTTTCAGTCCATTTGAACTAAGTGAGAAAGAAAGAAATACATGTTAATGCTTTTCACATCCTCTCAGAGTTTCAGCGGCTCTAACTTCTTCAGGGAGCTCCAGGAAACAAGGAAACTCCCTATCCTATCATTGCTACTTTGGCAGCAGTTGAGGGAGAACAATTTATCTTAAATATAGTCTAGTGGCGGTGGGGGGAGGAACCTCGTACTGGTATGAGTACAGCAATTCCGTCAGGAATTGGGGCTATTATTTGAGAAATACCACAAGGAAGAGAAACATATAACAGTATTCATTATTCAGAATCTGAGGGCCTTTCAGGTTTATTATGAGACCATCCTGAGCAGAGGCTGTGCTGTGGACCTACACATCTGCTGATGGATGATCATACAAGCAGATCCTGCAGACCACCCCAAGATGAGCAGATATTAAGTTCAAGGACTAAAGCTTGTTTGGGAAATTTTCAGGGTGGAGCTTGGATTTGGGGGTTGGAAAGACAAGTGTCAGTGTTGAGAGAGAGGAAAAGAAGATTAAGCTCAAGGAATTTCTGGTGAGTTCTACCTAAATATTTACTTCCAGGTTTACCTTGTACTGTTCATCCTCCTTATAGTACCCTTGCTTTAGGCTCCCCAAAATAATCCTATGTGGCATCAGTTACAAGAATTCCTCTGGAATTTGATTTCCTTTTGACGCTTTCTCACTATTATTGCCTGTCCACATCTGTACTCTTGGGTGAGAAAATGCATTGGTAATTTCTGTCTCCCTTTCCTTAAAATATAAGTATTTAAATAAAAACCAAAAAAATGGACATCTATTGAATAACAAATGTAAAAGGCCATTTTTACTTAGTATCTCAACCACCTCTAAAGAATGAATTTAATATTTAATCTTTGTCTTCTTTCTCTCCCTCTGACTTCTGCTTGTCTCAGGCTGTTCAGAATGGGGCCTGGTTTGGGCTGGGTTCTGAGGCTAAGGCAGTTGTTAGACTGGGCTGAGCATGATATCAGGTTATGGGGTGGATATGATACAAGTGGGAGTTGAAGCAGAGATGAAAGATCAACAGAAACCAAACCGAACAGACCTCAGCCATCAAGCTGCCTGAATGTACAGTTTTAAGGTAAGTACTATTGATAGTTCTGAAAGAAGCTAAATGTTCCTACACTGATTTGAACTAAGTGAGTCTGCTTTTTTTGTTCTGCCTGCCAGGCTTGGAATATGTGGCTCAAGTGATTTATAAAATAGAACTAACTTGGTTTAAAAATGCTGTGCTTGTTACATGTAGTTTGATTTTCTGATATCAGGGTGTCCAGGGTCAAGGCAGACAGCTGTGCAGGATGCTCACCGCCCACTCCAAGGGTTGCTGTTTGCAGTGACTGCAATGGGAACAGTATCCCTTGGGGTTACACACTTCAGATGCCCAGGTTATTACTTCCCTATGTAGGGTCCCTTGCTAGTCATGTCTATGAACTATAGGTATGGCAGATTGTAACTAGGCCTACCTAAACAATGGCTTACTCTGAATATTTACCAAAATTTGCATTTTTTGTATAGAACACCACCTTAAAATGTCTATGTTAATTTTACTGACATCCCTGCCACTTTGGATTTCTTTGAGGAGGGGCTGGGGTAAGGCTGAATTAAATACTACCCCACAGTGCACTGTAGCATGTCTTTTTGCTTATCTTTTTCCAATTCCTTTTCCCAAGAGTAAGACGAAAATCCTTCTTTAAGTGTAATCTTTTTGAAAAGAGAAGTACCTTGTCAGGAATTGATAGTAATCTTTCAGTAAGTTTAGGCAAAATACACAGAACCCCATCTAGCTTTTAATTTAAAAGTATATTTGGTTTTTGGAAATGCAAAGATTGGTCATGTTATGATAATGACATTTACTAAGCTCTTATGATTCACTACTAAAACAAAGAATTATGAGTGGTTAACCTCTTAGTAGGATTATTGTATAAATAAAACTTTCAAACTGAAACAATACAAAGTTTGTGTTCTTGTCTTTTCATTGTGGGATATCTAAGCCTTTTATATTAACAATTAACAATATCATATCAACATTATGATTAATCTAAATTCCGATGTGAGCTAATGTCCTTCCCTACAAACCAGAGTGCTTTGGGACCAACTGTTATTGTTATCTTGCTATTTCTGACAAATACTTTTGAATAATTCCCTGTGGCACCATGGAAATATGCAACTCTGATCGCTTTATTCAGGATTATTCACACTTCTGTGATGCATTTCCTTTATGTTACAGATAGAAGAGCAAAAAACAAATATCTTTGGGGACTAAGATGAGTTATTGACCTCATTTGGTCAGCCTCAGGGGATCTCATTTGGTTTCCAATGTGCTATACCATTATGTCCAGATATATGAGGTATACAAAGAGTAAAAAACATGCTTTAACTGTCTCATAATCTCACTTTCTAGTACTGTATTCTTCTTGCTAGGCTTGGCACAGTAGCAGGTGCTGCAGCCAACACAGTCAGGTCTCTATACTCAGAGGCCTTTGACGGGCTGGGGAATGTTCTCTCTGGTTGATGTTACACAGATCATTTTAGGTCTCCTCTGATTGGGGTGGGGTAAGAATGAGCACTAGTACTTTCTACTTATTTCTACCTATGTTCTGCATGTGTTTCCCTATGGGTTAGGTAACTGGATTGTCCCCCAACTTTAAGAACACACATGGCCTGTGAATTATTGAAATTCAGACAAGCTTTTGTTCTTTCCAGTTTGGGAACTTGTCCTATGTGTATACTATTTAAGAACAGGGAAAAACATTTTTAGAAGGCAAACATGAATTTTTATATATCAGCCCTGACTCTTTCTTTCTCTGCAACTTCTGTTGATGCTTATCCTCTCTTGACTCTATCAGTAGGTATGTATGGGGCAGTGATTAAGGCTGTGGAGTTTTGCATTCAAGTAGACATGAGTTCCAACACGTCCCTCCACTTAGCAACTTCATGACCTTGGATAATGTACTTAACTGAGGAAGTCTAAGTTTTCTAATGTGTACAACTGAGAGTTATGAGTGCATATTTAATAAAGTAAACTTGACAATTATGATATAAATATAATGATTAACCTAAGCCCCCATATTATATAAGCACTCATTAAATGGTAATTCTTACTGTTGTCTTCCAAAGCCTGAGCAAAGGGAAATGTGAGTCAAACTTTGCCTTTGAGGGTAGAAATTCCATACCTAGTCGATATATTCCCATTATCTTTCCTTCTCAAGGATTAAGGTCAACTTCGTTGGCTTTCTTCCATTTCCTTTTCTCATTTTCTTTATTTTGATGATTCCCATTGGCTTTGCCCTGTGACCTGACCCATTGTATCAACTGGGTCCTTTTGCAGCAAACAACAGGATCTGGGCTAGTGGATAGGATGAGGCAAGGCAGGCACTTACTTAGGCACAGGAGTCCCCCAAAACGCAGCAATCAAGAGAAACAAGTTTTTAATGTCTTGTGCTAATAAGTTAAAAACTAAGGCAAAAAAGATAGGTGATGAACAAAATTATCAAATTTTATTTTAAATAAAGAGACCATCTGACTTTACATTTGTATGATTTAGCATCAATTAACCTCGTCCTAATCCTAGCACTAGCAGACAATTCTTTCCTCTATTTTAAAAATAAGTCAAACTGTGTAAAAATGATTTTTTAAATTTTTTTTATTATACTAAGTTTTAGGGTACATGTGCACAACATGCAGGTTTGTTACATATGTATACATGTGTCATGTTGGTGTGCTGCACCCATTAACTCTTCATTTAACATTAGGTATATCTCCTAATGCTATCCCTCCTCCCTGCCCCCACCCCACAACAGGCCCCAGTGTGTGATGTTCCCCTTCCTGTGTCCATGTGTTCTCATTGTTCAATTCCTACCTATGAGTGAGAACATGCAGTGTTTGGTTTCTTGTCCTTGCAATAGTTTGCTGAGAATGATGATTTCCAGCTTCATCCATGTCCCTACAAAGGACATGAACTCATCATTTTTTATGGCTGTATAGTATTCCACGGTGTATATGTGCCACATTTTCTTAATCCAGTCTCTCATTGTTGGACATCTGGGTTGGTTCCAAGTCTTCGCTATTGTGAATAGTGCCGCAATAAACATACGTGTGCATGTGTCTTTATAGCAGCATGAAAAACAATTGTTTAAGGCCATGTCAGCTATACTCACACTCCAAATGCAAATTATAAGCACTACTATTATTTTTCTCATCAGCCCTCCAACGGCTGGAACTGTGGCCCTTCCAGTTTCTTCCTCCTGATAAGAAGGCTTACTCTTCCTGAGATATATGGCTACTAGCTCTCAGGTTACTGTGCTGCTTATCCTTGGTACTTCCTTAACATACCATAACCTCCCCCAGACCATTCCATTGTCTCCTAAGAACCATGTTTTTTCATTACTGCTCCTGTATTCTACCAGAGGCAGAGGACAATAGGGGAGATATGAGCGGTGGACAGAAACTACAGAAAGCTGGCACAAGTTTGGGAAACACATCTACACTGGGAGGTATAAACACATCCTCTTTACACTTGGTTTCTTTATTCTCACACACTTCCAAATAGCATGCTTTTGCCATACTGCTGGAGGAGTAGCTTGCCCATCCCTTTCCCTGGCTTGAGTTTCTCCTGCCCTCTTTCTTTCTTTGGTGGAGCTCTGGATTCTGGGTACACAGTGTAATCATCACAATTGCTGTTTCTTGCCAGCTGTCCCTTGTTTGGTGCATGCCAGGTCTGAGAATCGAACTCCTTCCAAGGACAGTAAGGTAACAGCTTTTTGTTGTTGCTGCCATCTCTCACCCTTTTCTTCTCCTGTAGAACAGCACATACTTCTCCATCTCCAACCAAATGTTTCCCACAGTCAAGCACTAGTTTTGGTACACAATGTAATCAGTAGATGCTCTTTTGGAGGGATTTCTCTATGTAACAGTGCTTTGTGCAGGGTTTTCTTATTTTCATGTTTAGGATTGTTTATTTATTTGCTCCCAGAAGAGCCATTACTAGTCAAGACCATGTGAACATTATATAATTCTTGATATTTATTTATGTTGTCTTTCAGATTAAAAAATGATTTTGTCCAAGTTATTAATCAGATGTTACAAAACCATTTATTGAATGATCTTGGACTTTCCCAATTATTTCTTTAAGAGAGATAATTCCAGATTCACATACAGTTGTAAAAAATATGTAAAAAAAATATGCAGAGAGATCCAGTGCACCCTTTATTCACTTTCCTCCAGTGGTCTTTTCCTCTTGCAGAACTGTAGTAGAATATCTCAACCAGGATATTTTCACTGATACAGCAGAGATACAGAACATTTTGGTCACCACAAGGATACTTTCTATTGTATTTTTATAGCTCCTCTCTCTTCCCTCCTATGTCTACTCTCTCCTTTGTTGGCAACCACTCATCAGTTTTCCATTTCTATAATTTGGTCATCTTCAGAATGTTAAATAAATAGAATTATATAGTTTGTAACCTTTTGAAGCTGACATTTTTTTCACTCAGCCTATGCCCTTGAGATCCATCTAGGTTGTTGTGTTTATCAGTAGTTCATTCTTTTGTATTGCCGAATAGTATTCCATGGTGTGTAAGTACCACTTTGCTTAACTGTTCACCCTGAAGAAGATCTGGGTTGTTTTCTTTTTGGCTATCATGAGTAAAGCTGTAAATATTCATGTACAGGTTTTTGTGTAAACAGAATTTTTCATTTATCTGGGATAAATGCCTAAGCGTGTATTTGCTGGATTGTATGGTATTTGCATGTTAATTCAAATAAACTACCAAACTGTATTGCAGAGGGGCTGTACCATTTTCCATTTTCACAAACAATTTATAAATGAGCTGGTTTCTCTTTAATGTCATCAGCATTTGGTGTTGGCACTACTTTAAATTTTTGTTTTGCTAGATATCTGGTGATATCTAATTGTGGTTTTAATTTGTATTTCCTCAATGGCTAATGATGTTAAACATTTTTCTTATGTGATTCTTTGCCTTCTATATACCCTCTTAGTGAAATGTCTCTTCATATAGTTTATCCATTTCAAATTGGATTGTTTACTATTTGAATGTTGAGTTTTGAGAGTTCTTTATATATTCTAGATGCTAGTGCTTTGTGAGATACATGGTTTTCACATATTTTCTCAGTCTATAATTTGTCTTTCCATCCTTTTAACAAGATCTTTCACAGAGCAAATTTTTTTATTGTGAAATTAATTTAGCAATCTTTTCTTAAATAGACTGGGTTTTTAGTGTCAAATCTAAGAATTTTTTCCATAGTTCTAGATCCAAAGAGTTTTTTCTTATGTTATTTCCTAAAACATTTTTACTTTTGTACATTTAAGCCTGTGATCCATTTTAATTTTTCAAATCAAATGTGACTTAGGCCAAAGTTCTTTTCCCCACTTATAGATGTCCAATTGCTTCAGTACTACTTTTTAAAAAAGCTATATTTCCTCGATTGTATTGCTTTTGTACCTTTGTAAAAAATCAGTTGGAAATATGTAATATGTGTGGGTTTATTTCTGGATTCTCTATCCTATTCCATTGATCCATGTGTCTCTTCCTCTGCCAGTACCACTCAGTATTGATTACTGTAGCTATCTAACTCTTGAAATTGGGTAGACAGATCCCTCTCACTTTATTCTTCTTTTTCAGAATAGTTTTTAGCTGTCCTAGTTCCTTTACCTTTCCATGTAAATATTGAAATAATCTGTCTGTATCTATAAGAAATCTTGCTGGGGTTTTGACAGGAGTTACATTAAGCTGATAAATCAATTTAGGGAAAACATGGGATATCTCTCCTATTTAAGTCTTTAATTTCTTTAATCAGTATTTCATAGTTTTCAGCATGCAAATCCTGTACATGTTTTGTCATATTTACACTTTGTATTACATTTTTAGCAGCTGTAAATAGTAATGTATTTTCAGTGTGGGTGTCCACATATTAATTGTGAGTATATACAAATACAATTGATTTTGTGTGCTTATCTTTTATCCTGAGATCTTGTTCATTCACTTTTTACTTCTGGGAGGTTTCTGTAGATATCTTGGGGTATTTTACACAGCCAGTAATATCATCTGCAAATAGGGCAGTTTTTTTTCTTACTTTTCAATCTGTATGCCTATTATCTCCTTTATTTGCCTTATAGTACTAGCTAGAACCTCCAGCACTATACTGAATAAGAACAGTGAGGACAGACATACTTCCTTGCCTTGTTCTTGATCTTAAGTGGAAAGCATTCAGTCTTTTACCATTAAGTATAATGTTAGCTGAAGACTTTCTGTAGATGCTTATTACCAAATTTAAGAAATTCTCTTCTATTAGCATTTTTCTAAGAGTTTTTATGACGAAAAAATTTGTCAAATGCATTTTAGGCAACAATATAATCATGTGACGTTTCTTCTTTAGCCTGTTGATGTGAAGGATTGTATAAACTGATTTTCAAATCTTAAACTGGCCTGCATACCTGGCATAAACCCTGCTTTGTCATGGTGTCTGATTCGTTTCACACATTGCTGGACTCTATTTGTTAGTATTTTGTTAAGGATATTTCTGTTTATATTCATGAGGAATAAGAGTCTGTAGTTTTCTTTGTACTGTCTTTTTTCTGGTTTTCATATCAGGGCAATACTACACTAGTTTCATAAAATGAATTGGAAAGTCTTCCATCTTCAATTTTCTGGAAGAGATTGTATGAATTGCTCCCCTCCTCCTCCCTCCCTTCCTCCCTTCCTTCTTCCCTTCCTTCCTCCCTTCCTTCCTCCCTCCCTTCCGTCCTTCTTTCTTTCCTTCCCTTCTTCCTCTTCCTTCTTTTTTTTCTTCTTTCTTTCAGTCAAATTTAGCAGTGGGGGGTTGTATACCAACTTTAATGCCATCAATGTTAATAAATTCTGATAACTCATTACCATACGACCAGCTTAATTCTTCTTTAAATGTTTGAATTTTCTAGTGAAATCATTTGAGCCAACAGATTTCTTTTTTGGAAACTTTAAAATTATGAATTCAATTTTCTTAATAGTTATAGGGCTATTCAAATTATGTGTTTATGTTTGTGCGTACGTAGTAGCTTGTGTTTTTTGTGGAACTGGTCCATGTCTTTTGAGATATCGTATTGATGTGTGAAGAATTATTCATAATATTTCCTTGATATCCTTTTTTAAATTTATTTTTAATGGGCAAACAATAGTTGTATATATTTCTGGGGTACAATGTAATGTTTTGATATATGGAGCTTGATATATTTATCCTTCTATCATTACATAATGTCCCTCTCTGTCACTTATAATTTTCTTTATTTCAAAAGTCTACTTTTCTGATATTAATATAGCCCATCTTGCTTTATTTTAAGCTTTGCATGATATATGTTTTTAATACTTTTACTTTTAACCTACCTATATATATATTTTCAAAGTGAGTTTCTTAAAGACAATATATAGTTTTTATATTTTATTCCATGCTGACAGTTTTTAATTGATGTATTTAGACCATTTATTTTTGATGTACTCATTGATATGTCAGAGCTAAATCTGCCATTTTATTTTTTGCTTTTCTATTTTTTTCTACCTCCCTGTGGCTTAAATTTTTTTTTTATTTTTTTTATTTTTATTTTTTATTTTTGAGACAGCATCTCACTCTGTCACTCAGGCTGGAGTGCAGTGGCCTGATCACGGTTCACTGCAGGCTCGAACTCCTGGGCTCAAGCAATCTTTGTATTTCAGCCTCCAGAGTAGCTGGAACTACAGGCACATGCTACCACACCAGCTAATTTTTCTATTTTTTGTAGAGATGGAATTTCACCACGTTGCCCAGGCTGGTCTCAAACTCCTGGGCTCAAGTGATCCTCCCACCTTGGCCTCCCAAAGCAATGGGATTACAGGCGTGAGCCAGCACACCCAGCCTAGAATTTTGTTTTGATTTATCTAGAGTATTTTTGGGTGTGTCTCTTGGTAAAATTTTTTAGTGGTTGCTCTAAATATTTACATATACATAAAGTTTTCACAGTCTACTGGTGTTGGCATTTTACTAGGTAAAATGTTTTTTATTTTTATTTTTACTTTTAGAAGCAGGGTCTCACTCTGTAGCCCAGGATGGAATGCTATGGTGCAATTTCGGCTCACTGCAGCCGGGAACTCTGGGCTCAGGTGAGCCTCCTGCCTCAGTCTGCTGAGTAGTTGGGATTATAGGCAGCATCACTTTGCTTAACTGTTCAAAAATTTTTTTCATGGATCGGGGGTTTGTTATGTTGCCCAGGCTGGTCTTAAACTCCTGGGCTCAAGTGATCCTCCCGCCTTGGTCTCCCAAAGTGTTGCGTATGTATGTATGTATGTATGTATTAGCTTAGACTTTATATTTTTTATTCATTTCAAGCATGCTTGTAATTGCTCATTGAGTAATTTTTATGGATATTTTAAAATCTTTGCTAGATCATTCTAACAGCTCTGTCGCCTTAGTATTAACATTTATTGGTTACATTCTTTCCTTCAGTTTGAGATCTTCCTGCTTCTTGATATAATGAGCGACTTTCAATTGAAACCTGGGCATTTTAAGTGTTATATATTATGAAACACTGGATCTAGTTAAACCTCTTTTTTCCTTTCTTTCTTTAACTATGATCTGTCAGTGGAACAGGCAACTTACCCTCCCGTTACTCCCAGGTATGGGTAAAAGTCCAGGTTCCACCTCTGGTTTCTATTCATACCTGATGGCTGGTGGAGGAGGACTGCTCATTACTGCCGGGTGGGGGTGGGAGTTCCAGCTCTTCACTAGGTCTCCAACGTTACCTTCTCAACTAGGAGGGATACGTGTGCCTCATTACTGCTCCCCACATGGGGTGTATGTCCCTTTATTGCTAGGAGGTAATAAAAGATCACTAAGTGTCCTGTGACAATGCTAGAGTGGGGAGCTTAAGGGACCCTTGTTTTTGCCAGGTGGGAGTAGAAAGAAGTCCCTGTTTCCCATGTGGTCTCTACTGATACTGTGAGAGAAGGAAAAGGGGAAGTTAGTTGGGATAAGTGTCCTGGCTTTGTACCCAGCCTTTGCTAACACCATCCTGTAAGGGTGAAAATGTAATGTCTCTTTATAGCCAGGTGAGGGGGGATGTCTAGGCTCTCCACCGGGCCTTGTTGGCATGAGTAGGGCCATATTTTTTTCTTTTGTTTGTTGAAATAGAGCCCTTATTATCTAAATATTTTCTGTCTTGCTAAGCTTCTTCTTTTTCATCCTTTGTCTAAAGAGAATATGTTTTGGTTGCCTTTTTTTTTTTTTGTCTTTAGCCAGTTGTATTTCTGAGTTGACAGCTTCTTTATCTCTAAGTGTGGGATATATGACGCAAAAATAAAACCCAGGGGACTCACTGCAATGTTGTTCTTTGGGTCACAAGGTACCTGGCTGAGCTACCCTTTTCTCCCACTCTTTCAAAGTCCCTGTATGTTTGTTTAATATATAGTGTCCAAGTTTTTAAGTTTTATTTAGTAGGAGGAATAATAAAGGTATGTCAACGCCATCTTTTTCTGGGAGCAGAAATCTCTTGATGATTTTTAGTGCTCTCTTTATTGTGTGTTAATGTCTAATACATGACGGTTTCTACTAGTTCTGTGCTATGATATTTCATACTGTTTTAATAAAGCTACAATTTTTAAATTTTGTGACATTACCATTTTAATTAGTCCAGTTTTATAATATATTTTAATATCTAGTTAGATGAATCCCTTTCAACTTCCTGATGAACTTTAGAGATACTATATTTGCAGAATAAATTTTATAATGATTTTTATGGGGGTTACCATACTTAAAAATGATACTATATTTGCAGAATAAATTTTATAATGATTTTTATGGGGGTTACCATACTTAAAAATGAATTTTGAAATAATACAAAATTTTGTATTTTTCCCAACTACGAATGATGTATGTCTCCTTAAATAACTTTTTCTTAGATTGAATAAATTTTGTATTTTGCTTCATATTGGGCATACACATTTCTTATTGTGGTTACTCCTATAAAAAATCTATTTGTCTGTCTTTCTGTCTATTATCTACCTTTGCTGTTATGAATAGGAAGGAGCATGGTTGGTTTAGTTGTAAAGCGACTAAACCAGATAGTTTGGGCCATTATTTACCAGCTAAATGATCATGATGAGTAACTAATTGCCTTAAATTTCAATTTCCTCATCTATATGTTGGATAGTAATAACATCTACTCATAGGTATGAGATAATACATGCAAAGTGATTTTAACACTCAATGTGGTACACAGTGATAATTTTAGTGTATTTTCACAATATTTTAACTAATTGTTATTATATAGAAATGCTACTGTATATTTGCTTTTCTCTTGCCATTTTATGACCTTTTCTATTAATTCTAACAGATTTTTTGGTTGAAATTTTTGGTATGTCTAGGACTACTAATATATTATCTTAATATAATGACTTTTTATTTCTCTTTGTACTGTTTTTTTCCTATTTTTATTTCAAATTGCATAGAATTTCCAGATAAATAACAATGGTTATAGTGGAACTATTATTTCTGTTAGGTGAGTATTATTGTGGACACTGTGAAAAGTAAAAAGTATTAAAGTCAAAGATTCTAGTATCCAGATTATATGACTATATAATGATGACTTTGAGCTATGATTATTAACCTGAAAAGGAATACTGTGATTGTCTAATAAATTTTTAAAGACTTTATTCCATGTTTCATGTTTGAGTAAAAGTTCAAAATGCCAACAAAACTTTGAACATCATCAAGAACAATATTAGAAACGAATCTTTGATCTACCTCTGTTTGTAACTAAATTGCCTGTACAGTGTGTGCAGCAGAAGCTCGTGTACCACCCTTGAGTGATGTGTCAGAACCAGAAAAGTCCTAGGAAAGCTAGCCCACATAATTGCAGCTTGGTTAATGTGGACACAAATTTATTCAATATGTCCCCAAAGACTTGGATAATAGATAGCCTTTGACACTTTAGTGATTTTAGGACAATTAAGTAGCACTTCTTATCACAATTAGTGTAAACTAATAAAACTCTGTCTGATGTCTCAATGGAACAGCTCATCTTGCATTTAGAGGAATTGGGATTAGCACACACATAACACACATCCTCTCAGGACAGTGACGCCTAAATACGTCTCTCCAGGACTGGCCTTTTCCACCCCTGTAACATTTTGTCTAATAATTTTATACCAGTGGAAGTGAAGTAATTCAGATTTGTTAATGTTCATTACCTTTCATTGAGGAATTTCTTGTTTAGAAGCAATTTAAGCCACTTTTTCTTTTTTCAGCTCCTTCTCTGAATTAACAGCTTTCCTTTTACTTATGTATTTCTGGGATCAAATTGACAAATCCCTTTCAAGTGCTCATTTTGCCTTAGCATTCAATTTACCTCTGGCCCCTTAAACATTTGCTGGTTATCCACTTGGCAAATCATTCAGCAATTTCCCCATGTAACTGTTCTGGCAACGGTAGAGTTCAAAGGCATAACTAACTACAAATGAGAATCTAACTACACCAGAGACTGCATGTCTGTTTCACTCACTTGCTTTAAAAAAGACAGGAGTTGAACTTTGCTTTGAAATAAAATGATTATATTATATATTGAGCTATTTTTTCCTCCTTTTGGTGAGGATTTCAGGACAGTATTGCTTAATTAGAAATGCATGTTAACGTATTCTGTTGCCATCATTATAGTTTTAAAATAAAAGTAATGAAAAGTCAAGCTATTTACTTTTACATATAGGAATATCTTTATGTGGGATGAATTAGTTTTTAGTAATTAGTGTTTAAAAGCTAGAAATTAACACAATAAATATTTTTCCTTTTACAGCATCAAGATGGCTAAATATTTCTTATGAAGGTTCAATTACAGATTAATATTTATTTTGGTTATTTCATGATCATTTTCCATTGTGTCTGGAGAATTTATGCCAAAGAGTTAGAATTTACCTGAAATTGATTGGAATCTTTAATTTTTCCTTCAATGAAATATGAGAATTATAAATTATAAGGTAGTAAAATTAAAGAGCACAGTTAGTAGTTTGGAATTTTTATATTTTGGGAGATAACTGCTTATATAAAAAGACATTTCAGAGCTTTTATAGTGATTACAGATAATATTTTTATTTATTAATATCCTTTTCATTACATACTCGCAAGTTTATATTTAGTCATTTGTTGATTGGGAAAGTAATTTAATTTTCCTATGCATGTAACATCCCTATAAATTGAATAGCTTACCTTTATGACTATTTGTATTCGAATACTAGTTTCTAGTAACTATTAAGTAACTTGCGTTTCTTTATTATTTTTATCCACGAAAAGAAGTAACCTCTTAGCTTCAGTTTTATGTTTTTCTTTAATTTAAAATTGATTGGAAAATCAAATTCTCTTTTGCTTTCCTTGTCATGACCCAATATAATTTCACTAATCTATGAAGACTAGGAGGAACATGAGGACAATCCTGGCACTCATTTTATTTAATGTTCATGGGAGTGGCTAGCAAAGTTGCAGGTGGAGGAGGGAGAGGATGAGGGCAGACTCTCAAATGTGTGTGTGTGTGTGTGTGTGTGTGTGTGTGTGTGTGTTTCTATATAGGAAGAATAACTTCTGGGTAATCTAGAAGATGTTCTGGGGGTGGGATGGGCAGTATGATGTGGGCTACACAGCTAAATAAATATTAATGAACAGTTTCATAAGTACTTACCTTGTTTTTTTTTCCAGTGGTGCTCTACTTGTTTGACAGAAATTGTTCTGGTTATACTAAGAAAATGTGATTCTATTTTATCCTAAAAGAATCACCTCCAGTGATAATTTCTTTTCTAATACTCTTCCTACTCTAGCTATAACTTGAATTGAGTCCTTAATGATTAAAATCTTTAGAATTTAATCTTCACGGAAGATTGTAATTATGGTTCTCTTATTTTGTAGTATCCATCCCTTCTAAAAATTGGAAGAATTAAACATTTACAGGCTAATTTCTGTTACCTATGACTCATGCTATTTAGCTTTGCCCTACATACTTTTTGCAGGGTATTTCCTTGGTGTCTTGACTGATATGTGTATAATCCATTTTTTTGTTGTTAAAAAACACATTTGGAGGAGGCGGAGCTTGCAGTGAGCCGAGATTGCGCCACTGCAGTCCAGCCTGGGCGACAGAGCCAGACTCCGTCTCAAAAAAAAAAAAAAAAACAAAAACAACAAAAAAAACACATTTGGAAAGTTTATTTTCTAGCTTTATTTCCCTTATATTCATTCTTAGGACCTTACATAACTTTGCCCTAGAGGATTTTGGTATAGCTACTTAAGAAAAGTTTTTCTTTTTTTACATTGCCTTACCCTGTGGGCATGAGTTTATCCTGTAAGGGGTTACATGTTCTATTTTCTGTAGCAGCAATTCCAGATCTGGGGAATTATATACCTTTAGGAACTGTGAATCCCCTGAAATTTTGTATATTAATGCAAATTTTGTATCTTAATCCCTCTCTGGAGAGAGAGTCTATCTATATACAGCTTTTATCAGATTATCAAAGGTGCCTCTGACCCAAAAATGATTAAGCTTTGCAACAGAATGTCATCTAGACGTTTTGCAGTTTTCATTGGCCCATATAAATTGGAAAAGGCAAAGCTATTTAAACACACACAGTCATAAGTCAAGGACATCCATTGTGATGGAGGGGGTGGGGCTGGTTGGGGCAATGCAAAAAGGATGGGCAGGTGGGTGGGTTCAGGCTGACATCTGTTACATTTGTGCAGTTTTTTGGCTTAAGTACAGTTACTCACATTCATTGACAGTAATTCTTGAAATACTTCATTCATTGCTAGCAATTCTGAGATAATTTGTTTCAAAGATTTATTTCTAAGACAGAAATATTGATATTTCTATGCAGATCATGAACTTGTAATAACTTCTATTTGTTTGATTTATTTTACTCAGCCTCCTGCATTCCTTTGGTAGCTTTTTGTATTGACACGATTGGTGTGAGCAACTAAGTATGTGTAAGTAAATTTAAATATATGTTTGATCAAAACCCTGAAGGTATTTTTTTTTTCTAGATTAAAGGAAAACTTGCAAATTATCTTCTCTCACTCCATCTTTCCCAACATCCATAGTTTTCTTGGTGCTGGTCTAGCCCCTATGAATCCATCTATCATACATACACATAAGTACTTTTTCTAAAATGTAAGTCTGATCCTGCAGCACCTTAAAATCTTTCAATGGAAATTTACAAGGTTCTTGATAATTTGCAAACCAGTTAGCTTAGCACGCATGAAAGTCTGTGTGAAATAGAGCCCATAACGCGCGCTCGCTCTCTCTCTCTCTTTTAAAGACACAGTCTCACTCTGTCGCCCGGGCTGGAGCGCAGTGGCGCAATCTCGAGAGCCCATAACTCTCTATCTTCACTTCAACTGCCCCACACCTTCTCTTCACTTTAGTCATGGGATCTATTATACATACAGTATTTGGCATGCGTCACGAAATTTTATAATTTTATAAAAACAAAAACAATAGCAATAATAACAGTAGCCAGCATTTGTGAAGCACATACTCTGCACCTGGCACTGTGCTTTCCTCCTTGACATGTATTATCTTGTGTAATTGTGACAACAGATCCATGAGGTAAAGGTACCATTATTAGATCCACCTTACTGAGGGCTCAGAGGGCTAATAAACTTAATGAGGAATATTTAGAATAAGTGGAAGAAAGTAAGTCCAAACCCAAATCCCCCTATTTGCACATACTGTTTTCTGTGCCTGAAATGTTTTTCCTTTCCTACATAGTAATTCTTGTTTTCAGAACACAGTCCAGGAATGACCTTTCCTGAAGAACATTTTCTGACATCCTTTTCCATTATAATTTAGTTGACTCCTCTATCTTTCCAAGGAGCCCTGTGAATGCCTTTACTTTTATACTACTCTAATACATTTGTTATTTACTTATTAATTTACAAATAACTGTTTGGCCAGCTATAAGCTCTGGGGACTACATTTTAAATTTGTTAGTAACGTCTTATAATTGGGATATTTTAATGCCTGTGATCTCAAAGTATGGTCTCCACACAACAGCTGAGAACTTATGAGAAATGCAACTCCCCAGGCCTCACTCCACATCTACGCAATCAGAAAACCTGGGAATGTGGAGCCCAGCAACTTGAGTTTTAGTTAGCCTTCCAAGTAATTTTGATTCACATCAAAATTTGGAACTCTTGTTGTGGGATCATATGTGCATTGGAGACATTTCTGAAGACTTAAACTATTTCTTTTACAAGAGTCATTGATATTACTGTCATGTATTTACAGTAAATATTACTGTCATGTATTTACAGTAAATATTACTGTCATGTATTTACTGTGGACCAATCTCTGGAATGTGCCAGTACCGCACATTTACAATAACTTCCAGTAACATCAACAGTGTTGTCACTATAAATATGAATATTTACATGTCAGTCATTATAAATATGAATAATACATGTCAGTCTAATCTTGACTAAAAACGCTAAGGAAAACATCTTTACTAATTATGGATAGATGACAAATAAAAAAACTTTGTACACTTGTGGCCATTGATATCTACAAACAGATGAACTGCAGGCATTTTTTTTCTGGATCATTTAAGTATGATCACACTTAAGGCACAAAATATCAGGTAATATCAACTTCTATGACAGCTTCTCAAATTATTTATCTGCATTAGTACACAGACATTTCTTGGTTAGCCACTTCAGCCTGTTTTTCCCTTTGCTATCCTTCCCCCTACTTCCCTCCTCCGTTGCCTTTTTTTTTTTTTTTTTTTTGAGACAGGGTCTCACACTGTTGCCCAGGCTCTAGAGTGCAGTGGCACAATCAGTGTTCACGGTAGCCTCAACCTCCCAGGCTAAAGTAATCCTCCTGCCTCAGCCTCTTAAGTAGCTGGGACTACAGGCAGGAGCCATCATGTTGACTAATTACCAAAAAAAAAAAAAAAAAAAAAAAATTTTAGAGATAGGACCTCACTATGCTGCCCAGGCTGGTCTTGAACTCCTGGGCTCAACAGATCCTCCAGCTTTGGCCTCCCAAAGTGCTGGGATTACAGGCATGAGCCGCTGCACCTGGCCCCTTTTCCCTTTTGTTTGCACTTTTGTGTCTGAAGATTTATCCTTTCCTGCTGCCTTTTTTTTTTTTTGTCTTCGTTTCTACCTTTGCCTGAGCAGGTTTAGCTGATGAGGGCACCCAACCTTTCTTGAGTTCTTCCTTCACTGCTCCTTCAGTTGAGCTGACTTTTTGGGCATCTTGGCAGCAGGGATGCCTAGGAACTACAGCACCCCTTATAGCCTTTGTGAAGCTGGGCTGCCTGGCTTTTGCCATTTTTCCTGTAGCCTGAGCTGAGCTGCAAAAACTTGCCATATTTGTTTTCTTGCATAATGAGATGAATCTGTGATGTAAATAGCAATGTATGCATCCTATTTTCAATTTTTAAAATACAATGAATTGACCGAAATGATGATAAGCTTTCATTATAATTTGTTAATGCTGCAAGGCAATCTAATTTTGGATCACGTGAAGGAAATGGGAGACAAATAGTTTTGGATTCCACTCATGTCTATTAGCATAACATAAAGGTTTCCTATCATATTTGACGTCATGATGAAATAATTATAGCTTTAAGTTCTAGATTTTAATCTGAATAGCATTAAGATTATCAATATTCTTAACAATTTGTTCAAATTTCTCAGTGAAAGCAAATATACTTGAGCACCCTTAAGGATAAATCAATAAATTTTAGTTTACAGAAGAAAGGGTAATATGCTTTTATTTACCTTGCCACTACTATTTTTGGCCTTTGTTTTTAACCCTTTCTACCACTTTAGTCTGGCAAGACATCACACATTGAAGATGGACAACTGATATGCTCTAATCCAAGAGAATCTTCTGCTTCTTTTGAGAGTGTCATAATTTTCTGAAAAATACTAATATAAGTAACCAAAATAATAACATTTTTTAATTCAATTAATCTTACCAGGTACCTATATTCTGGTAACTGCCTTTGGGAATTCATGGATGATTTAATCATATTATCTCTCAAGATACTCAGATCTTAATGGAGTGGAAAAACATGGCAGCAACAATTTGAGATGGTTTATTTTAATTACTATATCAATTCTGTATTATTTTGTCTTATTTTACTTCTGATATAGTATTACCTTTCTGGTTGTATTTTTCCTTCTACTCTAGTTTAGGGTCTCTTAATTGCCTTTGTTTATCTTCTTTAGACTTACACCTACAAACCCAGTTTTTTAAAATGAGATATGTGAATTAAAATATGCAGATAATCACATGATTTCGAATCTGGTCCTTTTTTTAAAATTTATACTTTAAGTTTTAGGGTACATGTGTACAATGTGCAGGTTTGTTACATATGTATACATGTACCATGTTGGTGTGCACCCATTAACTCGCCATTTACATTAGGTATATCTCCTAATGCTATCCCTCCCCTCTTCCCCCACCCCACAACAGTCCCCAGAGTGTGATGTTCCCCTTCCTGTGTCCATGTGTTCTCATTGTTCATTTCCCACCTATCAGTGAGAACATGCAGTGTTTGGTTTTTTGTCCTTGCGATAGTTTGCTGAGAATGATGGTTTCCAGCTTCATCCATGTCCCTATAAATGACATGAACTCATCATTTTTTATGTCTGCATAGTATTCCATGGTGTATATGTGCCACATTTGCTTAATCCAGTCTATCATTGTTGGACATTTGGGTTGCTCCCAAGTCTTTGCTATTGTGAATAGTGCCTCAATAAACATACGTGTGCATGTGTCTTTATAGCAGCATGATTTATAATCCTTTGGGTTTATACCCAGTAATGGGATGGCTGGGTCAAATGGTATTTCTAGTTCTAGATCCCCGAGGAATCTCCACACTGACTTCCACAATGGTTGAACTAGTTTACAGTCCCACCAACAGTGTAAAAGTGTTCCTATTTCTCCACATCCTCTCCAGCACCTGTTGTTTCCTGACTTTTTAATGATTGCCATTCTAACTGGTGTGAGATGCTATCCCATTGTGGTTTTGATTTGCATTTCTCTGATGGCCAGTGATGATGATCATTTTTTCATGTGTCTTTTGGCTGCATGAATGTCTTCTTTTGAGAAGTGTCTGTTCATGTCTTTCACCCACTTTTTGATGGGGTTGTTTGTTTTTTTCTTGTAAATTTGTTTGAGTTCATTGTAGATTCTGGATATTAGCCCTTTGTCAGATGAGTAGGTTGCAAAAATTTTCTCCCATTCTGTAGGTTGCCTGTTCATTCTGATGGTAGTTTCTTTTGCTGTGCTGAAGCTCTTTAGTTTAATTAGATCCCATTTGTCAATTTTGGCTTTTGTTGCCATTGCCTTTGGTGTTTTAGACATGAAGTCCTTGCCCATGCCTATGTCCTGAGTGGTATTGCATAGGTTTTCTTCTAGGGTTTTTATGGTTTCAGGTCTAACATGTAAGTCTTTAATCCATCTTGAATTAATTTTTGTATAAGGTGTAAGGAAGGGATCCAGTTTCAGCTTTCTACATATGGCTAGCCAGTTTTCCCAGCACCATTTATTAAATAGGGAATCCTTTCCCCATTGCTTGTTTTTCTCAGGTTTGTCAAAGATCAGATAGTTGTAGATATGTGGCATTATTTCTGAGGGCTCTGTTGTGTTCCATTGATCTATATCTCTGTTTTGTTACCAGTACCATACAGTTTTGGTTACCATAGCCTTGTAGTATAGTTTGAAGTCAGGTAGCATGATGCCTCCAGCTTTGTTCTTTTGGCTTAGGATTGACTTAGCAATGGGGTCTCTTCTTTGGTTCCATATGAACTTTAAAGTAGTTTTTTCCAACTCTGTGAAGAAAGTCATTGGTAGCTTGATGGGGATGGCATTGAATGTATAAATTACCTTGGGCAGTATGGCCATTTTCATGATATTGATTCTTCCTACCCATGAGCATGGAATGTTCTTCCATTTGTTTGTATCCTCCTTTATTTCATTGAGCAGTGGTTTGTAGTTCTCCTTGAAGAGGTCCTTCACATCCCTTGTAAGTTGGATTCCTAGATATTTTATTCTCTTTGAAGCAATTGTGAATGGGAGTTCACTCATGATTTGGCTCTCTGTTTGTCTGTTATTGGTATGTAAGAATGCCTGTGATTTTTGCACATTGATTTTGTATCCTGAGACTTTGCTGAAGTTGCTTATCAGCTTAAGGAGATTTTGGGCTGAGACGACGGGGTTTTGTAGATATACAATCATGTCGTCTGCAAACAGGGACAATTTGACTTCCTCTTTTCCTAATTGAATGCCCTTTGTTTCCTTCTCCTGCCTGATTGCCCTGGCCAGAACTTCCAACACTATGTTGAATAGGAGTGGTGAGAGAGGGCATCCCTGTCTTGTGCCAGTTTTCAAAGAGAATGCTTCCAGTTTTTGCCCATTCAGTATGATATTGGCTGTGGGTTTGTCATAGATAGCTCTTATTATTTTGAGATATGTCCCATCAATACCTAATTTTTTGAGAGTTTTTTTACATGAAGCGTTGTTGAATTTTGTCAAAGGCCTTTTCTGCATCTATTGAGATAATCATGTGGTTTTTGTCTTTGGCTCTGTTTATCTGCTGGATTACATTTATTGATTTTCGTATGTTGAACCAGCCTTGCATCCCAGGGATGAAGCCCACTTGATCATGGTGGATAAGCTTTTTGATACACTGCTGGATTTGGTTTGCCAGTATTTTATTGAGGATTTTTGCATCAATGTTCATCAAAGATATTGGTCTAAAATTCTCTTTTTTGGTTGTGTCTCTGCCAGCCTTTGGTATCAGGATGATGCTGGCCTCATAAAATGAGTTAGGGAGGATTCCTTCTTTTTCTATTGATTGGAATAGTTTCAGAAGGAAGGGTACCAGCTCCTCCTTGTACCGCTGGTAGAATTCGGCTGTGAATCCATCTGGTCCTGGACTTTTTTTGGTTGGTAAGCTATTAATTATTGCCTCCATTTCAGAGTCTGTTATTCGTCTATTCAGAGATTCAACTTCTTCCTGGTTTAGTCTTGGGAGAGTGTATGTGTAGAGGAATTTATCCGTTTCTTCTAGATTTTCTAGTTTATTTGTGTAGAAGTGTTTATAGTATTCTCTGATGGTAGTTTGTATTTCTGTGGGATTGGTGGTGATTTCCCCTTTGTCATTTTTTAATTGGGTCTATTTGATTCTTCTCTCTTTTCTTCTTTATTAGTCTTGCTAGCGGTCTATCAATTTTGTTGATCCTTTCAAAAAACCAGCTCCTGGATTCATTGATTTTTTGAAGGGTTTTTTGTGTCTCTATTTCTTTCAGTTCTGCTCTGATTTTAGTTATTTCTTGCCTTCTGCTAGCTTTTGAATGTGTTTGCTCTTGCTTCTCTAGTTCTTTTAATTGTGATGTTAGGGTGTCAATTTCAGATCTTTCCTGCTTTCTCTTGTGGGCATTTAGTGCTATAAATTTCCCTCTACACACTGCTTTGAATGTCTCCCAGAGATTCTGGTATGTTGTGTCTTTGTTCTCGTTGGTTTCAAAGAACATCTTTATTTCTGCCTTTATTTCGTTATGTACCCAGTAGTCATTCAGGAGCAGGTTGTTCAGTTTCCATGTAGTTGAGCAGTTTTGAGTGAGTTTCTTAATCCTGAGTTCTAGTTTGATTGCACTGTGGTCTGAGAGACAGTTTGTTATAATTTCTGTTCTTTTATATTTGCTGAGGAGTGATTTACTTCCAACTATGTGGTCAATTTTGGAATAGGTATGGTGTGGTGCTGAAAAGAATGTATATTCTGTTGATTTGGGGTAGAGAGTTCTGTAGATGTCTATTAGGTCCACTTGGTGCAGAGCTGAGTTCAATTCCTGGGTATCCTTGTTAACTTTCTGTCTGGTTGATCTGTCTAATGTTGACAGTGGGGTGTTAAAGTCTCCCATTATTATTGTGTGGGAGTCTAAGTCTCTTTGTAGGTCACTCAGGACTTGCTTTATGAATCTGGGTACCCCTGTATTGGGTGCATATATATTTAGGATAGCTCTTCTTGTTGAATTGATCCCTTTACCATTATGTAATGGCCTTCTTTGTCTCTTTTGATCTTTGTTGGTTTAAAGTCTGTTTTATCTGAGACTAGGATTGCAACCCCTGCCTTTTTTTGTTTTCCATTTGCTTGGTAGATCTTCCTCTTTCCCTTTATTTTGAGCCTATGTGTGTCTCTGCACGTGAGATGGGTTTCCTGAATACAGCACACTGATGGGTCTTGACTTTTTATCCAATTTGCCAGTCTGTGTCTTTTAATTGGAGCATTTAGCCCATTTACATTTAAGGTTAATATTGTTATGTGTGAATTTGACCCTGTCATGATGATGTTAGCTGGTTATTTTGCTCGTTAGTTGATGCAGTTTCTTCCTAGCCTTGACGGTCTTTATAATTTGGCATGATTTTGCAGTGGCTCGTACCAGTTGTTCCTTTCCATGTTTAGTGCTTCCTTCAGGAGCTCTTTTAGGGCAGGCCTGGTGGTGACAAAATCTCTCAGCATTTGCTTGTCTATAAAGTATTTTATTTCTCCTTCACTTATGAAGCTTAGTTTGGCTGGATACGAAATTCTGTGTTGAAAATTCTTTTCTTTAAGAATGTTGAATATTGGCCCCCACTCTCTTCTGGCTTGTGGAGTTTCTGCTGAGAGATCAGCTGTTAGTCTGATGGGCTTTCCTTTGTGGGTAATCTGACCTCTCTCTCTGGCTGCACTTAACATTTTTTCCTTCATTTCAACTTTGGTGAATCTGACAATTATGTGTCTTGGAGTTGCTCTTTTCATGGAGTGTCTTTGTGGCATTCTCTGTATTTCCTGAATTTGAATGTTGGCCTGCCTTGCTAGGTTGGGGAAGTTCTCCTGGATGATATCCTGCAGAGTGTTTTCCAACTTGGTTCCATTCCCCCCATCACTTTCAGGTACACCAATCAGACATAGATTTGGTCTTTTCACATAGTCCCATATTTCTTGGAGGCTTTGTTCATTTCTTTTTATTCTTTTTTCTCTAAACTTCTCTTCTCACTTCATTTCATTCATTTAGTCTTCCATCGCTGATACCCTTTCTTCCCATTGACTGCATCAGCTACTGAGGCTTGTGCATTCATCATGTAGTTCTTGTGCTGTGGTTTTCAGCTCCATCAGGTCCTTTAAGGACTTCTCTGCATTGGTTATTCTAGTTAGCCATTCGTCTAATTTTTTTTCAAGGTTTTTAACTTCTTTGCCTTGGGTTCGAACTTCCTCCTTTAGCTTGGAGTAGTTTGATCTTCTGAAGCCTTCTTCTCTCAACTCGTCAAAGTCATTCTCCGTCTAGCTTTTTTCCGTTGCTGGTGAGGAGCTGCGTTCCTTTGGAGGAGGAGAGGTGCTCTGATTTTAAGAGTTTCCGGTTTTTCTGCTCTGTTTTTTCCCCATCTTTGTGGTTTTATCTACCTTTGGTCTTTGATGATGGTGACATACAGATGGGTTTTTGGTGTGGATGTCCTTTCTGTTTGTTAGTTTTCCTTCTAACAGTCAGGACCCTCATCTGGAGGTCTGTTGGAATTTTCTGGAGGTCCACTCCAGACCCTGTTTGCCTGGGTATCAGCAGTGGTGGCTGCAGAACAGTGGATATTGGTGAACCGCAAATGCTGCTGCCTGATCATTCCTCTGGAAGTTTCGTATCAGAGGAGTACCCGGCCGTTTGAGGTGTCAGTCCGCCCCTACTGGTGAGTGCCTCCCAGTTAGGCTACTCAGGGGTCAGGACCCACTTGAGGAGGCAGTCTTCCCGTTCTCAGATCTGAAGCTGCGTGCTGGGAGACCCACTACTCTCTTCAAAGCTGTCAGACAGGGACATTTAAGTCTGTAGAGGTTACTGCTGCCTTTTGTTTGTCTGTGCCCTGCCCCCAGGGGTGGAGCCTACAGAGGCAGGCAGGCCTCCTTGAGCTGTGGTGGGCTCCAACCAGTTCACGCTTCCTGGCCGCTTTGTTTACCTACTCAAGCCTCGGCAATGGTGGGCGCCCCTCCCCAAGCCTGGCTGCTGCCTTGCAGTTTGTTCTCAGACTGTTGTGTTAGCAATGAGCGAGGCTCCGTGGGTGTAGGACCCTCCAAGCCAGGTGCAGGATATAATTTCCTGGTGTGCTGTTTGTTAAGCCCATTGGAAAAGCACAGTACTAGGGTGGGAGTGACCCGATTTTCCAGGTGCCATCTGTCACTCCTTTCTTTGACTAGGAAAGGGAATTCCCTGACCTCTTTCACTTCCCGGGTAAGGCGATGCCTCGCTCTGCTTCGGCTCACGCACAGTGCACTGCACCCACTGTCCTGCACCCACTGCCTGGCACTCCCCAGTGAGATGAAGCCGGTACCTCAGTTAGAAATGCACAAATCACCCGTCTTCTGCGTCACTCATGCTGGGAGCTGTAGACTGGAGCTGTTCCTATTTGGCCATCTTGGCTCCACCCCCATGGCCCTTTTTTTTGTCTTTTTGCCTTTCATAGGAATAGGAAGAATGGCTAAGCTGGCCAATTCTCAGATGTTATCACCTGATGGACTGTGTGCTTACCCAGTTCAGGCAGGTTCATGGCTCACTGCTGCCAGCCCAGCTATGAATTGATTGAAAAGTAACCACAATTGTCTTAGATGTAATTTTGAGTTTTTTTGTAGGAAACCACTCAGAAGGCCAAGAGACTCCTAAAAATAGGGTTATAGAAAAAGAAGAATGTTACCTCAAGCTTTTTTCCTGTTGGTGGAGACACTCTGAAGTTTATATATTTATTTATTTGAGACAGTGTCTCACTCTGTTGCCCAGGCTGGAATGCAGTAGTCCGATCATGGCTCACTGCAGCCTGAAATTATGGGCTGAAGTGATCCTCCTACCTCAGCCTACTGAGCAGCTGGGACCATAGGCATTCATCACCATGCCCAGCTAATGAATTTTTTTTTAGAGAAGGGGTCTCACTATGTTGTTTATGTTGATCTCTAACTCCTAGGCCCAAGTGATCTATCTGCCTTGGCCTCACAAAGTGCTAGGATTACAGGTGTAAGCCACAATGACTGACCTCTGTAGGATATTTATAAACTTATTATCCATTAGGTTTAAGACAACAAGTGCATGGCTTATTGGCCATTACAACATTCTGGATCCAGTTCTTTACAATAAGCAAAGTTGGTCGGGTGTGGGTAGCTCACACTTGGAATCCCAGCAGTTTGGGATGCTGAGGTAGGTGGCATCACCTGTGGCCCAGCCTGGTCAACATGGTGAAACCCCATTTCTACTAAAAATACAAAATCCTGTGATCCCAGCTACTTGGAAGGCTGAGACATGAGAATTGCTTGCACCCTGGAGACAGAGGTTGCAGTGAGCTGAGATCGCACCACAGTACCTAGCCTGGGCAACAGAGCGAGACTCTGTCTCAAAAATAATAATAATAATAATAGTAATAATAATAATAATAATAAAGCCAAGGGGACATGAGGCAGCCCAAAAGATTTAAGGCCTTTTTCTTTAAAAGCATGGGATGTTTGATATAAGGAGAATTTTTGGTGTCTTCCTCTTATCCTCAAACACAACAAATTAAAGACCAGAACTTGTTGAAAAAAGAGGAAAGTTATGAATGAAGAAGAGTAAGTGGGAATTTCTACAGATGAAATACTGAATGGAGAGTAAAAAGAATTGGAAGAGAATTTAATGTTAGAAGTGAACAAAAGAGTGTTATGAAAACCTTTTTTTCTTGAGTAATAGAACTTTAGAGCCAAGAAGAAACCTAATACATTTTTTTCCTAAAATTCTTATGCTATACAAATGGAAAACTGAGACACAATTGACTCCCTGACTAAGCAATAGAATCATAGAATTTGAGGGGCTCAAAGGACTTAAAAGATTATTTAATCATCTTTCTGGGGCTTGCATCAGTTTTTCATTGAATACTAGAGTTTGACACTGGAAAGGACACTGTGTGGTTTCTTTGCTGTCCTTTTATGTGTACAGCATTTCCCTGACCTCATTTTTAAGAGATAATCAAATTGCTACTTAGATATAGTCAATTCTCATTATTTAGGGTAGTTATGTTCTGCAAAGTTGCCTTGAACACTGAATTAGCGAAAATTGAATCATTGTCTCTAGGGAAGATACAGGGTGAGGTTCTTTGAGCCTCTGGTCACAACATTTTTATCAATCAATCAAAGTATAGCTTTGTTTTATGTGTGTTTCTGTTTAAAGATGCCTTATTTAATATATACTTTTGATTTTTGTATATCACATTCATGGCCCAAAGTACTATAATCCATGTCTCAATGAAGCTTATTGGATATGTATTTTCTCCATAATGCACCTCACAGTCTTCTTGTCCTTGGGAACACTAGACAGCACTTCAGCATTATGATTGGGGCCATTTGCGGTGAGATCACCAAGAAAAGGCACAAAAGTGCAAAGTAGTCTGGTAAAAGGGTACTTCTTTACAATATGAAAGATTAAACAAGAAGGCAGTGGGCTGGGCTGCCTTGTTTGACCTCTGCTGGAAATGTTCATAGCAGATGACTTGATTTTGATTTTTTTTTTTAATAGCTCCATGCATGCATGTTCACAAATGACCCTGACCATGAAATCATCAGGAATATTGATTTTGGGGTTGCAAATAAGTTGTAATAAATAGGTGAAATTGCAAATAGAAAATCTTCAAATAATGAGGATTGACTGTAATTTCGGTGGAAGAAAACGAACTGAATTCAGGGTAACCACCTACTTGAGTCAATGTTTGGACAATTCCGTCTTCCTGTGAAGTCTATCCACGGCTTTTCATTCTGTCTCTTGGGACTACATAAGTAGGGTTAAAATCTTCATCTCCTGTAAGTCATTCATCTGTTTGCAAAGAGCCATATCAGTCCCATGATTCTATTCTCTAAGGTATTTACACCTTTTATTCAACTGAATCTCAATCGCAACAGGGTTTGTAATTTCCTCAGGAGTTTGACAAGACTCTGTGAAACTGCTGAATCTGAGTTGATTCTTTGATGTACATCTTATGCTCTGGCCTTTCCAAGCCCATGCAAGTTCACTCA
The DNA here is from genome assembly GCF_000001405.40 of Homo sapiens. NCBI lineage: Eukaryota > Metazoa > Chordata > Mammalia > Primates > Hominidae > Homo > Homo sapiens. The sequence continues at coordinate 60,835,941 of NC_000013.11, forward strand.
CTAGCAACAAATCTGCAATTAGCAATTACCCAGTAATTATTTGAAAACCTGAAGTAATAGAGAATCAGTCATTTCTGTTTTTCATTTTGGCATAGAGGGTTAAACCCTACCTGTTCGCTCTGGACAGCAGCACAATCGAGTCAGGCCTAGAATCATTGTCTCTTAAATCCTAGTTATGTATTTTGTACTTCCTACCACATCAGGCTCTCAGGAAGATATGTCTCGGAACTAACATTTGGTTCCTGGTTGAAATTTAAGAATAACCCCCAAAGATCAGCCCACTACAAACATGTTACTTGTCACAGGGGAATCATTATGGTCATGACACTTGCAGATAAAATGTATACTTTTTCGTTGATCTAAAATTGAATTTTAAGTCAAACAAAAAGAAACCCTCTTTTCATTGGTGTTTTCCTTTGATATTGAGAAAGGGCTATACCTTGAGAAGGAGACGATCAAGCATAGTAGCCCAGAAACTGGACACTTGGGTCTTTTGGCCAGTCTGCCCAGCAGATGTGTTTTGTTGGGCCCACAAATTGTTTCCATTCACAGGGTTTATTTTTTTAATTAGTGGGTAGAACTTGAAAATCAATTTCACATAAAATTCTAAATTTATGGTTTCTCTTGAAAAATCAGATAACTGCCCTGGGCTTATTTTTCTAAAAGGGAACACTCTGTAGGAGTCTGATAGTAGCTTCCCCTTTTACCTGGGGTGTGTGCTTTTTCTGATTTGACAATAGTCTCTAACGTTTGTATTGCCTCCTAGCTCTGAAGTTTTCTCTCTTACGGTTATTTATTTAGGTCTGTGTCTACTGTTTTACCAGCTAAAACAATTGGAATTGTTCCTACCACAATGCTTTAAAATATTTTCTGACTTCACAACATATCATTATATATGAAAATGTATAATCTAATTGGGTATAGTATTTGGGATTCCCATCGCATATTATGGGTTAAACATAGTATTCTTAGTCATATTAAGCTGGAAGGAAAACTCTAATTAAGGTTATGCATCATTTATAAGAAGCTGTTCTCTTTTGCGCTTCCTGTTTTTGGCAGTTTTTGTATTTCTCATTGTCAGCTTCTTTGCTGGAGGCGAACGTTTGGATCAAGGACAAGCTTCAACACCTACCCCTCCTCAGGTGTGTTACATGAGCAATATCAATATCATTTTGCATATGCAAAAGCATGCCTTCTAGCCACAGTGCACAACTCTCAAGACATGTTGAGTTTTAGGGGGCATAAAATCTCAAGTCTAAAAGTCATGCTTTTATTCTTTTTTCTTTTATTATTATTTTTGAGACGGAGTTTTGCTCTTGTTGCCCAGGCTGGAGTGCAATGGCATGATCTTAGCTCACTGTAACCTCCACCTCCCGGGTTCAAACCATTCTTCTGCCTTAGCCTCCCAAGTAGCTGAGATTACAGGCATGCGCCACCAGGCCTGGCTAATTTTGTATTTTTAGTAGAGATGGGGTTTCACCATGTTGGTCAGGCTTGTCTCGAACTCCTGACTTCAGGTGATCTACCAGCCTTGGCCTCCCAAAGTGCTGGGATTACAGGCATGAGCCACTGCACCTAGCCCTATGCTTTGTTCCTTATTCACTGTCTTCAAAGCTTAGCCTTTGTCCAGTCGCAGCAAAAATCCTCTGGACTCAATGAAACAATGAGTAGAGGAAAAAGACCTGGGTTTAAAATAACAGCAGCAGCAGCAGCAACAATCATCACATTCATAGCAGCAGCAGCACAATTTCAGACTCTTCTCAACCCTTTCCCCTGTCAGCACTAACAAGGCAAGAGGGTGGGACTGTCTTTCTGGACTCTAGAACTGTGTGTATGTGGGGAATTTTGGAATGTGTTTTTCTTTTTAGGACTTGAAATTCATGAAGTCATATTTCTATTTTTACTAGAATGTTACAGTGGGGGAGCAAGCATTCCTTGTGATTTAACCCATAGCCCTGCCTCCTCTGGGCCAGATATTCACTGCATGTTTTTGACACGTACCTATATGGGTCTTGTTTGTTGCAAATTCAAACTTCTATTCTGGGAATGGGTTGCAAGGATTAGTTTTGTGGTTGCACTTTGGAAATATGTGATGATGCATATTCAATGACTTTGCAATGTAGCTATTCCAAGTAAGTCATGTTGGTTCATGGATGCTTGCCCTTTACACAATAAGATTGTTAAATACATAATCATGATGTCAAAGGCTCATTTATTTTCTTCTTTGTGTCACAGTGGAATTCTATCATTTGTTAGGGAAGAATTGTAACTTTAACATTTCACCAGATTGGAGCACAGATTATGTCTCACCCTTTTGTCATTAAATGGACTTTTTTCCCCCCACAAGTGAATAATTGCTTGTCCAGAATTCTCTTCTGGGCTCATCTAGTACCATGTGGAATTCTTTTTCTTACAGCTGTTCTCAAATATGAAATTCAGTACCCATCACATTTATTCTAAACCACACATGAACCGAGAATAATTTTTGCATTATTCTATAATTAAATTTTTTTATTGAACTAAAGTAAAAAAAAAATGTATCTGATAGTGCTGTCCCTTGGGTCACTGCATCAGGACCGGTGGTCATTGGAATTATTCTTTGATCTTACCTCTATCTGTCAGCTTAGGCTGCTATACTACAGTAACATTCAACCTCACAATCCCAGTTATGGTGGTTTACAACCACAAAGCTCCATTGCTTGCTCATGTTACATGTCAGTTGTGGGTCATTGCTTACAGCTCAGTTTCACAATGTTTTTACTCTGGGAACTAAACTGACAAAGCAGCCCCTACCTGGAGAATCGTTGGGCTTATTGCAGAGAGGAAGAAAGAGGGAAGTTAAATTTGCAATGCCTCATAAAGCTTCTCGGCAATGGTGCATGTTATTTACACTCACATTTTACTGCCCAAGCAAGTCACGTGACCAAGCCTGACATCAACAGAGCAGGGAAGTACAATTCTTTCACAAGATGGGGCATAAAATATTTGGAAACAGTAATAAATTCAACCTTAGCCCTCTGCTTAATCACAAAAATTCACTTCTCTCTCTTCTGCACCCAAAATACACTCACTCTTCTAAAAGAAACAATCCAACAGTCTCATCACCCAATCAGGCTCAATGTCCAGGATTGCACGACAGTCTCCAAATCAGGTCTGAGTGTGGGGCCACTTGAGCTGGAGGCTTATATAAAAAACACCAAGTTGGCCGGGCATGGTGGCTCACGCCTGTAATCCCAGCACTTTGGGAGGCTGAGGCAGGCAGATCACCTGAAGTCGGGAGTTCGAGACCAGCCTGACCAACATGGAGAAACCCATCTCTACTAAAAATACAAAATTAGCTGAGCATGGTGGTGCATGCCTATAATCCCAGCTATCGTGAGGCTGAGGCAGGAGAGTTGCTTGAACCCGGGAGGCAGAGGCTGCAATGAACTGAGATCGCACCATTGCACTCCAGCCTGGGCAACAAGAACGAAACAACGTCTCAAAAAAACAACAACAACAGTAACAAAAAACAACAAAAAAACAAAAACAACAACGAAAAGCACCAAGTCAGTCCTTTAAACCCCATGTTCTACTCTATATGCAATAGTAGAATAATGACAGGATAACCATGAAAAGCTATTAAAATACATTTGAGAAAGAAAAGAAAGGGAGGCACTAGCTAAGAACATTGATTACTACAATTCTGAAATCACATTAGGATGTATTGTGAGGGCCTCTAACATGAAAGTGGGAGATATTTCTCAACTGGACCCCAACCTTTATGGGTCTTTGTGACTCTTGGGACTCTTGGTTTCGCTCTCTGGGAAGTTCTTCCATTTCCATTTACCTTCCTCTGCAATATTTAAAGAAAACATTTGGAGAATATACTCTATCTGAAGACTAAGCAGTTTACTTTTTTGATTTTTTATTTCATTCTAAGTTGACAATCTATAACTATATGTATTTATGGGGTAAAGAGTGATATTATGATTTATGAATACAATGTGAAATAATTAAACCAAGTGAAGCCACAAATCCCTTCCCTTAAATACTTCTCACTTTTTTGTGGTGAGACCATTTGAAATTTACTCTTAGCAATTTAAAAATGTACAGTAAAGTATTAATAACCATATGTACCGCATTGGAAACTTGATCTAAGAAAACACACTTATTGTACTGTCTAACTGTACTTTGATCATCATTCTCCCCACCGCCAGCCTCTGTAACTATCATTCTGTTATCTGCTTCTATAAGATCAATGTTTTTAGGATGCACATATAAGTGAAAACATGCAGTACCCCTCTTTCTGTGCCTTATTTCATTTAGCATAATGTTCTCTAGGTTCATCTGTGTTGTCACAAGTGACAGAATTTCCTTTTTTAAAAAGGTTAAATAATCTATTGTGTTTATATTCCACATTTTCTTTATTCATTCACCTGCTGGTGGACATTTAGAAATATTAAATGACTTGGACATTGTGCGTAGTGTTGCAGTGACAATGGATTGCAGACATGTCTTTGACAAACTGATGTCAAATCTTTTGGAAAAACCCTAAAAGTGGGATTGCTGAATCACATGGTAGTTCTATTTTTAGTTTTTGAGGAAGCTCCAAACCATAATAGCTGTACTAATTTACATTTCCACAATAGTGTACAAGAGTTCCTTTTTCTCCACATCTTTGCCAGCACTTATCGTTTTTTTTTGATAGTAGCCATTATGACAGGTGTGAGATGATACCTCACTATGGTTTTAATTTGCATTTGCCTAATGATTAGTGATGTTGAACATTTTTTCATGTATCTGTTGGTCATTTGTATGTGTTATCTCGAAAAAAAAGTCCATTGAACTTTCTTGTTCATTTTTTATTCCCATTGAGTTGTTTGAGTTCCTTATATATTTTTGATATTAACCTCTTTTCAGATGTATTGCTGGCAAATATTTTCTCTCAATGTATAGATTGTTTCTTCACACTATTATTTCTTTTCATCTGCAGAAGCTTTTTGGTTAATGTAATTTCATTTGTCTATTTTTGTTTTCATTGCCTGTGCTTTTGGGTCAAATAAAAAAAAATCATTGCTTAGACCAATGTTGTGTAGTTTTTTCCCTATGTTTTCTTCTAGTAGTTTTATAGTGGCTGGTCTTATGTTTAAGTCTTTAACTCATTTTCAGTTGACTTTTGTATATGGCACGAGGAACCCATGACTAGGGTTCAATTCCATGGGTCCAAATTGGACCCATGATAAGGATGCAATTTCATTATTTTGCATATAGGCACCCAGTTTTCCAACACCATTTGTTGCAGACAATCCTTTTTTCATTGTGTATTTTTGGTACCTGTGTCGAAAATCAGTTGACTGTACATGCATAGGCCCGTTTCTGGGCTTTCTATTCTGTTACATTAGTCGATGTGTACCTATATTTTTGCGAGTACCACATTGTTTTAATTACTAAAGCTTTTTAGTATGGTTTGAAATCAGATAGTGTGATGCCTCCAGCTTTGTTTTGCTTATTGCCTTGGCTATTCAAGATTTTTTGTGGTTCCGTATGAATTTTAGGGCTGTTTTTTCTATTTCTATGAAAATTAACATTGGAATTTTGATAGTGCTTTCACTGAATTTGTAGATCATTTTGGGTAGTGTGGACATTTTAATAATATTTTTCCAATTCATGAACACAGGTTATCTTTCTATTTATTTTGGGTCCTCTTCATTTTCTCTCATCGGCTTTTTATAGTTTTCATGTATACATTTTTCACCTCCTTGGTTAAACTTATTCTTATGTATTTTATTTATTCATTTATTGTAGCTATCACAATAGAATTGTTTTCTTGATTTCTTTTTTGGTTAGTTTGTTGATGTATAGAAATGCTACTGATTTTTGTATGTTGGCTTTGTATACTGCAACTTTGTTTATTAGTTCTAATATTTTTTTTTTGGTGACATCTTTAAGGTTTTCTATATATAAGATCATATCTTTAGTAAACATTGGCAGTTTTGCTTCTTTGTTTGCTATTTGGTTGCCTTTTATGTCTTTTTCTTGCCTGATTGCTCTGGGAAAAATTTCTAATATTATGTCTCATTTCAGATCATAGAGAAAAGGCTTTTAATTTTTCACCATTTTGTATAATGCTAACTGTGAGGTTCTTATGTATGGCCTTTGTTACATGGAGGTACATTTCTTTTACCTAATTTGGTAAGAGTTTTTATTATGAAAGAATGTTGAATTTTGTCAAAATTTTTTTGCATCAAATGAGATGATCATGTATTTTCATTTTTCATTCCATTAATAGGATGTATCACATTTATTGATTTGCACATGTTGATCCACTCTTACTTTCCAGGGGTAAATTCCACTTGATCATGGCGGATGATCCTTTTAATGTGCTGTTGAATTCTTTTTGCTAGTATTTTGTTGAGAATCTTTGAATTTATGTTAATCAAGGATACTGGCCTATAATTTTCTTTTTTGTAATGTCCTTGTTTGGCTTTGGTATTAGGGTTATACTGGCCTTGTGGAAAGAGTTTGGAAGTATTCCCTTTTTGAGTATTTTGAAGAGCTGAAGATTGGTGTTAATTCTTATTTAATGTTTAGTAGAATTCAGCAGTGAAGTAATCAGACCCTGGGATTCCATTTGATGGGAGACTTTTTATTACTGATTCATTCTCCTTACTGTTAATTACTATGATATTATTTCTTCGTAATTCAGTCTTAGTAGGTTATATGCATCTAGAAATTTATCCATTTATTTCTGGGTTGTTAAATCTGTTGGTGTATAATTTTTCATATTAGTGTCCTATAATTCTTTGAATTTCTGTTATTAGTTGTAATGCCTTCTCTTTTATTTCCGATTGCATTTATTTGAGTCTTCTTTCATTTTAAGTCTAGCTAAAGATTTGTCAATTTGGTTCATCTTTTCAAAAAACAGCTTTTAATTTTTCTAATCTTTCATATTGTTTTTCTAGTCTATATTTCACTTGTCTCTGGTGGATCTTTAGTATTTTCTTCATTCTGCTAACGTTGAACTTAATTTGTTCTTCTTTTTCTAGTTCCTTGAAGAGTAAGATTTTGTATATTTGAGATCTTTCTACTTTTTTGATGTAGGCATTTATTGCCATAAACTTTTCTCTTAGAACTGCTTTTGCTGTATCCCGTAAGTTTTGGTATATTGTGTTTCCATTTTTGTTTGTCAAGATATTTTTTAAAGTTTCCTTTTAATTTCTTCATTGACCCTTTTGTCATTCATAAACATGTTTTATTTCCATATATTTGTGTATTATCTGAAATTATTCCTATTGTTGATTTCTAGCTTCATACTATTGTGGTCAGAAGAGATACTTGATATGATTTCAATCTTATTAAATTTGCTAAGGCTTGTTTTGTGCTCTTATATGTGATTTGGCCTGAGAATTTTTGTTTGCATATGAGAAGAATCCATTGGCATTGGATAAAATGCTTTGTATATGTATGTTAGGTCCACTTGGTCTAAAGTTTTTCATTCCATGTTTACTTATTAATTTTCTGTGTAAGTTATATGTCCATTGTTAAAAATGGGATATTGAAGTCTCCTACTGTCATTGTATTACAGTCTATCTCTCCTTTCAGATTTTTAAATATGTGTTTTATATATTTAGGTGCTCTTACATGGTGTATATCTACATTTTAATTGTTATATCCTCTTGATAAATTGGCCACTTTCTCATTATATAATGTACTTCTTTTTGCAGTTTTGGACTAAAGTTTATTTTGTCTTATATAAGTATAGCTATTCCTGCTCTCTTTTAGTTTCTATTTGCATAAAACATGTTTTCCCATCCCATCAAGGTTAGTCTGTTTGTCCTTAAAATGAAGAGAGTCTCTTGCAGACAGCATATAGCTAGTTCTTGTTTTTTATTCAGTCAATATATTTTTAATTGAATAATTTAATTCATTTACATTCAAGGTAATTGTTACAGATGAAGACTTACCATTGCCGTTTTGTTACTGTTTTCTGGTTGTGTTATAGATATGTTGTTTCTTTCTTTTTTGATGTCTTCCTTGGTGGTTTGATGATTTTACATAGTGGTATGCTTTGAATCTTTTTCTTTCTGTTTTGTGCTTCCACTTAATAAGTTTTAGTGTTTTTGCTTTAAGGTTACCATGAGGCTTACACAGAACAACTTTTAGGTGTCACAACCTATTTCAAGCTGATAACGACTTAAGTTTGATTCCATACAATGACTCTACACTTTTATTCCCCTCTTCCCATATTTTATGTTTTGATGTCAGAATTTACATTATTTTGTATTGTGTATTCCTTGACAATTTATTTTAGCTATAGTTTTTATTAATATTTTTGTCTTTTACCTCTTCTATGAGGGATAAAATTGTTTTACACACCATAGCAATTCCTATAAGGCAGGTCTAGTGGTGATGAACTTCCTTAACTGTCTGGGAGATTTTTAATTTCTCTTACATTTCTGAAAGCTAACTTTGACTAGTAATGTATGTTTTTCTGGCAGTTTTTTTTTGCCCATCAGCACTTTAAATTTATCATCTCACTCTTTCCTGATCTGCAGGGTTTCTGCTGAGAAATATCCTGATAGTTGTATGGGCACTTCTTTATTTGTGATGTGTTTATCTTTTGCTGCTCTCAGAATTTTCATCTTTGTCTTTGTGATAGTTTGATTATTATATTTTGGTGAACTCCTCTTTGGATTGAATTTGATTGAAGACCTCTGAGCTTCCTGTACCTGAATGTTGCCATCTATCCCCAGATTAGGAAAGTCTTCAGCCATTATTTCTTTAAATATGCTTTCTGGTCTCTTTTTCTCTTTCTTTTACTTCAGCAACTCCTATTATGCTAATGTTTGGTCTCTTGATATGTCCAATAATTCTTGCAGGGTTTCTTCATTCTTTTCATTCTTTTGTCTTTTTGTTCCTCTGACTGGATAATTTCAAATGTTCTGTCTTCTAGTTCACTGATTCTTTTCTTCTGCTTAATTAAATCTGCTGTTGAAGCTTGCTATTACATTTTTTAGTTCAGTCGTAATTGTACTCTTCATCTTTATGATTTCTTCTTAGTTCTTTTTTATTGTTTATATTTATTTGTCTAACATCACTGTTTTCTAAATTTTATAATTTTCTATCTTGTATATTCTTTTATATTCTTGTAGTTTACTGAACTTCATTAAGAGGATTATTCTGAATTCTTTGTCAATGACTTCATAGATCTTCTTATTTAGAGTCCATTACTGGAGCTTTATTAATTTCTTTGGAAGGTGTTATGATTCTCTAATTCTTTGTAATCCTGTATCCTTCTGTTGTCTATGCACTTGAAGAGATAGTTTACTCTTCTGGCCTTTACATGTGTTCTTTTGCAGGGATAGACCTTTACTATATAGTTTTACCTGAGATTCTGGAAAGGCCACCTGCCGATAACCCTGGGCATGCGGAGATTATTGTGAGTTCTTTAGGTGTCTGGGCTGCTGCCTTTGCTCTGATGTTGGGTGGGGCCTCAGGCTAGGCTCTGATTTCCAGCGAGATCATTTGCTGGGCTCTGCTATCAGGCAAAGTCACTGACTGTATACTGTGATGGTATCTGGTCAGGCTGGTCACAGAATTTGTTCCCTGGCAACCAAATTCTGCTATTTGGTATCTGCAGTTGCACGAGGCTTACAGGCTTTGTTCTGGGGTTAGTGGGAGTCACCACTTGGGATGGAAAGGACAAGAGTCTATGCTCTTTAGAAATATGCAATGGAGGATTGCCTCCCTGTCAGGGTGGAGCTGTGGGGTGGACTTTTGGCTGAGTCAAGCAGCCAAAAATTTGAATAAATATAGCAGCTCTAGCCCCTACACTTATTGAAAATGCAGAGAGGTAGGAGCCTCCCTGCTTAGGTAGGGTCATTGGGTGGGCTTTTTGGCCGAGTTTGACTTTTCAGATCAAGGAGGTCTAGCACTTATGCTTTTCTGAAATTCACAGAGGTGGAAGTCTCACTGCCTAGGCTGGGTTGTTGAGGTAAGCCCTGAGGCTGTGCATAGAGGCTAGCTGTCTAGGTACTTAAGCTAGGTTGAACTTCTCACTGTTCTGAAGGTGACCAGCTCAGCTTTGCATGTGGACCATGACATTGACTGATATCTCTGATATGGCACCAAAGCTGGGAGGAACACAGAAGTATCACAGAAGTATCACCAAGATCTGCCTGCTGATTGCTATAACCTCTGCTTCCTTTTTTGTTGTTTCTGCCTTATCTTGGATGGTCTAGACTTGTCGATATCTTCAGTGTTCCCAGTAAGGTGAGACTGGGGTGGGTTTTCTGGAAAATGTCTCCAAATGCCAGGGAAGCCGGATGACTGCCTCCAATTCTTTTTCCCTTATAAAAGTTACGGGCCTAGTTTTTCTATGCAGTGGCTGACAAAGAATTCAGAATAATCCTCTAAACAAAGTTCAGTGAACTATAAGAATGTACAGATAAAAAAGTATATAAAATGTAGAAAACAATACACAGATAAAATGAGAAGTGTGATAAAGATATAGATAATAGATAAGTAAATCAAAATTCTAGAGATAAAGAATAAAATGAGTAAACTGAAAATTTTAATAGAAAGCTTCAACAGCAGAAATCTCCATTGGGCATTGTGCCAACTTGGGTGAAGAGGAGACACAGTCAAGTCAAAGTGAGACTATTTTTCTTATCTTTCTAATTTTGAATTTTATTCAGTTCTGTGGACCACTTTAGTGACTCAGGCTTGTTTTCAAATGCTGAGGTTTTTAAAAAGATGTTCTGGGCTGTGGATAATAGCTAGTTGAACTTTCTGTGGAGGGAAGTGGAGCTTGAGACTTTCTATGCTGCCATCTTGTTGACCTAAGCAGCTTTCTCAATCTGTTTCCTGCTTATTGAATCAAAGGGACATTTCCGTTTTCAAATAGTCGCAGTCTGCCCTAGTCTCTTTTGATATTACAACTCTGAATAACTGAGTCCATTTTTTTAAACAATTAGAATTATAAAATTAATATTTATCTATAGTCATACCCACAATTCTTTCTGAAAAATTCTGGCCTCTCTTAGTTATGGCTGCAGTATTTGTTTTCTATTACTATGCTATAATAAATCACCACAAGCATAGTATTAAAAAATTCTTAACAATAGTTAATAATGGTTTTAAAACAATACAAATTTATTATTGTACAGTTCTGGAGGTTATAGTGATTAGTTTGCAGATCTTGGTGATAATTCTGTGCTCCTGCCAGCTTTGGTGCCATATTGGAAATATCAGTTAATGTCATGGCCTACCTGAAAAGCTGAGCTGGTCACCTTCAGAATAGTGAGAAGGTCAACCTAGCCTAAGTCCCTAGAAGTCCAAAATGCATCTCATAGGCTAAAACTCAAGGTGTTGGTGTTGGCAAGGCTGTGTTCCTTTTGAGGCTCTAGGGGAAAATCTGTTTTTTTCTTTTTTCCAGATTTTAAAGGATCATTTTTTTCCTTGGCTCATGGCCCAATCCATCTTCAAAGCCAGAAATCACATCACTCTAACCTCTACTTCCCTCATCACATTTCCTTCTCTGACTCTTCTCCTGCCTCCCTTTTTCACTTATAAGAACTTTGTCATTATATTGGGCCCACTCAGATAATTCAGGGTAATCTCCCCAGCTCAAAATTCTTAACTTACTAACATTGTCATGTAAGGTGTTAACAAGAGATCATGAGATCTATAGGGAAAAAAGAAAATCTTTATTTTTTTTATAGAAAACAATCTGCAGACTGGGAGCTTGCAGCCTCTGGTGTGCACTCTGAAGAACAAAGGGATGTTCTGGCTTGAATAAGAAAAGTTCTTACCTAGGTTCTCAATCAGCTTTGTTTATGCAAATGAAGAATTCAGCTTCTTCTGTTCTCATTGGTTGAAATAGTCAAGCTCTGATTGGGTGATTTCCAAGCCCAAAGCCAGAAGTCTCTGTCATATATTTCTTTCAAATGACTGGTGGGGATTATTGGTCACAGTTTATCTTGGCTCTGGTTATAGGAACTGTTCTGGTTTAGGAGTATAAAGTAGGATGTTTGTCAAAAGCTGCGTTTCCTGAGAACTCAGAGTGTGTGACCACTCTCTCACCATGCTATGGCCATCTGGCTCTGTTTTTAAATTTAGAGGGTCTCTATTATCACAGAAATCCCAGAGAGCTTGGAGTCTTATTTTATAATTTAATTTCACAAAGGTAATATATACTCACAGGGATTCGGAAAGACATGGACATATTTGGGTGGGGGCATTATTCTGCCTACAACAGGTACCTTGTATTTGACTGATTTTCATGTCAGAGGCATTTTCCTGAGTCTTTTTTCCTTGAACCATTTTCTAAAACTGAAGAGTTCTGCTATTTACCATCTTAATTAATTCATGATTTTTCACAAAAAGGTTTCTATTTAGTTATAATTTAACTTTGTCTTTTACCCCAAGTAAGTTTTAGTAAAATTTCCTCAGATCAGAAAGCATTAACTGTAGAAATATTAAAATATTCCTTTCAGAGCCCCACAGTATGATGCAAGGTGGTGCTGGAGCTGATAGCTAGTAGAGTAGTACTTGCTATGGTAAGAGCAAAAAAATGGATTCTTGTATAGGAGAAATTCTGTGGTCAAATTAATTTTGAGTGACATTCTTTTAGCCTTTGTGGAAGAAGGGAGACTGGAGACAGAAGATAAATTTTGAAGCCACGTGGGGGTCTGGGTTTGAGAGATTAGATCTGGGTAACACAAAGGATATAGAAAAAGAAAGAAAGGAACAAAATGCATTCCCTTTTCTGTTAGAGGGAAATGGTGAGATTGGGGTAAGCACAGTTGGGGAAGCTTCCAGCAGGTTTTCAGGTCACTGGAGTGGCAGGTGACAGAGTGGACAGGTTATAAATATGTTGGAAAAACATGCTATTTACTGCCCCCATCTATAATAATGTGAATACTTTTGAAGGGTACAGAAGGAGGGAAATGTGGGAATGAGATGGGCTTGTTCTTAATGGGTTTGAAATTGGGGTAGTGCACATGTCTAGGTAAGATGTGGGTCTAGGTCATGGAGAATGGGATGAGAAAAATAGCGGTGAAGAAAGAAGGATTTGAGAACTCACAGTAACATCAGACGAGGTAGTGAGGAGGGAAGGATGAAAGTCATATACAATGTTCTAATTGATCAGTAGGCCTTCTGGGATCATAGAGACTCAAAGCCTGGGAAAGTAAAAGTGAATGCTAGGAGGTTGGGAAGAGATGTAAAAGAGAGAAAAAAAATGATGACACATGAAGGTTTATGAAAGTGATTTGTCATTCAATAATATATGTACTCTTGTCATTAGATATTTTTCTCCAACACTGTTTTGAATAATGCTTTTTGACTTTGATAATGTAATTTTTGCAGACAGTCCCTCTTCTCCTTAGTGGAATAGAGTGGGAGAAATAAAAGAAACACATAGTGTACATTCATGCAATTTTATTCTGGGTCATTGCATCCCAGGCCTTTAGGTCACTGTGTTTGGCTCATCCTTCATATCTTTTAAAATGTTCCCACAGAAAGATTAGGGAATTGTCAGGATTCTTCCGTTTTGGAGAGGTCTTTAACATTTATAAATAATTATCTAAGGACATTGTCCATTCTATTATCATATCAGTCCTGTGAGATAGATATTATTATTCACATTTTGCAAATGAAAAATTTGAGGCTTGGAGTAGTTGATAACTTACCTAAGGATGCACAGTGCATAGTTAGTAAAGCCAAAAATGAAATTGATGTTCTCTTTCATAAAATGCCATTCTTGTTCTTTACTCCCTAAATAACTAAAGTAAAGAACTTTACTCCCTAAAGAACTAATTTATTATTAAAATATTCAGAATCTCATCTATAGATTTGGAAGGATTGCAAATATCAAGGATCCAATAACTAACATATTAACAGATCATTAAAGCAGCTGGTAGAAATGGAGAGAAAACAATTGTAGAAGCCAAATTTGGAGGTCAAGAATGTGACCAAGTTTCTATATGGCACATTTTCCTGATAATTGACTGTTGTTCTTACCATATTGCCCTAAAATGCTTCCTGTGACTGATAATTGACATTATGGTGGCATGTGAGGGGCTTAGAGAAAATGTCACACTGTTCCAGGGCTTAATCTTGCTACTGGGCCTTCCTATAGTATCCCATTCTCCACACTTGTAGGAATAAACAACAACCATACAGGTTATCCTGGGAGTTGCCTAGGAATGTTGAGAAAATACAGAAATAAAATCTATTAAAACCATAAGGAACTTTGGACCTGGAAAATGATGTCTTGATTTTGTGCATTGGCATCATGGCAAAATTAAACTTAGCATCATGTAGCCAAAGGAAATATTAATGAGAAGTCGTTACCTAATAATACTTGCAAAGTCTTGATAGGTATTGAAGGGGGAATGGAGGGGGGAGCATGGTCCTTGTCCAGGGCATAATAGCAATAAAAGGGCTAGCAAAGCATGCTTTTAGAGAATATTTTGTATTAGCATGAGGTTAATTACCTCTTTCAGGACATTGACAGAAAGAACATTAATAAGAACAGAGAAGCAGAGAAGCCTTGGAAATCATGCTTTTATCTGAATGGAGGAAGAAATAAAAGGAGAGGTAAAATGAAATCTTGCCACACTGCATGCTCCCTCTTCTCTTTGTTCCTGTCCATTTCTAATATTAAAATAAGAACCTTTCTTAACTAAGTATGCTTCAATCACATTGCAGAATCTTTTCATGTTTATCCTGAATCTGAAGACGTGGGAGAATTAGAAATGATTCACTAAAAACTGGATCCAGTCCAGCACACCCAAAGCAGAGTGTTTTAGAGTCTTTCCAGATTGAGAGTGGATAGAGTGTAGCCATTTATTACTTTTTATTATGGAAGGCAGTAATCTGTAAGGTCCATCCTGACTAAAATAGGTTCTTTTTCTCCCTTTAAATAGAATGCCAAATAGAATTGGCAGTGCTTCCTTGAAAATTAATTCAAATGTACGTAACTATTTTAAGGGCTATATTGATATTACATATACTTTCTGAACAGGATAGCTAGACCACATAATAATGTTGCAGTATTTATAAAAGTACTTTAGTATAATAGCGTATGTTTATGGAACACTACTTTTAGTCAGGCACTGTTCTAAGCCTTAATACGTATTAACTCATTTAATCCTCGTAACAACCCTTTGTTGTTATTATCATTCCTCTTGTATAAAAGATAAAACTAAGCACAGAGAAGTTAAGGTTGCCCCAAATTACACAGCAATTATGTACTAGAGGCCAGGATTTAGCACGAGCAGTTTGATTCCAGAACCCAGTCTCTTCCATGCCCTTCTGCTGCTCTGGACACACATTACCTGTATCTAACTTATAACATTCCTTCTTCTATTGTAATAGATTTCTTGATCAATGGATTTCCCATTTATAGTCGGTAATTGTGATTGCAGTACTGCTTATTCTATTCTTTTTCCTGCCTGGGGGATAAATTCATTTCAAATTATAACATAATAAAATGTACATATAGTAAATATGGCTGGAATATACCAGGAAACAAGCAGTTTTGCCATCAATTATGTAAGGCTTCAAATGCAACACACATAATTGCTTTATTTCTCAATCTTGTAACTATTAGCTTCCAGACTATGCTGTCAATCTTCTCACTGAGACAATATTATCTTTCAGATGCTCAAATGTGATGTTTAGACATTGCAGCTCTGCTTCTAGTGAAGTCATTGAAATACATGTTTGTGGATGTATATAGAATACATTTCTGCTAGCTTTCTTGGGCAGATTACTTGGACAGTCTAGCTGAGCAAGAAAATCTTGAGCTCAGGAATCAGTTTCCATCCCAGTTACAGCACTTACTAGCAATCTTTGGCAATTATTTAGTTTCTGTATTAGTCTGCTTTCATGCTGCTGATAAAGACATACCTGAGACTGGGTAGCTTATAAAGAAAAAGAGGTTTAATGGACTCACGGTTCCATGTGGCTGGGGAGGCCTCCCAATCATGGCAGAAGGTGAACGGGATGTCTTACATGGCAGCAGACAAGACAGAATGAGAACCAAGTGAACGGATAAACCCCTTATAAAATCATCAGATCTCCTGAGACTTATTTGCTAACATGAAAACAGTATGGGCGAAACCACCCCATGATTCAATTGTCTTCCACAGGGTCCCTCCCACAACACATGGGAATTATGGGAACTACAAGATAATATTTAGGTGAGGACACAGGCAAACCATATCATTCCACCCTGACCCCTCCCAAATCTCATGTCTTCACATTTCAAAAGCAATCATGCCTTCCTGACAGTCTCTAAAAGTCTTAACTCATTTTAGCATTAACTCAAAAGTCCATAGTCCAAAGTATCATCTGAGACAAGGCAAGTCCCTTCTGCCTATAAGTCTGTAAAATCAAAAGTTAGTTACTTCCTAGATACAATGAGGGTATAGGGATTGGGTGAATACAGCCATTCCAAATGGGAGAAATTGGACAAAACAAAGGGGCCACAGGCCCCACGCCAGTCCGAAATCCAGTGGAGCAGTCAAATCTTAAAGTTCCAAAATGATTTCTTTTGACTCCATGTCTCACATCCAGGTCACACAGATGGAAGAGGTGGGTTCCCATGATCTTGGGCAGCTCTGCATCTGTGGCTTTGCCAGGTACCGCCTCCCTCTGGTTTGCATTCATGGGCTGGCATTGAGTGTCTGTGGCTTTTCCAGTTGCAAGGTGCAAGATGTTGTCGGATCTTCCATTCTAGGGTCTGGAGGATAGTGGCCTTCTCCTCATAGCTCCACTAGGCAATGTCCCAGTAAGGACTCTGTGTGGGGGCTTCAACCCCACATTTCCTTTCCACACTGCCCTAGCAGAGGTTCTCCATGAGGGCCCTGCCCCTGCAGCTAACTTTTGCTTAGACATCCAGGCATTTCCATACATCATCTGAAATCTAGGTAGAGGTTCCCAATCCTCAATTCTTGACATCTGTGAACTCGCAGGCTCAAAGCCACGTGGAAGCTGCCAAGGCTTGAGGCTAGCACCCTCTGAAGCAACAGTCTGAGCTGTACCTTGGCACCTTTTAGCCATGGCTACCACAGCTGGGATACAGGGCGCTAAGTCCCTAGGCTGCACACAGCAGGGGGCCCTGGGCCCAGCCCACAAAACCATTTTTTCCTCCTAGGCCTCTGGGCCTGTAATGGGACAAGCTGCCTTAAAGATCTCTGACATACCCTGAAGACATTTTCCCCATTGTCTTAGTGATTTACATTTGGCTCCTTGTTACTTATGTAAATTTCTGCAGCTGGCTTCAATTTCTCCTCCGAAAATGAATTTTTCTTTTCTATTGCATCATCAGGCTACAAATTGTCCAAACTTTTATGCTCTGTTTCCCTTTTAAAAATGAATGCTTTTAACACACCCAAGTCACCTCTTGTATGCTTCACTGGTTAGAAATTTCTTCCACCAGATACCCTAAATCATCTCCCTCAAGTTCAAAGTTTCTCAAATCTCTAGGGCAGGGGCAAAAATGCTGCCAGTCTCTTTGCATAGCAAGAATGACCTTTACTCCTGTTCCCTAAAAGCTCCTCATCTCCATCTGAGATCACCTGTGCTTGGATTTCATTGTCCATGTCACTATCAGCATTTTGGTCAAAGCCATTCACAAGTCTCTAGGAAGTTCCAAACTTTCCTACATTTTCCTGTCTTCCTCTGACTCCTCCAAACTGTTCCAACTTCTGCCTGTTACCCAGTTCCAAAGTTGGCTTTCAAATTTTCAGGTGTCTTTACAGCAGCACCCCACTCTCCATACCAATTTACTGTATTAGTCTGTTTTCATGCTGCTGATAAAGACGTACCTGAGACTGGGTAATTTATAAAGAAAAAGAGGTTTAATGGACTCACAGTTCCATGTGGCTGGGGAGGCCTCACAATCATGGAGGAAGGTGAAAGGCACATCTTACATGGCTGCAGGAAGAATGAGAACCAAGCAAAAGGGGTTTCCCCTTATAAAACCATCGGATCTCATGAGACTTATTTATTACCATGAGAATGGTATGGGAGAAACTGCCCCCGTAGTTCAATTATCTCCCACTAGGTCCCTCCCACAACACATGGGAATTATGGGAGCTACAATTCAAGATGAGATTTGGGTGGGGCCACAGCCAAACCATATCGGTTTTATTATATTGTTGTTTGCCCATCTGTAAAATGGAGAAATTTCTATTCTCCTCACAGAGCGTTGTGAGGATTAAGTTAGATAAAACATGAATGCCTACCTCATAGTGGCTGCTTATTAAAAAAGGAGAAACAACAATAAACAGAACAACATTATTATTATTTATAGGATAGATTCTGCAAGTGGGCATGCTGCTCTAATTGCTGTTGCATGTATTTGTGGATAGTAGTCAAATGATATGGTTGAAGAACCTTTACTTTGTATAAAAACAAACCAATTGGTTAAAAGAACATTAATTTTTTTTAAACTTCTCCTAATCTCTCTATGCATAGATTCTTTCTGTGTTCCCATACATGATCCATACATTCTTTTAGTATAAAACATATGACTCTATTTTGTATTTAATTTCTTCAAATGTAAATCTACCAGATATGACTGCAAACTCTTTGAGATAAAGAAGCAAGACTAATCAGTCTTCATAGCTACAGCATGACACACTGCTACAGAGTAGGTGCTTATTAAATGATTGTATAATAAATAAATGAATACACTAATTTTAAGTACTCAATGTAGGCATTATTTGAAACACAGCATTATACTGGAAAACTATGAATATAGTTCAGAGATTGCATGTTTGATTAATCAAGTGAGAAATACTTTGGATGTTCTCATTAAAAAAATTCTTTGGGAAAGCTAGGTTCTGCAGGGGCATTCATGCTAAAATAACATGGCTGTTATTTTTGGTAATAAATAAATTTGTTTCCTATGGAATCATGTTAACAGAGCAAATGAGTCAACTGAAAAAAGCAATGTATGATTTCCATGGAGTAAGCTAAAGAAAAGTTTCTGGAGGGAAAAAAAGCACATTGTTCCATTATTTAAATTTTGTTGCCATTATAATTTTTTCAATAGTTGATCAGTGATAATCCTATTTGTAGTATAGATTATCGATGATTAAAATGCTTGGCAACCAAGTTTTAAACTAACAGGTAAAGATTATAGGCTTTATCTGACATAAATAAGGCTATAATGGAGGAAGATACCATAACATTTCTATAATTCCCATCTGACTTGCCTGTGATGACACTACAGTGTGTGATTGCCCATGTGTATTTTTGCTACCCTAAAATTACGGGTTATGAGGAGGGGGAAATAGTTTTTAGTATCATTATCCTTTTCAAGAGCCAGCTCTCAATTAGTGAGATGGGATCCATTATTTTTCCCTGCTTTTCTCCAGTGGCCCATTACCTTTGCTCTACTTGAACTGAAGAGAACATTCAGGGATTTGTGGCAGTCTACTGAAAGTTTTATAACTGGAATTGACTTTTCAGGATTGGGCAGCAACACCCAGGATATTAAACTGACACTTCTGAATTTCCCAGGGCAGCTAGCACACATCTGGTATTCATTTCTGTAGTTTATAGAATGGTGATTTTCTAAGTCACAGGGGTCTGCAGAAAGTTGTTGCTGACAGGATTTTTGAAAAGATGATGAAAGGTGTGACATATATGCTACAGGATTGTCCCAGATCTTTGGTAATTTGGCCATCAGGCTATTGGAAGATTCGTCACCATCACTGTCAGTCTGGTTTTCAATCTTTATGCAGTGATGTTGAACAATTCAAACAGGAGAGACAAGGATGATCAAAGAAATGACAGAAAATGGAGATGGTGTGTCTTCAGGCATGATCTAGAAGGGATCGTTTGGAAGGAATCAGAGCAGGGCAGGGATGTATTGTGGTCCAAATATCTGTTTCCATTGGGTACACACTTTTACATTGGTAAGATTCTGAAAACAAGGCTACTTTCTCAGACTAGAACGCAAAAGGCTTTTAAAGCTAAATTGAAAACTTGTGCAGTTAGAATGGAAAATAGTAGAAAATATTACTATTACCATACTCATCAGAAGGGAAGCTGAGTGGAACAGTAGTAAAAAGCTTTGAGTGTTTTTCTGTTGTTGTTGTTGTTTTTTTACTGGGTGTGTGACCTTGGGCATGTTACTTAATCCCTCTAGGTTTTAGTTTTCTTATCTATATATAAGAAGAATAATACCTACCTCAAATATTTGTTTTGAGGATTAAATGAAATGATGCAATAAAGCACACTGTACAATTTCTGGAACATATGAATCACTGAAGACATTTTAGTTATTCTTTTATAATTAATATGCAATTGTTATTGTATTTAAAGGAAAGAGAGCTGTCTGTAGAGCTGTTTTCAGTTTTTAGAGGAGCTGAAGGGAGAGAATGTAAACAATCACTGAGCTAATAGAGTTGCTCAAAGAATAGAAAAACAGCTCATATTCTATATGGGGAATCCATTAAGAAAGTCCAGTTTTACTTTGCCAAGTAATGGACTTATTAACAGACCTTTCAGAGTGATATTTTGTTTTGTACTAAGAAATCCTAATAGTTCAATTTGTTTCCTTGAATTCTAAATAGAAAATACTCTGGGGATGCATTACCTTAAAGAAGTTACCAACTTTAGGGAAAAATGTTTTATCACTTTCGCTTGACAAATGTCTAACAAATGTCTGAGACCCTTTTAGAGGATTCACAGAGTCAAAAGTATTTTCATAATAATTCTATGGTGTTATTTGCCTTTTTTGGTTTTTTTTTTTTACTTTCTCTCGCTTACAACTGTTCAATGAAAATTTCCAGAGGCTGCATGATACATAATATTTTAATGAAGTAAGTGCAGTAGGAGATGGAGAATCTAGTTCCTTTCTTATTAAGCCATATATTAAAGAGATTTGGAAAATCTTAATGCCATTCTTAGTAATTTTTTTTGTTTTGGAAAATATGAAGTTTTTTAAAAATAAAAATATGCTATCTGCATTGCATGAATTTGTCATTGTTATTTTAAAAAAGAATTAAGTACTTAAAAGTTCTCTGTTGAAATATAGAATATGAGAAATAATGACAGATATAATACACACAAGCAAAAGCTTTTAGAATTCTCAATTTTTAAAAGTGTAAAGAGGTCCTGGACCAAGAATTTTTGAGAACCGCTCTTATAATCAAACACCTGTGGGTGCAAGGACATTCATGTAGTTACAGAGGCTTCCAAACAGGGCAGACGGCAAAGTGCTATCTAAGATCAGGGCTCACAATTTTATTTTGTTGTATTTATGTGTAATAAACTTTTACTGAACCTCTGTGTGTGTGAGATACAGGAATTACCTGATTTACTCCTCACATCAACCCATAGCTTGTCCCTCTGGTCTCTCCCTGTCTTTGGTGCTATCAGAACCCTAGACTCTTGCCTGTTTCCGAGGGCACATTTGTTGCTCTCTTCATTCCTTTGTTTAATAGTAAGTGGTATGCGCTTTGCCTCTTCCTAGGCTAAAAGAGGTAGGTTAAAAAGAAGCATGGTCTTTGTCTTCATGTAGTTTACAATCTAGAGCAGAAAACAGACGTTAAAAATAAATGCATACATAAATATGTGATTGAAAAGAATTATAAATGCTAAGATTAAGGTGTTTATGAAAGCCAACCCAACATGAAAAATATTCTCCACTGTCCTTCCTCTTTTAAGTTGCTCAGTCTGGATCCAAAGTTCTGGGTAGCCCTATCTGGTTGGTTTAATATAGATTGTTACACTAATGTCCTCATGAATCACTCCTTCTCTCATTTTATGTTTGTGTAGTCCTTCCCACTTTGACTCTTAGCTCGTCCATGAGACTTGCTTTGGCCAGTGGGATACTACAAGCAGAAGCTTGACAAGTTATTGTGCATTCACGCTTATCCCTTTTTGCTGTTAGAAATTTTTCTGCCATATGTAAAGAAGCTAGAGCTGGCCTGCTCACACATGCCTAGTTGTAAGCCGGAGCTAATGCCAGACATGTGAATGGGCTATCATATACTGTCCAGCCCTAGTCAAGTAGCCAGATGATTGCATCTGCATGTGTGATGCCAGCCCGAGTTACTGACTCACAGATTTTTAAGCAAAGCCTTTTCTTTCTTGTTTTTTGTTTGTTTCTTTCTTGTTTTTATTGGCTTTTTTTTTTTTTTTTTAAGACAGAGTCTCCCTCTGTCTTTCAGGCTGGAGTGCAATGGCCTGATCTCAGCTCGCTGCAACCTGCACCTCCCAGGTTCAAGCGATTCTCTTGCCTCAGCCTCCTGAGTAGCTGGGACTACAGGCATATGCCACCATGCCAGGCTATTTTTTGTATTTTTAGTAGAGACAGGGTTTCACTATGTTGGCCAGGCTGGTCTCCAACTTCTGACGTCAAGTGATCCGCCCACCTCAGCCTCCCAAAGTGCTAGGATTACAGGCATGAGCCCCATGCCTGGCTGCAAACCCTTTTCTTATAGCTGGAAAATTATATACTACATGACTCTTGATGGAAGGCTGCCACTTACCACCGCTGGCAGCTGGAGTATAGACCATGACCTAGGCCAGGTGTACCAGGTGTATCTACTGGGACATAACAAATCTCCTGAAAATGTATTGGCTTTAAACAACAATCTTTATTTGCTCACATAACTTCATAATCTGGAGTCTGGTGCCTTTCAATTATGGAAAACTATAGTCACTATTTCTTCCTCTCTCTTTTCTTTTTCTGAAATGCCTATTTGTTGTGAGTTAGAACTCCTGGATTCTCTAATCTTCTATTTTTCCATTTCTAGTTTCTAAAATATTTCTTTCACTCCTTCTAGCTGATATTCTGGATATTAGAACAGATATTCCAATTTTTGTCCATCATTGTAATTTTTGCTTCCATATTTTTAATTTTTCTAAGAGCCTTTTTCCCTGTCTTTCACAATATCCTGGTTTCATTTTTTTGGATGTAATATCTGACCTTCTGTTAATTTTCTGAGGTATTAATTGTAGCATGTTTATTATTTCTTCTCATTCTTACTTTACCTTTATTTTCTTTCAAGTTACTTTTCTTTTTTCTTTGAGATAGGGTCTCCCTCTATCACCCAGGCTAGAGTGCAGTGGTACAATCACGGCTCACTGCAGCCTTGACTTCCTGGGCTCAAGTGATCCTCCCACCTTAGCCTCCCAAGTAGCAGGGCCTACAGGTGCGTGCCACCACCCCTGGCTAATTTTTGTATTTTTTGTAGAGACAGGGTTTTGCCATTTTGTCCAGCCTGGTCTCAAACTCCTGGGCTCAAACAGTCTGCCTGCCTCAGCCTCCCAAAGTGCTGGGATTACAGGCGTGAGCTACCAGTCCTGGCCTTCAAGTTACTTTGTATATTTGTCCTTATATTTTATGTTACAGGCTTTCCTAAAATGTCTGGTTATCATTGGTGTCTATACCTATTTAAGAATAAATGCTGAATAAATGATTTTAGGCTCTGAGTATTTGGGCAAGGCTTTTTGAAAGGTTGGCTTTGCTCTAGGCTGGTAGGGTATGTGGGTTTTTCACTGGAGACTTCCATAAGAAGAGCTGCAACCATTTTCTCCAAGGAGGCTAAGTTTATTCAGAAAAGCACCCTCCAACCATCTGTCCCAGTCATGTCCTTCTGAGCGTTTGAGTGGGTATAAGTTTGTTCTGTAGCTGGGAAGCAAAAGGGAGCTGGAATGGCCCACTATTCATATTGTTTATTATCACATGATGCTTTTGCTGCATTTTTGCTGTATCTGTATGTGTGGTATCCCAGAGTCAACAGTTCAAATTCTATGTATCTCCTTTTTCCTGTGGTTGACGGCTAGTGGTCAAACCTCGTGGGAATTTGGACCAGTTTTTAAACAATCTGTCCTCAGCTCTGCTCCTTCCCTTCTGTCTTTTGCAGCACCTGGTTTCCTCAATTCCTTGGCATCTCTTGAGCTCCTCAGAGTGAACCAGGCTTCCGGTTATCAATAGTCTCCTCTGCCAGCACTTATATTTGACCATCCTCTGCTGTGCACATATATTTGCCAATCCTCTCTGAGTTGTCTTTATATACTGTAGTTCAGCACTACAAATGTTTCTAATTTTATTGAAGACAGAGTCATATTTTTGTTTCTTGTTATTATTTTGGGTTGATTTTTGAGAAGAAAAGGGATGAAATATCTTTATATTAGAAGCAGGTTTTTCAATTATATTTTACTTCTTATAGGATAAGTCCCTGGTCATAGCATGTGGGCCCTTCATGATCTGAGACTCTCCCACCTGCCCAGCCTTCAGAGGTTGTATATTTTTACTGGCAACTTAGTCACATGTAACCTGAGTTCCAGATTTACTGTTAGCATTTGTCTGAATAAGTCATGTTCATTCTTAGCTTGTTTTTTATTCTTCTACCCCTTTATTAGTCCATCTGTCTAAAAATGCTTTTGAGATCAACTCATACATTATCTATTTACTGAAAATCGATAGGTAGTCTCTCTTCTATGTGCTCACAGAAGACAACCGGGTAACAACCTAACAATTTTGAAATGATCAGTTCCCTTGTATGTTTCCCCAAATGGGCTGTGATATCCTCTAGGGCAGTGGTGTAATCATTTTTATATTTCCAATGCCTGGCATATGGTTTTAATGTTTGTCAAATAAATGAATAAATTAATTAAATCTTTTAAAGTTAATCCTGATCATCCCCCTTTAGAAATAAATTTCTGCTGTGGTATGGAGTGTGATGATCATCTATCAAGTTAACAAAGATTATCAGGAATTTCTGTAGCATTACAGAATTTGAGAATCAGCTCAACAATAAAAACAGCACCTAAAGCTATGATAGATTACTATGTGTCAGGCACTGGACTAAGCAGTTCGAATTCATTGTTTCTTGCATCATTTAAGTTAGAAGTGGCTTGGGCCAATTTTCAACTACTTACACAATGTTTTAATTTGTGAGTAAAAACTTTAGCAAAGCTATTTAATTCTACTGTGGCATTATAACATAATTTTTTAGATGAAGTACGATTATCAAATCTTGGAATTACAGAACCTTATTCTCTAATTTTGTATAAATTTAATGATCATTGGTTTTAATTGACTGAAAGCTGACAAAATCGTATATTAACACATCAAATCTCCACCATCTATTACAGTGCCTATTCCTATATCTCCAGAACCTATTACAGCACCTAGCACATAGTTGGGGCTCAATAAGTATCTGTTGAATGAGTGAAAGAACGAATGACATGAAATGCAGCCTCTATGTAGCTTAGAGTGCGGGGTTCAAAACATGCTATATAATTATAGGGCTAAAGTGGTTGGGGAAGGCCCATGGAGGAGACTGGACTTGAGATGATGTTTAAGGACCTTGGCATTGGAGAGGTGAAGGAAGAGGGGAAAGACTTATCCTCAGGCCCCTGAAGGCTGATCTAATCTGTACACAGACCATCCTTCATCCCCAAATATCTCATTTGCTGATATGACAGAAGGCTTAAATTTCTGCCTACATCAATTCTTTCACTTAAGGAATTGTGTCTTCAAATTCCACGTAAATTCTTTGAGAGTGTGACTAATTTGCACATTAAAAGTTATTGCCTGATTAGCACAGATGGTACCTTCTAACCGAAGCAGGCAGCTTCAAACTGGTCTGCAGTACTCTGACTTGAGATGGGAAAGGTGAAAATTTCTGTGAAGAGTCAGAGCTGGAGAGGCCTTTTAGAGTTTTCCTGATGAGCCTTCACTTTAGTGAACACAGTGGGGTTGCCAAGAAGGCCCAGGAAAGTACAGGAGATTTGGGATAGCAAAGATTGGTACTTTCCTGCAAAGAACTATTTCTCTTACCCATAGGTCTTCTTTTAAGAAAACATACTAGCTATTTATTCCTTTAATAGAAGTGCAGATGATTAACTTTTGGGGATTATTTTGGAAATGAAAAATTTTGAGGGGTCATTTATTTCAGATAATGGGCAGTTCTTATATTTCTAGAAATATAGTTCCTTTAGAAAGATATTTATTACTAGGTAATAAAACAAAACAAATATCTCAAGCTGATTGGCATGGAAATATCTTAAATGAGCCTCTTTCTTTAAAATGTAGCTGATGGAATAGATTCCATGATTAATTCATCTCTGTTTCCCCATGTTTAGTCCAGTACATGACATATAAGCCTCAAAAATATTTATAAATGTGGAAAAAGAATTGTATCCATGGTGAGAGTCTCTAGAATCATGAATATCTCATTTTGGAAATTTGAATAATTTACTGTGTTTGTGAGTGACATGGCCTCCTAAAGCATGTCTTGAGTTTGCTCCTAATGTGGAAGCATACGGAAAAGACTGCAGAGCCATCTGGCAGAAATAGGAGACACTGGAAATATAATGGAAAACTTTAGGGAAGTCTAAAACAGGAAATTTATCAATCAGGTGATAATCTCAATAAGCAAACAAGCAAAATGCAAAAGCCCACATATATTTAGGGGATGGTGTTGTTTTAAATGTTATCTTAGTGTCCCATTGGTCTGAGGTTTTTCCTCTTGGTGGCTTGTCTTTCCATGATATCAATAACTTTTAACATTTGAGGTAAGAAATGACAACCCACATCATTTGAGTGATTCACTGAGCATGATTATTATATAGGCTGCCATTATTTTTAAAATTGTGTAAAAAGCGTGGTAATCCGTCACTGTTCTAGGAACAAAATGATCATGTGCTGTTTCCATTAAATGTGCCTGTATCTGGCCATCAGCCTAGGGAGGACAAGCACTGCACTTGACTTTCTGAGGTATATGAAGGTAGAATGTAGGGGGAGAGTCTAGCAACAGGCAGCCCTTTTCTAAATTATTTCTTTCAACTTATTATTAGATTTTATTTAACTTCTAGAAGCAGGTATGTTGATCTAGAGAGACAGAAAGAGTATATACCCTTGCACATCTGAAAATGAGTAGTTTTGAGGAAATAAAGAAAAAAGAAGTAATTAAGAAAGCACCAAGCTGTTGAAAAAACCGGGAGGCAGACACTGTCATAAAGGATTTGAAATGCTGCAGCAGTTTTTTTTTTTTAATAGCTCTCTTCATTCTGAAAGGTCACGGCAATAAGGGAGATGAAGGGTTATCCTTTATGATCTCCAGTAATTTAAGATACTGTAAACAAATAAATCCTGGGGATGAGAAATGTTTATTAGCCTTAGGAGACTTAGCAATAATTTAGTTAATATATTGATACACCAGGTGGTTGAAATTAGAAGACAAAGATCAGTCCTCAGGAAGCATTGATATCTTCTCAGAACACTAAGCCTATCACACTTATTATAATAGTACATGACATCTTTTTCAAAAATAAGAGGTACTGTCTTTGAAATGCAGATGCTTACCAAACATAGAAAATGAGAATGAAGATGATACCTGGACACAGAAGCAGGAATTTCAGGAGCCTAGAGAAGAAGATGGCAATATAAAAAGAGATACAGACATGTGGAAATTCTTACCATGCGAGCCCTTTTCATGCATACTTTTGACTTGAGCTATAATTACTAATCATAAGTGAAAGGATACACTCTCTTTGTTCTTAAGTAAAATTATTATATACATAGAAGTTCTGCTTCCTTCCAGATCTGCCTTGGAGATGTATTCCTTAGTCTCTGTGGGAACTCTTAATGGACATTGGAAAAACTCTTAGCATGCTGATATTCAATGAGAAACATTTTCTCCTTCACTCCAAAAAAAAAGAAAAAGCAAAAGGAAATGATTTTAAATTAGAAAAGAACCCAGAGAGAGCAACAGGGTCATGACTATGCTAGAATTGGGAATCAAGATGGGGCAAGGCTCAATCCAGACCACCCAAAGATCCGAATGTTCCAAATTGCTCCAACACATTGAAATCCCCACATATGCTAAGGTTCTGACTTTTGTGTATCCATTGTATATGGGTCTTCTGGAGGGTCGTGTCAAGTAGAAATGTCCAAATTTAAGAACTGTTTTAAGAAAGAAAGAAAAAATATTGTTCTTACTACTTGATTCTAGAGGGAAGTTATAATAGGCTTATTTTGAATGAATAAGTAATAGATGATGTCTGCGGCAACTATTCGAATTGTGAATTCTTAGTAAACCAGATCTCTAGTCCTTTTTTAAAAAATGTAATAATACAACAACATTTAATTTCACGTACTTTTATAAACTTTTAAGCTCAGGGTTACATGTACAGGTTTGTTATATCGGTAAACTTGTGTCACAGGAATTTGTTGTAGAGATTATTTTATCATACAGGCATTAAGCCTAGTACCTGTTATTTTTACTGATCCTCTCCCTCCTCTCACCATCTGTTCTCTGACAAGCACTGGTATGTGTTGTTCTCTTCTATGTGTCCATGTGTTCTCATCATTTAGCTCCCACTTATAAGTAAGAACATACAGTATTTGGTTTTCTGTTCCTGCATTAGTTTGCTAAGGATAATGACCTCCAGCTCTATCCATGTTCTTGTAAAGGATATCATCTTGTTCTTTTTTATGGCTGCATAGTATTCCATGGTGTATATGTACCATATTTTATTTATCTAACCCACCATTGATAGGCATTTAGGTTCATTCCATGTCTTTTCTATTGTGAATAGTGCCACAATGAATATATGGGTGCATGTGTCTTTATGGTAGAATGATTTATTTTCTTTTGGGTATATAACCAGTAATGGGATTGCTGGGTTGAATGGTATTTCTGTTTAAAGGTCTTTGAGGAATCACCACACTGTTTTCCCCAATAGTTGAACTAATTTACACTCCCTCTAGCAGTGTATAAGTGTTCTATTTTCTTCACAACTTCACCAGCATCTTTTACTTTTTGACTTTTTAATGATAGCCATTCTGACTGGTGTGAGATGGCATCTCATTATGGTTTTGATTTGCATTTCTCTAATGATCAGTGATGTGGAGTTTTTTTCATATGTTTGCTGGCTGCATGTATGTCTCCTTTTGAGAAGTGCCTGTTCATGTCCCTTGCCCACATTTTTAATGGGGTTGTGTTTTTCTAGTAAATTTGTTTAAGTTCCTTATAGATGCTGGATATTAGACCTTTGGTGGATGCATAGTTTGCAAAAATTTTCTCCCATTCTGTAGGTTGTCTCTTTACTCTGTTGATAATTTTGTGTGTGTGTGTGTGTGTGTGCAGAGCTCTTTAGTTTGATTAGATCCCATTTGTCATTTTTTGTTTTTGTTGCAATTGCTTTTGGTATCTTTGTCATGAAGTCTTTTCCCATTCCTATGTCCAGAATGATATTGACTAGGCTGCCTTTCAGGTTTATTATAGTTTTGTGTTTCACATTTAAGTCTTTAATCCATCTTGAGTTAAATTTTGTGTATGGTGTAAGGAAGGGGTCCAGTTTTAGTTTTCTGCATATGGCTGGCCAGTTGTCCCAGCACCATTTATTGAATAGGGCATTCTTTCCTCATTGCTTGTTTTTGTCAGCTGTGTCAAATATCTGATAGTTGTAGGCATGCAGCCTTATTTCTGGGCTCTCTATTCTGTTCCATTGGTCTGTGTGTATGCTTTTATACCAGTAGTATGTTATTTTGGTTACTGTGGCCCTGTAGTATAGTTTAAAGTCGAATAGCGTGATGCTGCCAGCTTTGTTCTTTTTGCTTAGCATTGCCTTGACTATTCAGGCTCTCTTTGGTTTCATATGAATTTTAAAATATATTTTTCCAGTTCTGTGAAAAATGTCATGGTAGTTTAATAGGAATAGCATTGAATCTATAAATTGCTTTGGACGGTTGGCCATTTTAATGATATTGATCCTTCTTTCTTATGCATGAGCATGGAATGTTTTTCCATTTGTTTGTGTCATCTCTGATTTCTTTGAACAGTGGTTTGTAATTTTCCTTTTAGAGATCTTTCACCTCCCTGGTTAGCTGTATTCCTAGGTATTTTATTCTTTTTGTGGCAATTGTGAATGGGATTGCATTTCTGATTTCGCTATCAGCTTGGCTGTTGTTGGTCTATAGGAATGCTAGTGATTTTTGTACATGGAGTTTGTACCCTGAGACTTTGCCGAAGTTATCAGCTGAAGGAGATTTTCGGCCAAGACTGTGGGATTTTCTAGATTATAGGATCATGTAATCTGCAAACAGAAATAGTTTGACTTCCTCTCTTCCTATTTGGGGCGGCTTTATTTCTTTCTCTTGCCTGACTGCCCTGGCCAGAACTTCCAATACTATGTTGAATAGGAGTGGTGAGAGAGGACATTCTTGTCTTGTGCCAGTTTTCAAGGGGAATGCTTCTAGCTTTTGTCCATTTAGATGATGTTGGCTGTGGGTTTGTCATAGATAGCTTTTATTACTTTAAGGTATGTTCCTTCAATAGTTTATTGAGAGTTTTTAACATGAAGATGTGTTGAATTTTATTGAAAGCTCTTTCTGCATCTATTGAGATAATCATGTGATTTTTGTCTTTGGGTCTGTTTATGTGACGAATCACATTGATTGATTTTTATATGTTGAACCAACCTTGCATTCTAGGGGTAAAGCCTGCTTTACTGTAGTGGATAAGCTTTTTGATGTGCTGTGGAAATAGGTTTGCCAGTATTCTGTTGAGAATTTTTGCATTGATGTTCAGATGTTGGCCTGAAGTTTTCTCTTTTGGTTGTGTCTCTGTAGGCTTTGGAATCATGATGATGCTGGCCTCATAGAATGAGGTATGGAGGAGTCCCTCCTCCTCAATTTTTTGGAATAGTTTCTGCAGGAATGGTACAAGCTCTTTGCTTATCTGGTAGAATTTGGCTGTGAATCCATCTGGTCGTGGGCTTTTCTGGTTGGTAGGTTATTTATTACTGATTCAATTTTGGAGCCTGTTATTGGTCTCTTCAGGGATTCAATTTCCTCATGGTTCAGTCTTGGGAGGGTGTATGTGTCCAGGAATTTATTCATTTCTTTAGATTTTCTAGTTTATGTTCATAGAGGTGTTCATAATATTCTCTGGTTATTTGTATTTCTGTGGGGTAAATGGTAATATCTCATTAGTGTTTATTTGCTTCTTCTTTCTTTTCTTCTTTATTAGTCTAGCTAGCAGCCTATCTATTTTATTAATATTTTTCAAAAAACCAACTGCTGGACTCTGATTTTTTGAGTGATTTTTCATGTTTCAGTCTCCTTCAGTTCAGCTCTGATTTTGTTTTTTTCATGTCTTCTTCTAGCTTTGGGATTGGTTTTATCTTGTTTCTCTAGTTCTTTTAGTTGTGATGTTAGGTTGTTAAATTGAGATCTTTGTAGCTTTTTATGTGGGCAGTTAGTGCTATAAATTTCCCTAACACTGTCTTAGCCATGTTCCAGAGATCCTTGTATGTTTTATCTTTGTTCTCATAATTGTCAAAGAACTTATTGATTTCTGCCTTAATTTCACTTCTTACCCAAAAGTCATTCAGAAGCAGGTTATTCAATTTCCATGTAATTGTATGATTTTGAGTGATTTTCTTCATCTTGAACTCTAATTTTATTGCACTGTGGTCTGATAGAGTGGTTATTTTTTCAGTTCTTCTGCATTTGCTCAAGAATGTTTTTGTCAGATTATGTGATTGATTTTAGCATGTGTGCCATATGGTGATGAGAAGAATGTATATTCCTTTGCTTTTGGGTGGAGATTTTTAGGTGGAGAGTTCTGTAGATGTCTATTAGGTCCATTTGATCCACTGCTGAGTTCAGGTCCTGAATATCTTTGTTAATTTTTTGTCTCAATGATCTGTCTAGTATTTTCAGTGTGGTATTAAAGTCTCTCACTGTCATTGTTGTGGGAGTATAAGTGTCTTTGGAGGTCTCTAAGAACTTTATCAATCTGGGTGCTCCTGTGTTGGGTGCATCTATATTTAGAATAGGTAGGTCTTGTTGAATTGAACCCTTTACCATTATGTAATGCCCTTCCTTGTCTTTTTTGATCTTTGTTGGTTTAAAGTCTGTTTTGTCTGAAACTAGAATTGCAATCCCTGTTTTTTTTTCTATTTTTTCTTTTGCTTGGGAGATTTTTTTTTCATGCCTTTATTTTGGGCCTATTCATGTCACTGCATGTGAATGGGTCTTGGTTCTCTATCTAGCTTGCCACTCTGTGCCTATTAATTGGGACATTTAGCTTATTTACATTCAAGGTTAGTGTTGACATGTGTGGATTTGATCCTGTCATCATGATGTTAGCTGGTTATTATGCAGAGTTGTTTGTGTGGTTGCTTTATAGTGTCACTGGCTTATATACTTAAGTGTGTTTTTGTGGTGGCTGGTAATGGTCTTTCTTTTCCATTTTTAGTACTTCCTTCAGGAACTCTTGTAAGGCAAGTCTGGTGGTAATGAATTCCCTCAGCATTTGCTTGCCTAAAAAGGATCTTATTTCTCCCTTGCTTATGAAGCTTAGTTTGGCAAGATATGAAATGCTGGGTTGGAATTTATTTTCTTTAAGAATGTTGAATATTGGTCCCCAATATCTTCTACCATGTAGGGTTTCTGCTGAGAAGGCTGCTGTTAGCCTGATTGGCTCCCCTTTGTAGGTGATCTGACCTTTCTGTCTAGCTGCCTTTAAGATTTTTTCTTTTATTTCAACCTTGGAGAATCTGATGATTATGTGTCTTGGGGATGACCTTCTTGTGAATTGTCTTACTGTGGTTCTCTGTGTGTCCTGAATTTGGATGTTGACCTCTCTAGCTAGGTTGGGGAAGTTCTCATTGATGATATCCTGAAATACGTTTTCCAAGTTGCTAACACTCTCTTCATCTCTTTCAGGGACACCAATGGGTTGTAGATTTGGTCTTTTTACATAATCCTATATTTCTCGAGGTTTTGTTTATTCCTTTTTCATTATTTTTCTTCGTTCTTATCTATCTTATTTCAGAAAGCCAGTTTTTCAGCTCTGAGATTATTTTCTCTGCTTGGTCTATTCTGCTATGAATGATTGCATTATGAGATTCTTACAGTGTATTTTCCAATTCTATCAGGTCAATTATGTTCTTTTTCTATACTGGCTATTTTGTCTGTCAGTTCCTGCATCATTTTATTGTGCTTCTTAGCTTCCTTGGATTGGATTTCAACATGCTCCTGCATGTCAATAATCTTTGTTTCTGTCTGTATTCTGAATTCTATTTCTGTCATTTTGGCCGTCTCAACTTGGTTTAGAATGCTTGCTGGAGAGGTGGAGCTCGGAGGAAAGAAGGCGCTCTGGCTTTTTGAGTTGTCAGAGTTCTTGGATTTTTTTTTTTTTTAATCTTTGTGGGCTAATGTTTCTTCAATCTTTGTTGCTAACCTTTTGATTTTTTTTTTCTTTTATCCTATTTGGTGACATTGAGGGTTTGATTGTGGTATAAGGTGGATTCTGCCAACTGGCTTCATTTCCAGAAGATTTTAGAGTGTCAATGTTCAGCTCACAACTCCTGGACTGAGTGCTCTAACTATGGAGGACTTGTAACAGGCTCTGACTTTGTTCTCTGGCTCCCTGAGGTTAGAAATACACTGTACTGTTGGTGCCAAGGTACTCCCAGACTGTTGGTCACTATACTCTGATGGGTAGTGTCAGCCAAAGCATTTCGTAATGCAGTGATGGCAGGTCTGTCCTGGTTTAAATGTGCCAATAGCAGTGGCAGTGGCAGCAGCAACACAATGGGGTGCATGCTCGTTGGCTAGGGCAAAATGCTAGTTGGTGGTGGGGTGTCTGCATTTGTGCTGGTGTTTACCAAATGGAACATGGCGTGGCAGGGAAGTGGGGTGGGTTCAGGGCCCCTGCTGGCAACTGTGCACCCAGTCTTGCTGTTGGTGGTGTTGGTACAGAGTTGGGGAGCTGGCGGGTTCAGGTCTGTGTGCGCTTTCTGTGTCCCGCAGGTGGGGTGATTGCTCAGAGTAGGGGAGGGTCCACTATTCTCTGTGCCTAATTTTACTCCCCTGGTAGTGTTTGTGCAAGGACAGCTGCTGCTGGGGGCAAGACTGACAGGCTCTGTACCCAAGGCTTCAACTGCAATGGCAGTTGGCACAGAGAAGGGGACAGATTGCACTCCTGCTACTGTGCAGGCATGGCAAAGTGCACTCACACTTGCCTACTGGAGGGGCAAGGAAGGCAAAAGCTGCTGGTGTACATGCATTCTGGCAGAGGGATGTGGGGATGTTGCTGTGGGCTGGAGGAAGTTGCAGTGTGGAGAGGGAGCAGGCAGGCTGGTGTGTGGATGTGGTGGCTGCCCCCACTGGAGCTCTTCACCAGTTAGGCATGGTCTGCCAGCACAGTAGCTATGATGCAGGTCCCCAGGGCACCTGAGGCGGTCCTACAGGCAGGCATGGCCAGGCTGAGGCCCTAGAAAAGGCCATCAGACCAAGGGGTGCTCAAGTCAGACCAGCCAGGTCTGATGGGCAAGACTGCGGAATTTATGTCTGACAGTTCCCATAGGGCTAAAGTCTCCTATGGGTGCAAGTCGAGCCCAGGGAGATGACTGTTCCTGGCTATGCTTCACTATAGATTCCCCCACACCAAACCCTCTGGGCTCCATATCAGCTGGCTTGCTGCCCCTATCACTTCTCTAAGCAGCTCTCCCTGCCAAGTCAAGTGTCCATGGTGATCGAGCGGTCTCCTCCTGCTGTAGTTCCAGAGGCCTGTGGCAAGAGCGGGTTTCTCCTTGCTAGTTCAACTCACCACTTACCCCAGAGTCTTTGGGGGCTAAGAACGAGTCCTGGTGCACAGCAGCCCTGTGCATGATTCCCAGCTTCTTCCCCTTCACCTCAGCTTCTGCGTGTTCACTCCGTGCACTCTCCATGCCTTCCCTCTGAAAATCTATTAGGAGTATGCCAGTCCTCTTGGTACCCTGGTGGCAGCTGTTCCACCTGGCTGCATTTAGTTGGCCATTTAGCCCTCTCTCATGTCTTCTAATTGCTCAGAGTTGTTATGCATCACTTGTTCTCTCCACGCTTAAAAATATCCGCTTGAAAAGATAAGCTCCACGAAGTGAGCAACTGAGCAAGCCTGCTGCCTCTCTACTCAAGGATGCACTTACACCAGTCTCAGAAAAGCTCCGCTAGTCTTAACTGTGGAATAAAGTGCTCAAAGGTATTGTTTTCCATCTGTATATCTAGACCTTAAGTCTTGAAAACATTGGATTCAGAAAACCAACACTGGCATTTCTGTATTGTGACCCTAGAAATGTGATTTCAATGGTAATCAACGAGGGGAAAATGAGGAAAGAGAGAACCTACTGGCTTCTTACACAAAATTATTTTGTTTAGACTTGAATAATTTGAATAATTATTTAACTCAGTGCTTCAATTTTCTCACCAGTGAAACAAGAATGGTGGTAGGCCAATGGTTCCTGAACTGTGGAGGCTGTCAGAACCACCTGGAGAGCTTGTTAAAACACAGATTGATAGGTCTCACTCCTTAGTTTCTGACTCAGAAGGTTTGAAGAGGCCCAAGAAGTTGAATTTCTACCAGGTTCCCAGGCCATGCTGATGCTGGTAATATGGAGAGCACTCTTTGAGACCACGGGGATAGAGCATGTTTATAGTTTCCTTCACGCTTGCACACTAGAAGCACAACAAGGAAAAATAAGCTCTGTAGTTTTCCTGCTAAAAAAAGAAATTTTGCAAAAGCCATTTATCCACCTGGAGGATATTTATGTGCAGGGCATTTCTGAGTAGCGTTTAAGGCTGTCATCTAATGGCAGTTATTGTGTCTGTTTATATATGTCACAGATGCATAAATTTGAGATGAATTTTAGAAGGTTTGTCTATGTGCAAGTCATTTAGAAGATATATTCACCTGAATGGAATTGTGGGGAAGTAATCAGTAGGATTTAATCCCCTATTAAAGTAGCAGATTTTTTTTTTGAAAGACAAAATAGTGTTATTGCTAATAATAGTTTATATATATCCGAAGTAAGTATTTAATCTGAATATCTAAAAAGTTTTATGAAAATGAACTCAGTATTTTACACAATATTTCTATGAGATTGGTTAGGTAGCAAATACTATGCACATTTTTTTTCATGGGAATACTTAGAATACTGAAAGACTTGTTTTAGATAACACTATAATCAAAGGTATAAGTGCAGTCTATCTTGCTGCCTGCCACCTCCTATAGGTCTTTCCAATTTATCAAAGAAATATGTGGCTTGGATGGCCCATGTTTGGGAAACTTTTATTTTTTCACTTTTATAATGCAATATTCATGAAGTCATTTCTATTATATATAAACTATAGATTATGCTTTTTATTTTTTAGCTTATCTGGGGCTTCTAGTATAACTTTGAGAACTTGGACTCAAGACAGATCTAGGTTCTAGTTCCAGTTTCTTCCTAATTATTAGCTATGGTGCTTTTCTGTGCATTGATTTATTACCTGGGAAATAGGACTTGTGATAATCTACCTCTGTGACAATTAAATGAGGTCATACTGATTATATCTGGCACATAAAATGATTATATCTGGCACATTAATGTTACATGTTAGCTATGATAATGTTTTCTCTCCTGTTGAGGAACTTTACATACTCTTTCTCTTTTACAAGACATGTAAAGTCATCATTTTAATGCTTATTTAAGAAAAAAATACAAAATTATCAAGCATAATTTCTTCCTTAACTCTGTATCAAAATTTGGAGTATAGGTCAGCTTCGATCTCCAGTTAGAAATAATTAGATATATTCCATCATGGCATCAGACATTCCATCTTTTCTCCTTGCCTTCCTTTATCCACTCAGTTAATAAAAATCTCTATTATCTTCCATTTGCTATGTCCTGATGACACAGACCTCAAGGAACTCACTTTCTAGTAGGGAGAGGTAAGTAGAAAAACAAGTAATTTGCATTAATCCGTTTTCACACTGCTATAAAAATGCTATCTGAGACTGGGTAATTTCATAAAACAAAAGAGGTTTAATTGACTCATAGTTCTGCGTGGCTGGGGAGGCCTCAGGAAAACATTATCATGGTGGAAGGCAAGGGGATGCAGGCACCTCTTACATGATGGCAGGTGAGAGAGAAGTGCAGGGGAAACCACCACTTAACACCATCAGATCCCCTGAGAACTCACTCACTATCATGAGAATAGCATGGGGGAAACTGCCTTCATGGTCCAATCACTTCCTACCAGGCCCCTCCCTCAACACATGGGGATTACAGTTCAAGATGAGATTTCGGTGGGGACACAGAGCCAAACTGTTTCATAATGAAAACATTGTTTCTTAAGTACTATGACAGAACAAAATTCTGGGACTCCAGAGGAGGGAATAACACATTCTGGCTGAGGATCAGGAAATGCTTCAGGGGAAAGATGGCATTCTCACAAAGTTTTAGAAGGTGTTTACAAGGTGAACAAAGTAAAGCTAGGGAAAGAACGATTTATGAAATAATAAATGTTTTACAAGCTATTGAAAATATGGGAGAGTTCATAGTGTTAAAAAACTGTGAGTCAGTGTGTGGATAGGGAAAGAGGTTGGAGGGGAAGGAGGACAGAGGTGAGATGATTCTAGACACTCAGAGACCAAAATGTGAAGGTGCACATGTGCCTGTCATGCAGAAAAATTCAGACTTTGTCTTGAGGGTGCTGGGGAAGGTATTGAAGAGTTTTAAAAAAGGTACTGATATGATTTGATGCGTGTTTTACAAAGATGTGTAGAAAAATCTCATCCAGTCCATATGACTCAAAATTGTAATTAACTGACTATATGAACCTTTAAAGCTTCAGATTTTTTTTCCTAGGAATTAAATTCCTCTTTTTTGCTCTGAATGATAAAGATAATTTTGTTAGAACACCGAGAATTAAGGCTCTTTCTTGTAAGATGCTAAAATCAAGTTATTATCCATTTAAGTAGACATTACAGATTGCCTTTAGAAGTGTAAAATGTGCTGGAGATCTGCTGAAAAAAACAACAGGTGTAAAATGTTGACTGTTTTGTCAAATGCTGTGAATTTTGTTTTTGTAAATGAAGTTTTTTTTCTTTTACAAAAATAAAAAGTGTATTTTCTGTCTGTGCTTATTGCACACTTGAAATCATAATGGTCGTTTATGACATCAGATTTTGTCCCTGTGGAAAGGATTATGATGTTGTAAAGATAACATTATGATTTTGAGTAAAGAAGAATAAGGAACAGATGATCTCTTAAAAATGCAAATTCTATTTTTATGCAAATATCTTTCTTTGTAAAATACTCAAAAAAAATGCATACATTAGTTCATTAAAAGTGCCATAGAAGCAGAAATCTCTTTACTGAATGAATTTTCAAGTTTCCACTAGCCATCTGAAACCTTTTGTAAATGTGAACTCCAATTCAAAAAACTTAAAAAGATACCTTAAAAGATTTGAAATAGCGATTTTTTGTTTTATGAAAATGACTTTTATCAGTTTATCATTAAAAATTCAAGTTACATTTATACCTCTATTGAAAAATGGCTGCTGACAAAGCCATAAAAAACAAATTTAAAAAGCAATCTTTGATGGATGGGAAATATAAATTAAATATAAAAAG
This sequence comes from Homo sapiens, assembly GCF_000001405.40. NCBI lineage: Eukaryota > Metazoa > Chordata > Mammalia > Primates > Hominidae > Homo > Homo sapiens. The sequence goes on from NC_000013.11 coordinate 60,874,362, forward strand.
TTTTTGCTTACCTGTCTTCTGAAACCACTGGGAGTCTAAAAACTTAACAGCGTATTTAGAAAGCATTGTTGAGAAGGCCCCACCTCCCTTTTTTTTTTTTTTTTTTGTTTTGTTTTTTTTTGTTTTGAGGTATGTTCAGTTGATTTTCTTTCAATCTCTTCCTACACAAAAACCACAGGGTCTCTTTGGTATATTTTAACTTGAGAATAGAATGCTATATTTTTTGATGTATGTAATAGAGATAATCTGCCACATTTTGCTTTCTTTCCACAAAATTACTTTCAATGCTTTCTGCAAAGTTGAGGAAAATTGGAGCCCTGAATATTTTAGAATGACAGTAGTGGCAAAAAAATGAGAGAAGATGCAATCAGATTTTTTTTATCATATATTTAAGAGCCTCCAATTTTATAGTCAGAGGCAAAACTTGGCTCTGAATTTAAGTTGCTTTCTTTATATCAAGGCTATTGATAGTGAAAAATAGTGCTCATCTAATAATGATTAGGTCTATTAGTAAAGCCTGCTTATTTTGTTTTTATGTAATAGAATCATTTAGTTATCAGCTATTTTAATCTGAGTAAGCCAGTATATTCTTAGAGCTAAGTTGTAATTTATAAGATGCTAAGCAGTGTCTGGCACTTAAAAATTATTCTTCTAGGTCTATACAACTGCAGACTGCCATCAAACCAGAACAACTCCAAAACAGTGCTGAGGGTAGATGGTGGAGTTACAAGGCAAACATTTAAGGCCTGTTTTGTTATTTATTAGAAAATGAGTATGTGCTTGTCTCTAACTTTTCTGCTATCTACTTTATTCATCTTTAAAACTGAAATTGTAATAGCTAAGTTCATAGACTGATTTCTGAGAATAAAAATGGGCCATTTATGTGAAACTGGTCTGTAAACAAAAACCTATGTAAACATAAGGTATTATAATCACTTTATACTGCTATACTCACTTTAAGCAGTTATCACGGAGGATATACATTTTGTATAGTCTGGCTATTCAGACCTACTGGTTCAGAAACTTTGGAATTATTTTTGACAGAATTAATTAGTCTTGGCTTATAAACCATGCAGACTAAGAAATCAGGTAATCAAGGATCTGAGGTAAATATATATTTGTTTTGTATTGCTTTCAACAAAGTCTGTATTAGTTATTTATTGATACAGTACAGATTAACTCCAAACTCAGCAACTTAAAATAACAAACATTTAGTGTCTTTCACTTTATGTGGATCAGGAACACGGGAGAAGTTTAGCTGAGTACTTCTGGCACAAGGTCTTTCATGAGGCTGCATTCAAGTTGTTGGTTGGGACAGTGGTCTCATCTCAAACTGAAGGGGGGCAATCTACTTCCATGCTTACTTACCTAGTTATTGGCAGGCTTTGGTTCCTCAGCATGTGGGCCTCTCCACGGGCAATTTTCTTTCCAGAGGGCAAATGACGAGAGAGAGCGAGCGAGAGAGAGTGAGCAAACCAACTTAAGATGGAAACCACAATTATTTTATAGCCTAATCTTGACAATGACAGTCCATTATGTCTACCATATTTATTAGAAGAAAGTCACTAAGTCCATCTCATACTCAACGTGATTACACAAGGGTATGAGAACTAAAAAGCAAGTCTCATCAGAGATCTTTTTGGCAGCTGCCTACCACAGACTGTCCTGTGGCTCCCAGGACATGAACTACATTCACTACACACCATAGGTCATATTTCATTCTGTTATACCATTGCCTTAAAGCCCAGGATCTTGCCATCTAAACCTGGACCAGGAGTAGATGAGGCTCATTGATGTGATTCCTTGGGTACAGCTCCCCACATACAGTTTCTCCTGATCTACAGATATGTGAAACAAAACTGAGAGGTTGTCTTCCACCCTCACCCCTAACATATTAATATGATGGGGGGAAGGCATAGTATAGCTACTATAAACATTCATGTTCAAAAGAGATAAAATGGGAGCCTCTAAGGAGTCCATAAAAATTCTGAAATCCAGCCAGGCAAATTGGAAAGTACTCTATTAGCTCTCAAAGTCTGGGAAGAATTCACTGTGGCTCCCTGCTCCTCTCTTCGGGCTCTTATTTCCACCCCCATAATTTTATTTTTACAAACAGGCAGCACATGCCTGTAGCTGAGCAGTTCTCTCAGTCTTCTTCTTGCTGGTAAAACTCTGGGGGTTCAATGGCCTCTCCTAACTCCATACTATTATTTTTCTCCTCAGGCCCAGCTGGCAATGATGCTGGAAATGTAACCCTTCTGAGAATTTTGCTGGACTTTTCCATATATTCGTTAGACAAACTTACACCACAAGTCTCTTTAAGAGTACCCCTTCTCTACCTTGGGCTCCTGCTAGACAGCTGAGGGACAGTGCCCTTAAGCTTCACAGAAATCCTTTTGTTTGATTTATAGAAGCTGCATGGCAGACAATCTATTTTTATTTTATTTATACAAAGTTCCAAAGAATCAAAACTCAGCTATAGTATTTAGAGATTCCCACTTAAATATCATAACTGCACGGAAAACAAAGGAGTAATTTACAAGAATATTAGAATCCTAAGTGCTCCTGGGAAGAGGGAGAGGGATGTGGAGAGAACTGTAAGAAGGGCTTCAAACTTGTTTTTAATCTTTCATATGTTATACTGGATGATGGATACACTGATGTTTACTTCATAGTTTTTATTAAAATTTAAAGAAATATATATGTACGTACATTATGTATTCCTTTGTCCACATGATTTATACAAAAGAGCAAAACTGGCCAGGTGTGGTGGCTCACGCCTGCAATTCCAGCACTTTGAGAGGCTGAGGCAAGAGGATCAGCTGAGGTCAAGAGTGAGACCAGCCTGACCAACATGGTGAAATCCTGTCTCTACTAAAAATACAAAAATTAGACAGGTGTGGTGGTGCATGCCTGTAGTCCCAGCTACTTGGGAAGCTGAGGCAGGAGAATTGCTTGAACCCGGGAGGCGGAGGTTGCAGTGAGTCGAGATCATGCTACTGCACCACTGTACTCCAGCCCGGGAGACAGAGTGAGACTCCATCCCCCCACAAAAAATAAAAAGTATAGTCACTAAAATGCAGTTGAGGAGTGGTTTTTGAAACCCAGAGAAGGCATAGAAATATTGTGTTTTGAAACAAGGTAGAAAGAGTGAAGTTGTAATGCAATTAAAAGCGTGAGCTGTATACAGGCATTAGGTGATTAAACTGAGTTAAGTTAATAGGTTTTGCCTTTTTGCATGTTTTGTTAGCTATTTGATAATATTTTTCTAAAGAGAAAAATGTTCCAAGAGAACAATATTAAATGTGATCATTCATCACATCCAAAGCAACATTTTTCTTGTTCTGCTCATTTTTGTTTCATTCTGTTTTGTGAAACCAAAGAGGAGGAAAGGAAAAAGAGGAGGAAAGGAATTTGGTGGTAATAATCAAACTTACATTATTGGAGAGTTTTGAGAAAACAGCCTTCTCAAGAGCAGTTATTCTGAATTGTTGGTGAAGTTCTACCAACATAATAAGGGAAAGAAGGAGAGAGGTTTGCTGTTTTCTATGTTCAAATAGAGAACTTGGTTAGATGTGATATTATAAAGATAGAAAGTGACATATAGTCAAAGTTCTCTTCCTAAACCAGTTCTGGTGTTGTCACTCTTTTGATTAAATATCTTCAGACCTTCAGGATAAAAGGCATGCATACAAAGCCCTTCATGACATGACACGTGCTTTTCTCTTCACCCCTACCTCCTGTCATTCTCACTCCATCCCAATAGACTGAGACTCCAAAAGCCACCAGCTCATTGCTTTTCTGGAATATGCAAAGCTCTCTCTCCATTCATGCTCATGTACTTGTTCTTCTCTCTGACCCAAAGACCCTTCACTGGCTAACTCCTGGTTACCCTTCAGATGGGGAAGAGATTAAATACTGAGAAAATGTTCCTGTCTTTCCCCAAAGTTTGGGGTAGTTAGATGTTTCTGAAGAAATCATGTTGACCTTGCCTCCTAAGTTAGTGTTTCTCAAAATGGACTTCACATTCCTTAGAGGGCAGGGATGGTGTCTCCTTTTCTGCTTTATCATTATGACTTTACAGTAAGCACTCAATAAGTATTTGTGGGCTAAACAGATGGATGCATTTTGTGGATGAATGAAATGATTCTGAGAGTACTCCAATTATGAAAGTGTAGAACTGACATGGTTTGGCTGTGTCCCCACCCAAATCTCATCTTGAATTGTAACTCCCATAATTCCCACATGTTGTGGGAGGGACCTGGTGGGAGATAATTGAATCGTGGGAGTGGTTGCCCCATACTGTTGTCATGGTAGTGAATACGTCTCACAAGACCTGATGGTTTTATGCTGGGTTTCTCCTTTCACTTGGCTCTCATTCTCTTTGCCAGCCACCATGTAAGACGTCCCTTTGCTCTTCCTTTGTCTTTTGCCATGATTATGAAGCCTCCCGAGCCAAAGGGAACTGTGAGCCCATTAAACCTCTTTGCTTTTTAAATTACCCAGTTTTGGGTATGTCTTTATTAGTCCTTGAGAGCAAACTAATACAAGAACAATAGGTAGGTTTGTAGAGTCCTTAAGCATGTGGGCTATGGAACCTAACTGCTTGGCATGAAATTTTATCTCTACCATTTACTAACTGTTAGTTCTGGGGCAAGTTGTATAAACTTTCTTGACTCAGCTCTCTCATTTGTTAAAATAGTAATAACACCTTCATTGTGTTGTTGGAATGATTAAATGAAGTAATATATGTTAAGTGCTCAGTCAGTCCTGATACCTAGTAGTTCAATATGCTGAATATTGCCCCAGGTAGCAGACCACTGGATTCAGTTAAGACTCATAAGGACCAACAAAAGGTGGATCCAGGAAGGAGAAGGTGCATGCTTGACCCTCTTATCTTCCTCATCACAATACTAAAAACACCATGTTGAAATTGTGTGTTTAGTAGTATGTATCTCCATTTTATCCTGAAGATCTGTGAGAGAAAGCCCATTGTTCTCTTGAGCACTGCTGTATCTCTAATATCAGCACATAGAAATTCTTCAACAAATATTTGCTGAATGATTAGTAAGCACAATCAGGTGAAGGCATTTGAGACTTTTATGGCGTGACTCTAACAACCTTGATAGTAAGTAATTGGGAGCCTTAAAAATTATAAACCCCCCTGAAAACTCAGGCATTACAGCAACCATCTCCATTAGTGGCAATTAATTATACTTTGAATTTTCTCACCTTGAAGTCAGGTTTAAAAATACCCTTTACCTGTGTGTGTGTGACAAGGCATGGTATGAAGTAGGGATGAGATCAGCAGAGGTGAAGTCAAGGACAGAGTAGGGACAAGGAAATGAACCCAGGGAGAAGGTTTCACTTGAATAGGGAATGACAGTAGTATTGTTTAGAGGGATCCCTAAATGTATCAGTGGATGTTCCGAGAGCACTGGGTATTTTGCAGTACATGAAACCTCTACAGCCTCATATTTCACTACACAATTCGGGAGAAAGTAAAATATGAGAAAAAAGATTAGTGGATTTAGGGAGATAAGGCAGTGAATTAACAGCTCACTGTTTGGAGAGTATCATATATAACAGCTCAGGACACAAATTCTTTGATAAATGATATCTTCAGGGAATTTTCAGACAAAATAAAAGTTTTCCAATTAGTTTCCTTGAGATAATGTCACTTTTCCCCATAAACACACTGTAGTTGATTTCATTTTTCATATGTTGGTTTGCTGATGATTTAGACAAAGGTGAATGAACCTGGCTTTACTCGCAGGATACATATTTTAAAATGGTATGCTGGTTCTTAGACAGGTAACTTCCACCAGCCAGCCCTCAAGGTGAATAAGAAACACCTTTTTGGCTCTTTGGAACACTAACTCTTTCAGGACATTACATTTCATCTCCAGTACACTAATTGGCAATTTGGGAGCCTGAAGCTGTAATCTATCTCCTAGAAGAGTTGTTACCTCACACCTAGGGGGTAGTTTACTTTCCCGGTGATATCACAGAATAGCAGAATTTGAAGGAATTTTGAGCAGTGAAATATACAGGTCTTGGCCAGAGGAACGCAGGAAAGACAGGCATATTACACGCAGTTTCAACCCCAGTAGCAGCCCCTGCATAGTCTTGGGATCATCTTAAACTCCCTTGCTTCCGTTTTCTAACCAGGAAACAAATTCCAGATCAATTCTAGATGGAAGCTGACAAGTCTTTATAAAACACTGTCTTATTAGATGAGTGGACTTTGTGATGTCTTCTGTTATGTCAACAGAGAGATGGTACGATCCTGACCTTTTTTCGGGAAGCACTTCCACTTTCAGAAGGTTTTGTTCAACCCATCTCTAAGATGCACCAATCTATCTGATTTCAATATTTCTTGCCAGAATAGCTATATATTTACCTTATGTAACAGGTTCCACCCTCAGGTATTCTTCCTAAATTACTAATGCTATGTCTTAAATTTATTATGTCTTTTTTACTTAGGAAGCACTGGAGTATGATGGTTAAGAATTGGTTTCTGAAGCTTAGAGGGTCAGAAGTTTGAGTCTAGCTCTGCGTACTAACTTGTGGCTTTGTAAGATTATATAGATTCTCTAAGACTCCCTGTTCTATTCTGTAACATGGGGTAATAATAACAGCTTACCTCAGGTGTTGGCTCTGAGAGATAAATAATATAATTCTAGTTTTTTTTACTAGATAGTTATTATCATTATTACTGTTGTACAGATATAGTCAGGGTTGAAGTTTACTTCATGATAAAACTGTCTGTAAAAAATTAGTAACATACATTAATTCTAGGGGAAGAGTTTTAAATTTTCATAAACTTTGGAAGGCTGCATAAAATAGTCAACATTTTTATTATAAATTTGCTAATGTAACCATACAAGTATAATTTAAAAACTTGTTTTTAAACAAGTAAGTATTATACTTAAAATGGCAGAAAGCAAACTGGATTTCTTTGAAAGCATCTGTTGTTTTTGACTCCTCACTGATTTAAACTAACTTTATCTCAGTACCAATGAATGATCTTTCCCATAGTTTCTTATTTACCCATCTTTCTTTCATGTTAACCACCCTAAATTGCAGGATTTTTAAATGGCGGGGAGTGGGTAAGGATATTGACCTGCTTATTACACGACAAAATTTAAATCCTTAACTTGGTCAGTTCATAGCTGTGGTCTCTGAACAAATATTTGATCTCTCTGGACTTTATTTGCCTCTTTGTAAAATAGAGATGGCAATAGCTCATAGTATTGAAAAGAAAATAGCTGGGTTCAATTGGCTTGACAAAAAGCTATTAAGAGCTATTTTAATGTAAAGCAAGTTACCCTTCTGAAGTCCAAATTGCTCCTTGTGGGGAAGATGAAGCAAGGACCCTGAAGCTCTGCCCAAAGTTGCAGGGCTGGCTTCAGCAGAGTCTGGGCATATCCTGGCTCTGCTACAGCACAGCTAATGACCATTTTCTTTATGAGATGCTCTATGGAAATTGTTGCATGGGCAAATAAGTTCGGGAAATGCTGCACATTACATCTCCCCCACACTTTGGGGAGTGAATCTAAAGATTCACAGTGCTCATTAGTTTCTTAAAGACCAAGAACCCCTTCAGTAGAGAAACCTATTTAACCTTGTGTAATGCAGCATTTCTTATATATATTTGACCCTGGCACCCACTGATGCCCCTTAGGAGGCATATGCTAGAGAGAGCTGATGGGCTAGCTGAGGTTGGAGATGATTATTGTGATCTCAGTTCATGCAGTTGTCTCCAGCAGAGCCCGATTGATCATATACAGACACACACAATGAGTTCAGCTATGGACCTGGCTAATTGAGGGATTACTTTTCAGAAGGGCCAGTCACAAAGACAGAGGACATGAGCAGAGAAGCGTGACTGGGGAAAAGACATGTTTTGGACTTCATGAATTTTGACTATCTCTGAGAGAGCTGAGTGAGGGTATGTGATTGGACGTCCGATGCACAGGTATGGCTTTCAAGAGAGAGAGAAACACAGTTATGCACTACATAATGACATTTTAGTCAATGACTAAAATGCAGAGATGACTGTGGTCCCCTAAGAGCATAGTGGAGATGAAAAATTTCTGTCACCTAGTGATGTCATAGCTGTTATAATGCTGTAGCATAACATATTCCCTTTTGTATATTTAGACATGTTTACATACACAAATACCATTATATTAGTTGCCTACGGCATTCAGCACAGTAACATGCTATGCAGGTTTGTAGCCTAGAAGCAATAGGCTAGACCATATAGCCTAGATGTGTAGTAGGCTATCCCATCTAGTTTTGTGTAAGTACATTCTATGAGGTTTTCATGATGACAAAATCATCTAAGAAGGCATTTGTCAGAAGGTAGGCCTGTTGCTAGGTGACGATGACAATATAGATGATTTTTGTTTACTGATACATTTAATCAACAAATTTGGATATTGAAGCTTAGAGGGAACGATGGGAACTTTGGCAGTTGATGTAATTGTATAGGAAGAATGTTTTAGATTAAGAAGAGAATGGAACCACACTAGGCCCACCAGACAGACACATTGGAATCACTGTCATTTAAAGAATAAGCAAAGGACAGAAGGTGCAGTGGCTCATTCCTTTAATCCCAGTGCTTTAGGAGGCTGAGGCAGGAGGATTACTTGACACCAGGAATTCAAGACTAGCTTGGGCAACATAAAAAGTCCCCATATCTACAACAAAAACTAAAAATATTAGTTTTTATAATGGGTTTTATATTAGTTTTTATACTGGGCATGGTAGTCACATGCCTGTAGTCCAAGCTACTTGGAAGCCTTGAGGCTGGAGGATTACTTGAGCCCAGGAAAATAATAATAATAATAACAACAACAACAACCATAGGCAAAGAGAGAGAAAGAGGACAACTTTTTAATAGATGACTTTGTTCTCTTTTGCATTATTGTTATTGATTACTACTACTTTTTCTCTTAATAAACAGCAAAAGTTCAGGAAGGTTGTAATGTTTTTGAAATAAAGCTCATGGGTGGCAGATGTCGGCTTCCAACACAGGCCTCTTGGCTCATGCTCAATTCATCCTTTTCCTAATACACACTGTTAAATTTCTCTTCTGCACACAGCCTTCTATTAGATTCTTGTTCTCATAGAACTTACAGCCAAGATACAGAATACTGTAAATATCAGGATTGAATACTAAAATATCAGTTATAAATCTTATACGAGTGAAGAGAAGGTTATCAACAGGTATTTTCATCTCTGCTACAGAGCCAATAAAATTAATAAGTGTCTTAGCTGAGAGTAATGAGCCTATTACTTTGAACCATCATAAGAAGTTAGAGTAAGTTAGTATTTTAGGAAATAAAGCAGGAGCTGTTGATTAATTTTTAAGTTTGTCATGATAGCATAATTTCTCTAAGATATTAAATTTTAGTATTTTATATAGGAAATTAAGCAAAACTGTTTGTGAAATACATACATAAGTATTCACTTACATATATACTCCCATATGTTTATATTACAATAATGGAAATAAAGTTCAATAATCAAGCCAAGAACCAAACTATTGCTGGATTTTATCTTTCTCACTTACATCAATATTGTCAGTGCTTAGATTTTGTTTTTGATTGTTTCCAAAATAGTTATTTTCCATCTACAATAAAAGAGAAATGTTCATATTTGCTGAAGAAATGTTGAAGATGCTTATGCTGGATGAAGTTTGTGTCTACAGTGAAAAGCATCAGATCAAAACCAGTTGTTTTGGTGTTTTGAGCTGTCTTAGGTGAGATGCATGCTGATCTAATTAGTGGTGCAAAAAATATTTTTAAAAGGAAAAATAGCTGGGCTGATTGTTGTACATTGTCATCAATTAGCAATAACTAGACAATTCATTTCAAAGGAAAGAAAAATATATCACTAATTGACTGTTACTAATAAACATTGTGCCAAGCAAGCTCAACTACTTAGAGTGCAGACTTTAATGTTGCTTTGTGTGTCTCTTACTCCTTGCATAGTTTTCCTTCAACCACTGTGAACTTTGTCAGAACACAATAATCCCCATTTTTAACTATATTAGTTTCCTGGGGCTGCTATAATAAAATAACAAATACTGGGTAGGTTAAAACAACAGAAATTTATCGTGTCACAGTTCTGAAGGCTTGAAGTCTAAAACTGAAGTGTTGGCAGGACCATGTTCTCTCTGATGGCTCTAAGGCAGAATCCTTCCTTGCCTCTTCTAGCTTCTAGTGTGTGCTGCAATCACTGGCATTTTTTTGCTTGTAAATGCATCGTTTTAGTCCCCTGGCCACCTTTTTCCTATACGTCTTCACATCATTTTCCTTCGTGAGTTTGTCTGTCTCTGCATATACAAACTTCCCCTTTGTATAAGGACATCAGTCACATTGAATTAGGGCCTACCCTAATGATTTCATTTTAATTTGATTTCCTCTGTAGACACTTTATTTCCAAATGAGGTTACATTCTGAGGTACTGAGGGTTATGACTTGAACATGTTTTTTTAGTGGGGTGACACAATTCCACCCATAACAACAAACATTGGAATTTTACCTATAAATCGCTAAAAGTGAGATCCTTTTCCTTTTCCTCCCCAGGACTTCCTCCTAACTGAGAATAGGTTGGCAGATCACCTGGCTTTTGCATTTGGCACCTCTCTCATTCCAATAAGAGACCAGAGGTTTCCTTCAGCTTTTTCATATGAGTTGTTATCTGCTTGTTGGGTTATTGCAGTGATTGTCTACCCTGCCTGCATATTGGAACCCTCTAGGAAACTTACGTATCATTCTGGGGTGTGACCTGGGCATGGGTTTTAAAAAATATTCTCAGGTGACTCTAATATGAGAATACAGCTGAGAACCTCTACATTAGGAATAATACTGAATTGATTGTTTGTTGATCCCACATTCTTTCAATACTTTTTCTCCTCTAAGATTACTATTATATTTTTTATTACATTCTAGAGCCTTTTGAAATACTTTAGCTTATGTGCTTTAGAATAATCATTAAGAAGCCTGGATGAATAACACAGGGGAGAAAAGATAGGCATGCATGAACAGTCATGCTGGCTAGGGAAAAAATACTGTTTGAGTCCTAGTTACAAGGGGGCCAAAATGAATTGATCATTTGCCTTTTGGCTTTAGAAGTGGGCTTATCTGAGACAAAGAGAAGGGCAAACTCAAAAAACTGGGTCCTGCAAAGTGCTGGAGATGTCAGAGAGCAACAGGCCCAGAGATAATGCCATGAATCTGATAACAAAAGAGGGGGAGGAAAGGAAGGTGCATGTCTTTTTTTAGTAACATGTGAACACTAAGAATGAGAGGGTTATTGTCTCTTTTTTTAAAAGTATGTTTGAAATTTATCATGGCTTACAAAATAAGAGCACTGAAATAATCATTTGAGAAATAATGAAGTTATTATATATGAGGGGTGCTACTGGGGTAATACTCTGTACATTGTTTGCCATGTTTGTTTCCAACATTTATTTCCTCCTTTGAGAATGGGAATGTGTGTATGTGAATGTGACTGTGTGTGTATATATGTGCATGTGTGTGTTTCAATACCCTGAAGCTATCATTGGTTATATTCCAACACTGTCTTAACTTTCCTTCCTTTTCTATACAATTGACAAGGAGTTAATATATTGAACCAAATGATATTATCATTTTGAAGTATTTGCCCAAGGCCATGAGCATTATATTCTCCATTTCAACAATGACTTAGGAGAAGGCAGCTCTGAAAATGTAGGGTCAAAGCAGGACAAAACTCAACTCAGAACAATGACTGAAGACTAGTTTTATTTGATTGATGAGCTGGAGTATTGGTTAAGATTATCTAACATTTTTTACACCCCTAACCCATGGTATAAAACATGTTTATGTCAATCCTAATCACAGTTCCCAACTATTAGGTTATTTAACAATAACACTGCAGACATTTAAATCATGATTTATTCAAAGATGCCTTTTGCACATAAAGTTTATTTTGTTAGTTTGGTTAGCTCTGCATTGTTTTAAAGATAATTCTCTTGCAAAGGATAATTCATTGAAAAGTATTTTGCTAAGACTCCAGAAAAAAAATGGATCACAGGCAAGTTCCCAGAAGAAGCATATTAATAAAGTGTTGGAAAACCTCTGAAGGATTATATTCTCTAGAGATGACCATCTATTGGACATATTAGCCTTTAAAGTCATTTTATTTTTAAGTTTAAAGATCTATGTGAAATACTGTTTTGAATCCTGGAATTCAAATACAACCTTTCATATTGTTAATCTTTCTTGAAGTTTAAAGAGATGGGAATAAAGAAAAAATTATTTCATCTTAAATTTAGCTCCGTGTATACTTTTTTCTTTTTAACTCACCTAGCTTTTATGAACACTGCCTATGGACTAGGAAGTATAGAGAATACAAAACAACTGACATAATCCCTAAATATAGGAGTCTTTTGTATATATGAAGTGGCTGCATATGCATAATACCCTGTTTAGGAAAATGCTGCAGGGTCAGCTGTATTTTAAATAATCAATGGCTTATTTTAAGTCACTAATCTTAAATCGAGAATGTTAATTCCATTAAAGCAGAAATCATGTTTACTTTGTTTATTTCTATATACAAAGCATCTTCGATATTTCCTTACGCATTGTGGGCATTTAATAAATATTTTTGGAATGGACAAACAAGAGGCCAAAGAGGAAGTTTTAAGCTTTAAGGAGATTCCAGATGTTCTGAGAAGGAGGATTGAAATTTAAAATGGAACACTTGCTAAAAGCAACCAGAAAAAATTTGAAAATTAATAGTTATTTTGAAGAATGGATAGAACTTGGACAAAATAAAAGGGAGTGGGATGTGTATAGGTGTATATGAATGTGAGTATATGTGTGCTGACACATGTATGTAGAAACAACCTGAGAACATTAAAGTGGCAGGGTGGATGTGTGGCAAATAGAGAACATAATAAGCATGCATCACTGCAACACCCTTTTGGGAGTTAAAAAAGAAATAAAGCTGAGTAGGTTGAGTGAAACCAACCTCTTGGAAAGCCTTGATCTTCTCTTTTAGAAGTTTATAGATAAATAAATACATTTATTTATATATGAACTGTGTATGTGTGTGTGTGTGTGTACAATTTCTTTTTATCTTTTTATCATCAAGTAGTTTCTAAGATAGACTTGAGGGGAGCAATTCCTAAACAAATTAACGAGTTTGTGGGGCTTTTGCAGTCATGTAAGATGCATCTATTAAAAACTGAACCAGGTAATGCAGAAGTAGTGGGGAGAAAAGGAGGAATGAATCAACATAGTTTAACCAGAAGGATATGAAGTAAAAGGGAGAGAAAGAAGCAAAATATTCCTGCAAGTTTACATGTTGGGTGATGAGGAAATGATGGCTTCATTCTTCCTTTTGTCAATATCATTTCTCAAATTGTCTTTCCCTTCTCCTTGGATGATTTGGTCAGTGTTTCCTCCTTGACTTTCTCTTGCTTTTTCTAAAGGCTTAGTTCACAAGTCTCCTTCTGTTTCCTGTCTGGATTTAGTGTCCCTCTTACACAATTTCTTGGTTTCCTTTGCAGGCCAATGTCATAACACTCATCACACTACATCACATTATTTGTTCACACCTGTTTCTTTTACTACATTGGATTCCTTGAGTAGAAAGCACAGAAATGTCTAGTTCTTAGCACGACGTTTGGCATGTGGTTGATTTAAGTTGATAACCATAGAAAGTTTAATGAATGAGTTTCTTCTTTTCTTTGCAATAATTAATAGTCTAAGACCTGGATATTTACTACTTGGAAAGTTAGTTCTAGAGTGCTCTACAATGGTGGAATAGCTTTCTTCTCTTTTTTATATAACCTGTGTGACACTGTTCCAGCATTAGATAAAATATTAGATTTAAAGTGGAGTGAGAGGAAGTTTTAAGCTTATTTTATTGTTCTCTTTGGGGTTCTATGAAATCTCAGAAAGGAGAAATGCAGAAGATGATGGTTGCTGCCACATTTTTCGATTTTCAAAGATCACTCTGGCCATTTATTTCTGGGGTATCTGGAAAATTTAGTTGTGGTCCCCAACATGCTGAATTTTTACATTCTAGGAAACACTAGTGAGAATTAGACATGAAATGATGAACTAAGAAAGAAACTCAAATTCTCTTAATATTTAAGTATTTAAATTTAGACATGAAGATTTTTAAAAAGTCGTATCCCTTTCCTTGAATCCTTATATAATAAGCATTTAATTTACCTGAGCTTCAGCTAAAAATGAGGATAACAGCTGTTGTATCAAGGAATTTAAAGTGCTCTGTGTTAAATCCCAGTGTGTATGACATTTACGTTGCTAAAATAATTTGAGAGCTCTGGTCTCTAAAGTAGATTGCTAAAATAAAATGTACTATGATTAACAAAACCCAAATATTACAGAGACAGATTTTAGGGATAGTATTGTTGGCTTTAGTAAGAAGTATGGGAGATACTAGATTTGTCATTAACGGTTTTTCTTTAACCTGGAACATCCTACTTTTATTCTCTCTCAGTCTGAAGTTTCTGAGTGGATATGTACCTAACTGTGTTGCTTGTTTTCAAAGAGGGATATTAAAAAGTTTCATTATGTAGCCCATGAAAAATGTGTATTTTCTTAGTAGTAAATATTGATCATTATCAATTTATGAAGAAGTATTTATATTTTTAACATATTTAAAATTTGGGTTACTCACAAACAGAAAATACTATTAAAGAAAGTTTGGCAAATGTCTTTAAACTTTTCACTGCCTTAAGTATGTAAGATTCATAGTTTTTATTCTCCCACAATGATGTAGTTACAGTTAATATCTTGTTGTATATATCATCCGATATGTAGGAATGTGGCATTTTCTTTTTTCTTTCTTAAATCTTTCTACATTTTAAGTCAATTATTAAAAGACTATTAGACTAGTCTTTTAAAATTCTTCCACAATACCGAAAAACCTGAGGATAAGCTTTTTGTTTTTGTCAAGCTGCTTTATCTCTAATGTTAAACAACTTATTAGTTTAGGGATAGTGTTTATTTTTCTGGTAAATAATGTTCATTCACCCAGAAGTATTTATTAGGTGCCTACTATGCATTTTTATAAGTCTGTAGATACAGTCATTGATTACACAGACAAAATCTCTGCTCTTCTAATGCTTACATTTCAGTGAGAAGACAGTAAAAAAAAATAAAAAACTAAAATAGTTTGAAAGTGAAAAGTGCATTGAGAAAATAGGAACAGGATATTATTAAAATTTTAAGTAGGGTGGTCATGAAAAGCATCATTAAAAAGGTGAAGGAGGCAAATGGAGTGAAGTCTTCATATTTGGCGAAAGAATATTTGAAGCATAAACCTCCAAAAGGGAGTGAAGTCTGCATATTTGGCAAATGAATATTTGAAGCATAAACCTCAGCAGAGGCAACAATCCTCGGGCAGAAGCACACCTAGTATGCCCCAGGAAGAACACAGAGAGCCATTGGGAAGCGTAGTAAGAAAGTAATTTTAAGAAGAACTGTGGGAAATTAGCCGGGCGTGGTGGCGGGTGCCTATAGTCCTAGCTACTCGGGAGGCTGAGGCAGGTGAATGGCGTGAACCCGGGAGGCGGAGCTTGCAGTGAGCCGAGATCGCACCACTGCACTCCAGCCTGGGCAAAAGAGTGAGACTCCGTCTCAAAAAACAACAACAACAACAACAACAAAAAGCAAAAACAAACAAAAAAACAAAAACACAAAACAAAAACCTGTGGGATAGTGAGCCATGTGGAAACAGCCATTTAAAAAATTGCCTTTAATTTGAAGTGAGATTGGAAGCTATTGTATAGTACTGAGCATGGCAATGACATGATCTGATTTGATTTTTAGTAGGATTGTTGTGGCTTCCTTGTTGAAAAAGGAAAGTGTGGGGGTAAGGGAAGAAGTAGGGACACAGTAGGAGACACATGCAGTGAACTCGACAAGAGGGTGTTTGTAGCAGTGGAGGCAGTGAGAAGTAAAATCTGGATCGATTTTGAAGGTGAAGCCAGTTAGATTTGGTGGACTCAATGAAGTACAACAGAAAAAGAAAAGAGATGACTCCAAGAGTTTTGTCCCAAACAACTGGAAAAATAGTGCTGCCACTGAGGAGGTGGGAAGATACAGGGAGAAGCAGTTTTGGAGGGAAGACCAAGAGCTCATTTCTGGACATATTAATTTTGAGATGTCTGTCAGACTAACTCAGATGGAGTTAATTAAATAAGCTTTTGGAAACTATAGACTGGTGATACGAAATTACAAGTTGCTAGCATAGCGATAATACTTAAAGCCATGGAATTAGATAGGATCACCAAAGGAGTAAACATTTTAGAAAAGAGAAAAACTTCAAGGATTTCCTTCTGATGCCCTCCAACTTTGAGAATTAAAGAAAATAAAAAGGAAATAACAAAAGAGAATGAGGACAAGTGGCCAGAAGAATGGAGTGTCCTGGAAGCTAATTTGAACCAACAAAAGAGAATGAGGACAAGTGGCTAGAAGAATGGAGTGTCCTGGAAGCTAATTGGAGAATCAAATATTTAAGGATGTTGCTAGGTGAAGTAAGGTGCTGCTGAGTCAAGTAAGATGAGGCATGGGAAGCGACCATTGGAATTAGGATGAGAAAATCATTGTGGTAGAGTGATGGAAGGCAGAAGTATAACTGGAGTAGTTTTAAGAGAAAGAGGGAGGAGATGAATTGGAGACAGTGAGCATGAATAACTCAAGGAAATTACTGGTTAATTTCTAATTATAATACATGAATACTAAGTACAAAATGTTAATAAAAATTGTCAGTAGTATTTTAACATACTGCAATATTCATCTTCAAATTCATATTATAACCTACAAAGCAATCATGTTGGGGAGCTTTACTCCCTTTCCAAGAGTGCTTCCATGGACCAAAATGATTGCAAAAAAGTTATTTTTTTTAAAAAAAATTCCTAGAACACAAGGATTTTTGAAACAGAAAGGACTTGAGAGATCATCTCTACAAACTCATTCAGTTAAGTTTTTCCCTCTAGTTTCTGATTCTTATTTACATGGCATCATAGTTATTGATGGAGAAGTCAGGAACTCAGGTAGTTTTTCAAAATAAATATCTTAATACATAGCAGTGAATACAAGGGGTTTTGAGTGACTTATCTTCCGATTACATTCTCGTCTTCACCAATGCTCATAGAATGTGACCATTAACATGTTACAGTCCACACAAAATTTTGCAGATAACACACAAATGACCAAAGTTACATTATGAATATCTAGCAGTGTGGTGGCTGCCATCTTCCTCAGCTCTGCTCTGTTCTTAATTTTCCAAGAACCCTCCAGGGATCATTAAAAGAAGGAACTGTAAATATCCACAGATAGTTTTGTATTATATAAATGTAAACTGTGTATCAGAAAGTGGGCAAGAAACTATTAAAAAATCATAATTTATTCAGCATACCTATGCATAAACAAAATTAATACTTATATGATTTTCTGGTTTCAGTATGTATAACACTAACATCTTTTGTTTGCCAAACATAATGATATATCACTTTAGATTGAGAAACATGCTAATAAAATAATATTTATATAATGAATATATGCTTCCTGTTGTCTCCCTTCTCACCTTCCTCACCCATTCTCGTTCAGAAGAGAATATAATACTTATTCTTTGATTTTATTAATACATATTGATGTTCTGAATTGTAATATGCATTTTAATAACTAAATTGGGATTTGCTAAAAATAGCATTTTAATATCTTTTGCAGTTCTTCAAACATCTGTCAGATGCCTTGTTATACACAGATTTTTTTGTCAGATCCATATATATCATTGCTTTTGATTGACATGAAAGATTTATAACTGATTTGAGATCGTTTAATCACTATATTCATGCATTTTAAAAGTCTTGGATTAAATGAATAGCTTTACATCTAGTTTTAATATTCATCACAAGTTTTTTGGGTATTAACTAAGGACTTCTGTTTGCATGTAATTTAACAATTTGATTAATATGCTTTGCAGTTTTACTTTGTATTTTATCTTGGATCTGAGATCTTGGAGGCAAATTCTAGCTAATGCCTCTTTGCAGAGATTTTACAAAGCCATAAGAAGAGAAATGAAAATTCTCAAAATTATTACAGGAAGCTTTTGAAAAGTGCAATCTAGTTGGATCGGTAGCATTAGGATACAACTTTTTGACACTTTGTTAGGGTTAAATATAAGTAGAAGACCTCCACTATGGCCATAATGGTGCAACTTGTACCAGGCTTGCTCCTCTGCCTGTCAGTAACCATAAGACTAGGCAAAATGTATGTCAACTATTTTTTAAAGATCAGTGAGATACGGAAATAACAATATGAGATGATGATTTCAAAGACTCTGGTTAGGGCACACTCTCGACTACCATATAGGAAGATGAGGCCCAAGAAAAGCATGGTACTCTCATTGAGCTAAGGAGGCAGATATTATAGTTTGGGGCTGCTGAAGTGGCTAATAGTTTAAGGCAGGGTACTGGAAAGGAGGAAGCTGTACAGAGGGAAGCATCAGAAGTCTGTGTGGGGTATACTACATGTTCTTGGCCAAAGGCGAGGGTCCATTTATACAGGGTAAGACTCCATGTGTTGTAATCAAGAGTGGCTGCTGGTTGCCTGAAAATGAAACTGAAATGCCAGGGGTTGTTGGAATTGCAAAGCAGTCAGAGCAGAGAGACCATTCAGAGCTCTCCAGGCATTCAGCTGAGATCCCAGAAATGCCATGACTTTGGTGTAAGGAAAACACACTAAATATGGATCACATCATATGACTAAGGATAAACTCAAGATAGTTTCAAAGAATAAAACCAAACCTCTCCTGATCTAAGGGAGCCACCAGTAATTTAATGGCCACCAAGAACAATCTCAACAGGTTTTTAAGGAGTCAACATAATTCACATAATGGATTATGGATCCAGCAATGTCCAGTATAATAAAAAATGCCTTGACCTGCTTAGAAAATTCAATTAAAAGGCACATTCAACTAAAAAAAGACGGAAACAGACACTTTACAAAAGAATGTGCTTGAATAACCAATCAACACTTAAAATGTACTAAACATAATTAGTCATCAGGGAAATGCAAAATAAAATTACAATGAAATACCATTTTAAACCAGATAGAATGGCTGAAATTAAA
The DNA here is from genome assembly GCF_000001405.40 of Homo sapiens. NCBI lineage: Eukaryota > Metazoa > Chordata > Mammalia > Primates > Hominidae > Homo > Homo sapiens. The sequence continues at coordinate 60,893,534 of NC_000013.11, forward strand.
ATGACTGAAAATTCAAATGTTGGCAAGGATTTGAAGCAAAGTGGATCACTCATACATTGCTGGATACATTGCTGGTGGGAATTAAAATGGTAAAACTATACAGAGAACTGCTGGGGTTGTTTCTTAAGAAGTTAATTATACATATATGCTATAATGCAGCAAGCCAACTTGTAGCTAAAATCTGCATGTAACCAAAACATTTATCAACTGAGAATGAAGGAATAAATTTGGTATGTTGAAACAATGGAATAATACTCATCAATAAAGAAGAATGCATATAAAAACATGAATGAATCTCAAGAACAATGTGAGGGATGTTTGCTTCCATCCATGAGGGAGCAAGAAGCACCAGAATTACCTTTTCACTGCAAGCTAGAAACAGTTGTTTTCCATTATTGTAGCAAAGAACTATGATCTCTGAGAGACAGATTTGAAAGACGTAATCTCTCCAAATTGACTTGGCTTTCTGCCTGGAGGAAGTTTTCATTCTGTGGTAGAGGGATGAACTTGGCATTTTGCTGAGTTGAGAAGATGAGGGTAAGAATTTGTAGAGAACAAAATTTGGCTAAAATTTATAGGTAAAATACTGGATAGAAGGTAACCACAGATAGTCTAGAAATCTTTAGAGGTGTCCCCTTAAACTTTTGACTGAATCTATGCATGCCTAAGCAAAAACCCCATGGTGGGGGAAAGCAAACAAAAAAACAACTTCCAGAGGAAGAATGATTTCTGAGGGAAGGAGGAGTATAAACTAATCAGTTTAACTGAGTGGATAAGGGTAGATTAAATTCCATAGATGAAAAGATCAGTGAATAAAACGGTCAACCTAGAATTATAAACCCAGATAAATATTTTCCAAAAATATAAGTAAAATATAAACATGTTTTCAGACCAAAAAAAGCTCAAAAAAATTGTAAAATCAACAGAATTCACTGGCAGCAGATGAATGCTACAGGAAATGTTGAAAAGAAAAAAAAAAAGTTCTTCAAGCAGAGGGAAAATAATGCCAGATAGAAAGTTAATCTATATAAAAGCATGAAGAGAATAGAAATGGTAGATAATATGTGGATAAATAAAAGAGACTTTGGCATTATTATAAACATAGCTTTAAAAGATAATTGACAGTTAACAGCATAAATAATAATGCATTACAGGGCTTCTGTATATATTCTTGGGTTTTACATATTCATCTTTATTAACTTTGTCTTAAATGTGCACACATATTCTGGACCAGAGACATAGTTCTTATTAATTACTCAACAGTAAATAATAACGGTGTTCACCCTCTCCGCCACTACGTTTTCCCCAGGCCTTAATCCTGGAAAAACACAATGAAAGCCAGGTCCAATGTCTTACAAGAGTAGTTCTATCCATGAGGGAAAAAGAAAAATGATATTTTTTGGCTGGGCACGGTGGCTCACGCCTGTAATCCCAGCACTTTGGGAGGCTGAGGCGGGCGGATCATGAGGTCAGGAGATCGAGACCATCCTGGCTAACAGGATGAAATCCCGTCTTTACTAAAAATACAAAAAATTAGCTGAGCGTGGTGGCGGGTGCCTGTAGTCCCAGCTACTCGGAAGGCTGAGGCAGGAGAATGGCGTGAACCCGGGAGGCAGAGCTTGCAGTGAGCCGAGATCGCGCCACTGCGCTCCAGCCTGGGTGACAGAGCGAGACTCTGTCTCAAAAAAAAAAAAAAAGAAAAAAAAAAAGAAAAATAACATTTTTTCTGCTAATAAAACGCAGAAAAAGGTGACCACTTTAATAAATGCACTGCTAAGAGGTAGAGTGTTGGAATGGACAAATCCTCTCTATGCAACAGCCCTATGTGAAACTGTGCACTTAAGATCTATGTATTTTGCCATGTGCACATTTTATTTCAATAAAAAAGTAGCTAGATAGCAGAAAGCTTTATCTATTCCAAGAAAGGAAATAATAGGGATGTTTCCGTCTAACAATTGATGAGGATAATTTGTTGAATTACATAAGAAACTTTTCTTTTACTTGGGAATGAAGGACATTATATATTCTACCATTCTATTATTAATTCTAACTCCTTGATTGGCATTTAAAATATTTGCAAGGATTATAGTGAATCTAACTATCTGGAAAATCATTGATTTTGAACTTTAGGTTGATGGAAATGGATATTGAAATATCAAGTACACTCACAACAATAAAACTCAACTTTTTTCACTTTAATGAATAGTTTTCCATTCATGACACTGTGGATCACTGAGAAGAATAGAGTTTAGAACTGAAGTTTTGGGTTTAACCTTTGACTTCATTATTTACTAGCAGTAAATCACCAGGTGAGCCACTGGCTTCTCTACACCTTGTTTTTCTTTTTCTTTCTTTCTTTTTTTTTTTTTTTTTTTTTTTTTTGAGATGGAGTTTCACTCTTGTTGCCCAGGCTGGAGTGTAATGGTGCGATCTCAGCTCACTGCAACCTCCGCCTCCCGGGTTCAAGAGATTCTCCTGCCTCAGCCTCCCGAGTAGCTGAGATTACAGGCATGTGCCACCACACCCAGCTAATTTTGTATGTTTAGTAGAGTTGGGGTTTCGCCATGTTGATCAGGCTGGTCTCAAACTCCTGACCTCAAGTGATCCTCCTGCCTCAGCCTCCCAAAGTGCTGGGATTACAGGTGTGAGCCACTGTGCCCAGCCCACCTTGTTTTTCTTATCAGTAAAATTGATGTAGTAATACTAATTTCATATTAGTAATACTAATATCATAAAATTGTTGTATGGAAAATGTGAATATACAAATACATTGATGTTAAGTAGAATAAAAAAATGACTAATGCAAAAACCCTATTAGACCCCATTGAAGTCTGTTATTAGAAATATCATCTATGTAGATATTTGCTGAATCTGCTTTTATGTTGAAGCTTAGGCTTCATCATATCTTTACTGTTAGAACAATTAACTAACCAGTTTCTTTGTTCCCAGCCTTGTTCTTTCATGTTCTAGCCTCCATTCAACTTTCAGATAGATGTCTTTAAAAGTTGGTGTATAAAACATACAATAAAAATGTAAAGTTGTAACTATGTCATATGAATGGTAAATGTTTTCTGCCCAATTTCTTCTCACTACCCAATGCCTAAAGTCCAAATTATCTATTTCATGTAGTACACATGAGCTCAATTCTGCCTGCCGACATTTTCAGCCCCACTTTGACCATTCTTCACTTGACACTTTGTCACTTGACAAATCCTAATTACCTTCTAATATTCAGCAAAAGGTCATTATTTCATTGAAGACTTACTTAACCCTGTCTTGACCTAGGCAAAAAGTTAAATTCATCTATGCTCATTGTAATGCCACACACGTAGGTCAGCTTATCACCTAGCATTTTATACCAAAAACATTTTATTATCTGCCTCCTTGCTGAACTCTGGGTATTGAGAGAAAGGTTTTTGTTATATTTTTTGTTTCAGCAGCACCTATATAATATCATACATATAGTATGTTCTCAGTCATTTGATGAATGAGTGAATAAATGGACACATGACTATAATGTGCACATCAGATTCTCATTTCATGTAGGTGGTTTGTTTCTGGTCAGGGAAATAACCATTTCTGTTGATAACGTATAGTTTTTTTAATCCTAGAAATATTGAAAAAAATTATCAGATTCTTAACTAGAGAAAATCTTTGAAAATTCTCTGTTTCAAAAGAAGGATATGTTTGCTCAGAATACTTGAAAATTATTATTTTAAATTTCTGTATTCTTTCCTTTCTAGAAGATTGTTTGGTCAAAATTATGCAGTTAGTCTTTATCTGAATGCCAATTAAGTAAGTAAATGTCAACATACCATGCTCACCTCAGCAAGGGTAACTGTTATTTCAGAGAGTATAACAGAATCCAGTTACCTAGGAAGAAAATCCCTGTTGCTGGAAAATACCAAAGATGTTCATGTTATTTCATGGACTTTAAGTATGCAAAAATGCTTATTTCTTTAAGTAATTGTCTTAAAGCATCTTTATCTAACTGCAAGCTCATTATGCTACAGTTGCAATGAAAAACTAGCCTGGGTGGTTCCAAAGTCATTCCTGCATTTGAGAAAGTATTTAATGATTCTAAAATATTTTCATTTCTGGACCCCCTTTAAAGTGTCTAGTGACTCGACTCCTCAGTCCCATTGGTCTTTACAAACCTCATTCATCTTAAAGTCTAAGGAGGGACACATGCAGTAGGCTTAAATTAAGAAGGTCTAATTCAGGTATGGCTAGTATGTACACAGAGAGCACAAGCTACCCCAACTTTGCCCTTGTCAGACGTTCCCTGGTAATCTCAGTTCTCTTTCCTGTTTGGCACAGACTCATATTCATAATTAATTATAATAGACCTCCAAGCAGCTACCAGTGATTGTTCTCCAGCAGAAAATAGGGGGAAACACTTCTGTCATCCAAAAAAAAATCATGAAGAAGTTAATTATTTCTTCCCTATTGTACGGAATTATGTTCACAGTTTTTAGTTACCATTGTCACGCTGTGGGTATCACAGGCTGCACTAAGAGAACTGACTCGGAGCCCAGTCTACTAGGGCTTAAATCTAGCCTTGTGATTTACATGTTGTGTGACATCGCAGAGATCACATAACTTCACCTGCAACATTGGAAATAGTAACACCTACCACACAGGATTGCTGAGGGAATTTAATGAATTAATACTTGTAACTATTAAAACCTTTCTCAAAATAAGTTTTGAATAAGTGTTAAAGAAGATTAGCAGTTCTAACTTCTAAGACCTCTTTAAGAGTCATGACTTCCTGAAGATAGCTATTTTTGGATTGAAAATAACATCTGGAAGATAAGGTGATAGATTTTGTTCATCTGTATTATAGAGCCCATGTAAATATATATCTTATGAATATACTTTTTTTTTTAGCAAATTTCATTCCAGAAACATGTTGTTGAGTGGTAGGAATCCAGATATTCCAGTAAAATTGAGTGTAGGAATGACTAGACTAATATTTAAAAATGACACTTGAGAGCTAAATATTTTTATAAAAGAGCTACATCTAGTGGGAAGATGGACACAGAATTACAAACATATCCTTTAAAATTCAAAACAAAAATGAAGGGGATATGGAAAGAACAGATAAGAAATTTATTTGTAGACATGCTCTATATTGGCAGCCTTCAAAGAGTCTAAGACAATGTTTAAATGACGGTATGGTGGGAACCCTCTTCAGTAATAGAAATGTTGAGGTTTTGGACTGTGGATCTGATGAGAATTTGAATTTTTTTTCTTCCAGTGTCAGTTTAGGGTCCTGAAACTTGTTTCATGATAATACACTCTTAAAGATTATGCCTATTCAGAACATGTAGACTTAACCCTATTCTAGCTTTATTGATTTCTACTATTGTCTTTTGGGCATTTGCTATAATAAAGAAACACTTCAGAAAGTACATTCTGTGATTGATTCTAAGACATGGGCCAAACGGCCTTGACCAAGGATTATTTTTGAATTCCAAACATACATTTGTCATTATTTTCACTAATGCTAGCATTAGCCTTTGTAAATGGGTTATTTTAATAGATTTAATATAGTCTTTTAATGTTAGTACTTTAAAGTCCTTAAATCTTTTGGCTCTGCTTCCACCTGTGAGTGAAGGTCTTTTGGAGGAGAATTAACTCCTTAGCCCACTAAGAGCTTTAGAATATAATACAATTTGCCTTAATATAAGAACCTAGACGTCCGTGTTAATCCAGATCTTTTGAGAAGCAGATGGCAAGGCAGGATTAGACATGCATAAGATTTCCTAGGGGCAATGCTTGTGAGGGAAAATGGGGAACAAGCTGGGAGAAGCTGGGAGAACCATTAGATTATGATGCAGATTTGACCCTCGTGAATGAGAGAAGTGAAGAAGGAAGGTTGGGTGCAGGACTCCCTGATGGGGAGTCTACAAGCCAAAGCTTCTGTTAGAGGAGTCCCCCACTTTAGTATCCTTTCCTTGTTCCATCACTGTCTGGGAGCATTGCTGGGAAATGGGACCCCAGTGCAAAAGTGGTGATGGATTTCAGAGCACAGCAGCTGAGGCTGTGGGTTAATTATACTCCTCATCATGGGAGATCTGAAAGGCATGTTTTCATGGCCACCACCATCCCCAAAAGTCAAAAATCTGTTGCCATTGAGGATTAGATTTATTATTTATGTCTATTTTCACCTCATTCTTATGTAATAGAAACAGGTAATATTTACTAATCAATTACTGTAGCATATACCTTTATATATTTAATCCTTATTTAACCCTTATTCACTTTTAAGTGAACTTTTAATATGCCTATACTAATGATAAAAATATAGAGACTTAGGGTTATTAACTAATGTGGCCAGAACACATAGTTAATAATGGGAGGGGGATTAAAATATAAATATTTTTGGATTCCAAATGAACAACTTTTGCTATAAAGTTATCCTGCCCAGATAACATTTGAAGGGGTGCTGGGATGTAGGAAAGTCAAATGGCAGGTCAGAAATCACAGACATGGGGATTCCCGGGAAAGATGGCTGAAGAGGAACAGCTCTGGTCTGCAGCTCCCAGAGAGACCAATGCAGAAGGCGGATGATTTCTGCATTTCCAACTGAGGTACCTGGCTCATCTCAATGGGACTGGTTAGACAGTGGGTGCAGCCCACGGAGGGCGAGCAGAGGAAGGGTGGGGCTTTGCCTCACCTGCGAAGCACAAGGGGTGGGAGAACTCCCTCCCCTAGCCAAGGGAAGCAATAAGGGACGGTGCTGTGAGGCATGGAGCATTCCGACCCAGATACTACACTTTTCCCACTGTCTTCGCAACCTGCAGACCAGGATTACCTCGTGTGCCTATGCCACCAGGGCCCTGAGTTTCAAGCACAAAGCTGGGCGGCCATTTGGGCAGACACCCAGCTAGCTGCAGGACTTTTTTTTTTTCATACCCCAGTGGCGCCTGGAACACCAGCGAGACAGAACCGTTCACACCCTTGGAAAGGGCGCTGAATCCAGGGAGCCCAGTGGTCTAGCTCAGCAGATCCCACCTCCGTGGAGCCCAGCAAACTAAGATTCACTGGCTTAAAATTCTTGCTGCCAGCACAGCAGTCTGAAGTCAATCTGGGACGCTTGAGCCTGGTAGGGTGAGGGGCGTCTGCCATTACTGAGGTTTCAGTAGGCAATTTTCCCCTCACAGTGTAAACAAAGCTGCTGAGAAGTTCGGACTGGGCAGAGCCCACCATAGAGCCACAAACCCACTGTAGCCAGACTGCCTCTCTAGATTCCTCCTCTCTGGGCAGGGCATCTCTGAAAGAAAGGCAGCACCTCCATTCAGGGACTTACAGATAAAACTCCCATCTCCCTGGGACAGAGCACCTGGTAGAAGGGGCAGCTGTGGGCACAGCTTCAGCAGACGTAAATGTTCATGCCTGCCAGCTCTGAAGAGAGCAGTGAATCTCCCAGCACAGCGCTCAAGCTCTGATAAGAGACAGACTGCCTCCTCACGTGGGTCCCTGACCCCCATGCCTCCTGACTGGGAGACACTTCCCAGCAGGGGTCGACAGATACCTCATACAGGAGAGCTCCTGGTGGCATCAGGCGGGTGGTTCTCTGGGACAAAGCTTCAAGTGGAAGGAGCAGGCAGCAATATTTGCTGCTCTTCAGCCTCTGCTGGTGATACCCAGGAAAACAGGGTCTGGAGTGGACCTCCAGCAAATTCCAGCAGACCTGCAGAAGAGGGGCCTAACTGTTAGAAGGAAAACTAACAAACAGAAGGCAATAACATCAACATCAACAGAAAGGACGCATATGAAAAAACCCTATCTGAAGGTCACCAATATCAAAGATCAAAGGTAGACAAATCCACAAAGATGAGGAAAAAATAGAGCAAAACTGCTGGAAAAAAAAAAACAAAATGCCTCTTCGCCTCCAAAGGATCACAACTCCTCACCAGCATGAGAACAAAACTGGATGGAGAATGAGTTTGACAAACTGACAGAAGTAGGCTTCAGAATAACAAACTCCTCCGAGCTAAAGGAGCATGTTCTAACCCAGTGCAAGGAAGTTAAGAACCTTGAGAAAAGGTTACAGGAACTGCTAACTAGAGTAACCAGTTTAGAGAAGAACATAAATGACCTGATGGAGCTGAAAAACACAGCACAAGAACTTCGTGAAGCATACACAAGTATCAATAGCTGAACTGATCAAGCAAAAGAAAGGATATTAGAGGTTGAATATCAACTTAATGAAATAAAGCTTGAAGATAAGATTAGAGAAAAAAGAATGAAAAGGAATGCACAAAGCCTCCAAGAAATATGAGACTATGTGAAGAGACCAAAGCTACATTTGATTGGTGTACCTGAAAGTGAAGGGGAGGATGGAACCAAGTTTGAAAACACACTTCAGGATATTATCCAGGAGAACTTCCCCAACCTAGCAAGACAGGCCAACATTCAAATTCAGGAAATACAGAGAATGCCACAAAGATATTGCTTGAGAAGAACAACCCCAAGACACATAATCATCAGATTCACCAAGGTTGAAATGAAGGAAAAATGTTAAAGGCAGCCACAGAGAAAGACTGGGTTATCCACAAAGGGAAGCCCATCAGACTAACAGCAGATCTCTCTGTAGAAACCCTGCAAGCCAGAAAAGAGTGGGGGCCAAAATTCAGCATTCTTAAACAAAAGAATTTTCAACCCAGAATTTCATATCCAGCCAAACTAAGCTTCATAAGTGAAGGATAAATAAAATCCTCTACAGACAAGCAAATGCTGAGGGATGCTGTCACCAACAGGCCTGCCTTACAAGAGCTCCTGAAGGAAGCACTGAATATGGAAATGAAAAACCAGTACCAGCCACTACAAAAACATACCAAATTGTAAAGAACATTGACACTATGAAGAAGCTGCATCAACTAATGGGTAAAATAACCAGCTGGCATCATAATGGCAGGACCAAATTCACACATAACAATATTAACCTTAAATGTAAACAGGCTAAATGCCCCAGTTAAAAGACACAGACTGGCAAATTGGATAAAGAGTCAAGACCTGTCAGTGTTCTGTATTCAGGAGATCCATCTCATGTGCAAAGACACACACAGGCTCAAAATAAAGGGATGGAGGAAGATCTAACAAGCAAATGGAAAGCAAAAAAGTAGGGGTTGCAATCCTAGTCTCTGATAAAACAGACTTTAAGCCAACAAAGATAAAAAAAGACAACAGCATTACATAATGGTAAAAGGATCAATGCAACAAGAAGAGCTAACTATCCTAAATATATATGTATCCACTACAGGAGCACTCTGATTCATAAAGCAAGTTCTTAGAGACCTACAAAGAGACTTAGACTCTCACACAATAATAGTGGGAGACTTCAACACCCCACTGTCAATATTAGATCAATGAGACAGAAAATTAACAAGGATATTCAGGACTTGAACTCAGCTCTGGACCAGGTGGATCTAATAGACATCTACAGAACTCTCCATCCCAAATCAACAGAATATACATTCTTTTCAGCACCACATTGCACTTATTCTAAAATTGACCACATAATTGGAAGTAAAACGCTCCTCAGTAAATGTGAAAGAACAGAAATCATAATAAACAGTCTCTCAGACCACAGTGTAATCAAATTAGAACTCAGGATTAAGAAACTCACTCAAAGTTGCACAACTCCATGGAAACTGAACAACCTGCTCCTGAACGACTACTGGCTACATAATGACATTAAGGCAGAAATAAATAAGTTCTTTGAAACCAATGAGAACAAAGACACAACATACCAGAATCTGTGGGACAAAGCTAAAACAGTGTTTAGAGGGAAATTTATAGCACTAAATGCCCACAGGAGAACGCAAGAAAGATCTAAAATCAACACCCTAACATCAAAATTTAAAGAACTAGAGAAGCAAGAGCAAAGAAATTCAAAAGCTAGCAGGCGGCAAGAAATAATTAAGATCAGAGCAGAACTGAAGGAGACAGAGACACAAAACCCCTTCAAAAAAATCAATGAATCCAGGAGACGGTTTTTTGAAAAGATTAACAAAATAGATAGACTGCTAGCCAGAATAATAAGAAAAGAGAGAAGAATCAAATAGACAAAATAAAAAATGATAAAGGCGTATCACCACTTATTCCCAGTGTTTCTGCTTTCATGTCCTCCTCATTGGAGAGATTTGGAAACCCATTATGTGGATTCACCAGCCGTCTGCAGGAATTGCCTGAAGAGTGATTTCTTTGTAATGTCTGTAAAGATAAACACTAAGGAAGATCCTCAAGCAGTTGTCTAAGACTTTGTACTGACTACTTTTGCTCCCTCTGCCTCCCATCCTGGCATAGTGAAAGCAAAGAGAGAGTGTGGAATAACAGTGGAGGTCTGTACCCCAAATTAGCCAAGTAAACCAAGAAAAAAAAATTTTTTAACAGTTAGAAAATAGACGTAATCAGGGTTTTTTTTCATTTAACTTCACAAAACAGTAATATGTAAAGTTTCTAGTACACACAGCTTCTGCTTTACCATATGACAGACCCGTGACACGTTAAGGAGCAAGGAATATGCATATGCCTATATCAATTAATCACCTCTAGTAAGAGTGGTTTTTTATTTTACAAGAAACTCAGTAACAATGGAAGAAAGACAAACACTAAGGTAGATCCTCAAGCAGTGGGCAAAATATCCAGAAATCTGTCTCAAATTTTCTTGGAAACATTCAGTGCCATGAAATTCTTCCATCAGGAAGAATTTCCATCCACAGAAATACAAACTACCATCAGAGAAGACTATAAACACCTCTATGCAAATAAGCTAGAAAATCTAGAAGAAATGGATAAATTCCTGGACACATACACCCTCCCAAGACTAAACCAGGAAGAAGTCGAATCCCTGAATAGACCAATAACAAGTTCTGATGTTGAGGCAGTAATTAATAGCTTACGAACCAAAAAAAGCCCAGGACCAGATGGATTCACAGCCGAATTCTATCAGAGGTACAAAGAGGAGTTGGTACCATTCTTTCTGAAACTATTCCAAACAATAGAAAAAGAGGGACTCCTCCCTAACTCATTTTATGAGGCCAGCATCATCCTGATACCTAAGCCTGGCAGAGACACAACAAAAAAAGAAAATTTCAGGCCAATATCCTTGATGAACATCAATGTAAAAATCCTCAATAAAATAGTGGCAAACTGAATCCAGCAGCACATCAAAAAGCTTATCCATCACAATCAAGTTGGCCTCATCTCTGGGGTGCAAGGCTGGTTCATCATATGCAGATCAATAAATGTAATCCATAACATAAACAGAACCAATGACAAAAACCACATGATTATCTCGATAGATGCAGAAAAGGTCTTCAATAAAATTCAACACCCCTTCCTGCTGAAAACTCTCAGTAAACTAGGTGTTGGTGGAATGTACCTCAAAATAATAAGAGTTACTTGTGATAAGCCCCCAGCCAATATCATACTGATTGGGCAAAAGCTGGAAGCATTCCCTTTGAAAACCAGCACAAGACAAGGATGCCCTCTCTCACCACTCCTATTCAACATAGTATTGGAAGTTCTGGGCAGGGCAATGAAACAAAAGAAAGAAAGTGTATTCAAATAGGAAGAGAGGAAGTCAAATTGTCTATGTTTGCAGATGACATAATTGTGTATTTAGAAAACACCACTGTCTCATCCCCAAATCACCTTAATCTGATAAACAACTTTAGCAAAGTCTCACTATACAAAATCAATGTGCAAAAATCATAAGCATTCCTTTTCACCAATAATAGACAAACAATCACATAATGAGTAAACTCCCATTCACAACTGCAACAAAGAGAATATAATACCTAGGAATACAACTTACAAGGGATGTGAAGGACCTCTTCAAGGAGAACTGCAAACTGCTGCTCAAGGAAATACGAGAGGATGCAAACAAATGGAAAAACTCTCCATCCTCATGGGTAGGAAGAATCAATATTGTGAAAATGGCCATAATGCCCAAAGTAATTTATAGATTCAATACTATTCCCATCAAGCCACCATTGACTTTCTTCATAGAATTAGAAAAAAAACTACTTTAAATTACATATGGAACCAAAAAAGAATGTATAGCCAAGACAATCCTAAGCAAAAAGAACAAAGCTGGAGGCATCACACTACCTGAATTCAAACTATACTACAAGGCTACAGTAACCAAAACAGCTTGATACTGGTACCAAAACAGATATATAGACCAATGGAACAGAACAGAGGCCTCAGGAATATCACCACACATCTACAACCATCGGATCTTTGATAAACCTGACAAAAGCAGAGGGGAGAGGATTCCCTATTTAATAAATGGTGATGGGAAAACTGGCTAGCCATATGCAGAAAGTTGCAACTGGATTCCTTCCTTACACTTTATACAAAAATTAAGAGGGATTAAATATTTAAAGGTAAGACATAAAACCATAAAAACCCTAGAAGAAAACCTAGGCAATACCATTGAGGACATAGGCATGGGCAAAGACTTCATGACTAAAACACAAAAAGCAATGGCAACAAAAGTCAAAATTGACAAATAGGACATATTTAAACTAAAGAGCTTCTGCACAGCAGTAGAAACTGTCATCAGAGTGAACAGGCAACCTACAGAATGGGAGAGTTTTTGCAATCTATCCATCTGACAAAGGGCTAATATCCAGAATCTGCAAAGAACTTAAACAAATTACAAGAAATAAACAATCCCAACAAAACTGGATGAAGGATATGAACAGACACTTTTCCAAAGAAAACATGCAGCCAACAAACATATGAAAAAAAGCTCATCATCACTGGTCGTTAGAGAAATGCAAATCAAAACCACGATGAGATACCATCTCACACCAGTTAGAATGGCAATCATTAAAAAGTCAGGAAACAACAGGTGCTGGAGGGGATGTGGAGAAATAGGAACACTTTTACACTGTTGGTGGGAGTGTAAATTAGTTCAGCCATTGTGGAAGACAGTGTGGCGATTCCTCAAGGATCTAGAACTAGGAATACCATTTGACCCAGTTATTCCATTACTGGGTATATACCCAAAGGATTATAAATCATTCTACTATAAAGACACGTGCACATGTATGTTTATTGCAGCACTATTCACAATAGCAAAGACTTGGAACCAACCCAAATGCCCATCAAGGATAGACTGGTTAAAGAAAATGTGGCATATATACAGCATGGAATAGTATGCAGCCATAAAAATAATGAGTTCATGTCCTTTGCAGGGACCTGGATGAAGCTGGAAACCATCATTCTCAGCAAACTAACAGGATCAGAAAACAAAACACTGCATGTTCTCACTCAAAAGTGGGAACTGAACAATGAGAACATATGGGTAACATCACACAATGGGGCCTGTTGGGGGGTAGGGGGCAAGGGGAGGGAAAATATTAGGAGAAGTATCTAATGTAGATGACAGGTTGATGGGTGCAGCAAACCACCATGGCATGTGTATACCTATGTAACAAACCTGCACGTTCTGCACATGTATCCCAGAACTTAAGTATAATAAAAAAAGAAAAAATCACAAACACGGTTGTCTATCAAAACAATGATGAAAACAGTATTTATGTGGCTTTGTTCTATTCATTTCTGCCCTCTTTGGATAATACTTCTGGCTCTTAACTCTCGCTTCTCATTAAAACTTTTCTAAGAATTGCATTTCTGAGAATTTTCCTCTCTGCTCTTACCAAGAATATGATCTCTGCTAATGTGAAAATAGATGCTAATGTGCACACTTCACATCCTGACAAAAAGGTTTTAGTTTTATGTCTGAGAGGCTTTTGTACATGGAAAGGAATATCCATAATTATTTGTTATTTGTTTAATGCTCAGTATATTAACCACACAAATGTAATAAAACATTTAAAACTATGTTTAGCTTTTAAAAATGGATTACATATTTTCAGTTTCATTAAAAAATTAAGCTAATGAAATTATTATGACTGATTCATGTACCTTAAGCAGAAGGCAAAGGACACACACAGTTATCACTTAACTAATTACTTCATTTATAGTCAAACCATTTCTGGGATCTAATCACTTCTGCATAAGTTCTCTGTTTGAATATCTTTCAAGTGTCATAGCTTCAGTTATTTTGATAGTTTTCAAAGATTTCAGATATATTACTTTGATATATTTTCAGAAATATAGTTGTCTTACTTAACCCGGAAGAATAAAGGGCATGCCAAATAGTTTTAAGGGCCTGATTTATTAGCCAGTGGGTTGTTGGTTGGAATGTGAATTTTCCTTGCTTCTTCCAAGGTGATTCAAAATTGAGCCATTAAATATCTACACAATGGGATTCTACTCAGCCTTTAAAAAGAAGGAAATTTTGTAATTTATGACAATATGGATGAACTTGGAAGACATTATGCTAAGTAAAATAAGCCAAGCACTGATAAACCAATACTGCATGCTCTCACTAATACGTGGAATCCAAAGAAGTGGGGAAATGTTGGTCAAAAGGTACAGAGTTTCAGTTAGGTAGGAGGAATAAGTCTTTTGAGATCAACTGCATAGCATGATGACTATAGTTAATGATGTATTGCATATTTCAAAATTGCCAAGAGAAAAAT